>NC_000001.11:99553835-102053835 GCF_000001405.40 Homo sapiens
GCACCCAAATTGCAAAAGAGGAAATCAAACTATCACTGTATGCCAGTGATGTGATCATATACCTAGAAAAGCCTAAACACTCCTCCAAAAGACTCCTAGATTTGATAAATGAATTCAGTAAAGTCTCAGGTTACAAAATCAACGTACACAAACCAGCAGCACTGCTACACACCAACGACAACCGAGCTGAGAATCAAATCAAGAACTCAATCCCTTTTGCAACAGCTGCAAAAACAAACAAAAAAATACCTAGCAATATACTTAACCAAGGAGGTGAAAGATTTCTACAAGGAGAACTACAAAACACTGCTGAAACAAATCATAGATGACACAAACAAATGAAAATGCATCCCATGCTCATAGATTGGCAGAATCAATAAATGTCATGAAAATGACCACACTGCCCAAAGCTATTTACAGATTCAATGTAATTCCTATCAAAATACCAACATCATTGTTCACAGAATTAGACAAAAAGTCCTAAAATTTGTATAAAACCAAAAAGGAGCCCAAATAGCCAAAGTAATTCTAAACAAAAAGAACAAATCTGGAGGCATCACATTACCTGACTTCAAATTATACTGCAAGGCTATGGTTACCAAAATAGCATGGTACTAGTACCAAAGTAAATACACAGACCAATGGAACAGAATAGAGAACCCAGAAATAAAGCCAAATACTTATAACCAACTGATCTTTGACAAAGCACACAAAAACATAAACTGGGGAAAGATACCCTATTCAATAAATGGTGCTGGGAAAACTGGATAGCCACATGTAGAAGAATGAAACTGGATCCTTATCTCTCACCATATACAAAAAACAACTCAAGATAGATTAAAGGCTTACATCTAAGACCTGAAATCATAGAAATTGTAGAAGAGAACCCGAGGAAAAACTCTGCTGGACATTGGCCTAGTCAAAGAATTTATGACTAAGACCCCAAAAGCAAATGCAACAAAAACAAGAATAAATAAATAGGACCTAATTAAACAAAAAGCTTCTGCACGGCAAAAGAAATAATCATCAGAGTAAACAGACAACCCACAGAATGATAGAAAATATTTGCCAACTATGCATCTGACAAAAGCTAATATCCAGAATCTACAAGGAACTCAAACAACTCAGAGAGAAAAAAAACAACAAATAATTCCATCAAAGAGTAGGCAAGTGACATGAATAGGCATTTATCTAAAGAAGATATATAAATAGCTAACAAACATATGAAAAAAATGCTCGACATCACTAATCATCAGGGAAATGCAAATTAAAACCACAATGAGATACCACCTTACCCCAGCCAGAATGGTCATTATTAAAAAGTCAAAAAACAATAGATGTTGGCATGGATAGGGTAAAAAGGGAATGCTTATACATGGCCGGTGGGAATGTAAATTAGTACAACCTCTATGGAAAAACAGTATGAACATTTCTTAAAGAACTAAAAGTAGACCTATCATTCAATCCAGCAATCCCACTACTGGGTATCTACCCAAAGGAAAAGAAGTCATTATATCAGGAAGACACCTGTACACATATGTTTATTGCAGTACAATTCACAATTTCAAAGATATTAAACCAACCTAAGTGCCCATCAACCCATGAATGGATAAAGAATATGTGAGATATATATACAATGGAATACTACTCAGCCATAAAAAAGAATGACATATACTGTATATTTTCACTTGAAAGTGGGAGCTAAAAAAATTATTTCAACAAAATAAAAGTTAGAAATTATTGAAAGCTTGCTGAGTGTCATTTACTTTACTAAATTCTTTGCATGCACTGTTTCATTTATTCTACAGCCCTATGAGCAGATACTACTATTATCTTTATTTACAAGTTAGAAAATTAAGGCATCAAGAGGATATACAGTACATGTCATGGGGGATTGGTAATGAAGAAATGTTGGTCAAAGTGTAAAAAGTTTCAGTTAGACAGGATGAATAATTTCTGGAGCTATATTAAACAACATGGTGACTACAGTTAATAATTTACTATATACTACAAAACTGCTAACAGAGGAGATCTTTTTTTTTGAGAGGAGATCTTAAATGTTCTCACAACACCAAAAAAATGTTAAATATATGAGGTGATGAATATGTTAATTAGCTTGATTTAATTATTTCATAATGTTTACCTATATCAAAACATCATGTTATACACTAGAAATACATATAATTAAACATTAATAAAGTTGGGAAACACACACACACACGCATACACACATACAACTAGGGAATATTGAAGCCATGATTTCACCCAATGCTCTTTATCATTACATACTACTGTATCTCCATGTTTTTCATTGGGAATTTGACTTCCATCACCAGCCCCAGTTTCAGCCCCGCTGCCAGCCTACTAGTTCTACCCTAGAAGCAAACAGAAGTTACTGAACATAACAGAGAGAACTAACTAGATGAAGTTATGTAGCAAGTTGGTTAAGAATTAGACTGCCAACTCCATTTTACTCCTATTTTACCTGGGCCATTTGTTTAGCCTTCTTGTGTTTGATTTTCTCGTCTGTAAAATGGAAATGATGATAATGACATCTACTTGCACAGCTATTGTAAGGATTAAATGAGATAATCCTCATAAAACATTTAGTGTCTGCCACTTACATCATTTATTTGTGTTAACACACAAAGGCTACCTTTTTAAGCTTTGTATTCCTTGTGCCTACTTAATGCTTGGCTTATGGCAGGTTCTAGATAATTGTTTGATGCATTCATGACAACAAGGTATTCATTATCAAAGAAGTGTTTGATTCATTATCAAAGAAGTGTAATCCCACATCACAACCAGGTTTCATAGAAAATGTAGTCAGAGAAATTATTAAGGTCAGATATTGAGTTACCTAAAGGAGAAATAGCAGATACAAGCAAAATAAACATGACCACTGGGGCTAAGAGCAAAATCTAGGTCAAAGCTGGTAAAAGCTAAGGGAATAGAAGCAGGGCATTGGAATATGGGTGCATGCACCAGATTATAAAAGGCGACTTGTCTGCCATTCTTCTTCCCTTCCTACTGTAAACAAACATTTGCTGGCTATTTTCCATGTATCCAGTACTGTACTAGGCTCTGAGAATACAAGTAATAAGGCCATTGGAATTACTTGATTTGCCTATTTCCTTGTCATGCTTATTTGAACTGCAAAGCAGATTGCTACTAAAGTAGAGAAGGATTTCTCCTGCCTTAATTTCTACTGAGGCACCAGTATGTTCTATATCATATGCCAAATTGAGTGTGAGACAGATCACCATATACAGAATGTGTCCCTACCAAAAAGTTAGAGAAATGGTTCCCTACGTCATCTCACTCACTTTGGACATATAAACGGGTTAGAGAGAGAGAAAAAATGAAAATGGAAAATAACTTGAGATTTCTGCAGAAAGAGCCATGCTCTAAGTTCCTCCCACTTACCCAGAACAGAGGAGTTTCTGGTATTACCTCACTTCTCTCTGCCATAGTGAATGGACTTTCAAAGACACCAGTTGAAGAACAGGTGTTTCCTGAAGTTGATGGGCATGGAAGACTGCAACCTGGGCTAGCTAAAGTGATCTTTTGGGGGACAAGGGTTATGTGAGTGGTTTAGGTGGATCAGACCTGGATGCCTTGGTAGAGAAAGCTGGCATGGCATTGAGTTGGGTCCTGTGAGGTAGAGCCCCCTGGAGTAACAAGGAATCCCAGGATCAAGAAGCTAGAAGACATTGGATTCCTCCTAGGGACTGTGGAAGGGAGTCATCGTGGCTGTGCAATATAGAGATGACTCTGACAAGGTCAACAAACCTCAAGGTCGGGGGTATCCAGAAATGAGAATGCCAAAAGAACTCACAAAATGCCCACTGGAGAGAGTCACCTTAGGAATAAACCCAACCCACAAGAACCAATGCATGACCTTTTCTACCCCAATACATTTCCAAACCTCAACAGCATCAGAAACATGCTCAAAAGCTGGGATGAGATGATCCCAGAGAGAATTACAGCAAAACATAGAAAGACAGATGCCAACCATGACACTCTAACCACGTGGAGTTTTTCTTCTGCCCTTCCCTGCTCCAAAGGCAAATGGTAAAAAGTGCCCAATTTTTCAGCCATCCAATATTACCATAAAATTAGAAAATCCTAAATTTTCTGTATTTTTATGAGAATATACATTCACATATTCAAATAATGATTAACAATTTTATGAGTCATTGTGGTATACAGAGCACTTCCACTATTCATTGCTCTTGCAATGTCCCCCATGAATCATATCAGCTAGAAGAAGGCCTGACTTGGGAAAATGAACACATCTGGCATTGAATTAAGTTCAGTTTGTATTAACATCTTAAACTTGGCAAATCTTATTTATTCATTGAAACTATGTTTGTTTTTGTTTTTGTGTTTGTTGTTGCTGTGTTACTTTTTTTTTCTTTTGACAGAGGGTCTTACTCTGTCACCCCAGCTGGAGTGCAGTGGCACAATCTCAGCTCACTACCACCTCCACCTCCCAGTCTCAAGCCATCTTCCCGCCTCAGCCTCCCGAGTAGCTGCGACTACAGGGGCGTGCCACCACACCCAGCTTACTTTTGTATTTTTTGTAGAGACAGGGTTTCACAATGTTGCCTAGGCTGGTCTCAAACTCCTGAAATCAAGTGATTCCCTCAACCTCAGTCTCCCAAAGTGCTAGGATTACAGGCATGAGCCACTGTGCCTGGCTAGGTTTGTTTCTTTTTTTTTTTTTTTTTTTCCCAGTCTGTGACTTGTTTTGTTTGTTTGTTTTTTACTCTTTTTTTAAACTCTAAGTTCTAGGGTACATGTGTACAACATGCAAGTTTGTTACCTATGTATACATGTGCCATGTTGGTTAAAAGAGAAGGTAGGATATGCTAATACTTAAGTGTCAGCAGAAAAGTTATGGAACCTACCCAAGTTCTGACTCAGCAGCAAGAGATCATTTCTTTCATTGGATGTCTGAAATAGCAATTAAAGGAGATAATAATAAAGTCATGTTTATTTTACATGCCTTTAGTCATGTTTTTCCAAAAAGGTCTAATCTCACAACTAATCTCTCTCAATCTCTCTCTCTCTCTCTGTCTTTCTCTCTCTCTCTCTCCTATGTGTCTGTCTGTCTCTCTCTTTCTCAAGGGTCTTTGAATTCATCATTAAAAGGAATTTTAAAAAATAATATTATAACATGCCAACATAGGCAAATAACATACTCAACACAATTGAATTTGCATCCTCTATTAGGCAGTGTTCTGTTGCAGAGAACAGAACTCGCACACAAAGCACGTAGCCCAAATAGCATCTTGCACATACTAAGTGCTCCGTGAATAAAAGCTACTATTACTTTAAACACTACCTCTTGTGCATTGCTGAGGGATAAGCCATTCCTTATTTTTTCTCTTTATATGCTGTTCTGCCTGCTACTTACAAAGAAATATATTATGCTTTCTCTTTTAACTCATACCTTTTATTTGCACATACCAAGACTCTTTCTAATCATTAGAAATAATAAATTACTCTTGTGCATTCCAAACCCTGAAGAAAGTTAAATATTTACAAAGTTCTGCATGGTAAATAAAGAACAATTCATGGAGATCGGCCCTATAAGAATGATTCTTTATACACTTTTGGAAAGCTCCATCAGAAATTTTGGCCTCAACATTACAGGAATAATTCATCTTACCTTTAATGTTATCACTGCTTTTAACTTCCTCGTGGACCCATGCAAGAATGAAATGCAGCAAAATTAACAGGAGCTACTAGTCAAACTCGTATTCTTCCATAGTCTAAATTTTTGTTGCTGTCAATTGCAATCGCTTGAGTGACAAACTAGGGTGAAGCAAAATTTCTTCCCGTTTTTCTTCTACCCTTCCCTGCTCCAAAGCCAAATGGTAAAAACTGCCCGATTTTTCAGCCATTCAATATTACCATAAAATTAGAAAATCCTACATTTTCTGCATTTTTATGAGAACATACATTCACAGATTCAAATATTCAAATAATGATTAACTATTTTATGAATCTTTATGGTATACAGAGCACTTCCACTATTCATTACTCTTGCGATGAAGAGTACTTGCAATAAAGTCTAGCCCCCATGAGCCAGATTTTATTATTTCAAATTTAAGATTAAGATTAAAATTAAAATATTTAAGATTAAAATTAATCTTAACTTTAAGATTAAGAAACCAAAGTGTAAGATCAAGAAAGTAATAAATGCTGGAATTATTATATAACTCAACTATTAGACCTCTGAACCGAAATTCCTTGTTCATTTCAGTATTTCATGCTTTTTAAGTGTCTTCAAAGAAAAAAAGAAAATGCTTTCTGCTTTTCCTGAAAATTAGTCATCTATAAAGAAGTGGAGTGATCTAGCAGTTAGGACACATGAGGAGGACAGAGGGAACTCTGATTCTTCTTTTATACTTATTGAATGACCAGGAAATACAGCAAATACTCTCTGGGCCTTCAGACCTCCTCTTGTGAATAGACATTTTCACTGCCTTCTGGGGAAGCTAATGAGACTGGGAAGGGAGAAGATAAGGGTGAGGAGGTGTAACCGATCTTGCAAAAAAAGTAGAACGGATTTCAGCCTTTCCAACTGTGCAGCTTAGCATAGATCTTGGCAGGTGGTATGAACAAATTAAGGCAGGCTACAGAGAGATGATTAGGAAGATCTCAGCAGAACACCCAAAAGCATCTCTTGATAGCTGCAAATCCATCATTAGGCAGGGCTAAGGAAGCTTCATAGACTGATTCTATTAGTCAAAAACTCTGGTGAAACTCCCATTGTGGGCTGACTCAGTATACATGCAGTGTGGGCTGATCTGAAAGGATAAGGGATCTAAAGAAATAGAGAAAATGTTCATGAAGCACTTTGAACTCTTAAAACATAAACACTGCTAACTATGAAGTGCCATCAGCAATGACTGTTTGTGGTGCTAGAAGGGTGATGTTAATCGTGCATTACAAGTAAACTTGTTTTCTTACACCTACAAGAATAGTGGCTGATAAACCTGACTTACCAGATAGACATAGTTCTTAATCTCACTGTCACAAAGGAAAAGGTTTTATCATAACAGCATTGTTTGTTCTCTTTCTATGCCATACCTTAAAATTGCTCACCTTCATCATTGCTTTGTGAGCTACATTCTTCCTTTTTCTAAAGGCCTACAGTGAAGAGTTCTACCTCCAAATATCATCTTGCCTTCTTCCCCTATTAGCTACCTCCTCACCCTTCTCTTACCTAACAATCCCTTCCGTTTACATTCACATTATTACACAGATATGTCCAAATTTAAGAAAGTTTAAGAAATAGAAAAAAATTTGAACTTATAAATATAGTAATCATGAGACATGTTTCTCAAATATTCCTTTGTTTTACAAAATATTAGCATAATCTTGTAAATATTCTCCAAAGTACACTTTAAAATGTTTAACATATCTTTAAGTGTATTACCAAGAACCATTCCAATTGCATAAAATGAGGTGCCCTTATATTATCTTCCTTTAGAGAGTCATTGGAAAGCAAAAACAAAACAAAACAAAACAAAACAAACAAAAAAAGAATAGGATCAGATGTAATCCTCAATATTGTGTTACCATGTTCTTATACTGTGTTGGCCTCAGCAACACTATGAAATGGGTACTACTAGGTCAGCCAATAGATTTAGCAAAACTTACAGCTTAGTTTTAATTGGACTTCACTACAAAGATCATTTCAGGCCCTGATTGCTTTTTGGCATGGACAATTTTGTATTTCCTCAACATACTAATGAGTCTTGGGATTTATAAAACGGGGGATTGGGCCATTTTAATACTCCACAGTCTACAAAAGACCACTCAACTCTAACCCATCCTTCAAAATCACAAGTAAATCGTTGTGAAAAATATACTGGAGAAAAGTTTTGAACAGTTATTTCCTAACTATTTGCAAGGTATAATGTCTTGCACACAGAATTCTTTCAATATAGAAACCAAAAGCCAATTTTACATTTGTCAAAATCCCCTCAGCATGGTTGTTCTCTTAAGCCCCTCCAAGACATGAAGAAAACCAACATTTTAGAATGGTCTAAAATTCCATCCCATGAACACCACAGGAAGCTCTGTTGCAGAAAGAAAATCATGCTGACAAATACATACAAGCTAATTTCTCAATTAGGTTAGCAAAAGAAAAATATATTATCCTCCATAAAAAAAAATCTGTGCTTCTGTTCATAACAGCAAAGACATGAAATCAACCCAAATGCCTATCAGTGATAGACTGGATAAAGAAACGGTGGTACATATATACCATGGAATACTATGCAGCCATAAAAAAGGAATGAGATTATATCCTTTGCAGAGACATGGATGGAGCTGGAAGCTATTATCCTCAGCGAACTAATGCAGGAACAGAAAACCAAGCACCGCACGTTCTCACTTGTAAGTGGGAGCTGGGCGATGAGAACACACAGACACATGGTGGGGAACAACACACACGGGGGCCTGTCAGAGTGGAGTGGGGAGAGGGAGGGCAGCAGGAAGAATAGCTAATGCATACTGGCGCTTAACACCTAGATGGGTTGATGTGTGCAGCAAACCACCATAGCACATGTTTACCTATGTAAGAAACCTGCACATCCTGTGCATGTACTCCTGAACTTGAAGTAAAAGTTGAAGTAAAATATTTGACGGAGTCTTGCTCTGTCACCCAGGCTGGAGTTACAGTGGCCTGATCTTGGTTCACTGCAACCTCTGCCTCCCGAGTTCAAGCAATTCTCCAGCCTCAGCCTCCCCCATAGCTGGGATTACAGGCCACCACGCCCGGCTAATTTTTGTATTTTCAGTAGATATGGGATTTCGCCATGTTGCTCAGGCTGGTCTCAACTCCCGAGCTCAAAGTGATCCACCCACCTCTGCCTTCCAAAGCGCTGGGATTACTTCAGTGTTAGCCACTGCACCCAGCCGATTTTTAAATTATCTTATCAGGTACTTCATCAAATTAAAATTCATTGAATTGTATTCAATTTCTCTACTGAAAAATTAATATGAAAGCAATCATATAGCATTCAGAATTAAATAAATATTTAGAGAATTTTAAAGAAAAATCTATGCTTAACGTGGAGCCAACTTTATACTCTCACTTTTCTTTCCCTAGAAGATTTTAAAACTAACAATCAAGGTGCTTCAAATTAATTAATGAGTGTCGGGCCAAGGTGAGGTCACTGCTGGGGAGGAGATAGCCTTAGTGGCCTTAGCATCAGGAGACAGTTACAAAACAATCCCATGCCTTCTTCCAGATTCCAGAACTAACCAACTTGTGGGAAAATAAAGAGAGAAATGTAAGAGAAGAGTCCCTCCTAACCCACTAAAAAGCTATAAAATTTTGTGTATTCTCACAGAGCTGTGGCTACATCCACATCACATATATAGTCGGTTTCCTTAAGATAAAAGAAGAGAAGTTACAGATCAAGACATGTTTCTTCACTTCTATCTAGCTCTGACCCAGTATATAGATATCATAAATTATTATTTTTTTTATTTTTAGGTTCTGGACTCCCCCACTAAGATTATCAAATATCAAGCAACACTCAGTCTCCTTCAGATAATCCTGAAAAAGCTTGCTAGCGAGACATCACTCAACCTATGTTTTGATCTTTAGAAATCTATACCATCAGAGTGAACAGGCAATCTATAGAATGGGAGAAAATTTTTACAACCTACTCATCTGACAAAGGGCTAATATCCAGAATCTACAAAGAACTCAAACAAATTTACAAGAAAAAAACAAACAACCCCATCAAAAAGTGGGTGAAGGATATGAACAGACACTTCTCAAAAGAAGACATTTACTCAGCCAAAAAACACATGAAAAAATGCTCATCATCACTAGCCATCAGAGAAACGCAAATCAAAACCACAATGAGATACCATCTCACACCGGTTAGAATGGCAATCATTAAAAAGTCAGGAAACAACAGGTGCTGGAGAGGATGTGGAGAAATAGGAACACTTTTACACTGTTGGTGGGACTGTAAACAAGTCCAACCATTGTGGAAGTCAGTGTGGCGATTCCTCAGGGATCTAGAACTAGAAATACCATTTGACCCAGCCATCCCATTACTGGGTATACACCCAAAGGATTATAAATCATGCTGCTATAAAGACACATGCACACGTATGTTTATTGCAGCACTATTCACAATAGCAAAGACTTGGAACCAACCTAAATGTCCAACAATGATAGACTGGATTAAGAAAATGTGGCATACATACACCATGGAATACTATGCAGCCATAAAAAATGATGAGTTCATGTCCTTTGTAGGGACATGGATGAAACTGGAAACCATCATTCTCAGCAAACTATTGCAAGGACAAAAAACCAAACACCGCGTGTTCTCACTCATAGGTGGGAATTGAACAATGAGAACACATGGACACAGAAAGGGGAACATCACACTCCGGGGACTGTTGTGGGGTGTGGGGAGGGGGGAGGGATAGCATTAGGAGATTAGGAGATATACCTAATGCTAAATGATGAGTTAGTGGGTGCAACACACCAACATGGCACATGTATACATATGTAACAAACCTGCACGTTGTGCACATGTACCCTAAAACTTAAAGTATAATAATAATAAAATAAAATAATAAATAAATAAATAAAATCCAGAATTTCTGGGGTTTTCTCAAAAAAAAAAAGAAAAAAGAAAAGAAATCTATCCAGCAATTTTGAAAGCCTTTTTGACTACAGGAACAAACTAGTTCTGGTAAAATACACCACATTTTGGGTTAGGATTCCAAAGATTGAGCCTTAGGAATAAAGATAAACCAGAAGTGGTTCAATCTTTGCAGAGGCTAAAGTATGGCTTCATATTGTATCAATTTCTATAATTAGAATGAGATAATCTGGGATTACTGGTATCCCTAGCCAAAAGAAAACATACAATTAATAAGGTCTAGGATGACACTATCTGGTGCTTCAAATTAATTTTATAGTTTTTCATATACATTGTTTAGCACAATCAAGAATAACCCAACAATGTATTTTAAAACCAAGAAAAATAAGAGACAACAGTTCTAGAGCTACAGGGCACCTAGGTTATGAAATTTTTATACACAGACTTTAAGCATTTAATAATATGTCCAAAGATACAAGAAAAACATACACTAAGAACTTTAACTAAGAAAAAAGAAACTATAAAATAAAACCAAACAGATTTTCTGGACATGAACAGTATAATAATTGATACTAAAAATTCAATGAATGAGTCTAAAATTAGATCATACATAGCTAAGGAGAAAATTAGTGAACTGGAAGCAAAATTGGAATAAATAATCAAAATGAAGCATGAAGAGATTAAAGTATGCAAAATACAGAATAGAAAGTAAGAGATACAGGAGATACCATGAAGTCTAACTTTGAAATCCCAGAAGAAAAGCAAAAAGTGAATGAGGCAGAAAGAAGGAATTTTAAAGTTATAGAGAAAGCCTCTTTCAAAGGAATTAAAATCAGCTGGCTTTAGCAATACTTTCTGCAACAATCCATGTCAGAAGAAAATAAAATGACAGAATTCTCAGTCATGGCCCAAGAATTGTATAAGCAACTTAACTGCCATTTTCCTAAATTCAGAAGCAAACTGTGAAAGTTATTCTCTTTTAACTAAAAGAAATGAGCATTGAAGTGCATGATAATTATATTAATATGTTTTACATTTTAGTGATAAAATGGTTTTAATATGTTATTATGCTCTTCTGGACTTTAAATAACTTTTCACATATTATATATATATATATATTTTACTTTAGTACTTGTGAATATGAAGTTTATTAGCCTATAAAAATCCAAAGCAAAAAGTATCCTACAATTGCTTTAGGTAAGGTTTAAAATATACCTTAAGTTTCAAAGAACAAGACAGCAAATATTTGACATAGTCCTCAGTTAAATATTCTTAACAAAATAAATGTGACCAAGAGGTAGCTGAACTCCAGGGAATTTTTGCCTAGTGATGTGACACTGAGTAATCAACTGAAGATAAAATCAATGCCCAGGGAAATTTTTAGTTGTAAAAGCTAATTTTTAATAATAAAATATGTTCAAATTTCATAAAGTTTCTCTCCCAAAAGCTGCTGACAAAAATTTTGCAATCCCTGGGCACTACAGAAAGATGTCTCATGTGAGAGCCAATTAACGTAAGGTGTATTTGGATTCTGTTTGATATAGCATGAGATGAGCTTGATCAGACTAGTATTTAGCAGTGTGTGCTTTTGAAGTTGAGGGAAATTTGTTTATAAATTGCTTAACTCATTTAGCAATGAATATCTCTGGCATACTACCAGGTACCAAAGTTATCTGAAAAGATTCATTTACTTCTAAAGGTGAATCATTTACTACTCACTCTCTAGTTGGGTGAGGTCAGTATTGGTAAAACTTTTCCAATATTGTCTTAATAATATTCATTTCCCAGACTCATAGGAGGGAAAATGTACTCGGTACACACAGCTTCTGGATAATTGTGCTCTATTATATCAAGCTTGATGAGTTGGCTCAAAAAACAATATACATATGAAATTTCTTCACAATTCCAACACCTTGTAAAGGCCACTGGATTCCACATCCCTACAGGATTGACTTGAAGATCATTTCAAGAAGGGGGTCCTTTTAGATCATGTGGTAATGCTGTCGTTGTACAGAAAATAAAATTTAATGCTGAAATAATTATAGAGGCAACTCCATAATAGCAGTGATTTAGAAAATTATTCTCTTTAGGAAATTGAAATATTTTTTGAAAGCCTCATTGAAATCAAAGAGAAAAGGAAATAGAACTCTGAGCAGAGAAAAAGCAAATATCAAACCTACAGAGCATACAGAGCATAGTTCATGTGTGAGTACTAGCAGAAAAGAGGTCAACAACACTAAAACTAGAATCCAAAACAGGGTTCACCAGTCAGAACAAAAGTCAGACTAAGAAAGATAAGCAGCCCAGTCCAGAGTCATTCCACAGATAAGCATGAAACTATTAGATGAACAAGGATATTGGGCAATCTATCTCATGTATGAAAGGAGAACTGACCAATAGCTTTGGACTTTGTATGATGCCGATGTGGGTCAATATCACTCTGCTCTCACCAATCAAGGGGCTTTATCTGGCACTTACACACTGGCAGGACAACGTTTTCAATGTAAGTTCAGTGATTTTAGGTGTAGCCAAATCTTCCCTTTAATGCAAAGCCTTCTTAGTTGACAAACTCATTTGATCTGAATAGATTTTCAAAGATCAAAACATAGGATGAGCAAATAAAATAAACATAGGATCCAAATAAATATGTCAACCTATGGATTAAACAGTAGAATGGAGGGGAGGGAGTAAGAATCAGTGAACTGAAAGGTAGAATACTCGAAATTATTCTACCTGAAGACAGAAAATAGGATGAAAAAATAAAGAGACCAATTGGATTATAACAGGTCTAACACATCACCGGTGTTCTGGAAAAAAAAAAAGAGAGAGAAACAAAACAGGGTTTAAAAAGTATTCAATAAAATAATGGATGAAAACTTCTCAAATTTGACAAAAGGCATAAACCTACAAAGTCAACAGCTGGGAAAACCCCAAACAAGATCAACCTAAGAAAATTTACTCCAAGATACATTGTAATCAAACTTGTGAAAACTAAAGAAAATATATATATATATATATTGGAAGCAGGGAGGAAAATGACATATTATGTATAGACAAGAAACAATTTGAATGACAGTGGATTTCTCATCAGAAACCACAGAGGCAGAATAAAGTGGCACAATTTTCAAGTACTGAAAATAAAGAAATATCAACCTAGATCCTATATCTGGAGAAGATATCCTTCAGAAATGAAGAGCAAATCCATACATTCTCAGGTGAAAAAAAAAAACTAAGAGAATTTGTCATTAACAGATATATACTGTAAAAAAAATAGATTAAATTATCTAAACAGACAGAAACTGATTTTTTGTTTTGTTTTTTTTTTTAAAGAGCCTTGGAACATCAGGAAGAAAGAACATGGTAAACAAAAATATGGTGAATACAATATTTTCCTTCTCCTCTTGAGCTTTCAAAATTATGTTTGGTGATAGATGCAAAAATGTGATGTGGCTCTAAATGCAGGTAGAGAAAAAATTTCAGACAATTTTATTGTAAGTAAGTGAGGGAAATATATATAAAAGAAGGCAATGTTTCTCAATGCCACTCAAATTAGTAAAATTATGAAACCAATAGACTATGATAAGTTATGTATAAGTAATGTAATACCTAGAACAATTGTGAAAAAAGCTATTCAGAAACACTATAAACAAAATAAAATAGAACTAATAGAAACCTTCCAGTAACTCATAGGAAGGTAGGAAAATTAAAAAAAAAAACAGAGGGAACAACAGAAAACAAAACAAAAAAATGATATGCTTATGTCTTACATATCAGTAAGTACACTAAATAAAAATGGTCCAAATCTACAAATTAAAAAATAGAGGGTGAAAGAATAGACTGGCAGAGTATATGACCCAACTATTCACTGTCCACAAAAATTCACTTTAAGTAAAACAATATAGGCAGGTTAAAAGGAAAAGGATGGAAAAAAACACCTAATAAAATAGGCTTTAAAAAAAGAGAAAATTATTAGAGATAAAGAGGCCCATTATAAAATGATAAAAGGGTTAATCCACCAAAAATACATAGCATTATTAAAGTGTATGTGTCAAACAACAGAGATGCAAAATACGTGGGGAAAAAAACAATAGAACTGAAAGAATAAACCCACAATTTTAGTTGTTTTCTTCAACAACTAACTCTCGACAATTGATAGAACAACTACACAGTTAATCAGCAAAGATAAGGAACTCAGCAACACTATCAACGAACAGGATATAATCAACTTTTATAAAACAGTTCACCCAATAATAGTAGAATACACATTTGGTCAAGTGAGCACAGAACACATACCGGGATAAACTATATCCTGAACCATAAAAGAAATATCAACAAATTTTTTAAAATTGAAATCATACAGAATGTGTTCTCCAACCACAAATAACTAAAATTACAAATCAATAAGAGAAAGATAGCAGAAAAATGTCCAAGTTTGGAGACCAGACCACAGTAACCCATTGATAAAAGAGGAAGTCTCAAGGGAAATTAAAAAATATATTGAACTGAATGAAATGAAAATACAATATATCAAAATTTCTGGAACACACTAAAGCAGTGCTGAGAGATAACTTTAGAGCACAAAATTCATGCATTACAAAAAAAAGAAAAGTTTCAATTCAACAATCTAAGCTCCCACTTCAAGAACAAAAAAAGAAGAGCAAACTGAATCAACAGCAAGGAAAATGAAAGAAATAATAAAGGTAAGAACAGAAATCATTGAAATTAAATACAGAAAAATGAATGAAACAAAGAGCTGTTTTTCAAAGATCAATTAAATTGACAACCTTTTGCAAGACTGAAAAAGTAAAAAAGATAAAAGACATAAATTACCAATACCAGAAATGAAAAAGAGAATATCACTATGGACCCTACAAATAACAAAAGAAAAATGAGGAAATGCTATAAGTTACTTTACACACATAAATTTGAGAAAGGAGATGAAATGGGCCAGTGTCTTAAGCTTTCACAATGAACCTCATATGAAATAGATAATTTAAATGTGCTTGTAAGTATCAAGGAAATTGAATTTATAATTTTTAAACTTCCAAGAAAGAAATCTCCAGGTCCAGGTAATTTCAATAGAGAATTCTTCCAAACTTGATGAACTCCACTTTTACACATTCTCTTTTAGAAAATTAAAGAGGGAAGAAGCTAATATTTTGTGATGTTAATATTACCTTGATACAAATACCTGATAAAGTTAGTCAGACAAACAAACAAACAAAACTACAGACCGATATCCACCATGAACATAGACACACATAATTTATTGCATATTTCAAAATAGCTAGAAAAAGAGAATTGTTAATGTTCCCAAAACAAACAAAAGATACATGTTTGAGGTGATGGCTATCCCAGTTACCCTGATTTAATCATTACACATTGTACACATGTATCAAAATATCACATGGACCCCAAAAAGTATGTACAACTATGATATGTCAACTTAAATTTTTTTTTAAAGTTAGCAAAGCTTAGAGATTTTTTTAACAGTTGCTCATCTGAATCGGCATGACCCCTAAAGTTTAACTCTAAAAAAGTCAATATAGCCCTGGTGTGGTGGCTCATTCCTGTAATCCCAGCACTTTGGAAGGCCAAGGCAGTGGATCATTTGAGGTCAGGAGTTCGAGACCAGCCTGGCCAACATAGTGAAACCCCCATCTCTACTAAAAAGAAAAAATTTACATAGCCAGGTGTGGTGGCAGGGTCTGTAATTTCAGCTACTAGGGAGGCTGAGGCAGGAGAATCATTTGAACCTGGGAGGTGGAGGTTGCAGTGACCCATGCACCACTGCACTCCAGCCTGGGGGACAGAGCGAGCCTCTGTCTCAAAAAAAAAAAAAAAAGTCAATATGATAAACATATATTTGTTTCACAAATTTTATTTTTAACCACACTCAAGATTAAATATGCAAAAGACCTTTTAAAGACAAGTTAAAGACCAAGAGCAAATATTTGCAAACCACATGTTCAACAAAGGACTACTATTTAGTAACTAGAATATATAAAAAATTTTCAAACCCCAACAGAAAAAAAAATCCAATTAATAAGTAGGCAAAAGACATGAAGAGACATTTCACTGGAGAAGATATACAGATGGCAAATAAGCACATGAAAAGATGTTTGACATCATTAACCGTTAGAGAAATGCAAATTAAAACCACAAAGACATATCACTACACACTTGTCAGAATGACTAAAATAAAAAATTGTGACAACGCTACGTGCTGCCAAGGATGCAGAGCAACTGGATTATTCACAGTCTGCTACTAGGAATGTAAAACGGTGCAGCCACCCTAGAAAATACTTTGCCAGTGTCTTCAAACACCAATCGTGCAACTACCATAAGATCAGATGGCAATTACACTCTTAGGCATTTATCCTGTAGAAATGAAGACTTCACACAGAAACCTGTGCATGAATGTGTATAGCAGTTGTATTCATAATAGCCCAAAGCTGGAAATACCACACTGCACTTTGTGCACTGGAAGTATGCATTTGGAGTATTTTAGTTATTTGCTTTTATGTCTTTCTTCTCTAACTAAAAAGTGACATGTTTGAGGTCAGAGGGTTTACCTACCTGTGAAACGTAGTATAGAGTATTAAAGGAGGCCACATCTGGAGCCAGCCCAGGTGGTTCAAGTCCTACATGCTAATTCTCTGGCCTTGGATAAGTAATTTAATGTCTCTTTGTCTTTATTTCTTCATCTGTAAAAATGACAATAAAAAGGCACGTATACCTGCAACGGACTTGGAAAAGCTGCTGACACAAAGGAAGCTCACATCACAAACACCTGGCTTTTAATATCTAGCTCAGAGTTTGGCGAAATAGTAAGTGACTCAATAAATATTTATTGAATGAGTGAATGGGTAAGCAAATGAATGAATGCTTAAAGTTCTGAAATATTTTCCCCACCATATTTAAATTGTTGACTCCTTTCTATCCCTAGTACAATAAATCTAATCAAGGGCCTTATCATATCTCGTTATTCTAACATAATAAACCATGACCTAATAAATGAGATAATGCTTAACACACTTAGCCGAATGCTTGACATAAAATAAATACTCAGTAATTGTAGCCACGGTTAAATTACTTTAGTCTTTTGAACTCCACAATTCTGTCACAGGAAATCATTCTCTACTTGCTCCCATAATAAAGTTTAAGTGTAAATCTCTTAGCATAACATTTAAAATCTTACAAGCTGACTTTAATCTAGTTTTATGTGCAAAGAAAGTACTCAGTAAATAATAGCTATAAATATATTTACTATCTTTCTCTCTAGATTATTTCCCGCATCCTATATTTCAACTCCAAATTAGTATTTCCTGAAGAAGCCATGGCTTTATTTGAAACCTTCTTCCTCTCTTCCTTATCTGACAAATATTTTATCTTTCATAAAGCCTCCATGTCATCTCCTATCTCTACCTAAGCTCCACCTATCCATCTATCCCTCAAAATCACTCACCAATCATTCATTGATTATCTTTTTACCTCTGGTGGCCAGCACATGCCTGGCACATAGTAATGCTTACTAGTGTCTGTTGAATTGAACTGAGGAGAAGAGAAAGAAGTTTTAAAGCCAACAGTTTTCAAAAATCTTAAAACCTGTGCTGGTTTCTTCAAAATGTAATCATTATAATTGAGTATCACATGCAATGCTTGGGAAAGTGCTTGAGTTTCTAAGAAGTGGGGCATTTACTTTAAAGATATTATTAAAAGTTGCAACAGGAATTGCCTAGGAAACCCTGAGTGTGTCTCTAAGGGGTGCATCTAAGCTTGGTGTTAAAGGAGGCTGCATCATTCTTGGATCCCTTCTCTCCTTCAGTCCCTGCCTTCAGGGAGCTCTCCTCCTAGACACCTTAGCCATGTGCTGTCAAAAGCTCCCAAACACACACTTGTGGGTCCGCATTCTTGCTGTATCTTTTCCATCTTTTTTGGTGATATTCATTCTCTTTCCCATCAACAATCCCAATTCCTAGGGTCCTATTTGCAGCTACTTTAAATTATATTAATAACTTGACAACTAACAGAATTTACTGTTTTTCTTCTGTGTGTATCCCTGTTATATTATTTGAGCCCTTGAGTATTTGAGGTGGTTTCTGGTTTGACTTCAAAAGTCTCAGCCAGAAATTTTACCTCATCCTTCAAATTACTGCCACCAGATGCAGTGCCAATGATGAGAACGGAGGCTTTACAGAGCACTGAGACCAACTTTGTATAAACCTTAGTTTTCAAAAACTTAAACTTCTATTTTAAAATAAATCCATTTATATGCACTATATAATTGCATCAAATAATTCTCAGAGTAAAGACACCACTATCACAATACACGAATCCACTACTTATATTGACTTAATTTTCTGTGTGGTAAACTTTTCTGACAAGCTTTTGATAGACTTTTTAAAATAAATTTTTTATCAAAATGTTTCCCACTTCTTTCACTAGGTAGTTCCTTTTTTCATTAATAATTTACTCTTTGACCAAAATTGTCTATACAGAAATAGGGTGCTCTTTCCCTGGCTAGTTTTAACTCTTAAACATTGTTTCAAACTGACCGCCTATTTTACTGAATCCTCACTTTTTCATCACTTAGGAAACAGAAGTATAACGTAATTTAAAATCTATGTCTTTGTTTTCTCTTTCCTTATACATGTGATACCAAGTCTGATTTTATAAACACATTTTCCACCTGTAACCCGAGCAAATGTCACAGGCTCCTCATACCTCTTAACATAGAACTTGCAGCAGCTCCAGGCTAATTCCACACCCCCAAACTCCCACCAGCTCAAGGCCTCTGATCCACAAGTCACCAGCACCTGCAAAGCCATCTGGGGTGCAATGGGGCAATGCCTCTCTCCTACTTAACTTAATCTCTAAATGTAGGAATTCTCAGAATTGTTTTTCAAACTTCACTGTTTATACTTCTAGTGAAATTTATTTTTCTATTTTCACTTATTCTCTCTCCCTTTCAAAGGACAAACACCACACTTTCATGTTCAGAATGATTTTTCCTCTTCAACGTCTAAGGCTTTATGGCTCAACCAAGCATGGGGTCTGGCTTTTTGCTTTGGGATAAATTTTCCACCCAGACATGCTCAGCCTGTACAAACAGTTCTGTCAACTGTCCCACTATCTCATCAGACATGTCCAGCATGCCTGAACCCTGGGAGGGGACAAAGCCTAGGCTCACCTTGATGCCCTACTTGCATAGTAAGACTAAATTAAGGACTAAGACAAACATCGGCTGTATGAATTTTTTTATTCATAGCCCTCTACGAATTTTTTTATTTTGAAAGAGAACATCTGAAAATGAGAATACTTTAACCCAAAGAAACAAATGCCTAAGGGCAAAACTTCTGACAGCAAGTAAGGACATGTTTTTAGACACTTCTCTCAAATTACTTTGTAAACAGGACCACAGAAGCAGACCCCTCAAAAAATCTAGGCCTTTCTTAACTCAAGCACAGAAACACTCTCAAAGAACATCATGGGCCTTGCAGACAGCCTGCAGCCCTGGGTCCTAAGTAGCCTGGGACATGCAAACATCTGCACTCAGGGGCTGGCCAGCTGCCACCCACAAAGAAAAGCTTCCCATAGGTTTCCTACAGTGATTTTAGGATCCAAAAACAACCTGACATTTGTGTTTTACCACTAATTACTCAAACAATCAACCCACTGTTTTCCAATACTACCTCTAGTTTCTTTCATTTCCATCCAAGGTTTCTTTTTGAAATAAAAGTTATTTCTCATCTGACTGCTTTTGCTTTCCATTTGTGGAGACTTGTGAAAATCTTTCCTCGAGATGTGTTTTATGTTTAAAACCATCTAGGGCTGATCTTTATTCTATTTTTAGAAAGCTTCTTTTTCAGAGTATGTGAATAGTGTTTGATGGCATAGTTGTTAGATTGAGAATTTGCTCGATGTGGGGCTAGGGAGAAGTGGGGCGCTGATATTTATAGAGCACTATACTGGGCTCTTCAGGATGAGTAGTGCCGTATTGCCTTCATTTCAAAGATGAGGAACAGAGGCACCAAAAGACAAAGAAATATACTCAAGACCTACTCTTAATACATATAGCAATTCATTTCCCACCGTGCCTCTTAATGGGCGCTCTTTTATTTACCATGTTAGAAGAGTATATCTGCCTTGTGTTTGTCTCCAAAAAAAAGTCTCCATTGTTTTGTCTCGTGTGTGTGTGTGTTTTCTATCTCAGAGATGCACAGTTCTAGATTTAATCCATATTTTGTGACAGAGCCCTAGCCTGTAAATGTGCACTCTCTCTTCCTGGAGAACTACTCTTTTGGATGAAATTACTTGGGGATATTTTGCCAAATTACAGCTATTATTGAGACATAAAATCAAGCTGTAAGATTTGAATCTGCAATCTCAAAAGATCTTGCTTCTAGATGGTAGAGTTAATTGCTACCTCTATCAATTAGTTGGAAAAGTTCCTTATTATAAGAAAATTTTGGCACGGTTGACCGGGAAAACAGTGAGGCTTAAAGTCTATAACAATTTGATAAGCTGCAATGAAATGCAAAATGAATATTAATATAAATTGGTAAACATAAGTCAGATATATTAGGTGAAGGTTGCATAAAGTCAAGTATTTGTATAGAACGTATCTGGAATTCTAGGTACTTAACTTTCCTCTGTAAATGCTCCTGAATTTTTCTTTGTGTGGGCAGCTTTGCTAAAGAATCTCACAAACAAATACTCAACAAGTGAGGTCAGGTTGGTTAAGTATCTGTGGAAAAATAAAATGTGTAAACAAGAATATAAATCTTTGGGTCAAGACTGCCTAGAAGAAAACACAGCACCTATGTACAAATACAACTAGGATTCCTAAACCCTGAAGTAATTTGCAATACATTATCTGGTAGCGTCTTGCATATAAAGGACAAAGTGGCCAAAGCCCCGATTTGGGCAAAATTCATGTCACCTGCTTTGAATTGATCCTCATTTAAATAATTGAGTTATGTTAAAAATAATTTTTTTATTTTTAAAAATATTTTCCCTTCAGAGGAAGATCTGAGTGTAAATAATATATATAGTATCTCTTTTCCCTATGTTGGGACCAGATCTGTGGCACATCAGCCTACTCATTCTCAGTAAAAACACTCCCCAATTTTCCCAAAGTCCCCCTCCTCTGGAAAATTCTATCATCTTCACAACACAAACACCATCTCCTGGTCCTAGTACTGTACTCATTGGCAGCATCTTTCACTTCTCATGTATTATGCATTATCTTGTATTATTTATCTTTCATAAATGATTATTTATATCTTACATGTGCAGAATCTGCACACCAACAATAGAACATAGAGTCCTAGAAGCAGAGGTAGACTAACCATCTTTATAGGATCCTCAGTGCCCAAAGCGCTGTTATACATGAAGAAGGTACACGATGCAGAGCTGTTGACTTGCTTAGCATTTTTTTTATTTTAACCAGGGTTATCTTCTTTAATAAGCACAAAATATTTGAGCTTAAATATTTTAATAATGTGAAAAGCAGAATCAGTTCAATTTTTTTAGTTCATATATATTATCTTTATTGCAATTAATATGGATATATATTTGGTGCTGAGATAGTCACTAATGAAAATTTAAACAATGCAAGAATTATAGAATTAAAATTCCAGAATAGACCTTGAGAGGTTGTCAAATCATCCTTCTCCTTCAGCATAAATGATCTTTTAACTGCTTGTTTCACAGCATAGAAAAATGTTATAATGTCCAAAATTATTTTTATCTTGCCTTTGATATATTATGTTATTAATTAATAATTCTTGTATATTATGATTTGATTGAAAAGTTTTGGTACCTATCTACTACTCTATAGTTGCCAGACGATGCTGAGGTATAAATCTTTTCAAAGCTTTGAAACTTCCAGGCATTGGTTCATTTGCTGCTTTGGCAGATCTAACAAATGTTTCTCAATTTTATTATTCCATTTCCTTTTCAATGATCCAATGCTTCTTAGAGTTTTTCACCTCAGTATTTTGATATAGAAATTCAACTGACATTCAGCATGTACTTCATTCTAGCCTCAACTAATCCATAAAGCAGATATGTGATGAAATTGCCAAGAATCTCTAGATCTTACCAAGAATTTTGACTTTTTGGAAGGTACAGAGGTATACATAGCATAGTAATACAAAGCAACATGACAAATTAACTGATGAAAATGGTACTTTTTTAATTTTTTAAAAATGTATCAACCTTTAACAACCTAAGGTAATAAATTTTGAATAAAAGCTGAAAGCCTTCCCCTAGCTGTTTCCATACCATATCCAGTTTATGGAACTTGACCCTGTGTTAACTCAAAGCCTAATCTCAGGAGGCCAGCACTGAAACTAACATGGGAGGCTCATAATAATGAGCAGAATATCCAGCGTGCCATCCAGTGCCCAAACTCCTGCTCAAATCTCTAATATCATTAACCTTGAACCCTAGTCCCAATGCTGAGAGAGATTTAAGAAACTGCTGCCCCATAGGAATATTTTGAGATGTGCCAGAATTGGGAAGAACTATATTGTTTGTGAGAGAACCTAGCGGACAACTCTGAAGAAGGAAATCTGATTTCACAACTGAACTATAAAATCCCAGGGGACTTGAGACAAGTGGCAACTTTAGAAGAGAAATCTCAATAAGAAGGAAAAAAATGGGAAATTGGAGTAAGGAAGTAGTGAAAGGGAAAAGGGAGGAGGGAGGCTAAGGCCAAATCTGAGAATTTCTTAGGGAGTAGGAAGGCAGGTAGCCCTTTCTCACCACTTTCTGAAAGCTGCCTCCTCCTCAACTCTCTCTCTCTCTCTCTCTCTCTCTCTCACACACACACACACACACACACACACACGCATGCAAAAGCTTATGCACACACAGACATACATATTCTAAAAGGTATTAGATTACAAAAGAGTTGATTATAATAATCCTCACTGAGATGCTTGGCTAATCAAAGGAGAATGTCAGGAAAACAATCCTTGCCCTGCCCAGTAAGGCAGGAGGGTTGATGAAGATGGGAGAGGAGGACAAAGGAGTTGAACATTGAAGGGGAGCTTGGAACAGCACCAGAACGCCTGTCAGCATATTCATATCTGGCATCTGCCTCCCTGACAGATTGGAATCTTCCCAGAGCACAGTGCCTTTGCTTAGTGGTTTCTCACCATGCCTGTAAGAGAGAACGCTGCTCCACAGGTGAAGACATCTGTTAGAGGTGGTGCTATTCCCCTTCCCTGAGACATTTCTGTTGTTAAAGTCTTAGACACAAACTATTGTTTAGACAAATCTGCCAAAGATTTATTATTACTACTACATTGTTTTAGAATTTACGAAGATTGGTTTATTTAATTATTTTAATGTCATTATACATATTTGTCTTTAAACGGGCATATATAATTGTATATAATTGCATGAATAATCAAATTATTTATCTTTATTTTACTTTAAGTTCTAGGATACATGTGCAATATTATTACTACTTTTAATAACATAAAAGCTAGAATTGCAATATCCCTAGTTTAACTTAATTGAATAAATTTTTGTTTCAGCATCTTATTTCAAAAAAAAGATAGCTAAATTGTATTCATTAATAACACCCCAGAAGTTCAGATTTTAATGCAATCAAGGAAAAAACTTTGTTAGGAAGTGTGACCCAAAACCGAATAGATTGCCTTTAGTGAGACTGAGATCATCACTACTTAACTTGTTCAAGCAGAATCTGGGCCTTAATTAATATTTAGAAAAGATTCATAAATCAGGTAGTTAGTGAAGTCAAATGTATGTGGGGCAATGTATGTACACAGAAATAAAGTAAATATGACAAAATGTTAGCAATTTTTGAATCCAGGTAGAAAATATATGGGTGTTCATTATTGTTCTCCTTTTCTGTATGCTTAATAATTTTTATGAGATATCAAGAAAAAAAGTATGCAAACTTCCTATGTGCATAACATGACCATTTGTCAAATTATTATATTATAATTGAAATGTTTTGTGACCCTTTTTCACAAACATATTATAGGTTCTTCTCCATAATAAATTTCTGTTTACATTATCATTTGTAATAGTAGTCTATTGCATGGTTTTGCTTTTATTTTTTCAAACTAATTCTCAAATGTAGATATTTAGATGGTTTCCATTTTGTGTTACGTGTGAAGCAGCAATGAGTATCTCACATATACATCTCATCTTTGAGGACTTTTTTCATTTTCATATAACCAATCTATACATTTTTCTTTGGATTTTGGTTTTAGCTGTCATGTTTAAAATCATTCCTCACTTCTAGAATATGAAAATCTTGCTTAAATTTTCTTCCACTACCATTATGCCTTGTTTTTTTACATTTAAATTATCATCTATTTGGAATTGAATTTCATATAAACAGCCAGACCTTTTGCTTTGTTCTGATTTTCCCCAGACCCAGTAGGATAAGTATTTTTGTTTTTCATGGCTCCTTCTCTTTCCTAAATGTCGTTTGCTAACACTGTTAGGGTTCTTCATTCAGCATCCTAATTGAGTTTACATAAAGCTCTTATAAAAGCTCCTAGGTTTACATCAACCTAAATTTCTTGCCAAATGGACATTTTGAATTTAAAAAGTATTACTGACAAAAATATTCATGCAATGACATTTCAGGACATTCATACAAGTTTCTGAAGTTCTGAAAAATCTCTTCAAAACTACCCAAGTCCCTCTTAAAGTATCAGCTATTCTGCCATCCCACTGGCAGGAAATGGGCTAAGTGTCTCTGCTCATTTAAGAAGTGATTTGAGCAAAAGGTAACATTCCCAGCAGTCTGAGAGTCTATCAAAGTCTCCTGCTCACAGAAAAGGACTGGATTTTCTTCCATGCTGCTGTCACTTCACTTGCTCTACACATGTGACAAGTCAAAGTGTAAGATTTCCTTTACAAAGACTTTTGAGAGGTCCTCTGATCATAGACATGACATTAGAAAGACAGGGAAACCTGAAGCCAATAGTAAAGAAAGAAATCTGTCCCACTGTATTTTGAAAAATTGGTCTTCCTTTTCCACTCAGGCTTATCCATAAGGATTTTCCCATCACTACGTGGTAGCTGTGAGTCTGGAGTCTTTGTACGTATTTGGCAGAACTGAGGTGAGGGAAGGCATATTCCTATTCCTACAAAATGAAGTTTAAGGCTCTTTCCTTTTTTTTAATGGAAGTACTTGAAATCAAAGTACTTGAATAAAGTACTGTGAAAAATAGATTTCCATGAACCAGGCAGAATAAACAATGTGTTAGCTATTTCCACATCACAATGGCTCCATTTTCCTCTCTCAACCAAAAGTCAATAATCTCAGTGTTTTCACATCAACGAATTTGTTTTCTTTTGAGCCAGCTACTTTAGGCCTAAGGTTAAACACCATTCTGTAAGTGTTAATCACAATTGTATTTCTTCTCATTCCAACAGGTCATAATCTGTCCCTCCAACACCACCATTCTCCCCCTTATCCACCAGTTCCCCGGGGAACAGGCATCATTCTTGAATTTATTATTCTTTTGTTGTATTTTTTCCCAGTTACTAGAATAAGAATGAAGTCATCTGGTTAAACAAGTGTATTTCCCAATCAAGAAAAACCAGGCCATTCCCTTCCATAGGATAGCCACTGTGAGCTGTGGTCATTTAGAGATCTATTATTGAGCATGTGATCTATGAAACCGAAGCAGACGGCACTAGAAAGGTTGCCATATTCTACTAACGTGTTTAATGATGTAAGCAAGTATGGAAACTGTGAAACTGAAGTGCTTAACTTCTATAATCTAGCTGCATTCATGGAATTCATTGCTTGAATTAGGGTCCATGAAGGATAGGAAAACTAGCATAAAATAAGATATTTTGTTATATATTTCTTTGAAGTGCAAGCTATAAGCCAGTCTATTCTATCACTCTCTGTACACCTCAACTGTTTTTCTTCCTTTGGTCTCTGCCTAAACAGTGTCAGTCAGGTTCCTACTAAAAGATTGGCAGTGATACAGAAGATAGTTGGGAGGTACGATAGCATTCGAACGCTATGATTTAGCCATGTGGAATCCACCCTGTCTCAGATAGGGAGCTTGCAAGTGCTGGCATGTCTCTCTGTGCTGGTCTGCCAGCCTCCACACATTATGTTTTGAAAGCACTTCCTCCAACTGCCGCTGAACTGGCAGGGCGGATCTCCTGTGGATCAGTTTTTCCATTCTCTCAGTCCTGCTTAAGCACAGTGTTCTGTTGTCTGTCAACCTTCTGTTCTAGACCAGGCCCCGCCCTTGACCTACCAAGAAAGCTGGGAGCTATTGGAAAGAAAGAGCCCTATTAATGATGCATACCATACAGCCAGGCATCTGAGTCTTCCCCACCTTTCCAGCCATATCCCACTGGCTTTGGACCAGCAATAGGCAGGGACAAAGCAGAAGACATATGATAATTTGGTTTGTTTAAAACAGATAGCTTGACTGAATGTACACTGGGCACCTTGCATATCCTGTGCACATGCAATACATACCAGAATCTCTTCTGGTGCTCATGAAACCCAGAGATCATCTCTCTCTGCACCCAACCCAGAGCTATCAGTGACATCTCATGAGATGTCCTTTTGATTCATTCCAGTGGAAGAATATTATTTTAATGCCCTCTAAATACAAAGTAAAATCAATAGTTGTTTTCAACTACCATCTCTTTGCCCAAAACCATCTAGAATCTCAAGATCGTACAGATGTGGTATAAGGTATGATCCCTCCCCCTGAAAGTACCTAAAATTCTATTAAGGAGACAAGACCATACCCAGAGCCATGTGAGAACAGTAAGTGGTGATAAATTAAATACAATGGCATAGGTCTTAGTAATATGAGTGATAAGAATTTTAAGAAAGAAAAGATACAAGTGAGGCGGAAGTGCTGGGGGAATGCTTCATGAAGGAGATTGAGCTTAAAGGATTAATTTATAGTATTTTGCTTTGTAGAAAAAGTCAGGAAGTCACAAACAAATTGTAAAGCATCCAATGCTCATAGATAGGAAGAATCAATATCACTAAAATGGCTACACTGCCCAAAGCACTTTACAGATTCAATGCTATTCCTGTCTAACAACTAATGACATTCTTCACAGAACTAGAATAAACTATTTTAAAATTGATATGGAACTAAACAAGAGCCCAAATAGACAAGGCAATCCTAAGCAAAAAGAACAAACCAGAAGGCATCACATTACAGGGCTACAGTAACCAAAACAACATGGTACTGGTACAAAAACAGGCACATAGACCAAAGGAACAGAATAGAGAGCCTAGAAACAAGGCCACACACCTATGACTATCTGACCTTTGACAAAGCTGACAAAAACAAGCAATGGGGAAAAGATTCCTATTCAATAAATGGTGCTGGGATAACTGGCTAGTCATATGTAGAAGACTGAAGCTGGACCTCTTCCTTACACCATGTACAAAAATCAACTCAAGACAGATTAAAGACTTTAATGTAAAACCCAAAACTATAAAAACCCTGAAAGACAACCTAGGCAATATCATTCTGGACATAGGAAGAGGCAAAGATTTCATGACAAAGACACCAAAAGCAATTGCAACAAAAGCAAAAAATGACAAATTAAACTTAAGAGCTTCTGCACAGCGAAAGAAACCATCAACAGAGTAAATAGACAACCTACGGAATAGGAGAAAATATTTGCAAACTATGCATCTGACAAAGGTCTGATATCAAGTATCTAAAAGGAACTTAAATAAACTTACAAGAGAAAAACAAACTACCCCATTAAAAAGTGAGCAAAAGGCTGGGCACAGTGGCTCACGCCTGTAATCCCAGCACTTTGGGAGGCCGAGGCGGGCGGATCACGAGGTCAGGAGCTCTCTACTAAAAATACAAACAATTAGCCGGGCGCAGTGGCAGATGCCTGTAGTCCCAGCTACTCGGGAGGCTGAGGTAGGAGAATGGCGTGAACCTGGGAAATGGAGCTTGCAGTGAGCCGAGATCACGCCACTGCACTCCAGCCTGGGCAACAGAGCAAGACTCCATCTCAAAAAAAAGAAAAAAAAAGAAAGAAAAGAAAAGAAAAGAAAAGAAAAAAAGAGCAAAGGACATGAACAGATACTTTTCAAAAGAAGACACACATGCAGCCAACAAGCATATGAAAAAAGCTCAATATCACTGATCATTAGAGAAATGCAATCAAAACCACAGTGAGATACCATCTTACACCAGTCACAATAACTATTATTAAAAAGTAAAAACATAACATATGCTGGCAAGGTTGCTGAGAAAAGGGAACACTTACACACTGTTGGAGAGAGTGTAAATTAGTTCAATCATTGTGGAAAGCAATGTGGCAATTCCCCAAAGAGCTAAAAGCAGAACTACCATTTGACCCAGCAATCCCATTACAGGGTACATACCCAGTAGAATATCTATCATTCTACCATAAAGACACATGCATGCAAATGTTCACTGCAGCACTATTTACAATAGCAAGGACACGGAATCAACTTAAATGCCCACCAATGACAAATTGGATAAAGAAAATGTGGTTTGTATACACCATGGAATACTATGTAGCCATGAAAACAATGAGATATGTATTTTGTGTGAACGTGGATGGAGCTGGAGGCTATCATTCTCAGCAAACTAACACAGAAGCAGAAAAGCAAATACCACATGTTCCCACTTATAAGTGGAAGCTAAATGATGAGAATTCATGAACACAAAGAAGAAAACAGACACTGGGGGCTACTTGAGAGTGGAGGTTGAGAAGAGGGAAAGGAGCAGAAAAAAATAACTAATGGGTACTAGGCTTAATACCTGGGTGATGAAATAATCTGTGCAACAAACCCCCATGACACGAGTTTACCCATATAATAAACCTGCACATGTACTACCAAACCTAAAATAAAAGTTAAAAAAAGTCAGGAAGTAGAAAAACTGAGTGCATCATAATGAAAGGCTTTGACTTTTTCAAGGGACAGTTGAACAGAAAGTATCTTTTGCCAAAGTATATACTGGTAATGATAACAGTAAGAGTTACCACTTAATGAACACTTACTGTTCCACATTCATAGTGTAATATAATATATGCCATACTGTATAATGACATTTAATCTACATAGTAAACTCAGATACTATCATTAGCCTCATGTAAAGGATAATGAAACTAAGTTTAAATTGGCTATGTAGTTTCTCAAAATCACAGCAAGCAGCAGTGTTAAGATTCAAACAGGGCTCTACTGGACTCCTGAACCAAGACCTTGACCTGCTTCACTAATACCTCATGCTTTATTAATATTTCCCACAGAAAACAGTGTTTACTAGTTGTTCAAAAAATTCCCAGTCAGAACCCACCCATGTTGCTTAAGGTATCTAAAACCTCCATCCTTGAATGACATTAGTTTAGGGAATGATGATAGCAAAGCCCACCTTAGGAGAGCACCGTTCTCATTTGGTCATTGATTTTCTTAGTAAATAGACTGTGGTGACCTCTTGGTGAAGAATGTAGATTCTGGGGCCTAGACAGTTAGAGTGCTGCTCACTATAGTCTAGAGTAGTCCCAGAATTTACAACCTAGCTTTAGGTGATTAGCAGTCAAGAAAAGCCCTCAAGTTGTGGAGGGAAAGTATTCACTTAAGTCCCCACTGAGATCCTATAGGTTCCCTGGCTTGCTTTAGAACAAATGTAAATAACTCAGACCCACCTACTTGTGACTTGGCACAGTCTAGACATCTCAAACTGCTCTACTATGGGGCAAGACCCCTGGACCACCCAACCACCTAGAACAGCTTTGACATAGACTTCAAAAAAACCATCCATGGATCCATGTCTGTCTTCTCTTAATGCCTAACGCATCATAATTTATTCATTTATTCAACAAATATTTATTGAGTGCCCACTAGTGCCAGTCCCTATTCTGCCACACAAGCAGTATCAGGAAAGGAGTCTGTCTCCTTTTTTCACTTTTTGTCCTTCCCCATCTTCATCCTTAGTGGGGAATGAGATATGTTGCCTAACCTAATAATATATTAAGGCTAATTCTTAGTTTTCCTAGGAAAGAACAAAAAATGGATCCCACTGGCCTTGTATATATTTTGGTGGCATCTGCACAGAACCAGGGAAGATTTCAAAGAGGTAAAACAGGAAGGAGGAGAGTTAGGGGGACAGGTCTAGAAAAGGAGTTTCTAGTGTCTACCTGTATTGCTTATTGATCAATAATTTTAAAAGTTACCTTCCAAAACTTTGAGACTTGAAACAAAAATAATCATTGATTATTTTTCAGGGTTTCTCCAGATAGATAAGAAATTCACAGTGTACTTAGGGGATGGCTTGTCTCTGCTCAAGGAATCTGGGTCTCAGCTGAGAGACTCACAGGCCAGGGACTAGAATACCTACATGTGGCTTCTTCATGTGGCCTGGGTTTCCTCATAATATAATAGCTGGATTCCATAGGCAAGCATTCAACAGAGAGAGAGAGAGAGAGAAACAGAAGCTGTATGCTTTTTATGACCTAGCCTCATAAGTCACAAAGCATCACTTTCACCATACTTGATTAAAACCCAGATTCACAGGATGAGGACATAGGACCCACTTCTTGGTGGGTGCAGTATAAGTCAAACTATAAGAAGAGTATATGGAATTGGAAGCTATTTGCATGGCTGTCTTTTAGAAAATACACTCTGCCATACCACTGATAGCTGAACCTGAATGAACTACCGGATGATCCAATGTGCATGGTAACTATATGTTTTTGTACTCTCTCCTAAGCTCCACGCATATTGGGCATTTTTTGGTGGTAGACTATACCTATGTGCCCTTCCACATGCTACAGGATAGTGTTATTGGGCTGGCTGGATGGTTCTATTATCAACATCATTAAGCTGGAAACCAAAGTTCCCAGAATCCTCTTCCCTATTCTAGGTTCTAGGTCTGAGTTGGCCAAAAGAGAAACTTGCATGATTTAGTAAGTGGAAGTAAAGCAGTAGGTATTTGTACTGAGATGTAGTGAGGGAGAGATGTAGAGTTGACCAGCAGGTTCAAACTTGTCTTTGTTCTCCTCCACTACACATCCAGCTCCTCTTCTTGACGGCTGACCCTGGTGACAAATGATAACCTCATGTCCACCACCAGATGCCTAGCTGTGGACCCACAGAGGTGGTAGCTCTACAGACGCAACTTTGTATAAACATTTACATGAGCTTCTATTCTTATTCCCACTTCAATGGCTGGACATGCTTAGCTTCTCAGATTTTCCCTACGAACTTTGACTTCTCCATCTGTGAAAGTGCTTTAAAAGGAACAGTTAGTGACTCTTTTCTCATCCTCTAACTTCGGCTTTTTGGCATTCACTCGTTCAGCTACTCCCACAATTTTTTAAAGGTCTGATTCTTATAATAAATCCCAGATTCCATAACATTCAATAGTAGTTTCAGCTTTCTGGCTGGACCCTAACACAGTTCCATATGGGAAATGCATGGGAACATCTGGATCAGTGATAGCGAATCCTTTTCCTGCCTGTTAAAATGATGTGAACACTGGGCCACAAAAAGGGCTTTTCACTCAATTGTGTGCATCTATCTCATACAAGGGCCCAAGCCAAGTATTAGAGTATCTGCTGTTTGTCTTAGCCTTGAAGATAAGCCATAGGAGGAAAAGAATTTATGAATATAGGTTGCAAATAATGGTGTATTAAAACTGTTTCTCATGTTTCTTGCCCTCCTGAGGCTAAGTACTTACATTAACATGAGAGAACAGAGAAATAATGGAGAGGTTGGGGAGACTTACAGGCATGATTTCTCTTTTTATTTTTAAGGATAAATTAATCCCATGGATATTTATTAGGGTCTCTTTTGCCACCTCTGGCTAAACTCTGTCAATGTCAAGCAAGGGAGATGAATAAGATATGAATTCTGCTAAAAACCTATAATCTATTGGGAGGCTGAGGTGGGTGGATCACGAGGTCAGGAGTTCAAGACCAGCCTGACCAACATGGTGAAATCCTGTCTCTACCAAAAACACAAAAATTAGCTGGGCATGGTGGCATGTGCCTGTAATCCCAGCTACTCAGGAGGCTGAGGCAGGAGAATCACTTGAACCTGGGAGGTGAAGGTTGCAGTAAGCCAAGATCGCACCACTGCACTCCAGCCTGGGGGACAGAGCAGAACTCAAAAAAAAGAAGAAAAGAAACTTAACAATCTAGTAAACAAGATGTCTAAAATGTAGATAACTCTGATGAAAATTAGATTTCTTTTAAAAGTGAGAGCAAGTTTATTAAGAAAGTAAGAGAATAAAAGAATGGCTACTCCATAGGCAGAGCAGCAGCTTGAGCTGCTGGCCTAAGGATACTTATAGTTATTTCTTGATTATATGCTGAACAAGGGGTGTATTGTTCATAAGTTTTCTGGGAAAGGGGTAGGCAATTCCTGGAGCTGAGTCCTCTCCTTTTTAGATCATAAAGGTGCCATGGCATCTATAAACTGTCATTGCACTGCTGGGAGTGTCTTTTAACACGCTAATGCATTACAATTAGCATATAATGAGCTGTGAGGATGACCAGAGGTCACTTTTGCCGCCACCTTGGTCTTAGTGGGTTTTGGCCGGCTTCTTTACTGCTAGCTGTTTTATCAGCAAGGTCTTTATGACCTTGTGTCAACCTCCTATCTCATCCTGTGACTTAGATCGCCTAATCTCCTAGGAATGCATCCCAGTAGGTCTCAGCCTTATTTTACCCAGCCCCTATTCAAGATGGAATCACTCTTGTTCAGATGCCTCTGATGTATTTCACCCCTCCCTTTCATAAGAGAACCCTTAACCCTAAGGGTTGTAAAGGAACAGAGATCCATCTTCTGTAACTTCCTCAGGCTGAATAGGGGTAATGATATTCCTGCCTAACTACTAAGGTATCTTGTATTCGGGGTAGAGAGGAGTTCAGTCAGAAAGCTTCAGTATGATGAGGGCCATTCATAACTTCAGTATGATGAGGGCCAGCTGACAAAAGGTGATATCTGGAAGATTAATAAATGTTTAAGAAAACATTCAGTAAGCTGTTTATCCTGCATTCCTACACGAAGAGTACAATAGTGATACATTCCACAACAATAAAGCAAAATAAGCAAAATTATCCCAAGTAAACTAAATAAGAAAGTTTTCCATGAACTGGGTAAATGTTGGAACCAAGCTGCTACAGGGTTGCTAGCTGATTCCAATATGTGCCAAGAATTAGAATATTGATCCAGATTTTTACATCACCCATCTCTCTTGTTTCTTCTGAGCAGCAGTCAGATATCACTCATAGGCTCACAGGAATAAGCAGAGTTAGTCTAAATTGCAGAAAATAACTTAAAAAAAACTGATGAGACTAGAATCTAAAAACAGGTGTACCATAGTTTGAAACATAATTTTTCTCTCTTCAGTTTCCCATTTTTACTAAAGACAAATCATGGTAAGACCGATTTGCTTTATTATACTTGGCCTGATTATTTGTATGAAGTGCAGCAAGAATAATTTTTCACAGAGGCTTTTTAAATTGGCTTCCATGGTACTTTGTTTCATAAAAGGAATCTTAGATAAGACTTTTTTAAAGCCTAGCCCAGCCATGGGTTTGTACTCTCAAATACCTATGAGTTGGATGAATTCCTCTTCTCTTGAGGTCCCAAGATAACTTGGGGCTCCTGGGCCTGTCAGAAAGTGACATTCTTTACTTACCACAGGTCAGGAACCCTGTACATGGGTTGTGTAGACAAGACAAAACATGAGGCCAGTTTTCCCAAAGGGCTCTTATTGGCTCTATAAGTCAAGTTTGATTCCTTAAAGGAATACACACCATTCCAGTCAAAGCCTTGGTAAAATAACCAGTTGTGTCCTATTGCAAAAGAAACAGATTCTTGTTGCACTTATGCAAATAACTATACTGCCATAAGTTAAGAATACTTACAGTTTCCAAATTCTGGAGAAATCAGGTAGAAAGAAACAAATATGCTCCAAATTTTGTTCATAAGAGTATACTTTACTCAATTGCTACAAGCTGTAAATTGCTCAAAATAAAAGTTTCTTGACTCCAAAGTTGGCCAACTGGTGTGCACACAAATGATTTTCCGTTGGGTCGGGGTTCTCTTCAGTATAATCTCTTTGTGGTTCACCAGAAAGATGTTACCGTAAAGGGGTTCCAATCTAGACCCAAGAGAGGGTTCTTAGATCTCATGCAAGAAAGAATTCCAGAAGAGTCCATAGAGTAAAGTGAAAGCAAGTTTATTAAGAAAGTAAATGAATAAAAGAATGGCTACTCCATAGGCAGGGTGGAGAAGATATTTTTTAATGTGATGTGAGAAGTTCAAACATGGTAAATTAAGAGTTTACAACCAAATGAATTGCTTCTGGTATGTTACTGAGTTCATGCTCACTGGGTTCAGAGGGAGTTTCTTTGGTATTTGAGCAGGGCCAGAAAAAATTAGTAATATTTTATTCATTCAACAAATATTTTATTTATCTTACTGTTTTATTTCATCTCTTTTATACCAACACATAATTAGATATTATGTAGATGTATAAATATTATCATATAGCCACACCTGGAGCTATGACTTGGAATTCAGAACCTTTATTTTGAAAGTGTTAGGAAACCATATACGCAAAAGGCAAGATGATATTCCACCTTTCTGGGACTTGAGGCCCTATAAAGCTAGGAAAATCTAGAATCATGAGGAGAGGAAGTATATCTTGGCAATGGACAAGTCTACAACAACACTGCTACCCATCAGCAGTGAGTTCCAAAGGTCACAAAAGCCACACCTTAGTTCACACAACCCACCAAACCCGAAGTGGAGCAACACACTCCTAGACCTTGAGAGAATGATTTGCCTAAGAAAACAAGGACAACAGTGGGAGTCTGTTAGAAAGAGCTTCCTCTATACGACCAAGGGAAAAAGAACAGAACAGCTTCTGTTTCCAGTGCAGCGACCCTTTGTGAGAGAACATGCTCACCTTTGTTTTCCTACCTTTCCAATCTGGCTCTTCTTCATCAAGCTGAACCTCTTTGATCCCTGCCAGCAGGCACAGCTTGAGCTGCCACCTTCCAGACATCCCCTAGCACTCTGCATCATTGTCCTGTCCTATGGTAAAGCAGCAGGTGTCTACCACACACTCGGACCTCAGCCCAAGACCAGAGGAGCTTATGTCTCAGTTATTCCATAGGAGTAGAACTGTAAATCTTCATTGCAAAATAAAATTTCCAAGTCAGAACCAATCTTAAATCTTGGATTTCCTGAAAGAATGAGTAGAGCACTCAGGAAGGGGTTAGATTACAGAGTCCCTAATGCAGACACAATCAGTTTTCTGGCCTAGCCAGAGTTGTCAGGAGAAGTGAAGAGCCTTTCACACAACAAACTCAGCCTCCATGTCTTTTCCCCAATACTGTAGCTAGACAAAATTATCCTATTAACAATGGGCTGGGCAGAGGTGGAATTTATTAAATGAAACTATTCATTAAAGTGGTATTATATTTTAAAGGCAGTGCTATCAAAGGGATTAGAACAGAGAAGGTCAAGGACAAATCAAAAGTGCTCAATCCCACTACTGTTTGTGGGCTTCTAATGCCCTCTAGAACATTGTTCCAAGTCACATATGCTCTAAAGCAACATCAAAGTCAGACAACATCATCTTGACCTTCTTCATTGAATGCATTCGAAATCCAGCACTCTAACCATATAAACTCTAAAAGAATATGCTAAATGAAAAATCAGTTTAAGTTTTTGTAAACTGTAAGAATCAAGGACCCTGGGATGAGACATAGACAGAGTACGAAGACAGACATTCGTAGATTAGAGCAGTAGTTCTCAGCTGGGGGTAATTTTGTCCCCCCCAGGGCATATTTGGCAAAACTGGAGACATTTTGGGTCATCACAACTTGGAGGAAAGGAAGATGCTACTGGGATATCGTGGGTTGAGGCCAGGGATGCTGGAGAACATCCTGCAATGCAAAAGATAATCCCCTTCCCCCTAACAAATAATTATCTGGCCCCAAATGTCAATAGTTCTGAGACTGAGAGAAATCCTATACTAGAGCCATCAAAAGTTAACAGGTCTTTTCAGCAATTGTGAATGTTAAAGTTTAACAATTCCAATCTAAGTTCACATTTTAAGCCCCCCTCATCTTCCCTAAGGCCTTGTTCCAATCACAGTACTGACAGATAAAATAGAGAAAGAGGACGTCAAAACTCAAAGCTGTGCTTATAAGCAAAATAAGCATCCCTGTGAACTGAACCAGGCAGCAATGTGAAATGGAGAGCCTTCCGGACTCTGTATACAAGGATAGGCAGTGGCAGCCAGGAGTTTGGGTCCTACACAACAATGGAAAAAGTGGAGAATTAAACAAGTATCACTGTATGAAACCAGGTTGTAAAATAAGTTGAGAAAAGCTGCCACGTACAGCTCTTTGAGACAATAGCTTGCAGGAAGTGGAATGCTCGGAGGAGGTAAAAGAAACATACACAGACTCATGACCAGGATCTGAGCCTAGTCATTCAGAGCCTTAATTTGTCATATCCTTAATAACACCATGGGATAGAAACCTCAGCCATCTATATGAGATGTGTTCTGGGCTTTGGGCCAAGCAGCCAGTGACAGCAACTACAACTAGACAGCAGAGAATGTGAGAGAATAAATCCACACATCATATTCCAAAACACATGAAGAAAACTAGCACTAAGGAAGTTACTTAAAAAAAATCAACAGAGCATAAATTCACTCAGGATCAGTGGTTCTCAACTAAGAATGACTTTTTTCAACCACAGAGAACAACTAGCAATGACTGGAGACATGTTTGGCCATCTCAAATGAAGGGGTAGAGGTGTTATTGTCATGTAGTAGTAGGCAGAATCCATGGATGCTGCTAAACACGTTAAGTGCACAGGACAACCCACTACAACAAAGAATGGCCTGGCCTAAAATGCCAATAGTGCTGAAATTGAGAAACCCTGTTGTAGATGTAAAAAACATAATGGAAATGTCTAAAGTCTGCAAAGAGGTAACTGAGGAAATAACATCCATTTTGTAAATGAAAAAATTTTAAAACAAAATCAGAGAAGTAAAACAAGTGAATGTAAAATGAATGCATTAATGTGTCAGACATTTAAAATATTGTCACTGGTATTTAAAAATTCAAGCATGATAAAGCCTAAACAACACAGAAAATTAATACATTAGAAAATTAGTATGTAGTACTGGAAAAAGTTACCAAAATTCAAAAAAATAAAATAAAAAGATTCTAGACAAATATAAAAATGAAAAGAACTGAAGGACAAATTAAGGGTCTCTAACTCCTAGTAGCAGTGTCAATGATAGAGTATTAGAGGGAATGGTTTTGATGCAGTATTCAGGGAGATCATGGCTACAGTCACTTAAAATATGGAAAAGGCTGTGAGCACTCATTAAAAGAGCAGTCTAAGTGCTCAGTCAGGATAAACTAAGATAAATCTGCATCCAAACACAAGAACAAATCAGAAGAATATCACTGTGTAAAGAGAAAGCTTTTTAAAGCTGCAAAAGAAAAAGATAAAATACCTAAAAAGTCATAACTGTCAACACTTTTCTTCACATCTTCATTGTCAGCAGATTTTTCATCGGTATGAATAGATGCCAGAAAATAATGGAGTAATATCTCCTAAAAGCTTAGGGCCAATAATGCTCAAGCTAAATTCTACACCCAGAAAAACTATCTTTCAAGAGTATGAGCAAAATAAAAATACCCTCAGAAATAATAAGAATACTCACTGACTGCATAAACAAGTTTCTATATGTGAGTGGAGAGAGAGACAAATGTCTGTGTATGTATGTAAGATATACACATCTGTACATATATATACATTCTTACAGGCATAATTGTATATAATCATGTATATTTGTATATACAATGCATGTGTATGTGTGTGTACGTATGTATGTGTGTGTAAAATTTTAATTTCTAAACCAGGAGAAGAACAAAAAGAGGAAGGATATAGAAAACTCTATCACTTCAACAGAGAAAGAGAAGAAAGGAGGAAAGGTAAGAAGGGAGGGAGGGAGAAAGAAAGGAAATAAAAAAGAAGAAAAAAGCAAAGAAAAAGAATAATAACCGAAACACACATATAAGATGGTAGAAACAAATCCAAACATACCAATAATCATAATTAATGTAAATACATTAAACCAGCCATTAAATAACAGATATCATCAAGAAAAAAATATATATATGTGCAGTTTTAAAAAACACATTAAAAGTATACAGAAAGTTTGAAGATAATGGGCTAAAAAAGATGTATCATAAGAATACTAACCCAAGAAAGCTCATGTTTCAAACAAGAAATATTTTAAAGGGAAATAACTACAAGAAAAACGGTGGGCACAAATAATAAAAAAGAGCATTCCACTAAGTTACAATAATAAACACATATACATCTAACAATTTGGCCTCAAATTTATAAAGCTAAAACTAATAGAATAATGAGAACTAAACAAAATAACAATGACAGTGGACAATTTTTAAATACCTCTATCAGAAACATATCAAGCAGAAAAAGAAACTGAGATTTAGAAAACTGAGGCTGGGCACAGTGGCTCATGCCTGTAATCCCAGCATTTTGAGAGGCTGAGGCAGACAGATTGCTTAAGTTTAGGAGTTTGAGGCCAGTCTGGGCAACATGGAAAAAACCTACCTCTACAAAAGATACAAAAGTTAGCTGGGCATGGTGGCATGCACCTGTAGCCCCAGCTACTTGGGGGGCTGAGGTGAGAGGATCTCTTGAGCCTGGGAGGTCAAGGCTACAGTGAGCCATGATTGCACCCCTGTACTCCAGCCTGGGCAACAGAGCAAGACCCTGTCTCAAAAAAAGAAAAAAGAAAATTCAGACAACATATTTTGACAAGATTAATCCAATAGAGATAAATAGAATCCTGCACCTCACAAATAGAGAACATTTTTATGCATATATGAAGCATTTGCAGAACAAATTCCATAAGATACTTTATTAACCTAAGAAAGTACATGCTAAAACTACTATATGCCTGGCCATTATCTAAAGAGAAGAGAGTTCTTAAGAAGAGGTGGTTAGAGGGAAAACAGAGGTGAAAGAAATATATTCTAGTTTATTTAGTTGGCAATTACTTGTGGGGCATCTAGTATGTTCCATTCTCCCAACTGGTCTTATAAAAAGTATCCCGCATATTCCCTATTTATTCTCCCAAATATCTTTTTACCTTTCCCAAACAAGAAGCAGAAATTAATTTTGAAAGGGTCTCTCATAAAAATGGATGTATAATTCTTTTATGAATAGTGTAGCTATTATTATTTTAAATTATAGCAAACTTTAAGGGACAAAGTGGTCAGCACCTCATTAAAGGGTCAAGTGATTTATTTTGCCTATTCTGCTAGTCAACATTTGTGGTCTTGGGTTTTGTTTCATTGCAGGAACTCAGATTTGGATGCAGATGCACTATTTTAAATCCTTTTTCCCACCTCCAAATCCACAAAACCTTGAACCTAATTTAAAAAGTCTATGAGGCTGAAAGTCAGGGGAAAGAGGACTTATGATGTTTCTGTCTTCTCTGAAAGGCAGCAGCAGTGTAAAGGAGAAATTTGTACAACAATCTGACTCCACTGTTGCTCAGTGTACAACATTCTTAACTTCTCTGAACATCAATTCCCTTCTCTCAATTTCCTTCACATAATGTATCCTATGCTATTCTCCCAGGATTGTTGTGAAGATTAAATAAATAATGTTCCAATGTTTAGCACAGGCCAAGTACAGAATAACTACTCAATCCCTGTTGAACCTAAATCTCCCATCCTGAAACAGTAAGCTGAGAAACCCCAAATCAGCTAAAGACTGTTCTTTCCCCTGTGGGCACCTTATCCTGTGATCCAGCCCCACCATTTCCTGAGTTGTTGACATCAACTTCCTGACAACTTCACTATTTCCATCCTGAAAAACTGACGGCTTAGATTCAGGGGGAAAAGTACATGTTAGGTATTAACGCCTACCAGATTTGGGTAGTCAGGGGATTTCATATATGTATTAGGAAAATCTGAAGACTAAAGTTAAAGCTCTGAAGTTCTGGGATTTAGGAGAGAAAAATATGTTTGTTTTCTTTGTGTTCCATCCTCATCAGCGTTTAATGTTAATGTTACTGGATAATGCAAAACAGTGGAAAAAATAACTTTAATCACTGAAAGATCTGAAGGGACACCTGACCATACGTTATTTATGAAATAAAGTAAAATTCTGAAATCCTGCTAGATGAAAAAAATACAAAATGTTATTGTAACTTTTAGAAATTTTAAATGGCAATAACTTAAATTCAATATGGTGGTTTATAACTGAGTGTTAAGTACTTTAATTTATAGTCTTCAGCATAATACTCCTGTAAGAAAAACGTTCAGCTACATTTGGAAAGGCAAAAATATACCACAAATATAAGGCAGAAGATGCTTTTGACTTTTTATGATATAACAGCTACGTCTATCTAGATATACACCAGGCCCTTTGATAGGTTTGTTTGGGATTTTTTTTTGTGGTTTTTTTGTTCTTTCTTGTCCTTTGAAAAATTCCAAGTATTTTCTTTCACTAACAAGAAAAGATTATTTTCCATGTTTAGCAAGAAAATATTTATCAGCACCTTCTCCCAACTTAGTGTCAAAGGAGGTGTCACTCTGAATCAGTTCCCACAATCCTGAAGCTAGCCTGCAGTGAGACATCAACTTTCACACCAAACTTACATATGACTTTTAGCAAGATGCCCTCTGCCCCAGCTTTCTTTCAATGTAGCAAGGAAAAAACACTACTACTTTCCTCCTGGGAACTGGGAGAAGTGTCAAAGGAAATCTTTTCAATGAAAGGAAAAAGAACATATCACACTTGTAATATTTTCTCTCTTGCTAAGCCATAGTTCCATGAAAATATTAATAGAAACCATGCCTTCCTGCCCCATGCCAAAAAGGTGAACCAGCAGATAGAGACTACATGCACGAGCTGCAACTGTGCCGGTGTTCTGAGGGTAAAAGAATATGGGTACTATTTCATGCAAATCTCATGCAGGTTAATATAGTCAAACCCAGAATTATGAGCCTTCAGGAAACAAATCCATCTGTTAGGAGGGCTCTAAATTATATATGGCATCCTAGCTGAAAGGGAGTCTGGACAACACAGTTCTGCAAGCTTTGCAAGGAGGCACAGTAGAGTTTGGAAGAGATGTTGAGCCAGCCCACATAAGATATCTGTTATTATAACCAACACTTATTAAATGCATATTGTGTTATGTGCTGCCCTCAATATTTCATATATATTAATATTATCACAGTTAAATCCTCATTACAATCCATAAAATGGATATTATTACTATTCTTCCCTTACACATGTGCCCACTGAGGCTCAGACAGTTAAGATCACAAAAGACCCCTTTAAACTAGCCATCTGACTCCAGAGCTCAAGCTTTTAACCACATTTTTGTCTAAGTATTTGTCTTGTTCACTGATACACTGTCAGTACCTTCTTTTTTTTTTTTTTTTTTTTTTTTTTTTTTTTTTTTTTTTTTTTTGAGACAGAGGCTTTATCTGTTGCCCAGGCTGGAGGGCAGTAGAGCGGTCACAGTTCACGGCAGTCTTGATCTCCCAGGATCAAGCAATCCTCCCACCTCAGCCTCCCGAGTAGCTGGGACTACAGATGTAGTCCACACCCAGCTAATTTTTGTATTTTTTGTAGAATCAAATTTTTGCATGGGTTTCACCAGGAAGCTGGCTTCATAAAAGGCTTCAGATTCAGGAGGGGAAGATGGCACAGCAATCTGTGTTGTGTGGACTAATGACCAGGGACCAGGTGGGCATGAGGACGCCTGGTCTCAAATGCTTGAACTCAAGTTCAAGCTCACCTTGGCCTCCCAAAGTGGTGGGATTACAGGCATGAGCCATCATGCCCGGCCATGTTCTTGATAAATAGAAAATGCTCAATATGTGTATTAGTCCATTTGCATGCTGTATATAAAGACATACCCAAGACTGGGTAATTTATAAAGGAAAAAGATTTAATTGACTCAGAGTTCCACATAGCTGGGGAGGCCTCACAATCATGGCAGAAGATGAAAGAAGAACAAAGGGATGTCTTACATGGCAGCTGGCAAAAAGAGAATGAGAGCCAAGCAAAAAGGATTTCCCCTTGTAAAACCATCAGATCTCGTGAGACTTATTCACTACCATGAGAACAGTATGGGAGAAACCATCCCAGTGATGCAATTATCTCCCACTGAGTCCCTCCCACAGCACATGGGAATTATGGGAGCTACAACTGAAGATGAGATTTGGGTGGGCACACAGCCAAACCATATCAGTACATAATTATTAAGTTGAATACCCACCTCTATGCAATTATGAAAGACTTTGGGTCTTTTAGTTTAGCTCTGTCCTATTTCTCCTTTTACTTGGCGCATAATAAGTGCTTGGTAAAAAATAACATTGGCTGACCCAATGGAACCTAGTGAACCTTAAAGAGTTGTCAGCATTTGACAACTGTAAAGCTCTGAGAATCAAAATCTTGGCCTTGAAGTTGCAACCTGAGACTCTTTGGAACTCAAGGCATCACAGAAGTTTTTGAAGAATTCAGCATAATTCCAGACATCCCTGTCCAGAACATCACCCTCTTCCTCCACCTGAAACCACAGATGAGATAAATCTTCATAGCCAGATTAGTTGGGAAGGAAGAGCTGGAGAGGAGGCAGTGGCAATGGCATGTCCTTCAGAAGAAGAACTGTTCTCTTCCCTCCCTGAGTTGAGTCCCCTGTGATGGTGGAATTCACAGAAACCCAGATTGGTTTGGTAGATTCAAGAGCAAAGAGTATCTTCACACTCTGGAGGAGGGATATCCTGCAGAGGTATCAAGAGCTAAAATGCTTCTGTCACCAACTTAGTAAAGTAATAGTGGAGAAGAGATAGTTCTGTGGAGTGCTTAAGCAAAAGGAACTGGCAGAATTCTCTGTGTCCCAAAGAAGTGTAAGAAGAGCTAAATGTTGCCTTTGTACCCAGAAGGTGCATCCAAGTAATGAAGGGAGCTGGCCACATAAAAGCATCAGATTCAGGATGGGAAGATGTCAGAGCAATCTGTGTTGTGTGGACCGATGGTCAGGAAGCAGACAGGCCTAAGGATTCCTGGCAGATGCCCGCATGTCCAGACCAGGAATTCACTCCACTGCACTTGACCTCTTGCCTCCAAAATATCCCCCAAATTTAGATTTCAAATCAAGAATTAGAAGGAGACCAAAAAAACCAAACACCGCATGTTCTCACTTATAGGTGGGAATTGAACAATGAGAACACATGGACACAGGAAGGGGAACATCACACTCTGGGGACTGTTGTGGGGTGGGGGGAGGGGGGAGGGATAGCATTAGGAGATATACCTAATGCTAAATGACGAGTTAATGGGTGCAGCGCACCAGCATGGCACATGTATACATATGTAACTAACCTGCACATTGTGCACATGTACCCTAAAACTTAAAGTATAATAATAATAAAATAAAATAAAATAAAAAAAGAATTAGAAGGAGTAAAATACTAACTGATAGAGATTAAGTTTTCCAACTCCTGGTGGAAATATCACTTAAAATTTTTATCATCAGACAGAAAATAAACAAAATTAATTTTTTTCACACATGAGTTCTGGGCCAAAATTTACGTCAACTGTAAGAAGTTGAACCAAGCAGTCTACTAATACGTAAATACTCAATGAAATAACTTTCAAAAGTGCCAATTTAAAAAGTAGAATTGTCCTACTTTTTAAGGACTGCACAAGAAAGTCTATCAAGAAGGAAAAAAAGAAGAGAAGAAAAAAATACTGATTATTTTAACATTTTAATATTAAATTAATTGATTAACACTATTATATTTAATATTGGCAAAAACCACAATTACACCTGCACCAACCTAATATAATGGAAATTATAAATATGTGGAAATTTTGACACCAATGAATGTGAATCATTTTTAGTTCTTCTGGAATAGAGAATGTCAACATTGCCTTAGAAGTAAATACAAAGTGTCACTGCAAGCCTTCCTTCTTTCATTTATTCCTTCAACAGATTTTATTGCATAACTAGTACATCAAGAACCAAATAAGCACATAGAATAACCTGGCATCCAAAAGCAATATAGGAATCAGAACTCAAGACTAAGGAAAAAACTTTAAAAAACCATAACAGGACCATGCATAATCTATTATTTATTACCATAATACCTTATTAACATGTATTGAGTACCTACTAAGTGCCAAGCACTGTGCTAAATATATTTGTGTATTATAGAAAGACATGCTAATCCTCAGATCACTTCAGCAAATGAAATTGTTTCAGCTTTGGACAACTCACACTCCCTTACATGACTTCATATTCTCCTGTTTCTCCCTTATCAACAGGATGAAGAACATGGCTTGTTAAACAGCTCCCTCTACTATATATCAAACCTGGTGCCAAATTGATACCAGGGGTTGATCCAAATTCCTTTAACCTGGGACAGTTCACTAGCATTGTAGCCAGATTCAAAAAGGCTGGACTCCATCTAGATCACAATTTGTTCAGGAACACCTGAATTATGCGTTTCCTTCCCAAGTACACACACCCCTACCCTCTCATCAACACTCACAGTCCTAGAAATGTGCAATATCCCACATAAACTGAAGAATATGGTTTTTCTGAGGCCCCTGGACCCTGTCCAGCTGGCAGAGGGACATCATGAGAGAGCTCCTGAACCCATATGAGTCTGTTCATCACTGATACCAGTACTGATACCTTGGTTTTACTTACAGTGAAAGTCAAATGAGATCATCTATGTGATAGGCTTTTTAAACATGCTATACAATACCATACAAATGTTCAACCTCATAAAGTACTTTCATACTAAGCTCCGCTGGGCCAGGCTGGTACCTGACTCAGGACTGAAGTGACCCCCAACTTTTATTGAGTTGAATTTGACCTTATCTACTAATCTGTGTCTCCTCACTAGACTCCAAATGATGGGAAATTAAGGAAGTAGTACACATCATTTATAATGGCTTATAACTGTGGGAAGCAATGTTTTTTTTGCACAAGGGCCAATCCGGGAAAAAAGAAAATTTATGTAGGCTGCAAAAAATTATTAAAGAAATGAAGACATTTTCTACAGGCCATACAACCATCAGTTCTGAGCAGCAGCTGGAATTTGCACATCTCACTTAAGGCAATATTTACTGATGGGTGCTCAGGAAAGAAAGATGAATGAGATGAGCCTTCCATCCTCCACAGTCAGCCTTCATGGCTCTAAAGTTTTCATTCTTCTTGGGTGAATCATGCTCCTAGGAATGATACCATCACTGCTAGTTTCCTGGAATGGCCAGCCTCCCAGGCCGGTTGGAGGCCAGGCAGCTGCACAAGTCTCTTGTGGTTCCCGATATCAGGGGGTCACACTGGGTCAAGGCCTGGCTCTGCCACACAGAGTCCTCCACTCTGAAGACTGCACCTCTGGTTGCCAAAATGACAACCTGCAATTCTTTAAAGTCACTTCCATGGTTACTCGAAAGACCTCCCTCCCCAATTCCTTTTCTTTGTATTAGTTGAAAAGCAGTGCTTACGCTGGTTTGAGGCGTAAAACTACAGGGCCTCTTGCTCAGGTTGCTGGTAGCTTCTAAGTGGACTAAAGTTTTTAAGTCCAAACACACAGGATCTTAATGTAAAACCCAGCACCAAGGTAAACTATTCTTGCTGTATTGATGCTGCTGTCATGTTAGAAGGAAACATGGCACAGACCACAGAAAAAGCTTGGCATCATCATTACTTACCTATATAATGGAGACAAAGTCCTTTGGTAACCTCTGTTATCACAATATTTGGATCTATATTGCCAAAATGAAGACCCTTAGCAATCTTCAGTGGCTTGGGGGAGTTCAATTTACCTAAGGAATAAAATTAGGTTAAAAAAATCTTAAAAAAAAAAAAAGAGTCTCAGACAGCCAAATCATTGGAGACCAACAGAGATGCATTAAGGATTGAGATCTGAAAAAGACTGCAGGAGTCTTTCTATCAAGAAAGAGTGACCATAGAGAAAAGACCATAGAAGAAAACAGTGACCATAGAGAAAAGATCAATCCAGCCCTACAGCTCCGAAGAAGACAAGTGGCGTATCCTGAGGGGAAAATGTAAAGGGGATTGAGAAACTTGTAATAAAAATGACTGAATTGGGAGATGTCAAGGAGAGGGGAAGACAGAGAAAAGAAACTGAGCTTTTTCTCCGCTGAGAAAGTGCACAATTTTTCGGAGAGCCCAAAACTCCATGAGAAAAAGGTTCTTCTTATTGTTTGCTCTTTCCTCTCACAGCAGCCTAGCTGGAAAGCAAAGTCAGCTGGAAAAACACAATGCAACCTTCTGTTCAAGGGAAAGTGGAGGAAAAAGAAGTCCAAGGTTGCCTCCTTCTTACCCACTCTTGAGGCACATTTTTATCCCATTGTTGGACTCTGCGTTTTCCCAGGGGTTGCCATGGCATCAAAGAGACAAATGCCTTGCTCCTGTTTTAAAGCTGAATTCCCTAGCAAACAAAATTGTTTCCATTTGAGGATATTCTCACCCTCACACGAAACCAGAACTGCTTTCAAAACAATGTGTCTTTTTAAAATATGGATGAAATGTATTGCATTCTTCTGGTAATAGAAGAAACATATTTTTATTTTTAAAATGCATAAAAACATTTGAAAAACGAAATGCAATTGCCCTATAGATCTTCACCTACAGGTGGTCATGGCTCACATTTTGGCATATTTATTTCAGGTCTTTCATCTATAAATGTATATGTATTTTGTATTATACACTGCAAAATTGCAGCCCAATTACATATGCAATTATGCATGCTCCTATTTCTTCACTTGATATCCCATAGACACACTCTTCGGAAGCAGGGCTATAAAATCCAGAGATGCTCTTTATAGAGCTTTAACATTTTGCTCATTTGCATCTTGCATATTCTTATGAAAAGAAGAATTTAATAAGACAGCAGTTTGGCCTTTATGTCCCCATGAATCTAAACGTTTGAGAGAAGTTAGCAGCAGGGAAGCATGGGTTAACTGTGTTAGAAAATGTTTGCAAAGAAAGGCCTTTGCTCTCCATTAATTTATGCTATGAAAGAGAGAACACAGATAGTTTCATATATTATCCTGGGACTATATAAAGAAAAGAAACTGAGAAGTTAACTATAAAATGTCATGATTTTTCTTTCAATAGTTACATGTTCTTTAAAATTATAAGCATATTTTACAATTAGTAATTCATTAGCCCATTCATCCTTGCAAAACAGGTCAAGGTTAGTAGGAAACTGGACTCTGATGGGTGTAAAAACATGCATGAAGATAGTGTGCTATAGTGGAAATGTTTCTAGTTTCACATCAAACTAAAGTGGTTTCTAAACTAAGCCCTGCAATTAACACATGTGCGACCTTTGACATGTTACTAAAGTTCCCTAACTCTCAATTTCCTTATCTCTAATAATTTAGATTGAAAAAATGTCCAGCCACACGGTTGCACTGAGAATTAAATGAGAAGAAATATGAAAAAAAAAAAAAAAGGCCAGGTGCAGTGGTTCACGCCTGTGATCCCAGCACTTGGGAGGCCAAGGTGGGAGGATTGCTTGAGGCCAGGAATTTGAGACCAGCCTGAGCAACATGCAAGACCCTATCTCTATCTTTTTAAAATAAAAATTTTAAATTTAAAAAATGTAAAAATATGAAAAAAGCCTTACTCAATGCCTGACACATAGTAGGTGCTCGGCAAATATTTGTACTCTTCTTTCAATGGCAACCTGAGCTAGAACTTAAATTCTATCCTAGCATTACACCATTTCTATAAACAATGATGTTTGCAGTGTTCATTATCCAAGTGGCTAGTGATTCTATGTTGTTTTTTAGCTCCACATTAACAAACGTTCTTGGTAAACACTGCCTCCAGTCTCCTCTTAGTAAAAGTTATGTGATGTAAAGTTTTCTAATGAAATTTAAGAGTCAGGAAGAATAGGAATGTTCACATTTCCAATAGGTTCCCTTTTCTGAATTCCCATCACAGTAGAGGAAACAAGTTAATTTGTGTACCATCAAAACCCAAAGAAAATAAAAGACTTCCCCTGTTTGCTGTTAAGAATTTCCTTAACTATTCTACCAGGGCTTCCAGAATCAAGATTAAAAAGAAAAAGAAAAAAATTATGTCTCTGCACATTTCATATCAATGGAAGGATGTTGAAACTGTGCTGGTAAACAGAGTAAGGAAGCAAAAGCCTTGTTAGAACCTAATTGTTTTCTAATTAACCAGACTGGAAGTGGATGTTTTCAGGGTTTGCTCAACAGACTTTTGAAGATTATGAGATTAAATTAGACCAAGTATTTACAAAAGCTCCTGAAAATATATAGCAGACACCAAAAACATTCTTGTTAATATGGCCAAGATTGATTTAAGGCCTAAGAAATAGTAAAAGCATGGTTTATTTTTGGATATTCAATTTATTTACTTAGCGTGTCTTAGTCAAGGTAACTAAAATCAAAACCACTTGCATAGGTAAATCAGTATCACATTAGAAATGGGACAATTCATACCCCACATTTATATCCACCCCAGGTACTAATTAGTACTGGTATAAAATAGATAATTGATGGATTAGATAGACAGATAGATAGATATAAAGGAAAACACTATTTTTTTTCTTTTTTTGAGATGGAGTCTTGTTCCCTTCACATAGGCTGGAGTGCAGTGGCACAATCTCTGCTCACTGCAACCTCCACCTCCTGGGTTCAAGCAATTTTCCTTCCTCAGCCTCCCAAGTAGCTGGGATTACAGGTGTGTGCCACCACGCCTGGCTATTTTTTTTTTTTTTTTGGTACTTTTAGTAGAGATGAGGTTTAGCCATGTTGGCCAGGCTGGTCTCGAACTCCTGACCTAGATGATCCACCTGCCTCGGCCTCCCAAAATGGTAGGATTACAGGCATGAGCCACCACGCCCAGCCCACTATTTTTAACCATTTAAAAATTATTTAGTTACGTAACTGACCTACACTGCTGAGATAACCTATAAATTTCTATATATTGATTTCATTTTACGGATGATGGATTTGGCTAATCATCTAAAGACTTGAAAATCAAAACTGAAATATCTGGATTTTCTTCATGCGACAATGAGGAGCCATTGAAAGTTTTTGATCATGAAGGCTATGGTTACATTGTCACTAAAATGTCTTAGAAAGACCATTCAGAAAGTAGTTTGCAGAATAAACTGAAGGTGGGAGAAATTGGTGGCAGAAAGGTAAAATAGGAGGCTAATGAAATAATCCAGAAGAGAGGTCATTTTTAAAAGTGTGGTATTACACAAGTGTGCTTCCACTGAAAGGAATTTTATTTGGTTTGGGTGATTTGGTTTTGGTTTCAATTTTAGTGTTTTGTTCCTTCTACCCCATTAGTGATACCTTTTCTATTGTCTTTTATTCTTTTTTTTTTTAAATTTACCAAATACCCAGACTTCAAAGAGATATCTTTTTTTCTTTAGAGGAAATACAGCTATTTTCCCAACCCACTCCTTCCCCAACACATTCTCAGAAACTTCTGGCTTGTGACCTTCCATTCGTGTTTTAGAGTCCAGCCTCTGGTTCTCTGTAACTATAGGAGCAGATGTTGAAATCAGCCACAGTGTTTTATATTCAGCTCCCATCCTCTCCTCTCAAAGTACATACAAATGTGGGCCCCTCAAAGAAGCCACCTTTATATGCAGTCATAGACTATAAATTCTTTGTGAGATTACTTCTCAGCAAAAGAGAGACATGAAATGTCTACCAGCCAGCATTCCCAAATGAATCTTGACTTTTAATCCCACAAGATCTTTCAAACTGAGGTGAATTTCTTTGCAGTGAGACTTTGCAAATCCACAAAAAGTATTTCCTTTTAAGATGCCCATTCCTGAGGTTTTTGAGCTAAGGAAAACTGACTAGGCTTGGCAAGTGCAGAATTTGTGATTCTAGTGGTCTGCATTTTGGGTCCCAGACTTTTAATGATGGTAAAAAGACTTCTCATTCTTTTGAAAAGTATTGCCTGCCTCAGGGAATATATGTATTTTCCTTTTTCACTATGGGAATATCTTCCTTCTTTGGAATACACTTTTCTACCTGAAATAAACTGAAGAAATAGGAATCTTGATGATGAAAGAAAAATATGATGTTTGTTTTTACGTGATCAATAAGTAAACCTTCCTACTGATCTAATAAACAGCCAAGAAAATACGACATAATTGACAAAGCTCAATGACGTTTAAAATTGAAAGATATTTTAAGAATTATCTAGTTTAACTTTTCTTTTTTTTTTTTTGAGACAGAGTCTTGCTCAGTCGCCCAGGCTGGAGTGCAGTGGCGAAATCTCGGCTCACGGCAAGCTCCGCCTCCCGGGTTCTCGCCATTCTCCTGCCTCAGCCTCCTGAGTAGCTGGGACTACAGGTGCCCGCCACTACGCCCAGCTAATTTTTTTTGTATTTTTAGTAGAAACGGGGTTTCACCGTGTTAGCCAGGATGGTCTCGATCTCCTGACCTCATGATCTGCCCGCCTCAGCCTCCCAAAGTGCTGGGATTACAGGCGTGAGCAACCGCGCCCGGCCTTAACTTTTCATTTTTTACATGAAAAGGGAAACAGTTCTGTACTTTGTAAGAAAATAATTCCTTGCTGAGTGTACTAGTCTGTTCTCACAGTGCTAATAAAGACATACCCAAGACTGAGTAATTTATAAGTAAAGAGTTTTAATGGACTCACAGTTCTACATGGCTGGGGAGGCCTCACAATTGTGGCAGAAGATAAAGGAGAAGCAAAGGCACATCTTACGTGGTGGCAAGCAAGAGGGCATGTGCAGGGGATATAGAACCATCAGGTCTGGTGAGACTTGTTCACTATCATGAGAACAGCACAAGAAAAAATCCGCCCCCATAATTCAATTACCTCCCACCAGGTCACTCCCATGACACATGGGGATTATCGCAATTTAAGGTGAGATTTGGGTGGGGACACAGAGCCAAACCATATCACTGAGCAAAGTATAATGAACTAAACTAAAGAATATTCTCAAATTTCTCTAATAAAAAATCTAAAACAATGCCTGGCAAATTGTTCAGAGTTTAAGGATTATCTGATATGGAAAATATTCAGGAGAAGTATTATTTGAGGACTAATATGTTTACTATGCTCCAAGATCTATTTAACATGCCAGATTTGTTAATTTAAATGTAGGAGAAAAATATTTTTAAAACCTCTGGCACTTTCTCAAAGCACTTATCAAATAATTTTGAACATCCCTGTTATCTTTATCTACCAGTAAACTGTAAGCTCTGGAAAGATAGGGATGGCATCTGACTTGCTAATAACCATTATTATAGCAGTGACTAGGGACAGCAAGTTTTCCGTTGCTATGTGTTGAATGAATTCACTAAGTAATTAATGAAGATTCTAACATCAGGGCTGTTTTAAAAATAAACTTTTTACTTTTGAAATATTTTTAGGTTTACAGAAAAGTTGTGAAGATAGTAACAGAGAGTTCTTATATACTCTTTACCCAGTTTTAGTTTTTCCTAATGTTACCATCATACTTTTTCCATGGTACATTTGTCAAAAGTCAACATTAGTACATTGCTACAAGGTAAACTCCAGACATTTCTTGGACTTGAATTAATTTTCCCAGTAGCATTCTTTTTCTATTCCAGTACCCAATCCAGGGAGCCACATGTGTTTAGTTATCATGTCACTGTCACTTTAATGTCCTCTGGTCTGTGACAGTTTCTCAGAGCGTCCTTATTTTTCACCACCTTGAGAGTTTTTAGAGTATTGATTATGGATTTTGTAGAGTGTCCTTAGAATTGATTTTGTATGATAATGCTTTTCTCATCACTAGACTGGGATTATGTGTTTTGGGAAAGAATGCCACAGAAGTGAAGTGTCCTCATTACACATATTAGGGGAACATGATATGCATATAACATCACTGGTGATGTCAACCTTGGTCACACGGTTAAGATAGTTTGCTGGGTTTCTCCACTGTAAAGTCACCATTTTTCCCAATTCCTACTCTATTCTTTGAAAGCAAAGCTGTAAGTCTAACAACATTCAAAAAGGGGAAAGGAAGTTTCATCTACATAAATTATTTGAAATTTTTCTGTCAGGAAGATTTGTCTCTTCTCCCCTATTTATTATTCAATCATATTTATCTATTCTTATACTGATATATATATAAATAGATATACATAAATTTATAGATACATTCATATATATGAAATAGAAAATGAATGTATGGATACATTCATACATATATATTCATGTATATTCATATGTATGTACATATATATTCATGTATATTCATATGTATGTACATATATATTCATGTATATTCATACATACATATGTATTCATACATATTCATACATATGTATTCGTATATATGTATGGATTTATCCATAAATTTATTTTCTATTTCATATTACATTTCTAAATTATGCTACTTATTTTGTTGCTCAGATGAGTCCAGCTTTGGACATTGGGCATTCCTTCAGTTTGACTACTGCATTGTATTGATATGCTCCCATTCTTAAATTTCTTTTAGCACATCCTTACTTTTTGGTACTACAAGATGCTCCAGGACCATCTTGAATTTTTTTTCCCAGTTCTAGAACCAGCCATTTATCCAAGGACCCCTGGTTCATTAAATTGGAAAATCATATTTATAAACCAAGATCTGTTCACTGGAGTGCTTGTCTCTCCTGGGTGTGACTGCTTCTAGATTTTCACTGTGGCAGAGCCAGATAATGTATGTATATTATCATATGTATAATATATACACATCAAAATATTTCCTATTTGGTTTTGGTTTGCTCCTTCTGTGTATGTATTTGGGGTTTTTTTGTATGAAGTTTCCATTGTTTATTTATTTCCAATTTTTCATGTCATTTATTACTTTTTTTAAGAAATTCAAATTCTATTTTGCATATGGGGTATGTGTGTTGGTTTGTTACATGTGTATATTGCAGACAGGTAGTGAGCACAGTACCCACTAGGTAGTTTTCAACCCATGCTCCCTCCCTCTCTTCCCCTTCTAGTAGTCTTTAGCGTCTTTTGTTCTCATGTTTATGTCAATGTGTGCTCAACATTTAGCTCCCACTTTTAAGTGAGAACATAAGGTATTTGGTTTTCTGTTCCTGCATTAGTTCACTTAGGATTATGCCCTCCAGCTGCATCCATAGTGATGCAAAGGACATGATTTCATTCTTTTTTATGGCTGTATAGTATTCCATGGTATATATGTACCTTATTTTCTTTATCCAATCAACCACTGATGGGCATCTAAGTTGATTCCATTATCTTTGCTATTGTGAATGGTGAGGCAATGAACATACAAGTATATGTGTCTTTTTGGTATATGATCTATTTTCTTTTGGGTATAGACCAAGTAATGGGATTGCTGGGTTAAATTGTAGCTCTGTTTTAAGTTTGTAAGAAATCTCCAAACTGCTTTCCACAGTGGCTGAACTAATTGACATTTCCACCAACAGAGTTAAAGCATTTCCTTTTCTCTGCAGCTTTGCCAGTATCTGTTGTTTTTTGACTTTTTAATAATAGCCATTCTGACTAGTGTGAGATGGTATCTCATGATTTTGATTTGCATTTCCCTGATGATTAATGATGATGAGTATTTTTTTTCATGTGCTTGTTGACGACATGAATCTCTTCTTTTGAGAAGTGTCTGTTCGTGTTCTTTGCCCATTTTTTAATAGGGTTATTTGTTTTTGATTGTTGATTGGTTTAAGTTCCTTATAGATTCTGGATATTAGACTTCTGTCAAATGCATAGTTTTCAGATATGTTCTCCCATTCTGTAGGTTGTCTGTTTATGCTGTTGATACTTTCTTTTGCTGTGTAAAAGCTCTTTAGTTTAGTTAGGTCCCACTTGTCGATTTTTGCTTTTGTTGCAATTGCTTTTGGTGACTTAGCTAAAAATTCTTTGCCAAGACTGATGTCAAGAAGGGTATTTCCTAGGTTTTCTTCTAGGATTCTTATCATTTGAGGTCTGACATTTAAATCTTTATCTTGAGTTAATTTTTGTATATGGTGAAAGGTAAGGGACTAGTTTCATTCTTCTGTGTATGGCTAGCCAGTTATCCCAGCACCAATTATCGACTAAGGAGTCCTTTCCCCCGCTTGTTTTTGTCAGCCTTGCCAAAGATCAGATGGTCATAGGTGTTCCATTGATCTATATGTCTGTTTTTGTACCAGTACTATGCTGTTTTCATTACTCTAGCTTTGTAGTATAGTTTGAGGTTGGGTAGTGTGATGGCTCTAGTTTTGCTCTTTTTGCTTAGGATTGCCTTGGCTATCCAGGATCTCTTTTATTTCCATATGAATTTTAGAATAGTTTTCTCTAATTATGTTAAGAATGTCATTGGTAATTTGATAGGAATAGTGTTAAATCTGTAAACTGCTTTGGGCAGTATGGCCATTTTAACAATATTGATCCTTTCAATCCATGAGCATAGAATGTTTTTCCATTTATTTGTGTTGTCTTTGATTTCTTTCATCAGTGTTTTGTAGTTCTCCTTGTAAAGATCTTTTGCCTCCTTGGTTAGCTGTATTCCTAAGTATTTCATTTTCTTTGTGACTATTGTAAATGGGGTTGTGTCTTGATTTGATTCTCAGCCTGGCTGTTATTGGTGTATAGAAATGCTACTTATTTCTATACTTTGACTTCATATACTGAAATATGACTAAGATCATTTATCAGCTCTTATAGACTTTTAATGAAGTCTTTAGGATTTTCTAAATATAGAATCATATTTTCAGTGAAGGGAGATAGTTTGACTTCCTATTTGAATGACTTTTATTTCTTTCTCTTATCTGATTTCTCTGGTTAGCATTTTCCATCTTTGTATATACCAAGCCATTCATGAGATATACTGGTGTCTCCAACTCCAGCCCCACAGAATTCATTCTAGCCTTCCCCTCTTGCTTACCTGTAACCTCCCACTCCAATCGTGGTACCTATCATCAACTACCCATTTACTTATTTGTTCAACTTACTTAGGTCAGCTCTTTTCCAGTCACACCCTTTAGTGCAGTTATGTTGTATATTTGTAGTACAACTGTTAGATTCATTTGCTTCCATCCTAAGATCTCTGACATCCAAGCTGATTTTTTATAGTTTGCATACATTCAAGTTCACTGCTTGTGATGTGCAGTTCTATGGACTTTAAAAAATGCAGTTATGCACCCATCAACCCAGTACCATGCAGAATAGTTCCACCACCCTAAACTGTTCCTGCATGTCCCCTTTGTAGTCAACCACTCCTCCAATCCACCAATCCTTGGCAACCACTGACCTATTTTCTGTCTATACTTTTGCCTTTCCAGAATGTCATATGAATGAAATAATACGATATGTATCCTTTAGGATCTGGCTTCTTCCCCTTAGTAAAATGCATTTAAGATTCATCATGTTGTTGTAGGAATCAATTGCTCATTCTTTTTTATTGCAGAGTAGTGTACCATGGAATGTATACACCACAGTTTGTCTATCCATTCCCCTGCTGAAAGACATCTTCACTGTTTCCAGTTTTTAGTAATTATGGATAAAGCTGCTCCAAACATTTATGTGCAAGTTTTTGAATGAATATAAATTTTCAACTCACTTGAGAAATACCTAGGAGTATGACTTCTGGGTCATATGGTAAGTGTATGTTTAACTTTATGAGAAACTGGCAAATGGCTTTCCAGAGGCTTTTAAAAAATATTACAGCATAGACTGCAGGTTGAAAAGCAGTCTTAAATCAGTTCAACCATAAAATTCAATATAGCATTAAGCATTAATAGTTTATCAACATAATTTTTAAAACTATTCTAGTTAAAAGCTCCTCTAAAAATGTCAACAATTGTGGGTAACTGAAGATCTCAGGCCAATTATTTATCTGTGAATAGTGCTGTGTTACTCACAAACAAAAATTACCAGGTTAAATTAGTCTCTGTTTTGAGGATGTGTAGCCAATGTAGCTAGTTCATATGAGTAAACTAATATCAGACAAAGAAGATGGTAATTCTCTACAAAGCACAATAAAATTCTGCAAATGTTAAAGAACAGCTTGTTTGCATTACTTTAAAGCATCATGCCTCTCAAATATAACAGTACCAAACTATTAATTTTCAGAAAAATTACATGATGGTCTCTCAGACTCATTAGTGAAACTCATCTTTTGTATATCATGTGTCTTAAATGGTACCTTTTCCATTGACCCTCTGATTCATGTAGAATTACTCCAAAATTATTTGAAAGTTGTCTTTATATTATCCTCAAACTTCTTCATTAAGTTCAGTCATACACTTTCTTAAGAAATTTTCTAAATATGTTTGCTAAAATGTAAGCTAAGTTGTCAGCTCTTCAAAAAGAAGCTTGTTTCTCTTATTTCTTTACTTTCTCTGCAGCTCCAGAAAGTCAGAAGATAATTAGTAGGCATTTTCAATATTTTCATTTACAACTCAATGTGTAATTTATGTGCAACTTTTCTTTTATTCTCTCCCCAAAAAAAGAAGATATAAAAGTAGGTTATCAATAAGTAAATAAAATGCATTTTTTATGTTCTGATTACCTCCTCTGTCTATGATGCTATATGCAGTTTCTGAACAGCTGAGCTAATTACGAACTCAAATTCTCTTTCATTTATTCCAATAAATATCTTCCACTCTTTGATTCTTCTCTCAAAAATTCTAGAGCTTTTCTGTGCCTGAAAATATCATGCAGACTAATTTTTTTAATTTAATTTGAACTTTTACTCTTTACAACCCTATTAATGGGTATAAACTATCAATCTTTATAGCAAGCTATCTTCAATGTAGATCAGTTTAAAAAATTGGGAGAGGTAATTCCTTCTCTGCATTCAGGATTCAGGACCAACTTCAAGGTATGCAATCTGTGTACAGCTGCATAAGGCCCTCACTTGGTTTAATGCTCTGCTGTCTCTGTCTTGAAATTAATAATTCTTTAACAAATTTAAATTCACTGCTGAGTAGCGTACCACTGAGTATACATACCACAGATTGTTTATCCTTCCCCTGCTGAAAGACATCTCCATTGCTTCCAGTTTTTAGTGATTTTGAACAAAGCTGCTCTTTATTCAAAAAATAAATTGCAGCAATAATCACTAAAAACTGGAAACATTTTCATTTTTCAGTGGGCCTCACAAGTTATGTAGCTAGCCAGTCACGTCAAGACCGTATTTCAATCACTAACCAAAGCACTTCAAGGGATTTCTGTAGAACAGTGCATACTTTTCCTAATAACAGGATCATAGCCTCCTGAATTAGCCAACTTTGTTCTGCAAATACTACAGTTCTACAAATTCCTTTTTCCTTCTTTGTCAGAAATGAGGGAGGGGTGGGGGATAAATGGGAAGGGATACTATATTCGAAAAATCTTTTTGGCAGTTTTTATACTCAGTAGACCCTCTCTAATGGCCCAGATAAACAAGCCTTATTATTTAGGGGTACATCTAGTAATCCCACCCCTATTTCTCAATGAACTCCATATTTTCTGTTCCAGGACCTGAAATCAGAGGGAACAAGGTATGATGGACGAAATTTGGCATTAGATAGCTATGGTACGAATCTCATTTTTACCACTTCCCAGGTTTTTTATCATGGAGAAATTATTTAAACACTGAAGCTCAAGTTTTTTTATTGTATATATTTATGGGGTACAAAGTAATGTTGTGATATATGTATAATATGCAGAATTATTAAATAAATCTAATTTACTATCCATCACCTCAAATACTTATCACTTTTTGTGATGAGAACATTTGAAATTTACTCTTAGCAATTCTGAAAGGTACATTATTATTAACTATAGTCATCATGCTGTGGAGTATATCTCAAAACATTTATTCCTCCTGTCAAAAAATTAAAAGTTCATGCCCTGTGACCAACATTTCCCATAACCCCAGCCTCTGATAACCACCATTCAACTCTCTGCTTCCAGGAGTTTGACTTTTTCAGATTCCACATATAAGTGAGATCATATGGCATTTGTCCTTCTGTGCCTACCTTATTTCACTCAGCACAATGTCCTCCAGGTTCATCCATGTTGTGGACGACATGTTGCAAATGACAGGATTTCCTTCTCTTTTAAGACTCAAGTATTCCATTGGGCATATAGAGCACCTTTTTAAAATTCATTCATCCATTGATGGTCAGGTTTTTTTAATTAAAAAATAGACAATGGGCTGGGTGCAGTGGCTCATGCCTGTAATCCCAGCACTTTGAGAGGCCAAAGCGGTTGGATCATGAGATCAGGAGTTCAAGACCAGCCTGGCCAAGATGGTGAAATGCCATCTCTACTAAAAAAAATACAAAAAATTAGCCAAGTTTGGTGGCGGGCACCTGTAATCCCAGCTACTCGGGAGGCTGAGGCAGAGAATTGCCTGAACCCGGGAGGTGGAGGTTGCAGTGAGCTAAGGTTGCACCACTGCACTCCAGCCTGGGTGACAGAGTGAGACTCCATCTTAAAAAAAAAAAAATAGACAATGATACTTTTCCACAGATTTTTATAAGAACTTTTTTGAAAACTAGAAAAGGTATCTGCTCAATAAAATTACTATGGAACTATTTCCTCTATAAAAATACACACCCTTGGGCCAGTAACACTGTAAAGACTCCTTGGGTTTCCTCCCCTTGGACTCTTCAGAGCTCTTCAGTTCAGGGCTCTTTTCTATGTCATCATGTTGCCATCAAACTTTCATTACATGTATTTGTGTCCTGGCTGAGAAACACAAAGGGATAGAGAATAAGTGCCAGCATATATCACTGTTCCTTACATTTGGCAGATCCTTATTAAATTGTTGAGATAGGAATGAAAGGAAAATGGGGAGTGCATCAAAAACAACCTTTATTCATAGTTTTTCAAGAGCTAGCCCAGTTGCATCACCAAAGGCCTAAAAGCCCACAGCTCTCCTTCTAGGTTTGATTGCTCCAGGTTTCTCTTTCTTCTTACTATTTAAGATATTAGAAGTAAAAAGAAAGTTTCTTAATCTAAGTTTTGCTTATAAATCTTTACTTTTGTTTGTGAAAAAAATCTATTTTTAATTTATCATCTTCCCTTGAACACCAATAATATGGTTTACTTCAGAAGAAACATTATACATTTTCAATGCTTGATACTGAAAAAATCAGGCTACAAATTGTTTCATGCAATTATCATCACTAAAAGATGTGGCCAAATTCCAAAGGGATGTCTTCATGGAGGACATTCCATATCAAATCTTTTCAGAGTATTTATAATTGTTTCAGTTGATGAAGGTAATAAGTAATCTAGATGCTTTATCAAATTCCACCATTAAAACTCAACTTGCCACCGTCACTTATGTATTGAAACTTTGACTCAATGGCTTTATTTGGATATGTTTGATTGTTGACATTGGCCCTTGTGAAGAAATACGTTAAACAGATTGGTATGCCAGGGTACAGTCTTGCAGCTAGCCCTCTCACCTTCCTCAAAAAGTTCAATTCACTTAAAGCCAGTTAGAAGATTAGTTTATCCTGTAAGACTCTGATAAAAGTTTTAAAGCCATAATAGGTCATTTAATTTATTTTTCAAATCTTTTTTCAATTTTTTTTTCATTTTAATATGACTCTGTATTACTTTCCAGAATAATGACTTCAGTTCTGCTACTTAATAAACCTGTATTTCCCATTACAATTGCCTTTGAATTTTAGACTTAGTACCTTTGGAATTACCACATTCATCCCCTTTGTTTCACAGTACAGAAAACTGAAAACAGATAATTTAAGTGATTTGCTCAACTCTTACAGCATGTCAATGGCAGAACTGAGGCTAGATCCGAGGAGTCTTCTGACTCCTGGGCCCAGTGCTCTTTTCATTAGGAAGTGAAACTACTCTTAAGCTTATTATACCTGTCTGTGGCCCCATGCTCACTTCCATGAGAATTTACTGTCAGGGAAGCAAGACACTCAAATATGGATGAGAACCTTAGATATAATAAAAATATTTATGTTTATTGTATCTGTAAATTCTTGCCCACACTTGGTTAAATATTAGGAAAATAAACTTTTTGAAGTATGGAAATTTCCCCCATACACATGTAGCACTTTTAGGATATCACATGTCTAAACATCAAGAGAGTACAAGACCAGGGAGCCGATATTAACTGTCACACACATGAAAGAGCACAGAGCAAAGTAATTTCCTGATGGCTGCACCAAATTGGCAAGCTTTAAACTTCCTTTCCTCATGTCTTCATCATCTCATCAATGGTCTAGATGTGCATTTATTCAACTATGTTTTTTCTTGCCAAAACAGAAATGCACATGCCATAGTCTCAAGATCTTCCTGGAAACCCATAGAGCTAACCCTAGATATGGCAGTGTGTGCAGCACCAGGCCCAAGGGAATTCATCCAAATGTTTAAAATGCTAGGCTCACCAGGCATGATGGCTGACATCTGTAATCCCAGCTACTCAGGGGGCTGAGCTGGGAGGAGAGCTTGAACCAAGGAATTCTAGGTTATAGTAAGCTATGATTGCACCACTGCACTCCAGCCTGGACCACAGAGTGAGACCTCATCTCTAAAAAAAGGAAAAGAAGAGGAAAAAAAATGGAAAGGAAAGAAAATGCTATAGAGTCAGGGAGACATTGATTCAGTGCCAGACTGCCTTCAGGAACAGTTTGTGTCTTCCCTTCCCAATTGCCTGTCCTGCAAACTTTGGGCTTCATTATCAGACAAGGAAATAATAGCCTCATACAAATTGTGCACTCAGTTCCCATAATTGCACAAGGTTAAAGCTCTAAAATAAATAAATCCTTTTATACTATGTATGTGTATTGATTTTTATGTATTAAGGAATACACACACACACACACACACACACATAATCAGTGAGCACCTAAAGGACTTCGAGGAAACTGCTAGCAAAAGCCAGATGTGCAAAAGCCTGATGTGCTTTAGTTTAAGCAGGCTTTGAATGAGAGTTTAAAAGGAAGTAAGTGATTAAACTTTGACCCATCCAGACAATAAAGTATTAATCGGTGCTAAAAAGAAATGAACTATCAAGCCATGAAAAGGCATGGAGGAACCTTAAATGCATATTACTAAGAAGTGAAAGAAGCCGATCTGAAAGGGGTACATACTGTGTGATTCCAACTATATGACTTTCTGAGAAAGGCAAAACTATGGCGACAGTAAAAAGATCAGTGGTTTCCAGGCACTGAAGAGACGAGGGATGAATGGGCAGAGCACAAAGGATTTTTAAGGTAGCAAAAGTACTCCTTATGATACTATAATGGTGGATACATACCACTATACGTTTGTCCAAACCTGCAAAATGTATAACACTAAGAATGAACCCGAATGTAAACTGTGGATTTTGGGTGATAATGATGTATCAATGGAGGTTCACTGATTGCAGCAAATGTACCACCCTGGTGCTGGCGGTTGATAGTCGGGGAAGCTGTGGATTTGTGGCAGCAGTGGATATATGGGAAATCTCAACTTTCTGCCCAATTTTGCTGTGAACCTAAAACTGCTCTAAAAATAAAGTCTATTTTAAAAAGAAAATAGTGAGAAAATGTTATGGAAAACTGGAGGAAATGGTTTCCTTTTTATATAGTGGCAGAAAATTTATTAGCATTGTTGCCTATAGTAATGGACAAAGTAAAAACATGTACCTGATGGACTAGATGACCAAGCCCCAGGAGATTTCCAGGCAGGGTGCTAAAAGTGCCACCTGGCTTCTTTTTGCTGCTTACAGTAAAATGTGAGAGGAATGATGAGATAAAGAAAAAAATCAGATGTAAAGAATCCAGGACTTGCTGAGTTCAAAAATAAAACTGTTCTCATTCTCAGCACTTCCAAGATTCTCAAATTAAGAAATAACTTCAGAGCAAAAACCAAATCCAATGGAGAACTATTAAATCCTTTGTTAAAACCTTAGAAAGATCTAATACAGCCCCTGAGAAAACCATTCAGTCAGACAAAAGGCCTTCTAAGACTCCAAAAGTAAGCCTCACAAATTCACTCCTTTAAAGAAAAATCCCTCTCAGACTCTTAAAGGTGATATTCGTCAGTCACCTTGCAGGAAGATCATGGTAAAGAGGGTATCTCTTGAAAAAAAAAAAAAAAGTATATATGTGACTTTCGTCTAATGGAGTGGTCTATAAATTAGTTCATTTTAAAATACGAAATTGTTTTAAAGAATTATATCTTCTTGGATTTAAAGGAACTGAAACAGTACAAAATGAGAAGGCTTTGGTTCCCTAAACCTCTATGGACAAGAAGCAGGTTTAGAAAACCACTCGTCTGCAGATACAGGCCATTTCTAATGAGAAAGGAAGGAAGACTCAGAAGATAGAACGAGGCCGGGCATGGTGGCTCACGCCTGTAATCCCAGCACTTTGGGAGGCCGAGGCGGGTGGATCACCTGAGGTCAGGAGTTTGAGACCAGCATGGCCAACGTGGTAAAGACCCATCTCTACTAAAAATACAAAAATTAGTTGAGTGTGGTGGTGGGCACCTGTAATCCCAGCCACTCAGCAGGCTGAGGCAGAGAATCACTTGAACCCAGGAGGTGGAGGTTGCAGTGAGCCGAGATCACTCCACTGTACTCCAGCCTGGGTGACAGAGCAAGACTCCACCTCAAAAAAAAATAAAATAAATAAAAATAAAAAAGAAGATAGAACCAAGAGCTTAGAGAGCAGAGGTAAGAACCTTAAAGAATCATTCTAAGGCAGCAGGATTGAGCCTGAATTAAGGACTTGGCAACATGTGCCTGGTTAGATTTCAGAACTGCCATGGACCAGTGACTGCTGTGTGACTCCTATTCTCTCCCTTTCTGAAGAAAGTGGAATGCTACTACCCTACACCTTTCCTGTAATTTAGGGGTGCTGGTTGTATGAGGAACAGATAACTTGTCTCCATAGTTCACAGGTCTCCAGATCTAGAGGATCAATATTCAAGGAGCTATACCCAGATCTGATTTAGGTGACCCAATCTTGGACTTTAAGCTGATACTGTAATGGCATGAGACTTGGTGGCCTTGAGGAAGGAGATAAGTATATATTTTTAAGTAGGAGGAACATGAATCACTGGGGGCCATAGGGTGGACTAGGGTATTCAGTCTCAAAAATGGCCTCCAATGATCCTCCCCTCCATGTACTCATGCCCTTTTACAGTTCCCTCTTCTAATGTGTCAAGGCTGCCCTTGTGTGACCAGTACAACAGGGCAGAAGTGACAGTCTGTGACTTCTAAGACTTAGTCATAAGAAGCATTTCAGCTTTTGTCTTAGTATCTCAGTTCATTCACTCTAGGAAAAGTCAGCTATTTTACCATGAGAAGACTCAAACAATCCATGGAGATTCCCATGACAAGAGGAACTGAAGCCCCTGGCCAATAGTTACATGAGTAAGCTGCCTTGGAAGTGGATCTTCCACCCTATATCAAGCCTTCAGATGATGGCAGCCCCACGTGACATCTGACTACAATATCACAAGATGCTCCGAAATGCTTGACCCACAAAACCAAAAGAGATAATAAGCGATTATTACTAATTTAAGCCACTAAGTTTAAATTAGCAACCCACAGAGCAATAAATAACAAATATAGCAAGGTTAAAAAGTTAGGAGATCATGGGGGAAAAAACTCTATCTACTATGATAGATAGCACCTCTCTGATATGATTAACAATAAAGTCCAGGCTACACAGGAAAGCAAATGACACCTAGAAGGAAGATCATGATTTTAATAGAGAAGTTTTACATGAAGTCTGTGTATTATGGGATACTCTGGCATTCCCTAATTAAGGTACCAAAATGGCATATATTCCTATGGTTAGAAAAGTATGGTTGTGGTGACAGTCATTCATATGTTTTTTGTTTGTTTGTTTGTTTTGAGATGGAGTCTCACTCTGTTGACAGGTTAGAATGCAGTGGTGTGATCTTGGCTCACTGCAACCTCCACCTCCCAGGTTCAAGCAATTCTCCTGCCTGAGCCTCCTGAGTAGCTGGGACCACCATGCCCAGCTAATTTTTATATTTTTAGTAGAGACAGAGTTTCCCCATGTTGGCCAGGATGGTCTCGATCTCTTGACCTCATGGTCTCCCACCTCAGCCTCCTAAAGTGCTGGGATTACAGTCATGAGAGTCATCCATATTTTTATGATCAAATACTCTGAATAATTATATGGTGTTTATATATTTATTCTCACCTACCTTACGTTTAATTCTCACATTAACCCTGTGAGATGGCTATTACAGATGAAGAAGCTGTGACTTGAAAATTTTGCCTAAGGTCACAGTGAGAAAACGGCCGAGCCAGGAATAAAATTCAGGTCTTCTGATTCAACGCATGGCTTTCCTTCCTTTGGTCACAGTTTCCTTGTGGTGGACACAGAAGAAATGCTAAGTCCTGCAATTCAACCTTCTCAGAACATAAACCCTTGCTTCAAATCCTCATGGAGGTCATGGGTGTTTCAGTGAAAGAAAGGTAGAATGTGGATAGTGGGAGGAGAGGGCTTATTCCTCTCAAGGGCCACAGAATAAATCATAAGCAAAGCTTCAAGTGGGAAGCACAGCATATTTAGGAAACAAAAATGAGACTACTTGGATCCAACAAAAGATCCAAAGTTGACTCCGAAAGAACTAGAGGTGAGGTATGTTGGAGGCTGATGTGAGGAATGAGCTGGACATTGTATGTAATGGAAAGTCACTGGAGATTTCAGAAAAGGCAGTGACCCACAGAATGTGTATTCACAGAGGTAAGACCCTCTTCCAGAGTCTAGCATAAATACTGGCATACCTCTTTTATCTTTCCAGTTAGTTGCTGGAAACAGCATCTGCCCTAGTAGGAGTCTAGCATTTTTCTCCTAAAGATAGCATCCCATCCTAACCCTGAATTGTGCAAGAATTCCAGGGGCTTTGATAATTCAATTCAGGGCTCAGTTGTTCTTCCAAAAGTTAGGAAAAGGGAGAGAATGGAAGGCCCCTGTCCATTAGCACCATAGCATGGTTCATAATCGCAGAGTTCCTGCACCACCTATGAGACAATTGTTCACTGCTAAGGTGATGCCCACGCTGCACCACATCACAAGCATGGCCACACGGCCTCCCATACTCTCATTTCAAGCTTATTTCTCTTTAATTTCCAATGCTTACTCATTATTTCCAGTCAGGGCAGCTGGATCCAAGAGGGCATCCACCACACACTGTTTGGAATCAGTCACCGCCCTCCTTTGGCTCTTAGCCCATGTGTGGAACCAAATCCCTAGCCATTCAGCCCTTCCCTTGAGTGGAGGCCAATAGGACCTATCCCACCAGGCAGTTCTGAGAATCAAGTGTGTCAATATATGTAAAGGATCTGCATTGTCTGGTGCATAGCAAGTTTTCCCTAAATGTTATTGTTACTATTATTTTACGTTTGAGAATGCCTACGGAGTGCTGGAAAACTTCTCACAGGTACAAGCTAAGCATACTATTATTTTCAAAACGATTTTTGGCTCTTAATAGCACCTTAGAACTAAAATTTGGTCCCTAGCCCTTTCCTATGGCAAACACTGAGCACCATCAAAAAGGCAAATACCTATGCTTAGGTAGTGATTAAAGGTGAGAATGAATGAATCAGGATCTCCAATCCACACTAAGCAATATGTGTTATAAATAGGCCTTGTAATAGAGTCAGCAAGTCAAAGCAGGACAACTCTGTGAAGAAAAAGAAGACAAATTATTGTTTTAAAAAAAAAAAACAATAGTTAATCCTCAGGAACTATCCTTTGCGGAGGTCATTACTGCTACAGTGGGACGGTAATTAAAAAAAAAAAAGTAGGTCCATTTCAAAGTCAGCATGTACAGTATAGAACACTGTGGCCTGAGTGATCACCCATCCAGATTTATATGTATAAAATATAGGTACAATTAAGACACTAAAAGTGTTTATAGGACTTAAAACTTTGCATACAACGCCCTTTTCTTATCCTGTATTCCAAACTTCACCCAAATTCTGCACATTAAGTATATATCAATGAAACTAAAAAAGAGTATTACTTTATGCCCAGTTTCTCTGCCATTAAGAACCACAAAAGGTACTAGGATGGGACAAGTTTCCTCAGAATAATCTGGATGGGTGAGCACTCAGGCCACAGTCTTCTATACTGCTCACACGGTCTTTGAAATGGGCCTGCTTTTTTTTTTTTTTTTTTTTTCAATTATCATCTCACAGTAACAGTAATGACCTCCGCAAAGGATAGTTCCTGAGGATTAACCACTTGGAAGCGGGGAGGATTTTAGGCGATATCAGCACTTCCTCCTCCTCTTCAGGAAATGCCAGGCCTTTACTTATGCAGAACTGCCAAAGTAATTTCGTTTCTAATTAGCCTCAACTCCCCACTTTTACCTGTGCACTGAAACCATAGTTTAACTAAAAAACAGTATTCCCAATTCTTCCCCCTCTGTTTCCCAAGTCTGTTCTGCATCACCAAGACAGTGATATATAGTGCTGAGAAAACTTGAAGAAAATTATCATTTCTCTTTTATGAAGAATTTATTTTCCTTCATTGGAGCTTTTTAGTAACACATCATGACTCTTTTCTGTAGTTGTTTCACCAGGTTTCAGTAAAGCTGCCTTGGTAATGAAGAAAGCAATACTATAATCAAATGTGACCGTGGGTGTCTGTCAGTCATATGGAAACAAAGAGGAACCTTCTGGAAAATAATACAAAAGGTAGTGAGTTCCCTGTGCAGGTAATTTGCCTCCAGGCCCCTAATCCCCCTCCGAGAGAGCATTGCCTTGCCTGGGCACTGGGTCTAGCACCTGTCGCTCTACGGCTCCACAGGACTCACTGAAAGATGCATGTGACTGAGGGCATCTGTTCTCCCACACTCTGGCTATGGTGACTGACCAGCTATGAAACAGGGATGACTAACAAAGAATGGAAGGCCCCATGTTTCGGCAGGCGTTTTAAATTTCAGGGAAATATCTGTGAGCTGGAAAGGAAATGCTGGGGTCCTGCACCTGATGAGCAGCTGATCACGCTCTCAATGTCATCATTATGGTGTGTCATCTAAGAGACGGAATTGAAATAGCTAGACTCTCTGGAACCAAAAGGTCAGACTCAGGCAAAATTAGCTTAGCTTGCTATATGGGTATGACTGTAATCCTTTGCGCTCCCCGGAGTACTTTATGGTCAAGGATCTTGGGGAGAGTTTGCCAACAATTAATCTCAGTAGAGGCCTGTGGGTTTCAGGACAAATCATATTACTCATTTACCTCTTTCTCATCCATAGCATACTCTCACATGTTGCTGCTTGCAGGGACTGAGTCTATCAAAACATATGTAGTAATATTACACCTTTTAACAAGTGATCCTATTGAGGATTCAGTGGTCCGTGCTGAGTCCGAAAGTGGAAAAGCACATAGCAGAGCTGGCCGTGAAGCAATGCCTTGACCAAGAGTGGGAAATGCACCAACATCTTGCCACCAAACTGCCCACCAGCCCCAGTTAGGGGCTTGAAATCCACACACCCAGAAAGCGGGTCTGAGACAGAACTGCCTTCTGTGAAATGTGCTATAAGCAGAATACTATTTTAGGTTCAAATCATAGTCCTGTGACTACAAAAAGGGAGAGAGAGAGATTAACCAAACAAAAGGGATAATTCCACAATCATGGTGAAAATGGCACAATTTTATCAGGAAAATTATCAGTAGTTTTTAATTGCCTGAAAGGAGACTCACAGAATCACAAGATTTTAGAGCAGGGAGCGGTCTTGGATATTATCTAGATCAATTTTTTTATTCTACCGAAATAAAAATGTAGTCTAATATATTTTCCTCAACAACCCACCAGTTAGAACAGGCAGCCAGGCACGGTGGCTCACGCCTATAATCCCAGCACTTTGGGAGGCCGAGGCGGGCAGATCACAAGGTCAGGAGATCAAGACCATCCTGGCCAACATGTTGAAACCCTGTCTCTACTAAAAATACAAAAATTAGCTGGGTGTGGTGGTGCGTGCCTGTAATCCCAGCTACTTGGGAGGCTAAGGCAAGAGAATTGCTTGAACCCAGGAGGCGGAGGTTGCGGTGAGCTGTGATTGCGTCACTGCACTCCAGCCTGGCAACAGAGCGAGACTCTGTCTCAAAAAAAAAAAAAAAAAAAAAAAAAAAAGCAGGCTTCCATTGAAGGGGAGGGAGCCAGGCAGATCCGAGGGGTGCATAAGGCACTTCTTGAGGAGGGCAGACCTCTGTGGGATTCCCCATGAGCAAACCCAATGCTAGGATCAAGATGCTGAAAAGAGAAATGAGAGTACTGGAAGGGCAAATAGAAGCAAAGCAAATATGACATTGCTTCACTTCCCAAGTTCTACTAGACTTTAAATTCCGGCTGGGTGCAGTGGCTCACGCCTGTAATCCCAGCAGTTTCAGAGGGTGAGGTGAGTGGATCACTTGAGGCCAGGATTTGGAGACCAGCCTGGCCAACACAGTGAAACCCCTTCTCTACTAAAAATACAAAAAAAAATTAGCTGGGTGTGGTGGCACACGCCTGTGATCCCAGCTATGTGGGAGGCTGAAGCATGAGAATTGCTTGAACCTGGGAGACAAAGGTTGCAGTGAGCTAGGACTGGAACACTGCACTCCAGCCTGGGCAACAGAGCAAGACCCTGTTGCAAAAAAAAAAAAAAAAAGAAAAAGAAAGAAAAGAAAGAAAAAGGAAGGAAGGAAGGAAGAAAGGAAGGAAGGAAGGGAGAAAAAATCCTAAATTCCACCACCTGCCCTGGAAGCTCACAAACAAAAATGAGAATCCTAGGGCTAAAATGAATTCAACAAATTGAAATCTGATTCTGAATAAAATTGCCACATGCATTTCTGGGGAGCCTTGAAAGTACTCCTATAAAAGGTAGCAATATACACTGCCCTTTGTTAAAGGCAGGTCTTTGTCCCATGTTCTCTCATAATAATGTTAAATAACACATGAATGCATAGAGAATGAATGAAACCTCTCTTGGGGGAGGCAGGAGGTCCTACAAGCTATTCCATTTGAGTTTAGAACAGTAAAATATATCACTAAGGTATGTGCTATATGACAATTAATGAGTATCATTTTCTAAACTTTCTGAGAATGCTATAGTCTCACTCTGCTTCTCAAAATTCCTTTCACAGTTGGCTCTATGGAAGTTTACATTCTGCACTATTCTTAGCTCTCGCAGCTGGAGAATCCCGGGGAGTCCTCAATGCCAAATTCCAGGACATGAAGCTAATACCACTGTTTCAAACTTCTCTTTTTAAAATAAATGCATGATTTTGGAAGATTTTAGTTATCAAAAGAACGCTACATTTAAATGTAATGTAGACTAAAAGATTTTTCTATTGCAAAATCTTAAAATAACAACCGTGTCAATGAAAGCTTACATTATGGGTGGTAGTGGGGACGATAATATATCTATTTTTTTAATAAGCATCAGATTTAACAAATGATTTCAGTATCAAAATTTCAAAGAAGACTGATATTTCACATAGTAGAACAATTTGGTCAATAAATTTAATAGACGACCCTGAATGCATGTCTCAATTTCAGATTAATTCATTGATCAAATATTTACTGAGCACCTACTGTGACCCAGAACTAAATGCTTGTGAACAAAACAATCAAAAACCCTAGACTTTACGGAGTTCACACTCTAGTGGGGAGAGACAGACAGCAAAAAAATAAACATTTTCTAAGGTGGATCTTTTTGATTTGAAAGGCAAGACTTAGGTACTGTGGACCCCACTGAAATGCTGGATGTTAACCCATGTTATCGGGTGTGAAATCCAGAAGGGAATTCTTGGAAGATACCAACAAGGATCACCAGTCCTTTCAGTCAAAGAATACTAATTGTTTAACAAAAGCACCTCAAACTTGGCAAAGCCTCAAAGTGTGACATATTCCAAAACTGTGTTCATTATTTTTTTCTTCTCCCTATTTTTTCCTTTCTAGTGACAGCAACACCTGACAGCCAGTTGTTACGAAAATACAAATCTGGCAGTCAGGCTACACTCCTCACTTTCCCATATCCATGTCCTAGAGTGCTGACATGCTCACAGTTCACTTTTCTGTCCCCACTGGGTGCTGATCCTCACTGCTGCACCTCCATCACTTTTCCCTGGGATTCTTGGAGTAGTCAACAACCACCTGTTCTCCCTGGCTCCATTAGGCACTTCTTCCACCTCCTTTTCCTCACTGTTGCCCAATGATCTTTTTGAAATGTGATTGCATCTATTTCTTATTTTAAATTTTTCAGAGGTGTCAAGTGATTCTAGGCATAAAGATTTGGGGGATGTTATTGTTGTTGTTGTTATTTGAGACAGGATCTTGCTCAGTCGCCCAGGCTGGAATACAGTGGCACAATCATGGCTTACTGTACCCTCAATTTCCCAGGCTCAAGTGGTCCTCTGGCCTCAGTCTCCCAAGTAGCTGTGACTACAGGTGTGCACCACTAAGCCCAACTAATTTTCTTTTTATTTTTTGCAGAGACAGGGTCTCATTATGTTACCCAGGTGGGTCTTAAACTCCTGAGCTCAAATGATACTCTTGCCTCAGCCTCCCAGAATACTGAGTTTACGGATGTGAGCCACCATGCCTGGCCTAGGATTTGTTTTCTTTTTCAGTTGAGAATTTTTTTTAGTCAAGGTAATACAGATACAAGTTTAACATTTTAAATATTACCAAAGGGTAATTTTTTGTCATTGAAACTTGAGGGTCATTTTCATGAAATGTAAGTTTTTCATTCATCCCAGTTCCCCCAGGACTCAAAAAATAAATAAATAAATAAAAATAAACATGTTAAAAATAAAAAAAGCTATATGGTGTATTAGATGGTGACAAGCATTATGCAAAAACAGAACAGGGTAGGAAGATCTGGGTGGAGATGCTACACTAATGTAAATAGTGTTTCCTGGGTGTACCTCATTAGGAAGGGACACTGAAGAAGGCTTAGAGCAAGTGAAGTGGGAGAGTGCTCCAGGCAAAAGCTATGCTCCTGTGCAAAGGCCCTGAAGTAGAATACGCCAGCTTGTGTGAGTAGGAGGGGAAAGGTAGTAGGGAAAAATTCAGAGATTAATGGGGGCTCAGCTTGTCCAGGATTTTGTTGGCCATTGTTAGTACTTTGGCTTTTGCTTTGTTGAAATAAAAGGTAACGAGCAAGAATGGAATCGGGGGATCAATTAGGGAGTAAGTGACAATGATTGGCTTGTACCAGGGTGTTCATAGTAGAGATGATGAGAATGCATCAGATGAAGTATATAGCTTAAAGATAGAGCAAATGGGATTTTCTGACTAATTGGATATGGAGTATGAAAGAAAGAGAAGATTCAAGGGTAACTCTAAGAATTTGACCCAGAGCAATTAAAAAAGTAATATTGCCGGCTGGGCACGTGGCTCATGCCTGTAATCCCAGCAATTTGGGAGGCTGAGGTGGGCGGATCACGAGGTCAGGCATTCATGATCAGCCTGACCAACACAGTGAAACCCTGTCTCTAATAAAAATACAAAAAAATTATCCAGGCATGGCGGTGGGTACCTGTAATTCCGGCTACTCAAGAGGCTGAGGCAGGAGAATCGCTTGAACCTGGGAGGCAGAGGTTGCAGTGAGCCAAGATCATGCCATCGCACTCCAGCCTGGGTGACAAGAGTGAAACTCCACCTCAAAAAAAAAAAAAAGCAATATTGCCATCAAGTGAGATGAGACAGCTGGGGGTGAAGTACTACAAAGTTAGAGATCAGATGTTCCATTTTTGATATATTAAGTTTGAGATACTGATTGGCTCTTCTAGTGGAAATCTCAAGAAGTTGGTGATAAGAGACAACTGGTTCAAAGAGTTTTGCTGCAAGGGAAGGCCCAGGAATGGGGCAGTAACTGGCAGGGATAATGGAGTCAGCAGAAAGATTTGGTTTTCATTGCATTAAGATAGGAAATCTAATAATATATTTGCATATTGGTGAAAATGTTCCCAAAAAGTGAGAAAATGATGAAACAGGAGAGAGCAGAACTGCTGGAGCAATGATCTTTAGTAGGTAAGAAAGGATGGGATCTAGCACACAAGTGAAAAGATGACCCTTCTCTCTAAGAAGAAACAATAGAAATAAGCACAGATGTTAGATTTTATGGATGCAGACACTAGAAGATGGTAAATATGGTGGTTGGAGTCTGGAGAATTCTCTTTCAGTTGTGATTGAAGGTAATGGAGGAAGTGTTGAGGTTTTAGGAGAGCTGTGAAAATTAAAAAATTAACTAGAAAAGTGGGGCTGGGCATTGTGACTCACACCTGTAATCCCAGTACTTTGGGAGGCTGAGGTGGGAGGATTGCTTAAGCCCAGGAGTTGGAGACCAGCCTGGGCAACATAGCGAGACCCTGTCTCTACAAAAAAAAAAAAAATTGAATTAGCCAAACATGGTGGCACACACCTGTAGTCCCAGCTACTTGGGAGGCTAAGGCCAAAGGATGGCTTGAGCCCAGGAGGCGAAAGACACAGTGAGCTATGCACTTCAGCCTGTGTGACAAATAGAGACCATGTCAAAAAAAAAAAAAAAAAGTGGAACAGTCAATGGACTAGAGAAACATAATTTCCTGGCAGCATTAAGGATGAAGCACAAAGCATCAGAGGCCCATGTGAAGTAGGTAGTGATTAATTTGCAATGGGACAAACCTATACAAATTGTACAGAGGGGCAAGATTTTCTGTTTTCTTTAGTCCTATTCAGATTCATTGGTGTAGGTATATAGCAGACAGAGAGGGAGACTTAACTTGTGGCTTTGTCAAGGAAGAAAACTGAAGCCAAAAAAGGCAGGGAATTGAGGGTGACCCCAAGGGAGTGACTAGAATGGTTGAAAATTGAATTTAAGTTTGGTCAATAGGGACGAGAGGATGTCAAGAAGAAGATGGACAGTTAAAAAAAATGTCAGACAGATCCTACAAGTAGTAGGATCAATGAACTGGCAATCTAGGTAGGTTCAAATTGTTGGGATCTTGGTTCCGGAAGGAGTGAGCTAGAAGAAAGGGAAGGTGGTGACAGGGTGAGAGGAGATTATGGAAAGGTTGCAATTATGAGTAATGACAAAACTCAGGACAATAATCTTTTTGTTTACGCAGAGAACGTTGCTGTGGAGAAGAAAAATAGAGTGTGAGCAGAAGAAAATGAAAATGGATTAGACACCAAACTGCTGACAGGCTTTGCAGCTTTTCAGGAGTGGGCTGCTAAGTAGCTTCTTTGGGCATTTTGTGGGTGTGGAGAAAACAATGACAGGTGGCGGCTAGTGTAAGAACAGGAAACTAGGAAGAGCTCATTTCTCAAAAGGAACCGCCTGCAATGACTTCAACAATTAGACGTGTATTGGGTTTATAACACTCCTGTTTTAAAATGCATATAGTGTATCAGTCATCTATGCTGCAGTATGAATTGTAATAATTAGACTATTCCAGTGTTCTCTGATCCCAAACTAAGATCTGTGCAATGAGAACTTAGGAGCTTTGAGTAGAAATATGAAAAAAGGGCATAAGAAACTTTGAGTGGTGTCCATAGCAGCATTATTCATAACAACCGAAAAGTGGAAATGACCCAAATGTCCCTTAACTGATGAATAAATAAGTGGTATATCCACACAAATGGAATATTATTTGGCAATAAAAATATATGAAGTTCTGATATATGCTAGAACATGGATGAACTTTGAAAACATTATGCTAAATAAAAGTCAGACACAAAAGGTCATATATTGTATAATTCTATTCATACGAAATGCCCAAAATAGGCAAATTCATAGAGATGGAAAGTAGAATAATGGCTTCCTAGGGTTATGGGTACAGTGAGATGGGGGAGACAGATAAGGGGCACAGGTTTTATTTGGGGGGTAATAAAAATGTTCTAAAATTGATTGCTGTAATGGATGTACAACTCTGTGAAGATACTAAAAACCACTGAATTATACACTTTAAATCGGTGAATTGTATGATGTTGAATTATATCTCAAAAAAGCTTTTTTTTAAAAAAAAAGAAACTGAATGAGTTCAGGTGAGCTTTGGACAGCTGCAAGCATCATTCAATAGACTACAAGAAAGAATTCAGAAAACACTAAAAGAAACTCTATTTTTCTTGAAATTTGACCTAGAGCCCTGCTGATAAGTCACACACCCAAGTGTCTCTTAAATCAACTCCAACATCATCTTGGGCCTTTCTGCCCAAGGTTGCTAATGCCTCCCCAGCAGAAACACACACTGACCAAGCCAACCTAGAGTTTTCGGAGCACAGTGATTAGGGTTCAGTCTCTAGATCCAGGCAGAAATAGTTGATATTCTCACTCTGCTGCAGGTTGTGTGTCCGTGTGACTTCAGGCAAGTCACCTTATGGCCCTTAGTCTCAATATTCAATGGAAATAATACAAGTACCTGTCTTACAGTATCGTTGTAAGAATTAAATGATATAAAAAAGGCAAAGCACTTATTGTAGAAGGTGGCATTTAGTGACTGCTTAGTTATTATCATTATAAAATGTTAGGAATATAAAGAGGGATGGCCAGAGATTCCAATATATTTTATGGTACATACTCCAGCACTCCCCATGTATGCCCTTCCAGAGGAGTCAAATTGGGAAGAAAGAAGGGGAGTGCATTCAAGAGAAGTATGTTTCCTCACTTTCCTCTCTCCATTTGGCACTTACCCTGTGACAAATATTCCTGTCTTTGGGTGAAAGCTGTTCTTGCTATCAAGAAGAAATTATAATGTTGTAGGAGCAGCTGCATTTCCACCCAAATACCAGACCCAATGCAGAACTGCTGTGTCATTACCCTTTTGTGAAATGAATCCCACCGGATGCCATCAAATGGCCTTTGTAAACCTATAGAAAAAATTCTCTAAAAACCTATCTTATGAGTTTGGCATTAACAGTTAAACAAGCAGTTACTTTCAGATGACTAGAACATTTTCTGAACTTGCAGACCTCATGTACTAGCAGGCAGACAGATATCTAGATACATTTGAAACCTCAGTTTATTAAGGGATATAATAAAAGTAGATAAAATGTGCTGTGGAGACATATATGAGAGAATGATTTGTTCTGTTAGTAAAGGGAGGCTTCAGACAGCACATATCCTTTCATCAGGCCTTGGAAGAATGAAAAGATGTTCTAAAGCTAGGGAGAAAAAAAGAACCTGAGTAGCGTCACAGATGTATTTCATATCAGGGAGTGGTTAGTAAACTGGGGAGAGTATGGTGGGGCAGGTAGCTGAGCACAGGCTACAAAAGGCTTTGACTGCCAGGCCAAAAGTTCGAGACCAGCCTGGCCCATCTCTACTAAAACTACAAAAAAAAAAAAAAAAAAAAAAAAATTTAGTGGTGGGTACCTGTAATCCCAGCTACTTGGAAGCTAAGGCAGGAGAATTGCTTGAACCCAAGAGGCAGAGATTGCAGTGAGCCAAGATCATGCCATTGCACTCCAGCCTGGGTGACAAAACGAGACCGTCTCAAAAAAAAAAAAAAAAAAAAAAAAAAGGTTTGCACTTCATTTTGTAATTAAAGGGAAAAGCCAACAATCTTGTGACAAAGACTACTTGTACTCCCCCCAATATCATTTTTTGTTCTTCTTCCCTGGTAAGAAAATCCCTAGCTAAGCACATTACCAGGCAGAATGAAGATTCTATTCCAGTCTCCCTCGGACAAATGAAAAGTTGACAGCAGAGGCAGTACAGACCCCTGGGGGAGGATGATACTCCATATGCTAGAACACATGGTTATCCATCTCCCTTCTAGCAAAGGCCAATCTCTCCACCTCCACTGGGAGATGCACTCCTCTCATCTTCTTAGTTATCCCTTATTTCTCTTACAAAATCAATTGTTTGCCTTTCATGGGATCATTGCTATATATTTACAAGCGTCTTCCAATATCTGCACTCATTGAAAATAAGAACGTTTACATACCCACTTCTAGTACTGCCCCAATCCCTGCTCCCATAAATAGCCAGATTTCTTGAGTTTTAAATACGTGTTTACTCCACTACCTCATTTTCCATTCTCCCTTTAGCCTATTACTATCTTCCGAACTCACTATGTCACTAAAACTAAATAAAGAAAGAAATCACCAAAGACTTCCATGTCACCAATACGCTTTTCTACGTTTCTGCTCTCTTCTCATTGGACACAGTTGTCTCACTTGATCCCTGCTGTCAAACCTTCTCATTTTGCACAGTTTTCTGGCTTTCCTCCTACCTTTCTGGCTGCTCCTACTGTCTCCTTCTCCTTTGCCTGAACTCTTAGTGTTGGAGTTCCTCAGAGCTGAGTCCTGGACACTTTCGTCTTTCTCTACACAGTCTCCCCCAAAATGATCACAACTACTTCCTTGGCTTTAAATACTTTCCATAAACGATGGCAACTCCAAGACTGATATCTCCGGCGCAACTCCCTTCTCTGAGCTTCTCTCCAGTGTATCCACCTCCACCTGAATGTCTCAGGTATTTCAAACTTATCATGTCCAAAACTATACCTTCAATTTATAAGCAAAACAAAACAAAACCATGCCTGTCCTCCAATCTATCATTCTCCTTCACTGAAGATAAAATGCTAGATATTAAGCCTCCCTTCAAGAAAACTTGCTTTGAAGGTGTGATTGACTGACAGCCTCCATGAACCCACCTTCAGATCTATCCAGGTGTTCACTCATGAGGCTAGGGGAGGCAATGCTTCCCCTGGCTGCTCCTGGGATGACTAAATGCAATAGGAGAACTAGAGCCAAGTGGTTTCATCATGGGACTTCTCTAATGGGCAACCTTGGTTCAGGAACTCCCCATAAGCCTATCCAAAACTTTCTCAAAACTGCAGAGGTCTAAAGCTCTTCCTACACAATTCTTCCTTTCTCCCCCTTCTCTTTTCACAGGTAGCAGACCTGCATTACAGTCTAACATCTCCCCACCTATCCATGCTATGCTTCCATAAATATTGGTGAATAAATGAATCCAAAATGAACAAAGCGCCTCATTCAAACACTCCTGTAAATCAGCATCACTTTTAAAAGGGCTTTTACAATTTTTCTGTTGTGGAGCTGTATTTTATATTTAATTCTGTGGAGGAGAAGGACAGGGTGGCCTCCAGGGCAAGACCCCAATGGACATCTTCTGAAGCATCACAGGAGCGGGCATGAGGACAGCAACTGCCTACTATCTCAACATCTAGTGGAAATGGATTGGATTCGAGGGTACAAAAATTATCACTCTTGCAAGGTTCACTCCAGAATCTAACTACACATGGAACTGGTTAAAATGAATAAAGAAGGAATGTACAGTAAATTGATTTAACAGTGAAGACATGGGGTAGGGTATGTTTTCTGAGGAGGCTGATGGCTCTTCCATAGGTGGGAATTACCTAAATTAATTCTCTTTTCTCACAGCTAACCTCTGCAAAGGGCTGAGATGACTTCTTTGGTAACTTCTTTGAGTGGGAAGCCATCAATAAGACATAAGTACATAAGTACATGGAATTACTGAAAGCAAAACAGCTTTTCATTAGGAAGAAAATTCTATTATATCTGAAATAGCTATGTACACAACTAAAGCCTGGCTATTAAAGTCATGAGTCTCTTTTTTGTAAAGTAACACCAATTACCTGGAGGCAACTTCCCCTAGTTGTGAGATATTTACTGTGATTCTTAAAAGGAAAGAAACTCTTCCCTATGCCCAATTTGCAAGCTTATTAAATGTTTACATGGCAAGAGAAAAAAAGGTTTGCCTAATTTAGAAGGAGCAAATAAAAACCAAATAAGTACTATATTTAGCTGAACTTCATAGGTCCATAACTAAGAAAAAGGGAATCTAATTCAGAAGGAACCCTGAGTTTTTAGCTTGAGACAATTCAAATGTTATCTCCTCAAAGGCCTTCCTTGATTTCTCAGTCTAAATTAACTACACATCTCACTACCACCGCCACCCCTAACCGGTAACTCTATTCAAAGTCCTGCTTTGTTTTCTTCATAGCACTTACCATGATCTAAGACTCTGTTTGCTTCTCTCGCATCTTCCACCACTGAAGGCTAAAACCCAAGAGGGCAGAGACAGCTTCCATGTTACTCAATTCCATCACCGACTCCTTATACAGTAACTGGTTCACGGTAAATACACAATAAATATTTGTTGAATGAATGAAATCAACCATGCCACAACAATCATGGCTTCAAGGTGTGCATCACTGAAAACTTTCACATTGCCAACAGAGTTTCAGATCTCAAGAGACTTCCAATTATCATTTGATTCCCAGCAACATGTTTGAACCCAAAATTATATTTGTCATTCCAAGCGACTTATCCTTTCCAACCAACCACATAGGCACCAACTCATGACCAGTGGACACACACATGGTATGTAGAACGTAATTCCCACAGTAGGCCTACTTATTTCAAGCTAGTTCCTTAAGGAAAGGATCACTGCTTTTCTTTTTTATTTTTTTAAGTGAAAGCAAGTTTATTAGAGAAGCAAAGAAACAAAAGAATAGGCAAAAGCAGCAGTGTGGGCTACTCAACTAATTATACTTGTAGTTATTTCTTGAATACATGCTAAACAAGAAGTGGATTATTCATGAGCTTTCTAGGAAAGGGGTGGGCAATTCCCATAACTGAGGGTTCCTCCCTCTTTTAGACCATATAGTGTAACTTCCCTACATTGCCGTGATTTGTAAACTGTCCTGGTGCTGGTGAGAGTGTCTTTTAGCATTCTAATGTATTATAATCAGCATATAATGAGCAGTGAAGACAAGCAAAGGTCACTTTCACAGCCATCTTGGTTTTGGTGGGTTTTGGCCTGCCTCTTTACTGCAACTTGTTTTATCAGCAAGGTCTTTGCTACCTGTATCTTGTGCTGACTTCCTATCTCATCCTGTGACTAAGAATGCCTAACGTACTGGGATCACTTCTTTTCATATATGAGTTGACCACTCAGTAAAGCATGAATGCATAGGCTCACATTCCATTTAGACTATGGAAAGTGTTTTCTCCACTAAATATACTATTCAGTTTGACCTAGACACTTTGAGAGGTGGTAGATTAACAAATAGATTCAGTTAGTTGTGTTTTCCCTTAGAAGGACAATTCTGTGGTTAAAGGGAGGGAAGGAATATGAGAAGGGGCAAGATGGGCTTCATTCAGGTAGTGAGGATACAGGATATAATCACGACCTCTGTGTACTTTTGGATGAAAGGGAAGAAATTAAACTGGCCATGATATGGAATTAATTATGCATGCCACTTGAGTCAGAATGTTAGCTACAAGTACTAAATCTGTTAGAACTCCTTGATTTGGTGAAAAGAACTAAAAGCTATTGTCAGTAATAGGAATAAAAGCTGCAGCAATATTGCTGTATGAAGCAAGGGCTCTCAACTCTTATTCTAATACTTTAACAATGCGACTTTAGAAAAAATACAGCTTGTCTTCAAATTGTAATCTTTTTCTATAGAGTGTTTAATTTGCATCTTGGTAGTGGAATGGCCGTTGTGCCCTGAAAGATCTTCCCCAGGCCACACCAGTCCTAGAGAGCCAGGGAGACCACGAAAGACATAGCAACAGTTGCAATTATCTTTGACTCTTGAGCTCCTAGCCTGTGAGTGCGTGCCACTCCTAAAAGTCCAAGTCCTTTTCATTCATCCCAGGGGGCTCCCATGCTCTCCTAGTTCTTTGTTGGAATTTTCTGCCCCATCCTCTGATAAGCTGTACTCTAGCAACTGCTACTTCAATCATGCTGGTCCTCTCTTTCTGGACTTCTCTCTTCTCTCTACTTACTCATGCTCAGAGCTCACCAATTTGGAGCTAGGACCTCTCCTCCCTAGTCTTTAGAGTTAATCTTATTAGGCCCCAAATGGCATAATTCTCCATTAGTTTTTATACCCCTTCCTACTGAGAGGACCTGAGGTCAGCTTCCTTCAGATTGAAATCAGAGACATTTATGTCATACACACAAAAGTATCTCTCCCCCAAAAATAATCAGCATCCTAAACTGAAATATGTGTCTTTTCAATAGTCTCCTATATCAAGGTGAGTTTTCTTACTACTCAGTGTGCTTCTAGAAGTTCCTGGAGCCCCAGAATCAAAGGATCAGTTCTATAGTTGTCTCCCCATTTCTCCTAGAAGCCCGCATGCAAATACCCTGATCTCACAGCATTCCCAAAATGTGTGAAGATTAGGCTTCCTCCTACCCAACACCCTACCATCCTTTTCTTGTTAAGGTGAAACTCTAATGTAGCCTGAACTTGGTGCCTTTGAAGCTAATGGAGGTGAAAAATTATAAAGCTCAAATTCGCAGCCCAAAGCTACTTTTTTATTGCAGAATCTGACATGAAGTAGAGAAACATCCTACTGGTGAAAAAAAAAAGAAATAAACTAAAGTCAGTGGTTTGGTCTTCAGTAAATACAAAAGAAAAAAAACTGACCATGAATCAGCTAACATTTAGGACTTCTCTGTAGGAGTTGAATATTTCTCCCCAAATAGAGAGGTCAGTAGGCTGCCATGTAACATCTATTCTATCAGCTGGAACATTTTGCTCTTTAGTAGAATAAAGCTTGTAAATAAACCTAAGCTCTGAGTTGTTTCCTAAGGGGAAGATCATGCAGCCTGCTTTGGTGGAATGTCAAGACGTAAGGGGAAAAAAGAGATCATCAATAAACAAATGCACAGAACTGAATTGTTACATTCTTTTTTGTGGACAAACCCGTCTTTATTTTGAGCCGTATGTTAGGGAGTCACTGCTTCTCCTTTTCATAATTAACTTGGCACTTGGAGGCTACCATTTGTAATGGCATGTAAGAACCTTTCTGTACATTTCCCCTGCTGTGTAGCCATGGGGTATCATTTGTTTACATTCCATTTGTCATATGTACATTTGTGCTTAGTAGATCCTAGGATGGGGGAGAAGACCCAGTAGTCATACAAAGCTCAGGACAAAACTGAGGGGTGTTTACCTTGCTCACTTAGAAGTGAGCTTACTGCCTTCAATAGCTCTGGGAAACATAATAATGTACTTACTCCATTAGGCCCCAAAAAATGCATTTCCTTGCTTCCTCACACAAACAGATTTGGTAAATTCAAAGAAAGGAAAATTGATCTGCCCCACACCCTAAAAGGTTGTGATTTTTATTTCATTCATATTCATTTCCAAAAGAGCTATATAAATAAAGGGTGGGGATAAGACTATAGCTTGATAAAAATCAAATGTCAAACGGACAAACCATAGTATGTTAATAAAGCCTTGGACAAAATTAACACGAGATATTCATCTGGTTTGACCTTTGTTTCTCAACTGAATTACTGTTATTATTCTATTCAGGGACTCCCTTTAGAAGGCTGGTTACTATTGCAATACCAAAATAGCTTAGGATTTCATATTTAAGAATTCCAAGGCCTGTGAGGAAGAGTAGACTGCTCTTTGGAATTTCACTCAGAAAGAAATTTACACTTAAATTGCTTTTAAATGTTTTCTCTGAAGTATTTTTTATGTTATGAGGTTGAAATTAAATACATACAAAGGAATATTTTTGTTGCTGAGTTTTTTTTTTTTAAGTGGCTGATGGCCAACTAATGTGGGTACAAAGTGGCAGCTCCCTATGTCACTATCTGGGCTATGCTCTAGGCCTTCAAATTTCACAGGAAGTAAGGACTCTAATTAACCTCCAGCTCTAAAGGAGTTCCTACAGACCTGTTTGTGGCAACTATATTTCTTGGAACTTAATATTCTTTTAAATCTCACCCTGCCCACACCACTGCTTCACTGCATAATGTAATTCTTTCAGTCTTTACCCTGGGCACCCATTAAGCAATCTAACTCCTACAGTTAGAATCTCACCAAAAGGAAGAGGAGAAGAGGGAGAAGAGAAGGGAGGGGAGGGAAGAGGAGAGGAAGGAAAGAAAGGAGAGGGGAAGAAAAGAAAGAGGAGGGGAGGGGAAGGAAGGCTATAAACCCAAAAGAATTTCACTTTGCATGACAGATCTAATGATGAAATAACAAAGATATTTTATTTTTTACACTATGCAAGAGTAAAACTCCTAGATGGAAAATGTGTGGTTTTATTTTTTAGTTTTCGCTTTCAAAGCCTATCTAAGGCATGCAATAAACCCTGGCCCCTACAAAGTATTCATCTCTCCAAAGAGAGGCCATTAAAAATTTTGGAAGTAAACTTTCAGTTGGCATCTTTCAAAATACTTATTTCCAAAAATCTTCAAGCTAGAATTACAATTGTCTGGAACCCAATCTGTTGGTAAATGAAACCTCAGAGCCTTCACTCTTAATAGTGAAATGGACTGAAAGGCAGACACACTGACAGCTGGCTCATTTCTTGCTTTGCCATGTAAATCCACTTTAACATAACTGGCTTGCACCCTAGCCTTCAGAGTGATGGCTCTGCCTAGAAACCAATCTAATTGGATAATCTTATACGATATTTCCATAATGACAAAGAATCAGACCTCAGACCGAGCCCTCCAAGATTTCCATAGGGAATCTAATGGGAAGACAAGGAGTGTTATTATTTAATGAATTGGCTCCTTGCCCAAATCAGTCAGTCCATCTATGCCTCAGTTTTCTCATACTGGAAATGAAGATATCTGGTAGCTTCTTGGTTCGTGGGGAAGAATGAGACTCTGGTCTTTCTCCCAAACAAGTCAATTGCAGTATTAGGTTATATATGTTAAAAGAGGCATTCAGCAAATGTAAAAGCACTGAAAGAAATAATAATATGCCTGCAAGATTTAATATACATTTCTAAGAACTGGACTTGTACAATAAGGTAAATAGTAATAGTAAAGTTGCCATTTATTAAGCATTTATTGTAGCCTATTACCATCTTTACCTAAATACTAATTTAATCTTGATGAAAAAAATTTTTGACATATTTCTTATTCCCATCATTGTACACCTGAAAAAATGCACTCTCTCAGATATTAAGTGATTTTCTTGAGTTCACTCATCTACTAAATGGAAAGGTTGGAAAATAAGCCAGTACCTCTGATTCCAAAACCATCTACATTCATTAACTATCTAATGGAAGAGAAACAAGATTTTGATGTACATGAATTAGCTAAGGATCATTAATAGACACAAACATATTTATAATATATATGTGTATATATGTATACACATAGAGTCTTTGAATATCACATACCTTACATAATAACCTGGGGATGTATAAGCCTGTTCATGGACAATTTGGTAAGATGTCATTCCATTACCTACTAAAAATTCTGCACCTAGAAAAATTATTCAGTTTATCTATAATGATCTAGAAATTCAGGGGCTGTGACTGTGCCGTGTCCCCCTTACTTCCCTATACCTCCTATCCCGGAATCATTCTCTTGGTTAATTAACTCTTACTTGTCCAAATCTGAAAGACTCAAGCGCTCAGGTCAACTGCTATCTCTGCTAGGATGACTTCTCTGAACTCTGGCCTTCCTTGTCCTGATTCTGACTTTGGTGAACTTTTCACTTTTAATGCAGTATTAACTTGTCTTCTGTGTACCTCTTATCTTCTCCACTAAAAAAGTTCATTGTCTTATTTATCTTTATTTCTGCACATAGCATGATGTCAGTTACAGAGTCAACAGATATTTAATCACTACGTGATGTATGGATAGATGAATGACTACGTGATCAGAACTCAAAGTACTGGGTTTCCACTTAGCGGTGACATCCTTTTACAATTCCATATTCAGTTTCCAAATTGTATTCCTATGACGGCCAAATTGTTCTTCAAGACTTTATGGGGGAATGTAAGTATTTTATATACACATATTAGGTCCATATCTACATTTGGGAGTCTAGTAGAGCTACAGAATCAATGACTTCTTTATAGGCAAGGCAGCTTCTCAACGATCAGTTTTAATTTCTCTATTTGCATTTATGAGATCAATATAAATTTGAGGGTATTTATTTTGCTATACCAACAAAAATTGAGATTCAAACTTAAGGAGAAAAAGGGAATGCAACAAGTTCAGTTGATAGAAGAAACCCCACTTAGTATTTCTTTGTGCAAATCTAGGGCAGAAACTACCCAAATGCTAAAACTTACAATCAGTTACTCTTTAAACTAAAATCACAAACTTTGAGAGAAAAGGAGAAATAACCCTCAAAACAACAATCAAAAAAAGCCCACATTTTTAAAGCTCATAAAACAGCTGAGCACACACAGAAGCAACCTGGATAATTTAAACATCCAGTTTAGTATGCACTACCACATATTATTAACGTATTCAAAATGCTTTTGATTTCAGGAACACTTTTTGGTCCAAATATTTTAAATATTATGTTGAATTGACTGGCTAAAAATGAAAGTGTCAAGTAAAGGTATCACAGTGGAACAGCATTTTTAAATACACCCAAATCCGAAAACAATGCTGAGGGAAGGGCGGCTTCCTTACACTACTAACAAAGGAAGGAAAGTGAATAAGGCAAATGGTCCACACTGAATGCTCTTACTCATAACAAATACATCTAAAGTTCAACCTAGATGGTCTTTTTCATCCTCCTGTATGGTACACACTGTACAAGGGTATAAAAGCACCACAAGGTGTGGACGTGTAAGTGGGAAATTGATAGAGAAAAATGCACTGTGCTGAGGTACCCTATAGCACTTGATCTTTGTGGAATGATAATTACAGACTGTTTAGCCTCCTGCTTTTTCTCCAGTTTAAAGCTATGCTAATACTTTCTATGATGCTGATTATTTTCATGTCCATTTGTAAACTGAGGCAGAGGAAACTAAGATGTAAGATCTCAAATATGTTAAATATTGGTTTCTCATGTTACATGGACATGAGAAGGGAAATAAATTATAGAACATTTTCAATTTGTTTGATGGGTATTTGGGGAGACTTTGCTGTGTGCTTGGTTTGGTAATAGGTTATTTTTTATCTGTGGTTATTTTTGATAGGATATTAGATAACTTAGGCTGTGTTCAGAAAACAGCTGCACCTTTTATCTCTAAAAAGTCAATTGGTTTAGTTAAATATCCTTTTCCACTAAATGGAGCAGTTGTTTGACCTCTAGGAGACTTAGCTGGAAAGCACTGCATAGCTGTTTAAAGAGACAGCAGCATGCTTAACCACACACACTATTTGATTACATGCAAGTAGAATTTTTTTTGTAGTGGTCTATCTCTGGAATACTTTGCTTACAAAAAATTATAGTCTAAGCTTCAAGCAAATTTCAAAGAAAAAGTGATTGTGGACTCTGTTTGCTTACAAAATGTTATATTCTAATCTTTAAGCAAATGTCAAAAAGTGGTTGTAAACTGTTTCCAGTCTTAAAAATCAATTCCACAAATCATCGAAATGATTGAATTTGTGAATCATGCATAATATTGTATTCTACGTCTGGTTAAACCTTGTGCTGTGGTGTCTCATTGCAACTAAGGAAAAAATAGAGGTAGGATAGTATGGTGAATAAAGATGGAACCTTTTGTCCAGACAGTTCTAGATTTAAATCCTGGTTTTACTGCTTATTAGATATATCACCCATTGGTAGATTAGTTAATCTTTTTGAATGTCAGTTTCCCCAATCCATTAAGTAGGCCTATAAGGCATTTGACACATATTGTGCAATCAAATGGATCACAATGATTACCATTCAACAATTATCTGTTGTGTCCACTATGTACCAGTCTGCTCTAAGTACTTAGACTACAGATAAAAAATAGACCTTCTCTGCATGGAGTTTGCATTCTAGTGAAAGAAGACAGGCAATAAACCCCCCAGAAAAGTGTGTCATATAGTATTACAGAACATGACAAAGGTAAAAAAAAAAAAATAGAGCGAGATGAGGAGGATTCGTAGTTTCAGAAAGAGGGATTTGTGGTTTTGTATAGTGTAGTCAAGGTAGCCTCATTGAGAAGGTAGCATCTCGGCAAAGACCTAAGAAGGTGAGAGAATGAGGCATACAGATTTCTAAGGTAAGGGAGTTCCAGCACAGAAGAGAAGTCTAGGCTGGAGATATAAATAAATGCATGAATCTTAGCATCTAAATGGCATTAAAATGAGAGTAAATGAGATCTTGAGAGTGACTGGAAAGGAATAGAAAAGAAAAGATCACCAACAACTGCAGCTTTAGTGCACTGCAATTTTAAGACATTGAGAAAAGGAGAAAGAACCAGCAAAGAAGGCTGAGAGGGAGAGACTAATGACATGGAAATAAAATCAAGAGAGGTGTCCTGGAAGCCAAGTGAAGAGAGAAGGAGAGATTAACTCTGCCCAGTGTCATGGAGAGTTCAAGTAAGATAAGCATCTGTACTGTAGATTGTCTTGAAGCCTACTATTTTTTCCTCATTTACTCTTTAAACCATAAAGCTCAAATTACCTCACAATGAAATGGGTATGTTATAGTACCAACAAATCAAAATAATTTTTATTTGATTTATGTGGTCAGATTTTTTAATTTGATTTATGTGGTCAACCTACTCACATACTATTTGTTACTTGCCTATGGCAATTAAATCCCTTCCAATGGTCTACTAAAGAATAAAAGGTCGATGAAAAACTCACCTTGTCCAGTGATGTGAGAGAATAAGGGTCAAGGATTAAACAAAAGAAAATAGAAACACACTCATTAGCACATGGTAAATCTGAAAGTGAAGATTTTTCTAATGGTTCCTTCAGAGATGTCGTATAAAAAATAAACACCGTATTCTTAGCGTGACACTACTTCTGGCCTCCAGAAGTCTGAGAAGTTATAAAGAGAGAAAGACGGGAAGAAAAAGAGAGAGAAAGAAAGAGAGAAGAGTGAGAAGGAGAATGAGCATCCAGTTTTTTAACACGGGATCTGGTTTCAAAAAGGCTCTAGAGATGTTTTCAACATATACATCCTGCCTTCGGCATCCTTCAATTTTCTCCTGCCACTATTTCATTAGATTTCATTTCTTTGTGATTTTCTATCTGAAATTTCCAATTCAAGCTCCTATTTTGTACTTCATTTGGAACCTATCAAATTCTCATCCTTCTCTCCAGTTGAACACTCTTATTGAAATTTCTTGTAGATTTCTTCCTTATTGGTCATTCCCATTGCCATCCCCCTTGGATTCTAACACATTTGTATTAGCACCTTAAACACTTCTCCTCTACTTACTTTGTCCTTCATGTTCATCCAGTTTGTGGTCTCTGAGTTCAGACCTTCTGAAGGTGAGGAAGAACACTGGGGACCTTTCCTTTTGTGGAACATCAGCAATTTTTTAGTTTCCTTCTACAGGCTCTTTCTACAGACTCTTTCATAGTCACCCTTCCTGATGGATCTCTTTACCTGAATTTTCCCTCCTTCTATATGTTCTGAGACAGTTGGCAGTTTTATTTCCCTAAAATATGAATCTGATCTTTTCTCTCCCACTTTCCCTGAACATCAAGTTCTATGTATAAATGTATATCTCTATCAATCTCTCTAATTTCTCCTTTCTGCTCCAGACAGGACACTCTCCCTTATGGACCTCTAACACATTGTTTCACCCCCTCTCATGCTTAGAAATGGCTTCTCTGCTTCTAAAGTCTACTTTCTCCCTGCAGTCGCTTTCCTGCAACTCACATTAACCTCAATTTTCAATTCATGTTGCACTCACTGCTAATCCCACACACTACTATCATTCACTATGATATACTTTTCTGGGCTCAAATTGTGCAATAGTTAGCACTTTGTTTCATCGGAATACAACAACGGTTGGTTTACTATTCTTTTGTCTTCTAATTGTTTTGAGCACGCGTCTTATCTCTCCAGCCAGACAGTAAATTCATTGTAAGAAGGAGCACTGTCTCATAATCGCTTATATCCCTACCTCCTAATATAATGTCAACTAATTGACTGTAACTTTTAACTCTTGCCATCCTCGTTTACACTGGCTGGAAAACAACAAAAATACTTGGTAAAAGTAGTTCAATAAGATAAATGACAGCAGATAGTGCTCTATTATATATCTATTTTACAAAGGCTGAATTTGGTCATTAATATAAGGTTAATATTTAATGGAAGCTAGTTCGCTAACATATACTGCTTTTTGAACTATAATTCTGGATGTTTTGTGATCCTTCCGTAGTTACAATAAATTTTATAAATCCACCTGAGACTTCTTTCCTGAACTCCAAATTCGTATATCCAATTGCCTACTCAACATCTCCATGTGGAGAACCAATTGACTTTTCCAAAACTTGGTATCCATCCTCTCCCTCAAAAGAAAAAAAAAAAAAAAACCTAGTTCATCAACCTCACTATCTCAATTGATGGCGACTTCTATTCACTCAGGCAAAGAGTGATTATGAATCCTCTCTTTCTCTTAAACCCCTATATCCAATCCACCAACAGAATCAAAAGTTATCCATGGTACAACCATGGTACAACCAAGGTGGTAACACTCTCATTGTTACCACCTTGACACAAGCCACCATCATCTCTCATCTGGATTACTGTAATAACATCCTATCTAGTCTTCCTGTTTCACACTTGCAAAACACTCCTCTGCTTAAAACACCTCAATGCCTTCTCATCCCACACAGACTAAAAGCTAAAGTCCTTACAATGGCCTACTGGACCCTGCATGAATTGGGACCTGTTACATTTCCAACCAAATTTCCTGTTAACCCTCTCTTAGTCCCAGCTCTCTAACCACACTAGCCTTGTTCATAAAACATGGCAGGTATGGCCCACCACAGGACATTTGCACAGGCCCTTCCTGATATGCTTTTCCCATAAATATCCTCATCACGAACTCTCACCTCTTCTTCAAGACCTTGCTCAAATATTGCCTTCTCACTGAGGCTACCTTAGTGACCCAATTCTAAATTGCAACATTCCCTGCCTTAGCCATCTTTATTCTCCTCCCTGCTCTATTTTCTTTCCATAGCATTTATCACTATGGCTGATGAGAAAGTGCCTCTCAGACATTGAACTCCAGGAGCATAATTGACCCAAGAGTCCCAAGCTGTTTCACTCTGAAATCCATTCCTATGTTTGCTTCAAGGCTATGCTTCCCAGGGGCTACTCCCAGCCAGTGACTGAGCATGGCAAGAATGCTAAAATTCCTGAGAAACACTGGACTACTTTGGTTGCTGACAACTGATGTGTCTCATCATGTGTTTATTCATTCATTTAGTTGACAATACTAATACTTGTTAATTTTTTAAGCATTTGTTATTCATTCTGCACATATTTATTGAGAACCTCTGATGTGTCAGGCACTGTGTTAGGTGTCTGAACAAAATTTCTCCTCTCCTGGAACTTACATTCTGGTAGACAATAAAAGATTAAGTAAACAAAATACAGTAGATGTGGAAATGATGATGTTATTCTGGATCCTATAAGAAACAAATGCCAAGATGGGTTAAATGTACAGAATTTTATTAGGAGAAATGACTGTATGAGAGAACATGGGAGGACAGGCAGAAAAGGCTGGAGCTGGACATGTCTAAGAGGCAGGTGAAAGAGAAAGGGAGGCGAAGTTGAGTGGAAACATCCTAATCTGTATTGCAGTCCAAGGGAGATTGTCAAGACCATCAGAGCTCTGGCTCCAGGATTCCACTCAGGTCCCCCAGATTTTCCCAGCTCCAGCCTTTTCTGCCTACCACTCACATGATGATACCAATCAGTTGTTGCAACTCTGCTCCCTCCTAAATTCCCATCCTCTTTTTTTAAATCTTGTCCTCCCCTACACTAGCAAAATCTTGGGTTTTCCTCTAGCAGAAATGAGATTTGAGAGGTAAATTGTTTTTAGGAAAAGATCCAGACTAATAATTGGATGACTGCCCATTTGTTCTAGGCACCAAATATGCAATTCTGACTGAGATATTTATCATTACTGCTTTCTTGTCTTTAATTTCAGCCAGGATCTACAAATAAACATAATCAGAAGTCTTGAAGGTTTGATTTTTTTTACACTTAAATATGTTTCCAACAGTAATCAAACTTGGCACACATCCAAACAATCCTCCCATTCTCTGGTCTCCCTAAGTATCCCTTCTGAGGGTGTATGAGCAAGGACAAACTACTCTCAAGTATAATTTCAGACTCTTAAAACATGGGTTTCACCTTATAGTGACTGACAGAATGAGGGCTCTGTGGTTGGGGAACTCCAGTCAACAATGTGGGGAAACCTCAGTAGGGCCAATAAGTTTCTCCAGAGGACATTCCCACACCGTTCTGCCTTAGGCTGTTACACCCAGCTGTAGTGTTCTAGGAGCTAGACAGAGAAGGAGGCTGGGGGTCCAACCACTTCTCATAAAGACTGACTTAACCTTCAGCCTGTGCCTCTCCTTGCCCCGTGTCCTTGGGCAGTCCTTGATGAATGCCACTTATAAAGTCAGGCAGCTGGTGTTCCAATCCTGGCTTTGCTACTTACTAGCTATATGGCAAATTACCTCTCTGAGCCTGTTCCCTCATTTTTAAAGTAGGGATTATAGCACTTATCTCTCAGCACTTTGCAAGTATGCATTTACCTGTAGAAAGAATGCAACAAATATTAGCTATTATTATTACTAATATCAAAACTGCAAAGGAAATTAAACCATATGTTCAATGTTTGGGTTGTCCTTTTAACCTCTTCAGCTGAATGTTGATATGAAAGCGCTTAATAGCATTCAAACACATAATAATAAGGTAGTTGGTAATTAGGATTTACTTCAGCAAAATTTAATTAAAGAACCTGTAGGGAAAAGAAAACAGACAGAGCCAATTGTACAGCTTCCCAGCCTCTGCTTTGACCTAAGAGTCTCACTGGGCTTGCCTGCCTTTTTCTAAAGGATGGGCGAATATTCACACAGTGCCGGGCTCCAGGCAGTTACCAAATGTCTCATCACATTTTCAAAGGCTCACTCCTCTCTCTTGCGTAACCGGTGAGGTCAAAATGGGCACCTTCCTGAAAGCCAAGAGTGTCATTTCTGAACAGCGTCCAAGAAAGAAAACTGCATTCCATAGAAATCCAAGTCAAGCAATAACAAAAGGTGGCACTTGGTGCTTAAGCCACACTAAATACCTTGGTGGGCCAACTTCTTAATATAGTCACATTAACACCTTTGATTTCTCCATGACCTAAAGATTCCAAAGTTTGCAACAAAGTGCTGAGCAGGGGGGTCGGGGGTGGGGTGTAGACGGGGGAGAACGAACCAATGTAAATTTACCACTACATGAAGTTTAAAGTAGCTATAGATTGTTGTATTATTATCAAATCCAATCAGTGGAAGAAAGGCAAACAAGTGACTTGGCACTTCTGCCTCAGTCAAGGTAAGGCTCTCTCCCCTAGAGCTAGCAAGCAGGTAAACGAGCTTTGTACAAACACACACAGACCAACACATCCGGGGATGGCTGTGTGTTGCTAGAGCAGAGGCTGATTAAACACTCAGTGTGTTGGCTCTCTGTGCCACTCCTGGAAAATAATGAATTGGGTAAGGAACAGTTAATAAGAAAATGTGCCTTGCTAACTGTGCACATTACAACAAAGAGCTGGCAGCTCCTGAAGGAAAAGGGCTTGTGCCGCTGCCGTTCAAACTTGTCAGTCAACTCATGCCAGCAGCCTCAGCGTCTGCCTCCCCAGCACACCCTCATTACATGTGTCTGTCTGGCCTGATCTGTGCATCTGCTCGGAGACGCTCCTGACAAGTCGGGAATTTCTCTATTTCTCCACTGGTGCAAAGAGCGGATTTCTCCCTGCTTCTCTTCTGTCACCCCCGCTCCTCTCCCCCAGGAGGCTCCTTGATTTATGGTAGCTTTGGACTTGCTTCCCCGTCTGACTGTCCTTGACTTCTAGAATGGAAGAAGCTGAGCTGGTGAAGGGAAGACTCCAGGCCATCACAGTAAGTCTGCATACAGTTATAACTCATTAACGTTGTTACTTAGAGGAAGGCAGACCGTGGCCGGCTGCCCCTGTCGCTGAGCCCTCGCAAGTGGAAAAACAGAACTGTCAGCCTTCATGGACGAGTCTCTGTTTCTCTCTTAACCCTCATGACCCTCTGTAACTCTGGGGCTTCAGAACCTGAGTGCAGGGCAAACGTTCTTGATTTTCAAAAAGGCTGTGCCTGCATTTTAAACAACAATCAAAAGCTGTTAAGGCAGTCTGATTAACTATCTTTCACACTCTGTGGTGTACCTTAGAAATGCAGTTTTTCCTTAAATGTCCATTTGACTGGCATTAGATAAAAAAACAGATCCCCAACTTGGAAACTTTTTTAAGCTATGAATGCCTCAAAAAGTTAGAATTTTTTTTAAAGAGAGAAAAAGAAATTTTAAAAATGACCTGAAACTTTATATTTGTAGTGTGGTAGCATGTTCCAGAAAGCCTAAAATAATTAAAATGAATGTTAATATACGTAATTTAAGCATTAAACAAGAGAAAACTAGGTAAAAGCACGTATCAGATTAATTCTAAGATATCAGTTTCCAGCAGAGTCACAAACTGAATAAGATCCTGATAAAGGAATGCAGTGCATGCAGTGGATTTGGAAAATATTTTGTTAATACCGAGAAGGAAAATCGTACATTTTTTATGTTTGTTCCGGGAAAAAGTCAAAGCCAGAAATAAATTACTTTTCTTAAATGATCCAGCTTTCTTTTTAATTTTATAAAACCCTGTATTTGGCAGTAACTTGGAAATCTGTGTCACAATCATTTATCCCTAGCTATAACTTTTGATGTAATTGTTTTAAGAAGAAAAAGATCTTTGGAAAGCAATATCCCAATTTCTCAGCATTTTCTGCCACTGACATTAGGTATAGGAAAAAAATGAGTACTTTTTAAAAACTGATGCTAGATCAGGGATTTTTTGTTGTTGTTCTTAAAATTTTCATTGCATAACTAATTATGCTAATCCTAATTTAGATTTTTTACTAATTGATACAATATCTTAGTTTCACCCAGGAAACATTCAGTAAATTGAAATGTCTTCTTAGCCAATAGTAAGACACCAGAAGTCTATTGATAAGGTTGGCACTTTTCCATAAAACAATGCTTTGTTAAATGTCTAGCTTCTAATTATTACATTTTCCTCTCTTCAGAAAACCTTGGTCGGGATTATTGTTTGTTTTGTTTTGTCCTTTTTTGTCATTAAACTCAGCCACCATCTCAGCTGTCCTGCTTTAAGGGACAGGAACTCGGCTCTGCTCTGTTGTTTTTGGCATGGGCCTTTTACATTACAGCTGTTGTCTAAAGGTTACTTTATTAGACTGCGTGAGTTGTGTGGTCACAGGCTCCACTATTTCTAATGCTTATATCTCCTAATTAGCTAATTGAAATAGACAAGTAGACCCTTGTTCTGAATTTGCCTCTTTCAGTTGGGGGACACCCTCGCTCAAGCCCTTTTTCCCTCCAGTGTACCTTATAACTCTTACCAAAGCCACACATGTTCCAAAGATATGGCTGTATACAGTTATTTCTAAGGCTAGGAATCTTAGTCACTGAAGGTTCCAAACGCAAATAGAGACAGAAAATCCTCATAATGTCTTAAAAGCCATCAAGAGAGTAAGTAGCTTCCTGAATATGCAGATGTATGCTTTTTTGATGATTAAAAAAATTTTTGGATTATTCCATCAGCCTAAATATATCCCATTAGAAAGGATTAAACAAATCTCCCAAGTAAGATCACAAAGTAATTCTAGCTTGGAAGTAATATACTTGTATAAAGGTTGTAGGGAAAAAACTGGAAAAAGTTTATGGGAACAAATTTCTCATAAACCAGCCTACACCTCACCAGGCTAAATCCAGTCACATTTGTCACCACCTAGAGGAAAAGTGGAGCAGTGGTGTGTCCATGGAAACAACACATCCACTCTCCTCCCTCTTGGACGCCCTGGGACACGCCAGCTTTCCTCGCCCTCGCCCTTGCCTTGCCCAGGAAGCCACCTCAGCTAGTCTCTTTCCCCCTAGGAAAATAAAATCACAGAGTATGCAGAGAGTTTGCAAGAATTATTTCATTTTTGGAAATGCTTAAGCCTCAGAATCTCCAACCTAGACTAAAACTCAGAGAGTATCTTCTCATTTTAGCTTTTTCCTAGTACTTACCTACACTGAAATAATTTTTTGTATACTTCAAGAATGAAATCAGAAGGCAATTCCCCAATGCACCCAGACATAGCAACACATAGACCTCACTTTGGAGGAAAAAAAAAAAACTTTTACACTCTAGGATCTATTTGCTTTTTACATTAAAATTCGTTTCTCCAATTGCTGGCTATAAAATAAAATAATCTTCACAGTTGTATTTATTCTACCTGGTTTCAAGTGCCTAAAAAGTCATTATTTTTCACTGCAAAGAACTGAAAAAATAAACGTATATACCTAGAATTTGACAGAACAAAGATCCAAGTGCCAGTCTTTTTCTTTTTCTCAAAAAAAAAAAAAAAAAGGTTAAACACATTAAGTAGTTGAAATGTGACACTTAGGCTCTCAAATTGAAAACTAAATTACTATCGTGATGCCATTCATTTCTCATATCAGATCAGTAAATTGAATTTTAGATTAGTCAGATGTCTTCTCAAAGATTTAAAGAGAATAAGAGCAAAATTATGAAAGTATGCAGAAACAATTGTTCAAGGGTAGATACTTCAGTTTGGGTATACCAAATATAGATTCTATTTTACACAATTACTTTCATGTTCTTCCTTAATACTTTATCCATGCACCAACTCTTCCCTTACTAAATTAATGGTCAAAGTACCCCTTTGCCTAGAAGTTCAGTTTTCAACTATAATTTAAACACAGGGCTGCTTAAAATTAATTAACTATTATGTTTGATCTTTAAAATGTCTCTTGAGGCCCTTTTCAAGTCAGTACACACTTGAACAAATAGCTGATCTTTCTACAAAAGGTGAGCTAATTGGAATTCAATAGTATTTTGAAATAGACTAGTAATTTGAAATTCACCTTTAACAATACTGGAACTGAGGATACCAATGACTCCAGCATTCTCGAGAAGAGTGAGATGAAGAAGCGTGAGATGAAGGACTGAACGTACCACTGACAGAGTTATCCCTACAGAGTTACTGTCTGAAAGTGAACGTGGCCCACACTGAAGAACAACGAAAAGGCCCAGGGGTCTCTCCTCAGAAACACAAAGATTCCCTTAGGATGAGTAACATTCCGTATACTCTTAACATCTCCTCCACAGCTAATACATTTTCTTACCCCCATGCCTACAGCGACATTGGAAAATACCATTACAAATATGGATATGCTCAAACTGGAAAATTAGATCTTAAACTGTCTTGCGATCATAGACTCAGTTCTATTTGAAGGATGAACTCAGAGGAAGTTTAAGAACTAGAATCCAATTTCAGAGAACAGACTCAACTGAGAAAAAGAGAGTAAGAAGAAAGCTGACATTTTTATTCTCCTCCAGGCTTACCTTTAACTGTAAGGAATGTGTGTTATCAACACAGTCTCTCATGCCTTTATTCAATTAATGGTTATTAGGCACCTACTATGCACCAAGCCTTGTGCATTTAAATGAAAAGAAGTGAAATAAGGGGAGTCTGGAATGTGAGGAGTGGGGATGGGAGTGCATTGTAAGTTAAAATAGAGTGGTCAGGATGGGGTTCACAAAGAGGGTGACGTTTGAGCCTAGATGTGAAGGAGGTGAGTTCTGTCAAAAGTTAGACAATAAAAATAATCACAAGTACAAGCACCTGCCTAGGACTGCCTCCATTTGGAAAGGAGCCATATAAAGTCCTGACACTGGAATTTGAGCAACAGAGCCAGATTTTGCCGGCCAAAGCTGCTCATAATGAAAAAAAAAAAAAAAAAAAAAAAAAAAAAAAAAAGCTCTCACATTTCCCCTGATCAACTCCCTACTGCTTTCCACTCCCAAATACCCAAATAAATTTTTCTTGACTTGTAAATATAGGAATTTAAGAGACATGGAGTTCTTTACATAAAACAGAAATCTCCACAGTACAAAGACCAACATTAAAACAAGAACATGAGCACGGATGGGTTCTAGTTATTTCTTTAGCACATGTTCCCTGTTACAAGTGTCTCTGGGCACTCTACCTCATCTTGTTCCCTTTTTGTCAATATCTGGGCTCTTCTAACAGTCAGTAAGACAGTTAGTGACCCAAAAGCAAGACCTGCTGTGTGATTTGTGGGGCCCAAAACACAAGGGAATTGTGGTGGCCCTTGTTCAAAAAATATTCAAAATGTCAAGGTGGTGACAACAGAGCTTTGATCTAAGTGCTAGGCCCTTCTGAGCATGATGACCTGGGTGACTTCACAGGTCACAAACCCAAGAAGTCAGCCCTGCTTCTGTATTCCAGACTGGCCATACATATTTTTCCTTATTCGTTCTATCTGAACAAATAAGAGAGTAAAAACAAGTGTAAACTAGTCTGTGTCTTTAACAAAGGCATACCCTAACACGTGTTTGGATCATTGTATTATTTAGAGCTCTAAGGAATTCTTAAAGTACTAGTGGCCAAAGAATGCATAATGCCCCATTGTTAACCAACATACCTCATGATTAAGACATAGTTAGAGGAACAACTTCTAATTTGTCAGGAGCTTCCAAAGAAATTCACATGAAGATGGTACATGAAGATGTAGCAGTCTTCTAAATAAAAAAGTCCCATTCTGGAATATTCAACAATGAAACCTCAGCACAATTTTCCACAGTGCTGTACCAAGATTACATGTTTCTTCCAGAGAGGGAAAGGTTTCTTCAAACAAATGTGGTACGCCACACTTCTTTGCCAAACATAACAGCCCACCCATAAAGGACACCATGTGATGAGGTATAATAGTTTTGATAGCTCATTAAGGAAACTGCTTTTTGATAACTGGGGAAGGTTTTTCCACTGTGCAACAAAATGATAATGCTACTTTGCTAACTCCTCTACTGACAAAGATCCCCATGAACTTTCTGAACATTACTGGATGGTTGAAAGGAAAAGCTGCTTCTTTAGAAAACTGTGATTAAAACAAATTAGAGAATAAGCATCTAAGACTAACCAGAGTATAAACAAATGCAACACAGTTCAATTCTAAAACTGCAATAGGACTTCCACTTTTTAATCTGCAGTCTCTAACTACCTACCCTCTCTTAAAAAGAAATAAGAATATTTTAATTTATTTAAATGATAGTAATGTCATTTTGGGAAGAGACTCCATGAAAATTTACCACCTTAAGAAGTTCCCTTACCCAGAACCCTGTGGCATGCACATTTTCCTAAAACATCATCAAAGCAGTTTGAATGAGATCTATACTTAAAGTTTTTACATAAAATCCCAGGGACTGAGAGGATTCAGTCAAGCCACTTAAGAGGTAGAGCTAGGTTATCCTCAGGAGTTCTGAATGGAACTCAAAACTAGCTTCTGTCCTAAGCATCAAGTTTTCAATCTATTAAATGTATCAGTGATTGACACAGGATGATGTAACATAGCAAAGTGGGCTACAACAGCTATTCCTAATCAATTACGCTAACAACTCTGGAATAAAATGGACATCTCCTAAGAAAAAGAATTGTGAGATTTCTAACAATAATAACAGTGCCTATTCTTACATAGCATTTAGGCTATGAAAAATAAAACTTTCACATCCATTTTATCTCATTTGTCCAAGTAGTCCTATGAGTATTTTCAAAAGCATATGTTATCATTCCCATTTTATGGCAGAAAGCCTAGGCCAAGAAAAGCTAAGGAATTAGTCAAATGTCGGAACTTGAATCTATTCCTCTGCTCATCAGATTTTCTGACCACAGCATCATGACAAATTTTTATAAACATCAACATCACACCCCTGACCCCTGTTCAGGACTTCCGTAGATTTCTGGCTGGGCATGGTAGCTCATGTCTATAATCCCAGCACTTTGGGAGGTTGAGGCAGGCGGATCACTTAAGGCCAGGAGTTCAAAACCAGCCTGGCCAACATGGTGAAACCCTGTCTCTACTAAAAATACAAAAATTAGCTGGGCATGGTGGTCTGCGCCTGTAATCCCAGCTACTTGGGAAGCTGAGGAACGAGAATTGCTTGAACCTGGGAGGCAGAGGTTGCAGTGAGCTGTGATTGCGTCACTGCACTCCAGCCTGGGTAACAGAGTGAGACTCCGTCAGAAAAGAAAAGAAAAGACAGAAAAGAGAAAAGGAAAGGAAAGAAAAAAGAAAGAAAAGAAAGGAAAGGAAAGGAAAGGAAAGGAAAGGAAAGGAAAAGAAAAGAAAAGAAAAGAAAAGAAAAGAAAAGAAAAGAAAAGAAAGAAAACTTCCTCAGATTTCTATTGTTCACTCTTATTAATACAGTTTGACGTGGAGCCAAGAGAAGAAACTATGGAGGGTCTGCTTTGCTTAACCACATTTTCTAACCCAAAACAGTTCTCCACCTCTGCAGTCTCTTCCCACCTTCCCCAGTTTGCAAGGAATAGAAGTGGGCAAGAAGAGACTGTGGTGTCATTTCAGAAGTATTTGTTATTGTTTTTAAGAGGTTTGGAACAGAATCAAAGTCATTTTTCAGAGCACCTAATAGTTCAGGCCCCTTTTTCCTCTGCCTTCCTCCCCATCCCACTTCCTTTACGTAGCCTCTTCCCTGCAGCCAGGAATTCTCAAGACAAAGACATCCTTGCATCTTTCACAGTTCCCTCAACAACGAGCTCAACACTAGCTGGAGCACCAAAACAAAACAAAACAACAAAACAAAAAAACTGTCCTGGGTGAGTGAATGAATGAATGAACAAATACAATCAAGCTGAGAAAGGGTGAAAGCTACTGATTGGCTGGCCTGCTGACAGATTTTTTTTCACTGAAGACCCGGCCAAATTTACCATCACCCCTTGATTATTCAGGGGTCTGTTTTGTGTTTGTTGTTTAGCCTGGTTTGGTTTTGTTTTGTCACTATTTGTTAGAACAAACAAGATAGGGTAGACAAAGGAAAAAAAGAGTAAAACACACGCTGGATTCTGTTTAGAGGTCTGTTAGAATGTGTTGTAAGGTTGGGAAAGAAGACTACAATTATTTGATAAATGAGGTTTAGAAAATTTGTGCTTTTTAATTCACCCCATAAATAGTAGTGATAACCATGCCAAATTTCCATGACTAACTTAAGAATTAGGATATTTCAAAGCTAGATGCAGACATAATTATTGGAACAGAAGAAAATGTAGAAACTTCTTTATCCACGTCCTCACTCTCTTTACACCATGCCCAAGTTCACCCAGCTTCTCCTTGAGCACTTCAATATCACATGGATCGACACCCCCCAAAAAACCCTTTTCCATTTGAGAACAGCTCTCTGTGTTAAGAGTTCTGACATAATGTACCAGAATCTGGTTGCCTTTAACTTCCACCCAATCTTCATGACTCCTGCCACTGAAGCTATACAGTTTTGTTTTCTGGATTTCAGTCATTCTTCACAGACTCATTCCAGACAATCTCCAAAATGTCAGTGTAACTGTTAGAAGTTGGTGCTAAGGGTTGATCAGAACTCTGATGAGTATAGAGACCTTTGGTGCTATAATGTCCCTTATTTGAGGAATTGTATTTCTACTGATATATTTGGAAAGCAATAAGGAAGAAAGAAAATAATAAAAATAAAAGATAAAAAAGCATCACCCCTGGAATCATAGAAAATCAGGTTCAACACAAGTTCCACCACTCGATCAATCACGTGACTTGAGAAAGTTAATGAACTCTCTAGTTTTCATCTTCAGTGTCTCTAAAGTTAAGAATTGACTTGAAAGTTCAGTAAAGAAGCCAGATACACAATGAATATATAAAAAGCAGTAGCTTTCTGAAAAACAAAAATTAATCAGAAAATATAATGTGAAAATATCCTACCCTTAATAGCTATAATATTAAATTTATAGCTATTATGTTAAAATTTAAAAATAATACTAGTAAGGAAGTATGCCAGATTTAGATGAAGAAATGTTTGCATTTTTATACCTACTAAGGAAATGTGCAGTATTTATGCCACAAAACTCTACCAAGTGACATACTATATGTGATGAGAGACACACACTATTCCTGAAAGTGCAGTTTTAAAACAGAAAAGCTATCATATACTTCCAAATTTATTTCAAGTTTAATACAGTTTCAATCAATATCTCTAAGGAGGTATTCTCATCCACAATATAAATTGTGGTCAATTTATATTACTAAACATGTAAAAATAATCCCAATTTTATATGAACTATAATAAATTATGCAGATATAAATCTTATATAACATTATCAATCTCTGATTATCTCTGGATAGTGACCATTAAGAGTAACTTTTTAAATTTCATCAAGGCATGTAGATTTTTGTTTGGTTGGTTGGTTGCTTGGTTGGTTGGTTGCTTGGTTGGTTGATTTCTCTGATTTGGTGGAGAATGTGGATAAATAAGGAATTAGCTGGGTTTTCAGTTTTGTTTCTGTTGGAATTTAACAAAATGATTCCAAAGTCCAACTAGAAAAACAAACTATGGCTATTAATCAATACATTTTTTATAACAGCAATAAAGGAAAACTTGAATATATCTAATTGGTAAATGATCTAAACTATGCAGTATTGGTACCAGAATCAATAGTTAGAGAAACTATACAGATAACCTGCAACCAGACCCTAATGTACATTTTTAAAAATTAGTAAGTAATAAAAGTTTCATACTAAGTCAATAGGAAAGAATTATTTGATAAAACTTCAGATACATAGTTAAAAATTTAGAAAAACAATTACTCAGCATCTATGATGAATCAAAATAAATTCAGCTGAATTATGGTCATTTTTTAAAAGAAAATATGGATGAATAATTATTGAGTCTTAGATGATAAATAATATTAAAAACATAAAAAACTTAATAAATGTTATTATTAAAACCGTCTTAACCTTCATCATCTGCAGATCTTAAAATAATTAAGCAATAAAAAATAGTGTGAGTTTTAAACGCTTTGTTTTTAGTCATCAACTGCTACCACCTAGACCTATTCCTTGTCTAAATACCACATTCCTTGTCTGGATGCAATTCACTCTACAACTTTGCTAGGGATTAATCCGTAATTTCACCAGTCTTTAAATATTCATCATTCACCTCTTTGCCTCTTCAAAAAAACTGGGTCATTTGCCACTTTCAGTCTTCTGGTATCTTTTCACCTCATCCAAGATTCCAAAGAGGTTACTTAACAATATTTTTCTGTCATGTCTATAAATTTTTCTACCCCCTGAAATGAAACCCATCAGAGACTGAAGACTAGAGCAGCTCTGTCTTCAATGCTGTATTTCCTCTTCAGCTTTGATTTCGCTTTAGACATTTTTGTTCTACCCTTTTGAGGATCAAGATTATTCTCCTTAATCAAAAATATGAAATTAAAGTAGAAACGGAATCATATTTTATCTCTGTCATTTTGATATTACGCTATGTATCTCAGCAGTCATCTTGTGCCTTTATCTTTTTGTTCTCAGCATAACACACACGCACACACACACACATGCACACACACACACACACGCATGCACTTTTTGTGCCCTCAGTGTTTTCATGTTTCACATCTCATCACCCTGAATTTTTACCTTATTTACACTATTACAAGGTGTCACCATCTTATCTTTATTCTTGGTTGTGTGAGCTTATTGGGAAACTCTCAGTGATAGCAAATGATTTGGTTTTATTTTTTTAAATAGTAGCTCTCTTTTCTTCTTACCCGACATCATTTTTAATTTTGTGTCCATGTTTCCATTCGTAAATTGCCCATGCCTTATAATCTATCTTCCCTCTTGAAATTTTTGCTCCATTTTCAATAATTTTTTTAAGAATGTTTCTCAAGAATGGTAAAATATACTTTTACTGAAATCTGGTAAACTTCTAATTATGCCCTGGATTCTTTCCTAAGAACACTGTTAGCACGTCTCTTTTTTTTCAAAGTTACCATTATTTGCACACCACCAACTCTGCATTGTTGGTAGTACTTAAATTCAAATAAGCAGTTTCCGCTAGTGTTCTTTTCAGACCTAAGCAATGAAAATATCAGCAAAGCTAATCATGAAGTTATAAGATTATCAGCTTCTAGAAAAATGAATCTGAAAACATTCAACTATTTTAATTCTTCAATCATTGCACTAACTTGCCCCTTCCAATTGTTTCAATTGGTTTAGAAAAAACACCTATACCCTCTTTCTAGTCAAGTATATGATGGCTTCTGTTTTTCTTTACTTTTATCCTTGCCTAAATGCCCACAACCATGCTTTTCTTTTGTAGAGTTAGTGAGAACTAAAAAGAGCCCAGGACTGAGAATTAAGAAGATCTTCTTACTAGTCTTGGCCCTGCTACTAAATACCTTTCTAAGCAAGCCACTTAACCTCTTAAGGTTTCAAACTCTAATATGTAAAATGAAGCATTTGGACCGTAGGATCACTAGATCTCTCACAACTTGCAATATCATGACTCAGTGGTTGCCCTTTGTGCTCCCCGCAATCTGTTTATTTGAAATAACACGGTTCATTCATTGCTCCTTTCAGTTATGTGGCCAAATTCACCAAGTCCTATTACAAATAATATCAGACTGATCCAAAATAAACTTCCATGTGGGTTCCCCTTCTCCTATACCCATTAAATGTAGGTGCTTCATGGAGGCTCTCCTTAGCCTCCTTTTCTTTTCATAAAAAATGTCTCTCATCATGCTCTCATCTATCCCTTTCAAAACTCACACATCTTTATCTCTAGCTCTGATTCTTCATCTCTCTCCATCCAACATTCCAACTGCCTAGCAGATAATTCTACCTATTTGGCCCAAGGACATCTCAAACTTGGCGAATCCATCATCTTTTTTTCCAAACTCTTCCTTCTCCTGATACTCCTCTGTCTATGCGTCATTCTGCTCTCTCGTCAGTTTCCTGAACATAAGAGCCTGCATTCCATCTGACACTTTCCTTTTCCTCAATGATATGTCATCAGTTGCCAAGTCCTGACAATTCTAACTCCTTGCTAACTCTGACATCCCTGCCCTCTGCTCCTTCTTGTTCAAGCTCTCATGGCCTTATGTATGAGTTGTGCAGTGGCCTAACTGAGTGTCCTCTTCGTGTTCTCTCCTTTCCATAGCTATTACACAATGAGGCCATATTCAACTTCTGAAAACATGCTTTTAACTCTATCATTCTTCTTCCCCTGAAAACTTTTTATTGCTCCTTATCTCAATATGTAAATAAATTCTGAACCCTTTGTCATGCCATTCAGTATTAGCTACTGAAAATCTATCCTCACCTGGTTGTTCTTAACTTCCTGCCACTCCCTATATGGTAACTTAGATTCCAGACTTGCTGTTCTAAGTAATGTCCCACATTTTTTAGAATTTGTTCACATCAAGCCCTTGACTTGAATGCCCTTTCTCCATACTCCCCAGCCTCACTGTAACTACCCAAAATATTCCACTCAGATGCTACTCCAAAGCTTCTGTTAATGACATCAGCTAGGAACAACCTCTCCCTGTCTCCCCTCAACCTGCATCATACATTACTAATGCCTTAGCGATAACATGTATTACTACTAAAGTTGTTATTACATGTTGGCTGGCACAGTGGCTCAAGCCTGTAATCCCAGCACTTTGGGAGGCCAAGGCGAGCGGATCACTTGAGCCCAGGATTTCAAGATCAGCCTGGCCAACATGGCAAAACTCCATCATCTCTACTAAAAATACAAAAATTACCCGGGCATGGTGGGGCATGCCTGTAACCTCATCTACTTGGGAGGCTTAGGCACAAGAATCACTTGAGACCAGGAGGCAGAGGTTGTAGTGAGTTAAGATTGTGCCACTACACTCCAGCCTAGATGATGGTGCAAGACTCTGTCTCAAAAAAAAAAAAAAAGAAAAAAGAAAAACTATTACATGTAATAACTTTATTTCTCAGACTATAGTTACTTACACAAATGACTTTCTTTAGCCAAGGTAGGAGGATTGCTTGAGCTCAGGAGTTTGAGACCAGCCTGGGCAACACAGAAAGACCTTGTCTCTCTTAAAAATAAAAATAAAAAATATAGGCCGGGCACGGTGGCTCATGCCTGTAATCCCAGCACTTTGGGAGGCTGAGGCAGGCGGATCACGAGGTCAGGAGATCGAGACCATCCTGACTAACACAGTGAAACCCCGTCTCTACTAAAAATACAAAAAATTAACCGCGTGTGGTGGCGGGCGCCTGTAGTCCCAGCTACTTGGGAGGCTGAGGCAGGAGAATGGCGTGAATCTGGGAGGCGGAGCTTGCAGTGAGCTGAGATCCCACCATTGCACTCCAGCCTGGGTGACAGAGCAAGACTCCATCTCAAAAAAAAAATTAAAAAATAAAAAATATAGCCAGGTGTGGTGACATGCATCTGTAGTCCCAGCTACTTGAGAGGCTGAGGCAGGAGGATGATTTGAGCCTGGGAAATTGAAACTTCAGTGAGCTATGATTATGCCACTGCACTCCAGCCTCGGTGACAGAGTGAGACGCTGTCTCAAAAAAAAAAAAAAGAATGTAAACTCACATCTGTCAAATAATTTTTAAACACTGCACAACTCCTAATATCATCTTGAATATAGCATTTGCACATAAGTAGCTAAGTATTGAATAAATCAATAATCAAACAACTCAGGATCAATTCTGCCTTCCTGACAGGACTAGGCATATTAGAATTTAGCACATTGTTAATCAATAATATAACTAAAATACTTACTTATACTCTTAAGCATTGTGCTGACTTTTATCAAATATGTGATTGTGTTAATATCATTGGATCATATTAATAGATGGTCACAATAACTATAGTTGTACAAGGCGAATAAATTAATTTTCAAAATAATTAAGAGATAACCTTTAACAGGTTGAAATTTCTGGGCGTCAGTTGCTAAAATAGGCTGTCAGATGGCTAAAAATCTAGGTAAATGTCCATTGAACAAAAAGTCAAGGTAGTTGGACATTGAGAAATAAGCAACAATATGTTATTCATAATGGTTACATTAATAACCAGTAATGTCTGATGTGCCAGGTTGCAACAGCTATCTATAGAAGTGCTCCAGGTTCTGGGGAAATTTAGGGAAGCAGGTGGCATTTCACATTTATTTGCTCCAATGAAAAACTGGGAAGAAATTAGCTGACTATGATAACTTTTGGTATACTAGCAATCGAGCTAGATAAACATCTTAAGGTTGACTTATAGTTTATTCTGCTATACTGAAACTAAGTTATTGTCATATTATTTTTCATTAATGCTAACAGAGTTCAATGAAATTTGGCAAAGGAACAATAACTCTGCTGATGAATATCTTATGAGGAAAAAGTATGCCTATCTTAAAATAGGATCATGCCTATAAACATTATGAAATTTCCTTCCTACCTACCTAGACTGATATAAGAGAGGCATCATATTACCCCTGAGTGACAAAACATTAGTATTCCCTAGCAACCCTTGTATAAGCCTGGTGTTGCCAAAACACTTCGGATGGCATGCCTCTACTCACAGATTCAATTGCCTGATTACTAACCCCAAGATGAAACTAGCCCAAATGGCAAACCAGCCCAAACTGGCAATGAGCAGGGGTGGGGAGGCATTGCTGGGTTCAGCAATCCTGTCCACCCCACAAAACATGCTCTTCTCTATGGGCTTTTCACGGAGAGCTAGCTGCAGCACCAGCATCTAGGGAGCTAAAAATGTGCTCCCTGCTAATGAGAGGTCACACTCAGTGCTTGTTGTCCTAGTGCTGCCTCCTGGCCACAGTACTTCATGAGGGAGAAGAAAAAGGAAGAAACTGTGACCAGCTTGATTAACTTTCCACTCCAGGGAATGGCACAGTGAATTGGCTAGGAGTGTGGAGGCTGACTTCAGACTGCCTGGGTTCAAATCCTGGCTCCGACAATTGTCAGATGAAACTTGGATGAGTTAATTTCCCCTAAATTTCCATTTCCTTTTTTCAAATGGAAATTAGCATAGTATCTCTTTGTTATGACAAGTATTAAGTAAAATTGTGCCTGAAAAATATTGCCAAAATGTTTGGCACAATGAATTTAAAGTACAATTAATATTTGCTCAAATAACAACCTCTAGAGAGAGTGAAGAATTGACTCACAGAGGCTTTCAGAGTTTTTGTTACTAATGGCCAGATTTCATCCAAAGAAAGAAGTGATTCTCAAGATCCATGCCTGTTGCCTAGCTATTTTTTTTTTCAAAAGAAATACTTACGAAATTTTAAAAGTAAGCTGATATAGCCTGAGTCACATAGTGAGACCCTGTCTCAACAAAACACCAAAAAATTATCCAGGCATGGTAGTATGCGCCTGTAGTCCCAGTTACTCAGGAAGCTAAGGCAGGAGGATTGTTTGAGCCCAGGATGTCAAGGCTACAGTGAGCCATGATTGTGCCACTGCACTCCAGCCTGGGCAACAAACAACAGAATAAGACCTTATCTCAATAATAAAAATAATAAGCTGATGAAGTCATATATTCTCCTTACATGCAAAGAGAAACACAGCATACAGTTGGAGAGCAATATGTTGCTTTTCTTCAACAAATGTACCTGAAATTACACATCAAAAAAGAGTTTTTATCTTCAAAATAGTCACATCAGGGAACCCATGCACTTATATATCAATAATGCACTTACATCAATAATGCTGCCAAACATTTTTGGATCTCCTTCTTCTAAATTACCTTTACAGCTTACTTCTTTTGGATGTCTTCATTGGCAACAAAATTTTATCCTTTGGGAGTTTTTAATTTTGAAAGCAGATTTAAAACCAACACTTATGAATAAGATGGAGAAGAATGTCACCTCTGATCAAAAATGAGGAAATAAAGACCTTTTTGCATAACTAGTCAAATGTCTCAAACAATTCCAGGGAATCTCTAAAACATTTCAAGCTAATGAAAGCACTGTCAGATTTAATGTGTTGCTTTCTATGTGATTAACAAGTTATATATTTATTTATTTAATGTTATTAAATACCTCTAGAGCACTGTGACGAGTACTGTTCTAGAAACTTTTACATATATCAGTTATTTAGTGCTCACATCTTATGAAGTAGGTGCTCTCAGTATCCTCGTTTTACAGATGAGGTCATTGAGGCACAGAGAAGTTAAGGATTTTGTCCCAAGACACAGAGCTAGTAAGTGGAGGAGGCAAAAGTCAAACCCAGGCTGTCTACTTAGTATATTTGCTATATTTTCTTAAAAGTACAACCTTTTTGTATCAGTAGTTATGCTTTCTGGGTTGTCCGAGGTAATGTAATTTAAACTTGGTGAAAGATACAACATATCTTCATGAGTTTTGTTTTACCTGAGCTAAAAGCCTTCTTAGTGTTAAGAAGCACTATCTAAACTATTTTCCTCTATCTTCCCATAGCAGGCTATGCAAGGAGGAAACAGTCCCAATTTCCAACTTCCTAGTTTTCTAACGATCCATAGGTTGACCTGTTTTTCCACATAAGGAGTCCTTTCACCCAGAGGCTTCTTCAACCTTGGACCAGGATCAGTCTCTCTTCTCACGATGTTTCCTCACACCTATTTCACAACTTGTCTCTTTACAATTCACTTTTTCTATTACATCACTCAGTAGGTCAATCTTGCTAGACTAATGGGGAAGAAGGAAAAGGGGAGTGAAGAAGGATGTTTAAGCCCTCTTTGAAAAAGTGCCTTTTCATATTCTTTCCCATAAGGAAAATGCTTCAAATGTCTCACTTCGCTCTCCTTTGCTTTGAAATAGGAGTTTCCAAAGCAGCTTCACACCAATGCCAAAAAAATATCAGTAACGGGCCATTCAGATAGTGACAACAACCCCAAGGAAACATAATTAAGCAAATTTTAAAAATAAAATATACTGGAACTTTTTTATTTCAGGATAAAAGAAAAATACAGGAAGAAATCTCACAGAAGCGTCTGAAAATAGAGGAAGACAAACTAAAGCACCAGCATTTGAAGGTAATTTATGGCTTTAATTTCATTTCAATGATTTTGTATTCAAAAATTCTATTGGTACTCAAATTTCAATAGTAAAAAAGCTTTAGGAAAGAAAAAAATTTCAAGATAGTTTGACTAACATTGTAATAACCATAGGGGAGGCCAACAAGCTAGTAACATTTGCATATGAGATTAATACCTTCTAGCAAACATGTGCAAAGTTGAACACATGGTTTTATTACTTTTATCCTTTATAACTGAGTTTCCCAATTTTCTTGAGCAACCTTGAGAATTCAGCCTTGAGAATTTGGCCCTGCTCGCAGTCTTGCTTAACATCCCTAGGGAGTGGATCCAGCTAGGAAGTGCCTTTTGAAATCAATGAAAGGCCAGTCATTCCCCCGGGGGTGCAGAACAGTGTCTGGCCTGGTCAAGGATGCTTGTATTTAAAAGTTCAGTGCAATGAGTCCAATGTTGTTTGAGTATGCTTCGGGTTTTTGTTTTATTTTGTTTTGACAGAACATGAGATCATAACCAGAAATAACTTTCCATGTTTAAAATCAGATTTTACATCTTTCACTGGGTGTGGCCATTTTGTAATTAAAGCACATTGAGTTTCAACATTTTATTACTTAGCTTAGTGACAGGATGCAAGCAAATAACAAACAGCAGCTCCTTGTGAAAAGGCCCAAGCAGGAAACTACTTATCTGACAGGGCTGCTATCAATAGATTTAATGAATCCCCTTAATGATACAAAGCTGCACACTCAAGGGGTCTACAAATTTAAGTTAAACTTGCTGAATGCAACTGACTTCATTTTTCTAATGGAACAAGTACCTGCCTCTGAAAAAAAACATAATTTAAGATTCCAATTAGCCTCATTCTCTGGATTCTGTTTGCTTCTTTGCTTCTAAACAAGTTGACATTTCCGATGTTTGATGGATAATTTCAAAGCACAGTTAGTCTGCTCCCCTTCCAATATGTCACATTGAATTTACATGAGTAGTATACATAGTCAAGAAATGTAGTGTGTACTCCTAGGAAATCAATGAAATTTAAAAAAAAAAAGTTCCAAGTTGTTCCAGTGCAATTCAAATGAAGTCAACAGTCAAATCTAGAAAGTTTTTTAGATAGGCCATTTCTCACTCCAAAACCAGAGGTCATTTGCTCTCCTTTCCTCTCTCTCTCTCTCACACACACACACTTGCACAATTTACACACACACAATCACACACACAATACACACAATCTGGATCTCCCAATGAACTACTTCCTGCCTCTGAGTAAAATGATAGCTCTCTAGCTATCCTTGAGAATGGGCAATTGTTATCCTTGCAGAATGGGTAGCCACAAAACAGTGGAGCTCACAGTAGAAGAGAAGATTTAAATATCCCCTTAGTTCGTTCTAGAAGTAAGTTTCGCATGAGAAGCCTGACTCACTGAAAGGTCCATTTCTGAAGTAGCACCTCATTCCAGCACTTGCCAAAAACAGTCTGGAAAGTAGTAGATGATCTTCCTTATTGGTTTGCTCTCCAGAACACAGGAGACCTCTCCTGATCCAATCCAATCAAAACATTTATCATGTTTTGGACTGCCATATACAGTTGTGCAGATTGTGTACTGCACAAAGGTACCTGAAATGATGGTGCTAAAATCTTGTCCACATTCCTTTGCCAGTCGTGCACTCTGGTTCAGGGATGCTTATACCTGGAGCAAAAGGTTTCAATTTTCTCTGCACAAAAGTGCTATCCACTTTCCCAAGCTGTTCACTGGAAAAAAGGGGTGTGTGTGGCATGGAGCAGGGCTAGGAGTTGGGGGAAATGACACATTGTCCTAATTTGGGAAATTCAAGATTAAATAAACAAGATAAATGATAGTTGTTTTAATTTAAACTACAGTATAATTATTCTTTAATCTGGGATGGTCAAGAAGGCACTATTAAAGGTATGGGATTCAAGCTGAGTCTTAACTGGTAAGTAGAATTTATATGGATGTATATAGGGCCTTTAGTCAATAAATATTTATTAAGTACATATTATGTACAAGCTATGAAGCTAGACACTAAGAATATAAAACAAGTGAAATTTGGCCTGCGTCCTTAAGATGGTAACTGATACATAAACTCATAATAACAGTTATTCTGTGATAAACACTGTATGGGAGGCATAAACTGCACAGGGCACAGAGAAGAAAGAGTGGCTATTTCAGTAGAGCACATTCTTCCAAGTTTTGCAAAAAATAGTTGTCTATACCAAACAGCAACAAGGCATAATTCCAAAATGGGGTTCAAAATGTGCAAAAGTATTTTTTAAAATAATTCTACAATGTCTTCACCAAATTAAAAAGCTCTGTTGGCCTCTATAGCCTGTCTCTTATTTTCTTCATCCATTCGTCCTAGTCTTCATGACTATCCTCTCCACTTTCCTGATTGCAAACTAGTTCACTATACTTCAGTGACACACATTAAACAACATAAGCATAAACATTTACAAAGTGTTCCTCCTACATCAGAATACACACATTTCAAAATAGTTGTAGTAACTCCCTCTGATATTCTTTAGCTCCTGAACCTGATGATCATTCTCATAATGTGCTAGCAAGGGAATTTCTGGGACATTTTTTACATCTTAATATTCAAACTACTCATACAGAGATTTTTTTTCTGTATGGATCTTCTTGCCTAGTAATATGATCACAATCTCATGTTACCAGGAAACACAAAATACAGTCAATCTGAAAAATTTTTGATTTCCATGAGTCCGTTCAATTCAATCTACAAAAAACCAATTTATTCCTACTCTACTGTAACTTCTGGGTAGATATAGAAGTGCTCAGGAAAACCTTTTCCTAAAAAAACTGCAGAAAGACCTATCACCTGCATGTCACATATTTTCATTTAGTTCATATGGCTTTCAATTCTGAATTTCATTGTAAAGTAGATTTTATTATACTCATTAGCCTCATCCACTAAAGCACAAGTCTAAACTGTGACATAAAAGCAAAATAACTCTTTTGATTACTACAGTATATATGTGATTGCATCATATATCATTTTGATTGCACATCCAAATTGCATATTTTATATTTAAGTTCAAAGAGTTCTCCACGAGGCATAAATGAAAATTTATGAAGTATGAACAAAGTTTTACAAGACTAAAATTAAAATTATTTCTAACTAGACTAAAAACCAAGAATATAGCCCCAAGTTAACCTAATCACATCACAAGAATGATTCGCTACTCTCTATAATTCAGCCTCATAAGACCACCCCATCTGAGTGTTTCTTATATAGCTATGTGTGTCATTGGCTGGAACTTTCCTTATAGGTGGTTTGTAAGGAGTAAAACTTACTTCTATAGGTGTTACTGTCTTCTTTCCTATGCATTAGCTAAAATTCCATTAGATAAAAATAAATTAGAATCAAAGTAAATTATTAAAATGCTGCTATATTCAGAGTTTCTTAGCATCTTTGACCCCAGGAGCTGAATCTTGACCAATGTTAATCATATTTACTGGGTCTGCAGGAAAACATTTTTGCAAACAGCTAAACAGCTATAATAAATGGTTAAGATAACACTGGGGTAAAGAATCTCTGGCCACAGAATGGAGTAATACAAATTGCTCTTGTGATGTATATCGTCCACATGCAGTTGCTTAAGATTCTGAAAAGGCCAGTACAAATGTGATGATCTGGGGTGAAGCTGTTATTTACTAAATCTAGTGGTTTTCAAACCATGTTCTGTGTATCCATAAGCTTTCAGGCCCCTTCACTTCTTCAATTAGAGCAGTCCAGAATTCATCTGTTTTCCAAACTATAGTTCCATATAACATTTGTTTGTAATGTTGTAAGTTATAATGTTATATTGGTTTTTTTTTTAAGAAAAAAAGATTTAAAAGTCATTGCCTCAGTAAAAAATAATCATCCTTTGGTAATTATCTATCACAACTAAACTTAATTTTAAATGTTTTCTTAATTCAGAGATACTTGTATCTCAGTGGTATCAGTAAAAAATAATCATCCTTTGGCAATTATCTATCACAACTAAACTTAATTTTAAATGTTTTCTTAATTCAGAGATACTTGTATCTCAGTGGTATTTATTCTAGCATCCTTAAAAAAACACACCCACACACAAACACACAAAGTTATTCTTACTTACTCTCATTTAAATTTCAATATAAGAGAAAGAAGTCCCAGAAAATAAAGTTCCCATTCTCTCCTCACAGATTTTAAATATAGTGAATCCCCAATGAATAATTAACAATGAATAACTGAACAAATAATTGATAGGGCAGATTGGATACATAATGAGAGCCCTTTTATTCCAGGAGAAAAAGAGAAACTTGAGCTCCTTGAAAATAACATGACCATACATCTGATGCTTCCCACTTGAGATGTAGACTACATGCTAATTAAAGCCCATCCAAAATTTACAGGTCTTTTTCATTTGTTTTAAGTCTTCTTAGGTCTTTAAACTCCAGGTCCAGGCGTTTAATTTCCTCATGCAAATTCAAGAGGAGTTTTTGTTTTTTCCATCTGGTGAAATGTAATTTTTTGTGTGTTGTTAAAGTTGACAAAAACTCACCAACATTTAGACAGATCAGTAAATTTTGCGCTTAAGAATGTCTATAACCAGGGAGATTCTGAGAAGAAAGAAGGGGAGCTAAGTAGGCAAAACAATAAACAGCTGCCACACAGCCTAAGAATAACACTGAATATGTTTAAGTTACAACAGCAACCTTCTGTTTTGCCCACCATTCCAATTAATCCCACTAAAGATTTTTTTAAAGCAGTCATTGCATGCTCTCACCAGGGGGAATATCAAAATAGCTTCAAGAAGCTTTTGACTTTGTTTAGGACACAAGATATATACCCATCAATAACAGATGACACTAAAGACATCATATTATGAGGTCCCATTATGACTGTGATAAACACACAGTATGGCATGGTTCTGAAGACAGAAAGTGAGGGTCAGGATGGGGCTGCCAGGAGTATGGGGGCCAGGGATCTTCATGCCAAAGGAGAGACCCAAACTAAACCTTGAAGTATAAATGGGATTTAGATGCATAAAACCTGGCTTTGAATACAGTCAAGAAGGTTACAATGAAAGAAAATACCAGATTTATTCAGGCAAGGCACTGACAGAAAATAATTCCTCTTTAACGTGTCACCTATTGAAATTCATAAGATTTGAAAGCAGTAAGAGATTTTGGAAATTATTGACCAATATAAGAACATATCTTTATGTTTCCTGACATCAGAAAAAGGCCTTGAGGGAGAAATGGCTTCTAGATGGAATCAGCAGCGGAAAAGAACAGGAAGAGATGAAGAAGCAAAATCAACAAGACCAGCACCAGATCCAGGTTCTAGAACAAAGTATCCTCAGGTATGGCCCTCACTGAGATACTCCACAACTACCTTTATTTTGACTTTATCCCATGTTGTGCATAGACATGCCATTCTCACTTTCAGGGGCATAATCAAATCTTCCATTTGAATTTCTTTTTTTTTTTTTTAAGGCACGCTTTCACACTGTCACCCAGGCTGGAGTGCAGTGACATGATCTCGGCTCACGGCAACTTCCACTCCCAGGGCTCAAGCAATTCTCCAGCCTCAGCCTCCTGAGTAGCTAGGATGATGGGCACCCACAACCAATGCTTGGCTAATTTTTGTATTTTTGTAGAGACAGGGTTTCACCATGTTGCCCTGGCTGGTCTAGAACTCCTGAGCTCAAAGTGATGCACCTGCCTCGGCCTCCCGATGTACAGGTGTGAGCCACCATGGTCAGCCTTCCATATGAATTTCTAAAAAAGGGATTACAGGTGTCAGCCACCGCGGTCAGCCTTCCATATGAATTTCTAAAAAAGACTAGGGAAACACACCAAAAGGCCACAGTAGAAATTTTACTATAAGTATCACCTGAGTATAGCAACACTAGATTTATTTTTAAGTGCATATTGATGACTTACTCATACCTCTCTGAGCCTATTTCCTGCAGAATGGTAGTAACAATGCCTAACTTTTAAAAAATACATGCACTAAACTACCAGCACCTACCTAGCACATGGTAGGTACACAAACAAAAGTCCTTCTTCACAGCCCCAGCCCCTACTCTCACCTTAGGACAGGTGACAAGTCTACAGGTGTGTTTACCCGGTCCTTCCATCATATTTCTCTCAGGCACCCTCCCCAGTCACAACCATGATATTGGAAAGAAGGTTCTATAGGAATACTCTACTCACAGTTTCCCTCTTCTAGTTCTTTGATGATTTGGTCACAGGCGTTCACTTCATTTCTCAACATCCTTTCCTGCTTATTTTGTGAGATCAGTACAGTCAGGCAACTGCTGGTGTAAGAAGTAATGTTCTAAAATTATCTTGGCTTGAAATAAGGTGATGGACAAGAAAAAACTGGAAAGCTCAAATGTAAGATGGGATTATTAGTATTATCACATGCAAAAAAGCACAAAAGAAACAGATACGGGAAAGGCCAGAATCATTTTCTAACCTACAAAGGGAAAATATTTAAAAGATGGAATTTCTTGTGTTATAATCACGACAACAAATTAAAGTCTACCCATCTTTGAATATAGACGACTTTCAAAACCTCATTCGCTATAATGTATTGCCTTTAGTGAGGACTGTAGAAAAGATCTGAAACACAAAAGTATTTGGTATCTGTGCTACGACCGCATTTTGTCCATACTCACTGCACTATACAAACAGATCTCATTAGGCTTAAGACTGACAACATGAAGAAAGTCTTCCTCTCTTCAAATGATTTCCATTTTACTTGATTAATTACATGCACTTGTATATTGAATAGCTAAAATAACTGACTGTTCATCCTTATCTAGATGTTTTTGAAATTAACAATTCTTAAAAGGTTATATAATTGAAATGTTTGCATTTATAAACCCCTCAGTTATTTACTCAAAGATTTGAAGTGCTTCTAAATAGTGGATAATAAATACTTTAAAAATAACCCAATAAATCAACTCTATAGTTTGGAAAACTCAATTCTTATCAAGGCATCCCTTAGCAAGACATTCTCACCAAGATCCCGGCATAAGTGGGTGATTACTTTCTTTATTCCTCAACACAGAACCCTTATCTCTGAAGGAGTCCTGAATTTAATCCCCGTAAACCTTTCCCACTGCACAGACACCTACTTGCTTCCCCTCAAAACCTCCTTTTAGAGTCTTTCCACACACTGAACACCTACAACTTTCTCTGCATCTGATGATAATTGAAGTGGCTACATATACTCAAACTCCATTAACAGGCTTGGGCAGCATTCTGAGTAATCCGAGTATTAACCAGGACTCTACTGATTGCTTTTAGGCCTTGCCTGAATGCTCTGAGAAGCACACGAGCTCCCAGAAGTATTGACAGTGGCTGGTCTAGTTAGAGCTCCTTCCTAACCAAAAATTAAAAAGGAGAAGGAGGAGGGAGAGGAAGAGAGAGATAGATTTAATAAGCCATAGTATACAGCAGGCACTTTACATATATTGTCCCATTTAATCTTCATAACCCGGTGAGGGTAGGTATTATTACCTTCACTTCTTTCAGAGAAGTTAAGGAATTCACACAACTAGGAAGTGGGAGGTCAGGGACTGACTCATTTGACTACTCCACAGTGCCTGTGAAATGATGGCACACAGCAGCCTCTGTGGACTGAAAAGGTATTCTCTCTTATAGAAAATCTTTGAAGTGTGTTCTGTCCCTTTGCTCTCCTTTCTCCAAAATCTCCAACCACACTTAGGGTCTCCTTCTATGTCCCCCTATTCTCTTTGGTAAATTACTGATTCCATGTTTGTTCATTACCCAATTTCTCGCATCTCACTACAACTTTTAGATCTTCATGATGCTAAATCCATCAATACTCCTTTGTGAATACCAAATGAGTTTAGTCCTTAAATATAAGTAATAATAATAGTAATGGTTCATTTTTAAAGGAACTTGTATAATTTACAAAGCACTTGAACTTACATTAAGTCATCGAAAACAACAATCCTAGAAAGAAAGTGCCAACACCTCCATTTCACAGATGAGGAAATAGGCGCAGAGAAAGAAAGTGACTTAATTAAGGCCACAGAGTCAGTAAAGGGTAGACTTAGATCTCAAAGCAAGCCAGGTTCAGTGCTCTCCAGCTGAAAAATGAAGAGAGCTGTAAATGCAAATGCTCTAGAAATAGTAAAACACCTAACACAGACAAGTATCTCTAATAATCAGCAAACTGCTTTGTTTAAGGAATGATCCTAAAAAGATGTATTTGCAAAAAAAAATAGTAAAGAATTTGTTTTCTTGTGACCTATAGAGGCAGGTTTATCTGGTTAAAAATATAACAGCAACAGAATGTTCCAAAGCAACACACAGAGAAAAAATATCTATGCCTTGTCTGTATTAAGCAACCTCCCCTACTGCCCAGCATTATAAAAATCACATTGCCAAAGCAGCTTTACCTGATAATGGAACGTTTTCTTCTCAGATGTTTGTAAAGCTGCTAAAAAAAACAAAAACAAAAAAACAAAAAAACAAATCAGGTGCATGTTTTTAAATTCAATCTTTCTCCTAAACAAGTACCCACAGTGCTTGAGAAGCTCTTATTACCAGCTAAATCAGTACAATTTCCTGTTAGCACTGAGTAGCAATGGAGCCAACTGATGAATTTGAACTAGGGAGACCCACTCACAATCCCTAAGCAGGGAAAGTAACTCAAACTCTGAATGTGATTTATCACTTGACTTACGTGCCTGCTCGAGGGTGACATTTGCCACTCTGCCAGGCCCCCTCAGCTAGAGGATAAGATTTTAATGGGAACATCAAAGTAGAAATATTGCTATTACCGTGGAGTCCATAGCAGGGCCAGACTTTGCCCATGAACCTTTCTTTCCTTCTACTTCTAAGGCGTTGTAAGATGAACTGAAATAGCGTTGCCTCTGGCATTCAAATCCCTCTTCTGCTGACATAGTACACAGGCTTGGCCATGTTCTTTCATTTCTTTGAGCCTCAGTTTCCTTGCCTGTAATGTGAGACAGTTATAGCCACTTCACAGGACTGCTGTGAATACAGAGTGCCTGACACATGGAGGTGTACAAAAAATATTAAATACTAGTCCTTACTAAAAGGTGAAATTAGAAGAACAACACTGCACGGATCTTTATCCAGGTATTTTTATTTTTTGGCCAAGTTCTCTCCTTTCTTTATGCTAGTACAAAGAGTGTTTTTCTTGGAGTAAACTGAGAATACCAACCAATGAGGATTCTTTCCATTTGGAAATAATCTATGATTTTTTTTATGGCTTAAAGTCTAGAATGCTACCATAGAGGTTAATTTTTGTGGAACATTTGCTGTGGACCAGGCATTGTGCTAAACATTTCATGTACATTATTTCATTGAGTTCTCACAACTACCCTATTAGGTAGGTAACATTTAACAGATGAGAAAAATTGACACTTACAGAGGCTAACTCACCCTAAGTCATACAGCAAAACGTAAAGAGCCAGGATTTAAAACCTAATTAAAAGTCCTAATCATAAAAATAAAATTGCACCTCAGAGCCTGTAGAAATTTTTTACAAATGTTAAATGCTGTAAACTCTATACTTTTATAGCATTTTTAAGTTTCCAATCTATGCTACAATTTCACTTTTATGTGTACCACTTTATGTAGACATTTACCTGAATATTTAACATATTAAAGACATTCAGAGGGTACCCTGACTCACACATAACCTTTAAGTAAAGCATATCTGCTTATTCATCCTGTCGTTGTCTCCTCCAAAGAGAGGCAACATTTCAGAAAATAAGTGGGTTTCCATGGTTTCTGTCTCTGAGTTACATTCTTAGCTTTCAAACAATATTGTGGAGTATTTTGCCTTGTGCCCTGATTAATACCTTAGGAGGAAATGTTCCCAGGGGAAGCCTATATTGAACGTCTCCTTCTGAATCACTTTGCTTAAATAGAGTTTCAATTTGCCTCCCAAAAGAGCCCTGCGCTTACTGCGACCACTGAACCATTTACTGCCTGATTGTAGGCACAGGTGCACTGATTTTTCAGTCCAAATATCCATGTGCACAAATTTATACCTGGTTTAGAAATCTTGTCCTAACACTTTCCTTGCTCTCCTCTATCCAATAGCCCACACCCAAAATGACACCCCCAGTAAGTCTCCATAGGAGGTATGCCCCCAGCAACTTGTTCACATCCTGGGTTCTTCTTTCCTATCCAGCTGCCCTGCAGTTGTCCATGACCTCCCTTAGCCAAACTGCCCTGTGCCAAGCTCCCGGCCAGACACTCTACTTCTTGAACTGTGTCCAAAGACCTCTGACTTTAATTGGAGCACACAGAGCGCCTGACAGAAATGTCATAAGCATGAAATGTAAAAGGTCAACTGCCGAGGAGAATGATGCAAATACACTGCATTCCCTTTGGGAAGGATAAGCTACTTATGATTAAATGTTCTCTAGCACGGATTTTTTTTTTAATACTCCAAAGTGCCCTTCTGACCTTCTGCCTTCTTTTAATGAACTTTCATTTGTCCCCCAAATAGTTAGAAACCGCCTTCCACAGATGATACAAATGGGCAAAGGTGTATGTGAAGCCTTGGATGTCTGTGTGACTACGTGTCATGAGAAAAGCCAAGTGGGCTGGTACAGCAGCTATAGCCACATCCCACATAACTTAAGGAAAATTCCTCCACAAAAGGAGCTGAAACCCAGGAAAATGCATTCTGCTCAATATCATGTAAAGCAATAATTTACTCAATTAACTAAAAAGAGAGCAGGCAAAATTCAATTCAAAAGAGAACCCAAAACATTGATGTAGAAATATAAAAGTTAAATTTTTTTGTTACTGGTTATCATTTATCAAAGTTTATCTTATTATTATTTCCATCCAAGTTTAACCCCTACTTAATGCTTTTAACTACCTGTGCAGGTCAATTGTACCTTAATGAAACTAATGTTTCCTCAAACACGGGTGAGATATGCTACGTGAAAAATACTACATTCTAGATGTTTCTGCCTTCCTACCCTAACCCGTATCTAATACCACATAGCAGAGAGATAGACAAGCTGCTCTTTTATGACAACATAAGAAAAAAAAAGAGGCGAAAAAAAACTCTACCATTTGTTTCTTATTAAATTTGCTGTTGCCTAGAGACACTCAAGAAATTATTCTAAGGTAATTACATGAGTCAAAATCGTTCCAAGCATGTTTTTCACTCTCCATATTTGACTAATTGGTTTACCAGATTTGTAATAGTTCATCTGTTGTTGTTTTCAATTTCCCAGATAGTCTGATTATTTTTAATTCAGGAGCTTCACTTTTAACAAAAAAAAGCCAAGTAAACCAAACTTAAAAGCAAAAAAGGGAAGAAGTCTACCCACTCCAACCCTCCGAAACACACACATACAAGCCCCTAGTACAACGCCTAGCACATAGTAGGAATACCTGTGAATACATAGCTTAATAAGTGAATGAATGAGTAAAATAGATGACGTATAGATGAATGTTAGTACTTAAAAATACTACCTTTCTAAGAGGACCAGCTAAAGAAGCCTAGATAATGACTTGAACATTAATGAACTGAAAAGGAAAGCCTTGAAACTCTTTTAAAAATAAGAAAAGAATAAACATCCAGCTATTTTGAGTCAAGGGCAAAGTTAAATGGTAGTAGTGCCCTGGTTTTTTAAACAATTATCAATGGCATGTTTTAACATCTCACCAGCACTTTGTTTACTTTCTCTCCATGTTCCCTTCCTCCATATGCCCTTTTATTTCCTTATCCCGACCTTTCAGCATTCATTCTTGCTCATACCTGCCAATCTCATCTATATGTTAGTAGAAATAAAGATTAAATGGTTACTGGCCCCCACCATGATAAGCTGAAAAGTAGATTGCAATAAACTCTGAGGGTCCTCCCTCCACTCCACTTCAATTTATTTAACAACAGCTACTCTTTATGGAGCACTATTCTGAGAATGACAATTCTCTGAGGGAAGTCTAATTAGCCTCATTTTGTACATAAGGACACTAAATCATAGAAAGCTATAAATCTGGCAACAGTCATGCCAGGAGTCACACATAGGTCTTTCTGACTCCAGACCCTTCCCACCAGACCTCACACTGCTTATTCTTGATTCATTCCATGAACATTATTGAGAACTTGCCATATGTAAGTCTTTGAGTCTTACAGAGAAGATTCCATATAAACTCCCACCCAAAAAAAAAAAAAATTTGTTTTTCTCTCTTTAAATCCCTTAACTTTTCAAAATGCATTTACATTTATTATCTCACTTCAAATGGTATTCAGTGCCTTGAAATACAAATATGACACCATTAGCAGAGTTGTCATAAATCTTTGGCTGTGCTGACATGAGTAAAGACAAAACAAAGGAGCAACTGAACAATCCAGAAAGTGGGAGGTGAATTAGTTTCAGTGACCCGTTCTCCAAGCCTTGGTCATAAAGGATGAATGTTCAAGAGCAGCGACTCATTGTAATAGAGAAAGGATCTGTGCTGCCTGCCACCAGGCCTAGACTTCTGCATTCTGCAGGAGAGTTTCCCGTGACTAATTTTACCAGCTCAAAAAACTTCCACACCCACCCCCTTGCGATGCATCTTTTGTCTGCCATAAGGCAAATGTCACTTCGTCCATTTAGACCACCCAAGGTTATCTGATTCTTGTTGGTTATTCTATGTTTTATTAGGATTGGAATTTATATTTGTTGATCTTCAAACAATAGAGTCCTGTTCCTTGGTATCAAATATGAACAGTTAACATCAAGAAACAAAGCAAAAATGAAGTAGATAAAAAATAGAAAATATAGTGACTGCTGTATAATATAGTCAGGGATAAATGTTAAGGGTTACCAAGGCACAAAGCCAGGAATTATTTCTGAAAGGAAAGAGTCACTATCTACATCATTGAATACTTTTTGCCATTTCATTATATAATTACAAGTAGTTTATTCATAGAAATGTTTTTCTCTACAATTTATTTTTAGGAAAAGAAAAGAGGCTTACCAGAATCATGGATAAGTATATCTTCAGTTAACTTGCCATGTCCTGGCCACAACAGTAGTTGATGGTCACTTGGGAAACTCATGACAGCTGGGTACAAGTCAAATTATTACAATTACTTCACTCCTATTAAATGTTTGGCATGTACTACAAGGTCCTCTACAAGCCCTAATTTAAAAACACACACACCTAGTTTCTGTCCCACCAGAGCAGTTGAGAAGCCCATAACAAACCAATCCTTCATATCACATCAACCTTGAGACTATATGTTTATTTGCATTCATTTGAAAATGACATTTGTTTAATAACTTGTGCATGATAGTGGCTGATTCTCTGAAAACCAGTTTGGTTTCTTATTTTTCATGGCAAATGAAACCCTCAATTTGCAAAATATTGTTCTGATTAAGAGGGTTTGCTTTTCTACTAAATCACTCTCTTCTAACGTTGCATGCCTACACGGCAGTTTCAAATTAGGATACTATCATCTGCCCATAAGATAATTATTAATATTTGCAGAGTTATATTAGGAGATGAGATTCACCCATGCAAAAGCTATTCACATATAATCAGTCAGCTTTCTAAACATCTGCTCTGTTCCCAACCATCAGAGCAAACTAATGCTTGTTTTAATGTCATTGTTCCCTTGCCTCTCTGCTTCTTGTTATCTTAAAACTGCTGCATTGTATTGTTTGTCCTATTCTTAAATGCTCAGGATTAGAGGCAATAGATCTGACTTGTGGCAAACTTAGTGTTTGCTGTATGCCAAATGCCCTTTAATTCTCTGGCATGCTTACCACTAGCATGTGACAGTTTGCACTAGTAGGCTAGATCTTCCTTATTATACACATGCCCTTTGACAATGGCTGGTTCTAAGGCAGTTCTTCTTCTTCCTTTTTTTTAAGGACACCAGCCATATTGGATAGTTTTTGTTCTCACCTACTGTCTATGCACTGAATTATTCTTCATCTTTTTTGATACGCACTTTTTAAAAATTTTTGTAGATGTAGGGGGTACAAGTGCAGTTTTGTTATATGGATACACTGAATAGTGGTGAAGTCTGGGCTTTTAGTGCAATCATCAGCCAATATATTCATTGTATCCATTAGGTAATTTCTCATCCCTAATACCCCTCCCACCCTCTCACCCTTCTGAGTCTCCAGTGGCTAGTATTCCACTCTATATGTCCATATATACACATTACTTCATACCCACTTATACGTTAGAACACGTGGTATTTGTCTGTTTCTGAGTTATTTCACTTAAGATAATGATTTTATTTCAGCTTAGTGAAGAAAATATGCCTGACATATAATAGGTCCTTAATAAAGGTTTGTTATATTTTGATGAAATTTATTAAACCCCAACTTTAAAAAGTAAAAAAAGAAAAAAAAAGCTCACCTTCTAATATATTACATGACCCTCAACTTTATTAAGAAAATGTAGTTTGGCACTACCATTGGCCAAATTATCTACAAAGATGAAATATCTTTAACCTCTGACCCATCAGTAGTAATTTATCTGCCTATTACATATGACTAACACACTGCAGTCAAGATAACTAAAGTCAACTGTATGTACTCAATAATAGCCATTGAATTTCCAGAGAGATTATTTTAGATGAGTTATGATTTAAAAAAGTAAAAAGACCTTTCATTTTTCACTGCAAACCTTAACCATTCAGTAGTAGCCAGCTGTCAACACATATCATGCCAGATTTGATACATTTTTTAGAAACACATAAATCCTTTAACCACTGAGAGCAAAGACTGATTAATTTTTCTGTTTTTCTAGTTAACAACCTGAAATGCAAGATACTAATGAGTAATTCTGCAAATCAATGAAAAAAATTATGAAAAATCTCATAAAATGTGTCACACTACAATTCATTCCCCATAAAGTTACACAATAGTCAGCATATGGGTTTTGTCACTTTAAAAGGGTCCTCAAGAGCAGTGCCTTAAATGAGATAGAAAGGTTCATTTCTCTCACATACATCAAATCCTAACTGGTAGACATTCAAGCAGAGGAGAGCATCAATGTTACATGAGGTTATCTAGAGGCCCTATTTCTTTCTGCCTTGTTGCTTTGCTACCTCCTAAGGGATGCCCTTGGCTATACAGTCAAAGCCAGCTCACTACCTCATCTGCATTCCACTTCAGGAAGGGAAGATAAATGGAGGACAAGCAGTTCAATTTTAATGGCATGACCTGACAGTTGCAGATGTCAATTCTGCTAATACCCTGTTGGCCAGAATTTACTCACATGGTACCATCTGAATGCCAAGGACACTGGGAAATGTAGTCCATAGCAAGGTAGCCAGGAAGTCGTATAAAACTCAGGGCATTCTATCACTAAAAAGAACAAAAGGAGAATGGACTGGGGATGGGGTGTGGAGAGAGGAAACGACAGGTTGTCAAAAAAGACTAGGATGTTCTTTCTGCTCACATTTACTAAATAGACATCATCCTCATACATATTATTACAACTCTTCCAATCATGCTGGATCACTGTTGAGATTTTCTGTTTAGATCAGTATTTGCAAGGACAAGTGTGTCCCTGAATCTATATTAGTACCATGCTTGCTAAAGTTGCAGATCAAACACCCAAATGGACCTGCTAGATTTTTGTCTTCCAATGGGGTTGTCACAGGTGGTCCTCCTCTCTCAAGCAAACTAAGAAGGAGAAAAGTGTAAGTCCTTTTCTATTTTTTTTTTTTTTTTGAGACTGTCTCACTCTGTCACCCAGGCTGGAGTGCCGTGGCATGAACTCACTGCGACCTCTGCCTCCCAGATTCAAGCGATTCTCCTGACTCAGCCTCCCGAGTACTGGGATTATATAGGTGCGTGCCACCATGCCCAGCTAATTTTTGTATTTTTAGTAGAGACAAGGTTTCACCATGTTGGCCGGGCTGGTCTCGAACTCCTGATCTCAAGTTATCCACTCGCCTCAGCCTCCCAAAGTGCTGGGATTACAGGCCTAAGCCACCACGCCTGGCCCAGTAACTCATCTTTACTAAGGAACTCCTCTACATCAAGCCCTGTTGTAGGGGTTTATGAACAATTACCTCAATTAATTCCTTAAGACAACCTTTAGTGAATACTACTATTATTCCCTAAATGAGAAAAAAAGCTTGGAGGGGTTAAATGATTAAGCCAAGTGTATTAGCTTTGAGATGGGTTCATTTTCTGTTTCCATGGGTAGAGCTGTAAAAAGTCTTTTTTTCCCCTGAGAAAGTGGGCTTTCACAAAAAAACTCACAAAATATAGGTAAACCACCAGCTGTTTCCTGTTCTCCCAAGATTTAGTGGGGAAGAAAGGGAAGAGAATCTCTAGGGGAGAATCAAGCTAGAATTGCTCACCACTCTAGGCAGAATTCAATACTTATCAGAGGCAAAGACACTCTGAGAGCCTGTGAGTCCCAAAAGAAACTGGATCCAGCTGGACATGGTGGCTCACACCTGTAATCCCAGCTTTTAGGGAGGCCAAGGCAAGGCGGGAGGATCTCTTGAGCCCAGGAGTTAAAGACAAGCCTGGGCAATACAGGGATACCTTGACTCTTAAAAAAAAAAAAAAATCCTTCTTTATCTAGCTTGGGGAATGTTGGGGGTGGGGGTTTGGTCCTAGCACTTCCATCGACCGGCCTCAGAGGCACATCAGTAGTGGCATAACACCTGCTGACTCAGGCCATCCCAGAGAAATAGCCATTGGACCCTCTCTTTAGGTGTAGTCCTGGCTTTTAATAAGAGAGTTTGGGCTACTGAAACGCAAGTAATTCATCAGTCCCTTCAAAGTATAGATAAGAGCCAGTCATAAACTTAATTTCATACCTAGCATTGGTAGTTACATTGAAACTGCAGTAATACAATCAAATTGCATTAGCCAGCTTTATATTTAAGACCTACTGCTTTAATTACTTTAAACAACACAGTCTTGTGTGGAAGCAAAGAAAGTCTTGCTATAAAGTGGCATTAGCTTAGGAAACCCCAGATTCTTTGAAGGAGACCGTTCTAAGAACTCCTACCAGAACCAAAGTCAAGCAGCCAAAAGGAAAAAAAAAGATAAAGCCCGGACTTCAATCCTTGTTAGATGGACTAACCCACTGAGCAGAAAAATCCCCAGTACAGAAAAATAACCCTAACGAAGATTAGGACAGAAATATTACCTTTGTATATAATGGGTCAACACGTTTACACACTCGTGGGCCCCAGCTATCATTTCAATCTTCACTTCCTTCATTATCATAGAAAGTAAAAAATCCCTTAATACTGCTGAGCTAAATGAATGTTGTGTCTAAGCTCCTAAGAATCAATTTTTTTAAGTTTTCTTTCTACAGTGGCTAATTGGAGAGGAGTTAAGAGTTCAGACTCTGTAAGTAAAGATCTGATTTCAAATTCCATCCTGCCTCAGGCTGCCTGTGAGACTCTGGGCCGGTTGCCTTTCTAGGTGCCCAGCTTGCTCATCTGTCAATTGGAACTAACAACAGTGCTCATGGGGGTTGCTGTAAGGACGAAATAGGCCAGTGCCTGGTGCAATGGAAATATGCAATATGTGTTAAATGTTATAAATGCTAACACATGAAGTACTGAAAGGTAGGATGATGACTTTTGAATTTTGGTTTGTGTGGTTTTTCCCCTCATGAGTTCCAATCTGTTTGGCCCCTAATGGCAAACTCTATCAGGTTGTGAGTCCTTGTTAACTCCACCAAAAGCTGAGAGAGATAAATGGACCCTTAGCAGCAGAAAAATTGCCTTCTGAAATAACCTCTTCCTGATGCATCCAGCATTTATGTGCTGTCCTTTTTTCCAAGACAAAAAATTGCATGTTGGAATTGGATTGGAGACATTATCTCGTGATGATTAAGGGAGGTTATTACTACAACAGTTCATGAAATGAAAGCTACCTGCTTTTACCCAGGGAGCTCTTGAAAATAACCCTCTTTTTCCCCAGTGAATAGGCAAGGAAAAGCAAGATTCCAATAATGGATAGCATTACAAATCCTTTTTCATGTACTCTGCTTATCTAAATTGGCACATGATGCCTGCCCACCATCTCTCAGAAATTGTGAGAGGTACTGACTCATCCATCAAGCCCCACCTAACAGCCTGGGAGGCACCAAGGAGGATATTTCTCTTTCTCTGCTGCCTGTTCCTCACCAAACTGAATCAGCATTTCAAGGAGCTCAATTCCCATTCTGAAAGGTAATACCTTCTAAAGATGGGGACGGCAGCACTTATGGAAATTCTAACCCATCAGCTGAAAGATAGGCATGTGAAAGTTAGAGAGTTACCCCACAGTAACCTCCCCAAAAGCTCTCCATTTGAAAAAATTTTAATTTTACATATATATGTATATACACCCACACATAAACACACATACATACACATATATGTGTGTATATCTATGTACATGCATACATGTATGTGTATATGTGTGTATATATATGCATATATATATATATTGCCTTCTGGAAAACCTCTTCCTGATGCATCCAGCATTTATGTGCTGTCCTTTTTTCCAAGACAAAAAATTGCATGTTGGAATTGGATTGGAGACATTATCTCATGATGATTAAGGGAGGTTATTCCTGCAACAGTTCATGAAATGAAAGCTACCTGCTTTTACCCAAGGAGCTCTTGAAAATAACCCTCTTTTTCCCCAGCAAATAGACTATATATATACATATATGTGTGTGTATATATGTGTGTGTGTGTGTGTGTGTGTGTGTGTGTATGTATATATATATATGTATAGAGCCCGGACTTTAATCCTTGTTAGATGGACTAACCCGCTGAGCAGAAAAATCCCCAGTACAACAAAATAACCCTAAGGAATATATATATTTTTTCTATAGTGGCTAATTGGAGAGGAGTAAGAGTTCAGACTCTGTAAGTAAATATCTGATTTCAAATTCCATCCTATATATTTTCCCAATACTTCATTTATACTTGCCAAATTTTTTCTCTTCCCCAAAACTACCTTTGGGAAGGGATTAGGAATGAGTCCCTAATTTAAGTCTTGCATTGTTTAAGCTTTAAATCAGGGCCGAATATTCTCTTAACTATGAATGGTCATTGAACAAGGAAAAACAACAGATACACAAACGTATATGTATCTTGGAATGGGAAGGAATAATGAGGAAAAAAATAAAAATATAAAAGAAATGGATATAAACAAATTCCTTATAAAGTACCTATCAAGAACTTACACTATACCAGGCATTCTTTTAGGTATCCAGGATTCCTCAACCTCAGCACTATTGACACTTTGGGCTAAATCATTCTTTGTTGTGAGGAAACTGTTCTGTGCATGACAGGACATTCAGCACCATCCCTGGCCTCTACCCACTAGATGTCAGCAGCACCCCTCACCCTCGCCAAGTTATGAGAAGCAAAACTGTCTCCAGACTTTGCCAAATATCCCCAGGGAACAAAATCGCCTCTGGTTACGAACCACTGTACTAGATACACAAAAATTGCCCTGCCTACTAGTTGCAATTTTTGTTTTATGCTCCTTAAGGACAGTCAGTCCTCAAAAACTCAGTGCATTATCTGGTGTACAGGTTGTCAAACCTCCTCTTCTCCATTGCTGGGCTACTGCTGACTTCTGACCAAGTGGAGGAGGTTGCGGGGGTTCTGGGAGCATCCAGTTCCTTACTCTCAGTTATGCTTTCTAAGTCTCTCATCATTTCCATTAGCATTCTGATCTTTTAGAAAGCTTTTCTAGAGCAGCAAATCTCTAACATTCATCTGATATTTATATTGTCCATAAATATTTGAAGTATCAAATCAACATACAAAAATAAGAAGTCAAGTTTTGCATTGAAGTGGAAATTTTAGGAAATGTTCTACATCAGTAGGCATCTCCTGTTAGAGGTTTGTGATTCTAAGTAATTAGTACCAAGATGTTTCCTAGTTATCCTTTTCAACTCAGAGTTGGCTGTGACTAAGGGATAAAGAATGGGAGGGAGGTGTTTGTTTATGTTTAGTTTTCACAAACATGTCATGATGTATTGTGAGACCACAGCGACTTATTAATGCAACTTTCATCCAGTGACTTGAAAACCTTCAAAAATATTCATTAACAGATACGCTGATGAGGTTTGCAGGCTTTCAACCTCATATTCTTACCATATTAGTCTAAAGAGATTCTTGGGATGAATCATATGGCATTACATTACCCACGGCTTTATCTTCAGAGAGAAACAACAACAAACACCAGTGCATTTCAAAATTCCCTAAGGTGTCATTGGCCAAGCAGACCAGGAGCTTTGTCTCTATGCCCCAGGAAAAGAAAGGGGCAGAGACAGGAAGAAACTAGCTGAAGTCATCGGGCTCATGCCTGTAATCCCAGCACTTTGAGAGGCCGAGGCAAGCAGATCACTTGAGGTCAGGAGTTTGAGACCAGCCTGGTCAACATGGTGAAAGCCCATCTCTACTAAAAATACAAAAATTAGCCAGGCGTCGTGGTGCACTCCTGTAGTCCCAGCTACTCAGGAGGCTGAGTCAGGAGAATCGCTCGAACCTGGGAGGCAGAGGTTACAGTGAGCCGAGATTGCACCACTACACTTCAGCCTGGGTGACAGAGCAAGACTCTGTCTCCAAAAAGAAAGAAGGAAAGAAAGAAAGAAAGAAAGAAAGAAAGAAAGAAAGAGAGAGAGAGAGAGAGAGAGAGAGAGAGAGAGAGAAAGAAAGAAAGAAAGAAAGAAAGAAAGAAAGAAAGAAAGAAAGAAAGAAAGAAAGAAAGAAAGAAAGAAAGAAAGAAACGAACACCCTATGAAGTTGTTAACATTGACCAGATCTCTAAATGTTGAATTGCTCCAGATTCAGGCCTTGGAATTCTTATCTCCTTCACTTTCTAGGGAAACTTATCCACTCCTGTGGTGATAAATACCAACTCCCAAATGTATATCTTCAAACCCAGACTTCTCTGAGCTCCAGTCTTGTATATCCAACTGTCTTCTCCATATCACACTTGATTGTCTCAAATTTAACACATCCCCCACAAATCCCCTTTCTTCTCTCTCCCAGATTTCTTCAGCCAATTGTATTGCATGTTTCCAATTATTCAGGTCACAAACAGTGGAATCACCTTGACATCTCCCTTTCTCTTATCCCCTGCATGTAATCATCAACAAATTCTGACAGCTCTTTCTGTCAAATATTTCTAGAATCCAACCACTTCTCACCCTTCTACTGGCAACCAACCTGGATTACACCATCTTCATCTAGATTTTTAGCACAATTGACCTCCATGTTTGCCCCATCCAGTCTATTTTCCACACAGCAGCCAGTGTAACTGTTTACATTTCAAGTCATAGCATGTTTCCTCTCTGTTCAAAATTCCAGTGGCTTCCCCAAAGCCCTTCCATGCACAAGGCCCTGCCTATCTGGTCATCTGCCTCCTCTCTGACTTCATTTCACCTTTCTACTCTCTTGGCTCTTCCTTCGCTCTCTATAGTTACTCTTCCATCTCTCTGGAGCACACTCCCTTTGAAACCCTCATGTTTCCCGCTCTCACTTCCTTCATGTCTCTGCTCAAATGACACTTTATCAGAGAAACTTCCCTCACCACACTGTGTGAAATAGTGCCCCCTCCTCAGGCTTTCTCTATATTCTTTATCTTGCTGTTTACAGCCCCTATCCTGCTTTTCTCATCAAAAATATTTTTTCTTCATAAATAAATGTGTTTATGTGTATATATATGTATGTACATACATCTGCAATATATACATATTTGTATTACACATTTATTAATGCAGGGATTGACAAACTATGGCCCAGGACCAAATCTAGCCCTGGCCTGATTTTGTACAGACACAAGCTAAAAATGGTTTTTATATTATTAAAAGGCTGTAAAAGAAAAAGGGGAAAAAAGATGAATAAGAAACAGAAAGCATATGTGGACTGCAAAACCTAAAATATTTGGCATCCGGCCCCTTATAGAAAAAGGTTGCCAGCCCCTGTATTGTCTCCCACTAGAACATAAACTCCTTGAGCTCAGGGACTTTGTTTTGGTCACTGTAAGATCCCCAGCACATAGAAGAGTGCCTGGTTCAAAGTAGATGCTAAGTAAATATTTTTAAAAGAATGAATGAATAAAGACAATGAGTTTTATTGTTTGTTTGTTTGTTTGTTAGCCCAGATCTCACTCTGTTGCCCAGGCTGGAGTGCAATGGTATGATCATGGCTCACTGCAAGCTCGACCACTCGGGCTCAAACAATCCTCCCACCTCAGCCTCCCATGTAGCTGAGACCACAGGTGTATGCTCAGCTAATTTTTTTTAATATTTGTAGAGACTGAGGTCTCACTATGTTGTCCAGGCTCATCTCTAACTCCTAGGCTCAAGCAATCTTCCTGCCTCAGCTTCCCAAAGTGCTGGATTATAGGCATGAGCCACTTCTCTCAGCCCAACACTGAGTCTTAGTGAGGTCAGGTGACTTGTCTAAGGTCACACAGGAAGCTGGCAGATGAACCAGGTTTCAAACCCAGGTCCACCTGATTCCACAGCTAGGCCCTGATGTGCAAGAGCTGCTTGAAGCAATGATTTGAACCTTCTTGTTTTCTACCAAAAGGCTTTCCTTTGTAGACTGTCTCTAACAGGCAAATTAGGTAAGCACCCTGTGGGACAGGGGATGAAAAAAGAAAGACATACAGTATGTTGCAGAAAACTTTTAAAAATTATATCATAACATATTTACATCTGATATCAACCATATTCAATGTACTTTCATATACATCATCTCTTAGTGTCACCACATATCTGTCTGTATATGGTAATGAGCGTAATCTGTAATTATGCTCATTACACACATTACAAAACAGAGTTTCAGAGAGGTTAGGGGAACTGGCTTTCACAAGAAATGAGTAGCAGAGACAGAATTGAATCCAGATTTATCACTTTTAGTGCAGAGCTTTCCCCTTTACCAAATTGGACCAACATATATCCCCACAGCTCTGCTGAAGGGTAAAAGTGCTGCCATGGATGTGGAGGAATTTTAATAAAATGGCAGTCACAGTTCAGTCACTTCTAAGAAACCAGGGGCTACTCCATTTCACTTAGAGGTCTGTGGCATACAAGAAAACCTCCTCAGTTATAAACGGCAATCTACCAATGGCCAGAGGCAGCAGCAAAGTAAGAACTTTGAAACTGAAGCAATGAGCAAGAGAGCTGTCAAGCTGACCACATCTTGGGCTTTTACTGGTGTGACAATAGTGCAGCATTTTTGAGCTGCCAGGCCCATGACCATCTTCAAGAAGGAAGCCAAGAAAACTGACAGTTCTCTTAGCTGACACGAATATCCACAGCTGTCACCTCCTGGACCAGCTGCTGAATCTAATCAGCCATCCTCTGAGGCAGCTGACTTTAGAGCCTTAGTGTATTTGGCTGAGAAACCATGTGTGTTACGTGGCTGCCAAGGGCCAGCCTTCTGCGTGATTGCCAGTGTCTCTATGTTTTTATAGAGGAGAGGTCACGATGCTGCCCCCTGGAGTTCATTTGAATCTGACACGCAGCTGTACACTGGCCAAGATACCAGCTCAGAATGCTTGCAACAGTCTAGTTTCAAATGTCTGTCTCTTTGTTGCTGTAAGTTCCTTATGCTGTGTCAGGCCATGTGTGCCCTACCCCCCGCCCAGAAAATGTAGCCTCTATAAACAGCAGCAGTTGAAGCTACTGTACTATATTTGGTCCATTTCTGCATCTCTTCACCCTCCTCACTATAATATGGCCCAACTCTTAGGAAACTGAAATTAAATCAAAGTGTCATTTTCAATGGTAGAATATGCAAGAATTTTAAGTACTAAATGACTATGATTATTAAATCAGTTTAATAATTATAATGTTTTCTTCAAATAATTTATATGATGACTTGGATATGAAAACCTGATGAACTACATAATAACTACAAATGTACCATTCCTTTCGGTACAACTTTAAACTTATGTCTCTGTATTTTAAAAATCTCTTTTATTTGGAAATAACATTAGTAATTGCAATGAAGAACATGGAGCAAAGGTCAAATGCTTTACCTAATATATTCCTTTGTCAAAAAAAGAAAACTTGAAAATCGTTCAAAGTCGGGCATTAGGTATCTTCCATATATTAAGTATCATGCTTAGTGTGATGCTAAGTGTGACATTATATTCTTAGAAAGTGTCTGGCTACTTACATGCATATTCCAAGGAAACTTTATATATGGGGAAGACATATTTGAGAACTCCGCATTTGTACTGTGTTAAGCAATAAAAAGTATACCTTTTTGTTGTCAGGCTTGAGAAAGAGATCCAAGATCTTGAAAAAGCTGAACTGCAAATCTCAACGAAGGAAGAGGCCATTTTAAAGAAACTAAAGTCAATTGAGCGGACAACAGAAGACATTATAAGAGTGAGCATTAACCAATTTTAAAACTGTAATTCTCTCTCAAAATGAATCCACAAATACTATATAATTTTTCAAAGCATATCCACATTTAGATTCTATTTTTTAAACTGTATTAATCATGGAGAATTCTTTTTTCTTACAGTCTGTGAAAGTGGAAAGAGAAGAAAGAGCAGAAGGTATGTTTTTGAATAACTTATTTTATGTTAAACTAAGTTTTTTTGGTAATTTGAAATTGTTCCCATTGTAAATATATTCTAAATGTATTTTGAATTCATATTAATTTTACAGAGTCAATTGAGGACATCTATGCTAATATCCCTGACCTTCCAAAGTCCTACATACCTTCTAGGTTAAGGAAGGAGATAAATGAAGAAAAAGAAGATGATGAACAAAATAGGAAAGGTATATGAGAAATCTGTGTTGAAGGGCATGTTCTTAATTTCAGATTTTACAGTGTCAAATATTCACAACTTGCTATGACATATTATTCTTCCAGGTTAAGCAATGGTTCACTTTACAAAGTTCTGTGAGTTATGTGAGTCACCGCATAGGTGAGGATAATGAGGGTATAATAATAGCATTTATTCCATGCATTTTATTCCCTAACAAACCAGACAGGGATAAGGAAGATAGAGACCCAAAGGAGACAAGAAGCTCTTAAAAGCATAGATTCCCTGGTCAAAAATATTTCTCCTGACATATTCCATCCAATAGAACCTCTTTGGGGGTTACAAAGATCTTTTTTGAAAATGAAAATATTCCTTTGGGAAGCTTAGGCCTTATTTACCTCCATGGGAAATTGAGTTACATAAAACTGATGCTTCAAAGCTTCTAGAAAAATGAAGGTTTGCATTAGAGCAGAGAGGAAAACTTTGAATTTTACAGTGGAAGGAAAAGCTACTCTTTATTTGCAGATGGTAGTCATTTATTCATTCAACAAATATTTAGAGAATAGATACTGTGTGCCAGGTTCAGTTAGGCACATAGTAGGTATTCACTAAATATATCATGGTAGGGAGTGCAATACAGAGAATAAAGCAGAGAAGCTGGACAGGGAGAGTGCAGATGAGGGGTGTTGCAGTTTTTCTTGGGTAGTCAAGGAAGGCCAAGAACCACCAGGCTATAGAGGAGGTAAGAAATACAAAATGGGTTCAGAAAGAAAGGTGGGAGGACACAACAAAAGCAAGCTGTAATTTTGCACAGAATTCTATTCGCTTTACCTTTCCTATTGAAATTCCAGCCATAGGGATCTTACTTAGGTCATGAAGCAAATCTCAGCTTCCCCAGTTCTCTCCAGTCCATTTGTCTCAGTGCAGCTGATATTGCTGTACTTTTTAGCCCTTCCTCTACTTGAAAATGGGAGTGAAAATGAAAAGAAACATAAGGCAGAAAGAGAAGTGTGTGATTGTAGCCTTCTCCCTCCCGTTTCCATCCCAGTTCTACATTTAAACAGCCTCTCCACTGTGAAAACTTTAGAACACACCTCTATAATTTCACCAGGCTGCTGGCCTGTACAACAAGGATGTAACTTTATAAAATATACTGTACTAGGCACTTTGCCCACTGTGATGCACAGTCCAACATATTCTTCTTGACTAAAGAAGAGATTGATTCTGCCCATTGAGAAATGCAAAAGAAAGTATATCCATCTTGCTGAATTTATTAATAGGAAAGAGGATATCTTTTTCGGTTCCCCATTGAAATTCTTTCCTATTTGGAACCATCAGCTTATCTTCTCTAATCAACTTCTCTTCTTCAACCCTTTCCATTTTTCAGTACAATTCCCTACACCATTACATAAAAACCCGTGTTATTCCAGTTGGTCATGATATCATTAATGAGTAAAATCAGAAATTTAAAAAATAGACAACATCTCACATACAAGAACATGAAGGGTCTACTTAATATAAAAATAAACACAGTGAAAGCAGGTTAGTTTACAAAAGAAAAGTTAACTAAATCAAAGATCAAATTTGTTTCTTAACAGCTTTATATGCCATGGAAATTAAAGTTGAAAAAGACTTGAAGACTGGAGAAAGTACAGTTCTGTCTTCAATACCTCTGCCATCAGATGACTTTAAAGGTACAGGAATAAAAGTTTATGATGATGGGCAAAAGTCAGTGTATGCAGTAAGTTCTAATCACAGTGCAGCATACAATGGCACCGATGGCCTGGCACCAGTTGAAGTAGAGGAACTTCTAAGACAAGCCTCAGAGAGAAACTCTAAATCCCCAACAGAGTATCATGAGCCTGTATATGCCAATCCCTTTTACAGGCCTACAACCCCACAGAGAGAAACGGTGACCCCTGGACCAAACTTTCAAGAAAGGATAAAGATTAAAACTAATGGACTGGGTATTGGTGTAAATGAATCCATACACAATATGGGCAATGGTCTTTCAGAGGAAAGGGGAAACAACTTCAATCACATCAGTCCCATTCCGCCAGTGCCTCATCCCCGATCAGTGATTCAACAAGCAGAAGAGAAGCTTCACACCCCGCAAAAAAGGCTAATGACTCCTTGGGAAGAATCGAATGTCATGCAGGACAAAGATGCACCCTCTCCAAAGCCAAGGCTGAGCCCCAGAGAGACAATATTTGGGAAATCTGAACACCAGAATTCTTCACCCACTTGTCAGGAGGACGAGGAAGATGTCAGATATAATATCGTTCATTCCCTGCCTCCAGACATAAATGATACAGAACCGGTGACAATGATTTTCATGGGGTATCAGCAGGCAGAAGACAGTGAAGAAGATAAGAAGTTTCTGACAGGATATGATGGGATCATCCATGCTGAGCTGGTTGTGATTGATGATGAGGAGGAGGAGGATGAAGGAGAAGCAGAGAAACCGTCCTACCACCCCATAGCTCCCCATAGTCAGGTGTACCAGCCAGCCAAACCAACACCACTTCCTAGAAAAAGATCAGAAGCTAGTCCTCATGAAAACACAAATCATAAATCCCCCCACAAAAATTCCATATCTCTGAAAGAGCAAGAAGAAAGCTTAGGCAGCCCTGTCCACCATTCCCCATTTGATGCTCAGACAACTGGAGATGGGACTGAGGATCCATCCTTAACAGGTAATAAAAATGACAAGGCATGCCACTGCTGTTCAGTCATGTGACCAGCTTCTCTTGTGCTAATGCAGTCTTGCTTTCAGGCTTCTCTGACCACCTCATAAACTAATACGCACTGAGATTTTTTTATTAATGCTGATAGAGATTATTATCACCACAGTAAAGTGATTAAGTCACTTCAAAAGATAAAGAAAGTAAAAATAAATCATTGCCTTATTTGATATTGTATTGAGGAACTTTAATAACTTGAATTTCATCTTCTATCATGGTATGGTGCTGCTTGTGAGTGTATTTGGGTCACTAATATGTTGGATCATCAATAACATATCTTTTTCCACTAGAATCTGATGACTACTTTATTTGTGCCTCACTGTGATTTAAACTTCTTATATAAGTTAACAAATTGCCTTAATTCTGCAAGAAAGTACAAGAAACAAATTTTATTTTCAGAGTATTTTATTACCTTGCTGTATCTTGTTTCTCTATATGTCTATAGTTTCATTAATTTTATTTTCCTAATTTTTCTACATTTTAAAATAGAATGTTAGTTTATTTTATGTTTTCTATAACCTTTAACTTTGCATAGTGTTCCCCAACTTAGCATATTTATCTTTTCTATTTTCTATATATTTGCATTTCTCATTCTTTGCAAAATTTTTATAGCTTTATAGCTAACCAGCTATTTTAGCATTGAGTGGAAAATAACTTTAACACTTTTTTTCTACAAAAGTGATAGCTTCTCAATTTTAGATTTCTTGTTATCACTTAAATACTATATTCTAGTTATCATTTATAAAGAATAAATAAGAACCTAACAAAATCAGTTATAATAGCTGTACTTACCTTGGCTAAAGATGTAAATCAAATTACCCTGACATACAATTTCTGTATGTTTGCTAGGGATAGTAATTTTAAATGTCTCTAATGGAAGGATTCTCATTAAAAAGCAATAAATATTAAGTACTGGCTAACTTCACAAGTCAAACTTGATAATTCTATGGCAGTGTGGTAGTACCTGCACAATTACCTACACAATTCAATAATGTTTCTTCCTCTACAACCCATAAGCCCAATATTAGGTAGCTAATAATACAGTAAAATGAACCTTCTCCCATTATTTTAAGTAGTTAAAGTAGGTATCCCAATGATAAATTTAATTACCTGAAGAATTTCTAAGCTTTTGGAAAGTATACACGTATACAACTTCCTCAATCAGAGTTGAGTGATATGTCTCACAATGGAAAGTTGCAGATACTAAGTTTCTTTCCATCTTAAGAGAGAGCTTTGGTCACTGATCAAACTTTGCCATCTTAAACTCATTTTAAAAACAAAAAACACAGAAGACTTAGAAGAGAGGAACACACTGTTTACGGTCAATAGCAGTGACATTATCCACTATAAAACCTCCCTTTTCTGAACTTGGATATTAGCCAGCTCCTCCTGAACACCCTTATTTCTTCTCCTCTAACCTTGTCAACACATTTACCCCATGGAAAATGACAGGAAGTGACTAACATTTCCAGACAACACTAATCATGCCCCTGAACTAAAATAATGAAAACAGGAAAACCTATTCCAGACAAAGTAACAATACAGAGTTCTGTATTATCAATCAAAGTATCTTATAAACAGAATGCTCCAAATTCCTTGCCTTCCACCATGATATTGTTTTACATTGCTGTTTTCCAATTCGGCATACAGACTACAGAGCTGATGTGTATTTTTTAAGTAGGTTTTAAAAATAAGTAAGTCACAGTGTCATATGCCCTCACATGCCATCCATATACAAAGAATACATAACCACCTACGTACTTCCATTTCACAAACACCAAGTGGGTTGAGCTTCTCCCCATAACTCCCCCAAAAAACGCTTATGATACTTGAAAACTCACCATTTAGGTCAATTCCTTTATTTATGGTATAAATCCCCTATTTAATATAAATAGCCCTGGTAGGCATAATAGTTAAGAATTGTTAGTCTCTTTTCCCTTGGTATAAATATGGTTATCAATACCTTATCTAAGAGCAATTTTAATTTGGAAAACAGCGTGAAGAAGAAAGAAATGGAAAAAGGTGGACCCTGGAGATTCAAAAGACAAGATTTTTTTAGTCAAAATTTTGAACAGAGTAAGACATGACAGAAAAATTCAGGCAACATTATGTCCATCTGCTTAATGTAAATATAACATATTCATAGGATAAAGCTCAATGCCAGACACTTCCACCATTGCATGGCCCCAGCCAGCTTTGCATGGGAACTCACTGCTACCCCTACCAATCAGGGGGTAGTAGTTGGCTTTCTTTGGTAGTCCTCACCAACCTATTCTTGTACTTCCAGCTCTATTCTGTCCTCTTAGAGGTGTCAGTGGCATTCCAGGATGAAGTGGTGGGGATCTCAGCTCTGGGAGTTCATATGCTACTGGTGCTGATTGCCAACCTGCAACAGCCATTAGAGTCCAAGGGATAATGAGAGTAAGGAGACTTCTATCAAGTTCAGCCAGCTGAAACCATGCATCTAAAATGCTATGGGAAGAAGAGGCAGGGATCAGACAGGAGCAGAAAATAGAAGTAAAAAAGAGAGCTGATGGCCCAGGGTTTTTAGCTGCTAAACCAAGCCTTCTATTGCCAACATGCTCTGGCCCCATGCATTTACTGGAACTCACACTACCTACTTGCCATAGGCTTGAAAAAAGGAAAGAAAGGAAAGCAGACTCTAGCAAACTTCTCTGAATGTCCACAGCACACAGGATGTGCCTGATTTACGGAATCTTACAGTGAGGAGTGACTGTAAGAAAAAGCAATTTGCCCGTGACTTATAAGAGACTCAAAAAGCCCCTCACTCCTACTCTCTTTTGTTGGTAGGGGCAAGATAGAGGTCCATAAAATCCAACAGTATAAACTTCATAAAGACTTGCCTTCTGCCTTCTGCCTTCTGTTCACCTTCTGCTATGTAACTACAGCCTCTGCCAGCAATCGAGACCTGCTTGCTACAGAGCACATTCTCTCAGTTCATCCTAAATTCTAGGGAATATTCTTGGCCCTGCCACTAGAACTGATCATCCCTGTTAAAGTTTCAAGGGAAATAATGCTCTTTAGCTTCATTGAAATTAAAATATTTCATATAAGTGGAGTGACAATTAAAATAATCATGGTCTTGTTACAGAATTAGATCCCATCCCTTCTCATATTTGTGCAAAAAGGTTTCTTAGGTATGGGGTCATTTCCATTGTCAAAAGGTAACCAATATATGGTATACAAATGAGAAAACATGTCTTCCATTTTACTTTCCATGAGACAAAATTGTGCAATCAGTTACATAGCTTGTTCTTGGGCCATATTACATGTGAATGTAATATTAGATCATTAACATAATCTTTAGATCAGTGCCTTGAAAGCATCTATCAACTTTTGGAACATGACTAAGGCAGCTCTACACTGAAATCCTAAATAATAAGAATAGAATACCAGAATACTCATCCAGAATACCAGAAAAGTGTTATACATTCTAAATCTACATTTTAAAAAATGCTTTCTACATTCAATATATTATTAGCAGAGGAATATATCCAAAAAGATATATTTGCCATTTTAAAACATACTTATATCTTGACAAAGACATTTTATAATCACTCCAGCTTTTAATAACTTGTTCCTGTTGTTTCATTCGTAAAGAAATTTGTTTTTGTTATTGTATATCCAAAGGCCAGAGCTCCTTTGGGAAAGGAAGTTGAATGAGCTGAAAGCAAACACGATCATGAAATAGAGTTTAAGTGTAAACACCATTTTATTTTGGCAGTACATAACTCAGAAATGTATGTAAAACAGTCATCAACCTATAGGAATCTGTATGTATGGCTAATAGGGAAACTGTGCATTAATCCTGTATTTGTTCCACTTGTACTGTTTGCTCTACTAATTTTTCTAATCTTTATAGAAATAGGTTCCTTCTAGTTCTGAACCTGCTTCTGCCCTAAGTTAACCATAGCTTATTATTTCTACTATCTTTTTGTGCTACTAAATCAATGCTCACACTGTTGGATAAAACCATCTGAGGTATGTTCTAAACTTTCCTGCATTCTATGAATGGCCATTTAGAGTAAAAATTGAGGATTTTTTTTATAACTCTCTTTTTTTTTCTTTAATTTGCAGCTTTAAGGATGAGAATGGCAAAGCTGGGAAAAAAGGTGATCTAAGAGTTGTACCACCTATATAAACATCCTTTGAAGAAGAAACTAAGAAGCATTTGCAAATTTCTCTTCTGGATATTTTGTTTATTTTTTCTGAAGTCCAAAAAATTATCATTACAGTGTACCATATTAAGCCATGTGAATAAGTAGTAGTCATTATTTGTGAAAAATTCCCAAAAAGCTGGGGAAAACAAATGTGTAACTTTTCCAGTTACTTGACACGATTCAGTGGGGGAAAACCAGCATTTTTTATTCTATTGATACCAAAGCATTTCTAATAAGAGCTTGTTAAATTTAAGAATAAAGTTATTTAAAATATTCTGAGTATAGTATATTAACTGGCATTGTAATTTTGATGATACAAAGATTGAAAGATCATAGGAAAGCATTGCCCTTCATCACAGAAGTATTCAACTCTGACAAATAAATATGTCATCCTGAATTAATAATGCCTTAATAAAAGTACATCCTCCTGCTAACTATCACTTCAGTTGGTTTGGTAGAGACTTCAAACCCTTGCACATATCCAAAAGGTGCATCCCGTAATGATCCTCAGATTTGGGGACTGAGTTTGGATAGTCCGGCCAGTGCACAGATGATAACCGGCACATTCATTCTTCTTAAATTATCATCCTTTCTTTCACTCAGTTCAATGTGAACCCTGTGGTGCAATGACAGACTATGACCTCAGGGTGTTGGATAGAGGATGTCCCATACCCTCAAAGAGCACAGATCTGGTCTAATATTTCACTGATTCTTGTGAACAAGTTAGACAGGGGTGGCCCATCTTTTGGCTTCCCTGAGCCACATTGGAAGAATTGTCTGGGCCACACATAAAATACACGAACACTAACAGTAGCTGATGATCTAAAAAAAAACGCAAAATAATCTCATACTGTTTTAATAAAGTTTATGAATTTGTGTTGGGATGCATTCAAAGCCATCCTGGGCCACATGCGGCCCGCGGGCGGCAGGTTGGGCAAGCTTGAGTTCGAATCTTAATATTAAAACTAATAGGAATGTTTACAGCATATTACTTCTAAGTATTCTTGCCAAGATATTCAATCCTAATTTGAAGCAGAGTACTCCCATGACAATAAATTCTTTCCTACCCTGCCTTATTTTACGTCCCTCCTTCAAACCCCCTCGAGATCCACTCCTACACACCTTCCCCTGAATCATGCCAGTATATATTATCCAGCTCATCCAAGTCTTTCCATGAGAGTCTGTTTCCTCCCAGGACAGAAACTGAATTTCCCTGCTGGGACTATGTATGATCAGACTTTATCTTAATTATTGGTCTGAAGGTAATGAGAGGTCAGAGAAGCAGATGATTCTGAGGAGGACATGCATTAACCTGCAAAGCCTCCATTCCAGCTGAGTGGTTTTGCAAGGGGCAGCTGTTCTCTAGCGGGAGAGAGCTACTTCTGGTGGCCTGAAATGTTCTGGGAAACCTGGAGGTTCAAATTTTTGAAGTAAATTACTTTCAACAAATATCCCTATTCCAGGTCCAGGGACTCCTTCCCTTTCATGGCTCTAAGTTTAGCATAAGTGACCTCTCAAACCTGCACGTTCCTTTGTTGCCCTGCCACCCTTAGGATTGAAGCATGGGTTTTATTTTCACACAGTTTGCCTTCTGTCTACAGCAGACATAGTTCTCTTTAAACATTGCCATGATGCCTGCCTGGCTTTCTGGAATGCCCCGAAATAGTTGGCTGGTCTGAGCCTAATTCTTTTTCTTCAAAGATTCTAAGGCAATTATCAAAAAGCAGCCAACTTCACAGCACATGTCAGTACATGATAATATTTTGCCCCATACTAGTCAAGTGCAGAGCTACTTTATAACCTACCTCTTCCCTTTTTACCTGTACCTCATCTCAATCCAGTATAAGGGAGAGTCTTAGTAACTATAATAGTACAGAGACAAGGTACTGCCTTCTGTTCACCTTCTGCTATGTAACTACAGCCTTTCCAGCAATCGAGACCTACTTAGCAGGTATTTTGTACCTGAGTACAAACCATGGGTTATAACTGAACACAATTTGCTGCTCATATTGGTCCAGGTTTGGCTATTAAAAGCTCATTCAGTTGGCTCCTGTGCCCCTTTGACTTATCCATATAAGTGATTTTGCTTAGTTACTTCCTTACTTTCTGGCATTACAAGATTACCCAGTCTCAGCTTCTTAGTAACTATAATAGTACAGACAGCCAAAGGTTGTTACCATTAACTTATCACACAGTCCTCATTGCCCTCTGACCAGTGAGTGGACTGTCCAGTTCCAGAGTCCCATTCAGAGCATCTGCTCTGTAGAGCCACTCTTGGTTCCAACAAGAAGTACAGCCTGAAATTAGGACTTGGGTACAGTAGTTTGAGAAGTGATCCCAGGAGTAGGAAGAAAAGCACAGGAAAGAATGGTAAATATAATGGTATGTAATAGAAGTCAATGCTTTAGGCACCAGAGACTGAATTTTACTATAATCTCAAAAAGAGTGTACAGAAAGCAGCTAACATTGTCTGTCTGAAGGAGAGAACTTTAGGGCATTTATCCACCAGCTCAGGTCCCTCATTGAATGAGGGAGCATAAATTCCCCCACACTTCTGGATTGCACTTGCATGAGAGTCACACAGGTTGCCTTAGTGCCCAGAGTGAAAAGAAGAAAGAAGCACGGAACATGCCTCTAGAAGGATGGTAAGTCTGAACTCACTTGGAACTGTCCACTGCAGCTATGGTGCTGCAAAAATGGACCATGGGGAAATGACACAGGCACCAACAGTGTCTGCCACACTAGCTGTATAACCCTGGGCAACAAACAACTTACCTGAGCCTGTATCCTTATCTATAAAATGAGGTACATGTCACCTGTCTAACACAGTCATGTGAGGACTCAATTTGTCAGCGAATTAAAAGAACCAGGTGTCCTGCCCATCATCAAGTCTGGCTGAGGTGTCACACATGAAGGTAGACACCATATACCCTTATCATTTCATATCTTGGTGTTTTGTATGTTTAGTGCTCATTTTAGGTCAATGGGGCATTTCAAGTTAAGTGGAGTAGAAGTAAGTAAAGGAAAAGTTTGGGGAAGGGTAAGTGAAATAATAGTTCAGGGTATTTTTTTCCCAGAGACATTCAGTTGGTCCAGCTCTATTTGTTGAAACACTATTATTTTTCACATTGAATTACCTGGACCCGTCTGTTAATTAGTTGGTCCTAGAAGTGAGATCCTACATATGGAGTCTCTGCTCTATTCCATTCATCTGCATATCTCTCATGAATACTGCACACTTTATTTATACTGGTTAATATTGTAGTTTTATAATAAATATTGGAATCGAGTCGGGTTAGGTCCTCCAATCTTATCTTGTTTTTTTAATACACTTTAAAAACAGTTTTAGATTAACAGAAAAATTGAGAAGACAGCACAAAATTACCACATACCCTGTACCCAGATTTTCCTATTTTAACTTCTTACATTAGCATTGTACATCTGTTACAATTAACAATCCAGTAGTGATACAATATTATTAACTAAAGTCTCAAACTTTATTCAGATTCCCTTAGTCTTTAGCTAATGTCCTTTTTCTGTTCCAAAATCCCAAAAAGAAAACCATGGTACTTTTAGTTGTCATGTCTCCTTTTGCTCTGCTTGGCTGTGACTCTTTTTCAGACTTTCCTCGTATTTGGATGACCTTGACAGTTCTGAAAATTGCTGAGTATGTATTTTGTACCAGGGTACAAACCATGGGTTATAATCCAACACAACTTGCTGCTCAAGTTGGTCCAGCTTTGGCTGTTGAAAGCTCATTCAGTAGGCTCCTGTGCCCCTTTGACATATCCCTGTAAGTGATTTTGCTTTGTTTTTTCCTTACTTTCTGGCACTACAAGATGACCCAGTCTCATCCTATGTATTTCTTACCCCAGTTCTGGAATCAGCAACTTATCCAAGAGTTTCTGTTGCTTTTATTGGAGAATGATACAGAAAACAAAATCTGGGCACTAGGCATGCTCATTGCTACTTTGTCTTTTTAAATATTGTCTTGACCATTTAAGGTTCTTTGTCTTCCCATGTGAATTTTAGAATCAGTCTGTAAACCCCTTCAAATGAGGCTGCTAGGCTTTTGATTGGAATTAAATTTATAGATCAATTTGGAGAGAATTTTCATTCTAATATTGTTTGCTGATCCATGACCCCAAGAAACCAAAGGGCAAGATATCTACTTATGCCTTCTTTGTGCAGATGCGCAGAGAACCTAAGAAGAAAAACCCAGTGGTCCCTGTCAATTTTGCAGAATTTTCCAAGAAGTGCTCTGAGAGGTGGAAGACCATGTCTGGGAAAGAGAAGTCTAAATTTGATGAAATGGCAAAGGCGGATAAATTATGCTATGATCAGGAAATGAAGGATTACATACCAGCTAAGGGAGGCAAGAAGAAGGATCTTAATGCCCACAAAAGACCACCATCTGGATTCCTCCTGTTCTGTTCAGAATTCTGCCCAAGATCAAATTCACAAAGCCTGACATCTCTATTGAAGATGTGGCAAAAAAGCTGGATGAGATGTGGAATAACTTAAATGACAGTGAAAAGGAGCCTTACCTTACTGCATTAGTCCAGTCTCATGCTGCTATGAAGAAAAACCTGAGATGGGGTAATTTATAAAGGAAGGAGGTTTAATTGACTCACAGTTCCGCATTGCTGGGGAGGCCTCAGGAAACTTACAATCATGGCAGAAGGCAAGGAAAAACAAGCACCTTCTTCACAGGGTGGCAAGATGGAGTGAGTGCCAAAAGGGGAAATGCCAGACACCTGTAAAACCATCAGATCTCATGAGAACTCACTATCACAAGAACAGCAACCGCCCCCATGATCCAATTACCTCCACCTGGTCCCACCCTTGACACGTGGGGATTATCAGGATTACAATTCCAGGTGAGATTGAGTTGGGGTCACAGAGCCAAACCATATCAATCACCAAGGCAGCAAAGCTGAAAGAGAAGTATGAGAAGGATGTTGCTGACTACAAGTCTAGAAAGCTTGATGGTGCAAAAGGTCCTGCTAAAGTTGCCCAAAAACAAGTGGAAGAGGAAGATGAAGAAGACGAGGAGGAAGTAAAGGAGGAGGATGAATTAAAAAAACTGTTCATCTATTTTAAAAATGCTTTTCTATAATGACTTTGTGTCCTACACCTCTGATAAGTTCAATTAATTTTAGCATTTTTTAATATATTCCTTAGGATTTTCTACTTAATGATCAGGTTGTCTGCAAATAAAAACAACTTTACTTCTTCCCTAATCTTATGACTTTTATTTCATTTCATTGCTTTATTGCACTAAGGCTTTCAGTACAATGTTACATATAAATGCAGAGAGCAGGCATTCTTTGCCTTGTTCTGATTTTTCAGAGGGGAAGTATTATCTTTCACCATTGAATATAATTTTGGCTGTAGGTTTTTCCTGGATGCTATTTATTACGTTGAGGAAGCTTCCACTCCTAGTTTGCTAAGTTTTTACTATGAATGTGTTTTGAATTTTGTCAAATGCTTTCTCTGCATTTACTGAGATCATCAGAAGGGTTTTCTCCTTTTTTGTCTAAACTGGTGAATTTCATTGACAAATTTTTCAGATGTTATGCCAACAGCGCATTCTTTGCATAAATCTCATTTGGCTTTGATGTATTACTCTTTGTGTAAGTTGCAGAATTTAATTTGCTAATATTTCATTAAGTACTTTTTTAAATTATGGATTTTCAGTTTATGGTCACGGGGAATATAGTCTGTAGTTTCCTTTTCATGTGATGCTTTTGTCTGGTTTTAGTATCAGGGTAATGCAAGCCTTATAATATTAGTTGGGTAATGTTCCCTACTGCTCTATTTTCCGAAAAAGTTTGTGTACTCTCAATATTAGTTCTTCCTAAATGTTTGCTGGAATTCATCAGTGAAGACATTTGGACCTGGAGTTTTCTTTCTGGGAAGGTTTTTTAGTTACATATACAATTTTTTAATTTTTATTTTTAATTGTGGTACAAATACATTAAGATAAAATTTACCATCCTAACCATTTTTATGTGTACAATTCAGTAGTGCTAAGAAAATTAACATTGTTGTGCAACAGAGCCCTAGAACTTTTTCCTCTTGCAACACTGAAACTCTATACCCACTGAACATCATCTCCCCATTTCTCCTTTCCCATCCCTGGCAACCACCATCCTACTTTCTGTTTCTATGAGTTTGACTACTTTCAATACCTCATCTAAGCGGAACCATACAGTATTTTTCTTTTTGTGATGGCTTATTTCACTTAGCTTCACGCTGTCCAGGTTCACTCCTGTCGTTGCATGTGACAGAATTTCCTTATTTTTTAAGGCTGAATAATATTTTACGATGTGTTTATACCACATTTTCTTCATCCATACATGGGCATTTGAGTCGCTTCTGCCTCTTGGCTATTGTGAATAATGCTACAATGAACATGATGTGCAAATATTTCATAGAGATCTCACTTTCAATACTTTTGGGTATATATCCAGAAGTGGAATTGCTGGATCATATGGTAATTCTATTTTTAATTTTTTTGAGGAACATCCATACTCTTTTCTGTAACCGTTGTTCCATTACATATTCCAACCAACAATGCACAAGGGTTGCAATTTCTACAAATCCTCACCAGCACTTGTTATTTTCTGGGGTTTTTTTATAGTAACCATTTTCATGGATATGAGGTGATATCTCATTGTGGTTTTGATTTGCATTTCTCAATTATTAACAATTTTAAACATCTTTTCATACGTTCGTCAGCCATATGTGTATCTTCTTTGGAGAAATATCTATTCAAGTCCTTTGCCCATTTTTAAATTTTGTTACTTGGTTTTTTATTGTTGGGTTGCAGGAATTCCTTATATATTCTGCATATTAACACCTTATCAGATATAAGATTTGCAATTATTTTCTCCCATTCTGTGGGTTGCTTTTCACTCTATTTCTTTTGATATATAGGAGTTTTGAGGTTTGATGTAGTCCCATTTGTCTATTTTTGCTTTGTTGCCTATGCCTTTTGTTGTCATATCCAAGAAGTTGTATGACTAAATCCAATGTCATGAGCTTTTTCCCCATGTTTTCTTCTAGGAGTACAGTTTTAGGTCTTCAGCTTAGGCCTTTCATCAATTTGAATTAATTTTTGTATATAATGTAACATAAAGGGCTCACTTCATTCTTTTGTATACGGATATTCAGTTTTTCCAACACCATTTGTTGAAGAGACTGCCCATTCCCCACTGAGTGATCCTGGCACCCTCATCAAAGATCATTTGACCATAGACAAGAGGGCTTATTTCAGGGCTGTCTGTTCCATTCGCTGATCTATATGTCTGTTTTTATGCCAGTACCACACTATTTTGATTATTGTAGCTTTGTAATATGTATGTAATTCAAAAATCACAAAGGGTATAGATATAGAAAATTGTACTTTTTGATAAAAATGCAGATATTCCTCACTAAAAATATATACTCTTCCTGTGTTAATTCTTCCAGCATAGAAATCTTTAAATGACTATTATATAATTCATACCTTAGAGGTAAAGGTGGTGTATATTTATGCAAATTCTCTGCATCCTTCTCAATACTTATTACCTTTTTTTATTACAGCCATTCCAATACAACATTGATGCAAAGTGACGAGAACAGACATACACTTGTCCTGTTCCTGATCATAGGGGCAAAGTGTTCAGTCATTCACCATTAAGTGATGTCAGTTGTAGGTTTTCCTTAGATGCTTTTTATCAGGCTTCACACGTGTTCAAGGGTCAACCAGAGAGAGATGTGGGCAAACAGGATTGGGGATCCCCTCTCTAGCATTTTCCTTTTCAGGATCACCCACTGACTCCAGCAGCTTCAGTTGCCCCGGCCATCAGTCCTCTGATTTCCTATGCTAGAGAAACTGCAGGTTTTCCACTGGATCCTCTGCCACCCAGCACTCTACTGACTACAACTGCCCTGATGCTAAAATGTAGAAACAGAGCTCACTCCAAATAGTTTTCCTCCTCTGCATGTGGATTTCTCTCCAGGAATCTTCCTAGAATTGTTAGAATTCTTTCTATATTCGATACTATAGAAATACGTATTCTTATTTCTTATGTGATTTGCAGATACAAATACATTCTCCCAGTCTGTGGGCTGTCTTCATATTCTTGATGCTGTCATTTGAAGCACTTAAGTATTTATTTATAGCATAGTCCAATATAATCTTTTTTTTCCTTTATCCCTGTACTTTTTGTATTATATCTAAGAAATCAATGCTTAACCCAAGGTCACAAAGATTTAGCCCTGTGTTCACTCTCTGAGGCCTTCAGGCAGCTGCTTTCTGAAGTTTACACTGGTTTTGTGGAGAAGGGTTGATTTGGTAGGCTCTTACTCAGACATTACATGCCATGCAAGTCAGATATTTAGAATGTGTGATTTCAGGAAATTCTTATCCCAAGAGTTTGACTATCATACATCAATGTCTAATTGAAAAATCCAAAAGTGTGTTTAGGTCTTCATAGAAAACCCAGAGCACAGTACAATTTCTTTTACATGTGAATAAGATATCACATGAAAAAGATATACTCTTTAGCACATGCTCTAGGAACTTCCTCTCCCCTAAAACAGAGGTATATGACCAGGCATAATATACAATTACATTAACTTCTTTGACAACAAAATAATAAATTAGATGGATACCAAATTTATGGCCAGCAATACCCCCAGTTTTTTTCTACCCAAAGTGATAATCCAAGAGCAGTAACAAGATAATCTTTTTACTGAGATGAAATTCACATAATGTGAAACTATTTTAAAGTGGACGCTCAGTGACATTTCTTATATTCACAATTTGTCAACTACCACCTCTATTTAGTCCCAAGACATTTCACCCCAAAATAAAACCTTATACTAATTAAGCAATTACTTTCTATTCCCTTCTTGCCCCACACCCAGTGCCTGGTAACCATCAATCTCTCTTCTCTCTATTGACTTACCTATTCTGGATATTTTATATAAATGTAATCATAAAATGTAAATTTTGTGTCTGACTTCTTTTACTTAACACAATGTTTGGAGGTTCATCCACATTATAGCATGTATCAGCACTCTATTCCTTTTTATAGCTGAATAATATTCCATTGTATTTATATACCACAATTTATCTGTTCATCAGTTGATGGATATGTGGGCTGTTTCCATCATTTGGTTACTGTGAATAGCACTGCTATGAACATTAGCTTTTTTCCACTTTTTTTATTGTGGCAAAAAATACATAATAATGATAAATGCTATTAAAGTACAGTTCAGTACATTACGCATATCCACAGTGTTGTACAACCATCACTACTATCCATCTCTGAAACTTTTTATCTTCCTTAACAAACTTTGTGCCCATTAAACCCTAACCTTGGCCAGGTGTGGTGGTTCACGCCTGTAATCCAGCACTTTGGGAGGCTGAGGCAGGCGGATTGCTTGAGGTCAGGAGTTCGAGGCCAGCCTGGCCAACATGGTGAAAGCCCGTCTTCACTAAAAATACAAAATTTAGCCAGGAGTGGTGGCACATGCCTGTAATCCCAGCTACTCAGGAGGAAGAGGCAGGAGGATCACTCGAACCCGGGAGGCAGAAGTTGCAGTGAGCTGAGCCCACAGTAAGTTTGTCAAACGGGTCAAAGTTGTCTGCAGCTCCACTTAGCCTAGAATCCAGTCATGCCACTGCACTCCAGCCTGGGCGACAGAGCGAGACTCCATCTCAAAAAAGGAAAAAAAAAAAAAAAAAAAAACGCTAACTTCCCATTTCCTTTCTCCCACCAGCTCCTGGTACTCGCCATTGTACTTTCTGTCTCTGTAAATCTGACTAGTTTAGGTACCTCATATAAGTGAAATCATATTAATACAATAGTCGTCCTGCGTCTGCTTTATTTTATTCAGCATAATGTTTTCAAGATGAATATCAAATATTTTTTATAAAAAGTATACATTTTACATGCAAAATTTATTAAGTTTAACACTGCAATCAAATGGCAAAGACATCATCAAAAACATGTACGAAGCAAGCACCTTTTGCTGGCATCACTTCATTGGATCCTCACAGCTGCTCTGTGAGATGGGCTTTACAGATGAAAGAATAGAGCCCAGGGAAGATAAGTGACTTACCCAAGGACATGCAGCTTGTAAACCAACAAGCAAACATGCACATTCAGGTCTTCTAATTTCCAGTCCTTTTTAATTTACAGGATCAGCTGCCTCCCATCCCATTTATAAGGATGGTCAAAACAAAAAGATACCAATGTTGGACAGCAAGTCAGGGAAGGAGCTAGAACTTGATAAACTAGCTTTTGTAAGTGATAACGGGAGGGAAGTGCTGGGAAGGGCGTGGTCCCTTTAAATAACAGGAAAGGAGGGAAAGGAAGTGCTGGGTAGAGGAGGGCGTGGTCCCTGGCGAGGGCTCCACCCCCAAACCCGTGCCCACGGGTCTAAGTGAGGACAGGCACCCCTGCCTTCAGCGCCCAAATGTTGCATTTCCTAAGACCACCCTGGCTCACCACGCCCCCATCCTGTGCCTATAAAAACCTCCAAGATTCTAGCAGGCAGACACACAAGCAGCTGGACGTGGAGAGGAACACATCGCAGAAGACACAAGCAGCTGGACAGCGAGAGGATGTGGATGGGAGCACGCCAGAGGAAGAGCACACGACAGATCCCAGCATGCCGACAGGCCACGACTGGCGGAAGGAGGAACAGTTGGCGGAGTTTGGCCGGGGCAATCAGAGGAGAGCCCAGGCAGTCTAGCGGCCCAACTCCAGGGGAAAACCATCTCCCTTCTGGCTCCCCCATCTGCTGAGAGCTACTTCTACTCAGTAAAACCTTGCACTCGTTCTTCAAGCCCAGGTGTGATCCGATTCTCCTGGTACACCAAGGCAAGAACCCAGGGATACAGAAAGCCCTCTGTCCTTGCAATAAGGCAGGGGTCTAATTGAGCTAACACAAGCTAACTATGGACAGCTAAACTAAAAGAGCACGTGGTAACACATGCCCACTGGGGCTTCAGCTGCAAACATTCACCCCTAGACATTGCTGTGGGGTCGGAGCCCCACAGCCTGCCCATCTGTATGCTCCCCTAGATTTGAGCAGTGGGGCACTGAAGAAGCCAGCCACATCCCCATTCCACACCCTGCAAGGGGGACAAGGGAACATTTCCCGTTTCACTGAGAAGGGCATTCCAGGCTGGTAACCATCTGTGACCTGGGTGCAGAGATGAGCTTGGTAGGGGCTGCACAAGGAAGAAAGAAGCAGGATGTGGATAGGAACTGTGAATATCCTAATCTGATTTAAAAAGGACTCTTAGAAGAATCTTTCCTTTCATTCCAACCTATAATGGATTATCTTAAACAAGGACCTTTGTTCTTTTTTTCCCTGCCTCATGAGAATATACAGATAAATAGAATTTCAGCCAAACACTACATGTGCCCTGAGAGCTTCCTAGTTGGCATCTGCTGCATTTGTCTTTTCCCACTGCAGCCTGGACTGGTGCAGGATGTGGAAGGGATGAGGTATTGCTTAACACACATTAGAGACAAAATCCTTGACAAAAATAAAGTACTAAAGTGAATTTGATTCATTTACTTGATAACCCATACTATAGACTACCTTTGCCCTTAAGATTGATTTCTGCAGACCAGAGAATTTTTTTATTGCCTCAGCTATTAATGCCAGCCCAACCACAATTTTCTAGAATTTCTTTCATTTCTTTCTGAAAAGCACACACATCTTTATTTCATATTGCATCACTTCTTTAGAAGAAAACATGATTTTGCTCATTGTTTTTGGCAACATTGCTAAAGATATAAAAGCATTTAATTTAACAATAATTACTATCAAAAGAAATAACTTTTGAAAAACTTCCCAGAGTGTTTATTACAGAAACAAAAAGAAAAACTGAGAGGAGTGAAGACTAGGCATTTGCAATTTGTGGATACCAACCACCCATAAGCAGAAGAAGAATAATTTGGTTCTAATCAAAAGATTTGGTCTATTTGGGGCCAGGTGCAATGGCTCATGCCTATAATCCCAACACTTTGGGAGTCTGAGGCAAGGGGATTGCTTGAGCCCAGGAGTTCGAGATCAGCCTGGGCAACAAAGGGAGATCCCTTCTCTACCAAAAAAAAAAAAAAATTTTTTTTTAATTAGCTGGCTGTGGTGGTGCACGGAGTTGGTGCCTGTAGTTCCAGCTACTCTGGAGGCTGCAGTGGGAGGATCACTAAAGCCCAAGAGGTCAAGGCTGCAGTGGGCTAAGATCGCACCACTGCACTCCAGCCTGGGCAACAGAGTAAGACCCTGTCTCAAAAAAAAAAAAAAAAGATTAAATGCAAAGGCTTATTCGGGGAACTCTGTATGTAAGTTGGCAAAGACCAAAATAGTGCCAACATATGAAGCACTGAAAAAGAAAAAGTTAAAATATCTTAGCCTCAACACTCGAAATATAGCAAGCCCACATATTTGAAGACCAAACACATCAAGACTCATCTTTCCCTTAAAAGAATTTTCAGCTGGGCACAGTGGCTCGTGCCTGTAATCCCAGCACTTTGGGAGGCTGAGGCGGGTGGATTACTTTAGACCAGGAGTTTGGGACCAGCCTGGCCAAAATGTGAAACCCCCGTCTCTACTAAAAATATAAAAATTAGCCGAGACTGGTGGTGCACACCTGTAGTCCCAGCTATTCAGGAGACTGAGACAAGACTCGCTTGAACCCAGGAGGTGGAGGCTGCAGTGAGCCAACATTGCACCACTGCACTCCAGCCTAGACAACAGAGTGAGACTTTGTCACAAAAAAAAAAAAGAGAGAATTTTTCTTTGTCAGATGTAGAATATAACTTAAGAGAAATTTATTAACATTTAAGCTCCTTAGTATAGAAAACTGGAGGAAAATAACTTTAGTACACACTTAATTTGCTATACTAAATTTTTTTAATAAAGACCTTCAAAAGGAAAATTTAGATTATAAGTAGCATGGCACATATAGAATATGAACACAGAAAGTTCATATCTAAGCCCTAAGCCACTTATGATAAACACCTATAAAAGGAACAAAAACTAAACTTCCACATTATTTTACCCAGTAAAAGATGTAGGCTATTAGTAGAAAGTTGGTTAAGTAAATTCAAAAAATAAAAATATAAAAAAGAAATAATGAGAAAATTTTTGAAAAATATTAATAAAATAAAGATGTAGGCTACATAGCTGAGGCTATTATTCACACCATATAGAAATTAGGTTCTCGGGCCAAGCAGAAACTATAACATAATCAGAAAGAATACCTAAAGAAATAAAGTATGACTTCCTAAATTTTTTATTTTAAAAATGCCCAGTTTATTTATTTGCTTTGCCTAAGATAGCTGCATTCATTATTACAGGGTCAGGGGACTTGTAAAAACAAATATCAATTATTATAAATAATCACAGAAAACAAATAAACTGGAAAATAAACAGCGGTTACTAATTTAAGGTTTTAACCCTTACCCCAACCACCCAAAAAAAGTAGCCATTTTTAAAATAAAGATTAAGAGTTGGTGGAATTTAAGGGAAATGCCATCCGGTAATGTTACCTAAATACTAGAAAGGAATCAGCACAAGGAAACAGGAACAAAGCAGTGCAGTACTTCGGTATTACAGCGCCACCCACTGGCTAGAAGTCCTCATAGCACATATGAGATGTAGCCATAAAATAGATGAATTCTTGAAATAAGGAATATAACACTGACTATTCTGATTCAGTAGAACATAAAAAATGTCTAACAAAACAGAACCAGACACATTATATTATTTCTACAAGTAAACAGAATATCTATTAGATATGTTCACAAGGGTTTTATCAATTTTGAAATCCAAGTGTATAATCCCCAAATGCTGTAAGGACTTAAATTTTATAGCCAAAACAATTAACACATAAAATGCTATTTCATCTCTGTAGCTGAATACATAAATAGTATCTTTAAGTAAAAGATGCATACTTGCATTTCATTGCTAAGCAATTCATAATATATTTAAATGCTGGTAAAACCTACAATGGCATCTGCTTCACTTCTACCTTTACTAGAGAAGTAACAAAATACACTGAGCAAAGGATATGTCCAAAAAACTAAACTGAAAAACAGTTTCTAAATAAAGTCCACAGACCATTCAGATAAACTAGTAAAAATAGTTTTTCTTTAAAGTACCACAGCACCTTTGTAGTTCAAAATATATTTACCATAGGCTGGGCGTGGTGGCTCACGCCTGTAATCCCAGCACTTTGGGAAGCTGAGGCAGGCAGATCACAAGGTCAGGAGATCGAGACCATCCTGTGAATGGTGAAACCCTGTCTCTACTAAAAATATAAAAAAAATTAGCCCGGCATGGTGGCGGGCACCTGTAGTCCCAGCTACTCAGGAGGCTGAGGCAGGAGAATGGTGTGAACCCAGGAGGCAGAGCTTGCAGTGAGCCGAGATTGCACCACTGCACTCCAGCCTGGGCGACAGAGCAAGACTCTGTCTCAAAAAAAAAAAAAAAAAAAAAAAAAAAAATATATATATATATATATATATATATATATATATATATCGTAATATATCTCTTTATTATCCTAGTGACATCTGTTGTGATTTTCCAAATCACTATTTATTTTCTTAAATACCAACATTCTTAAAATCTTGGCATGAAATATTTGAGAGTTACTTCTCCTGAAGTACAATCTTTCCTTTAAGACCCAGAATTACATATAGGGCATGACATTAATTTATAGTCTATATGACCCTCTTGAATGTTGTTCTCTAAAGGCTGGACTTCAGAATTCCTCTACAGACATGACCCCAGTCTTCCAAGTGAGAATTCACAAATATGCTCCAGGCAGTCAGGACAGGCTTCAAGTTTCTTTGGTTTGATGATAATTATCACTTGGCCTGCAAAAGCCAAGGTCTTTGCTTGCTCATAGATGGTTGATTGCAGATAAAAATATGATGAGAAAAGTAACATTCCCACAGACATAAATTGCCAACACTGCCTTTTTAAAAGCATGACCCTGAAAGAAAAATTGAGATATGAAAAAAAAAAGTATTACCATTAAGGTTTGTGTCAATGAACAAGAAAAGGACTTACCTCTGTTTCCACTGCAGTAAATGACTGAAGGATCTGAATTCTGTCATCATCCAATATTTCAACTGTCAAGAATAATAACATAAGTTTTTAAGGGCAGCGTTATGCAGGTAAATTAAATTTTTTAAAAAAACCTGATTTGTACTGTTCACCCCAATTTCCAGGGTAGAAATTCTCCCACTCCAAACTACTAATTATTGCAGACTTCCTGAACAATTAAGCCTCTCACAAATGTGGACAATCTGGCAAGAGCACACATTTGTTAAATAACTTAAAATATGCCTTCTTCTAGTCATTAAACACCACCTCAAAGTCATAACGATCTAAGCTCTTTGGTTTTATTTTTGATTGACAAAATATTGTATATATTCATGGTGTATGACATGATGTTTTGATATATGCATACATTATAAAATAGCTAAATCAAACTAATTAACATATGATAACTATCCAGGTTTTAAGTATATATGTATTTTAGACAGTAAGCCATCAGCCAAGCATGGTGGCTCACACCTGCAATCCCAGCACTTTGGAAGGAAGAGGCGGGTAGATCACTTGAGCCCAGGAGTTTGAGATCAGCCTGGGCAACAAAGTGAGACCCTGTCTCTAAAAAAATTTAAAAACTTAGCTGGGTATGATAGCACGTCCCTGTGATCCCAGCTAGATGGGAATCTGAATCAGGTGGATGGCTTAAGCTCTGGAGTTCAAGGCTGCAGTGAGCTATGATCACACCACTGCACTCCAGCCTAAATGACAGAGTGAGACTCTGTCTCAAAACAAACAAACAAACAAACAAAAAAACAGTAAGCCATAATTCAGTGGTCATCAAAAGCCCCACATATATAAGCCTATCAAGGATCAAAAGTAGCAGGACAGATATGTACTACTCAGCTCCTGAAGCCACCCCAGGCTCTCCTAAGTTTACAACATATACACTAGACAACAAAGAATTTTTGTTTTTAGAAGGCCACCTTCACTTATTTTGGTGGATGAAAACCAGGCAGGACACAAAGGACATTTAGCCTAGAATCCAGGCTAAATGATACCCATTCCCTACTAATTTCTCCACTCCTAATGGTGGCTATAGGTATCCTGACCCTGCCTGGCACCAAAACAAACCTTGTCACTAAAGAGCAAAAGCAAAATCAGTCCTTCCTATCTGGCTTGCTCCTAGCTACATAATTATGCACATGACAACCTAAATGATAGCACCCAGTAAATTTGTCAAATAGGTCAAAGTTGTCTGCACCTCCATCCAGTGTTGACTTTGAGTCTCTTCTTCCTCCATCTCAGGGTTTCCTCAGCTCTAGGCATTCAGAGTTCCCAGTCCATACTGGCTCTAAGTCAGACCAGCAAAGTGAAAGTACTTACAAGGAAGACTCCCTGCCTAAAACCTAAAACCTTTCCTTTATATCTTATTCACAACTTCTAATAGTAACAAATGTAAAAAAACAAAGGCAGAAAATCACAATTTCTAGCACTGGCTGAGTGATCACAAGTTTTTAGTGAGCTAACAATGTAGCAGTCAGCCATTACTATCGGGAAGCGCATTCTTTTCCAATGGTTTGTATAGAAGTGCTTCTACATAACATGGCTTTTTTACCAGGTTACCTTTGCGAGAGAGCCGATAAGCATGTACCTCCAGAACAACCTCAGTCCCAACATGCCAGGCTACGAATCCGGTCATTGCATAGGTTTTCCATGAATCAGGAAGATTCAGTCCTGGTAAATCCATTCCCAGGAACATCGCTGCCACTACATACAAAAGAAAAAAGTTACATTCAAATGTAGTCCCACCAAGAGAGACAATTGTGTGTTTGTGTATGTGTATTATCAAGTAAAACATACTAAAAGAGTTTGAGATAAAAGAAGATTAATATCTAAGACCAAATAGTTAATTCAGACTTTTAAAATTATAAGGCTAGATAGGGCAAGATGGGCAACTGATTATGAATTACCAATTGTGGGGGGCGGTTTAGGGCATATTGCGTAATAATGCTGGAGTTTGGCCTTCTAGTGAACCCATCACCCAAGTGGTGAACATAGTACCCAAAGGGTAGTGTTTCAACTCTTTCCCCCATTCCGCCCTCTCCTCTTTTGGAGTCCCCAGGGTCTATTGTTTCTATCTTTATGTCCGTGTGTACTCATTGTTTAGCTCACATTTATAAGTGAGAACATGTGGTATGTGATTTTCTGTTTCTGCATTAATTCATGTAGGATAATCACTTCCAGCAGCATCCATGTTGCTACAAAAGACATGACTTCATTCTTTTTTATGGCTGCGTAATCTACCAATCCTTAAAAGAGATGCACCCACATTTTCCAGATTGTTTTAAGTCTGCAATATATGAAAGGAGAAAAGTATAGAAACCACAGTTGATTGGACTCCCACTCTGACAAAGAATCCCATAGACTATAGCAGTGTTAAGGTAGAAGGTGCCTACTTAGGTGTTTATTATACAAGGTATCAAAATATGCTGCATAAGTATTCCTGACTTTTGAAAACCACCCTGCCCTGGAAGATACAAGCCCCATGGAAAGGACCTGGAGATGGAAAGCTTGAACCCAGCAACCCACCTCAACCCAATTCACAAATGACCCTCAATTTGAGCTACTCAAATGTTTGGCCATCAGCATAGCTTATTCTGCTGGCAAAGGCAAATACTAAAATAAGTCTTTAAATGAGAGTTTTAAAGTTATTGTAAAGACCTTAAACTTAAAACTGAAATAATGACTTAAATCATTACCTCTAGAAATTACTTTCTGGATTTCAACGTTTAAGGCTGATTTCTTCTCAACAACCAATTACTCCAATTACTAATGCATCTAAAAATCATTTAAGCCAAATTACAACTTGTAATATAAGCAGCTAGCAATTATATATGAATAAGTGGCATCACAATCTCTTACCTGCTATTATTCTAGCAGCTGTTCCCATACTCCAATGAGTCCAGTTAAACATTTGCCTTCTACCAAAATAAGAACCAGTCAGTATTCTTAAAAGCAATGGAACTATAATTAATTCCCACTAGAATAAAAAGCATGTAATTTCCTTATTGTCTGGGAATTAGATATCTGAAATGCATTTTAAAGTATTTCAAAGTAACTATAATTTATCACTGAATTTTATAAAATGCAAAATTTTTCCATTTGAAAACAGATTAGTTTGCCAACTAATGATATCTACATTAAGAGAGCATTTATATAGAAAGGCTCTAAGTACCTTGGGTCATGTAAAGGTGGCCTGAAGACTGCCAGAAGAGGCTGAAGAACTGCCAAAGTCATCACTATACAGCCGAGGTATGGGTGGTAACCTGCATGCTAAACAAAGTTACATCATTTTAATGGCCTCAATCTCTCTCATCAATTTAAATCCTCAAGTTAAAAATAATACACACAGATGTATTCTTAGTATTTTTCCATGGCTTTAAAGATTCAATAATGATGATAATAATAATATGCAACATTCACTGAGTATACACGTTGTACCAGGCATACACTTTACACACACTAATTTTTGACAACTACAATGTTTGACAACTGGTTATCAATATCCCAATTTTACAAATGGGGAAACTGAGGCTCAGAGATATCAAGAACTATGTCCAAGGTCACAGAGTATGTACATGGTTGTGGTGGAATCCATGTACAGAATGCTACCTTTCCCCATCAGGATGTTGTAGGTTAGTACAAAAGTAGTTGCAGTTTTTGCAGTTTTTTTTCAAGTATTTTAATCCACAATTACTTTTGCACCAACCTAATAGATGGCCACCAACATCAGAACAGCCATCTGCAGCCCAGCTGGGACTCAGTTATGCATGGGTAAAATTATAACCATGACTTTAGAGATATAAAGGGTTCTATCTAATAAAAAATAAAACAGCAGCAGCAACAAGATTCTTGCATGTGTTTAGAATGTGCTAGGAACTGTCCTAAGTACTTTCAGTTATTTTAACCACAATGCTCACAGAAAGCCTATAAGATAGATACTATACCACCCCCATTTTACAGGTGAGTAAACTGAGGGTCATAGTTAAATAACTTGCTCAAGGTGCCCCAGGTAATAAGTCATGGTGCCAGGATTTGAATCCAAGGAATCCAGCTTTAGAATGGCGCTCTTAACCTTTGTTCTATCGTATTCATAAATTGCAAAGGCTATAAACTAGACAATTACAAAATAAGTGTTACCTTTGTCCAAAATGTCTGAATAAAATAAAGTTCTCATGTCTCAATTCATATCACAAAATCTTCATAACTTCCTTAAAAAGATAGGTTGACTGACCCATAAACTACCTAAAAGGCAGGAGGGAGCTTTCCTAGTAATATCTGTGACCCAGGATTCATCAATCTTATCCCTGTAGCACCAGCCCAAGCTCTGAAATGTGAAATTTTGATATCAAATTCTCATTGGCTATAAAACTGGAAAAGCATAATAAAAGCACAGGCTCTGAACTTAACATATGTCACTTATTCTCAATAAGAGTTATTCATTCATTCACTAAATGTTTACTGAGTACCTGCTATATACTTAAATCTGTTCTGAACATATCAGTGGATATCCCAGCTCTGACTGAGCTGACATAGTAGTGTTGGAAGGGAGATCAAGAAAAAATATGACAAGTAAGTAAATTATATGAAATGGCATAAAGAGTGCTATGGGAAAAAATAGAGCAGGGCTGGGCTCTCTGAGAGGCTTCTATTTGAGCAAAAACTTGAGGAAGGTGAGGGAGTAATGGAAGCGTGTGCCAGGCAGAAAGAAGAATCATGGCAAAGACTATAAAGCAGGAGCATGCCTGGCATGTCTGCATACCAACCAGGAGGCTGGTATGGAAGGAGATGGACTAGAAGGAGAGGACGAGGAGGTCAGTTCAGAGAATAACTGGGAGGCAGTCATGAAGGTCCCTGGAAGAACTTTGACTTTTACTCTTAATAAAATTGAGAGACATTAGAGAAACTAGTTTGAGGTACAAGAATGGCATGGTCTGGTTTACTTTTTTTTTTTTTTTTGAGGTGGAGTCTCATTCTGTCACCCAAGCTGGAGTGCAGTGGTGCGATCTCAGCTCACTGCAACCTCCGCCTCCCAGGTTCAAGTGATTCTCCTTCCTCAGCCTCCTGAGTAGCTGGGATGACAGGCGTGCGCCACCACGCCTGGCTAATTTTAGTGTTTTTGGTAGAGATGGGGTTTCACAATATCAGTCAGGCTGGTCTCGAACTCCTGACCTCGTGATCTGCCTGCCTTGGCCTCCCAAAGTGCTGGGATTACAGGTGTGAGCCACCATGCCCGGCCTGGTTTACATTTAAAAAAAAATAACTGTCTTCTTTGTAGAAAATAGATTGTGCACGGGCAAGGGTTGAAGTGGAGAGACCAGTTAAGTGGCTACTGCAATGGCCAACCAAAAGATGATGGAGGCTCACACTCCTACAGTAGTATCTGATGACAGTGACAAGTGTTGGACTGTGGATATACTTTACAGGTAGAGCCAGTGGAACTTCCCAGTGGATTTGACATGGGATGTGCAAGAGAGCACAGTTAATGATAATTCCAAGGCTTTGATCTAACAATGGAATCCCAGTAGCTACCATGGAGGTGGCAGTGGGTAGAACAGGCCTGGGAGAAAAGATGATCAGGAGTCCCATTTTGGACATGTTAAGTCTAATGTCTTAGACATGCAAGTCAAGGTCCTGCATGCAATGTGAGCTAGATGTGTGAGTTTCAAGCCACGGGAGAAGTCTGGACTGGAGATAAAGATTTGGGAATAAGCATCAGTTTCTTCATTTGTGACATGGGATTATTATTAATACCTACTATATTTGAGATTTAAAAGATTTTTTAATAAAAATATATAGAGATGAGGCCTCACTATGTTGCCTAGGCTGGTTTCGAATTCCTGAGCTCAAGCAATCCTCCCGCCTCAGCCTCCCAAAGTGCTGGGATGACAAGTGTGAACCACCACACCCAGCCTGAGATTTAAATTAGATAACACATATAAAGCACTTAGCACCGCTGGGTACTGAGTAGAAATCCAAATTATGTTAGCTTAGTGGTCATCACAGTACTAGTTAGAGAAAACCACTCACATTGTTCATGTTCCTTAGATATCACACATTGAATTGTCACCACTCTATAGTGAGAAAAAATTCACTAAGGCTATAGCATGTATATAACTCATGATGCACCCTAAAAATACATTTCATTGCTAAGTAATCTGTACTGACATCCTCACTATACCCCAACCTCCAACCATGTGAGAGAGCCATCCAATGATTCAAAAGGGAAAGAAAGAGGGATCAATGCTGAAATATCTTTTTACCCATCATTTGAAAATAAAACAGCAATCTGTTTTGACATAAAATGGATTTATAAAAAAAACCCTATTTAAGATATACTTACCCTACTCCAGCCTCCCCTGTATATAAACGGCATAACAAAAGCAATGCAGGTGAGGACAGTTGTGGTGAACATGAGCATCCGATGCACCTGCAAGGTAAAATGACAAATTAAGAAGACACTTATCCATGTAAAAGAAAGGTGGTGTTGCAACGGGGAAAATGGGGAAAAGACTATGGGGTAAGATTCACTGAAGGCATGCATTCAACTGACATCTAATCACAGTTTGTAGCCAGGTTAAGAAAAAAAAAAAAAACTTAGTATACAATTAAACTTTAAAGAAAACCTTAAGCTGCCATTCTCATCATTCAAAAGTGTTTGCCAAGACTTCACTTGCACAGAGCAGCAGGAATGGATATTTCACACACAGAGCATATTTACTTGCCAAGTCCTTCATTTCCTTCCAAAGATATTTATTAAGCTCCACCATCGAGCACAGTGCTATGACAGGTGCAATGAGATAGTAAGGAAACAAACAAACAAAAAATACTGTCTCCTGAGGAGCTTCAGATATAATTGAGTCAATACAAGAAAAATATGTGAACTATATAATTCATGATACAAATTAGGAGAATAAGTGTGAAAATAGCCACTGTTTATTGATTATGCCAGGATAACTGGTGCAGACCAAAACTATCTTGGGGAAAGTAGGAAGCACCCTGTGTATGTGTGTGTGTATGGATGGATGGCTGGATGGATAGATGGGTGGATGGATGGATGGATGGAGATAGAGACAGAGATAAAACTATGACATGTATGTACACACATCATCAGCATCATAAATTTAAAGGCAGTGGAGGATTTGAGTTGATAAAGAGAATACACACAGTCTTTGAGCTGGGAATATCCACATGAGCAGATGAGAGAGAGAGAGCACAAGAGCAAAGGCACGCAAGTGCAAGCAAGAAAGTAGTCACCTGGCAGCAAACCACAGGCAGAGAAAGAAAGGAGCAAGGTGAGCCAGGTAGCAGTACCGAGAACAAATCAGACTGGCCTTCCCAGGCAATAGTGAGAAATGAGGCTCGATAAGGTAAACCTTATGATCTACAAATTTATATGAATATTAAATGTCAAGGATACCCTCTTACAAAGTCAAAACTGTTCGAACAAGCAGTATTTTTTTCTACAGGCATGTACATTCTAAGTCAACATGAACTCAGTGATTTTCCACTACATATGTAAATATCTATACTCCATGACCCATGAAAGATAAGGTTTGTTTTGCTTTGTTTTGAAGGATACTCATTGGCTCTTGCTATATTCCTTTTAGTAGACTACCTCCCCATCTCAAGGGAAGGAAGAGCATGAAAAATAACACGTTCAGTTTCTCTTTCCACCCATACAGGAGATAGATGATCCCAATTGATGAGTTAATCTAACATTCAATGGCCCACAACCAGAGGAGTGACCCTTGCTTTGAAACACAGTAAGCCCCCACTATTTCTTTCTTCAGCTCCTCTGCATTCCTTGGCCTGACTTTACTCAGTACAGTGCAGTGGGTGAATGCTCTTCCCACATCTCCCTCTACAAACAGAGGTATAAGTAAAGGTCATTTGGGTCCCAAAGTCTATATTACAAAGGGACTCACATGGTCCTGACACATTCTCCAGTCCAGCCTGACTCTTCCTAAAACTGTCTGTATTCTTATCTCTATCAAGCACATTGTGTCCACTCTCAATTGATCAGGAAATCAAAGGGAAAAAGGAGGATCCCAAACCTACAACTGCAACCACAAAACGCATACACATACACACATACTTCATATGTTTTCATGTTGCAATGTTCAAATACTATGAATATTGCATTGAACTTTTTTCCCTCACCTACCTGAAACCAAGCTGCTTCACCAAGCAAGAAAGCTTTTGACCAAACTGGCTTGAAGAACCGGGCAACCAGTACACCTATGCTAACAGTAGTCATCCATGCCACAAACATTAAGGCACCTACAAGTGAGATAAATGCAATAGTAGACAATCACAAACGAATCAAGCCATCGCTTAAATGACCAAGCCAAATGCTCAGAAAATATAAACAGCCAGCAAAATACATTCAGCTGACATAAGTACAACCTAAAAAGATGCTATACATTATAGTTTTACTACCATTACTCTTTCGAACAGCAAACACTTCTACAGCTCCTATTACGTGCCAGGCATTCTAAATGCTTTACATATACTAATTTAGTTGATCTTTACAACAATCCTATGATTATGAATAGCAAAACTATTATTCCAGTTTTGCTGAATGGAGAAACAAAGCCATAGAGAATTAAGTAGCTCTTCTGAGGTTACAAAGTTGGAATACAAACCCTATCTGGTTTCAGCAACTGTGCTCTTAACCACTGTACTAATAACTGCCTGTGTGTAGTTATTTCAAAATCTTCTCACATCTCACTCCAAAAGGCAGTGAAAAACAATTAGGCACATTATTTCTGAATCCAATTACTACCAAACTGGAGCTACAACATGAGTAGAAGTAAATCAACAACAATAAAGTTACTTTCAAGCTTAACTGTGATGGCATTTATCGAAAACTTTACTATAATGGATAACTCTGGAAAATATAAAGGGAATATCCCAAATAAGGAAAGTTTCCCCCAAAACACTAAGAGTTTACAGTAGTTTAGTATACCCTACACTACTCCCATACTTTTAAATCCCATCTTTTTAACTATAAGCCAGGCTAGTTTTCAAATGAAATCAACTTTCATCTGTAGAACCAGAGTATATTAAGAGTCTTGGGTGTTTTGTTTTTTGTTTTTTGGGGGATGGAGTCTCAGTCTGTTGCCCAGGCTGGAGTGCAGTGGTGCGATCTCAGCTCTCTGCAACCTCCACCTTCTGGGTTCAAGAAATTCTCCTGCCTCAGCCTCCCAAGTAGCTGGGACTACAGGCGTACACCACCATGGCTGGCTAATTTCTGCATTTTTAGTAGAGACAGGGTTTCGCCATGTTGGCCAGGCTGGTCTCAAACTCCTGACCTCAAGTGATCCGCCCACCAGACCCTCCCACAGTGCTGGGATTACAGGCATGAGCCACCGCGTACGGCCTAGAGCCTTGTTTTTAGGCTACTGTTCTTGAACTTCATTCTATTCCTCATTTAGGTATTATATATGATGCCTAAGTACAGCACTACATACTTTGTATGCTCTCAAATACTTGTACATTGATCAATGCAACAATAAAATTGTACCTTTGAAACCAAACTATTGTTATAATTAATCAAAATCACAGGCCACTCTTTTATTAGCATTTATTTTAATAAATGGTAAAAATTAAGGTCTCATAAAAGTTAAATTAACCCAGTAACACTTGACCCTGGCTGCAGTTAGAAACAACTAGGATAGTTTTTCAAAATTATAGATGTCTTAAAAGCTCCACTGGTGATTTTAGTGTGTAGCCAAGGTTAAAACCACTGAATTAGCCCTAGTCTCCATTTTTAATGAAAATTAGCAAACATTAAGATAGATGATGCTTACCAACAGCTGTGTCAAAAAAAAAAAAGATGATGCTGCCTGCAAGTGTTAGTGTTTAAACATAAAAGATTTATAGGCTAGGCACGGTGACTCATGCCTGTAATCCCAGCACTTTGGAGGCCTAGGCGGGCAGATCACGAGGTCAGGAAATCGAGACCATCCTGGCCAACATGGTGAAACCCTGTCTCTACTAAAAGTACACAAATTAGCTGGGTGCAGTGGCAGGCTCCTGTAATCCCAGCTACTCGGGAGTCTGAGGCAGGAGAATGGTGTGAACCCGGGAGGTGGAGCTTGCAGTGAGCTGAGATCGTGCCACTGCACTCCAGCCTGGTGACAGAGCGAGACTCCATCTCAAAAAAAAAAAAAAAAAAAATGCTTTATAAAAATTAGCTACATTATACCCACAGCCATTCCTAATCCAGCCAGCACTGAGTCAGCAGGTAAGTTGATTCCACAAAGTAGTTACACATGTAACCTACCATGAACCTTCAGAAGGAGTACAGAATGGGATCCTCCTATGTTCTTTGGAGAGTCTGTCACATCATATTTTTCATAGGTAATCAAAGGTTGCTGAGAGTGCTTGTAAATTCGACCTGCAAATTAAAAACAAAATTAAACATGACAAAGAATAATTACTTCCTCAAATAAAAAAGGAATTGAGATACGGGCAGGGCATGGCAACAAAATTTCTTAAGGTAATAAAAAATAATTAAATATCAACAGAGATGTCATTCATATGCAAAAGCAACATAAAGATATATGCAAGGGCACAGACTTCCTGAAAAAAGTTAAAGAATGTAGCCAACCAAGAGATGAATTAAAATGACAACTAGGAATGGAGAATGTATAGTAAAAGAACTGGTGGTATAAAGAGACAAGTTAAATAATAAATTAAAATAAGTGCTGTTAATATGGTCACAAATCATTGAAAATGTTAAAAAAAATATTGAAAGAGAATACATATTTTTTAAAAATCTACAAGCCATTGACCACCACCTGCATATAAAATCCTAGAATAAACTAACTGAAATTGGGCTGGGGGAAAGAGGATGGTTGGAAGACAAAGAAAAGCATTTTATGATACATTATTTCACACATGGTCAATTTGAACTGACAAACCAAAATTCCAAATAGTAGTGACATAAGCAAATTAAGGATAAATTATTTCATTATTACCATTTATTGTGTACAAAATTAAATCAGTGAATGTATAGAATTATTCCAAATGTGTGTGGATCTGTGTGTGTTCTTTCTAGGAATCTATCTTACCAAAGATATATGTACAGGAATGTTTATAGCAATGTTTTCTATGCTGGCAAAAAATAAAAAAGCAAACAAACTAAATATCCATCATTAGAGGAATGAGTAAATAAATTCTGGAACATACATATTTTTAGAATACTGTGCTGCATCAAAAATGAGACATTTAATATAACAAATATATATATATGAACCTTTGTCTAAAACAAATGATAAATATTAGACCTCAAACTACATCTCAATAATTTCCAAAAGGAAATAAAAGGATACAGGTTATATTATCTGCCCAAAATGCAACAAAACTAAAAATTAACATTGAAAAGCTAGGGGGAAAATTGTCCACCTAGATATTTATAAAACTACTCTTTTTAATAACCTTTGGATTAAATAAGAAATTAAAACTAAAATCACATGTCTTCATCAAGATGTATAACAATAAAGATACTTCATAACAAAACATGTGTGATGCAATCAAGGTACTATTCAAAAAAAGTTTTTATCATCTTAAAAGCATTTCCTAACACACACACACACACACACACACACACACACACACACACACACACACAGAAATCATTTCATTCAAGGTGCATTTAAAGTAACAAAATATAATCTGGGAAACCAGAAAAAAAAGATCGATTAAAAATAAAGGTAGAACTTAAGCTAGTAACCCTAAAAATCAGAAAAGTCAGTCCTCTAAAAGGATAATTAAAATCCATTGAGTTTTTGGCAACTCTGATCACACAATGAAAGGAAACATCAAAATGTTAGAAATTTAAAGGATGGCTGGGTGTGGTGGCTCACGCCTGTAATTCCAGCACTTTGGGAGGCTGAGGTGGGTGGATCACGAGGTCAAGAGTTCGAGACCAGCCTGGCCAAGATGGTGAAACCCTGTCTCTGCTAAAACTACAAAAATTAGCCGGGTGCGCTGGTGGGCACCTGTAATCCCAGCTACTCAGGAGGCTGAGGCAGGAGACTCACTTGAACACTTGAACCCAGGAGGCAGAGGTTGCAGTGAGCAGAGATCCCACCACTGCACTCTAGACTGCGAGATAGAGCAAGACTCCGTCTCAATAAAAAAAAAAAAAAAAGGAAATTTAAAGGGTGACATAGCTGCTAATATAGAAGACCATTTTATATAAAAACACTGTATACAACTTTAAATCAGCCCCCAAAAATCTCAAAATCTAAACAAAATAGGTGAATTTGGGGGGAGAAATACAGAATTACAAAAATTGACCAAAGTAGTAGTAACCATGGAGAGTAATAACAATAGAAAAATTCTTTTTTTTTTTTTTTCTTGAGATGGAGTCTCACTCTGTCGCCCAGGCTGGAGTGCAGTGGCACGATCTTGGCTCACTGCAACCTCTGCCGCTCAGGTTCAAGCCATTCTCCTGCCTCAGACTCCCGAGTAGCTGGGATTACAGGAGCCTGCCACTGCACCCGGCTAATTTTTGTATTTTTAGTAGAGACGGGGTTTCGCCATCTTGGCCAGGCTGGTCTTGAACTCCTGACCTCATGATCCACCTGCCTCAGCCTCCCAAAGTGCTGGGATAATAGGAGTGAGCAACCACGCCCGGTCGAAAAATTCTTTTTAATTAGTCAAATATTTCCATCCAACATCCAGACCGTTATATGGGTGAGTTCTACCATACCATTAAAATTTTTCCTTAATTTGTTTATTTATTTTATTTTATTATTATTATTATTTTTGAGACAGGGTCTCACTCTGTTGTCCAGGCTGGAGTGCAGTGGTGTAATCATAACTCATTGCAGCCTTGACTTCCCAGGCTCCAGAGATCCTCCCACCTCAGCCTCCCAAGTAGCTGGGACCACAGACACACACCACCATGCCCAGCTAATTTTTGTATTTTTTGTGGAGATGGGTTTCATCATGTTGCCCAGGCTGGTCTCAAACTCCTGGGCTCAAATGATCTGCCCGTCTCGGTCTCTCAAAGTGCTTGGATTACAGCATAAGCCACTGTGCCTCGCCTGTTAAAAATTCTTTTTTATTTAAACTCTTCTAGAGCTTACTCTATGAGTTTAGTATAACCCTGAAATCAAAACTACGCATGTGTACATTCACACAAGCACCCCACACATTCGCACACATTCACAACGTAAACCAAAATCACTTATGAATATAGATGTAAAAAGCTTAAAGAAAATATTAGTAAATCAAATCAGTTATATATTAAGAGAATAATAAAACATGACCAAGTAAGGTTTATTCCAGGAATGTGAGGATCATTCACTGTCCAGAAATCTATTAAAGTAATGATAAAATATCATCTCAATCACTGCCCAAAAGACATTTGATGAAATTCAGCACACATTCATATGAATTCTTATTAAAGTTAGAAACAAAAGAATATTTCCTCAACACCATAAAGGATATCCACAAGAAAAATACAACAAACAAGACATTTAACACTGAATATCAGACGCATTTTCATCAAAATAAAAAATAACCACAAAAATTCTTGCCACCTCATTTACCATTCTACATTATTCAGCAAGAACTAAACAATGCAATGAGACAAGAAAGAAAATGAGGGCTATTAACCTGCCATTATTTGCACAGGATATGACATTTATCTAGAAAAATCCAAGATAATCAACTGGAAATTAGGAGGCTTAAAATTTAAATAAATATTCAATAATGAATAACTTTCCTATATGACAATATATTTAGAAAACGTATGAAAAACAATTCCATTCATAATAATTTGCTTTAGACAACTATAAAATACATAGGAACAAAGTAACCAAATATATATGCCCTATATGAAGATATGTAGAAAACCATAAAATTTCATTGAAAGACACATATGCAGGATTGGAATAAATGGAATATCCCAATGTGTTCCTGCATAGACAGACTCACTATTGCACAGTTATTATTCTCTAACTTGCTCTAAAATTGCATTACAATTTCAATCACAACCCCAACAGGATTTTTAATAGAATTTGACAAATCAGCTTGAGCCGGGGAGTTGGAGAACAGCCTGGGCAACATGACGAGACCCCATTTCTACAAAAAATACAAAAAATTAGCTGAGAATGGTGGCACATGGCTGTAGTCCCAGCTACTAGGGAGGCAGAGGTGGGAGGATGGCTTGAGCCCAGGAGGTCGAGCTTCAGTGAGCAGTGATTGCACCACTGCACTCCAGCCTGGGCAACAGAGTGAGACCCTATCTCAAAAAAAAGAAGAATTTGACAAATTATGTCTAAAGTTTATCTAGAAGAACAGATACATATGAAGAAGCAAAAATTCTTGAAAAAGAAGGCCAGAAGGGGAATCATGTTCTATCAAAACTCACAAACCTATTATAAAGCAATAGCAATTCTAACTAATGCAGGAATAGACAAATATATCAATAGAGGAACAGATACACTAGAAATAATTCAATTTATTGATAGATTTTTAGTATATGATAAAGAGGCTTTTAAAGCAGTGAGAAAACATGGACTATTCAAAAAAATGGTGTTAGGACACCTGGTTACTCATCCAGTGAATACTATTTTACCATGGCTTCTTATAAAGCAGAAAATGAGAAAGAAGAGTTTTATGTAATGAATGCCTAGAGAAGAGAGTGTCAAGAAGAAAAAGACAGTAACTGTCAGGAGCTACAAAAGTGTCAAAAAGAAAATGATCAAGAAAACTATCAAACATGACAAGAAAGGCACTGGGAAAGCAAAAATCTTGCATTCATTGAGTGGTAGTTATGAAAAAGAGACTCCAAGCCCAACAAGCCTGAGAGACAAGTTGGAAGAAAATGTGTTTAAACTCTGAATCACTATAGAGCCATGAACTAAGTATGAACTTAACCTTCATGAAAGCAGAAGTCCATTATGATTTCAGAGTTCCATTGTGTGGCTCCATTATAATTTTGCAGTCTTGCTCAAAGGGAGTTCATGCTTAGTGCAAGAACCAGCAGTAATAGGTTACCTACAGTATTCCTAAATTCTTTAAATAACAGGTCATGTGACAGCTGTGTCTCTACTTCATTAATTATTAAAATTGGTAGATTTCCTCATTGTGAATTACTTAATTACCCAAGTGATTTCTATCTTTCAGTTTAAACACTCAGTATTTCACATGACTGCTTATCCCAAGACAGGACAATGTCAGCAACATGAAGAAAATAGCAGTTAGAAAAAGGTTTTAAATGGATAGATTGTTAGGAGACTTTATTGAAATTGGATACATTTTACATTTATACGGGTTACAGAGATTATATGATAGCTTTGAAAATTGGCTTAAACCTTACCAAGTCTTACTGCTTTTAAGCAGATTTCAATTTATAAATGGTCCACATACATAAAGCTAAGTAATAGAAGAGGCAATGATTTATGTGATAACTGTCCTTTGTTCCCCAGTACAAAAAGATTGGAAAATTCATTCCCAGGAATAGCAATCTCCAGGTTTGTTTATTGGAGTGTTTTGTTTTGTGTGCTTTGCACTGTACCAGTTAAAAAAAAAAAAAATTAGCTTGTGCTGCAAATATATGTATATTTTTGTTAATAAACAGATTCATGTTTATTGGATTATATTGTATTAATATCTATTACACCTAATACATATTGTATTAATATCTATTATATCTAATACATATTAAGATATTAATATGTATTAATATCTTATGTACTCCAGCAGTCCCCAACCTTTTTGGCACCAGGGACCAGATCCATGGAACACAATTTTTCCATGGAAGAAGGGCAGCGATGGTTTTGGGATGAAACTGCTCCACCTTAGATCAAAATGCATTAGATTCTCATAAGGAGCACACAACCTAGATCCTTCACATGCGCAGTTGACAATGGGGTTCGTGCTCCTATGAGAATCTAATGCCACCGCTGATCTGACAGGACAGTAATGCTCACTCACCCACTGCTCACCTCCTGCTGTGCGGCCCAGTTCCTAACAGGTCACAGACCAGAACCAGTCCATGGCCCGTCGGTTGGGGATCCCTGATGTACACTATAAAATACATTAAAATATTTAAAATTTTAATGACATAAAAGTAAATCTAAACAAAGTTCTAGTATTGTTCCCTGTATCCCCTCGACTGCCTTGCAATGTGCATAGCTTACTTGGGAAAACCCCATCCTAGAGCAGTAAGTTATCAAACTACAGCACACATAAAACCACCTGGGATGCCTATAAATGCAGATTCCATGCACCAACAAAAGAGACTCAGTGGGTCTGAGATGGGGTTCAGGAATCTGCATTGCTAGCAGTCACTCCAGGTGGTTCTGAAGCACATTAAGCGCGACACTTGGAGAAACACCACAGAGGAGCCAAGACAGAGATTTTCCCTCCCATGCCATCAGCACAGCAACATCAGCCGGCAAGGGAGGGGGAACAATGCTCTATTTTCACATGGATCATCCATCAACTAGGTGTTTCTGAGGGAGTGTTAGAACTATCACTTAAAAGAAAACATGTTCTGATTTCTACATTGCTAACCTATGAAGAAACATTTCACCTGCTGTATACCCACACATTTAAAATTTATTATACAACAGAATTCCTCCATTTAAATGAAATAGTTTTCCTCTAAAGTATAATTTTAAGTATAAAACTTTAAAAAGTATAAACCATTAAATCCCCTAGCAATTTAAGAAATCCATTTGAATCAATAATCATTTATGAAGTATCTATAACATGTTGGGCACTGATATAGTTTGGGTCTGTGCTCCCACCCAAATCTCACTTTGAATTGTAATCTCCATGTGTTGGAGGAAGGGCCTGGTGGGAGGTGATTGAATCATGGGGGAACACTTCCCCCTTGCTGTTCTCATGATAGTGAATGAGTTCTAAGGAGATCTCGTTGTTTAAAAACGTGTGGCACTTCCACCTTCACTCTCTCTCTCTCCTGTCACCATGTAAGATGTGGCTACTTCCCCTTTGCCTTCTGCCATGATTGTAAGTTTCCTGAGGCCTCCCGAGCCATGCTTCCTGTATAGGCTGTGGAACTGTGAATCAATTAAATCTATTTTCTTCATAAATTACCCAGTCTCGGGTAGTTCTTTATAGCAGTGTGAGAACAGACTAATACAGACACCAAAAGAAGCAGTCTGATATTATAGAAAGGATACAACTTTTGTAATTGGAAGCAACCTGGGTTTAATTCCTGGCTCTGCTACTTGTTTGATTTTGAACAAGTTGCTTGACCCTACTAGGTCCCAGTTTCCTTATCTCTAAAAAAAGCAACAAAATACCTACATGCAAAGCCTCTGTGAGAAATAAATGAGATACATGTAATATGCAACAAGTGATAGCTGCAATCATAACAACAACACAATGATCTGCACTTTAGTAGTAGCTGTTTAAAAACACAAATACTTGACCTTTTCCTCATTAAAAATTAATTCCCTACATTTCCCATGTTCCTTTTCTTTTTGAGACAGGGTCTCCCTTAGTTGCCCAGGCTGGAATGCAGTGGTGCAATCATAGCTCACTGCAGCCTCAACCTCCTGGGCTCGGGCAATCCTTTCACCTCAGCCTCCTGAGTAGCTAGGACCACAGGTGCACACTACCACACCCAGCTAATTTCTATTTTTTTGTTGTTGTTTTTTTTGAATAGAGACTTGGTTTTGCCAAGGCTGGTCTGGAACTCCTGGGCTCAAGCAATCCACCTGTCTGGATCTTTCAAAGTGCTGGGATTATAGGCGTGAGCCACTGCACCCAGTCCATTTCCCATGTTCTAAAGTACTGAATACACAGGCTCTAAAGGCCAAATTCCAACTGCACCGTTTACTTGTCTGGGCAAATTACTTCACCTTTCTAAGTCTGAATTTCCTCCTAGATAAAAGGGATAATAATAATACACCTCTAGCTTGTATTTTATGAAGATAAAAATGAAGAATCTATCTAAAATGCTTAGCCACTGACTGGCACTCAGTAAGCACTGAGTAATTTTTACTCATAATTATCAAGCCATATTAAGAAATTATTACTCATATTAAGAAATTTTTACTCATTATTATCAAGCCATATTAAGAAATTATTTTCAAGCCATATTTGCTATTGCTGGTGCAAACAAGAGCAAATGATTTGACTAAGATAACTACATGTATCACCTATATCTAAATCTAAAAATGTTCCTTTAGCATTCTTCCTTCAGCAAAAAAAATAAATTAATAAAAAGCGAGTTAATTAATTTAAATGTTCCTAAATTTTAACATTGAGCAGATATTTTATTCTGCTTCAAAACTTTTGGGAGTCTGCTTTACCAAGAGCAGAAAATCTAAAACACATGATAGAATTGTAGGCTTTTCACAATTTGCCTGTATCACATTTCCTGCTCTTCCTTTCTTTTACCCCATCTCTGTCTCTCCACTCTAGACATCTACCTTCTCGCCATTTTCAAAGTGGGCTATATTCTCAAAGTTTTGGAGCAATGTTATCTCCTAAGAGATGAGTCATTAAATGCTACATTGACATTTCCTGCAGTTCCTCAAAAATCATTAGCCAAGACCTGAAACAAAATCGAATTATTCCTATTAATATGTGTTGCAATATCCACCAGTGTAGTCTTCTTGAGAATAAAGATTCAGACTCATAAAACTATGTTAGGCTGTACTTGGCATCAGAGTCACGTAGAAAGATGTGAGACAGGAAACATACCACACCAGCAAGGCAGTGTGAGGCATTCTCCCCTCAGTGGGAGGTCTTACAGCAGCTTACTCAGCTGTCCAGGACCTATTCTCTTTTTTCCCTCCCCGCCTCCCTAGAGAAAGCTCAGGTCTAAGGAGATGAGATTCATATTGGGCAAGTTTCCCCACAGGAGCCAATATCTCTTGCAACAACCTCAAAGTCACTGCTTCTAGGTCCCCTGCAATGTTAATCTACTATCACTACACTCAGGGAAGCCCAAATACGTGGCTTCTTATTAGGTATTTATAGTTCTTCTGGTCACATGCATTTTACTAATCAGAAGCCATTTTTGTCTTGAGCCGTGTTGCCTTATAACACAAGGGACACTCTACCTCTATCTAGTTTCCAGCAAAATTTTTCTACCTTTATCCAGTTTCTGGCAAAATTTGACATTTATAGGAAAGCGTGTGCCTTAAAAACGGGCAATTACAGTAGTTTTTCCAAAAATGGGGGAAAGAGAGGGAAGAAGAGAGAAAAAGACACTTGAAAAGACAGCTTAACAATATACTTACCATCATTAGCTGCACCATCTGCTAGAAATATGTAATAGCTTGTGTTTAGATCAAATCTATTCTTAACTCCAGGAAGGGTAATGTTTCTTCTGAAAGAACACTGCATAACACCGTCCGCCAACCTCCAAGCCATATCCTCAAGGGTATCCTACAAACACACACAATGGGTCTTCTCAGCACTTTCCAAAGATTTGCTAAAAATAAGATATGATCAAAATCCTGCCCTGTTCAGTTTCCTTTCTCTAAGATCGTATGTCCATGCTTTGTCTGCAGTGTCATTGTTTTTCCACTTCCTCTTTGAAGAGAACAAGAAACATTTTCTCCCAGTTTATTTGTCTTTATCCCACTTGGCAAAAAGAAAAAATATTATTTTTACTTTGAGCCAGAACTCCACAATTCCTCTACCTAGGTTAGAAATTTTAACAGATGTACTAACTCCATCTGGCCACTAGTATACAATCAAAAACATTGAAATAAACAATTAACAAGTACTACCCTAGTGGCCAAAATGCAACATGCAACTGGGGAGAAGTTCCAAGCCAGCCTTGGGAGTCAATCCCATGGGAAGGCTGTGCACAGTTATGTCATTAAGTAATAGCTACTGCTCCGTCAGAGCTCATTTGCTGTCATTAAGTGATAGCTACTGCTCTTTCAGAGCTCATTTGCTTGTCAACTGTCCTGCAAAAAAGACACTTCTCTACCAGAAATAGCCCACCTTTGACACACATGCCAACAAAGGGCACTTAAGACAACTGTCCAAGGCATCTCCAGCCTTCATCAAATGTGCTCCTCTTTCTCACTAGTCAAGAAATTTTGTCACTAATGTCATCCTGTCTTAGAAACCCGTCTGTAAGCTTTTGAAAGGAAGCTGATGCCCTGACCATCTTAATAAACCATAAAGTACTTTTTTGTAGGATACAACCAAAAGGATGTAAGTGACACAAGCAAGAATTCATCTTTTCCTACAACAGAAACTTCTGAAGTGTAGAAAAGTTTCTCAGAAATCATTATGAGAGGAGCCCTGCTGGCAGGCCCCTGCTCAGGCTAGGTGGAACTGTGGGGGTTGGAGGCAATCTAGCAGCACAGCCACGCCAGTGATAGCCACACAGCCGGAAAGCGGGTCTCCAGGTGGAGGTTCTCAGAATTTTCACACCTACCCTGGAGTCCATTACAGGGTGACTTCGCCCCGTTAAATGGGAAGGCTGGATGTACACAGTCTGATCTTCATGAATACACAGATAAGCATCATCATCACCCTGAAAAACAATTGCAAATGAGAAAAAAAGCTCAAAGGAATTTCAGCATTTTATTTTCTCTTTTTAAAAAAGTACATCAGGAAACCAAATATTATGTGATGCTTTGAAAACATAATTTACTGAATCATGAATGATGCTATGAATTCTAGAGAACTGGCTATCTGATTTGCGAATAGCAAATAATTTTGTTATAATACAAAAGCACTAGAATTTCAGTGTAAAATAATAGATTAAGATAGATATATAACATGTTTATATGTTCATAAACCCATCACTAATCGAACACCACTTTAATATTTTCATGTATATTCATCCAAACCTATTTGTATTATACCTATTTTTTCCTTCCCAAATGGGAAAATATAGAGTTCTGTTACCTTTTTTCAATTAACTTACCATAAACAATACTCCAGATATTTATTTATTAATAAATATCTATATCCTACATATTTTAATGACCAAATACACTGCATTGTACTGGATATTTTTTGGTAACTTCTAAGATGGAAGACACTGTAAAGAAATATTGCTACATAGTGTACATATTCAATAGATTTAATGTTATATAACTGAGGCAAAAATACCTGCACTCAAGGAGGAATTAGTCAAACAATCTACCTCTTATCTATCCTTTAGTCTCCAAAGATCCTTAACTCTGAAAGTTAGATCTTATTCTTTAAAGTGATAATCAAGCCAGACACAGTGACTCACACCCATAATTCTAGCACTTTGGGAGGCCAAGGCAGGAGGATTGCTTGAAGCCAGGAGTTTGAGATCAGCCTGGGCAATATGGTGAGACTTCATCCTAAAAAAAATTTTTTAAAAATCAGCCAAGCGGGCCGGGCGAGGTGGCTCACGCCTGTAGTCCCAGCACTTTGGGAGGCCAAGGCGGGCAGATCACGAGGTCAGGAGATCCAGACCATCCTGGCTAACATGGTGAAACCCCGTCTCTACTAAAAATACAAAAAATTAGCTGGGCATGGTAGTGGGCGCCTGTAGTCCCAGCTACTCAGGAGGCTGAGGCAGGAGAATGGCGTGAACCCGGGAGGTGGAGCTGGCAGTGAGCCGAGATCGCGCCACTGCACTCCAGCCTGGGCAACAGAGCGAAACTCAGTCTCAAAAAAAAAAAAAAAAAAAATCAGCCAAGCATGGTGATGCATGCCTGTGGTCCCAGCTACTCAGAAGGCTAAGGCAGGAGAATCACTTGAGCCCAGGAGGTCAAGTCTGCAGTGTGGCATGATCGTGCCACTGCACACCAGCCTGGGCAACTGAGGGAGACCTTGCCTCCAAAAAAGAGAAATAAAACAGAATAAAATAAAGTGATAATCAAAAAGCAGACTGTCAATTAATAGGGGGAAAAAGAATGAAAAAGAATACCAAAAAAGAAGCAGACTGTAACTTCAAAGTACATTTAAACAATGGCACAAAGGAATAATCTTGATTTTAAGTTATTATCCATGGTTTGGTCTTTCACTTGGTTTCTCCATAAACTATCTAACAAGGTTCTTTATGTGCTTTAGTCACCCAATTCCTTAAACAAGGTCCAAGACTACCCAGTTATAACAAATCTTGCTATAAATTCCAATATTAGATTCTAACATACTTCTATAGTTTCAGATTCAACTTTATTTTTAAATGTTCCACTTTTAAAAACTCTCAAGGATGTACTCTTAGCAAAGTAATTATGTACTGTTACACATATTACAGTAAAATCAGAATTAGCCCAATTCCAGATAAGAAATTTGGAGCAATCATGACTTAAACCAGGAGTCAACAAACCATGGCCAGCAAATCAAATTCAACCTAAAGCTTGTTTCTATATAGCTCATAGTTTAAGAATGACTTCTACATACTTAGGTGGTGAAAAGAATGTTTCATGACAAATGAAAATAAATCAAACTGAAATTCAATGTCCATGTTTCATTGGAACACAGCCACATTTATTCATGTACATATCATCTATGGCTGCTTTTATACTACAACAGAGTTTAGTAGCTACAACAGAGACCATATTGCCCACGAACTCTAAAATAGTTACTACCTGGTCCTTACAGAAAACGTTTTTTGAACCCCGATTTATTTTTTATTTTTTAAAAAAGTAGAGATGGATTCTCGCCCTGTTGCCCAGGCTGGTCTTGAAATCTTGGGCTTAAGCAATCCTCCTGCCTCAGCCACCCAAAGTGATGAGACTACAGGTGTAAGCCACCATGCTGGGCCTGAACCCTGATTTAAACAATGCATGTTTTCTATAATATCCATCATGAATGAGACATAGAAATTCTTTTGTTACACAAAAAATTTTAATACAAATAATGGTTGATTTGAGGCAAACTGAGGATGAGAAGTCAAATAAAATCAATACAAGTAGACCTCCCAAATATTAGAGAAGATGATGGGGATAGACAGCAGGTAACTCTCAGTTCTCACTATTCCAAATGAAGAGTAAGTGAACGTGCTACTCCAACCTCAGGCTCCAGGCAGTTCTAGAAACCTCAAGTTTGAAAGCATAAAAGTACACCCTATAAGAACTTCCACCAAATCCCTGGGTTGTACTGAAGCTCTCTCCCCAGTTTGCCCCTCTCAAGTCAAGCATTTAGAGAGCATCCTATGAGAGAACATTAAGCTGGACACTGTGGGAGAAACAAAAATGACTTTATTATAAGAATATGGCTCTTATAACCTAAAGCTATATTTTATTGAGCCAGACAGATAGGTAAAGTGACATGAAAAGACAAATTATGTATGGCCAGAGAATTGAAAATGGCTTATCAGAAAAGACAGTAATTAAGCAGACCTTAGAAGATAAAACATATTTATAGGAGGACAAGGTAAAGATGAGATTAAAGGAAAGATTTTCCAAGTTGAAGGACTTCTAGGACCAATGATATAGAAATATGAAAATTTTAAGAAACAGGTAGTTTTGCTAGCTAAAATATATAAAGGATAAAAAGAGAGCTCTAAGGCTGAAAATTCTAGAAGTATTCCCAAAGTATTGAGCACCATGCTTTAAGAAAAGAACAGTTTTTCTATAATTATTATATAATTCTATAATTACTAAAGTTTTGCCAAAGGTTTGGAGGGATATTTTTGAGACAATTTTTTTTTTTTTTTTTGAGGCAGGATCTTGTTCTGTCACCTAGGCTGGAATGCAGTGGTGCAAATACAGCTCACTGCAGCTTTGACCTCCTGGGATCAAGTGATCCTCCCACCTCAGCCTCCCAGGTATCTGGAACCACAGCTGCATGCCACTACGCCCAGCTAATTTTTTATGAATTTTTTGTAGAGATGAGGGTCTCGCCATGTGTTCCCAGGCTCATCTTGAATTCCTGGGCTCAAGCAATCCTCCCACCACAGACTCCCAAAGTGCTGGGATTATAGGCATGAGCCACCACGCCCAGCCAAGACGATCTTAAATGTGGCTTGGGGAGAAAATTCCAATGGCTGTGTGAAGGATGAAATGAAAGAGGAAATCATGGAAGCAAGAGGACTAATGGCGGGTTACTACAGCAGTCCAGGAAGCAGACAGTAAAACTACAAGCCAAGTCAGAGATAGTGACAATGCAACAAAGAGAATGAAAGAGGTACGTCAAAGATAGAATCAGAAGTACCTGGAGATCAGTAGCAGTGAACATATTAGCACCCAAATCTTGATTTCTAGATCTATTCCTACTAAAAGGAAATAAAGCTCTTTTGAGAAATGATGAAATGCATGAAAGTATGAATGGAGAACATCTTGTTACACCAGAAACAAAGACATGCTCAAAAGTGGTGGAGACACATCAAAAGGGCACAGAAGCCTGCTTGAAAGGGCTCCCATTGGCCGAATTGGCGTCAGTATGACCCTGTGAAAGAATGAATGGTGGTAATAAACTACAACACAATGGACAAAAGAAACCCATTAGTCCACAGTGTTATATAAAAGGGAAAGGCAAGTGCAGAGGAAAGAAAACTCGTATTTTCATAAGAATGCCAGCTAATAAGTAAGTTAGAAGATCACCATTTTGCAACCACAAATGTAACAATTGATTCATAGGAGAAACATCAATAAATGCAAAAACCTAGTTACAGGCTATTGGGGAACAGATTATTCATACAGACTCAAAGTATCATCCCACATATTACTTATTACAAAAAGAAAACAGACTTCATGATACAGAAATCTGACAGACACCAGTGATCAAACATAGCATCATCAATAATAGAACAATTGGACATTATGAAACTTTTGAAATAATGCACTGATGTGGAAATAATATCCCTTACATAGCATTTGTGCCAAAAAGTCTTAACATAAATCTATTATATAAATTGTAGAATATTCTACAAATAACTGGCCTGAATTTAATTTATAAAAAAGAAAAAGGATTAAGTAACTGTTCTAAAGTAAAGGAGATCCAAGAGATGTAACAACCAAATGCCCTGAGTAATAACTGATTGGATCCTGAATAAGAAATATTTTTATAAAACAAAGGACTTTATTGGGACAGCTGGGAAAATTGGAATACAGATCGTCTGTTACATAAAATTAACGTTAAATTTTCTTAATGTGATAAAAATATTGTGGTAATTGTAGGAGAATGTCCATGTTCTTAGAAGACACATGTTGAAAACCTTAGAGATGAAATGTCATGACTATCTGTAATTTACTTTCAAATAATTCAAGAAAAAAATATGTATTTATATACACCACAAAAATCAACTTAGGTAGATAGAAATAGAAAGATAAAGTGGCAAATCTAGGTGAAGGGCTTATGGGTGTTCACTGTACTATCTTTTTAACTTTTATTGAGGTTTAAAACTTTTCAAAACAAAAAATTGGAAATGGCAGAAGGAAGGACCTGAAAGATGGATGAAAGGAAGGAATCCAAGTCAAAACCAACATTTCTCTGAATACCAAAAAAGATGCTGGCAGCAGTAACTGATGTGTTTATAAATTGCCTAGGACAGTACCCAACAAGAAACAAGCCATCAACAATGGTAGGTGCTTTCCTAACATTGCTGATCACCAAGAATGGGGAAGACAAGGAGACATCAGGGGGCATAATAAAAAGTTCAGTCTTTTAGATGTTGCTTTGTGCTGTCCAGGAACACACATCTGGACGAGACCAGCCTGCAGCTGGAAATCACAGTCTGGAGTCCAAGGGAGTTCAGGATTGGGGACATCCTGGAATTGGGGCATGGAGAGATCATGTATGGAATAAGATGATACAGCGCAGTGGAAGGAGAAGGAAGGAAGCTAATGCGCATACTTGATAGACTTTACATTATTTAACAAAATATCTCAAATAGGAAAGAGGTATGTACAGTACATCTTCACTTAAACTCATAGGTAAGTTCTTGAAAATTGTGACTTTAAGCAAAACAACATACAACATGGCCAATATTCTTTCCTCATCAATGTCATAACAAAACGATATTGAAGGAAATGATATTATTCAAGGAACTGCTGTATGTAGCCTCACTTAAAGTCAGAGGCTCCAAGAACCTATTGACGACATGAAGTGAGGACTTATTGTACTTGGAAATTCAGTTAAAATTCACACATTAGCAAGTCATTATTATCAGAAATAGGGTAAATTACACATTTTGATTTTAGTGATGAGGTCTAACATACCAAAATAATTGCTAACATTAATTTACAAGCCAAATTGAAAAAGGGGTATAATTTAGGTTATCGAATGAGTATTCGTGACATCAGATACCTTCAGTATTTAAATTTACATTATACACTCCAAAGAAATAGCAGGTCACAAAAATACCTGAAAGTTTTAAAAGTAATAACCAAAAATAGAAATAACCACTTAAAAATATATTTTGAGGATGATTCATTTCCCCCAAGTTAGTCAAACAGGTGTACAGATTATTTTAATCATTAAACAGGATTTCTCTGTAAATCAACTGCACCTGCGTAATTAAGCCTTTTTTGTAAACATTTTTGAGGAGTACTATACTGGAAACAGATAAGATTTCTAAGTAAGATAAATATATCTTGAATTAGAGAGAAATGCTTTTGTGCCATCAATGCCTACAATTTAGAACAGAATAACTGACCTACCTGTGGGCTACTCATTACCATACTGAATGCAGTAACAGTCTTTCCCTCTTGCTTACAGGTTTTACGTAACCAGTAAAAGGAAATGTATCCGTATACTATAGCATGAATCTTGGCTATAAAGTGACTGGAATAAGTTGGATTTTTTTTTAAGTGGCTAGAGCATATATCTAAATGAGTGCTGTAACTCAGAGATGAACCTTAATGAAACTATACATTCATTCAACAGGTTAATCCTTTTTGGACTCATTTTCAGAATTTCCTTTCTAGCCAGTTTTATCACATTCACATGACAGCAGCACTACCACCACCTATCATTATTGCTTTATAGTCACATTTTATTTTCAACTCAACCTCATTCACCTTATACACTAAACATTGTTCATTTTTGCCAACACTAAGAATATCCAAAAGAATATGCTACAGGTCTGATGGCAATCACAAAAGGAAGTGGGGAAGATGTTTTGAACAATCAGCGCATCAGCTGAGCAAGTATAAAATTTCCTATACAAGCAACTTGGAAGGGGAAGGATTCATTATTTCTTATATGTTATTTTTTTAAGTACATGGTATCTTTTGTATCTCATAGACTTAAGGTATATCTTTTGTTTAATGAAAGAAGATAGAAGTGCATTCTAGAGGTGTCTAGTGAAATATGTAGGTCATATATACATACTGAAATGGTATCCTACATCATTCTCAGCAAACTATCGCAAGGACAAAAAACCAAACACCGCATGTTCTCACTCATAAGTGGGAATTGAACAATGAGAACACATGGACACAGGAAGGGGGACATCACACTCCGGGGACTGTTGTGGGGTGGGGAGAGTGGGGAGGGATAGCATTAGGAGATATACCTAATGTTAAATGACCAGTTAATGGGTGCAGCACACCAACATGGCACATGTATACATATGTAACAAACCTGCACATTGTGCACATGTACCCTAAAACTTAAAGTGTACTAATAATAAAATAAAAATAAATAAAATAAAAATAAAAAAGAATAAAAAAAAGAATTAGGACAATTAAAAAAAAAAAAGAAAGTTAGTTACATCCAGCGTCTTACAATACTTGCAAACACTGCTCCAGGACCAATGTGATCAAGTGCACTTTCAGGACGAGCATTAGTTTTTCTATTACAGCCATGTCAGAGTTCCTTTTCTTTTTCTGAAATATGATTCCCTAAAGAAGTGGTGTTAAGTTTAAATCCTGATAAGAAGAAAACCCTCAAGACAAGAACGCCTGTGCTAATAAGGGGCTTTCTCCATTTCTGGTCATCCCTATGCCCCAAGGCCCACTCTGCTTGAACAGGACTTATACACGTCCTGGCCACAATACTCTTCCTGCTCCCTAGGAAAGCGAGATGTTTATGCAGGCCTCTGCTCTTCCACACCACAGCACAAGGCTGCCACCTACAGAATCATTTAATCCATTTCAGCACTACCCAGGATGAGTGAGAATCGGCTTAAAATAAATGCTGCCTTCTGCTGATTTGACAAAGGAGCCTACTGTAATACATGCTGCCTGGATATACAAGTTTAATTCTCTTTTTAGGAAAGGCACTGATGACTACTAAAATAGGACAAAAGAGCAGGAACACATGTTTTAGTTCTGGCCACTTGAATAAACAATTCTGGTTTGAAAAGCATTACAAAAAACATGACATTTTATGCAGAACAACTTTTCTTAACTGTATTTCCTGCTTTATCGCAAAGAGACAGACAGACATAAAATGGCAAATACACTGGAAATAAAATGATCTTCCAAACTTTCCTTAGGACAGCCTGTTCTTGGAAGTAATTGCCCAACTGTTAAAATCATACAGTACTCAAAGCCGTTTAACTTAGAATCTGTTCTAAGTTAGCTTCTCCTGGATGATCATTTGACCCTGGAACAAACAGTTTCAATGATTCTCCTTTTGGTTTTTTGTTTGTTTGTTTTGGGGGGGTTTTTTTAGATGGAGTCTCACTCTGTCGCCCAGGCTGGAGTGCAGTGGCACAATCTTGGCTCACTGCAACCTCCACCTCCCAGGTTCAAGTGATTCTCCTGCCTCAGCCTCCCGTGCAGCCGGGATTACAAGCGCCCGCCACGACGCTAGGCTAATTTTTGTATTTTTAGTAGAGGTGGGGTTTCACCATCTCGGCCAGGCTGGTCTTGAACTCCCGACCTCGTGATCCACCTGCCTCGGCCTCCCAAAGTGCTGGGATTACAGGCATGAGCCACCATGCCTAGCCGTGATTCTCCTTTTGTTACCACTTATGTAAGTGAGAGGTACCAACCATCCACTGATCATGAGACAATGCAAAGGATAAATAGCCTTTACTGGGGCCGCTCATTTCAACCATCACCGATTGGTCATCTCTTGTGAAGGACAAGAAGACACAGGAAGCCTCCTTCTCTGGGTCACAGTTCAAAGGACTCCTAATACAGAACTTCTTGTTCCCACAATCTGAGGCACTGAACTAGAAAAATGACAGAGGAAAAAAAAATCTTAATTATCAAACAAGCAGTTCATTGGCAATGACAGAAGAATAACTACCTTCAAGTACGGGTAGCTCCCAAATTAATGAGAATACCTTTCCATAATAAGCATTCAAATAAGGAAACAAAAGACACATCCCAAATTAAAAATGATCGGAGCAGTAGTTAGGTTATGAACTTTTAAACTTAATTAATTTTAATTAAAATTTGGAAAACATACACTTGTTGGGCTGTAATTGTGCAAGGGTATTAAAGCTCCTGTAATACACAAAACATTTCACATTAAGTAAGTTTTGGAGCAAAGTTTCTGATAGGTTTTGAGAAATTTTTGAGTTAATATTTCAGTCCCTAAGACTTAAATGACACTAACGTTCCTGCCTAAAGGGTATCCTCTAGTTCTCAGAGATGAAGATTTAAAAAGCAAACAAATAAATACTTAGAAAGCTATTATATTTAGGTTGTGGATTCTGCTTCTAGAATTCTGATTCAAATTTCGTACTAAAATGACATAAGAAAAAAATGGTCGCCCCAATTTACCAGCATTCCAAATAACCATAGTGATTTATTGGGGGGAGAAATAAGCAACAATCGGATGACTTAATCCCGAGCTTCTTGATAAGGAATATAAGACGAAGAGTCTTAGAAAAAAAAATCAGCTGTATAATCTGATAAATGAGCAGACTTTGTTCGAATGCTGTGACAGTAAATTTCAGAAGAGAGCTAAACATTATGTAACTAGAGTTCATGGAAATGTAAAGACAGATCATACTAGGGTGAAGAGAACAAGCCACTGGGGAATTAAGAAACTTGGACTTTGGTCTCTGCTCTCCCCTTCCCTACATCATGTTTGCCAAAGGACTTGTTCTCTCAGGATCCCTGAACCTTCAACTACACAACAAGAAAACTGTAAGAAATAGACCCTGAGGTATCTTCGAGCTCTAAAAATGCTATAAACCTTTGACTCTGAATGAACCTCCCTATAATTAGAGATTATAAACATGGCACAAAGACACAATAAAAGTTCCAACAAGAGCCTTTGATTGAATATACGGAAAGACAACAATATTGTCAACAGATTCCTACTGGGAAGCTCAGGTCCAAACTGACTGTGTATTTCCCTAAAGCAGCTTTTAATTAAATAAGGATTAAGCCTAAACTGAGAGCTAGTACAAATAACAGATCTAATTGTATGGTCAAACGAAAGTGCAACAATCATAATAATGTAATCAAATATAGTGCCCATATGCTATAAGACGTTGAAGAGAAGGAAAACAAAATAAGGAGCAAAGCGCATTACTTTGTCTTCTCTATGTGAATAAAAAGGTACAGAAGGATAATAAAAAGAAGGAAAAAGAAAAGGAACTAATGTTTACTGAATATCTATTAAATGCAAGACACAGTTATAGAAAACTTACATTCATTATTTTAATTCTTACAGTGATACTAAGAGCTAAATATTATTACATCTCTTTCTATAGGTGAGGAAACTGAGACTGAAAATTAAGTAATTTGCCCAAAGACACACGAAAATTAGGCAAGTCAGTATTTAGGCCCACGTTTGTTCTTTCAACTGAAACAACCTTTCTCAACACGTTTTTTTTTTATTGTATCCACTTCTGAATTGAGAAGTCTAACTTATCAGAATTTCCTGCAGTAAAACCCTTCTTCCTTATGTTTCTAATATGCATAACACTTTCCAAGATACGTCTTGTCAATCATAAATCTTTTAAATCAGAGGGCCTAGATGAAATTCTAACTGATGAATTTACAAGACATTTTCTGTTGTTCAGCATATACAATTCCCTAGGACTCTCTGACCTTAATGAAATGAGATCTAAGAGTTATTATCACCATTTCAAGAATCTCCTCCAAATCTTGTCTAAATTTAACTTAAGCTCTTCTTTTGATATCTGGCTGTGTTTAAAAGAAAGAAAAAAAAACTATTGCTTCATCAGATTTATTTTCAAATGAAAACATATCCACCACCAGTAAAGACTACAGGTGAATGTCATGACCAAACCTTGAACATGCAGGGTCTTGCATTCCCTTCATTCTAACCTGTAAGTCATAAGGTTGCAATGAAGGCTTCCTTCAGATTCCTACAGAGGACTCCAAAACGTGCTACCACTACCCAGCACAGCTACTTCTCTATGCACTTTGCCACACAAAATACACAGAACCACAATTTCCAATCACAAATTTACCTGTTTGCTCACATAGAGAAAACTAAGTACAGCACTTTACTCCTATGTAATGTCTTATTTTGTTTACCTTCTCTTCTGTATTTTATAATATATGGACATTATATTTGGCCACATATTATTTAGATTACATTTAATGAAGCTATAAAAATGTTACTAAAGCTGGGCACAGTGGCTCACACCTGTAATTCCAAGCACTTTGTGACTCCAAGGCAGGAGGATCACTTGAGCTCAGGAGTTCGAGACCGGCCTGGGCAACATGGTGAAACCCCATCTCTACAGAGAAAATAAAATTGTTACTTACTGGTTTGGTTAAGTGGGAAACGGGAGGTAACGTTGGCAAAGGTACTACTGTAGCTTTAGGTGTTGTAAAAGGAAATGCATTTGGTTGTGAAATTATAGGACCAGGAATCTTCACCCAGTAGATTTTATACTTCTCAACAACTGTGACTCTGAAATGCAATACCAGTGAGATTAGAACCCTAATTGTGTCCTGTCACAATCAGATCAAAACGTTAAAGGAAAAAAAAAAGAAAGACTAAACTAGAAAAACATGACTTACTACCTAACAGGACTATTAATTTTGCCTGAGGCAAATCTCTAACCACTCTCTCCCACCCGATCACTTGACAAATTTTTATTGCTTTCTCTCCCTCTGTCCCTCTTTCCTTATTTGTCTGTTTTGGGGGCATATTCACAATAGCCATGATGTCAGACCCAGGGACAAAACTGCACAGATTTCTACTTCCTGGCATATGAAGAACATACTACAAGTCATTTCAGAGTGCAGTATTCAATTCTTCCAAAGGGCATGTGTAGCAAGCAACAACAGCAACAAGCTATAATAGAGGCTGCATCAGTAACCATCAGCTTTCACTGGGGTCACACCCCCTTTTTCACATTCCATCTAACATACCAGTGCAGAGTTGTGTTACTGTGTGTTGGGGACCCACGCACAAAGTGAAGAAAACAGTCATGTCAGGATAGCAATCCTTCCCTTAAAATATATGTCCATATCACCCCTCAGGAATCATTAGATGGCATTATAACATTCCATTTCCCCTTGTATGTAGGATAAGGAAGAAGTTCTGTTTTAATTCTACTGAGTTTCATAATTTGAGAGGCATGCAGTCTTTCTGAGAGTCTAATCTGCAAGTTGTAATACTGCAAAAGAGTAAGAGTCATCCAAATTTCAAGACTTTCATTTGTATTCTCATGCTAATACAGGAGCCAATCTAAAAGTAGTATTATATAACATAAAGACTCAAGTATTAATTGATAGCTCTTATTAGGATTAAGGCAGTACAAGACTTCATTCACTTAACAAATGTCTATTAAATGTGTATTTTGTGACAGGTCCTGTGCTAGGTGATAGGTATACACTGGTAAAAAGCAAAACAAACTCCTACATCAGGAAGGTTGTGTTATTACTATACCAAAGCTCTCCTACATGTGTGAATGTCCAATAGGTACAGAAAATGATACAGACTAATTATGGTTTCAATTATACTAGTAGTTACAGAGTTGTAAACTTTTTTTTCCTTTTTTTAGAGATGGGGTTTCACCATGTTGCCCAGGCCAGTCTCAAAATCCTGGGCTCAAGTGATCCACCACCTTGGCATCCCAAAGTGCTGGGATTATAGGCATGAGCCACCATGCCTGGCCCAGAATTATAAACTCTTATACTCACAGAAACTGTGTGTGATTTGGAGCACTGCTTGGAGCATTCCAGTAGACTTTAATTTCTGTTTTTTTAGATGCACTTCTGTGACTCACTGCTGATCCCTGAAATAAAAGGGAAAAGAGCTACCATTCAGTCACTCAATAGCTCAGCATGGCTGGAACTTCTATCATTTTGCGAAGTAATTTATCATTGCATGACATTAGCATTCTGGTGAAGACTATTTTATTTAGAAGAAGGACTCAGGCACTCCATAAATGAAATGTTGATTGGTTGAGAACATATTAGCAGCTGGCTCTGTGAATAAATGAGAGTCCACAGAAATCTAAGAACTGAAGAGAGCTGTGAACACTGGGTACGTTAACACTAGATAGAGCTTGCTCATTGTTTCATGTACATTATAAATTTATATCTCTTCCATTAATAGATACAAATAGAATGCAGAAGATTCTTCGAAAGAGAAAAATTTCCTGCCTTCAAATACGTAGCATGATATTTTAGTCATTCCTTTCTCCAGAACAATCTTGTTTCCCACTTTCATGCACCTGGCCAACTCCTACTCATTCTTTGAGGCCTTACTTGAAGTTCACCTCCTCCAAGAAGCTCTCTCCCAATTCCTTCCAGGCTGTGTGTGGCTCTCTCTGCTATGCTTCCCACTCACTGTGTATGCTTCTAACCAAAGTTATCACACGGTTCTACTTATGTGTTCATAGATGTGCTTATATGTAAAGTAAGGAGTTCTTCAAGGAGCAAGAGTAAGTCTTGTCCATCACCTATCCCTCCCATTCAGGACCATTTTTGGTGTAAAAATAAATGGATGAATGAGTAAATAAATGAAAAAAAAATTAGACTCCTGTCATACTCTAGATCTCTGTCTTCAATATTAAAACCCTTCAAAAATTAATATAATTAAGAGCCAATATTCATATAAAACATCACAAGCTATAAATTCTTCAAACTACTTTACCTTTTATAGGGTGCTGATGTGTAAAAACATATTGCACATAAAATTAAGGAAAAAGTCTGATTGTTGTAAATCCATTTAGATGTTTACAATACATGGTTAATGTCATCATTTATCTTGCAACCACCACCTTATAGTGAAAAGAACCCCAAAAAAAACTGACAGAGAGCAATTTCAAACTACAGTTGACCCTTGAACAACACAGGTTTGAAGTGCATAGGTCCACTTATATACAGATTTTTTTTCAATATATATATTAGAAAAGCGTTTGGAGGTTTTCAACAATTTGAAAAAACTCAGACAAACTGCATAGGCTAGAAATATTGAAAAAATTAAAAAGTTAGGTATGCCTTAAATGCACAAAATATATAGGTATTAGTCTATTTTATCATTTACTACCATAAAATATGCACACACCTATCACAAAAAGTTAAAATTTATCAAAACATACATACACAAACAGACCACACATGTGCCATTCACAGAGACATATAAACAAATGTAAAAATGCAGTATTAAATCATAACTGCATAAAATTAACTGTAGTTGGGACTACAAGCACATGCCACCACACTCAGCTAATTTTTGTATTGTTTTGTAGAGACGGGGTTTCGCCATGTTTCCCAGTCTGGTCTCAAACTCCTGAGCTCAAGCAATCCACCAGCCTCAGCCTCCCAAAGTACTGGGATTAGAGGGATGAGCCACTGCACCCAGCTTTTATCGTGTTTTGTGCACTACTGTAAACCTTGAATAACACCATGGGGCCCATACGAAGTGCCACTAGTGATGCGGTAAGAGTTCTCAAGAAGCAGAGAAAACTCATGACATTACAAGAAAAAGCTGAATTGCTTGATATATACTGTAGATTAAGGTCTGCTGCTGCAGTTGCCCGCCATATCAAGATAAATGAATCCAGTATAAGAACGATTGTAAAAAAAAAAAAAAGAAAGAAAAGAAAAGAAAATTCGTAAAGCTGTCACTGCAGCTATGCCAACAGATGCAAAAACCTCACATTTTTTGTGAAAGACCTTTTCATCTCATATCGGAAATGCAGCTTTTATGCAGGTGTAAGAATTGCTGTAAGAAAGGGATACTTATAGACTAATATTATTCAAGAAAAAGCAAAGTCATTATATGACAACGTAAAGCAAATGGAAGGTGAAGGGTCTAAAGCTGGAGAATTTAATACCAGCAAAGGATAGTTTGATAATTTAGAATAAAAGTTTGGCTTTTAAAATGTCAAGATAACAAGAGAAGCAGCTTCTATTGACCAAGAGGCAACAGGCAAGTTCCCAGGCGTCATTAAGAAAATCATTGAAGATACCATCCCGGCTAACACGGTGAAACCCCATCTCTACTAAAAATACAAAAGGCCGGGCGCAGTGGCTCATACCTGTAATCCCAGCACTTTGGGAGGCCAAGGCGGGCGGATCACCTGAGGTCGGGTGTTCAAGACCAGCCTGACTAACATGGAGAAACCCCATCTCTACTAAAAATACAAAATTAGCCGGGCGTGGTGGCACATGCCTGTAATCCCTGCTACTCAGGAGGCTGAAGCAGGATAATCGCTTGAACCCAGGAGGCGGAGGCTGCGGTGAGCCAAGATCCCTTCATTGCACTCCAGCCTGGGCAACAAGAGTGAAACTCCGTCCAAAAATAATAACAATAATAATAATAATACAAAAAATTAGCCGGGCGTTGTGGCGGGCGCCTGTAGTCCCACCTACTCGGGAGGCTGAGGCAGGAGAATGGCGTGAACCCGGGAGGCGGAGCTTGCAGTGAGTTGAGATCAGGCCACTGCACTCCAGCCTGGGCGACAGAGGGAGACTCCGTCTCAAAAAAAAAAAAAAAAAAAAAAAAAAAAGAAAGAAAGAAAAGAAAATCATTGAGGAGAAAGTGTATCTGCCTTAACAGGTTTTTAATGCAGACAGAAGTACCCGATTTTGGAAATTAATGCCACAAAGTCACTTATTAGTAAAGAAGAGAAGCAAGCACCAGGATTTAAGGCAAGAAAGAGCAGGCTATCTCTACTGTTTTGTGCAAATGCAGTCAGTTTATGATCAGGACTGCTCTTACCTATAAAGCTGCTGGCTGCTAATCCCCGAGCCTTGAAGGGAGAAGATAAACATCAGCTGCCACTGTTTTGGTTGTTAACTACAAGAAGTCCTGGACAATAAGAAATCTTTGTCTGGATTGGCTCCATGGACGTTTTACCTCTGAAGACAAGAAGCACCTTGCCAGTAAAAGACTGCCTTTTAAAGGTTCTTTTGGCCGGCACGGTGGGTCATGCATGTAATCCCAGTGCTTTGGGAGGCCGAGGCGGGAGGATCAGTTGAGGTCAGGAGTTCGAGACCAGCCTGGCCAACATGATGAAACCCCATTTCTACTAAAAATACAAAAATTAGCCATGCATGGTGGTGGGCGCCTATAATCCCAGCTACTCAGGAGGCTGAGGCAGGAGAATCACTTGAACCCAGAAGGCAAAGGCTGCAGTGAGCTGAGATCGCACCACTGCACTCCAGCCTGGATGACAGAGCGAGACTCTGTCTCTAAATAAATAAGTGTTCTATTGATATTTGATATAGTTTGGATATTTGTCCCCACCCAACTCTCAAGTTAAATTGCAATCCCCAGTGTTGGAGGTGGGAACTGGTGGGAGGTGTTTGTGTCAGGAGAGCAGATTCCTCATGGCTTGGTGCTGTTCCTCGAGATAGTGAGCAAGATCTGGTTGTTGTAAAATGTGGCACCTCCCCCCCCACTAACTCTCTCTCTTGCTGTTGCTTTCACCATGTGAAGTGTCTGCTCCGGCTTCAGCTTCTGCCATGAGTAAAAGGCCATGAGGCCTCCCTAAGGCCTCCCCAGAAGCTGAGCAGATGCCAGTGCCATGCTTGTACAGCCTGCAGAACAGTGAGCCAATTAAGCCTCTTTCCTTGTTAAATTACCTAGTCTTAGGCACTTCTTTTAGCAACACAGGAACAGCCTAATACAATATTAGACAATGCCCCTGCTACCCAGAACCCCATGAGCTCAACACCAAAGCCACTGAAGTAGCCTCCTTGCCTCCAAATACAATGTCTCTAACTCAGTCTCTAGCTCAGGAAGTCTTAAGGACATGTAAGGCTCTTTACACACAGTACTCGATGGAAACGATTGTCAACGCTATGGAAGAGAACTCTGATAGAACATCATGAAAGTCTGGAAGGATTACACCATTGAAGATACTATCGTTATTATAGAAAAAGCCAAGACAGCCATCAAACCCAAAACAATAAATTCCTGCTGAAGAAACACTGTATCTAGATGTTGTGCATGACTTTTAAAGATTTACAGAGCCAATCAAGGAATCATAAAAGAGACTGTGAATATGGAAAAAAAAGGTGGGGGACGAAGGGTTTCAAGACATGAATCTTCAAGAAATTCAAGAGCTAATAGACACCACAACAGAAGAATTAACAGAAGACAACTTGATGGTGAGTGTTTCCAAACCAGTGCCAGATGACGATGAGGACTATGGAGAAGAAGCAGTCCCAGCAAACAAACTGACATTAGACAACCTGGCAGAAGGGTTCCAATTATTCAACAATGCTTTTGCCTTCTTCTACGACATGGACCCTCCTATGATATAGCACTGAAACTAAAGCAAAGCGGGGAAGAATTGGTACCATATAGAAACATTTTTAAGAAAACGAAAAAACAAAAAAGTCAGACAGAAATTACAATGTATTTCTATAAAGTTACACCAGTGTGGTGCCTCTCCTGCCTCCCCTTCCACCTCCTCCACCCACCCCAAGACAGCAAGACCAGCCACTCCTCTTCCTTCTCCTCTTCAGCCCATTCAACATGAAGGCAATGAGAATAAAGACCTTTATGATAATCCACTTCTATTTAATGAATAGTAAATATATTTTCTCTTATTTTCTTAATAAGATTTTTCTCTTGTCTAGCTTACTTTATTGTAAGAATACAGTATATAACACATATAAATACAAAATATGTGTTAATCAACTATTTGTTATCAGTAAGGCTTCTGGTCACCAATAGGCTATTTGTAGTTAAGTCTGGGGGGAGTCAAAAGTTATACACAGATTTCCAATTTCCCCAGGGGTGGGGTCTGCACCTGTAACCTCCACATTGTTCAAGGATCAACTCTAAACACAAACCTGTATATCTTCACAGGTCAAAAGTTGTGACACTTCACTGTCAATCAATGTGAAGGAGCCAATAGGAGGGCCATTCAGATCCTCAGCATTACGCGCTTCTAGGAGAAAGCCTTTAAATGGATGCCCTGACAAAGTAACTGAGAAAAAGACAAAAGGGTTGGTTAAAAAGCTTAGTAATATCAAAAAAAAATGTTTAGAGGTTGTACATTACAATTACAATGAGGTCTACATATGCAAAAGTACTCCTGGAGAGAAAACAGTCATCTTATAGGCAAAGAAGCTCTAAACTTTTTCCATAAAATTTTTTCCAGTGTTCCATAAGATATTCAATCTGTGAGATATTAATAGCCATTCCGCAAAGAGAAAAGAAAAATAGGTGATGGTCCAGGGGCAGTCCATAAGGCTAAGTTAGTTTGGAAAATGCTAGATGATACCAATTGGGTACTATGCTTATCACCTGAGTGATGAAATAATCTGTACACCAAACCCTCGTGACATGGAATTTACCTATAAACAAACCTACACATGTACCCCTGAACCCAAAATAAAAGTTTAAAAAAAAAATGTTTACTTGACCTCATTAGAGGAAAAAACATGAGGTGTTTTCTTTTGAATTGCAGTATTTAACACAGTGTCTGGCTCACAGTGACACTCAATAAATTCTTATTGAATTACAAAAAAAGAAAAACACTGGATGAAAGTAAATACTTGTTTCTTTACTGCAAATTTCTTAGGATATTTAATATCCTACTGTACAGTGTGAACTCTAAGGTATATTATATATCACACAGAATATTCCAAACTTATTTTTCTATATACTCTCTATGTAACAGAGTACCTGTTAACATTTTGCATTTCTAGAGTTGCAAAAAATAGTTTGCAAAATGCTGTTATAGATTTATCTTTAATAATCAGCCTACATTTTACCAGAGAAATTAGAGAATTGTTCTTAAAATTATATGATATCAAGAAGGACAAGGGTTTATTATATTTTAAACAAGATAAAATAAACTTCATTTTTCTCTTCTCTTGAAGTGATAGCACAATTAATAAAAATAGTAAATAACGATAAAAACTTATTTTAAAGCCTGTTCTGGATGGGGAATACACAGACTACTTAAGTAATACAGTCATCTGGAACCAAAAATAAGAAGTATGATAGTATCTTACAAAAGAAAACAGATTTAAGTGAAATCTTCTAAATCAAGTAATAATAAAGATTCAATAAACAGTAAAAGAGTGAAATCCAAAATGTAAACAGTTAATCCCAGCACGGTACCTTCAATCTGATCTCCTGGCCTGAATGTCATCTGACTCACGTAAATGTCATGAACAGGAACAGACTGTGGACTATGACCATGTTCAGGAATCATTCCATGGCATGACTGTGTTACTTTTCCATTGGGATAATTAGCCACATAACTAATGTGCAACAGAAGTATGCAGGTACCAAGAGTAAATCCAGAAACTGCCATCTCAAAAAGAAGGGTAAAAGCCCATTATTGTCATATATAATTAAAATATAAAAGCTTTTACACAACTGGACCATAATTCTAGATAACTACTTGCTTTCTGTGTTCAGCAAACCATATTCTCAACATACCTGATAAAAAGAATGTGATATGTGAAGTTTCACCCGAATTTCAATCTCAGCTCTACAAATTACTGTGAGACTTTGGGCAAATCATTTAATCCTCCACTTCCTTACCTGAAAAATAAGGAAACAAAGATCTCTTTTCAATGCTGTTTTTTTTTTCTCGAGACATAGATCTCGCTCTGTTGCCCGAGCTGGAGTGCAGTGGCACAATCTCGGCTCACTGCAACCTCCGCCTCCCGGGTTCAAGTGATTCTCTTGCCTCAGCTTCCCCAGTAGCTGAGAATACAGGCATGCGCCACCACACCTGGCTAATTTTTGTATTTTGGTAGAGACGGAGTTACACCAGGCTGGTCTCGAACTCCTGACCTTAGGTGATCCGCCCACCTTGGCCTCCCAAAGTTCTGGGATTACAGGCATGAGCCACTGTGCCTGGCCCAATGTTGTTTAAATAAAAATGAAAATATAGCTCAAAATCTGACAAGGAAGATAATAAATAATAGCTTTCTTTATTATCAATTGGAAATAATAAACTAGTCAATAAAAGCAAAAGGTTTTACTCCACGTCATCCTAGAAAGCTTAAAGAACAAAGAAGAAATGTTTCTTCTGGATTTAAATATCATCACCTGAATAAATCTATGATAAGACTTTTCCCAACTTCCTATTAAACTGATCATGATGACTGGGTGGATTATTTAATTTGCAATACTGAAAACTGAGGATAACAGAGAACCAATTGGTAGAGATAATAATTCTACTACATGTAGCCCAGATACTTCTGAATTAAGAAACACAATTGTCAGCCCACACAATCTTCTTCCCTCCCACAGCTCCAATCTTCCTCTTAGCATCTGGATAATAGAAAACCAGCTACTTTACCTCAGTCCCACACTCTTGTAGCCCAGATCAACCACTTTGCTTCATGCATATATTCAAAACCTGCAAATCACAGGACTCAACAAGGCTGGAGGTGATGAGCAGTGACATGATACATGGCAGTAAATAAAGTTAACACCATGGACAGGTTGCAGATGGGAAACACCTAAGAGGCAGTTTATTATTTATAGAAAAGGAGTTTTCTATATCATATATCTGGTCATAGACAATAGCAGCCTTAGAATCACTAGAAAAAATTATTGTTTTTTAGTTATGTCAATCAGGAGCAACTATTTAACCGCAGCCTAACCTGCTGGGGTTTTATCAGAGCCTACATGACCTGGAGGATGGGAAATACCCAATTCCTGCCCACATTAGCCATCCTGTTTCACTTAAGTGGGGGAAGAACCTTGAAGCGGTTGTGAAGTTCACACTCCAGGGGCATAAGCTCACTAAAATACTGAGGTCTACTCACAGGACTACAGAACAGTTCTCCTCCTCCCTCTCCTTACCACCACATTATTAAAGGCCTATTTACAGCAGTTCCTTTTACCCACTGCATCATGTCCAGTTATTAAGAACAAATTACAAGGCATACTGAAAGGCAGAGAACACAATTTGAAGAAATAGAGCAAGCCTCAGAACCAGACTTAGGTATGATGGAGATGTTGGAATTATTAGACCAGGAATTTAAAACATTATGATTAAGATGCTAAATGCTCCAATGGATAAAGTAGATGGCATGCAAGAACAAATGCACAGAGATGGAAATTCTCAGAACCAAAAAGAAATGCTAGAGATCAAAAACACTTTAAAAGAAGTGAAGTATGGGCTTGTGGGTAGACTGGACATATCTGAGATAAGAATCTCTTAGCCCGAAGATATCTCAATAGAAAAATATCAAACTGAAAAGAAAAAAAAAAAGACTGAAAAAGAGAACAGATCCAAGAACTGTGGAACTACAAAAGGTACAACAAATGTGGAATCGGAATTCCAGAAGGAGAAGAGGGAAGGAAACAGAAGAATTATTTGAAAAAATTATGACTGAGAATTTCCCCCAAACTATTATCAGACACACAATACCAAGTAGGATAAATAAATAAATAATAAATAAAAAACTACATCTAGGTATATATGATGGTTAATTTATATGTCAACTTGACTGGGCTGAGGGATGTTCTGATAGCTGATAAAATATTATTTCTGGAAGTGTCTATGAATGTATTTCTAAAAGAGGTTAGCATCCCAGTCAGGAAACTGAGTAAAAAGATCACCTCACCAAAGTGGGTAGGTATCATCTAATCCTCTGAGGCCCTAAATAGAATAAAAAAGCAGAGGAAGAGGGAATTACTCTCTCTTCTTGATCTGAGACATCCCTCTTCTCTTGCCCTCAGACATCAAGGTTCCTGGTCCTGGGGCCTTAAAACCACAGGACTTACACCAGCAATCCTTTCCCCAACCCAAGGCCCTCAGACCTGAACAGGAGGTGCGCTATGGGTTCCCCCGGTTCTTAGGCCTTTAGGCTTACACTGAACTACTCCAGCAGCTTTCCTAGTTCTCCAACTTGTAGACAACAGATTTTGAGACTTGTGGGCTTTCAGAATCACAAGTCAATTTCCATAATAAATATCTATAATAAATATAAATAAAATCTTATTTTAATCTGTAACTGTGGAAAACCCTGATTAATATGGCATATCATTTTCAAACTACAGAAATCTAAGTGTTTTTTTAAATCCTGAAAGAAGCCAGAGGAAAAAGAAAGGAACAAAGATGAGAACTATATCTGACTTTTGCTCAGAAACCACACAAGCAAGAAGAGAGTAGAGTGAAATATTTAAAGTGTTGAGAGGAAAAGGTGGCACCATAGAATTCTATACCCCAAAAGATTATCTCTCAAAAGTGAAGAAGAAATAGGAAGACTTTCTCAGACAAACAAAAATTGAGGGAATGTGTTGCTGGTAAAACCTATCTTGCAAGAAAAGTGAAAAGAAATTCCTAAGAGAAAAGAAAAACAATAAAGGTCAGAAATTCAGATCTACATAAAGAAAGGAGAGCATTGGAAAAGAAATAAGTGAAGGTAAAGTAAAAATGTTTTTCTTCCACTTAGTCTAACATGAAAGTTTGTTCAAAATAATAATACATATAATTATTTTTATATGTTTATATATGCTTACTTTCGTATGCTTCTATATCAGCAAAATAAATGACAAGATATAAGGGATGGTGAGATAGAGCAGGGACCTCTCTCTTAGGGACCTACCTCTCTCAGCCTTCATAGAATTAAACAAAGGTAGGACCTTGCTCTGGATTAGACTTTGGCTTAAGGAAATGTTGTGGTTGGTTTGATCTTCTATCCAGACCACTAAAACTTTCTCCATATCAACAATAAGGCTGTTTTGCCTTCTTATCATTCATATGTTCACTGGAGTAACCATTTTGTTCAAGAACTTTCTCTTTGCATTTACAACTTGGCTGACTGGAACAAGAGGCCTGACTTTCAGCCACTCTTGGCTTTTGGCATGCCTTCCTCACTAAGCTTAATCATTTCTAGCTTTTTATTGAAAGTGAAAGATATATGACTCTTCCTTTCACTTGAACACTTACAGGCCATTATAGGGTTCTTAAATGGCCCAATTTCAATATTGTTGTGCCTCAGGGAATAGGGAGGCCTGAGGAGAAGGAGAGAGATTGGAGAATAGCCAGTTGGTAGAGCAGTCAGAACATACACAGTTATCAATTAAGTTTGCCATCTTATACGGGTGCAGTTTGTGTCTCTCCAAAACAATAGAAACATCAAAGATCACTGATCACAGATCACCATAACAGATATAATGAAAAAGTTTAGAAACTTGCAAAAGTGTGGCCAAGCGTGGTGGCTCACACCTGTAATCCCCGCATTTTGGGAGGCCAAGTTGGGAGGATCACTTGAGCCCAGTAGTTCAAGACCAGCCTGGGCAATATAATGAGACCCCCATCTCTATTTTTTAATTAAAAATAACAAATAACAAATAATAAAATAGAAATTTACCAAAATGTGACATAGAGACACAAAGTGAGCACATGCTGTTGGAAAAATGGTGCCAACAGACTTGCTCAATGAGGAGTTGCCACAAGCCTTCAATTTGTAGCCAGGAACAGGACAAGGGGGCTGGTCTCCAAACCCTGGGCTCAAGGGAACCTCAACCCTATTATCCCAACACTTTGAGAGGCTGAGGATGAAGGATCCCTTGAGTTCAGGAGTTCAAGACCAGCCTGGGCAACATGGTGAGCTCTCATGTCTACAAAAAATGAAAAAATTAGCTGGCTGTGGTGGCACGTGCCTATGACCCCAGCTACTTAAGAGGCTGAGGCAGGAGGATCCATTGAGCCCAAGAATTCAAGGTGGCAGTGAGCTACAATCACACCACTGCACTCCAGCCTGGATAATAAAGCAAGACCTCTGTCTCGATTTAAAAAAAAAAAAAAAAAAAAGGCTGGGTGCGGTGGCTCATGCCTGTAATCCCAGCACTTTGGGAGGGAAGGGCAGGAAGATTGCTTGAGCCCAGGAGTTTGAAACCAGCCTGGGCAACATAACAAGACCCTGTCTTTTTCTTTTTTTAATAATTTTATAAATTTTTTTATAATTTGATTTTTTTTAAAAAGACAAACATTCGATTTGTAAAAAACACACTATCTGCAAAGCACAACAAAGTGAAGTGCCATAAAACAAGCTATCCCTGGCCGGGCGCGGTGGCTCACACCTATAATCCCAACACTTCGGGAGGCTGAGGCGGGTGGATCACGAGGTCAAGAGATCAAGACCATCCTGGCTAACATGGTGAAACCCCATCTCTACTAAAAAAATACAAAAAAAATTAGCTGGGCATTGCGGGTGGGCACCTGTAGTTCCAACTACTCAGGAGGCTGAGGCAAGAGAATGGCGTGAACCCAGGAGGCAGAGCTTGCAGTGAGCTGTGATCACGCCACTACACTCCAGCCTGGGCAACAGAGCAAGACTCCAAAAAAAAAACAAGCTGTCCCTCTATATCACTAATCACTTTAAATGTCAGTTGTCTAAATGTAGCAATTAAAAGACAGATTGTCAAAGTGGATCAGGAAACAGACCCTATTATGTGTTTTCTACAGGACACCCACTTTAAATATAAAGACACATATAGATTAAAAGTAAATGCATAGAGAAAGATATACTACATTAACACTAATTTAAAGAAAGCAGGAGTAGCTACGTTAATTTCAGACAGTAGACTTCAAACCAAGGAAAGTTATCAGAGATAAAGAGAGCTTTACCTAATAATAAAAGGGTTAATTCTCCAAGAAGACATAACAATGCAATAGAGCATCAAAATAAGTGAGGCAAAAACTATTAGAACTAAATGGAGAAATAGATGAATCCACTATCAGAAATGGACAGATCCAGGCTGGGTACCATGGCTCATGCCTATAATCCCAGCACTTTGTTAGGCCAAGGCGGGAAGATCACATGAGGCCAGGAATTCGAGACCAGCCTAGGCAACATAATGAGACTGTCTGTAAAAACAAACAAAAAATAAGTAAGTAAATAAATAGTTGGGTGCAGTGGACTACACAAGTAGTCTCAGCTACTCAAGAGGCTTAGGAGGGAGGATGACTTGAACACAGGAGTTCAAGGTTGCAATTAGCTATGGTCACACCACACCCCTGCACTCCTGCCTGAGCAACAGAGAGTGAGACCTTGTCTCAAAGAGAGAGAGAGAGAGAGAAAGAGAGAGAGAGAGAGAGAAATGCACAGATCCAGAAGGCAGAAAATCATTAAGGACATGGGTGAATTCAACAACATCAGTCAACTGGATATAATGGATATCCATAGACTATTTCATCCAACAACAGAATACACGTTCCTCTCAAGCTCACATGGAATGTTCACCAAGATAGACTACATTCTGGGCCATAAGATACAACTTAATAAATTTAAGAGAATAAATTCGTGGGATGCCGCAAAAGCAGTGCTTAACGGGAAATTTACAGCATTAAACACATATATAGTTACGTAAACAAATCCCTCACTAAATTAAACTACAGGAATTCCTGTTAAACGCCAGATATTGTGCTGGGAAATATACACTTTAACCAGCCCTGCACCTAATGCCAGGAGCTACTGAGTAAACAGCATAGGGTCCAACAGTACCATATACCCCACTATTTATCAAACATGAAAGCTGGGGAGAATTCTTTTCATTTAAGGAGGAGTGAAAGAAACAAATGAACCAACCAAGAGCTTCTGAAAAATATCTACAACATAAAAGGAGCTTAAGATTTCTCCATGGAGAAAATAATAATAATAATAATATGGTTGATTATTATAGGAAACAGAATATTTAAGGAAATAACTGCAGCCAAGTGCAGTAGTTCACACCTATAATCCCAACACTTTGGGAGACTAAAGCCGGAGAATTACTTGAAGCCAGGAGTTCAAGACCAGCCTGGGCAACAAGTGAGACCCTGTCTCTCCAAAAATTTAAAAAAAAAAAAATTAGCCAGGCACAGTGGCATGCCTGTAGTCTCAGCTACTCAAGAGGCCGAGGTGGAAGATGGGCTCCTTGAATCCAAGAGGTCAAAGCTGCAGTGAGCTATGATTGTGACACTGCACTCCAGCCTGGGGTCGGAGGGGGAGAGAGAGAAAGGGAGGGAGGGACAGACGGAGAGAGGGAAGGAAGGGAAGGAAGATCACTATTTAATCGACTTCGCCATTATTAAGAAGATTAAATGTAGTCATGTGCCACTTACCTAAAGAATGGTATAGTGAAAATAGTTACTTCAGTTTAACAAATATTTATTTGGCACTAACTTTCTGTCAGTGAAAATGGAAACAAAACTTGATATCCAGTCTCTGCTGTGCACTAAACAGCTGAACAGCATCAACCAAGTCACTAAATCTGTTTCATCAGTTGCAAAATACACCAAGTGAACCAGAAGACATTCAAGGCCACCTTCAATTCTAAAATTTTACGATTTTAGAAAAGCAAAGTGGAAAAGCATATTGGGAATTATTTGAGCAAGAAGTATAAGACAAGAAAGGGAAGTGACTAAGACACCACCACCCATCATCGATTAGGAAAATATAACAAGGTCAGAGAGGAACCTGTACAATGGCAACTTCTTTGTCCTCTGTCAAATGCTGACTGTTCAAGGTAAAGTTCAATTTTCATTATAATAGCTAATTATGGTTTTCTAGTTAATGTTTTAAGGTACAACTTTTTTTCAAACTAATACATAAATTCATTAGCCAACCTATATTAACAGATCACATAATTATGACAGAATAGGAGTTAGTCATGGAAACATTTAAGTTAAAATTATCGACTGTCAACAATAAGCTATTACATTATGAAATCACCCTTTAAGCACAGAAAGGACTCCTATCAATTATGCATGATTTTCTTAAATTAATATTCCCATTCTGTTGTCTATACAAAATAGACGATAAAACAAAAAAGATTTATTTTGTCCACCCAAGACAGAGAGATTTACTATTTTAAAAAACCAAAAGAGCAGTTATCCTGATTCTGTAACTAAAATATTCCCAAACCTGATGAGATTTGTACAGTTTTCTTTCTTACCTGAAAGACAAGTGCTTAGTAAAAGGGTATGATGACTGCTAACACCATGTTCTACATATATCTCACATAAAGATAAAACCTCAAAGCAAGTATATTCTTCATTATGTAAATACAAAATTCTTGTACTTAAATGAAAATGTAATTATTATTTGATTGTGGGCCACAGAAGCAAGTGATGTTAATAAAGAGAATATATTTATTACAAAGTAAAAATTCAGACAAAACTAGAATTCAATCAAAAATATTTAGATGTAAGAAAGTCATTGGAAAAAGGAGTATGTGTTAACAAAAGACTTTTTAAAATAAATCGGTCATTAAACGTCTTAGTATTGTGCAACTCTAAGAACATGTGAGAATAAGAAAAAAGAAGGAAAACAATCTTTTTAAACCATGTCAGATGATTAAGCTAGCAAACAGTGAATCATGTCTAGTTATATTGCATTCAAGTTCTAGCTCTTGTTAGTCATTTATTTTAAATTAAAGTATCAAAGGAGTTCAAAAGTTGACATGCACACAAAAAAATTGTGGGAACTCAGCCCAGTTACACCCACTCTACATTACCTAAGATATGAGTGAAGCAGGTACCGAGAGTCTTAATTAATGCATAGGTATGAGGCAACAAGGAATTCTTAATTATGAAGACTGAGATGCAAAAAAGCAAAAACTTAGCCAAAATAGTTCACTATAAAATATCTACATAATTTGGAAAAGGGTCTCTTTTTTTTTTTTTGCAATATATAGTGGTTTTAATTTTCGTTTACTACATCCAAAGTAAGAAATATTTTTACATTATAACCCAACAAACATTTCATGAAACATTATTTACCTTTACTACATGTTATAGATGTGTATGTTTCCTATTTCTTCCTTTTTTTGTTTTATGCTGGTTACACCCTACTGCATTATTTTACGATCTACCAATGGATCTTAACCTGCAGTCTGATGAACATTACTTTATGGCATGCATGGACCATTAAGTTTCAGCCTTGAATCAAATTCTAAATTAAGAGTATCAAGAATTTCAGTAAAAAAGAAAAGTTCTCAGAATCAAAGGAACAAACAGGCTAAGCAACAGGGAAAATTTTTGGAGATAGAAGCTGGATTTTGCCTTATTCTCACTTCATTCCATTTGTGAGCCTGAACAAAAAGTATAAATATGGCAAATAAATTAGCATTCTCACAGTAATCTTCTGTATGAGAAAGGTTGTTGTTTAACTACCCATAATATAAAAACGCAGTAATCCTTAAGTCACTTGGAAGCTCCTTTCAGAATTTCCATTGGTTGCATTTTTGTTTTTTTCTTCCATCAAGTACATTCTACAATGTTTAAGGTAAATAGCCACTTCCTACTAAATATTGTTTTCATTTTATTTTATTATGAGAATTACAATGGCATTATTTTCTTTTATTTTGGCACAAGTGCAATATATTTTAATTAATTTATGTCTTAAACATGCTTTTATTTCTAGGCTTTTGGCCTGAAAATAGAACCACCATTTATAATATTTGGAAACCAAAAAGTATCTATGACAGGTTTTAATCAACTTAGAAATTTATTTTGCCAGGCTAAGGAGAATGCCTGGGAGGAAAAAAAAAAAAACACAGAATCACAAAAACAGTCTATTGTCTGTGCCTTTCTCCCAAGATGACTTTGAGGGCTTCAGTATCTAAAGGGGAAAAGTGGGCTGGAGGGGAAAGAGGAACTTGTCATTCAGATGTTCCAAGACAAAATGAGCAGGTAGGGGAATAGTCAAGTATGCATTGGCTTATGCTCAGTAAGCTGGCACTTTACATAAGATAAGGTGAACATACAGTAGCTACCTGTGGAGATATCTAACCTTTTATCTGTAGCTCTCTGCTTTGAAACAAAAGGAAATGCAGTTGCTTGCATGACTCAGCTTTCAGCTTAATTTTAATAATGAATTGAGGTCGAGTTTAGGTTTTTCTTTCACATATTGCTTCTATTAGAAAATGAAATTGAAATTCCAAACTGAGTTAGAAACTAATCTGGTGTTGCAGGAAGTCAGGGACACTGAATGGAGGGACCAGCTGGAGCCATGGCAGAGGAACATAAATTGTGAAGATTTCATTTTAATATGGGCATTTATCAGTTCCCAAATAATACTTTTATAATTTCTTACTCCTGTCTTTAATCTCTTAATCCTGTTAGCTTCATAAGCTGAGGATGTACGTCATCTCAGGACCACTGTGATAACTGTGTTAACTGTACAAATTGACTGTAAAACATGTGTGTTTGAACAGTATGAAATCAGTGCTCCTTGAAAAAGAACAGAATAACTGATTTTTAGGGAACAAGGGAAGACAAACATAAGGTCTGACTGCCTGCGGGGTTGGGCAAAAAAAGCCATATTTTTCTTCTTGCAGAGAACCTATAAACAGATGTGCAAGTAGGGAAGATATCGCTAAATTCTTTTCCTAGCAAGGAATATTAATATTAATACCCTGGGAAAGGAATGCACTCCTGGGGGGAGGCCTATAAATGGCCGCTCTGGGAATGTCTGTCTTATGGGGTTGAGATAAGGACTGAGATACGCCCTGGTCTCCTGCAGTACCCTCAGAATTACTAGGTTGGGGCAAAACTCTGCCCTGGTAAATTTGTGGTCAGACCAGTTCTCTACTCTCGAACCCTGTTTTCTGTTGTTTAAGATGTTTATCAAGACAATACCTGCACGGCTGAACATAGACCCTTATCAGTAGTTCTGCTTTTGCCCTTTGTCCTGTTCCCTCAGAAGCATGTGATCTTTGTTAGACCCTTATTAGTAGTTCTGCTTTTTGCCCTTTGAAGCGTGTGATCTTTGTGCCTACTCCCTGTTCTTACACCCCCTCCCCTTTTGAAACCCTTAATAAAAACTTGCTGGTTTTGAGGCTCAGGGGGCATCAGGGTCCTACAGATATGTGATGTCACCCCCAGCAGCCCAGCTGTAAAATTCCTGTCTTTAAACTGTCTCTCTTTATTTCTCAGCCAGCTGACACTTACTGAAAATAGAAAGAACCTATGTTGAAATATTGGGGGCGGGTTCCTCCAGTAATCTGGGGACAGTGTACATTTCTTAGCTCAGCATTTCATCTAGGATTTGGGGCAAACCTGGTGGGCTTAGCATTGTCACCAAAAACCTAGACTGGGGATAGAGGTGGAAATAGGTGTTCACCTGCTGAGTAGCAGAGTTAGGTAGGAAGACTTTTAGAAAAATAGGTAAAACCACAGAAGGATAAGGAGATTGACAGAGTCAGCAAGTTAAGACTAAGCACAAGATATATAAAGACAGCAATAAAATTTTGTGGACAAAGGGAAAGAAAAGGATTGTAGTTTTACTGTAGAGTCAAAGGAAAGGAGACATAGAGAAAGACGAAAAGAAATGAACACTCAGTGATGACCCGGCAGTTAGAAACCACGTCTGATGGAATCCTTATAAGCAGCAGATTTATCTTCTTATTAGAGATGAGGAAACTGAGGTTAAGGAATATACCCTAAATCACACATACTTTTAGGATTTGAACCAAAATCTAACTGCAATAGCCATGTTCTTTTCACTGTTCATCACTGTTCCCTGTTTAGAGAGAAGGTGAAAAGTAAACAGGTCCAGCAAGGATCAACATTTCACAGGGACAAACAAAGTGAGTGGGGAGCTATTGGGACAAAGGTTGAAATCTAAGTTCGCCTACCTAATTCAGAATGTTAAATCTGCTTTATAAGAGACTGAATAGCAATGTAGAGATTTATTTCATAGAACTAAAACTCCAGAAAGAATGAATGTAAAAATCCATAGATGCCTGAAAACAGCAAGTTGTCAGTAAGTGGTAATTGCCACTATTTATAATATCACTATTAACTTTCCATCTCCTCAATATGTGCTAATTTCTTCTGAACACTATTGGGCTTAGATAAACTGAGATTTTTGCATGTTTCTTGCATTTGTATTTAATTTGTTCAAACGTAAAATATTTCAGAAAATGTGCTCCTTTTCTTTCTAGTAATTTAATTTTACCTTCATAGAAAACTTCTATGCCAAAAACTAAGTTGACTTTGATAGCTGAAACTCAAATTATAGGGAAATTGAAAAATAGGTCAAGTATTTCCACTTCCCCAGATAAAAATGTTTCAGACTCCATTTTCACAGAAGGAAGTGAAGAAAAAAATGATTTTTTTAAATTAACAATCAGAGTTATGACATTTTCAGAGAAGGTTCTAAAAAACAAAGAGCATAAAAGTGGCACATTCAATACCAATTTAAGATCTGTCAGATCTGACAACTTAAGATGGTAGGAAAGACTTCTTTTTTTTTGAGATGGAGTCTCGCTCTGTCGCCCAGGCTGGAGTACCATGGTGTGATCTTAGCTCACTGCAACCTCCGCTTCCTGGGTTCAAGCGATTCTCCTGCCTCAGCCTCCCAAGTAGCTGGGATTACAGGCACCTGCCACCATGCCTGGCTAATTTTTGTATTTTTGGTATAGACGGGGGTTTCACCATGTTGGCCAGGCTGGTCTTGAACTCCTGACCTCAGGTGATACACCTGCCTCGGCCTCCCAAAGTGCTGGATTATAGGCATGAGCCAATGCGCCTGGCCAGTAGGAAAGACTTCTGAAAAAGATTTTAGAGTTTGAGTGAAAGTAAGACAAAGTAAGGGGAAAGGAAGAAAAAAACACTGGGAAAACAAAGTAATTTGAAACTCTACAATCTAATCCTAGTTTCTCTAATCACAGCACCATCAGCAAGTAATCTTTCAATTTTCTTTTTAATTTTGTTTTGGGGGGGTGGGGGAAGGGTCTCATCTCACTCTGGCGCCCAGGATGGAGAGCAGTGGTGCAATCTCGGCTCACTACAACCTCCACGTATCAGACTCAAGCAATCCTCCCACCTCACCCTCCCAAGTAGCTGGGACCACAGGTGCATACCACCATGCCCAGCTAATTTTTTAATTTTTTTGTAGAGACAGGGTCTGACTATATTACCCAGGCTGGTCTTGATCTCCTGAGCTCAACCAATCCTCCCGCTTGGCCTCCCAAAGTCTTAGGATTACAGACGCAAGCCACCTCACCTGACCAATTTTTCCATTTTCTTTATTCATTTTCTGGAAAAATGATTGGAAACAAATATCTTATTACATGATATACAGGTTTCATTTGGATCACTCCATGTAGCCCTCACAATAATTCTTTCCTTAAAACAAAATTCAGTGCTAAGTGGAATGGCCCCTTCTCTAAAGACCCAAAACTAATAGATAAAACAATAGTAAATACTATTAACCTATAATTGAATAATGTTACTATTTATTAAGTGCCTGCTCTATTCCAGTCATCACAGTCCTGCTTTACATGTATGAATGCTAATCCTTGGAAGAAACATACAAGGGTTTTTTCTGTTGTTGTTTTTACTGGTATGGAAACTGAAGCTCACAGAGCTTATAAAAAAAAAAATAGTGCCTAAGATCACACAGGGACAGAAATTTTAAAACTGCATTTCGCTATAGTAATTTAGAGGTATGGAAGAAATAATAGTAGAAGAGTTAACAATTACTAAGGGCTTACAACACATCATGTCAAGGACTTAGTATGCATTCCTCAGAACAACCTAGGGAACTATGGGAGGTACTATTGTCCCCATATGTAAAATAGGGCACTGATTAAGACACTTGCCAAAGTTACAGAAAATGAGAGGTGAAAAGTATGGTCTCTGGCCTACTTTGTGAGGTTTTGATCACCAAACTATCCATAGCTTCAAATCAGACCCTTAAGGCTGACACAGTAAGTAAATAAGGCATTATGGAAAAAGAGGGATTCTGAATGAGCATGATTTGAATTGGAGCAATGGGAGAATCAAAGGTAGAAATAAAAAAGTGAGAATGGACTTTTGGGGGGACTGCTCTCTCCACAGAAACTCCATAAGCGTTAGTTTTTCCTAATAAAGTTTATCATGTTTTTCCACCACATTTTTTGGAGGCAGTAAGGAAGTCTAACTAGAATCAAAATCAAATGTCAGAAATAGTCATTGTAAAAATATTTTAATTAAGTCTGGTTCCTCTTTTACGTCTCTTTCATGAAAATATCCTTCTCCAAGACTTTTTCTCTTGGCTTTTCTTTCTTTCTTTTTTTTTCCCTTTTTTTTTTTTGCCCTGTTTCTCTGTAGGATCATCACTTCCACAGCCTCAATTATAACCTCTAGGATAGTATTTCTTAAATCTTTCAATTGCTCCACCCCACAGCTCTACAATGCTGTGACACAGATTTCCAACTGGGTATGGACTTCTGTTTAGATAACAAAAAACTCAATTTGTCTGAAGTGAAATTCATATTTTCCTCCAGACTAGTTTTTGAACCTCACTTTCCTAATCTGATGGTGGTCTGTCAACACATTTCTCATCAGCAGGATTTCAAACCCCGAACTCTCAGGATTGGATTCCAAACACTCTTTTGGTCCCCAACTTCCACACAAGCTCTGCAGATTCTACCTCCACCAATTCTGCACTCTACCTATCCCTCTTGCAACTCTCTTCTACTTTCCATTCTATTACATTTGTCTAGTGTTTTCCTTTCTGCCACCACCTCCAAGCATGAAGACTTCATTACCTTCACTCAGATTAATAAAACACTTTCAACTGGTCTCCCTGTTTCTGTATCTCCTCAACACAGGATTATTTTCCTAAGGTACAATTCTCATTATACCTCTCCTCTCCCCGCAAAACACTCAGCAGCTTCCCAAGAATTATTAGATTAAGAAGCAAAGGCACTCGACATTTAATATTTTATACTTTTCTACACAACCAAAATTTCAAGAATTTTTTTTCCCTATACTGTAATAACAATGTGCCATCTGCTATTCCAGGAATAAGCTTCTTTTTCTCCTGAAGTTTTGCCTTCTAAATGGGACCCCTATTTTTCCCCTAAATGGGACCCCCTATTTTTATATGGACAGGAATTTGGTTAAATTCCTGTCCATATAAAAATAAATGTTACACTGAAAAATAAGATACAATAATCTCTGTACACTATGCTCAAACTAGGTAGAACTGTGTATTCCCCATTATTTCATGTAATATGCAAAAGAGTAATAATATCTGATATAAGCAAGGATGTGAAGAAACGAGCACTCTCATACACAGGGACAATGGTAAACTGTCACATTTTTAGATGTTAACAATATCTTAGTAAATTAAAAATGTTTATCCTCTGACCTGGAAATTTCATTTCTAGAAATGTATCTTACAGTTCGGGCGCAGTGGCTGACACCTGTAATCCCAGCACTTTGGGAGGCCCAGGCGGGCAGATCACCTAAGGTTAGAAGTTCGAGACCAGCCTGACCAACATGGAGAAACCCCTTCTCTACTAAAAATACAAAAGTAGCCGGGCTTGGGGGTGCATGCCTGTAATCCCAGCTACTCGGGAGGCTGAGGCAGAAGAATCGCTTGAACCCTGGAGGCAGAGGTTGAGGTGAGCCGAGATGGCACCATTGCACTCCAGCCTGGGCAACAAGAGTGAAACTCTGTCTCAAAAAAAAAAAAAAAAGAATGAAAAGAAAAGAAATATATCTTACAGAAAAACCCATACAGTTAAGCAAGGATTATTTCCAGTAGCAAAAATGTTGGATAATTTAAGTGGTTACAAAAATAAACTACGCTATACCCAAACTATATAATACTTGCTAAACGTTAACAAAATGAAATAGAGTAAACAGATAACAAATACATCAGCTAATAATTATTGAGTGCATTCTAGGAGGTAGGCATTGTTTTAAGTACTTTGCAAGTATGAACTCATTTCACAAAAATCCCAAGACATGAATCTGCATGTTAAGAAGATACATGCTCATGCTCCACTGAGGAATCAAAACAAGAAAACTGCAAAATGATATGGAATGTACCAAAATATACATAACTTAAAAGGAAAAGAAAAAAACCTTTATACATGCTTCCAATTGTTCTCAACAGTGTTTACCCCTTAGGAAGGTATGTGTTTTCAGGATGGGAAGAGTGGGCTTCCTTTCTTTAATGCCCTTTATAATGTGCATTTTTTTTAAAGCATGTAGTGTTTTATAATTTCAAAAAACACTACAAAGTATGTACATGTAAGACTGTACAGAAACTGATTTGAAGGTGGTTAGATATTTTCTTTTTTCTATTTTCAAACATTCTATGTTACTTTTACTATTTTTGTTTGTTTTGATAAAGAAGACCTTCACCCCTCTTTCAAGATCCATTTAAAACGCCGTCAACTACTGTCCTATGATACAATGAAGTGTATGGACTTTGAAATATCACAGACCTAGGTTTGAATCTGTCCATTAATGTAATCCAGCAGGCACCACCATAGTGACCCTGGACAAATTATTTAACCTTACTGAGTCTTAGTTTTCTCACTTGTTAGAGACAATGCCACCAATATCAATGGCTTGCATGAGGATTAAATAAAATACTATCTCCAAAATATCTAGCACAATGACCACCATTAACAAAGTCTCCCATATAAAACTGTCTTCCTTTCTTGGATTCTTGCCTAATTCCACCAACCTGAAATAACTGTTCACTCCATAAGCTTTAGTTTTTCCTAATAAATTTTATCATGTTTTTCTGCCACATTTGGTGACTTGTCTTTTGGTAAACCTCTGGATATCAGTAAAGGTGTCCTACACATTGATCTCCATTCATTCTGACTAGCAGACAACCTTCAAAACAGTACTCATACAGTGTGATTGTTATGTGAATTTTGAGAAAATCCAATATTAAAAAAGCTGACAGGTGTGAAACAGAGAGTACACTTCACCAAAAAAATCAACATACTGGCTAACTAAATGACGAACTAAAACTCACTTCTCCAACCTAACAAAACCATCTCTTAAAAGGTCTTTGTTTTCAATAAGCTGATAGATCAAATTAAGCCCCCAACTTCAGTTCTATCCCAGTATAATACTCAAATCTTACCACTTTTTTAAAAATACAGAAGTGGCTGGGCGCGGTGGCTCACGCCTGTAATCCCAGCACTTTGGGAGGCCGAGGCAGGCAGATGACCTGACGCTGGGAGTTCGAAACCAGACTGACCAACATGGAGAAACCCCGTTTCTACTAAAAATACAAAATTAGCCGGGTGTGGTGGTGCCTGCCTGTAATCCCAGCTACTCAGGAGGCTGAGGCAGGAGAATTGCTTGAACCCGGGAGGCAGAGGTTGCAGTGAGCCGAAATCCCGCCGTTGCACTCCAGCCTGGGCCACAAGAGCAACACTCCGTCTCGAAAATAATAAATAAATAGGCCAGACGCGGTGGCTCAAGCCTGTAATCCCAGCACTTTGGGAGGCGGAGGCGGGCATATCACGAGGTCAGGAGATAGAGACCATCCTTGCCAACACAGTGAAACCCCGTCTCTACTAAAAATACAAAAAATTAGCCGGGCGTGGTGGCGGGCGCCTGTAATCCCAGCAGTATACTCAGGAGGCTGAAGCAGAAGAATCGCTTGAACCCGGGAGGCGGAGCTTGCAGTGAGCCGAGATCGCGCCACTGCACTCCAGCCTGGCGGACAGAGCGAGACTCCGTCTCAAAAATAAATGAATAAATAAATAAATAAAAATAAAAAATAAAAATACAGAAGCAAATGAAAATATCTGAACTGAAAAGTTTAGCTATGTTAAGAAATATTCCTAATAACACATTTACAATTTGAAAAATCCCCTTTACCCTTTAGGGCAGTATGACAAGCACACACAAAAATAAGTGCAGTGATAACACCTTGCCACCCTGGAGTCTTTCTGAAATTTTAACGACACACCAGGGCTAGGGAGTGGGAGGGTAAGGGGACTAAAAGTTCTAGATAAAAAGCCACTTTAAAAACCAAATAAGGTTCTAAGTGACCCTGATATAGGTAACCATGCCACTAGCTTTAAATATAAAAAAAGAGTTCCTACAGTTTTAAATTTAAAATTAAAAACAAAAAAAAAACTCCTGCAAGAATAAAGTCAATGATTTTCAGGATCCCAAACACGTCTCTACTTATAACCACCCATATCTTGGAATTAAAGCTTGTTAGTCAAAGTCACAGGACATATTAACCTAACTCGTTAGTGAACACTCATTAGCTCAATTCAAGCTCCAGAACATAGTTTCGGAATACAGCACCCGTTCTGCCTGGCCGACTGCCCTGGTCAGCACAGGCACTCGCTCTCCAGTCTGTCGCTAAGCTGGATTTGATTTTTAACGCTTTACAAAGAGCTTTGACATTAAGGAAAAAGACGTGACACTTACCTTGAGAAGCGAAGGCAGCCTAACCAACTTCCGGTTTTGTTACAACTTGTATCACATTTCAGCAGCTGGGTGGAGCCAGTTAAGCCTTGAGCCAAAAGGGAACCTTTCCCAAACTAAGCTGCAGAACTTGATTTGCAAGACCAGTGCTAGTTTTAGGACTCCATTTCTGAAAACTTAGAATTCTGTTTTACACTAAGGAACAGTGTTTGCCAACTAGTACCTACTTCGCCACAAAAATTATAGTTTTTGTGTTTAATTGCAAAACTATTTGAAAATACCTGTTCTATAATAGTGCTAAGTAAAAGCAAATTAACTTTTAAAAAGTGGAAAAAGATCAGATTGCATAGAACCGAAACCTTTCTGCAGTGTGAATGATATAATGCAAAAGAAATCTTTTATTTTGCAAATTACCCCTGAAATTTAGGAGTTTTGTTTCTTTTTAAGCCTTTAATCTGTTTCACAAGACTCTTTTGCAAAAGAAAAATTTTAGGGCTAGGAAAAGACAATGTAATTGAATTTTTAACAATCTTTGTTTTTATTTTGTTTTTTGTTTTCCTGTTTTTTACTTTTTTTCTTCTCTTTAATGTAATTGAAAATATTAAACATTCCATTTCAGACCTTGAGTGACATTGTAATTGCCCAGTGGGTTCACCTTGCCCGCTGTCTAGACAGAGCCGATTTATCAAGACAGGGGAATCGCAATGGAGAAAGAGTAATTCACGCAGAGCTGGCTGTGCAGGAGACCGGAGTTTTTTGTTTTGTTTGTTTGTTTGTTTTGTTTTGTTTTGTTTTGAGACGGAGTCTCTGTCTGTGGCCCAGGCTGGAGTGCGGTGGCATGATCTCGGCTCACTGCAGCCTCCCCGTCCTAGGTTCAAGCGATTCTCCTGCCTCAGCCTCCCCAGTAGCTGGGACTACAGGCGCCCGCCACCACGCCCGGCTAATTTTTGTATTTTAGCAGAGACAGGGTTTCACCATGTTGGCCAGGCTAGTTTGGAACTCCTGACCTCAAGTGATTCCACCTGCCTCAGCCTCCCAAAGTGCTGAGATTACAGGCATAAGCCACCGCGCCCAGCCCGGAGTTCTATTATTACTCAACACAGTCTCCCCAGGATTCGGAGATCAGAATTTTTAAAGATAATTTGGCGGGTAGGGGCTTGGGAAGTGGGAGTGCTAATTGGTCAGATTGGAGATGGAATCATGGGGGGTCGACGTGAGGTTTTCTTGCTGTCTTCTGTTCCTGGGTGGGATGGCAGAACTGGGTGAGCCCAATTACCGGTCTGTGTGGCATCAGCTGATCCACCGAGTCCAGGCTCTGCAAAATATCTCAAGCACTGATCTTAGGTTTTACAATAGTGATGTTATCCCCAGGAGCAATTTGGGGAGGTTCAGACTCTTGGAGCCAGAGGCTGCATGACCCCTAAACCATAATTTCTAATCTTGTAGCTAATTTGTTGGTCCTGCAAAGGCAGACTGGTCCCCAGGCAAGAAGGGGGTCTATTCAGGAAAGGGCTACTACCAATTTTGTTTCAGAGTCAAAACATGAACTGGATTCCTTCCCAAAGTTAGTTTGGCATATGCCCAGGAATGAACAAGGACAGCTTAAAGATTAGAAGCAAGACAGAGCCAGTTAGGTCTGTTCTCATTCACTGCCATAATTTCCTCAGTTATAAAAGGCTTTGCAAAAAGCCTTTTTGCAAAGGCGCTTTCAACATATGCAGACTGGAAAATAGATTATGACCCATGCCTTGACCTGTGAATGCTGGTTATCAATCAACCCCAGTAAATTCTTTAAACCATTTTTAAAGAGAGAACAGAGAAAGGAACACCATCACGTTACGCTTTCTCTTAAAGAACTAGTCACAATTAACAAAAGCCCCTCTCTACAGGTTATTAAAGAGAGGCTTTAAATAAAGATGACCCAGAGTTGGTTTGCTATCCTAAAGCTGCTGGGAACATGAATAGTTTTAAACTAAGTCAGCTGATCTTCAGTTCTTCAAAGCCTCAAGTGGTGAAATAGCCTTCTGCAGATAACAGACCCTTTCCAGGAACTGTCCCCATTGCATGCCAAAAGTATGATATGTCTATAAAACAAAAACTCTTCGACTATATTATCAGAACCCTACATTCTAAAGCACTCTTAGGAAGTGGTACGACACAGTGGGAAGAACTGAATGGAGAGAGAGGCTAGCTTTGTCTAAAACAACCCTTTCACTAGGCTCAGTGGCTCACATCTGTAATCCCAACACTTTGGGAGGCCGAGGGGGGTGGATCACGATATCAGGAGTTCAAGACCAGCCTGGCCAAGATGATGAAACCCTGTCTCTACTAAAAACACAAAAATTCGCCAGATGTGGTGGCACACGCCTGTAATCCCAGCTACTCAGGAGGCTGAGGCAGGAGAATGCTTGAACCTGGGTGGCAGAGGTTGCAGTGAGCAGAGATCACACCACTGCACTCCAACCTGGCCAATAGAGCAAGACTCCATCTCAATAAATAATAAATAAATAAAACACCACCCCTTCTGAGACTATCATTTCTCTCCATGTCCCCAGCTATAATTCCACCTTATCATTCCCTTCCAGATCACCTCTACCAGACTCTTCATCAACTCATCAGTTGTCACAAAGGAGACCAATTTTATTAAAATTAGTTTAATGGAGCTTAGATCCTAAGAAGTTAAAGCTACCCTACTGGTTACCATTCTCATGCCTCTATATCAGCAGTTCTCAAACTTTTTTTATTTCAAGGTCCCTTCACAACTTTGAAAGATTATTATGTACATCAGAGATGCTTCTTTATGTGGGTGATATCTATTAATATTTTTGTATTAAAAATTAACAGAAAAAGTTAAATATTCATAAATTTGTTTTTAAGTGACAATAATAGTTACATGTTAACACAGTATCTTTTCTGTTGCTTATATTATTGTTTTTCAACAATAAAAAATTTAATGAAAAAGTATAGCATTTGACTAGTCTAAAAAAAAGAAAAAGTATCATTGTTTAAATTGTTGCAAATCTCTTTAATGTCTGGCTTAATAGAAGACAGTAGGATTCTCATATCTGCTTGCATTCAATCTTTTGTGATATCATGTAACACCTCATGTAGCCACTGGAAAACTCCACTGTATATTCATGAGAAAATGAGAATGAAGAAGGCAAATAAAGTATAGCAAGAACAATAATTATCATTTATTGAACACTCATTTTAACCAAGGCACATGTATTATCCTATCCATTATGAACATCCTTCAGCTGAGAATGTTAAGGACCTGTGTGGCTAAGTAAATTGCTGAAGATTAGACAGAGAAGTGGTAGACAGGATCCTAAGCCAGAACCACTGTCTCCACTGAGCACCACCGCCAAGTCTGAATGAGGTCTGATGAACCAAACTTAGGAACTTGCCTGCCCTATTATACTCAGCATTTCAAACAAGTTTACATTCAAAGAGAACGTCTCCAGTTGATTAGACACAGCCTTGACTCAATACATCCAAAACCCACCATCTAAAATAAACTTATTCTCACTTAGCCTTTAATTATATTCATCTCACCCAAACAGCCAAATTCACCCCCTCTTCTCCATCTCCACTGCCACTATTCTGGTTTATGTCCTGGACTGTTGTCTCAACTGAACTACAGTCATTATCTACTAAATGCTTCCAGTTTCTCATCAATCTAATTAGCTATCCCACATAATATGGGATAGATAATCTTCTTTTTTTTTTGACACAGTCTCGCCCTGTCACCCAAGCTAGAGTGCAATGGCACAATTTCGGCTCACTGCAACCTCTGCCTCCTCGGCTCGAGCGATTCTCCTGCCTCAGCCTCCTGAGTAGCTGGGATTACAGGCGTGCACCACCACACCCAACTAATTTTTGTATTTTTAGTAGAGACGGGGTTTCACCATGTTGGCCAGGCTGGTCTCAAACTCCTGACCTCAGGTGATCTGCCCACGTCAGCCTCCCAAAGTGCTGGGATTACAGGCATGAGCCACTGTGCCCAGCCTGGGAGAGCTAATCTTTCTCAAGTATAACTCACATCTTGTAACTCCTATGCTCAAAAAAATCTTTACTTACCTACTTATTACTTATAACTGCATGAATGAATGGCCAGATTCCGCAGACAGATGTTGTGCCAAACCTCTATCAATTCCAGTGGGGATGGCAGCAGGTTCAAAAGGCTGACAAAGACACGGAGCTAGCAAATGAGATATGGGGTTTTACTGGGGGCTTATGCACAGGGGAGAATTCAGTGGCGGTAGGCTGGAAAGGATAACCCCAGGGTATGCTTAAGTTACTGCTATCAGCTGCATTTACCAAATAACAGAGGGTCAAACGAAATAATTTCTGTAAACCACAGTGCTTGGCACAAAAATAAGTATTTAATAAATAGAAGTCAATAGCAAAAAAGTTTTGATAGTGGCTTTTTAAATGAAATGTCCCTTCTTCGCAGTGCTATAAATAATACATTGTTCCAAAATTATCCATGGACTTCTGACCAAACTCTGGTCAGTAAATCCATGTTTTACTTTCTGACAACATAAAGCCATTCTCAACATTTAATTAGTGGTAATAACAGTCATCTTCATATTTTTCTTACCCACCAGTTCAAGGTCACCTCACATTATGCTCCTCTAAACGCAACCCAATCCTTATTCAAAATAATGTGACCTTCCTATGATAACAGATCCTGAAGAATATCCGCCCCTTCGTCCTCACCCTTAGCTAGAGCTGTCTGTGTCTTCCAGAAAGAGCTAACCTTATTACTGAAAACTAGTTTTGAATAATCTAGATAAAATTAAACTCTTCAAAATATTTTGTCCACCTAAAAAAAGACACAAGAGAAAATTGTCTCTAACTGTGTTGGGTTTACTCAAAAATAGAAATAAGGATTATAATCTGGAATGTATGAAATGGCAAGCCATCAGTGCCTTTGGCTTGGGTAGGGTAAGGGAAGCTATTATTAGCAAAAAATATTTACATAAACTGCTTAGAAACAGTTCCTTATTTCCAAAGGCAGAGTTATTGTCATTTCTTTGGTAGAGATGACATTACTGGGCAAGTGTTCTTCCAAGATCATCTTATCTGAATTCCTGCAGGCCTAAAGAATGCCTAATGATAAACTATCAAAGTAGGAGATGTATGAAGGACAGAAAGGGTTTTTAGAAAGTCCTTGGAAACAGTTCTTATCTCAGACATGTAAGCATGAACCTCCTTTTTGGGGGAGGGCCTTCCTGGTCCTATTTTGTCTGAGTATGACAAAAGTGATTTCACCCTGGTATCTGCAACTTTCACAATTTTCACCATTTTTTTTCATTATAAAGCCAGTTGGAGGTTATCTGAAGTCATAAAAGCCTACTCCAGTGCAAATACATAGAAGATAGCTCTTTGGTGGGATAGGATGTGGCCTTCTATTAATTATTTTCAAGTGAGATATTTCTGGCCTGGCATGGTGGTTCATGCCTGTAATCCCAGCACTTTGGGACACAGAGGCAAGTGGGTCACTTGAGGTCAGGAGTTCAAGACAAGCCTGGCCAACATGGTGAAATCCCGTCTCTACTAAAAATACAAAAATTAGCCAGGCATGGTGGGGGGTGCCTGTAATCCCAGCTACTCAGAGGCTGAGGCAGGAGAATCGCTTGAACCCAGGAGGTGGAGGTTGCAGTGAGCCGAGATTGAGCCACTGCACTCCAGCCTGGGTGACAGAGGGAGACTTTAACTCAAAAAAAAAAAAAAAAAAAAGAGAGAGAGAGAGATATGTCTTTGTTGTAAGAGACTGTCCTTTGCATTGCAGAATATATAAGCATCCCTAATCCTAGCTATGAAATCCCAAAAGCCCTCTTCTTCCCCATAGTGATAATAAAAAAATAAAAGAGCAGCAACACATTTCCAAAGTTGTGGCCAGAAGCAAGAATAATGCCTCAATCCACTCTGTAAGGCTTCGATTAGATGGATGACTCTGGGTCCTAATGGAACAAAGCATTTTGCTTTCGAAGAAAATAAATGCTAAGATAGAAAAGAACTAGAATACTACCTCTTCCTAGTGAAGAATAGTGCAGCTTCTTCAAGTTGACACAAAAATTCAAAAGAAGCTTAACTTAAAATAAGTCTAAAAAGGCAGAGGTATGTAGTGAAAAGAGCATTAGATCATCCTGGATAAATCACTTATCCTCTCTATTTTTGTTACCAAAACAGTAAAGATAAGGAGTTACAAGCAGAACTGTATATTCTCTGAGTTCCCATCCAAATTCTAAATTCAGGTTTCTGATGGATAAGAAGAGACAGAAAATAAGCCAGAGTTTCTGGGCGGGCATGGTGACACGTATCTGTGGTCCAGCTATTCCAAGGGGCTGAGGCGGAGGAATCACTTGAGCCCAGGAGATTGCACCACTGCACTCTAACCTGAGTGACACAGCAAGACTCAGTCAAAAAAAAAAGATTGAGAGGCACTACATTCAATAAATATTTTGTCAAGCACCTACTATATGGCAGATCCTGTGCTAGGCCCTACTTGTATAAAGTAGCTCCACATTTACTCTAATATATTGTGATTTTCTAGGTGGGTAATACATGAATAGATGACTGATAGACTGATAATTACCTAATAGATAAATAACCTGATAGACATACAGTTCTCATTGCTTTCCAGATATCTGACCTGAGCATACTCTTTGTCCAATACCCAAGAGTGTATGTTTTATGAAGGTGAGTTCAGTTTGTACTTGGATAAGCACACGTACTCTCACAGCTTCAATTATCATGTTGATATTAATAAACACCCAATATATAATCACAACACTCACCTTTTATATATTAGTAAATGCAAGTACTGTTTTCCTAACTGCTTTCAAGGCAATTGAACATCTTTCCATTCAAAAACTGAATTCACTATATTTTCTCTTCTCTCAACATTTGTGGTAGATTGAATGATGGCCCCCAGAAAGATATCCACTTCTAAATCTCTGGAAACTATGAATGTTACCTAACAGCAAAAAAGGACTTTGCAGATGTTCTTAAATTAGGATCTTGAGATGAAAAAATTATTCTGGATTATCCAGGTGGGCCCTAAATGCAATCACAAGTGCCCTTAAGAAAGAAAGGCAGAGGGAGATTACACATGGTTGCAGTTTATGATAATAATTATTAAGAATAGGCGGCCAGGCACGGTGGCTCATGCCTGTAATCCCAGCACTTTGGGAGGCCCAGGAGGGAGAGTCACCTGAGGTTAGGAGCTCGAGACCAGCCTGACCAATATGCAAAAACTCCGTCTCTATTAAAAATACAAAATTAGCCAGGCGTGGTGGCGGGCGCCTATAATCCCGGCTACCCGGGAGGCTGAGGCAGGAGAATAACTTGAAGCCGGGAGGCGGAGGTTGCGGTGAGCCTAGATGGCGCCATTGCACTCCAGCCTGGGCGACAAGAGTGAGACTACGTCTCAAAAAAAAAAAAAAAAAAAAAACCTGGAAGCGGCAAGAAAAAATTCTGAAAAATCTGCCCTAGAGTCTCTGGAGGAATATGTTTTCACTGACACCTTAACTGTGGCCCAGTGATACTGTCTCTGGACTTCTGGCCTCCAGAAATGTGAGAACTTAGTTTCTGTTGTATTAGCCACCAAGTTTATACCAATTTGTTACAGCAGCCTCAGGAAACAATTTCTCCTTGTTTATCAATCAGTGGTACCCATTCTCTTCAACACTCAAACTAAAACTAGAAATAATTTTCAATTTTTTATCCTTTTCATAGCTTATAGCTCTGAGTTTTTCAGCCAGGAGCCACAGCCCATTTATCAGTGGATTGTAAAATCTTTAATGGGTATACCCAAAGGAATTGAGAGCAGAGTCTCAAAGAAAGATTTGTACACCCATGTTCATAGCAGCATTATTCACAATAGCTAAAACATGAAGGCAACCAAGCGTCTAATAGATAAATAACTAAAATATAGTAAATATATACAATGAAACATTAGCCTTAAAAAAGAAATTCTGACATACGCTACGACATGAATGAGCCTTAAAGATAGTCACAGAAAGACAAATACTGTATGACTCCACTTATATAAGGTTGTTAGAGGAGTCAAAACCATAAAGTAGAACAGTGGTTCCCTGAGGCTGGGGGTACAGAGAAATAAGAAATTATTGTTTAACGGATAGTTTCAGTTTTACAAGATGGAAAGAGTTCTGGAAATGGATGGTGGTGATGGTTACACAATATCATGAATGTATTGAACATCGCTGAACTATACACTTAAAAAATGGTTAGGATGGTAAATGTTATGTTATGTGGATTTTACCACAATTTAAAAAAAAATCTTTAGTGAATCACCACCAAAAACATTTTAGTAAAATAGAAAAGAAAATGTCAGAGTACATTATATATGATAAGGATAAATAAATGTTGTTTCGTAAACTTTTTCTAATTGTATCTGTGAGTAGATATGTCCTAGTTTATGAAATAAACTGGGTGACAGTCCAAAATCTTGAAACAAACTGCTTTTAATATCTCATCAAGTCAATTATCAATCAGTTTCTTCTTTCTCAATACTCACACGCAGGTGTTTTCCCCACTTATTTATTCTAAGCAGGGCAATGTGGTGCTGTGGAATCAGATGACCCAGGATTTGAAGATAAACTCCACCCCTAACTTTGTGATCTGGGGGTCTCTGAACCTGTTTCCTCATAGTAAAATGAATATGATATTACTCTCCTCATAATGCTGCTCTGAGGATTAATTGAGATAATAAATGTAAAGTGCTTAGTTCAATGCCTGAAGATAAAAATTGAGAAAAGGTATGCACTATAATTATCTATGCTCTAAATCTTTAGACTATAGCAGTAACTTTCTAACTAATCTAACTTCATCTCTCATCGCTCCCATCAATCCTGTCCACAATGGCCCAACCTCAGTTTAATCTTCCTAAAAGATTCCTTTTATCAATAATGTACTGTGATTTACCATGGTTTATACAGTGATATCTGTACTCTTTCTGACATTCACAGCACTCCACGGTCACACTTTGAGCATTCTTATTGCTTTTCCAGCTGGTACAGCTAACTCAGTCTATTAAACACTCATTCCCATCTTTTCACCTTTGTTCATGCTGTTCCCTTATCTCCTTTCTTTTCTTTTTTTCAACTATCCAGACATTGTTGAGAATCTCCTTTCTTTCCACCTATTTAATACCAGACATTCTTCAAGGTTTAGCAAAAAGTCGCAATTTATCTATGGAACTTTTCTGACAATTTGAACTAATATTAGTTCTGCCATCTAAAAAATGACTTCATGGTCAGGTAAAAAGATCATGCTTTCTGAAATCAAATTCACTTAGCTTGAAATCCCAGCTCTGCTCATTAATAGCTGGTTGACTTCAGGCAAGTTTCTTAACCCCCTAATTTTACTTTATTCACTTGTATAAAAAAGATGATACATAAGTGGGGTTGTTGTGATTATATTATAACAGAATATTTCCTCACACTAGCATGGGAGTGATCTCGAAGACTTCCTTATAACACAATCTTTAATGTCTTAAACACAATCTTTAATGTCTTACATCAAAGTGAGAAAACACACATTACATAAGCTGCCATTCCCACACTTGAGCAGCCATCATTAATTACTTGCAATGCCCTTCACTACTGACCCCAGAGATGGTGTCAGAACTCTTCTCAATCCATTATACCAAGCAGTCAATAACAATGGATGAAAATTCAGTCACTCTAAGCAATCAGTGGGGCAGTGATTACTCTCTCTAATCTGTCATTACTTTCAACTTCCCTTTTTAGAAACTGAAAAAATAGATGTTAAATAGAAGGCCTTACCTTAATTTAAGTGGCAGAAAGATAGAAGGCTTCATCTTTTGTTTTTTACCTCTCTTCAAATTCTATTTGAATATCAGCTCATTTTAAGGCCAGATTTATTGACTATAATGAAAGGATGGCAGACATTTTTTATCCTCTTTAATTATGTAATTTTCTTTTGTGGCATTTTAATTAAGTACAAGACAATATTAATGCTTTGTGATTATGTGCCACAGAGATGGTAACACTGATCAAAGTAAAAATATTAAAAGGTTGACTCAGCTCTGCCGAATAATAAAATCTCTGTCAATTACCTATAGACATAACATAAAATCAAAAGTTGTGATAATGATCAGTAGCCTTTACTGTTTCCTATCAGTTAGGGTTATACTACATTCACATTTCTGTCATTTCTCTTATTAAATCTATGAAACTAGTAAAACAAATAAGAAATAAAAATTCAAGGAAAAGAGTAAAATAGCACTTAGATCTATTCAGCAATAACCTAATTTTTATTTACCAAATTTTGACAATAAAAAGGTACCATTTACTATAGAATTTTTGCTTTAGCAGCTCTTGAGCTACGTGACCTATTCAAAATGTCATTTATTTACAAGATGGCTCAGGTTCCGATCAGTTAAGTGACAACCTTTAATATATACAAAAGTAGTCTCAATACTGAAAGAAACAGTACTCTCCACAAGCAGATTGAGAATCAATCTAATGATTGAGTTAAAATCAGTTTATTTTATTTTATTTTGTTTTATTTTATTTATTTATTTATTTATTTTGAAATGGAGTTTCACTCTTGTTGCCCAGGCTGGAGTGCAATGGCACGATCTCAGCTCACTGCAACCTCCGCCTTCTGGGTTCAAACAATTCTCCTGCCTCAGCCTCCCAAATCACTGGGATTACAGGCACCCGCTACCATGCCCAGCTAATTTTTGTTATTTCTAGTAGTTACAGGGTTTCACCATGTTGGCCAGGCTGGTCTCGAACTCCTGACCTCAGGTAATCCGCCCGCCTTGGCCTCCCAAAGTGCTGGGATTACAGGCGTGAGCCTCTGTGCCTGGCCAAAAGTCAGTTTACTATGCACAAAATATTATATAGTCAGGGTAACATTTATCATGAAAGCTGGTAGCTTATCTAACCATTTTTGCAAGAATCGTTTTTCTCCATTGGGTAAATTTTCAAAGTTGTAGGATTTAAAATTTAACAAATATAAAGCGTAAAGATAAATAAGACAAAGTCCACCTTTCAGGAGCTCCTAGTTTAGCAGGACAGACGGACAGAAATCTAATTAAATAATCAGTGTAAATGGTGTGCCACTTGCTGTGGAAGATTGTATAGTAGGAACGTATGGAAGCTGAGAAAGCAACTCCCAGCTGCTTGCATGAGTCTGCACAGAGAAGAAAACACAAGATGGGTGTCTCCAAGCAGACTAGCAGGACAAGGGCATCCTAGACAGGAAAAATGAAACAACAAACACCAGTTATTTCACAGAGGTATAAACAGCATCATGCATTTTGGGAATGGGAAATAATCCTAGAACATGAGTGAGTCATAAGCAACATGAGTCCTACCCTTCAGCACACGAGAGGAAGCAGAAGTTTGTCTATCCTATAGTGTCCCAAAGTTGAATGTAGGAGTAAAAGCCTTTAAAAGTTCCATGAAAACTGAGAGCAGATACCAAACGTAGTATCCTGACAAGGCAGCAATATCAAAACAAAAAGAGCAAATCTAAATTTGGTCATTAATCAAAGCAACCATTGGGAAAACATGCGTGGAAATAAGTGGCCAAAATAAGGAATCCTGACAACCAAGAATAGCAGGAGAAAGCAATAATGGAACAGGATAGAAGTGGTGGTCCAGATGCATTCTGGAATGGCACACACAAGTCTTCAGTGACTTTTTATGCAACAGTGGGCTGGCCATAAACCAATCAAAACCTCCTAATAAGATAAAATAGAATAAACAATAAATAAAAAATTTTAAAAATTAGAAAATAATTTTTTGAAGATAAAATGGAAATAACACCACCCACTCTGCAAAATTCTCAGATTCTCCTAAAATGTTCAGTGCAATTTTTTTTGTCTTCTGCCTTTTTTTTTTTTTTTAAAGACAGGGTCTCGCTCTGTCACCCAGGCTGGAGTGCAGTGGTGCGATCATAGCTCACTGCAACCTCGCTTCCCAGACTCAAGCCATCCTCCTGCCTCAGTCTCCTGAGTAGCTGGGACTACAGACGTGTGCCACCGCACCCAGTTAACTTCTGTATTTTTAATAGAGATGGGATTTTGCCATGTTGGCCAGGCTGGTCTCAAATTTCTGGGCTCAAGTGATCCAACTGCTCAGCCTCCCAAAGTGCTGGGATTACAGGCATGAGCCACAATGCCTGGCCTTTAAATTATTTTTTAATTAGACGAGTACTATAGCTACACAATTTTATTGTAAAAATTGAAACAGAGTAAATTTAAAATGTAATTTGATACCACCCAATCCCAAATTTTTTCCAAAAAAACAATTATTGTTATCAGTGTCCTACCTCCTAAGCATTTGTGTTTTATGTACTTGCAAAAACATATGGCTTTGGTTTTGTAACATAAGTAGCATCATTCTCTGCATGTGACTCTTTTCATATTTTTTTCATGTAGTGATATATTGTCAAAGAATAACTCAGAGACCTTTAATTATTTTGCATGCTTTTTATTTCTTACATGAGGAAGGTAGACATTAGACTGTCAAGGGACAAAGGCAAAAAACAGGACTTATAAGAAAAATGGGAAAGCAAATAAACCTGTAGGCAGTCTGGGAATAGTGCACCCTTTTCTCCATTTTTGGTGTAAGCTCTTTCACCAGCAGCTAGCTAAAAGACCACTCCAGACAGTCTGCCATTGAATAGGCTGGCTAGGGAAAATGGAGAAAATAATTTCTGTAGTTTATGGATTCTCCCAAAAACCTTGAGAGTCCTTGAAGAATTTACAGGAGCAGCTGTTTCTCTGTGATGTCTGCTGTGTCTGTCCGTTGTCTCCCCACCCCTACCCACTCTCCGAGAACTACTTCTGCACCATTTCCTGCATCCCAATTTCTTCATCTGCCCTAATGCTCAGCACCACCAAGGTCAGGAACCTTGGGTTCTCTTTGATTCCTCCTTCTAGGCTGCCCATTAGGGACTATATATTTGTGATCTGCCAAAATTCATATGTCGAAAACCTAACTCCCAGTGGGATGGTATTATGAGGTAGAGGCTTTGTGAGGTAATTAGGTTTAGATAAGGTCTTGAGGGTAGAGCCCCCAAGATGGGATTAGTGCCCTTACAAGAAGAGAAAGAGATGAGAGCTGTTCTGTCTTGGCCATGTGATGATATGAGAAGGTGGCTGTCTACAAGCCAGGAAGCACTCCCTCACTAGACACTGAATCTGATAGCACCTTCATCTTGGACTTCCCAGACTCCAGGACTGTGACCAATAAATGTTTCTTATTTAAGCCATTTAGCCTATGGTATTGTTACAGCAGCCTAAACTGATGGAGACAGCCCCATTAGCTAAAATATCTTCACACCTATTCTCTTAAATATTTCTCTAATCTTTCCTCTCCTAGTTAGGTTTTCATCATTACTTGCCTAAAGAATTATAATAGTATCCTAATTAGTTTTCCTGCTTCTCAATTTTTTCCCCTTCAAATCCATCCTCTATCCAGCTGTCAGATCTACTCACCTAGAAATTGAAATAAGACTATACCACTCATCAGCTTAAAATCTTTAATAGGTCCCAGGGGCCTAATGAACAAATTAAAACCTTGTTAAAATGGCAAAGCCTTCCAAGAACTGGGTCTCCAATCTCATCTCTCCCCAGTCCCTGCCTCACATTTTATGCTCCAGTAACACTCAACTGCTTATAATCCATGGCACATCTTGTGCTATTTCTTAATCCAATGCCTCTCCTAATACCATCCCCTTTGCCTGGAATTCAGACTCTCACCCATCCTTCCCTGGCAGTGAAAGAGCCCAAATCAACTGTTAAAATAGTCACTCACATTTACTAAGCTCTTTTCAGAAATTGGTATTGTTGTACAGGGTTTTCTGATCACTCACTCCTTCTGTTCCTTCAATTCTTTTTTCCTGATGGAAATCTTTCTTCAAAGAAAAAAGGCAAAAAAAAATTCTGTAAGAGCCTATAAATATTGAAAATATTGGAATTATCTAAAAGCTCTCAGCCCATGTCTAGGAGAACTTGAAGGACTGAGTGTCACAGACAGTGTTCTCAAACTTGATCTTACAGAGCATCACCAGGATGGATTCAGTACCCAGGGTGCATGCATGAAGATGGGACTGAGGTAAGCCGTAGGGAAAGGTGGAAAAAAATGAGGAAGAGAGACTAGAAACGAGTGATAACTCCAAAATGCTCATCCAATGCTAGCTCTGGGTGGACTGGGAGGCAACCTGAGAGGAAATAAATAATGTTTCCCAACATTCTCTGGGCTACACGAGTGTGCCTCAACACTGGCTAGTATTAAGATTGTTTTCTTTTTTTTTAATTTTAGTATTATTATACTTTAAGTTTTAGGGTACATTAACAATGACAGCTGCAACCCTTCCAGACATCGCAGGGCATTCAGAGGATTACATGCCTATTGTCACATAGATTCAATGCATCAAATTGCTCATTTGCCACTGCAGCAGCAAAGCCAACTACATTCTTGTGTCCTTAACCTATAATTTTACATATAGCACCTCCTTGTATAACCAAGATATGTGTGGATCATTTGTACCCACCTCCTGCACTTTACTTCCTAACTTCTGCCTTTGAGATGCCATAGGATTTTGTTCTACCCCTTTTCACATAAAAAAGACTAGTTAGCCAGGCTTTCAGGCTCATGCTTTCCATTTATCTTCATCTATTCATTCCTCATTTATTCCATCTCCCTTGCACTTTTGGCACTAGGAATGAACTCCTCTTTCTCTTTTGTCAAATCCTTTGTCATCCTCCAAAAGGTCATAAAATAAAAAGATTCTGAGGTTGGAGGTCATCAAACTCATTAACAGAAGATGGGAAAACATGGCCCAGTGGAGGAAAGTATGGAGAAGTTTTGTTTTGCTTTAAGAGACAGGGTCTCACTCTGTCAGCCAGGCTGGAGTGTGCAGCATGATCATAGCTCACTACAGCCTCAAACTCCTGAGCTCAAGGGATCCTCCCACTTCAGCCTCCTGAGTAGCTGGGACTACAGGCATGCAGGCATGTGCCACTGTTACCAGATGGAAGGTCTTGCCTGTGAGTTGTCTTGTCCAGGTTCTTGGCGTGTTGAACAAATAATTGAATAAAGTGAACACAGCAACAAAAGAAGTAATGAAGATGAACAAAATAACAAAAGAATGGAGTAATGATGGCACAGATTTATCGAAGAAGCAATAGTACAATTCACAGAGTGGAAGCAGGCTCAAGCGAGCAGCTCCAGAGCAACCCCCCTCCGGTTGCAATGGTCCCCAGGGTTTTTATAAAGCCCTTGGTGCCCTTTAGAACCCTTCCATTGGTTACACCCTATGAAGGACTGGCCTGCGACCAACCAGAGGCTGAAGTGGAGACTTGGCCTGCAGTCAATCAGAAGCTGAAGTGGAAACTTCTGTCTTCTTATCACAGGAGTGCTGATGTGGCCTGTATACTGCCTAATCTTGCCTAGAACTGTCTGCACCTGCTGTTCCTTTGCTTCTGCCTTAACCCTTGGTTACCCTAATTCCCTATTCTCCTGCCTCACTCCCATGCCCAACTGATTTATTTTTATTTTTTTAGAGACAGGGTCTTGCTATGTTGCCCAGGCTGGTCTTGAACTCCTGGCCTCAAGTAATTCTCCTGCCTCAGCCTCTCAAAGCACTGGGATTACAGCCATTGAGCCATCGCACCCAGCCAAGAAGATTTTATGAATCCCTGTAGCTTACTCCATCTATCTAACCACCTCAACACATACACACGCTCCACCTTCTCTCAGCAAATTAGATGAAATTAATGTTAGGCAGGGGTCCACTCCTTCAACTATCTACCTCCACCCCTACAAGTTATTTATATCACATCTAGTTTGTAAGAAAAAGATGTCCCCACTGCAGTTTGAGACCAACTTTTGCATCTATTTTCTTGCTATGATGACATAGTTGTTCCATCTACCTCTTCTGTCTATTCTTGGGGAACCTGAGCACCAATCAAACTAAACTGCTTTCAATTCCCCAAATGTGCAAGCTCTATCATGCATTGGTACTTTTGTTCACACTGCTCCCCTTCCTTCAATGACACTCTCCAAACCCCCACATTGAATGCTGTTGAACCCGTGAGTCAGGACCCAATTCAAAAATCATCTTCTCTATAAAGTCTTCCATGAAACTTACAGTAGGATCAGCCATTCCTCCCTTGTTTCCCACCACATTCTGTGCACTCTCCATCCTGTCATCTATTACTTTTTCCTGCACTTATTGTTTTACATGTCTCCTCCCATTGTTCTTTATATTTTTTTAATTTTTTAAAGAAATTAATAGAGACAGGATCTCACTATGTTGCCCAGGCTGGTCTCGAACTCCTGACTCAAGTGATCCTCCCATCTTAGCCTCTCAAAGTGCTAGTATTACAGATGTGAGCCACCATGACCAGCCCCACTATTTTTTAAAATGCAGAACGTTTTTATATTGCCTTTATTTGCTTTTGTATTGATAGCAGTGTCTAGCACATAGTAGGCATTTAAATGCCTGTTGCATCAATGAATGATGAAACAGAAGAATATCCTTTACCAAAACAATACATATATGATTTTTAAAAAGAGATAGAAGAATAGCACTTGACCTGTATGAACCTCACATTTTCCACAAACATCCTTCCAGTCCCAAGGTTCGGGAGCATAATAAGCAGCACCTGAGGTGGGGCCCAGTGGCTCATGCCTATAATCTCAGCACTTTGGGAGACTGAGGAGGGGAACCGCTTGAGGTCAGAGGTTTGAGACCAGCCTGGACAACATAGCAAGACCCTGACCCTGTCTCTACAAAAAAAAAAAACAAATTAACCAACGTGGTGGTGCATGCCTGTAGTCCTAACACGGTAGAGGGATCACTTGAGACCAAAAGTTTGAGGTTGCAGTGAGCTACGATCGCCACTGTATGCCAGCCTGGTTGACAGAGCGAGATCCTGTCTCGAAAAAAGTAGTTGAGGGATAAAAGGAAGTAGAAATAAAAGCAACTGATATTGTGGGAATTAGACAAGCCAGTCACACAAATGACATGAATGGCATGTTCCTAATAAAAGTAACAAATGCGGCATAAGACTATGACATTGTGCCTGGCCACATCCACACATATGACTTGTATAAGATGAGGATGAAATGATTCCTCAGGAGACTAAAAATTCAGACTTGCTATTTTACTTTGCCTTGTTTTACGTTGATAAACAATCAGGATCTAATGATCTGATTTTTCTATTTCTTGGCAAATCTAGTTTGGCTTTTTTTTTTTTTTTTTTTTTGAGACAGGGTCTCACTCTGTTTCCAGGCTGGAGTGCAGTGGTTCAATCACAGCTCACTTGCAGCCTCAATCTCCAAAGCTTAAGCGATCCTCCCACCTCAGCCCCCCAAGTAGCTGGGACTTAGGCGCACACCACCATGCCCGACTAATTTTTTATTATTATTATTTGTAGAGATGAGGTCTTGCTATGTTGCCCAGGCTGGTCCTGAACTCCTGGGCTCAAGCAATCCACCTGCCTCAGCCTCCCAAAGTGCTAGGATTATAGGTGTGAGCCACTGCATTCAGCCTAAATCTAGTTTGGCTTCTAGCACACTAAAAATCAGAGTTTCTTTAATATTCCAATCCTGGCCTGGTTTTGTTTCTCCTTCTTTCACCACTCACCTGACACTCTCACTCCAGTCTCTTCCCTGTCATCAGCCAACAGCAGGGTTGAGTACTGATCACACCAGTTATCTAGGTGCTTAGGAACGCTGTTTGGTAACCAAACACTTTCAGCTGCCTTCTCTAGGTCTAAACAGCTAACAGACTGTTTTTTGCTGTCCCCAAAGGGCCAAGTTTGCTCTTCTCTGGCCTCTAATGAGGTATTTTAAGATGCTGGCAATAATTCTCTAAAAACAGAGCATTGGATAAATTCTTGATTTGAATTACTGATAACTTTACCCCACCGAGGGCAAGGGAAGCAACAACCAGTGCTATTTCTTTTAACCCTGATCAACATGAAATTTGGTGAATACAGAAAGAAAACTTGAGAGAAATAGACCATGTTTTTCTCAAGACCACGTTATGTTAAAATTTTTAGCCAAGGAAGAGGCCACATTTCTTTTTCTGTTTCTTTGTTCAGTCTCCATATAGACTGTCAAATTCGAAAATTGCCAATGCCGACTCTATTTTTAGTTGTCATGAAGGGATATTGGGAAAAGTTTTCAGTTAGCAATAATCACACCTTTGATAAACCTCACTGGCTACGATACTATGATACTGCCCCTGCACAAAACTAGAGATCACATTTATCACATTTTTCTTTTCTTTTCTTTTCTTTCTTTCTTTTTTTAAACAGATAAACTATTTTATTCTAAGAGAATATTTCTGTGGTTTCTGCAAGGGGAAAACCCAAAAGTGGTTGAAAACCACAAAAGAACCGAAAGAATGATTTTGATATTTCTCTTTTTGTTTTCTTGATGTTTTCTCCTCCCCTGGAGAAAAAAAAGTAATTTTACAAAATTTTAGGAGATAACTTTTTTTTTTTTGAGACAGGGTTTTGCTTTGTCACCCAGGCTAGAGTGCAGTGGCACAATCAGAGCTCACTGCAGCCTCCACCTCCCAGGCTCAAGTAATCCTCCCACCTCAGCCTCCCAAGTAGCTAGATCACAGGCACACACCACCATCCCCAACTAATTTTTAAATTTTTTGTGGAGACGGGTTATCACCATTTTACCCATGCTGGTCTTGAATTCCCACACTCAAGCAATCCTCCTGCCTCAGCCCCCTAAAGCACTGGGATTACAGGCCTGAGCCACTGTGCCCAGCCAGTTTTAGTAAAATTCAAAAAGCAAAAAATTAGACATACACATCAAAAGCTACATTTATGAGGAATGACCAATAATTAATCAATATTTTCTTTTATGAATAAATTTAGGGTTCTGGGCTACTCTGTGGACTAACATGCAAATGAAATCCCCATACAGTCATTTATCAGGGTATTGGTTGTTCTCAGCTAAAAGATACTGATCTGTTTTTCTTTCTGGTACTTTATTGCAATGTTTACTATGCTAACAATATTTGTTTTTTCATACAACTACAGAAGGGGAAAATGTTAGTGTTTAGACAAACCATAAAATTCATATAGTGGGGACTATTTCACTTGATGTTTCTGGACAGTTTCTTGGCAGACTTATCAGACAATCCAATTATTTGTTCTCCATATCAAACAAGGTATGGAAGTAAGAAGTTTTCCAGTCAGAAATGACAAATAGATGGAATTAATTACATAGAACTGGGGCGGATTTACTTCTTTCATTCAGTTTATGGTAACAAAAATGAGATTTGTTATAGGCAAAGACAGAACCATCAAGTACACAATGTCCGAAGGCCTTTTTCATTTTTATTTTACTTAAATGCCTTTCATCTGTCAAAAAAAAAATTAACCCCTGCCACCCCCACCTAAAAAATGGGACATCCTGAAAAGTCTTTCAAACTTAAAATTTCTAAGAGGCTTTTTGATATCTCTAAATTTTGTCATAGGGTCAAATTAACCTCTGCTAAAGCAGTTCTGTGATTGGCCAACATCATAAAAGCTTTAATTCAAAATTTTGTGGGGGCTGGGTGCAGTGGTTCACGCCTGTAATCTCAGCACTTTGGGAAGCCAAGGCAAGCGGATCGCCTGAGGTCAGGAGTTCAAGACCAGCCTGGCCAAAATGGTGAAACCCTGTCTCTACTAAAAATAACAAAAATTAGCCGGGCATGGTGGACACCTGTAATACCAGCTACGCATGAGGCTGAAGCACAAGAATCTCTTGAACCCAGGAGGTGGAGGTTGCAGTGAGCTGAGATCACGCCACTGCACTCCAGCCTGGGCGACAGAGTGAGACTCGAAAAAAAAAAAATTTGAGGGGAAGGAACTGAAAATGGAGATGAGGGAAATGGATCAATATCCCACACACGTCTATGACTTGCAGTAGAGACCACATTTCTTAATTATATCTTTATTCTACTTTTAAAGGGCGTATTTTAAAATGTTTTGGCCCAATGGTTGTCAAAGTGTAGTCCACCAATCAGTAATATCAGCATTTCTAGGGAACTTGTTAGACATGTCTTTGAGGCTCACCTCGGTCTTCCTGACTCAGGAACTCTGGGGTGGGAACCAGTAATCCTTTTAAGGAGCTCATCGGGGATCCTGAGATAAGTTAAAGTCTGACAACCACTAGTCTAGAGAAAAGATTGATATGCTTCCATGAACAAAGACTCTCAGGCAGCAGCTTCCAGGTTCACAAGAACCACCTGGTGCTTTTGTTTCGGTTTTGTTTTCCAATAATCCTAATCTTGTGCTTGTTTAAGTGCAGGTTCCTGGGTTCTCCCCAAGAGAATCTGATTCAGTAGGCCTGAAGTGGGTCCAGAAATCTCATTTTAAGAAACTTGCTGGGTAATTCTGATGCAGGTGGTCCACAGATGACTCTGAGAAGCCATACTTATTGTTTAGCTCTTAGTCCCTAATATAGTCATTTGACACAATTGACCACACCTGCCTCCTGGAAGTACCTTCTGCTCACTAGTCTCTCTAGGTATTATGCCTGCCTTACAGACCACTTAATCTCAGTTTCCTTTACTGAATTCACCTGTTCTTCCCAACCTGCAAATACTAGTGTGTCCAAGGCACACTCTTCATACCTAGTCTCTTTTCCATCCATGCTCACTTCCTTTTTTTTCTTTTCTTTTTTTTTTTCTTTTCTTTTCTTTTCTGAGACAGAGTCTGGCTCTGTCACTCAGGCTGGAGTGAAGTGGTGTGATCTTGGCTCACTGTAACCTTTGCCTCCCTGGCTCAAGCCATCCTCCCACCACCTCAGCCTCCCAAGTAGCTGGGACTACAGGTGTGCACCACCATGCCCAGCTAATTTTTGTATTTTTGTAGAAACGGGGTTTGGCTATGTTGCCCAGGCTGATCTCCAATTCCTAGGCTCAAGCACTCCACCCAACTTGGTGTCCCAAAGTGCTGGGATTACAGGCGTGAGCCACTGCGCCTGCCCATGCTCACTTCCTAAGTGCCAATGACACAAACATATTTAATATATCTCCAGAAATATGTATCAAACAGACACCTCCACTTAGATATTTTAATGACACCTAAATTTAATATGTGCAACACTGAATTCTTGCTTTCCACCTTTCAGAGCTGCTCTACCCCTCCCTCTCACTAATGTTCCTATCCTCACAGATGCCACCACCATATTGTTTCTTCTAGTTTCTCAGGCTAGAACCCTAGAAATCATTCTTTTTATATTCCACTTTTATATTATCACTCCAAATTCAACCCTTTAGCAAATCTTTTCAGCTCTCTCTCTCCCTTTAAAATATGTCCTAAATCAAGCCAGGTGCAGTGGCTCATGCCTGTAATCCCAGCATTTGGGAAGGCCAAGGCTGGCAGATTGCTTGAGTCCGGGACTTTGAGACCAACCTGGGCAATATGGTGAAACTCCATCTCTACCAAAAAATAATGAAATAAAAAATTACCCGGGCATGGCAGCGCCTGCCTGTAGTCCTAGCTACCCGGGATCCTGAAGTCGGCAGATTGGTTGAGCCCAACCTGGGCAATATGGTGAAACTCCATCTCTACCAAAAAATAACGAAATAAAAAATTACCCGGGCATGGCAGCGCCTGCCTGTAGTCCTAGCTACCCGGGATCCTGAAGTCGGCGGATTGCTTGAGCCCAGGAGGTGGAGGTTGCAGTGAGCTGAGTTTGCACCACTGTACTCCTGGGCAACAGAGTGAGACCCCATCTCAAAAACAAAAATAAAAATATGTCCTAAATCTATCTATTTCTAACCTTCTTCACCTTCACCACTCTATTCCAAGCCACCAGTATTTCCTCCCTAGACAACTGTGATAGCCCTCTAATTGGTCTCCCTGATCTTCTCTTGCATGGCAGGTTAGGTGCCCCTTCTAAATTTGCAGCATGTCATTGCTCTGCTCAACACCCTCTACTAGCTTCCCAGCTCACTTGAATATAATCCGAAGTCCTTATCATGACCTATGCATGATCCAGCTCCTGCCCCATTCCCAAACTCAGCACTACCATGCTCTGCCTCACTCTGTTCTCCAACTTTTCTGCCCTCCTTGCTCTTCCTCTATCAAGCCAAACACATTTCCATGACAGGGTCTTTGCACTAGATGCTTCTTCTTCCTAGAATCTACCGTTACCACCCTCGCCCCTACACCAGATATTTGTACCCTCCTCATTCTGTTTCTACTCAAGTATCATATCCAGGAGACCCTCCCTGACTACTTGGATCAGCAAGGGTTCAACTAGAGAAACAGAACCAGTAGGAGATACATATTAAGAAATTGATTGCAAGGAATTGGCTTACATGATTGTGGGGGCTAGCTGGGTGAGTCTGAAATCCACAGGGTAGGCTGTCAAGAAGCATAGGCTGAAACTCTTATGTGCAGGCTGAAGCTGCTGTCCAGAGCTGGAATTTCTTGTTCTTCAGGGAAGCCTCAGCTTTGCTCTTAACTGATTGAATCAGGCCCACAGATTACCTAGGATGATCTCCCTTTCTTGGTGCCACCTGATTATGGTCTTTGATTACCTCTACAAAATATCTTCATAGCAACACCTAGATTAGTGTCTGATTGAATAACAGGACTACAGCCCAGAGAAGTTGACAGATACAACTGATTATCACAGTATTGTATTTAAAATAGAGCTCCTTACCTCGCTTTATTTTCTTCACAGAATTTATCACTTCCTGACATCATTTTTATATGTTTATTTCTTTATTTATGTATTAGCTACCTCACCTACTATAATGTAAGATTCACCAGGAAAAGAATCTTGTCTTTTGATTGATTTAACTAATATTTGTTCGAATGATCTACTTTTGGACATAGTGTTTACTTCTGCAGTTTTATTATTATGACCAATGTTAATATGAAGATCTTCACGCATACACACACACGTATCTTGGGTCTCTTTTCCAATTTTTAATTTTTAAAAGTAATTTTGGTTTTTCCAATCTAGTTTTTCTGTTAGATTTTGATGTCAGGCTTATAGAGATATAATTCTATGTTAAGTAAAATGTGCCCTTTTTAATGTACAGCTCTATGAATTCTGAAATCACATGCAGTCCTGTAACCACCATGATCAAGACAAACAGCATTTCCACCTCCCTAAATATTTCCTTCGTGCCCCTTTGTAGTCAACCCTTGCTTCACCTCGTCTCTAGAAACCACTTGTATTAGTTGGCTAGGACTGCCATAACCAAATAACACAGACTGAGTGGTTTACCTAACAGAAATGTATTGCCTCACAATTCTGATGTCTAGAAGTCCAAAGTCAAGGTCTTGGCAGGGTTGGTTCCTGGTTACATACTCTGAGGAGTATGAGGGAAATATCTTATCCAGGCCTCTCCCCTTGCCTTGCAGATGGCTGTATTCTTTCTATGTCTCTTTGCACCATCTTCCCTCTATGCATATCTCTGTCCAAATTTTCCTCTTTTACAAGGACATCAATCATGATGAATTACAGCCCACCCTAGTGAACTCATTTTAACCTGATTAGCTCTGTAAAGGCCCTATACCCAAATAAGGTCACATTCTGAGGTACCATTTGTTGAGTTAGGACTTCAACATACGAATTTTAGAGCAACACAATTTAATCCATAACACCACTGATCTGTTTTTCTCCATGTAGATTTATCTTTTCCAGACTATCCTATGAACTGAATCATTTATGTGGCCTTTTGCATCTATTTTCTTTCACTTCGCATAATGCCTAAGAGATTCATCCAAGATGCCTGTGTCAGAAGTTCATTCCTTGTTATTGCTGAGTAATATTTCATTGTAGGTATTGTAGTTTGTTTATCCATTCACCAGCTAAAGGACATTTGGGTTGTTTCCAGTTTAGAGCAGTTATGAATAAAGCCACTGTAAACTTCACATACTGGTTTTGTGTGCACATATGTTTTCATTCTTTTTAAATAAATACCTAGGAATGTGACTATAAGTTATATTTAAAATTTTAACAAACTACCAAATTATTTTCCGAAGTGCATCATTGCTCATTCCAACCAGCAATGTGTGAGGACTTAAATAGTTATGAAAATTATACTTTATGACATCATTCAATAACTTAAGGATATTACTTCAGTACTGCAGAAACAATGGAGGCAGGAGGTATGGTTTTAACAAAGAGTTTATCTCTTTAACAAAGAGCTTATCTGCCTATGCTACCTCATCCCAAGAAAAGCTCTCGGTAAATACATTATTCTAAGAGAAAGACAGAGACTCTTCTAACTGAAGCAAGTTGTTTTTAAAATCAAATAATAAAGAAGGATATGTAATAAAAAGTAATTGTTCTGTGTTCCTCTGTCCTCTACCACCAGTCCCTGAACCTGGAGGCGAATCTTTTACATATGTCTCTTTTAGTTCTTCTGGTGGCTACTTCCATTTCTTTTAATAATATACCCTTCCTACTACTTTTTTATATAATACCTTCAGGTATTTTTTATTAATTTCCTGCTACTCTCCCCTGCTCATCTCCACTCTTTGTATGTTCATGTCACTATTTTTAGTTCCTGAATTGGCTACTTTTTTAACTTAATATAATACTCACACTTCTTTTTCTTTCTTTCTTTCTTCCTTTCTTTCTTAACTTAATATAATACTCTTTCTTTCTGTCTTTCTGTCTGTCTGTCTTTCTTTCTTTTCTTGAAACAGAGTCCTACTCTGTTGCCCAGGCTGGAGTGTAGTGGCATGATCACAGCTCACTACAGCCTTCACCTCCTGGACTCCCACCTACGCCTCCTGAGTAGCTGGGACTACAGGCATGCACCACCACACCCAGTTAATTTTTGTATTTTTTGTAGAATTTGGGTTTGCCATGTTGCCCAGGTTGGTCTCAAACTCCTGCGCTCAAGCAATCTGCCCACCTCAGCCTCCTGGAGTGCTGGGACTACAGGCATGAGCCACCACGCCCAGCTCCAAACTTCTTTCTATTAATAATTGTCTCAAATATATATATTATCCTTTGAATTTTTCCTATACAAGAGGGGGATAATAAGGCTGGTCCAAGTGCAGTGATGTTTACAACTAATTAATCACAGATTTCTTTGTCCCTTCTCCACTCCCACTGGTTCACTTGAGTAGCCTTTAAAAAATAATAAAAATAAAAAATAAAATAAAGTTTAAAATAAATAAATAAGAAGAAGATTAGGATAATAGGACCTCCAACATTCCATTTACATTCCCTTCTTATCTTCTGTCAATAACTCCCACATGGTCCAGGTGGATAACATTTATATTCTATTCTGTAACCATAACTATATCATCCATGTTTTGCCTATAAATTGATTTCAAAGTTGAAACTATAAACAGGATTTATATTATGATTATTGACTATTTTAATATTGTTCAATGAAGACTGCTAAGAAGATTAGTAAAGGCTTGCCTGTTAAGGAATGTTTAAAGTACAAAAATAAGGAAGATATCTGCCTAAAAGAGGCAGGTGGTAAATTAAAAGATGGCAGTGGAAAATAGAACTTCTCAACACCTGTTTTCTTCTCTCTTGAACAGAATGATTTTGAAAGTGAAGAGATTAAAACAAACATGATCAGGGGAGAATAAAGGAACGAGAAAGAGGGTGAGGAGCAACCTCTGTATCCCCGGTCCCAGTTTCTTCTAGCCACCGATGTCCTTCACCTGAAGCCTTGGTCTTCCTCAGTTTATAAAGCAGCTCTCAACAGAGAAGGTGTCAAATGATAGATTCAAACAGAGATGCCCTAAAAAGACTGTCAAAAATATGTCCTTAAAGGTAGAGAGCAAGGCCTTCGAAAGCTGTACAGAACAAATGGTGTGGTTCATTAAAATTACTTGGATTTAAATTCATTTAATTTTTTTCATGTTTATTTGTTCTTTTACTCAGTCTCCCTTACACACTATGCACCATGCCTCTATTTAAATGTGAGCTTCAAAAGAGCAGAGGCCTTGTTAGTCTTGTTTTCACTGTGCCCAGAATAGTGATCCACTAAGAGAAGTGCTTCATTCACTTTCTCTGGCTCATTTCTATTGGCATACAAACTGCTGTTTATCTCCACAAAATTTTCCTTGATACTATTTCCTGTACCTGCAACTGCCCCATCACCACGACTTTTTTTTTCCTCTTTGTTGTGGCAAAACATAAGAATTGCTTATATTCCTGGCCAGGTGCGGTGGCTTACGCCTGTAATCCCAGCACTTTGGGAGGCTGAGGCAGGCGGATCACTTGAGGTCAGGAGTTCGAAACCAGCCTGGCCAACATGGTGAAACCCTGTCTCTATTAAAAATACAAACAATAGCTGGGCATGGTGGCGCATGTCTATAATCCCAGCTACTTGTGAGGCTGAGGCAAGAGAATTGCTTGAACCCAGGAGGCGGAAGTTGCAGTGAGCCAAGATCGCACCATTGCACTCCAGCCTGGGTGACACAGCGAGACTCCAACTCAAATTAAAAAAAAAAAAAAAGAAAGAAACAAAAGCAAAGAATTGCTTATATTCCTTGTATTAGTCTGCTCTAGCTGCCATAACAAAAATACTATAGACTGGGTGGCTAAAACAACAGGAATTTGTTTCTCACAATGCTGAAGTCTGAGAAGTCCAAGATGAAGGTGTTAATTTGGTTTCTGAGGTTTCTCTCTCCTGGCTTGCAGATGGCCACCATCTTGCTGTGTCTTCATATGGCCTTTCCTCAGTGTGTGCCCTAGGAGAGATCTTTCTCTCTTTCTCTTCTTAAAAGGCCGCTAATCCCATCGTGAGGACCCACACTTATGGCCAAATCTAACTCTAATTGCCTCCCAAAATCCCCATTTCCAAATAACATCACAGAGAAGGTTAGGGCTTCAACATATGAAAGTGGGGGAGACACAAACATTTGGCCCATAACATTCCACCACTGGCCCCCCAAAATGCATGTCCTTATTTGAAGGGGTGGCCTGCCCCTCCACACCTGTGGGTATTTCTCGTCAGGTGGGATGAGAGACTGAGAAAAGAAATAAGACACAGAGACAAAGTATAGAGAAAGAACAGTGGGCCCAGGAGACCGGCGCTCAGCATACGGAGGACCTGCACCGGCACCAGTCTCTGAGTTCCCTCAATATTTATTGATTGCTATTTCCACTATCTCAGCAAGGGGAATGCGGCAGGAGAACGGGGTGATAGTGGGGAGAAGGTCAGCAAGAAAACATGTGAGCAAAGGAATCTGTGTCACAAATAAGTTCAAGGGAAGGTACTATGCCTGGATGTGCAGGTAGACCAGATTCATGCTTCTCTCCACCCAAACATCTCAGTGTAGTAAAGAGTAACAGAGCAGCATTGCCACCAGCATATCTCACCTCCAGCCACAGGGCAGTTTTCTCCTATCTTAGAATAGAACGAATGTACGATCGGGTTTTATAACAAGACATTACGTTCCCAGGGGCATGCAGGAGACAGAGGCCTTCCTCTTATATCAACCGCAAGAGGCCTTCCTCTTTTACTAATCCTCCTCAGCACAGACCCTTTACGGGTGTCGGGCTGGGGGATGGTCAGGTCTTTCCCTTCCCACGAGGCCATATCTCAGGCTGTCTCAGTGGGGAGAACCCTTGGACAATACCCAGGCTTTCTTGGGCAGAGGTCCCTGCGGCTTTCCACAGTGCATTGTGCCCCTGGTTAATCGAGAATGGAGAACGGTGATGACTTTTACCAAGCATACTGCCTGTAAACATATTGTTAACAAGGTACATCCTGCACAGCCCTAGATCCCTTAAACCTTGATTCCATACAATGCATGTTTCTGTGAGCACAAGGTTGGGGCTAAAGTTACAGATTAACAGCATCTCAAGGCAAAACAATTGTTCAGGGTACAGATCAAAATGGAGTTTCTTATGTCTTCCTTTTCTACATAGACACAGTAACAGTCTGATCTCTCTTTCTTTTCCCTACACTTATTGTATGCAAAATAAGCCATTCTGATAGCCCCTAAAGTATTTTTTTATTATTATTATACTTTAAGTTCTGGGTTACATGTGCAGAACGTGTAGTTTTGTTACATAGGTATACATGCACCATGGTGGTTTGCTGCACCCATCAACCCATCACCTACATTAGGTATTTCTCCTAATGTTATCCCTCCCCCAGCCCCCCCAACCCCCACAGGCCCTGGTGTGTGATGTTCCCCTCCCTGTGTCCATGTGTTCTCATTGTTCAACTCCCACTTATGAGTGAGAACATGCAGTGTTTGTTTTTTTTGTCTTTGCGATAGTTTGCTGAGAATGATGGTTTCCAGCCTCATCCATGTCCCTACAAAGGACATGAACACATCCTTTTTTATGGCTGCATAGTATTCCATGGTGTATATGTGCCACATTTTCTTAATCCAGTCTATCATTGATGGACATTTGGGTTGGTTCCAAGTCTTTGCTATTGTGAATAGTGCCACAATAAACATACATGTGCATGTGTCTTTATCGTAGAATGATTTATAATCCTTTGGGTATATGCCCAGTAATGAGATAACTGGGTCAAATGGTATTTCTAGTTCTAGATCCCTGAGGAATTGCCACACTGTCTTCCACAATGGTTGAACTAGTTTACAGTCCTACCAACAGTGTAAAAGCATTCCTATTTCTCCACAACCTCTCCAGCATCTGCTGTTTCCTGACTTTTGATGATCACCATTCTAACTGTCATGAGTTGGTATCTCATTGTGGTTTTGATTTGCATTTCTCTAATGACCAGTGATGATGAGCATTTTTTCATGTCTGTTGGCTGCATAAATGTCTTCTTTTGAGAAGTGTCTGTTCATATCCTTTGCCCATTTTTTGATGGGGCTGTTTGCTTTTTTCTTGTAAATTTAAGTTCTTTGTAGATTCTGGATATTAGCCCTTTGTCAGAAGGATAGATTGCAAAAATTTTCTCCCATTCTGTAGGTTGCTTGTTCACTCTGATGAGAGTTTCTTTTGTTGTGCAGAAGCTCTTTAGTTTAATTAGATCCCACTTGTCAATTTTAGCTTTTGTTGCCATTGCTTTTGGTGTTTTAGACATGAAGTCTTTGCCCATGCCTATGTCCTGAATGGTGGTGCCCAGGTTTTCTTCTAGGATTTTTATGGTCCTAGGTCTTATGTTTAAGTTTTTGATCCATCTTGAGTTGATTTTCATACAAGGTATAAGGAAGGGGTCCAGTTTCAATTTTTTGCATATGGCTAGCCAGTTTTCTCAACGCCATTTATTAAATAGGGAATCATTTCCCCATTGCTTGTGTGTGTCAGGTTTGTCAAATATCAGATGGTGGTAGATGTGTGGTGTTATTTCTGAGGCCTCCATTCTGTTCTATTCATATATATATATATATATATATATATATATATATCTGTTTTAGTACCAGTACCATGCTGTTTTGGTTACTGTAGCCTTGTAGCAAAGTTTGAAGTTAGGTAGTGTGATACCTCCAGCTTTGTTCTTCTTGCCCAGGATTGTCTTTTTTGTTTCCATATGAAGTTTAAAGTAGTTTTTTCCAATTCTGTGAAGAAAGTCAGTGGTAGCTTGATGGGGATAGCACTGAATCTATAAATTATTTTGGGCAGTATGGACATTTTCACTATATTGATTCTTCCTATCCACGAGCATGAAATGTTTTTCCATTTGTTTGTGTCCTCTCTTATTTCCTTGAGCAGTGGTTTGTAGTTCTTCTTGAAGAGGTCCTTCACATCCCTTGTAAGTTGTATTCCTAGGTATTTTATTATCTTAGTAGCAATTGTGAATGGGAGTTCACTCATGATTTGGCTCTCTATTTGTCTGTTATTGGTGTATAGGAAGGCTTGTGATTTTTGCACATTGATTTTGTATCCTGAGACTTTGCTGAAGTTGCTTATCAGCTTAAGATTTGGGGCTGAAACGATGGGGTTTTCTAAATATATAATCATGTCATCTGCAAACAGAAACAATTTGACTTCCTCTCTTTCTATTCAAATACTGTTTATTGCTTTCTCTTGCCTGATTGCCCTGGCCAGAACTTCCAATACTATGTTGAATAGGAGTGGTGAGAGAGGGCATCCTTGTCTTGTGCCAGTTTTCAAAGGGAATGCTTCCAGTTTTTGCCCATTCAGTATGATATTGGCTGTGGGTTTGTCATAAATAGCTCTAATTATTTTGAGATATGTTCCATCAATACCTAGTTCATTGAGACTTTTTAGCATGAAAGGCTGCTGAATTTTGTCAAAGGCCTTTTCTGCATCTATTGAGATAATCATGTGTTTTTTGTCATTGGTTCTGTTTATGTGATGGATTACGTTTATTGATTTGCGTGTGTTGAACCAGCCTTCCATCCCAGGGATGAAGCTGAATTGATTGTGGTAGATAAGCTTTTGGATGTGCTGCTGGATTCAGTTTGCCAGTATTTTATTGAGGATTTTCACATCAATGTTCATCAGGTATGTTGCCTTGAAATTCTCTTTTTTTGTTGTGTCTCTGCCAGGCTTTGGTATCAGGATAATGCTGGCTTCATAAAATGTGTTAGGGATGATTCCCTCTTTTTCTTTGATCGCAGTAGTTTCAGAAGGAATGGTACCAGCTCCTCTTTGTGCCTCTGGTAGAATGGCTGTGAATCCATTTGGTCCTGGACTTTTTTTGGTTGGTAGGCTATTAATTATTGCCTCAATTTCAGAACCTGTTATTGGTCTATTCAGAGATTCAACTTCTTCCTGGTTTAGCCTTGGGAGGGTGTATGTATCCATGAATTTATCCATTTCTTCTAGATTTTCTAGTTTATTTGCATAGAGGTATTTCTAGCATTCTCTGATGGCAATTTGTATTTCTGTGGGATCGGTGCTGATATCCCCTTTATCATTTTTTATTGCATCTATTTGATTCTTCTGTCTTTTCTTCTTTATTAGTCTTCCTAGTGGTCTATTTTGTTGGTCTTTTCAAAAAACCAGCTCCTGGATTCATTGATTTTTTGAAGGGTTTTTTTGTGTCTCTATCTCCTTCAGTTCTGCTCTGATCTTAGTTCTTGTCTTCTACTAGCTTTTGAATTTGTTTGCTTTTGTCTCTCTAGTTCTTTTAATTGTGATGTTAAGGTGTCAATTTTAGATCTCTCCTGCTTTCTCTTGTGGGCATTTAGTGCTATAAATTTCCCTCTACACACTGCTTTAAATGTGCCCCAGATATTCTGGTACGTTGTGTCTTTGTTCTCATTGGTTTCAAAGAACATCTTTATTTCTGCCTTCATTTTGTTATTTACCCAGTAGTCATTCAGGAGCAGGTTGTTCAGTTTCCATGTAGTTGTGCAGTTTTGAGTGAGATTATTAATCCTGAGTTCTAATTTGATTGCACTGTGGTCTGAGAGACAGTTTGTTGTGATTTCTCTTCTTTTGCATTTGCTGAGGAGTGTTTTACTTCCAATTATGTGGTCAATTTTAGAATAAGTGTGATGTGGTGCTGAGAAGAATGTATATTCTGTTGATTTGGGGTGGAGAGTTCTGTAGATGTCTATTAGGTCCACTCGGTCTAGAGCTGAGTTCAAGTTCTGAATATCCTTGTTAATTTTCTGTCTCATTGATCTGTCTAATATTGATAGTGGGGTGTTAAAGTCTCCCATTATTATTGTGTGGGAGTCTAAGTCTCTTTGTAGGTCTCTAAGAACTTGCTTTGTGAATCTGGGTGCTCCCGTATTGGGTGCATATATATTTAGGATAGTTAGCTCTTCTTGTTCAATAGATCCCTTTACCATTATGTAATGGCCTCCTTTGTCTCTTTTCATCTTTGTTGGTTTAAAGTCTGTTTTATCAGAGACCAGGATTGCAACCCCTGCTTTTTTTTGCTTTCCATTTACTTGGTAGATCTTCCTCCATCCCTTTATTTTGAGCCTGTGTGTCTTTTCACATGAGATGGGTCTCCTGAATACAGCACACCAATGGGTCTTGACTCTTTATCCAATTTGCTAGTCTGTGTCTTCTAATTGGGGCATTTAGCCCATTTACATTTAAGGTTAATATTGTTATGTGTGAATTTGATCCTGTCATTATGATGCTAGCTGGTTATTTTGCCCACTAATTGATGCAGTTTCTTCATACCATCGATGGCCTTTACAATTTGGCATGTTTTTGCAGTGGCTGGTACCAGTTACTCCTTTCCATGGTTTTTGTTGTTTTTTTTTTTTTTTTTTTTTGAGATGGAGTCTTGCTCTGTCACCCAGGCTGGAGTGCAGTGGCGTGATCTCAGCTCACTGCAAGCTCCACCTCCTGGGTTCATGCCATTCTCCTGCCTCAGCCACCACCATGCCTGGCTAATTTTTTATAATTTTTAGTAGAGATGAGGTTTCACCATGTTAGCCAGGATGGTCTCGATCTGACCTCGTGATCTGCCCACCTCAGCCTCCCAAAGTGCTGGGATTACAGGTGTGAGCCACCACGCCTGGCCCCTTCCCATGTTTTGTGCTTCCTTCAGGAGCTCTTGTAAGGCAGGCCTGGTGGTGACAAAATCTCTCAGTATTTGCTTGTCTGTAAAGGAGTTTATTTCTCCTTCACTTATGAAGCTTTGTTTGGCTGAATATGAAATTCTGGGTTGAAAATTCTTTTCTTTAAGAATGTTGAATATTGGTCCCCACTCTCTTCTGGCTTGTAGGGTTTCTGCAGAGAGACCCGCTGTTAGTCTGGTGGGCTTCCCTTTGTGGGTAACCCAACCTTTCTCTCTGGCTGCCCTTAACATTTTTTCCTTCATTTCAACCTTGGTGAATCTGACAATTATGTGTCTTGGGGTTGCTCTTCTCAAGGAGAATCTTTGTGGTGTTCTCTGTATTTCCTGAATTTGAATGTTGGCCTGCCTTGCTAGGTTGGGGAAGTTCTCCCAGATAATATCCTGAAAAGTGTTTTCTAACTTGGTTCCATTCCCCCCGTCACTTTCAGGAACACCAAGCAAACACAGATTTGGTCTTTTCACATAGTCCCATATTTCTTGGAGGCTTTGTTCATTTCTTTTCACTCTTTTTTTCTCTAATCTTGTCTTCTTGCTTTATTTCATTAATTTGATCTTCAATCACTGATATCCTTTCTTCCACTTGTTCGACTCGGCTATTGAAGCTTGTGTATGCTTCACGAAGTTCTCATACTGTGATTTTCAGTTCTATCAGGTCATTTAAGGTCTTCTCTACACTAGTTATTCCAGTTAGCCATTCGTCTAACCTTTTTTCAAGGTTTTTAGCTTCCTTGCAATGAGTTAGAACATGATCCTTTAGCTCAGAGAAGTTTGTTATAACCGACCTTCTGAAGCCTACTTCTGCCAACTCGTCAAACCCATTCTCCAACCAGTTTTGTTCTCTTGTTGGTGAGAAGTTGTGTTCCTTTGGAGGAGAAGAGGTGTTCTAGTTTTTGGAATTTTCAGCCTTTCTGCTCTGGTTTCTCCCCTCTTTGTGGTTTTATCTACCTTTGGTCTTTGATGTTGGTGACCTATGGATGAGGTTTTGGTGTAGATGTCCTTTTTGTTGATGTTGATGCTATTCTTTTCTGTTTGTTGGTTTTTCTTCTAACAGAGAAGCCTCTCAGTTGCAGGTCTGTTGGAGTTTGCTGGAGGTCCACTCCAGACCTTGTTTGCCTGGGTATCACCAGCAGAGGCTGCAGAATAGCAAATATTGCTGCCTGATCCTTCCTCTGGAAGCTTCATCCCAGAGGGGCACCCACCTGTATGAGGTGTCTGTCAGCCCCTACTGGGAGGTGTCTCCCAGTCAGGCTACACAGGGGTCAGGGACCCACTTGAGGAGGCAGTCTGTCTGTTATTGCAGCTCGAATGCCGTGCTGGGAGAACAACTGCTCTCTTCAGAATGGTCAGGCAGGGATGTTTAAGTATGGAGAAGCTGTCTGCTGCCTTTTGTTCAGATATGCCCTGCCCTCATAGGTGGAATCTAGAGAGGCAGTAGGCCTTGCTGAGCTCCAGTGGGCTCCACCCAGTTCGAGCTTCCCTGCCACTTTGTTTACACTGTGAACATAGAACCACCTACTCAAGCCTCAGCAATGGTGGACACCCCTCCCCCCACCAAGCTCCGGCATCCCAGGTTGATCTCAGACTGCTGCGCTAGCAGCAAGCAAGGCTCTGTGAGCATAGGACCTGCTGAGCCAGGCACAGGAGGGGATCTCCTGGTCTGCAGGTTGTGAAGACCATGGGAAAAGTGCAGTATTTGGGCAGAAGTGTACCACTCCTCCAGGTACAGTCACTCACGGCTTCCCTTGGCTAGGAATGGGAAATCCCCCAACCCCTTGCATTTCCCCGGTGAGGCAATGCCCCACCCTGCTTCAGCTTGCCTTCCATGGGCTGCACCCACTGTCCAACCAGTCCCAATGAGATGAATCAGGTACCACAGTTGGAAATGCAGAAATCACCCATCTGCTTTGTCAATCTTGCTGGGAGCTATAGACCAGAGCTGTTCCTATTTGGCCATCTTGGAAGTGACCAGTGCCCCTAAAGTCTTAACGCATTCCAGTTTCAACTCTAAAGTCTAACATTTAAAGTCTAATATTTTTTCTTAACTTAATAAGGTTTTCTTTAACTTTTGTTTTAAGTTCAGAGGTACATGTGCAGGTTTGTTATTAAAGTCTCTCTAAAAATCATCTAAACTGGATATTGCCGAGACTTGAGATGTAATTCATTATGAGGCAAAATTTTTCTCCAGCTGTGAACCTTTGAAACCAAATATGTTATCTGATTCCAAAATACAATAGTGGGACAGACATAGAATAAACATTCCCATTCCAAAAGAAGAAGCAGGAAAGAAGGAAAGGTAGTTGGTTTCAAGCCAGTTCAAAACCCAACAAGGTATTCCATGAGATCTTAAGCCCGGAGAATAATCCTCTTCAACACTCTGCCTTCTAGGCCTGGTGGTGTTGGGGTGAGGGGGTCATCCCCCTAAGGCTGTACATGGTGGTCTTGGCCCCACAGCTCTGCAGAGAGGTCCTGGCTCCCAAGCTTTGGTCAGAGGCCACCTGGCCTTTTAAAACTGAATGGTGACCGTGATAATCTCTGAATTGCCTTCAGGGCAATTTTTCTCTGTCTTTGAACAGTGCACGTTTATACCCAGATAGCTCTATCGTCTTGTCTTTCAAAATCTAAGAAGTCAAATATCCTTTCTTCATTTTGTCCAACCTCCATCCCTCAGTTCAAGCTGACAGTGCTTCTGCTCCTATAATATCATAAACTCTTTATTGAGTGAAAGTCCAGCCACACCCTTGGTGTTCCTTTCAGAATATGTTTTTGCATTTTTTGCAATATCAATAGGCTGAATTTTCCAAATATTTAAGATCTAGTTCCTTGTTGCTTAACAATCCTTTCTTCAGTTCATCTCTGTCCTCTCACATATTACTATAAACAGTCAGGAGGAACTAAGATACTCCTTCAACACTTTGCTTAGAAATATTCTCAGGGAAATTTCCAGTTTCATTGCTTACCAGTTCTACTTTCCAAAAAAACACTAGAACACAAACACAATTCAGTCAGGTTATTTCCCTCTTTATAACAAGGATTGCCTCTCCTTCAGGTTCCTACATGATCTTTGTTACCATCTGAGACTTCACAAGAATCACCCTTAATATCTATATTTATAGTATGCACCTTAAAACTCTTCCAGCCTCTACCCATTACCCATTTCCAAAGCAACTTCCACATGTTTAAGCATTTGTTACAGCAGCACCTCACTTCTCAGTATCAAAATCTGTATTAGTCTGGGTTATCCATAGAAACAGAACTGCTAAGAGATATAAATAGATAGATATAAAGAAGCTTATAAGAAATTGGGCCAGGTGAAGTGGCTCACACCTGTAATCCCAGCACTTTGAGAGGTCGAGGTGGGCGGATCACTTGAGGTCAGGAGTTCAAGACCAGCCTGGTCAACATGGTGAAACCCCATCTCTACTAAAAATACAAAAGTTAGCTGTGGCATTCATCTCTGGTCCCAGCTACTCAGGAGGCTGAGGCAGGAGAATCACTTGAACCTGGGAGGCAGAGGTTGCAGTGAGCCAAGATCATGCCACTGCACTCCAGCCTAGGCAACAGAGTAAGACTCAAAAAAAAAAAAAGAAATTGGGTCATGTGATTATGAAGACAGATATCCCAAGATCTATAGTCAGCACAAAGGACAGCCAATGGTATGAGTACCAGTCTGAGTATCAGTCCAAAGTCTGACATCCTAGCTTGACAATCATTAGGCAGGGAGAGAATCCTGCCTTACTCACCCCTGTGTTCCTTTCAGGCCTTCAGTGGATTTCCATGAGACCCACCCACATTGGGCAGGATAATCTGCTTTACTCAGTCTACCAATTCCAATGTTAATCTTGGCCAGGTGCGGTGGCTCCTGCCTGTAATCCCAGCACTTCGGGATCGAGGTGTGTAGAGGCCAGGAGTTCAAGACCAGCCTGGGCAACATGGCAAAACCTTGTCTCTACTAAAAAAATACAAAAAAATTAGCTGGGCGTCATGGCACATGCCTGGAGTCCCAGCAGCTAGGGAGGATGAGGTGGGAGGATCACCTGAGCCCTGGAAGGCGAGGCTGTAGTGAGCTGAGATCATGTGCCACTGCAGTCTAGTCTGAGCAATGAGAGTGAGACCCTTTTGCCAAAACAACAACAACAACAACAACAACAACAACCACTGTGGCTCCTATGGTCCATTCAAGTTGACACATAAAATTAACCATCACATCCCCTGATTCCAATTCTTCTTTTCCTATACTCAGTTAAATCCACCCAAATATATGTCTATCCTCACTACTTCATGGAAACTACTTTAGTTGAAGGATTCTTGAACTTTGATCTAGAACTTTGATCTAACAATGCCCTCTGCTTCGTTAAATTAAAATTGCTTATCTTACTTGACAAATTAGGAGGATTTGACATCATCAATTGTCTCCTCCTCCTTGACATATTTCGTTTGACTCTCAGGACACCACACTTTCAGTGTGAACCTGAAACCACGCTGGTTCATCTTTCTTGTCCTTTGCTGGCTCTTCAATTTTTCCATGACCTCTTAATATTAGGATAGATTTAGTTCTTGAATATCTCCTCTTCTTATATGTTTTCTGTTGAAAATTATATTCAATCTCATGACTGTAAACAAATCTGTATGTCCACAACTCTTAAAGATATCTTTAGCCCCAATTCCTCTGCTCAGCTCTCTACTCATTTATTCTATTGCCTCTAATAGACCTCTCAACCTCAGAATGTCCGAAATTGACCTCTTAATTGCCCCTACTTCCAAATCTGCTCCACTCACAGCCTTCTTCAACTCAAGTTATAATTTCCTTTCATCTTACTTGATTTCTTTGTGGCATTGGATACTATTGCTCACTCCAGGTTTCTTGACACTTACTTTCTCAGCTTTGGTGTATCCACTTTCTCCTAGCTTTCTTCCAATGGCTCTGACATCCTGTACTTAGGCTCCCACATGGACTTCTTCTTATACTCTTAAATTTTAGGCTTTAAACATTAATGTTTCTCAGACTTCCACTCTCAACTCTATTTCTCCAACCACCCATTCTCCAAGCTACAAACCTGATATTATTCATAGTCTTCTCTTTTCACTTAGCATCCATGTTTCATTGATCAATTCTGATCAAAAATACCTCCATAATTATTCATATTCTTTCATGATTTTCTATTCCCACTACCACTATCTTAATTTAGGTCCTCATTGCTTCTTACCTCCTGACTTGTCTCCCTGCCTCTAATCTTAACCCTCTCTGACCCATCCACAACACAACAATGGCTGTATCTTTCTAAAACACAAATCATCATATAATTTCTCTGATTAAAATATTTGCCTGCTTAAAATAGCATTCATATTTTAAATCTCCTGTTTTCATGATCAAGTCCAAGCTCTATAACATATCACTCAAAACCCTGTGGAATATGAACCCTGCTTACCTCTCTGGCATCATCTGCCACTTGCATACACACATTCTTTGCTCCCATCATTCAAAATTTTTTGCAGTGCCCCAGATGTTTCAGGCAGCTTCATGTCTCCAGACTGTCCCACCTAATGTTTCCTCTGGATTCTCCGTCATCTTCATCTACCCAATTCCTTCCTGTCCTTCAAAACACAGCTCCATTATCATCTCATCAGTTGATGAATTAGGCTTATCTGCTTTCCACTTGAGACTATAAGATCATTGTGGGCCAGATCTAGGTCTTACTAGACTTTATGACTCCTCTGCTTAGCAAACAAAAAACAGTTGTTGGGCTAATTAATTAATTAATAATCCATCCACATCTTTGAATCTCCATCCTTAAATCCAACTACTGCTCCACATAAATTAGCACACACTGGGTCTTCTGAGAGGTCAGTCTTTGCCCCTCCTTCCACCCCCAATTTTGCCTTTTCCATGTCTGTCTTAGTGCTCTAAGGATTTACCTGAGTCCCATCTTTCTATGAGGCTAATCAAAGATGCAGGAATATATCGGGAGTTCAGCCTTTCCAGTGAGTAGGATCTAAATCTAGGTTTAATATCCAAAGTGCCCTGGGCATATGTGTTTCCATAAGTAATCTGGCTGTGCCAGCCTCTGTCCCTGCTTTGTTGACCCTGTTTGTGCACCTGGGCTTTAGCCTGGGCCTCCCTTCCTACTATTCTACAGAAACATTAGAGACCTACCATGATAACTTTTGTAGCCTGTTCTAAGCTTTTTCTCTGGGATATGAGATCCTCTTTCTCACACCTCAGTCATTGGCTGGAGTTCTCATGACCAAAAGGATTTTTTGAAACCACCATGACACCTCATCTGAATTCAAATATTGCCTCTGGTCTAAGTCTTCTACACCTCACTGAACAACGGAGGTTTCTTTGTGCTGAGATGCCAAACCAGAGGTGGAGGAGAGGTGGGGAATAAAGACTGAAGTATCAGAAGATGGCGGCGTGGGCAAGTTCATACTGAGAAATAGTCTGGTTTAGGGTCAAATACTGGAGCATACTTTACTTTGGACAGCAAGTTACCCATCAAGAGCTATTTCTATAAATTGATCGATTCTGCACAGAACTACTGTATTAGTTGGTTCTCACACTGCTATGAAGAAATACCCGACACTGGGTAATTTATAAAGGAAAAAGTTTTTATTGACTCACAGTTCCACATGGCTGGGGAAGCCTCAGGAAACTTACAATCCTGGCAGAAGGCAAAGGAAAAGCAGGCACCTTCTTCAAAGGGTGGCAGGACAGAGTGAGTGCAAGCAAGCGAAATGCCAAATGCTTATAAAACCATCGTATCTGTTGAGACTTACTCACTGTCGTGAGAACAGTATGGGTGAAACTGCCCTCATGATCCAATTACCTCCCCCAATCCCACCCTTGACACATGGGGATTATGGGGATTATGGGGACTACAAATCAAGATGAGATTTTGGGTCAGGACACAGCCAAAGCATATCAACTATCCTCCTCCCCTTACCCACTGTCTTTTTGGTCGAAATTGGACACGCTTCACAACCAAACTTGCTTCAGTTATGCTAAAAGGATAACATATGAGAATTTCTCAGGATTAAATATATTTAAGTCTATAAGCCAGAGCTGAATAAATGCTGTTCTGGTTTTCAAAAAGAGTAAATTAAATTTTACAAGCAACAGAGCTTAATAGCAAGCTCAAACTCTAAAATGAATAAACTAAATAATGTTTCATGAGAAAAACAAATGGTAATTACTAGGAGCAGCTTGGTCCATAAATAATCACTCTAGGTTAACCTCTTTTATATTAACCTCCTTATTAAAACTGGTTTCTCAGAAGCATGCCATTGACATAGCACAACTGTCCATCCAATACCATTTATTGAGTTTTACGTCTTTTAAAAACTCCTGGTTTTATTTTGGGATCAAGTTGAATATCTGTGATGAGAAGAGTAAATCCCTTTCTCCACCCCTGCCTTTTGGCACCACTGTGATGCTCTTAGACAGGTGTTCCACGCAAATGAAACATTTTTTTAAATTAAGAATGCAGATTATATATGCAGGCCCCACAAAACTTTCTTTGTATGAGGAGTTGAGATAGCTCCTGAAAGAGAACTTATTTTAAAGAAATCAGGCACAAGCTGATTCAGTAACAGAGCCTTGGTGGGAGAGAAGGGACAATTCTGAACAAAGAATGGTGTTTGACAATTATATTTATTGCCAAAAACAGTCTCCAAGGACTTATATTGCAGTCCTAGGAAGAGGGGAATGATGTAAGTAAAACCAAAGAACTGTGTATTAATTATTGCTGTGTAACAAATTACCACACATTTAATGGCTGAAAACAGTTCACATTTACAGATGCTCCTCAACTTACAATGGGGTTACATCTCAATAAGCCCACCATAAGTTGAAAATATTGTAAGTCAAAAATGCATTAAATATATCTAACTTACCGAACATCATAGTTTAGCCTAGCCTACCTTAAACATGCTTGGAACACTTACATTAGCCCACTATCAGGCCAAATCATCTGGAAACACAGTACACTGTAGAGTACCCAGTTGTTTACCCTTCTGATTGTGTGGCTGACTGGGAGCTGTGGCTTGCTGCCACTGCCCAGCATGGAGAGAGAATATTGTACTGTATATCACTAGCCTGTGAAAATATCAAAATTCAAAATACAGTTTCTCCTGAATACTTAACGTCCTTTGTCCCATCATGAAGTCACAAAAATCATAAGTTGAACCATAGTAAGTCAAGGACTGTCTGTATAAGCTCACAGAATCTGGGCATAGCTTAACTGGGTCCTCTCCTTCAAGGTCTCTCATCAGGCTGCAATCAAGGTGTTGGCCAAGGCTGTGATCTCATCTGAAAGCTCAACCGAAGAGGATGATCTGCTTCCAAGTTCATGTGGTTGTTACAATTCCCTGTGTTTTGTTGGACTGAGAGCCTCAATTTCTTGCAGCTGACAGCCAGCAGCCACCCTCAGTTTCTTTTCACTGAGTCTCCCTAGCATGGCTGCTTGCTTCATGCATGCAAACCCAGAAGGCGATCAAGAGAGTCTGCTAGCATGTAAATTAGCGCAACCACTATGGAGAACAGTTTGGTGGTTCCTCAAAAAACTAAAAATTGAGTTACTATATGATCCAGCAATCCCATTGCTGGGTATACCCAAAAGAAATGAAGTCAGTATATTGAAGAGATATCTGCACCCCTATGTTTGCTGCAGCACTGTTTACAATAGCTAAGATTTGGACAAACTAAGTGTCCACCAACAGATGAATGGATAAAGAATATGTTATACATATACACAATGGAATACTATTCAGCCATAAAAAGAATAAGATCCCATCACTTACTACAACACAGATGGAACCGGAGATCATTTTACTAAGTGAAATAAGCCAGGCACACAAAGACAAACACTGCATGTTCTCACTTATTTGTGTGATATAAAAATTAAAACAGTTGAACTCATGGACATAGAAAGTAAAAGGACAGTTACCAGAGGTTGGGAAGGATAGTGTGTGGGGCAGGGAGAAGGTGGGAATGGTTAATGGGTACAAGAAAATAGAAAGAATGAATAAGACCTATTTTATCATTTACCTATTTTATCATTTATCTGTTGTGCTATCGCACAACAGAGTGACTATAGTTAATAATAACTTAATTGCACATCTTAAAATAACTCAAAGAGTGTAAATGGATTGTTTGTTACTCAAAGAATAAATGCTTGAGGGGATGGATACCCTATTCTCCATGATGTGGTTATATCACATTTCATGCCTGTAATCAAAACATCTCATGTACCCCATAAATATATACACCTACTATACCCACAAAAATTAAAAAATAAAACTAAAAAAGAGAGTCTGTTAGCAATACAGAAGTTACAATACTGTCCAGTGTAATTGCAGTGTGACATCCCATCACCTCAGCCATATTCTGTTGGTTAAAAGCTAGTCACAGGTCTCATCCACACTCCTGTGAAGGGATTACATAAGCCATAATATCAGGGACAGGGACATATGGAGCCCATTTTAGAATCTTTCTGCCTCAAACTGGTTCATCAAAAACTCTGAAAGTCACTGGAGTATCAGCAGCATGCTTTAGTAGAGCGTAACATAAGAGAAGAAGAAAGTATTTAGTAGTGGAATCTTCTCGTCAGTGTAAGAGCACAGAGAACCTAGAGGGACTTGGGAACAATCTGAGGCTGAAGGATACTAAAACAAACTAGAATTCCTTGTATTTTTGTTTCGGACCAGCCTTAAAAGGGAAACACATTAAAGTCAGTAAATGTAAATAACCACACGGTGGCAGTAGATGCCAAGAAATTTTAAGTGTTACGTGTAACTGAGGGCATGGAAGAGCAAGTTTATCTCCCTATATGGCCACCCACGTTTTCCTTTCTGTCTGACTGCTGGAAGGAAAGGGGGAGGTAACTAGAATCTTTCCACACACTCATCCCTGAAGCACTACCCATAAAGTATTACCACTGAAGAGTGAGGACATAGACAGTTCACTGTATTCCTCCCCCAATTCCTAGAAGAGTAGTAAGGGTCTTAAGGCGGGAGAATGAGACCTCCTGAAATACTTATGAAGCCTTCCCTTATCAAGTACTCACAGCCAAATATTTCAGAGTGGCGTTAATTAAAACAATGTCATACTTGGTCTGCTGTGAAGCCTGCCTAGTTCAGAGTTGATACCACTGGGGAAATCCCAGGGGAAAATAAGTGTCAAATAAAAGAAGGAATATTATTTCCACAAATGAGAGACATTAAGGATAAAGGCTTAACACCATATAGGCATGCCTCACATATATATACAGTGCATATATTCACACGTACACTGTACAGAATTCCATAGTTAGCATTACCCAGTCAGAGTGACTAGATCTGGCATTAATAAAAGAGGAGATAACTCAACAGAATTGAGTGCTCCAAAGTTGTATTACGAGAGAGGTTTTATTATCTGAGTTTATGTATAAACCGAGAAATCTTAATAAGACCTTTTCTGATTGTCTCATATCTTCTTAATTAGTCCATATCCAAAGGGGTTAATAACTGGCACTGTTCGAATTTGTTTAATCCTGAGATATTCTACAAAGGCAGTTTGGTGTTACAAAAGTGAAAGTTCCTTATATGTTTAGGTTTTCTTTTTTTCATAGACAAGGTCTCACTATATTGCCCAGGTTGGTCTCAAACTCCTGGACTCAAGCTATCCTCCCACCTCAACCTCCCAAAGTGCTGGGATTACAGGCACGACCCTCTGTGCCCAGCTACGTTCTTTTTCTAGGTAATATAACATTCCCTTTTGCTAATAGATGGGCCAAAGAGTTTGAAAGTGCCTCATCAAATCTAAAATGGTTGTGTTTGTTTTATATAAATGACAATGGTCCAATAGTTGGCTAGTCTTGGAGGGTTGGTAAATTTCTTTCTTTCTTTTTTTTTTTTTTTTTTCTGAGATAGGGTCTCACTCTGTCACACAGGATGGAGTGCAGTGGCATAAACACAGCTCCCTGTAGCCTCTATCTCCCAAGCTCAAGTGATTCTCCCACCTCAGCCCCACAAGTAGCTGGGACCACAGGTGCAATCCTCCCACCTCAGTCCCCCAAGTAGCTGGGACTACAGGCATGCGCCACCAAGCCCAGCTAATTTTTGTATTTTTGTAGAGACCAAGTTCCACCATGTTGCCCAGGCTGGTCTCCAACTCCTGAGCTCAGGCATTCTGCCCAGCTCAGCTCCCCGAACTGCTAGGATTACAGGTGTGAGCCACCATTTCTGCCCAAGCGTTGGTAAATTTTTAACATTATCTTTTGCCAACTATATACCCATACAAATCACAATAATATGTAATCACCTGAGGAGTTAATATGAGCAAAGATCTGAATCAATTGAAAAGGTGAGCTATGTAGAAATATGGGGAAAAGATTATTCCAGAATGAGAAAACAGCAAGAGCATGTTTGTTACATTCAAGGAATAGCAACATGGCCAGCCTGCTTGGAGTACAGTGAGAATGGGATCATTTGCTAGACTCACAGAGAAAATTTTAAAAATAAGAAATAAAAGTTTAAAGAAAGAAAAGGAAAGAGTGGTGGGTGATGAGGTCAGAGGGAGAAGTAGAACCAGATTGTGTAGAGACTTGCAAGCCACACCAAGGGCTCTGGATTTTACTCCAGGTGTGATGAAAACCAGTGGAGTTTTCTGAACACAATTCGTGGTTTTAAGAGGTAACAATAAAACATATATTCTTTTTTTTTTTAGGTTTGAAAAAGGAAAGTTTATTAGAAAGGAAGAACACTGCAAATGGGTGCAGGAGTGTGCCTCAGCAAGAGAACCAAGTGTGCCCCTGACATACTCTAAGTCTTACATAAAATGTATGTGATATCTGTGATTCATACTTACTTGGAGAACTGAACAAGTGAAGAGGTCTGAATTACAATACATTTGTGGGAAGAACTGACAGAATTGGATGAATTGAATGTGAAAATAGGAGATGGAAAAATCAAGAATTACTTCAAGGTTTAGAATTGCTATGGTCTGAATATTTGTGTGCCCTCACCACCTGCCAATTCACATATTGAAACTTAATTCAACTCCCAATGTGATAGTATTAGGTGAGGCTTTTCGGGGGTGATTAGGTCCTTCAGGATAAGAGATTAATCCCATTTGTGCCACTTGCCAAATGGAATTAGTGTCCTTGTAAAACAGGCTGCCTTGCCCTTTCTACTGTGTGAGGACACAGGAAGAAGGTGCCATTTATGAACCAGGAAATGTGCCCTCATCAGATACAGAATCTGCTGGGGCCTTGATCTTAGACTTCCCAGCCTCCAGAACTGTGAGAAATGAATTTCTGTTTTTTATAAGCCACCCACTTTTTGGTATTTTGTTCTAGCAGCCCAAATGGACTGAGATAAGGGAGATGGGGAGGGAGTGGAACATGTTAGGGAGCATATCAAGATGTGGCTTCAGACAAGTCAAACTTAAGATACCCAGGGAGTTGAGAATCATTTCAGACCTAGAATCAGCAGAACTTGGTGACTAGCTAGATTGGAGTTAGCAAGGAGAAGTCTCTTGAGCTTGCTACGTTTGTCTCTTAGATGAACCATTCCTAATACCTTCAGGTTTCTTCCAGGCACATAACCAATACAACTAGGATTGAAAATCTCCAGACTACGACAAACTCAGAATATTTTCCTACAATAATTGTAATATGTTGAGTAAATGCATCTGGTTCATATTTAGCTATAACTTCTTATTTAACAAAATCAAAAATAGTCATTGGAGAGGATATTTTTCGCCTTTCAATTGATAGTCACCATGTCCTTTGGATTATGTAGCTAAAAAACAAAACTATTAAAATCACAGCCATCATAGTTACTTCAGAATTGTTGTGGCTCTGAGTGGATAATAGTAATAACTATTGAGCAATAACTATTGAATAATAACAATGAACAATTATTTCAAGCCTGTCACTCATCATAGTGAGAGGATGACCAAAAGAAAAAATGGTTTCTGCTAGATGATCTTACAGTCAAGTTCAGAGACCAAGAATAGCAGGAAACAATTAGAAAACAAAGCTGGAAATTTGTGGCATTCACTACAAGTTAAAGTACATAGAAGTGAAAGGATAGCATGAGATGGAGAATTTAATAAGGGCTTCATGAAGGAAGTATGCCTTGAATTCGACATCGCAAATGGATAGACAAAGGGATAGGTAGTTTATTTTAGACAAAAGCATGCAAAAACATTAACTTGGAAGGTACTGGAGTTGTGAGGAGATGGTTCTGACTAGAAAAAAGAGTTATGTTTTTGAGGACACAGAGCAGTAAAGATAAATGGCAGAAGTACGAAAGTATAGGCAGTCCCCAACTGACAAACAGCTCACAATTATAAATGTACTCCCAGATTCTTTAATATTATGCACACATACAAATATCTCATGCTCAGCCAGGCGTGGTGGCTCACGCCTGTAATTCCAGCACTTTGGGAGGCCAAGGTGGGCGGATCATGAGGTCAGGAGATCGAGACCACCCTGGCTAACATGGTGAAACCCCATCTCTACTAAAAATACAAAAAATTAGCCGGGCGTGGTGGCGGGCGTCTGTAGTCCCAGCTACTCGGGAGGCTGAGGCAGAATGGCATGAACCCGGCAGGCAGAGCTTGCAGTAAGCAGAGATTGCGCCACTGCACTCCAGCCTGGGCAACAAGAGTTGAGACTCCGTCTCAAAAAAAAAAAATCTCATGCTCAATCTGATGACCTTGCTTTTTAACTCACTGAGAAACTCGAAGGAATCCGAAGAGAAAAACAACCTTATCCCCCAAACTACCAGCATTTGCACCTACCAGCATTTGCACCCTGGCATTCTGCCTTCTCTCCTGTCCTCAGCATGAACGGTAGAGGTCTTATCTAAGGCTAATCCCTCTACTTGTACACCAAGTTTCTTCAATCTCACCTACTCAAGGGCATTGCCCCAGCAATTCTCCCTGTGTGGATTTCTTGTATTTGCCCCTCCAGATCCATTTTCTACCCTGCTGTATGCCTGAATCGATATGTTCCCTTGGTCTCTGGCTTCCAGATGGTTTTGGTCAATGAGAAGGACTGGGGATCCCAGGAAAGGGCTGGGGATGTGTGGGGAAAAGCGAAGTGAAGTTGGAGCGTTTATTTTTCCAGCTCCCTCCCTGTGGGCTGGCTGAGTTCATCCACCAAATGGTACAAGCAGCCCTCTCCACACAGCTCTCTCATTCCAGGTTCTGGAATCCTTTCCCTTTCCCTTTCCCTTGTCCCTTCATGCTGAAAGGTGGTATTGATGCCAAACTGTAACTAACCCCAGAGCACTGCACTAATCATTTCCTTACACTATGACCACAATTTTGTATAATGAATAGTCCTTCTTAAAACTCTCCTCGCCGGGCGTGGTGGCTCACGCCTGTAATCTCAGCACTTTGGGAGGCCGAGGTGGGAGGATCACGAGGTCACGAGATCGAGACCAGCCTGACCAACATGATGAAACCCTGTCTCTACTAAAAATACAAAAATTAGCTGGGCATGGTGGCACGCGCCTGTAATCCCAGCTACTCGGGAGGCTGAGGCAGGAGAATTGCTTGAACCCAGGAAGCAGAGATTACAGTGAGCCAAGATCAAGCCACTGCACTCCAGCCTGGTGACGGAGCCAGACTCCATCTCAAAAAAAAAAAAAAAAAAAAAACTCTCCTCAAAACTCTCCTCAATGGCTAGGTGCGGTGGCTCACATCTGTAATCCTAGCTTTTTGGGAGGCCAAGCCGGGTGGATAACTTGAGCTCAGGAGTTCGAGACCAGCCTGGGCAACATGGTGAAACCCCGTCTCTACTAAAAAATACAATACAGGTGAGAGAATCACCTGAGCCTGGGAAACTGAGGTTGCAGTGAGCCAAGATCAGGTCTGTGCACTCAGCCTGGGTGACAGAGCCAAACCATGTCTTAAAAAAATCCAAAAATAAAAACTCTCCTTAAATTACCCAGTTTGCATGCACCATCTGCTTCTCGCCAGGACCTAGACTGATACACTCCCCTTTCCTCTCCTACATCATAAGTTTTCCCGCTCTACTGATGTCACTCCCATCAGTAAATAGATGCGCTGTTATTTCTCCCATGTTAAAAACAAAGACGGTCCTAACCCCATTCTCCTGCTTCAGGTGCCAGATCATTTCTCAGCTCTAACTTACAGCAAATCTCCTTTTAAGAGTTGTCTTACTAGTAGCCTTAGTAGAAACCTGTCAGGTTCTTCCTCACCTGTCCGGATTTCAGTTCTTCTTCTCCAAACCTGCTCCATCTGTAATTTTCCTCATCTTGTTTAATGGCAATCCATATATCCAATTTCTGGGGCTAAAAATCTGGAGTCATGCTTGACTCCTCTGTCTTTCTCACTTTCAATCCACTAAGAAGTCCCGTTGGCTCTACCTTTGAAATATAACCAGAATTTGACCCCTTTTCACTACCTCTGCCGTTACCATACCAGTCAAATGCACCATGATCTCACCTGGATTCTTGCAACAGGCCCCAACTAGTCTCCCTCCTTAGGTATTTTCCTCCTATGGACTTCTGTCAACAAAGTAGCCACAATGACAGTGTTAAAACGCAAATCAGATCAGGTCACTGCTCTGTTCAAAAGGCCCTAGTGGTGCCCTCTTTCACTCCTAGTAAAAGCCAAAGTCTTTCCAATTGTCTACAAAGCCCTACACAATCAGACCCTTGTTTCATCTCTTACTTCTCTCTTATTCTTCTCCAGCAACAGTGGCTGCTCAAACACATTTGTTATGCTCTTGCCTTAGTACTTTGTACTGGCCCAATTTCATTTCCTGGTGCACTGCTCCCTGAGATCTTTCAAAAGCCTATGAGAGGGGTAATTTTATTATACCCATTTTATAGAGGAAGAAATGGAGGCCTACAAAGGATAAATAGCTTTCATCTGAACCCTGGTGGTGTGATCTAGAGGTCACTAATTCACAAGCCCTGCCTATGCATATTAATGTCTTATGAGGAGACAAAAGGAATTCAGAAGACACAGAAATATTGCAAGAAACAGAAAGAAATTTTTTTTAATCAAAGAAATAGGAGAAAATATTCACTAAAAAAGAATAGGTTAATATGAATAAGGAATAAACAAGGACTTTTTTTTATTTTTTATTTTTTTAAGATGGAGTCTCACTCTGTCACCAGGCTGGAGTGCAGTGGCACAATCTCCGCTCACTGCAACCTCTGCCTCCCAGGTTCAAGCGATTCTCCTGCCTCAGCCTCCCTAGTATCTGGGACTACAGGCACATGCCACCACGCCCAGCTAATTTTTTGTATTTTTAGTAGAGACGGGTTTTCACCATATTGGCCAGGATGATCTCAATCTCTTTACCTTGTGATCTGCCCCTCTCAGCATCCCAAAGTGCTGGGGATTACAGGCGTGAGCCACCGCACCCAGCCAGCAAGGATTTTTTAAAATTCTTGAAATTAAAAATACAAGAGTCAAAAGAAAACAATTAAACAAAAACTATGAAAGATAAAGTTGAAAGAAAGAAAAAAAACCTTCAAATGAACAGAACAAAAAGACAAGCAGATGGAATATATGGAAAAAGCAGTAAGAGATTTAGAGGACTTAAATGGAGAATCAAATACTTGATTAGTAGGAGCTGGGTGAAGGAGAGAGAAAAATGTAGATGAAGGATAATCTCAAAATAATAACACAAGAAAATTTCTCAATACCAAAATATATTAATCTCCATATTAACAAGAAAAGTTCTCAATACCAAAGTATATTAATCTCCAGATTAAAACTGGCCCACCAAGTTCCCACTACAATGACTGGTCTCCAGGTAGAAATAGAATAGAATAGATTTCTTAGATAGAATATATTTCTTAGCACAGTCTTACCAGCAACCTGTCATTGAGAACCAACTCAAATAAAGGCAGTCTTCTTTTGGCCTGTTAGAGACTGAGGACCACAACACCTCCTCTAGATTGGGTATATCATCAGTTGGTTGAGTGGCCACCAGAAAAGTTCTGAGCTACTCCTCTTCACCTGTCTTCCGTGCTTCTTCCAGAGAAGCCTCAAGAACTGGGTCCTCCCCAACTGAATACATTAAGAGATTGTCCTTTCTTCCTTTAGATGTACTATGCCACAGTCACCTCAAGCCCCACAGTCCCAGGCTAACCAAGAGAGACTCTCTCAGAAATCTCTAGACTAAGAAATAGGCACAGTCTCTATATTCATATTTGCCCAAACTCCAGGGGACACAAAAGCCAAGCTCTCCCCAAAATTTCATTACCATACTTGCAGCTCCAGCGCAGACCTACTGGTTCTGCAGCTCAGCAAGAATTCATCCAAGAAATAAGATGCTCCCTCCCAATTTTTGCAGGCTTACCGATATTAACTCTTAGAACAAGCACATCTTTATCTGTATGTGTGTGTGCACACGCACACACTCATGCACATGCATACTTTACATTAGAGCAACTCTGCCTCCCAAGACTGCTTTCACTCCCCAGTAATTTTGTCTCTGAAGAATCCCACCCCTCCAGTATCCTCAAGCCCCAAATCCCTAAAGGAAAAAAAGGACAAGCCCTTATCATATCCAGCTGGAGAGGACCCAGTTCTTGAGGCTCCCGAGGAAGGAACATGGAACACAATAAAGAGCAGGAGTCCAAGACTTCGCCTTGGCCACTGACCAACTGATGAGGCTGAGTTGGTGGCTCTCTTTAGAGTGCGGAGAACTAAGTGCCTCTGGGCCTCACATCTGTACTTTATTCTGGGACAAGAGGAAAACTCTCACTCAGCAACCACCGTGTTACACCTCGGATCCTGTTACACTGAGTTTAACCCAGGAGACCAGCCAGGTGAAGTCCCTCATGACGGCTGTGGGGCAGCCTAGAGAGTGATCTGTTCCGAGTGGAGCAGAGGAAAGAGGGTTCTAGGAGAGAGGTCTCTGGGAACAAAATGGTGACAGGGGAGGGACTGGAATTATTTAAAGATAAGTTTGCCGAATATGATGCAGTGTATTTGGGAAATAAATTATGTGTTTAAAACTAACTCTACAAACTTTTCAAAAATAAATTTGCCATAAGTTGGATATGATCTAGGAGGAGGTAAGTAAAGGGGGGCCCAATATACCAGTGGAACTCATGCCTTTCACTCCCCCTTCAGCGTGGGCCTAGTTTTACCTCGATAAGGGAGTGCCCGGCCATCACTTGGTTTTATCATTGTTAGCATTATTCCTTTTGCTGCACTGTGCTCCCAGAATAAAAGGAAATAGAAGATAACCTTGGAATGGTTTTTTGGTGTTGGGGTGGGGTGGGGCGGGGGAGTTGTTCATTTTGTTGTTGTTTTTTGCTCTGCAAAATAATACAAATCAATTTAAAACAGAATGATGCATAACTAAGAATTCATTCTCATCTTAGCAAAGTCAGCAACTCCTCTTAGTACATCTGTGGGAAGGAAAATTTTACTCAAGGGAACTTGAGACCTTTTGCAAGGAAAGAAATCAAGACCCTATCCCCTTTTCTCTGAGATTTGGAGTTAGGGAGCTTGGGCTGTGTGTATTTAGGCTGGTCACAGTGAAAGTCAATGAGTTTTCTGAAGTAAAGTTATTACGACAGCATAAAGAGGGGACCAATGCTCAGCACTGAGCCCCAGAACTGAGCCAAGGGAGAGAAAACTATGATTTTTTGAGTCCATGAGGCAGTGTATGGTGGAACCTACCCTAATCCAGCCCACCTGAGGGTAAATAGGCACTCAAGAGAAGTCACTGCATGTTATTTCAAAGATTTGATTACTGAAGTCTAATCTGTAGAGACCCAGGCTTACTGCAACAGAAAGTCCATAAGTAATAAATTCCAGAATCCAAACTGAACCCGCTCTCCTGGATAGATTTGAATAGATTCAAATCCTGGAAAACTGGTTGGGGGAAGAAATAAAAAGAGCAATGAGTCTCACGTTATGGTCAGTTTGGATAGACCCTTTTTTACTAAGAGTAACACCAAGAAAACATGATTGCCTATCCTTAAAAATCACCTACTGTGGGTGCTCCAGCCTCCTTGACAGGGGATTTCATCCCAGTTATGCAGGAAAGACACTCCAAACTGAGGACGAGGAGTCTCCAGTGTAGACACTTCAACAAGAAAGAATCAAGGCAGTCTAGATCAATCACACCATCACTCTTACTTGCTCCTAAGTACTGTTAATAACTACACAGGTTTCCTGGAAAAACAAAAGGAGGGCATTGAGGGAAATAGATCAGAACTGCTGCCAGTGTAGGCTTGTAGATTCCAGTGGTCTGTGTCCTGTAGCACTAAGTGGAATTATTTCCACTTCAAACTATAAAAGTGTTCACCTCAAGTATTTTGTTTTACATATTAGGGTTTGAAAAGAGAGTTTCACAACTAAAAATAACTCAGCCAACATAGTGTTCTTCCACACCCTCAGGCAGCCTCCATCATTTGATACAGCTGTCTGTTCAAGTCTGCCAACAGGACAGTTAAAAATAGATGGCCAGTCTCCTTTAAGGGTGTTGCGTAATTGACTTATATAGTTTTCCATATTCATTTTTCTAGATTAGTTGTCTCTAAACATTTTTGCTTGTGCTCCCTTAAAAGACATTGGAAAAATTTATGTATCCTTCGGCAAAAAAAGTTGACCACTTAATATTTTTAATATGTTTAGATAATTGAAAAGTTTATTTGTCCATGGGTTAATATTACCTTATAGCTAAAATCAGTCAGGATTTAGCTATTCCTGTTTTTCATTTATACCTATAGCACTAAAAAACCTTGTTCTTATACATAAGTAAATGAGATTGGAAATTCTGTTAGCAATGTCAATCAATTCTTTAAACCTTTCAAGTTAAATGCCGAATAACATATAGTGATCAATTGTCAAAGATTATTTTTAATGATCTATTTAGATGACAATCTATTTAGGGCCAGCTTAAACTTTGATAAAAGCAATGAATTAGAAACCATCTGACTTACAAATGTGTTTATTACTCTGTCATTTGAATCATTCATTTTCAGAGTTTCTAGGAAGTATATGAGAAAGATTATATCAGGACTTACCAAATGACTATTAGTTTGTCTTTCACCTTGTTATGGCACTAAAATCAGATGAAACTGGTATAAGTATAATATCTTGAATTAGAAATTGTATGTTTTTGGTCAGGCACAGTGGCTCACACCGGTTATCCCAGCACTTTGGGTGGCCAAGGCAGGAGGATTGCCTGAGCTCGGGAGCTCAAAACCAGCCTGGGTGACATGGTGAAACCCTGTCTCTACCAAAAATACAAAAACTAGCTGGCCATGGTGGTGCACACCTGTAGTCCCAGCTACTCAGGAGGCTGAGGTGGGAGGATGGTTTGAGCCCAGGGGACAGAGGTTGAAGTGAGCCAAGATCACACCACTGCACTCCAGCCTAGGCAACAGAGCCAGACCCTATCTCAAAAAAATAAATAAATAAAACTTAACTTAAAAAAAATTGTACATTTTTGTATTTTTCCTATTGAGTGTGAACAAAGACTACATATATTTTGCATCTGATAATTAATATCTGTGAGTGGGGAATTAATCTTAATTTAATAAAACTGGTTTTCTAAAATTTAGGGCACTATATCATAGGTTATATTTTTTGATATTTTGTTCCACATCTCATATATATTAGTGTAGATCCTGTTTTTAAGAGCATGATATCATGAAAAGCTATGATAAGAGAAACAGGCCAGACTCAGTGGCTCACACACCTGTAATCCCAGCACTTTGGGGGGCCAAGGCAGGTGTGTTGCTTGAGCCTAAGAGTTCAAGACCAGCCTAGGCAATAGAGTAAGACCCCCATCTCTATAAAAAACAGAAAAAAATTAGCCAAGCATGGTGGCACACACCTGTAGTCTCAGCTACTTACATGGCTAAGGCAGGAGGATGGCTTGGGCCCAGAAAGTTGAGGCTGCAGTGAGCGGTGATTACGCCATCGCACTCCAGCCTCAGTGACAGAGTGAGACTGTGAAAGAAAGAAAGAAGGAAAGAAAGAAAGAAAGAAAGAAGGAAAGAAAGAAAGAAAGAGAAAAGAAAAGAAAAGAAAAGAAAAGAAAAGAAAAGAAAAGAAAAGAAAAGAAAAACAGATAACAAGAAAGAGCAACAGAGAAAAGGTATCAGGACCAGGGATGGATTTGGGTTTTTTCAGCTTGAAGCCTATATAATTTGAGGTGCAGACCTCTTACAGAAAAATAATACAACATTATGAATAAAAAATTAGGTATGTTTTCTCAGGAGAAACCAGTGGGAAAAAAAGGAAAAAATTTAGTAGAAAGTAAATATTTAATAGGAGAACAAAATCTCAACAAATGACAGAATTTTAAAAGATCAATTCTACAAACATCATATAACTCAGAAAAATTATATAACAATGATGTTCATTAATATGTCTATGACACTTCTATAGTTTTTGGCTAGATACTTTTAATCACCACTTCAAATGGTAATGACTTTCTACATCATTTTCTCTGAGAAAAATAGAAAGCTAATTGAGACTTTTCTTCTGCATAGGTGATGTATTTTCATTTTATTATTGATAGTTTAGACAAGCTTCTGTTTCGTCATTATTGGTAACTAGTGGTTAAGCCACATCTGTCATTTCCTCCCAGTTTCTAGTCAGGAAGTGCTTTTTGCCAGAGCCACTCTCAGAGACTCCAGCCCATTGATTGACAAGGCTACCGTTACGGTACCTGGGCCAGCCCTGCCAAGTCCTTCCTGTCCCCCTTTCTCATCCACCTAAGTGAGTGTTGCTCTGATAAAACTCTCTGAAGTGTAACTCATGTTTGGTAATAGTGGGAGTATGACAGGTGACGTGGTCAGGCAAAAACTATCATCACTCCAACTGTATCATACTAGTGAATTCAGTTATCCCCCAAAGTATGAAATTACCCCATTTCTAATATTATGTCTCATCCTTAACAGACATTCATATCAGTCATGGAAAGACAATGGCCTAGAAGGGTATATGTGCTATGATTAAAAGAGGCTTCTTCAACACCACTATTTTAATTTTTCTTCTGAAGTTTTTTAATACTACAGGAGAAAGCATCATAAAAAATTTCAAATGGTGGCCGGGTGCGGTGGCTCACTCCTGTAATCCCAGCACCTTGGGAGGCCAAGGTGAGAGGGTCACTTGAGGTCAGGAGTTCGAGACCAGCCTGGCCAGCATGGTGAAGCCCTGTCTCTACTAAAAATACAAAAATTAGCCAGGCATGGTGGTACATGCCTGTAGTCTCAGCTACTTGGGAGGCTGAGGCAGGAGAATCGCTTGAAACAGGGAGGCGGAGGTTGCAATGAGCCGAGATCATGCCACCACACTCCAGCCTGGGCGACAGAGCAAGACTCCTTCTCAAAAAAAAAAAAAAAGAAAAAAAAAAAGAAAGAAAATTTTGAATGGATAAGAGGTATCCCTTTCATTTGATAAGTAGGAGAATGGTAACTATGAAAAAGAATTTGGGTAAGGGGAAAGGAGAAACAACATTAATGTGTGTTCTCTAGTTCTCTTATTCTCTAAGCCAATAATACTTTTCTCTGTACTGAGCCTACGTCAATACAGCTACTTGTGTTATTCAAATCTTCTATATCTTTCATACATTTCCTCTGCTTAACCTACCTTGAACTATTCCACTGTGACTGTGGATTTGTCCATTTCTCTCTGCAGTTCTATTTATATAATTTTTGGTTTGTAAATATTGAGGATATTTTATTATGTAATCAAGTTTAGAACTGTTATATATTTCTGGTGAATTGAATCTTATCATAGTACTTATCTCATTACATTGTAATTATTAGTTTATTTGTATGTTTCACCCATTAGAGTGCTGGCTTATTGCTTATTGAGGAAGGGCTGATGTTTGACTCACTGGTGAATACCTTAGTACCACTAGTACAGATCAGGCTCTCATTAACTCCTGACTATTAATATAGCCCCCTAACCAGACCAGTACTAAGCTGCCAATTTCACCCACTTGAAGGCCCTGTCAGATTAAATCTTCCTAGAAAGTAATTCTGATCATAGCACTCTTTTTAAAAATAGTAGTTTCCTGTTGTTCACAGAATAAAATACAAACTCCACAGCTTATCATTCAACTTCCTCAAAGACTTGAAATCACCCTATTTTTCACTCACTTTCTTCTCACATCCTAGGAGGTCAATCAAACTGAAATCCCCACTACCCCCACACAGATCCTGCATTCCTTCTGCTGTCCCCATATAATATCTAAATCCTAGTATAATTTTCCATCCCACTCTGCATGTCCAAACCCTTCAGAGCCAGTCTTTTTTTTTTAAACTACTTTAATTTTTTTTTCTTTCTTTTTCAGTTACATACTTTTAAACAGGGATGTGTTTCATTATTCATTCAGGCAATGTTGACTTCATTAGTGTTGACAGAAAATAAGCATAAAAATGCAAAACATTGTTGGCTTAACCTGAATATACCTGCATTACCTATTATTAACCAGTTTGTGTTGCCAAAAGACTTATTCCTTGGCATTAAAATGGAGCACTTAAAAATATTTCTAAAAAGCAAATGCCCACACGCTGGTCTTTGCAGCAAATAAGGGTATTTATACTTTTAAAATATTTTAAGTCCATAATTGGATTAATATACACACCTTCTTATGTATAAGGAGTTCAGATCATATAAACACCGTACAATCCAAAAAACCCTACTGAGAATAAAACTAAATAGGCTTATGATAAGAAATACAGATATTCCCATGTATTTACAAATATCATAGACACACAAATTTGGTCAAATACTGTAAAGAAAGAAGAAGTACCTGTACCTCTACCTCTACCTCTACCTCCTCTACCTCCTCTACCTCCTCTACCTCCTCTACCTCCTCTACCTCCTCTTCCTCTACCTCTACCTCTACCTCTACCTCTACCCACGGTCTCCCTTTCCCTCTCTTTCCACGGTCTCCCTCTGATGCCGAGCCGAAGCTGGACTGTACTGCTGCCATCTCGGCTCACTGCAACCTCCCTGCCTGATTCTCCTGCCTCAACCTGCCGAGTGCCTGCGATTGCAGGCGCGCGCCGCCACGCCTGACTGGTTTTCGTATTTTTTTGGTGGAGACGGGGTTTCGCTGTGTTGGCCGGGCTGGTCTCCAGCTCCTAACCTCGAGTGATCCGCCAGCCTCGGCCTCCCGAGGTGCCGGGTTTGCAGAGGAGTCTCATTCACTCAGTGCTCAATGGTGCCCAGGCTGGAGTGCAGTGGCGTGATCTCGGCTCGCTACAACCTCCACCTCCCAGCAGCCTGCCTTGGCCTCCCAAAGTGCCGAGATTGCAGTCTCCGCCCGGCTGCCACCCCATCTGGGAAGTGAGGAGCATCTCTGCCTGGCCGCCCATCGTCTGGGATGTGAGGAGCCCCTCTGCCTGGCTGCCCAGTCTGGGAAGTGAGGAGCGCCTCTTCCCGGCCGCCATCCCATCTAGGAAGTGAGGAGCGTCTCTGCCCAGCCGCCCATCGTCTGAGATGTGGGGAGCGCCTCTGCCCCGCCGCCCCGTCTGGGATGTGAGGAGCGCCTCTGCCCGGCCGCGACCCTGTCTGGGAGGTGAGGAGCGTCTCTGCCTGGCCACCCTGTCTGAGAAGTGAGGAGCCCCTCCGCCCGGCAGCCACCCCATCTGAGAAGTGAGGAGCATCTCCGCCCGGCAGCCACCCCGTCCGGGAGGGAGGTGGGGGTCAGCCCCCACCCGGCCAGCCGCCCCGTCCGGGAGGGAGGTGGGGGGTCAGCCTCCGCCCGGCCAGCCGCCCCGTCCGGGAGGTGGGGGGCGCCTCTGCCCGGCCGCCCCTTCTGGGAAGTGAGGAGCCCCTCTGCCCGGCCACCACCCCGTCTGGGAGGTGTACCCAACAGCTCATTGAGAACGGGCCATGATGACGACGGCGGTTTTGTGGAATAGAAAAGGGGGAAAGGTGGGGAAAAGATTGAGAAATCGGATGGTTGCTTTGTCTGTGTAGAAAGAAGTAGACATGGGAGACTTTTCATTTTGTTCTGTACTAAGAAAAATTCTTCTGCCTTGAGATCCTGTTGATCTATGACCTTACCCCCAACCCTGTGCTCTCTGAAACATGTGCTGTGTCCACTCAGGGTTAAATGGATTAAGGGCGGTGCAAGATGTGCTTTGTTAAACAGATGCTTGAAGGCAGCATGCTCGTTAAGAGTCAACACCACTCCCTAATCTCCATTACCCAGGGACACAAACACTGTGGAAGGCCGCAGGGTCCTCTGCCTAGGAAAACCAGAGACCTCTGTTCACTTGTTTATCTGCTGACCTTCCCTCGACTATTGTCCTGTGACCCTGCCAAATCCCCCTCTGCGAGAAACACCCAAGAATGATCAATTAAAAAAAAAAAAAAAGAAGTGGTTTCACATTATAATGGCCAAAACATTCATCTATCTTGCTCAAAGCAAATAAAAATGTAAACTCAGTATGTAACTCCTGCAGTTTAAGACATCATGATAGTATACAGATAGATAGAAACTGCTGACCAAATTATACAGCAAATGTTTTGTAGGTTAAGTGTAGGTCTTTAAAATTAAAAAAAAAGATCATTCATAGGATTCATAGCAACAATGATAAACAATGTCCTGATTTGTGGTGTTCATGTGGGTGCCTAATTCATCAAAAAAAATGCACGAAACTTTTGGCTAATAAGAAAAATAAATTACAAAGTACAATTAAATCCCTGTAAATGCAATAATGAAGTAAAAAAATGTAGATTAATATACATCTTAAATGTTACCTTGAGACAATAAAAATAAATAAGCATGCCTGGAGGCACACACTTAAAGACAACGAAGAGACTGCATGGAAGGAATAAGTAACAATTTTATATATGAAAGATGAATATGAGATTTGTTCAAAATAATTATCTTTCTAGCCAGTCTTTGTTTTAACCCTTCTTGAAAATTCTGCAGAGCCAGTCTTAAAAGTCTCCTCCTTTGAAAGCTTTTGGCATTTTCACCCAAATTAAAATATTCTCTCCTTCTTTTGAATAGTGTTATGGGCTGAATGTGTCCTCTCCAAAAATGCTATGTTGACCGTATTCAGAGACAGGGCCTGTGAGGAAGTGATAAATGTTAAATGAGGTCATAAGGATGGGGCTCTAATCAGACAGGTCTGGTGTCCTTATAAGAAAAGAAAGAAACGCTAGACTTACCTCTCTCTGACATGTGATGACACAGTGAGAAAGCAGCCATCTGCAAGCCAGGAAGTCAGCCCTTGCTAGCAATCAAATTGGCTGGCAGCTCGATCTTGGACTTCCCAGCCTCCAGAACCATGAGAAATAATTTTTTGTTGTTTAAGCCACAAAGTCTGTAGTATTTTGTTATGGTAGCCTTAGCTGACTAATACAAATGGTAATATAGTACTGTTTTGTCAATATTTCTTCAAGGCTTTAGATCTGGCAAGGTATTTGTCAAATTATTAATGTCAAAAAATTCTTGCAGCCAGGTGCGGTGGCTCACGCCTATAATCCCAACACTTTGCGAAGCCGAAGCAGGTGGATCATTTGAGCTCAGGAGTTTGGGACCAGCCTGGGAAAATGGTGAAAATCCATCTCTACCAAAAATATGAAAATTAGCAAAGCATGGTGGTGTGTGCCTGTGGTCCCAGCTACTCAGGGCAGCTGAGGTGGAAGGATTGCTGGAGCCCCAGAAGTCAAGGCTGCAGTGAGCCATGATCATGCCACTGCACTCCGGCCTGGGTGACAGGCCAAGACCCCATCTCATAAATAAATAAATATATACAAAAATAATTCTTAACAATTCAAAGAACCTAGTAACCTCAGTGCCAGAAAAATATTCTTATGTGCATATTTGCAGAGTCAGGTTTTCTTGTCAGATTAATATTTATTTGGTATCATGTCATCATAAAATTGAGTTATTGAGAGTTTACAAGATCTTTTGTAATATATTGTTTTATTTACTTATTTCCCCCTCTTAAGTATACACTCATCTGATATTTTCAAAGCTAAAATGATTCATTGTTATATAATCCTGAACTTCCAAGATGAAGATGTTTGTTTTTATTGTCTGTTATGAAAAAATTGTGTCTACTTTTTATGTACTTAATTCACGAATTTAAATTTGAATATATTCTTCCAATCCGTAATAGTTTAACTCAAAGACTCTGACTTCACTCATTCTCTTTTAATTAACTCAACCAACATAAAATATTGTTTGAATTCTCCTAGAGTTAGGAAATCTCCTATTTCCTAGCATAGTCTTTACAAATAAAAATAGTGACTATATCTACATTCAGAATGTCTGTCCTGGAAAGAAATGAAATATAAGAAAAAAAATAGTGACTATAGCAAGGTTGTACAACTAAAAATAGTATAGTAGAATCATTTTTTAAATTATTTTCAAAGGGCAGAAGAAGAGAATACCAGCATTTAAATGTCAGTTGGGAGTGGATAAACCTACAAATGAAATTTTTGTAAGAGAGAGAGAGAACAATCCAAGAGGTAAGAGGAAAATTAAGAGTATGTTGTCATTGGAGGTAAGTGAAAATGTTTCAAGAAAGAAGAGGTTGTGGGGCCAGATGCAGTGGCTCACACCTGTAATCCCAACACTTTGGGAGGCCGAAGTGAGTGGGTCATGAGGTCAAGAGATCGAGATCATCCTGGCCAACATGGCGAAACCCCGTCTCTACTAAAAATACAAAAATTAGCCAGGTGTGGTGGCGGGTGCCTGTAATCCCAGCTACTTGGGAGGCTGAGGCAGGAGGATCACTTGCATCTGGGAGGTGGAGGTTGCAGTGAGCTAAGATTGTACCACTAAACTCCAGCCTGGGCAACATAGAGACTTTGTTGAAAGAAAGAGAAAGAGAGAAAGAGAAAGAAAGAAAGAAAGAAAGAAAGAAAGAAAGAAAGAAAGAAAGAAAGAAAGAAAGAAAGAAAGAAAGAAAGAAAGAAAGGAGGGAGGGAGGGAAGGAAGGAAGGAAGAGAGAAAGCAAGAAAGCAAGCAAGAAAGGGAGAAAGAGAGACAAGGAAGGAAGGAAGGAAGGAAAGGAAGGTTGACAATGTCAGATGCCAATGAGATATTAATATGAGAAATGGGATTTAACAATGTGAAAGTCATTAGTAACCTTAGCAGAAGTTGTTACAAAAGACTGAGCAATGGTTCTCAACCAGGGGTGATTTTGCCCTGCAGGGGTCATTTGGCAATGCCTGAAGACATTATTGGTTGTCACTACTGGGGAGAGAGGACTGCTACTGGTATGGAGTGGATAAAGTCCAGGGGTGCTGCTACGTACACTGAAATGCACAGGATGGTATCCCACACAAAAATAGAATTCCCCAGCCTAAAATGCCAATAGTGCTGAGGTCAAGAAATCCTGACATAGAGTGAAATAGGCAAAAATTAGAGTAGAGAGAGTTGAGACGTGAGTAGAGACAGAAACAGAAACAGCAAGTGTAGACAACTTTTGAAAAGGTTGCCTGTAAAGAGGAAGAACTCAGGCATTAGCTAGAAGGGAATGAGGGAATGAAGTGAGAATTTTCTTTTTCTTTCTTTCTCTTAATTGGGAGAAAATTGAGCCTGTTTTTTAAAGTGGCAATTGAGGGAGAGTTTGAATATAGAGATTAAAGATAATCTATAACGTTAGGCCCCAAGGCAAAATATGAATACAGCTAGTGACTGCAATCCATGTTAGAAGTATGCAAGCTGAAATACAGAGCAGTTAAATGAACTGTCCCAACACTAATTAATAACAGGGTACTCAGGGTCCAAGGCAGGACAAAGCTTTGATTATCACCAGTAAAAGTGTTTTGCAAGATGCGTCTCTTTGTGATGGCCACCTGAGGTTCACCAGAGCTCAGGATGAATTTTACAATATCACATTATAAAGTTTAAGAAATAGGCGAACTCAAGGGGTCAGCAACAAAATAATTCACAGGTCCTTTGATTCTCCCACTGTTCCCATGAAGCAGTATGCAGGGGCCAGGATCATCTGATGGAGACTCAGTCTAGTATTCCAGGGAAGGGGCGCCACCCCACTGCTGCTCTCCTTTCTCACAGAGCAAGTAACTTTATCAGAAGAGATAATCAGACAACTTGAATGTTTGGCAGTCTGGGTTGGCAGTTAGCTAGTTGGAGGAGGTGACTGAAAGCTAGCTGTCCAGCACCCAAGAACAGTGGGGACCATGGGAAGTTGTAGCTCTTGCAAGAGGGTGAAATAACACCATCAGTTTTCTTGGAAGTTGAGTTTAAGCACAGCTTCTTCAACCAGTTGAAGAATAATTCCTGGTTCTAGGTAGTCCATTGGTTCAGGTAACCAAGAGTGAGCTACGGGAGACACTTTCAGACAATGCCACTCATTGTTATGAAATTCTATATATCATTCAATAAATGACATTTAGAATAGCTTGTGCATATATTTCAGCAGACTTCTCTCATTTTATTTCTTCATCATCCTGTGCGGTTTTTAGAGAAAATGAAGAAACAAAGGATATGGCTTCAAAGTGAAGAGGATTCTTATGAAACAAACCATAATGTTGTTGGCATTTACCAACTAAAATGGTTTAAGCTTAACTTACAGAGAATATTTCTAAATGTGACTTCTGATACATAAGCAAAAATAGTATATATAAATACCTACATTCCAAAATGGTGACATGTTCCATGAGGGTTTTTTTTCTTTTTATAACAAAGATGGTGGGAAAAATAGAAAACAAAGCTAAAAAAACAGAAAGGAGAAAATGCCAAATAGAGAGTTTTTCCCCTTAATTGGCTTAGTGTTGTAGAATAAAATAACAGAAGACCTATGGCTAAGACACAGAAAATACAGCTACTGTTGGAAGAGATGAAATTTCTAAGGTCCCAACATTTCTATTACATTGTGAAAAGTCAAACAAAACAAAAAGTTGGACTTGACAGAGAAAGCTACCAAGTAGTCTTTGTCAGTCGCATTTTTTATTTAAAAGGTAATCTAAAGCTACCTAAAAATATGCAATATTGAAATTAATGGGCAACTTGCCTTTTCTGATAGAATTCAACAATAAACAGAACTTCAATATATCAATGTTCTTAAGGGAGATGCCACGGGAGGAAAAAAGAGTCGTCAGGTTGATCATAGAGCAAATGTGTCCCTTGAAAGCTAAAGGTAATGCTTTGCCTCCAAAAAATTAAAATCATCTAGGAGAAAGAGGTAAAATATACAGGCAATGCAAAAGAAAAGAAGCCCTCCTTCTCTGACATATAAGGGAGAGAGACAGCTTAGGCCACACAAAGTTATAGGTTTTAGAATGTTTAAAGTATTCAAGTGAATTGGCTATCTAATGGCTCACAGATCTGAAAAAGTAGGAAGTAAAGAATCCAAAAATGGAAGCACTTGAGGCACAATGGCATGACAAGTGCTTCTCAAACGTGAATGTACTTACAAATCATCCGGAGATCTTGTTAAAATGCACACTCTGATTCAGCAGGTCTAGCACTAGGCCTGAGATTCTGCATTTCTAACAAGTTCCCAGATGACACCAATGCTGCTGGTCCTTGGGTCACACTTTGAATAGCAAAGTACTGATGACTCCTGACTTAACATAGCATCCATGGAACCCAAGTAGGAAGTCTCCATATATTTGTTCAGCCATAGAAATGTACAGACCTTCACAAGATTAGAATACTGGTGGCATGGGAAAACAGAGTTTGCTACCTTTACCTATGAGTCATTGAATTAATTTTTGCTCATGCCAATCAAACCTATTAACATAACACTGTCATGCGAATACCTGTGCTATTTTTCAGATAGTCCTAGAAGCACTGATAAAACAGTACATGTTCATCTGACAGCGTATCATGAAAATACATGTGGAAATTATTGTAAAATGCAGTAGCACATATTTTACATAGGTAACATGTGGAAACTTTACAGTTATAAATCTGTGGACTTACTCGAGCAGAATATCTCATTTAAGTCTCAGGTAAAGTACATGCCTTGTAAGTTAAACCACGTGCTCAAGTGCCAGTAGAGCAGTTTCTTGCTCCCTGCTCACTTGTACTCCGTCCAGCAGGGAGAATTAAAGATATGTGATCAGCAGATGAAGGTCTGCCAATAAGAACCATGTCTAGGATATATTTTAAAATCTACAATTGGCCTGTTTTCCCTGTGTTTCACATTGGGGTAACATTCCCCAGCCTATTAAATAGCAGCAGTCTCTGTTGTGGGGTGGGGGGAGGGGGGAGGGATAGCATTGGGAGATATACCTAATGCTAGATGATGAGTTAGTGGGTGCAGCGCACCAGCATGGCACATGTATACATATGTAACTAACCTGCACAATGTGCACATGTACCCTAAAACTTAAAGTATAATAATAAAAGAAAAAAAATAAAATAAAATAAAAATAAATAGCAGCAGTCTCTTTCCTAAACCCCAAACCCAATTCCCACAGTTTCTCCAGCTACTCCAGGCCTGATTTGTGTTCCAATTCTGCAACTAAGGTTAGAGCCTGGTGGAGAGTCCTAGACAATACAATAGAGAATCCTAGACAATATGATTTCTGGGACCCTGATATTATGCCTGGTCGTTGTAGCCCCTTCCCAACCTCCTCACTGTAGGATCTCTTTGTATCTATGACCTTGGTCCAACTCCAACCCCAAGAACAAATATGCTTCCATTCAACTAAAAGTGGTGCCACTTAAGGCTACTACTATGTCTCACTCAATGAGATTGAATCCTGCCTACTTATGTCAGCCTGGATGCAATCCATGCTATCTCTGAAATGGTGCTGTTTTATTCTACAAAAAATCAGTCATATTGCCTAACCTGTCCCCTTCATCTTTATGTAATTCCAAAATACCCTGTACATATAAAAATTATAAATTGGTTCCCACAATATTCATACACCAAAACATCCCATTACTTTCCTAAATATTTCTCAGAATTGCTGAGATACTCCATTTTTGGATCCAAGCTCTGCCTGAAATGAAGAAATGGACACAAGATACCTGGGCGGCAAGAACTAAACATTATTGCTTTGAGAGTGGTGATGAGAATCCCTGTGGCTGAGCCTCCAATTAATGGACAAAACAGCTGTGAAGAGCATCCCTAAGCTTGCCAGAAGCACTGCCTGATCCACATGGAGGACCAGCGCATAACAGGAGTATTATGTTGCAGAAAGTACAATGCCATCCCATCCTAGCCAGAGAAATTAGACAAGAGAAGGAAATAAAGGGCAACAAAATCTGTAAGGAGGAAGCCAAACTGTCACGGTTATATGATCATATACCTACAAAACCCTAAGGAGTCATCCAAAAAGCTTCTAGGCCGGGCACAGTGGCTCATGCCTCTAATATCACCACTTTAGGAAGCCGAGGCAGGCGGATTGCTTGAGCTCAGGAATTTGAGACCAGCTTGGGCAACATGGTGAAACCCCATCTCTACCAAAAATACAAAAAAATTAGCTGGGCATTGTGGTGCATGCCTGTAGTCCCAGTTACTCAGGAGACTGAGGTGGGAGAATCGCTTGAGCCCAGGGGACGGAGGTTGCAGTGAGCCAAGATCACACCACTGCACTCCAGCCTGGGCAACAGAGCAAGATTCCATCTCAAAAATAAATAAATACATAATTTTAAAAAAAAAAAGCTCTTAGATCTGATAAATGGATTTGGTAAAGTTTCAGTATATAAAATCAGTGTTCACAAATCAGTAGCACTGCTATATGCCAACAACGACCAAGCTGAGAATCAGATCAAGAACACAATCCCTTTTATAACAGCTGCAAAATAAAATAAAATAAAATAAAATACTTAGGAATATACCTAATCAAGGAAATGAAAGATCTCTATGAGGAAAACTACAAAACACTACTGAAAGAAATCCATTGATGACACAAACAAGTGGAAACATATCCCATGCTTATGTATCAGGACGACCATACTGCCAAAAGCAATCTACAGATTTAATGCAATTCCCATCAAAATACCATTACCATTCTTCACAGAACTAGAAAAAACAATCCTAAATTCATATGGAATGAAAAAAGAGCCCACATAGCCATAGCAAGACTAAGCAAAAAGGACAAATCTGGAAGCATCACATTACCTGACTTCAAACTATACTACAAGGCTATAATCACCAAAACAGCATGGTATTGTATAAAAATTGGCACACAGACCAATGGAACAGAATAGAGAACCCAGAAATAAAGTCAAATACTTACAGCCAACTGATCTTAGACAAAGCAAGCATAATATAAAGTGGGGAAAGGATATCCTTTTCAACAACTGGTGCTGGGATAATTGGCAAGCCACATGTAGAATGAAACTGGGTCTTCATTTCTCACCTTATACAAAAATCAACTCAAGGTGGATCAAGGCTTAAATCTAAGACCTGAAACCATAACATTCTAGAAGATAATACTGGAAAACCCTTTTAGACGTTGGCTTAGGCAAAGACTTCATGAGAAAGAACCTAAAAGCAAATGCAGCAAAAACAAAGATAAACAGATGAAACTTAATTAAACTAAAAAGCTCTACACAGCAAAAGAAACAATCAGCAGAGTAAACATACAACCCACAGAGTGGGAGAAAATATTCACAAACTATGCATCCAACAAAGTACTAATATCCAGAATCTATAAGGAACTCAAACATTAAGCAAGACAAAGCAAATAATCCCATCAAAAAGTGGGCAAAGAACGAGAATAGAAAATTCTCAAAAGAAGATATACAAATGGCAAAAAAAAATATAAAAAATGCTCAACATCACTAATTATTAGGGAAATGCAAATTAAAACCACAATGATATACCATCTTACTTCTGCAAGAATGGCCATAATTAAAAAATAAATAATAGATGTTGGTGTGGATGTGGTGAAAAATAAACACTTTCACACTGTTAGTGGGAATATAAACTAGTACAAACACTGTGGAAAACAGTATGGAGATTCCTTAAAGCACTAGATGTAGAACTACCATTTGACCCAGCAATCCCACTACTGGGTATCTATCCAGAGGAAAAGAAGTCATTATGCGAAAAAGATACATGCATGTTTATAGCAGCACAATCTGCAATTGCAAAAATATGGAACCAGCCCAAATGCCCATCAACCAATGAGTGGATAAAGAAAGTGTGATGTAGGCTGGGCGTGGTGGCTCATACCTGTAATCCCAGCACTTTGGGAGGCCAGGGAAGGTGGATCACCTGAGGTCAGGAGTTTGAGACCAGCCTGGCCAACATGGTGAAACCCCGCCTCTACTAAAAATACAAAAATTAGGCTGGGCGCGGTGGCTCACGCCTGTAATCCCAGCACTTTGGGAGGCCGAGGCGGGCGGATCACAAGGTCTGGAGATCGAGACCATCTTGGCTAACACGGTGAAACCCCGTCTCTACTAAAAATACAAAAAATTAGCCGGGCGAGGTGGCAGGCGCCTGTAGTCCTAGCTACTCGGGAGGCTGAGGCAGGAGAATGGCGTGAACCTGGGAGGCGGAGCTTGCAGTGAGCCGAGATTGCGCCACTGCAATCCGGCCTGGGCTAAACAGCGGGACTCCGTCTCAAAAAAAAAAAAAAAAAAAATACAAAAATTAGCTGGGCGTGGTGGCGGGCACCTGTAATCCCAGCTACTCTGGAGGCTGAGGCAGGAGAATCGCTTGAACCTGGGAGGCGGAGGTTTCAGTTAGCCAAGATCATGCCATTGCACTTCGGCCTGGGCAACAGAGCAAGACTCTGTCTCAAAACAAACAGACAAAAAAAAAAAAAAAAACAAAAGAAAGTGTGACGTAGGCTGGGCGCAGTGGCTCACGCCTGTAATCCCAGCACTTTGGGAGGCCAAGGCAGGCAGATCACCTGAGGTCGGGAGTTTGAGAACAGCCTGATCAACATGGAGAAACCCCATCTCTACAAAAAATACAAAATTAGCCAGGCGTGGTGGCGCATGCCTGTAATCCTAGCTACTCGGGAGGCTTAAGCAGGAGAATCGCTTGAACTGGGGAGGCAGAGGTTGCAGTGAGCCAAGATCGTGCCATTGCACTCCAGCTTGGGCAACAAGAGTGAAACTTCATCTCAAAAAGAAAAAAAAAAAAAGGAAGTGTGATATATATATATACATATACACACACACACACACACACACACACACGCACGCACACCATGGAATACTACTCAACCATAAAAAGGAACAAAATAATGGCATTCACAACAACCTGGATGGGATTGGAGACCATTACTCTAAGTGAAGTAACTCAGGAAAGGAAAACCAAAGATTATATGTTCTCACTTAGAAGTGGGAGCTAAGCTATGAGGATGCAAAGGTGCAAGAATGATACAATGGACTTTGAAGACTTGAGGGGAAGTTTGGGAGGGCAGTGAGGGGTAAAAGACTACACACTGGGTACAGTGTACACTGCTTGGGTGACTGGTTCACCAAAATCTCAGAAATCATCACTAAAGAACTTATCCATGTAACCAAAACAACCTGTTCCTCCCAAACTATTGAAATAAAATAAAATAATATAAAATAAAAAGAAAGTACAATGCAATAATGGACTAAAGATCAGAACTCTCTCCTACATTTTTGGTTCCCATGTGGGTCCCGCAGGACTCCCATAACTTCCATGGGAGAGGGAGACCTGCTGGGAGTCTCAACATCCCCAAAGCCTTTTATCATCCCATGACTACTTACATCACTGAATAAGGGCAAGTTAGTGAGGGCATTCCAGTGCTTCCTTGATATTCTGCCCAGCAAGCAGCTATCTCATGGATTAGGTTGCCCAAAAGCCCTTCAAGTCTTCCTAAAATGCAGTATCATCAGCACTGTGTCTAGCACAAATTCCTCTGATTTCTGAGGTATGGCTAGTACCTCACTGTACATTCTACTCATGATGTAGATTTTCTCTTATTTATCCATTCTCTATTAGAGATGATCGTATTGATACAAAAGTAAGGCTCTGAGAATGGCTGACCTATACAGCTAGTTGGTGGCTCAGCAGGGTCTGCAATCATCTTTCCTGATATGCACCCTAGTGATCTTTTAATGTCACCATACCTTCTAAACAGTACAGAATTATGAACACAAGAATGTTGCTTGACATTTTGATTTTAGTTTTACTATTAAGATATAACATGAGAGAACTAGAAAGTATCTCAAATTTTTATGACTTTTTAAGTTTTATTTTACAACATAAAAAATTATTTTATAATATCAAAAGCCTTGAGAAGGAAAGAGATAAGTCAAGGGTCAGGTGCAGTGGCTCACCCGGCAGGCGGATCGCCTGAAGTCAGGAGTTCGAGACCAGCCTGACCAACATGGCAAAACCCCGTCTCTACTAAAAAATACAAAAATTAGCCAGGCGCAGTGGCAGGTGCCTGTAATCCCAGCAACACAGGAGGCTGAGGCAAGAGAAGTGGTTGAACCTGGGAGGTGGAGGTTGCAGTGAGCCAAGGTCACACCACTGTACTCCAGCCTGGGCAACAGAGCAAGATTCTGTCTCAAAAAAAAAAAAGGAAAGAGATAAGTCAAGATGTATCCTACAGAATAGGTTAGATAAAAATGGCATGATTTGCAAAATCAGTTCAAAGGCTAAATTTTGAACTGGTTCCGAATTTAATGTGTATTTCACACATTTGTACTTTAAAATACCATTATTATCAAATTTAGGCCTCATATCTTTTTAATATATAACCTTATTATGTTTGATTCTCTGTATAAATTATTTCCAGTAAAATGCTTTTTTAAAAATAGAAAATAAAAACATGTTAGTATTTTTCTTGTAACCAATGAAGTAATTATTTACCTTGACAGAACATGTATTCTATGTTCATGTGAAGGGGTGGCCTGCCCCTCCACACCTGTGAGTGTTTCTCGTCCGGTAGAGACTGAGAAAAGAAAGAGACACAGAGACGAAGTATAGAGAAAGAAAAGTAGGCCCAGGGGACCGGCGCTCACTCGCGCCAGCACCGGTCTCTGAGTTCCCTCAGTATTTATTGATCATTATCTCTACCATCTCAGAGAGGGGGATGTGGCAGGACAATAGGGTAATAGTGGGGAGAGGGTCAGCAGGAAAACATGTTAACAAATATCTCTGTGTCATAAACAAGGTTAGAAAAGGTGCTGTGCTTTGATGTGCACATACATAAACATATCTGGTACATTAAAGAGCAGTATTGCTTCCAGCATGTCTCACCTCCAGCCTTAAGGCGGTTTTCTCCTATCTCAGTAGATGGAACACACAATCAGGTACATTCCATTGCCCAGGGAGGAGCAGGAGACAGATGCCTTCCTCTTATCTCAACTGCAAAGAGGCCTTCCTCTTTTACTAATCCTCCTCAGCACATACCCTTTACAGGTGTCGGGCTGGGGGATGGTCAGATCTTTCCCTTCCCATGAGGCCATATCTCAGACTATCACATGGGAAGAAACCTTGGACAATACCTGGCTTTCCTAGGCAGAGGTCTCTGCGGCCTTACGCAGTGTATTGTATCCCTGGGTACCTGAGATTAGAGAGTGGTGATGACTTTTAACAAGCATACTGCCTTCAAGCACTTGTTTAACAAAGCACATCCTGCATAGCCCTAAATCCATTAAACCTTGAGTCAACATAGCACATGTCTCTGCGAGCACAGGGTTGGGGATAGGGTTACAGATTAACAGCATCTCAAGGCAGAAGAATTTTTCTTAGTACAGAACAAAATGGAGTCTCTTATGTCTACTTCTTTCTACATAGACACAGTAACAGTCTGATCTCTCTTTTCCCCACATTCATGGAATAAACTTTCCAAAGTGCTGATTAATTTAATTTAATGTTCTGTTGAGTTTTTACTATGTTGCATTTAAGATATACAAAACTTTACCACTGTGTAAGCAGGAAAATGACTCCCACAGTCACTGTAAATTGAGAAGAGGGCTTTTTTTAAACCTTAGGTAGTTAAAATAGATCGGCCTTTGTAGTTACACCACTGACCTTTCTCCTAAGTTTACTTGATCGGCCATGGAATACCTTTTTCAAGTGCTCTGGAAAGTTAGGTTGCATTGGTCATCAAACTGAGAATCTATACAGGTATCACTCATAGATTATACTTCATCTATTTTTATTTTCACACAATGTACTGTGTGATGACCTACATGAAATAATGCCCTGCTTTGAGAGGTTAGACAAAGTACTTTTATTTTCCAATTCAGGCTTTAATTACTGGTTAGCCATGTACCCTCAGACAATCTATCAACTTAACTCTTAAGAAGTGGATTGGCCGGGCGCAGTGGCTCACGCCTGTAATCCCAGCACTCTGGGAGGCCGAGGCGGGCGGATCACCTGAGGTCAGGAGTTCGAGACCAGCCTCAACATGGAGAAACCCCGTCTCTACTAAAAATACAAAATTAGCCGGGCATGGTGGTGCATGCCTGTAATCCCAGCTACTCGGGAGGCTGAGGCAGGAGAATTGCTTGAACCTGGGAGGCGGAAGTTGCGGTGAGCCAAGATCGCGCCATTGCACTCCAGCCTGGGCAACAAGAGCGAAACTCCGTCTCAAAAAAAAAAAAAAGAAGAAGAAGTGGATAATACATGAGTCTATATAGCTTTGGAAAAAGAAAGCAATCAATTATGACATGGAGTACATGAGAGAGTACAGTCCTTTCTTAATACCAAACTCTAAACCTTTCAATTCAACAATAGTTTGTCAAATGTCATAACTGCTCACTTTTGCACTATTTGTAGAACTTGAATGTTTTCATATTTATACTTCACAGTAAATTAACTATATGGAAGTTACTGATTTTGATGTATTCTCTCTTGGGGAAAGGACAGGGAAGAAAGGGCAAGAGACACACTGTTCTTGGATTCCTTCTCAAGATGTTATTGAGTGTTTTCTATACAACAGGCAATGTTTTAGGTGCTGGGGATTCCGGAGAAAAGATATTTTCTCCTCTCAATAAGCTCACCCTCTAGTAGGACAGACATTTAATTGTTAGGTCAGGATACCTGATGCATTCTTAGGAATTTTGCCACTCTGAGAGCTTTGTTTTGACAGGTTTGTTTTCCACCCTTCTGAGCTGGGCAAAGGACACACAAAATCAGCTGTCAAATCAATTCCTATTCAAAACTGAGGAAAAAAAAAAAACTAACCAAAGTTAAAGCTTTTGAAAAGACAGTAAATGCATCATGGTTAGCACTATGCTAACCATAAATTTACCATGCTGCTATAAGATATAGCAAAATCAAGCCCTTTCCTGTGATACTTCAAAAAGGAAAAGAAAATATGTATTCTTTAAAAAATAAAGAGGCCAGGCACTGTAGCTCACACCTGTATTCCCAGCACTTTGGGAGGCCGAGGCAGGCGGATCATTTGAGGTCAGGAGTTCAAGACCAACCTGGCCAACATGGTGAAACCCTGTCTCTACTAAAAATACAAAAATTAGCCAGGTGTGGTGGCACACACCTGTAGTCCCAGCTACTTAGGAGGCTGAGGCAGGAGAATCACTTGAACCCGGGAGGCAGAGGTCGCAGTGAGCCAAGATCACGCCACTGCACTCCAGCCTGGGCAACAGAGTGAGAACTCTGTCTCAAAAAAAAAAAAAAAAAATTAAACATAAAAAATAAAGAATCATCTCAATTGATGCAGAAAAAGCTTTTGACAAAATTCAACATCATTTCATGATACAAACACTCAGCAAACTAGAAGAAAACTACCTCAACCTAATAAAAGCCATATGTAAAAAAATCTACAGCAAACATCATACTCAACAGTGAAAGACTGAAAACTTTTCTTCTAAGGTCAGGAACAAAGCAAGGATAACCACTTCCACCACTTCTATTCAACATATTGAAAGTCCTAGACAGAACAATTGATCAAGACAAATAAATGAAAGCTTCATCCAAATTGAAAAGGAACAAGTAAAATTATCTCTGTTCACAGATGTGATATGTAGGAAACTAAGATACCACACACACACACACACACACACACACACACACACACAGTTAGAATAAATGAATTCAGCAAAGCAGCAGGATACAAAGTCAATGCACAGAAATCAATTGCATTTTGATACACTAACAATGAGTAATCTGAAAGGAAATTAAGAAAACAATTCTATTTAAAATAGCATTTAAAAACTTAGGAATTCACAAACCAAAAGGAGACCTGTACACTGAAAACTATAAAACATTGCTAAAAGAAATTAAGAAAGACATAAATAAATGGAAAACCATCCCATGGTTCATGGATTAGAAGATTAATATTGTCAAAATGTCAGTACTACCCAAAGTGATCTACAGATTGACTTTTTTTTTACAGAAATAGAAAAATTAGTTTTAATATTCATGTGGAATCTTAAGGGACCCTGAACAGCTAAAACAATCTTGAAAAAGAAGAACAACATTGGAGGACTCACATTTCCTGATTTTAAAACTTACTACAAAACTTTGGTAATTGAAACAGTGTGGTACTGGCATAAAGACAGATATATAGATAGACAAATGAAATAGAATAGAGAGCCCAGAAATAAACCCCAGTATATATAGTCAAATGTTTTCCAACAACAGTACTAAGACCATTCAGTGGGGAAAGGACAGTCTTTTCAACAAATAGTGCTGGGAAAACTGAATAGCCACATGCAAAATAATGAAAATGGACTGTTAACCTAACCCCATATACAAAAATTAATTCAAAATGAATCATAGACCTAACAAAAGAGCTAAAACTATATAATTCTTAGAAGAAAATATAGGGCAAAACTTCATGATATTGAATTTGGCAATGAATATGACACCAAAGACACAGGCAAAAAGCAAATAGATTAATTGGATTTCATTAAAATGTAAAACTTTTGTGCTTCAAAGGACACTATCAATAGCATGAAAAGACAGCCTACAGAATGGGGGAAAATATTTTAAAATCATACATCTGATAAGGGATTAATATCTAGAATATGTAATGAACTAATCTAAAACTCAACAACAACAACAAAAATTCAAAAGTAGGCAGAGGACTTAAATAGACATGTCTCCAAAAGATTTACAAATGGCCAGTAAGCACATAAAAAAATGTTCAACATCACTACCCATTAGGGAAATGAAAATCAAAAACACATTGAGATACCATCTCACATCTACCAGGATGGCTACTATAAAAAAAACAAAAAATAGAAAATAAGTGTTGGTAAGGATGTGGAGAAACTGAAATCTTTGTGCACTGTTGATGGGAAGATAAAATGTTACAGCCACTGTTGAACACATTATGGTGGTTACTCAAAAAGTTAAAAATAGAATTACTATATGATCCAGCAATTCTACTACTGGGCATGTACTCAAAAGAATTGAAAGTATGATCTCAAAGAGATCATTGTATACCCACTGATATGGTTTGGCTGTGTCCCCACCCAAATCTCATCCTGAATTTCCACATGTTGTGAGAGAGACCCGGTGGGAGGTAATTGAATCATGGGGGGCAGGTCTTTCCCTGCTGTTCACGTGTTGGTAAATAAGTTTCATGAGATCTGATGGTTCTATAAGGGGAAGTTTCCCTGCACAAGCTCTTTCTTTGCCTACTGCCATCCATGTAAGATGTGACTTGCTCCTCCTTGCCTTCCACCATGATTGTGAGGCCTCCCCAGCCACATGGAACTGTAAGTCCATTAAACCTCTTTCCTGTATAAATTACCCAGTCACGGGTATGTCTTTGTCAGCAGTGTGAAAACAAACTAATACACTCATGTTCCTAATAGCATTATTCATAAGAGCCAAGAGCAAACCACATGTCCATTAACAGATGACTAAATGTGTGTGTACACAAAATGGAATACTAGACAGCCTTAAAAAAGTAATCCTAGGCCAGGCATGGTGGCTCATGCCTGTAATCCCAGCACTTTGAGAGGCCCAGGTAGGTGGGAGGATTGCTGGAGTCCAGGAGTTCGAGACAGGCCTGGGCAACATTATGAGAACTCGTCTCAACAAGATAAATAGATAAAAATAAACAAAATTAGCTAGGCATGGTGGCATGAGCCTATAGTCCCAGCTATTCGGGAGGCTGAGATGGGAGGATCACTTGAGCCTGGAAGGATGAGGCTTCAGTGAGTCAAAATCATGCCACTGCACTCCACCGTAGGCAACAAAGTGAGATCCTGTCAAAAAAAAAAAAGAAAGAAAGAGAAAAGAAATACTATCACATGCTACAACATGGATGAACCTCAATATTTTGCTAAGTGAAATAAATCAGTAACAAAAACTACTGTATGGTTTTATTATATGAGGTACCTAGAGTCATCAACATCATAGAGACAGAAAGGAGTAGCTGCCAGGAATTTGGAAGGGGGGAATGGTGCATTATTGTTTCTGATATAATGAAGTTAGTATTTCTAAAGATATTAATGTACTTTCTTATTTGCCTTTGCAATATGCAAGACTTTCTCCATTCAGCCTAAGACACCCATCTGCCTCTGTAGGAGATTTGGATTGTAATAGAATAAATGCATAGAGGAAGGAGAGGTGATGTTTAACACCTGACATTCAAAATAGGATTTTGCAGCAAGACTATGGGCAGTTTGAGAAACAAAAAAATTTCTAAGGGAAACCCATTCTCTTAAGAAAGGGTTTGAAAGATTGTAAAGATGAGAAAACCTAAAGAAAAGAGGAGGCGAAGGAAACGGTCTGATGTATCATGATAGAAGCAAGTCCAATAGGTTGAGGGGATTACTAGATTATAAATTCCATGCAGGCAAGGATTTTTGTGTGTTTTGTTCATTACTGTATCCCCAGTGCATAGAACAGTGCTTAGTACACAGCAAACACAGTGTTTACTGAATGCACACAGGGCTTTTTGTTCTGCTCCCTGTTCTGAACTCTGGTTGTAGAATGCTATACTAGGCAAAAAGGGTGCGGGGGTTGGGGGGGGTCCAAAAAGAGGGATCCTAGAATGATTAAGAGGGTAAAGCAAGATCACTTACATATAGGACCTGGGTTTCAGCTCCAGTACACATTTTATAGATCCACCATGACAGAGTTGAGGTGATTCCAGCAAAGCCTTATCAAATGGATGTCTTGGGCCTTGGACCAGGCAGAGAACATTTTAGGTACTCAGAGAGGGGTCTGTAGTGAAAGTAGGATCAAGAAAGGCTGAGACAGTAGGGGAGGAGGATGCCTTTAGACTCTGGCCAAGCCAAGAAAGAATAGACAGGAAGTTATCAGCTACAGACATCAATAGTTTGTGCCAACAGGATTACCAGGAACAGGACTAGACAGATACACATTAGGTGATGCCAGCCCCTGCACAAGAACCAGTTCAAGGTCACAGAGTTCAACTCCCCCAGTGCAACCAGTTCATGTGAGATCCTGCTCCTTATACTAGACATCTCTTAGAACAAAGTAGAGAGAGAAAGGGGCGTCGAAACAATAGAACAATGATTTCAAAGAGACTGGGTTAAAGAGATTATTTAAATAATTGGCTCAGAATTAGTTTCCAACCAGATTAGACTAAAATTATTTTTGTTTTCCCACACCTGCCTAGCAGTTAGGAAACGGTAAAGGAAATTGGAGAAGCTTTTAAGAATAAAATATACTCTCTTCCTTTCTCTGCCATCGAGGTGTGTGCTTGACTCTGCTTCTTGCCATGTCTTCTCACAAGACTTTCAGGATTAAGCATTTCGTGGTCAAGAAACAAAAGCAAAATCATCCCATCCCCCAGTGGATCCAGATGAAAACTGGTAATAAAATCAGGTAGAACTCCAAAAGGAGACATTGGAGAAGAATCAAGCTGGGTCTGTACGGAATTACACATGAGATGGCACACATATTTATGCTGTGTCAAGGTCACAACCATCTTACCATATCAAGCTGAAAATGTCACCACTATCTGGACAGTTGGACATGTTTTATTGTGAATATATATTTTTTTCTCTGTGTATGTGCTGTTGGTGCACTGGTAGGCTGGATTCAGTAATAAATATGTGAGACCTTTCATTTCAAACAAACAAAAAGAATAAAATATACGTTTCTTAATATATCTAAGTAGTGTAAATAATTTTGTAATTCTGTTTTCCAGAGACAGAAAACGCAGCCCTGTCTGAAGAAATCTAGTGGGATAATGAGTTATTACACAACATGGCACAACATAGCCACAGCAAAGGAGCTCCAGGGAGCACCTAACCTAGACCCATGGGAGGGAGGGCACGGCAGGCAGAGACTTCTTGAAGGAGATATCTAAGATGATAGAGTCTTAGATTAGCGAGAATATCCTAGAATCAAGAAAACAGACTCACTGTTGGCATAGCCATATATGAAGCCAACAACATTCCAATTCAATTTATAAAATCTTATTGATTACCAGGCCATGGACGTAGCATCACTGCCTCAGATGTAGCATTACCGAACAGAATCACTGAGCATGCAATTGAAGTCACATTCCTTCACTTGCTCACTATGTGATCTTAAACAAGTTACTTAACTTTGGGTACTCAGTTTCCTTGTCTTTATAGTGGGGGTAATAATAGTGTTGTTCTGGAAATTGAGTTAACTTAGAACAGTACCTGGCACCTCTTAAAAGCTCATTAATATTAGTTGTTACCATTTATAGAGCATGTATTATTTTCAAAACATTTCAGACATTTTATTTTTGTGATCCTTGGTAGATAAATAACAGCTGAGGAATTAGTGCCTAAAAGAGGTTAAATGACTTATATTATGTTTGATGAAAATATTTTTCCCTAATTCCTGTTTTCTTTGAAGAGAGCGTGTCCCAAAACAATATCTTGGATTTTCTTTGCCCTTTAACTTGCTCCATTCCTGAGGAGGAAAAGTGATTTCTCTGGTTGGGAAATTGGGGAAGAATAACTGTGAGCTTGGCTCACCTCTATCCCTCTTCCTTTTTAGGAGTGACCATGAAGTGGCCAAGCACGATTCTTCCAGTCCTTCTGTGACTGGGAGAAAGTTGGCCCAGTTCTAGAGTTCAGTTTTAGCAAACTCATTTGTCTGACAGATCTAAAGCTTCATTCTCCAACAGGACTTTTTTTTCTTCAATGTGGTCAAGCTCATTAAATAATCAGTCTCTCCCCCACCCCCATCCCTTGGAGGCATTCCTCCAAGAGCCTTCCATTCTCCTGCTGCAAACTGTGTCACTTTGACAACAATTAAATTTTAAAATAAAATACCACGCAAACTGTGTCAGAGACTACTAGTTGTCCACCAAAATTATTCTTTCTTTCCTGAACAACAAAACCTGGGTGTTAGCTAGACTCATTGCTGCCTACATAAAGGTTACATTTGTATGTACATTGGGATTAAGTTTTAATAAACATGAGACAAGCAGAAATGTACAGTATTTTCAATAATTATCCTTAAAGGAAGAAGGTTCGCCCTTCTTCTTCTCTTCTTCCATCCTGATGCCTGAATTTGGATATGACAGCTGGAGTTCTGGCAGCCTTATTGTACAATGAAGATGAGATCCACAACACAAAAGGGAGGAAGCTATGGGCTGAAAGGAGCCTGGGTTCCTGATGACTTTACAGAGCTGCCTCACCAGCTTTGAAGAGCTTACCTCTAGCCTTTTTTTTTTCGAGACGGAGTCTCGCCCTCCTGCCTGTCGCCCAGGCTGGAGTGCAGTAGCATGATCTCGGCTCACTGCAGCCTCTGCCTCCTGGGTTCAAGGAATTCTCCTGCCTCAGCCTCCCGAGTAGCTGAGAATACAGGGGCACACACCAGCAGGCCCGGCTAATTTTTGCATTTTTAGTACAGACAAAGTTTTGCCATGTGGGCCAGGCTGGTCTCAAATTCCTAACCTCCAGTGATTTTCCCACCTGGGCCTTCCAAAGTGCTGGGATTACAGGCGTGAGCCACCGGGCCCAGCATCCTCTACACTTTTATGTGAGAGAAAATATGTGAGAGTGGCTCTTATTTAAGCCACTTTTGTCGTGTGTGTGTGTGTTCCTGCCATCTGCAGCTGAGGTGATGCTAACAAATACAGCAAATCAGCTTGAAGTCCCCCTTTCCTGGTCCTTTCTCTTCAGCTATACTGCCAACCCAAAGCGCTCATTTATGGAAACTCTGGAGCTCACAATTTTAACAAGCTGCCGAGACCACCTCGGTAGGAGAGAACTTAACCCAGCGGTACTAGAGGAATTAAAGACACACACACAGAAATATAGACGTGTGGAGTGGGAAATCAGAGGTCTCACAGCCTTCCGACCTGAGAGCCCCGAACAGAGATTTACCCACATATTTATTAACAGCAAATCAGTCATTAGCATTGTTTCTATAGATATTAAATTAACTAAAGTATCCCTTAAGGGAAACGAAGGGATGGGCCGAATTAATTGAATAGGTTGGGCTAGTTAACTGCAGCAGGAAGACGCCCTTAAGACACAGATCGCTCAGGCTTTTGTTTATGGCTTAAGAATGCCCTTAAGCGGTTTTCCGCCCTGGGCGGGCCAGGTGTTCCCTGCCCTCATTCCCGTAAACCTGCAACCTTCCAGCTTGGGCGTTATGGCCATTATGGACATGTTACATTGCTGCAAAGATTTTATTTATGGCCAGTTTTGGGGCCAGTTTATGGCCAGATGTTGGGAGGCTTGCTTCCAACAACAAGCAGCTAAATTTATTTGCAAGAGTAAATGATTTCGTTTTTAAATTGGGGCCAAACAACATTTTAAAAGATCTACTCTAAGAAAAAAGGAAAGATCACCACCAAAAAAAGCCTCTCGCGTGTCCTCCTGTCATGCATTCAAAGCATTCCATACATTGTTTTTGACTAATTTATTATATCAATTATTAGGAATTTTTAAAGGACTTTTCCTATGCAAACTCTAAGAGCTCAAGTTTTGTTTTGAATAGAAATACAACTATATTTACCACTATTTATGTACATCTCAATACATTTTCTAATAAATATTTATTGTATACTGACTAATCCTCATTTCATTCTTAGGTTCTGCCTTTTTTTTGTTTTCTAATTTGGGCTGAAACAATTACGCTCTGATTTTGCTCACTGAATTCACTCTTATATCCCCTCTTCACAAAGTAAGAAACTTTCTGGAAACTTTGGCCTCTGCCATGCACTGGGAACCTCCTCTTCATCTAATTTGTCTGACTACCATCTTGAACCCAGCAAGGACAACTAGATGTGACCCCTTCTTTTTTAAAAAAACTATTATTAAAAGTCTATCATGTGCTAAGTGCTAGAATAGATGCTTCAAATGCTTTCTTTTTTTCTTCTAATCTTCATGCCAAATTTGCAAGTGAGGTCTTGTTCTCTCCATTTTATGGGTGATCAATCGTGATTCAGAGTGATTAAAACGAATCCAAGGTTTGTTTGCCTCTAAAGTCTGTTTTCTATCTCACTTTAAGAAAATCTCTCTCTGATTTTCCATACCTCTGTATCATTACATTCAAGTCTTCCACTTCTCCAACTTCAACTCTATTTCTTTTCCCTGCTTCCCTTTTGCTTCTCACTGGCTGTATCTGGATATTTCAAAAGTACAGAATAAGTTGTTCAATTTAGAAGGGATTCTGAAAACACAAATCCAAATTTTACAAAGTAAAATTATGACATGATAATAATGGTGCACTCTGAAATAAAGTGCACAGAAAATGCCAAAGAATATAAAAACCAAATATAAGGCAGCCCCGTCCATTTCAGATCCACAAGGTCACAGGATTAGGACCTAATTATAAATAATAACCCAAATAACTCTTTTCCTTTCAGAAAGCATACATACATACACACAACCCTGGAGAAAGTCTTTTCCAACTACAGTCCTCCTCCCACTCCCCAAATGCATTAACTTCAATGTTTTAGAAAGCACTAGAGTCACTGCCAAATAGTTGAGGTTATCCATCAGATGTTCCCCAAGGTGAGCCTTCTCCTGACAACTACAGCATGAGATTATTGTGTATATATAGATCACTGTCATGCACAGGACAGGCACATGACAAATGTGCATTAAAATGAAGGCTGCACATGGCACCACTGTAGCCCTAGACTGCAAACTCATTGGCATTCCAAGAACTTCACAAATAGCACAATAATGTGACTTTTCTTTTTTAAAAAGGACACTATGTAGCTTGTAAAATTAATCTTAGAGGCACATCATATTAATCATGGTTCCATTACTTAGCAGTCTTCATTTTCATTCAAAATATGAAATTTCCAAGATTAAGATGATTTGGATTTACAAATCTTGTAAAATTCAAGCATTTGTATGAGAATAAATCACTACTAAAGGAATTGATGTCATCAATATCTTTTACTCCTTATATCTAATTGCAACACTGGGCATTAAAGTGAGAGTTTTACTGGAGGAAGGACAGCAAGAAAGGCTAATTTTGGAGCCCTGGAGAACAGTGATCAACAGGAGGGCAGTGTAATGAGATAGTCATAGGAGAGACTGAAAGTGGGAGGGGGCATGGAAAGGGAGAACTTGAAGACAAACATAAATGTGATCTGTTTTCACAACATGGTCAGGGCCTCACTCTGCTAACATTTGTATGTACGCTAGTACTTAGTCTCTATCAGGCACAGTTCTAAGCCCTCATTTACTTAACAATAGATACTACTTTCATCCCCATTTTATAGTTGCAAAAACCAAGGCCCAAAGAGGTTGAGTACCATGCAAAGCTTCACAGCTAGTTAGTGGCAGAGCTGGGATTCAACACCAGGCACCACTTCATAATCATGAATTATCATTTTACACAGCATGCAATCTAGAACAATCACTTTCAATCTTGTTTTTAACCATAATCCTTCCAGTAAGAATACATGACTCAGTACACCAAAACATAAGTAACAGAAATAGAAGTTTTGTGAAATAATACTTTTACCAAATGTAATGCATTTGGTAGTCCCAGCTACTGGGAATGGATGAGGAAGGCTGAGGGAGGAGGTTGAGGCTGCAGTGAGCCATGATTGCACCACTGCACTTCAGCCTGGGTGACAATGAGACCCTGTCTCAAAAAGTAAAATAAAATAAAGTAACTTTTTCTATTGGTTATATGTTGAAATGATGCCTTGGATATATTAAGTAAATTATATTGCTAAAATTAATATTACCTTTTTCAAAACTTTCTTTTCTTTTCTTTTTTTTTTTTTTTTTTTTTTGAGACAGTCTCGCTCTGTCACCCAGGCTGAAGTGCAGTGACATGATCTGGGTTCACTGCAACTTCCACCTCCCAGGTTGAAGCGATTCTCCTGCCTCAGCCTCCACAGTAGTTGGGACTACAGGCATGTGCCACCATGCCTGGCTAATTTTTGTATTTAAAAAAGTTTTTTTAATGTGGCTACTTGAAAATTTTAAATGACCTATGTGGCACTTAATATTTCTATTGGACAGTGCTTTCTGCTCATTCAGGCCAAAAACCTTGGAGTCATCCTTGACTCCTTTCTCCACCAATCCTGTAGGTTCTATCTTCAAAATAGTCCAGAATTCAGCAACTACACCACCTGCTATACCACCTCCCCCCCATCACCCCCAACCCCCCGACACAGAGAAAACACACACAAGTCACTTTCTCTTGCTTGAATAACTAAAATAGCTTTCTAACTGGTCTCCTTGCTTCCTTCCTTGCTACACTCTACAGTTTATTCAACTATTTCCCATAAAGTTGCGGAGCGATCCTTTTAAAAGGTCAATCAGATTATGTCACTCCTCTGTTCAAAATCTCCATGGCTTTTTTTCCAAAGTTTAAAAGCCCAAGTCCTTGCAATGGCCTACAAAGCCTTAAAAGATCTGGTCACCCGTCTGTGCTCCTGATCCCTTCTCCTGCCCCATCTGTCTGTCCTAATCTCTTACCACTCTCTTCTTCACTCAGCTATGGTGATCTTCTTCGGTTCACCAAGTATGCTCCTGCCTCATGGCCTTTGTACTTCCTATACCTCTACATGTAACCCTCTACCTTAGACTTCTTCTTTCTCGCAGTTTGGCATCACTTTACTGAACGTTATATTTAGAAATGCAAACCTCTCTCTGCTTACTCTTCCACACTTCCCCCTTCCTATTATATATAGGATATAACATATCCTTCTTATTATATAGGATATATTATATCCTGTATAATTTATTTAATTTATCTGTCTCCCACCAATAAAATGTAGGAGTTCCTTGAGGGCAGTGACTGTTTTATTGCTGCATTCCCAGCACCTTATGTGCCTGGCAAATAGTAGGGGCCAGAAAATGAGCTGTGGGTTCCCAAAGTCAGTTACGGACCATTTGCAACTAGCCATTCTCAGAAATCTACAGAAATAAACAAATACTTCAGTATGGGGTTTTTTTTTTTAACTTATATCCTCTTTGGACCTACAGTCATTCCACAATAAAGAATGCAAGAATCTTCTCCACACGCCACAAGTCTTAGTTAACCAAATCTTCTGTCCATTTTCTCATAACCATTAGGAGCCCTCCAAAAGCCCTGGAAGATGGGTTTTCCTTTACCCTCAGGCATTAAATCTCCTTAAGCATCTGCAAAAAGTTCTGAGTTACTGGCCTAACATAAGTGCAGCTTAATCTCAGACGATCTCCGGGTCTATCTAGTGTACATGAGGTACACCCGGACACCGTTAAGTATCAGTGGTGTTTGCACTCTCGATGGTTTGCAGACTGGCCACACCTTACCTACTGGGTCTGCATTCAGGAACATGTGTCCTGTCTGTTAGCACTAGAAGTGATGGACACGTGTTGGCTGGAATGTCAAGGCTGTAGCCAGGCCCCTTATTTTAGACACTTAGAAATCAGGACTCTGAGAACTTAGGCCAAGTAAAAATTATCAAAACAAAGAAACAAAACACGTGGTGGCACAAAAGACACCAGAAGCCAGGTCGTTTGCCCCTCACCATTCAGCCCTTCCCAGCAAAAGATCCTACTGTGCAGCTCAACCTAGCTCGCAGCCGGTACCGCGGGATTTTAATGTGCAACTGTGAGCTCGCAGGCTGTTAAAGGAAGGCCGCGCCTTGGCCGGTGCACCTTCCCCAGGGCAAGGAGAAAGCGCCGCTCCCGGCCTCAGCCGCAGCAGGCTCCAGGTCCCCCGGCCCGGAGCCGACTGAGACGGTGCGGTGCCCACGCTCTCGCGAGACTAGCGGTCGGGGCGGGCGGGTCGAGCCTCCCGGAAGTGGGCCAGAGGTACGGTCCGCTCCCACCTGGGGCGAGTGCGCGCACGGCCAGGTTGGGTACCGGGTGCGCCCAGGAACCCGCGCGAGGCGAAGTCGCTGAGACTCTGCCTGCTTCTCACCCAGCTGCCTCGGCGCTGCCCCGGTCGCTCGCCGCCCCTCCCTTTGCCCTTCACGGCGCCCGGCCCTCCTTGGGCTGCGGCTTCTGTGCGAGGCTGGGCAGCCAGCCCTTCCCCTTCTGTTTCTCCCCGTCCCCTCCCCCCGACCGTAGCACCAGAGTCGCGGGTCCTGCAGTGCCCCAGAAGCCGCACGTATAACTCCCTCGGCGTAAGTGCTAGGAATGCCGCTGGCCTCGCGGGGAAACGCATTCTTTCTATCTATAGCTCGCTCTGTACATCTTCTGTCTACGGCAGCTATTCCAGAGGCAACAACTGCTTCCCTCTGTTCTCATCTCCCCATTGGTGGCTGGCGACCCGAATTTGGGAATGGGGAGATTGCCCACCTGTTATCTTTGAGCAGACTAATCTCTTGTAAGCAGAAGTGCCATTCGGAGTCTCCAGAGCCCTGTGGCTTGGGGCTGGGAATGTCCCCCTGACTTCAGGCTTTCCTAAGTGTATTGCTTTTCTCTGAGAATGGTCTAGGTTTTTAATTTTTTAATTGTAAGAATCTGTAATACAGCATTTTTATTTCGGTCTTATTCGTTGTGCTCAAAGGCAGGAAACAACTATTAATTTGCCTTCTCGAATCTTAATAGTTATAAGATTCATTCTCTTTCATTGCTCTGCTAGGCATAAAACACACTTCGAACATGTAAGTGCCGCTGTCAGCTCTGGAGAGTTTAAGGCAATAGTTATTTTCGATATTTTAACTCCTTTTTGTTTCATAGGGGTAACTCATTCGACTGTGGAGTTCTTTTAATTCTTATGAAAGATTTCAAATCCTCTAGAAGCCAAAATGGGACACAGTAAACAGATTCGAATTTTACTTCTGAACGAAATGGAGAAACTGGAAAAGACCCTCTTCAGACTTGAACAAGGTCAGTAGCAAGTTGTTTTGATTTGCTCATTTGCGTCTTTTAAACTTTTAATTCATTGGCAGTCCTGTTAAATGTTTTAAAGCTCTAAGATAAATATTATTTCCAAGGGTCTAAAACTTGATTTGTGCAAAGATGGTGCTGTGTTCTCCATATATCACTAATTAATGTTGATTTGAATTAAAAATATTTTATATCCCTCGTGTTAGGATAAGGATAAAATAGTTCTCTTTTCTCTGCGTACTAATTCCCACTTAAGATTGAAGTTAAATATATGATCAGAAGATTGCCCATATTATTTCTAATAACATTTACTATTAAAACTTGGTAAATTACTTCATATGTAATTTTGCTTTGGGTATGCATGTAGTTTTGCCTTTGTATAACTGTCTCTTTTCCTTTGTTGAACCTTTGAATTGACAAAATAGATTGCAGCAAAAAGTATAGTAAACTATTGTTTATGTATATCAAAAACTTCTCAAATGTGGAGTAGGTAAAAGCTGAAAATATTTTCTTAGCAAATAAAAAGTGCAATAACTCATCTGGTTATGTTGAACTATATATAGTTGATCTGTATTTAAAAGATCAAATTACTTTTCTACAAGGCTAGTTAATAGATGTTTTATTTTCTTAGCCTTTGTAATTTTTCAACATTGAAGAAGTGTAATATATGAAAAATCCAGTCCCCCTTATTAATGTACCAAATGGATGTTGCTAGTCATAAACATTTCAAAGGAATTTTTAAATTTCGCTAATGTTTTAAGAATTAAATTTTTGAAAAAAATTTCACACATACAATGTGATATCTTCATGCCAAATCCGCGCCTTTTTCCAACTTTGGCATTTAAAATCACTGAGTACCTACTCCATTTTTGGCTTTCCTGACTCTGCACTTTTCTGGTTTTGATTTTTTTTTCCCCCTCCCCTGTTGCATATTCTTGTCAACTTGGTGTCTCTTACTAGGCTCTCTTCCTTTCACTTTTTAATTAATTATGGGTATCTGCTAGGAATTCTTTTTCTGTTCTCCTTCAAAGAATTAGTTACACAGTCTCATGGCCTCAACTGTTGCCTCTGTGCTAATGACTACTTTTGGAGGAAAAGCCTTGAGCTTTCTTCTTCTTGGAAGCTTTCAGCATTTGATGACGGGTAGATCTAGAGCCAGAATTCTCCTGGCTCTGCTGCTAACAAGCTGACTTGGGGCAAGTTACATTAATTCTGAGCATTCATTTCTTTTTTTTTTTTTTTTTTTTTCCTTTTCTCTTTTTCTGAGACAGGGTCTTACTCTGTTGCCCAAGCTGAGTGTTGTGGCATGATCATGGCTCAGTGCTGCCTCAACTTCCTGGGCTCAAGCAGTTCTCCTGCCTCAGCCTCCCAAGTAGCTGGGACTGCAGGCATACATCACTATGCCCCGCTAATTTTTTTTTTTTTTTTTTTTGTAGAAACTGGGTCTCACTATGTTGCCCAGGTTGATATTGAACTCCTGGACTCAAGCAACCCTCCCTCTTTGGCCTCTGAAAGTACTGGGATTACAAGCATAAGCCACCGGGCATGGCCCCAATTCTGAGCATTAATTTATTTATTGGTGAGATGAAAGTGGTAATTTCTGTTCTTCTACCTTTCTAGGTTTTGAGACTCAAAATTAATAATACATGAATTTTTTGTGATAAAGCCCTAAATAAATATAAGGCATTGATATGAATCACTCCATGTATTCCCACCCTGGACCTTGGCTTCAACCTGATATTATGCAATAGAATAGTATTAGGATAGCTCAACTTGGATATGCTTAAATCTAGCATGTCCAAAAATATCCCCTGCCCATTCTCGATCCTTTATTTCTCAGCTTCCCTGTTTATTTCGTGGCATCTCCATTTTTATAGTTCCCAGGGTAGAAACCTTATATTCTTTGATGATTTCTTCTCTTTTCCTGCAGTCTCTTTTTAAGCTTGCAGTTTCTTTCCAAATATCTCTGATTGCCTGTCTATTCTGTATGGCTGAATATAGATGCCAGAATAATCTTATGCAGTCTCTTCCCTTTGTTATTAAGTGGTATGTATAAAATCAAATTTAAATACCTCTGTCTGACTTCTAAGACATTCTGTAATGAGACTACACCTTCCTTAGCCAAGATTGTATCTCATTCTCCATCATTAATGTCATAGATCTTTACAGTTGCCCAAGTCATTCCTGTTAATTCCCTTCTCAGCAGGTTTTCTCATGCCTGTCCTTATACCCGTACTCCCATCAGATTCCTTTATATCTGTTAAATCTCATTTACTGTCAGTCTATGTGTTGCCTAAGTTTCAACTTTCAGCTAGAATATCACCTCCTTTGTGAAGTCTTTCCCTAATTTTTCACTGTCTGCTTCCTTTGATTTCCAATTACACAATGAGCACAGAACTATTAAGTGCTGAATAATGAAGCAGTGTCTAAAGGCTTGTTAGTCTTACAGTGTCAGACTAGGGTTTAAAATCTGTGAGAATTGATGAGGGCAGGTGACTCACACTTGTAATCTCAGTGCTTTGGGAGGCTGAGGCTGGAGGACCACTTGAGGCCAGGAGTTCATGGTCAGCCTGGACAACATAGTAAGACTTTATCTCCACAAAAAAGAAACAAAATTAGCTGGGCATGATGGTGCTTGCCTGTGGTCCCCAGCTACCTAGGAGGTTGAGGCTGGAGGATCTCTTGAGCCCAGGAGTTAAAGGCTGTAGTGAGCTATGATCCCACCATTGCACTCCAGCCTGGGTGACAGAGTGAGACCCTGTCTTTAAAAAACAAAAATAAAGGGCCGGGCGCAGTGGCTCACACCTATAATCCCAGCACTTTGGGAGGCCGAGGCATGTGGGTCACCCCAGGTCAGGATTTTGAGACCATCCAGCCTGATCAACATGGTGAAACCCCTTCTCTACTAAAAATACAAAAATTAGCCAGGCGTGGTGGCGCATGCCTATAATCCCAGCTACCTGGGAGGCTGAGGCAGGAGAATCGCTTGAACCTGGGATGCAGAGGTTGCAGTGAGCTGAGATCACACCATTGCACTCCAGCCTGGGCAACAAGAGCAAAACTCTATCTTAAAAAAAAATAAAAAATAAAATAAAATCTGTGAGGATAGGGACAGCCTTACAAACTTAGTGCAGTGTACTGCTGATTGATTACTAGAACTCTAGTTAAAACTAGCAAAAATTGTAAAAGCTAACCTATTTGAAGAGGGAAATTGAAGGATTTATGAAAAAAGAATGATGTGGTTGACTTTATAACTCTGGTTAAAACCGGTAAATGTATCCAAATGTTATAAATGAGAATGTGCCACCTTTTTTTGCAGTAATGGTGTGATCATTTTGTTTTAGAAGATAATTTGAAGCCGGGTGCGGTGGCTCACGCCTGTAATCCTAGCACTTTGGGAGGCCGAGGCGGGCGGATCACGAGGTCAGGAGATCGAGACTATCCTGGCTAACATAGTGAAACCCCGTCTCTACTAAAAATACAAAAAAAATTAGCCGGGCCTGGTGGCGGGCGCCTCTAGTCCCAGCTACTCGGGAGGCTGAGGCAGGAGAAAGGCGTGAACCCAGGAGGCGGAGCTTGCAGTGAGCTGAGATTGCGCCACTGCACTCCAGCCTGGGTGACAGAGCAAGATGCCGTCTCAAAAAAAAAAAAAAAGATAATTTGAAATGTGAAAGATGAGTGGAAGAGTGGTAGAGAAGGGACATTGGAGACAAGAAGCATTGAGAAGGCTATTTTAAAAACACATCTGATTAAAGAAAAGGATTGAACAGCCTGAGTTGAAAAAGAGAGGACAAGGCCAGGCGCGGTGGCTCACACCTGTAATCTTGGCACTTTGGGAGGCCAAGGCAGGCGGATCACCTGAGTTCAGGAGTTTGAGACCTGCCTGGCCAACATGGTGAAACCCTGTCTCTCCTAAAAATATAAAAATTAGCCAGGCGTGCTGGCGGGTGCCTGTAATCCCAGCTACTTGGGAGGCTGAGGCAGGAGAATTGCTTGAATCCAGGATGCGGAGGTTTCAGTAAGCCAAGATCGTGCCAATGCACTCCAGCCCGGGCAACAGAGCGAGACTCCGACTCAAAAAAAAAGAAAAAAGAAAAAGAGAGGACAAAGTATGAGTTATTTTCAAGTTCAGAGGACTTGGTAACCAATCAAATGTGAGGAAAAACTCTGGCAGTTTTTGGCTGTTTCATATTTAATTGGTCATCAAAGCCCTCATATTTCTTTCCTTCTCTCTTTTCTACAAGAAGGAATTCCTCCTCGTTTTTAAGACTGATATTTCTATAGATTCTTCCAGTTCAACAAGTACAAGAATAAATAATGATCTTTTCTAGACAAATCATAGCTTTTTCGCTTATTTCCTATCTCATTTAGTGGTAGAATAATGAATAAAATCAGGCCGAGCACGGTGGCTTACTCCTGTAATCCCGGCACTTTGGGAGGCCGAGGCGGGTAGTTGACCTGAGATCAGGAGTTCAAGACCAGCCTGGCCAACATGGTGAAACCCCATCTCTACCAAAAATACAAAAATTAGCCAGATGTGGTGACATGCACCTGTAGTCCCAGCTATTCAGGAGGCTAAGGCAGGAGAATCGCTTGAACCCAGGAGGCAGAGGTTGCAGTGAGCCAAGATCACACCACTGTACTCCAGCCTGGGCAACAGAGCGAGACTCGGTCTCAAAAAAAAAAAAGAATAATGAACAAAATAAGTACTTCCCAAATCTGAAATTCTTCCATCTTTTAAGTAGGTTGATGAAATTTATAATTTTTACTATTTTTTAAAGAAAATATTTAGACATAAAGGTTCTTTGATTAGAAGACTGAGTTTCTATAAATTGAGTGGAGGGGAAAAGATAGAACATATTTATTTACAATAATAGTTTAATCACTCATTATGCTAGTTGCCTACAAGAGAGACATGGCTAATGCAAGTTAAGTATCCTAGCATTAGTATGAGGAATAAGATAGCCACACCATGTACTGCTATGACCTCAGCTAATTTTAGCAAACTGAGTCATGGAATCTGACCTACTGTAGGCTCTCTGATGTTTCATTTACTGTATATAAAAATTTTAGTTTCAGTGATTTGCATTAGAGGTCTACAGAGTGGCTATGTATCCCTTGGGGTATGCGCTGATATATCTATTGGGCTACAGAAAGAAAATATAACATCCCTTCCTTCCTTCCTCCCTCCCTCCCTTCCTTCCTCCCTCCCTCCCTCCCTCCCTCCCTCCCTCCCTCCCTTCCTTCCTCCCTTCCTCCCTCCCTCCCTCCTTCCTTCTTTCCTTCCTTCTTCCCTTTCTTTTCTTTTCTTGTATTTATTTATTTATTTATTTATTTTTATTGATCATTCTTGGGTGTTTCTCGCAGAGGGGGATTTGGCAGGGTCATAAGACAATAGTGGAGGGAAGGTCAGCAGATAAACAAGTGAACAGAGGTCTCTGGTTTTCCTAGGCAAAGGACCCTGCGGCCTTCCACAGTGTTTGTGTCCCTGGGTACTTGAGATTAGGGAGTGGTGATGACTCTTAGGGAGCATGCTGCCTCCAAGCATCTGTTTAACAAAGCACATCTTGCACCACCCTTAATCCATTTAACCCTGAGTGAACACAGCACATGTTTCAGAGAGCACAGGGTTGGGGGTAAGGTCATAGATCAACAGCATCCCAAGGCAGAATTTTTCTTAGTACAGAACAAAATAGAGTCTCCCATGTCTACTTCTTTCTACACAGACACAGCAACAATCTGATTTCTCTATCTTTTCCCCACCTCTCCCCCTTTTCTATTCCACAAAACCGCCGTCGTCATCATGGCCCGTTCTCAATGAGCTGTTGGGTACACCTCCCAGACGGGGTGGTGGCTAGGCAGAGGGGCTCCTCACTTCCCAGTAGGGGCGGCCAGGCAGAGGCGCCCCTCACCTCCCGGATGGGGCGGCTGGCCGGGCAGGGGGCTGACCCCCCCACCTCCCTCCCGGACGGGGCGGCTGGCCGGGCAGAGGGGCTCTTCACTTCCCAGTAGGGGCGGCCGGGCAGAGGCGCCCCTCACCTCCCGGACGGGGTCGCAGCCGGGCAGAGGCGCTCCTCACATCCCAGACGGGGCGGCGGGACAAAGGCGCTCCCCACATCTCAGACGATGGGCGGCCGGGCAGAGACGCTCCTCACTTCCTAGATGGGATGGCGGCCGGGAAGAGGTGCTCCTCACTTCCCAGACTGGGCAGCCGGGCAGAGGGGCTCCTCACATCCCAGACGAAGGGTGGCCGGGCAGAGACGCTTCTCACTTCCCAGACGGGGTGGCGGCCGGGCAGAGGCTGCAGTCTCGGCACTTTGGGAGGCCAAGGCAGGCGGCTGGGAGGTGGAGGTTGTAGTGAGCCGAGATCACGCCACTGCACTCCAGCCTGGGCAACATTGAGCACTGAGTGAATGAGACTCCGTCTGCAATCCCGGCACCTCAGGAGGCCGAGGCTGGTGGATCACTCGCGGTTAGGAGCTGGAGACCAGCCCGGCCAACACAGCGAAACCCCGTCTCCACCAAAAAAATACGAAAACCAGTCAGGCGTGGCGGCGCGCGCCTGCAATCGCAGGCACTCGGCAGGCTGAGGCAGGAGAATCAGGCAGGGAGGTTGCAGTGAGCCGAGATGGCGGCAGTACAGTCCAGCCTTGGCTCGGCATCAGAGGGAGACCGTGGGGAGGGGGAGGGGGGAGAGGGAGACCGTGGGGAGGGGGAGGGGGAGGGGGGAAGAGGGAGAGGGCTCTTTTCTTTTCTCTCTACCTGTTTTAGTTTTTTAAGTCTGTTATATGTTAGCAACATTGAATTACGTTAATATATGAATTATGCTCTCAGTTTGTATGTCAGATAAGTTACAAACAAAAAAGGCATACTCAGAAGAAAACGTAGAGGTTGTAGGTCTGGAAGGGGTTGACAATCACACCCTCATTTGTTTGCAGTATGTTGCCATGCATTGCACTTTTACTTAAGCTAGGTTAAGTAGCTTTACGGGTTATATTATCTTAAATAACAGTCTCTATATTACTTTGTAAGGAGAGGTAGAGTAACCAAGAATAGTTCTTTTACCTCACAGGAGTGATCGAACTTAAAAGATGAGTTAGAAAGTGTTTGAGATTCGTCCTTTTCAGAAATAACAAGTAGCATTAGATAGTATGATACTTAGAAAATATTTTCAGAAAAAATAAAAACTTAAGTCTTTGATGTAAACATGAGTGAGAAAGTTAAGTGCTTTTTTGAAGGAAATTGATGCTTGGAGCAGAGTTTGGCACATATTTTCCTGCAAAAGTTCAGATCGCAAATCTTTGCAGCTTTTCAGGCAATGCACTCCCTATTGGAGCGACTCAACTCCCATTGTAGCAGGAAAGCAGCCATAGGCAAACATACATGAATGGATGTGGCTGTGTTCCAGTAAAACTTCATTTACAGAAATGGGGATTAGGCTGGATATACTTTGCCAACCCTTGCTATAGTGAAAGCATTTTGAATATATATTTTTAGAAATGCTTCTTTCATCATTATATGATTTTACCCAAAATAAGTAGAACTTGAAATCTTTGAATCACTTTATTACAAAATATTAAAACCAAGACTTTTTAAAATAATGAAATTTATTTAGTTACATTTTCACTGAGAGATATTATCAATATTAATTTTTAGTGAGAGCCAAAAGGTTTTTTCTACCCACTAATAAATAAAATGTATTATTTAAATATTATTTATTTCATTTATATCTTATCCCATTAAGTTAACTTTTATATTTTATAATTTACATAATCTATGAGAACATCATACATATATATTATATAAATAAATGACTTAGCTTGGGAATTATTGGGGTTTTTTCCTGAAGGTAGAGCACTGATCCAAATACTGTTTTGGAGATTTTAGATGAGTTTTAACCTTTGCTCTGCAAGTTCTCTGAATACTTGTGTAATTATAAAAACAGTATTTGTATAAACTTAACAGGGGACAGGTTGTACACATATACCCAGACAGCTAATCTCTGCTGTTTGTACTTGTTCAAAATGACACTATTTCTCCTAAAGATAAATTTAGTCATTCTTGTGAGATGTAAATGTTTATGCTTCTCAGTCACTAAGTATTTTACTTCATGTTTTAATTCTTTCTGTAATTATTTCTTAGTCTATCCCTTCATAATTGTAGCTCTAATTTTAAAATGTTTTCCCTAATTATAAAATTATGCAAATGTATAAAAAGCATTTTTTCTGTGTTTTTTTTTTAATTAGGATTATACTATCTAAACAATTTTGTAACCTGCCTTTTTCCCGTTTGTAGTAGTATTATGGTGTATGTACTCTACCTCCCTGCCTACTGCCATGTTTCAGCCATACTTTTTTCCAGAAGATATTTTAAAAGCTCTACATAAATGTGTACAATGTAACAAAATAGAATAAATTAAAAGTGGTTATTACATTTTTTTTTTAATGGAGTCTTGCTCTGTCACCCATGCTGGAGTGCAGTGGTGCGATCCTAGCTCACTGCAACCTCTGCCTCCTGGGTTGAAGCAATTCTGCCCCAGCCTCCTGAGTAGTTGGGATTACAGGTGCACACCACCACACCCAGCTATTTTTGCGTTTAGTAGAGATGGGGTTTCACCATGTTGGTCAGGCTGGTCTCAAACTTCTGACCTCAGGTGATCCTCTCGCCTCGGCCTCCCAGAGTGTTGAGATTACAGGCGTGAGCTACTGTGCCTGGCCAAATGTCTTTTGATAACATGATTTATAATGGCTTTACAATATGCCAGCTTGTAGATTTACCATAATTTATTTAATCACTGCCAATCATTAGATATTTAGGTTGTTGTCAGTTTATTTCATTTCAATAAATGAGGCTGTGATAAATATCCTTATACATAATCTCTGTTTACATCACTGATACTTTTCTCAAAAAATCTATATAAAATTCCTAGATCAAAAAATATAAACATTCTTAATATATTAATGCCAAATTGTATTATAGAAAAAGTACATTTAGTTGCTTAGAGAAGAAATTCTTAGTTTCACTATAGAGCATTCTCTTAGTGTCTTTTACTGAAATCTTTTGTTCACAGAAAATATCCCTGTTAGTATATCCTCTTTTATTACTTTGTTGGATGTTTAATAAGTCAAGGATTATAAATTATAAATAATATATATTAAATAGGTAAATATTAGTTTTTTTCCTCTCAAAGAAATTCCTTAGATATTAAAGATTTTACTCAGTGGAACTAAACTTTCCTGCCTCATCAGTTATTATTGCCCATTATTAATTGAAAGTTATATTCGTGTTTAAAATTTATATGTATTATATTTCTAATAGACTTGACCATAGTCAGTATTTTTGTATTCTAATAATTATAAAGAAGGTTTAAAGTCTGCTTTAAACCAACCAAAATGTTTCTTTCACAGTACAGTTTTAACTGTAATGTGCTTATTTGTTTTCGCTTATGGCAAAATATTTGTAACACATTGCACAAGTCTAAGGTATGTTTTTTTAAAAATAACCTAACTTGGGCAAAAGTAGAAATGCATTGGCTCTCAGGATTACAAGACAGCTTTAGTAACTAAACCATGAAGCATAGGGATATAGGCAGTAGTGTGTTGGAGGTGCTTTTGCTGGCTCACAAGAGCTGATTGTGCACATCCCTTCCCACTTCCACGTTCAATGTTGTCGTGTTGGTAGCTTAAGATTGCCCATGTCGGGATTATTTCCACCAGAAAGTCAGCAAACACTCCAAGTCAGAGGTTCCCACCACCCTAGTCAGTTGCTAAATCTTTATTAGCACATCACTGGACTTGAGCAGATATCAGTCGGGTTCAGTTGCCTTCAGAACTCCTGTTAGAATCCTGAATTCTGCCTCTATAGAGGTTGACTTCTGTCAGTGAAGACTAGCTTTCTCAGTATGGTGAGATAATAGTCCCATGGTAGCTCCCAAGTTTTACAGACTATCACATACTTTCTGACACCATAGAGAAACTAGCTTTCTCTGTTGCAGTTAGAAAAATACTAGAGAAGGTCTCTCCTCAGATGCCTGCCATTGGGTACTTAATTCAGGGGTGAGGATGGGGGATCATGGTAAATGGGGTTGTATAAGAATTTGCACATCCCAAGTTGCTATGTGAATAGGAATGCGTTTCCAGGGGAAGGAGAAAGAGACATTACAGAGCAGACAGCTCTATGATGTTTACTATACTTGCTAAAATGTGAAATTCAGCTAAATTGGAATACAAAGTAGTGCCAAAACAGCATTAGGTTTGCGGAGTTATTTTAAACATAATTGAAAAATCAAGGTTTTTTAATACTTTAAATAAAACATCTGTTTTTCAATGTGGTAATTTAAGTCCTACGATGAGTTTATTAACATGTGCTTTTTATTTAGGGTATGAGCTACAGTTCCGATTAGGCCCAACTTTACAGGGAAAAGCAGTTACCGTGTATACAAATTACCCATTTCCTGGAGAAACATTTAATAGAGAAAAATTCCGTTCTCTGGATTGGGAAAATCCAACAGAAAGAGAAGATGATTCTGATAAATACTGTAAACTTAATCTGCAACAATCTGGTTCATTTCAGTATTATTTCCTTCAAGGGTAAGTCAGGTGTTTTGTTTGTGAGAAAAAAAGTTAATTTGTTCTGTAATTTGAAGTCACCTAACTTGTAAATGTTACTGTATGAACCATGGCAGTGCAATTTTTATAGTGCTTCCTTGAGATGCAAATAGAATATTCTTTGATTTCTAGGAGGTAATTTTATGGTCCATTGCAGAGCTAAAGTATCAAGTAAATGTATTTTAAGTAACATCTTAAAATGTAGTAATTTCATGCAACCTGATTATAGGTTGCTGTTTATTTGCGTGCCCTTGTTATTACTGATAGGTTTTAGTATACTTATATTTCATTAAACCAACATTCTTGGATATTTTGTGTATTATACATGTAATTATGTAGATTGTGAAAGGGTAAAAGTAGCTTTTCCATTAAGTTTTGTTGCAACTTTTAAAATGATTTTATGTGCTTAGAAATAAATACATTTTATTTGGGACAATTAACCTTTTAGTTAGAGTCAGACTATATTATATGAGGATTTTTTTTCTATCACTGACTGAAAAGTTTTTGTTTTGTTTTTTCCCTTAGAAATGAGAAAAGTGGTGGAGGTTACATAGTTGTGGACCCCATTTTACGTGTTGGTGCTGATAATCATGTGCTACCCTTGGACTGTGTTACTCTTCAGACATTTTTAGCTAAGTGTTTGGGACCTTTTGATGAATGGGAAAGCAGACTTAGGGTTGCAAAAGAATCAGGTAATGTCAGCTTGCTTTCTTTTTCTTATTTAAAAAAATAAATGTAATTATCCTCTGTGATATAGATTTCAAAAGTTTTGTGTATTAGTCCATTCTCTCATTGCAGTAAAGAACTACCTGAGACTGGGTAATTTATAAAGAAAAGAGGTTTGACTCACAGTTCCGCAGGCTATACAGGAAGCATGGCTGGGGAGGCCTCAAGAAACTTACAGTCATGGCAGAAGGCAAAGGGGAAGCAGGCATGTCTTACATGGCCAGAGAAGGAGGAAGAGAACAAAGTGGGAGGTGCTACGTGCTTTTAAACAACCAGATCTTGTGAAAACTCACTCACTATCATGAGAACAAGGGGGAAATCCACCTCTGTGATCAAACACCTCTCACCAGGCCCCTCCTCCAACATCGGGGATTACAATTCGAATGAGATTTGGGCAGGGACACAAATCCAAACCATATCTTTTTGCCTCTATGTTTAATTTTGTTTCTTATTATTTAGTAATATAAGTAGATAGAACCATATTAAAAAAAAATTTTTTTTTTTTGAGACGGAGTATCACCCTGTCACGTAGGCTGCAATGGTGCGATCTCAGCTCACTACAACCTCCACCTCCCGGGTTCAAACGATTTTCCTGCCTCAGCCTCCTGAGTAGCTGGGATTATAGGCACCTGCCACCATGCCTCACTAATTTTTGTATTTTTAGTAGAGACGGGGTTTCACCATGTTGGCCAGGCTGGTCTCAAACTTCTGACCTCGTGATCTGCCCACCTTGGCCTCCCAAAGTGCTGGGATTATAGGCATGAGCTGCTGTGCTTGGCCCATATTACATTTTTGATACTTAACCATTTTTAACCTATAAAAATGGCAAATTTTGTGGTTCAGCTTAAGAAATGAAGGAACTCCATAATGAAACACTTATCATTTCTAAGACTTTACCATATAAAAATCAGAAATAAGCTATTGAAAAGTGAAGGAAAATGTATTATCATTATGTATCATTTTAATTCAACAAACATTGGTTAACCATCTTTTGTGTAGAAGACATGTGCTACCATAAATACCAAGAGCAAAATGAAACTTGTGTTTCATTTTGGCGCAATCTCGGCTCACTGCAAGCTCCGCCTCCTGGGTTCACACCATTCTTCTGCCTCAGCCTCCCGAGTAGCTTGGGACTGCAGGCGCCTGCCACCACGCCTGGCTAATATTTTGTATTTTTAGTAGAGACAGGGTTTCACGGTGTTAGGATGGTCTCGATCTCCTGACCTCATGATCCACCTGCCTCAGCCTCCCAAAGTGCTGGGATTACAGGCATGAGCCACTGCGCCTGGCCTTTTTTTTTTTTTTTTTTTTAAGACAGTGTCTCTGTCACCCAGACTGGAGTGCAGTGGCCTGATCTATTTTTTGTAGAGACAAAAGTCTCACTGTGTTGCCCAAGCTGGTCTTGAACTCCTGGGCTCAAGTAGTCCTCTTGCCTTGGCCTCCCAAAGTGCTGGGATTACAGGTGCAAACCACTGCACCTGATCTCAATATTAATTTTCTGCTTTTAAGTTGGATAATACATGAAGAAAGGAATGAGAAGTTCACTGACATAACTAAAACAGAATACAAGTACTATGGAACATTAAAAGTAGTAGAAACACGTGTTGATATACTCGTAGAAGATAAATTTACTACATGTTAAGTATATAAATTTTCTAATAGGCAGTGTGTGTGAATTTTTTCAAATATTATCTCATTATCTCTGTCTTGTATATGAGGACACATATCTTGAAAGATTTAAATAAACTTGCTTAAAGTCTCTTGTGGTACAGTTAGGATTTGAACCCAAGTGTTTGACCTCTTTTCCAGTAGCATGCTTGCCTTGCTATTTATAATTACTTAAGAAAGTTTAAATTTATATTTTCTTCATTTTAGGCTGGTTTTGTTTGTTTGTTTTTACAGTGGTCTTTCCTTTATTTGCTTTGCAGGCTACAACATGATTCATTTTACCCCATTGCAGACTCTTGGACTATCTAGGTCATGCTACTCCCTTGCCAATCAGTTAGAATTAAATCCTGACTTTTCAAGACCTAATAGAAAGTATACCTGGAATGATGTTGGACAGCTAGTGGAAAAATTAAAAAAGGAATGGAATGTTATTTGTATTACTGATGTTGTCTACAATCATACTGGTATGAGCTTCATTGACTGCCTTCATTAATTTTGATGAGAATTTATGCACACACACATATACACACAAATAAGAGAAAGGAAGAAAGAAAGAGAAAGGAAAGGGGCTAACATAAATTTTAAAAACACAAATGATGATTAGGTGTCCTTCTGTTTAAAAAATTAATATTTTTCCTTTCAAAGAAAACATTCTTAATTGAGGATTAAGTCAATATATAAGTATCTTGCATCTGTTGCTTATAAATACAGGAGAGTGATCATAGAAGGAACATAATGATCACATATTTCAACTTACAGTACAGTAGTCCCCCCTTATTCGCAGTTTTGCTTTCTGAGGTTTCAGTTACCTGCAGTCAATCACATTTCAAAAATATTGAATATTCCAGAAATCAGCAATTCATAAGTTTTAATTTTCATGCTGTTTTAAGTAACATGACAAACTCTCATGCCATCCTGCTCTATCCCACCTGGAATGTGACTCATCCTTTTGTCCAGTGCATCCATGCTGTAAATACTACCTGTCCACCAGTTACTTAATAGCCTGCTCAGTTATCAGATAAAAAAACACAAAATATCAAAATATATATATATATAGGGTTTCATACTATCTATAGTTTTACACATCCACTTGAGGTCTTGGAAGGTACCCCTAAGGATAAGAGGGGACTACTCTATTAATCCTTTCCCAAGTAACTCATGGATCCTATATTAGCAGGAGCTCTGGTACTATAGTACTATAGCATATATGAAAAAACTGAATGACTTCTATTATTTGGAGAGAAACTTATTAGTAAACTCTCAGAAGTTGTATTTGGAAATTATGTCTTCTACATGTTAAAAGAGCTTATTAAATTTAGTCTGTTTTGGTTCCTAAGATTCCTTAGTGGTATATAATTCTATTAAAATAGATCAGATTTTTCCAGCTAGTGATCCTTGAGGAAATGGTTGCTCCCCTCACCTGTCAGAGGAGCTGAGCCTGGCCTGGCCTAGCCTGACAAAGCGTGGCCATCAGCAGCTTTGGGTTTAACCCAGTTTACCTTACAAATGTTATCTTGTGTGTATGCTACAATGTAGAAAAGTTTGGAAACCACTGATTTGCATATGTAAAGAACAAGAATTCTAGTTGGTACAAACATTTAAAAGATACAATCTGCTGTTTCATAAAACAGTTCTCCAAGTAACCATAGAAACTATGAAGATATTTAAAAGCTCATAGATCTGGTTCATCAATATAAATAAAAATCTCTAATCATAATGGCAAAGTTAGGTAAAGAAATAGGTACATTCTAAAATTTGGTGTTTCTGCATGTACCTAGAAACCAAGCCTCCAGTTCTACGGTGAAAACTTCATAATACCTAAGAACTCAGTATTCTTCATTTGAAAATTTGACATTATTAAGCCAGGTGCTGTGGCTTGCACCTGTAATCCCAGCTGCTTGAGAGGCTGAAGTGGGAGGATGACTTGAGGCCAGGAGTTTGAAACCAGCCTTGGCAACATAATGAGACCCCCATCTCTTACAAAATAATGTAAAAAAATTGTAAAGGAAAATTTGACAGTCTTGATAATCACTTTGAGATCTATAATATTATTGAAATCAGATTTATCAAACCACATAAGGGCATTTTATGAGTTATAAATTGTATGAGTTAGGATATGGCATAAGCAGCTATAACAGAAAAACATAGGGACTAAAGGCTAAAATTGTATTTATTTCTTACAAAAGATTAGATAGGCATTCCTGGACTAGGATGGTAGTTCAGTGGTGATAGGGAACTAGTTTCTCTCATGTTGCTCTGCAGTCTCCAACACTTTGCTTCAAATTCTTAGTCAGATATGGCTATTCCAGCTCCTGCTACCACATTCTCCCCAGTGGAAATGAGGAAAGGGCAGGCATGTCTTTTTGGGTATGATATGATATATATTACTGTGTTCATATTGCATCACAGGAATTTGTCTCTTGCCATACCTACCTTAAAGGAGACCTGCAGCGTAGTCTTGAGTTTGTCAGCTATGTGTAAAGTTGAACCTTGGGAATTTTATTACTAAAGAAAGAAAGGGAGGATAAAACTGAGTACAGCAGCAGTCTCTACCACAGACTGTATTTCTGAGACATTTGGGAGATTCTGTGCAATGTAAAAGAAGTAAACCTTGCCACAGCCTTACTTGAAAAGTGTTGCAAATCGTAATATCCTTTCTGTGAAACAAGTTTTCTTTTATTTATTTATTTTATTTATTTTATTTTTTTTTGAGATGGAGTTTCACTCTTGTTGCCCAGGCTGGAGTGCAATGGCGCGATCTCGGCTCACCGCAACCTCCACCTTCCAGGTTCAAGTGATTCTCCCGCCTCAGCCTCCCAAGTAGCTGGGATTACAGGCATGCACCAACACACCCAGCTAATTTTTGTATTTTTAGTAGAGATGGGGTTTCTTCATGTTGGTCAGGCTGTTCTTGAACTCCCGACCTCAAGTGATCCGCCCACCTTGGCCTCCCAAAGTGCTGGGATTACAGGCGTGAGCCACTGTGCCCAGCCAGTTTTCTTTTAAAAAAGTATTATCTAGCAGAATTCAACCTCCAGAATGGTTATGTGAAGGCTTCACACACTCTTTACGTAGTGAAACAACCCTAACTGGTGAAAATTATTTTAAGACAATCACTTAAATCCCCTTGAAATTGTCCTACGGATATTTAGCATATGGAGAAACATATGAAGATCTACTACATCTTAGTAAGAACAGGAGTCCTTGGTGATTGAACCAAGACCTGCTCCATTATCTTACACAAATGCCTCTGTTATGGAAGCTGTATCACAGGTGCTCCACTCCTGGTAGGTGTGGCCAAGAGGGAGACATTCTCTCCTCCCAACTCCCAGCCTGGGGTTATAGTTTCATGCTAAGAGGCACAGTCTATGAGTGTTTTTAATTCTCCCTGCCGGCCCTGTCTTGCAGAAGTTCTTTTTTTTTAATTTTTTTTTCTCTTTTTTTTTTTGAGACGGAGTCTCCTTCTGTCGCCCAGGCTGGAGTGCAGTGGCGCAGTCTTGGCTCACTGCAGCCTCCACCTCCCGGGTTCAAGCGATTCTTGTGCCTCAGCCTCCCGAGTAGTTGGAATTACAGGTATGAGCCACCATGCCTGGCTAATTTTTATATTTTTAGTAGAGTTGGAGTCCCGCCATATTGGCCAGGTTCGTCTCAATCCACCCTGCCTTGGCCTCCCAAAGCGTGAGCCACCGCACCCGGCCGTGTTGCAGAAGTTCTATTCCAAGCAGGCAGGTGGAGAAAAATCTCCTTTTCTCCACCCAGCCCCTACTTGCAGAGCTGACATCCTTTCCCACAAGTAGCAGGCCAAGAACACTGGGAACCCATTTGCCCTGGAAAAGGTCTTGGTTCAAATGCCAAGACTCTTGCTGTTCTTATCTTAAATAAATGTTTCTTCTTATGCTGAATGCCCTAGGATAATTTCCAGGGACTAAATGATTGTTTTTAAAATTATTTTCACCAGTTAAATTGTTTTGCTAGGGACAGTGTTTGTTGAGTTTCTTACTGTATCACTCCAGAAGTCCATATTTATTTTTTAATGTTGATGTGTGTTAAAACATAGTTTGGAGTTTGACTCTTCTTTCATGTAGAATTAGAAAAAAATATTTTCACTACCTATTGTTTAGAATTCTTTCATTTTACAGTTGATTTTTGTTTCAAAATATTGAAAAAAGAAACAGTTTTAGGATTTTGCTATTTTAAAAATTGGGGACGGGTGGAGTGGCTCACACCTGTAATCCCAGCACTTTGGGAGGCCGTGGCGGATGGGTCACCTGAGGTCAGGAGTTTGAGACCAGCCTGGGCATCATGGTGAAACCCCATCTCTACTAAAAATACAAAAATTAGCCGGGCATGGTGGTGGGCGCCTGTAATCCCAGCTACTCCAGAGGCTGAGGCAGGAGAATCACTTGAACCCAGGAGGTGGAGGTTACAGTGAGCCGAGACTGTGCCACTGTACTCCAGCCTGGGTGACAAAGCAAGACTCTGTCTCAAAAAAAGGGAAAAATTTAAATTAGCTGTGTGTGTTGGCATACACTTGTCGTCCTGACTACTTGGGAGGCTGAGGCAGGAGGATCACTTCAGCTCTAGAGTTCAAGGCTGCAGTGAGCTATGATTGCACCACTGCACTCCTGCACTCCTGGGTGATGGAGAAAGACCTTTCTCAAAAATAAATGGATGAATGAGAGCAGCATTGGTATTTACTCTTTTTTTTTTTTTTTTTGAGACAGGGTCTCATTCTGTCACCCAGGCTGTAGTGCAGTGGCACAATCTCAGTTCATTGCAACCTCCACTTATTGGGGTCAAGCAGCCCTCCCACCTTAGCCTCCTGAGTAGCTGGGACTTTAGGCACATGCCACCATGCTCAGCTAATTTTTTAAAAATTTTGTAGAGATGAGGTCTCACTATGTTGCCCAGGCTGTCTCCAGCTCCTGGACTCAGGTGATACTCCCTCCTCAGCCTCCCAAAGTGCTGAGATTACAGGCGTGAGCCACTGCACCTAGCCCCAATATTTATTTTTTATACGTGAAAATCCTATTTGGACATAAGTTATTACTACATTTTGTCATTTTGAAAAATACCTTGAATTTCAGTGATTGTGTTGATGAATCTCGGAGGAACTACTTAATGCAAGTTTTGAGAATTACCAATTTAACTTTTATTACAACTTCTCTGCTCCTTACATAGCCTTTCTTCATCTGAGTGCTTATTATGGGTATGAATAAATACTAAGTAAATAAATGACTTACTAAATAAATGACTGAAACTGGAAATAATAATGATTCTAAAATTATATAAGGGTGCTCAGCTGAGTAAATGAAGCACAAACAATTCATTTCAGCAGCAGAGCAATGTGGTTAAGATTGCATATTCTGAAGAGAGACTTGGCCAAGTTAATTCCTGACTGTATGACTTGGGCTGAGTTACTTAACTCTCTGTGCTTCAGTTTCTCTTTTGTTAAGGGAACATAACAGTATGTCCTAATTTGTGTGGTAGGAAGTGAGGAATAATAAATTAGTGTATTTAACTGCTTAGAACAATTTCTGGTATGTGGTAAATATTCAGTAATTGTTACTACTTTTTATTTTATACACATTAATCACTCATGCTCTTCAATATGAATTCAGGGATAATTATTAGTCCATTTTAAAGATCAAACAAATTCCATGTAACTTTCATTCGTTTATTTTAAATTAAAACAAATTATCTGTTTTTAAATAGGTAGATATAAGGTTTCACTGTGTTGCCCAAGCTGGTCTTGAACTCCTGCAGGCTATCCAACCTCCACTCCCACAAAGTGCTGGGGTTGAGCTACCGTGCCTGGCCAAAACAAATTATCTTCAATGTTGTAAATATTTGGAATACTGTGCCAAACTCCTGATTCTGATTCTGAACTATAAGCTACATTCGTATTCCTTGAGCGTATTTATTTTAGCACTTTCTCAACCTCGCTTTTATCCAACTTATCAAAACAACGTATTTCATTAACACTTTAGGATGAGCCATACAAAAGTGTTACCTATGAGAGAGTTGCTTTTTGTTTCATCGGATTTTCTAAGCAGAATTAAAGTTAGAAAAAAAAAAAGTATGCTGAAGCGAATGATAGGATACCATAACCAAAGAAAAAACTTTTCCTGTAACAGTATCATCGTAAAATTGATGTCCAATATAGAAAAAAATGAGTGGTAGATCTTTATATTTTATTTCACCTCTAAACTTAACATAGATACAGTTTCAATTTAATTATGAGATACTCCTTTGTGTCTCCTTTTTCCTTCAGCTGCTAATAGTAAATGGATCCAGGAACATCCAGAATGTGCCTATAATCTTGTGAATTCTCCACACTTAAAACCTGCCTGGGTCTTAGACAGAGCACTTTGGCGTTTCTCCTGTGATGTTGCAGAAGGGAAATACAAAGAAAAGGGAATACCTGCTTTGATTGAAAATGATCACCATATGAATGTCAGTATGTACAGAGGAGTATCACACTAAAACAGAAAAAATTTCTAAAGCACACATTAAATATATGGTTGAAAATTACTTAGAACCTGTATTTTAATATGATAAACAGTATTTGCTTAACTGATTTTAAATAAGTATATGTATATATGTATTTTTTAACTATTGACATTTTTCAGTCCATCCGAAAAATAATTTGGGAGGATATTTTTCCAAAGCTTAAACTCTGGGAATTTTTCCAAGTAGATGTCAACAAAGCGGTTGAGCAATTTAGAAGACTTCTTACACAAGGTAAAGGATACATACTAGAATGTTCCTATCGATTTTAAGAAATGTAATATTATAAAGGGAAAACTCTCTTTTGGGTAACGTCATTATTAAATATGTCATTGTATTATATTTGTGTTATTGTTGATATTATAAAACTGTGATTCTGTAAGCTGAGAGTTAGCAGAAACATCTAAAGGGCACGTCATAATAATACATAACACAATTATTTCCCCTGGGTACTGTATCTTACTGTTAGTTCCATAGAATGCTCAGAATATTGTGGAACCCAGTATATAGTTGTTAAATGTATGAATGGGAAGTAGGTTGAACAGGTTATTTCAGCTGAGAAAGGCTTGAAACAAGTTTTGAAATTGAGAGATGTGATAGTCTCCTGTTGTCTATAGTAAGAACCTTAACTGACGTAGAGGGGCTCCCAGCTGATTTTGCGCACTATTAAGGCCACCTAACCACTAGTGATATTGAAGCCAGATATTGACGAGATAACAAAAGGTAACGAAGTGAGTCTTCTATTAAGGACATAACTAATCAAGCAGTTAATGTGCCCCCCCCCCCCCAACAAAATAGGGTAGGAAAAAATAGGTGAAATGAGAAAGTAGGGTTTGTAGGAGACAAATTAGAAAGGATTATTAAGAGTCTATCTGCATTTCATATAGGACAACCTAGCAGTGAGGATTTGGGGAAGATCTTAAAATACTTTTTTTCTCTTGCAGAAAACAGAACTAGAGTAGGACTCAGAAATAGTGCCTTTGAAGTAGACGTCAATATGGCTTGAGCTCTAGGATACTCAGTCAGCTTCATGCATCAACTTTTGCAATTGTGTAACACCTTAATACAGGAATTTTTAATATTAACTTTTCTCCCTGTTTCATTTTACTAAAGGGCCTCTATCTTCCCTTCCCCCAATAACCTGTATTATTTACATGAAATAATATGTGCTCATTGTAAAGAGAAAAAGCCCAATAGTTTAAATGTGTAAGAAAATAGAATGTATGACCTCTTCTTTCCCAAAACCCACATCTCAGCTACTACATATTGTTTCTTGTACTTAAGACTCTTTGTGAAAAAAAATTCAATTTTATATATAATTTTATATAATTCTATATATGGTAAGTACATAAATTTTATATTTATTTTTATTTTTTACACATGCAAATAAGAACATAAATTGTCAACAACTTGTTCTTTTAGTTGACAATATGAATTTATTATAGCTAATTATTTCTTTTAACCTCTGTATAGCAATATGCTATTTTTAAAGTACTTGAATTTATTTAGCCTTTTTGATAGGTTGTTTCCAGTTTTTTCATTTTTCATTCATTCATTCAATGCATATTCATTGAACCACCTACTACTGTGTGCTAGACATGAGGATTCAGTGGTAAACAGAACAAAGTCCTTTCCCTGGATAAACTTCCAGTCTCATAAGCTGTACTGCAGAAAATACATCCCCGTACACCTTATGTTTACTTGCTTATGTGAGTCAATCTGAAGGATACATTGTTAAACATGGAATTATTGAGTCAAAGGGTATACAGATTTCAAATATAATAAATTTATTTTCACAGCAAGTTATACCAACTTAATATTATCACTAACATTAGATATCATTAACCTTTATCATGTTTGTCAATTAGGCAAAACATACCTTATTTTAATTTACATTTCTTTTTTTTTTTTTGAGACTGAGTCTCACTCTGTCACCAGGCTAGAGTGCAGTGGTGTGATCTTGGCTCACTGCAACCTCTGCCTCCCAGGTTCAAGTGATTCTCCTGCCTCAGCCTCCCAAGTAGCTGAAACTACATGCATGCACCACCACACCCAGCTAATTTTTGTATTTTTAGTAGAGACGGGGTTTCACCATGTTGGCCAGGATGGTCTCGATCTCTTGACCTCGTGATCTGCCTGCCTCAGCCTCCCAAAGTACTGGGATTACAGGCGTGAGCCACCGCGCCCAGCCTTTTAAGTTACATTTCTTTGCTTATTAATGAAGTATATTTTTACACCTTGATTAGCTATTTATATTTCTTCCATTAATTGCCTGTTAATGTTTCTTCTCATTTTTCTATTGAGTTGTCTCTTTTTTTATATCGACATTATTGATTATTACACAGGCCTCAAATATATCCCCTAGTATGCTCTTGATCTTTTAACTCTTGTTTATGGTGACATTTTTTTTCAATGTAGTCAAACTTTTCAATCTCTGATGGCTTCCAATTTCATATCATGCTTAGAAAAGACCTTCCATCAACATTCTCTTTTCTTCTAATTTGTATTTTTACATTTGAATATTTAATATACCTGAAATTTATTTTTGTGTATTATATAAAGAAGATATTTAACTTGATTTGTATTTTTAAAATTATATTGAGTTGAAAATCCATCCTTTTATACTGATTTGAAGTACCACCATAATACTTCATAGTGTATGGTAATATACAAAATATACATCTGTTATCTGTGCTCTTCCACTGATCCGTCTCTTTTATTCTATCAATACTAAAGATTATTAGTTTATACTGATGGCATAGCTTTTTCTCTTTTTCAAACATTTCTTGGCAGTGTTCTTTTTTTTTTTTTTTTTTGAGACAGAGTTTCACTCTTGTCGCCTAGGCTAAAGTGCAGTGGTGTAATCTCCACTCACCACAACCTCCGCTTCCTGGGTTCAAGCGATTCTCCTGCCTCAGCCTCCCGAGTAGCTGGGATTACAGGCATGTGCCACCACACCCAGCTAATTCTGTATTTTTAGTAGAGATGGAGTTTCTCAATGTTGGTCAGGCTGGTCTCGATCTCTTGACCTCAGGTGATCCACCCACCTCAGCCTCCCAAAATGCTGGGATTACAGGTGCAAGCCACCATGCCCGGCGGCAGTTTTCATATATTTACTCTTCCAGATGAACCTTAGAAACTGGATTTTAAGAATTGATTTGTATTTTATGCTGTTTTGTGAGGCTAACGTGAATAACCACTACACTATGAAACCCATTATTTTGTTTTTTTGTTCGTGTTTTTATAAGTCATTTCAAAGTCTCTTTAGAATAAGCCAGACACAAATTAATTAGTTAATATAAAATCAAGTTCAATGGAGGCAATCCTGTACCAGTTCTTAATTTTATTACAAACAAGTTCCAGAAAAAGAGTGAAAATTTCCCCAAAAACCATTTATTTCCTTTTTAATTTTTAAGTTATTATCTAAGGAATATGGTTGATGAAAAGGGAAAAAAAGTATTAAACCTGTGTGCTTCTTTTAGAGAATTCAAAGAAAGTCAGGTTGTTAATAAGACTTCAGGAAGCAAACTTTGAAAGCAATCTTGAAAAAGAACTCCTGAGGTTAGAATATTTGGTAGCACCGGGGAGGAAAACGGGTTCCACTAAAGTCCTTAAAGTGTTTAAAAAAAAAAAAGGTACATGTATACATGTATAACAAACCTGCAAGTTGTGCACATGTACCCTAGAACTTAAAGTATAATAAAATATATATATAAAAAAATAAAAAAAGAATAGAATAAGTGAATGCTGATGTAGGCAGAAAAGTGGGGGCTGAGATTGAATTGATAGGAATCCTTGTGTCTTTCTTTTATGTTATTTTTGTCTCTGTTTCTTTCTCCCCCACACCCCTCGTGTGTGTTTGCGCGTGCACGCACGTGCACACACGTGCACACAGCAGGATGAGAAGGGGAGGAGGTAGGAGGATACCTGTGAAATAAATATTTGTTTTATTTTCAGTGAAAAAATTATAGGCCAAAAATTAGAAAATAGTGACAGTTATAATCTCTTTGTAGATATTTGCATTTAAGGTATCGTCTTTTCTTTCTTTTAGAAAATAGGCGAGTAACCAAGTCTGATCCAAACCAACACCTTACGATTATTCAAGATCCTGAATACAGACGGTTTGGCTGTACTGTAGATATGAACATTGCACTAACGACTTTCATACCACATGAGTATGTAATGTGTTTTTTTCTGTGAAATAATAATATTACTTACAAACCTTTATGGCTAGTATGATTTTCATACTACTTATTAAAAACGCTTAATAGAAAATGAAATAAAGTAATTCACTGTAATTCTACTATTTCAGCACATGACATTTTCCCACTTTTTCTGTGTGTGGGCCATGTTTCTATATGTGTATATAAACATTTTTACAATTGGAAAACATCATCAGCCATAATTGAAATCCCGATGAATATATTTAAGGTTTCTGTGACCTTTGTTAGAAAGTTTTTAAATGTAGAATCTGTAAAGCCATTAAATATTATATCTGCATTTCTCCATCTGCTCTAGCAAGGGGCCAGCAGCAATTGAAGAATGCTGTAATTGGTTTCATAAAAGAATGGAGGAATTAAATTCAGAGAAGCATCGACTCATTAACTATCATCAGGAACAGGTTTTACTTATTTTTGAACTGCTGCTTTTCCTTGCATCTTACTACTATTTTTTTGTTGTCTTGAGGATGGTGATGATCTAACACAATTTAATGTTTTTCAGGCAGTTAATTGCCTTTTGGGAAATGTGTTTTATGAACGACTGGCTGGCCATGGTCCAAAACTAGGACCTGTCACTAGAAAGCATCCTTTAGTTACCAGGTGTTGCATTTTTGTTTTTTTTCTTATTGATGGTTGAAAACTGAAAATTGTATTTAACTTTTGAAATTAACCTAAATGTTTTCTTTAACATGTGAGTTCAGTACATTTCTTAAATTGAAATAGAAGTTTTGATTTGGACATAGGCTTAATATTAACTAATTTTGTTAGGCAAATATTTTGTTAGAGAAACTGTCATCAGTATAAACCAATTCATAGTTATTATTTAATGTTTCTGGAGGACTGCATACTTAGTAATAAATTCAATATTAATCAAATTAAGCAAGCATCTGGCTCCTTACTTTGTAAGTGACATAAAGCATAGGTTGGGCAACTAGAGTGCAGTAAAAGCCTTTGCATATCTTTACTTAGAGTCTTTTTTAAAAATATCTTTGCAAAGTAACATCAATGCCTCAATTATGTATTTATTTTTTTTCTTTGAGATGGAGTCTTGTTCTGTCACCCAGGCTGGAGTGCAGTGGCACGATCTCAGCTCATTGCAACCTCCGCCTCCAGGGTTCAAGCGATTCTCCTGCCTCAGCCTCCCAAGTAGCCAGGACTACAGAGGTGCACCACCATGCCCAGCTAATTTTTGTAGTTTTAGTAGAGACGGGGTTTCCCCATGTTGGCCAGGCTGGTCTCAAACTCCTGACCTCAGGTAATCCCCCTGCCTCGGCCTCCGAAAGTTCTAGGATTACAGGCATGAGCCACCATGCCCAGCTGCCTCAATGATTTTTTAAAATAATTTTATGAAGTTTTAAAAATTGTTTAAACTGTTAGCCAGATATGCTGTCATGTTAACTCCCTATTTCTCACATCCTGCTAGATTTACTCAAAAAGCCTAATGAAGATTTTTGACCTATATTGAAGTTTTTTTCCTATAAATAGCATCAAACTTATTTTATTCTATTCATTAGAAAAGAAGTTTAGTTTTAATATTGCAAATTTATATTCTCTCCAAGGAGTTTCTTTGTATGGATTTAATATTTAATTATATTTTCATAGGTATTTTACTTTCCCATTTGAAGAGATAGACTTCTCCATGGAAGAATCTATGATTCATCTGCCAAATAAAGCTTGTTTTCTGATGGCACACAATGGATGGGTAATGGGAGATGATCCTCTTCGAAACTTTGCTGAACCGGGTATGTAATTTTTAACTTCTCTGTGGATGGGGAAAGAATAGTTCATGGCAAGGTCAAAATAAAATCTGCTTTACTGATTTTCTTCCCCATTAGTCTATTGGTTTTTAAATATTTCACCATAAAGGTACCAGAGATACATACAATTTGAGAAAGAAAACATGGAGCCAACAAAAAAAGAAGTTCATCTTCTGTCCTCTCCTTTGCCTTCCTACCTTTTATCTTCTCAAACAGAATAACTTTTATGTACTGTTTTCTATATTGTGGGTCTACATAAGCTTTTATTTGGACAAAATATTATTGCATTTTTACAGACAAGTTTGAAACCACTGCTATTACAATTACATTGACATAAGAGATATTTTCACTCATTGGCCAGAGGTATTAAGAATTTCAGTGGCAATTAAACCAGAACCTAATGGTTTTAGGTCCCCCCTCACTCTTAGTGTCTTGTGTTTCTATAGCTATTTCATTACCAGGAAGAATGTTGCAGGAGCCCATTGATATATTTATTTTTTAACATTTCGAAACTAGGAGTCTATATTAGTGACATTAAAATTTATTCAGAAATCTTAATGCTTTTTTTTAAGAGTATAAATTTGGGTGTAAGTATCTCTGCCCTCTTTTTTCTAGCCATTCTAAACGAAATCAAGCCATTCTGCTGTATGCCATGGATCTAATACAACCTGTTGCCGAAAATAAGTAGGAGGGTGGAGATGGAGTTTTAAATGTTTTTGGTAGAACTATGGTTTTAAAAGGCCTATGATATTAACATTTCTGTTTTCCCTTATGATGCGACTTGGGTTTTTGAAATTGAGGACAAATTTTTAGAAGAGACTGTAAGCTAGAGTTTTTTCAGAATAGCTATGAGAAATAAATAATTATTAATTTTTTAAAACATTATCTCATACCACTTTAGATATAATTTAACCAATATATCATTTATGGCAGAAATGATCAAAGCAATTTAAAAACCAGTGTTTCCTTGAAGTAATTGTTTTCATTTTATTTCTTGAACCATTGAAAGCAATCTCTTTTCTGAACAGGTTCAGAAGTTTACCTAAGGAGAGAACTTATTTGCTGGGGAGACAGTGTTAAATTACGCTATGGGAATAAACCAGAGGACTGTCCTTATCTCTGGGCACACATGAAAAAATACACTGAAATAACTGCAACTTATTTCCAGGGAGTACGTCTTGATAACTGCCACTCAACACCTCTTCACGTAGCTGAGGTACAGAAAAACAATTTATCTACATTAAGAAAAGAAATTCAGTGTTCCTTCCTAGCTTTCCTTAAGTAAACTATGCAGGTAAATGTTTCCTTTTGCTAGTTGGACACAAGCATTGATTTGGTGGTAGTATTTATCACTATTGCATAATTAGCATAATTCTAACAATCTTTTGCAGTTGTTATGGAATACTGGGCTATAAAATATTTAACTAGCTAATTTTAAAATTTTAATTTAGGGAAGTTGATCACGTTTCTGATAATATGGAGTGCAATCATATTGGCTACTGTGAATACATAAAATGTTAATTTTTGTTATTTTTAGGTTGCTTTCAATATATTTTAGAAGTGACTGTGAAGGTGAATAGCTTATTACACATTATAGTGGTGTGTGCCTATAGTCCCAGCTACTCGGGCGGCTGAGGCAGGAGAATCACTTGAACCCAGGAGGTGGAGGTTGCAGTGAGCCGAGATCACACCACTGCACTCCAGCCTGGCGACAGAGTGAGACTCTGTCTAAAAAATAAATTAATTAATTAAATTAAATAAAAAATAAACATTAACATTATAGCATATTGAAGCCAGTCTAGCCTCATCGATTTAATTTTTATTATTTATAAAAATTATAAGTGTAAACATAAACATTGTCTATTTCTCTTTGAGCTCTTTACAATAACTTCTGAACAATGCCAATACTTATAGTATTAACTTCTATCTAATACAATCTTTGTAATTAAACTCATAATTTTCATCCTGCTTATAAGTTTTTTTTGTTATTTTTAGAAACCCTACAGTGGCACTGCTTATAAGATTTTTGATACCTTACTAGTGACCAGTGTCACTTAGGTGTTCTTTGGAAATGTGTGCTTACCTAAAAAATGTCTATTTCTATAATATTAAAGCAGTATTATAATATATATTTCAAGTCCTATGATGAAAAATTGATTTGATTTGGAGGGATTTAGTGAATATTAGTTAAGCTGGTAGAACATTGTTTAGTTCCAAAAAATGACGGCTTTATTTTATTGTGCTTTTAGCAATAGCAAAAAGAAATATGCTTCTAAGATTGTTACATGGCAGAAAAGAATGTTCAAACTTAATTTACTTAATTTTAAATTACAAAATCTAGGATTCTACTTGTTAGCTAATAGAGTTTCAAGTATTTTATTAATCTTTGTGCAAATGTTGTGTTTAACAGTTTGGAACCAATCTGATTTTTTATTATAAACCAGTGTTTATAATAAACAGCTAGATAGATAGCACCAGTGTTAAACGTAAATCACACAAGTGGAAATTGTAAGGTGTAAGAGTTTTTAAGAGTTATTTATCATCATCTGTAGGAGAAACTGGCTTCAGTCTGGTCAGACAAATCTAATCTTTCCAACAGCTAAGTAATTCACCAGCAGGGAATTTATGAATAATTATTTAGTCAACCACCTGGAAATTAAGTCTGATTAAAGTTTTAAAAATAAGCAAGCAGGCCCAGGCACGGTGGCTCACGCCTGTAATCCCAACACTTTTAGGCTCAGGCAGGCAGATCAGCTGAGGTTGGGAGTTTGCAACCAGCCTGACCAACATGGAGAAACCCCATCTCTACTAAAAATACAAAATTAGCTGGGTGTGGTGGTGCGTGCCTGTAATCCCAGCTACTCGGGAGGCTGAGGCTGGAGAATTTCTTGAACCTGGGAGGCGGAGGTTGTGGTGAGCTCACATCATGTCATTGCACTCCAGCCTGGGCAACAAGAGCGAAACTTGGTCTCAATAAATAAATAAATAAATAAATAAGCAAACAAAAAACAGGGAGAAAACCTAACAGAATTGTAGTGTTATGATTTACATTTAGTAATATGAAACTAACATTTTTCTTCTTCTTTTCCTCTCTCATGTCTCAATATCTTTGCAAAATCTAATCTTCCTTTTTAACCGTTTTCTTCTCTTGATAAATTCTCTTGTTTCTATGTGTTTTGGTATGTTTGATATCTTGCTGCATATTTTTCTATGTCAAATCATGCCTCCTTTTGTCTCTTTCCTTCCTCCTATCTTGCTTTTCTCTTTCTGTTACATTTATTTGTTACATTTGTCACTGTGCTTTTTACAGTACATGTTGGATGCTGCTAGGAATTTGCAACCCAATTTATATGTAGTAGCTGAACTGTTCACAGGAAGTGAAGATCTGGACAATGTCTTTGTTACTAGACTGGGCATTAGTTCCTTAATAAGAGGTAGGCTTGTTGGAGTGTATTTCCCTCTAAAACTTTAGCTTTTGTTTAAGTAGATTAAAGGATTTAATAGCTTCATATGCAATGCTTAATAATTTTTTAACACAGTTAATGTTCTTCTAAATACTTTGTATGACATATTCTAATATAACTCAGTCTATTTTTATCAGTATAAATTTCTACTTTGGGGTAAGATACCTCATTTCAAATTGAAAGACCAGTAGGATGAACTGAAGACTCACTAACAAAACCATTTTTTGTTGTTGAAAATATGCAAACCTGTTTTTCATCTTCTACTGGGAGATATGATGTAATGTTTAGATGTTTTATAATCAATTTTGTATAGCTTACATCCCAGTAAACAACATATGTTCCCTTTTCCTTACATGAGCCATTTCTCCAGTTAAGTTATGGGGAAAACTTTTTTGTCACTTAAACTAGTAGACATTTGTTTAAATCCTTAAAGCAGTTTTATTTTTTATAATATTGATGTGGTCTTTATTTTGAAAATCATTTATGAGAAGAAATCTAACCTCTTCCTGGACATAAATAATGAAGATTGTTAAAATATTCTGTAATGCTCTGCAGAGGCAATGAGTGCATATAATAGTCATGAAGAGGGCAGATTAGTTTACCGATATGGAGGAGAACCTGTTGGATCCTTTGTTCAGCCCTGTTTGAGGCCTTTAATGCCAGCTATTGCACATGCCCTGTTTATGGATATTACGCATGATAATGAGTGTCCTATTGTGGTAAGCACCTAATCTTTTTCATGTACTTATTTTGCTAAATGCTTTGATATTTAACTCTCTGACACTTGGTCACAATCATACCCATATACTTCAAAATAGTGTCTTAGATTTATAACTGATTTATAATACATAGTTTTCAGAATGTTTTACTTGTTTAAAAGCAAATTAATTTACCTTATGAATTTATTTATGTAATTATCCTTTTACTTCATTATGCTATAGAATAGCACTTTGCATTTGAAAGAAAGCAAACTTTTGCTTTGTTGTTGTTGTCTTCTAGCATAGATCAGCGTATGATGCTCTTCCAAGTACTACAATTGTTTCTATGGCATGTTGTGCTAGTGGAAGTACAAGAGGCTATGATGAATTAGTGCCTCATCAGGTTTGTTTATATGTTGTTTCTTAAAACCTACATGGCCAACAACTTTGGGCATTTTTATTAAAAAAAATTCATTGTAATTAAGATGTATCCATGCTAAATTTTACCTTTGTCCAGATTTCAGTGGTTTCTGAAGAACGGTTTTACACTAAGTGGAATCCTGAAGCATTGCCTTCAAACACAGGTGAAGTTAATTTCCAAAGCGGCATTATTGCAGCCAGGTGTGCTATCAGTAAACTTCATCAGGAGCTTGGAGCCAAGGGTTTTATTCAGGCAAGAAATAATTAAATTTGTTTCTTCAGGTTCAATTTCAGAGTAAGTCTTTCCAGTTTGAGAGCTAATCTAGTTGTTCTTTCTGCTTCTCAGGTGTATGTGGATCAAGTTGATGAAGACATAGTGGCAGTAACAAGACACTCACCTAGCATCCATCAGTCTGTTGTGGCTGTATCTAGAACTGCTTTCAGGAATCCCAAGACTTCATTTTACAGCAAGGAAGTGCCTCAAATGTGCATCCCTGGTAATGCAATCTAAAAATTGTTACTGTATTTGTATTATATTATTATATTAAATTATACTGTAATGTTATGGTTATATATCATGTATATATCATATATATTATAACACAGTGCTACTGTGGACGTACTTGAGAAAAAGAATTTAAACTTTTTGGTAACTTGGCCAGGTATGATGGCTCACACCAGTAATCCCAACACCTCAGGAGGCTGAGGCAGGCAGATCACTTGAGCTCAGGAGTTCAAGACCAGTCTCAGCATTATGGTAACACCCTGTCTCTATCAAAAAAAAAGTACAAAAAATTAGATGGGCATGGTGGCACATGCCTGTAGTCTTGGCTACTCCTGAAGCTGAGGTGGGAGGATCGCTTGAGCCCAGCAGGCAGTGGTTACACTGAGTCCAGATCCCACCACTGCACTCTACTGGGTGATAGAGTGAGACCCTATCTCAAAAAAAAAAAAAAAAAAAGAAAGAAATTTTTGGCAACTTATATTTTTACTGCATGGAACAAAACCTAGACAGAAATACTTTCAAATGTTAACATTTTTTGAGTTGTGAAATATTTTTGTTTATATTTTATTTCCTAATTTGTGTAAAATGAACATTTATTTCTCTTCTAGCAGAACAATATGTATATTTGTGTTAGTGTATATGTATATATGTGTATAAATGTCTTTGTGTGTATATATGCACAAACATACATACAAACATGCGAACTAAAATGGAAAATAATATAACCTTATGTTTAAGGCTTTTCATAATCCATTCTCATCCACCATCCTAGCCCTATGTCAGTCCACTATTTCAGCCAAATAGATATTTTTACTTCTCCCCAAATACTATGCGAATTGTCTGGATCTTTCAAGGTCTAAAGTTGCACCTCCTTTGTTCAGTGATTCTTCTGAACATGTAGCAATTATAGTCTCTATGTATTCCTCTAGCATAGAGAGTCAAAAATTATAAAATACATCCCTGAGATATGTCCTTAATATTACTTGATTTTTTTCTGGATAGGTGTATTTTATTGTCTTACTTACTATTATATGTGGCATATTACAGCATAGCATGCTCCTGTTCATGCAGCAGCTGGCAAAGTTTGTTGATTGATTGACCAAATGAAAATTCCTATAAAAATCATCATATTCTATATTGGTTGCTAGTTGCTGAATATGCATAGTTCCGGTTTTTAAAAATTATCAACCTGAATACCTAAAAGTTTCTTTAATTGTTCACAAATGTATATTCACTATCCTTATCTGATCTTTGCTAATATACGTATTCAGTTTTATAGGACAACAATCACTGTGTACAATATTATCTCAGGTTTTGTTTTGGTCACAGATCATTCTTAAAACATTTCCACTTCAGTCCGCAAAATTGTGATTTTTATTTTGTTAAATGTTCGTACGTTCTGTTATTATGCCCTTTTAAATATTCTATAGTATGTTTAGTAGTGTTACTAAGTGTTAAATATACAGTAAGGATAATTGTTTTTTCTTTTAAACAATTTTCTTAGTGTATATTTACAGAGGTAGAATTTCTAGATCAAAAGGTTCTGTTACCTGTTGCCAGATTAATGACTTAAAGCTTAAGTTATTTAAAGTAAGGTTGAAATTTTATATAATCCATTGACCCTGCAGTTCTATCCCTAGGTATATATCTGGGAAACTTTCATATATTTCCATTTGAAGATATGCACAAGAATATTTATTACAACATTATTTATAATAGAGAAAAATTAGAGACAACCTTAATAGAACAGATATATTTTGGTATATTCATACAGTAGAATATTATTTGGCATTTGAAGTAAATGTGCTGTAGCTGATGCAGCAGTGTGAATGAATCTAAAAAATACATTGTTGACCACTAAAAAGCAAGTTGCAAATATATATAACTTCAATTCATTTTAATAAAACTTGGAAATAGGGAAAATAATATATGTTGTTTAAGGAAACAGGCATGTGTAGTGAAAATGCCAGGGGTAGTGAGCACCAAACTGAATTGAGGTTACCTCTGAAAGTGAAGAATGGGTACACAGAGGCTTTATTGTATTTGTAAAGTTTAAGTGAGGAAGTAGAACTTGGGTTTTTAATTTTTTTTTGTATCCGAAATATTCCAAGTTTTAAAAAAATGTAAGCCTTTCAAGTGATTTGCTTTTCTCTGCTCAAAATTAGGAAGTTGTTCCCTAGAGCTAAGCTATTATTTTGATACGTTTCTACTTCAAAAAAAGCTTTGTTAACTAAGCTGTAATTTTTTTTACAAATGTGAAAATACACCTTGGGTAGAATCATCTACTTTCAGACTTCTAAAAAAAAGTAACTGATAATTTGTTTTCAACTTTAAGTTAAATGATTTGAAACCACTTTAGCCTTCCTAATTTTGGATGATTCCATATGAAATTTTGTTAAAATGTTTTTATGTATTCCTAGGCAAAATTGAAGAAGTAGTTCTTGAAGCTAGAACTATTGAGAGAAACACGAAACCTTATAGGAAGGATGAGAATTCAATCAATGGAACACCAGATATCACAGTAGAAATTAGAGAACATATTCAGGTATTTGGGACTCTCATCTTACTACTGTGTTTAGCATTTTAAGAACATTAGAACTATTTGTTGAATGGATTTTTTTAATGTACTTTTTTTCAAGCTTAATGAAAGTAAAATTGTTAAACAAGCTGGAGTTGCCACAAAAGGGCCCAATGAATATATTCAAGAAATAGAATTTGAAAACTTGTCTCCAGGAAGTGTTATTATATTCAGGTATGTTAATTGAGCTCAAACTGTTGACTTTACTTATATTTAAAATAGTTTGCATATCCTGTTAAATTTGAATAAATTACTCCTAAAAATTAACCACTTTTTAATTAACATTTTCAGAGTTAGTCTTGATCCACATGCACAAGTCGCTGTTGGAATTCTTCGAAATCATCTGACACAATTCAGTCCTCACTTTAAATCTGGCAGCCTAGCTGTTGACAATGCAGATCCTATATTAAAAATTCCTTTTGCTTCGTAAGTATGCCTTGTTTGGTAGAGATTTGCCACCTTAATAAGTAAGTTACCACTAGACTGAATTAAGCAGTTTTAAGGGTCCTCTATATCCTTGCTACTCAAAGTACGGTCCAAGGACCAGCAGTGTCAGCATCACCTGTTGTTAACATTTTACCCTATTGTTTTATAATTTGTGTGTGTACCTGCATGTGTATTCTCTCTATAGATATAGATACACACATGCCTACATGCATACATAACACATGCATGCATCTCTGTATACACACACACACAATTTCTCTGAAGTATTTGAGACTAAGTTGCATACCTCATACCCTTTACCACATCATTTTTTAAAAATGTCAACATATTATTCTACTTTATGGCTTTACCATAATTTATTTAAACAATTTCCATTTTTGGACATCTAGATTGCTTCTAATTGTTCCCTATTATTTATGTCTTTGTACATTCATCTTTACATGAATCCTTAGTTATTCCCTTTCTAGATGTTTCTGCATACTACAGAAGAATATAGGTTTTGAGGTTTAGACCTAGGTTTAACTTTAGCTTCATTACTGTCAGTATGATCTTGGATCTATTGTTTAGAACTTTCATCATCTCAGTCTCCCATCTGGAAAATTTTGTAAGAATTAAATAGGATAACACTTATAAAACACTTAATACAATGCCTGGCACATAGTAAATGCTCATAGTTTGCCATCATTAGTACTAGTATAAATATTTTCAGAAATGGAAGTTTTGGGTTAGACGAGGGGTCCCCAACCTCTGGGCCACAGACTGGTACTGGTCCATGGCCTGTTAGGAACCAGGCCGCACAGCAGGAGGTGAGTGGCAGGTGAGCTTTATCTGTATTTACAGCTGCACCCCATCACTCGCATTACCACCTGAACTCTGCCTCCTGTCAGATCAGTGGCTGCATTAGATTCTCATAGGGACGTGAACCCTATTGTGAACTGTCCCTGCGAGGGATTTAGATTGCATGCTGCCTATGAGAATCTAATGCCTGATGATCTGCCACTGTTTGCCATCACCCCCATATGGGACTGTCTAGTTGCAGGAAAACAAGCTTAGGGGTCCCACTGATTCCACATTATGGTGAGTTGTATAATTATTTCAGTATATATTACAATGTAATAATAGTAGAAATAAAGTACACAATAAATGTAATGCACTTGAATCATCCCAAAACCACGCCCCTCACCCCCAGTCTGTGAAAAAATGTCTTCTGTGAAACCAGTCCCTGGTGCCAAAAAGGACCATTGGGTTAGACTATATCCATATATTTGAGGCTGTTAATACATACTGCCAAATTTTCTCCAGAAAGATTATAATAATTAATACTTTCAGCTCTATCCAAGAGTTTCCATCATTAGCAATACTGAGTATATATTATTATAACGTAGTGTTTAAGGGCATGGAGTATAGAACCAGACTAACTGGATTTGAATTCCATTGCAGACTCTTATTAGCTATAAGAAGTAAGACCTGGCTGAGTGCAGTGGCTCACTCCTATAATCTCAGCACTTTGGTAGGCCAAGGTGGGAGGATTGCTTGAGCCCAGGAGTCCAAGACCAGCCTGGGCAACATAGTGAGACCCTATCTCTACAAAACGTTTTAAAAAAATTAGCTGGAAGTTGTGGCATGCACCTGTGGTCACAGCTGTTCAGGAAGCTGAGGTAACAGCATCAGCATCAGTTGAGCCCAGGAGGTCTAGGCTGCAATGAGCCATGATTGTGCCACTGCTCTCCAGCCTGGGCAACAGAGCAAGACCCTGTCTCTAGAAAAAAAAAAAGAGATCTTTGAGAATTTATAATAGACATAATTATAGCACCTTTCTTACAGATTACTTGAGTAAAACACAATAGTTTTTGACACATAGTGATTGATAAGTGTTAGCTGTTACTAATCAAACTGGTAAATATAAAATAGTTAAAAATAACATCTCATGTAATTTAAATATTAAGCTAAATTATTTTGTTCATTGGCCATTTGTATTTATTTGTTGAAGTGTTGTTTTATGTATTACCCCATTTTGCTATTGTGTTCGGCTTTCTTTGTTGTTTTGTAAGACTTTTTATTGTTAAGGATATTAACTCCTAATTCAAACTATTCTTAATAAAGTAGTTGCATTCTTAACCAAAAAATCTGTGATGAAGCAGCTTTGTGTTTGGATGGACTGCTTGTAAAATGCATGTTCCTCCTCAGACCTGCTCAGATTATTTTGGAGCAAGGCCAAGAAATTTGCAGTTTTATAAGATCCCCAGGTAATTTTTAGGCAAGGAGTCCACTGGCTATTGAAAAATATTGTCCTAGAATGGAGTTGATACTGAGACTTCTGAGTGATTTGACTCAGGCTTGACTCACAAACTAGCTCTGGGGAGGGAGGCTGATATGGAGAGAACAAAGCACAGATGACAATGATTTTCTAAATTGAGCCAGAACTAAATGGGAAAGAAAGATACACATTCAAGAGGATATGTGTTCACATAAAATAGCAGTCATGTAAAATGAAATTACCTGAGCATCTATTATAGAAGCACAAGAAAATACAGTTTCAGCTGTATTCAGGTGTGGTCAGTTATACAGTCTTACTGCTAACCAAACAAAGGGAAATCAAGGCCATGATAGTCTTCCCTCTGACAGTTATCAGGAGGCATCTTAATCTGAGAAAAATCCTGGTTTCTTGAATAAACAAGCTGAGGGGCAGTGCAACCTTAGAGAAGAGAAAGGAAGGGACTTGGAGAGAAATATGAAGGTAGAGAGCATGTGATTTCCTAGGCAATTAACTTTGACTTTTTATTCCTTTAGTCATCCTCTGATAAGTATTTTTAGTATACAATAACTAGCATAAAAAGTTCTTGATGTCTCACTTAGGGGAATATAAAGGAGAGAAATCAGATGAGAACACATAAATAAATGAAGGAAGGAAGGAAAACACTAAGTCCAAACTAGAAAGGTTAAAAAAACAGATTTATAAGATAAAGGATATAGAAGCCAAAATATTTTCCCAGCATACTTCTAATCAATACAATTTGGTACTTGATTATTTGCTTGGTTTGGGAGTAATGTCGCTTCTAATTGAATTTTTTTTCACAATTTGTCCTTTAATAATTACTTAAAATGTATGAGTATAATGTTTATTTGAATGCTGAGTTCCTAAAACATACACTGCTAAGACATTTTATGATTGTAATTCAGATTTTCTTCTTTTGTTTCTATTGACAACAAGCGAAACTTCAATATATGGTTATCTTTATTTTCCAATTCTTAGTCTTGCCTCCAGATTAACTTTGGCTGAGCTAAATCAGATCCTTTACCGATGTGAATCAGAAGAAAAGGAAGATGGTGGAGGGTGCTATGACATACCAAACTGGTCAGCCCTTAAATATGCAGGTCTTCAAGGTAAGCAAATGGAAGGATAGCTGAGCTTTGTGTTTTTCTTTTAGGGTCATCTGGTGTCTTCTTTACAGACATAGATATAGGCTCAGAGTATGCCTACTTGGGTTGCAATTATGGCTCTGCTTCTGCTCATTAATTGACCTTTGGCAAGTAATATAACCTCTTTGTGTGCCAATTTCTGCTTCTATAAAATTTGAATAATATTATCTAATTTAGAAGGTTTTTGTGAGGATTAATGAGATCATTCACATAAAACACTGAAAACAGGATGTAACACAAAGTAATTACCCAGTAAATTTTACCTAGAAATACTAGTTCTATCTCTTTCCTTAAGGTCTGTATAGCTCTTTATGTATACTTGGACCTTGATTAATGTTTCTTGACCTGGTTTATTATATAATAAACAGAATATTCTTGTTTGGGCCCCAAGTGGGATTAGGTTGTAAATATAATCCATTCACCTTTTTTTAAATCTAATTGGAAATATATTTTATTGCATATTTGTTTTATCCTGTAAAGAGAACTTACAGTAAAACATACAGTAGTTGTAAGATGAGTTAAAGGAATTAAGTATTTATCAGTTTTATTCATCTAGTTGGTAATATTTACTTAGATGTTTAAGAAATTTGCTTTATCACACCTGTATTCCTGGTTCATATAGTTTTCACTTATGCCTTTTGTTCAACTCTTTATTTCTTTCTCCATCTAACCTATCTTTAAGGACTAATTTAATTCTTGCATCTTTCATAAAACCTTCTTTAACTATTGCTTTTTACAGTAATTTCTTTGTCCTCCAGACACCATTGCATTTATTTTCTATACCTCTTACTTGGCCCTTGAAATATATTGCCTTATTTTGATAGTTAGTATAATGATTTTTGTGAATCTTTATCATTGTGATTAAGAAACAGGCTTTAAAACCAGATTTCCTGGGTTACATTGACTAGTTTTATAACCTGAAGTAAATGCTCTATGGCTTACTTTTCCCCTGCAAAATGGTACCTACCACAGGGATTATGGTTAGGATTAATGAATTAATACATGTGAACAGCTCATTAGACGACACCTAATTCATACTAAGTAATTGGAAATTGTTAGCCTTAAAACCACACTAAGTAGGCTGCACACTTTCAGAAAGAAGAATTAAGTTTTATCTTTTTTATGCTTCTTGTCTTTTAGCTTTTATACTTTCTGCAAAACCAAGCACGTAAGCGGTTCTCAATAAACTTTTTTGAGACTTTTTGGATTTATGATCTTTTTTTCTAAAATATTCTCATTTTTAATACAAAATGTTTTGTGCTATGAGTAAGAAAGAAGTGTATGTGAGCCAGACATGGTGGCTTCCACCTGTAATCTCATGCTTTGGGAGGCCACAGCAGGAGGATCACTTGAGCCCAAGAGAGGTTTGAGGCTGCAGTGAACTATGATCATGCCAATGCCCTCCAGCCTGGGTGACAGAGTGAGACTGTCTCAAAAAATAAATAAATTTATTTATTTAATTAATTTTTAAAAGATGTATGTATGTTATCAGATTTGAGTAATTATCTACTTCATTTTCACTCTGAGTTGTTAAACTACTTCTAGTTCACTACAAAGACCAAACTTGTGTGTGCTCTTTTTCTAGCCTTTGTCTTTCTTATAGTTAAGTTTGGTTCTTTGCTAATTCTCCTTATCTTTCTAATGAAATGATTCTTCTTATCTTTTCTAAATAGAATTGCCTTTACCTGTTTATTTTTTGCTGCTTTATACCAATCCCTTTTCCCTCTGATTGTTTAATATTTTCAGCAGGCCACATATTTCCAGCAGGCTGCTAATAAGAGCCTCAGATTAAATCAGATTTAACTACTTTGTTGACCTGTCTTTCCCTTAAACAAAATGTATTTCCCTCCTTATAATACGGTATATCTAGTCATGTTGGAATCCAGGAATCCATTTTGGATCTGCTCCTTTCATCCTCAGTATCCAATCAGTCATTATGATTTGTGGATTCTTTTCCATGTTCTGTTGGGTACACCATATCCTTTTTATTACCACAGTTTTCACTCTATTCTAGGACTAAGTCCTATATACAAAACCAACTAACCAATTTTCCAAATCTTGTTACCTCATCTACAAATCATTCCATTCCGTTGGTCATCATCAGATCTGTTTCTAAAACACTGTTTTCCTTATGTCCTTCCATTATTCAACAGTGAGACCAACATTTACCGAGCATTATCTGCTGTCCATGAAAATGCCAGGGCATATGTAGAATATTATTTTATAGTCTTGTTTCCCAACATCTTTATGTTTTAAGCTTTCTTCCCCAGAGAAGATTGTGAGCCCCTTGAGGGAAAGAACTTTATCTTAAATTTATATAGTTTTTAGTTTCTCAAAACATGCTACATACCTAGTAAAATTCATGCAATTCTAAATAGATAAATAAATTTAGTCTAAATGAAGTCAGTGATGCCAATATAATTTTTAAGGTAGCATCATTGAAATAATAAAATCTGGGAAATTCTAATGCTTCTAATTGAAGACTAGAAGGATTAAGAAAAAAAAAATATATATATATATACCTCATTTTGATACTTCACTTAGTTCTAAGTACCTCCTGTTAAATTTTAACAATTCCTTCCAAAGCATGCTTTATTCTTATTATCTCCATAGGTGTTCTTGCTCTTTCTGAAACCAGTTCTATGACTTCCTTAAATCTAGCCTGAATACTGATGAACCCACTACTTTTCAACATGAAAAAATACAGGCTTATTACTTTTCTTTCTTGAGATGCTTTTGGGCAGGGAAGCCATGCCAGTTACCCTTGAATATTATAACATTAAAATCCAAAAGAATAAGACCAGTCCCAGAAGTTATGAATCCTGAAAAGCTCTTTATATCTCTTGTGACAGTAGTCCCCTTCAGTATGCCTTTGTAACTTGGCTCAAGCCAGTATTGTCATACTTATCTCCAACTGTATTAAGCAGTGTTGTGGACTGGGTAGCCCTTGTGTGTGCCTCTAATACGTATTCACCCCAAATCACTAGAATAGAGACTAGCAGAATAGGGACTAGAGGATATAGGAACAAATTGATGCTACCAATAATACAGCATGACATGTCTCTGAATTTTCAGGTTTAATGTCTGTATTGGCAGAAATAAGACCAAAGAATGACTTGGGGCATCCTTTTTGTAATAATTTGAGATCTGGAGATTGGATGATTGACTATGTCAGTAACCGGCTTATTTCACGATCAGGAACTATTGCTGAAGTAAGTAGAGCTATATTATCGTCCCAAAAAATCAAGGACATAATAATAAATATTACCATGTTATATATAATATTTACATTGTTTTCTAACCTGAACCATTTTCCTCCTTCCTTCATCATCTTTCAGTTATAATAAATGGAAATCGGGTTTATAGATTACTAGATAAAGTTGCACATTTAGATTTACCTCTAAAAACACACCTAGTCTGTACACATACCAAATTAACTTTCAAATTTATTTTAATTACAGGTTGGTAAATGGTTGCAGGCTATGTTCTTCTACCTGAAGCAGATCCCACGTTACCTTATCCCATGTTACTTTGATGCTATATTAATTGGTGCATATACCACTCTTCTGGATACAGCATGGAAGCAGATGTCAAGGTATATCCAACAAAGCTTGAATAAATGGGCATATCTGTGTTGAAACTATATACAGAGTCACTTCATACATGTTCTTAAAAAACCAAACCATAAAGAATTGTCATAGAACTGAAAAGGCTTGTAGGTGGATAGTAAATTTATTAGCATCCTTTAGTCTGTGTAGCATACAAAAACAAACTTGAATATTATAAAATCTGTTCTAAAAGCTAATAAAACATATTGATAAGAATATTGTTTTATATTGTTTCTATGTATTCACTGACTTATTGAGTTAATTGATAAAGTTTCTGAAATCTACATGTACAATTTTTCTAATTTTTCATCAATTAGGAGAAAAAATTCCACTATTACTATGAATGAAATTTGCCTTTAATGATGAATTTCCCTAAAATGAAACCACAAATTTAAGTGTACTCGTGAGAGCCACCAAATTGATTAGGACATAATTTCACAAGAACAAACTTTCATTTCTACCATTTGTTTTACAACCATCTGTGGACTGTAAGCCAGCTAAAATAATGGGTGAAATGAAAGCAGTTTTGAAATCTAACCAAAGTTTTAAAAATGTTAAGTAATATTACTATTGTTATAGATTTGTATAGAAAAATCATTTGAAGGAAAGAAACCAAGTAAAATAAAACTGCTAAAAATTGTATTTCTACAAGTAATAAATTCAATCACTTTTGTTACAGCTTTGTTCAGAATGGTTCAACCTTTGTGAAACACCTTTCATTGGGTTCAGTTCAACTGTGTGGAGTAGGAAAATTCCCTTCCCTGCCAATTCTTTCACCTGCCCTAATGGATGTACCTTATAGGTTAAATGAGATCACAAAAGAAAAGGAGCAATGTTGTGTTTCTCTAGCTGCAGGTAAGGAATTATGTACAAGGTTAAAATATGTAAATCGATAGTATTCGCGGAAGAAAAGTTATAGGAAAATGATTATTTTTTAAAAGCTTGTAATGCTACTCAAGATTTTATTTTACCACTTAGTACATTTCATAGATATTCACTCATAAAAATAATAACCATGCTTACTGTTTAATTATAACTGTGCACCAGGCATTTATGTGTGTTTTTTATGGCTAGCTGATTCTTCATGTTTCTATTTTTTCCAACTCTTGACATTCTGTGTTTTTTTAAATCAAATTTATTTTGCTATTCTCTTTTCTATATTTTCCCCCAATTTTAAAAAATAAACCCAATCTTGTAATTATCAAGAGGTCATGTAAGGGTCCCTATAAATTATAAAACAAAACAGATGTTAAATAATTTTCATCATGTGTCTAATTGGAATCAAATGCTTTCAACATTTGAATAAATATCCTTTATTCCAACTAGATTTAAAACCTGAATCAAGTAACAAATTCAAGTAAGCAAAATAGGCTAAAGGACAGGCTTTTGTTTTCTTTTTAATACATTTCAAGCATATTTCTAGAAAGTACTTAGTATTTGAGGTGACTGAAGTTTAGAACTTTCCAAACTAAACTGAAAAATATCAAGTTACAGGAAGAAAGAAATAGTATTATCTGTGTAATTCCCTCTTTTACCCTTAAATTTGCAGCTACTTAGACCAGATAAAAAGACTTAGTGATACCCAACAACTAAAATGAAAATTACCTTTCCATTAAAAATGTTCATGAAACATTCATAAAACGTTGTTTAAGTTCTATAATTGTGTTTTTAGATTTTCATTTGACTGTTTGATCTCCTGGTACCCGTTGTTCCCTCATGAATCCATGCAGATGCTCATGAAACTGACCTTAGCCATAGGGGCAAAGGAAACATTGATGTAAATAACTTGGTTTTAAAGCCTACTTTTTAGAACCCATTACAAAAAATAGTAATTTCAACCTTTTTGATTGTGTACTGCTGTTGTTAAACATCTTCAAAATATACACTTTAAACGATATACTGATATAAACTGTTACATCTGACATACTTCTCAGGTACGATATAAAACAAATAAAAACTAAAAAATTAAGTTGATAAACAAATACAAATAGAAGTGTGATATTTGCTCCTAGCATCCCAAGGGAATGTTTTGCCTATTCCATACTTGTAAAAAATAGGACTGTATTCAGATTTGCAGATAGGTTTTTTGGGGTTCATTTTAAACTGATTGGGGATGTCTTCCTTTGGTTATAGTATTGCAACAACAGCAATTAAAAACAATGGTTCATACCTGTAATCCCAACACTTTGGAAGGCTGAGGCAGGAGGATCGTTTGGGGCAGGGAGTTCAAGACCAGCCTGAACAACATAGCAAGACCCCATCTTTACCAAAAAAAAAAATTAAAAATTAGCCAGGCATGGTGGTATGTACCTGTAGTCCTAGCTACTCAGGAGGCTGGGGCAGGAGGATCCCTTGAGCCAAGGAGTTTGAGGCTGCAGTGAGCTATGATCACACCACTGCACTGCAGCCTGGGTGACAGAGGAGACCCTGTCTCAAAAAAAAAAAAAAATTTGTAGCCTGTTCTAATAATTGACAAATTAGAAATCACTTAGAAGATATGGAATCTATTAGTTGTGTACTCTTAGAGGTCAAAAAGTTAATACAAACATTTCCATACATAGTGCTAGAGATTTTATAGTTTTGACTTTTTCACAAAGACAGACCGCATATATTTTTGGATATACCGATTCAGACTCACCTTTGAATCTACCTGTATTCATGTTTCATACAAGGAATTAAATGGGTCAGAGTACCAGGAAGTGTGTATGGCACAGAGTGCTATATATATGTTAGCTGCTGTCATCACTATCATCAAAATTAATATCATGTATATATCAACCATATATAAACCATATTAATCATAAATAAATAATACACAGTGTATTTGGGGAAATTTTGTACCGTCATTTTGGAGACAACATAGGTAGGAAAAAGGTCTAATTCTTATCTTTCTTAATGGAAGAAACTAACATCTAATTCCCAATAAACAGAAACTTAAATTGTGAAGTACACTCAGGAATTGCCAAAACTTTCTTTTATCTTAGTCAAATTCTTTCACTTTTCGATCTACATTTTAATATTTGTTTTTTATTTCAGTCATCAAATATTTATAGGTATATATTATATACAGTTACAATTTTCAATGAATACATACTTGTTGGTGAACAAGGTAGATGAGGTTTCTACTCATAGGTCTTATTTCCTACTGGGAAGATATATGCATTCAACAGATAGCAAACAAGATAATTTTCAGATAGCGTTAAGTGCTTTTAAGATAGTTATAAGTGAATGCTGTGTATATTTTATTTGTCCTCAGTTTCCCCTAACCAAAATATGTGTTATATTTATGCTTTGGCATAATTTTTTTTCTTTTGAGACAGAGTTTCGCTCTTTTTGCCCAGGCTGGAGTACAATAGCGTGATCTCGGCTCACTGCAACCTCCGCTTCCTGGGTTCAAGCAATTCTCCTGCCTCAGCCACCCAAGCAGCTGGGATTACAGGCACCCACTACCACGCCTGGCTAATTTTTTGTATTTTTAGTGGAGATGGGGTTTCACCATGTTGGCCAGGATGGTCTCGAATTCCTGACCTTACTGTTTTATAAGAAACCAAACTCAATCTTTAAGTAAAATTTTAGATTGCACCATTAATCATACTATTTTATCTTGTATATAAAACCTCCAATTACCTAGAATGAAGGATTTAATGTGCCAGATAACTTGAAGTGACAAGTAAAATTGTACATATTGTGTACAGAATATAACACTTTTAAGTTGTTTTAAATTAGTGGGAAATTTGATAATGTTGACTCAAGTGCTCAAATGTTGACTCCATATACTTAATTAGGTATCATTAAGGTAATAATTTCATGTTTAGGTTTATTTATTGTCCTTAAGTTCAAGGTAGAGTCTTTTTAAATATATAATTAATATTTAGTGTTTATGTGTTAAATATTTGATCTCTGATTTTACTCTTTAGATTTAATTTATAAAAGAAAGTTTGGCCAGGTACAGTGGCTCCTGCCTGTAATCCTAGCACTTTGGGAAAGCAAGTTGGGCAGATCACTTGAGCTCAGGAGTTCAAGACCAGCCTAGGCAACCTGGCAAAACCTCATTCTCTACAAAAAATACAAAAACTAGCCAGGCATGGTGGTGTCTACCTGTAGTCTCAGCTACTTGGGAGGCTGAGGTGGGAGGATGGCTTGAGCCTGGGAGGTGGAGGTTACAGTGACGCAAGACTGTGCCACTGCACTCCAGCCTGGACAACAGAGCCAGACCCTCTCTCAGAAAGAAGAAAAGTTTATCTGTGTATTCACACCTCAATTTAGATAAGTATCTCTCTATAGCTCTGGTTCTTAATCTTCTTTAGGTCATAGGTTCCTTTAGGAATCTGACAAGATAATGGAATCTCATTTGACAGAAGTTAACATAAGTATAGACATACATTTTGCAAATAATTTTAGAGGGTTTTAGAGGATTTGCAGGTGCCTGCCTTGTACCCCAGGTTTAGAGTAACTGTTCTATAGTAATGGAGTTCATAGGTTTGTGTGTATTATTATGATTAACATATTACTTTGTTGTGTTTTTTTTGTTAGGCTTACCTCATTTTTCTTCTGGTATTTTCCGCTGCTGGGGAAGGGATACTTTTATTGCACTTAGAGGTATACTGCTGATTACTGGACGCTATGTAGAAGCCAGGTAGGAGAGCCTCTAAAGTGTTGTACTGCGAGTTTATGTCTGAATGTCTTTTACATGCTCTTCAAACTTTCCTTCTTGTCCATCTTTTCTTAACATTTGGGAGCTGTATTTTCTTTAGGTAGTTTTTATTTTATTTTTGTATGTTCACTTAATAGGATCATAAAATTTCAAAGGGGTGAAAATCTTTGAAGTCACTAAGTTCTAGTCCTTCATATTACAAGTCAGGTTATCTTTAGCATTAGCTAATTTATTTCAACAAAACTAAAAATGTTATAACCTTTTTATGCCTTCCATAGTGAAGGCATTGCTAGTTCTTTGTCTGAGTCTTGTAGAAGTCTTGATGTTTCCCTCTATTTGTTGTCAAGCCTTGTAACCTCCAGTTTTATGTTTTCTAGACTTAAAATGGTTTTTTTTGTTTTTGTTTTTTGTTTTTTGTTTTTGAGACAGAGTCTCGCACTGTCGTCCGGGCTGGAGTGCAGCGGCACAGTCTCGGCTCACTGCAACCTCCGACTCCGCCTCCCGGGTTGAAGCCATTCTGCTGCCTCAGCCTCCTGAGTAGCTGAGATTACAGGCGCCCGCCACCACGCCCAGCTAATTTTTGTATTTCTAGTAGAGACGGGGTTTCACCGTGTTGGTCAGGCTGGTCTTGAACTCCCGACCTTGTGATTTGCCTGCCTCGGCCTCCCGAAGTGCTGGGATTACAGGCGTGAGCCACCGTGCCCGGCCGTAAAATGGTATTTTTTTTAATGTCACAATAATATGAATGAACTTATTGGAGGTCGAAAGGAAAGCACTACAGCAGTGCCACTCAAAATGCATTCCACACATCAGTAGTGTCACCCTCACCTGAGAGCTTGTTAGAAATGCAGATTCTTGGACCCTATGCCAAACCTCCCAAATCCAAACCTGGACATAGAGAGAGTAGGGTTGGTGGGCAGAAATCTGTGTTTTCACAAGGTCTCTGGATGATTATCAACAGTCTAAGGCTGAAGTTTGAAAGCACTGCTCTAAAAGATAAAACTTTCAGCAAAAGGGCATTTATACGATACCTTGTTTTGATGCCATCAGGAAAATAACTGAAGTTTGCATCTTTACATGCCAAAATTTTATTTTTGATACTTTTAAAACTGAAGTTTTTAGGTGGGCATCTGAAATGAATTGCATTTTTGTTAATCCGATATATAGTAAGACCTTTTTGTATTACCATTATGGAGCTATAGAAATTTAGGAAGCTGTTTGCTTCTTCCCTAAATGCTCCTGAATTACTGATTTAGAAGAAGGAAATGGAACATCAGCATTCAGCATAGTATAGTGGTTAAGAACTTCGGCTTTACACCAGACTGCCAGCTTCTAATCCTGGTTCCAAACTACCAACTGACAAATTACCTTACTGGGTACTTGGGAGGATCAAATGAACACATACAGTTAAGGTGCCTAGAGTAATATCTGCCACATGCCTAGAGTAATATCTGCCACATGCTAAACAGTTCATAAATGTTAGTTTTTATCATTATTAATGTTTAGGCTCCCAATTATCACCTCTATGCAATATCACAAATTTGTGCTGCTTAATTTTACATAGAACTGTCTAGATTATTGGTTAGCAAACTGTGGCCTATCACCTGTTTTGTATGGCCTATGAGCAAAGAATAGCTTTTACCTTTTTTTTTTTTTTTGAGACGGAGTCTTGCTCTGTCACTCAGGCTGGAGTGCAGTGGCGCAATCTCCGCTCACTGCAAGCTCCGCCTCCCGGGTTCATGCCATTCTTCTGCCTCAGCCTCCTGAGTAGCTGGGACTACAGGCGCCCGCCACCACACCCGGCTAATTTTTTGTATTTTTAGTAGAGACCGGGTTTCACCATGTTAGCCAGGATGGTCTCGATATCCTGACCTTATGATCCGCCTGCCTCATCCTCCCAAAGTGCTGGGATTACAGGCGTGAGCCACTGCGCCCTACCAGAATAGCTTTTACCTTTTTCTTTTTAAAGGGTCATTTAAAAGAAGAAAGCATGTGCAACAGAATTCATATATGTCCCACAAAGCCTAAAATACTTAGTATATGGCCCTTTATAGAAAAGGTTTGCCTACCCCGATCTAGAGGTGATTCCCAGAGAATAATATATTATCCCAGAGGGTATTTGTTAGGGTAGTGCTAGCTGCCATAAATTATAAACACTTAAAATCTTAATGGCTTTTCACAAATAAAATTTATTTCTTGCTTGTAGTCGTAGACGCATGCTCAGTAAGCAGCCTTCTATATACTGATTCAGGGAAGCAGGTTTCTTCCAGCTTGAGGATCTGTCAGTTTCCATGGCTTCTGGGGCCTCTCCAGGAGGCAAGCAGAGAGGGAAAGAGAGCTGGGGGAACACACCTATTCTCCATACACTTAACATGCATCAGTTCTGGCCACAACCAACTGTAAGATTGGTTGTGAATTGTAGGAAATTCGTTTTAGTGGACATATACCTCTACCACAGATGGTTCTACTTCCTCCCTCTATAGAGGTAATCATGAATCAGAAGTCGTTTTATTAAAATGTACAAGATTGTTCCAGATGGTTAAGATTGCTAGCACTATGGCCAGGCATGGTGGCTCACAACTGTAATCAGCACTTTGGGAGCCTGAGGCGGGCAGATTGCTTGAGTCCACAAGTTCAAGACCAGCCTGGGCAACAGGGTCTCTTAAAAAAACAAATATATATGTATATATAGAGAGAGCTAGTATTCTGACCTTTTCTTAATTGAAAGTGTCACTGTCTATACTAATATTTTTATACTTTGTAAATAAAAAGTTTCCCATTGCATTACTGTTGAAAAGATGGGCATTAAGCTTAGACATAGAATTAATAAAAATTTCTGAGTGGTTTAGCCAAAAAGCAGTAAGACCTAGACATTTTAAATAACATTTCCAAGGCCACACAGATGGCAAAGCTAGGATTTAGACTTCAGCCTTCTTATTTCTTAATTTCATGCTGTTTCTAGAGTGCCTTTCTGTCTTACAAACAAAATTTTCATTTGGTATATAATAGTAAAATAATGCTTTAAAAAATTAACTGTCTTCAACCAGTTTTTAAACTGGTTGAATTATGTTTTTCAAGGTCAGCTTCTACCAGTTTGTTTTCTTTCTCTCTCTCTCTCTCTCTTTCTCTCTCTCTTTCTCTCTCTCTCTCTTTCCCTCCCTCCCTCCCTCCCTCTCTCCTTCCTTCCTTCCTTTCTTTCTTTCCTTCTTTCTTTCTTTTCTTTCTTTTTTTTGAGACTGAGTCTCGCTCTGCCATCCAGGCTGGAGTGCCGTGGCGCAATCTCCGCTCACTGCAAGCTCCGCCTCCCTGGTTCACGCCGTTCTCCTGCCTCAGCCTCCTGAGTAGCTGGGATTACAGGTGCCTGCCACTACGCCCGGCTAATTTTTTGTGTTTTTAGTAGAGACGGGGTTTCACCGTGTTAGTCAGGATGGTCTCGATCTCCTGACCTCGTGATCTACCCGCCTCAGCCTCCCAAAGTGCTAGGATTACAGGCCTGAGCCACCACGCCCGGCCTTCTTTCTTTTCTTTCTTCTTTTTTTTTTTGATAGAGTCTTGCTCTGTTGCCCAGACTGGAGTACACTGGCACAATCTCAGCTCACTGCAACCTCTGCCTCCTGGGTTCAGGCAATTCTCTTGCCTAAGCCTTCTGAGTAGCTGGGACTACAGGCACGCACCACCATTCCTGGCTTATTTTTGTATTTTTAGTAGAGACAGCGTTTCACCATGTTGACCAGGCTGGTCTCAAACTCCTGACCTCAGGTGTTCCGCCCGCCTCGGCCTCCCAAAATGCTGAGATTACAGGTGTGAGCCACTATGCCCAGCCAGTTTGTTTTCCTATATGTTTGTTTTACTCTTGGTTTCTGCTATTTAAAATAATTAAGTTCTTGTTTAATAGTTACTTCGATTTTGAAATACCATAGACTTCAAAAGTAGAATCTGGAGCTATGAGGGACCTTAAAAATCACCCAGTCCAATCTCAAATGAAAAAACTGTATCAGAGAGGGAGTCACACAGATTGTTAGCATAAAATTCTAGTCTAGAATCAAGGTTCCTGACTTTAATTCAGTACTTACTCTATCATACTATGACTACTTTCTACATGAAAATATAAAGAAATAGGGCAAGAGAGAAAACGCATTCAAAATATAGTCACCAAAAGTGACTGGTTTTTGTCTTCAATTTTTAAGTGTTTGTTTTCATTTCTGATCCACTTAATTCTGTTGTTTTAGGAATATTATTTTAGCATTTGCGGGTACCCTGAGGCATGGTCTCATTCCTAATCTACTGGGTGAAGGAATTTATGCCAGATACAATTGTCGGGATGCTGTGTGGTGGTGGCTGCAGTGTATCCAGGATTACTGTAAAATGGTTCCAAATGGTCTAGACATTCTCAAGTGCCCAGTTTCCAGAATGTATCCTACAGATGATTCTGCTCCTTTGCCTGCTGGCACACTGGTAAAGATATTTCTTAAAATGTTTTTTTGTTTTTTTTTTTTTTTCTGAAAAATGACTTTTAGTTTCTAATGTAAAAATAAGGGTAATTAAGAATCCAAATCTTACGAATTATTCAAATGTCAGTATTGATTTGGCACCTGCTGGTACTATAAGTGATTGGTCTTTGCCTGAAGAACTTTGCAACATGGTAGAAGAGATGATGATGTGTACATAAATATGGCCATTGCAATAGATTGTAGAGGAAGTGTTGTGTAGTCTCTTAAAAGAGAGAGAAGGTCCAGTAGGTAGGTCTCAGGGAGAACGTTAGAAAGTAGCTAAAGTTTCACCTAAATGAGCCATAAAAGGTGAGTAGGACTTTCGGAGAGATGGAGAAAGTTGTTGGGAGACATTAGAGTTGAAAAGAAGCCAGGTGTATGGCACACACCTGTAATCTCAGCTTCTCAGGAGGCTGAGGCAGAAGGATCACTTGAGGCCAGGAGTATGAGTCCAGCCTAGGCAACATAGCAAAACTCAGTCTCTTTAAAAAAAAAAAAAAAAAAAAAAAGAGGAAAGGAATAATAGGGTTGCATAGTGGATTGAAGCACAGTTTAGGGGACATAGTACTTAATAGTGTTTTTGTAAGAGCCTAGGCTCTTATAAAATACGTTTTGTGAAAAAGTCAATATGGTTTGGCTTTTTGTGTAGGATACCTGCAGGGTAGTAAGAGATTATGGAAAGGGTGAGCCAGGTTATGGAGAGCCTTGACTACCAATCCAGGGAGCTTAAAGATTATCTTATGAACAGTGAAGAATGGATAGACATTTTTGAGTGTTTTTTTTTCCCTAATCAAGAATGGACAATAATACTATACTTTTGCCACTTCTGATCTGCCTTTATGTTAATAGTTTGTTATATATGATTGGGGGGGCTGGGAGGGGATAGTAGCTTTGTAAGCTACTCCAGGGTTAGCATATATTTGTGTTCTCATGATATTTATTTATATCATGAAGTACTCAACATTTGTCCAAAATTTTTTTATTTGTCCTCTGTTATCAACTGACATTTCTGTTACAATGAATATAGGTTCATGCTATCAGGCAGGTAATTATTTTACACATAACTTTGTTTTCTCACAGTTTATCCAAAAATATTCACAGCATTATAATTTTTATAATTAATAGTAGAATTTTTATATTATAGAGTTTTGGTTATATTCAGAGTCTTTAAAATGAAACATAATAAACATGTAAGGACTCTAAACATTTTGCTTCTATTTAACATTCTTTACCTTATTTTTAAAAATATAATTGTATATTTTCCCAAATGTCATCCTGAGTATCACATTTATTATTTATATGGGTAAAGAAAATGACTTATGAATTCTTTACATTCACTGGGGTATTTTCCAAAGTCATTATGGATCCTCAAATTTGAGAGTTTCCCTTTAGCTCATAATTTACCCCCATTACCTGTGTATGCAGATGAGTAAAAATAGCAATGCCAATTTAAAATTCAGATGCTGGATAACAAGCTAGGTTCGTTTATTAGCTGAAGAGATCACTCTGATAGAAACTGTAGAAGCTCACTAGATTTGTTTTTGTGTATCAGCAGATTATTTTATGTCACAGACATGAATAGTCAAAACTACTGATGTTAAATATTTGTATGCTCGTCTGTATTATTTGGTATATAGGAGCTGCTTCTTCCCTGGCCTCACCCCAATTCCTATTTCTCACTTCAAAGGAAAGTATATATTTTCACATTACTTCAGTTGTCGGATTTGGGGGAAAATAAGAAAAATGTAATTTCTAACAGAGGTAACACCCATTATGTCTCAAACAGGATCAGCCATTGTTTGAAGTCATACAGGAAGCAATGCAAAAACACATGCAGGGCATACAGTTCCGAGAAAGGAATGCTGGTCCCCAGATAGATCGAAACATGAAGGACGAAGGTACAGAACTTTAACTAAAATAGTACAAATTTATCAAGGTGATGAAATTAAACCTTGCAATTGTTCACTTAGTAAATATTTGTGTGCCAAACCTCACGATATAATGATTAAAAAGATTAACATAGTTCCTGATCTCACCAAGTTTTTAGTTTCTAGCAGAAAAATAAAATTTTATATCTTTTGTCAGCCAGTTTGAAAGATAATTTTGGTGGTTTCATTTATAACTATAATAATCGCCATGAACTGCATGCTTACTATTGCTAGGCATTGTGGTAACTACTTTACCTATATTATTACCATTTAACACTCCCCAAAACATTGAGAATGAGTGATATTGTTTCCATTTTTTTTAATTATTATACTTTAAATTCTAGGGTACAGGTGCACAACGTGCAGGTTTGTTACATATGTATACATGTGCCATGTTGGTGTGCTGCACCCATTAACTCATCATTTACATAGGTATATCTCCTAATGCTATCCCTCCCCCATCCCCCCACTCCACAACAGGCCCCAGTATGTGATATTCCCCTTCCCGTGTCCAAGTATTCTCATTGTTCAGTTCCCATCTATGAGTGAGAACATGCGGTGTCTGGATTTTTGTCCTTGCGATAGTTTGCTGAGAATGATGGTTTCCAGCTTCATCCATGTCCCTACAAAGGACATGAACTCATCCTTTTTTATGGCTGCATAGTATTCCATGGTGTATATGTGACACATTTTCTTAATCCAGTCTATCATTGATGGACATTTGGGTTGGTTCCAAGTCTTTGCTATTGTGAATACTGCTGCAATGAACATACGTGTGCATGTGTCTTTATAGCAGCATGATTTATAATCCTTTGGGTATATACCCAGTAATGGGATTGCTGGGTCAAATGGTATTTCTAGTTCTAGATCCCTGAGGAATCGCCACACTGACTTCCACAATGGTTGAACTAGTTAACAGTCCCCCCAACAGTGTAAAAGTGTTCCTATTTCTCCACATCCTCTCCAGCACCTGTTGTTTCCTGACTTTTTAATGATTGCCATTCTAACTGGTGTGAGATGGTATCTCATTGTGGTTTTGATTTGCATTTCTCTGATGGCCAGTGATGATGAGCATTTTTTCATGTGTCTGTTGGCTGCATAGATGTCTTTGCCCACTTTTTGATGGGGTTGTTTGTTTTTTTCTTGTAAATTTGCTTGAGTTCTTTGTAGATTCTGGATAACTGAAGCAGAGTAGCTTGCCCAGAGTCACATAGCTACTAAGTGGTAGAGGTAGACTTTACTCATGGTCTATCTTGAGAGCCTAGGCACTTACAAAATACTTTTTGTAGAAAGGTTTATTTGTATATGGTATTAAAATAAATGTGCTTTTCTAACTTCTCTTGAGTTCACCATATTCGTCATCTCATGGCACACTATCATCGCCGCCAATGCAAGGCTAATAGTAATTTATTTCATTTTATTCCCCATTCCCCTTAGTCATTCCAATGTGTTTATTATATATTTATTTTGTAAAACATGCATTGTTTTATGTTCATGTGGGTTTTTTAAACTTTGTAATTTTGAAAGATTAGACTCACAAGAAGTTGAAAAAATGATACATAGTATGCCATGAACTCTTCACCCAGTACAGCATCAGAGTCAGGAGATTGACATTAGTATGTTTTCAACTTTTAAAAGTTTTTACATTCACTTGTGTGTATATGTGTATGTGTAGATCCGTGCAATTTGACCCCATGTATAGCTTCATGTAGCCACTGCCATAATCAAGATACAGAACTGGTCCATCACCATAAAGATCTTTGTGTACCCTTTTATGGTCACACCTGACCACTCCACCCCCAACCCTGGTCTCTCTGGCAGCTACTAATCTGTTCTGCAACTCTATAGTTTTGTCATTTTGAGAATGTTATATGAATGAAACCATGTTCTATATAACCTTCTGAGATTGATTTTTTCACTGTGCATAATGCCCTTAAGATCCATCCAAGTTGTTGCATTTATCAATAGTTTATTCCTTTTTATTGCTGAGTAGTATTCCCTTTTATGCATATACCAGTATTTATTTAACCATTCATCCAAACCATTCATCCATTGAAGGACATTTGGGTTGTTTTCATGTTTTGGCTAATACGAGTAAAGCTACTGTGAACATTCATGTACAAGTTTTTGTGTGACACATAAGTTTTCATTTTTTCTGGGATAAATGTCCAAGAATGGGATTGGTTCATATAGTAAGTATATGTTTTGTTTTAGAAGAAACTGCCAAACTATTTTCCAGAGTGTTTTACCATTTTAATAAATTCCCGCCAGCAAACTGGAGAGATCCAGTTTTGCTACATCTTGCCAGCATTTGGTGGTACCCCTTTCTTTTAAGCTGTTCAGATAGCTTCATAGACCACTACAAACTGTGTGTGGTGGGGGGGTGGGTCTGAGATGGAGTCTTGCTCTGTCCCCCAGCTGGAGTGCAGTGGCGCAATCTCAGCTCACTGCAATCTCTGCCTCCTGGGTTCAAACGATTCTTGTACCTCAGCCTCCCAAGTAGCTGGACTACAGGTGCATGCCACCACAACTAGCTAATTTTTTGTATTTGTTGTTGTTGTTGTTGTTGTTGTTGTTGTTGTTGTTTTAGTAGAGATGAGGCTTCGCCATGTTTTGGCCAGGCTGGACATTGTGGTTTTAATTTGCATTTCCCTAATGGCTAATGGTATGGAATATCTTTTCATGTGCTCATTGGCCATCCATCTTCCCTCTTTGCTGAAATGTCGGTTCACGTATTTTGCACATTGTCTCTTTCTTTATTATTTTTTAGAGACAGGGTCCCACTCTGTCACTGAGACTGGATGGCAGTGGTGCATCATAGCTCACTCAACTTCTAATTCCTGGGTTTAAGCAGTCCTCCTGCCTCAGACTGCCAAGTAGCTGAGACTACACGTGTGCACCACTGAACCAGGCTAATTTCTTTTTTTAATTTTTTTGTAGAGGTGGGAGTCTCCCTATGTTCCCCAGGCTTGTCTTGAATTCCTGACCTCAAGCAATCCTCTTGCCTCAGCTTCCTAAAGTGCTGGGATTACAGGGATGAGCCACTGAGCTCAATCTCTTTTGTCCGTTTTATAATTGTATAATTGGAGTGCTGTTTTTTGTTTTGTTTTGTTTTGTTTTTACTATTGGTTTTTTTTATTGTGGTAAAATAGACATAATGTATATTTACCATTTTACCATAAAAGTTACAATTTTAGCCATTTTAAGTGTACAATTCAGTGGCTTTAAGTACAATCACATTGTTGTGCAACCATCATCACTGTCCATCTCCAGAACTTTGTCATCATTCCTAATTGAAGCAGGAACTCCTCATTATCTCCTTCCCCAGCCCCTGGAACCACTATCCTACTTTCTGCCTCTATAAATTCAATTATCCTAGGGACCTCATATAAGCGGAATCATACAGTCTTTGCCCTTTTGTACCTGGCTTATTTCACTTAGCATAATTATTTTTTATCAATACATAAGAGTTGTACATACTTAGCATAATTCTTTTGAAGTTCAGCCATGTTGTAGCAGATGTCATAATTTTATTCCTTTTTTTGTCTTTTTTGTGATAAAAAGCATGTAACGTTAAATTTACCTTAGCCATTTTCAAGTGTACAGTTCAGTAGTGTTAAGTATATTAACATTGTTGTGGAACAGATCTCTAGAACTTTTTTACCTTGCAAAACAAACTCTATACTCGTGAAACACTAGTTCTTCCTCCTCTATCCCCACTCTTCCCAGGCCTTAGTAACCACCTGTCTGCTTTCTGTCCCTGTGATTTTGACTACTTTAGATACTTCATATGAGTGAAATCATGCAGTATTTGTTCTTTTGTGACTGATTTTTTCCACTTAGCATAATGCCAAGGTTCATCCATCTCATAGCATGTGACAGGATTCCCTTCTTTTTCAAGGCTGCATAATATTCCATTGTATGCATACATTTTCTTTATTCATTCATTGTCAGTGGGCATTTTATTGCTTCCATCTCTTGGCTCTTGAGAATAATGCTGCAGTTAACATGTGTATGCAAATATCTCTTCAGGATCCTGCTTTCATTTTTATGTATATATACCCAAAGTGGAATGCTAGATTGTATGTTAATTCTATTTCTAATTTTTTGAGAAACTTCTATAATATTCTCCATAATGGCTGCAACATTTACATTCCCACAACTATTCAAATTTCTCTGCAACTTTGCTAACACCTGGTATTTTCTGTTCTTTTGATAGTTACCATCCTAATGGGTGTGAGGTGATATCCCATTCTGGTTTTGATTTGCATTTCCCTAATGATTAGAAGTGTTAACCATCTTTTTATATGTTTGTTTGCCAATTATGGGTCTTCTTTGGAGAATTGTCTATTGAAGCCCTTTGCCCATTTTTTAATTGGTTTTTGATTTTTTGGTTATTGACTTGTAGAAGTTTCTTATATATTCTGGATATTAACCCCTTATCATACATATGAGAATTTCATTTCTTTTTAAGGCTGAATAATATTCCATTGTATGTATATACCACATTTTGTGTTTCCATTCATTTGTCAATGGACATTTGGGTTTTTTCCACCTTTTGGCTATTGGGAATAATGCTGCTGTGAACATGGGTGTACAAATATCAGTTTGAGTCCCTGCTTTCAATTCTTTTGGGTATCTACCTAGAAGAGAACTTGCTGGATCATATGATAATTGTTTGTTGACCTTTTTGAGTAACTACCGTACTGTCTTCCACAGTGGCTGTGCCATTTTACACTCTTACTAATAGTAAACAGGCTTCCATTCATCTATATCCTCACCAATACTTGTTTTTTTCTGTGTTTGTTTTTTTGGATTTTGTTTTTGTTGTTTTGGTTTTTGTTTTTGTTCGTTTGTTTTTGTTTTTTGTTTTTTTTGCTAGTAGCCATCCTAAATGGCTATGAGGTGGTATCTAATGGTTTTGATTTGCATTTCCTTAATGATTTCTTAGTGATGTTGAGCATCTCTTCATGTGCTTGCAGGCATACATATATCTTCTTTGGAGAAATGTCTATTCACATCCTTTGAATTTAGGGAATGAATTGAGTTCTTTTGTTATTGAGGTGCAGGGTGCTTTGTATATTCTGGATACGAAACACTTATTAGATATGGTTTGCAAATATTTTCTCCCATATTGTGGGTTGTCTATTCACTATCTTAAAAGTATCCTTTGATAAACAAAAGTTTCTGATTTTGATTAAGTCCAATTTATCTACTTTTGTTACCTGTGCCTATTGTATCATATGCAAAAAAGCCTCATCAAATTCAATGTCATGAAGCTTTTGCCATACATTTTTGTCTAAGAATTTTATAGTTTTAACTCTTGTGTTTAGGTCTTTGATCCATATTGAGTTAATTTTTGCATATGATATTAAGTCCAAGTCCATTTTTTTTTTTTGCATGTGAATATCCAGTTTACTCAGCTCCATTTGCCAAAAAAAATATAAACTGTCCCTTCCCCAATGAATGGTCTTGGCACCCTTGTCAAAAAAAATTTGACTGCATATACAGGGTTTATTTCTGGGTTCTCTGTTCCATAGGCCTCTGTGTCTGTCTTTATGACAGAACCACACTGTTTTGGTTAGTGTAGCTTTGTAGTAAGTTTTGAAATGAGGAAGCATGAGTCTTCTAACTTTGTTCTTTTTCTAGATTGTTTTGGCTATTCAAGGTCCCTGGAGATTCCATATTTATTTTAAGATGGAATTTTCTATTTCTACAAAGCATCATTCTCTTTGGAGCATTTTTATGATACCTCCCTTAAGCTTTTCTGTCAGATACTTCCAACATCTGAGTCACCTCAGTGTTGTCACCTGTTAATTGCCTTTTCTCATTCAGGTTGCGATTTTCCTGGTTCTTGGCCTGACAAGTAGTTTTTCGTGTTTTCCTAGACCTTTGGATGTTATAGGACACTGGATCCTATGAAATCTTTCATTTTACCAAGTAGCCGTTATTTAAGTTTAGTATGCAGCTTCTGGCCTACTCTTGTGGGCTGTGGTTTCAGTAACAATTTAATATTTAGCAAGGTTATTCTGGTCTACTTCATTCATGGGCTATCAGGAGGCCACTCAGGAAACCTGAGTGGAGTTCCACACTGTGTAATTTACTTCTCAAACCTTTGGGTGTGTTAATGCTCATCTGTTTCACATGTAGATTGGTCAGAGCCTGCCCAGGACTTCCTATACAGCTTTAAAGCGTGGTTTTCCAGCTTCCTCCTCTTCAGATCTTCCCTGAAATCTCTAGTTGGGAGTGTGAGGGGCACCCCATCACTGCTGGGCAGGGCATGGAAATCCGGACTCTCCACTCAGTCTCTGCTGACAGCATGCTGTCAGGAGAGGGGAGCACTGTCCCTAACGACCTGCTTCCACTGGGGGTGGAAGTCTATACTCCCCACCCAGTTTGTGCTAACATCATGCAGCAGGGGTGGGAAACACCCTGAGCTGCCTGCTGCCACCCCAAGGCCACCTACTACTGCCAGGTTGGGTGTGGAAGTTCATACTCCCCAGATTCCCCTCGTGGTGCCCGCAGGTACCACGCTGCTGAGGAAGGGGAGCACTGCCTTAAGCCATCTGCTACCCCCAGGTAGGGGATAGGAGTCCAGGCTTCCACTCAGTCTCCACTGACATTCCAGGGAGAAAGGACATCCATGGTGTTTACTGGCACAGGGCGGATGTTGTCACAAAAGTTTCTGTCTGGGTAGGGTCCCTCTTTCCTTTTCCTTTGGCTAGAGTCAATTGGTTTTTCTTGGAACTCTTTGTCATTACCTGTTGGAGGTTGCAGGTTGCTTTTCCAAGTTTACATCTCACCCAGACTGGTATATATGGAGAATTTTAAAAAAAGAAAAAAAAAACCAGGGAACTCACCACTATGACATTCCTCAAGTCTTGAGGTTCCTAGCCAATCTGCCTTCCTCTTTACACTTTTTGAGTCCTCTTATGATAGTCCACTGTATTATGCTCAGGGATTTTCATTGTACTTAAGAGAGGAAGATCAGGGAAAAATGAGTCTTCTCCCCTTTTTCATACCAGAAGTTTTTGAACTTTCTGTAGTTATGTGTGTTTGAGTATGTGTAAATTACTTATGCTATATATTACATAGCATATATTCAGTGTACTATAATATATACTATAATCAATAATTTATGTTTTGAGATTATACACAGATATTAGATATACCAGTATTATCTATGATTAAACTTTTACAAAAAAGTTATCTTACTATATATGTCCTTTTGCAACTTGTTTTATTCAATCATTTTGTTTTGGAGATTTATCTTTTTTATATAAATTTAAGGGGTACAAGGGCAGTTTTGTTGCATGGATATATTGGGTAAGGGTGAAGTCTGGGCTTTTAGTGTAACCATCAGCAAAATAATGTACATTGTACCCATTAAGTAATTTCTCATCTGTCACTCTCATCTCACCCTTCTGAGTCTCTGGTATCTATTATTCCACACTCTATGTCCATGTACATACATTATTTAGCTCCATTTTGATACATGTAAATCCAGTTCATTAATTTCAAATGGTATAGAGGGTTTCCCATTGTATGAATAAACTACAGTGTTTATCCATTCCTCTATTGAGCAGTTATTTTTTGTGAATGCAAGCAATGTGGCAGTGAATATCCTTGTACACATCTCCATGTGCACATAAGTAAGGGTTTCTCTAGAATATATATAGAAATGAAATTCCTATGTGGTAGAATATACACATCTCCAACTTTGTGCTTGTATATTCTGGATACAAAATAATAAGATACCACCAAACTGAGCTTTAGAGTGGTTGTCCTAGTTTATTATATTTAAAATTTTGTAAATGTTTTAAAATATTTGTATATACTATATATAATACTTATAAAATTTTATTTTATACACATTTTGTTTTTTAGGTTTTAATATAACTGCAGGAGTTGATGAAGAAACAGGATTTGTTTATGGAGGAAATCGTTTCAATTGTGGCACATGGATGGATAAAATGGGAGAAAGTGACAGAGCTAGAAACAGAGGAATCCCAGCCACACCAAGGTAGTGTAAATGTTATAATGCTGTGTAATTATACCCTTCTTTAAGAAAGCACTTACTTGTGGAATCTTTTATTCTGTTAACTATGAACTCTTTACATTAAGTCAATCAAAATTTCCCTGCCTTCTTCCCTTCATCTCCCCATTATACATTTACACAATCCTGTTGATATAAGTTATCAAGTAACACTATCTGTTCTTTTCTGTAAGTGCTCGTGGGTTGATTCTCTACAAGCACCTCAAAGGAAAGATTTATGATTCATTATCCCAGTGGTTAAGACATTTTCGTAACCTGAACTGCTTATTGATGTAAACATTTCATTATGCCCATCTTTTGCAAACATAGAAAACAACCAGTTGTTCTGTCTTTTATGCAATTCTTTCACTTTCTGAACCTTTTTTCCTAATTTTTAAATCTTTTTTCCTAATGTTTGTCATTTAAGAAGTTTTTATCATTTCAAATGCTAAATACATCATCATAAGCTATTAAAATCACTTTTAATATTACTATCACCCAAATAACGTACTTTGTACCCATTAAGTAATGTCTATTAAAATAGCTTCTGATACTGTATTAAGCTGAGAAGTTATTTTCTTATTCTAATTTTTTTTTTTGAAAGAGAGAGCCTCACTCTGTTGCCCAGCCTGTAGTGCAGTAGCACAATCATGGCTCACTGCAGCCTCTGTCTCCCAGATTCAAGCAATTCTCCTGTCTCAGCCTCCCAAGTACCTGGGGACTACAGGCGCACACTACCAGACAGGCTAATTTTTGTATTTTTAGTGAAGACGAGGTTTCACCATGTTGGCCAGGCTGATCTCAAATTTTTGGCCTTAAATGATCCACCCACCTCAGCCTCCCAAAGTGCTGGGATTACAGAAATGAGCCACTGCACTCGGCCTTTTATTCTAAATTTTATCTTCAGTAAGAATTGTCCAAAAAATAGTTGTGTACTGGGTGTGGTAGCTGACGTCTGTAATCTCAACACTTTGGGAGGTTGGGAGGTTGAGGTGGGAGGATAGCTTGAACCCAGGAGTTTGAAACCAGCTTGGGCAACATAGTGAGGCCCCATCTCTACAAAAAATAATTAATAAATAAGTTGCCATCTTTACATGCTTTACCAGTTTTTTAAAAATCTATTTGGTACATTAGATCCTTGTACTTCCCTTTTATTTTTCTTAAAAATGAGCTTTCAAATTAATGTGTCTGCCTTCCCTCACTTTCTCCAGCCCTATTTTTCATGTTTGCTATCTTTTCTCTAGTACCTTATCCCAATATTCAGATTCCTTACTCCTACCTTTTCCAACTGCCATCTTCTTTTATTCCACAATTCCCATTCTACATCATAGAATTTTTTAAAATTATGTGAGGATGATAGACAATGGCAAAACCGTGAGAGGAAAAAATCTTTACATGATATAGTACACATTCCTATAGAGTAAGGATTTTTTAATAGTTTTCATAATATGTTATATGATTCATTACAATTGTTTACCGAATGCCCTTTAAATAGTACTTAAAGGACGCCAACTTAAAGAATAAAAATACGTTTTTTAATTTTAGAGATGGGTCTGCTGTGGAAATTGTGGGCCTGAGTAAATCTGCTGTTCGCTGGTTGCTGGAATTATCCAAAAAAAATATTTTCCCTTATCATGAAGTCACAGTAAAAAGACATGGTAAGCTGGTTATTTTATTTACAAAGAACCTTCAAATGTACTATGTATATTCTCAACCTATGTAATCATCATTTGATTCTATCAGCTAATATCGGAAAACCCTTAAAATTAAGAAGAAAGAAAATTCATTAATTTACTAGTGTGAAAATTGTAACAATTCTAGTTGAACCATATTTGTCGCAACTTTGAACTGAGATAAGAAAGCAGCATAGCTGTTGCCTTTATTGTGCATGTCTTTTTCCTCACTGTGACTGAGCAAGTTGCATTTCTGTGAGCAATTTTGCAATCTTTACATGTCTTTTTCTAGAATAGTGCTGTCCAAAATAATGTGAACCACATACATAATTTTAAATTTTATAGTACCCACATTTTAAAAAGTAAAAAGAAGCAGGTGAAATTGATTACAAGATATTTTATTAAATCAGCCAGGTGCAGTGGCTCATGCCTGTAATCTCCACACTTTGGGGGGCCAAGGCAGGCAGATCGCTTGAGCTCAGGAGTTTGAGACCATCCTGGGCAACATGAAAACCCATGTCTACAAGAAATACAAAAATTAGTAGGGTGTGGTTATGTGAGCTTGTAGTCCCAGCTACTTGAGAGGCTGAGGTGGGAGGATGGCTTGAGCCCAGGAAGCGGAGGTTGCGGTGAGCCAAGTTCATACTACTGCACTCCAGCTTGGGTGGACAATACCAGACGCTGTCTTAAAAAAAAAAAAAGACATTTTATTTAACTCAGTGTATGTATATAAGATATTGTTTCAACATGTAATCAATATAAAATTATTCATGAGCTATTTTACATTCTTTTTGGGTGGTGCTACATCTTCATAATCCAGCTTATATTTTACATTTATAACACATCTCAATTCAGACTGGCCACATTTTCCAAAAGTGGATAATTTATTGCCTTGTAGTAGATAAAAATAAACTAAATATTACTATTTGTCTGTAACTAGATGTGTGAATTGTTTTGAATGATTAAAACTACCATGTCTTATGTCATTTTTCAGGAAAGGCTATAAAGGTCTCATATGATGAGTGGAACAGAAAAATACAAGACAACTTTGAAAAGCTATTTCATGTTTCCGAAGACCCTTCAGATTTAAATGAAAAGCATCCAAATCTGGTTCACAAACGTGGCATATACAAAGATAGTTATGGAGCTTCAAGTCCTTGGTGTGACTATCAGCTCAGGCCTAATTTTACCATAGCAATGGTTGTGGTAGGTGATTCGTTTGTAAAAACATTTCAAAAAATGATGTGCTAGAGTTTGCTTAGTTCCTTATTCCCATTTGTTTTCAAATTCACTTCATTGCTAAAAAGTAGTATATTGCTTACTAGCTAGTTTTAAATAGTCTTTCCTAATTAATCAAGTATTATGCGTATCACTTTTAACCTGTAACATTCAGTATCCAAAAGCCGAAAGTAATAGATGATGACTAATGAAGTGCTTCCTAGAGTTTTTCACATTCAGAGCACACATAGAAGATGTTATTTGTGGCCAGATGCAGTGGCTCACACACTTGGCGGACTGAGGCAGGAGGATCACTTCAGCCCAGGAGTTTGAGACCAGCCTGGATATCATAATGAAGCCCCACCACCATATTTGAAAAGAAAAGAAAAGAAAATGATATTTGTATAGCACAATAGGTTACATGGAGTAGGCTGCTTGTGCTAGATCCAACTACTTCAGTTAGCCCCAGGCCCCACCCAGCTACCCTGAAAGCTGAGGGTCTCTGTATCCTACACACCTGTGCTATAACCAGTGCCTCAGCACACTAGTTGGAAAGCCCTGAACTAGTGAACTAAAGTGGATAGCTTTAGTTAACATTCTGTTTTCATTGTTGCATTGCTGCAATCAGTTTGTCCGGCAAAGAATTTTAGACTCTCTGCTGTTTTAAATCTATACTTTAGTCTAAAAATAAACTACAAGGAAGTAAAATAGAGAAGGTATGTGTTCTTCTATGCCTGGCTAGCTGTTTTCACGTTGTCAAAAAGAGTACCAAACCTACTACTATAAATTATAGTAGAATGAAAAGTGTAAAAGTACACAAAGGTAGCTTTGGTTCAGCGTGGACCATTAAAATTAATGCATATTCTTGGTCAACAATGCTTTTCTCTTCTTTCTCTGTATCTCTGATAAATTTACTCATGCTATTGGAGTAAAAGTTCTGTGTTTATTTATGGCCCCAGAAGCAAACAATGGGTATCAGATGTACTTAAAGAAAGCTATTATGAATCTGCTGAAGAATGAGTTACATAAATTTAAGTGTGTGCTGTCTGGGTTCAGTGGCTCACACCTGTAATTCCAACACTTTGGGAGGCTGAGGTTGGAGGATCATTTGAGCTCAGGAGTTCAAGATCAGCCTGGGCAACATAGTGAGACTTCATCTCCACAAAAATTTAAAAAAAAATTAGCCATTTGTGGTGGTACACACCTGTAGTCCCAGCTGCTCAAGAGGCTAAGGCAGGATGATCGCTTGAGCCCAGGAGATTGAGGCTGCACTGAGCTCTGATCTCGCCACTGCACCCCAGCCTGGTGACAGAGTGAGACCCTGTCTCCAAAGGGGTTAAAATAAAAGTGTGTTCTGCCTTCAGTGTAGCTGTGGCAACTTCCTTTTGGAGCTGAGTAACTTTCTTGAGGTGACACAGAGAAATAATCACCTCTAAAGGCTTTCCTAACTTCTACGGCCAAAAACAGTCCTTCTAAGTCAGCCTCATAGGATTAGATCTGTTTAGGCATCTACACTCAAATTCTGACCCTCATGGTATTTTAAGTAATTTTTTTCAAGCTTATGAATAGTTTCTGTGGGTAGGAACTAATTCTTCTGTGATCTTAAAAATTTGTATATTTGTTTTTGGCATTCACTAGGCCCCTGAGCTCTTTACTACAGAAAAAGCATGGAAAGCTTTGGAGATTGCAGAAAAAAAATTGCTTGGTCCCCTTGGCATGAAAACTTTAGATCCAGAGTAAGTTGGAATATAAGTATTAAGAATGTTATCATATTTAATCCAAATACATTGACATCAACCATAATTTTTTTTTTTTTGCCAGGGCAACAAAAGGAGATGCCATCTCTACAAAAATAAAAGTTAAAAAAAAAATTAGTTGGGAGAGATTGTGTACACCTGTAGTCCTAGCTACTCAGGAGGCTAAGGCAGGAGTATCACTTGAGCCCAGGAGATCAAGGCTGTAGTGAGCTATGATGGCACCACTGCACTCCAGCCTGCTTGACAGAATGAGACACTGTATTAAAACACACACACACACACGCACACACACACCAAAACTCACAATTAAAGCTGACTCTTGTGACCAGCTCTCCAAAAAAAGAAAAGTAACAAATGGAGTATAGATAACTGTGTTATAAGTTCCATGTATTACAATAAAGCAATATGTATATTCAGTTGCTATTTGTAATCCGATAATAGGCCAATTTTAATTTTAAAATAATTTTATGGAGAAGCTTAAAAATCACCTTTCCAATCTATAATTAATAAAACCATGTCTTTAATTTTTATTAATTCAAATTATTCTATATATATTTCAATTATTAGATAGGCTTCAATATATTAGAGGCCTAGGAAATAGTTGACTTTAAACCAAGCCATATTTAGTGCCAGGCTAACTTCTTTAAGGCAAGATACCAGAATATTTTACATTTTTTATATTAACCAGTATTTGTTAATCATTTTTAACACATGATTAAAGTCCTGTGAACTCAGTATGTACTAATTTAAGGTTAGATGGATGATGTACTAATGCCGAGCTTATTCTGTAGAAGACAAAATAATTGATTATTTCTCTTACCTTTGTTATTGAAATTTTTCTAATGCTTTTTACATAATATCTGATCATCTTTTATTTAACTTAAATTTCAATCATTTTGCAGTGATATGGTTTACTGTGGAATTTATGACAATGCATTAGACAATGACAACTACAATCTTGCTAAAGGTTTCAATTATCACCAAGGACCTGTAAGAATTTCATTTATCTTCTGAGTTTCAGTTTAAATTATTTTTCAAGTAATTTTTAGGTATTTATGGTTTTTTTTGTCTTTTAAATAATCTTTTTTAGGAGTGGCTGTGGCCTATTGGGTATTTTCTTCGTGCAAAATTATATTTTTCCAGATTGATGGGCCCGGAGACTACTGCAAAGACTATAGTTTTGGTTAAAAATGTTCTTTCCCGACATTATGTTCATCTTGAGAGGTAAGTCATCAGGAGCATGTAATTTCCATAACTAGTGTTTAGTCAGTTTATTAGCTATTAGGTAAATTACAGTTTCTTAGAATTGATTTCTGTATGCCCTAGGTATCCCAATGAAAAGTGAAGCCTTTATTCTTTAACATGACAAATTCTGTTATATAATTTTCACTTTCTCTTATTTTGGGTTGTTATTTATTTTAAGTTGAGGTCTTGATATTGTGCGATTTATACATGTGGAATAGTCTTTGATTTTTAAAATTTCCCTGATGTTTTTGGATGTGGTTAGCACAGGATAAATATAAAAACTGAAGGTACTCAGCCTGGGCCTTTTGAGTTAATTGATTTAAAGATATATCAAGAAATAGTTTTCAGAAATGCTTTCATTATAGTTAAAATATCAGAACTGGTCTTTTGCCTGTTAGTTCAAAAAACATTTTTCACTTCCTTGTCCTAATTATTAGCAAATAGACAGTGTCAGAGTTACGTATCTTTATAAGAGTATAAATTCAGAGTGTATCTTAATTCCTCAAATTTTAGATTATACCTAAGTATATCTATATTCTATTCCTCAGATAATGAATAAACAGCACAAATTTTATCTCCTTTCTTACAAGCACATAAGGGACTTCTGCGTGTTTCATATTAATAGAGCCACTCCTGGTCTGTTTTGTTTGGTTGTCACCATGGTACAGATTTTACCATCCTTTTAAGCTATTTATGTCTTTGTATTTAAAGTGGCTTTCTTGTACATAGTAGCATGTAATCGGGCCTTGCTCTCGTGTAGCACAACAGTTTCTGCTTTTGGAATATTTAGACCATTTACACTTAAGGTCTGAAATTGTGAAATTTAAATGTTTGTTGTCTGTTTATTCTGTCTGTTCTTTGTTAGCTTTTTCCTCTTTTTGTGCTTCTTTTGCATTGAATATTTATTATTTCATTTTAATCTCCTTTGTTGGCTAATTAGATGTAATTCTTGTTTATTTAAAATGGCTGCTTTAGGTTTATAGTATATGTCTTTATAGTTTACCTTCCAGTGATATACCACTTCAAGTAAGGTATAAAGATCCTTAAAATAGTATAGTTTTATTTTTCCCCTCCCGGCCTGTGTGCTATCATCATCATCCATTTTGCTTTTACCTGTTATTACCCCCCACACTACATGGTTACTACATTTGTTTAGGCAGTCAGTTATGTTTTAATGATCTTTAAATAATATATTAAAAAGTCTAATTACTCTTATAGTTGCCATTTTCAGTGCTCTTCATATGTTTGTGATGTTCTGTATCTCCATCTTGTATCATTTTCCTTCTACCCGAAGGACTTTCTCCATCATGTCTTGTAGTGTTTGCCTCCTCATGATGAATTCTTTCAATTCTTATAAGTGTAAAACATCTGTGTTTTGCCTTTATTTTAAAGATATTTTCACTATGTATAGAATTCAAAGTTAAGCTTTTTTCTCTTTCATACTTTAAGGTGGTTACATTGTTTTGATAAGAAATCTGCATCATTTTTATGTCTAACCTACCATCACATCCATGCTGGTGTTTTTCATTTCAACGTTGTAGTTTTCATTTCTCAAAGTTTTATCTGGGCTGTTTTTATATCTTCCATGTCTCTGCTTAATGTTTTGAACATGTGGAATATGATTACAGTGACTCTTTTAATATCCTTGTCTGCTAATTCATTTCTGGGTTGCTTTTGCTTGTGATTGTTCTCTTTATTTTGGGTCATATCACCCTGCTTCTTTGCTTGGTAGTTTTTGTTTTTTGATTTTTGGAGCGACAGGGGTCTTGCTATCTTGCCCAGGCTGGTCTCGAACTCCTAGGCTCAAGCAGTCCCCCAACCTCGGCCTCCTGAAGTGCTGAGATTACAGGCATGAGCCACCACACCCAGCCATTTGCCTGGTTATTTTTTATTAGATACCAGATGTGAATTTTACCTTGTTGGGTGCTAGATTTTTGGTGTTTCTGTAAATGTTTTTGAGCTTTGTTTTGGAATGCAGTGAAATTACTTGGAAACAGTTTGATCCTTTCTGGTCTTGATTTTAAGCTTGTTAGACCTGACCAGAATAGCATTTGGTCTAGGAATAATTATTCTCCATTAGTGAATCAAGACCCATCTGTGTTCCCTACCCTGTATTTCGAAAATTATGACGTTTTCAAATCTGGCTGGTGGGAACAAGCAAGTGTTCCTGACGCTGTATGAGTGCCACATACTGCTTCTTCTCATCCTTTTGGATGGTTCTTTCCTTGTTCTTTGGTAGTTTCCTCTTGTGAATTTGCTGGTTGGTACACTACAGATACTTGAGTGGGACCCTCTGCATATCTTCAGAGTTCTCTCTTTGTACAGCTCCTTCCTCTCTAGTACTCTATCCTGCAAATTGTAGCTGCTTTGTAGTGTTCCTGGATTCTCAGTTCAACTCAAGGAAGTCTGCCAGGCTCCACCTGTGTTCCCCCTCTCTGTGCCAAATCCTGGAAACTCTCAAGGCAGTAAGGTATGGTAATCATAGGGTTTGCTTCATTTGTTTCTCATCCTTCAAGGATCGCTATTTGTTGCCTAATGTCTAATGTCTTAATGTCCAGTTCTTCAGTTGTATCAGACAGGAGGGAAATTCTGTCCATACTACTTCCTGTTTGTCACATATGGAAGTCCTTCCTTGCTTTCTGGCCCAGCAAGGTTTTCAACACTCATCTTTCACTTTCACTACCCCAGCCTGGAATTGGGCAATTCTCTAAGGATCCCTTGTTCTTTATAGTGAAAAATGTTATTTAGAAGCCAGATCTGAGCACATGGTGTATTTATTATTACTATGACCCCCAGTAGATAGGGCTAGGGAATATATAATAATACATAAACATAAGTAAATACATACACACTTATCTTCATCTCAATGTATCCTGTCTATGTGTGTTGAAAACCTGAGTTTACACCAGTTCCAAGCTATTTCTCAGTGTTTAATTCTATTTTTCTCCCTTTCTATATTTGTAATTCCCTTTTCCAACAATGAATAACCTACTTCCCACATTGGGCCATCACCACCACATAGAGTCTGCTCACCCAGCTTGGGCCTGCTACCCCACAGTAAGCCACCTCTATGTGTGGAGCCCTCCTGGCACCACTTGGATTCTAACTACCCACTCTGGACCACTCTCACCCTTGGTGGACTCCCTCTTCATACCTCTTGGACTCTAACATCCTGCTCCATACTACCTATTACCCTTTCCCCTCCATTTCTGGTCACCTACCTTGCTCTGTCCCACCTAATGACTTCAGGATGAATTTTTCAGGAAAGCAAGGGAAAGGGGACTTCCTTATATTTGTATGGATACATTCCATGTCCTAGTGTCCAAGTGTAATTATGGGCAGCATATTCATGGTTTTGTAACCTCATTTTGTTTTTTAATTTTGGTATCTGTTAGTTTGCTAGAGCTGCAGTAACAGAGCACTACAAACTGAGTGACTTAAATAATAGAAATTGTTAAACAGCAGAATATTGTCTCACAGTTCTGGAGGCCAGAAATCTGAAAAATCAAGGCATGGGCAGAGCCATGCTCCCTCTGAAGGCATTAGGGAAAGGTCTCTTCCAGCCCTGTCTCCTAGCTGCTGATAATCCTGTGGCTTGTGGCAGCAAAACTCCAATCTTCATGTGGCATTATCTTAACTAATTACATCTGCAGTGACCCGATTTCCAAACAGGTTCACATTCTGAGGTACTCGGGGCTAGGACTTCAACATACAAATTCTGTGGAGATGTAATTCAACACATTACAGATGCCCAGGTATCCAACTTCAGTCATTTGGCATTTTACTCTGATGTAGCTTGAATACTTGGAAACATACATTTTCTATATTTTCCATGTTTCTATGACAGTTTTTTAAATATGGTACCTAGCTGATATTAGTTATTATCCAAAATACCCTGTTTTACCTAATGGGATTATTTTTTCCCATTTTTACTATGAAGTATTTGATGCCCACTGAAGCGTGTATGTAATATAGCCCTGAGATACAAACCATAGTAATGAAACAAATATGTTCCCACAACCCAACTTAAAAATGAAACATTACAGATGTCTGTACTTTTTGAATTTGTTTTCATTTTTAAGGGATTACATTGAAATTAACAATAAATTTGATGTGCTAACATCACTGTGTTCTGATAAGGAGGGCTGGAACAAGTTATTTAACCTCTATAAATCTCTCTTACCTCTCTATAGATAGGAATACTTATGGTACCTTCCTTACAGGGTTACTGTGAACATTAAATGAGATAATATACATAAAAGCAGTATTAGAACATAAATGCATAATAAATACCAAGTTTATTATTCAGTAGAAAGAGAAATTAATTGGCATTTTTTTCTTTAAGTAGAAAGTATTCTGGAATGCCATTTTTCCGCCTAATCATAGTTCTTAGTGTTTCTTCATTACTTTTACTTTTACAGTTTTATCAAGATCACACATAACACATCTGCATAATTACAATTTGAGTCTCATAAACAAAATTATGCCTGAGAGAGTATTTATCTCTATGTTTATATGTAGCTTGTAATGGTAGTTTCTTCTATGTTTTTAATACATAAAGGGATTCCTTGTATTTAAAAGTCTCAAATTCCAAAGATGGAATGTCAAAGAATAATTTCAGTCTAAATTCATTTGTATGTCTTTAGGATATTGTTTTATTTTGTAGCAAATGACTACATATGATTATTTTCTACACTAGAAGGCAAAAATCACCAGGTCTTGCCTATTTTGTTAATATGAATTAAATTATGTCTTTGTAAAATGTCTTTTCTTTCATTCAGATCCCCTTGGAAAGGACTTCCAGAACTGACCAATGAGAATGCCCAGTACTGTCCTTTCAGCTGTGAAACACAAGCCTGGTCAATTGCTACTATTCTTGAGACACTTTATGATTTATAGTTTATTACAGATATTAAGTATGCAATTACTTGTATTATAGGATGCAAGGTCATCATATGTAAATGCCTTATATGCACAGGCTCAAGTTGTTTTAAAAATCTCATTTATTATAATATTGATGCTCAATTAGGTAAGATTGTAAAAGCATTGATTTTTTTTAATGTACAGAGGTAGATTTCAATTTGAATCAGAAAGAAATATCATTACCAATGAAATGTGTTTGAGTTCAGTAAGAATTATTCAAATGCCTAGAAATCCATAGTTTGGAAAAGAAAAATCATGTCATCTTCTATTTGTACAGAAATGAAAATAAAATATGAAAATAATGAAAGAAATGAAAAGATAGCTTTTAATTGTGGTATATATAATCTTCAGTAACAATACATACTGAATACGCTGTGGTTCATTAATATTAACACCACGTACTATAGTATTCTTAATACAGTGCTCACTGCATTTAATAAATATTTAATAAATGATGAATGATAGAAGTTTCCATCTACAATATATGTTCCTAAATGGAGCACAGATGTTCAAACTATGCTTTCATTTTTTCACTGATATATTAATTTTTGTGTAATGAATGCCAACAGTATATTTTATATGATTTACTTATGTGAGGAAACATGCAAAGCATTAGGAAATTTATTTCCTAAAAACAGTTTTGTAAAATTAGTATTGAGTTCTATTGAGTATTATAAGATAGCTTACATTTTCAAAATGGAAATTGTCGGTCATATTTCTAGAACTTTAAAGAAAAAAGAATGTTATATTAGTTTTCTAAAACTCAACTATCTTTAGTCATGTTCAAAAATCTATTGCTAGATCATAGTAGATACTGGTTTTCTATTAACTCAAAACCTACATTGACAAGTTTAACATTGAGAAGAATCTTAACAAAAATATGGATATGAATTCAGTAGATATCTTAAATTCAATAAAATCACTGGAAGTTTTTCATGATAACTTATTTTAAGATGCCTTAAAAATCTTAAAGTCACAAAAGGAAAAAGGTTTTTAACATTTACATGAGTTAACATTTTTTCATAGAACTTATTTCCTAGATAGAATTTTTTACTGTTTTTTACTGTTTTCTTAAGAAAACAGTTAAATCATTATGCATTCAGTTGGAAGAAAGTAGTGGCAAGAATTCTTTCATTGCTATATAATATTCAGTGGCTCATTTATACCTAATAAAATAATGGTATTTTAAAATAATGCTACTTTCAAAGTAGCATTTTTTTAGTTAGTTTACAGGTTACATACCCAAAACCTTAACTATGACTAAGAAATTAAAGAAGAAAACCAGCAAACTAAAACTTCTGGGCAGCAAAAATATATAAATGCTTCAGATGTCAAATACCCATGCTTGAAAGCTCGTGTAATTTACTTTAAGATTATCTGCCTGCTCTTCTTCAAAGCTGACCTTGCTTTAGAAATAGTTTTAACTAGCTTAGTTTTCTGGTTTCCAAAACTAAAATAGATTAAATCCTACAAATTTAAGGACAGTTGTGACAGTAATCTGACCACTATCTATAAATACATTGGACATTGGTTTCCAAATCTCCCTTTCTTCTTCAGTTCCTTCCTTGTTCAATATATACCCTTCTCTAAACTGTGCGGGTAAAAGGAATGACTGTCCTTGAGAGAACCATTAGTTTATCAAAGGTTTATGTAGTTTTGTTGCTGTACCCTAACTTTGATATTCAGGGAGGTAGGAAAGGTAACAGAAAACCAGCATATTTAATCAAAGCAAGAAGTAATCGCTGACAGTTAAATGTGACCAAAAAAATTAAAAGTTCACAATTTTTTTAATGTAGCCATTTGGGGTTATCTCTAGTAAGGCAGATACCCACGTTGGTAAATTTTTAGGATATTGTGTTGCACTAGAAAACTAAGTGGTTCATATTTCTAATGAGGAAGATTAATGAAAGAACATTGTTATATTCTGCGTGGTATATTTTAAAGTTTAAGAAGGCATGTTAAACATTATTTCCTCTATGGTAGTTAAAATACAGAATTAGATTTTTAACAGGTGTCATTTGACTAAACGTTTCGGTAGAATGCTTCATACTTGAGTGATGCTGGATAAGGTATTGTATTTCAACAATGGACTATGCCTTGGTTTTTCACTAATCAAAATCAAAATTACTCTTTAACATGATAAATGAATTTACCAGTTTAGTATGCTGTGGTATTTTAATAAGTTTTCAAAGATAATTGGGAAAACATGAGACTGGTCATATTGATGAATATTGTAACATGTGAATTGTGATCCATTTCTGATATGTCTTGAACTACTGTGTCTAGTGGGCAAATGTCATTGTTACCTCTGTGTGTTAAGAAAATAAAAATATTTTCTAAAGGTCTGTATTTTGCTTTCATTCATAGTCATTGCACCCAGCTAATTTTTTATTTTTTACTTATTTTTTATTTTGTAGAGACAGGATTCTACACTATGTTCCCTAGGTTGGTCTCAGCCTCCTGGCCTCAAGTGATCCTCCTGCCTCAGCCTCCTAGAGGCAATTAATTTGTCAGTGCTGACCAGAGTCATTTATTCAGTGCTTGCCTACTTTAGGTGCTTACCTTTTTGCAGGAGGCAGAGAGGAGGAAGAATTTTAGACTGTTTTGATTATTTATTTCATTAGGCATGTTGAAATTAGGAGCAAAATCAACTTCCAATGTATAAATCTGTTAGAAACTATACACTTCTGGTGACAATGGGCCTCCTGGAAAAATAAAAATAATTTTTTTAAAATAAATAAAAATAAGCTGCACACTTTCCTGGTACTTCTTGAAACCTTTTACTCAAGTGTGAATTTTTAATTTACCTTTGATCAACTTACAGTAAACACTACAGGCCAGAAGACATATATACGTTGCCTCCTAAAGTAGCCAAAATTTTTTTACTTTTCATTGTATTACTGAATAATATACATATTTATAGAAAAGCATCTAATGACCAAAGTTGATCAGTTTGGTCTTTGCCTTAGTTTCTGTTGGTTTCTTTTTACTGCAGATATGCATATCTTCATCTTCAGATAAAAGATATTAACCTAAAAATCCAAACCTGTAACTACCACAGCAAACTTGCCAAAATTACTTACATAGAACCTCAATGTGCCAATATAATAAACTCATGGAATTTGCTTAGTAGTTGTTGGTTCCCTCCCCCAACCCCCCCAATTTGTATGAGCCTTGAATTATAGAGTAGTGCTAATACTTTGTCATTCTGGCTGTAGTTATTTTGGTTAGAGCAGGGGTTTTGTTTTTGTTTTTTTAAAGAGTCTTGCTTTGCTGCCCAAGCCTGATGACAGACAGCTCATTACAGCCTCAACCTCCTGGGCTCAAACTACCCTCCCACCTCAGCATCCCAAGTAGCTAGGATGACAGGCGTACAACTACTGCACCCACCTAACTTTTGCATTTCTTTTTTTGTAGAGATGGGGGTCCACACTGTGTTGTCTAGGCTGGTCTCAACCTCCTGGGCTCAAACTACCCTCCCACCTCAGCATCCCAAGTAGCTAGGATGACAGGCGTACAACTACTGCACCCACCTAACTTTTGCAATTCTTTTTTTGTAGAGATGGGGGTCCACACTGTGTTGTCTAGGCTTGGTCTCAACCTCATGGGCTCAAGCAATCCTCCCACCTCAGCCTCCCAAAGTGCTGATTATATAGGCGTGACCATTTCTGGCCAGCTTTTTTCTTTAATCAGATCTTTCAGCACTTGCCTCCACGTTTGTAATCTCTACTGTCTCCTCAAAATTTACATCAGTCTCAATAATAACCATTGTTTCTATTTCCAGTTTTATTTTTTTTATAAGTGCATGTGGTATGAGATGAGACATTACTTAGGCTTTTTTTTCCAAATTGTTAAATCCCAAACTTATAAGTTGAATATGATTTATGGGAAGTCCTTTTTTAATCTTGCATTATTCTTTACTAGTAGGGTCTACTTCTAGAATATACTGTTTTCTGTGCCCATTCACCTATTTCACTATTACAGTTTTTGTTTTAATATTTGTTAGAGCATTTTGTCACCACGTTTTTCTCTCATCGGTTCCCTCGTCTTCTTTTTCAGAATCTTATTTATTCCCACCTATTCTTTGTATGTATTTTTCCAAATCCAAAAAGTATTCTCAGCATTTTTACTAAACAAGCCCTCATACTATTAATTTGATAACAACAGACATATTGACATTATTTAATCTTAAAACATAAGCTATTTATTTAAAAATTTTTAGCTTGTTGGAATTCTTCCTAATTTTTATGTTTATGATTGCTGTGGTCCATTTTGGTTCAATTTGGTGGTCAATTGGTCAGAATCGAAAATTCAGATTCAAGAAACATTTATGGAGCCCCTACTATATAAGCAATTTTACATTGGAGGTATTATATCCCTTTTGTAAATCAGAACATTGATAATCTTACCATAAATCACATAGTGGATAAATTGTTGGACCCAAGACTCAAACTCTGATTTTCCTACCACAAATCCTCTTACACAAACCCTCAAGATTGCTGTCTTCTGTGCTTGCCCTCCTGCTTCCTGCAACCATCAACCCACAGGACCCACTGTTGATATTATCGGTTTCCCATGGAAAGCATTTAGGTCTGTTCTCCTTGGGCCTAGGTATACTTCCTTATTATTACCTGGCCAAAATTCTGTATCTGCAGCCATCTGCACTAATCAGATAACCCCATGTGTTCCTGGCTAAATGTGTAGACTTGGTGCCAAGCATGGGCTAGGTTATACAAGTAGGATAAATTTGGAAATATAAGTATCTTATCAAGGACAGTGAAACAGAAAAGTCAGAGACAACAGGAAGTGTTAATAATTAAGAGAAGGCCAACTGGTTAAAGTTGGTCCAAAGGAATTTCGGCCAAAAAGTGGGGCCCATGCCCATGCATTTTTAATACCAAAGGAAACAATCTATGGAAATTCACTAAAAAATATGGCACTTAATTCTGCAAGTGTTCAATGTTAATATATTTATTGTAATGGATATATTTTCAAAGTACAAAACTGAGCACTAAGTCTTATTAGATATCTTTTTTACCACATAAAGGAGCAGTACTCCAAAAATGATTTATCTTGGCTCCCACATCACATTCAATGGATCACAAAGTCTTTTCACTTTTACCTGACTGCAGATTTCTACTCGTACTCTTATCTTGTGCATAGATTAACACAATAATCTTTAAATTGATCACAATTTATCCCTCATGGAACTATGAGGAAAACCTTTCTTGAACACTGATGCTGTCCATCACTGGTCAGAGGACATTGAGGATTCGCTATGATTTGGCCTCAGTCTCTTTCCAGTCCTATTGTCTTAGTGTCTCCTTGCTGTTTCCAAAGCTGATTACTTGCCTCCCTGAAACTTTGTTTCTTCAATTGTAAAAACAGTGACTGTAACATCTGTGGGTAGTAAGAATTCACGAGGGCAACCCATAGTGTATTTAAGTTTCACTGCCTATAATAGAACCTAAATAACAATGGTCTACATAAGATAAATGTCGAAGGTGTGCACCCCAGATTTGATATGATGGTTCCATTGTCATCAAGAACCAAAGCTAGCATTTAATGACATAGAATATTCAAGAACTTCTCAAATATTTCTTTTAATATGAGCTTATTGTCTCTTAGATATTATAAGCAGGGGTAGACAATAATCTGTTTACTTTTTGTAATGTTTTTAGCGGCAGAGTCTCACTCTGTCACCCAGACTGGAATGCAGTGGTATGATCATAGTTTACTACAGCCTCCAACTCCTGGGCTCAAGTGATCCTCCTGCCTCAGCCTCTCAGAGAGCTGGCACTACAGCCATGTGCCACCAAGCCTGGCTAATTTTTAATATTTTGTAGATATAAGGCTTCACTGTGTTGCCCAGGCTGGCCTCAAACTCCTGAACTCAAGCGACCCTCTAGCCTCAGCCTCCCAAAGTGTTGGGATTACAGGCATGAGCCACTGCACCCAGCCTATTTATTTTAACAATAGGGGAAACAACTCAAATTTTACATCATCTAAATTGATGGCAAATTTTAAGGCTTGGCTAAAATAACAAATTTTCTCACCTAAAAAAAAAATCTGTAATTTTATACTTAAACTCTAAAGAAGCAGAAGAGCTATTACTGAAGTCTTTACTAATAAAGCAAGATAGAATTTTATAGGAATTTTTGTTCGTTTTGGTTTGGTTGATTTTAATTCTACTTTGGTCTTTCTCATCATTGGACAACGTGGGGAAATGTATTTCAGACAAATAAATGAACTAGCTTGCAATAAATAGAGTGTGACTGTTTGATAGACTTCCCTTCTTTCTGAATGTCTACAAAAGATAAGCTTTTTTATTTTCTTTAAGCAACTTCAAAGCATTAACTCTTAGACCTAGAGATCGGTTTCCTTTTTTTTTTTTTTTTTGAGATAGAGTCCCACTGTTTTTCCTAGGCTGGTCTTGAATGCCTGAGCTCAAGCAATCCTCCTGCCTCAGCCTCCCTCAGCCTTCAGAGTAGCTGGGATTACAGGCATGCAACCCACATCTGGCTAGAGATCTATTTCTATTAGAGATTCACTTACTGGAATTCAGCTCTGCATACTCAGAAATAAGCAAATATATGCTTCCCTGGGGGGGTCTTCATTTCTGTGTGTTTCTCATAATGTCATTGTTCCACTGAGCCAATTGTGAGTCCAGTGTTTAAAAATATACCATTTCCATAAGACACAGTTCCCTAAACCAGTGCTTCCAACCCTTTACATGTTATAGAACACATGTAAAAAGGTAAGCTTGGACTGAGTGTGGTGGCTCACGCCTGTAATCCCAGCACTCTGGGAGGCCAAGGTGGGAGGATTGTTTGGGCCCAGGAGTTTGAGACCAGCCTGTGCAATATAGTGAGACCCCCATCTCCACAAAAAAATTTAAAAATCAGTCAGGCATGGTTGTGCACACCTGTGGTCCCAGCTACTTGGGAGGCTAAGGCAGGAGGCTCACTGGAGCCCAGGAGGTCAAGGCTTCAGTGAGCTGTAATTGCACCACTGCACTCCAGTCTGGAAGACAGTGCCAGACCCTGTCTTTAAAAAAAAAAAAAAATTATATATATATAGCTTGGGAGGCTGAGACAGTGAGACAGGAACAGGAAGATCACTTGAGCCCAGGAGTTCAAAACCACCCTGGGCAATAAAACCCCATCTCTACTAAAAAGTTTAAAAATTTGTTTGGTGTGGTGGCACACACCTGTGGTCCCAGCTACTAAGGAGGCTGAGGTGGGAGGATCACTTGAGTCCGGGAGGTCAAGGCTGCGGTGAGCTATGATCATGCCACTACCTTACAGCCTGGGTGACAGAGCGAGACCCTGTCTCAGAAAAACACACAAGAAAAAGACTGGGCTTAGTGGCTCACATCTGTATCCTAGTACTTTGGGAGGCTGAGACTGATGGATCACTTAAGGTCACGAGTTTGAGACCAGCCTGGCCACCGTGGTGAAACCTTGTCTCTACTGAAAATACAAAAACTAGCTGGGCATGGTGGCACACACCTGTAGTCCCAGATACTTGGGAGGCTGAGGCAAGAGAATTGCTTGAACCCAGGAGGTGAAGGTTACAGTGAGTTGAGATCCTGCTATTGCACTCCAGCCTGGGTGACAGAGTGAGACTCTGTCTCAAAACAACAACAACAAAAAGATAATTAGCATACTGTGGTAAAAGAGAGGTGGATACTTCTGGCTGGTGACAAACAGCCAGAGACGCGTTGCCTAAAGAGCTAAGGAAAACTGTTTCATCACTCCTGTAACCCATTCATCATAGAGTCCTACATGGGTTGGGAAGCTGCCCCCAACACAGAGATCAATTACTATATCTTGTGCCCAATCTAAGGAAGAACAAACCACTTACAATTAAAGGAGAAATTGTTATGTTGGACTTAAGGGGATAGTTTATCAGTTTTCAGCCTATAAATTTCTTTTGTTGTTTTGTTTGTTTTCTTTCAGTGAATGGAATATAAATTTCTTATGGAATGTTTAAGTATAATTGCTTTCCTAGAGAAAAAGAAATTGTGTTTTGAAACATAATATATGCATTTTTAAAGAACAACAATTAAGTGAACAGCATGAACCCACCACAGAGTTGAAAACGAAGACAAATATCCTGCCCCTATTTTAGACAATACTACAGCCAAGCAAAGATAGTAGCTGTTTATTTCACAAATTCCTGTCTAGGAAGATGAGACTGTAAACCAACTAAAACAGCTAGCTCACCAGTATTTTTCTGATAATTATCTTGCTCATCAAGATTTATTTTAAAACACTTGCCTCATTTTGTCCACCAATACAAAGCTATTATTTTTAAACTCTGCCTAATCCCAACCAGCTCCATCTTGCAATACCTGCCTTAAAAATCACCCAGCCATGTTCCAAAACTCTGTAAATACCTTTCCCTAACTTACCCCTTCTGAGAAAATACCAAGATTTTGTTAAGATGGTATTTTTCCTTGCAGCAATATTTAAGACGTGACCAACAGATTTTTCTGGAGGTATTTTATGGGAGATTTTTACAGAGCTTTAGAAGATAACCTTACCAGTATCACTAAAGTGCACTGCCTGCCCCTCCAAATTAGATTCCCTCTCTGCCACTGGTGGATTCTCCCTCCTGATTTTATGTTAGTTATTTTCCTAATTATCTCTATAGTGTTATATATGTATATCTTAATATACGATTTAGTTTTGCCTGTTTTAACCGTTATATATTTGGAATTCTATTATTTCTAATCTTTTTAAATTTAATTTTTGTAACATATTATGTTCTTGAGATTTATTCCCATTGATGAGTGCAGCTTGTGGCTCATTTTTCTTCTCTGCCATAGTTGATTCCATTGTTTGAATAAACCACAATTTATACATCCCTTCAAACGATTCTCTATAAGAAAATAACACCAACTTTAGTCTCTTTTTTCAATTTAAAAATAAATTTTCCAATATCTTTTTTTTTTCTTAATAGAGATGGGTTTCACTATGTCGCCCAGGCTGGTCTTGAACTCCTGGCCTCAAGGGATCCCCTCCCCCTCAACCTCGGCCTCCCAAAGTGCTGGGATTACAGACATGAGCCACCATGCCTGGCCAGCTTTAGGCTGTACAGTTCTTTTGTTCACAATATGTGGCATATTACCCAAAATAAAGAAACATTTGAAGAGAAAAGCAACTGTGATAAATAATCAAAAGAAAAAACAGACGAGATGCAGATCAAAATGATGCACTTGCAGAGGTTAGCTGATAGGCCTTTTCAAATAAGATTATAGACATGTTAAAAAATAAGAGAAGGAAATGGTGGCTTACACCTGTAATCCCAACACTTTGGGAGGCAAAAGCAGGAGGATTGCTTGAAGCCAGGAGCTCAAGACCAGCCTGAGCAACATAGGGAGACCCTGTCTCTAAATTAGTAAATAAAGGAAAACACAGAGAATTCCAAAAGAGAATTGGAATCTATATAAAAGTATCAGAAGGACATTCTAGAACTGAAAAATATTAATCTGAAATTAAGAATTTATATATAGAGTAGTTTTAACAGCAGACTGAGTGCTACAAGTAATGAAATCAAAGGCCAATCAATTAAAAATATCGAAACTAATGTAAAAAGAGAAAAATAACGGAAAGAACCAAGCACCGCTTGTGAGACACATGGGACAGTGTCAAACAGTCTCACACACTTGTAATTGGAGTCTCAGAATCAAGGAAAATGATAACAATGACTGAGAGTTTTTGAAAACTATTTATTGCTCACATTTTACCCCATCTGTCTTATTTTCTTAATTATTCCTCTTCACACACACGCACAGTACAGTTAACTCCAGTAAATTTAACATTGATGAAACTTTCATCAAATACACCTTCTAATTTCAGTGTTGTCAGTTCACTGAATAATGTCCTCCATAGCTTATTTTCCGTCGAGTACAGGGTCCAGTTAAGATCAGGTGTGGCATGCAATTGTCATCTCTTTAGTTCCCTTTAATCAGGAATATTTCCACAATATTTCTTTGTCATTTATGACATTTTTGAAGAAAAAAAGTTACCCCACCTCTTACCAAAAGAATATTCTTCATTTTGGGTTTATATGAAACATTCAGAAAGGCAAATACATAGACACAAAGAGCAGATTAATGGTTGCCTGGGGATTAGAATGGGAAGGGAAGAGGGAGTGACTGCAGTTGGGCATAAGCTTTTTTGTGGGGATGATTGAAATGTTCTACCATTAGATTTTGGTTTTTGTTATATAACTTTGAAAATTTACTAAAAATCATTCATGTATATACTTTAAATGGGTGAACTTTTTGGTAAGGAAATTAATTTCAATAAAACTTATTTTTTTTTTTTGAGACGGTGTCTCACTGTGTAGCCCAGACTGGAGTGCAGTGGCGCGATCTCGGCTCACTGCAACCTCCGCCACCCGGGTTCACGCCATTCTCCTGCCTCAGCCTCCCGAGCAGCTGGGACTACAGGCGCCCACCACCACTCCCAGCTAATTTTTTGTATTTTTAATAGAGATGGGGTTTCACTGTGTTAGCCAGGATGGCCTTGATCTCCTGATCTCGTGATCCACCCGCCTCAGCCTCCCAAAGTCCTGGGATTACAGGCGTGAGCCACCGCGCCTGGCCACTTTTTTTTTTTTTTGAGACAGAGTCTGGCTCTGTCGCCCAGGCTGCGATCTCGGCTCACTGCAAGCTCCACCTCCCGGGTTCACGCCATTCTCTTGCCTCAGCCTCCCAAGAAGCTGGGACTACAGGCACCCGCCACCATGCCTGGCTAATTTTTTGTGTTTTTAGTAGAGATGGGGTTTCACCGTGTTAGCCAGGATGGTCTTGATCTCCTGACCTCAGGATCCACCGCCTTGGCCTCCCAAAGTGCTGGGATTACAGGGGTGAGCCACCACTCCCGGCCCAATAAAGCTTTTTTAAAAAGTTAGATGCAGAGAGAAGAAAATATCAGAAAAACTATGATTAATATCCTCTAAGGTATAGGAGGAGATATTGCATTCAGGAAACAAGAACAGGATGCTATTGTTAAAAAAGGAACACCTGGGGACATAAAAAGAGCTCTTAGATATTGAAAACTCCAGCAGAAACAAAGAATTATACAATAAAGTTCAAGAACTTTCCCAGGGGAGCCAGGATGATGTTGAAGGGAGATCTCAAGGTGACATTTGTAGAGTGGACCTAGAGATCAACCAGTGCAGATTGGAGCTATCCAAGGAAGAGGGTTCTCTAAGTCATTAAAATTGATGGGATACCTAGTGCGTTTGAACTTTTAAGAGGATTCCTAGGTAAAGAAGTAGGGCTAGATTGTTCCTAAGTACTTAGAAAACTAAGCAAGCAATAACAAAAATAGATATTTAACAATAGAGGAAATAACGTTTTGCAGAAAAGGAAAGGTAATTAAAGTATACCATATGGCTCAGCTGTTAATAAAACTTAAAAGAGTTATTAGTACCATAAATGGTGAATTTTTATTATAGCAAAGTTATGATGAAGTTATACTGACTGGACTGGGGATGGAAAATGTGTTTGCCGTAGAGGCTAGGAGGAATGGGAAGGTGTGTGTGAAAGATAATTAAATGGACATCTTCCATAAAAGTCAATAAGTAATGCCTAAAATTGAAAAAAGAAAAAAACAAGAAATAGCAATATAAACATGTTACATAGCAACATGCAGGTAATACCCAAAACAATCAGTTCAGATATGAAATGGCTGGAAGAACATGAAAGATCAGTAGAAGTTGGGGCTGACTGGGTGAACTGGTGTTTGGGGAACAAAACTTACAGATCTCTTAATACTGTGGGCAAGGAAGCTTTGATGAAAATAAAAAAAATAGGCCAGGTGCAGTGGCTCACGCCTGTAATCCCAACACTTTGGGAGGCAAAAGGCAGGTGGATTGCTTGAGGTCAGGAGTTTGAGACCAGCCTGGGTAACATGGTGAAACCCCATCTCTACTAAAAATACAAAAATTAGCCAGGCTTGGTGGCACAGGCTTGTGATCCCAGCTACTTGAGAGGCTGAAACACAAAAATAGCTTGAACCCGGGAGGCAGAGTTTGCAGTGAGCCAAGATCAGGCCACCGCACTTCAGCCTGGGCAACAGAACGAGACGCTGCCTCCAAATAAATAAATAAATAAATAAATAAAAATTTAAAATAAAATTACATGAAATTAAAAATTGAACCTAGAGAAGAAAAAAGAAATACTGGTCCGTATTAGGAAAACACAGGGACATTTCTGCCTTCAAGACATCTGGCTCTGGTTGTTCTTAAGAAGCCAAAGAGATGTATATTTCTATTAAATTATGTACATCAAGGGTGATTTTAATAAAAAGATCCAGTAACAGAAAATTACTAATGTCCTCATTTCTGAAATGATGTTCAGGAAACTTCCATTTCATGAGCAGGTGAAGAAGAGGAACCCACAAAGGAGATAAAATCTGAGTTTTAGGTTCCCCTCTGCAAGGTAGGAAAATAGACACTCACTTTATGATATTGCCAAAAGGATTTCCTTCTTTGCCAAGTTTTAAGTTCCCAAATTTTATCTTCTTTACCTCGTTTTAGAAGAGAATGAGAGAAAGAAAAGGCAATGAATGGCAGTGTACTGGTGCCTGGTGAGACATTCTCCTTTTTAACTAAGCAGTATTCCTTTCTGCTTTTTCTTTCCTCAAATCCAAATCCTTGGAGATAGGAATCCAGCACTAATAACTTTCAAGCCCCCTAGGGGAGTCTAATTAACTGTTAGGGTTGAGACCACTGCATCAATGGAAGTCAGGATTCTGAAGCCAACAAGTTTGACTACCAAAATAAATCAAATATTTTCTGTCATCTTGCCTTTTTTGCCTTTTATACAAAATGTTTACAAACCTGTGATCATATACAGATAACAATTTCATACCCAGATATTCATTTTCAACAGGTATACAATTATTTCATTATGTATCATATGAGAATTAATTTGTTCTAAGGGAAAAGTTCCAGGTGTAACACTTCTAGCTCTGTGTTCATGTACATGAAAACTGAGGTTCACAAGAATTAAATGACTTACAAATAAAATGAATATCATACCTTAGGAATCTCGAGATATGAGAATGAATACTCTCATATCTCAGGAAAGGAATAGTCACAGGAATCTAAGAATTAAGTGAAACAATCTGTCTAAAAATACCAATTTAAAAATAGCATTCATATAAGATGGATTATTCCATTAGAACAGTGATTTTCAGCCAGGTGTGGTGGCTCATGCCTGTAATTCCAGCACTTTGGGAGGCCAAGCTGAGAATCCCTTGAGGCTAGGAGTTCAAGACCAGCCTGAGCAACATCACTAGACCCTGTCTCAAAAAAATTTTTTTAATTAGCCAGGTGTGGTGACATTTGCCTGTAGTTCTAGCTACTCAGAAGCCTGAGGCTAGAGGATTGCTTGAGCCCAGTAGTTAAAGGTTACAGTAAGCTATGATCACACCACTGCACTCCAACCTGGGTGACAGAGCAAGACCCTATCTCTATTAATAAAACAAAATTAATAAATTGCCTCTCTGGAGAGATTTACCAATATCTGGAGACAATTTTAATTGTCACAGCAGAAGAGTGCTACTTGCCTCTAGTGTGTTGCTAAACATCCTATACAGCATAGGACAGGTCCTCACAGTAAAAAATTATTGCAGCCCAAAATGCCAACAGTATTGAGGTTGAGAAACCCTGTACTAGAATACATTAATATTTAAAACACAAAATAAGTGACTTTTATATCTCAGTATTACCTTTATAATCTCCAAAATTACTTCTATCTTTCAGTAAAATGAATATTCACCACATTAATAATTGGCTGAATAATTGGTTATATTGAAAGCAAAAAGACATGGCTTTGAAGCAGCAGCGAGAGTTTAAGCTTGGTTTAAAGCATCAAAAGGGCCACTACTCTTTTTGAGAAGTTTCCTGGTTAGAATTTACTAAAACCTAATATATTTTTCTTTACATGGGGCCCTAAGACTCATCCTATTCTTGGATGCATTACTAAGGTACTCACTCTCATTCAACCACTACCTAATGACATGACATAAATGACTCAGAATGCCCTTATGATAGAGGCAGGAGGCAGACAAATGCCTAAGCAGATAGGGACAGGTCCTCAGTGAAACCCTACCTCCAAGCAGAAGACAGTTTAAAGCCTGAAAACCAAGCTACAAGTCAAATCCATGGACCAGATTGAGAACCTGTCTTCCCATTTGACATGCTTTTCTCTGATCCCCAAGCTTCACCTACTTTACATATACCTACCCTTTCCTAATTGGTTTTCTACACTGCCATGCCCACCTTTGAGTGGTGCCTTTCTTTGCATACTCACAAACCAATCAGCACACACTCCCTTATTTTGAGCCCATAAAAGCCCTGGACTCAGCCACACTGGGAGAGAAACCACCTGACTGCAAGGATGGGGGACCACCCCCATTGTCCCCTCCCCACTGAAAGCTTTTCCATCACTCAATAAAATTCTTGTTCACCCTCTTCACCCTTCAAATTGTCAGTGTATCCTCATTCTTCTTGGATGCAGGAGAAGAGCTCGGGAACTGCCTAATGCGGGTATAAGTCATAACACAAGCAGGCCGAGTGGGCAGGGTGCCTCCAGCAGCAGGCCCAGGGCCAAGCAAGGCCCAGGCAGTCAGGGGGCAGCACCAGCTGTGGATGTCCTCAGTCAGCAAAGTGGCTGAGAAAAATCCTGCAACACTTAGAAATGGAGTACACTTTACATGGAACACTGGAGGTCAAACTTCTGCCAAATCCATCAAACCATTCAACAGGCCTGTGAGAGCCACAGCATCAAACCCAAGACTACTACACAATCTAATGTCTTGACAAAAGTAAGTCAGATGGTGGAAAGGCTACATGCTGTGTGTTAAAGACTGCTTCCTGATCTAACATGTTTAAAATTCCAAAAATTGTTCATAGGTGCTATGTTTTATTGACATTTAACTTGGAAATGCATTTACCAGCTGGTTGCCATAACTTCCTTCCTACCCTGGAGGCAGAGGTTGTGGTGAGCTAAGATCGCACCATTGCACTCCAGCTGGGCAACAAGAGCGAAACTCCGTCTCAAAAATATATACGTATATTTTTTTTTCTCAGAAATGAAAATTTCCTTTCCTTTTGGACCAATATTGACCATATTTCTTTTTTTTTTCTTTTTTTTTTTTTTTTTTTGAGACAGGGTCTTGCTCTGTTGCCTAGGCTGGAGTACAGTGTTGCAATCATAGCTCAATGTAGCCTCAAACTCCTGGGCTCAAGTAATCCTCCTGCCTCAGCCTCCTGAGTAGCTAGGACTATAGGCACATGCCATCATTTCTAGATAATTTTTTTTTATTTTTTAATTTTTTGTAGAAATGGGGTCTTGCTTTATTGCTCAGGCTGGTCTCAAATTCCTAGACTCAAGCGTTTCTCTTGTTTCAGCTTCCCAAATCACTGGGATGATAGGCATGAGCTACTGTGCCCGGCCATGTGGGTGTTTTTGAATAATAAATGTAAAGGAACTCCAAATCAAGCATTACTTTTATATTCATGACATTGAGATTTGTGTATAAAAGAAAACAGTTATAGATTATCATACAGATATTTGTTTCCCATTTCTCCTTAATTGGGGATCTCAGGTCATTATGATTCAAAATTCAAAACATGGGAAAAACAGACAGACTTATCCTTAGAAGTTAAATTGATCTACTTAATTGTAGAAAAGTGAAGACTTTCCCTCTCTACCCTCTGAGAGTTCAATAACTCAGCCTCTGAAACATACTAACAACAGGCAAATTAATAAGAGAAAAGGTATATAAATTGATTACATGTGTGGTGGCATCACAGGAAGAAAAGTACCTGAAAAACCGGGAGATTTAGGAGCTTATATACCCTCTACATAGGCGAGAAGGAAGCCAGGGATGTAGCCAATTTCAGGCAGAGTAAATGATTTTGGGAAAAGATGAATGGCCCTTAGAAGAACAGATGATCGTTTGTGACATTTGTCTAAGTGTGGTGTGGGCTTCTAGTCTCTTCTCTTGTGATTGAGATAAGCTTCACTGGTGGATGAAACTCCTGGAAGAGTTTCACTGATGGAAAATTGATGACAAATTGAGTTCCTTTGCGGTATCTATCTTTAGACAGATAAGGGGAGTTCAGAGAAAGCGTCTCCCTGCATATACTGTTTTCAAGTGTCTTCAGCTCAAAGTATTACACCAAAGCACCATATTTTGGGGCGGCATTTCCTGAACCCCTTCATAAAGAATTGGAGAAGATTGAGAAAATAGAGAGCAGAGTTTCTGTGGAGTTAGATGCTAAGGGTAATCAGGCTGGGTTCACTTCACCCCACCCAGCCGCCCCGATTAGATGAATGTTTTTGTCTTCTCTCAATTCTCTGAGTCTTGCTGTCTAGGATCAGCCTTCAGAACAAGTGTTCAGTAATATTTCTCTGAAAGAAAATGAAAGTCACAGGTCATGGTCAAACTTCCATTTAACTCTAACCTTTAGCAAGAGATGCAACCAAAAAAAAAGCTGATAATTCAGTTTAAGTCCCTTTAAAATAACCTTGCACACTGAAGAGTAGCAGGATATGCCACCCCAAAATATGCCAGCTTGGCATAAGGATTATTTTGAAAGGTGCAGCAAGAATAGTGATTGATTATACAGGCTCTTTTGAAGTCTGCTTTGCTGCAAGTTTCAATAAAGAATTTCAGATTGGAGTTTTAAAAGCCCCTCAAGTATAGGAAGCCACACCAAGGACTCACCAACAGATGTCTCTTCTCAAGGTTCCCCAAATATTCTGAAGTTCCTGGGCCTGCCAGAAAGTGATCTTTCTCCCCAGTAAGGTTAGGAACTCCATAGGCAAGGTACAAAGCCAGTTGTTTTCAAGGGGCTTTATTGGTTCCATAAAGTCAATCTTAATTCCTTAAAACTGTCTGTCTTATCTGGGGTTTTGTTTGTTTTTTGAATCTCGCTCTGTCGCCCAGGCTGAAATGCAATGGCGCAATCTCGGCTCACTGCAACCTCTGCCTCCCAGGTTCAGGTGATTCTCCTGCCTCAGCCTCCTGAGTAGCTGGAACTATAGGCTTGCGCCACCACGCCCAACTAATTTTTGTATTTTTAGTAGAGACGAGGTTTCACCATAATGGCCAGGCTGGTCTGAAACTCCTGACCTGGTGATCTGCCCACCTCAGCCTCCCAAAGTGCTGGGATTACAGATGGGAGCTACTGCGCCCAGCCTGTTGTGTCTGTTTTTAAGCATATCATTCACAAATGTGACATCTGAGTCAAAGTCTTGGTAATATAACTACTTCTATTTGTGCCTTGTTGCAAGGAGAAAAAGTTCTTATTGAACTTAGGTGAATAACTGTGTTGTCATGAAATAAGAATATTTGATAAGAGATTCTGATTCTGGAGGGATCAGGTATGGAGAAAAAGATAAACGTTTTGTTTTGTTTTTCATTTAAAAGTGTATAACCTACCAAATTGCAGTAAGTTATAGATGATTGAAGAAAGTAAGAGAAAAAGGGTTTCTTTAAATTTGGAAAATGGCCAGGTGTGGTGGCTCACACCTGTAATCCTAGCACTATGGGAGACTGAGGTGGGAGGATCACTTGAGGCCAGGAGTCTAAAACTGGGCAACAAAGTGAGATTTTGTCACTTCGAAAAATTAAAAAAATTAGCCAGGCATGGTGGCACACTCCTATAGTCCTAGCTACTTGGAAGGCTGAGTGGGGAGGATGGCTTGATTCCGGGAGTTCCAGGCTACAGTGAGCAGTGATTGCTCCACTGCACTTCAGCCTGGGTGACGGGAATCCCTGTCTCAAAAAAAAAAAAAAAAAAAAGCCTGGAAAATAAAACGCTGAAGAACCAGAAATATTTCAAACAAAATAGCATAGATATTGTAATCATCCTCATCAGTTCACTTAATCCCATGTAACTAATTCTTGTTGTTGTTGTTGCTGAGACAGTCTTGCTCTGTCGCCCAGGCTGGAGTGCAGTGGTGCGATCACAGCTCGATGCAACCTCTGCCTCCCGGGTTCAAGCAATTCTCACGTCTCAGCCTCCCAAGTAGCTGGGATTATGGGCACCCATCACCTTGCCTGGCTAATTTTTGTATTTTTAGTAGAGGTGGGGTTTCACTATGTTGGCCAGGCTGGTCTCAAACTCCTGGCCTCAAGTGATCCACCCACCTGGGCCCCCCAAAGTGCTGGGATTATAGGTGTGAGTCAACGTGCTGGGTCCCCGTGTACCTAGTTCTTGTTTTACTTGATCTTGGTTTAACAGTCTTACATATCAATCGGTTTCTTTATTAGTGTTTTGAAAATTCTTACCGAGTCCAGTGGTATGACCTTAAAGTTTTCAGAAATCTGTGCTTGTCAGAGTTTTTTCCATGAATCCTTTGAAAAGAAAATACGTTCAAATTATAGGTGTTTGCAGGAATTATAGGAAGGCATCTTATTAAACAAATTAACTGTCTGCAGAAGACAAAAGACTTAAAATGTTGATGCTTTAAGACCTAATGAGAGCTCATTATAATGCAATTGACAAGAAAATTTGGTTATTTTTGTGACATATCACTTTAAGATAACTAGAATTATGACTTATACTAGGACATATCAAATTTCCAGGAATTTTATGCATTTCTGGAAGACTTATATTAATAATATATACCTATATAAATATAGCATAAAGGAGGTTAAGCATCACTTCTTACTTGACAATGCTTCCCATTTGCTTAAACTTATCAAGGAAGCTTGATTAGCTTAAGATCTTTCTTTTAATAAGGAAAGAACAAACCTGGGCAACAAAGTGAGATCCTATGTCTGCAACAAATTAAAAAATTAGGCAGGCATGGTGGTATGCACCTGTAGTCCCTAGGTGCTTGGGAGGCTGAGGCAGGAAGATCACTTGAACCTAGGAGTTTGAAGCTGCAGTGAGCTGTGATCACACCATTGCACTCCGGCCTGGGCAACAGAATGAGACCCTGTTTCACACAAAAAAGGGCCAGGCACAGTGGCTCATGCCTGTAATCTCAGCACTTTGGGAGGCCAAAGCAGGAGGATCACCTGAGCTCAGGAGTTTTAGACCAGTATGGGCAACATAGTGAGAACTTGTCTCTGCAGAAAATTTTAAAAATAATAATAATACAGAAAAAAAGATTTTTTTAAAAAAGAACAAATTTTTTCTGAGATTTTCCAGGGGCCCTGAAAATCCCAGTTATTAATTAGTTTGAGGTCAAAATTTAGATTTTGATTTTGGGAAGTTTGTAAAAAAATGTCAAAAAGGTTAAAGACTTGTTTAAAATAGAATCACAGGTCACTGTGAAAAAATACTTAGTTATCATTTAATCAAAGTGGCAACTGAAAGACTTCAAAGGCAAAATACAGAAAACTGTAGCTGTAGGAAAAACCTTACCTCTCCTAATAGAGAATGCTCAGTTTCCTTAAGTAATCAAAGATTTGATAAAGACAACATGAAACATAGAAAATTACTTTGATAATGGCTGGGCGAGGTGGCTCATGCCTCTAATCCCAGCACTTTGTGAGGCCCGGCGGGGCGGATCACCCAAGGTCAGGAGTTAGAGACAAGCCTGGCCAACATGGTGAAACCCCATCTCTACTAAAAATACAAAAATTAGCCGGGCATGGTGGCGCATGCCTGTAATCCCAGCTACTCTGGAGGCTGAGGCAGGAGAACTGCTTGAATCCGCTGAGAGGCGGAGGTTGCAGTGAGCCATGAGCATGTCACTGCACTCTGGCCTGGGCGACAGAGTGAGACTATGTCTCAAAAAAAAAAAAAAAAAAGAAAATTACTTTGATAAGACAAAAAAACTTTGTTTTCTAGGCAGATTATTTAAAACGTAAAGAAAACCTTTTACAATCTTTTACCAAGAAGAGATCAATACTACAAGAAATCTTTGTCATTTTAACAGAGAGAAGACCAATTTTTAGTTTTGCATTAGTGTATGGTATTTTGATGTTGAGTCATTTCAGACCCTTATAATAAGTTCATTCAATGGTAGTCAACTTGACCACACAAGATTCTCTCTTCCCAATTTTCTATATCAATTTTTTGTCCTTCATTCTCCTTTTACATTCTGAAAAATTTAAATAATCTCCAAGCTAGAAAAAAATTCTTTTTTCAACAAACACACATTTTCATACTCCATACCTTTTCTTACCAAAAATACACCCTACTTTTCTTATACACAAAGTTGTTTTCCCTATTATCTCTAGTAATTTTAATTGCATATACTAATTAGAATTTTTCCTTTTTCTTTTTTTGAGACAGAATCTCACTCTGTCACCCAGGCTGGAGTGCAGTGGTGCGATCATGGCTCACTACAGTCTTGAGCTCCCAGGCTCAAGCAATCTTCCCACCTCAGCCTTCTGAGTAGCTAGGACTATCAGTACATGCCACAAAGCCTGGATAATTTTTTTTTAATTTTGTAGATACAGGGTACCACTATATTGCCTAATTAAAATTCTTAATCCTTAGTAAACCTAATTTCTAGTGAAAACTAGGAAGTAAGCAATTGTGAACTGTCTGGTACATACTGTATAACACTCTGTAGATTGGCAAATGTATGACTATATAATTTCATAATTTCTAGAAACATATAATTTCCCACAGCACTATTTTTCAATGTTGCACAGGACATATTTACCAACTGACCCCACTTCTGTATTAAGAAGCCAAAAGTTCATAAATTTAAACCTATGTTTGGCAATTAATATTTTAGTATTTTATCTTATTTGTAAATGGTCTAGATACTCAATGAATATTCACAATTTAACTTAACAAAAAAACTCTAAGGGTATATGTTACCAAAGAGATTTGGGAAACTGTTTTTCAGTAGACATATTATAAAAAATAGTTATTGTTTAGAAGTTTATTTATAAACTTATCCCACTTACATTACTTGATTGTTTTTAACAATTACATTTGGATTATTCATGAAAATTTCACAAGACAGACAAATCTCAAGTTATTTTCTAGCCATAATTCTCAAGTTATTTTCCTGTTAACTATTTTTATACCACATGTGTTTTCATGTTAAGCAAACATCATGAGAGCAAAAATCAGCCTGGGTAATATAGTGAGAACTTGTCTCTGCAAAAATAAAAAATTAGCCAGGTATGGTGGCATGTCCCTGTAGTTCCAGCTACTTGGGAGGCTGTAGTGGGAGGATCGTTTGAGCCCAGGAGGAAGAGGCTGCAGCAAGCCAAGATTGAACCACTGCACTCCAGCATGGGTGACAGAGGGAAACCCTGTCTCAAAAAAAAAAAAAAAAAAGGAAAAACCTAAAAGTTAATACAAGGGGTTTTGTTTTAATGCTATGTTTGATATACATGAAGTAATAGGTACTACATTTTTATTTGTACTTTTTGTGCTTAGATTCAATTTATGATTTTTATAATTTTAAATATTTACTATAGAAAACATAAGTTCAGGCCAGGCTCAGTGGCTCACACTGTAATCCCAACACTTTGGGAGGCTGAGATAGGAGGAAGAATAAATAATATGAACAACCAATGGAGTAAGATTCCTGTGGATGAGGTTGTAGAAGGGTGTAGCATAATAACCACAGGACCAGCCAAACTGGTAACAAATGTCAAGTTGCCTTTTAGGTATAACAAAACCAAAAACTGCAAGTCATGCAGCCCAGGCATATGTTGGGAGAAAAGCTGAGTGTTGGCAGAAGCTGAGGCAGGGCTTGCATGTCTGACATAATGTAAAAGAGTCTTGGAATATGTCCAGGGTCCAGGATCTAAAACCTCTTGTGGCCTTTGCAACAACAAGCTCGGTGCTAAAGGGTGGAAGGCTACCCTGATGCGCCATAATCTAAGCCCAGGGCATAAAACCCCTTGTGGCTTGGATAGAACCCCGGGCTTGCGACTCTGGAATGTGTCTAGACTTGCTGGCTCCTTGCTCCTTGCTCTCCCGGGATCGATTATATCTTGATTTAAAAGAACCTGCTCTCCATTATCTCAAGTAGCAGAGCAGATGCTAAACCGTCACAGCTGTAAATCATGTGCTTTAATGCAACACTCCCTTTTGACTCCCACATTCTCACCACCTGTTTCTTTGATCACCAATAAATAGTCTGGGCTTCCAGAGCTAGGGCCTTCGCAGCCTCCACACTCGCGATGATCCCCTGGACCCACTTTCTCTCTCAAACTGTCTTTTTCTCATTCCTTTGACTCCGCCGGACTTCATCACGCCCACAACCTGGTGTTGGGTCTGATCACCCCAACAAGCATACACAACAGAAAAAGCTTTGACCTTTAACAACACCTGGAACCAACTATTCCTCCCCTCAAAACATGCCTGCAATCCGAAGGATTTTCAGAAGTGAGGGCTCTGCTGACCTGGAAGATCTGGGGCTAAAATCTGCCTCAACATGCTTTACTGTAAATGGTCAAATTTGAAGCTCCCCAGTCGAATCCTGCCAAGCCAACATTCCCAAATCCTGTCTCTTTTCCTCTGATCTCATAAAACTTGCCGCAGACTCCAAACTGGGGGACAGATTTGAGCCTGTCTTTTTGCTGCCAGTTCTACAATAAAGCCTTTCTTTTCTCAAAAGCTGGTGCCATAGTTATCAGCTTCTGTGAGCATCAAGCAGTGAGCCCATTTGCTCCATAACAGATCATACCATATAGAGGTAATAACCACTGAGAAAGGAGATAAAGTACAGAGCAGTGAGGATGCACAATGCATGAGTTAATGAAGGGTGTTGTTTTAAGCCTCCACATCCACAAATACACTCATAGTCTCACAGGATGAAAGCAGGGTGTTGGTCAGGCTATAGTTCTCAAATAGGACTTGAGGAAATTTTCCAAACCCATTCAGATTGTTAGCAAAATTCAGTTCGTAGCAGCTAAAGGGCTAAGGCCCCCAGTCCCTGGCTGGCAATCAAGCAAGGGCCACTCTCAGCTCCTAGGCCTTCTGCGGTTTCTTGCTATATGACCCCCCATACACAATTTACACCATAGATGTTTGCTTTCTTTCAGGCCACCCAGAGCATGTCTCTCTTATCTCCTCTTTGATTAGCCAGGGAAAAGTCTCTGCTTTTAAAGGGCTCACCTGATTAGATTAGGCCCAGCAAGGACATTTTTCTATTATTTTGTTGGGTTTTTTGTTTGTTTGTTTGTTCATTGTTTGTTGAGACAAGGTAATGCTATACTGCCCAGGCTGTTCTCACATTCCTGGGCTCAAGGGATCCTCCTGCCTCAGCCTCCCAAGTAGCTGGGATGACAGGTGTACACCACCATGCCTGGCTAGAAAAGATGGAATCAGTGTTACTGATTTCTCTTCACTATCTTAAAGTCAACCAAAAGGGACCTTAAACAGATCTGCAAAATCCCTTTTGCTATTGTGAAAAACAAAAATTGGACAAGTAAGGGTATTAATTTTAATTTTACTCAGGCTATTGCAATGGTAGAGCATCCCCAATTCAAAGATCAGCGTATCTCAGCAGGTGATTTTGCCTTAGAGTTTCAGAAAGAATGGTAATCAAATTTCAGGTGAAGTGATTTACAGTAGAGTGTTTTTGCAAGCAGGGGTAATATCAGTTGGTTGGCTGAACAGAAAGTGTTTTTCTCTGTATTAGCTAGTTTTTCCAGGGGACAAACGATTCTAATTTCAGTAATCATGAGCCAAGGAACAAGAAGTTGAGGATCTGTGTTTGGCCTTGTCAGCAAATTCATGCAAGAGGGGAAAGTTCTCTGTTTGTTCCTGACACAGGTAAATGGTGGAGTTATCCTCAACTGTTATGGGAGTCATGAGAAAAAGTGGAAAGTGAGTCCTATCTAAGTCATATGAAGAAAGATGGTTATTTGCAGAAAGTCCTTTCCTGGAATGCCAAGGTTGGAGGGATTTCTTAACTGTTGCTGTTCTCCAAGAGCACACGACTCAGGTAAAGTTTAACATGGTTAGCCTTTTGTTCGACACTGAACAACTCAGGTGAGAATAAACGTGGGTGGGACCAAGCAAGGGCTAAGAAACAATCTCTTGAGAACCCTCACTGGTGCTGTTCCTGTAAAAATCAATTGAATTACCTATTGAGAGGTGGTTAAAAAGAAATCAGCTGTTTCAAAGTCCTGGACATCAAGCATCTTAAAAAGGATGCCTAAAATGAAAAAGAGAAATATTAATATGAAAAGCTGTATTAAAGTAATAGCTTCAGAAGTTAAATCTGAGGGTAACCAATCCAGTGGATTCCAAGAGGTTGGTAAAACTCACTGAGTTTCTTGAGGCTAAAATGTTGATGCTCTTGGTGATGTCCACAGTCTTAGCTACCTTTCATGTAAAGGCATGCATAACCAGTGTTTTGTCAAACTTCTTTACTGGCCCTGACAGTCACTTGTCCAGAAAGAAATTCATACTGGCCAGGTGCAGTGGCTCACACCTGTAATCCCAGCACTTTGGGAGGCAGAGGTGGGTGGATCACCTGAGGTCGGGAGTTCGAGACCAGCCTGACCAACATGACCAACCCTGTCTGTACTAAAAAATACAAAATTAGGCAAGCGTAGTGGCGCATGCCTGTAATCCCAACTACTCGGGAGGCTGAGGCAGTAGAATCACTTGAACCTGGGAGGCGGAGGTTGCGGTGAGCCGAGATCGTGCCATTGCACTCCAGCCTAGACAACAAGAGAGAAACTCCTTCTCAAAAAAAAAAAAGAAAAGAAAAGAAAAGAAAAGAAATCCATACATGGTCTGCTATGGTGATGAGTCCTGGAGTCCTTCAAGATTTGTAGGAAGTCATTGGTCTTTAGCTCACAGAACTTCTTAAAATTCCAAAGAAAAAGACCCAGCGCAGCACCTGAAAAGGATTTAACTGGTCAAGTTTTAGTTCTTGGTGATGCTGAGTCACACAGAAGGGAGACAATTTGGAAAACTTTGTTTAGAGCGTTGTAGCCAGATATTGAAGAACACTGGAAGAATTAAGCATTGGGTAATTGTTGATAATTTGTGCAAGGTAACAGGATCCAGTCCAAATTACAGGCATGTACCCAAACTGATTTTTTCACAAAAAGTATATAAAGTATGGGGGAAGAAAGTAACTTAAATCTCTACCAGAGAAAACAGAGTTTGCATATCCATCAATTACCTGCAATTTACAAGGAGTGCAACTAACTCAAAGGAAATGAACAGGGCTAGAGTCTGGTAACACTGTTGCAACTCAGGACTATAGTCGGAAAGAAGGGGTATAGTGCTATAGTTTTCCATTGAAACAGAAAATATCTCTCCAGTCACTCCCCTTTTAATCAAAGATGATCTTGAAGATTATCCTTGAACACAAAATAAAGACGGTCAGATTAGATTTGACCTGATTATTTACATAGGTGCTACAAAAATTGTAATGTACCAGAGTCCTTCTTAAATGTGCTTTGCTGAAAGTTTAGTAAGAAATGTCACATTAAACTTTTAAAAACTTTTTGAGCTAGGAAGCCAAGCCAAGAATTCACCATCACATTTCACCTATAATACCTAAAAATTTGGGTAAATTCCTCACTTCTCAAAGTCCATAAAATATCCTAATGTTCACAGTCCTGCCAGGAAATGACAATCTTTATTCATTCTGTAAACCAGATAAGACTCCAGTTTTCCTAGGTATGCTTTGTAAGCTTTACCTCCACAAAATTAACCATAGTTCCTTAAAAGTGTCAGATCATATCTGATTAAGTAATCATTCTAAAATATAACATTTCAAGGAAGACATTTGTTGTATAACCAATATTTGCAATTAAATCCTGTTAACAAGGAAGACAGACTCATTGAAATTGTAAAAATAACTATATTGCAATGAAAATAAAAATAGTAAGCTCAGATGTGGTGGCTCACACCTGTAATCCCAGCACTTTGGGAGGCCGAGGTGGGCAGATCACTTGAGACCAGGAGTTCAAGACCAGCCTGGCCAACATGGCGAAGCCCCATCTCTACTAAAAATAAAAAATTAGCCAGGCATGGTGGCGCATACCTGTAATCCCAGCTACTCAGGAGATTGAGGCACGAGAATCACTTGAACCTGGGAGGTGAAGGTTGCAGTGAACTGAGATGGTGCCACCACACTCCAGCCTGGGTGAGAGAGTGAGACCCTGTCTCCAAAAGAGAAAATAATAATAATAATAATCAGTGACAGTTTCCAATTCTGGAGAAATCAGGCAAAGAGAAAAATATAAATATTTCATTTCCATTTACAAAAGTGTAATTTAATCAATTATTATGAGTGACAGATAGCTTAAGAGGAGAGAGAAACGCATTCCTTATGTTCAGAAAATATAACATTAAACATCAACAATATTCCAGATGAAAGCCGCAATTATCCATCAGCTTATCCAGTCCTATGTAAGTAATTCTTGTTCCACTCAGTCTTGAGTTAGCAGTCTCAGAAATCTATCTGCTTCTGAACCACAGTTCTGGAAATTCTGACTCAGTCCACTGGTATAAATTCAGAATTGTTTATGTAATGCCATCAGAAGAGCCTGTGCCCAGGAGTACCTGGACACAGGGTTCCTTTTTCACAGGGCTCTGAAAGAGTCCATCTTTGTTGATTCACTCTGGCCACAGCTATTCCAAGTGCTTCACAGAAGCATCAGAGTAAAACAAAAAACTGTCTATAGATGACAAAAGGCCTTTCCCCTACCCCTCCCCTCCCCTTCCCTTTCCTTTCCTTTCTTCAACAGGGTCTCATTCTGTCACCCAGGCTAGAGTGCAATGGCACAATCTCAGCTCACTGCAACCTCCACCTCCTAGGCTCAAGTCATCCTCCTAACTCAGCCTCCTGCATAGCTGGGACTACTGGCGCACGCCACCAGGCCCAGCTAATTTTTTGTATTTTTTGTAGAGATGAGGTCTCACCATATTTCCCAGGCTGGTCTTGAACTCCTGGGCTCAAGCGATCCACCCACCTTGGCCTCCAAAAGTACTGGGATTACATGCGTGAGCCACCGGGCCCAGCTGATGACAAAAGGCTTTAAATGGCTAGTAATAGTTATTACTAATAACTTTCCAAAGTAAAAGATCTGATGAGAGTTTATTACAAGAATAATGCAACTGGCAAAAAATGTTTCCATGGCATGCAAAATGAAATGTCAACCCAAAAAAGTTTTAGATAAAATATCTATAAACATAATGATTAATCCTATTTTCAAAGAAGAGTAGATAATACATCTACATTTTGAAAATAAGTGAATGTAATCTTCACAGAGGAAAAAATATTCAAATATAACATATAATAATCCTGAGACACAATATACCATGGATATACTAAACATATAGTTAGACTACACCGAGAATATATCAAGTTTATCAAGGAAAGAGACTCAGAAAATCTCGAGTAGATCCTAAACATCTGAATTTGATAAATCTTCGTAGGTTAATGATATGAATCCCCAGTTGAAAACCTCTGGACAAGAGGATGCTAGATTCAAATTAAAGTTGCAACTAACTTAACACTTTAAAAAATAACTCAAAATATGACCAGTGTTATTATACCATTTTTTTGCCTAATATCTTGGCAAAACAGCACCAAGACTCTGAGAAATGGAAATATAACATGGATAGTGAGGACATTGACAAATCTCTATGAACTTCTTATATAGCACACAATTTCTGAAGTATTTATATTAATAGCATTTTACTCATACAAATTTATCACCTCTTCTGATTTGACAACTTTTCCCAAGGAACTCAATAGTAACAAATTAAATAAACCTAATTATTTCTAGCACCTCCCTTTTTGTAAGATGAAAAACAAATTCCTTGTGATTTTCCAGAGGCCTTCTGGAAAATCGGTTTTAGGTGCAAAATATATCATTTAGGACTTTATATTGGGAAGGCAAAATATCAAAAGTTGTCAGGAGGTTTGAACAGTTGATTAAATAGGATCATGGGTTCCTGGGAAATAACACTTGGCTACCTATTTAATCATGTGACAGCAAAATGACATTAAAGAATTTTAAAGGTAGGGCACAGTGGCTCACACCTGTAATCTCTACACTTTTGGAGGCCAAGGCAAAAGGATCACTTGAGGCCAGGAGTTTGAGACCAGCCTGGGCAATATAGCAAGACCCTGTCTCTACAATTTTTTTAAAAAGTTAGATGGGCATGGTTGTGCACACCTGTAGTCCCAGCTACTTCAGAGGCTGAGGCAGGAGGATGGTTTAAAGCCCAGGCATCTGAGGTTGCAGTGAACTACGATTGCATCACTGCACTCCGGCCTGGGCATCAGAGAGACCCTGTTTCTAAAAAAATAAAATAAAATAGGCCGGGTACAGTGGCTCATGCTTGTAACCCTAGCACTTTGGGAGTCCAAGGCGGGCGGATCACGAGGTCAGGAGATGGAGACCATCCTGGCCAACATGGTGAAACCCCATTTCTACTAAAAATACAAAAAAAAAAAAAAATAGCTGGTTGTGGTGGTGGGCGCCTGTAATCCTAGCTACTTGGGAGGCTAAGGCATGAGAATTGCTTGAACCCAGGAGGCAGAGGTTGCAGTGAGCTGAGATCGCACCACTGCACTCCAGCCTGGCAACAGAGCAAGACTCCGTCTCAAAAATAAAATAAAATAAAATAAAATAAATAAAACAAAAATGTAAAGTATACATAGATGATAGCACAATTGAAAAGGACCTTGGTTCTTCTTTCAAAAGTGGGCAGACTTTTCTCTTAAATAAATAATTATCTTAAATAATCAAGGACATGATAAACTCAACATAAAGCACAGGAGATTATTTTGATAAAACACAGAATCTTTGTTGTATAGATAACTCAGAAGGTAAGAAAAATCTCTTACAACTGAGACAGAGCAGGGACCTCCTTTCGGGGCCGGCTGCCCACTGTCCCCCTTCCCCCAGGCATGGAAATATAAAAAAATCTTGAGTTACTTCAAGGGAAATTCTGGGCACCCTGCTAGCCTTGAAAAGTAAATGAGCAACCTGATAAGCAAGAAGGTAATAGCTTTAAACAATAGCCAAGGAAGTTAGAGCCACAAGATGTTTGGTTCCCTATGGAAACTAAAGACAATATATCAACATATGTTCTTGAGTTGTTTTTCAGACACCTGGACCCCCACCAAATAGAAAGTCCATCCTGCTGACATGTAGAACTCAGATAAGAGGGAACTGAGGACTGAACTGTAACCACTGTTCTTTGTTCTAAATTTCTTCTTGAGGGGCCTGGAGAGTCGCAACCACAGGCCAGATCTTAACATTCTTTCCTGCTAACCCTAAGTTTTTAGACAAAGCTTTGCTTCCTTAACCAATTGCAAATCAAAGAATCTTGGAAGCCACCTGTATCAGTCCTTTCTCACGCTGCTATAAAGAATTGCCCAGCAATTAATTTATAAAGGAATTTATAAAGGAAATAGGTTTAATTGATTCACAGTTCCACAGGGCTGGGGAGGCCTCAGGAAACTTACAATTATGGTGGAAGGGGATGCAAATACATACTTCTTTGCATGGTGGCAGGAAAAAGAAGTGCTGAGCAAAGGGGGAAAAGTTCCTTATAAATTCATCAGATTGGCCATGCGTGGTCGCTCATGCCTGTAATCCCAACACTTTGGGAGGCCAAGGTGGGCAGATCACCTGAGGTCGGCAGTTCAAGACCAGCCTGGCCAACATGGCAAAACCTTATCTCTACTAAAAATACAAAAATATTAGCTGGGCATGGTTTTGTGCACCTGTAATCCCAGCCACGAGGGAGGCTGAGGCAGGAGAATCACTTGAATCTGGGAGGCAGAGATTGCAGTGAGCCGAGATCACGCCATTGCACTCCAGCACCTGAGTGACAGGAATGAAACACCATCTCCAAAAAAAAAAAAATCAGCTCTCATGAAAACTCACTCACTATCACGAGAACAGCATGGAGGGACCACCTGCATGATCTAATCACCTTCCACGAGGTGCCTCCCCCAACACATAGGGATTACAATTCAAGATGAGATTTGGGTGGGGGACACAGTGCCAGACCATATCACCACCTATGACCTGTAAGGCCATGCTTCAATATATCTTACCTTTTAAGGCCAAACCAGTGTATAACCTCCACATACTGGTATACAATTTTGCCTGTAACTTCTGCTTTTCTGAAACTTACCCCTTCCTTTAAAAACCCTTGGGTTTAGGCTAGTAAAGAAGTTGGGTCTTAAGTGTCAGCTGCCCAATTCTCCTTGCTTGGTGCCCTGCAAATAAACATCCTCCTTTTTCTCACTGCAAATCTTTGTGTAGACTGGCTTTCCCGTACCAGGTGAGTGGACCCAGGTTTGGTTTGGTTTTACAAACATTTTAGTAACACAGCCAATTAATCCAAGAAGACTTTGTAAAAATTTTTTTTTTTGGAGACGGAGTCTTGCTCTGTTACCCAGGCGGGAGTGCAGTGGCGCGATCTTGGCTCACTGAAAACTCCGCCTCCCGGGTTCAAGCAATTCTCCTGCCTCAGCCTCCTGAGTAGCTGGGACTACAGGCACATGCCACCACACCCGGCTAACTTTTTGTATTTTAGTAGAGACACGGTTTCACTGTGTTGCCCAGACTGATCTTGAGCTCCTGAGCTCAGGGAATTTGCCCACCTTGGCCTCCCAAAGAGCTAGGATTACAGGCGTGAGCCACCATGCCCAGCTGACTTTGTAATTTTAACAGAAAGAAAACCAAATTCAAGTTTTATGTAAGTATTATACTTTACACTAAGCCTTTTTCTAATAATCTTATAAATAAATTCATCAAATGTAGCCAGCTTTGACCACCACAAAATTTCCTTTCTGTGAATCTTCCATGACTTTCTATATCTATTCAGATTTTTTCCTATACTTTACGCCTTCTCATTCTGAAACAAAGTCATTTTACTTCAGCACAAAACTACTTACAAAACTACTTTTTTCCTTAACAAAAATCCATCCCCATATACTTTGCATAGAAAGTTGCTTTTCTCTGCCTCTATTTGCTCCTAGTAGAGTCTAATTCACATATATTGATTATAACTTGTAATCACAGGACTTATATTTTACACAGAAAACTAGGAGGTAAATAATTGCAACTGTTTTTGTAACACATCAGCATTTTTAGCAGACCAGCAAAGCTTATGATTATATATCTTATAACTTTATAGTGATACACATCCCTAACTCACAAAAATGAGTATATTTATTAACAGATCCAAGTACATAGCCTCTCAGTATTATATCAAAATAAGAGGCAAAAAATGTTAAAAATATATAAGCACAGCCATAAAAAAAGAACGAAATCATGTACTTTGCAGGAACATGGATGCAGCTGGAGGTCATTATCCTAAGCAAATTTTGCAGGAATACGAAATCAAATACCACACATTCTCATTTATAATTCAGAGCTAAGCATTGGGTAGCTGTGGACATGAAGACGGGAAAAGCCGGGTGCAGTGGCTCACGCCTGTAATGCCAGCACTTTGGGAGGCCGAGGCGGGTGGATCATGAGGTCAGGAGTTCGAGACCAGCCTGGCCAACATAGTGAAACCCAATCTCTACTAAAAATACAAAAATTAGCTGGGTATGGTGGCGTGTGCCTCTAGTCCCAGCTACGTGGGAGGCTGAGGCAGGAGAATCGCTTGAAACCGGAAAGCAAAGGTTGTGGTGAGCCGAGATTGTGCCATTACACTCCAGCCTGGGCAACAGAGTGAGACTCTGTCTCAAAAAAAAAAAAAAAAAAAAAAAAAGACGGGAACAATAGACACTGGGACTACTAGAAGGGAGAGAGAGGGACGAGGGAAAAGGCTGAAAAACTACCTATGAATTCCCACCTGGGTGATGGGATCATTTATACCCCAAACTCAGTGTCCCACAATATACCCATTTAACAAACCTGCACATGTACACCCTGAATCAAAAATAACAGTTGAAATTATATATATATATATATATATATATATATATAAACTTAAAGTTATACTTTGAAGTTAATGTTTCAGTAGCTTATCTTAGAAATGATCTTGGCCGGGCTCGGTGGCTCACGCCTGTAATCCCAGCACTTTGGGAGGCCGAGGCAGGAGGATCACCTGAGGTCAAGAGTTCAAGACCATCCTGGTCAACATGGTGAAACCCTGTCTCTACTAAAAATACAAAAAATTAGCCAGGTGTGGTGGCACGCACCTGTGGTCCCAGCTATTGGGAAGGCTGAGGCAGGAGAATCACTTGAACCCAGGAGATAGAGGTTGCAGTGAGCCGAGATTGTGCCACTGCACTCCAGCCTGGGCTACAAGCGCGAACTCTATCTCAAAAAAAAAAAAAAAAAAAAGAAAGAAATGATCTTAATATTTTGTGAATATCCATTAACTAATTCAATTTAGCATCAATTCAAGATTTTTAGTTACAAAAAGATCTTAGAAACTATTTCCAAGCTGACATGCTACCAAATATAATTACTGCTGAAATAAGGTTTGCCAGAATAATGATTTAATTTGATTAAACACAAATTTACAATTTTCATAATCTTAAACATCTAGTAGATCATAATGCTAGCTTACTTTTTTCTTTATTATCTTTTTAAAATCCAGATCCTGCACAATGTGCTAGCTTATTTGATCTGTAAACCTGTATAGGTTTAGGAAAAGCATACCCAATTAGAATAAAAATGTATGCCTGTATTATACTTAATATAGATAATTCAGAAGACACGCTGTTTTTATTAAACCCACAATATTAAACTAGCCTCATTTGCCAAATATTCACATAAATAATGTGAACTTAAATTCTTAAACCATTTAAATTAGTCTCTATAAAAGTACATTTTAACAGCACATTGAAATTATTGGAAGGTCAATCCCCTAAATTTCTGGCTATTTCAAGTATTATATAAGCCTTATTTATCTCTAAACCAATCTGAATAGAACCCTTTTAAGATATTTTATAATCTAATTTGATCATACTGAGAGTCACAGGACGCAGACAAATGCCTAGACAAATAGGGGTGGGTCCCCAGTGAAACCCCTCCTCCAAGCCAAGGACCGTTTAAAGCCTGAAAACCAAACTACAAGTCAAATCTCTCAGCTGAACTGAGAACCTGTCTTCTTATTTGGTGCACTTTCCTCTGATTGATCCCCACCCTTTACCTATTTTACATTTATCTACCCTTTCCTAATTGGTTTTCTCCACTGTCATGCCCACCTTTGAGTGGAGTCTTCGTTTTAACCTTTTTTACATACTCACAAACCAATCAGCATGCACTCCCCATTCTGAGTCCATAAAAAGCCCAGGACCCAGCCACACTAAGAGAGAAAAACCACCTGACTGCAGGGGTGTGGGACCACCCCCCAGCCCCTGCATCCCCTCTCTTCTGAGAGCTGTTCCATGGCTCTGTCGCCCAGGCCAAAGTGTAGTGGCGCAATCTTGGCTCACTGCAACCTCAGCCTCCCAGTTTCAAGTGATGCCTCAGCCACAAGAGTAGCTGGGATTCCAGATGCTTACCACCACGTCCGGGTAATTTTTGTATTTTTGGTAGGATGGGGTTTCACCATGTTGGCCAGGCTGGTCTCAAACTCCTGACCTCAAGTGATCCACCCACCTCAGCCTCCCAAAGTGCTGGGATCACAGGCCTGAGCCACAGTGCACCGCCACTGATCTGCTCTTGGTCTCTAGTAATTTTGCCTTTTCCTGGGTGTCGTATGATAGAATCATACAGTATTCCATTGTACAGATGTATCACAGTTTGTTTATTCATTCACCCATTGAAAAACATTTCACTTGTTTCCAAGTTTAAGCAGTTATGAATAATGTTACTATAATCATTCATGCATAGGATTTGTGCGAACATAAGTTTTCAGTTCTCTTGAGTAAACACCTATAAGCCAAATTGCTGGGTCATTTAAGTGTATGTTTAACTTTATAAGAAACTGAAAAACGTCCACAGTAGCTGTGTGATACTGTATAATAATGTATGATAACTTAAGTTACTCTGCATCCTTGTCAGCACTTGGTATTGTCAGTTTTTTGTTTGGCCATTCTAATAGGTATGTAAGAGCATATTATTGTGATTTTTAATTTACATTTGCCTAATGACTAATGACGTTGACCATCTTTTCCCATGTTTATTTGTCATCTGTATCTTCTTTGGGGAGGAATCTGTTCAAAACCTTTGCCTTTTATTTATTTATTTATGTATTTATTTATTTATTTAGAGACAGAGACTCACTCTGTTGCCCAGGCTGGAGTGCAGTGACACAATCATGGCTCGCTGCAGCCTCAACCTCCTGGGCTCAAGCGATCCTGCAACCTCAGTCGTCTAAGTAACTGAGGCCACAAGGGCATACCACCATGCCCAGCAAATTTTTTTATTTTATGTAGAGCTACAGGCCTCGCTATGTGGCTGAGGCTGGCCTGGAACTCCTGGCCTCAAGTGATCCTCCTACCTCAGTCTCCCAAAGTGCTGGTATTACAGGTGTAAGTCACAGCCCTCAGCCTCAGTTTTTAAAATCGAGTTTTTTTCTCCTGGCCTCAGAAGATCCACCTGCCTCGGCCTCCCAAAGTGCTGGAATTACGGGCATGAGTCACCTCAGCCAGCCTGTAATGATTCTTAAAATTGAGTAGTGTGTGTCCTCCAACCTTGTTCTTCTAATGTTTTGTTTGTTTGTTTGTTTGTTTTTTGAGACAGAGTCTTGCTCTGTCGCCCAGGCTGGAGTGCTGTGGTGCAATCTCGGCTCACTGCAAGCTCTGCCTCCCGGGCTCAAGGGATTCTTCTGCCTCAGCCTCCCCAGTAGCTGGGACTACAGGCGCCTGCCACTATGCCCAGCTAATTTTTGTATTTTTAGTAGAGACGGGATTTTACCATATTGGCCAGGCTGGTCTCAAACTCCTGACCTTGTGATCTGCCCCCTTTGGCTTCCCAAAGTGCTGGGATTACAGGCGTGAGCCACCGCGCCCGGCCTATAATGATTCTTAAAATTGAGTAGTGTGCATCCTCCAACCTCATTCTTCTAATATTTTTTTCTGCACTAATTTCATTCTCCTTTCCTTCTCCTGCCCTAATGAAATGAATGTTATACTATTTGATATCACCCCACAGTTCCCTGAGGCACTGTTCAATTTTTTTTTCAATATTTTTTGTGGTTCAGATTGGATAATTTCTATTGCTCTTCACGTTTATAGATCCTTTCCTTTTTTTCCACTCTGCTCTCAAGCTATTATTGAGTCTAGGTCTGATAATTCTGAGTCATCTTGGGCTGGGATTTGCTGTTTTTTCCACCATGAGTTGCTGCAATTTTCCTGTTTTTGTTTCTGTTGTTTTTTTCAATGTTGAGCAATTTTGTATTGTATCCAGGATGTTTTTATTATTATGTTATGAGACTGTAAGTCCTGTTAAAATCCTCTGAGGAATGCTGGATTTTTTCTTTGTTTTGGTTTAGCAGATAGTTGTCTCAGTTACGTTCAGGCCAAAGTCTAGCCTGCCTTCTATGGACCATGGAATGTAATTTCAGTTTTCAAGCTTTTGCAGAGTATTTCAATCTGTTCTATGTATGTTTCCCCCAGGGGCTAAATGGGACCTGGGTGGGGGTCTACACCACACACCAGTGTTCAAAGCCCTTGGTCTTGAAGTAGTTTAGGATATGCCACCTCAAAATATGCCACTTTGGTATACTGATTATTTTGAGGTGAAGACACTTAAAAAACAACAAATGCAGAGACAAGCTTTCTCTGAACTCCCTGTATCTGCCTAAAGACAGATATTCCAAAAGGAACTCAATTGTCATCAATCCCCTTCCCAGGAGTTTCATCAACAGAAAAGATTAATGCATCATAGGAAAGCAGACTAGATACTATCCCCAGACAAACTTTGTCAGAAACTATCATATCTCCCATCTATTCTTCCAAGGGACCCATCATTCATCTTTATTTTTTATTTTTATTTTTTGAGACAGGGTTTCACTCTCGTTGCTCAGACTGGAGTGCAATGACACAATCTCGGTTCACTGCAACTTCTGCCTCCTGGACTCAAGCCATCCTCCCACCTCAGCCTCCCAAGTATCTGGGACTACAGGTGCTCGCCACCACACCACACTAATTTTTGAATTTTTTGTAGAGGCAGGGTTTTGCCATGTTGCCCAAGGTGGTCTCAAATTCATGAGCTCCAGTGAGCCTCCCGCCTCAGCCTCCCAAAGTGCTGGGATTATAGGCATGAGCCACACCTGGCCCATTCATCTTTACTAAAAATCATTTAATCTCCCCAAAATGCCCACATCTCTTCTGCCCTTTCCCTTGTGATGATGATATACAAGCTTTCAAATCTCACTGCTTTTTGGGTATTTGCCTTTTTTTCCTGTGATGCTCCCATGCGCATAATAAATTAGCATACCTTTTCTCCTGTTAATCACCTGTTGTCAGTCTGTATCCTAGACCTAGCTATTGATCCTAGGTGGGTAAAGGGAAAGTCTTTCCCTCCCTTACACTCTTCTATTTCAGATAAGTTTTTCCCACAAACACCTTGGGAGTGATCCTAAGACTTCAACTCTCTTTGAAGTCCTCTTCTCCAAAATCTCCACAATAGTCTCTGGCTCCCAGAGCTCCTTATCCTGGTTCTGTGGCCCAAATGCCTGGTTTTCAGTCTTCCTGTGCTGTCAGACACCTCCCACAACTGGATCCATCTCTGCTATGATCTGAATGTTTGTGTCCCCTCAAAATTCATAAATTAGAACTTATTCCCCAATTACCATCAATTACCATGAGGAGGTCGGGTCTTTAGGAAGTGATTAGAAGGTAGAGCCCTCATGAACGGGATTAATGCCCTTTAGAAGAGGCTTGAGGGAGTTCCTTTGCCCCTTCCACTATGTGAGGACATGGAAGATACCACCTATGAGGAACAGGCCCTCACCAGACACTGAATCAGCTGGTGACTTGATCTTGTACTTCCTAGACTCCAGAGCTCTGAGCTATAGGTTTCTGTTGTTTATAAATTCCCCCGTCTGGCCTGGCACAGTGGCTCACATCTGTAATCCTAGCACTTTGGGAGGCTGAGGTGGGTGGATTATCTGAGGTCAGGAGTTCAAGACTAGCCTGGTCAACATGGTGAAACCCCGTCTCTACTAAAAATACAAAAAATTAGCTGGGTGTGGTGATGTGCGCCTATAATCCCAGCTGCTGGGAAGGCTGAGGCAGGAGAATAGCTTGAACCCGGGAGGCAGACATTACATTGAACCGAGATTACGCCACTGCACTCCAGCCTAGGCAACAAGGGCAAAACTCTGTCTCAAAAAAATAAAATAAAAATAAATAAATTCCCCAGTCTAAGGTAATTTGTTATAGCAGCCAAAGTAGACTAAGACAATCTCCAAGGCAAATCAGCAAGCTCAGCTGCTGATAGAGTCACCATCCATAGGGAGAATGCAGCTTTAGAACTGGAGCCCTACAGAGCCAATAAAAGAAAACAGAAACAGAATAGTTCCTCATTTGTCAGAGGGGCCTCTTTCCAGTTTTCTTTTTAAAGATAGAGATACATCTTGGTGTTCCTTTTGCAACATTCCAGAATTTTTCTTGCTTTGAGATAGTAGAGAGAAAAATATACGAAACTCACCATTTTGTTGGTCTTTGAGTTTTAATTTCTTACCCAATTTATCTTCTATTATTTTCTTTATTACCTTTATTATTTATTTTACTAATCTCAGTTATTTGTTTTGTAATGCCCAACCTTGTTTTTTCCTTATTCACCTGGCCTTGTTCCTCCCTTAGCTAAGAGAACCAGACAAACTCCATCTTGGCTCTTTCATTGGCAGCCCCTTCCTCAAGGACTTAACTTGTGCAAGCTGACTCCCAGCACATCCAAGAATGCAATTAACTGATAAGATACTGTGGCAAGCTATATCCGCAGTCCACAAGAATTCGTCTGATTGATAACGCCCAAAGCCCCGCGTCTATCACCTTGTAATAGTCTTAAAGCCCCTGCACCTGGAAATGTTTACTTTCCTGTAACCATTTATTCTTTTAACTTTTTTGACTACTTAACCTCTGTAAAATTGTTTTAACTAGCCCCCCCCTCGCCTCCCCTTCCTAAACCAAGGTATAAAAGTTAATCAAGCCCCTTCCTCGGGGCCAAGAGAATTTTGAGCATTAGCCGTCTCTTGGTCACCAGCTAATAAAGGACTCTTAATTCGTCTCAAAGTGTGGCGTTTTCTCTAACTCGGTCAGGTACAACAGTTTCATGTATTCTCCCCAGAATTTTTGTTGTATTCTCTGGGAGAAATAGCATGGAATATGTTTATGCCATCTTTTTTTTTTTTTTTTTTTGAGACGGGGTCTCACTCTGTCACCCTGCTGGAGTGCAGTGGCATGATTTGGTTTGCTGCAGCCTCTACATCCTGGGCTCAAGTGATCCTCCCACCTCAGCCTCCCAAATAACTGGGACTATAGCTGTGAACTACTATGCCTGGTTAATTTTTGTATTTTTTGTAGAGATGAGGGTTCACCATGTTACCCACTGGTCTTGACTCCTGCGTTCAAGTGATCTGCCCACTTTAGCCTCCCAAAGTTCTGGAATTACGGGCATGAGTCACCTCACCTGGCCTGTTTTATATATTTTAGGGAAGTAGAAGTTACAGGCTAAGTCATAAATCAATATATGGAGGTTATACATTGCTTTGGCCTAAAAAGGCAGACTATCTATACCTAAAGGATTATAAATCATGTTGCTATAAAGACACATGCACACGTATGTTTATTGCGGCACTATTCACAATAGCAAAGACTTGGAACCAACCCAAATGTCCAACAATGATAGACTGGATTAAGAAAATGTGGCATGTATACACCGTGGAATACTATGCAGCCATAAAAAATGATGAATTCATGTCCTTTGTAGGGACATGGATGAAGCTGGAAACCATCATTCTCAGCAAACTATCGCAAGGACAAAAAACCAAACACCGCATGTTCTCACTCATAGGTGGGAATTGAACAAAGAGAATACATGGACATAGGAAGGGGAACATCACACACTGGGGCCTGTTGTGGGGTGGGGGGAGTGGGGAGGGAAGCATTAGGAGATATACCTAATGTTTTTTTTTTTTTTTTTTTTTTTTTTTTTGAGACGGAGTCTCGCTCTGTCGCCCCGGCTGGAGTGCAGTGGCGGGATCTCGGCTCACTGCAAGCTCCGCCTCCCGGGTTCACGCCATTCTCCTGCCTCAGCCTCCCAAGTAGCTGGGACTACAGGCGTCCGCCACTACGCCCGGCTAATTTTTTGTATTTTTAGTAGAGACGGGGTTTCACCGTTTTAGCCGGGATGGTCTCGATCTCCTGACCTCGTGATCCACCCGCCTCGGCCTCCCAAAGTGCTGGGATTACAGGCGTGAGCCACCGCGCCCGGCCAAGATATACCTAATGTTAAATGACGAGTTAATGGTGCAGCACACCAGCATGGCACATGTATATATATGTAACAAACTGCACATTGTGCACCTGTACCCTAAAACTTAAAAGTATAATTTTTAAAAAAAAGGCAGAATATCTTGAAGTGGGGGCTTACAGGTCATAGGTGTCTTCAGAGATTCTTTAATTTGCAATTGATTAAAGGAGTAAAGCTTTGTCTAAAATTTGGGACCAGGTGCAGTGGCTCACACAAGTAATCCCAGTGCTGTGGGAGGTTGAGGTGGGAGACTCACTTGAGCCCAAGAGTTTGAGACCAACCTGGCCAACATTGCAAGATCCCATTTCTATTATTAAATAAATAAATAAAACAAAATGGTACAGCTGTTTTGAAAAACAGTTTGGCAGTTCCTCAAAGATTAAATGTACCAAATGGAAATAATTAAGATGACAGCCCAGGTGGGACAGCTCATGCCTGTAATCCCAGCACTTTGTTAGGCCAAGGCTGGCAGATCATTTGAGGCCTGGAGTTCAAGACCAACCTGGGCAACACAGCGAAACCCTGTCTCTACAAAAAATCCAAAAATTAGCCAGGCATGCTGGTGAGTGCCTGTAGTCCCAGCTACTTTGAAGACTGCGGTGGGAAGATCAGTTAACTCCAGGAGGTCAAGGATGTAGTGAGCCATGATTCTGCCACTGTACTCCAGCCTGGGCAACAGCGCAAGACCCTGTCTCAAAAAACAAAAAAATTTAAGAAGAAGATAACAAGGAAAAAAAATCTTAAAAAAGAATTAGGCTGGGTGTGGTGGCTCACATCTGTGATCCCAACACTTTGGGAGGCTGAGGTAGGAGGATCACTTGAGTCCAAAGGTTCAGGATCAACCTGGGCAACATAGTGAGACCCCATCTCTCTCTATTTTTTAAATTAAATTAATTTTTTTTTTTAAGGCAGAGTCTTTCTTTGTCACCTAGGCTGGAGTGCAGTGGCATGATCTTGGCTCACTGCCGCCTCCACCTCCTGGGCTCAAGTGATGCGCCCACCTCAGCCCCCAAGTAGCTGGAACTACTGGCTACTTTTTTTGGTATTTTTTTGTCAAGACAGGGTTTCATTATGTTGCCCAGGCTTGTCTTGAACTCCTGATCTGCCCGCTGTGGTCTCCCAAAGTGCTAGGATTACAGGTATGAGCCATGTTGCTTAGCCTCTATTTTTTAAATATTAAATTTTTTTTTTAAAAAAGGCCAGCCTGGGCAATATTGGGAGACCTTATCACTACTAAAAATAAAAAAAAATTAGGCAGGCATGGTGGCGCATAGCTGTAGGTCTAGCTACTTAAGAGGATGAAGCTGTAAGATCACTTGAGCCCAGGAGTTTGAGGTGGCAGTGAGCTATGAGATCATGCCACTGTACTCCAGCCTAGGCAACAGAGCCAGAACTTGCCTCTAAAAAAATAAATTTAAACATAATATTACCATATAACTCAGCATTCCTCTCCTACTTATATACGTGGAGGAATTGAAAACAAGGACTTGGCTGGGCACGGTGGCTCATTCCTGTAATTCCAGCACTTTGGGAGGCCAAGGTGGGAGTATCACTTGAGGTCAGGAGTTTGAGACCAGCATGGCCAATATGGCGAAACCCAGTCTTTACTAAAAATACAAAAATTAGCCAGGTGTAGTGGCATGTGTCTGTAGTCCTGGCTACTCGGAAGGCTGAGGCAGGAGAATCACTTGAACCCAGGAGGCAGAGGTTGCAGTGAGCCGAGATTGCACCACCACACTCCAGCCTGGGCAATAGAGCAAGACTCTGTCTCAAAAAAACAAAAAAACAAAACAAAACAAAAAAACACAAGGACTTAAACGAATAAGATACTTGTACATAAATGTTCATAGCAGCATTATTCATAACACCCAAAAGGTAGAAACAACTCAAATGTCTACTGATGGATGAAGGGATAAATAAAATGTGGTATATCCATAAAATGGGTTATTGTTCAGCCAGAAGAAGGAATAAGTTCTGATACAGATTACAATATGGATGAACCTTGAAAACATGGTGCTAAATGAAAGAAGTTAAATAAAAAAGGACAAATATTGTATGATAACACATATAAAATATCTAGAACAGGCAAATTCTTAGATCACAGAAAGTATATTAGAGGGAAGAGATGTGGTGAGTCATTGGGAAAAAATGAGAGTAAAGTCAATGAACAGAGCTGACACTGCTCAGTGGCAACACATTGTGAAGTCCTGCTATCCTGGGTGTAGGTGATATTAAATAGTTCTTGAATTAGATGCTAATTCTGCCCTCTAGAAGGGGGTTCCCAATTCATTGTTCTTTATGTTCCTTGATTTGACCTTCTGGGAGACAGTTCTTCCTTTATTATATTTTTTAGTTATATGTGAAGAGGGTATTGGAGAATATGCACTCTTTGGAGGCTAACCAGTATCCTGAGCTCATTTCCTGTGTATAGAGGGCTGTAGGCCAAAGAGACATGTTAAGTTTTGTCTAGGCTCTTGGCTCCTTTGGCAATACAATTATCTTATAAACATTACTGGTTTCTTATCTCTTAGATTCCAATCAGCTTCATTTGCCAATGGCCATAACACAGTTCTTTCCTTGACATATCTCCATTTATCTGTCTACTTAATTCTAGGTACCTTGAGCCTATCAAGCTTGGTGGGAGACCAACACCTTTATTCCCTGTTCATTTAGCCATTTCATCCAATTGAAAGGACTTACTAGGTGATATCTCAATCCATTTAGAGATTTTAAAGATAGGTATGACAGGGATAGGCTTGGTTTGATTTTTTAAAATTATTATTAAAGGCTTCCATTAGAAAAGTATTTGCCATTGTCAACTGTGCCAGTTCCTGAATTTCTATGTTGTCTTTATTCCTTTCCATTCCTGCTTACAAATTAGTAAATTATTTTTTGGCTATTTCTCTTTCATGAAGTGTCTTTCAAATACATCCAACATTAACCTACACATGCTATTAACATTTTGTTTTCTAGTCTCTTGCACTGGAGCTATAAACTTACTATGTTCATTATTTAACTTTTAAGTAATTGTAGGTCACAGTTTTATCAAATATTCCATAGTACACCATGGGTTATCATTCTTCCAGCTGCTAAAATCAGTTTGCTTGCCCCCATCACTTGGCCCCTAAGTCAAAGTCACAAAAGTCATGCTTTTGTTAAAATACACCCATCTCTGGCCATAAGTTTCTGTATTAATCAATATATGCTAGGTTTTGTCAAAAAAATTTTTTTTCAACTTCCAAGTGCTTGGAAATTGGCAAAATCTTAGTGTGACCTCAAAGGAAGATGTGGAGGCAAAATTAATATAAGTAGAATTTGGGCCAAGCTTGAGGATTGCAACTTAGGAGTACAGATTCAAGTTGCCCTAAATATACACTCTGATTAGCAGCAGTTACAAGTGGATTTTTAAAGGAAAAGAAGAGGCAGCTCCTGACTTGTTTACCAAGAATTTACATATTTTAATGTAAATTAAAATGTTATTTTAAACCCAAGCTACTGATGGGCTATACATTGTTGTTGTTGTTGTTGTTGTTGTTGTTGTTGTTGTTGTTGTTTTGCATCATAAATTCTGGGAACACAAAGATCATGGGTGAGGCAGCTAGTCAGGAAGAAAATTACTTTAAATAATTGTCCCCAAGCATGGATGTAGAGTGGGAGTTGCAGGATGGAAGGCAAGAATGACCAAAATCCCATGCTCTTGTCTCTTTGGGACTGCATACCTCCCAAAGCTCAGACTGCCCTGAGCTATTTTTCTTTTCTCATTTGTAACATAAAATAATAAAAAATGTATTTCTTGTTCATGCTATACGTTTACTGTAGGTTATACATCTCCTAATTCTAGGATACAGTCTGATGATGAAGCAATGCTGCACATTGCCAGACTCAAAGGCAGAGAGAAAGAGGAGTCTAAACAGTCGCAAATTGGCAATTCAGTGCCCTGGCCCTGAGGTAATTGGCCAGAACTGGACATGTGGTCTCACTCAACCACAAGAGAGCCTGAGAGTGCAACCTACTTTAAGAAGTGCCCTGCAGGTTGAGAGTGGGAAATAGTTGGTGAACAGCACAATCCAATTGCATATGAACTTCGTAATCAAATGTACACTAGGACTGGTAAATGAGGCCCAACTTTACTGGAGTTGTAGCCCCCATTCCCAGATTTAAGAGGTCCCTTTAACAGCACAAGTGCATACTATACATACTGTGCACCTTTCTCTAGTCTTCCACAAAGGAAGCTGTGGTGATTTTATCAGGTAACTGTGCTAGATACAGGAGAATCCCCAAGGCTTTAATTTATATTTAACCCTGACTCTGAGATGAAACCAATTCATTGATTCTCAAATAGACTTTAGAGCATCAAGTGATAACTGAAGCTTTGATCAACAAGCCCCATAGGGTAGCAATCATGCAGGGTAGCTTCTCCAGTTTCCGAATGTACAGAGGGAGGAAAGGGCCTCATCTCCCTGAAATCTCCTCCTGGGCCCCTGACTCGAAGAATAAGTCTACTATAGGAAAAAACCAGAAGCCACTGAAATACTCTTCCTCAGAAATGAAAAGTAAGTTTTATTTCAAACCTATCAGATCCATGTTCTAGAGAATGTTAAACTCTACAGATCCATCTCAGAATCAAAGGACCATATTCATATTGACAGTTAAGCTCTTATAATGGAAGTAACCTCATTCAACTCTTCTTAGAAGTAAATGATGGACAAGTAGATAATCTTTGGCAATCCTTTCCAGTTTTGTTTACACATAGGTTTCTTTTTCCCCCTGAAGAACTAACAAGAAAAAGCCAGATTCAATTACTATGATTTGGCAGCTTGAAACAACAAACTGGTTTTTCCTGCTCCTGAGCTGAAATTTCAATTAAATAGTTTTAAAAGCTATGATGGCATAGGAACAAAATATTTGTCAAGTGACACCTGGAAACCTGCAGCTTAATTCTCTAAGCACTGAAATTTTTTTCAATATTTTAACCATTTTGAGCAGAAATTCCTTAAAAATGTCTATCAACATAGTCCCTGCCCTCTTTCTTTCTTGTTTGTTGTCTTTTCATTATTTTCTCCTGGGTTTTCTAACAACGTCTGACCTTTATCCATTAAAGTCTACCAGCTTGGCACTGTCTGAAGATATTGATCTAGAGAATGTCATTTTGTGTGCATAATGTTTGCAGCGTCAACTGCACTAAACATAATTTGATCTGGCCTTAATTTCTCTGGGGCATCATAGGGAATCCCAGTTATTGTACAATATCATAATGCACTCATGCCTTCAATAGGGTTGCCACATTTAGCAAATAAAATTACAGGACATCCAGTTAAATTAGAATTTCTGATAATCAATGAATTTTTTAAAGTATATCCGAAATATTCCATACTTCGTTGCTTATTTGAAATTTAAATTTAACAAGGCTTCTGTTTTTTTTTTTTTTTTTTTTTTTTTTTTTGAGACAGAGTTTACCCTCTTGTTGCCCAGGCTAGAGTGCAATGGTGCAATCCTTGGCTCACCGCAACCTCTGCCTCCCGGGTTTAAGCAATTCTCCTGCCTCAGCCTCCTGAGTAGCTGGGATTACAGGCATGTGCCACCACGCCCCGCTAATTTTTTGTATTTTTAGGAGAGACGGGGTTTCTCCATGTTGGTTAGGCTGGTCTCGAACTCCCAAACTCAGGTGATCTGCCTGCCTCGGCCTCCCAAAGTGCTGGGATTACAGGCGTGAGCCACTGCGCCAGGCGAAGGCCTCTATTTTATCCGACAATTCTAATTAGGTACCACTGAGACACATAGTCCTATTTGGCCCTGGCTGCCTTTAGACTATTATCTTTTTCTCATTTGAAAGAGCTGCAGACCTTGGGTACTGATTTGAATTGTTGGATGTCCAGACTTGCAGTTCAGGCTCAGCTGACATTCTTGCCCTGGTGAGCTTCTGTACCTTCCTCTTCGCCCTCTGAAGGTTGGCTGAATAATCAACTGACAAAAGTCAGATTAATAAGAGAAGAGGCAGGCTGGGCACGGTGGTTCATGCCTGTAATCCCAATACAATGGGAGGCTGAGGCAAGAAGATCACTGGAGCTCAGGAGTTTGAGACCAGCCTGCATAAAATAGTGGGAACCCATCTCTATTAAAAGTAAAAAAAAATTAGCCAGGTATGGTGGCATGTGCCTATAGTCCCAGCTACTCAGGAGGCTGAGGCAGGAGGGTTGCTTAAGTGGGAGGCTGAGGCAGGAGGACCTTGGAGGTCAAGGCTACAGTGAGCCATGATCATGCGACTGCACTCCTTCTAGAGAGAGACCCTAACTAAAAAAAAAATAAATAAAAAAAAAAGAAAGAAAAGAAAAAAGGCATAGAAATTTATTAGTGTACATGAGGAGAAATCACAGGGTGATTACTCTTATCCCCCATGTAGTACAGAAGGGTATACCATCTTTACAAAGAATGAGAGCTCCAAGCATGGCCAAAAATAGATTATGGTGGTAAATCAGGTTATAGTGGCAAAACAAGTTACGGGAGGGACAGAAGCAGAGGCCTGACTAACAAAGGTGGGTAGCAGCCCTCAGAGAGAATAGATGGTGGAAGTTTCTTTCAGACCTTTAAAAGTGTCAGAATCTCAGTAAATCTTTCCTAGATCTGGACAAGGAAGGGCCTCAGAGAAAGCCTGGCTACATTAATGCAGATTCTCCACAGATGCAAATCTGCCCTACAAGAGACAGTTTTGCAGGGCTACTGGGCTACTTTTTTTTTTTTTTTTTTTTTGAGACAGGGTCTTGCTCTATCAGCCAGGCTGGAGTACAGTAGCATGATCATGGCTTAATGTGGCCTTGAACTCCTGGGATCAAGTGATCGTCCCACCTCAGCCTCCCTCATGAGTAGCTAGGACTAAAGGCATGTACCATTATGACTGGTACATGTTTAAATTTTTATTTTTTGTAGTGATGGGATCTCAATATGTTGCTCAGGCTGGTCGCGATCTCCTGGGCTCAAGCAATCCGCTGGCCTCAGCCTCCCAAAGTCTTGGGATTACAAGCGTGAGCCACCACATCTGGCCTGCAAAGGCTACTTCTGATTGCAGGCCCTCTAAACAGTCATCTCAAAATATGTCAAAGTAGTATATTTTGGGGTAAAATATTTTGATTTCCTTCAAAGCCATTGTAGGGTTAATAATTGGCCTAATTTCAATATTGCTGTTTATTGGGAAATAGGGAGGCCCAAGGGGGAGAAGTGTGGGGAAATGGGCAGTTGGTGGAGTAGTCAGAACACACATAACATTTATTAATTAAGTTTGCCTTTCTATATGAGTGCAGTACATGGCACCTGTATTAGTCCATTTTCATGGTGCTGATAAAGACATACCCGAGACTGGGAAGAAAAAGAAGTTTAATTGGACCTACAGTTCCACATGGCGGGGGAGGCCTCAGAATCATGGCGGGAGGTGAAAGGTACTTGCTTACATGGCTGCAGCAAGAGAAAAATGAGGAAGAAGCAAAATCAGAAACCCCAGATAAACCCATCGGATTTCATGAGACTTATTCACTATCATGAGAATAGCACAGGAAAGACTGGCCCCCATGATTCAATTATCTCCCCCTAGGTCTCTCCCTCAACACGTGGGAATTCTGGGAGATACAGTTCAAGTTGAGATTTGGGTGGGGACACAGCCAAACCATATCAGCACCCCAAAACAATTACCATAGTAACATCAAAGATCATTGATCACAAAGCACTATACCAGATATAATAATGATGAACAAATTTAAATATTGCAAAAATTATTGAATATTATGTGACACAGAGACACAAAGTGAGCACATGCTGTTGGAAAAATGGCACCAATAGATGTGCTTGAGGCAAGGTTGCCACAAACCTTCAATTTGTAAAAAAAAAAAACAAAAAAACAAAAGCAATGTCTGTGAAGAGCAATAAAGCAAATCACAATAAAACGAGGCATGCTGTTATCATCATCTAACAGGCACATTTTGGTTTCAAAAAAAACTGGGCATGTATTAAGATCTAATATGTATTTTACCATCCAGGAATTTTCTCAAGACTGTATTGCAGAAAATTTTAAAACCAGTTATTCTACTCTAATACAGTTACTTATTTTTCTTCAATATCACTTTTTTTCTAAGTATGTCTCTCTTGGACATGGTTTTAATCATTTGCAATATAAAGAGACATAGGCTTAATTTATAGCAGCCCTGAGTTAACAAAAAGAGATAATCCTATTCGCTTATTTGATAATCCAGCTGAACCTGAAGTACTGATTTCAGCCTGTTCATCACCTGAATGGGCTGCCGTGGTTAGAGGGTTTCCAACACAGCTACTGGAACACTTTTAAAAGGTAATGCTGTGATCCATGCAGCCAGGAAGGGGTTGGTCCCTCATAACTCTGCAATCCTCTGGGCCCAGTTTTCTTTTTCCTCTCCCGGTTGATGACACTAGGCCCATTGGTGGTACGGCTTTGGGTTTCCTTCAGTCTCAAGATCTCAGTCAGGGTGGGTGAAGTGGAAGAACAAGCCTTCTTGCAGACCACTGGTTGGTTGGCAGCCTTTGCCATAGCTAATCTGGTTGTTTTCAGGTCAGTGACAGTCACTTTTAGGAGAGGGTTCGTTTGCTTTCAAAATCCATCTCCCCGTTCCTCTCAGGGTTCTTTGCCCCAAAGGACTTTGCCCTTCCTTACGCAGTGGACACCTTGGCACCCTCTGCAAACAGACAGTCCCGCAGAGGCCCTCGACGAGTGTCACTCCATCTGTTTCGCGCTCCTAGGAGAGGTGTAGCAGAAAGCAGTGCCCCAGGCCTCCACGCGACGGTGAAGCAGGAACCAGGGGCTGCCAGCAGAGCAGCCCAGGTGCGTCGCCTTAGGGACAGAGCTGCCAAGTGCCGAGCTGGGGCTGCCAGAGCCGAGCCGGGAACGGCATTTGCCAGAGCCGAGGCGGAAGCCGGAGCATTTGGGGGACGGGACCGCGGGAACCCGGAAACGCCTGGGCTGCACCGAGCTGGCGGTGGCTACGGCGACGGGAGCCGGCGGCGCTGCGGGTCAGCGGTCGCGTAGGACCCAGCGGACTCGGCAGCCTGGGGCGCCCGGCGGAGCTGAACCGCGGCCCCCGGTGGTGGGCTCAGCCGGTCGAGCTGCGCGGGAGGTGAGTCCTCAGCGCACCTGGGGAGGGGCGGGAACCAGGAGGCTAGCGGCTGCGGGGCGGCCCGGGAAGCTCCTGGAGGAGGAGGAAGAGGAGGCATGCGAGGGGGCTGATGTGAAGTCTGTAGGGGTGAAGGGGACGGTATCGAAGACCTGAAATACAGTGCTAGCTAAGTAGGGGTGGGAGCAGATGAGGTGACACGTTGTAACTCCGACGGACGACGTGCGGAATGTACTGGGTGGAGGAGGAAAAAAGGCCCGAGGAGAGGGGTGTGTCAAGCGAATGAAGACGGCAGTGTGTGCCTCAGCGCCTGGTGCGTGCGGAGCTAGTGACGGGTGGGCCCGGCTGGGGCCCGTCATTCCTTCAGTGAACATCCCATGAGCTCTCGCTCGGTGTTGAGCCCTGTGGTAGGCACAGATGCACCCGACCAGCACCTGGAGCTCAAGAAGCCGCAGGAACTTAAAGAAATGGAAAGGCTGCCCTTGGTAAGGCTAGTAAGAACACAAGGACTGTTTGAAGTGGGGTGAGATTCTCATCAGAACAGGTGTGTGGGTGCATTGCTTTATAGTAAAAGACGATCTTTTATTATGTTCTCTTAAATGCAGTATTTGAAAATTAAGTCTTTTCGTTTTTGAAATCAACATTCGACTTTAGTAGTTAAAGATGAAATTTGGTGCAGTTTCTTACTTGGTGTTCTTATTCACTTTCACTGGTAAACTCAGGGTGTTTCAAGGGAATGACTTGTAAACTTATATTTCTGAGGCTAACTTTCCTCCCAACTGTTGATTCTATCTCTTCAGCATCTCAAATTTAGTTCTCCCCTTTTTCATTCCCACTACCTGTCTGCTAAATATGCTCGTCTTTCCTCTTCTTACTTGCACTATAGCAATAACTTCCAAACTGGACTTGTCCTCAGCCTGGCACCCTTCCAGTCACTTGCCTCCATATTACTTTTAAAGCCAAAGATCTTATGACTTTCTTTTTTTGGTTATTCCTTCCTCAGAAATACGCAGTGACTCTCGATCGGCTTCAGAATAAAATGTAAATTATTTAGGGAGGCATTTAATAAATTTTATATTATTTAGGGAGGCTTCAGATTTTTCCTTCAGAATTTGAGTCTGACGGTGGCTCCAGTAAAATCAATATGATTCTTTTTTTTTTTTTTTAGACGGAGTCTCGCTCTGTCGCCCAGGCTGGAGTGCAGTGGCGCAATCTCAGCTCACTGCAAGCTCCGCCTCCCGGGTTCATGCCGTTCTCCTGCCTCAGCCTCCTGAGTAGCTGGGACTACAGGCGCCCGCCGCCACGCCCGGCTAATTTTTTTGTATTTTTAATAGAGACGGGGTTTCACCATGTTAGCCAGGATGGTCTCGATCTCCTGACCTCGTGATCCACCCACCTCGGCCTCTCAAAGTGCTGGGATTACAGGCGTGAGCCACCGCACCCGGCCCCCAATATGATTCTTTCTTTTTTCCTTTTATTAAACAAGTATTACTTTTTTCCACATATCCTATTTTTTAGCCAAACTAGTCGTTAATTAGACGTCCAGTTTCTGAACATGCTATATGCCTGTCAGCCTTGGTGTTTGCTTTTATCATTTCTTCCTACAAAGAAGAAACAAGGAAGGCCTTCCTTGCTGTCTTTGTAGAAATTCTACTTATTCTTCAATTCCTTAAATGCCATCTCTTTCTTATGCAGCTTTCTGAAATCTGCCATAAATCCAGTTCATTCTTTTTTTCTTTTTCTTTTTCTCTTTTTTTGAGAGAGTTTTGCTCTTGTTGCCCAGGCTGGAGTTCAATGTTGCGATCTCGGCTCACTGCAACCTCCGTCTCCCGGGTTCAAGCGATTCTCCTGCCTCAGCCTCCTGAAGTAGCTGGGATTACAGGTGCCCGCCACCACACCCAGCCAATTTTTTTGTAGTTTTAGTTGAGACGGGGTTTCACCATGTTGGCCAGGCTGGTCTTGAACTCCTGACCTCAGGTGATCCACCTGCCTCGACATCCCAAAGTGTTGGGATTACAGGCATGAGCCACTACGCCCAGCCCATTTTTTTTTCTTCATGTGTGCTGGGCTTTATAAATCTTACAACACTTGTTAAATTTGCATTGTAATTTGAGAGTTCTATTATCCCTACTGTAATGTAAGCTTCCTAAGGAAAGCATTTGTACTTACTACTTTTTTTTTTTTTTTTTTTGAGATGGAGTCTTGCTCTGTCACGCAGGCTGGAGTGCAGTGGCGTGACCCTCTCGCCTCACTGCCACCTCTGCCTTCCAGGTTCAAGAGATTCTTCTGCCTCAGCCTCTCGAGTAGCTGGGACTACAGGCGTGCATCACCACACCTAGCTAATTTTTGTATTTTTAGTAGAGACGGGGGTTTCACCATGTTGGCCAGGCTGGTTTTGAACTCCTGGCCTCAAGTGATCCACCCACCTCACCTCCTAAAGTGCTGGAATTACAGGCATGAGCCACCGCGCCCAGCCTGTACTTACTACATTTTTAAAGCACTTTAGTACTTGAACACATCATGATGTATTAGACTCTTAAATATTTGTTACATTAATCATGTAATGAAACAGACTGTTATTGTGCTTCTGGAGACAAGATGAGCTCTTGAGTTGTTATAGAAACTTACTGTGGATTTAATATTTGAAAATGCTTTTCTGTTCCATGTTTTAGTACCTCATTTGATCCTAGTAATAAATCGTTGGTGTAGGATAGTTATTATCACCGCTATTTTATAGATAAGAATATTAAAGTTCAGACAGTCCAAATAATTTGCCCTGGGACCTACATATACGCCTTAGGCTGCCTCAATTATATTTGAAATTGATATAATTTGTGTCCTGAAACATGTGCCTTTTACTTAGTAGAAATTCAACATTTTGCTCGAGTGATTGGATAAGTTACAGAATCAATGGAAAGAATCTCGTTTGAAAGCCTAAACTTGTTCAGTAGCCATGAAATATAACTTTTGAGCTTTTCCTTTCCTGAGAAGTATAGAGAGTGAAGTTTCTGTTTAATGTTAATCAACTGTGGATTTGTCTGTGTGTGTGCATGTAAGTGCCAGAAATTTAGAGTAAGTTATAGACCTGTCTGGGTAACTGAAATAGCTTGAACATCATCACACTGACAGTTAATAATGTCATTCATGAGTATTAATTTATTATTAAATAAGATTCAGGTGAATATGAATTGGTAGCTTAACATTAGATTTTAATCCTCACAAAAGCAATGTATTCTTAAGTATGTTCAACTTAATTATCTCTATTAATGAAGGAGTGTAGTGGTTATATATTTTTAATCATTGTTTCTTTAATGTATCTTTTATATAAATTCGAGTGTTTTATATATAAGTGTGAAAATGACTTTAGAAGCTACAATGTTGCTTGGCTTCTCTATCCAGATTGCCTGACCAGAACTCTTTCTAGTTTATCATCCATATTGGAGACACCATCTAAAATGAAACCAAAGAGCCAGTTTAAAATAAGTTGCTGTACTTAGAGATAAGAAGTTTGATTGAAAAGGTATGCTAGGTCAGGAAGCATAGTGGAAATTAGAATTACGATGAAGCTGAAACTGGGCCGGGTGTGGTGGCTCATGCCTGTAATCCCAGCATTTTGGGAGGCCCAGGCAGGCGGATCACGAGGTCAGGAGTTTAAGACCAGCCTGACCAGCATGGTGAAACCCTGTCTCTACTAAAAATACAAAAATTATCCTGGCGTGGTGGTGGACACCTGTAGTCCCAGCTACTCGGGAGGCTGAAGCAGGAGAATTGCTTGAACGCGGGAGGCGGAGGTTGCAGTGAGCCAAAATCGCTCCATTGCACTCCAGCCTGGGCGACAGAGTGAGACTCCATCTCAAAAAAAAAAAAAAAAAAATGAAGCTGAAACTTTGAAGTCATGTCAGATAAAATGCTAAGAAACAAGCTCATTCCACAAAGTATCTACATAGGACTTTATATCTACCTAGAGCTGAGTTTTTTCTGTAAAAGTTATGTAAGTTTTTTTTCTAAATTCATATATGCTATAAAACCAATTTCAAACAGCATTTCTAATAGTATTTTCTATCATGAGTAGGTTTTATAAAGGTATTCAATGAATAAGGCATTGTAGTATAATAATCACTTTATTTGATTTATATTCCTTAATCATAACCACCCTACAAAATACATACTATTACTTATCACCATTTTATAGATAAGGGAAAGGAGGGACAGAGAGATTAAATAATTTGCTGTACTAAGTTGTAGAGACAGAATGTGAACTCAGTCTGAGACCAAAGGCATACTTTTATATACTATGGTGACTGACCCTCTGATACTTGGATGTGCTTTTTTGTTTTTTAAATAATTTTTTGTAGAGATGAAGTCTTATTATGTTGGCTTGGCTGGTCTTGAACTCCTGGCCTCAAGCGATCCTCCCACCATGGCCTCTGAAAGTGTTGAGATTACTGGTGTGATCAGTCCATAGACATGCTTAAACACAGGCTTTACTGCAAAGACTGTGGGTTTTGACTGAGATAAGTCTTGGTTCATGTCTGAGCTCTGACAAGTTATGCAAGACAAGCCATACACTTAATATCTCAGAACCTCTGTTTCTTAATCTGTAAAATGAATACCTCCTTTTACAGATTAAATGAGATCTAAATGAGATAATACCTGTAAATCACCTAGCACAATGCCTGATATACTGTAGGTATTCAAGATTCTCTTACTATTTTTACTTCTCTCATGAAGTACAGTTATTACAGTTATTAGAAAACATTTAATGCAAACCAGTTTTGACCTGCATTTGTCTTTTTTTTTTTTTGAGACAGGGTCTCACTGTCACCTTGGCTGGAGTACAGAGGCGCAATCTCAGCTCACTGCAACTTCCACCTCCCTGGCTCAAGTGATCTCCCACCTTAGCCTCCCAAGTAGGTGGAACTACTGGCATGTGCCACCATGCCTGGCTAATTTTTTATTTTTTGTAGAGACAGCTTTCACCATGTTGCCCAGGATGGTCTCAGACTTCTGGGCTCAAGTGATCTGCCCACCTAAGCCTCCCAAAGTGCTGGGATTGCAGGCCTGAGCCACCGTGTCCAGCCCCTGCATTTGTCTTTTATGTTATTACACAGAGTTATGAAGAGATCATTCTCCCACAATAAATATTGTGGCGTTTATTTATTATTTTATAAATTCAACATAGAGTAAATGCTTAATATATGAAAGGTGCTGGTATGGAGAAGCAGGAAATACAGTGAATAGAAGAAGGAAATGTATATCATTTGTCAACAAATTAGTCTGATAAAATTTATGAGTGCTATTATAAAAGGTATATACAAAATGGCATGAGAGTGTAGTAGAGTGAAGGATTCAATCTGCTTGGAAGACATATGAAACTTCACTAAAACTTGTATGTTGAGTCCTGTAAGATATATAGAGGTTCTACAAATAGAGAAGGGAGAAGAGGTGTTTAAAAAGACGAATATTTGTTCGTGAATGCATGAAAGAACAAGACTGAGACAGGTAATAGTTTATGGCAGGAAATGTAGGTTGGGACCAGATTATGAGGGCTGTTTTATGTGAAGGAGTTTGGACTCTATCCTCTATTTTGTAAGAAGTCAATTAAACTTTACAAACAGGGCAAGGCACAGTGACTCATGCCTGTAATCCCAGCATTTTGGGAGGCCTAGGTGAGAGGATCACTTGAGGGCAGGAGTTTGAGACCAGCATGGGCAATGAAGCAAGACCCCGGCTCCACAAAAAATAAAAAAATTATCTGGTTGTGGTAGCATGCGGTTGTAGGTCCAGCTACTTGGGAGGCTGAGGCAGAAGGATTGCCTGAGCCCAGTAGGTTGAGGCTGCAGCGAGCCGTGATCACAGCACTGCAGTCCAGCCTGGGTGACAGAGTCAGACTTGGTCTCAAAAAAACTCCAAAAAAACCCCAAAAATAAAAGAGATGTGATCAGACCTATGTCTTATTAAGATATCTGCTATATGGAGGCTAGATTAGAGTTGAGAGCGTCTGAAGCTTGCCCTCTTCAGTTAGGCAGAGTGGCATAAGACTTGAACAGTAAATGTAGAACAAACATAATTAATATATATTTATATTCTCTGTAGCTTAAGCTTATAGTATGTGTAAACTTCTAAGACTGTAGGTTTACCTGGAAGTGGTTGCAATTTCATGTTTAGAAAAGGTGTTTGTTAAAAAAACAAAACTATACAGCATTTGGATTCGAATATTGGAATCTTGTTCTCAAGGGAAGGTGGTAATCTAACATTAATTATTTAAACACAATCAGCAGCTAGGATTTTTTAAAGTTTGAAAACCTTTGACAACAAAGGAAGATAAATTGTTCTGTAAAGGCACATGCACTGTTAAGTTTCACAGCACTATTCACAATAGCAAAGACATAGAATCAATCTAGATGCCCATCAGTGGTGAACTGGACATAAAACTATGATACATATACACCTGGAATACTATGCAGCTATGAAACATGAGACTATGGCCTTTGCAGCAACATGGATGGAGCTGAAGGCCATTATTCTAAACAAATTAATGCAGGAACAGAAAACTAAATACTGCATGCTCTCAGTTATAAGTAGGAGCTAAACATTGAGTACATATGAACACAAAGAAGGGGACACAATAGACATTGAGGTCTATTTAAGGGTGCAGGGTTGGAGGAGGGTAAGGATTGAAAAATTGCCTATTGGGTATTATGCTGATTACCTGGGTGACAAAATTATCTATACACCAAAGCCCCAGGACAGACAATTTACCCATGTAACAAACGTGCATACCTACCCCTTACCTTCAATCTAAAATAAAAGTTGGGGAAAAAAAAAGAATGTTTGACAGTTTGTCAGACCATAAATCCATAAAAACTGCTCATTCTATATTGTTTCAGTTAAATTATTTTCACATTAAATTTTTAAAAATCATTTATGAATGCTACAAAGAAAACTATTTTAAGGCCCCTCACCATTCAGGTTTATCCTCAGGCTGAATAGCTAAACATTGTTCTTGATTACCCTTCTATGCTTTATTTATTTAAGACAGGGTCTTACTCTGTCACACAAGAAGGAGTGCAGTAGGCCTGGTGCAGTGGCTCACACCTGTAATCCCAGCACTCTGGGAGGTAGAGGCGGGCGGATCACCAGAGGTCAGGAGTTTGAGAACAGCCTGACGAACATCGCGAAACTCCGTCTCTATTAAAAATACCAAAAAAAAAAAAAAAAAAAATTAGCTGGGCGTGGTGGCAGGTGCCTGTAATCTCAGCATCTCAGCTACTCGGGAGGCTGAAGCAGGAAAATCACTTGAACTCGGGAGGTAGAGGTTGCAGTGAGCCAAGATCACGCCATTGCACTCCAGCTTGGGCGACAAGAGTGAAATTCCATCTCAGAAGGAAGGAGGAAGGGAGGAAGGGAGGGAGGAAGGGAGGGAGGGAGGGCGGGCAGTGATGTGATTACAGCTCATTGCTCCTGGGCTCAAGCAATCCTCCAGCCTCAGCTTCTCGAGTAGCTGGGAGTATAGATAGGCACACGCCACAATATCTGGCTAATTTTTTAAAGTTTGTTGTAAAGACAGAGTCCGACTATGTTGCCCAGGCTGGTCTGGAACTCCTGGGCTCAAGGGATCCTCCCATCTTGGTCTCCCAAAGTGCTGGGATTATAGGTGTGAGACACCGTGCCTGGCCCTCGTATGCTTTAATACCTAAACATTTGAAAAATCACTGGAAAATGCTAGAACCTTGTAATGTTAGTACGTGGGGAGCAATTCTATCTTAATGAGTAATTATATTTTACTTTCTGCATATAGATACGTTTCAGTTGGCATGTTTTGATACATGCAGTATATCTGAGATTGAGCAATAAATTATGTTTAAAGGAGTCAACTTGAATAGTCTAGTAGGGACAGAGAGACTAAAATTGGGAATTTTTTTCTCTAGCTTATAAGCTTTATATCTGATTATATGTTATTAATATTTCAAGTTATAAAAACAAACATACTAATGAAAATTGTGAAAATCTGTACTGTTTTGCCTTTTATGTCCTTTTTTCCTCCTACCCATACCTAGCTATGTTTTTTAAAACAGCAAAGAGGCCGGGCAGGGTGGCTCATACCTGCAATCCCAGCACTGTGGGAAGCTGAGGCAGGAGGATGGCCTGAGCCTGAGACCAGCCTGGGCAACACAGGGAGACCCCATCTTTACAGATAAAAAAAAATTTAAAAAATTTAGCTAGGTGTGGTGGCACATGCCTGTGGTTGCAGCTACTCAGGAGGCTGAGGTGGGAGTATAGCTTGAGCCCAGGAGGTAGAGGCAGCAGTGAGCCGTGGCATGCCACTGCACTCCAGCCTGGGGAACAGAGTGAGACCCTGTTTCAAAAAATATAAAATAAAATAAGAAAATAAGAAATAAAATAATAAAACAAATTGATGTTTTCTAAACTAAGTGGTAGTAGAAGAATTGCTTTGTAACACTGGCCAAGTCCTTGTTTTTTCTATGGAAATGTTACGGTTAAACATTTAGTTTTGTGAGCAAAAAGTGGATGGGTCAGTTTTCTATGAGAAGATTACTAGAGTAGTTTCTCATTCATTTAGTATCTTTGTTGTTACTGAGTCCAGAATATATTTTAAAAAGTATTTATTGAGTGCATACTGTGTGCAAGGAATTGTTCTATGTACTCTTCGGTAAACCAGTTTTCCTAATAATTAATTTTTAAAAATATAGCAACTTAATTTCATCCAGTCTTTCTCTGAAACATATTTAATGCTTTCTTCTGGAATAGACATAGAGTGTTCCCTTTGGCAGCACATATACTAAAGTTCGAACGTTATGGAGAAGATTAGCATGGCCCTTGCTCAAGGATGCTACACAAATTCATGAAGCATTCCCTTAGGGAAGAAAAAATAGATGTAGAATTGGAAACATTACATTTAAAAAATACAGACTTAGATCCTCATATTAATTTCTTGTGGCTGCTGTAACAAATTATCACAAATTTTGTGGCTTAAAACAATAGCAATTTATTCTCTCACAGTTCTGGAGACCAGAAATCCAAAATTAATATAACTGAGTTGAAATCTAATTGTCAGCAAGGCCTCACTCCATCTGGTTGCTCTGGGAGAGCATCCATTCCTTTCCTCTTCCAGCTTCTGTTGGCTGCCAATATTCCTTTTCTTGTGCCTGCATCACTCTAATATCACAGGACAGCATTATCAAATCTCTCTCTGCTTCATCTTTATATTGCATTCTTCTCTTGTGTATCTGTATTCTCCTTTTCTTTCTTTTTTTTTTTTTTTTTATTTGAGACAGAGTCTCACTCTGTTGCTCAGGCTGGAGTGCAGTGGCGTGATCTCGGCTCACTGCAAGCTCCACCTCCCGGGTTCATGCCATTCTCCTGCCTCAGCCTCCGGAGTAGCTGGGACTACAGGCGCCCGCCACCACGCCCGGCTAATTTTTTATATTTTTAGTAGAGACGGTGTTTCACCGTGTTAGCCAGGATGGTCTCGATCTCCTCTATCTCGTGATCTGCCCACCTTGGCTTCCCAAAGTGCTGGGATTACAGACGTGAGCCACCGCGCCTGGCCTCCTTTTCTTTTTAAAAATATTTTTCCAGGCCGGGTGCGGTGGCTCACGCCTGTAATCCCAGCACTTTGAGAGGCCGAGGTGGGTGGATCACCCGAGGTCAGGAGTTCGAGACCACCCTGGCCAACATGGTGAAACCCCGTCTCTACTAGAAATACAAAAATTAGCCGGACATGGTGGTGCAAGCCTATAATCCCAGCTACTCGGGACACTGAGGCAGGAGAATCGCTTGAACCCAGGAGGCAGAAGTTGCAGTGAGCCGAGATCACACCATTGTACTCCAGCCTGGGCAACAGAGCAAGACTCTGTCTCTCTCTCTCTATATATATGTATATATATTCCAGCTTTATTGAAGTGTTTATATATATATGTATTAATTAAATATTTGGTGGCTGATTTCCATCTGGAGAATTGTGTGATAACTGTATTTTTTTTTTACTTCTATCCCCAATCTTCTTAGTTTTGAATCTTTACTAATGATTAGTGCCTGTAGACCCTACCTGGCTTTTACACAAGTCTCTGTTCTTTGTAGAATATCTTTAACTGTTGTAAGTGGTGGGAAGTGACCATAACAGAATGAGGTAGAGCAGAATTGCATGAGAGTGTGGGGAAATGGGAGGGTGGGAAGGAGTAAGTTCATTTTTACATGGCACCACACATTGAAAGGAGATCTTAGAGATATTAAGTCGTTTTGTTTCCAAATCAATGCATTTCTGTAAACAGTACAATAGTGAGTGCTGAACGATTTTTATCTAAACATTAGAATGCAAATAGGTTTTATATTTGTATAGGTAAAGAAATAGCTGAATACTCTTGGTTTTATTTAAATCTAGGAATGGAAATTTTGCAGCCTATGAAAGAACAAGTTAAAAATGGATACTACTGTAACTTACGTACAGGTGATATTTTCTTAGTAAATAGTTACCTGACACCTTGAGGAAGAAAGAAAAGGAGAAACAATGAAAAGTTGTTTAACTTAGAACATGATAGGAGCCTGTAAGTTATAGAGTTGGTTAAATGTTATTGAGCAAAATTTTGCTTTTCTTAAGCACTTAAGAGGGAACTAATTTAGGGGAGGCTATTGTTTCTATCATAAAAATTGAGTTTATTATATCTGTAGCGTAAATTACTTTCTACTTATTTCTTTCACTTACATGAAAAAGGTTTTTGGATTTTCCACGAGATTATTATGGATTTCAAGTACAAGATATTGTTGCTCTTCTTCTTGAGTACTGTATCTACTTCTGAGGTAGTTAGAAAAGAATATATACAAATACCAGTGTCAAAAGTTGTCAGTTATGATGAATTTTATTTGTCATTATTTAGCCTGTAATAATAGGTTATAGTTTTAAAGTTTTGGCATCATGGAAGATAATGGACAAAAAATTTCAACTGAGCTCAGCATTTCTGTATGTATATACTTTTTTCTGTTGATTTATTTGGAAAAACCTTAAAATGTTTGTTTTTTACCCTAGTAGTTGTCTCTGACCAGTGTATAATGTGACATATTTGCATAGCACTTTGTAACTTGTGTGTTTTCATATATACTCTCTTATGTCATTAACCTCTAGTAGACTGATATTGTTACTAAGGGAGTATAGTGTTTAGAAAATGTAAATATAGCTTACTCTAAAAATCATAACTTAGGAATTTAGCCCTTGTTTTTATAATAGAAGGAAAATTGACTTGCAGACTATCTAAGATACTAGGTAGTCTCAAAATGTATATGAATTTTATTTTATTTTATTATTTATTTATTTATTTTTGAGACAGAGTCTTGCTCTGTTGCCCAGGCTGGAGTGTAGCAGCGGGATTTCGGCTCACTGCAACCTCCTCCTCCCAGGTTCAAGAAATTCTCGTGGCCTCAGCCTCCCGAGTAGCTGGGATTACAGGTGTGTGCCACCATGCCTGGCTAATTTTTGTATTTTTAGTAGAGACAGGGTTTTGCCATGCTGACCAGGCTTGGCTCGAACTCCTGGCCTCAAGTGATCCGCTCACCTCAGCCTCCCAAAGTGCTGGGATTACAGACATGAGCCACTGCACCCAGCCTGTGTATGAATTTTAGTACAGTTTTAAAACATTGACTAAACATTTAGTTTTTTAGGACTTTTAGTGGCTGGAGACATATCAGCAAAATACAGATATTGTCTCAGAATGATAAGCTTTATACACAGACTGAGAAAGTATACAGACTATACGTTGGTGAGCCACTGGAAATAAGTCTGTAGTAATACTGATTTTAGGGTTTACCTACACCTACAAGGATGTATTCTTTTTTTTTTTTTTTTTTTGAGACGGAGTCTTGCTGTGTTGCCCAGGCTGGAGTGCAGTGGCACAATCTCAGCTCACTGCAACCTCCGCCTCTTGGGTTCAAGTGATTCTCGTGCCTCAGCCTCCTGAGTAGCTGGGATTACAGGTGCGCACCACCATGTCCAGCTAATTTTTTGTATTTTTAGTAGAGACGGGTTTTGCCATGTTGCCCAGGCTTTGAACCCCTGAGCTCAGGCAATCCGCCCACCTCGGCCTCCCAAAGTGCTGGGATTACAGGTGTGAGCCACTGCGTCCGGCCTGTATTCTATTTTTGAAAAGATGAATATAAATTATTAGTATATGGTGTTTTGAGTATTTTAGAACTTGGTGTAGATCTGTAATGCAATTAATGAAGATATAAATAATTTATCAGTATCTCATTAGTTTGGGGATGGTGGTAGTAAGTGTGCATTAATGAAACATATGCATTATATAATGTATATTTTTTAAATATTTAGACCTGTAAAGTAACTCGTAGTTGGCTGATAAAACTTTGTAAAGCAAGGATCTTTGGGAGCTGCTTTAATAAAAATGAAGGTAACTAGTATATCACATATATTTAACTATAGATTTTAGTGTGTTTGAAAATCTTTTTCTCTTAAGAATATTAAATAATTACTGAAAATATCTTTGAACATGAAATAAGCTAATATTTTTTGTATAAAATGCAAAAGTAAATTCTAACCAAGCCATCATCCAAACTCATTAAATCCAAATGAATGGAGTTTAGATGAATGAAATTTTCTTGTATATTTTCCCCCAAGAGGTGAGAAGAGATTTAAAAATAATAAAACTGAACTTTATAAATATCAAACATCCAAAAATTTAGAGGAGAATTAGTGATTAGAAAGCAAGTTCAAGATCGATTAGGGTGACAAACAAAACCCTGAAATATTTTTTGTGCACAGGACTGTAAAGGATTTATAGAAGTACTAGCAATGTGATTGCTGTATCAAATCAGTGTGATTGTAATGTCTACATTCATACCCAAAGATTATAATTATGGATCATTATAATAATTATACAATAGTTGATTATTATATTTTACTATATAGATATACTCAACGTTTACAATTTACAAATTTATGTGGAACTTTTAGAAAAAGTTGAAATTAGATTAATAGAATTGTGTGTGTGTGGGTGTGTGTGTGTGTTTCAGAACTGGAGGGGAGTGGAATGAAGAGAAGTTGGGTAATGGCTACAAAAATACGGTTGGGGGCCAGGCGCGGTGGCTCATGCCTGTAATCCCAGCACTTTGGGAGGCCCAGGCGGGCGGATCACAAGGTGAGGAGATGATATCAACCTGACCAACATGGTGAAACCCCGTCTCTACTAAAAATACAAAAAATTAGCCGGGCGTGGTGGCGGGCGCCTGTAATCCCAGCTACTCAGGAGGCCGAGGCAGGAGAATCTCTTGAAACCGGGAGGCAGAGGTTGGAGTGAGCCGAGATCGCGCCACTGCACTCCAGCCTGGGCGACAAAGCGAGACTCCGTCTCAAAACAAAACAAAACAAAACAAAACAAAAAAACAGTTGAATAGAAGGAATAAGTTTGAGTATATGATAATACAATAGGGAAATATATTATTTAATTTTTTTTTTCGAGATGGAGTCTTGCTCTCTCACCCAGGCTGGAGTGCAGTGGCACGATCTCGGCTCACTGCACCCTCTGCCTCCCAGGTTCAAGCGATTCTCCTGCCTCAGCCCCCTGAGTAGCTGGGATTACAGGCGCCCACCACGCCTGGCTAATTTTTGTATGTTTAGCAGAGATGAGGTTTCACCATGTTGGCCAGGCTGGTCTCAAACTCCTGACTGCGTGATCCGCCGGCCTTGGCCTCCCAAAGTGCTTGGGATTACAGGCATGAGCCACCGCACCCGGCCTTATTTTTTTATTTTATTTTACATTTAATTAATTATTTTACATTTCAAAATAGCTAGAAGAATTGTAATGTTCTCAACATAAAGATTAGTTTGTGGTGGTGGATATCCCAATTAACCCTCATTTAATCATTACACATCATATACATGTATGAAAATATCACATGTACTCCCAAAAGAAGTAGATCTGATATATCAGTTAAAAAGTACAAAAACAAGAAATAGAGGGGACCTGAGAAATCATATGAAATATTAAATTTTTAAAAATAGCATAAAAACACTTGTGTCTTATATATAATATTTAGAAGCCGGATAATTGATTCCCCTGGAGGGAAGAGGAAAGGAATAGACTTAGAGTTGTAGATTAAAGGGGCCTTTGCATCCTCATAGCTTAGCTCCCATTTAGGAGTGAGAACATAATGATGTTTGGTTTTTCATTCCTGAATTACTTCACCTAGAATAATGGTCTCCAATTCCATCTGGGTTGCTGTGAATGTCATTATTTCATTTCTTTTTATGGCTGAGTAGTACTCCATTGTATATATACCACAATTTATTTGTTGATTAATAGACATTTGGACTGGTTCCATATTTTCATAATTGCAAATTGTGCTGCTATAAACATGCGTGTGCAAATATCTTTTTCATATAATGACTTCTTTTCCTCTGTCTAGATACCTAGTAGCAGGATTGCTGGATCAAATGGTAGTTCTACTTTTAGTTCTTTAAGGAATCTCCACATTGTTTTCCATAGTAGTTATACTAGTTTACATTCCAGCCAGCAGTGTAAAAGTGTTCCCTTTTCAACACATCCATGCCAACATCTATTTTTATTTTTATTTTTTGATTTTGGCTGTTCTTGCAGGATTAAAATGGTATCACATTGTGGTTTTGATTTGCATTTCCCTGATAATTAGTGATATTGGGCATTTTTTCATATGTTTATTGGCCATTTGTATATCTTCTTTTGAGAATTGTCTGTTCATGTCCTTAGCCCAATTTTGGATGGGATTCTTTGTTTTTTTCTTGCTGATTTGCTTGAGTTCCTTGTAGATTCTGGATATTAGTTGTTTGTTGGATGTATAGATTGCAAATATTTTCTCCCACTCTGTGGGTTGTCTGTTTACTCTGCTGATTATTTCTTTTGCTGTGAAGAAACATTTTAGTCATCTATATTTGTTTTTGTTGCATTTGCTTTTGGGTTTTTGATCATTAAGTCTTTGCCTAAGCCAATGTCTAGTAGGGTTTTTCTAATATTATCTTCTAGAATTTTTATGGTTTCAGGTCTTAGATTTAAGTCCTTGATCCACCTTGAGTTGATTTTTGTGTAAGGTGAGAGAGGAGGATCCAGTTTCATTCTTCTGAACGTGGCCAATTATCCAAGCATCGTTTGTTGAATAGGGTGTCCTTTCCCCACTCTATGTTTTTGTTTGCTTTGTTGAAGATCAGTTGGCTGTAAGTATTTGGCTTTATTTCTGGGTTCTCTATTCTGTTCCATTGGTCTATGTGCCTATTTTTATAACAGTACCATGCTGTTTTAGTGACTATGGCCTTATAGTATAGTTTGAAGTCAGGTAATGTGATACCTCCAGATTTGTTCTTTTTGCTTAGTCTTGCTTTGGCTATGCAGGCTCTTTTTTGGTTCCATATGAATTTTAGGATTGTTTTTTCTAGTTCTGTGAAGAATGATGCTGGCATTTTGATGGGAATTGCACTGCATTTATAGATTGCTTTTGGCAGTATGGTCATTTTCACAATATTGATTCTACGCATCCGTGAGTGTGGGATGTATTTCTATTTATTTGTGTCATCTATGATTTCTTTCAGCAGTGTTTTGTAGTTTTCCTTATAGAGGTCCTTCACCTCCTGGGTTAGGTGTATTCCTAAGTATTTTATTTTATTGTTTTGCAGCTATTGTAAAAGGGGTTGAGTTCTTTATTTGATTCTCAGCTTGGTCACTGTTGGTGTATAGGAGAGCTACAGATTTGTGTACATTGCTTTTGTATCCTGAAACTTTGCTGAATTCATTTATCAGTTCTAGGAGCTTTTTGGATGAGTCTTTAGTGTTTTCTAAGTATACAATCATATTATCAGCAAACAGCCACACTTTGACTTCCTGTTTATCAATTTGGATGCCTGATTATTTTCATTTTGAGTTTATTCTACTGTTAGGCAGAATAGTAAATTAAATTTTAATTCTTTATAGGTAATCTGTTACAAATGATCATTTGTTTGCATATATTCTACTTTTTTTTTTTTTTTTTGAGACAGGGTCTCACTCTGTTGCTCGGGCTGGAGTGCAGTGGTGCCACCATGGTTCACTGCAGCCTCGACCTCCCGAGCTCAAGTGATCCTCTGACTTCAGCCTCCTGAGTAGCTGGGACTACAAGCATGCACCACCATGCCCAGATAATTTTTGTATTTTTTAGGAGAGACATGGTTTTGCCACATTGCATAGGCTGGTCTCTAACTCCTGGGCTCAAGTGATCTGCCTGCCCCTGCGCCTGGCCATATTCTACTTTTCAACTTTTAAAAACATACATTATAATAAATAAAGAGCATTAATAATAACTGTATTATTATGGGGAATGTTTATATTGATGTTTGGAAATGGAAATGCAAAATTTTCAAAGTATATCCTGACCTTTAATTTTTATTTATTTATTTATTTATTTTTTTGATTTTTTGAGACAGGGCCTCTCTTTGTTACTCAGGCTGGAGTGCAGTGGTACACAATCTTGGCTCACTGCAGCTTTGACTTCCCAAACTCAAGGGATACTTCCTCCTCAGACCCCAATAGCTGGGACCACAGGCACAGGCCACCATGCCCAGCTAATTTTTGTATTTTTTGTAGAGACAAGTTTTCACCATTTTGACCAGACTGGTCTCTCACTCCTGGAGTCAAGTGATCTGCACACCTGGGCCTACCAAAGTGCTGGGTTTACAAGCCTGAGCCACCACGCCTGGCCTAAATTTTCACTTGAAAAGAAGTTAGAGCATTGCTGTTATAATAGGGACATTATGGTCTTGTTTGCACAGAATAAACAAGACTTCCTTGAACAGATATGAAATCATTGTTTGACATTTTCCAGGAGAATTAGATGCCTCTGCCAAATGTAAGTTGCTGGAAACTTACTCTCCTTCCATATAGAGATAAAGGCACCAGGATGTCCTGGAATTTTACAATAGCATGTAGTGGGAGCCAGGGAGCCTGATATAAGCTATATAGGCTGGTGTCTCCAGTTACTAGTAGTGACCTTGAACAAATCATCTACTTCTCTATTCACTATTTTCGTCATTTTAAAGTGAAGAAATTATATTAGATGATTTCTAAAACATATTATACCTCTAAAGTGCTATAATTTTATTTCACATTGGACAAAATTGAGATAGATGATTACAAAGTCTATGTATTCTTTCCTCTAAGCTTGATCCTCTATTTGTAACAGAGATATATTATTCAATTTTTGTCTCTGAAAGTCAAATTAAATGCTTAAGATCGTTTTTTCCAATAGTTATAATCTATGTATATTTAATAGTGAGTATACGTATTTTACCATTAAAAATTTTATCCTTATATTCATGGTGCTGCATTGTTCGTGTTTGGAGCATATTCAGTTGAGGGTAGGAATTGCTGAATTTAGTAAGCTAGACTTAATGCTTTTAGGAATAGATCTCTCTGTAACTATGGTACTTAGCCTAATGTAGGCATGAAATAATGATTGTTGAATCTCTTTGAATATATTATATATATTACAATAATTAGGAGTTAAGGATCATATATATACAACCATACCTAAACCATGGTAGCTTGGTTGTAGCAACCTGGTAGCTTGATAGCTTGGGCTGTGAGAGCTCTAAAGAGATATACTATAAACAGGGTTCACATTTGAAAAAATTTAGGTAGAAGTTGGACTCATGGAAAAGATAGAGGTGGGGTGAAGAATAGACTAACAGAATGTCCTTAGAATTAATCCAAATAAATCAGAGCTAGAGCCAAAGTTGTGAAGAAAGCCTGGTTAGGAATGCTATTATTTGGTATGTCCTCAATCTTTAATTTTTTTAAATCAACTTTATTGAGTTCTAATTTACATACAATAAAATGTACCCATTGAATAAAATGAACCATTATACCCCTGAATTGTAGATTTAAACAAAATCCACAATTCAGTGAATTCTGATAAATAAATTCAATCATATAACTACCACACAGTATTTCCACCACTACCAAAAATTCTTTGCTGTCCCTTTGCAGTCAACCCTCAACCCCAGCCCCTATCTGTAGGTAACCATAAATTTGCATCTGTCACTATAATTTAATTTTGCCTTTTCTAGAATTTTATATATAAATGGAAAGATAAAGTATACAGTATACTGTTTTGTTTAATTTTTTTTTGCTCAGTATGTTTTTTACTTTTTTTGGGTGCTTTAGTGTGGCAGTATTTTATTCCTTTTTATAGCTGAGCATTATTCCATTGTATGGATATACCACATAGGATAATTTATTCAAATATTGATGGGCATTTGGAGTATTTCATTTCTGATTTTACAAATAAATCTCTTATAAATATTCATGTACAAATATTGTTGTGAACATGTGTTTTCAAATTTCTTGGGTATATCTAAGAGTGGAATTGCTAGGTCATATGAAAAGATTATGTTATTGTTTTCTTCCTTCTCTTCCTTCCCTTCCTTCTGTCCCTCCCCTCCCCTCCTCTTCCCTCCCCTCTCCTCCCCTCCTCTCGTTTCTTCCCATCCTTTCCTACCTTCCCTTTCTTACCTGTCTTTCTCCCCTTGGTCTCCTCTCCCCTCCCCTTCCCCTCCTCTCTCCTCCCCTTCTCTCCTCTCTCCTATACTCTTTTTATTTGAGAGGGTCTTGCTCTGTTGCCCAGGCTAGAATACAGCAGTTCAATTGTAGCTCACTATAACCTCAAACTTCCTGGGCTCAAGCCATCCTCCTGCCTCAGCCTCCTGAGTAGCTGGAACTACATGCATGTAGCACCAAACCCAGCTAATTATTTTTGTAGAGACGGGATCTCAATATGTTGCCCAGGCTGGTCTCAAACTCCTGGCCTCAAGTGATCCTCCAGCCTCAGCCTCCCAAAGTGCTGTTTTCTTTTAATAAGGAATTGATAAACTTTTTCAAAGTGGTCGTACCATTTTACATTTTCACTAGCAATGTTGAGGGCTGTTTGCTCTAAATCCCCTTTAACACTTAGTTGTATCAGTTTTTAAAATTTAGCCAGTCTAATAGGTACATAATGGTATCTCATTGTGGTCTTAATTTGTATTTCCCTAATGACCTTTTCCTATGCCTATTAGTCACTCATTTGTCTTTATTGATAAAATATCTTTGTTTTTTTGTTTTGTTTTGTTTTGTTTGAGATGGAGTTTTACTCTTGTTGCCCACACTGGAGTACAATGGCCTAGTCTTGGCTCACTGCAACCTCCATCTCTCGGGTTCAAGCAATTCTCCTGCCTCAGCCTCCTGAGTAGCTGGGATTACAGGCACCTGCAAGCATGCCTGGCTAATTTTTGTATTTTTAGTAGAGATGGGATTTCATTATGTTGGCCAGGCCGCTCTTGAACTCCTGACCTCAGGTGATCCACCCACCTCGGCCTCCCAAAGTGCTGAGATTACAGGCATGAGCCACCGTGCCTGGCTGGTAAAATATCTTTTGCCTATTTTTAAATTGGATTGTCGGTCTTTGATTTATTGTATTATTAAAGTTCTGTATATATTCTGGATATATTGTCAGATACATGTATTGAGAATATTTTCTCCCATAATGTAGTTTGCCTTTCATATTATTTTACAGTATCTTTGGAAGAGCAGTCTTTAATTTATTATTGTTTTATTTTATTGAGGCAGAGTCTTGCTCTGTCACCCAGGCTGGAGTGTGGTGGCATGAACATGGCTCACTGCAGCCTTGACCTTCTGGGCTCAATTGATCCTCCTGCCTCAGCCTCTTGAATGCTGGGACCACAGGTGCATGCCACCATGCCTAGCTATTTTTTTGTAGAACTGAGGTCTCACTTTGTTGTCCAAGCTGGTCTTGAACTTCTGGGCTCAAATGATCCTCCTGCCCCAGCCTCTCAAAGTGCTGGGATTACAGGTGTGAGCCACTGCACCTGGCCCGATTTTTAATTTTAATGTGTCCAGTTTATCCATTTTTTTCATTTATGGTTTGTGCTTTTTGTATCCTAAGAACTCTTGGCCTATCTCTACATGATTACAGTTTTTTTCCTATGCCTTGTTATTATTGAATATTTATAGTTTCAGCTTTTGTAATGGCTATATGATCCATTTCTAGTTAATATTTGGTGTGAGAAAGTTAGGGGTAGAGGGTTATTTTTTAAAAAATACGTATATCTGGCGGGGCACGGTGGCTGAAGCCTGTAATCCCAGAACTTTGGGAGACCAAGGTGGGTGGATCATGAGGTCAGGAGATCGAGACCATCCTGGCCAACATGGTGAAACCCCGTCTCTACTAAAAATACAAAAATTAGCTGGGTGTGGTGGCGTGTGCTTGTAATTCCAGCTACTCGGGAGGCTGAGGCAGGAGAATTGCTTGAACAAGGGTGTCAGAGGTTGCAGTGAGCTGAGATCATACCACTGCACTCCAGCCTGGTGACAGCGAGACTCCGTCTCAAAAAATAAATAAATAAATAAAAATACATAGATCTCATTATTCCAGTCCAGAACTATTTGTTGAAAAGACTGTCCCCTTTTTTCTGTACCTTTGTCAAATATTGTTTGACAATATTTATATATGGTTTAATAGACTGAATATTTGTGCTCTTCTCCTCTCTGTCCCCTGCCTCCCCAAATTCACATGTTGAAATCCTAACTCTCAATATGATGGTATTAAGAAGTAGGGCCTTTGGGAGGTAATTAGGTCATGAAAGTGCAGCCCTCATGAATGAGATTAGTGCCTTTATAAAAAGAGACCCCAGAGAACTCTCTGTTTTCTGCCATGTGAGGATACAATGAGAAGACAGACATCTGTGAACTCAGAAGAAGGGCCTCACTAGAACCCAACGATGCCAGCACTCTCATCTTGGACTTCCAGCCTGCAGAACTGTGAGAAATAAATTGCTGTGTTTATAAGCCACCCAGTCTATGATACTTTGTTACAGCAGCCTAAGCTCATAAGACATATGGATCTAAATCTGGACTATATTCTGTTCCATTGATCTATGCTTCTGTCCTCATGCCAATACCAGGTTTTGTTTTTTTGTTTTGAGATGATGTCTCGCTCTGTCGTCCAGGCTGGAGTGCAGTGGCGCAATCTCAGCTCACTGCAACCTTCGCCTCTGGGTTCAATCAATTCTCCTGCCTCAGCTTCCTGAGTAGCTGGGATTACAGGTGCCCGCCACCATGCCCGGCTAATTTTTTGTATTTTTAGTAGAGACGGGCTTTCACTATGTTGGCCAGGCTGGTCTTGAACTCCTGACCTCGTGATCTGCCTGCCTTGGCCTCCCAAAGTGCTGGGATTACAGGCGTGAGCCACCGCGCCCAGCCACCAGTTTTGATTACTGTAGTTTTATAGTAAGTCTGGAAGTTTGGTAGCTTAAGCCTTTCAATTTTGTTTTTCTTTTTCAAAATCGTTTTGATGGTCTAGGTCCTTTGTATTTCCATATGATTTTAAAATAAGCTTGCTTGGTTTTTGTTTGTTTGTTTACCAAAAAAGCCTACAGCGATTTTGTTCAGAATTGAATTGCATCTTCAGTTAAATCTATGACAAAGGATGTGATCATCACTAGGAAAGCAGTCAGGTATTAGACACTGCATTAAGTCCTTCCTTGAATCCTTGAATTCAAGTAAGATCTGATAGATCTTTTTTTGGAGACGTAGTCTTGCTCTGCCGCCAGGCTAGAGTGCAGTGGCATGATCTCGGCTCACTGCAACCTTCACCTCCCGAGTTCAAGCTATTCTCCTGCCTCAGCCTCACGAGCAGATGGGACTACAGGTGCGTGCCACCACACCCAGCTAATTTTTGTATTTTTAGTAGAGACGAGGTTTCACCATGTTGGCCGGGCTGGTCTCAATCTCTTGACCTCATGATCTACCTGCCTCAGCCTCCCAAAGTGCTGGGATTACAGGCATGAGCCACTGCACCCAGCCAGGTAGATCATTTTTTTGTCTACCATGGTAATGGTGGTTGATAGTGTTCAGATTTTCTATATTCTTACTGGGTTTTCTTTTTTGTTGTTATTTTACTAATTACTGAGAAAGGTAGGGTAAAAATCTTTAATTATGACTGCATTTACCTGTTTTCCCCTTTAGTTATGTTAGTTTTTGCTTTATGTATTTTGAAGGTATGTTATTAGGCACATATGTGTTTTAAAATGGTTATATTTTTCTAATGTATTGACCCTTTTATCATGATGAAATGTCCTTCTTTGATTCCAGAAATAAATCTTATGTAACCCATTTTGGCTGATATTACTAAAGTTTCTTTAATTTTTTTAGTTATTTTTTTCATGATATATCTTTTTTTGTCCTTTTACTTTTTAACCTATATATGTCTTCATATTTAAAGTAAGTCTCCTGGAGTAATACTGAATTGCTTTAGGGAAAATATAGGGATTTTGAATTAGTTTCATTGGGGGAAGCTGGGTGAAGGGTACATATGAACTCTTGTACTATTTTTTAAACTATGTGAGTCTAAAATTATTTTAAGTCTTCATAATTGCTTGTTGCTGCATTTTTAAGATAGCTTGCTTGAAATTCTTTTCTGACTATTGCAACAACTGTGTCATCTCTGCATTGTTGTCTGTTGGTTGTCCTTACTCATCCAAGTTGAGACCTTTTTTCTGTTTGTTGGTATAATAAATATACTTACTTTGGATTGTTTCCTGAACTTTTTGCATATTATGAGACTCTGTTTCCTATTTAAATCTTCTATGTTAATAGACAGCCACTGGGGAGGGAGGAAGAGTACTGCCTCCTTGCAAACATTTGCCTTCTATAGGACAGGAATGGTCAGCAGGGCTCTGTGCCACAGTTTCTGTGGCTGTAACCCCTAGTGGGAGGGGGAAGGGCCACCACCTCTGCTCTCATTGGTTCAAGACGAGGATGGTCAGTAAAGTTCTTTCTTGCTGATTACACAGTAACCAGTTGAAAAGATTTTATTCTGAAAGACTCTTGCCTTCTCAGGCCTTTGGTTAGAGAAAGTATGTTTTTCTTGGGGCTTTTGTTGTTGTTTTTGTTCTATGCCTTTGAGCAGTTTCAGGTTTTGGGCTGCTGTAGCACCCAAAGTAGATTACATCTGTAGCAAAAAAAATCTCTAGGGAACTCACTGCTGAGTCATCCGTCAAGATCTGATGTCTCTATCCAATTTACCTTATTTTCTTCACCTTTCAGAGTCTTCTGGTAGTTGCTTTTTGTTTCCAATTCAAGGTTTTTGGTTGTAATTAGCAGAAAGAATAAGGTGGAGTGTGCTTATTTCATCTTGAGTCTCTTGGTTTCTGTTTTTTTTTCTTTTTTCTTTTTGGTGGCAGGTGGAGGAGAGACCTGCAGGCCCTCTCCCTTCTCCCTCTCGGTGTTTTTAAATATACTAGTTTTCATATGTTGTAATCTTATTTATTTGCCCTGTTTATTTTGTTTTTCAGGCAAATGAAGATAAAACAATGTTCGCCAACCTAAAATACGTTTCCCTGGGAATTTTGGTCTTTCAGACTACCAGTTTGGTTCTAACAATGCGTTATTCCAGAACTTTAAAAGAAGAAGGACCTCGTTATCTATCTTCTACAGCAGTGGTTGTTGCTGAACTTTTGAAGATAATGGCCTGCATTTTATTGGTCTACAAAGACAGCAGTAGGTATCTAGGTTTTTTGTTTTTAATCAATGCAATTTATTTAGTTTGCATATATATATTGGTAACTACACATTTGCACTCTTGCATTGTCGAATGGCCTAGTATGAAGAATATTTCAATATTTTAAAAATTTTCTTAAGACATTTTAAGTCTAGTAATAAAGCCATTTTAATCTGTATCATGATTCATATCTTCTGGTTAATTCTGTAAATATAAAATAGTTTCTTGCATTTATAATAATTTGAGAGTAAGAGTAAATTTTATAAATCTGTTACTGTTAGAACTCTAGAAGAATCATAATAATTTTTTTACTAATGTAAACACCTTCTGTTTTATTTGCTTTATTGATTAGTCCAGCAGTGACTAATTTTATATAGTTTTAAAAAATAGTTCTATTGAGATAATTCATGAGCCATACAATTTATGTGTTTAAAGTATATTATTTAATGGTTTTTGGTATATTTCAATTATAATGTTTTAAACCTGTGGTAAAGTATATACACATAACATAAAATTTGCCATCTTAACTATTTGTAGTGTACACTTCATTGTCATTATTTTACAGTGTTGTACAACAGTGTAAATTTTTAAATCACTTTTATCTAAAATTTTTTATCTAAATTTTATCTAAAATTTTTAATCTAAATTTTATCTAAAATTTTGTATCACTTTAAACAACAACTTTGTAACTGTTAAGTAATAACCCCCATTCTCCCTTACCCACAGCCCCTAGTAACCTCTAATTCACTTTCTGGCTCTATGAATTTGCCTATTCTAAATATTTCATATAAGTAGAATCATGTATTTGTCCTTTTAGGTCTGGCACTTAGCAAAATGTTTTCAAGATTTGTTCACGTTGTAACATGCATCAGAACTTTATTCCTTTTTATGGCTGAATAACATTCTATTGTATGGACGTAACACATTTTGTTTATTCATCCATGTGTTGATGGACACTTGGGTTGTTTCCACCTTTTGGCTATTGTGAATAATGCTGGAAAGAACAATGAGTAATGCTTCAGTAGATGTACAAGTATCTGTTCGAGTCCCTGTTTTCATTCCTTTTGGGTATATATTTAGGAGTAGAATTGCTAGGTCATATGGTAATTCTATGTTTAACTTTTTAAGGAACCATCAAACTGTTTTTCACAGCAACTGGATCATTTTATATCTCCATCAACAAAGTATGAAGGTTCCTGTTTCTTCACATCTTCACCAGCACTTAATATTTTGTTTTTTTGTTTTTTCAAATAGCCATTCTAATAGGTGTGAAGTAGTTTCTCATTGTGGTTTTGACTTGTGTTTCTCTAATAACTAATGATGATGAATTTTTATGGGGTTTTTTTTTGGCTTTTTGTGTATTTTCTTTCTTTCTTTCTTTCTTTCTTTCTTTCTTTCTTTCTTTCTTTCTTTCTTTCTTTTTTTTTCGAGACTGAGTCTCACTATGTCGCCTAGGCTGGAGTGCAGTGGCATGATCTTGGCTCACTGTAACCTCCACCTCCCTGGTTCAAGCAATTCTCATGCCTCAGCCTCCCGAGTAGCTGTGATTACAGGTGCATGCTACCACACCCTGCTACTTTTTGTATTTTTAGTAGAGATGAGGTTTCACCAGGTTGGCCAGGCTGGTCTTGAACTCCTGACCTCAGGTGATCTGCCCACCTCGGCCTCCCAAAGTGCTGGGATTACAGGAGTGAGCCACCACACCTGGCCCTTTTTGTGTATTTTCTTTCGAACTACATCTGGCATGGCTTGTTAAAAGATTGAATATGTGAAAGTCAGAAGAAAGGAGGAATCCAGCTTGAGGAATAATTGCTAGGTTTTTAGATTAAACTATTGGGTGAATGGGTGCTGCAATTAATGATATATATAAATAGATTTGGGGGGAAATTAAAGCTGCTTTTTGCATCATATAAGTTTCAGACAGCTATAAGGCATTCCCATTGAGATGTCAAATAGTAGAGTCTATGCATATGGAGCTCAAGAATTTGTCAGTTTACATTTTGCTTTAAAGTTGAGGATTGAATGAGATAACCTAGTGTATACTAGAAGAGGAGAAGGCCAAAGGCTGAACTCTGTTGCATTCCCAATATTTAGATATCAGATTCCACAGAAGGAATCAGCAAAAGAAGACAGAAGCAAAATAGAAAGATAAATGGAAACGTAATAGCCAAACTGAGATGGTAGTGTTTTTGCTGCTAAGGTATAGATGAGCAGAAGTATTCACTGCATTTAACATTGTGGAGCCAAAGATATCTTTGACACAAATAGTTGCATTGTAGAGAGATGTGGTGAAAATGTGGTAAAACCAACTTTTCAGTGAACCAAAGCATCTATAGACACACCATACAGAAAAACAGATTCCAGGTGGATTAAAGATTGACATTTAAAAAGCAAAACTTTATGACCTTACTATTGTGAATGATTTCAAACAACATACAAAAGGTACAAATAAGACATAAAGGAAAAAATAGATAATTTAGGGTATATTGAATTGAAAAACATCTGTAAATCAAGTCAAGTAAGAAGGCAAGTCACAAATTAAGAGAAGATATTTATATCACTTGTAACCACCAATAATTAATATCCAGAATTACAATTACTCCTACAACTCAATCAGAGTTCATAGAAACTTAATAGAAAAGGGGGCAAAGGATATAAACAGGTAATTCACAGAAGAAGAAACCTGCATGGCAGATAAATACATAAAAAGATGCTCAACTTCACTAGCAATCAAGGAAATCAGATTAAAACCACAGGACACAATTTCACTGCCCTCAAATTGGCAAAAATAAAAAGTCTTAATACCAGGAATTGGTGATTATTTAAAAACTGAATTTAAAAATTAAAAAATAATCAGGTTTGGTGCACACCTATAGTCCCAGTTACTTGGGAGGCTGAGGCAGGAGGATTGCTTAAGCTCAGGAGTTGGGATCTAGCCTGGGCAACATAGCGAGGCCCTCATCTGTAAAAATAAAATAACATAAAGTTAAGGTAATATTTTAGTTTTCTTTTCTGGTAAAACTAAGAAAAAAACCTTTTGGTAACTTTTATCTTAGTTAAGAATTTTTCAACTATTATTTTGGGTTGAGGAGAGGGTGAGTACCAGGTAGCAATTTTAAAGTTTTTTTTATTTCAAAAAACTTTCCATAATCAAAGTCTTCCTATTTTATATTGAGAGAAAAAATTGTCTAAAGTATCATTATTGGTAAATAATTCTAGGGTTCCTTCGAATTAGAATAATTCTAGGCTCCTTAGAACCCTAATTCTAGGGTTCCTTAGAATTTCTCATTTTTTTGAGGAGTTTATGTATATATCTCTAAAGGATCTTTGGCCATTTTTCATGACTGTTAACCATAAGATTGGCCAGCTCAAAGTTCACTTTCAATCCCTTTCTCCCTTTCTTGGCTCTAACGTGGAGGAAATAAAGGAAAAGACTTCCCGGCTTCCTTGCAGCTATGGGTAGTTATGCAACACAATTCTGTTCAATGAGAACCAAGAAGATACCTGCTAAGCTGCTGTTTCCTCTCCTTTTTTTGCTGCCTGAAACAAGAACTAGAGATGTAGCAGTACTTTGATGACCTTGTTGCAATAATCACGTAGACAACAGATGAAAAGCATGAAGATTAAAAAGCCAAAATATATACAGTTATATGTTTTATATATAGTTTTATATATATATATATATATATATATATATATATATATATATATATATGGATCTTAGAATAGTGTTTAGTTGATATTATCACATACCAGGCACATTTTGGTTTCCAAAAATTGGACATGTATTAAGATCTAATATATATATTATATATATTATATATTTATTTATTTATTTATTTTACCATCCAGGAATTTTCTCAAGGTTATATTGCAGAAATTTTTAAAGCCTGTTATTCTACTCTAATGCAGTTATTTTGTTTTTCTGCTATGCCTTTTTTTCTAAGTATACCTCTCTTGGACATAATTTTAATAATTTACAATATGAAGAGACACAGGCTTAATTTGTAGCAGCATTGTATTAACAGGAAAGAGAGAATCCTGCTATCTCTTTGATAATCCAGCTGAACCTAGAAGCCTGTTTATCACCAGAATGGGCTGCAGTGGTTAGAGGATTTCCAACCTAGATACTGGAAGGTCTTTAAAAGATAATGCTGTATGAGAGATTCATGCAACCAAGAAGGGGTTGGTTCCTCATAACTCTGAAATCCTCTGGCTCCAGCTTTCTCTTTTTTTCCTCTCCTGGTTGATGGCACCTTGACCCATTAGTGGCACCACTTTGAGTTTTCTTCAGTCTCAATGTCGCAGTCAGGGTGGGAGAAGTGGAAGAATAAGCCTTCTTCCAGACCACTGGTTGGCAGCCTGTGCCAGAGCTAATCTGGTTTGTTTTCAAGCCAGTGACAGTCACATTTCTTTTTTTTTTTTTTTTGAGATGGGGATCTTGTTCTTTTGCTCAGGCTGAAGTGCAGTTATGCAATCATAGCTTGCTGCTACTTCAAACTCCTAGGCTCAGTTGATCCTCCTGCCTCAGCCTCCTGGATAGCTGGGACTACAGGTGCATGCCACAACACCCAGCTAGTTAAAAAAAAATTTTTTTTTGAGACAGGTTCTCATTATGTTTATCAAGCTGGTCTTCAACTCCTGGCTTCAAGTAATCCTCTCACTTTGACCTCCCAAGATTCTGGCATTACAGACAGGAGCCACCGTGCCCAGCCTGACAGTCACTTTTAGGAGTGGGTTCATTTGCTTCTAGCATCCACCTTCCCACTTTTCTTAGAGTCCTTTGTCCACCCCAGGGACTTTTCCCTTCCTTTCACAGCTAGACACTTTGGCACCCTTTGCAACTTGCTTGGTGCAGGGTTGCCACAAACTTTCAATTTGGAAGAAAATGCAATATTTGAAAAGTGTAATAAAATGAAGCATAATTAAATGAGGTATGCTTACAGAGAGAGAGCGCCTGGGTCCCTGAGTCTCTATAAAAGCTTTAAATCTGGACTCACCCCATGTGACACAAATCCCTATGGGTTGAACTAGTGTTAGTTGGGTTTTCTGTTGTTTGCAACCAAACCCATTCCCTAACTGATTTACCTTCTTTTAATGATTAAAGTCTTCACAATTACTAATTGGCATGAATGGCTGATGATAAACAAAATGCACAAAATACAAGTTTTTATAACATTGCTATAATAAACTAAGAATACTTGGTTAACAAATTAAAACTTTGAGATTTTGGCTGTCATAAATATGTGTTTGTATGTGTTTGTATATATACATATATGTAGATATACATAAGATACATTTGATTATATATCAGAATAAAAGAATATGATTTCTTAATACATTATAATATTTAACATTTTAAAAATCAGCATCATAAAGATATATTTTAGTCCTAAAAGTATCTTGACATGTAGCTCAATTTTGTTTTTCTATAGGTTAGAAAATTGAGATCTTGAGAGCAGATATGTAACTTATTCAGAGTTACTTAATTACTGATTTTTCTCATATTATTTTCTAGAATGTAGTCTAAGAGCACTGAATCGAGTACTACATGATGAAATTCTTAATAAACCTATGGAAACACTTAAACTTGCTATTCCATCAGGGATCTATACTCTTCAGAATAATTTACTGTATGTGGCACTATCAAATCTAGATGCAGCTACTTATCAGGTACTTAAAATACATTTCTTTCTTTTTTAAAAAAACTTTTTTCTTATACATAATAATTGTATATATTTATGGGGTACATGTGGTATTTTGATACATGCATCCAATGTGTAATGATCAAATCAGGGTATTTAGGATATTCATCTCCACAAACATTTATCATTTCTTTGTGTTGGGGACATTTCAGATCTTCTCTTCTAGTTATTTTGAAATTTTGAGTAAATTATTGTTAACCATAGTCACCTTACTATGCTAACACTAGAACTTATTCCTTCTCTCTAACTCAATTTTTGTACCCATTAACCAATCTTTCTTTATTCCTCCCCCTGCCCTTGTATCTTTCCCATCCTCTGGTAGCTATCATTCTGCTCTCTACCTCCATGAGATCCCCCCGCTCCCTTTTTTTTTTTAGCTTCCACATGTGAGTGAAAATACGATATTTGTCTTTCTGTGTGTGCCTGGGTTGTTTCACTTAACATAATGACCTCTAGTTGCATCCATGTTGTTGCAAATGACAGGATCTCATTCTTGTTATATCTGAATAGTATTTCTTTATGCATTTATCCATTGATGGACACTTAGGTTGAGTTCATATCTTAGCTATTGTGAACAATGCTGCAATAAATACAGGGCTAGAGATATCCTTTTGATATACTGATTTCCTTTCCTTTGGATAAATACCCAGTAGTGGGATTGCTGGATTGTCTGGTAGTTCTATTTTAAGTTTTTTGAGAATGCTTTGTACTGTTTTCCATAGAGGCTGTACTAATTTACATTCTCAGCAACAATGTACAAGAGCTCCTTTTTCTCCACATACTCACCAGCACTGGTTATTTTTTGTCTTTTTGATAATAGCTATTCTAACGGGGCAGGATGATATGTCACTGTGGTCTTGATTTGCGTTTCCCTGATGACTAGTGATGTTGAGCATTTTTTCATATACCTGTTGGCTATTTGTATGTCTTCTTTTGAGAAATGTTTATTGAGGTCCTTTGCCCACTTTTTAATGGGATTATTTGTTCTTACGCTCTGGAGTTCTTTATATATTATGGATATTAGTTTCTTGTCACATGATTAGTGCAAATATTTTCTCCCATTCTACAGATTGTGTCTGTATTTTTTTCTTTGCTTTGCAGAAGCTTTTTAGTTTAATATAGTTCCATTATTCTATTTTTGTTTTCATTGCCTGTGCTTTTTTTCTTATGTATTTATTTGTATATCTTTTAAAATATGGAACACTTCATGAATTTGTTTGTCATCCTTATGCAGGGGCCATGCTAATCTTCTCTGTGTAATTCCAATTTTAGTATGTTTGCTGCTGAAGCAAGCACTGCCTGTGCTTTTGAAATAACAGCCATAAAATCTGCCCTGACCAATGTCCTGAAACATTTCTCCTCTATTTTCTTCTAGTAGTAGTTTTATAGTTTTGAGTCTTATGTTTACATCTTTAATCCATTTTGGGTTTTTTTTTTATATGGTGAGAGATGGGATCTAGTGTCATTTTTCTTCATATTCATATCCAATTTTCTCAGCGTCATTTATCGAAGAGGATGTCCTTTTTCTAATGCATGCTCCTGGCACCTTCGTCAAAAATCAGTTGGCTGTAAACATGTAAATGTATTTTGGGGTTCTCTATTTTGTTCCATTGGTCTTTGTGCCTGTTATTAAACAAATTCCATGCTATTTTGGTTACTATAGCCTTGTAGTATATTTGGAAGTCATAGTGTGATGCCTCTAGCTTTGTTCTTTTTGCTCAGGGTTGCTTTGGCTATTATTCAGGGTCTTTGTGGTTCCATATGAATTTTAGGATTGTTTTTTCTGTTTCTGTGAAGAGTGTCATTGGTATTTTGATGGGGATTGTCCTGAATCCGAAGATCGCTTTTGGTAATATGGTGATTTTAACAATATTAATTCTTTTAATCCACAAGCATGGTATATCTTCCCATTTGTGTCCTGTTCCATTTCTTTCATCCGTGTTTTGTAGTTTTTCTTGTAGAGATCTTTTACTTCCTTGGTTAAATTTATTCCCAGATTTTTTTTTTGTAGCTATTGGAAATAAGGTTGCTTTCTTTATTTCTTTTTCAGCTAGCTTGTTATTGGTTTATAGAAATGCTACTGATTTTTGTATGTTGATTTTGTATCCTGAAACAACTGAATTTGTTTATCAGCTCTAAGAGTTTTTTTAATGGAATCTTTAGGGTCCTCTCTATATAAGATCATGTCATTTGCAAAGAGGGACAATTTGACTTCCTCTTTTCCAGTTTGGATGCCTTAAATCTCATTTGCCCGATTTTGTTCCAGTTTTTAAAGGAAAGCCTTCCAGCTTTTCCGCATTCAGTATGATATTAGTTGTGTGTTTGTCATATATGGCCTTTATTATGTTGATATGTTCCTAGGAATATTTTAAATTTTATCAAATGCTTTTTCTGCATCTATTGAGATGATCATAAGGTTTTTATTCTTCATTCTGTTGATATGGTGTATTACATTTATTGATTTTGCATATATATTAAACCATCTTTGCATCCTTGGGATAAATCCTACTTGATTATGGTAAACAATCTTTTTTATGTGCTGTTGGAATTGATTTGCAAGTATTAATATTTAGTTCAGGATTTTTGGGTTCTCTGTTGTTCTGTTCAGGAATATGCAACTATAGTATTCTTTTTTGCTGTGTGCTTGTCTGGTTGTGATATCAGGGTAATGCTGGCCTCACAGGATGAGTTAGGAAAAATTCCCTCCATTTGATTTTTTTGGAATAGTTTGAGGAGAATTGGTGTTAGTTCTTCTTTATAAGTTCAGTAGAATTCAGAATTGAAGCCATCCAGTCCTGGACTTTTCTTTTGTGGGAGGCTTTTTAAGTGCTGATTGAATCCTGTTACTTGTTATTGGTCTTTCTTCTTTGTTCAATCTTGGTAGGTTGTATGAGTCCAGGAATCTATCCATTTCTTGTAGGTTTTTCAATTTGCTAGTATATAGTTGTTCATAATAGTCTCTAATGATCCTGTGTAATTCTGTGGTGTCATCTGTACTGTCTCCTTTTTTGTTTATGATTTTATTTGGGTCTTTCCTCTTTTTTTCTTGGTTAGTCTAGTTTGTAGTTTATTGATTTTATTTATCTTTTCATGAAACCAATTCTTCTTTTATTTCATCCTTTGTATTTTTGTTTAGTTTCTATTTCATTTAGTTCTGCCCTGATCTTTTGTTGTTGTTGTTGTTTGTTTGAGACATTCTCACTTTGTTGCCCACACTGGAGTGCCATGGCACAGTCTTAGCTTACTGCAGCCTCAACCTCCTGGGCTCAAGAAATCCTCCCATCTCAGCCTCCTGAATAGCTGAGAATATAGGCATGTGCTACCATGCCGGTTAATTTTTTTTTTTTTGTAGAGACAGGGTCTTTTTATGTTGCCCAGGTTGGTCTTGAACTTCTGGCCTCAAGTGATCCTCCCACCTGGCCTCCCAAGGTGCTGGGATTATAGCTATGAGCCACCATGCCTGGCCTGCCCATCTTTATTATTTCTTTCCTTCTTTTAGTTTTGGTTTGGTTTGTTCTTGCTTTTCTAGCTTCTCGAGGTATATTAGGTTGTTTATATGAATCTTTCTAATTTGTTGATGTAGGCATTTATTGCTGTAAACTTCCCTTTTGTCACTGCTTTTGCTGTATCTCATAGGTTTTGGTATGTTGTGTTTCAATTTATATTTGTTTTAAGAAATTTTTCTAGGCTGGGCACAGTGGCTCACGCCTGTAATCCCAGCACGTCGGGAGGCCAAGGTGGGTGGATTACCTGAGGTCAGGAGTTTGAGACCAGCCTGGCCAACATGGTGAAACACTGTCTCTACTAAAAATACAAAAATTGGCCAAGCATGGTGGCGGGTACCTGTAATCTCAGCTACTCAGGAGGCTGAGGTAGGAGAATTGCTTGAACCCAGGAGGCGGAGGTTGCCGTGAGCTGAGATCACACCATTGCACTCCAGCCTGGGCAACAAGATTGAAACTCCATCTCAAAAAAAAAAAAAAAAAAAAAAAGAGAAGAGGAAAAAAAGAAAATTTTCTGTTTTGGTCTGAGAAGATACTTGATATGACTTCAACTTTTAAAGATTTGTTGAGACTTATAGCCTAATATATATTCTATTCTGGAGAATGCTGCATGTGCTGATGAGAAGCATGTGCATTCTGCAACTGTTAGATGAAGTGTTTTGTGAATGTCTGGGAGTTCCATTAGGTATAAAGTGTAGTTTAAATCCTCTAATGTTTCTTTTGTTGATTTTATTTCTAGATGATATATGTGCAAAACTGAGAGTGGGGTTGTGAAGTCCCCAATTGTTACTGTATTGGAGTCTATCTCTCTCTTTAGAGCTACTAATATTTTCTTAATATATCTAGGTGCTGCAGAGTTGGGTGCATGTATATTTAGAATTGCTTTATAGTGTTGTTGAATTGATCCCTTTATCATGATATAATTACCTCTTTGTCTGTTTCTGCAGTTTTTGACCTAAAGTCTATTTTACATAAGTATAGCTATTTCTGCTCGTTTTTGGTTTCTGTTTGCATGGAATATCTCTCTATCCCTTTACTTTCGTCTGTTTGTCTTTACAGGTGAACTGCATTTCTTGTAGGTAGTGTGTAGTTAACATATGATTTTTTAAATCCATTTTGCCAGTCCATATCTTTTATGTGGGAAATTTAATTTATTTACATTCACAGTTATTATTGGTACATGGGGATTATTCCTGTCATTTTGTCAGTTGTTTTCTGGTTGGTTTTCTGTAGTGTTAATGTTTGACTTCTTTCTTTTTGTTATTTGTGTATCTGGTTTTCCAGTGAGTTTTATGCTTTCTTGTGTTTTTATCATGGTAGATACTGGCTTTCAAGTGCAGGACTTCTGTAAGCACTTTTTTTGTTTGTTTTTGAGGCAAGGTCTGGCTCTATCACCCAGGCTGGAGTGCAGGGGCACAGTCTTGGTTCACTGCAACTTCTGCCTCCCAGGCTCAAGCCATCTTCCCTCAGCCTCCCAAGTAGCTGGGCCTACCCATGCACACCACCATGCCTGGCTAACTTTCATATTTTTTTAGAGATGAGGTTTCGTCATGTTTCCCAGGGCTGGTCTTAAACTCCTGAGCTCAAGAGATCTGCCCGCCTTGGCCTCCCAAAGTGTGATTACAGGCACCTGGCCTAAGCATTTCTTATATGGCTGGTTTAGTGGTGATGAATTTTCTCAGTTTTTCCTTATCTAGGAAAGACTTTATCTCTCATTTTATTTTTAAAAAATTTATTTACCTATTTTTTAATTTAAAAAAAATTATTTCTATTTTTTTTATTTTTTATTTTCTAAAAGACAGATGTCTTGCTATGCTTCCTAGGCTGGAGTGCAGTGGCTGTTCACAGGCACAGTTATGGTGCACTGCAGTATCAAACTCCTGGGCTCAACCTGTCCTCCTGCCTCATCCTTCCAGGTAGCTAGACCACAATCGCACTCTACCATGCCTGTGCACGCCACCATGCCCTGCTAATTTTTGTATTTTTAGTAGAGACGGGGTTTCATCATGTTGGCCAGGCTGGTCTTGAACTCCTGACCTCAAGTGATCTGCCCACCTCGGCCACCCAAAATGCTGGGATTACAGGCATGAGCCTCCACGCCCAGCCTGCATTCATTTTTTAACAATAGTTTCACTGCGTATGGTATTTTTATCTGGCAGTTTTTCTTTCTTTCAGCACTTTGAATATATCATCTAATTCTCTCCTGGCCTATAATGTTTCTCTTAAAAAACCTGCTGCTAAGACTGATGGAGATTCCCTTATATGTAACTTGATGCTTGTCTCTTGCTGTTTTTAGGGTTCTCTCTTTGACTTTTGACTTTTGGTAGTTTGACTTTTGGTAGAAAAAAGTATATATTTTAATCTTTATTGTTGTTTCAAAACTTTATTTATTTTGTGTGGAGAAATATGGTTCTATTGATTGTTGAAACCAACAAATGTTTTTCCCCACAACTAACATATGTTTTGAGGGCATCCTTTGTGTGACATACTACATTGGGAGTGTAAGTAATACAGAGAAATTAATCAAAATAAAATGTACTTTGGTGAAGATCGTTTTGGGTTGACTCTATTTAGGCTTTTTCATTCTTTTTTCTCTTTTTTTTATGTGACTGGCTTATTTCAAAAGACCTGACTTCAAGTTCAGAAATTCTTTATTCTGTTTCATCTAGTCTAACATTGAAGCTCTTGGTTGGATTTTTTATTTCATTTATTGAATTCTTTAGTTCTATGATTTTTGTTTAGTTCTTTTTTATGATATCTCTTTGTTGAAAACCTCATTTAGATGATGAATTGTTCTCCTATTTTGTTTATATTGTCTGCTTGTGTTCTCTTGTATCTCACTAAACTTTCTAGATATCATTATGTTGAATTCTTTTTCAGGCCTTTCATATTTTCTTTTCATTGGGATGTGTTACTGGAGACTTATTGTGTCCCTTTGGAGGTGTCATATTTCCTTGCTTTCTCATGTTTCTTGTTTCCTTACATTGATATCTGTGCATCTGGTATAACAATAGCTTCTTCCAGTTTTGTAGATAGCTTTCATAGGGAAAGACATTTTCTCACAGATATATGCATAATGTTGGTTGGGTAGGGTGCTTTGGCTTTGATCCTGGGTGGGTGCAGTAATATATAGTCTCTATATGATTTCTTTGGCTATAATCAATGTCAGTGGGGTCTGTCTGGTTCCTTAGTGGCTTCGACTGAAGTTGTTAGTGGAGGCTGTGGCAAGGCTTTGCTGGGGATGGGGATGCCAGGCAGGGTCCAGTGGTGGCAGTGGTGGACCAGGTATGCTGGTTCTTGGGTCTCCAAGAGGTGTATGCAGATACTAGCAGTGGTGGGTCCAGGTGGCTGGTCCTTGGGCCTCCCAGCAGCTTGTTTTAGTGCTGCTTGAGGTAGCAGTGGGCTGGGCAGGTAGGTGGGTCTTCCAGTTCTTGGGTGGCATGTGTGGCATTGGCAGTAGCAGAAGCAGCAGTAGGCCAATCTTGGTTCCCCAAGCAGTGTACATGAGTGCCAGTGGTGAAAGCATAGGGCTGAGCAATCCAATTTTCAGGCCCCAGTTTGTGTGCATGGGTGGGTGCCAGCAGTGGTAGCAACAGGTTGTGCAGGGTCAGTCGCTAGCCCCCAGGAGGCATGCGTGGGCAGTAGACAGAGCAGGCTCGTTTTCAAGTCCCTGGAGGCCTGTGCAAGGACAGGCTTGTCCTCAGGCCCCTGGATGGTCTGCGCAGGTGCTGTCTGTGACAGGTGGGGCAGGTTGATACCCAGGCCCCTAGATTGCATGCTTGTGTATCTGCAAGAGTGGCAGTGGCTGTGGAGATAATTTTGTCTTTGCTTTCATGTTGCAACCTAATTTATAATAAGAAGGTTCAATTCATTTTGCATTATTGCCTAAAGTGTCCAGAGCTCTCTGGTACATAGTACAGATTCCTGAGACTGGCATTAACTGAAGCTTTAGATTCCAGTTCCCAGCCAGATGCAACCACCAGGCATGCTGCCATAGTCCTTAAAATACATTTCTAATAGTACTCTTAAGGAACAAACAAACAAACAAACGAACATTAATAATATTACTGTTTTCTTTTTCAGGTCACGTATCAGTTAAAAATTCTTACAACAGCATTATTTTCTGTGTCTATGCTTAGTAAAAAATTGGGTGTATACCAGTGGCTGTCCCTAGTAATTTTGATGACAGGAGTTGCTTTTGTACAGGTAACTATTCAAGATAAGTATATATTTTTATCTTTATTGTGGTTTCAAAACCTTATTTATTTTGTGTGGAGAAATATGGTTCTATTGATTGTTGAAACCAACAAATGTTTTTCCCCACAACTAACATATGTTTTGAGGGCATCCTTTATGTGACATACTACATTGGGAGTGTAAGTAATACAGAGGAATTAATCAAAATAAAATTATATTACCTACAGAAGTGAACATTCTAATTAGGGAAATAAGACACTGCATTTTAAAGAAAGTTGATTTTTGCTGGATATCTGTAGCATTTGAGATTATTAGCCACTCCCTTTTTATTTTCTATCGGCTTCACAATACCATTTTTTCCTGGTTCTTTTATCTTTCTAATGATTCCTTATTGGTTTTCTTCATAGGAATCTTTTCTGTGAGACTCCCTTTAAATACTGGGGTTGCTTGCAGGTTTGTTATTTCTTCTAAGTTACATCTTTATTTTTGGAGATTTCATCTATTCTTGGGGGGCGGTTAATTTTAATTTTTTAAAAAAAATTTATAAAGTGACGGGGTCTCACTGTGTTTCCCAGACTAGTCTCTCAAACTTCTGGGCTGAAGTGATCATCCTGCCTCAGCCTCCCAAAGTGTTAGATGTGAGCCACTGCACCTGGCCTTATTATTTATTATGATTATTATTATTTTTAGTCCTCAGTGATACTTGTTCTGATGGAAGGTTTTTTTAATACTTATATCCTGATAATTCCTCAGTTCATGCCATCACTTTCCCTGAAGTGTGGTATTTATATCATAAATAACTTTTTAATTTTTTTTTTTTTTTTGAGATGGAGTCTTGCTCTGTCCCAGGCTGGAAGGCAGTGGTACAATCTCAGCTCACTGCAACCTCCACCTCCTGGGTTCAAGCAATTCTCCTGCCTCAGCCTTCCAAGTAGCTGGGATTACAGGTGCCTGCCACCATGCCCGGCTAATTTTTTGTATTTTTAGTAAAGATGGACTTTCACTATGTTGGCCAGGCTGGTCTCGAACTCCTGACCTCATGATCCACCCTCCTCAGCCTCCTAAAGTGCTGGGATTACAGGCGCGAGCCACTGTACCCAGCCTAATATTTTTCATATTTATTTTAAATGAGTATTACAAAAGTTTAAGTGGCATATCAAATTCATATTTTCATAAATATTGCTTAGGGTAAGCTAAAGTAGGCATTGTTTCAAACAGTTAGGTATTTTAAATTAGAAAGTTATTAATAGTTCAGGTGGAACATAAGTTTGACAAAACCATGAAAATGATAGGCAAATAACTGAAGCTTCAGGAACACAGACCTATAGGATAAAGCTCAGAGTGATTAGTGTGACACACTGGACCTTCTGAAATGTACCTACAGTTCTAGACTCATTTCTGCTGCTGCATACTTCACACTCTGAATTGCTACAACTGAGCTGCTTGTAGGGGCTATTTTGCACAGCTGAGCATTTATCCATTCTTTCTCTTGTGCCTACAATGCCTTCTCCCCTTTCTTTGCCTGGCTAACTCCTACCTTTAAGACTCAGCTCAGTCTTAAAGTCTGCCTCTACCAGAATATCTTCCTAACATCACAGGCATAACATTTAAACATTTGTGCCTTCTTCTGTACCACCATAGTACTTTGTACATATCTTTTCCAAAGTACTTATATTATAGTTAAATGCTCATTTATATGTCTGTTTACACTTACAACTTAAGTTCCTAGAAGGCAGCAGCTGTGTTTCACCGCTCTTCCATTCATAGTGCCTAATTAGCAAGACTTAAACAAATGATATTTGTTTTTATGTGATTGGTTGTCAACTGATTTTATATCCTGTAAGTACAGATGACTCCTGGGAAATCTTCAGGGATGATATTGGAGTTAAATTAGGTGTTGAAAGGTAATAATTATAATGAAATTTGCATACTGAGTACTTATGTGCCAGGTGCCCACTTGGTACTTATCTTGTATAATCTCATGTTATACCCAACTGTTTAAGGTAGATATTATTCTTCCCAACTTTCAAAAGAGTTATTGAAGCTCAGAGAGGTTAATGAAATTGCTTATTGATCCCAATCTAGTAGTGGCAGAGCCAGAACCAAATCTCCTTAAAACTTTTCACTATTTGTGTTTCAGTAGGTCGGAAACAGCAGAAAAAGCATTACATAAAAGGTATGTTAAAAAAAATACAGATGTCGATCTGTGGATAAGCACAAATAAGTTAAGGAGTGGTAATAGTCTTCTTTGATTGGAACAAATAATTGACAAAGATATGGCGAGAGATGAAATTACAAAATACAGATTGGTCCTAGATTATATGTGGTCTTCAGTATTGAGCCAGGAGCTTAGGCTTGACTGCTTTTGGCTGTAAGGGCTCACTGGAGAGTTGGAAGGGAGAGAGGCATATCAGAGAAATCCTATAGGCATGCAGGACAGATTGGTGGGGAGAAATACTGAAGGAATGGAGAGGAGTTAGAAAGCATGACAGGGACCTAAACTGTCAGGTTAATGGGATTGGAATGTCCCACAGCAGTGATGTAAGAGTTGTTCCAAGGGAAGAATCAGTATGAGTGTTAGACCAATAAATATCATAGAGAATGGAGAGCAAGGAGATTAAGAAACTTAAGTTTGAATGGTGGCATTTTTAATAGATATAAAGGTATCAAAAGGTATGTTTGCTTTGAAGAGGTATGGGTACATTTTAATCATATTGGCTTTGAGGAGATAGTAAGTTTCTGGATAGCAGCAACTGAAAATCTTGGACTTGAGCTCAGAAGAGATGTCAGTGCTTCTGTGAATCAGCTCTCCAGGGTAGAGGGGATTCCTATAAACTATGCTGTAGAACTACACTGTCCAGTAGGGTAGCCACAAGCCATATGTAGCTATTTAAATTTAATTAGTTAAAATTAAATTAAAATTTCAGTTCCTTGGTCGCACTACCCACATTTCACGTGCTCAATAGCCACTTAAATATAGCGATGACCCTATTGAGGGTGAAGATACAGAACATTTCCATCATCCAAAGAGTCAGTTGACTAGAATAAATATAAAGATTGGAGGAGAGAACACGGAAAAGAGCAGGTTGTTTCAAGAGGTAAGGAATGAATAGTCACTAGTGTTAATTCTCTGGTGAAAGCAAGCTGAATAGAGAATGAACAATTTTATTATTAAAAATTAGTTAACATATTGATTGAAAAGTCTTTGGTCGCTATGAAAAGTACAGTTTCAGAAGGAAAAATGGTTTTAAGAAGTCCAGCTAGTTTGGGCATGGTGGCTCACACCCACAGTCCTAGCACTTTGGGAGGCCAAGGCAGGCAAATTGCTTGAGCCCAGGAGTTTGAGACCATCCTGGGCAACATGGCAGAACCCTGTCTCTACAAAAAACACAGAAATTAGCTGGGTGTGGTTGTGTGCACCTGTAGTCCCAGCTACTGGGGAGGCTAAGGTGGATCACCTGAGCCCAGGGAGGTTGAGGCTGCAATGAGCTGTTATCATGCACTGCACTCCAGCCTGGGTGACAAAGTGAGACCATGTCTCAAAAAAAGAAGTCCAGCTAGTAGAAGATCAAACTGAGGAGGGAAGAAATAGATGCAAAAGAAAATTTAACAGTAGTTACAGGATATCAGTTGATTAGATTAAGGGTAACATCTAAGCCATAGGGTACTATCCCTGGTGCAATGATCCTGGAGTCCCTTCCAACACATTTCGTTTCCAGTGTCTTGTACTCAGAGTTTTCCTTCCCTGTCTGATGGACTGTCTTTTCCTGACAGTGTTTGGGGGGGTTCACCTCCCAACAGCTTCCCTTTATTATGCTTGATTTAGAACACTACTTTCCAGCTGATCTCTACTTTTGCTGACACAGCAGAGGGGATGTGAGATTCTCATTCTTTCTTCTACCTGTATTTGAGATGGTGCTTTTTAATAAATTAAACTTTAAGGAATTATCTCAAGGTAGCATTGGTCTCTGTAATAGATGAAATGTAAAATATTTATTATTTCTAAGGTGCTTTTTGAAATTATAAGTTAGTAATATATTATCACTGTGAGGAAAAAAATCAAATGATTGTAAGGTTTTATGTTAAAAGCTCTCCTTTGCAGTCCCAAAAATGATATTGGTTGCATTTTTAAGTTATGGTCTAAGAGTGGGCTCTCAATATGTTTATGTAAAATGTTATGGAAATTAAACTTCAATTTTATTTTTCTTCTTATTTAGTGGCCCTCAGATTCTCAGCTTGATTCTAAGGAACTTTCAGCTGGTTCTCAATTTGTAGGACTCATGGCAGTTCTCACAGCATGTTTTTCAAGTGGCTTTGCTGGGGTTTACTTTGAGAAAATCTTAAAAGAAACAAAACAATCAGTGTGGATAAGAAATATTCAGCTTGGTAAGTTTTAAATGTTTTCTAATATTATTTTAAAAATGATTATATTGTTATATTTAAAGATTTCTATATATCTTTAAATAAATGAGCCTTGCATAAAATCTGCTATTGATCCAAATATCTGGCAATGCTCTTGTCTTTTAAAACATTTTATTATTTATTTATTTATTTATTTATTTATTTATTTATTTATTTATTTATTTATTTTTGACAGATTCTCGCTCTCTCGCCCAGGCTGGAGTGCAGTGTGCAATCTCGGCTCACTGCAAGCTCCGCCTCCCAGGTTCACGCCATTCTCCAGTCTCAGCCTCCTGAGTAGCTGAGACTATAGGCGCCCGCCACCACGCCCGGCTAATTTTTTGTATTTTTAGTAGAGATAGGGTTTCACTGTGTTAGACAGGATGGTCTCAATTTCTTGACCTTGTGATCTGCCTGCCTCAGCCTCCCAAAGTGCTGGGATTACAGGCGTGAGCCACCTCCCCGGCCAAACATTTTATTTTAAATGAACGCCTTTTATTTAAGAATATGAAAAACTTAGATCTGTGACATAAAGACCAGCCTGGCCAACATGATGAAGCCCCATCTCTACTAAAAATACAAAAAATTAGCCAGGCATGGTGGCGCGCACCTGTAATCCCAGCTAATCTGGAGGCTGAGGCAGGACAATTGCTTGAACCTAGGAGGCGGAGGTTGCAGTGAGCCAAGAATAAAGTGTCTTACATATAGTGAGCCCTAAAAATGTCAACTATTTATATAAATATACAATATCAGAGAAAAAGAAAGAAATAAGGTTTGTGTGAGTTGCCTAAACTTTTATTAAATTGTAAGATAAAAATGGAAGACAAATCAGAATTCATGATTCTAATGTGCTTCATGGATTTCTTATTATTTGGTGACTTCATAAGCTCCAATGCTCATAGAAAAAAATGATAACAGACTTAATGTTTTGAAAGGATAATTAAATAATTACCTATCACAATTCAAAATTATAAGAACAAATTAAAACAATGTAATAGCATTTTTCAAACATCAAATTGTCAAAGATTAACATGATAAGATCCAATTTATCCAGAGAATAGAGAACCAGGAACTCTATTACCTATTGTTCCTAGGAGTATAGATTGATATAACCATGTTGGATTTCAATTTGGGAATATTTGCCAAAATTTTAAATATGTGTAGGCTGTAATGTAAGAATTCCAAGTCTGGATAAAAGTCTATCCTATAAGAGCACAAAGATAGATGTCCAGGATTATTGTTTCAGCCATTGGTTACCATTCTAAAAAACAGAAAACATTTAGAGGGCTGGTTAAATAAATTATCAGTATAATACATAGTATAGTGATTAAGATCATGTTCTCTCCTGAGCCCATGATTTACCAGTAGTGTGAGCTTGGGCAAGTTATGTAACCTCTCTGTGCTTCAGTTTCTTCATCTATAAAATAGACATCTACCTCATAGTGTTGTATGTGAGTTAACATACATGAAGCACTTAGAATAATTCTTGTTACATGCTGATACATACATATTTGCTATTATAATCCATACAAAGGAATATTATGCAACTGTTAGAATGCAGTAGTTCTGTTCATACTGACATGTATATATCCTTCTATAATGTATACTTTTTTAGTAATTACAAAGTCTTTTATAAATTAAAAAACTTTATTGGGTTTGGTGGCTTGTGCTTCTAATCCCAGATACTTGGGAGGCTGAGATGGGAGGATTGCTTGAGAACCAGGAGTTTTGAGACCTGAGCAACATAGTGAGACCCTGTTTCTTAAAAATATATATATATAAGCCTGGATACAGTGGCTCACGCCTGTAATCCCAGCACTTTGAGAGGCCGAGGCAGGTGGATTGTTTGAGCTTAGGAATTGGAGACCAGTCTGAGCAACACTACAAAACTCTGTACAAAAAAAAAAAAAAAAAATTAGCTGGGTGTGGTAGCGTGTGCCTGTGGTCCAAGCTACTTCGGAGGCTGAGGTGGGAGGATCGCTTGAGTCCAAGAAGTCGAGGCTGCAGTGAGTTGTGATTGTGCCTCTGCACTCCAGCCTGCTAAGTGACAGAGTGAAATCCTGTCTCAAAATATACATATACATATATATATGTTATATATAAAACTCTTCTGATGGTATTTTATATATGTGTGTATATATATACACACACATACCTATTTTATATATATGTAATACCATCATATAAAATACCATCACATGTGTTTTTGTAATTATATGCCAGCATTAATTTCATGTTTGAAATTAGACATTAAAAGGATAGAGCTGACTTAAATGGAATTTTAGAGCATTTCTCATCCTTTTCACTTCCTTTCTATTGTGGAATACTTTGATTAGTTATAACTTCATTTTTAAAAATTGCTTTACGCTTGCACTCCTTAACTGCACATATTTCAAAGGTGACCCATAAGAAGTGGTCCATGTAAGCATGAATTTCTTTATTAATAGCCTCGCAATGCTTCTGGGAATCTCTTATTCCAATAGTCATGTGATAGAATATGTTTTTGAGGTGAGATTCAACATGAACAAGACAGTTTCTGCTGTCACCAAGTTAACTTTCTCTAACAGTGAAACTTCAGTAACACAGAATCTAATGATTTCTATGACTATTTCTTAGCTGTGATTTTTTGGATATCAGTTATTATTAGTTATACTTTCAAAACAAAACTTTTATTTATTTATTTATTTTTTTAGAGACAGTCTCGCTGTTTTGCTCAGACTGGAATGCAGTGGTAGAATCATAGCCCACTGTAACCTCAAACTTCTGGGCTCAAGTGATTGTCCCTCCTCAGCCACCTGAGTAGCTAGGACTACAGGCATGCACCACCACACCTAACTAATTTAAAAATTTTTTTGTAGAGATGGAGTCTTGCTATGTTGCCTGGGTGGGTCTTAAACTCCTGGGGTCAAATGATTCTCCTGCTTTGGCCTTCCAAAGTGCTGGGATTTCAGGCGTGAGCCACTGTGCCCACTCTCAAAACTTCTTAATAGGGAAAAATATTGTACCCCCTGCCTCAGCTTTTATATTTGTATGTATCAATGTGAATATATGAAAAATCTAGATCTAGCAAGAGGAAGATGGAAGAACAATGACATATTCCAAATGTGAGCAATTTGCACATATTCGAATGGGCTAGCCATGTAATTATCTAATTTGTGCATTGTATTATTTTAGTGCTCCAAAGTTGGTAATGTATGTTATTTTTTGTATTCTATGTCTTTGTCTTTTTACATTTATATGTCTTTGTCTTGTAGTCATAATATAGTACTAAGTATACTTTTGTTAAGTATACAAAACCAAGTAAAAATTTTAGAAAGTAATCTAATTTTGGCTGGGCACGTAACTCACACCTGTAATCCCAGGACTTTGTGAGGCCAAGGCAGGTGGATCATGAGGTCAGGAGATCGAGACTAGCCTGGCTAACACAGTGAAACCCCGTCTCTACTAAAAATACAAAAAATTAGCTGGGCGTGGTGGCACGCGCCTGTAGTCCCAGCTACTCGGGAGGCTGAGGCAGGAGAATTGCTTGAACCTGGGAGGTGGAGGTTGCAGTAAGCCAAGATTGTGCCACTGCACTGCAGCCTGGGCAACAGAGCAAGACTCCGTCTCAAAAAAAAAAAAAAAAAAAAGAAAGTAATCTAATTTTATCAAAAAGAAAAAGTTAAGTGTAAAATTATTTGGAATGTCAGTGGAAAAAATATATCTCTTCAGACAAACTAAACGATATATCATGTAGACTTTACTTTTTTTTAGGTTTCTTTGGAAGTATATTTGGATTAATGGGTGTATACATTTATGATGGAGAACTGGTATCAAAGAATGGATTTTTTCAGGGATATAACCGACTGACCTGGATAGTAGTTGTTCTTCAGGTAAAGCATTTAAAGTCTTAGATTTAATGCTAATAAACTGTATTTTAATATAAAGAATCAAAGTAGCTCCTGATATACTGATGTGAGGGGGAAAAGGTCCCTCCTGTTAGTGCTCTCGTATCTAGTTTATTCAAGGAAGTGAAAATAGAAGTGATCTTAATGCTGTAATGAAATCTTATTTTGTACAGGGGTCTTTAATGAACTTTGTGGTTTTAAATGTAACATAATGAAAATACAAGTTTAAGAATAAAAGAGTTGAAGCTAAAGGCAAATATAACTTTTGATTTTTACAAGTCTTATCATTGTACAGGAAGTCTGGGTCAGCCATTAAGACCCAGGAAGCAGATCTAGATATTTAATTCTGTGACAGTTCATAGCCTCATATTGTAGTTACATATTGGAAAACATCTGTCAAATTCAGTTTATATATAGCTTGGAATTGTTCAAGGGTTGAGTAATTAATTACATCTTTAAAAAATACATATGGAGAATTCTAGAGGATATAAAAATGAAGATACAAGTCACTATCCTTAGAGCCTCCTATTCTTCTAGAGATATTTGAAGCCTAGGAAGCAAGGCTCCAGAAAGGAAGGTGAAGATGGCAAAGGATAGTTGTGTTTTAAAAGCAGGTAGGATACTTCTATTTTTTTTTTTTTTTTTTTTGAGACGGAGTCTAGCTCTGTCACCAGGCTGGAGTGCAGTGGTACGATCTCGTCTCACTGTAATCTCCACCTCCCAGGTTCAAGCAATTCTCCTGCCTCAGCCTCCTGAGTAGCTGGGATTACAGGCATGTGCCACCACGCCCAGCTAATTTTTGTATTTTTAGTAGAGACGGGGGTTTCACCATGTTAGCCAGGATGATCTCGATCTCCTGACCTCGTTATCCACCCACCTTGACCTCCCAAAGTGCTGGGATTACAGGTGTGAGCCACCGCGCCCGGCCCGGATACTTCTATTTTTTTTTTTTTTTTGAGACGGAGTCTCGCTCTGTTGCCCAGGCTGGAGTGCAGTGGCGAGATCTTGGCTCACTGCAAGCTCCGCCTCCTGGGTTCACGCCATTCTCCTGCCTCAGCCTCCCAAGTAGCTGGGACTACAGGCGCCCGCCACCAAGCCCAGCTAATTTTTTGTATTTTTAGTAGAGACGGGGTTTCACTGTGTTAGCCAGGATGGTTTTGATCTCCTGGCCTTGTGATCCGCCCACCTCGGCCTCCCAAAGTGCTGGGATTACAGGCGTGAGCCACCTCGCCTGGCCCGGATACTTCTGTTTTTAAGATAGCAGAAAAGGAAACAAAGATAAGTGAAAATTTTAAAAAAATAATTAAGAGAAAATTTGAAGCGGAGATAGGGTGAGTCAAGAGAGTTTATGTATGATGTATCTTATTCCAGCAAAGAGAAGAAGCCCCCTTCCCTTAAAAAGGGGCTGAAGATATGAGAAAAATTAAAAATGTTTGGTATAACTGGTATGAAGGATTCAATAGGGAGTAAATAGATGAATGACAACATTGCCAAGAAATACTGGGACTGAAACATTAATTTGTAGTAAGCTCAATTGGCATAATTTACGACTTTCTCTAAATAAAGCTTCCATCATAGAAGAGATGTTTTGAAAGTTGTTGCAGTAGGTAACCCAGATTTGGAAAATGATAAGTAGTCTTTGGCAGAAAGCAAAACTGTGTAGTATAGTAAAACCTCATTATTAAAGTAGCCACAATTGGGAATTTGAGAGGGATTAGGTAAGTTCTTTCTACAGTCTTAAAGAAAAAGCACAATTAAAACTGTGCTTTAGAAAACTTAATGTGACAGTAATGAGAGGTGGATTTGAAAGGGGAGAAACTATAGGAAAAAAGCCAAATTAAGGGGCTGTTGAAAGGCTGTAAAATGACTCTGATTACTAATTTTACTCAAAAGTAAAAATATTTCACTATTTAAAGTGACCAGTCCTCTTACATTTGTCCAAACAAGTGATGTTTAATTACTAAATTGGATAATGATAGACATTTTATTTGTAATATGGTCAAAGTCCATTATAACACACTGCAGATTGTCCTGGTAGTTACTTTAATTAAATGCCTTTTGAAATAAGAGGGCTATTGAACAAAACCTGTAAGTCTATTCGTTGTTAAGAGATGTTTAAAATAAATCCCTTACTATAATGGGATTGAATTTATGGGACAAAAGCTTAAAGCTTTATTAAATACTGAAAGTGTTTTGAAATGCAGTTTTACATGTGTGTTTTAAAAAATATTTTTTTAAAACTTCAGGCACTTGGAGGCCTTGTAATAGCTGCTGTTATTAAGTATGCAGATAATATTTTAAAAGGATTTGCAACCTCTTTATCGATAATATTATCAACATTGATCTCCTATTTTTGGCTTCAAGATTTTGTGCCAACCAGGTAAAATGTTCTTTTCTATTTTTTTAAATCCCCAGAAGTATATAGAAAAATTAGAATTCTTTGTAAGGTGATCTGATAAATTTGAAGAAGCACTGAAATATAATTTTAAAAATTTATTTAACTATGTTTTAAAAATATTTCAAATTAAATTCATGAAAGAAAGTCTTCTCCTGAAAAGTTTCTTATACAAATTTGGTTGGCCAGAATTTTCCCAATAAATAGATGTGAATATTTTCCCTGCAAAGTAAAAAAGTGATATAAAAAAGTTAATAAGTCATATAAAGTCATAAAAATAAGTCATGTAATGACATTTTTAAAATACGGAATTTACATGACTTCCTTGAAGGAGATAGTTTATATAGAGAATGTGGCTCATGAGGAAACTCAATTAGGTGGTAGCAGGAAGAGCAATCTGGAAAGGAATTGCAGGAGGAGTTATAGGTGAGGAAGAAGACCCAGGACTCTGTAGTTTTATGGATGCTAAGGGAGGAGATAGCATCAGGAAAAATTGAGTGTAATGAATATCCATTACAGACAGCATTGAAAATTCTAGTTTTTTGTTTAATTTATAATCTCAGACTAGTGGGATTATATTTTAATTGTTTCCAGTACACCACTCTTGGTTTTCCTCCAACTTTACTCCTCTCCTGATTTTCTCAACCTCTAAACTTTGGAATCTCCCAAGAATCTTTTATTTATTTATTACTTTATTATTTATATGTTCATATTTTTGAGACAGGATCTCAGTTTGTCACCCAGGTTGCAGTGCAGTGGCGTGATCGTAGCCCACTGCAGCTTCAAACTCCTGGGCTCAAGCAATCCTCCTGCCTCAGCCTCACAGGTAGCTGGGACTACACATGTGCTTTGTTGCCCAGGCTGATCTTGAACTCCTTACCTCGAGCAATCTTCCCACCTCTGCCTCTCAGAGTGCTGGGATTATAGGCATATGCCACTTCGCTGAACTCATTTGTGTTTTTGAGAGTGAAATAGGATTATGGATGGAATTTGGCACTATAAAAATATAATATCCTTTTTATATTTTTTATATTGAACATTGACGGTTTTAATTCTTTTCTAGCAATCTAGACAATAGGTCTGGAACATACATGTTGAGATCTGTAGTTCTTATGGGACAAAAATTTAAAAGCATTTCTGTTTTCAGCTTGGTATGGAAATGAATCACTTAGCTAGTGAGACTAGATGAACAATGAACACTTGTGTCTTAATTTTGTAATCTTAATCATATTCCCTGTTCATAAGATGAGGAAATCGTATGCTTTAATGTACTTTGAGAATGTTTGCACCTTGCAGATTTTTAGATTTTACTTTTAAAAGCATACCTTTTTTTTTTTTTTAAATTGAACCTTATGTAAGGCCGAGGTAATTAAATCTTTGAATTATGCAGAGAATAAACAAATAAATGAACAAGCAAACCATCAGAGGGACAAAAGAGTAGTAGTTTGGCAATGAGATGTATGCCTGCCTGTAAATTCACGTTTCTGAGGAAGTATATAAGGTTTGTTTAGTTGAAGATAGAAAGAGAAAAGACAATGATACTGCCATTATTGAATGAATGAATGAATGAATGAATGAATGAATGAATATTTTGAGAATATGCTCAGGACACTAAGCCAGATGGAGAAGATGGATTCTTTTTCCTAAAATAGGTAACTAAGCCCTCTATCTTTATGCATCTTACCTTTGTGGAGAATACATTTTCAGTAATAAATCTAGTGACATTTTCTCAATCTTCATTCAATTCTATCCTAAATGTAATAATATATTTGCCTTTAGCCTCATTCCATCTCCTGAAACTGGGTTTTTGTTTGTTTGTTTGTTTGGCTTCTCTGAAATGGTACGCCTATACTTGCATTTCTGATTGTCCCTTTGGTAGTTTGTCAATCCTTGCTCACTCTCTTGGCTATCTCATCCACTGCCATGTCATATCTGTCTTCTCTAGGAAGATAAGTTCAGATTTCACCTAAACTCTAGATCCCTTTATTCTATTGACTGTTAGACATCTCTACTGATACAATATCACTGTTACCCACTTCCCTAAATTATTTTTCTTGTGCTTGTTATTTTGCTTATTGGTGTTACCATTCTTCCATTTAGGGTTGCTTATTCTTTTATCAAAAGTTTGTGTCTACTATGTGCCTGCTGGCCACTGTGCTAGCTCCTGGAAAAGGAGTGCATGAATGAGACACAATTTCTTGTCTTCAAGGTCATCAAGGTTTGGTGATCATCAAGTGATTGGAAAGACAGATGTGAATAATTATAACAGTATGATCAATGCAACAATGGAAGTATACATACAATAATTCTGTTAGAGGGGGCTCAAATCCTTGAAGTAATCATTACATTCTGATAGTTTTATCCTAATTTTTTTTTTTCTGAGACAACTTTCTCTCTCAGAACCATCTTAAAATTGCTGGCTTGAGAAACAGGTGTTTCCTGACATGATTAGGTATTCAAGTAGATCCTGCTAAAGATATTATAGAAAGGATTCCTGCAGTGGATACAAAGGTAGACCACAGAATCTTTCAGTTGAGCATGAACTTTCAGTCCATGCCATTCCAAAGTTCCAGAAAGCTAAGAATAGTTCATAATGACTAAGGAAGACAGTGTCTAGTAATTAATAATTACCAATATTAATGTAGCAATTTCTTCAAGATACATTACAGGATGTTTTATGTTATCCTAATAACCTTATATGTATAACTGCATTCGAGTCTTTTGAAGAGTTAACCATTTGTATCAAGTCAAATCTAGTTATTAATCATAACAGATAATTACTGAGCTCCCTATATATGCTAGGCACTGTGGCTACCACAGTGAATGAAGAGCATATGGTTGAGCAGGGGAGTGGACTTGTAAATAATGCATCATTTAATGACAGTGTGGTAAGTGTTATGCTGGGGTAGTTCTGCCTAGGGGAGTGAGTCTTGGAGACATTAGACCTGAATTATTATGAATAAGCATTTTCTAAGAAGCAAGGAAACTGTGGACAGAGGGAATAGTATCTCTAAAGACACTGTCAAGAAAGTGTATGTTGTGTTCACTGATTGGAGTGGCTGAATTATAGATTGGGTGGCATGAAGTGGGAAGGATGAGTTTGGAGGGACCATATTATGAAGGGCCTTTTAATAATGATTAGTAATTATTTTTCGTTTATAGGCAATTAAAAACAAAAAAACAGGAGCATGGCTTTGGACTATTAGTAGAAACTTTAAATCCAAAACTAGCTTATGTCTCTATAATAGCATTTTAAAAAATGTACACATTAAAAGTTAAGATTGCACTTTGGGAGGCGGAGGTGGGCAGATCACTTGAGGTTAGGAGTTTGAGACCAGCCTGGCCAACATGGTGAAACCCCATCTCTACTAAAAATTCAAAAAATTAGCGGGGTGTGGTGGTGCACACTGGTAATCCCAGCTAGTCGGGAGGCTGAGGCAGGAGAATTGCTTGAACCTGGGAGGCGGAGGTTGCAGTGAGCCGAGATCACACCACTGCACTCCAGCCTGGGCGACAGAGTGAGACTCCATCTCAAAAAAATAAATAAATAAAAGTTAAGATTCAGGCTGGTCACAGTGGCTCATGCCTGTAATCACAGCACATTGGGAGTCTGAGGCAGATCACTTGAGCCCAGGAGTTCAAGATCAGCTTGGGCAACAAAGTGAGACCTCAGCTCTACAAAAAATAGAAAAATTAGCCAGGTGTGGTGGTTTGCACCTGTGGTCTCAGCTACTTAGGAGACTGAGCTGGGATTGCTTGAACCCTGGAGGTCGAGGCTGCAGTGAGCCATGGTGACAGCACTGCACTCCAGAGCCTGAGGGACTGAGTGAGACCCTGTCTTTAAAAAGAAAAAAAAAAGTTAATATTTGTAGTCTAGTTTACATATCCTGTCTAAATTCATTTCTGATTTATTGTAAAGTAGACTATATCTATAAATATATAGGATAAAGAGGAAACCAAGAACTCCCTGCATTTAATGTAATTTCCCTTTGTAAAGCATCCTATAAAAATTGGTCCTGAGTTTTGCTTATTATTATCTTGGATTTTAAACTAAACTTTACCTTGGTTTAACATGACAGAATAAAATATTCCTTTCGTATGTTCAACTAAAGAATTAAGGCCTTTTGTTATTGAATGTATTGTATACAAAATCCCTATTAAGGTGAAATACAGAACTTAAAATAGCTTTGCTTTGGAAGACAGTATAGTGCAGTCGATGAGAGTGCAGGCTGTAGAGTTAGACATACCTGGGTTTGATCCTCTTGAAGTTGTGGGACTTTAGACAAGTTATTTAAATTCTTTAAAACTGTTTCCTCATGTGTAAAAAATGAATACTAATACATCTTCATAGATTTGCTGTGACAACTCAATGAAATAATGCATATAAAGCACTTAGCCAGATACCTGGAATGTAGTAAGTACTCAAGATTTGTTAGCCGTGTTACTGGAACATTTTTCCCCACATTATAATTGTTTTTATAGTAAAGAAATAGAAGGAACTTGTTCTGCTTTTAATCTGATTTTCTCTTTTTTATTTTGTCTTCATCTTATTCAGTGTCTTTTTCCTTGGAGCCATCCTTGTAATAACAGCTACTTTTTTGTATGGTTATGATCCCAAACCTGCAGGAAATCCCACTAAAGCATAGTTGTATACTATCTTTAACTGGTTTTTCACGATGGGGCACTAGGAATCTCGACATTAATCTTGCACAGAGGACTTCTACAGAGTCTGAGAAGATATCATCATGCTGAATCTGATCATACTGTTTTTTAAAAGTTTAAGGATAAGACATGTGTATATGTAACAAAACACATTGCATCTAGAAATCAAAACTTGAAAGTATTTCCAGGGATTAGGATTAGAAGGAATATTAGAGGAAACTTGAAATCTGAGTTTAAAAAGATTTTACCTTTTTGATTGCTGCAGAAATGTCCTATGCACTCTTTGCAAGAGCACACAACAAATGTCAGATACCAATTTTTGCAAATTAGATTTAATCTTATTAAATGTTTTTATCTTACTCTTTCTGTACAGATATATCAAATCACATGAAATATTTAAAGTTTGAAAATTATAATTACCTATAAAGCTGTGAAAAATAGAAGTATAATTTGAAAAAACATTTCACTTATCAGAGATTTTTATATTTATACAAAAGATTACTAAATGAAGGATTGCTAAATGTTTTTGGTTCAATTACATAAAAATTAATATTCTGGGTCTGATCTGTCAGAGAATAAATATCAAATCTAAATTTAATGTAGAGATACATACTATTTCTCCATATGAATTTTAAGATATTTTAGTGCTTCAAGACTGCTGAAAGCAATCCAGTTGCTCCTGTGCTAGATGGTAGCCAGAGAATTTTATAGTAATGGAGGTTAGCCCTTAATCTCTTCATTGCATTTCATTTCTGTAAATCAGATTAAGTCCTTAATATTATTTTAAATTAAAATTTGTGTGTAATTGCCATTAAATTTTCAAAATGTAATTTAAAAGGATTAAATACTCATTTAATAATTTAAAATAATTATTGTATAATATCTACATTTGGAGAATTTTGAACTATCAAGCATATACTGTATACAGTTAGAAAGTTATTAAATGAACATTTTACTCATTGATCTGTAAAAACTTCTTTAATCTACAACTGTTTACAAAAACAACATTCAAACAAATAGTACAGATGTCAGTGACAGAACAAAATGACTTTTCTTGGAGACATTCCAGATTGCCATATTACTTTATTTTAAACAGCGCTATGACTTTAAATCCAAGGCTGCTCGGAAGATTTTTTTAGGTCTCTCATAAGCCTATTCTTCCCTGATCACATGAGTGGGAGAGGTAGCCAAATTTTGAATTCCCTTTCTGTGTTCCCACAAGAGCTGCTGAGAAGGCCTGGCGCAGTGGCTCACGCCTGTAATCCTAGCAGTTTGGGAGGCTGAGGCAGGTGGATCACAAGGTCAAGAGATTGAGACTATCCTGACCAACATGGTGAAACCCCGTCTCTACCAAAAATACAAAAATTAGCTGGGTGTGGTGGCACGCACCTGTAGTCCCAGCTACTCGGGAGACTGAGGCAGGAGAATCACTTGAACCCGGGAGGCAGAGGTTGCAGTAAGTGGAGATCACGCCACTGCACTCCAACCTGGGCGACACAGTGAGAGTCTGTCTCAAAAAAAAGAAAAAAAAAAAAGCTACTGAGAAGGAGCCACCATTTTGCTTTAAAATAGTGGGTTTTTTTCCTTTTTAATGAACACTGGAGCTGAGGATGCAGATTACATGAGTTATTTAATAAGTTGATTCAAGAGAGAGAGAGTATATTAGAAATGGTAAGATGATTTGGTGGGCAAAAATGCTTTCTATAATTTGAATATGGGTTTAATTTAATTATTAACTATAGACAGAATTACTTACTGAGTATAAGAAGTATTTTACTGTCTGGGCACAGTGGCTCATGCCTGTAATCCCAGCACTTTGGGAGGCCGAGGCGGGTGGATCACAAGGTCAGGAATTCGAGACCAGCCTGGCCAGCATGGTGAAATCCCATCTCTACTAATAATACAAAAATTAGCTGGGCATGGTGGTGCGCGCCTGTAGTCCCAGCTACTCAGGAGGCTGAGGCAGGAGAATTTCTTGAACACACCAGGTGGAAGTTGCAGTGAGCCAAGATCGTGCCACTGCACCCCAGCCTGGGTGACAGAGCGAGACTCCGTCTCAAAAAAAAAAAAAAGAAAACACACACACACACACACACACCCACAGTATGAATGAAAAAAATAAAATACTTCTTTTTTTTTTTTTTTGAGACAGAGTCTCACTTTGTCGCCAGGCTGGAGTGCTGTGGCGCGATCTCGGCTTACTGCAACCTCCCACTCCCTGGTTCAAGGGATTCTCCTGCCTCAGCCTCTGAGTAGCTGGGATTGCAGGCGTGAGCCACTGCGCCCGGCCTATACTGTATATATTTTTAAAGACTGTTCTAATAGATATAAAAACTGTAAAAAATAAGTATTTTTATATAGCTCTCATGGATTTTATTAAACAGAATTGGCTCAAAAATACTATGTTACAGACTGTTGGGTACCCTTGCCTAACGTGAACTGGCAGTGTTACCTTGCTTTTGCAGTAATAGTCTACAGATTGCAGGTCTCATCAATTCCATCCAAAGTTTAAAAGCATTTAAAATTACCAAATCTTTAAAATCACTTTGGTGGTGATTCCAAATTGGTACCAAGCAAACTTTCTGGATGCCCAACATGATTTTCAGTAACCACCCTTTAGAGTATTTGTTTACTAAGTTCACCACATTTTGAACATGGTAGTTTTAGACTGCAATAATATTTAGACTTACATTATTACTTACTGCTAAGTAAAATCTAAATCCTGCAAATGCACAGAATTCAAGCTGAAATATAATGATTTATGTTTAGCTCACATTGAAGTATTGGTTGGTTACTTATGTATTAATGCAGTGTGCATTCACATTTAATCAGGTTTAGTCTGTTTCTATTTTAATAATTTTAAAAAATTATACAAGCAAATTAGATATTAGACATGTTAGTTACAATGGTAACACATTTTTAGGTGTCGAAACACAATTTTCAAAATTCCTAATGAAAGTTATAAAAATGTAAACAAGAATTGTAAAAATGGACAAAGTAGTCAAATATATTTTCAAAGCACAATTTTATTAGACAGGCATAATTTACATTTTGCTTTTCTAGTGGGTTTGAAAATGTTTATTGGAGATTGGGCTATGTAGTTTATAATTTTTAATTCATAAAAAAGTAATCATACATGAGAAGGTAGACCTGTGCCCTAGGATCATGTCACATATACAGATAATGCCATTTCCTTGTGTGTGTGATGTGTGTTTTGATGACCTCCACAGGCCTTACTGTATCAAGCTTTTATAATGATGACTCCTTCATTATTTAAATTCCTATACTTTTTATTTGTTATCACGCAACTACTTTGTTCAATGTGAAAATGTGCTAACTCATGGGAGAAGAGTGCCAATTGATAGTTCTTTTAGCAATTAAGAATATGGTATTTGGGAAGAAAAGTTTGAAATGCAACAAATGGATATTTCAACACAGTAGTATTATATTATCAGTTCTTTAGTAAGTGATTTTAGAGATGTTGTAGGCTACTTTTACGGTGGAATATATAGTATAGAGATGCAAAACTTAAATGTTTACATCAATTTATATTGAATGTCACATAATTTCATGGAAGGAAAGGTAGCTTGATATTTAGATTCTAAGATATAATCTGAAAGGAAACTAATTATGTTCTCTACACTTACTGTAATACTGATTATTCTTACATATCAAATTATTGAACTTTAAAAATTTCATTGTATAGTCATTAAACTGAGTTGGGTTTTTTCTTAAAGGGTTTAGCATCACTCATTTGATTTACACATTCACATTATAATATTTAATTATCATGGGTGTATGCTTTACATAAAAAAGGTTTATAAAAGTTATTTATGCTATATTGAAAGTCATCTTAAGAATCTCCAGGTTATTTAAAGTAGTTATAGGAGCAGAGAACAAGCACCTTTATCAAAATCTGGTCCTATGTGCCTTGCTTTACCAAATACCTGATTTTTCTGGAGGGTGTTCCTGTAATTCACAACTGTAGACACATGGGCAAAATTAGGATTTTTAAGAATAAATACATTTCTATTTTTTTGGTTGTTTCAACATTAGCTCTTCAAATTCATTAACAAAATTAAAATAGGTATATTACAAAAGCATAAACATTTGTGAACAGTACTTAAATAAATTGTGATACTATTGCTCCATCATTGAACTTTTTGAAACTTTAACAATTGTATAAAACTGTCAGTTTGTTGTTTCATTTGTAATTACAAAATAATTTAAAAACTTTTTAAAATAATTTGGATCCTGACTTTGTCTATATCTGTATTTCATTTGTTTAGAAAGATTCTTTTGGGTTTGATAATGTAATTTGTATATTTAAATTTTTTATGGACATAATTCAAAGGAATGTATAAATTGGTCTTTTGTTAAATGGCTTTTTAATTGATAAACTTCTCTTGTCATTTTTTGGTATCCAGCTATTACCTATTTAATAGATTTATTGAAATAGATTATTTTCATAAAGAACTCTATACAAATCTTTTTCTATATTTCCTTATTTTCCTATTTACCTGTGTCTATGACCTAACCTATGAATTAGTCTTCTCTCTTTATATATCAAAAATGAATTACTGATCTTTTTCTCTGGCTCTGTAGTATCTCTATCACTGTCACATGTGATCTTTCTTCCTTTTCTCTAGCCCATATTCTAGCATGAAATACTGGGTTGGCCAGGTGCAGTGGCTCATTCCTGTAATCCCAACACTTTAGGAAGCCAAGGCAGAAGAATCGCTTGAGCCCATGAATTTGAGGCCAGCCTGGGCAACATAGCCTTGTTTCTACAAAAAATCTTAAAAATAAAATTAGCCAATATGTGGGCATGCACCTGTGGGGCCAGCTACTCAGGAGGCTGAGGCAGAAGGATTGCTTGAGCCCAGCAATTTGATGCTGCAGTAAACCATGATGACACTACTGGACTCTAGCCTGAGTGACAGTGAGACTCTGTCTCAAAAAACAAACAAAACAAAAACTGAAACAACAAAAAAAGACTGGGTTTATTTAAGCTAGTTAGAATTTATCTTTCTATATGTTAATAACAGCCTAACAGATTTTTTGTTTTAAATATCTCTAGGCTAGCCTCAAGGTTAAGTAATTATAGAAGTTTGGTATGTATTTTCTTCATAATTTGAATATAATTGCTTCCATTGTGACTGTCAATTGAATGCATGGAGATCAATTGTGATAATATACAGGATTTTAGTCCTATCTCTACTGCTGAAGTAACCTTACACAAAATACTTTGTAAAAAAATCACTAAAGTGCCAGCATTTTTAAAGTGTATATTTTTCTTTGGCAACCTCTCATGAAAAGCACTAACTAAAAATATTTAATAATCTTTTTTGTATTACAGTGCTTCTTTTGTTGGAAATATATCACAATCCTCAAGTTCCACTGCTATGCAAAAGTATCTTAGAATCTGAATCTTATAGATAATACTACCTTTTTTTTTTTTTTTTTTTTTTTTTTGAGATGGTGTCTCGCTCTGTCACCTAGGCTGCAGTGGTGTGACCTCACTGCAACCTCTGCCTCCCAGGTTCAAGCAATTCTCCTGCCTCAGCCTCCCTAGTAACTGGGATTACAGGCCATGCCACCACGCCCAACTAATTTTTGTATTTTTAGTAGAGACAGGGTTTCACCATGTTGGCCAGGCTGGTCTCAAACTCCTGACCTCAGGTGATCCGCCTGCCTCGGCCTCCCAAAGTGCTGGGTTTACAGGCGTGAGCCGCTGCGCCCGGCCAATACTGCCTTTCAAAAGAGACTGATAGTGACCAGCATTAGTAATCATACTGGTGGGGTTTTTTGGGGTGTTTTTCTGTTTTGTTTTTTGTTTTTTGTTTTTGAGACAAGGTCTTCCTCCCGTTGCCTAGGCTGGAGTGCGGTGACACAATCTTGGCTCACTGCAGCCTTGATAGAGCAAGCTCAAGTGATCCTCCCAGGAGCCTCGGCCCCCAAGCAGCTGGGAATACAGGTGCGCGCCACCATGCCCAGCTGATTTTTGTATTTTTTTGTAGAGATGGGGTTTTGCCATGTTGCCCGGATTGGTCTCAAACTCCTGAGCTTCAGTGATCTGCCTGCCTTGGCCTCCCAAAGTGTTGGGATTACAGGCGTGAGCGACCACACCCAGCCCATATTGGTCTTTCTTACTGTTCTTAAAAAGAGAATTCCTTTAAGGCAGGACCGATTACATATACACTCTAGAAAAGAAAATAGCAAGGAAGAAATAAATTGCCTTCAATTACCAAAGATTTGAGCTTCTGCTATGGCTGAGAGTGTTTTGGTCATTGCAAATTCAGGGGTTTCCCAAGTTCACCCTCAGTTCTGGCTAGAAAGAGAAAACTTACTAAAAGCTATTATACTCACAGTCATATTTATTACAGAGAAAGGAAATACAAATTAAAACCAGCCAAAGGAAGTGACACATAAAACAGAGTCTAGGAGTGGTCCAAACTTGAGGCTTTCGGTGTCCTTTTCTTGTAGCGTCATGGAAGGTGTTATCTACTCCTGACCACAATGTTTGACAGTACACACATAGTATTGCCATTCAGGGAAGCTCACCTAAGCTTTGGTGTCCAGATTTTTATTGAGAGAGGCTCTATTAGTTGGCATGGTTGGTTGATTTTTTTGCCCATGTAGTTGTCCTCTCTTTCCAACATCTGCCCCTCCCTGGAGATCTGGTTGACATCAAGACTTCAGGGCCTCACCATAGGTTATCTCGTTAGCATAAACTGTCAAGTGTTGTCTAAGGAACCCACAATGAATAATAAAGACATTCCTATCAGTGAGAACTCCCAAAGACTTACACCAGAACTTTCTTTGGATGGGCCAAATTTCTTACTACACAAAGACCATTCATCTCTATACACTTCCTTCTGAATTGATGAGGATGATACAAGCAACGACAATTCTTCTTTTCAGAGACTTTTAATTTTTTTTTTTTTTTTTTTTTTGAGATGGAGTCTCGCTCTGTCACTCAGGCTGGAGTTCAGCGGCACGATCTCTGCTCACTGCAACCTCCGCCTCCTGGGTTTGAGCAATTCTCCTACCTCAGCCTCCCAAGTAGCTGGGATTACTGGTGCTCACCACCACGCCCAACTAATTTTTGTATTTTTGGTAGAGACGGGTTTTCACCATGTTGGCCAGGCTGGTCTCGAACTCCTGACCTCAGGTGATCTGCCGGCCTTGGCCTCCCAAAGTGCTGGGATTACAGGCATGAGCCATCACACCCAGCCCAGAGACTTTTAATTTATACATTGTCATTTTTAATTTTAGAATATCTGTCAAATGATTCTGAACATAACATGAATCTAGTGTGGAAAAATGTTTATAATCAGATATTGTGTTAAGAACATATATATATATATAGAGAGAGAGAGAGCATAGTATTGTCATTTAGTTTTCACTTCTTATGTTTAATGACAACTTTATAAATGCTGGACTATTTTAAACTACAAATTTAAAACATGGTTTATAAACCTTTTACCTGTACTGCATATTAATAAACAATTTTGAACTAATTTTAAATTAGGCATTCCTATCACCATTATAAGGAAGAGCTAAAACCTGATACCAGTTGTTATTTTGGCTCACAGTAGGGCTTCACTAGTGTTAGGATCACATTTTCCTCCCTTGGACCTGAGAATCAGGTGTTTTTCGTTTAATGCATTTATTTTCATTCATTCATTTAGGATTTCTAAAATGTTAGAGGTAATTTGTTTAAAACAAATAACATGGTGTTCTTTTGGAAATATACAGTTTATCTTAGATATACACTTTCCTCATTTTAAAGGTAGAACTCACTGCAGGTTTAAAAGAATAATGAATATTGTTACAGTGTTTAGTGATAATCACTGAAAATTCACGTTAAAATATACTTTAAGCTTGTCCAACGCGCGGCCTGCAGGCTGCATGCAGCCCAGGATGGCTTTGAATGTGGCTCAACACAAATTTGTAAACTTTCTTAAAACAGTATGAGATTTTTTTGCAATTTTTTAAAGCTCATCAGCTATTATTAGTTACTGTATTTTATATGTGGCCCAAGACAATTCTTCTTCTTTAAGGGTGACCCAGGGAAGCCAAAAGATTGGACACCCCAGCTTTAAATGTAGAGTATTTAAGAGGTTCAGTTAAATGTACTAAATCAGACTTGTGTGATTTAGACACAAAATCTGTGTGTGTGTGTGTTTGGTCTTTTAAAAGATACTGCATGTACAAACATGATTTCTAATAATTGAGGGTTTATTAAGTTTTTCCCTTTAGGCTAAAGTTTTATTTTATTCTGCTTGGATAGTAAATACAGCATTTTAAAATGATGATGCTAAGTGCTTTTTTAATATATGCATGCTGCTTCAATAGGTCTTTTAAATATAGCCAAGGCAGGGTAATATTTCCTGAGTGATGATAGAATTATAGAAAATCATGAAAGATGTGTGCCCATGTTTCATTTTATAACTGTTCCAGTCATATTGCTATGAATTCTAGAATTTTAAAACCTGCCACACTTATTTTGGATGTTATATACACATAATGCCTCAAATTTCCATTATTTCATATTATTTTTCTCCATTTCCCTCGTGTCAAGTTTCATTTTGTTTTCAATGTTTTGTTTTTATAATATTGCCATTTTAATGGCTTCAATCATGCTATGACAGATTGTGCCAATTTAGCTTTAAAAAACTCATGGGCTACCTCCATGAACTCACACATGCGGCATTGTTAAAGAACCTTTTTTAAAATTAAATTTTCTCCAGCTTTTCATTTTGCAGCATACAAAAAAATTGAAAAATTGGTATACCACCTAAATCCAACCATTATTAACATTTTGCCACACTAGCTTTATCTCTGTTGGGACACTTTACCCCTACATACTCCAGCATGCGTGACCTAAAGATATGGACATCTTCTTAATTAACCTCAGTGCCATTATGACACCTAAGAAAATTTAAATTAATTCAGGTCACTTCATCTAAGTTCAAATTCAAATACAATTGCCCCTCTGTAAACGTGGGGGATTGGTTCCAGGACCCCCACCTCGTGTATACCAAAATTTGGGCACACTCAAGTCCTTAAGGGGAAACCGCGTATAAGAAAAGTCAGCCCTCCCTATGGGTGGGTTTCACATCCTGCAAATAACTGTGTTTTCCATCTGCATTTGGCTGAAAAAAAATCTGCATATAAGTGGACCCATGCAGTTCAAATCTGTTGTTCAAGAGTCAACTGTATTCCCAGTTGTCTCAAAAATGATTTTTTATAGCTTTTTTGTTTTGGAACGAGGGTAAAATCAAGGTTAATGCTTTGTATTTGATTGTCTCCTTTGGTCTTGAAGTCCCCTTCCTGCACCACCACCTGCCCCTCAATGGCTTTTTTATACCAAGAGACTGAAAATGCTACCTCTAATGACTTTTCTCCCCATGATAGTACTCTTTGAAGGACCAAAGTTACTTTGCTCCTATTATGTGGTTTGATTTGTTCCCTTTATTCCTTTCATGTCCTTTGAACTGGAAGTCAAGTCTATAGGTTTGATTACCTTCAGGTTAAATGTATTGGGTAAAAATATTTCACAGATTTTATATTGTATCATATTAAAAGGCACAGATAATCTCATTATTAATGTTGGTAATTATTTGGTTAAGATGATGACTACCCCATTGTAAAGGTTATTGTAAAGTTCTCCCTGTGGTAAAGGTCATTTGTTCACCCTTAGTAATCTATGGAGTAATGTTTTAGCACCAGGAGAATATTCTGTTTCCCAATGCCTTTAGCATCAATTGATGATTCTTGACTGAATCATTTATTACACTGGGGTGCAAAATGGTGATAAATTTTTTTTAGTGCTCTAAATTTCTTCTACATTTATTAGTTTATATTCTTTTTTAAAATAAAAAAGTATATTTCCCTCCTGTTTCTCTAATATCCCTCTTTAAAAAAAAGACCATGTCTTCATGAATTTAAAAAAAATTACTCAATATATTATAGCCAATCGGTCACAGTTCTTTTTGATGCTCATATATATTGTGAGCCTCTAGCCCATGTAAGTCACAGCAAGCTAGCTCTTGGGTTTTTTTTGAGATGGAGTTTCACTCTGTCACCCAAGCTGGAGTGCAGTGGCACGATCTCGGCTCACTGCAACCTCCACCCTCCGGGTTCAAATGATTCTCCTTCCTCAGCCTCCTGAGTAGCTGGGACTATAGGTGCCTGCCACCGCGCCTGGCTAATTTTTTGTATTTTTAGTAGAGATGGGGTTTCACCATCTTGGCCAGGCTGGTCTTGAACTCCTGACCTCGTGATCCACCCGCCTCGGCCTCCCAAAGTGCTGGGATTACAGGCATGAGCCACCGCGCCCGGCCACTCTTGTGTTTTTTAAACATGACCACATTAGTCTTTTAGTCCTTATTTGCTTTAGGCACAAGAAATCTGAGGCTTACCTTATATTTGTCTTGTTCCAAATTTGGATTATCAGCTAATTCTCCAAGGAGCCCTATACCTTTTAAGGGGAGTGGGATTTATTTAATTTTTTCTTTGGAGTCCTTCTAGCCAGTGAATGGAATTTATTATAGAATCCATTGTTACTGAGCTGTCATTGTTTCTAGGCCATTTTAGTGGACATAGCTAGGAAATACAATTTTAAAAGATCATGAATTCAAATTAATATTTACAACTAAAATTTAGCAACATGGCCAGGTGCAGTGGCTCATCCCTGTAATTCCAGCACTTTGGGAGTCTGAGGTGGGAGGATCACTTAAGGCCAGGGGTTCAAGACCAGCCTGGGCAACAGAGTGAGATCCTGTCTCTACAAAAAAAAAAAAAAAGATAAATTTTTTCGAAAAGTTTTATATGAAAAGTGTACTCTGAAAAAATCTAGCTGTCATACCTATCCCTCCATTCCTAACCATCTCTTATAAGTAATTATTATCCATCTCTTATAAGTAATTATTATAAGTATTTTCTTAGTTTTCCAATTTATCTTTCATGTGTTTCTTTTTAAAAAGCAAACAAATATGCATATTGCTGTACTTACTGTGCCTCTTTCACAACATGGGGTCTTTATAAAATTTCTTTGGATGTTTAGAAAGGTTTGTATGCTCTAATTTATACTGATAACATTTTATATAATGCATTTAGAGTCCCCAATTTGCTTGTCTAGGCCTCTACTATTTAATTTGACACCTTTAAATGATGTTCTTTGACTCTTATCTAATTGTCTATGTGACCGTCAGTGAATATATTATCTGTTCATATTTTCTGTAGTCTTATTTCTTTTTGATTAGAACATATAATATTTACACACTATTTTCCCATCCTAATCCCCACCTTTGTAATAAAATTAATTAAAATTTTAAAAAAGTATATTTAATAACCTACTGATACTTACCTGAAGTCTCTCTGGTCAACTTTTGGCTGGATGAAGCTCTTCTGTAGAGTATTCAAGGAGGGCTTGTAAGTACTGTACAATATTCTCTGAGTTGTGACATGTTTAAAATTTCTTCTGGAGCCTAGATACTTAAAGTACACCTTGGCCATGTAGAAAATCCTTGACAAACATTTCCTTTTCTTGAGTTTGTCTGAATTTGTGCTTCACTGTTGGGTTGCTTGATGTTATCATCAAGAAGTGTGGCACCACTTGATTTTTTTCCCTTTTGGAAATGACATTTTGTTTGTTGTTTTTTACCTAGAGACCCAGATAATTTTTTCTATATTATTTTATCTATGATCCTTTTTATCTCATTTTTGTTCTCATAGCTGTTTTATTCCTCTTCTCTGTATTTCTTACTTTACTTTTATTTGTGTCTCTCAGGTACCCTGTGATTTAGTTTTCATTTTTAGATGATTTTATCTTTTCAGTATATTGCCTATGTTTGTTCAACTCTCATTTTACATCTTACTATTGAGTTTAAAAATTTTTATTTGCTGTGTTCTTTTATATGTGCAATTAATGATATTCATGTTGGAGTGTTGTATATTATTTGCCTCTGCTTCATATTGTCTAGAGGGTAGTATTTTCTATTGATTGAAAAGTTTTCATTTTCTGTTTTTTATAATAGCCTTGTATGGATTTTTGGTGGCTTTTCTATTCATGATTAAATGTGTAGGATCTTCTTCAATCAGCAATAACAGGTGGCTCTATAGAATGGAGGGTAGAAGGGATGTGGGTGACTTACTCAGTTTTTAGTTAAAGAGGACCCTCTTCTGTTAGCATGGTGAAGTGCAGTTTCTTTAATAAATTGTGCATGGTGGGGGTGGGATTTGGATTCTGTGATACAATCTTGTTTCTTTAGGAATCTTTTACTTTTGGCCACTTGCCTTTCTTTCCAAGGAATCCCACTCCCTTTCAAGGTGCCTCATGAACTGTTTTCATGAACTTTCCAAACATTGGTTTCTGCTTGTTTCTAAGCCTGATTCTTGGCCTTCTCATTAATTTTCAAAACTTCCAATATCCTTCCAAATAATTCCCTTTTGCTTACGTTAGCGAGTACTAGTTTGTTAGCCAGTGTTAGTTTCTGTTGATCCTAACCAAAAAACCCTAACTGAGATATCAGTCTCTTAGCGCAAAGTTTGTGAATACGGTCATCCCTCCATATGAGGAGGGGAGTGGGAATTGGTTGTGGGACTTCCGTGGATATCCAAATCAGTGGATGCTAAAGTCCCTTACATAAAATGGCATAGTATTTGGTTATCATCCTCCCCATACATCATCTCTAGATTATTTATAGTACTTAATACAATGTAATGCTGTGTAGTCATACTGTATTTTTTACTTGTATTTTTGTTGTTTTGTGGGATTTAAAAAATATTTTTATTCTGAGGATAGTTGAATCCACAGGATACTGAGGGCCAGCTGTATTCACAACCCAAATCACATACAAAGCGACAAGTTCATACACAATAGGCCTATTAGAACAGGACTGTTCTCTCTTGTTTATCATTGCAGCCTTTCTAGCACAAAGCCTGGGACATTCTGGACATTTAGTATGTGTTAAATTTCTCTTACTACATTATTTCCAACAGTATTTACTGCAATCTGCAATTACCTTCCTTTTGTTTTGTAACTGTGTCCCCCACTAGAATGTAAGCTCTGTGCAGATAGTGTCTCATTTATTGATGTATCCCTGGCATCTAATAAAACACTGACAACACAAGCACCCAGTAAATATTTTTTGAATGACTGAACAATAACCAGTTCATAAGGCTGATAAAATTGGTATAGCTAGATGAAGTATGATTTTGAGGGACTATGAAAATCAAAGTAACCACACAATAAATTATCAGCCCTCTACTTCCATTCAAAACAAGCTCCTGGGAATTGAATTATGAAATCTATCATATTACTTTCTCTAAAGAACTTCAAGTTGGGTGTCAACTAAAAAGTTGCAGGCGAGGCGCGGTGGCTCAAACCTGTAATCCCAGCACTTTGGTAGAACTGAGTATCTCTTGAGGCCAGGTTTGAAACCAGCCTGGTCAACATAACCAGACTCTGTCTTTACAAAAGAAAAATTAAAATTAGCCAGGCATGGTGGTGTGCATTTGTAGTCCCAGATACTTGAGACGCTGAGGCAGAAGGATCGTTTCGGAAGAGGCTGCAGGAGGCCATGATGGCACCACTGCACTCCAGCCTGGGTGACAGAGTGAGACCCTGCCTCAGAAAATAATAATAGGCCACGCATGGTGGCTCACACCTGTAATCCCAGCACTTTGGGAGGCTGGGGCGGGAACATCACCTCAGGTAAGGAGTTCAAGCCTGGCCAACACGGTGAAATTCCATCTCTACTAAAAATACAAAAAAAATTAGCCAGGCATGGTAGTGGGGACCTGTAATCCCAGCTACTCGGGAGGCTGAGGCAGGAGAATCACTTGAACCTGGGAGCTGGAAGTTGCAGTGAGCCAAGTTGGCACTATTGCACTGCAGCCTGGGCAACAAGAGCAAAACTCTGTCTCAAAAAATAAATAATAAAAAAAGTTTCAAAATGAGAATATATGTTTCAAAACAAGTATAATGAATATACTTATTGATTGGAAAATATAATTAGAAGTATCTATCAGGCTATAAATTGCTTTTCTTCTCCCTTCCATGGAAATTAGTTTTTTTTTCCATTTTTAGTCAGTATGAAAATACAAGGAAAAGGAAATTCAATCAAATTTACTTTTTAACATTTTATTTGGAAATAATTTCAAACTTACAGAAAAGTTGCAAAAACAGTACAAAGAACTCATACATTCATTTACTGTTTTTCCTTTTACCCTATATATTAGTTATTTATAGCTGTGTAACAAATAACCCCAAAGCTTAGTGGCTTACACCAAGTACTTTTCATCTTACACTGTTTCTGAGTCAGGATTCCAGGAGTGGCTAAGCTAGGTGGTCCTACCTCTGGGTCTCTCATGAAGTTGTAGTCAGCCAAAGGCTTGACCAAGGTTGGAGGATCTACTTCCAAAGTGACTCACTCCGTGGCATTTGGTAGGAGGCTACAAACAGTTCCTGGACAACTGGATCTCTCCATAGGCTGCTTGAGTGTCCTGAAAACACGGAAGCAGGCTTCCCCAGGCTCCAAGCCCCAAAATGAATGAAAAAGAGACCCGCAAAGGAAGATGCAGTGCCTTTTATGACCTAGCCTCTGAAGTCAATACTGTCACTTCTGTTTTGATCTATCAAGAGTCACTAAGCCTAGTCTACACTCAAGGGGAGGGGAATTAGAGTCCACCTCTTCCAGGGAGGAATATCATTGAATCTGTGAACATATCTTAGAACTACCATACCTAGTTTCAGTACTTTTAAACATTCGCCATTTTGCTTTGTCCCTCTCTTTTCCCCACCTACATATACATACACATACATGTTACTCCCTAACCATCTGAGAGTAGGGAGCATGCGGTGTATCCCTATCCCTCGTGTTTTTCTCTTAAGGAAAAGGATATTCTATTATACAACACGGTAGTTATCAATATCTAATTTTAACATTGTGATACTTTAAAGTCCACTTCCACTTGTGTAAATTGCCCTTTCTAGCAATGTTCCCATCAAATTTATTTTTAAACAATACAGTAAAAACGTAGAGGGCCACAAAGGGTGACATCGGTCAGGTAAGGTATTTTTTTTGGCAGGGAATAAAAAAGGTCCTGGGTCTAGGGAGGTAAACAAGCGTGAGCCAGCTGAGTTCTAGCGGGGGTCCCTGAACACCAAAAGGACAAGACTGTTTCTGAAACACTACATTATCTCTTAAGTTACCCATTACTTACGGAAAATGATTTTTTACTGTTCCCTTCGGTTCCTGTCTTGGTTAGAACACAGCTGGAGATTGTGTTAATAGCTTAGGACGTCTGTTTCCGTGAGCAGGTAACAACTTTTTGAAACAAATTCCCTCATCTGCTGAAGAAGGGGGACAAAAACGGCCCCTATCGCCCAGAACCGTTGCGAGGATTTAGCTAGCTGGTGACGCCGGAGCACGAAGTTGTACAGGTAGCCAGCAGCACCCACGCGAGCCCGCGGTTACCCTGGCCGCGCGGCTACTGTAGAGTGGGCTGGCGGCGAGCGGGCGGGGCGGTATCACGCGGGAGGGGCGGGGCCCGCTCGTCGGCTGATCGCACGATTGTGACGCGCCGCCGGAGGCAGGCCGGGCCCTCAAGATGGCGGCGGGCGCCCAGAGCGGCTCGGCCCGGCAGTAGTGGTGGGACGGCACTAGCTGCTGGGGCCTGCCGCCCCGGGAGTGGCTGCAGCAGCGCCAGGAATCGAGGATGGTAAAATGACCCAGGGGAAGAAGAAGAAACGGGCCGCGAACCGCAGTATCATGCTGGCCAAGAAGATCATCATTAAGGACGGAGGCACGGTGAGCTGAGTTCCGCGCCGGCGAGCGTCCCTCGGGGCCCCCATCCGGTCTCTCCTTCAGACCCCCACACTGCCGTCTCTAGGCGTCCCGGTGCCTCCCTCCCTTCCCCCACCCTGTCCGAGCTGCCGGTGCCTCGGGGTCGCGGACCCGCATGCCGCCGCTCCGGGAATCGTCCTCCGCTGCTCGGGCTTGCGGCCTCCGGGGCCCGTCCTCTTTCTTTCCCGCACCTGCCGCCCTCTGCTCTGGCCGCCTCTGCAGGCCCTGCGGCCTCGAACCCCACGTGCGCCTCCGCCGCGGGGAGGAATGTGCGGGGCTCCCCCGGCGGCCCGCCCGCCGCGCCCCTCGTCGCCGCAGCCTCGCCTCGCCTTCGCCGCCAGGCCCCGCGGAGCCGTCGCCGCGCTTGTCAAGGGGCTGGGAACCATCCCTGCTCTCCCATATGTTGCTAACGGGGTGGCGTCTGGCGCGGGGATCCCGCTGCGGCCCCGTAGTACGTTCGCTTTCTGTTTCCACGTCTCTCTGCGTCGGTGCTCCGGCTCTGGGCTGCTTACAGTAAACCCTGACCGGAGATGGGCTTCCCTCACTTCCCGGAGTCGGAAGCATGACGGCAGACACCTGGGGCCTACATTCGAACCTGCTAGTTTTCAAAGAAAAGTCATCACTGTGTGTCTTAAGATCAAAAGTATTAGAATCAGTCATGGCCTAAGGATCGGAGGAGGACACTTTGAAGGGAAGAAAGGTTTGCTTTTTAGAAACAGTTGTCATCACAGTAAACTTTATGCAGTGTGTAGTTAACCAGCTGGGGACGTAGGATTTTTAATTGAAAAACAAAACAAAACAAAACTGTTTTATGCTAACATTTCTCCGTTGCTACACTGTGTGGTCTTTGTTGCATCCGCTGATACCGCGTTCTGAAATAGAATGGAAAGGTGATATATATGTTTCACTTACCTGAAGTGTGCAGAAATTGTACCATTAATTCCATTTCTGTTTATATCTTATTGGAGCCGCGATCAACTGCTAGCACAGTAGTAAATGTGTAAGTAGGCCACCATTGAGGATTTGCTGAATTCAGTTGAAAAACGTGACAAAATTTTATGACATTTCAGAACACGGCCCAGTCAATATGCCAAAGTTTAGAAAACTTGAGACATATGTAATGACTTTGGAATATATTTTTAGTTTAACGTTTATTATATGTTATAGCTTTGACATTTATTGAAAAAAAGAAACAAATTCCTCAAGTTCTTTTTATTGAACTTGATTAATTAAAACATTACTTTGATTAGATCGGTTATGAAGAGTCATAGCTCTTTTGACCAAGTAGGTAAGAACTATGTGGGGAGAAAAATACTGTTGCCTTTGTCTACCTTTAGAAAGAGACAATATTTTACATTCTTCATAAAATCTACAAAATAGTGGCAATGAAAGATTGTATTTTGTAAGACCAAGTGATATTTAAGATCAGTATTTTTTACAAAATGTAAGAATGAAACTGATTAAGAAACACAGCTTCCTTTTCCTTGGAAAGTTCAGTTTTATTACCTTTCTTTGGGGTTTTGTTTGATTTGCTTTACAGCAGATGCTTTCTTTCCAAATCCTGTGAGTTTTGGAAAAGATCGTTTTTAAACTTTCTTGTCCTATTATTAAGGTTGTAATTAATTCTTAGCCTGCTTTGGGACACAAAATAAAATGTTTGCACCAGCAATAGGTTTCACATAGAACAAATGAAGACTTTTCTTGAGGGCTGTGAACATGGGGGCTATTATCATTTCTCATCTTTATACACTTAATATTTCATTCTCTATTCTAAGAGCACTGGGCACTCCTTTAGAAAAGGGGCTTTGTTTTGTATGTTTGGATCCCACAGGGCCTAGTATGTGAATTTTAAAGTGATAAAAACACTTCTATTTTGTACTAGCACATTCCTAGATGAATTTTTATTGTAATTTTGTTTATTCTTATACGTAATCAGAGGATATATTTCAATAAATATCAGGGGAATATTTTGCATTATTTGTATTTTAATCCATCCCAGCTTTAAATTTAAAAAGTATAACTATTGCAGTCATAGAAATGATTGTAAAATGGTAGTTGCTTATCTACCTCTCTACTTACAATAGTTCAGACTACTATTATGAACTTTTTTTGTTTGTTTGTTTGAGATGGAGTCTCACTCTGTTGCCCAGGCTGGAGGAGTGCAGTGGCAGGATCTCGGCTCACTGTAACCACCGCCTCCTGGGTTCAAGTGATTCTCCTGCCTCAGCCTCCCGAGTAGCTGGGACTACAGGCACGTGCCACCATGCCTGGCTAATTTTTTATATTTTCAGTAGAGACAAAGTTTCACCATATTGGTCAGGCTGGTCTTGAACTCCTGACCTCATGATTCACCCACCTTGGCCTCCCAAAGTGCAGGGATTACAGGTGTGAGCCACCGTGCCCAGACTGAACATTTTTTAAGAAAGGGGAAAAAATTGCCATTTGATACTCTGTTGTTGTGTGTTTTTTAATTCATCGTATCATAGAATATTTCAGTGCTATTGCTGTTGACCTCAGAGTTTCAGAGTTTTTATAAAGTTCCGCCAATGGGTAGATTCATTCAGTGAGATGTCTGAGGCTCTATGGTCGGTACATGACAGTCGTGAACAGTATTTCACATACCTGGTCAATGGTACTGATTTGATCCCCCTTCTGATTTCTTCTTTTCAACAATGTTAATAAAATTCTTTCCCGTTGTCCTGCTAATGACATATATGTAAGCCTATTTGGCCAGTTTAAATATTTATAAACAAAACTAGTAAGAGTTGTTAATGATTTTTCTGAAAATTAGAGCAGATTAGAGCAGATTTGTAGTTTTCAACGGCTGAAGAAATAAATCCTTCTAAATGAGCCAGATTAATCGTAAGTTACTGATTTTTTTATTGAAATTGTATTTCATTGAATTGTATTTCATTCAGCTGAATGAAAAACAGGCCAGGATAAAGCTAACAAGTAGGCTACCTATGTGAGTAGACACAATTAAGATAAATTACATTAAGGTGTGTGATTTTATATTAGGTGTTTTTAACCTGGGTCTGTTCACCCTGAAGTTGTTTGCAAAATTTTCTTTTGGCTATACATGTTTCTTGGAAGAGTCCCAAAAGGTCCATACTTCCCAAAAGTTTAAGAGCAATTGTTCTGTTTGAAAACAGCATAAGTAACTAAAGAATAAGTTCCACATATTATATTCAGTAAATATTTAATCATATACTGTATACTACTTCACTGATGAAAGTAACCATATTAGTGAATTTGCTTTTAAAGCATCCATATATAGAAATAGTTTTTAGGCCAGGGGCAGTGGCTCACGCCTGTAATCCCAGCACTTTGGGAGGCCAGTGTGGGCAGATCACTTGAGGCCAGGAGTCTGAGACTAGCCTGGCCAACATGGTGAAACCCCATCTTTACCAAAATTACAAAAATGAGCTAGGTGTGGTGGTATGTGCCTGTAATCCCAGCTACCCGGGAGGCCGAGGCACGAGAATCACTTGAACCTGGGAGGCCAAGATTGCAGTGAGCCTAGATCACGCCACTGCATTCCAGCCTGGGTGATGGAGTGAAACTGTCTCAAAAAAAAAAAAAAAGAAGTTTTTAGTTACAGGTTTTCATGTATGTAACATTCAGTGTAGGTATTTAAGACAGCTGAAATAAAAATACCTTCTGACATTTTCAAATACTAGAATTCTGTTTTGTTTTATTAAAGCATTACCACTTGTTTTTAAGCATTCCTGTTAGAGGCTAAGAGCTAAAGAGTTATTTACAGTATTCAAATTGAATTTTCCTTATCTTTTAAAATGCTCATCTTAAAATATGATCTTTATTGTTTTGGCCATACAATTGTGGAACTACATCTCTGACAGTGGAAAATGTATAGTTCTTTCAGAAGTTTGTGGTAAAATGACTTTAAAGATTTGATAGAAAGTAAGGCATATCTGAATTGCATGGTCGGAAGTACCTGAAAAAAGTAAAATTGATATATCATTTGAAAATGAAATGCATATCCCTGGATAAGCAGAGCACCAGATTTTTTTTTTCTTGGCATCCCTGATTTTAATTAAATAGGAGTCAGCAACCGTTTCAAGAGCAGGACCCAAGCTCTGACCCTTTGCACTCTTCACCTGCAAGGATGGCTGAAGTAGTGGCAGGAAAGCTCTCTGGGATGTAGGGCCTTTGTAGACCCAGAGAGCTGTTAAATAACCTTTGGTTGCTAGCATGCAAGCAATAAGAAGGGCCTGTGGTGCTTTTCTTTTTCTTTCTTTTTTTTTTTCTTTTGAGACAGAGTTTTGCTCTTGTTGCTCAGGCTGGGGTGCAATGGCGTGATCTTGGCTCACAGCAACCTCTGCCTCCCTGGTTCAAGGAATTCTCCTACCTTAGCCTCCTGAATAGCTGGGATTACAGGCATGTGCCATCATGCCCAGCTAATTTTTGTATTTTTTTAGTAGAGACCGGATTTTACCATGTTGGCCAGGCTGGTCTCGAACTCTTGACTTCGGGTGATCCACCTGCCTCAGTCTTCCAAAGTGGGATTACAGGTGTCAGCCACTGCGCCTGGCCCCGTGGTGCTTTTCAAAAAGCCTAGAAACATCAGGGTGTTTATATTGTCTTTGGCAGGTGTGTGGCTGGCAGCATCATTAATTACTTAGCTCCTTACCTCCATGGTTCAGTGTTTGGTTTAGATTGGTGTGTTTGGGGATAAATTAATATGCAGTTTTTTTTTCAGATGGCTATATGCATCCAGTTCATCCTCATGTAGTTAGAAGACTTGCATACCAACATAATCAGACCGTCTGCAGAAATTCTCCTACAGTTGAAATGTAACTCCTTTGCAGCTACTGAAAGTTTAAAGTTTAAGTAAAAAAATGAATAGCTTTCTTCAGGTAACATTCTGACAAGTCTGTATGATTTAAAAGTTTCAATTATAAGGAACTCTGATTGTCTTTTAGCATTATTTTAAATTGGAAGTGTGAAAGTAACAGTTGACAGTTTCAGCCAGGGTACATCAAGAAGAGATGAATATGGGTATAATATAGCTCTCAAAATTTCCAGTACTTTATAACAAAGAAATATCCCTCCCACTGCCCTGTTTTTTAAAAAATAAATAATACATGTTTTCCTTCCAGTCGTGGGAAACTTAATAGAATGGTTCAGGAGGGACAAGTATATGCAGCATACCTGTCATTTTCCATTCAAGTTTTACTTTATTTTTAAAATTTATTATTTTTTAAAATATTTCAATAGTTTTGGGGTACAGGTGGGTTTTTGGTTACATAGATGTTTTTTAGTGATGATTTCTGAGATTTTAGTGCACCTGTCACCTGACCAGTGTATACTGTACCCAATATATAGTCTTTTATCCCTCTCAAGCTTCCCCCCCATCCTCAAAGTCCATTCTATTAGTCTTACGCCTTTGCGTCCTCATAGCTGAACTCTCACTTGTAAGTGAGAACATACGACATTTGGTTTTCCATTCCTGAATTACTCACTTAGAATAATGGCCTCCAATTCCATCCAAGTTTCTGCAAAAGACATTATTTCATTCCTTTTTATGGCTAAGTATTCAATGGTATATATACACCACATTTTCTTTATCCACTTGTTGGTCATTGGGCACTTGGGTTGGTTCCATATCTTTGCAGTTGTGAATTGTGCTGCTATAAACATGCATGTACATGTGTCTTTTTCATATAATGACTTCTTTTACTTTGGGTGGGTACCCAGTAGTGGGATTGCTGGATCAAACAGTAGTTCTATTTTTAGTTCTTTAAGGAATCGCCATACTGTTTTCCATAGTGGTTGTACTAGTTTACATTCCCAACAGCAGTGTCAAAGTGTTCATTTGTCACCACATCCACACCATCTATTATTTTTTGATTTTTAAATTATGGCCATTCTTGCAGGAGTAAATGATATCTCATTGTGGTTTTAATTTGCATTTCCCTGATAATTGGTGATGTTGAGCATCTTTTCATATGTTTGTTGGCTTATTGTATGCCTTTTGAAAAATGTCTATTCATGTCTTTTGCCTACTTTTGATGGGATTGTTTGTTTTTTTTCTTGCTGATTTGAGTTCCTTGTAGATTCTGGGTACTAGTCCTTTGTCAGATGCACAGTTCATAAATATTTTCTCCAACTGTATGGGTTGTCTGTTTACTCTGCTGATTTTTTTTTTTTTTTTTTTTTGAGATGGAATTTTGCTCTTGTTTCCCAGGCTGGAGTGCAATGGCATGATCTTGGCTCCCTGCAACCTCTGCCTCTCAGGTTCAAGCCATTCTCCTGCCTCAGCCTCCCAAGTAGCTGGGATTACAGGCACACACCACCATGCCTGGCTAACTTTTTTGTATTTTTAGTAGAGACGAGTTTTCTCTATGTTGGCCAGGCTGGACTCAAACTACTGACCTTAGGTGATCCACCCGCCTTGGCCTCCCAAGATGCTGGGATTACAGGCATGCCTAGGCGGCTATAAGTATTTTGCTTTATTTCTGGGTTATCTGTTGTGTTCCATTGGTCTTCATGCCTATTTTTATACCAGTACCATGCGGTTTTGGTAACTGTAGCCTTTTGTATAATTTAAAGTCGGGTAATGTGATGCCTCCAGATTTGTTTTTTGCTTAGTCTTGCTTTGGCTATGTGGGCTCTTTTTTGGTTCCATATGAATTTTAGGATTGTTTTTTCTTGTTCTGTGAAGTATGATGCTGGTATTTTGATGGGAATTGCATTGAATCTATAGATTGTTTTGGTCAGTATAGTCATTTTCACAATGTTGATTCTTCCCTTCCATGAACATGGGATGTGTTTCCCTTTGTGTCATTTATGATTTCTTTTAACAGTGTTTTGTACTTTTCCTTGTAAAGATCTTTCACTTCCTTGGTTAAGTGTATTCCTAGGTGTTTTGTTTTTTTTGCAGCTATTGTAAAAGGGATTGAGTTCTTGATTTGATTCTCAGCTTTGTCGTTGCTGGAATATAGCAGTGCTATTGATTTGTGTCATTGATTTTGTATCCTGAGACTTTACTGAATCGTTTATCAGATCTCGGAGCTTTTTGGATGCGTCATTAGGGTTTTCTAGGTATACAGTCATATCATTGGCAAACAGTGGCAGTTTGATTTCCTCTTTTCCAATTTGCATGCTCGTTATTCCTTTCTCTTGTCTGATTACTCTGGTTAGGACTTCTAAATTTTTTAATTACTATGGGTACAAAGTAGATACAGATATTTATCAGGTACATCTGATATTTTGATACAAGCATATGTTGATACAGGTATACAGTGTATAATAAATCAGGGATACTGGGGTATCCATTACCTCAAACTTTTATCATTTCTTTGTGTTAGGAACATGCCAATTCCACTTTTATTTTATTTTATTTTTTATTTTTTGAGACAGAGTCTCGCTCTGTCGCCCAGGCGACATACATAGTACAGTAGTGTACTCCAGCCTGGGTGACGGGGAGACTCTGTCTCAAAATAAATAAATAAATAAATAAATCTGTTCAGACTAATGTCCTAGAGTGTATTCCCAATGTTTTCTTCTAGTCGTTTGTGGTTTCAGGTTTTAGATTTAAGTCTTTAATCCATTTTGATTTGATTGTTGTACATGGCAAGAGGTAGGGGTATAATTTTATTCTTCTGTATATGGATATCCACTTTTCCTAGCACCATTTAGGAGACTATCCTTTTCCCAATGTATACTTCGGTGCCGTTGTCAAAAATGAGTTGACTGTAAATGCATGGATTTATTTCTGGGTTCTCTATTGTGCTCTATTGTCTATGTATCTGTTTTTATACCAGTATTATGCTGTTTTGGTTACTATCACTTTGTAGTATAATTTGAAGTGAAGTAATGTGATTCCTCCAAGCCTCGTTTTTTTTTTTTTTTTTTTTTTTTTTTTTTTTGAGACAGAGTCTAGCTCTGTCGCCTAGGCTGGAGTGCAGTGGCGCAATCTTGGCTCACTGCAACCTCTGCCTCCCTGGTTCAAGTGATTCTCCTGCCTCAGTTTCCCGAGGAACTGGGATTACAGGTCCCACCACCACGCCTGGCTAATTTTTGTATTTTTAGTAGAGACGGGGTTTCACTTTGATGGCCAGGCTGGTCTTGAACTCCTGACCTCAGGTGATCCGCCCGCCTTGGCCTCCCAAAGTGCTGGGATTACAGGCGTGAGTCACTGTGCCCAGCCTCCAGCCTTGTTCTTTTTGCTCAGGATTGCTTTGGCTGTTCTGGCTCTTGTGGTTCCATATAAGTTTTAGGATTTAAAAGAAAAAATTCTGTGAGGAATGTCATTTGTAGTTTGATAGTAACTGCATTGAATCTGTAGATTGCTTTTGGTAGTATTAAAATTTTAACAGTATTGATTCTTCCAATTTATGAACATGAAATATCTTCCCATTTGTGTGTGTGTCCTCTTCAATTCGTGTCATCAATGTTTTGTAGTCTGTAGACATCTTTCACTTCTTTAAGTTTATTCTTAGGTATTACATCTGTAGCTATTGTAAGTGGGATTATTTTCTTGGTTTCTTTTTCAGATATTTGCTGTTGGCATATAGAAATGGTACTGATTTTTGTATCCTGCAACTTCAGTGAATTTGCTTCCATTCTGATAGTTTTTTGGTGGAGTATTTAGGGTTCTCTCTATATAAGGTCATGTCATCTGTAAAGAGGGACAGTTTTGACTTCCTGTTTTCTAATTTGCATGCCTTTTATTTCTTACTCATGCTTAATTGCTCTAGTTGGTACTTTCCAGTACTTTGTTGAATAAGAGTGGCGAAAGTGGGCATCTTTGTCTTGTTCCAGATCTTTGAGGAAAGGCTTTCAGGTTTTCCCTGTTCAGCATGATAGCTCTGTGTCTGTCATATATGGCTTTTATCATATTGAGGTATGTTCCTTCTATACCATTTTTGAGAGTTTTTATGAAGCAGTGTTGAATTTTAGTAAATGCTTTTTCATCATTAATTGAAATGATCATTTTATTTTCCTTCATTCTTTTGAAATGATGTATCACCTTGATAGATTTATGTATGTTGGACTATCCTTTCATACCTGGATGAATCCCACTTGAACATGATGAATGATTTTTTTGTTTTTAATTTTTTTGAGACGGAGTTTTGCTCTTGTTGCCCAGGCTGGAATGCAATGGCGCAATCTTGGCTCACCGCAACTTCCGCCTCCCGCGTTCAAGCGATTCTCCTGCCTCAGCTTCCTGAGTAGCTGGGATTACAGGCATGCGCCACCACGCCTGGCTAATTTTGTATTTTTAGTGGAGACGGGGTTTCTTCATGTTGGTCAGGCTGGTCTTGAACTCCTGACCTCAGGTGATCCACCCGCTTTGGCCTCCCAAAGTGCTGGAATTACAGGTGAGAGCCACTGCGCCCGGCCGATGAATGATCTTTTTTAAGACCTCCTTCCTGAAGGAGGTTTGCTAGTATTTTGTTGAGGATTTTTGCATCAATGTTCATCAGAGATATTGTCCCATAGTTTATTTTGTTTTTCTCCATGCTAGTTTTAGGTAATTTTTCTCTTAAATAAACAAAGCATTTTCCTCCTAAAGTGCAAGCATGCTTATTAGAAAAGATATGGAAAATTCAGAATAGCATAGTAAACAATGTGATATCACTTAAAATCATTACCTAATATAAATTTTATTTACATTGAGGTCAGTATTTATTGTTTTTCAGAGTTGAAATTACCCTACCTATACATGTTATATCCTACTTTGATTTTTAAAAAAATTAGCATGCTTTAAGCCCTGAGAAGTTGTACCAAGCTTTCTGCTAGGGGCTGGGTATATGTGGTGGTGAACATGGTGGACAAAACAGGTTTAAAGCTTATCAAATTTGTGGCCAATTTTTTTTTTTTTTTCAGAGTCTCTGTCGCCCAGGCTGGGGTGCAGTGGTGGGATCTCAACTCACTGCAACCTCTGCCTCCCAGGTTCAAGCGATTCTCCTGCCTCAGCCTTTCTGAGTAGCTGGGATTACAGGCACACGCCACCATGCCCAGCTAATTTTTGTATTTTTAGTAGAGACAGGGTTTTGCCATGTTGGCAAGGCTGGTCTCGAACTCTTGACCTCAAGTGATCTGCCCACCTTGGCCTCCCAAAGTGCTGAGATTACAGGCATGAGCCACCATGCCTGGCCTCCTGTGGTCTTTTTTTGACCTTATATTACTATGCTTGTTCCATTTGATACTAGGCATCACCTCCTCCTTCCTGAAACTGCTCCATTGTCATATGTGACACTGTATTCTCTTCACTCTCCTGATATTTTCTTACTGTTCCTTTTATCTTCCTCTTTTCTTTATCAAAGAAGAAAAACCTTCACTATTTTCCTGTGCCTCCTACTTAAAATGTTGGCGCTTCTTGGGGTTCTGTCTCAGCCCACTGCTGTTTTCACACTTGACACTCCTGATAATCTCATCTACTCTGGTGGTTTCAGATATCACATTTGCTGCTAATTGTTTTAATCAGTGCTCAAAGACAATACAAATGTTTCAAGTAAAGAGGGCAGTTTTGTAGATAGGACCTGAAGTAAATCTGAGCCTCGTGGGGGGAAGTGCTGGGAAGCCACCAGCTTTAACTGCTAGACAACCAAGCTAAACACTTGGAAGTTGTTCTTGATTCTCCCTTCCGCTATTTATCAAGCTCCTCCCAATTTCAAATCCTGAATCCTTAATCCGTTCCCTCCCCTCCAACATTCATACTGTGCCACTGTTTTATGCCCTCATTTCTTGTTTGAGCTGATTCAGATAGCTTCCTTTTAGATGCGCTTTGCTTCTCCATTTTATCCTTTAGGAAATCACCAGAGTGATAATACTGCAGTGAGTCTTAAGACATCTCTGGCAGCGGTATAAACTTAATTTTGTATTTTCTTTCTCATGTATATCAAATTCCAAATCTCTTACATACTTTCGCTGGGGATTGTTCTGCTTTTGAGCCATGTTGATATCGTGTTTATATTTTTGCCACTTGCTTCATTTATGGTTTTTTTTTTTTTTTTTGGTTACATCTTTGCCAGAATAATCTTAAAACTTTCATCTGATTGTGTCAGTCTTAATATCTTTTAGTGGCTCCCCATGGCCTTCAGAATTAAATATAGACTCCTTAGCATGGAAGCTGGTCTTTGAGTACCTGTAGCTTGTCTTTCAATACACCCAACGTGCAGCCCATGCACTGGTTGTACTGAACTCGATATATGAGACCCATAATGCCGCAAGCCTTGGAAGCTTTGTACAGGCTGAGCCATCTTTTCCACCCTATACCTCCGCCTGTCTAACTCTGTTGTGTCCTTTCAGCCTTCCTCCTGGAAGTCTGATATTTCCCACCTCCCAAGCTCCCTTGGACTCTGTATGTTCCAACTGCATACTGTGCTTATGCTAATGAATTTCGTTGTTGCCTTGTCTGTCCCTCTGACTTTGAAGACAGAGGCAGTGAGTACAGATGTTTGACACAGTGCCCAGTACATATATGATCTTAATATTTGTTGACTATTAACATCGTTGTTATTGTTAATAATTATAGAATGTACTGTTAACTTTTTTTAACTTTTTAAAAAATCTTGTTTTTTATAGCCTCAAGGAATAGGTTCTCCTAGTGTCTATCATGCAGTTATCGTCATCTTTTTGGAGTTTTTTGCTTGGGGACTATTGACAGCACCCACCTTGGTGGTAAGTAATCTTTTAAATTATTTAACACTGACTCCAAAATCTCTTCTTCTTCAGTTTTGGAGGAAAATGTGGGCCTTTTCCCTTTGCACGGTTAATTCTCCCACCAGTATTGTTCAGTATTCACCAGTATTTTACTGGTTGTCTTTTCCAACTGTTAACTCTCCCTTACCTTTTTTTGGGAGGGGGGTGGCGTGGAGGTGTTTGAATTTGGACTTGTCACTGGGCATGTTCAAGCAGAGGCTCTGTAACTACTCTGAGTAAAATGGAAGAGATTCTTAAACCGACAGGTTTAGAAAAGATGATGTCTGTGACCTGCATGACTCGGCATAATTACTTTGAGGTTCATTTATGCAGCTGTACTTTCCAAAAACAGGTTTCTGTTCATTTGGGCTAAGTACCTAGAAGGGCTATTCTTTAATAGATCTAAGCTGATTTTACCCAAATTCTCCCAGGTTTGAAACTTTAGAAAAGACCTCCCTGCCCGACCAAACAACTCAGAAGATAGCCAGTTTTCTTATATTGGTGTAGATAAGGGGAATGGAAGGAGGGAAGGACTATCTATGGTAAATATCTATACCATCTTGAAAGGAGTAATTATGATAAATGTACAGTTTACCAAATCCTAGAGGAATAGAGTTTTAAAGTAATATACTATGTTTTCATGAAGGTTTTTATAAAAAAGTTATTTAATAGAAAAATTATGTAAGTAGATTGAACTAGCCTAAGAACATTTACAGTACATATTTCTTGATATATTTATTGACAGCTGTGTAATTGTTACTATCTATACATAAAATATTGATGTTTAGCAGTTGCTTATGCCTGTAATCCCAGCATTTTGGGAGGCTGGGTGGGCAGATCGCTTGAGCTCTGGAGTTGAGACCAGCCTGGGCAACATGGTAAAACCTTGTCTCTACAAAAAATGCAAAAATTAGTTGTGCATGGTGGCATATGTTTGTAGTCCCAGCTACTCGGGAGGCTAAGGCAGGAGAATCACTTGAGCCCAGGAGGCAGAGGTTGTAGTGACCCGATATCGTGCCACCACACTCCAGCCTGGGCGACGGGAGTGAAACCTTGTCTCAAAAAAAAAAAACAAAAAAAAAAACAGCCGGGCGCGGTGGCTCACACCTGTAATCCCAGTACTTTGGGAGGCCAAGGCGGGTGGATCACGAGGTCAAGAGATTGAGACCATCCTGACCAACATGGTGAAACCCTGTCTCTACTAAAAATACAAAAATTAGCTGTGCGTGGTGGTACGCACCTGTAATCCCAGCTACTTGGGAGGCTGAGGCAGGAGAATCTCTTGAACCCGGGAAGTGGAGGTTGCAGTGAGCCGAGACTGCACCACTACCCTCCAGCCTGGATACAGGGTGAGACTCTGTCTCAAAAATAAAAAGTCATTTTGAATATATAGAGCATGTTCATGAGTATTGCTATAAAAAAATATCAGAGGGTTTTTTTTTTTTTTTTAGTTTACTGATTTCAGATAGAAATCTTTAAAAAATTAATTTACACATTTCCTGGCTTCATAATCCAAGTACAACGATTTGGAACTTCCTCAGATGATGCAAGTTGATTATGACATTCATAACTTCATTGAATTGTAATAACCTGTTTTTGTCAAGGGTTACTGAAGTGCTGTAATAACTTTTTGGGCTCATGACTTTACATTAGCTTTCCTAATGCGCCAGCGTGCTTTTTATAATCTGTCAGTTTAACATACAAATCTGTCTGGTAGACCATCACTCCTACCATTTAAAGTACTTGAGCTTTGTAATAGTAAACAGCCCACGTGTATTTATATTATGATGGATCTAGGCACAGTCCTTTAATGTATTCAAAGTGGACTATGTTAAGCACAGTCCTAATGTATTCCACTTTGAATACATTATCATTTTTCATCCTTACAACCACCTTATCAGTGAGATATTAGCCTCATAATACAGATGAGGAAACCGGGGCTTAGAAAAGTTAAGCAATTTGATTGCTACTCTGACAGTAAGCTGCAGTGTTGGTATTTGCACCCAGGCTTCCTTGACTCCTCCAGTGCTCAGTCTTTTGGGGAATGCAGGTAGTAACTTGTTTGTACCCATGTTTTAGATAGTTGAGGTTGTCAGGCAGCCCAACCACTAGCTAAGTAGGGTGATCAAAATGTGGATGAGCTGTTAGCAAGCTATGAAAAAAAGCATTTTGTGATGTTTCCATAATTTGTTATCAGTATTTCAAGTGTGTATAGCTATTTTTAAAATTTGCTTCTTGTTTAAATTTTTTTAGGTATGTTATCTTTCGTGTTATTTTGGTACATTTTTTTCCTAGTTGGACAAAGGGAGGCTATCTTTTTTAAGAACAAGGAAGGAGTCCCCTTAATTAGAAAGGCTTGTTTATTCATTTTTCATAGACTAATGTGCTTAATATATTCCTTTTTTTTTTTTTTTTTTTTTTGAGACGGAGTCTCGCTCTGTCTGTCCCCAGGCTGGAGTGCAGAGGCACGATCTTGGCTCACTGCATCCCCCACCTCCCAGGTTCAAGTGATTTTCCTGCCTCAGCCTCCCAAGTAGCTGGGACTACAGGCACATGCCACCATGCCCAGCTAATTTTTGTACTTTTAGTAGAGATGGGGTTTCACCATGTTGACCAGAATGGTCTCGATCTCTTAACCTCGTGATCCGCCCGCCTTGGCCTCCCAAAGTGCTGGGATTACAGGTGTGAGCCACTGTGCCTGGCCAATATATTCTTATTATCTTTAATTTTTGTTTTCTTTTTCTTTTTTTTTTTATTTTGTTTGTTTGTGTATTTTGAGATGGAGTCTCACTCTGTTGCCCAGGCTGGAGTGCAGTGGTGCAACCTTGGCTCACTGCAACCTCCACCTCCCAGGTTCAAGCAATTCTCCTGCCTCAGCCTCCCGAGTAGCTGGGACTATAGGCACGTGCCAACATACCAGGCTAATTTTTGTATTTTTAATAGAGACGGGGTTTCACCACATTGGCCAGGCTGGTCTTGAACTCCTGACCTCAGGTGATCCGCCTGCCTCGGCCTCCCAGAGTGTTGGGATTACAGGCATAAGCCACCATGCCCAGCCTGGCATATCTACTTTTTAGAAGTGACCCTGTTATATATTCAGTATATGTCACTAATTAAGAACAATATATTAATTCAATATGGGCTTTTTAAAAAGGTTTTACTCATTTCAAGGCTTTTTGCTTACAAATTTTGTTTTTTTGTTGTTGGCTTTGTTGGCAGTCTTTGTTTTGGGCCCCAGTACTCCTCCCACTCCTCCCCAGCATTGTGTGTGAGAGGTGTGTAAAGAGGTGGGTTTCTGGGTAAAAGAAGGCTCTCCTCTTAAAAGTCTGTTAATCTTTAAACATTTCATTTCTGTTTTATGTGTTTTGAAACTGATTATAAATGGTGCATGCCACAAGAGTCAAAGTTTTTAACATTCATTTTAAAAGGAAAATGAGGATGAAGACATAATTTAATTTATATTTTAAGTCAGTATCTTTCATTTCCCTGTCCCTCCCTCAACAGTTATATCATAGTTTGTTTCAGCATTTCAGATTTCAAAGATATTCTTTGAAGTATTTTTTTAATCAGATAACCAGTTTTAGACATATTAATTTTGAATGTCTGGTTTGGGATTTATGATAGCCTTAATTTCTTAATTTTTAAAACTAATGTGACATTTTAAGACCAAAAAAACTGTGTGTTGCAATTATCTTTCACTTTTAAGCCCTCATAGAACAGTCAAAAAACAAAAGCTGTGTTTTGTGGAAGATCTGCCCAGGGGAAGATGGTGAGCCTCTACCAACAAGGGGATTTAGCTAAAAAGAAGGATTTTGTACTGACAAATATTTTTAAAGATTGAGGTCTAACACTTTTGAGAGGTTATGAATATATGGTTGGTCATAGTAGATAGTTCAGTCAGAATCAGTGATTATTGCTTGATTATGTAACATATTAGCTAAGTGATGAGAATAACAGTAGGTATAAGGATCTGTAATGCCAAGGAGTGGAATTTACCGGTTTTTTTTTTTCTTTCCTTTTTTTTTTTTTTCATTGAGACGGAGTCTTAATCTGGCATCCAGGTTGGAGTGCAGTGGCGTGATCTCGGCTCACTGCAACCTCCACCGCCAAGGTTCAAGAGATTCTCCTGCCTCAGCCTCCCCAGTAGCTGGAATTACAGGTGCATGTCACCACGCCCAGCTAATTTTTTTTTTTATTATTTTTTTTGAGACAGAGTTTCACTCTGTCGTCTAGGCTGGAATTCAGTGGCACTATCTCGGCTCACTGCAACCTTCGCCTCCCAGGTTCAAGCAGTTCTCTGCCTCAGCCTCCCAAGTATGTGGGATTACAGGCACCTGCCACCATGCCTGGCTAATTTTTTTATTTCTAGTAGAGGCGGGGTTTTACCATCTTGGTCAGGCTGGTCTTGAACTCCTTACCTTGTGATCCACCCACCTAAGCCTCCCAAAGTGCTGGGATTACAGGCGTGAGCCACTGTTCCTGGCCGGCTTTACCCTTTTGACAGACCTATGGCTCTGGAAATAATAGGCCAGTGTTTGATGGTTCAAGCTCCTAGATACACAGTCCATGTTACGGAACACTCAAAATCCACTAGCATCTCTTCTACCTAGATGGTTTCGTGTCCTTGGCTACAGAAACAGCCCCAAAGCGTTTAACATTTTAAGGATTATTTACTTTCAACATTTTTAAAGTTAAAAAAAAGTTAAGATCCATAAAATTTTTTGGAAAAGTGTTACATTTTCTCTGTTCACCTCTAAAGACCAGTGCTAAAGGATCCTGACATCAAAAATCTTTACAACATTCGAATTACTTGTTATATTTGTCTGTTAAAATTTTGTTAGAAATTGTATGGCCCCAAAGGAGAAATTGCTTTGGAGAAAAAAGTTAGGTAGCAGAGGAACAGTTTGGAAGGGTTGGGGGTTGGCCAGATAAAGAAAGGGAAGAAACATTCAAAATTGAAAGGATGCCGTGTATAAAATATGAATATTGGAAAGCATAGAATATTTCAGAAACAGTGAAGCGAACAGATTGATTGGAATGGAATACAGCTTGGCAAAGTGAATCATTAGTGATAAGATCTAGCATAGTATAAAACTTCTTATAGACATTCATAATGTTTTTCATTCTTTCTAACACCAAACCTGTTCTTCATACCTAGAAAGATTTGGCTTGCAGTAGGCCCTATGTGATTATTGAAAGAAAAGCATAATACATTTGAGTCCCGTAAAAAGTTTTGAGATACTAGTTTAAGGAGTTTAAATCTTATCCTTTAGCACAAGGACTGGGAAAATATGGCTAGAGGACTAGATCTTTTTTGCAATTTTTTTTTTTTTTTTGTAGTTGCTTCTGGCAACTTTCTCTTTGTGTGTGTGTTTATATTCCTTTTCACAAGTATGTTGAATTGAACTTTTTCCTAATTATCACTTAGCTACTTAGTTAATGCATGCAGTAGAACTCTAAAAAGAACTTCTAGGAGTTTCTCAAAGACCTCCCAGTAATTCTTTTCAATTAGAGAGGGCATGCCATTTTTCCTTTTTTATTTTTAAATAATATTTTATTTTTTATTTTTGTGGGTACATAGGTGTATATATTTATGGGGGTACATGAGATATTTTGATACAGGCATACAGTATGTAATAATTACGTCAGGGTAAATGGGGTATCCATCATTTCAAGCATTTATCCTTTCTTTGTGTTATAAACAATCCAATTTTAGGTTTTGTTTTGTTTTGTTTTTTGTTTTTTTGAGACGGAGTCTTGCTCTGTCACCAGGCTGGAGTGCAGTGGCGCGATCTCAGCTTACTGCAATCTCTGCTTCCTGGATTCAAGCAATTCTCCTGCCTCAGCCTCCCAAGTAGCTGGGACTACAGGCACCTGCCACCATACCCAGCTAATTTTTGTATTTTTAGTAGAGATGGGGTTTCACCGTATTGGCCAGGATGGTCTCAATCTCTTGACCTTGTGCTCTGCCCGCCTCAGCCTCCCAAGGTGCTGGGATTACAGGCGTGAGCCACCACGCCTGGCCAAATTTTAGTTATTTTCAAATGTAGAATAAATGTTGGCTGTAGTCAACCTGTTGTGCCTATCAAGTACTAGATCTTATTTATTCTATTTTTTTGTGCCCACTAACCATCCTCTCTCCCACTACCCTTCCCGGCCTCTGGTAACCATCATTCTGCTCTGTCTCCATGAGTTCAGTTGTTGTAATTTTTAGCTCTCACAAATAATTGAGAACATGTGAAGTTTCTCCTTTTGTGCCTGGCTTATTTCACTTAACATAATGACCTCCAGTTCCATCCATGTTGTTGCAAATGACAGGATCTCATTCTTTTTCTGTGTGTATAAATACATTTTCTTTATCCTTTCATTCATCTGTTGATGGACATTTAGGTTGCTTCCAAATCTTAGCTATTAAGAATAGTGCTGCATACAAAAATTAGCCAGGCATGGTGGTGCACACCGTAATCCCAGCTACTCAGGAGGCTGAGGCAGGAGAATTGCTTGAACCTGGGAGGCGGAGGTTGCAGTGAGCCAAGATTGCACCATCGCACTCCAGCCTGGGCGACAAGAGCCCAACTCCGTCTCAAACAAACAAAAAAAGGAATAGTGCTGCAGTAAATGTAGGAGTACAGCTATCTCTTCAATATACTGATTTCCTTTTTTTGGAGGGGTATATACCTAGTAGTGGGATTGCTGGATCATATGGTAGCTCCATTTTTAGGTTTTTTGAGGAGCCTTCCAACTGTTTTCCTTAGTGATTGTACTAATTTACATTCCCACCAACAGTGTATGAGTGTTCCCTTTTCTCCACATCCTTGCCTATCTTTTGGATAAAAGCTGTTTTTAACTGGGGTGAGATGATATTTCACTGTAGTTTTGATTTGCATTTCCCCGATGATCAGTGATGGTTGAGCATTTTTTCATATACCTATTGGTCACTTTGAGAAATGTCTATTCAGATCTTTTGCCCGTTTTTTAAAAATCAGATTATGAGATTCTTTTCTTACAGAATTGTTTGAGCCCCTTATACATTTTTGTTATTAATCCCTTGTCAGATGGATAGTTTGCAGATATTTTCTCCTATTCTGTGGGTTGTCTCTTCACTTTGTTGTTTGCTTTGCTGTGCAGCTTTAAACTTGATGTGATCTCATTTGTCCATTCTCACTTTGGCTTTGGCTGCCTGTGCTTGTGGAGTATTATCAAGAAATCTTTGCCCAGTCCAGTGTCCTGGAGATCACATACTATTTTTATAAATAAAATTTTATTGGAACACAGTCAAACCCATTCATTTACATACAGTCTGCGACTGTTTTTTTTTTTCCTTTTTCTTTCTTTTTTTTTTTTTTTAAGACAGGCTATTACTCTGTTGCTGAGGATGGAGTGTGGTGGCACGATCTCAGCTCACTGCAACCTCTGCCCTCCGGGTTTAAGCGATTCTTCTGCCTCAGCCTCCTGAGTAGCTTGGATTGCAGGCGCCTGCCACCACGCCTGGCTAATTTTTGTATTTTTAGTAGAGATGAGGTTTCGACATGTTGGCCAGGCTGGTCTTGAACTCCCACCTCAGGTGATCCATCCGCCTCTTCCTTCCAAAGTGTTGGGATTACAGGTGTGAGCCACCACACCTGGCCTCTAAATTGATTTTTACTTACAATGAGCACATTTTTGTTAAATTTCTCGCTATTGGCAGGAGAAGAATAACTGAAGAAAGGGGAGCAATTCTGATCCTTCTAAAGGTTCTTCTTGCAACATGTCAGAAAGTATATTTAGCATAATGTTTCTTCTTAAAGGGAAGACCTTCCCTACCTTCCTTATTACCCACATTCCCATTCTCTGTTGTTATTACTGAGCGATAGCATTGGATAATAGAAGCATTAGTTTCTAAGTCAAACAGGAACTCAGTTGCCTCATATGTAAAGTGATAATATTATCTAATTCACAGTGTTGGGATTAAACAGGAGTACATATAGGCTGTAAAAATGGTAGCTGCTGTTTATTTTTCCAGTTGCCTGGAATTGCCTTTTCATTTGATGCATTCCAGCGGTTCTCTTGCTGCCCACTGCAAAAAATTGATACCACATGATTTGAGAACAAGCCTTGGAAAGGATAGAATAACTTGTTATACATTTTCATAGGTTGGGATTTTTTTTCTTTATAGAATCTTTCTAGATCTACTTCGTGGCAATTAAAAATTACTTATTAATTTTCCCAATCTCCTATCCTAGATAATATATCCATCTGAAAGAGAATTATAAGTCAGTTATTTTGGGGAAGCAGCATAGCATAGTGAGTAAAAACATAGGCTTTCAAGTCTGATCTCTTAGGTTCAGCTTCAGCTTTGCCATTTACTTACTGACTGTAATCTTAGACAAGATGTTTAACCTCTGCATATCAGTTTTCTGATAGGGCTGTTATGAGGGATTAAATGAGATAATATATGTAAAGTGCCCAATGTAGTGCCCTGTGACATATTAAGTACCATATAAATATTTGGTTATTAATGGTCATATGCATGTCATACAAATCTGAATATGTAAAATAAATCAGATTGTAGTATGAATGGATGTTCAAAAAGGTAAATGTAGAAATTTTATTAAGACTGAAATATAGCATGTGATTTTTATTTTGGTTTTTATTCTTTAGGTATTACATGAAACCTTTCCTAAACATACATTTCTGATGAACGGCTTAATTCAAGGAGTAAAGGTAGGATCAGTCATACATATATATGTGTATATATACATACATACACATACACGCACACGGATGAACATACATAAATACATATATATAACTATGCGAATATATGTTTGTTTACTGATTAATAACTTAATTTTTATAATTAGATGGAGTATATTTTGAGAGATAACTTAATACTTTCTAGACTTGAGTTTTAAATATGATCTAACTACAATATAGCCAATCATGCATAATAATAAACCACATCATAACAGATTCCCTGTTTTTATGTTGGCATTTTAATTCCAGAGATCTCAATGATTTTGTAAGACTACAGATTGAAGAGGAAAAAACTATACTAAAAAACCCCCATCAATATAAAACTGTATCAGTAGGGTAAAGAGTTGGTTATTATATGAATTCTTTGCTCTTTCTTTTTCGTGTTTTTTTTTTTTTTTTTTTTTTTTTTTGAGACAGAGTCTTGCACTGTCACCCAGGCTGGAGTGCAAGTGGCATGATCTCAGCTCACTGCTGAGAACCTCTGCCTCCCAGGTTCAAGCGATTCTTCTGCCTCAGCCTCCTAAGTAGCTGGGACCACAGACATGTGCCACCACACCCGGCTAATTTTTTGTATTTTTAGTAGAGACAGGGTTTTGCCATGTTGGCCAGGCTGGTCTCGAACTCCTGACCTAAGTGATCTGCCCTCGACCTCCCAAAGTGTTGAGATTATTGGTGCAAGTACTGTGCCCAGCTCAAATTCTTTACTCTTGATTCAGTTTGACAAACAAGTTTTCGAAATAGGTAATTAGCCTGTTTTATATATATATAAATATATGTTTTATGTTTTATATATATATATACACACACACATACATATACACACACATACACAAACAGGTAATTAGCATATGGAATTGCTATTGTGGATTTATTGTGATTGAGAATTTATTAGAGCAGTTCATATTTAATACCTACCTGGAGCCCCACAGATGATTCTAAACTATCTTGGGAAATTTTAAATTTATATATAGATAAGCAATTGTTTATTTAAAAGTTTGTGATATATTTACTTTAGAAACAAAGTTGTTGAAAATTTTTCTATAGGAGTAAAATGATTTATTTTTGGTTCATGCTCATAGATGTGTGGTATTCATTTTTTTCATTTAATTTTTTTAGGGTTTGTTGTCATTCCTTAGTGCCCCGCTTATTGGTGCTCTTTCTGATGTTTGGGGCCGAAAATCCTTCTTGCTGCTAACGGTGTTTTTCACATGTGCCCCAATTCCTTTAATGAAGATCAGCCCATGGTATGTGCACATTTAGATTATAGCAACTAAATATCACTTTCAGCTATTGTTTTCTTAATGTTCCTTTATTTCTTTCACTTGTGCCATCTTGGTTATGAGGTTTTAATTTTATTTTTCTAATACATTTATTCTTTCACACAGATAAGAAGGCCTCTAAAAATACAGTAGGTAATAGTTCATAAAGATTTTAGAAATAGTTGACACTGTTGGAGGCATCTAGACTTCTGGCTAACTTAATTTTGGATTCCAGAACCCAAATTTCAAAACAATATTTTGGGGACTGGATAGGATTGCTAACTTTTTTTCTTGTATAGAATGTTAAAAACAGACACAAAATTTGTCATTATCTATATTAGTTAGGAATAGGTTTTGCTATATATCAAAACCCAAAATAAGAGTTGCTTAAAAATCAAATTTCTCTTTTCATGTGAAAAAGGGTCTGCAAGTTGAGCAGTCTGGAGCTGGTATGGCAGTTCCAGTGGAGCAGACTTTTTCTATCTTGCTGTTCTTCCATCCTCATCTCTCACCTCACTGAACAAAGTGGCTTCTTGAGCTCTAGCCATCAAGTCATACTACTGATAGCAAGGTGGAAGGAGTTGCTAAGAAGAGCACATCACCTTCTTTTAAGGAAACTTTACAGAATTCCCATCCCACCTCTGCTTGCATTTCTTTGGTCAGATTTCAGGGATATGCTGCTCCTAGTTACAAGAGTCTGGACTCAAGGCCACCTTGATTAAAATCAGTATTTTTTTTTTTTCCACTCAGGAGGCAAGGGAAGGAAAGCTAACAAAAAGGGAATAATTGTCCTAAAGTCAGAGCCCAATTTGGTTGTAGATTTATAGATTTATTCTGACTAATGTTCTTTTTACTCCACTGAGTATTAATGTTAGTTCTACATCACGGATGGGCTTTATTTCCATGGTGTTATCTACAAAGGCCCAAAGGTTTATATGGGGCAGGATCTTCTTCTTGTAGATGAGATACAATTCTAATAGACCAAGCCTTTGATGAAGGCCACTCATGCACATGAAATCTTACCAAAAATTGAACATGGAATGAACAAAGAATTTGCTGTGTTAAGCAGTGTGTTAGAAAAATTTTAGTAGTGATAGTCTTGGTGGAATGATATTTTGAAAGCTCATTATGATTATATGTGATTTTCAGAAACTAAACATCAGTATTACAATAGAAACTTCTTATTCCCAGCTATTTTGGAATTATTTATAGCAAAATATAGTTTACTCTTTAAATATTTTGTTCACTGTTTATAGTAACTGTCTATTCTCAGTTTTATGAACACTGAATCCTGCCATATAGGTTTTTTGTGTGTAAAACTGAGTTATTTGTTTTGCCAGCATTTGAAAAGCTAAAGATAACTTATGGAAAACATTTAGTTACTATATAGAGGCTCAAAATAAATATGAAGAAACTTGTTCCTCAGTCTTGTTTACTGGATTTTGTTTTTTATCTAGTGTTGTGGTGAAAAACAGTAATGGATGGATTATAATAGACTTTAGTTTGTTGCTGTTTTTGGCAGAAAAAGCAAAATCACTTAACAGTTCAACAGTTGGTCAAAAGATTTGCCTGAATACATGATCTAATTTTAAGTATTCCTGTATAGTAGCTGAGCTGCTATTGAAGGGCTCCTTCTAGCCCTATGTTTTCATAATATCTGTGGCTTATATTTATGGAATAGTTAATCCATGAACTATCCTAGTAAGCTGTTGACTGAAATGAGCTGCTCTTACGCTTAATTAACTTATAAAAATGAAAGAAGATTAAAACAATGGTAATTGCTCTAACCATTTCTTGTTATCTTTCATTCCTAGGTGGTACTTTGCTGTTATCTCTGTTTCTGGGGTTTTTGCAGTGACTTTTTCTGTGGTATTTGCATACGTAGCAGATATAACCCAAGAGCATGAAAGAAGTATGGCTTATGGACTGGTATGTATGTTTATTCTATACCTTTTGTATCTGCTGAGAAATGCCTTGTTTTTAAGATAAATATTATTATAAGGAGTGCAAACCTTTGCATTACAAGATTTTTGCGTAAAATATATTTTGTAATAAAATCATTCATTAGACTACATTTAAAATTTTTTTGCGGTATGAGGCTATGTAAGTTTTGATTCTTTTCATTTAGTAGATATTCATAAGTCACATGTCAGAATTGAAATTATAGTATATTTTACCTTGTAGAGTTCTTTTTAACAGAATCCTAAAAATAAGAATTATTTAGTATGTCAAGAGTTAAAAAAAATCACTACTCATTTAATGTCTAATCTAAAATACAACAGGCTAACATCTAGCTCAGGGATCAGCAAACCTTTTTTGTGGCTTTGTGGGCCACGTACAGTCTCTGTCTCATTCTTTTGTTTTTGCATGTGTATTTATGTTTATAAACTCTTTAAAAATGTAAGAAACAGCCAGATTTGAGCCATAGTGGTAGGTCGCCAACTCCTGGACACTGTTTTGGTAAACTAAATTATGGCAGTATAATGTGTCATCTATCAAATCTAGGAATTAAAGGAAAAAAGCCTAGTAATAGAATGACTACTATAGGCACAATAATAGATCACTACTGAATAGCCAGAAATAGGACAGTGATGCATTTCGGTAAATGTGAGACAAATACCTTGTGATAAATAAGGACTGAATATTGTGTTGGGCTGAATTAGTTTTAAAAGGGACTGATTTCTGATTCAAAGGACGTTATAGTGAAGAATCATAAGATTTTTGGGGAGGAAACACCTATAGAGAGAAAGTTAGAAAAAGAACTAATAATTTCTGGCCTGTTCAGTGGCTCACACCTGTAATCTCAGCACTTTGGGAGGTTGAGGCAGGCGGATCACTTGAGATCAGGAGTTCACGACCAGCCTGGCCAACATGGTGAAACCTTGTCTCTATTTAAAAAAAAAAAAAAAAAAAAAGTGAAAAGAAAAAGAACTAATGATTTCAGTTGTAAACTTGGAACATTAAATGATACAAGGCTGATGATAGCCAGGATATTTAAAAAATAGTCTAATTAAGCTATAGTTTACATACCATAAAATTTATCCTTTTTATGAGTATAGTTCAGTGAATTTTAGTAAATTTATACTGTTATGCAAACACCACCATAACCCAATTTGGGGTTGGTCGGTTGGTTGGTTGGTTCGTTGGTTTGGTTTTTTTGACGTAATTTATTTTCCCATAGCCAAAGTTTTGAAATTAACAATTTTCAATCTGGAGGTTCTGTGTATTAAGCCATGTTCTGGCAAAAAACAAAACAAAACAAAACAAAACAAAACAAAACAAAAAACACTGAAATCTTCTAGAAATAATATGGATGCAGAAAAAAGGTGGGGAAGTGGCCAGGCACAGTGGCATGTGCCTGTAATACCACCAGTTTGGGAGGCCAAGGCAGGGGGATTGCTTGAGGCCAGGAGTTTGAGGCTGCAGCTATGATCATGCCACTACACTCCAGTCTAGGGTACAGAGTGAGACCCTGTCTCTTAAAAAAAAAAGTTGGAGGGGCCAGGTGCAGTGGCTTATAATCCCAGCACTTTGGGAGGCTGAGGCAGGAGGATTGTTTGAGCCCAGGAGTTTGAGACTAGCCTGGGCAACATAGTGAGACCCCATCTATACAGGAACTTTAAAAATTAGCCAGGTGTGGTGGTGTGTGCCTGTAGTCCCAGCTACCTGGGAGGCTTAGGTGAGAGGATCACTTGGGCCTGAGAGGTTGAGGCTGCAGTGAGCCGTGATCGCACCACTGCGCTCCAACATGAGCCACAGAGCGAGACCTGTCTCCAAAAAAGGGGGTTGGGGGGTGCGGGGTGACCCCTGTGATCTTTTTTCTGAGCAGAAAGAAATGGCTACCAAGTGGAGAGAACTGAGGAGAAGGGAAATGACATGAAACAACTGTACTGACTTGCTCACTGTGTCACAAATGTGATCTCTGTAAATGCCCTCAAATGTCTTCAGTGACCCTCATAGTGAGAACCATTTTCCCTTTCCCCACACTTGTGCCAGAGCCCTGCTGAGATCTGGGTCCCTCTGAAACCACACCTAGGGCTGCAATAACAAAATAACCACTACATTTGAAAATATATATTTATATGTATGTGTGTGTGTGTATGTATGTGTGTGTATATATATATAGTTTGTTTTTTGTTGAGACGGAGTCTCGCTCTGTCACCCAGGCTGGAGTGCAGAGGTGTGATCTTGGCTTACTGCAACCTCCGCCTCCTGGGTTCAAACGATTCTGCTGCCTCAGCCTCCCCAGTAGCTATGCCCACCACCATGCCCAGCTAATTTTTGTATTTTTAGTAGAGACGGGGTTTCACCATATTGGCCAGTCTTGTCTTGAACTCCTGACCTTTGGTCCGCCTGCCTCGGCCTCCCAAAGTGTTGGGATTATAGGCGTGAGCCATGGCGCCTGGCCCCCATGTGAATATATTAAATACCATTTAAAAAACCACCACAACCCAGTTATAGAACATTTCCATCAGCCCAAAATGTTCCCTCAGCCCTGTTTGCCATCTGTCCCCATGCTCCACCTGTGACCCCAAGCAACCAACAATTTAGCTTCTGTCACCATGGTTTTGCCTTTTCTAGAAACTTCATAGAAATTAAATAATACAAAACATCTTTTGTGTCTAACTTCTTTCACTTGGCATAATCTTTTGAGATTGATCCATGTTGATACTATAGATCAATAGGTTCTATTTTTGTCTCTTTTCCTTTTTTTTTTTTTTGAGACAGGGTCCTGCTCTATCCCCCAGGCTGGAGTGCAGTGGCATGATCATGGCTCACTGAAGCCTTGGCTTCCTGGGCTCAAGCGATCCTTCTGCCTCAGCCTCCAAAGCAGTTGGGACCACAGGCATGATCCACCATGCCCAGCTAATTTTTTTCTTTTTGAGACAGGGTCTCACTCTATTGCCCAGGCTGGAGTGCAGTGGTGCCGTTACAGCTCACTGCAGCCTCTGTCTCCCCTCTACCTCCCTGCCTCAAGTGATCCTTCCACCTCAGCCTCCCGAGTAGCTGGGACTACTAATTTTTGTATGTTTTGTAGTGATGGAGTTTCACCATGTTGCCCAGGATGGTCTCAAACTCTTAAACTCAAGTGATCTGCCTGTCTCAGCCTCCCAAAGTGCTGGAATTACAGGCATGAGACACTGCACCTGGCCAGTAGTTTTTTTTGATTGCTGTGTAGTGTATTCTTATCCATCAGTTGATGGACATTTGATTGATAGCTAGATGTTTGAAATTACTAGAATTTTATGTACTTGTTCAAATAATTGACCTTTGAAAATTGAATTGCTTGCCTTAAGCAATAGAGTTGCAAGTAAGCATTCTTGTGAAGTTTAAGTTCTCCATCCAAAAGTCAAAAATGGCATAGAAACAGAATAAAATTCCAACATTAATCTCTATGCTTTGAAAGAATATGGTCCTTTTCCTTTCCTTCCCTTCCCCTTTCCTTTCCTTTGCCCTTCTCTTCCCCCTCCCCTCCCCTCCCCTTTCCACTTTTCACTTTCACTTTCCCCTTTCCTTTTCGCTTTCACCTTTCTCCTTTCCTTTCCTTTTCTCTTTTCCCTTCCCTTCCCTTCCCTTCCCCTTTTCCCTTTCCTTTCCCCTCCCCTTTTCCCTTTCCCTTCTTTTTTCTTTTTCTTTCCTTTTCCTTTCCCTTCCCCTTTCCCCTTTTCCTTAAGCCTTTTCCCTAAGCCTTTTCCCTTTTTTAACCCTTTCCTTCCCCTTTTCTCTTCCCCTTTCCCCTTTTCCTTTCTCCTCCTCTCCTTTCCTTTCCTCTTCTCTTCTCTCCTCTCCTCTTCTTTCCCCTTTCTCCATTCCTTTTCCCTTTGCTTTCCTTTCCTCTTTCCTTTCCAGACAGGGTGTTGCCCAGACTGGACTCACTCTTGGGATCAAGTGATCTCCCACCTCAGCCTCCTGAGTAGCTGGGACTATAGGCAGGTGCCACCTCACCTGACTAAGAGTGCTATTTTTATGAAGTGTTTCCTGCTGTCACATCTGCTAATTTGTAGGCTGTTGTCCAGTAGGCTAGAAATGTCTGCGGTTAACAGGTTTGCTCTACTCGTGTCCTTTTCAACTTTAATCTTCATCTTCACCAGGCTTAAAAAAATAGACTTCCTCAGAGTTTTAGAGATGTTCTTAATTTATCTGTGATTTCATTCTTCCTAACCCTGCCAACTAAAAAGATTACCAAGCTCAGTTTTGTTCCAGGGCTTAACATATTATTCATGAGAACAGGAACCTCCAAGTCTTTAAGCTTTATTTCAGCTAGCCCTTCAGTATGTATCAAGATAAACGTTCATTTAATTTTAATATTGGAAAAGTCACAGTGAAATTGGATTTCCTTAGAGCAGTGGATTTTAGACTCCTTTCACAGAGAGCACTTAAGGGTTTATGGAGATGCCCTTAACCAAGCTTGTCCAACCCATGGTCCACAGGCTGCACACATGGCCCAACAGAAATTCATAAAGTTTCTTAAAACATTATGCAGTTTTTTTTTCTTTAAGCTCATCAGCTATTGTTAGTGTATTTTATGTGTGGCCCAAGACCGTTCTTCCAGCGTGGCCCAGGGAAGCCAAAAGATTAGACACCCCTCCCCTAAGGACCAGCATGACTGGCAGTCAAGGAGGGGTGTTTGTACAGTGCCCAGGCTCTCAACCCTTCCTCAACTAAAAGAGTTAAAAAATTTAAATAGGCCGGGCATGGTGGCTCACGCCTGTAATCCCAGCACTTTGGGAGGCCGAGGCGGGCGGATCACGAGGTCAGGAGATCGAGACCATCTTGGCTAACACGGTGAAACCCCATCTCTACTAAAAATACAAAAAATTAGCCGGGCGAGGTGGCGGGCGCCTGTAGTCCCAGCTATTCGGGAGGCTGAGGCAGGAGAATGGCGTAAACCCCGGGGGCGGAGCCTGCAGTGAGCCGAGATCGCGCCACTGCACTCCAGCCTGGGCGACAGAGCGAGACTCCGTCTCAAAAAAAAAAAAAAAAAAAAAAAAATTTAAATAGAGGCAGGGTCTTGCTGTGTTGCCCAGGCTGGTCACAAACTTCTGGCTTCACGCAGTCCTCCCACCTTGGCCTCCCCAAGTGCTGAGATTACAGGCATGAACCATCACACCCAGTCTTCTTAAAAAAATCTCTTTTACCTATGAATTTGCCAGTAGGATTTATTGGAACAGAGGGCTCCAAGGCTTAGAAAGTTTGAAGACAGTGTCCTGAGAGGCTATCATTTATTTTATTTTATTTTTGAGATGCGGTCTCACTCTGTCACCCTGGCTGGAGTGCAGTGGTGCTGTCATGGCTCACTGCAACCTCCGCCTTTCTGGCTCAAAGGAATTCTGCCACCTCAGCCTCTGAAGTAGCTGAGACTACAGGTGCACACCAGCATGCCCAGCTAATTTTTCTTTTTTCTTTTTTGATACAGACAGGGTTTCTCCATGTTGTCCAGGCTGTTTTTAAGGCAAGAATCTAATTCTTTACTTTTCCTGCCAAAGGAGAGAGTATAAGAAAAGTGGGGCCAGGCTTGGTGTCTCATACCTGTACTCCCAGCCCTTCGGGAGGCTGAGGTGGGAGGATCGCTTGAGCTCAGGAGTTCGAGACTAGCCTAGGCAACATAGCGTGACTTCCACCTCTATAAAAAATAAACAAAATTAGCTGGGCGTGGTGGTGTGTGCCTGTAGCCCCATCAGGAGATCTTCAGGCAGGAAGATCTCTTGAGCCTGAGAGGTCAAGACTACAGTGAGCCGTGATGGCACCACTGCACTCCAGCCTGGGCGACAGAGCAAGACCCAGTTCCCCCACTCTCGCCCCCACAAGAAAAAAAGATAAATGGCACAGGTAGGAAGAGAAAAGGGAGGGTGTGCAACAGAAGGCCTGACATAAATCAAGATTATGAAAGGAGTTATGTGGTGTTGAGGAAAAAAGTAGCCTGACTAATCTCTGTCTATCCTTAATTTATTGCAGGTTTCAGCAACATTTGCTGCAAGTTTAGTCACCAGTCCTGCAATTGGAGCTTATCTTGGACGAGTATATGGGGACAGCTTGGTGGTGGTCTTAGCTACAGCAATAGCTTTGCTAGATATTTGTTTTATCCTTGTTGCTGTGCCAGAGTCGTTGCCTGAGAAAATGCGGCCAGCATCCTGGGGAGCACCCATTTCCTGGGAACAAGCTGACCCTTTTGCGGTAAGTTTATACTTTTTCCTTCTCCTTGATAAAAAAGTGCATGATTCAGTGCAGCATTAATATTTTGTTGTGGATATTTCTTTAGGGAAAACATCTTGGGTTTTTCTTTTAACATTTTGAAATACTTTTCAGAATAGTTTGGGGAATATGAAATAAATAAAAAGGACAACTAGTTGTCCATGAGTACACTGCCAAAAGGAATCTCTGCGTATTCTTAAGAATAGTTCAGTGGTTTTGATAGAAAACCTTATATCAATCAGTCTTTTTCTTGTTCTAGTCCTTAAAAAAAGTCGGCCAAGATTCCATAGTGCTGCTGATCTGCATTACAGTGTTTCTCTCCTACCTACCGGAGGCAGGCCAATATTCCAGCTTTTTTTTATACCTCAGACAGGTAAAATCCTCTTCCACTAAGGTGGACTTTTCTTTCATTGTCTAGTGCTTTAATAAAAATATTTAATCTTGAGAGAACTGTAATAGAAGTGGCCTTTAAAAATGAATATCATTGGACTTGGTATAGTGGCTCACGCCTGTAATCTCAGCACTTTGGTAGGCCAAGGTGGGTGGATCAGCTGAGGTCAGGAGATCAAGACCAGCCTGGCCAACATGGCAAAATCCTATGCTTACTAAAAATACAACAACTAGCCAGGCGTAGTGGCGGGCACCTGTAATCCCAGCTACTTGGGAGGCTGAGGCAGGAGAATCACTTGAACCCAGGAGGCGGAGGCTGCAGTGAGCCAAGATTGCGCCATTCACTCCAGCCTGGGTAACAAGAGCGAAACTCCGTCTCAAAATTAAATAAATAAATAAATAAATAAAAAGAATATTATTTGGTCTACTAGACTTTACCTCCTATTCTGTGTGGCTGATGTTCCTTATGCATTTCTAATGGGGGTTATTTGGTATATTAAGATATTTGGCTTAGGGAGAAAGATAGTTTTCCCTGTCCATATAGGTGGTTTGAGTTTGTTGGCTATAGAATTGATGGGATGATTTAACCCCTTCACCTGCTCCAGCTTCTTTGTGATTTAGAGCATATGTAAGTAGAGCAGCTAGCCAAAATGAGAGCAAAAACAAGTATTTTCCTCCTTGACACTAGTCTCACTAGACGGAGATCAAGCCTTTAACCAATACATGTAAAATGCACAAAATACTGCAATATTTATTTGTAAAATGATTCTGAGTTCTTGATAAGTATCTCCAATTTAGTATATCCACATTGAGGGACCCACCATGGATAAGTAGGCATTTTTAGTATGTTAAGATATGTTGTATTTCCTCTGAGGAATTCTTTGTTTATAAATGAATTACATTTATTTTTTTCTGGCCCATTAAATGTTAATATACAAGTAGCTGCAGTGGTTTTCTATCTGGTATACATTTGTATTCATTAATGTTACCTTTTCTGGAAACCCTTCTAGATAATGAAATTTTCACCAGAAAGTGTTGCAGCGTTTATAGCAGTCCTTGGCATTCTTTCCATTATTGCACAGGTGAGTTTCTTTTTTTAGTTAGAGTGATGTCAGTGACCCTGGCTGGCCATCCAAACTGGGGCCTCATCTAGTGATGGTATCTTGGTGGAATCAACAAAGTCAGGAGTCTGAGGTTGATAGGTTCAGAAATTCAATTTGTTTGTGTAGCTAGTGTTGATCAGATTTTTGGGACTGACACATTTAATATAGGATATATAAACGTAAAAGCTAGTTTATTGATGTATACTAGGATATATGTCTGGATGAAGTTAGAAGTTTCATGTCTTGTAGTCCTTGTCCTATTTATTCACTCATTCAACAAATATTTATTGAATACCTACCGTGTGTCAGGCACTGGGGATACAGCAGTGAACTTAACTAAATTCTTGCTTTTGTAGAGTTTACATTCTGGTGGGATAAGACAGAAAATAAAAACACCAATGTAAACATATCAGATGTATTGAGAACTACAGAGAAAAAGCTAAGGGTCATATGGAGAGTGACTTGGGAGAATGGTCTTAAGGGCACAGGGGGCATGGTTGAGAAGACCTTGCTAATGCAAGGTGACATTTCAGCAGAGACGCAAAGGTATGAGGAACAAGCTGTAGGATTATCTGGAAGAAGAGAATTTTAAACAGTACAAACAAAATTCTCAGGAGAGACTGTAGCTGGCTTGTGTAAGAAACAACAGGGGGCCAGTGCGGCTCCAGTTGAGTGAACAGTTGAGAGCATCTTAGAAACTGAAGTCCAAGAGGTAGTGAGGGACCAGATCGTGCGGGGCTTACAGGTCCTCATAAGACTTGAGTAAGATAGGAAGTCATTGGTGGGTTTTGAGCAGCAGAATGACATGAAAGTGTGTATCTTGGCAGCCCAGTTGGTAAACAGTTGTTGTGTGATGAATAAGATATTAATCAACACAGGAATTTGGATTTTCTGAGGAGATATTTCATCCTGGCTTCCAAACTGTTTCTGTTTAACAATAAGAATACTATCTTTTTTCCAGTGACCACCATAATTCTCTCACATCACAGAACATTGTCCTCCTTCCTGTGAAAAAGCCCCACCCCCTTTCTTGCTATTTGGCTTTCTGTTTCTAAGACACTATGAAGACAATCTAGTCTAAGTTAATACTTTTTCTCACCTTAGATGTAATCTACTAGATTACAACTTAGTTTTATTCTAGGGTATTTTTAATTGACTCTTGGATGGTTCACCATTTCTCGAGTAGGATTCCTTCTGCAGGTCTCATGATTCATTCTGTTTTGGTGAGTTTAGCAACAAATTTCAAATTTAAATCCTATATGCCTCCCCAAGCCTCTGCACATACATATACTTGGTGTTGAGTATTAGTACTATTTCTAGCTTCAGGTTTGTCCTAAAAATCATCAGTCTGGAAAAACAATGCATTTAAATATTCATTCCTAGCCATGAGAAAAGTGCTTTTTAACTTTGGAGGAAAATATACTGTAGCCTTTATATAAAAATGGCTTTAAAAAAAGTTTTTGAGGCCAGGTGCGGTGGTTCATGTCTGTATTCCCAGCACTTTGGGTGGCCAAGGTCAGGGACCGCTTGAGCCCAGGAGTTCAAGACCAGCTCAAGCAACTTGGCAAAACCCCATCTCTACCAAAAAAAAAAAAAAAAAAAAAAAAAAAGAAAGAAAGCCCGGTGTGGTGGTGTGTGCCTGTAGTCCCAGCTACTCAGGAAGCTGAGATGGGAGGATTGCTTGATCCTGGGAGGTCGAGGGTGCAGTGAGCCACAGTTGTCCCATGGTACTCCAGTATGGGCAACAGAATGAGACCCTGTCTCAAAAAAAAAGTGTAAGGAAAATACACAGTTAGTATGTGTAGAACTTGATGAATTATCAAAGATTAACCCAACCTTGCAATAGATGTGATCAACCTGGGCATGAGTATCTTTTTCATACATTGCCAACATTAGATTTGCTAACATTTTGTTTAAGATTTAGATGAAGAGAGCAGACTAATACTGTAATGACACATAAAAGATTGATAGCTATAAGGTCTTAAGTTCTGTTTCTTACTTAAATGACCATGGGAGCTGTATGCATCTAATAAATGTAGTCAGTGACACTGCAGACCCAGTGATGAGTGGAGGGTGCTTTTGAGGGTATTTTTCCTCTGTTTAGCAGATGGCATCTGGCACTAGGTTACAAGATGAAAAACAGTCTCTGAGAGTGCAGAATCTGGCAGGGCAGACAGGTAAAGGAGAGGAATGTAGTTGGATTTGTATTGGAAAGATCAGTGCAGCAGCAGAGCCCTGAAGGCAGTAAGACCGCAAAGGTGCAAGCAACCCTCCAAACACCATTGCTGACACAGCATGACACACACAGTCCATGAGGAACAAGGTCCTTAAGTGACCATTTAGGTTTTGGTGCTTATGTAGAAGTAAGAATTAACACTTTATATCATATATGAGCTACTACATTATTACATGTATAGCCTCAAAGGTAGAAGAATGATCTTGTATTCTCATTTATGCAGAAATATACAATTGAGAATGACTTGTCCCCTGTTGACCTTCCATACCACTGAAAGACCAGTGTATTTCTCCCTCCTCTCCAGCAGCACGGAGCTGCTAATAGCTCTCCATTAATGCATGTTTGCTTTATTTCTTACCCACGTGCTTTTGTTCCTGCTATTCTTTCTGCCTCCCCTTCCTCCACCCTAAGTAGCCCTTTTCTGGGTCCCCATGCTCATGTGCGCATATCTCCATCATTGTACAGAATACAGTGTAGTAGAGATTTTATCTCTGTTTATTGCCTTAGTTTGTGAGCTCTAGCGGACCTCTGAGTAGATGATGAGGTCAGGATTATATCATATTCATTTTTGTCACCCTAGCACCCTGAACTGCCAGGAGGTGCTAAACTAAAGGTCATTGGTTTTTTTCCATAATGTTAAAAAAAAAAAAAACTTAAAAAATTAGTAGTAAGCACTTTAAAATTGGGAAGTGTTACGTGAAATTATAGTTATGTAGCTTCTCCCCCAAAATGATTAGATCTGGTAACCGGGTGTGGGCCAACCTTCCAGCGAGAGCCAAGTAGTTGCTGTCCCCTTTGGAACCTTTTCTTTTTGGTTTATCATCAGCCCCATTACTTCCTGGGCACCGGTACGTATAAGAGTTCCTAACACTTGCACTAAGTAAGTGTTTACATGAGAACATCAATATAGTTCTACACATTTCTTTTTTCTCAGTGTTTTCCTATCCAGCCCTCTCTGTGGGGGTGACTCCCACACTTACTCTTCCAGTCCAGTCCCTGAGCTCCTATATGACACATTGGCTGGGTATCTCAGCCTTAACATGGCCAAAATTAAAATCTGGGTTCCATCCCTTGCCCGCCACCCCTATGCTCCTCATCTCATTCAGTGGCTTCACCACCGCCAGGTTTTGGGGGCCAGAAGCCTTAGCGACATTCATGAATCCTTTCTCCCTAACCTTACATTCAGCCCATCAAATGATACTTCCTATCACCTCTCTCTCCAAAATATATCTTGAATCAGAGCGTTTCTGATATTCTCCATTAGTAGGAACCCAATCTGAGCCGTGGCCATATCTTCCATCTGGTCTCTCTGCTTCCATCTTGCCTCACTATAGTTCATTCTGCACTTGGCAGAGTAATTTTTGTAAAATGGAAATTTAATCGCATCTTACCTATAACTCACTTTCCTTTGCAACCAGAATAAAATCTAGACTCCTTATTATGTCATTTTCCTCCACTCTCCACATGGTTGAGTATGTTCTGTTTCAGTCCAGGGCCTTTGCACTTGCTGTCAGCCTTGCTTGGGGTGTTCTCTTTCCCCAGATCTTTGCATAACTAGGTCTCTCCCCTTAGTGAGCTCTCACTTCAAAAGGCCTTCCCTGGATCCTGGTTTAAGCAGCATCTCCATCACACTGCCCTGTTTTATTTTGTTCATAGCAGCTACAACCTGGAATATCTTGTTAAATAAGCAGGCTCATATGCATCTTTCCTCCATGAGAAGGTAGTCCGTGTGTTGATGGATACTTTGACTTACTCACCCATGCGTCTTCAGGCCAAGAATAAGAGTTGGTCTTATTAGGAATTTGGCAAATATTTGTTGACAGACTAACCAAAGCTGATGTTAGTGTTAGCTTAGCTGTTCATCAGCTATGCCATCTTGCTTAAGTCATTTAACCTTTGGGACTCAGTGCTGTCATCTTCAAAATGAGAGTTAAATTAAGGGACACCAAAAATTTTTTCCGTTCAAGAACACTTATATATTAAGTATTTTGTTCCATTATTATTAATATTATTGAGAATATTATAACATTTAGAATTATGCATGCTTTCCATAAACACTTATTAAGAACTTACTGGGTGCTGGGGATATAAATGTAAATAAGAGAAAAGTTCCTGCCTTCAAGAAGAAAATCAGTGTTCCCAGTTACAGTGTTGTAAGTATCGGTGTCTTTTAGGGCTTTGGGTCACAAGATAGGCTGTAGGGGAAGGAGTCCAAGAGGAGGTTCTCACAGCAGTGGGCCTGCTGCAGTAATTCTGCACATAGGACGTTACCCCAGGAAAGGGGGATTGGTGTATCTCATTGTTTCCAATTTTAATGACTCATCTCATGGCCTTAAGAAAATATATTCTTGGCCGGGCACGGTGGCCCACACCTATAACCTTAGCACTTTGGGAGGCCAAGGTGGGTGAATCACCTGAGGTCAGGAGTTCGAGACCAGCCTGGCCAACATGGTGAAACCTCATCTCTACTAAAAATGCAAAAAAAATTTAGCTGGGCATGGTGGCACGTGCCTGTAATCCCAGCTACTCGGGAGGCTGAGGCAGGAGAATCACTTGAACCTGGGAGGTGGAGGTTGCAGTGAGCCAGCATTGCGCCACAGCACTCCAGCCTGGGCAACAAGAGCGAAACTCCATCTCGGGGGGAAAAAGAAAGGCTGGGCACGTGGTGGCTCACGCCTGAGATACCAGCACTTTGGGAGGCCGAGGCAGCTGGATCACAAGGTCAGAAGTTCGAAACCAGCCTGGCCAATATGGTGGAACCCTGTCTTTACTAAAAATACAAAAATTAGCAGGCATGGTGGTGGGCACCTGAGTCCCAGCTACTCGGGAGGCTGAGGCAGAAAAATCGCTTGAACCCCGGAGGCAGAGGTGGCAGTGAGCCAAGATTGTGACACTGCACTCTAGCCTTGGCAACAGAGCGAGACTCCGTCTCAAAAGAAAAAAAAACCCAAAAGAAAAAGAAAATATATTCTCCAGTTAATCTTATCTATAAAAAGGAAATGAGGCTAATAATGCATTCTAAGCCTTTTTTATTGAATTGGGATTTATTCTTTGAGAACAGCTTTCCACAAAGGGGAAGATAGTCATTTCTGCAGATAAGTACTTACTGGCTAGATGGGTTGGTTGAAGGGCTATGAGATGACCGCATTTTATAAGTACTTTCTGGTAATATTAATGATCTCTGCTTGAGAAGTGTCAGCTTTCTTAGACTAGCATTCCTGAAAGAACACGTGCTCCAGGGTACATGGCTGGCCCATGCCATCCTGTTCCCACTGAGCTGGGAGTTGATGCTCAGCCTTCTTCACTGTCCTGTCTCTTGGCTGAAGTGCCAGGGATTTCATCATTAAGTGAAATCTATTTTTTAACAGCATTTCTTCCTTGTAATGCTTATCATCATCTCAATGAATGATGAGAACAAATGTTTTCTGCTCTGTGAGTTCCTAGAGCCATATAAAGAATCACAGCTTTTTAGATGAAAGTGCTACCTTCCGGGATGTTCTTAAAAGTAGTTTCCCAGAAGTTCTTCAACTTTGCATTATAGTTCCCTGTTCTTCTCAGACAGTTGGAGGCCACAGAGCTTTGGGTATACTTACAGTTTCCTTTTTCATAATTAATTGAAAGCCAGTCTCTGATATAGTCCACAAATAAAATCATTTTTAATTATTTCTAACCCTAATTAGAATCCTAATCATTTCTAATCTTTCTGATTATTTTTTATAATATTGGCCACCAGTTCCCACCCACAAGTCATGGGTGACTTGAGATGGTCTCTGTCACCCAGGCTGGAGTGCAGTGGTGTGATCATGGCTTACTGCAGCCTCGACCTCCTGGGCTCGAGTGATCCTCTGGACTCAGCCTCCTGAGTAGCTGGGACCACAGGTGTGTGCCACCAGCCTGGCTAATTTTTCAATTTTTTGTAGAGATGTGGTCTCTTTATGTTGTCCAGGCTGGTCTCAAACTCCTGGGTTCAAGCAGTCCTTCCATCTCAGTTCCCCAAAGTGCTGGGATTACAGATATGAGTCACTGTGCCTGGCCTAAATGTTTCTTTCAGTTGAAGTTTTTCTCAGCTAACTGCTGGCTCTGGGCAAGTTTCCTTTTCTGGTTTGGTTGCCGAAGAATATAATTCTACATGGAACTCAGTCTTATACTCACGTGATTTAAGTGAAAGTCTTAGACAAGAAAGCTGTGAGTTCTAATTGCTCAAAAATCCTTGAATGAATCATTTGCTTTTCACTGGCATATTTGTGATTAAATTCTTAAGTGGCCATCTCAATTTAAAGAATTCAAAACTTATATTTTATGAGTTTTAAAGTGTCAGCCCATCATAAAATAGTGATTTCCTGAATTATTTTTACTTGTCTATGGACTTACTAGCTATCTTATGTAGTATATTAAAAACGTTAGTTAGAATAGCAAAAAAAAATTTTCTAATGTTCCCAAATCACTGCTGAACTTTGTTGACTTTGAAAGAAAAAGGAGGCACAAGAAAACCCACCCACTGATAATATTGTTTATTAACCGCTGATTATTGCCAGGCACAATTCTAAGAACTTTATGTAAATATATCTCATTTAATTCCCATGACAAGGTTTTGAAATAGGTGCTGTTATCCCCATTTGCAAAGAGACAAAAGTGAGGCTCAAAGTGAAGTGACTTGCTGAGAGCCACACAAAGCCAAGATTATGATCCAGGCTGTTTTTCTAAAGTCTGCTGTATAGTATACTGCATTTATCCCAAATCAAGCTTATTAATTTACTGTTTATAAAAGGCATCATGGTTTCAACAACAGATTAACTTAGGTAAATAATATATGGGTAATCATTGTTCTGTTAGTTTTTCTTTAGTTGTGGAAATAAGCATTTTAGACTAACTTGGACCTAAACAAGCTTTAAGGCTATTATGTAATGGGGATCTCCAAATCATTAGTTAGAACTTTTGACCCTTCCATTTTCAACTACTGATTTAAGTGGTCCTCAGTAGAAATGTACTGAATAGGAAGTTTTATCTTTCAGTTTTCTAACTCTCAGTCTGGATCTATGTCAGCAGAGGGACTTTTCATCTGCTTATGTGACCTGGACTAGTGATCTCAGACATATTCAGGGCAATTATTGCTGAAAATCAGCCAAATTGTAGAAAAGTGCCAATAGTCCTTTTATAGTGTAGATTGAAAGAAGTCACTTTTTAAAACTTTATTCTGATAAATCTTTTTTTTTTTTTTTCAGACCATAGTCTTGAGTTTACTTATGAGGTCAATTGGAAATAAGAACACCATTTTACTGGGTCTAGGATTTCAAATATTACAGTTGGCATGGTATGGCTTTGGTTCAGAACCTTGGTAAGTATAAATATTTTAATGTTAATATTTTTAATTTTGGTGTTAGCCCTTGTGTTTTTATTTGCTTCTCAACTGAGGGGTAGACTGTAATCTGTCTCATACTATGCTTTTTATCTTTCAAAATGTGTCTAATATAAGTCTGCCACTTGTATATTTATATGTTCTCCTAGAATGGCTTGAGGATTAAAAAGGTGACCTTTTATAGCTAAATGACAGGCTGAATTTTTGAATGAGATTATACAGCTTTTGAATCTTTAAGGAGCATTTAATCTAAATCAGTCCGTTACTAGGAAAAAGTATGTAATCCCATAGCAACAAGGCCCTGAAAGTTATTTACATTTTTTGTTTTTCTGGTCAGGAAAAAGAAAGTTGTATAACCAGTGATCATTACTGATAGCAAACCAGAAGTGAAAACAATCCAGTTATTTTGGTGCCAGCTTCATGCTGTGTCTCAGCTTTTCTGACCAGTCGGGTTTCCTGCAGGGGACTTGAGTAGTGACGCTTGTTGTCAGGCTGCCCACGTAGATAGTATTATTGTGCTCAGGCATTATGGCACTGAACTCCATGGTTTGCACTAATATTTCAAACAACTGACTGCCTCGTCTCTGTTTGGACTTGGATATAAGCAAGCATCAAGAGGGTGATGATTTGTTCTCCAAACTAGCCTTTGCAAAGAGGTGCTCACAATTGAAATTACCTAAAACATTTCTTTTAAACATCAAGCCAGGAACATCCAAGTTACTTGTTCTTTACAATTTAAGGATTAGATCAAATCAGCGATATCTTCACAAATCCATCCATAAGAACTTTGCCAAAGACTTGTTGGCTTCATGTGTTTGGAAATATTTGATGATGTTTCGTCATCTATATTATACATTATCCTCAATATAACCTCTCAATTGCCTGTAGAAATAATACCCAGCACATTTTACAGTTTGGAACATGATATCCCTATTTTACATTACACCCTCACAGCACTCTTGTGAATTAAGTTGCTGTCTTTGTATACAGGGTCAGATTGTTAAGCGACTTGCCCATAGTCACCTAGTAAGCAAGTTCAGTTCTCCTTTTCTCTACAGCCATTTCACAGTAAGAATTACTTAATTATGTAGTTTGACTTTCAGGTACAGTGGAGAAGAATTTACTGTTTTTGTTTTGCTGCTCTCCTTATAGGATGATGTGGGCTGCTGGGGCAGTAGCAGCCATGTCTAGCATCACCTTTCCTGCTGTCAGTGCACTTGTTTCACGAACTGCTGATGCTGATCAACAGGGTGAGTTGATAGGAACTAGCGATAATTATTTAAAAGTACAGAATGTTCTAATCCTGTGTTCTGTCTCCTATGTACTGAAACATAAGTATATCTTCAGGGTAGAGACTTTTAAAATTGCTTTTGATATAAACAGGAAAAGCAGATTCTAGGGTATTTATCCTTAGGTAGATACATATTCCCTTTTCTCTCACTTAGAATATGTGGCTTATCTGTTCTGTTCATAGAAAATTTACTGATGAGGCTGGGCATGGTGGCTCACACCTGTAATCCCAACACTTTGAGAGGCCGAGGCAGGCAGATTGCTTGAGTTCAGGAGTTGGAGACCAGCCTGGGCAACATGGGGAAACCCCATCACTAAAATGCAAAAATTAGCTGGGCAGGGTGGCGCATGCTTGTAGTCCCAGTTACTTGGGAGGCTGAGGTTGGAGGATCACTTGAGTCTCAGAGGCGGAGGTTGCACTGAGCCAAAATCAGGCCAGTGAACTCCAACCTGGGCGACACAGTGAGAGACCTTGAGAGACCTGTCTCAAAAAAATTTACTGATGAATGTTGGCCACAGAATATTAACTAAGCATTAAGTTTTTGCTGTGTTGTGCTAGACACCTTGTGGGATATATTCATAGACCTTTTATGAATGTTGTCCCAGCCACTTGGGAAGCTGAGGCAGGAGGATTACTTGAGCTCAAGAGTTTGAAGCTAGCTTAGGCAACACAGCAAGACTCCCATCTCTAATAAAAAAAAAAAAAGAAATCATATAGTTTCAGTCATCTGAAGATATGTAACACAGCAACATCTTTAATGTCATATGCTCTCTTTTTTTTTTTTGGTGGGAACATTTAATTCTTGGGATGCTAACAGATGACAAATACTTCTTTGAAAAGGATATGTTTTGTCTAGTCATAAGGATAAAAGGGGCACTGCAAAACAGTGGCAGTTGTCACTTGGTTGATAAATGAGGAAGGAAAGGCCTATGGCCAAAGCAAGTTGCATTTTAAATTAAAGATCCAAAAGAGAGAAACAAAAATCAAATGCTGTTAAAACAGTGTTATTGGCCGGGCGCAGTGGCTCATGCCTGTAATCTCAGTGCTTTGGGAGGCCAAGGCTGGTGGATCACCTAAGGTCAGGAGTTCGAGATCAGCCTGGCCAACATGGTGAAACCCTGTCTCTACTAAAAAAATCAACCAGGCGTCGTGGTGCACACCTGTAATCCCAGCTACTCGGGAGGCTGAGGCAGGAGAATCACTTGAACCCTGGAAGCGGAGTTTGCAGTGAGCCGAGATCGTGCCACTGCACTCCAGCCTGGGCAACAAGAGTGAAACTCCGTCTCAAAAAAAAAAGTGTGATTTTGGCTGGGCACAGTGGCTCAATGCCTGTAATCACAGCACTTTGGTAGGCTGAGGCAGGAGGATCACTTGAGTTGAGTTCAACACCACCCTAGGCAACAAAGTGAGACCCCATCTCTACAAAAAGTACAAAAATTAGCCAGGTATTTGAGCCCAGGAAGTTGAGGCTGCAGTGAGCCAAGTTTGCGCCACTGCACTCCCGCCAGTTGACCCCCCCACTTTATTTTTGACTAAAAGGGGTCTTAAGTACTTGCTTGGGGACAGATAAATTTTAACATTTGTAGTTGTGAAATTGTGACTGATTTTTAACCAGCCATGTTTTGAAGGCTGTAATCTAGGGAAATAAAGTAGTTTTGCCCACTTGTTTCTATGTGAGACCTATATATGGGTACATCAGAGCTCATGTTTGCATAGGACAGCTTACTACACTTTGTAGAGCTGATAGCTTCTAAATATTAATAGTTTTTAATGACATTGCTATAAATTGCTAGTGTCTGATAAGAAGCTTGATTTTAGATTAAGTGATTTCATATTTGTACTGGTTCTAAGGTAGGGAAAAAAAACCAGGTAGTTTACTAAGTGATAATTTGTTTAAACAATGTAGGTGTCGTTCAAGGAATGATAACAGGAATTCGAGGATTATGCAATGGTCTGGGACCGGCCCTCTATGGATTCATTTTCTACATATTCCATGTGGAACTTAAAGAACTGCCAATAACAGGAACAGACTTGGGAACAAACACAAGCCCTCAGCACCACTTTGAACAGGTAATTCTCATTCAACATGATCAAATTGTATGGTTCATTTGGCTAGATTAAAGGCTACTGGTTTTTGGTCATGAAAGCTTTTATGTGAGATTCTATTTGAGATTGGATAAAATGCTTAAAAACCAGAGTTTAAGGGACTGTGTTCTTCTACATACCACCTTGTGAAAATTGGCTGTGCATATTTTTTTTCCACTTGAGAATGAAAAATTTTAAGTACCTAGTTTGTCAATGGCATATGTAACAAACCATTTCTCTTTACTACTAGTCTCTTTTGAAACTTTTCTAATATCACAGTTGTGTATGTTAACTAACTTTTCATACAAAAGGCAGGCTTATGGTAAATAACCTTTGTTCACTGTTTGCTATATTTCCCTCTTTTCAACTGAAAATTAATGCCAAACAATGCTGATCATTTTGGCCAATATTAGCAGCTCATCAGTTTCCTGGCTTATTTAGCAGAGTTCTGTACTTATCTTCCAACCCACTAAGACTACTTTTAAATAAAAGAATGTTTGTGGGCTATACACAAAACTGGCAGTGCAAGCTTCTGCTAAGAATGAATGTAATTTTGGGCTAAAACAAAGGTCTCTTTTTCTTGGTAACCTGTGTTTTTCTCACTTCCAGTCACTTGAAATTATAATTACCTTCTTGAAACAAAGAAATGGTAATTTATTTTGCTACTGTAGTAAATACTGTATGCTACCTGATTTTATTTTGTTTTTTGTTGTTTCTGAGACAGTCTTACTCTGTCACACAGGCTGGAATGCAGTGGCACAATCTTGGCTCTCTGCAACCTCTATCTCCCAAGTTCAAGCGATTCTTTTAACATCAGCCTCCCGGGTAGCTGGGATTACAGGCATATGCCACCATGACCGGCTAATTTTTTTTGTATTTTTAGTAGAGACGAGGTTTCACCATGTTGGCCAGGCTGGTCTCGAACTCCTGACCTCAAGTGATCTGCCTGCCTCAGCCTCCCAAAGTGCTGGGATTACAGGCTTGAGCCAACACGTGCAGCCTGATTTTATTTTTGAGATCTTTCTATAAACGTTTTCCCCTTGGACTAACAAATTAATCATAGAATAGCTGTGTTCACATTTTGTGCTGAAAGTAATGATGTAATATTTTCGCATAGGCTGTTTTGCCAGTTGTTATTCCCAGAATTTTATAGAGAATGTGATAGTATCTCTTTTCTCCTAAAAAGGGAATGCCTTTTATAATTATGGCTTTAATAAAGAGAAGAGCAATTAGCTTGTAATTCATAAGTTAATACTAAAAGGTATGTAGTTTCTCCTTATGAGTAAAAGTATTTGTGTAAAAATCCTAATTACTTTATTCTTCCTCAGAATTCCATCATCCCTGGCCCTCCCTTCCTATTTGGAGCCTGTTCAGTACTGCTGGCTCTGCTTGTTGCCTTGTTTATTCCGGAACATACCAATTTAAGCTTAAGGTCCAGCAGTTGGAGAAAGCACTGTGGCAGTCACAGCCATCCTCATAATACACAAGCGCCAGGAGAGGCCAAAGAACCTTTACTCCAGGACACAAATGTGTGACGACTGAAATCAGGAAGATTTTTCTATCAGCACCCAGGTCTTAGTTTTCACCTCTAGTTCTGGATGTACATTCCATTTCCATCCACAGTGTACTTTAAGATTGTCTTAAGAAATGTATCTGCATGAACTCCGTGGGAACTAAAGGAAGTGGGAACTTAGAACCAGACAGTTTTCCAAAGATGTTACAATTTCTTTTGAAAAACCTTTTGTTTATTAGCACCAATTTCTTGCCACTAAGCTATTTGTTTTATTATACATCCTTTAATTAAAAACTATATATGTAACTTCTTAGATATTAGCAAATGTCTCTGCTACCATTTCCTTAAGGTGTTGAGCTTTAACTCTATGCTGACTCAGTGAGACACAGTAGGTAGTATGGTTGTGGACCTATTTGTTTTAACATTGTAAAATTTTGAGTCAGATTTTAATATTGTAAAATCTTGGGTCAAATAATTCAAAGCCTTAATGCAGATGCACTAAAACAAAGAAATGGTAAATGAATTGTTTGCATTTAAAAAAAAAAACTCTTAAGAAAACTGTACTAAATCTGAATCATGTTTTGAGCTTGTTTGCAGTACTTTTAAACATTATTCACTACTGTTTTTGAAGTGAGAAAGTATCAGCCATTTAGCATTTAAGTTGGGGTATTTAGAGCCTGTAATCTAAATGCTGGCTCAAATTTATTCCCCAGCTACTTCTTATACCACTATTCTTTTAATGTTTGCATAATCATAAGCACCTCAACACTTGAATACATAATCTAAAAATTATATAGTAAAGCTGGTAGCCTTGAAAATGTCAGTGTGATATCTATTATGTAGATAAATATATATAGTGGCCTTTCAGGACTGTCACAGTAACACTTTATTTACAGAGCTAATGTTTGTCCTAAATTTTCAGGACCCTAGAGGAGAGCTTTATACAATTACCGATGTGAATTTCTCTAAAGTGTATATTTTTGTGTCCAGTTATATTATTTAAAAAAGTGTTACTTTGTAAAAATTGTATATAAAGAACTGTATAGTTTACACTGTTTTCATCTTGTGTGTGGTTATTGCTTAATGCTTTTTAAACTTGGAACACTCACTATGGTTAAATAAGGTCTTAAAAGAAATGTAAATATTCTGTTAATAAAGTTAAATATTTTAATGATTTTTTTTTTAAAAAAGTCTTGATCTGTGAGTTCCTACAGGGTCTGTTTTGGCTTTGTTACCATATTTTTACAGTAACAAATCAAAGCATTATTCATTCTTTCTTTGCATCCATTTCTTTTCCCTCACTAAAAAATGCTCTTCAAGGAAGACAAGAGGAAAGAAACAAAAATGCAGTATGCGTTTTGAAGTACTTGATTTTCAAAGTGTAGATGCTGCATAATAGTTTATTAACAAAGCTCAAAGTTTACAGAAATAACATTAAATGCAACACTTTTTGATTATTAACACATGTACAATTTTACACTGCAAAACAATTGCAACTAAAAGTTTAGGAGGTAAAGAATTAGCACACTTGGAAGTCTGTATACATTTAATACAAATTTGCAAGATATCAGAATGATCTCTCCTGAAAATTCAACTTTCCTTGTGTATATATATGCAAAGAGATACCTATATTTTAAAAAAGAGAGCTACCTGTATGTCATGCATCCCATCCAAAACATGTCACAATATTTTATATATATTACATAGTATTTACAACAAAGCCCCTTCCATAGTATTTACAATAAAGCTCCTTCCAAAATCACCAAGAGGCTTCTTTCCAGAATAGCAAGTGCTTTCAAGTTACTGTACCAAGTATTCTCACTAATACAGTAGTGTATCTAAATGGGGGAGGTGGGGGAGTATCAACTGCCTAATATTAGTTACTGAATTTTCAGATTAGATCCCTAGTTTAAAGACACTTGCAATTGCCAATAGTTTCAAGATACTGGCTTCGTAAAAAAAAAAAAAAAATTAGCAAAGATTCTTTCTTACCATGGGACTCAGTAATGTTATTACATCAATATCTTGAAATGTTTCTTCATCTGTGTAATAAAGTAGTTGAAAATAATTTTAAATTATCACATGAGCATTAGTACTTTATAAAAATTGATCTAGAAGACTCTTTAGAGAATGCTACCAGGTATTGTTTGTCAATAAGAAAACAAAATGAGGCCCTATGATTCTAGGTGAATTTTAAAAAAATTTTTCCCCAAGGAACAATTCTTAAAACTTTCAGTTACAGGGAAGAGAAGAAAATTGTACCTTCTAACAGTTATTTGTTTTGCCTAGTTTATTAACATTGAAATCAACCCAAGTTCTGATACTATAAAAATAAATGAATATTCATGATATAGTAGATTTAGTAGTAGTACCAAGTTTTAAAAGTCCACTGATACAGATTTAACTGCATAATAAAACTACAAATTGAGAAAAACTAGATGAGTATAAACATTTAGGAAGCACTGAAGTTTTAAAAACTTGTCAGCTCAAATGACAAAAGCACTTAATCTGGTCACATAAAAACTGTCCAAATTATTTTAAGTATATCAAATTTATTTGATTCATCACTAGCAAATTTAAATGCTTCAAGGAAAATACGCTATGAAGGCTTAATTCATTTCAGTTATTTAAGGTAAATTTAGGACTTTTCCCTTTAAATGTCATCAATAATATATCTCAAGAGGTAATCATTTTCCCTCATGATTTTCAGGTGTTGAATTTAAAAGTTTTACCAATGAAAGTGATAAAATGAATTAGTATTCTTTGGTTGCATACTATGAGGTTATGAGCAGGTTTTAGTTTACCCAGATTTTTAATATGATCAGAATCTCCCTCATAAGGATCAACTCTTTCCTTAGAACTGAATTTCTAAAGAATAGCTTAATAAAATTCATATTATTCTATAAAACGCCATGTTCACAAACCAAAAAATGTCATTTACTCACAATCTTTACCAATCCCCAAGTACAAATTTGTTCCTATATTATAAACTGCCATAAAAGCAGTACTTAAAGTATCCAGTCTTTAACAGCTCAAGTAAAATTTGAAACTTGCTATTTGAGGATCTGGTTTGTGTTGACATATTTTTTAAGCACCTGAGTTTCTAAAATACCAATAAAAAGTAAAACATGACACTAGAATTAACTGTTTGGTAACTGCCCAGGGAAATAGGCTGAAGACGCAGAGGGGAGCGCTGTGGGTTTGGAAGATGTATGTAATGCTCCTAAAGTGCCATCTCTCTGATGGTCTGCAAATGAGGACAAAAAAAGGTTACTGGTATTCATTAAGTCTTCATACATTAAATTTAATTCAACTATAAAGTACAAAAATCCAGAAATCCCTGCTTACCTGAATTACTAAATAGGTTCTGGCTGAGTCCGCGTAAAGGAATGCTATCTTCCCTTTTCTTCAGGTATTTGGATTCCAACCCTACATTTTCACCACTTAAAAAGAAAATGGTAATAACTTATTTAACAAAGTCTTTATTAACTTTGAAGGTTTATCTCATATGTATACATATATATAAGATAATGTAACTAAGTTCTATTTATAGCTTAGCTTTGTTCAGAACACATTCTTCACTGGTTTCTTAAGCAAATGGTAATTTTATACATAAACCAAAGTATCCTCAGTAAAGAGTAGATTATAATAAAATTTTAAGAGCTGGGATAAGGATGGTGGGAAAAATGAAAATTCTACAAGTGCTATAAAAATTTAAATACTAGCACATAAGTGATACATGACAGAAAAATACGTGCCTTGAGAGTAACACTATTAATTTCTAACTCATATTTAAAATAAGATTTCTTTTTCCTTTGACCAAAAGCTCTTCGAAATTTTCTAGTGCTTCAAAGTAGTCATGATCAAGTATTAACACACATTACACAATAAATTCTGATCAAATTAATACAAATGAGAAAATCTGGGGGAGAAAGAAGGGCATTTCTGTGTTTCCCCTTTCTACCACTGCCATCCTTTCTAAATACATCCAGTGTTAACGGTTTCCCTAGTATTACTTGTAATAAGAAGTTAAAGGCTCTTGCAAAACAATGAGAATAAATCAATCCTTAAAATTAAATGATGGTTGCTCTTGACCCAATTTTCAGAAATAAGTGGGTGAACAGACTTTTTTTCTATTTTATTTTTTTCTTTAAAGTTTGATACCCGGTGCCACTTTTTGCTAGCTGACAAATAAAAGAACCAGAAAAAACTCAAAATCACTGAACAGTCCTAATTTTATGGACAGATGGATATGTTTGACTTCATACTACAAATACGATTGTCATATTTTCTGCTAGTAAAATTGCTCTGTCTATAATGATTTGATTTTTTTTTTTTTTTTTGAGACAGGTTCTCGTTTTGAGGCCCAGTTTGGAGTGCAGTGATGTGACTGATCATAGCTTACTACAGACTCCAACTCCCAGGCTCAAGTGATCCCTCAGCCTCCCAAGCAGCTGGAACTACAAGCATGTACCACCATGTCTGGCTTTTTTTTTGGTTTTTTTCCTTTTGAGGCAGGGCCCCACTCTATCACCCAGGCTGGAGTGCAGTGGCAGGATCATGGCTCACTGCAGTCTTGACCTCCCAGACTCAAGTGATCCTCCTGCCTCAGCCTCCCATGTAGCTGGGACTACAGGTGTATGTCACTATGCCTGGCCTATGATGAATTAAATATATCAAACATTATGATATTCTACCATTAACAGGAATTCAAGGTGCTCTCCCTTGTGAACAAGTGAATTTTGATCTTTTTTAAAAATGGAGGCTCACAAATATTAACTTTTTTACATTATTTTTTCTATTTATTTTATTTGAGACAGAGTCTTGCTCTTATCGCCCAGGCTGGAGCACAGTGGCACAATATCGGCTCACTGCAACTTCTTGCCTCCTGGGTTGAAGCGATTCTCATGCTTCAGCCTCCTGAGTAACTGAGATTACACGTGCCCACCACGCCCGGTTAATTTTTGTATTTTTCGTAGAGATGGAGTTTCACCATGTTGGCCAGGCTGGTCTTGGAACTCCCGGCCTCAAGTGATCCACCCACCTTGGCCTCCCAAAGTGTTGGGATTACAGGCATGAGCCACTGTGACCAGCCACAAACATTTTAATTATTTTAACACATCATGATCCAATGAATAAAAGCTAGAGAGCTGGGGATAAGAACCCTCTTTGAGCTATGTTAGTAATTTAGTTTGTAATGTAGAACTAGGATGGTGATAGCTCATGATAATGAGTATCAGCAGACAGGCCTTAAAGCCATTAAATTTAATAAATAACTATATTAGTAGTAATAAATTACAAACATGAAGTCTATCCAGAGAGAAAAGTTTGCCTGTATGAGTGGTTTGATTTAACCACAAGTCATTGAATCAACAGACTTCACTATGTAAACCCTGTTTAAAAAACAGGGAATGGAAGTCGCAAAATGGCATTAAAGCTTATTTTTGTTATCTATGGGAAAATCTCACAAACCTTTTTACTCATTCTCTGTATATTTCTAGCATATTAACTAGCTGGTATTTTAGATTAGATTATACTGAAAGCAATAAATCAGAAAAATGGAGAGCTTCCAGGGACAGACATAGCCATATAAGAAAACAAAAACAGCTGACCATGAGGAATTTTTAAAAATTTCTATGAATATGTCTGAGAATATTTGAAAGCCCAGTCTTCAGTTATGTAGGAAAATCTCTTTCAACAAACGAAATTTTACTATCTAAGCACATCCCACATTAAAAAATAATGAGTAGATTGTTGGAGGAGGAAACAGAAAAAAGTATGAGAAATCTCTTTTTTATAGCTAAGAGTAATTCAACTTAAATTCCAATGATCAGTAACTTGAAATGTCTCAGGTAAACAGGTGGGCATCACAGCTCTCAAGCACTGATAAAAATTCTGTAAGATGGCCTTCAAAATTGCAAACATTAAATTTTATGTCATTAAGCACTTACTTTTCCTTATCAGTTGAGCAAGGCATACTAATAGTTGCTCCTGACTGAACATCTCCTAGTGATGCATTTGGTTTTGTAAACTGCAAATTAAACTGAACCTGTGAGAAGGAAAAACATCTCATGTAACTGAGTTATATAGAAGTAGACAGTTTTGGGCAGAGGGGGGATTTTAAACAGAGCCTTGCTCTGTTGCTTAAGCTGGAGTAAAGTGGCATAATCACGGTTCACTGCAGTCCCAATCTCCTGGGCTCAAGCGATCCTCCCACCTCATCCTTCCAACTAGCTGAGACTACAGGTACACGCCACGAAGTCTGGCTAATTTTTTATTTCTTGTAGAGACGGGGTTTCACTGTGTTGCCCACGCTGGTCTCAAACTCCTCGGCTCAAGTGATCCTCCCGTCTCAGCCTCCCAAAATCATGGGATTACAGGGATGAGCCACCATTACCGGGGTGAATTAGTTCTATATTGAGATGGGTGGTTAAATTTGTTTTCTGATAAATCTACACCATAAAAATACAGGCTTTGGCTAAGTGTGGTGGCTCACGCCTGTAATTCCAGCAGTGTGGTAGTGCACACCTGTAGTCCCAGATATATGAGAGGTAGGAGGATCACTTAAGCCCTGGAGTTTGGGGTTACAGTGAGTTATGATCACATCACTGCACTCTAGACTGGGCAACAGAGCAAGACCCTGTCTATAAAAAAAAAAAAAAAGCCTGCCATGCTTTAAAGAAATATAAAATCCAGACAATCAACAATGTAACACTCACAATGCTCCACTTATCAAAAATTACAAAGACAACAATAAGATGTCATACTCAGAAGAAAAATTAGCCAACAGAAACAGATTCAGAAATGGTAGAAATTATAGACCAGGGACACAAATGTAATTGTGTAAGAACTTAATGGAAATAAAAAGTATGAGAAAATTGAAGATATAAAAAAGAGTGAAAAGAAAATTCCAGACATAAAATAGTCAATATATAAAATGAAAATTTCTCACTGAATAAATTAACAGCAAATTATACACTGCAGTAAGAAAAGACTAATAAACTTTAAGACACAGCATCAGAATCTACATAAAATGAAATAAATAATAATGAAATAAACTAAGTCTCCCTGGGAAAGTATCATGTAATCAACCACGTATAATTGGAGTACCAAGGAGGAACACCAAAAAAGAGAACAAAACAGAAAAAGAAATGTGAATAATGACTAGAATTTCCTAAACTGATAAAAACTACAAACCCACCTATTTAAAAACTTCATGAAAACCCCAATTAAACAATAATACACAAACTCCACACCAAGGCATAATTAACTTGTTGAAAATGAATGATAAAGAGAAAATTTAAAAGCACCCAGAGAAAAAGGTCACTTTATATAAAGGAAACATTATATATAAACATGACTACTGACATCTTGCCAGAAAGTATTCAATCCAGGCAACAACGGAATAACATCTTCAAAATACAGATAGGAAAAAAACTTGCCAACCTAAAGTTCTATATTCAGAGAAAATGAAGTCAAAATAACAACATTATAAGACAAAAGAAGAATTAATTCCTCACAGACCTGCATTGTAAGAAGCCTTAAAAACCTGTACTATAAGAGATCTTAGTTATTGAGGAGAAAGGAAAATAATACCAGATGAAAATTTAGATCTACATAAAGGAAAAAAGTGTGTAAATAGTAATGTATGGGTTAACCAAGGAGATTTTTCTTCATTGCTTAATGTCTTTTAAATATACTTGATTGTTTAAAGAAAAAAAAAAAGTAGAGCTTATAACAAAGATACAAGTAAAATTTTGACAACAGTAGCAAAAAGAAGGGAAGAAATGGAAGTATATTATTGTAACAGTCTTATTTTACATGGGAAGTAGTATAATAATATTTGAAAGTAGATGATGAAATTGTATATTATAAACTAGAGTAAACACAAAGAAAATAAAAGAAAGCCAAGAGTAAATATAAAATGAAAAATGAAATAAAATGCACAAAACTAACTGGAAAGAAGGCAGGAAAAACAGAAAAGGGAGGCAAGAAACAGGACATATAGAAAACAAATCATAATATGGTAAAACTTATTATATGCATTACATTTTAAATTATTTAAGCCAGAATGTCAGAATGGATTCAAATGAGTCAATTATAAATATCTAAAAGAAATCACATTTAAAGACACAGGCTGGAAAATAAAAAAATAGAAAATGATACTTCATGTAAATACTAGGCATAAGAGAGCCAGAATATAATATTAATATCAAGGTAGATTTATTTTTCTGCTGAGATATGAAAAAAGAAACTCCTAAGCGTCAAAGAGAGGGAGGAAAATCCCTTTCTTTTCATTTTTCCCTGTGTTCTTTCCTGCTCCAACTCCCAGGCTACTATATGGAAGCAGAAGTGCCAGAGGTAATGGTGACAGCAACAGTGGCGAGGCGATAACTAAAACTTTGAAGGAGGGGAATCATATTTTCCTACCAAAGGCACTGTGGCCTCATTAACAGGGGAAACATCTTCCCTACTTTTCTACTCTCTTTGTCCTCTTGCTGCTTGATAACAGATGGAGATACAATTACAGGAACTGCATAGCACGGAAAGGAAACCTAGGCCTATATTTTCTAGCCAGAAGACCAGGAAGGGGGACCCTAAGGGCACAGAAAATTCTGAGGAAATCATGGAGAGAAAACTCAAGGGAGAAATCCTATAAAGTGGTATATAAACTCTTAGGCTCACTTATGAGCTGTACGAATCTGACCCTAATCAGCATACCAAAGGCTTTGGGAACCGAACTATGGGGTAAACTACTGCCAAGGTCACAGAATAGCACACTTGAGACAGATCCAAACAGCATGACATGACAAAGTCTTTAAAATTTGAACTGACAGCCAGGCATGGTGGCTCACGCATGTGATCCCAGCATTTTGGGAGGCTGAGGTGGGTCAATCACATGAGGCCAGAAGTTTGAGACCAGCCTGACCAACATGGTGAAACCCCATCTCTACTAAAAATACAAAAATTAACTGGGGGTGGTGGTGCACATCTGTAATCCCAGCTATTCGGAAGGCTGAGGCACAAGAATTGCTTGAACCCAGAATTGCAGTGAGCTGAGATTGCACCACTATCCTCCAGCCTGGGCAACAGAGTGAAACTCTTTTGAAAAAAATTGAACTGACTTAAGAATCACAACCTAAAGAAGGCTAATCAGAACTTGAACCTAACAAGACTGATTGTTTGCTTAAAAAAAAATCACATTCTCCTCAGGATTTAAACAAAATCTGGGATCTCATAATATTCTAATGTCCAGGATACAATCCAAAATCACTCAATAGAGTACTAGGGAAATGTAAGCAACTCATAAGGGAAAAGTTAAACCAGAAGAAGTCAACCCCAAGATGACACAAATACTGGAATTATCAGAAAAACCACTTCAAATCACCCATTATAACCGTGCTCTAATAACACTGTTCAAATGAATGTAAAAAAGTCTCATTAAAAAAAAAAAAAAAAAAGGAAAGAAAACGAAATGGAAATTTTAGAACAGAAAAAAACCGCTGAATGGGCTTGATAGTAGAATGGACAGAGAAAACAGTAAACTTGAAGGCGGATCAATAGAAATAATCAAATCTGAAAAACAGAAAAAATAAGAATGGAAGAAAAGAACAGAAGGTTGTGGACCTTTAGGAAAATAAAGATTTATATTCATGTCTTTTGAGTCCTAAAAGAAAGAAGAGTGTTCTGCAGAAAAAAATATTTGACTACATGGGAGGCTGAGGTGGGAGGAATGCTTGATCCTGGGAGGTCAAGGCTGCCACAAGTTCTGTTCACACCACTGTACTCCAGCCTGAGCTACAAAGCGAGACCCTGTCTCAAAAAAAAAAAAAAAAAAAAAAAAAAAATTGAAGAAATAATGGCTGAATACTTCAAAAATTTGGGAAAAGGTTCACCAAGCTTAGTAAACCCCCAAAAGGATAAAGTCAAATAAGTTCAAAATCCATGCCCAGACACATCATTGTTAAACTGTGAAAAACTAAAAATATATATATATATTAAAAGCAGGCAGAGAAAATGATGCACTAGTTATAGGAGAACGATTCAAATTTACTGCTAATTTCTCATTGGAAATCATGGAATCCTAAAAGAGGCAGAACAACAGTTTTAAAATGCTTAAGGAAAAGGATTATGAATACAGAATTATGTATCAAGAGAAAATATCATTTGGGAAAGGTAAAAGAAAGGCATTCCCAGGGGAAGAAAAAGAATTGACAGAAGACTTCCTCTAAAAGAAATGCTAATGAATGTTCTATCATTCAGGGAAATTATACTGTAGAAGAACTTAGAATACCAGGAATGAAGGAAAAGAACAAGAAGAACAGAAATGGTAAACACTGGGTAATATAACGAACTAGTCTTCTCCACTCCAGAGTTTTTTTGTGTTTTTTTGTTTGTTTGTTTTTGAGATGGAGTCTCGCTCTGTCACCCAGGCTAGAGTGCAGAGGCGCAATCTCGGCTCGCTGCAACCTCCGCCTCCCGAGTTCAAGTGATTCTTCTGCCTTAGCCTCCCGAGTAGCTGACACTACAGGCGCCCACCACCATGCCCAGCTAATTTTTTGTATTTTTAGTAGAGACAGGGTTTCACTGCTTTAGCCAGGATGGTCTCGATCTCCTGACCTTGTGATCCACGTGCCTCGGCCTCCCAAAGTGCTTGGATTACAGGCGTAAGGGACCACACCCAGCCCACTCCAGAGTTTTAAATATGTATAATGGAGGATAGCAAAAATTATAGATTGTCTGATAATGTCTCCAATGTATGCAGATACAATACATACGAAATATGAAAACATAAGGGGGGAAAAGGCAAAGGGACTGTATGGTGGCAAGGTATGTATATTGTACTTTAAGTGGTAAGATATTAATTCTACACACTACGAAAAGTATGTATATTATAATGCCTGGAGCAACCACTAAAATAAAAATAATACAAAGAGATATATTTAAAGAACATTATCCCAACAAAAACAGAATACCTATTGTTTTCTTTTTTTTTTTTTTTTTTTTTTTTGTGAGACCTCTCACTCTATTGCCCAGGACAGAGCAGAGTGGTGCAAACACAGCTCACTGCCACCTCCACATCCTGGGCTCAGGTGATCCTCCCACCTCAGCCTCCCCAACAGCTGGGACCACAGGTGTGTGTGACCACACCTGGCCAAAATATTTTCTAATTTCCCTCAAATCTTCCACATATCTTTCTGTTATAGATTTCTAGTTTAATTCCAGACTGGTTTAGGACTTAGGACGTAGTCTATCTTGGTTAGTGTTCCATGTGTACTTGAAAAGAATAGGGCTGGGCGTGGTGGCTCATGCCTGTAATCCCCACACTTTGGGAGGCCAAGGCAGGCAGATCACTTGAGCCCAGGAGTTTGAGATTGGCCTGGGAAACATGGCAAAACCCTGTCTCTACAAAAAAATACGAAAATTAGGCAGGTGTGGTGGTGTGCACCTGTAGTCCCAGCTACTCAGGAGGCTAAGGTGGGAGAATCACATAAACCCAGGAGGTGAGGCTGCAAGGAGCTGCGATCATGCCACTGTACTCCAGTCTGGGGGACACAGTGTGACCCTGTCTCAAAAACAAGAAAAGAAAAAGAAAAAAAAATATTTTAAACTTAATGAAAATGAAAATACAAATACCAAAATTTGTGAAATGCAGTTAAAGCAAGACTGAACAACATGTATAGCATTAAATGTTTAGATTAACATAGAACTCTTAAATCAGAACATAATCTTCTACCTTAAGAAAGTAAGAAAAGGAGCCAAACAAACTCAAGGCAGTTAGAAGGGAAAAAATATTAAAATGGAGAAATCAGTAAATTGAAAAACCAATGAAACCATAAGCCGGTTCCTTGAAAAGATCCATGAAACTGGTAACTCTTACCAAACTGATTTTTCAAAGAGACAAGGCAAAAATCACCATTATAAGTAATGAAAGAGAGGATGTTACAGCAGAGTCTATAGACATTAAAAATAATGGAATACTAAAAACAACTCTTCGCACATAGCTTAAAATTTAGATTAAATGATTTAATCCTGTGAAAGTCACAAACTATCGAAACTGGCCTAAGAAGAAATAAATAACCCAAACATTCTATAGGTATTGAAAAAAATTAATTCACAGCTGAAAAAAGCCTCCGGCAAAAAAATTTCCAGACCCAGATGATTTCACTGGAAAATTCTACCAAACATTTAAAGAAAATATAAAGCAACTCTATACAATATATGCCAGAAAATAAAAGAGAAAAGACAGTTTCCTGTTCATTTTATGAGGCCAGTATTGTCCTGATTTAAATTTGTTAAAGACAGTACATGAAAAGTAAACTACAGGCCAATATGCTTTATGAACATGGACACAAAATCAAACTATCAGAAAATTAACTCCAAGCTGGGTGTTGGGGCTCACACGCCTGTAATCCCAGCACTTTGGGAGGCCGAGGTGGGCGGATCACCCACCTCTGACCTTGAGCTCAGAAGTTCAAGACTAGCCTAGCCAACAGGGCGAAACCGTGTCTCTATTAAAAATACAAAAATTAGCTGGTGCAGTGACAGGCACCTGTAGTCCCAGCTACTCGGGAGGCTGCGGCAGAAGAATCGCTGGAACCCAGGAGGCAGAGGTTGCAGGGAGCCGAGATCACACTACTGCACTCCAGCCAGGGCAACAGAGAGAGACTCTGTCTCCAAAAAAAAAAAAAAGAAAAAGAAACAAAAAGTAAATTAACTCCAGCGATATATAAAAAGAATACACCATGACCAAGTGAAGTTTATCCCAAGAATGAAAGGCTAATATAATCTTAAACAATCAATACAATCTGTTAACTGATAAAAGATAAGCCACATGACCATATCAATTGAAAAAGCATTTGACAAAATTTAACAACCATTCATGATAAAAGCTCTTAGCAAACTAGGAATAGAATAAAACTCCCTTATTCTGAAAAATGGCCACCTAGCAAAAACCTACAGCTAATATGCTTATGATGAAAGACTGAATGCTCTGCCCTGAAGCTCAGGAACAAGGCCAGAATGTCTGCTCTCACATTTATTTAAACTGCACTATAGGCTGGGTGCAGTGGCCTACACCTGTAATCCCAGCACTTTTTTGGAGGCTGTGGCAGGTGGATCACTTGAGCTCAGGAGCTCAAGACCAGCCTGGGCAACATGGCAAAACCCTGTCTCTACCAAAATTACAAAAAATTAGCTGGGGGTATGGTGGCATGCACTTGTGGTCCCAGTTACTAGGGAGGCTGAGGTAGGATGATCACCTGAGCCTGGGAGACAGAAGTTGCAGTGAGCCAAGAATGTGCCACTGCACTCCAGGCTAGGTGACACTAAGACTCTGTCTCAAAAAATAAATAAATAAAAATAAATTGTACTATCGGTTCTAGCCATTACAATAAGGCAAGAAAAATAAATAAAAAGCAACCACATTGGAAAGGAAGCTGTCATTATTTTCAGATGACATAACTGTCTATGTGGAAAATCCAACAGAATTTACCAAAAACCACTAATGAGTATAATAAATGAGTTTAGCAAGGTTTCAAGATACAAGATCAACATACAAAAATGACATACATTTCTACACATCAATGAATATTCTGAAAAATAAAATAATTATACCCACAATAGCATCTAAAAGAATAAAACACTTAAGAATAAATTCAACAGAAGAAATTCAAGACTTATATATTGAAAACTGCAAAACATTACTGAGAGAAAGTAAAGCTCTAAATAAATGGAAAGACTCTTAATATTCATGGATTGGAAGACACAATACTGCCAAAACAGCATTTCTTTGAAAACTGACCTATAAATTCCTTATATACCTATCAAAATCCAAACAAACCATTTTGTAGAAATTGAGAAGGTGACCATTTTCATGAAACTGTAAAAGATCTAAAACAATTTTGAAAAGGAAGAATAGAGTCTGTAGATTTATACTACTGACTTTCAAAACTTTTAATATAAAGTCATAGTGATTAAGATGCTGTGACACTGGCACAGGATAGGCATAAAAATCAATGAAACAGAATTGAGAATCCTGAAATAAATCCTTACATGGTCAACTGATTTTCAACAAAGGTGCTTAGACAATTCAACAGAGAAAAAGACTTTTCATAAATGGTACTAAGAACTGGATATTCAGAGCAGGGGGGAAAAATGAACTTAGATCCTTACTTCAAGCCATGCACACAAATTATTTCAAAATGGATCACAGATCTAAATGTAACAACTAAAACTATAAAAGTTGTAGAAGAAAACAAAGGAGAAAATGTTTTCAACCTGTGGTTGGACAGAGTTCTTATATACAACTCCAAAAGCAAGATCCACAAAAGAAAAAAGTTTGATAAATTGCACTCCATCAAATATTAAAAACTTTTGTATTTCAAAAGACACATTGAGAAAATGAAAAGGGAAGCCACTGGGAGAAAATATTTGCTAATCATATACTTGATAAAGGACTTGTATCCAGAATATACAAAGAACTTATAATTCAATAAAAAGACAACCTTGTTTAGCAATGGTCAAAAGATTCAAATAGAAATATCACCAAAGTGGTATTTTAATATTGATGTTAAATAAGCACATGAATAGAGATACTCAACCTCATTAGGTTTTAGGGAAATGCAAACTAAAATCACAATGAGGGGCCAGGTGTGGTGGCTGATGCCTGTAATCCCAGCACTTTGAGAGGCCGAGGTAGGGGATCACTTGAAGTCAGGAGTTCAAAACCAGCCTGGCCAACATGGTGAACCCTGTCTCTACTAAAAAATACAAAAATTAGCTGGACGTGGTGGCGTGCACTTGTAACCCCAGCTACTCGGGAGGCTGAGGCATGAGAATTGCTTGAACCCTGAAGGTGGAGGTTGTAGTGAGCTGAGATTGCACCACTGCACTCCAGCCTGGGCAACAGAGCAAGACACTGTCTCAATAAATAAATAAAATCACAATGAGGTACTTCTATGCATGTATTAGAATGGCTATACAACTGACTATACCAACTGTTGGAAGGATGCAGAACAACTTGAACTCTCAGACTGCTGGTGGTAAATTGTAAAAACACTTTGGAAAAGTTTGGTAATTTCTTAAAAATCAAACATATGCCACCAGCCATTCCATTCCTGGGTACTCACCCACAATAAATACAAAGACTTGTACACATATGTTCACAGCAGCTTAATCTGTAACATCCAAAAACTTAAAACAACTCAAATGTCCATCAACTGATGAATGAACAAATTGTGGCATATCAATACAATGAAATACTACTGAGCAATTAAAAGAAAAGAACTACTGACACACATTACAGCCTGGATGAACCTCAAACACAGTATACTGAGTGAAAAGGAAAGATATGGGCCAGGCATGGTGGCTCACGCCTGTAATTCCAGCACTTTGGGAGGCTGAGGCAGGCAGATACCTTGAGCCCAGGAATTCGAAATCACCCTGAGCAACATGGTGAAACTCCATCTCTACAAAAAAATGCAAAAAAAGGTACCTGGGCATGGTGGCACACACCTGTAGTCCCAGCTACTCAGGAGGCTAAGATAGGAGGATCACCTGAGCCCAGGGAGGTCGAGGCTGCAATAAGCCATGATCGTGCCACTGCACTCTATCCTGGATGACAGAATGAGATTTTATCTCAAAAAAAAAGAAGAAAGACACACAAAAAAACTACATGTTGTATGATTCTACTCATATGAAACTTGGAAAAGCAAATTTTATAGTGACAGCTGATCAGTAGTTGCCTAGGGCTAGAAGGAGGAGTAAGGATAAACTGCAAACAGGCACTAGGGTACTTTTAGGGTAATGTAAATGTTCTAATATTGAACTGTGGTATAGCTTCACAACTCTATAAGCTGACTAAAATTATTGAACTAATCTTAAAGTGGAAGGATTTTATGGTATGTAAATTCTACCTTAATAACCTTTAAATTTTTAAAAAGGAAGTATAATGAAGAATAAAAACAAACCAAAAATTACAAAATAACACATTAAAAACAACGGCAAACTAGCGTCCAGAATATGTAAAGAACACTTATAAAACCATTTTATAAATGTTAAACCTCCCAAACAAAAAAAAACGAATAAAAGAAAGAGCCAGGCACAATGGTGCATGCCTGTAGTCTCAGCTACTCAGGAGGCTGAGCCAGGAGGATCAGGTGAGCCCAGAAATTCGAAGCCAGCCTGGGCAACACAGGGAGATTTCCATCTCTAAAACAAACAAATGGAAAACAAAAAATGAATAAACAGGAGTTTTACAGAACAGGAAACATAACCTACAAATATATAAAAAGATGTTTCTCACTTTAATCAAGAAAATGTTAATTAACATTACAATAAGATACTATTTTAGTCACCAGTTATGCAAAAATGCCTTTGACACAGTTACTTCTAACAATGTAACCTATAAATCTATTAGTACCAGGCCACCGAGATGTATGCACAAAAATATTTGCTGGAGCACTGTATGAGCATCTGGATTGAAAAAAACCTACTCATCCATAAATAGAGTATTAGTTAATTATAGTACATCCGTATACTGGAATACTATGAAGTCATTAAAAAGAAACAAAAACTTATATTCTGATACACTGCAGTTACCTATTCCATAATACCATTAAATGAAAAAAGCAAGGCGCAGAACAATTGGCAAGTACTATTTATGTTTATATATAAAAACACTCATATATTTGAACACATATACATATACATGCACATACATATGGTCTAATACATGCTCTGAATATTTCTGGAATATATCATAAGAAATTCCTAACAGTATTTTTCTCTAAGAGGACTGGGGACCACAGTAGGGACTTTTAGATAGTACATCCTCTTGTACCTTTCAAAGCTTCCCATACTTACACATTATTTTTAAAAAGTTAATACCAAATAAATGAAAAATTAATTTAAACCATCTAGGTGAATCAGATGGTTAACCCAACTGAATAATGCTATCTGTACACAAAATCTGTCTCTGAATACACACTGTGGGCCAAACACTACCAAGATAAAGAAATTGAGGCAACAGGGCCTTGGGGCACCTCCAGTCACACACAAATGTTAGAGATCTGTACTGGATGACACTGACAGAAAACAAGCATTTCAGCACCTACAATTACAGTGTCAGGAGGATAAGAGATTCCTTCCGAGAAAATAAAAATGTAAACGTTCCTGTAGAAACTCAAACCCTAGAGAATAAAGCCAAAAGAGACCTTACAGTAATTCAGAGTAATTTGTCAACAGGTCCACATTGGCCAACTGACAAGTTCATTACTGAGAATCAAGAGATGCCTAGGACCCAGGGAGCCCAGGACTAGCCACAAGCCACCACCAGTGGATGCCGGGAACAACCTTCAACATCCACTCTATGCTTGGGATAGGGGCTCCCCAAACCAGCTTAAAATAGTCTCTTACTCTGCCTGCTCTGTGGGAGCTGATAAACTGAGTCACATTTCCATTCTGTTGCAGACTCAATGAAAAAGGACAGCTGTTTCTCCTCGGTTCAAGGGTTAGAATGAAAAGCTGGAGCTCACTCAAAATAATGCTGTGTATTACTGTGTCTCCTCTCCACTCCACTACTATTTTGTAGTTCATGACCATTGTGTACGGCATTTCCAGACTTTGTTTTTTGGTCCTTAACAGTAAACAGAATTGTCTCCCTAAGCCTTTCAACCAGATTAAAAGAAAAAAGATAAATCAATCATCTGGCCCGTTCCTCACTGCAGAAAATCCCTCACATACTTCATAATCTCCTTGATGAAAGTTTGACCTTGAAGATCAAGAATGTAACCCAAGCCAGGCACAGAGGCTCATGCCTGTAATCCCACCACTTGGGAGGCCGAGGCAGGTGGATCACTTGAGGTCAGGAGTTAGAGATCAGCCTGACCAACATGGTGAAACCCCGTCTCTACTAAAAATACAAAAATTAGCCAGGTGTGGTGCTGCACACCTGTAATCTCAGCTACTCGGGAGGCTGAGGCATGAGAATCGCTTGAACCTGGGAGGTGGAGGTTGCAGTGAGCTAAGATCATGCCACTGCACTCTAGCCTTGGTGACAGAGTGAGACTCTGTCACAAAAATAAATGAATAAATGAATGAATGAATAAACAGTTTAGTTTGAAAGACATTACAATTTACTATCTACTGGTGTTTCACCACAAAATGTAAGCACCATAGTGTCAGGGCATTTGTCTTGTTCACTGCTGTCATCTCCTGCAACTAAAACTATGCCTGGCCACAGCAGATAACAGACATTCATTAAATACTTGTTCAATGAATGAATCTTTGGCTATCATTGTATCCAAAAATAAAAGAGAAAAAACACGTAGTTTTGTGTATCTTGCTTTAAAATTATCAAGTATTTGTTCTATTTGTCAGAACAGCACAATCTTGTTAAATATTCTCACATATTCTTTCAGCATTATTTTGTTTCTTGCCAAATTTCTCATGTTATTTTACATTCCCACAGTTAAACATCCTTGAATGTATTCAATCTTGACAGTAACATTTTAAGACATCAGGAAGATCACAGGTTCAACGTCAAAAATAAAAGCGTCATTTTTAAAAACTGTAATTCAAAAGTACATGTTTTAATCAACATAGCTGCTAGCACAAAACTACCTAGATCAATGATCACCAAAGTAGGTGGTATTTGGTGCTTTAAAGTGGGTCTTTGAGTCGGGGAGGACAAAGTAGGCAGTAATTAGGACCATTCACTGAGGTCTGAGAAGAAAATCTTACAACTTTCATTTACATCCATTTTTAGTCTGATTCTTTAATTTCTATTTTTGAATATATTTTATTATTAATAATATAACATTTACAGAGCACTTATCATGAACCAGGTACTATTCTAAGCAAATGCATTAATTCACTTAACTCAATAATCCAGTAAGGTAGAGAAAATTATCACTCCATTTTATAAGTGGGAAAACTGAAGTGTAAGAGTTGAATGTTGTTTGTTTTTCAGTGGCTTGATCAACTTCAGGTTGATAGAGGCAGGTTTTAAATCCTAACATCAGATTCCGCCTTCTTAACCAATAATTATACGGCATATAGTATTTCAGTAGTATATGCATAAATTCACAAATAAATACACATTAATGTATTTGAGATGAGAGCGCAAATTGTTCTGTTTTAGGGTTTTTTTTTTTCCCTGTTAGGGATACATAATTAAAAGAATATGGAGATCACCGATACAGGAAACACTGAAAGTCTTGCTCCTGTATTTAAGAACATAATTATTATAATGATTCCTCTGATTCCACAAGACCTATAAGAATGATAGTATTATTTTATAAGCCATCTTTAGTCCTACCAAGTAGGCAACTGTCTCTAGTAGTACTTGTCCTCATTTTGGACATTATATATATATTCCTGGAAAGTTGTTTAAATAAAAAACAACTGTGAATTCACTTATAATTCTAAAGAAAAAAAATGATCCCAAGATACAACGACACTTGAGTATACTGAAACTGATAATAAAACAATAGACATTCCTTCGAATGCACATATCTAATTCTCCTTAATAAGCAATGCAAGAAGAGCCAGTTATATGCATCTAAGTACTCTTTACATAACAGTATTCCAGGCATAAAAACTCAGGCTTAATTTTCATTTAACTGAGAATTCTCCATAGCTACTGGCAATAATAAGGCTATGGCTAAAAAGAGCACATGCCTAAGCAACACAGCCAACTTATTTTTAGAGTAGCCCAGACCTAATTTGATAGAGTTTGTAATACCAGTTTCAAAGTCCTCAATTTTATCTTTTATACAATATTTTTTCATAAATGTTTATTTGTCTCATTATTTAAGAAAAAATAAACCTGGATCTGAAGTTAGCAATGAAAATAAAAGCAGTGACTGGTCTGGGTGGATTAAACTATTGTGAAAACAAAATTATAATACATAAAAAATACATAAATCTAAGATAATAATAAAAATGAGGAAAAAGAAGTAGGTAGAAGAAAGCCTTAACAAATATATCAAGGGTTGGGGGGATTGCTAGTCATATCTTATCTGAGATAATGCTGTCAGAACTAAATTTTAGAATTTGATTTAAGCCTGCCCTACCAGACCTTTAAATTCTAGCAATGGACTCCAAATCATAGCTCAGACTCCAACAGTATGAAGTCAGAAATCCTAGCCAGGCCTGAGAGCGTAGGAGACACAAGTAGAAGAATGAATAAAAACGGAAAGGCTGGCCGGGCGTGGTGGCTCAGGCCTGCAATCCCAGCACCTTGGGAGGCCAAGGCAGGCGGATCACTTGAGGCCAGGAGTTCGAGACCAGCCTGGCCAACATGGCGAAACCTCACCTCTACTAAAATTGCAAAAAAATTAGCTGGGTGTAGTGGCACATGCCTGTAATCCCAGCTACTCAGGAGGCTGAGGCACGAGAATCACTGAACCCAGGAGGCAGAGGCTGCAGTGAGCTGAGATTACACCACTGCACTCCAGCCTGGACAACCGAGCAAGACTGTCTCAAAAAAAAAAAAAAAAAAAGGAGAGGTTGAGTAGAAATAAGTGAGGTTTAAACAGACTGATGTCAAGATTTTAGAAATTACAGTGACTCAAGAAATATATAGTGCATATATTTCCTGTACACATAGATACTAGATATTCAGTAATGTATTTATCTAATACACTACCTACTACTTAACAACTGACCAAAGAATAAATGAACTTTTAAAAGATGTGAAATGTTTGTATGCTAATAGGTTGCTATATTTTTTCCCAGAACAAGTATTAGTTAATTTGGCTACCTTTGTTCCTGAACCAGGGTGGCTGGTATTTTTGGCAGATATCGAATGAGGGAAGGTATTCTGGAATGCAAATGCAGAGGAGACAGGATAACCAATCCCACAGGTTGGGTAAGTCAGTCTACCATCAACCTAAAAATAAAAACATAAAGATGATTAAAGATGATAAATTAATTCTAAATAGTATTTGTTGATCAGGTGGCATTAGCATCTGTTATAATAACTAATAATTAAGAGAGCACTATCTCAGACGCCAGTCTTGTTTATCATGCCACACAACTCTGCTTTATTATCTACCATGGGGCTAGGATAACTTTGAACTAGAGGGCTTTTCAAGGTAGGTGTGCAAGCTTGGATAAAACAAACTACTGGGCCTGCCTTTGTACTAAGTTAAAGCCAAGCTTCTGAACCAACTTGTTTCACTCTAAGTCTCCTAAAAAAGGGGGGAATGGGGGAGTCTGGAGATCAATAGGCCAATCAGAGATAAAATAAAACTAATTTTCTGTCAGACTGCATAAAAACAAGATCAGTGTTCTTAAATGGACTAATTGAGACAGTAATTGGTTTTGCCACTAATTTTCAATATACTGGCACCACACATTAACCAACGTTATGAAAAAGTTTATTTTTATACTGAGACCAGTTGTAACAGAAATCTTGAGAAGCATTTGTGCACACTAATGGATGCACACAAAAAAACACCTTTCACACAGCTATCATCAGTCATTCAAATTTTAAGCCGGACAAAAAATCTTTTTTAAGTTTGTAATTCAGCCCCAGGCACTTCTTTCTGCACCCTTCTCCAATTTAACAGCAATCTTTCCCCTTCTTTAGACATCCCGTACTCTGACTTACCAGAGTAGATTAGGTTAAAAATTCAATTAGGAATCTGAATTTTAAACCTTCTGCCAATGTCCTGTAGCCAAGGACCACCAGGAACCCATGTATAGATATACGAGCTAGATTTATTGCTCCTTGCAACAAGGGAAACTGCACACCATGAACAAACATGGGTATCTCCAAAAGTGGGTATTAAAAGGGACTTATTTATTGGATTTAGGCACATGTTAGGTGATTTAAGAAAAAGTTTAAGTGGTGCTTTGCTGTGGATTGGAAGCTACTGGGAAATGGGGATAAATGTATGACTGGGTATCTGAATAAATCCTATCTAATAAAGCAAGAGGAATGTATTAAGGTCAAAGCTGTAATTAAAGCAGCAGCAGCCATTCATGTTAGCCAGGATATGAGGATGCTTATGGGCCATATCTGTGATTTAGCAATGTTCATATTTTTGTCTGTATTCAGGCATGATTATGAAACAGTCTTGTTTTTGTATTGACAGAGTCACAGAGTAACCTTGCCTGATGTTAATATTCCATGAAATTGTTGTGTTCAACAGGAGAGCCCCAGGCCTATGTGCGGATGCTAGGTAAGCTCCTAGCAGCACCTAGGCCTAACTATCAGATAGTACCAAACCACCTCTGAATGTAAGAAGCTGCTTTTCCTATTCTGCCTTTTTTCTGTTTGAGATAGAGTCTCACTCTGTTGCCCAGGCTGGAGTACAGTGGTGCGATCTTGGCTCATGGCAACCTCCACCTCCTGGGTTCAAGCAGTTCCCCTGCCTCAGTCTCCCGAGTAGCTGGGATTATAGGCATGCACCATTGCACCCAACTGAATTATGTATTTTTAGTAGAGACAGGGTTTCACCACGTTGCCCAGGCTGACCTCTTGAACTCCTGACCTCAGGTGATCCACCCACCTCAGCCTCCCACCCAAAGTGCTGGGATTACAGGCATGAGCCATCGTGCCCAGCCTCCCTTTTTTCTCAGGTTAAAAAAAAAAAAAAAAAAGCAGGGCTGGGCACAGTGGCTCACAGCTATAATCCCGGCACTTTGAGAGGCCGAGGTGGGAGGATTGCCTGAGCCCAGGAGGTCAAGGCTGCCATGAGCCATGATCCCACCACTGCACTCCAGCCTCGGCAACAGAGTGAGGTCTTGTCTCAAAAGAGAAAAAAATCTGGTCCTGGGAGCTAGAAAGTTTATATCTCATAACCAGTTTCTTGTAGAATCTAAAGGTGACAAGCCTGCTAATAGGACTTTTTTCTTTTTTACTTTCTTTTCTTTTTCTGATAGAATTCAGTTTAGGCTTAAGCCTAAACCCTGAATTCTCTCTTCTTCAAGTCTCCTAAATGTTTTACGTTATGTGTTTTCAAGTTTTTCAGTATATTTGGTATTACTTTAGTTAGCATTGAAAGATTTCAATATCCAGTCAAGACTTATAAAGAAGTGTGCTCTTGGCTGGGTGCGGTGGCTCACGCCTGTAATCCCAACACTTTGGGAGGCCGAGGCAGGCAGATCATGAGGTCAGGAGATCAAGACCATCCTGGCTAACAGGGTGAAATCTGTTTCTACTAAAAATACAAAAAATTAGCTGGGCGTGGTGGTGGGCGCCTATAGTCCCAGCTACTTGGGAAGCTGAGGCAGGAGAATGGTGTGAACCCGGGAGGCGGAGCTTGCAGTGAGCCGAGATCGCGCCACTGCACTCCAGCCTGAGCGACAGAGCGAGACTCCATCTCAAAAAAAAAACAAAACAAAACAAAAAAAAGAAATGTGCTCTTGAAACTCAGCCTCTGTTCAGAGCAAGTGTGCCTTTGTTCCACTTCCAGGGGCAACTTAAACTCTATTTCAGTGCAATTGTAGGACTCCACTTTGTATTGGTATCAGCACCTTAAATCATGGAAACTTCCTAACAATCTGGAAATACTTTTGTTTCAGGAAATTCACTAAGATCACTCACATCTTGTTTTAAATCTTACCACATTCAGGTTAGGAGAAATTCCACTTCTGATTGTGTTGCTGCTGGAATGTGCAGGCGGAGTAGTAGAAGGTCCCAATACATCTTGCTTTCTCACTAGCTGATTTTCATTTAGTTCTTTATTTAACCACGTGATTACTTAAATAAAAGAACAAGAAGCAAGGTAAAGAATATTGACTGTTTATTTTTCTAATCATCTTAAACATTTAAAAATTATATTAAGATTTTTAAATTATAAGTTTTTACAACTACCTGACATCACAGGAGAGCAATATAGGTTCACCTAAATTTTTGTCATTAAAGTTTCTTATTTTAGAAGCTGCCACATAGGACTCCTTATTGTATTACTTTCCGAAGCACATATTTCTGCTAGTCAAGCAACTCTTTGAAAGATTTCACTTCTAGAATATCTTACAGTTTACTTAAAATTCACAATCTTATGTATGATACCCAGTAGTATAAACTGAGAAAATGTTAGTTAAAATCTTATTTTTATGTTTTGTTTTCAAACAATTCATATTGTTATTATTAGGTAAACACAGCTATTAAAAAAAGGAATAATGAAGAATTTAAACAATAAATTACAGTCAACATTTTCAACAGTTTTAATTGTGGGTTACTGACCTATGGGATATGGTTTTCTTTATAAAGATGATAACTCTTTTACTGGGCAGATGATATAAATTTATTATAGAAAAGGCATTAAGACAGTATATTTAAAGCAGAAATTACTTATATATTGGCCAATGTCTACTTTTATGAATTCGAATAAAATTTTCAGGTTAAGAATAAAACTACAGCCGAGCACGATGGCTAACACCTGTAAACCTAAACGCAGCAATCTGGGAGGCCAAGGCGGGTGGATCACTTGAGCTCAGGAGTTCAAGACCAGCCTGGGCAACATGATAAAATCTCGTCTCTACAAAAAAAACCCACAAAATTAGCTGAGTGTGGTGGTGCACACCTTAGTCCCAGCTACTTGGGGGGCTGAGGCGGGAGGATAACTTGAACCAAAGTGGTGGAGGCTGCAGTGAGCTGAGATCATGCCACTGCACTCCAGCCTCGGTGACAGAGTGAGACCGTGTCTCAAAAAAATAAAAGAATAAAACTACAAACCTCATTTACATTAACACGTAACATACTTACACTTTTCATTATTTTTTAGAAGTTGTTTGCTTTCTTCAAGTTTTTTAACTGTAGCTTCTAATTGTTCTTGTAATTTGCATACCTGAAATATATCAATCATCACAATAAGTCAAGCAAAATAAAGGTTAAATAAAAACTGAAGAATGTATTATTATTAACTAAATAATTACATAAATGGTTACTACTACTATTATTAAATGAGAATAAAGGAATTAGCTCAATTATGTAATAAAATATTTACATGTGTATACAAACATAGACATACATGAGCAATCAAGGTATCTGAATCATGATAACTAACTTTCCAAACTGAAACAGGTTATTACCATCTACTCAATCTAGTCATGTTCTTTTGTTAAAAAAAAAAACAAGACCAAAGCCATTTGTTAATGTAACAAAGCATAAATTTTTAAAACGAGGAAAAAATTTAGTTACAACATAAAAATTTAAAATATTAACTACCTCTTGCTCTTTAATTCGAAGAGACTGTCCAACATCTTGTAATTCCTTTTGTTCCTTTTGTAATTTTTCCTCCTTCTCAGCCAAGAGTTTTTCTTGCTGAATAGTAACTGTATTCTTCAATTTCAACTTACCCATTAAAGTTTTCAGATCCCCTTGTAACTTCTTGATAATTTCATTTGCCTATAAAAGAGCTTCATATGTATATTTCTATGTAATTTAATGAAATACTAGTCTATAAAATTTTTAAAACAAACCTTCAGAAGTTCTGCAGATAATGATTTTATTGTAGCTTCAAGCTTTCCTAGTTGTACTTGATTTTTCTCACCATTTTCTTCTAAAACCACCTGATATATTTTTTAAAAACATGAATAATTAGGGCATTTGTGTTTACTTATAAATATGATTATCAATTTCTGAGAAAAATTTAAAAGTAGACCTTTTGTTCCTGGATTGTATCAAATGCCTCTTTTGTTCTTAAAACAAGCTGGTCCTTATCCTTGATTTCCTGTTCTAAAACTGCCACTTTTGTTTGTAGCTGATTAACGTGCTTTTCTTTCTCGTGGCATTCAACATCTAGTGTAGAATTCTCTCTTCGCAAAGAGAGGACTTCTTGCTTAGTCCGCTGTAGCTCCTAGAATGGGAAAAGAAAGAAATTAAGCATTATGAAAAAAGGAAGCTGCCTCATCTGGTTATTTATAATTAAGATGTCTAACATATTAAAAAAAAGTCTTTAATAATTTTAAAGTTTTAGTACAGATTTTTTTTTAAAAGCATAAATGTCTTTCTAATGGTATAGTAGCATATATCTGGAATATAATTGTAAAATATTCTACTATCTGATTCAATCATATCAAGGGAAAATAATTCTAATTTATGAATAAATTACAGTAACTTTAAAACTTTTAACAATAATTTTCTGATGTCTCCACAACTGATTCCAAGGGTAACCACGGGTGAGAGCCGCCACAATGTAGACTTAACATTTTTCTTTGTTGCTTACATGTACAGATTGTTTTTTAAAGGTTGATACTCTGCAGTTTATAATCTACCTTCTTCACGTATTACAAATATCTTTCTATGTCAATAAATGTTAACATTTCCAGATCTCTCTGTTCACTCTTTCAAGCAAAATAAACAATAATTGTTCATTAAAAATAGATTTTTAAAAAATCTACAATAGATCTCTTCCCAATCAGCTAATATCAACCCAAATGCTGCTGGTATATGAAAGCCCAGGATACAATATTCCTAGATAGTTTTAGTTCTTAACCAAAGTTTCCAAAAATAATTATACAGTATTGTGACTATAGTGGTTTTAGGAGCACAAACTTTAGTATCAAACAAAATTCAAATCCTGGCTCTTCTACTGTGTGATCTTGGTAATTACTGAAACTCCCTAAATTAAATCTCAGTTCCCTCATTTGTAAAACAGAAATAACAAATACTTAATAAATTATTTCATTTAACCTTCATAAAAATCCTTACGTAAATTGCCTAGCATTTTGGCTGGCACACAGTAAAACTCAATAAATGGTAGCAATTGTTATTTTTAGGACACTAATGCCTAAAAATTGTTACTTAAAATAGGTAACTGAATACTCAGCAGTTAAAAAAAAAAGCTCCAAGAACTAACAATTTGCAAGTCTTATGAAAATCTTGGAGGAAATATTTTCATTAGATCATATAAAAATCAATGCAATGAGGTTGTTTATATAATGACCAGTTCCAGGGCTGAGAATAATGAAATCAGAGCATTATACTGAAGCATTTAGACTACCAATGTACCATGAAGGTTCAAATGCTTTACAACCAGTATGAAGAGTGTATGCAGGAAAAACAGAAGACATCTATTATTGGGGCAAAACAATATGAGGATCTGAACACAAAATTGGTCAGGCTTTAGAGCTTCTAAGCATGAGACTGGTAAAATAGAGTTTGAAGTCTTGTGAGCTAGAATAACACTGGTAACTTTGGTATTTAAATATAGACAAAATCTACATATATTTTCTAATAATTCATATGACAATAATATATAATGCTACAAAGAAGCCTGTAATCAATGCCAAAGCAACAACAAATGTGGCACTATAGCAAGATTTTAAAAATTTCTGTGGGGCTTAATACCCAGGTGATGAGTTGATAGGTGCAGCAAACCACCATGGCACATGTTTACCTATGCAACAAACCTGCACATTCTGTACATGTATCCTGGAACTTAAATAAAATAAATAAAATAAAAAATAAAAATTTCTCTGTTGCCTGAAAGAACAAGGTAGTATTAAAGATAGTCAAATAATAGATGAGTTCTAATCCTTGTTCTTCCACTCCTTGACTATGTGACCTTAGGCAACTTATTTAACCTTTCTGTGCCTTAGTTTCATCATCTGTAAAATAGGGCTAATAATAGTTCCTACCTTAAATAACTGTTGTAACAATAAAATGAGTTAATATATGTAAAGCACTTCAAACAGTACCTATCACATAGAAAATGCTCAGTAAGCATTAACTATTATCTTTACTATTACCATTATCATTATTATTACTAGATACTAAATTCACATAATTGTTTGATATATGTTAAGCAGGTTGAGGAAAAAAAACCCCAGCCCTGTCAACACAGTACCCTATGAAATACAGGTGCTGTGTTACTATTAAAAACATATTGATAAATCTGACAGCTGTGCCAGTAATCTGCTCTCAAGACCCTAACTAAAAATATTCAAGCTTACCTCAGTTCTGTTATGAATTATGCTTTTTATCAAATTTCAAATTCTCAATTTTCTTTGCATTGTCTGAATGGATACCCTAACACCACAAGAGCATCCAGAGGAACACCACCCACACAAGTAACCACATTAAAATAACCAAATCAAAACGTTCTCTTAAATTGGGGGAGGAAAAAAAACAACATTCAATACCTCTTCAACACCAGAAAGTTTTGCTTTAAGTTCTCTAATAGTGGAGTCTCCTTTATATTTTCTTTCGGTTAAGTCTTTATTAGCCGCTTCTAACTCAGACAGTCTGTTTTGTAGCTGGTGGATGTTTTGTTGATGGAGGATTTCTAAATCTTTTTTCTGTTGTTCATGCTGCTGTTGATATTGAACCTGTGCCTATGATACAATAAAAATACAGTACCAAAATTCAAAGAAAAAAATCAGAAATACAAATACAGAAAGATTTGAACAAAAAAAAATTGTAATTTCTTATTTTTTCTTTTTCTTTTTTGTCTTAATTTTGTCATCTTTCTTTAGATCCCCATTCTGAAAAGGGTCTATTTTCAATTATGAATTTCATGACGGAGAAAGCAAGGTCAACAAAAGCAAATTTACCACCATGATCTTGTTCATAATTTTTGCTTCTTCTAAATCCATATATGTTTAGGTGCAACAGTCTTCAAGTTAAGGGAAGATGCTATATAAGTTAAAAAAGCAAACTGCAAATACTGTATACAGGATGAACCTACTTGTGTATTAAAAAAAAAGCAGATTTTTGCTTTAAACACCATCACAGTGTTTCAGTTTTTAATAATAAATACTCGTATATATGCTTTATAATGGAAAAACACCTAAAATTGTAAAACGAGCAAGGTTGGTTCATTAGTCCAATCTTATAGTCATTTTTACCAACAATAAAATTTGAACATGGTTATAACTGTGCAATATTTAGTGCCTGTCTGAATCGTATCACAAACCTATCTTAGTAACTTTTGTTAACGAACACTATGAAATCCTAAATATCTTTTGAAAATAAAGCATATTTTTGTGGTTATCAAAGTTATACATGCTCTTACAGGCAAAAAGGAAACACAAATAACCCATAATCCCATCCAGAAAAATCACTCCTAATATTTAGGAGTACTCTCTTCCACTCGTTTATATACTTATATTGACATCCACATAAACACACAATATACATATTAAATTTAATGAATGAATATCAAACTATTTATACAATTTAATCACACTTTTTAATCCCTTAGCATTTGCACCTTCTCACATCATTAAAAAATTCTTTGTAAAGTCTTTAATAGCTACACAACATTCCATCCATGGTTACTCCATAATTCATTTAACTTCTGCCCTATTACGGACATTTAGTTCCCAATTTTTCACAATTATAAATAAAATGATGATTTTTTTTGCACAGACATACATCTAAAATTCAGATTATTTCTTTATGATCAATTATAGAATAAAGAATATAAACAAATATAAAGCTTGATGCAAGTTCCAAAACTGTATCCCAGAGAAGTTATACCCATTCAAAAGTCTTAGCACTAGTACAGGGGAGTGTCTCTCTCATAAAATACCTTAGGAATTTTACATTACTACTTCAGGAATTTCCTCATTTTCAGAAAGCTGAAAAGGAGAGGAGAAGGAGCAAAAAGAGATAAAACAGGAAGCAGTCCATATAAAATTGAAAATGCCATCTTGGAAGAAAACATTGAAGAAGCAACCAAGAAGAAAAATCAGAGCAAACTGGTAAAGATGCTAACTGTAACTGTCTAAGAGAGTAATCAAAGACACTAAAGACAATAGAGGCCAAAAGCAGTGAAAATAAAGAACTGGTTTTTATTCCAGTGCTCATCAGAACCTTGGAGATTTTTGTTTAAAAAAAAAGTGTGAGAACTAGCATTATAAAGTTCACATTTTCTACTTTGTTCCCTTCTGAATCATTTCATTATTTTTAGAAAAAAATACATTAAAAATTTTCCATTCTGGAGGAAAAAAAATAATCATTGGAAGGACAGTTTCAAAATAATAGAGTCTAACAGAAAAGGGAGAATTTGTAGAGGTGGAAGCAATATTTTTCAAATGAATATTCTATAGAGGCTTAAATCAGAAAAGCACACAGTAGTTTTGGAAGAATATTAGATGAGAAAAATGTTTTGGGAATGGAATAATAATGATATGAATGGGAAAACAAAAATTAATAAAAAATTCTATGAAGAAGTGATGAAATATAGAAGTCAGAATTAAGAAAATAATACAATAAATAGAAGGAAGATGGGTGATTCTACGTGTTGCTAGGACTTTCCTCACAGAAAAAAAGCTTCTACAAAGAAATTAGTGTAGAAACAATTCAGATTACTCAGTATATTTTTTTAAATGGAGGTATAAAGAAAACATGAGAAATAAGTGTAAACATAAAGAGAAATAAAAAATGCAAGAATCAAATTTGCCCTATTAAAATGCCTTAAAGATAACACAGGTTTAATGTCCACTTGAATAGATAAGTGACAAATATAGATAATACAGCCATTATTCCCTATAACATTTGTAGAAACCATCAGTAATAATAGAAGGCAGTTTACCTGCCTCAGCAGATTTCTATATAGTCACAAAATTGGCCTAATTTGAGAAAGAGCACACTATGGCAGTGGTTATCAAAGTACGGTCCTCTGAACAGAATAATCGGTATCAGCTAAGAACCTATCAGGAAATCAAGTTCCTGGACTCCACCCCCGACTAACTGTATCAAAGACTCTGGGGATGAAGCCCAGCAATCTGCATTCTAATGCACCCTTCAAATGATTCTCACGCACACTAAAGTTTTACATTATCTATTAGCAGGAAGAGAAGTGTTGACCTGGTTTTAAAGTCCCGAAGGGCTGCCTAACAATCCTATCAGAAAGTGCAATACAGAAATACAAACAAATCCTTCAGTCACTCTGGAGTTTTAAACAAATGCCCTTATGAAGAAACTTTCAGATCTAACTTGTTTCCATGGACAATAGACAAGGAGTACTCCAAAATGAGGGAGGAATAGAGTGAGGTAGAGATTGAAAAACTACTTATTGAGTACTATGTTTACTATTTGGGTGATTAGTTCAACAGAAGCCCAAACTTCAGTATTAAGCAATATATCCAGTAACAAACTTGCACATGTACCCCTGAATCGAACAACAACGTCAAGAAGAACACAACTTGCTTGAAAATCAAGCCAAAAAAAAGGCCGGGCCCGGTGGCTCACGCCTGTAATCCCAGCACTTTGGGAGGCTGAGGCGGGCGGATCACGAGGTCAGGAGATCGAGACCATCCTGGCTAACACGGTGAAACCCTGTCTCTACTAAAAAGACAAAAAAAAGTACAAAAAAATCAGCCAGGCGTGGTGGCAGGTGCCTGTAGTCCCAGCTACTCAGGAGGCTGAGGCAGGAGAATGGCGTGAACCCGGGAGGCAGAGCTTTCAGTGAGTTGAGATCATGCCACTGCACTCCAGCCTGGGTGACAAGAGTGAGACTCGGTCTCAAAAAAAAAAAGAAAATCAAGCCAAAAAAAAAAGAAAAGGTAGTAAATAGAAATTAACGAAATAGGGGGAGAAACAGTGTAGAACTAATTAATGAAATGAAAAACTAGTTCTTCGAAAACACTAAACAATAGAAAAACCACCTAGTCGCGTTAAACAAAACAAATTAAGAACATAAGAGAAATAATATGGAGATTTTAAAAATCACAAGACAATATGCACGATATTGTACTAATATATTTAAACACACAGATAACAGCCACATACAATGGCACACACCAGTAGTCCCTGCTACTCTAGAGGAGCTGAGGCAGGAGGATTGCCTAAACCTAGGAGTCTGAGTCCAGCCTGGGCAACATAGCAACACCTCATCTTCAAAAATAAAAAAAAATAATAAATTTTAAAAATAAAAACACATAGATGAAACACATGGCTTTTTAAGAAAATATAAATTAGCAAAACTCAAGAAGAGAAAATTTAAACAGACCAATAATCATGGAGAAAACTGGAAAAGAAAAAGATAAATGCTTCAACTAGGTGAGTGATCCAAATGGTGTTAAAAGGCTAATTGTATCAGGCCCTCAAGGTACAGATTAATTCCCTGTTATTTCACTGTTTCAAAGAATAAAGAAAACTGAAAAATGTCCTTATTCATCTCATGAGGCTAGCATAATTCTAATACCATAGTCTATAACCCACATTTGCAATAAGCGAACTATGATGTGCAGGAAAAAGACAATCTCAGACCAATGTCACTTATGAATATAAATACAAACATCCTGGGCCAGGCATGGTGGTTCATGCCTGTAATCCCAGCACTTCAGGAGGCCAAGGCAGATGGATCATTTGAGGCCAGAAGATTGAGTCCAGCCTGACCAACATAGTGAGACTCCATCTCTAAAAAAAAAATAAATAAATAAAAATAAAATAAAAATAAAAATAAAAAAAATTATCTAGGCCTGGTGGTCTGTATCTGTGGTCCCAGCTACTCCAAAGACTGAGGTGGGAGGGTCACTTGAGCCCGGAAGGCTGAGGATGCAGTGAGCCGGGACCACACCACTGCACTCCAGCCTGGGCAACAGAGCAAGACTCTGTCTCTAAAATTAAATAAATAAAAATACAAAAATCCCAAGTTAAATAATAGCAAATTGATACAATAGTTTATTAAAAATCGCTATGACTATTTAAGTATTATTCTATGAATGCAAAGATGATTCCACCTTTGGAAATCTATTGTTATAATTTACTACACTATTAAAGGGGAAAAATGACGTAATTATTTGGTTAGATCCCAAAACTCATTTTATCTGACTTAGCACTCTTTGAATTAAAATTCTCAGGTAGCAAGGAAGAGAAGAAAACCCTTTCTCTCAAATGCAAAGCAAATATCATATTTAACAGTGAGATATTTTAGTTATTTACCAAAAAAGACTGGAAAAAGATAAAAATTCCACTATTATTTTTCTGTGCAAGAAAAAAAAGGACACTAATCATAGGAAGAGAAAAAATTACTAATTTTTATAGTTTACATATCTACCTGGAAAACCTAAGAGAATCAATTCCAAAACTCTTAGAAACAGTATGTAAATTTAGTAAGGTGGCTGGATATGACATTAACATACACTACTGATAAACAATTATAAATTTAACCACAGTGGTACTGGTAGGGAGTGGATGGTCTCATTTATGCAGTAAAAATCTGTAAAGTCCCTAGCCAAAAACACTGTTTAACAAGACTGCAAAAGAAAAAGAGAACAGAGAAAAAGGGAGAGAGAGAGAGAGTAAATAAGTCTGTTTTCAACAAATAAGACCTTAATAAATGAAGAGATACATCTCTCCACTGAACGAGAAAATGAGATCAGTTCTTAACAACAGTCCAAAGACAAGCCCAAGTACATAAAGAAATTTAGTATGTGATAAAGGTAGTACCAGGCACAGTGGCTCATGTTGGTAATCTCAGCACTTTGGAAAGCCAAGGAAGGAGGATCACTTGAGGCCAGGAGTTCAAGACCAGCGTGGGCAACATAGTGAAACCCCATCTCCACAAAAAAATTTTAAAATCAGCCGGTGTGGTGACACATGCCTGCAGTCCCAGCTACTTTGGAAGCAGAGGCAGAAGGATCGCTGGAGGTTGAGGCTGTAGTGAGCCATGATCGTGTCACTGCACTCCAGCCTGGGCAACAGAGCAAGACCCTACCTCTAAAAAATAAAAATGAAATAAAATAATAGAGGTAGTATTTTAAATCATTGGGGAACAATGACTGACTATATGTCAAAAAAATTCTACCTTATATTATACTCCACAAAATTATATTCCAAGTAGATTAAAAAGCTAAATATAACAAGAAAATTAAACAAATATTAGAATATAGGAGAATTTTTTCATAGTCCTCGGGTGGGAAACACTTTCCAAATGTGAAATGAAATCTTAAGCCATAAAGGCAATGACTGACAGATTTGATGACATTCAAATTAAAAAAACTATATACGGCAAAAGATGCTGGCAAATGACAGGCTGGGAGAAATGTTTATAATGTACATGATAGATAAGGTGTATATCCTTAATTTATACCAATAAAAAGTGAAAAGGCAAGCTATAGACAATGAAAATATTCACAATGCATACATCTGACAAAGGACTCATGTCTAGAATATACAAATTCCTACAAATCTATAATAATACTAATAATAGGCAAATTAAACATGCTAACAACTTGAATGGGCACTTGAAAAGAGAATATTCAAGTGATAAATATGTATATGAAGAAGTGTTCATTATTATCAGATAGTATTACATACCCATAGAATGGCAATGTAAACCGGTATACCTACCTACTTTGGGAAACTGGTAGTTTCTGCCAAAGCTAAACATATGCCTATATATACTACAACCTAGCCATTCCAATAATAGATAAATATCCAAGAAAAATGAGTGCATGTGTCCACAAAAAGATAAGTACAAGAATGTTAATAGCAGTTTAACTAATAATAGCAAAATACCAGAAACAACTCAAATGCCTACCAATAGGAAAATAAATTATGGCAGATTCATATAACAATAAAAGGAAACAATAGAAAATAGGTGAATTTCAGAAATATTATGCTGAGTGAAGAAAGACATATGCAAACATATATGATTCCATTTACACAAAGTTCAAGAATTGGCAAAACTAATGAATGATGATGTAAGTCAGAAGTATGATAACCTCCTATGGACTACTGTTAGGACTAGGAAGCCATACAAGGGAACCTAGAGGGGTGGTCCAATTTCTTTATCTTAATTTGGGTGAAAGTTACACATTTAAAAAAATCATCAAGCTGTACTCTTAAGAGCAAGCATCTAGTAAAGTACATAAAAACAACAATAAAATGTAATATTAAAGAAGCTATAAGGCTGGGCACAGTGGCTCACGCCTGTAATCCTAGCACTTTGGGAGGCTGAGGAGGGCAGATCACCTAAGGTCAGGAGTTCGAGACCATCCTGGCCAACATGGTGAAACCCCGTCTTCACTAAAAATACAAAATTTAGCCGGGCATGGTGGCACATGTGTAATTCCAGCTACTTGGGAGGCTGAGGTAGGAGAATTGCTTGAACCTGGGAGGCAAAGGTTGCAATGAGCCAAATCATGCCATTGCACTCCAGCCTGGGCAACAAGAGCGAAATTCTGTCTCAAAAAAAAAAAAAAAGAAGCTATAGTACGAAAGGTAGAAAAGGAATTCATACTACAAAGCAGTAGAAAATAACAACCACAGCTGGGCATGGTGGCTCATGCCTGTAATCCCAGCACTTTGGGAGGCCAAGGTGGGTGGACCACGAGGTCAGGAGTTCAAGACCAGCCTGACCAACAGGGTTAAACTCATCTCTACTAAAAATACTAAAATTAGCCAGGCATGGTGGTGGCATGCGCCTGTAATCCCAATTACTTAGGAGGCTGAGGCAGGAGAATTGCTTGAACCCAGGAGACAGAGGTTGCAGTGAGCCGAGATAGTGCCACTGCACTCCAGTCTGAGCGACAGAGCGAGACTCCATCTAAAAATAAAAAATGAAAAAAAAAACAACCACACAGAAAAAGGGATGAAAAGACAATAAAAAATAATCCACAGAAGAAATGAAATGATAAAAAGTTATATTAAAAGATGCTTATCTTCACAAAACATATAAGAAATATAAACTAAAACTAGTACTAAGATCAGGTGGCAAATATTAAGAATTAAGAAGGTGGCAGGGCACAGTGAAAAAAAAAAAATAACCACACAGAAAAAGGGATGAAAAGAAAATAAAAAATAATCCATAGAAGAAATAAAAATGATAAAAAGTTGTATTAAAAGATGCTTATCTTCACAAAAAATACAAGAAATATAAAATAAAACTAGTACTACCTTAAGATCAGGTGGCATATATTAAGAATTAAGAACGTGGCAGGGCACAGTGGCTCATGCCTGTAATCCCAGCACTTTGGGAGGCCAAGGCAGATCACCTAAGGTTGGGAGTTCAAGACCAGCCTGACCGACATGGAGAAACCCCATCTCTACTAAAAATACAAAATTAGCTGGGCATGGTGGCACATGCCTGTAATCCCAGCTACTTGGGAGGCTGAGGCAGGAGAATTGCTTGAACCCGGGAGGCAGAGGTTACAGTGAGCCGAGATTGTGCCACCGCACTCCAGCCTGGGCAACAAAAGCAAAACTTTGTCTCAAAAAAAAAAAAGAAGAATTAAGAAGGTTAAAAACAATGTCAAGAATATGGGGAAATAAGTATCCTTATACACTACCTTATCTTTGGGATTCCATTTGGTTTAGTCTTTTTGGGTGGCAAATTTGCAGTATCCATCAATATTTTATACAGATATGTTGCAGTTTCACTTCTAGAAACTAAGAGTGCTTCTTGCAGTATTGCTTAAAATAACCAAAACTTCGAAGCATTTAAATGACCACCATTTAGGCAAGTAGTTAAATAATTTAAGTTAAACCCAAAAAATGAATACTCTGCAGTCACTAAAAAGGAATATCTTAACTGATACAGAATGGTATCACATTAAGCGAAGAAAGTTACAATCAATATATCCAATAAGACCCCATTAGTATAGAACAAAACCAAAAACCCATTATATGGGTACATATATAAATGACATAATTTACAGAGTTATAAGTTTATAAACAAATATTTATAAATTACATATTATTTACATATACGTAGAGAAAAGTCTGAAAAAAATACATCAAAATGTTTATAGATTATCTCTAGGTAGTAAGACTTTGAAAGAGAGGATTTTTATTTTTATTTTATATACTTCTGTAACGTTTGGAAAATTTAAAGCAAGCATATATTACTTTTAAAATTAACAAAATGACTAACAGCAATAAAAGATATTTTTTCAGTTTCCTTTAATGTTCTTACCTGCAAGGCTTTTTCCTTTTCATTTGTCAGTTCCTGAGAATGCTTGTTTGTCAAGGCTGCTGTATGTGACGCCCATTCATTCCGTAACTTATCTAATTCTTGTTTTTTTTCTGCTAATGTCTACATTAGAGTTTAACACAAAATATTAAGATAGGCTCCTTAATATGTAATAATTTTGATTAGAATATAGCAATATTTACAAGGATATTAAAGAAAACAAAATTATAGCTTTTCAGGACATGTTCAAAGCCTTTTCCTACACAAAATTTTTTAATTTTAGGAAATCAACATTAGAATAAGAACAATCTTAGACCCAAAACGGCCCACAGGTCAAGATTAACTATCTTTTAATTAAAGCTTTTAATTAAATCTGGCTCTTTACCACCCAATAAAGAGGGGTAAGGGGAAGCAAGTCGATTATAAGGAATAGTTCACTTACATATAAAACCCAGTAACATGGCCCTGTGGGCCACATTGTGCAGGGGTATTTTCTGCATGAGGCCATGCAGATTATCAGATACCGATATAGTTAGGATGTCTGTCCCCTCCAAGTCTCATGTTCAAATGTAATCCCCAACAGAGGAGGCAGGGCCTGTGGTAGGTGATTGGATCATGGGAATGGTTTAGTGCCATTCCCTTGGTGTTAAGCAAGTTCTCATTCAGTTAGTTCATATGAGATCTGGATGTTTAAAAGCATGTGGTACCTCCTTCCTCCCACCCTCACCATGTGACACTCCTGCTCCCCTTTGCCTTCAGCCATGACTGTAAACTTCCTCAGGTCCCCACTAGAAGCCAAGCAGATGTTGGTGCCATGCTTGTACAGCCTACAGAACAATGAACCAATTAAATCTCTTTTCTTTATAAATTACCCAGCTTCAGATAGTTCTTTAAAGCAAAGCAAGAACAAGCTAAAACAGATACTCTGGCCTTCAATTTCATGAACTAGGGCAGAAATGTTGTAGCTATGACTGAAATGATGCTAAGCCTATCAGAGGAATTAATTCTAAACATAGCAAAGAAAGGGAAAGGTTTAGAGCATAGGAACTGAAAAGCCATTTAGGCCAGAGGAATGAGGCGAACAAGTGGGGAGTGGAGAACTAATATATGACAGAAACATACATATCTTATTTAATGAAGACTCGAGGGAACATGTTATATATTGGGGATACAGAAATGTTTGTGTAAAATCAAGTATGTACAAGAGAAAGTATCAAATTAAGATAATTAAGTGGTAGTTGAAGGGTGGCAAAGAGGAATGGAAATTCAACGGAAGCATGCTTTGAAAGAAAATACATAAAAGCTTGGAACTGAGTCAAGGAAGCAATTCAGTGCCAATGTCTGGATGACTTACAAAGACAAAATGAAATTTGAATTACCTTTCGTGTAAAGTCCAGTTGCTTAGTAGCATCATCTAGTGATTGCATCAATGATAATTTTTCTTCCTATTCATAAAAATAATAAAATTACACAGTTTACAATGTAATCATCTATAGCCATGCTACTCAAAGTATAGCATCAGCATCATCCTGGAAGCCTGTTAGAAATGCAGATTCTTAGGCTCCATCTCAAATCTAAATCATTTTAACAAGATCCCCAGATAATTTAAAGTTTGACATGCACTGATCTATAGCATTTGACTAGAAAGACTCTAAAAACTCAAGCAGCATCCCTATGTTGTTTCCTTGTGCCATATAGCACTTTATAATTTTCAAGACATTTCCATATATCTTATCTCATTAAAGATGGGCTAGGGCCGGGCGCGGTGGCTCACGCCTGTAGTCCCAGCACTTTGGGAGGCCGAGGCGGGCGGATCACGAGGTCAGGAGATTGAGACCATCCTGGCTAAAACGGTGAAACCCCGTCTCTACTAAAAATACAAAAAATTAGCCGGGCGTAGTGGCGGGCGCCTGTAGTCCCAGCTAGTTGGGAGGCTGAGGCAGGAGAATGGCGTGAACCCGGGAGGCGGAGCTTGCAGTGAGCCGAGATCCCGCCACTGCACTCCAGCCTGGGCGACAGAGCGAGACTCCGTCTCAAAAAAAAAAAAAAAAAAAAAGATGGGCTAGATAGGGTAGCTATTTCCATACATGTCTACCAGTTGATGAAACCATGACAGAAGAGTTTAAGTGACCTGTCCAAAATCACACGATTGGTAAAAACCCTGAGACCTAAGCTTCTCAATTCCTGGTCCAGATCCATCCCGACTATACCTTGACTAAATAAGAAACAGTAAAATAAATTCGTTATATTTCATAAAACTTTATTTAGAAAACAAAAACTTATGGCAATGTATCTCTTCAATAATTTATCAAAGACCATTGATACTTATTTTGTTAAAAGAATAACTTAAATTTAAATCTTACCTTGCTACATTTCAAACAGCCTGCGAGAAATTTCTTTATCTCCACATCATTTCCAGGTAAAAGTTTTAGTGAGAGGTGTGTAAGATGCTTAAAAGGATTTGTCTCTACCACATTTAAAAATGCAGGTGAGTTATCCAAAATAGCTGCTGGAGAAACTAACTGTAGCAAAAACCTTTGAAAAGAAAATGTTACATTATAACACACTTAAGAGATAGTGAAAATCTCTCACTGAATCAGAAGCTTCTCTACTTAAGAAAGCTCAGGAAAGGGAGCACATTGAGGACTCCCAATGGTAAAAGATAAATTGGGCAAAAAAAAGAAAAGATTGACTGAAACACAGTGACTACATAAAAGTCCATGAGTTCATGAGAAACAAATGAGAGAAAAAGCAAAAACTAGAAACAAAAATTCACTGAGTGCCACAAAAGTAGACTACCAGCTCTTTACTCTAAAAATTGACAATTTAAATGCAAGAATTAAGCATTTATCCTTTATGAATTTTCTGAGTAATCAAATAGCCCTAATTGCTGAGGAAAAGTTCTTCTTTATAGAAGAATTATACTTAATATAGAAAAAATTATACAGAAGCATCATTTTGTTCTTCCTAATGAAATAACTGATTCAACAACAATCGTCAACTGATAAAACCAATAAATAAAAGGTTGATGGTGAACTTTACAGTAAAAGAATCAGGCGTTAGCACCATACACACATACAATCTTAGTCTTCCCTTTTTCCAATATCATTATAAAACCAAATATTTGATGCTGCTAAATATTTCGGATGACTTTAGTGCCTTTGTCAAGACATGAAAATTAAGAAATATTTCTGATTTTAATCAAGATGCCTTAAAGTCTGAGATTTAATGGAGGCCTAACCCCAGTTCTAAAAATAAACAGGGATAGTCATAATAAACGGAAAAGATTTTGCCATCAACTTGTGTTTCAAAGAAGAGTCTGTCTTGAATTAAATTTAATAATGTAGCATTCTCATGCAACTTACCTTGGAATTTCTTTGGCATGTTCTTGAGTACATTGCTGAAGGAGATCTATAAATTTTTGTGGGAAAGCTAAGAAGTCTACCAGAAGACCTTGCTGGAATTTTAAACTATACAGAAGAAAGGAAAAGAAATTTTTTAAAAATTTTAATTAACTTTGTTTTGTTTTGGTGCCTTTTTTTTTTTTTTTTTTTTTGAGATAGAGGCTCACTCCATCACCCAGGCTGGAGTGCAGTGGTGCAATCTTGGCTCACTGCAACCTCTGCCTCCCAGGTTCAAGAGATTCTCCTTCCTCAGCCTCCTGAGTAGCTGGGATTACAGGCACATGCCACCATACCTGGCTAATTTTTGTATTTTTAGTTAAGACAGGGTTTCACCATGTTGGTCAGACTAGTCTCGAACTTCTGACCTCATGATCCGCCCTCTTCGGCCGCCCAAAGTGCTGGGATTACAGGCGTGAGCCACCGTGCCTGGCCAATTACTATCTTTAATTATAATTAGCATCCTGAAGGATTCTTTTTTCAAATTTACTAACGCTTGTTATAATCAAGAACTAAGCTAAGGAACTCTGATTTTTATAGAACGTATTCAATGGGAAAAAAAATCAATAAATTCAGCAAAAGCTTCAAACTTCACAGGTGTTTTAAGCAGAATTCTAATAACCCACAAAATATTTATTTTCCAAAACACCCTAAGTAAAGATAGTACAAATAGCCCAATATTCCCAAAGTAACTAAATCTAATATGTAGGTATGTGTTTGAAAGAGAACAGTACCAATAAAACTTAGAAACTTATTTTTTCACTAAATATAAGATCAGAAAAAAATTTAGTTACCTTTGAAAATCTTCCTCAGATATAACAAGGTTATATAAAAAAAATGGATCCGTGTCATCAGTCAGACGAATAACTAAGTCCTAAAAGAAAGTTTGTTGTTTTTAAATGTTTTTACTAGATCTGGCCTTTTGAGTAATTTCTTCTCAGAAGTAAAGAAATCCAACAACATCAGTGTATCATAGTTATATTGCAGACAGCTTTGTTTTCTAGTGCTGCTGGTTTTTTATTAGTCTTTAGAGAGTTAGAATCTTAAATAGGGGTAGACATTCCGCTCTTTAAAAGCCACATGGAGGTCTGTAAAAGTTAAGCAAGTGCTAGGAGTTGAAAGTTTAGGAATATCCTCCTATCAGAGGCTTGGGGAAATTTAGACCCAGTCCTTGCTACACCATAACATGATGAAAATTTTCTTTACCACTGAACATACCACATTCAATTTTATTTTTAGTTTCCTTAAAGTTAACTGGTATGGCATTTCAAAAGTGGCAAATATATCAGCAGAACTGACAATAATCCACACTAGAAAAAAGAGCTTCTGTCTCTCAGAAGACCAGGGTATCAGGTAACACGTTGCCAGGCTTCTTCCAAAGAGCCTATTCTCTCCTAGGCCAGGTGGCCACTGATATGGAAGCCCAACTGTTTTCAGTCTCAAATGAAGTAAGTACCTTTCATAAAGATCACTTTCCAGGTAGCTACGTGTACATAGTGTGGGAGACCATCATAACAGCTAGAGCTCACAAAAAGTACACCAAAATTATGTACCAGAGAACACTGGTGAAAGAAAAACAGCATTAGTTACAAGATGATGTAAAACTAATAAAGAACTGGGCATTAAGGTTAAGAATTCATTTGAAATAAAATCTCTACTCATGTCTACTGAGGAAATGCTAAGATCCTAGAAAAATCTAAACCACTTATGCACCAAGCTAGAAAATGAAGAGGTACAGCAGGCATAAGGAATAACATGTAAGAAGTATAATATATCATCTCTACTCTGGAAAATTAGTAATTTAGGCACCTGCTCTGCCTCAGAATGCCTTGTTCTTAAGCAGCTTCTATTTAAGTACTTCCTGAAATTCACCCAGGATGCTACTTAAAAAACCAAAGGTACTATTAATACTACTAGGTCCTTGAATGTGTTCAGGGAAAGCTATGGCACACAGAAAACAGATGCTATATTTCAGTGTTTTTTGACATGGGGTCTCGCTCTGTCGCCCAGTCTAGGTTGCAGTGGCACCCTCACAGCTCACTGCAGCCTCAACCTCCCAGTCTCAAGTGATCCTTCCACCTCAGCCTCTCAAGTAGATGGAACTACAGGAGTGTGCCACCACATTCAGCTAATTTGTGTATTTTTTTGTAGAGATGGGATTTCACCATGTTGCCTACACTGGTTTCAAACTCCTGGCTCAAGCAATCTGCCTACTTCAGCCTCCCAAAGTGCTGGGATTACAGGTGTGAGGCACTGCCCTTGGCACAGATGCCGTATTTCTTAGTTCTCTGTTCCAGTGGCCCCCAACCTTTTTGGCACTAGAAACCAGTTTTGTAGAAGACATTTTTCCAAGAATTAGGGAGTGAAGGATGGTTTCAGGATGAAACTTCCACCTCAGATCAGCCATTAGATTCTCATAAGGAGCATACAGCTGAGATCCCTTGCATGTACAGTTCACAATAGGGTTTGCACTCCTATGAGACTCTAATGCCACCACTGATCTGACAGGAGGTGGATCGTAGGAGGTTACACTCGCTTCCCTGCCTGCCACTCACCTCCTGCTGTGCAGCCTGGCTCCTAACAGGCCACAGACCGTACCAGTAAGTGGCCAGGGGGTTGGGGACCCCTCCTCTATTCTATATCCTTAGTTCTGTTAATGACTCACACTTTTGAAGGTTATATGAGACTGATACTCTAAATGCCTCTCTTCAAAACGTAAAGTAAAAGATTCACAAATATCTCCCTGCAGTACTTCGGTTTATTGTTTTTACATTTATACCATGAAATGCCAATTCTACAAGGCAGCAGTGTGTGTGTGTGTGTGTGTGTGTGTGTGTGTATGACCAACAGCAATAAAATATATTTTTATATATATGTTATTATATATATATAATATGCAACTTCTAAGTGCACTGGGCAAATCTAAGGAGAATGTCACCCCACCCCACAATTTTTCACGTATGTTTTAGAAATATATGGTATAGGCCGGGCACAGTGGTTCAAGCCTGTAATCTCAGCACTTTGGGAGGCCGAGGTGGGCAGATCACAAGGTCAAGAGATCGAGACCATCCTGGCCAACATGGTGAAACCCCGTCTCTACTAAAAATACAAAAATTAGCTGGGCGTGGTGGTGCATGCCTGTAGTCCCAGCTACTTGGGAGGCTGAGGCAGGAGAATTGTTTGAACCCGGGAGGTGAGTGAGCCGAGATCGTGCCACTGCACTCCAGCCTGGTGACAGAGCAAGACTCCATCTCAAAAAAAAAAAAAAAAAAAAGAAATATATAGTATAATTATCCTTCAGTTGTTGTCTCAGTAGATTCCACCACCCTTGATTTCCAACAGTTGCAAAATAGCCTAAAATGTAAAAGCAAAATAAATGCAATAAAAGATGTCACATTCTTAAAGAACAAAACTAATTGTCTACAATGTACCGAAATGATATTTCAAAAAAGGACTAAATACCAACCTTTCTGTGAACTGGATTAGAAACTGATTGTAGTTCAATGCTCATTCTTATACTTACTCTCCTGTAGGAAAAGACATACCCAACCATCAGAAACATTCACACGAAATGAGTTATCACTATCATTTGTATTAAGTTTTCAGTCTTAAGTGACAAGACTTTCCACAGGTGTTCTCTAACTTATGAACAGAAGTTTGAAAAGCACACCGGATTTGAAGCTTAATTTCTTCTTGTTCCACTAGTGAGTAATCTAGCAGTGTTTAACCTAAAACTAAATTTTTCTCACCTGTAAAATGGGGATATCGTGAGGATTAAATGAAATAAACACTGTGGAGTGCCTAGCACTAGCCTGATATATGACTTTGCGGCCCTGATTGTAAAGTAACATCTATTGAAAGACAAACCATCAATTTAGTAACTTTTCAACTGTAAAATGGGGATGTTTTGAGGATTAAATGAGGTAAGAACCTCATATACCCTTACTGCCCTGATTCTAAAATAACATCTAGAAAGACAAACCACCAATTTAGTAACAACTTTTCACATTAAAAAATTACCATGTCATGTAATCAAACTGATTAATGAGAGACTGATTGCATTTTAAAAACTTAGTATGTGGCCCGTCGCAGTGGCTCACACCTGTAATCCTGGCACTTTGGGTGGCTGAAGCAGGCAGATCACTTGAGGTCAAGAGTTGGAGACCAGCCTGTTAACACGGCAAAACCTCATCTCTACAAAAAATACAAAAACAAGCCAGGCGTGGTGGCACCCACCTGTAGTCCCAGCTATTTGGGAGGCTGAGGTTGGAGAAATGCGGAACCTGGTAGGCAGAGGCTGCAGTGAGCCAATACTGCACCACTGCACACCAGCCTGGGCAACAGAGACCCTGTCTCAAAAAATAAAATAAAATAAAATAAAAACTTAATATGTGAAGCGATATTAGAATGCTTTGAATGTTTAAAATCAAGGAAATAACATATTCCCTACATTTATTCATACAAAAACGTATTTTCACATCCACGAATTAAATCTGCTTAATATATTCTTTATGTAATAAAACCACAGAAGTATTATCAACAAGTTTATTACACCTATTTTATCCTTGAGTAAAGTAACTTTAAGCCCTGAGAGGGAGAGACCACAGTGTTCCACATCCTATGCTGTATCTTAGAGAATCCAGAATTGGACAGAGGTATATAGGTGAAAGTGCTCATAAACATTAATCAAATAGAGCACAAATGCTTATATAATTCAGAAAATAAAGGGAGAAATTAGTAAAAAATACCTATGCACAAGTACTTCTCAAACTATTCTGCCAGAATTAAATAACAATGGCCTTTCTTTGATGTGCAGGTAGAAAAAAGTAAACTAACAAATAGAATTTGTTCAATTTTAAGTTTTTCTTCTAAGGACTTCTTTTAAACCTTTTCCACACTATTGCTTATCTACTACACAAGTAAAAAGTATAAACAGCAATTGAGTACTGATAGGAAAACTTGGAAACAGTTGATCAAGGCTAGATTCAATTGTTTAGATTTTTTAATGCTGACTTGTAATTTTATATGGGTTTAAAATGTGTCATTTTAGTTAAGTTTCTTGTTGAACATATGATTGGATGCTAAATCTCCGTTTGTACAATAAGGTTAAATGTTACCTCATAACTTGTATCTGTTTTCTGAAAAGGAACAAGAAGCACTGGTTTACACCAGAGAGAGGAAGAATTATTTTCAAAACAAGAGAATACACTGTTGCTATTTTTCTAGTATCTAAAGCAACATATGTGAAACAGATTAGAGTGTTACTCCAATTCCATTTAAGCTTTCCTGAGCTGGGCACAGTGCCTCCCACCTGTAGTGCTGGCTACTTCAGAGGCTGAGGCAGGAGGATAGCTTGAGCCCAGGGGTTCAAGTCCAGTCTGGGCAACACAGCAAGATTAAGCTTTCGTGGTGGGGTGGGGGAGGGGGGGACTCAGTTTCCGAACTTGTAAGATAAGTGGATTCAACTAGAAGGTTTGTGAAAACCTTTTTAGCTCTACATCATTATGTTTGGTTTTCATCTTCTGAAGTTTTCTCTAGTATAAATGCCATAGTGGTATGATACTGCAGTTGGTATTTAACTTTTTATGGTGCTTTACAGTTTATTTTTATTTTAATTATTTATTTATTTATTTATTTTTGAGACAGAGTTTCGCTCTGTCACCCAGTCTGGAGTGCAATGGTGCGATCTTGGCTCACTGCAACCTCCGCCTCCCAGGTTCAAACGATTCTCCTGCCTCAGTCTCCTGAGTAGCTGAGTTTACAGGGGCACAACACCACACCTGGCTAATTTTCGTATTTTTAGTAGAGATGGGGTTTCACCATGTTGGCCAGACTGGTCTCAAACTCCTGACCTCAAGTGATCTGCCCACCTCAGCCTCCCAAAGTGATAGCAGTACAGGCGTGGGCCACTGCACCTAGACGGTGTTTTACGGTTTTAAAAGTCCTGTCATACTTCATATATTTGCAAAAAGTACAAGAAGAATTCACTTATCAAAGTGTTCTTTACATAATCCTGGAAGAGTTATATTACTATGACAATTTACCAATCATATTAATGATATTGTTGCATATATTCCAAATGCCTATATACATTAGATGTTGAAAGAAAAAACGGAAGGCCTGTAAGTTAAACGAATTCCCCATGCTTAGTTAAAAAACATCCCTAGAAATATGCTGTAGAAAAATACAAGCTTTCAGAGGATACGCTAACTAAAATCACAAATCTTATTTTTTCCCTTATAATGGTTAATGTCATAAGAGCAATATAAAACAATAAAAACTCAATAAAATGTTATTTCTCATCTCAATAGATGTCGTACTCAATAGATGTCTAATACTAATGACATTAGATTTAGTTATGAGTTCTTCTAAATAAAAAGTATTCTAAACATCAGGCTTGCTTTAGCACAACTGGATTCTAGGCCATCTCTGACACCCAGTAGCTGTGCTCTTAAACTATCAATCAAACAAATAAAAGGTACTTTAAGCCAGGTATTGTGCCAGGTGCTAGGGATACAAACAGAAATAAACATGGTCCAGGGGCTTGGCACAGTGGCTCACATCTGTAATCCCAGCACTTTGGGAGGCTGAGGTGGGTGGATCACCTGAGGCCAAGAGTTCAAGACCAGCATGGGCAACATAGCAAAATCCTATCTCTACAAAAAATTTATAAAATGAGCCAGGCATGGTGGTGCATGCCTGTAGTTTCATGTACTCTGGAAGCTGAAGCAGGAGAGCTTAAGACCAAGAGTTTGAGATTACAGTAAGCCATGATTATGACACAACACTCTAGCCTGGGCAACAGAGTGACAGCCTCTCTCTAAAAAAAAAAAAATAATAATTTTTGAACATAGGATGACACAAACAAAACAAAACAAAAAAAACCATGGTCTCTGTCCTCAAATTGAGATGAGATTAATGACTTTTTGCTAGATTTGCTTCTGATTGCATTTTAGGGCTCCATGAGAGGGGAGGGAAGGGTTACCAACACTACTGAGTACCTGCCAGGTATTCTACATATATCATCTTATTTAACAATAATCTTGATAAGTAAATATTATTTATTTTACAAAAGAAGAACTTAAGGCCCAAATAATGGTTTAAGGTCACATTACAGAGCCCAAATGAAAACTCAGATCTTTCACCTACACCACACTATCTAATAACTGAATAATGGCAATTCATTTCAACTTAGGCAACTTTGAAGGGTCCTTATAGTGAAAGGATTTAAGACATACCTGAAAGTTATGAAAGAAAAAAGCATTTGAGGCACAAGGAACAGCAGGGGTAATAGTATAGAATGAGTATCAGGTATATTCAGAAGGTAACAAGAATGCTTGTATGACTTTCATATTGGAGAGATAAGCTTAGGAAACAAAACTGAAAAGGCAGATTAGTGTCAAATCATGGGTTCCAAAATTTTGCATAATTTTCCACCAGATGAAGTTCCCTGATCATTACCACTGTCCTCAACTGAATTTCCTTCTTCTCTGACTTTAGTGTACTTATATTACTTTATGCATTTGTCACACATTAATACCTAAAATTTAGTGAACATTTATTATGCTCTAGTCACTGTTGTAAGCAGTTCATATGTATAATTCATTCCATTCTCATAATACCATGAAGTAGGTACTGTTATTACCATCAACTTAAAGATGAGACACAGAGAAGGAAATTGTACAAGATCTGTCAGTAAGTGGAAGAACTGGGACTTAAACCCAGGCAATCTGGCTCCAGAGCCTGAACTCCTAATCTGTGCTATGGTGCCTGTTCAAGGAAAATCTTATTTCCCCTATTAAAATGTGAGTTCCTTGAGGGACAGAATGAAAAGAGGTTTTTGTTGGCTTTTGTTGTTGTTGGGGACGGAGAGGGGGGTGCGTATTTACATCCTCCACACTTAGGACAGTTCCTGAGACACAGCAGACATTTGCCAGTATTTGTTGAGCTGAACTGGCCTCAAATACTCAACCAAGGCGTCTGGGCTGGGCGTGGTGGCTCACGCCTATAATCCCCGAATTTTGGGAGGCTGGGGTGAGAGGATCACTTGAGCCCAGGTGTTCAAGACCAGCCTGGGCAATACAGGGAGACCCCGTCTCTTTTAAATTAAATTAACAACAAAAAAAAGCCAGGCGTGGTGGTATGCGCCTGTAATTGCAGCTACTCAGGAGGCTAAGGTGAGGGGAACCCTTGGGCCCAGGAGGTCAAGGCTGCAGTGAGCTGTAATCGTGCTACAATACTCCAGTCTGGGCAACAGAGCGAGACTCTGTCTAGAAAAAAAAAAAAAAAGAGAGAGAGAAAGAGAGAGAGTCTGGGTTGTTCTTCCTATAGGTCAAGGATCACCAAATTATTCTGTAAAGGGCCAGATAGCAAATATTTTAGGCTTTGCGGGCCATAAGGTCTCTGTCACAATTACTCATCTCTGCCCTTCCTGTGCAAAAGCAGCTACAATATGTAAACAAATGAGCATGGCTGTATTCCAAGAAAAGTTTATTTACGAAAACAGTGAGCCAACTGGCCCATGTGCTCCAGTTTGCTGACCCCTATTATACAGATAATAGGAATATATTAAAGGTTTCTAAGCAGAGAAATTGAGTTTTTAGATTAACTGTGATGGCAATGTAACCAGAAAGAGACCATCTAGGAGTTTCCATATTGAAACCAAAGTCATGGCCTCCTTTATCTTTCTATAATCATTCTAAAACAGTGTTGTCCAATGGAGATACAATGTAAGCCACAAATGTGAGCCAGGTATGTAATTTTAATTTTTTTCTTTTTCTTTTTTTTTTTTCAGAGACAGGATCTCGCTCTATCACCCAGGCTGGAGTACAGTGGCACAAATAGTAGCTCACTGTAACCTCAAGCTTAGGCTCAAGCAATCCTCCTGTCTTGGCCTCCTAAAGTGCTGGGACTACGGGTGTGAGCCACCATACCTAGCCTACTTTTAAATTTTCTAGAAGTCACATTTTAAAAAGACTTTTAAAAGCAGGTGAAATTAATTTTAATAATACATTGTATTTAACCCAATATACCCAAAAATATTGCCATTTAACACATAATATAAAAATTGACATATTTTACATTCTTTTTTCATAGTAAGTCTTAAAAATCCAACGTGCATTTTCATATGTAAAGCACAACAATTCAGATAAGCCCCATTTCAAATGTCTAATAACCACATGTGGCTAGTGGCTACCATACTGGACAGCATTAAAAGAATGATCAACTAAACCTACAGATCTCCATATGCAGCTGCTGGTTTTGGGACCATCTCCTTGACCGGCTTGCCATTGATTTTTGACCGAATTCTGAACTATATATACTACAGTTTGACATTACTGGCAACTCAATAAGGCAATGTCTTCATTTTTTATGTTACATTTGTACACCACTTAGTTTTCACATACGATTTCACACCTGATCCTCATTACAAACACGTGAATACGCAAAAGATTTCACACCTGATCCTCATTACAAACACGTGAATACGCATGTTATATCAGTTTTACAAATGAGGAAAGAACGTTCAGAGAAAAAAAGAGACAACCATTGAGTGTTAGAACTGAGAAAAAAAAAGTAAGTCTCCTGACCTCTGGTCAAATCTATTTACGCCCCAATAATACCACCTCCTTAATCAAAGTTGCACTTCTCTGTGCGACTGGTCTTTATTTCCTCCAGTGATTGTAAACTCCATGAAGAAAAGGACTGTTTTTCCTGACCACTGTATTCCCAGTGCCCAGTAAGGTGTTTTACAAGGAGGCAATATTTATTGAATGAATTAATGACGTTTCTGCTTTTCTCATTTTTAGTCGGTTAAATGTAATTTACTTTTTTAAAGCAACTGATGTGAAGAGCCAAAGTACGCCACCAAATTGGTAGGTTTTTAAAAGTTGAACTTTACTGCCAACATACTTCAAAAGAGAACGAGGGGGAAAGGCTCGGAGCCAAGGCCTGAGTTCTAGTCCTGACCCTGCCATGAACTGGCTGTGAGCCCTCACGTAAATTTTTTTAACTTCTCTGGGCCAGAGTTCTTATCTGTCAAAAGGGAAGAGTAGGGCTATAATCTTCACGATTCCGTGCACAGGTAGGGTTTTTGACATTAACTTGATGTGAGCCGGCTTCCTAACTCCTCACACCCTTCCTCCAGTCCCCTCTGCAACGGCCGACTTGGTGAGAGAGGTAACCACCGGGCCCTCTGGGTTCCCTATCCGCTTCCTAGGGGGGCCGACTCGACACCTAGGTGCAAGGTGGATCCCACGGGCCAGAACCGCCATCTTTCCCCATTGGCCTGACCCCAACCGCCACCCGCGGGCACTGGATGACGCGGACCTTACCTCTCCTCACAGTCTTTGCATTTCACCTGCAACGGGACTAGTTGGTGGAACAGCACTTGGCTCATGTTGGCTCGCTGCCTCGGCTGGTGTGCAGAAAAGCCCAACAGGCCCGGCCCTCGGGATTAGCCTGAGAGGTCCGGGTCCTGATAAAGTTTGAGTTTGGCGCTCGGCTTCTGCGGAGGAGGCGGGGAGGGAGAAACGAGGGGAAGGCGTAAGAGACTTGGCCCTCGCCAGCCACCATCGGATTCTTCCGGTTCTGCGGAGGATAAAGGGAAGACGGTTGTGGTAGTTCCGGGTATTAACCTGTGTGGCGCGGGGGCTGAGGCAGCCATGTTTGTTAAGGGAAGGAGACCCGAAGGAAGCTTCTAACTTTTCTTCTGGTTGCCGGATGCTGGACACCGGAAGCGAGCCCTAGAATTATGGCGACCTCCGCGACGTCGCCGCACGCGCCTGGTTTTCCAGCTGAGGGTAGATGCGGTTACTATGTGGAAAAGAAGAAACGGTTCTGCAGGATGGTGGTGGCCGCAGGGAAAAGATTTTGTGGTGAACACGCTGGAGCCGCGGAGGTGTGGTATCGCCCTACTCTCTCAAGAGTCGGAAATAAGTATCCTGGTCCTGTCGGTGCTGGAACCCGGCCCCTCCCCTCTTTGACAGCTTTCTGCTTGTGTCCCCTGGATTCTCCAGCTTTCACTTTAATAAACCCAGTTTTGCCCTCCTTGCGGAGCGATTATGAGTTCTAGTGATGAGAAATTTTTTATTTTTCTAAGTAAAGCGCCAGCAGTGACCCATTTATTTTGATCTATTTATCTCGATCTTAACTCATGGTAATGCTAGGTTTTAATTTTTACCCCAAGCTACCGCTCCGTCTTCCTGCTGGAAAGTGGTAGTTTAGAAAAAGTAGTGATTGAAGTCCCAAAGGTTTCACTAGTTGTGTTCTAATTGTTATTTCATGAAAGAGAAGCACTTCTCGTGAATGCGGTTGGAAGAAACTTTCTTTTAAAAATTTAGACTTGAGGCCCGGCGCGGTGGCTCACGCCTGTAATCCCAGCACTTTGGGAGGCCGAGGCGGGCGGATCACTTGAGGTCAGGAGCTCGAGACCAGCCTGGCCAACATGATGAAACCCTCTCTCTACTAAAAATAAGAAAATCAGCCGTGGCGCGAGCTACTAAAATTAAGAAAATCGTGGTGGTGCGAGCCTGTAACCCCAGCTACTCGGGAGGCTGAGGCAGGAGAATCGCTTGAACCCAGGAGGTGGAGGTGGCAATAATCCAAGATCACACCACTGCATTCCAGCCTGGGTGACAGCCAGACTGAATCTCAAAAAAGAAAAAAAAATTTTTTTCGACTTACAGTTTTTAAGAATGCAACTTTGCTGGAATGGGAAGGAAAGATTTTTAAATATATACGAATTGACCTTTTACAATTGAGAACAAAGCATACAATTTTGTTTGATAATTATGCATATAAATGTACTATCAAACACTTTATATTTGTATATATGTATATTACTTTAGGATATATATGAGATGGGAAAATAAAAACCAGAGGAGCAAAATGCTCATAGGAAGAGAGCATGTCCTTATAGTTCCACAGAACTATAAAGAATAAACCAAAGCGATCAGCATCAGATTTCATGCTTCTGAATGTTCAGTATTATTTGCATTATTTTATTTCTTAAGGAATTTATTCTTCTAGACAATATCCAGTGCAGATCAGTCCCCTGACCCCCTTCATCTGCCACTCTCCATCATAGTTGTAGTCTACTTCCTATTTTGTTTTGACTGGCATTTACCAAAAGTGAAGCATACTGAAACAAGGACATTCTTGTTTTGGAATATGGGAGACGTGATTTGTTGTGGGAACTCTGAATTATGCCCATAGTCTATTGACTGGTTTTGAGGGGACTGGCAAACATCCCTTGTTGAAGAATGAGAGTTATGATAGGAGAAGGATTTAGACTCCACCTTATCCAGATATATGGAAGGTGAAAACAAATAGTGATGATAGTAGAATATGAATAAATCCTTACAAGCTGATTAGTATTCCTATAGAGGAACGACATATTGTCATTAGACACTTGAAGAGAGACCGCAAAACATCAAGTGGAAACACTTTTATTGACTACTATCTCGTTTTAAATTGTGGCTATCCTCCTGAATCTGTAATTTATGATGTAACTGGATGTTGTGTTTCCATCTTTTTTTCTAAGTGTCATATATAGCTGTGATGACACCACTCATTTTTACCCAGTGGTTCTCGACTGGGACTGATTTTGCCTCCAGTGAACACTTGGCAAAATGAAGACATTTTGGTTGTCAAACTGAGGAGTATCACTGACATCTAATGGATAGAGACCAGAAATGCTGCTAAACCTCCTACAAATCACAGGACAGCCCCCTGCACTCACCCCCTCAAAAGAATTACCTGCCCAAAACGTCAATAGTGCCAAGATTGAGAATTCCTGTTTCTAAATTCAACTAATAAATTTTAAATGTGCTTTTTTTTTCCTATGCTACAGTTAGGCTCTGGGGGTTAGAATAGTCTTTTACATGGAGGTTAGGATTTAAAGTCAGCAATAAGGAAGAAATTATATACAGTATTTTCTTTTTCTTCTATTGAATATATAGTATTTTCAAAAAAAAAATTTCTTAGCTTTCCCATGAAATTCAGTGTGAATAGCTTCATGGACATGCTGAGAGGCACATTCGAACAGAAATAAATTTTTAAAAGAATAATAATAGCAGACACTTAGTCACCACTTACTCTATGTACAGCACTGGGCTAGGCAGTTTTGTTTTGTTAACTATTAGCTCACTTAATGTGTTCAAACCTTAGAAGGTAAGACATATTTTTGTTCTCATCTTTCAGATGAGGCAGTAAGCCTACCTAACTAAGGTCATAGGGATCGTAGCTGGTAGGTAGAGCTGGGTATCATACCTAGGCAGTCTGGCTGGCCTGTGTTCTTAACTGTTATATGACCCCTATTTATACAGATTCATGTGGAATATTGGGTAGAATTGCCAACATTATCAATTTTCCTTTCTTTTTTCCCAGTTCATATAGTCATGTGCCACATAATGACATTTCAGTCAACAACAGACCGCATATATGATGGTGGTCCCATAAGGTTATAATACTGTATTTTTACTGTACCTTTTCTATGTTTAGATATGTTTAGATACACAAATACTTACATTGTGTTACAATTGCCTACAGTATTTAGTATGGTAACATGCTGTACAGGTTTACAGCCTAGTAGCAATAGGCTATACTATATAGGCTAGATGTACAGTAGGCTATACTATCTAGGTTTGTGTTACTATACTGTATGATGTTCTCCCAATGACAAAATCACCTAAAGATATATTTCTCAGAATGTATTCCCAGTCATTAAGTGATGTAACTTAGGAATGAGTAGGATGTAACTGATAGTAAAAAGTTGCAAAGCCAGTAAAATATGGCACATCCAAATGGTTAAAATGCCATGTTCCATTGTTTCTAAGAAACTTTATTTTTACATTTTAACATTCTAAAATCAGGATACATCTTAAAATCCATATGTCAATGGGCAGCATTTTCCAAAAAATGATTAGTATGTGAGGCAATACATGTTAATTAGCTTGATTTAGCCATTCCACAATGTATACATATTTGAAAACATTATGTTGTATTAAAACCATACATAAATAATAGTGTATATTATTTTTATTGCCATAAAAATCACAATTACTTTTGTACAAACCTAATATGTGATAAATATATACAACTATTTGTCAATTAACATGAAATAGGCAGCATTTTTTTCTTTCTTGGTTGTGCATAAAATAGTCATACATATAATAGTTGATGCTATCTTAGATTTCAGACACCATATGTAGGCCTTCTCTATACCCTGTTTGAAGCTATAGACCCTTGTTTGTCCAAAGCAGTATTTGTTCATATGTATTTAAGCCAGTACACTGGAGAGTTTTTGTTAAACCCTTGGGACCTGATTTTGCCAACTTTTCATTATGTCCTTGTAAGGTTTCCTTACCTTGTTTTGAGATTACAGAGACACTGAAGTTATATCTGGTATCTGTAAGCAATAAACTTGATATTTTATTTAAATAAATGTATCTCTTAATTTATTAGGAAGAAGATGCTCGGAAAAGAATCCTGTGTCCTTTAGATCCAAAACAGTAAGTGTGGATCAGATACGGGTTTTTTTTTGTGCTGGAAACAGTAATTGGCACAAGTCTCATTTGAAATAATTTTCTCTTTAAATTTAGCACAGTATATGAAGATCAACTAGCAAAGCATTTGAAAAAATGTAACTCAAGAGAGAAACCAAAACCTGTAAGTGTTTGATCAGTAAAATTGAATGGTGAAATGTGGTATGTAATGCCTTGGTAGATGCTGCACATGGAATGTACTTGTTTCATAGCTGAGGAACCCAAGCTCAGGAAATATAATTTTTTTTTAAAGAGATAGGGTCTCACTCTGTCACTCAGGCTGGAGTGCAGTGGCGTGATCGTAGCTCACTGCAGCCTTGAACTCCTGGACTCAAGCAATCCTCTCACCTCAGCCTCATGACTAGCTGGGACTGTAGGCAAACGACACCACACCTGGCTTATTTTTTTATTTTTTTATAGAGACGGGGTTCTCGCTGTGTTGCCCAGGCTGGTCTCGAACTGCTGGTGTCAAGCAGTACTCCTGCCTCAGCCTCCCAAAGTGCTAGGATTATAGGCGTGAGCCACCAAATCCAGCCAGGAAATACAAATATTTTTAAATTGGGTAGTAGGCAAACCTGCCTGACTTTTGTTCCATAAGTAGACATTTATTTATTACACTGTACAATAAGGGCTGCCATGCGATCCAGGAGGTGACACCATTTCTGTCTTCCAAGGGTGCTTGGTATACAAGCTCCCTTGAAAAGGTAGTCTGGGAAAAAAGATAATCAGTGCCTTTGCTTCTAAGACTCATAGAAAATCGAGACTTATGGGAGGATGTCTTGCAATAGCACCGCTCAGTTACTTTGACAACAAAATACTCCCATTCATTTCCAAATGCCTCCCAGTTGAGAACCACTGGGCCAGATGGCATAAGTTTAGAAAGTATTTTTACATTAAGATGGTGTAGAAGAAAAATGATGACCCTCACCACCACCACCTACTTAGGACTTAGCCCCTTTAATAGAAAGAGAGAACATTGGCTTTGTTTGCAAATATCTTCCTTACCTAAGTTCCAGGTTTCAGTTAAAGCAAGCATGTGCAATATGTGTTCAGAGAAAAGTTTGAGAGGATAGATAAATTTATTAAAAATGGAAACCCTTGGGTGAGTTTCACTGCATACCAACACACAGTGGCAAGGAAATGGAGAAAAGCGGTGGAATGATGAGACGAAGAAAGAAATGCAAAGCAGTATTTATCTGGTTCACTATGTAGAGTAGGACACTTGGAACCCAGGTAAAGGCATATCACTATTCTGCTTTACTTTGGGAAACTGGTGAACAATTTTTTTAAATTTTGTATACTAAATAAAAGTTAGTTGGTTATAAATTTCTCCAGTATAAATAGTTTTCACATTTAAAAATCTAATCTACAACGTAAGTTACCTGGAGCACTCTTGGCAACCATTTTGAACTAAGAGTACATCAAATTCTAATACTTAACAGCTAGTTTTCTATTATAGTTTTTTTCCGTTATCCAGTAAAACATTGTAATTCCTGCAGTAAAACATTGTAATTCCTGCAGTAAAACATTGTAATTCCTGCAGTCTTCACTCATTCCACTCAATCACCAGTTTCCATTGCAAGCAACACACATTCTGTCCATATAGGTAAAGCTAGCAACACACAATCAGGATGTTACCTTTCTGCCTCCATGTAACAAAAGTCCATTTACTACACATAACATAATGTCCCCAAGAGTTATTTTCACTTTTGAAACAGGATTTGTAGAAACAGTACTTTTTCATTCATCTAGATCCACACCGTTCAGTATGGCAGCCACTAGCCACATATGACTATTTAAATTTGAATTAAAACTAAATAAAATTAAAAATCTAGTTTCTCAGTCACACTAGTCATATTTCAGTGGCTGCCATATTGGCCAGAGCAGATGTAGAACATTTCCATCATTGCAGAAAGTTCTGTTGGACAATGGTAATGCAGATCCTTACCTAGAATCTGTATTTCTGAAGCCAGACTAGAAAGATTTCATTATGTGTGTTTGTTTGTTTCTTTGTTTATTTTAGAGACAGGGTCTCCCTATATTGCCCAGGCTGGTCTCAAATTCCTGGGTTCAAGGGATCCTTCTGCCTTGGCCTCCCAAAGTGCTAGGATTACAGGCCTGAGCCACTGTGCCTGGCTTCATTACGTTAATTTAAATAGTGTGACAGGACATTTATATTTTCAAGTTTTAATTAATATTTTAAAATAGAAGAAATCAGACTTATTGTTATAATATCTTTGTCTTATCTGTTTTTGGTCATGCTGCATGTCTGATAAGCAGCATTGTGTAGTTAGTACTTTGCTGTTTTTACTTTAGCACTATAAGACAAAATTATTACAGTTCTCAGTGTATGCTGTCAACAGTCTAGGCTGTAGAACTTTTAATAAGTGTTACAAATGAATTTCTTTAAACTGTAAGTGCTTATTCAGATAATCACCTCACTAGAATATAAGATCCACGAACACATATTTTTGTCACTTTTGTTATCTACTGTGGTGGAGTGCCCAATACCTAAAGCAAACTAGGGCCTAGAGTAAATATTCAATAGTGATTTCATGAAGAAATGAATGGAGGAAGGGAGGATGGCAGGTACAGAGCAGGGGATAAAGGGAAGAATCAGTATTTTAGTTTAATTTTTGTGAGCTACACATTATTAACAGTTCTTTTATGGTTTTGTTTTTGTTAAGGATTTCTATATTCAAGATATTAATGCAGGCTTAAGAGATGAAACAGAAATACCTGAACAATTAGTAAGTACATTGACTTAATATTTAATTTTAAAAGATATTTATAAGCTCTCTTCATGATGTGAATAAGGCATGTTCTAATTTTTGTCTCAAGTCTGTTTTTAATTTAGAATGCATTTTCCTGTAGACTTAATATTGTTAGTGATGGTTAGTTCCTAGACCCAGACCAGCTCATGCCCCATAACAAAAGAAGCTACAATATGGCCCTGAATCCCCTTTGATTCTTGAACCCTTCTGAGCCTAGACTTGTTCTTGACCTTGAGGAAGTTAGGAAAATTAAAGTAGCACAGCAAAGACGGAGTAGAAATTTAGCAGTTGGACAATTCTGATGGCAGCTTAGGGAAAAGGCTTGATAGAGAGAAGAGCCTAAGCTGTCATGGGATTTGCCCAGTTGGTAAACCTCTACTCAGTCTCTGTTATGCTACTTTAAAGCAATTTTTGGCTACATTATTTAGTTTTATTTTTGTATATAGGTTCCAATTTCTTCTCTATCTGAAGAGCAGTTGGAAAAGTTAATTAAGAAATTGAGAAAAGCAAGTGAAGGTAAGACTGCCTAAAGTTGCAAGTTCAATTATTTTAGAGTAATTAGGTGGTATATGAGTTGATACCATTCTGGTTTAAAATATGTTACTACTATTGTTCAGAATCCTACAATTACATGTTTGGCTGCTTAAGCTGTTGTGCTTATATTTGGCACAGGCTTGAATTCTACACTTAAAGATCATATTATGTCCCATCCAGCATTACACGATGCACTTAATGACCCTAAAAATGGCGATTCTGCAACCAAGCACCTGAAACAGCAGGTATGTTTAGGCTATAGTAACTACTAAACATGGCCTTTGTTCATTTGTTAAAACTGTTTTAAATGTAATTATTAATAAGATTTTATTTTGTTTACCTTTGAGGGTACCAAATATTTCCATTTCAAAAATATATAGAAACATATACAAAAAATTGAGGGCATGGATGTGATTCTGAGTACCGTATATTAAATATTTAAAGGCAAGAGAGAAAAATTTTAAGTCAAATACAAATTATCAATGTAAGCATACTGCCTTATGCAGAAATTACCTTGCTGTTTTCCCATTTGAACCAAATGTGTTTACTCTAGTTTATAAAATAATCTTGTGAAGTTTGCAGGCTTCTATTTTAGGTAACATTGAAAATTTAAAGTTACTTGGTCCAAGAAGATGCTTTGTTGAGTTTGGAGCGGGAAAGGGAAAATTATCTCATTGGGTTGATATTGCCTTAAAAGATGCTGAAAAAGTTCACTTCATCCTAGTGGAAAAGGTGACCACAAGATTCAAGGTAAGTGAAACCATTGCTCTGTGTTAGTAACCAAACTTGTTTTCATTTTTTGTATTCAGGAAAAAAGTGATAGAAACATTTCTTAAAAGAAAGGAAAGGAATTTTCTTTATCTGTTTGTTGTAGCTTTTTATTAGTTCTAATTGTATTGATAACTCAAACTGAAGGTGAATTTTTTAATCTAAGTTTTGATAGTCCATTGATCTGAATTCTTAAAATTATTTGCAGAGACAGGAAAATATATAGAAAGAGCCAAGCTCAAGCTAGGAGTTAAAAGTCTTGGGCTCTACTCCTATCTTTGCCACTTGCCCTTCATTCATTAAACAATTTTTGAGCATACTGCCAGGCCCCACCCAGGCTGAAGTACAGTGGCAGGATCGTGGCTCACTGCAGCCTTGACCTCCTGGGCTCATATAATCCTCCCATTTCAGCCTCATGAGTAGCTGGGACTATAGTCCCACGCCACCATGCCCAGGTAATTTTTTAAAATTTTTTGTGGAGACAGGGTCTCACTTTGTCGCCCAGGCTGGTGTCGAACTCCTGAGCTTAAGCCATCCTCCCACCTTACCCTTCCAAAGTGCTGGAATTACAAGTGTGAGCCACTGTGCCCAGCCACTTTATTACTTATATTTAGAAAAGAGACCCAGGCAAATACATAAATGATTGTAGTGAAGTGTTAAAATACGAGAAAGGTCTGCACAGAGTACAGCATGGTTTCAAAGAAGGGAGTGACAAGTTCTATTGCAGGGAAGAGATGGAGAATGACTATGTAGAAAAGGTGATGCTTGAACTAAATCTTGAAAGGTGAATTGGTGTTTGTTAGAGAGTTTGAGAAGCATTCTAGGAAGCAAGAACAGTGTAACCAAATACCTGAAATAACAGGAAAATATGGAAACATTCCTGTATAATGGGAGTACATGGTGCAAAGTAGAGTTCAGCAATGATGGGACTGGAGAGGATGGCTAGCCTATAGAAGGTCTCATATTTTATGCTAAGGAAGGAGTTTGACTATGCTGCTGTCTGGTGGGGATACAATAGAAAAAAGATTTAGTTCTTGGCTTTGAGGAAGCTTACGTCTAGTGGAGTAGACATATAAATATTTGTGTTCAGTATGCTAAGTGTGTTTTGATAGTGGTAAGTACCCAATCCTATGGGAGCATGAAGATAGAGCACCAACCTCAGTCTAGTGTGGGTCATAGAAGTTTTTGCAGAAGTGACAGTTGAGATGAGATTGAAATAATATGTAAGAGTTGGTAAAGTAGAAGGAAATTTTTCAAAGTTTATCCTAGCAGCACCATTAAAACTATATTAGAAGAGTCTGATACTTAGAGAGATTAATAATAAAGATAATTTTTGTCCAACAATCCAAGTAAGAAAGAGGCCAGAGCTAAAGCTATTGCATTGGGATGGAGAGGAGGGCAAGAGTATGAGAAATATTAAGATGTTGGAAGCCACAAGAGTTGGTGATTTGTTAGTAATTGAATATGAGAGATAAGGAGTAATTCTCGGTAGGATTTTTATGGCTTAGGTGACTAAGTGGTGTTCTTTCCTGAGATAAGGAATGAAGGAGGCACAAGAGGAAGGATGGTTTTGGAGACAGAAATAATGAGTTCAGTTCTGAATGTGTCCAGTTTGCTGGTGAAGTAGAGCTTTCTAGTTCACAATTGAGTATGTGTCTGATGCCCATTGGAGAGGCCTGAGCCACAAATGTAGATCAGCCGGTCGTGGGCACATAGGTATAGATTAGAATGGTTGTGATCTTTCAGGAGAGCAAGAAGAGGAGCGAACCAAAAATAGTACACCAGGAGTGACAAAGATAAAGGAGCTAGTAGACAATCTTAGATAAATCACTTAAGATCTGTGAACTTCAGTTCCTTTGTCAGTGAATTGGGAATTTTTAGGGTTAAAGGAAATAATGTCTATGTAATAATTGATAAACATTTTCAAATCTTTTTTAAAAAGTGTGATATTTTGAAGTTCTCATCAAAGAATGTACAATCTTAATTTTTAAATATGTTCTGTTGCTCTGAATTTTGAAAACCAATAAAAATCTTTTTATTTTCATAAAGCTTTTTTAAATGTAAGAAGTGATTATTACAATAATGTTCTGTTTGTGCAGGTGGATGGAAAACACAGAAAGAAAAATTCAGTGTTTGAAAGACTTCAAATTGATATTCAACACTTGTGTTTGAGTAAGTTGTGTAACTTTCCATTGGTCTACAAATAAATCATAACTGTTTTAAACTCTGAGGTTGCTTAGAAATCCAATCATGCAGAACTGTGCTTCAGGGAAAACAGTCAAATCAATTCATTGTTAATATAGAATGTTTTATATAATGTTTTTAAATAGATGTAAATTGAATTAAGGTTGAGAATTTTAAAAATTTTCAGTATCAAGTGGAAATGAAGTGTTATATTAGGGAAGAGTTTAAAAGTTTTATAATATGTACTTCTGTTGTTTCTTTGTCCTGTTTAAATTAATTTTGAGTCTGTTCAAACTATAAACTAGCCTTCTGCCTGCAGTTAACGTGACTTTACCTAAACCATGAAAGAAAATGAGATATTTCTCTGCCTAGCTAATGTGTAAAAGATACTTCCTAGAATTTTAAATTGTACAAAAGAAGTCATCACTGTGGGATTCATATTCCATACACAAAACACACACAGACACATACACACACAAACTCCTCAATCAACCTCTGTAGTGCCCTTTTTATACCTTTTCTATTTTTCAGATTATCCAAAGAAAATAATGCAAACATATCTTTGCAACCTCTTCCATTCACCAATTTTAATCCAGCCATGAAAAGCAACCCAGCATTTGTATAGAAATCAATGTATTTAAAATTATTTAGCTGAATATATTAACTTTCTGATGTTATGAACCCTAAACAAGTTCTTATGTTATATGTTGGGTTCCATAAAGTGATAATTTTTGTTTGAGTCTCTTTCAGGCTAAAATTCAGAGACTCTAATTAGTTCTTTCTTTTGGAAGGCCACATTAATATGTACTTTATTTCACTAGACAGTTAATTCTCATTTCCATTTCAGACAAGATTCCTGTGCTAAGAGAAGAAAAACTACCTGTGGTAGGAATTGGAAAGCATCTGTGTGGTATGGCAACAGGTACGTAAACATACTGATAATGTTTACATTAATGCATTAAGTTTTGGCCTAACCTGGCCCCAACCATTTCAGTGGTCTCTTTTGAATAGATATCTTATGTTTACAACTCAATAATCTTTATAGAGCACTGGCCCTGTGCTTTATTAGATGCATAGCTTTCCTATTTATCTGCTCATATTGGCCATTTTGCAGGATGAATTAAGAGTTTTGTATGTAAATACTGCATCACATTAGACCTTAAAGTTCTTTGGGTTAAATTTCAACCAGAAAAGGAAAATAAGACCATTTATGGAAACTGTATGATTCCACCTAGAAGCTACTGATTTTTTAGAGTAGTTGCTTAGAAAGAACTCAGAAACCTCTTCTACTAAAAGACTATTGTGTTTCAGGATTCTGGGGAAAAAGAAAAAAATAAATGTTAGACAAAAAAAAAAAATCTAAGATGTCTTGTCTTAGCACTTTGATCCATCAGATCTAGCATGGTAAAGTGGAAACAGCATGTGCTTTAGAATCAGATAGTCTAGCCTTCAGCTTTGTTGTGTAACCTTGTCAAATTACTTAACCTTTCTGAGCTTTGGTTACCTCATCTATAAAACAGAGATACTAATATATTAATAATTTACCGGGTTGCATGTAAAGTGTCTGGCACATAATAGTGCTCAATAAATGTTAATTATTGTTACATCATCTTCCTAACTTTTGCTAGTTTCATCATCTACCCATATGGATTACTTGGAGCATCCATAGATATTATTCATATTGGCTGGAAATGGCATTGAGTACTATATATTTGTGTTGGCCTTCATAGTTTTTAAGACTATAGTCATGTACAACATAACGATGATTTGGTCAACAATGGACTCATATATGACAGTGGTCCTATAAAATTATACCATATTTTTACTGTACCTTTTTTGTATTTAGATACACAAATACCATTGTGTTACAGTTGCCTACAGTATTCAGTAACATGCTGTACAGGTTTGTAGCTTAGGAGCAATAGGCTGTGCCATACACCCTAGGTGTGTAGTAGGCTACACTACACCATCTAGGTTTGTGTAGTACACTCTGATGTTCCTACAATGATGAAATCGCCTAATGCATTTCCCAAAACATACACCAATAGTTAAGCAATGCATGACTGTACTTTTGCATACCTTATCTCATTTAAGCCTCATAAAAGTCTTCTAAAGTAAACCAGTTCCATCCCGGGGGTAGGAGGGAGTACACTCTTTTGACCTACAGTGGCCATTTCTCATGTTCCACATAATTTTTTCCCTTGATTCACTGTATCTGAATCCTCCTTTTGTCTCTGCTGCAGTTGCTTACCCTTTTTGAAATTCCATTTTCTTCTCTTTTGCGATACTCTTATTTCCTGGTTCTTCCCCTACATCTATGCCATTCTTCTGTTTATTTCACAGTCTCCTTCCACTTCTGTCCTTAAAATACTAATATTCAGGCCAGGCACAGTGGCTTATGCCTGGAAACCCAACACTGGAGGCTGAGGTGAGATGATTGCTTGAGGCTAGGAGTTCAGGATTAGCTTGGGCACATAGGAAGACCCCATCTCTACAGAAATTTGTTGGGCACGATAGCTTGTGCATGTAGTCCCAGCTATTCAGGAGGCTGAGGTGGGAGGATCACTTGAGCCTAAGAGTCTGAGTCTGCAGTCAACTGGGATAGCACCACTGCACTGCAGCCTGGGTGACAGAGCAAGACCCTATCTCAATCGGTCAATCAATCTCAGACCCATCTGCTACACAACTAATGTGTCTTTCCCTTTAAACTCTTCGGTACTTCCTGATATAGTCCAAACTCTTTGACATAACGTTTTAGTCTCAATCTGGCTTCAGCCTTCCTCTCTTTACATTCCCTGTCTCCTACTTTGCTGTTCAGCAACATCAAACCCTGTGTGCTTTTCCATAGACTGTACTATTTCTACTATATCTGGAATTTCACCCCCATTCACCTACTCACCCAAACAAAACAACTGGTCAATTTTTACTCATCCTTCACCTCAGTTGTCACCACTCTCAGGGAGCTCCCTTAAATAAGATATGCCTCCTTGGTGTTATCATAATACCCTCTGCATATTTTTACCTTGTGGTATTTTAATTATCTGTTTATATATCTAATTCTTCCACCATGCTCTGAATTTTTTGAGTATATGGTATATACTTAGTACGATGCTTGCTATATAACAGGAACACAGTGAATATTTGAATGAATGAATAATCTTGGCTACCAATTTGCTGTGTTTCCTTGTCCCTTTCTGCATATGTGGCTTTGTCTTTTAAGTTCTTTATAAAAGATGAATTGAGATAAATTGCTAAAGCTCCTTCTAATTCTGAAATAACTTAATTCTTTTTTTTTTTTCTTCGAGACGGAGTCTCGCTCTGTCGCCCAGACTGGAGTGCAGTGGCGCAATCTCGGCTCACTGCAACCTCCGCCTCCCGGCTTCAAGCGATTCTCCTGCCTCAGCCTCCCGAATTGCTGGGACTACAGACTCGTGCCACCACGCCCGGCTAATTTTTGTATTTTTAGTAGAGACGGGATTTCACCGTGTTAGCCAGGAAGGTCTCCATCTCCTGACCTCGTGATCTGCCCACCTCAGCCGGCGTGAGCTACTGCGCCTGGCCTGAAATAACTTAATTCTTTTAATAATTTATCTGGTTATTCACATTTCTGAAAATCACTTACTTAAGTCAAATATGAATAAAACAATGACTAAATGTATTTTGTCAGAAAATAATAGTTTATGAAATAATAGATTAGCTATCACTTTCTGCAAATAATGGGTTTCTAATGTTTGTTGACTTAAATTCATATATTGAATTAAATTTACTAGTGAAATATCAGATCATTTAATAGTCATTTGTGATATCTTAGGGTAATAAAATTTTAAAATATGTATATGTTTTTGATTGAACAGACACAACATGACAATCTAATGATTAAGAAGATATGGGTCCTACATTTTGGGTCTTTCCAGTATTGTCAACAGTGTAGGAGTTTTCGATGGGAAATAGCCATAGTCATCAAAAATCCATTTATTTAGTTTTAAAATATACTAAAATATTTTCATTGTAATGTGGAGTACATCTGCCTCTTAAGTTTGTGTATATTAATAATTGTATCCTCAGTGCTTTGCACATGAAAGGCATTCAGTAAATGTTTGTTAAATAAATGAATAAATACAGTAAGGCTACTCAGTGAGGCCTGCTTTCCAGATTCTGTTCTGACGCCCTCTTTTCAACTCTTCAGTTCATCACTATTTGCTATGAGCCTCTTCAAGACAAGCATCTTGACCTAGCATCAACCTAAACAGATTTGTCTGCCCTTCCTCCCTCCCTTCCTTCCTTCCTTCATTTTTCCTTTCTTAAACTAGAATGTAAGTGTAGGTGAATAAAGTTTTCCCATACAAGTCATTTCCTCAGCTAAGGTAGGAAAAGTGAGAGACAATTCAGGTAGTTGGGTAAAAGTTCTTCAAATTGTAGATCTTAAGCTTCAGATAGCTTTATTGGGAAGTAGGCTTTATGCAGAATAAATCATTAAAGAAATTGAGAAGATAGAAGAGCAAATTTGAATGAAGTTGATAATTCATGATAGTATTATTACAAATATAAAGCTGAGTAGGTTTTTGCTGTTTTTATTGTTGAGTTTTTAAAAACAGTACTGCTTAATAAATGTAAAAAGTATTTATTTTTAAAGATGATGTGGTTTGGGGGGGCCACATAATTGTGTTTGCAGATCTTGCATTACGATGTTTGGTTGAAACCTATGCTGCCAGTTTTGAGGAAAGGAATGAAGAACCTTTAGCCAAACGCATAAAGAATGATAAAACAGAAAAAGAAATTTACACTTTGGCCAAGGAAGGAAATGAAAAAAATGTCCCAGAGAAGTGGAACCCTGTGGCTGGCATTGTTATTGCACTCTGTTGTCACCACAGGTGTGATTGGAGACATTATGTGGGCAAAGAATATTTCAGGGCTCTAGGCCTTGGAGCAGTGGAATTCCATTATTTCCAGCGAATGAGTAGTTGGGCAACTTGTGGGATGCGGAAAACATCTTTGGAAACCTCAAATAGTACCACAAAGAGGCAAGATAATCAGAATGATGATAGTGAAGAGCATGATGATGGAGGATACAGAATCACAGATGATGGCGCTGATTGTTTGCCTGGGTAAGAGACTACTTTTGTAATGCATGATACTAAAGGAGAAATATTATATTGTACTGTACTTTAGATGACTATTATCAACAATTCATGAAAATGTATTTTATAATCTAATTTTAGAATAAGCTAAAATATACACATCTTTTATTGTGGTCATAAATATAATGTGTCTTGGAAGCATGGGACAAAGTACTTAGTACATTATGGGTTAGTTAACAGTCTCTCAATAAATAGTGACAAAAATAATTTTTTATAAACTTTTGCAAAATTTTAACAATGTTTTGTGTGTGTTTATTCAATTTAGGCTTCTTAGTGTTGAAGAAAAGAAGAAAATAGGGCATCTTTGTAAATTGCTGATTGACCAAGGTCGAATCCAGTATTTGCAGCAGAAGGGATTCAGTCCTGCTTTGCAGTACTATACAGACCCTCTGGTGTCTTTGGAAAATGTTTTGTTAACTGCTTTACCAAATCATTCTTCATCACCAGAAACAACTGCTTAATGGAAAAGAAATTTGAGCATCATCTGTCTTCCACCAAAAAAAATTTTTTAATTATATTTTTATATCAAAAAAATATATACTTTAAATAGCAAATAATATGAACTTTAAAAAATGCTGTGGCCTCATTAAACTTTGGTAATAGCTTTTCTTTTTACTTCAGAAATCCAAACATTAGAGAATTCACCAAAGTAATCCTCTTTAGAAGGGCATCTTGAATTATATTATCCATCCGTATTTATGGAGATTGGTAAAGTAGTTGAACCGTTGACTTGGTGATCTGAAACATACATAACATGTCAACACATAATTAGCGTATTTCTGTTTGTATTAATTTTGGAAATTTATCTTCCTTTGATTTTATTTAATATTTTTTATTTCTTAAGTTCAAGAGGTAGTGATTGATTGTAACAAGGGCCAATCTGAGAATTTGACTTATATGTGGACATTTTTCCCTACAGATCTGGAAAGCACAATTGTGATTTTCTCAAATGCAGACAATTCAGAGATATTCACAATTAATAAACACAATTAATTAATGAAGTCACCTTCAAATTTCCAGAGCCATACATGTATATATTGTCAGAATCTGTCCATGACAAACACAAAACTGAAGAGCTGTTTTCAAAGAAAAAAGATTATTTCACTTAATTATTTTGTTGGATAATTGTCTAGTTAGAACTTCCAAAAAGATACTTACAAACATAATTCACAAATTTGAAATAATTTCTGAAGTTGATTAGCTATCTCATATCTTTTATCAGGTCATTTTTTATATATGTAGGCACAAACAATAAGTATGTTCTCTTCTGTTTGGGAAAATAATTTGGAATAAAATAGAAATTAGATAATGAAACCAAAAACCTTCTCAAATTTAGGCCTTATTTAACTCATGACTGGTTTCTATGCACAAGAAAATACTAAACCAAATATATGGTAGGACTGTTATTCTCTTCTGCATCTTATCCCTATTTTGTTTCTGCCTTTATTTGTAAAAATTGTCTTAATTGATGGTACATTTGCCAAGACAAAGGTTCAGAATTACTAATTTTAGATATTATGATATTCTGAAATAACTATTTTTATCCTGTAGTTCTATGATTATATGATTTGTAAATAAGAAGCCTAACCAATTTAAAATTCCTGACTTTAGTCTCATATATCTTGTCAGACTGTCTCGGTTCAAATTCCAAACCTACCATCTTCAGTTGTGCGACCTTGGGCATGCTACCTAATCTCTTTGTGCCTCAATTTCCTCCTTTTAAAATGGGGATGATGATGATAACAATAATACCTACCTCACAAGGTTGTTGTGAGCATCAAATGAGATAACACAAGTAAAATGCATAGAACAGTTCCAAGCACAGAGTAATTCAATAAATATTAACTAGTAATAGTAGTGGTAGTAACTCGTGAATCTTTTTAATAACATAATAGGCTTTGATTTTATTATCTCTTTAAGTTGTTAACTTTTTTCCCTTGTTATAAGTTTTATGTCAAGTAAGGTAGTTTGTTTAAGTTAGTTACCCATGTCCCCAATCAAGGGAACCTAAATGAAGATATATCATTAAATAATTAACCTTTTTTTATTGTGTCAAGCAATACTAATTTGTGTCATAAAATTTGTTTTGCATCATTCAACAATTTATGCCCAGAAATAAACAATATTCTACAACAGGCATAATCTCATTTATGTTTGATAAAATATACATACACACCCAAGAATTATCATACAGAAACAGTTCTGTGGCCCATTTAGCTTAATGGTATGTTTCTGACAATGGTATCAAGTACCTTAAAGGAAGATAAGTTTGTCCTTCAACATGCCAGCCTTAGGTCAGGATTATTGTTTTCCTAACTGTTAATTTGTCTTCACATATCATGAGAAAGTGACTGTGGGATATGCATACAGCTATTTCTTGTCCTGCAGAATTTTCAGATTCAACAAACCTCTTCTTGAACTTCAGATTCACCTGCACAATTACCACAACTTGCATGTTCCACAGGTGCATCAAATTTACTGCTAAGGGCCAGGTGTGGTGGCTTACACCTGTAATCCCAGCACTTTGGGAGGCCAAGGCAGGTGAATCACCTGAGGTCAGGAGTTCGAGACCAGCCTGACCAATATGGTGAAACCCTGTCTCTACTAAAAATACGAAATTAGTGGGGCGTGGCGTGGTGGTGCATGCCTGTAAGCTACTCAGGAGGCTGAGGCAGGAGAATCACTTGAACCTGGGAGGCGAAATTTGCCAAGTGAGCCGAGATTGCACCATTGCACTCTAGCCTGGGCAACCAGAGAGAAACTCCTCAAAAAAAAAAAAAAAAAAAAAAAAGACTGCCAAAATTAGAAATCATCTTCTGCCTCTACCACCTGATTCTATTCGCCAACCCATCTTCTGTACTTCATTCTCCATCTTAGCACCACCATCTATCCAGTTGCCCTCTAAACCAAAAACATTCATTGTAAACTCCCTTTTCTCATCTTCATTCAATTACCAATTCTGTCTCCTAATTGTCTTTATATATTCTCTGCTTTCCAAAACTAGGTCACAATTATGACTTTTTTGCCTGTCTTCCCCCAATCTGTCTCCATGTCATTGCTTCTATGACCTTGCTGCAATAAATCTAATCACCATTTCCTAAACATCCTCCACTGAATGTTAGTAAAAATTATTTCCTTTAGCTGAAAAACTCTGTCATTGTCTTCTCAGTTATATTCATTTTTCAAACTAGTTGTTGCATTAAGTTGAACTAAAATCTACCTTTTAAGTTAAAAATTCTTAACATTTTAAAATTATAAGACTATGATTTCTGTTACTATTGTTTCATTGTTTTTATTAACAAATAATTGTGCACTTTGTCCTCTTCCCCTGATCTTGGTTTAGCTTAAAGGCCCTCAATTAATTATCAGAGACTAAGTGATTGAAATCTCTATATCAAAACCTCACACTTTGTTCATTAAAATCTGTGTTCTCAGCCAGACGTGGTGGCATGCACTGATAGCCCCAGTTACTTCAGAGGCTGAGGTCGGATGATCTCTTGAGCCCAGGAGTTCAAGGCTACAGTGAGCTATGATTGTGCCTTTGAATAGCCACTGCACTCCAGCCTGGGCAACATAGTAAGACCTCATCTCTTTAAAACAAACAAACAAACAAACAAACAAAAAACTGTGTTCTCAATATTTTTCATCCCTAGGTAAATTTTTTTTTCTATTTATGGAATGACAGGGAAGGTCAGTTCATGGTCAAACTGCTATGTGTGGCAAGCTGGTAGAATGAGGTAGCAAAGCTTTAAGAATCATGTCTTCACTCACTTGGTTTTACTTCAGATGCTTAGCCAAAGGATTTATTTCCTTCCCCCACTTGAAAGACTTTGAATATCTTTAAAACCTCTCTCTCTATTTCACTTTTTTTCTTCCCACAATATTGACTAAGAGAACAGAATTTGACAGAAAACTTAAGATGGAATGAGAAATATATAAAGGAATTAATCAAAAGGCAGCAGTTAGTGATACACACATTACTCTACCAAAAAACATTTAATCTGTGTTATATACAAATCTTATACCTGCTCTTCTCCGTGACTCTTGTATGTATGTGTGCATAAACTGAAGGCCAAATAATTCCCGTTCCTCTTCTTCATCTGTGCCTTCACTGGGAGGAAGTGATACTTTCAATTTCAGTGGGTTGTCTCTGAAGTTGACAAACCTAGAAGTTCATCAAAAAACAGTATTTTTATAGGTGTCATGGAAGTGTACATTTATTTCCCTGGAGAAAGGTCAAATGATAATATACTAAATTACTCGTTTTTAACTGGTTTCAATAACTGAACGACTTGGTGAGATGTGATATATCTCAAGAATCTTATGTTTTTTTCCTAAGAGAAAAAAAAACACTAGCTTTAGACAACTTACTTTCAAAGCTTATAAAAGCAACTGTTAGTCTAGTTGCACAGGCTGGAGTGTAGTGGCATGATCTGGACTCATGGCACCCTCCACCTCCCGGGTTCAAGTGATTCTTGTGCTTCAGCCTCCCAAGTAGCTGGGACTAGAGGTGCACACCATGACGCCCGGCCAATTTTTGCATTTTTAGTAGAGACAGGGTTTTGCCATATTGGCCAGGCTGGTCTCAAACTCCTGGCCTCAAGTGATCTGCCTGCCTCAGCCTCCTAAAGTACTGGGATTACAGGTGTGAGCCACCACATCTGGCCTACAGCATATATTTAATGCAATACAGCTTAACTTCTAAGAGCAATTTTAACATATCTTAAATATAAAATTAGTGCTATGAACTTAGTTTCTGCATAATTTATATACCTCCATCTTACTTATCATTGTGTCTTCACCACCCAGTACAAGGCAGGTAGTTGCTGAACAAGTGAATAAATGAATTATTTTGTTATCGAAGTTTTGGGTTTTAGTGGGTATTCTCTTATTCTCATTTGTCAGAAGATTAAGCTTTGGAAGAAAAATACTTGAGGGAGCGTTCAAGATGGGTTAAAACTTAAATGTCACATCTGAAACAGTAAAAATCCTAGAAGAAATCCTAGGAAAAACTCTTCTGGACATTGGCCTAGGCAAAGAATTTATGATGAAGACCTCAAAAGCAAACATAACAAAACCAAAAATAGACAAATGAGATTTAATTAGAAAAACTTCTGCACAGTAAAAGTAATAATCAACAGTTAATAGACAACCTATAGAATGGGAGAAAATATATGTAAATTATACATCTGACAAAGAACTAATATCCAGAATCTACAAAGAACTCAACAAGAAAAAAACCAACCCCACAAGCGGGCAAAGGACATGAACAGACATTTCCCAAAAGAAGACATACAAGCAACCTAAAATAATCTAAAATAATTTTTAAAAAGAAAAAATGCTTGACAGAGTTTTGATAGTACTTAGTAAAAAGTTATATCTAGTGGCTTTTTGTTTGTTTGTTTTTGTTTTGTTTTTAAGAAATAGTCTCTGTTTCCCAAGCTGGAGTACAGTGGCGCAATCTTGGCTCACTGCAACCTCGAACTCCTGGGCTCAAGCGATCCTCCAGCCTCAGCCTCCCAAGTAGCTGTTATAGGCATGCACCACCACTCCCGACTAATATATCTGCTATCAATAACATAATTGTTTCCCTTTGTGCTTATTTAGGAAATAAACACTTTTATGCTTTTGATTTTTATGTTGTGAGTGAAGTTTTTTTAGCTGTATAATTTTCATGAAAATGTCATCAACAGAGGACATTTCTTTTTTTTTTTAGGTTGGTATTATAACATTTATTAAAATAATGCTATGGGTTAATACAAACAGCGAAGAACCAAAGAATTAAAATGCAAGCTATGTAAAATCCCAACTAAAACCCAAAAATGTCTAATGTATTCATTCATTTAGCTAACTAGAAGCCCAAAAGAGACAAGACACCCAATATAATAAAGTACTGCAAAACAATTGGCAATTTTCAGTTATCAAAATTGTGGATTTTGCAATTTGTATCCTTTTCTCAAGAAAAAAAATTCCTTTTGAATGTTATGTAACATACATATAAAACAAGATAGAAAAATACACTATAAACTTGTAACAATGGCTGTAAATATTTTATCTTACATGTTTCTCATAGGCAATAGGTTGGTTATGGTACATACATAGCATGAAACATAATAAAGAAAAGACAAAAATACTTGTCAGCTGTATGGTAACATACAAGTGACACTCCCATCTACCCATGCTAAAAAATTACATAATACTGTGAGAAAAAAAGTCTTAAAAACTACATATTTTAATAAGAAACAAATTCAATGAAGAATGATAATACTGAGAACCAAGGCATTCAGAGATTTCAAGTCATGCTTTTTTTCAGTTGATTCAAAATTTTGTCAACCAAGTTTTCAAAAGTTTGTTCAGAGCCAACATTACCCATAAAGGTCACACATTTATTATTTCATACATTTACTTTCTTCCCCATAAAAGACCTTTGATAAACATCTAAAATGGAAGACATTTCTTAAAGCTGATAAATCCCAAACTGCTTTAGTTTTAAGGATTCTTTCTTGAATAGACCAGTGTTATATGAATCCTATTCATCAAATTATAGAATGTCAACATTGGAAAAGATTTTTAAGATATCCATTCACATAAATAACAACTGAAATTTATTAATAACAATCTCTCTACAGTACTTTTTTCTGTAGCCAGAAAGAAAGCAAGGTTTTTCAGTTTTGTGCCTACAACTTTTTACCTCAGATTTGCCATTTCTTCCATGCATACTGGAATATCTTGCAGTTTATTGTTGCTGAGAACAAGAGTACCCAGATTTTTCATATTGCTGATTGTTTGAGGCAAGCATGTTATTTCATTTCGTTGCAGCCATAACGTATGTAGATTTTGCATTCTGAAAAATTAAGGTTTCTACAATTAATTACATATAATATGAAAATATTGGTTTTGGAGTTTTAACAAATAATTTTAAGAGGTAGGGGTCTTATCATGTTGTCCAGGATGGTCTCAAACTCCTGAGCTCAGGCTATTCTCCCCCTCAGCCTCCTAAAGTGCTGGGATTACAGGCGTGAGCCACTGCACCCAGCCTTTGGTTCTTATGTTAAAAATCAAATGTCTTTTACAACATCTTTAACCAGTATACTTATTGAGTTAACTGACATCACATTACCTGGTTATTAGAGAAACCACATCAGGAAGTTTATCTCTACAGTACAACTCTCATGTCATATGGCAATAGAAATGAAATCAAATCAACATATTCTAGAATTCTTTCACTATTCTCATAGGATTTCTTGAAGAAGAACTACTGTAAATGTTACCTAATCTGAGACAGAGTCTTAAGAGAACAATAAAATGATGAATATGCCCATTTATAGCAAAGCAGTATGCATAATGCGTAACATCATGAACTCTGGGGCCAGGCTGCCTAGGTTCAAATCCTAGCTTGCCCACTTACTAACTTGAGCGAGTTAGCTAACATCTCTGTCATTAGTTTCTTCATCCACTTGTAAAGTGCATAGAAGTGCTTGGCATATGCTAAGCAAGGTGGTTATTGTGGCATATTCTTGTTAATTTCTCAAAGTCAGCCACTTTTGGCCAGGTGTGGTGGCTCAGGCATGTAATCCCAGAACTCTGGGAGGCTGAGGTAGGTGGATCACTTGAAAAAAGCCAGTTTTTTCTTCTTCCCAAACCCTTTTACTTACTTGGAACAAATGAAAATATTCTGTTAAAACAGTGTATTTCAAACTAGTTGGACCTATTGTGATTGATTATGCTTGAGATCCCATTTGTCTTGCTTGGTTATTTTTCATAAGAGGTTTCAAGACTTTTATCATTAGCATAAAGAGTTATTTCTTTTACCTTTCTATAGTATCAGGAAGTTGTTCAAGTTTGTTGCTTCCCATGTCCAGCCACTCAAGGGCAGGCATGTTCAACACAGCAAGAGGGATTGTAGTAAAATCGTTCATACTCAGATCAAGGTGAGTAAGTTTTAGCAGATTGCTGAGCTGAAGAAGAAAGCAAGGTTTTTCAAAATAAATGTCCACAATGTAAACTACTAAAAGACTCACATTGGTAAAGGAGATATTTCACATCCAGGAATATTCACATTTTACTTGGGCTTTATTTAGTCATATTAGTCCGCAACAAATTAAAAATAAATATAAAGCTAAATGACCTCCAGGGAAGTGGAAAACTCTCATAGAAAGTTCATCTATTTGAAGAAAATTTATCTTTCATAATAACCTGGTTTCAGGGTTTATAGAATGTGCCTGGCAAAACCTTTTTTTCCCTGAGAGTAAGCACCCATTATCATGTTTTCCTTTGATCCAGTAGTTGAGAATTGTATGGGAAAACTCAACATTTAACTTCCAAATAATAGTGGTGGAGGAAAGGGGTAGCTCATGCCTATAATCCTAGCATTTTGCTAGGCAATTTGGTAGTTAGGAGGATCACTTCAGTCCAGGAGTTTGAGACCAGCCTGGGCAACATAGTGAGACCCTGTCTCTACAAAATACTTTAAAAATTAGCTGGGCATGGTGGCACACGACTGTAGTCCCAGCTACTTAGGAGGCTGAAGTGGGAGAATTGCTTGGGCCCAGGAGGTTGAGGCTGCAGTGAGCCAGAATCACACCACTGTACTCCAACCTAGGCAAAAGGTGAGACTCTGTCTCAAAAAAAAAGACTGGTTAATAGACTGTACAAAATCACATAGCTTTTATAATGATGGAGCCAACCCAGAAACAAAAACACATGAGTTAGAAATAAAATATTTATTGGCCCTCTTGTATGTGTAAGAAATTATCCATATGATTATCATTTTTATTGTATGCAAAGTGATATGGTTTGGCTGTGTCCCCACCCAAATTTCATCTTGAATTGTACCTCCCATAATTCCCATGTGTTGTGGGAGGGACCTGGTGGGAGGCAATTGAATCATGGCGATGGTTTCCCCCTTACTGTTCTCATGGTAGTGAATAAGCCTCATGAGATCTGATGGTTTTATAAGGGGTTTCCCTTTGCACTTGGTTCTCATTCTCTCTTCCCACCATGTAAGACGTGCCTTTTGCCTTCTGCCATGATTGTGAGGTCTCCCCAGCCACGTGAAACTGAGTCCATTAAACCTCTTTTTCTTTATTAGTTACCCAGTCTTGAGTATGTCTTTATCAGCAGTGTCAGAACAGACTAATACACAAGGGTATACATTTCATTAAATTGAACTATTAGAAGATATAATGTATATGTATATACTGTGTTTTATTTGCAAGAGCGACAATTGTTGGTGACAAGTTTGCTTGTTTGGAAGAAAAGTCTGATACACTAATTAAGATAAAGTGGGAGAAGGGAATAGCCTATTTTATTATTTTTCTTAACTTTTATCTTGTAAAGTCATTGTTTTCAAAGCCAAAGCACCATGGAAACTTCTTCACTGATTCTAAGAGCATTAAATATTTTCAAAAAGTAATACAAATGTCTTTATTTTTATATGATCAATTTGGTTTGACCAATAACAAGACATCATACCAAATCAAAGTTTGGAGGCATTCCAGTCCCATTGCTATCACTACATTGTCTGTGCTTTATGATAACCATTTATTAATTCAAAAAGCATTTAAGTAATCACTACAACCTAGGCTCTGCCCTCAATTCTGAGACTATAATACAACTCTCACCCTGGCCTTCAAGGAGATCACAGTTTAACAAATGATGTCAGTACTGTGATAATAATAGAAGTATCTTTTACACTAAATCTTTCTCCAGTTAAAACCTGCATTATACTTAAGGAAATGGTTTTCTCTAAATATTTTTTCTGAAATACATAGAATTTTCTCATTAGTTTTATTATTGTTAACAACCACACATTGAGTGGTCAACTACTGCAGATGGAAAATACAATCATAGGCATTTATGTCTTTCTAACCTCTTGTGGAAGATCACATATATCTCTGTTAACAGCCAGTTCTAGTTTCTCCAAGCTGGCACAATTACTTAGTTCCTTGGGGACAGTCTTGATTTTGTTGTAGCTGAGAATCAGTTCCTGAAGTCTAGTAAGCAGTCCTATAAAAAATAATATACAATAGAGAGGAGTTGGATATAAAATAATCTTTATAGTTATTAAGGTATTACAGCATAACTTTTTTTTTTTGAGACGGAGTCTTGCTCTGTCGCCCAGGCTGGAGTGCAGTGGCGCTATCTCGGCTCACTGCAAGCTCCGCCTCCCGGGTTCACGCCATTTTCCTGCCTCAGCCTCCCGGTAGCTGGGACTACAGGCGCCCGCCACCGCGCCCAGGTAATTTTTTGTATTTTTAGTAGAGACGGGGTTTCACCGTGTTAGCCAGGATGGTCGCGATTTCCTGACCTCGTGATCCGCCTGCCTCGGCCTCCTAAAGTGCTGGGATTACAGGCGTGAGCCACCGCGCCCGGCCTACAGCATAACTTACTTGCCAATTTTGTATTGGCAAATTCGGAGTTCTTAGTGTCTTTCCTTTTCCCAGTCTGTGTCCTGTCCCTTCTTCAAACAAGGGACAAGTTTATCCGTGCAATAGGAAAAAAAAAAAAATCGAAAACTATTTTCATTTTGTCTACACAAAATCCTCAGCAATTTTCTATTTGGATTTTTTTTTCCCATTTGAAGAATCTTCTTGTTTTGCTTTATTGCCTTCAACCTGTTGTTTCCTAAGAGGAATAGCTGAGCCGACAATATTGTTCCGAGAATCACAGGATATTTTCCAAAGAGGCTTTTCTTTCATTGAAATCTCATCTTGAATCACCTCAGTAAATCCACAAACTTGAATCCCCTAGAAGCTTCAATTTAGATTAAATGTTTAAAATTCTCAAGGTTGAGGGCTGTATAAAGAGGTCTTTATTCCATGTATCCAAAAAAATCTTAATAAAAAGCACATCTGCAGGTGGATAAAATAGCACAGGAATAAAAGTAATCTTTCTTACCAATCCCTGGTGGTATCTCTGAAATTGTGTTTCGAGATAAATCTAACACAATGAGGTTCTGGAATCTTCCAATGAATTCAGGAATTTTCAGCAAACCAGTTCTATGAAGTTGCCATTCCTGTAGTTGATTCAGTTTCAGCAGAGAAGAAGGGAGGGTCTACAGTAAAAGAAATGATGGTTGTTGTATATTACTTAAATTTTTTTAGTATCACGCCACCCTGAAATGTGATATTTGACTTATACAAGCACTTTGGAATATTTGGAATTTGTTTTCCTTAGTGGGTTACTTTTCCAAGTGCTTTGTGTGACTTCCGGATTTTAAGATCTTTCCTTTTTTTTTTCTTTTCCTTTTTTTTTTTTTTTTTTTTTGGCTAAACCTTCAAACCCCAATCATGATAGAATAAACAAAAATATTTTGATCAATAATGTACACACATCCAGTATGTCCTGATGATTCTGTTATGCAGTATTAGGCTTTCCTAAAGTACATATATGTTATTGAAAATGAGACAATCCAAAAAAATAATTTCAATCAATAATTCAAACTGCTTTTCCACTTCTGTTTTGAAATACACGAATATTTTTAAAAATTTATTTTTTAATTTGAGAATTTTAAGAGTTTCAACTATTCTGAACTCTGTGCCTTTTCCCTTTCAGCCTAAAATAGCCAGTAGAGAATATAAAGGAGCTAACTCTGACAAACACTGACATAAAACATAAAAACAAACACTGACCCAAGGGTTAGAAGCTCTTGTAAAAATTAGAGTATGCCTAATATAATTAACCAACTGTGAGTTTGTGTGTAAGGGGAAGAAAGAATATGAGTTAGGTGGTAGACCCACTGAAAATACTAATATTTCCATTCCATAAAGTTTTAACTGAGCATTTCTTTGGAAAAGCAATATTATTTTTATTAGGCAGATGGTTATCTTTTTTATGGGAAATGAGAGGTTGCTATAAGAAGGATTAATAGGAGAAATATCACAAATGATTTAGGTTTAGGCAGGGTTGAAGCAAACTGAACTTTTGCAAAATAATTGTGAAGTTGTGTTTCTTTTCAGTTGCACATGTTGCTCAAATTCATTTGGTGTATTATTAAAATTAGTTTCTAACTATTCTAGTCTTAATTACACAGTCTCAGAATCATTCTCTCAACTGACTCACAAAATGCAAAATGTGGAAAATCAAATATTCTATAAAAGCTTACCTTCCATTCCTCTTTTTCTATCTTCAAAATGACTCTTCCATCTTCCCTGGTGACCTTTTCTCTTAGCTTGGTTAAGCTTACTCGTTCTTCCCAGATCCGCACTAGCCTAGGAAACCAGGAAATCATTTTAGTTCATAGACAATTACATAAGTGGCATTCACTTTTTTTTTTTTTTGAGAGAGAGAGTTTCACTCTTTTGCCCAGGCTGGAGTGCAGTGGCCCGATCTCGGCCCACTGCAACCTCTGCCTTCCAGTTTCAAGTGATTCTCCTGCCTCAGACTCCCGAGTAGCCAGGATTACAGGCGTCCACCACCACACCCGGCTAATTTTTTGTATTTTTAGTAGAAACGGGTTTTCACCGTGTTGGCCAGGCTGGTCTCGAACTCCTGACCTTGTGATCCACCAGCCTCAGCCTCCCAAAGTGTTGGGATTACACGTGTAAGCCACTGCGCCCAGCCACTTTTATATATATATATTTTAATTACCAATCAAAAACCATTTGACTATTAGTACCTGGAAATCAGACAATAACTTATTTTGCAAGAATTATAAATATGATTAGTACCACAAATGCCCTATTTTTAAATTTTTTAAAAGTATCATAACTCTATAGATTTTATTAATAACTTTTTTGAGGTCTGATACACATACTATAAAAATTACTTTTTTAAGTACACAATTCAGTAAATTTTGGTATATTCACAGATTTGTGCAACTATCATCACTATCTAATACCAAAGCATTTTATCACTCATAAAGGAAACTCCATACCCATGAGCAGTCACTCTCCATTCTTCCCTCTCATACCTCTTGGTAATCACTAATCTACTTTTTGTATATGGATTTTCCTATCCTGGACACTTTATTTAAATGTGATCATACAATATATAGCCTTTGTGTCTGCTTATTTCACTTAGCATCGTTTTTTTCAAAGTTCATCCATGCTGTAGCATGTATTAGTACTTCATTTCTTTTTGTGGCAGAATGATTCCACTGTATGGATCTACCACATTTTGTTTACCAATTCATCAACTGATGGACATTGGGTTAATTCCACTATTGGCTATTTGGAATAATGCTGCTATGAATATTGATGTACAAATTTTTGTGTGACCATGTTTTCATTTTTCTTGGGTATATTCATAGGAGTAGAATTGTTGAGTTATATGGTAACTTTATGTTTAACATTTTTCTTTTTTGAGACAAAGTCTCGCTCTGTCATCCAGGCAGGAGTGCAGTGGCACCATCACGGCTCACTGCAGCTTCAACCTCCCAGGCACAGGTGATCTTCCCACTTCAGCCTCCTGAGTAGCTGGGACTACAGGCATGCTCCACCACGCCCAGCTAATTTTTGTATTGTTTGTGGAGACAGGGTTTTGCCATGTTGCCCAGGCTGGTCTCAAACCCCTAAACTCAAGCAACCCGCCTGCCTTGGCCACCCAAAGTGCTGGGATTACAGGCGTGAACCACTGTGCCTGGCTATGTTTAACATTTTCAGAAACTGCCATGCTGTTTCCAAAATGGTTGCACCATTTTACATTCCCACCAGTGGCATATCAAGGTTCTGATTTATTCACATCCTCACCAATATTTGCTATTGTCCCTCTTTTTTATTATAGCCATCTAGTGGGTGCGAATGGTATCCGATTGTGGGTTTGATTTGCGTTTTCCTGGTGAGTAATCTATAGATATTTAATAGACTTTGTAATGGCTTGCAAAGAATACAGTTCAACTTCAGAATTCAATTTCATCTTACTACATGTTAATTTTATCTAGTCTTTACTTTTTACATATAAAAATGTATAAAATCTTTGTCATTTGAAGCACATTCCTGTTGATTTTTGATCTATTGCAAACATAAGAATGATCTCAAACTAGAAAAATGCAAACTAGAAACTGGAAAACCGGCCAGGCACGGTGGCTCACACCTGTAATCCCAGCACTTTTGGAATGCTGAGGCAGGTGGAGTTCGAGACCATCCTGGCCAACATGGTGAAACCCCATCTCTACTAAACATACAAAAATTAGCTGGGTGTGGTGATGCGTGCCTGGAGTCCCAGGTACTAGGAAGGATAAGGCAGGAGAATTGCTTGAACCTGGGATGCAAAGTTGCAGTGAGCCAAGATTGCACCACTTTACTCCAGCCTGGGCGACAGAGCAAGACTCGGTCTCCAGAAAAAAAAAAAGAAAGAAAAGAAACTGGAAAACCTTTTGCAAAAAGCTATTTCTATCCCAGAAAATTCTTCACTCATGAAAAAGAGAGTAAGTTTAGAATTGAAAATTTTGAAAATTTTAGGCTGTTAAAAGGATACATAATAAATATGAGCAGTCCTGAAAGCATGAAGTTTAACTAATTTGAATATTTGTTTGCCAGAAATCTCTTGACATTCTGAGAGTTAATACATAATTTTAGCAGTTTTGTATATTAACTGATCTTCAATAAGGATTTTATTTTAATGAACAGAAAGCCAAAAGTAAACAAAGTGTTGAATTTGCTGTCTTTAAGTATTTGGGTTTGTAAAATACCTCTCTTAGTATCTGTGTATTTTGATCTATCACTTGCCTAAAATTTAATCTGCTAACAGGTGCCCTGTGGCAGTGGGATATGTGTGGCCTTCTGATCTAAACAGCTAAGCTTCCCATAGATGTGGGTAACTAAGAAAAAATGTATAATGTCAGCTATTCAATTATATTACTTATTATAAAAATAGAACTATTCAAACAATGGGCTTAATGGTTATTATTACTAAGACAGAAATGAAATTCAGAGCAAGATTTAGTAACAAGTAAATTAGGAATCTTATCCCTTGACCTTTAACTTAAGGAATTAATCCAGTAACCATTATAGCCAAGTACTAGACATTGGAGATACAAAAAGCTCTGTTGTTACTGAGTTCACGGTCAGGCTATTATTAGAAAAATCTATTTCCATCTCTGTAAAGATCGCTAAATTCTTTCTGGTTCTGTGTTTTTATGATCTAAGTCCAGAATATACGATTTATTAATTTGGTTACCTTGAGCAAGACATCCCCCATCTGTGGGCCTTACCTATAAAATGTGAGGTTATAATTAAATGATATCTATGTATTTTCCAGCTTAAATATTCTATAATTCCTATACAGCTTTTTCTAAAAAAAAAAAAAAAAAAATTGAGAAAGGCTGTCTCCATGTTGCCCAGTCTGGTCTCGAACTCCTAAGCTCAAGCAATCCTCCTGCCTCAGCCTCCCAAAGCACTGGGATTACAGGTGTGAAGCTGCTTATTTTAATCTTGATATTCTTTCAGGTCTCTAATCGAAATTTTATAACTCTTCTAAAACCCTTTTGAGGCCGGGCGTGGTGGCTCACGCTTGTAATCCTAACAATTTGTGAGGCTAAAGCAGATGGATCACTTGAGGTTAGGAGTTTGAGACCAGCCTGGCCAACATGATAAAACCCTGTCTCCACTAAAAATACAAAAATTAGCTGGGTATGGTGTTGTGGGCCTGTAATCCCAGCTACTCAGGAGGCTGAGGCAGGAGAATCACTTGAACCCAGGAGGCAGAGGTTGCAGTGAGCCAAGATTGCGCCAATACACTCCAGCCTGGGTGACAGAGTGAGACTCTGTCTCTAAAAAAACAAAATAAAATTTGATTCTACAAATTTTATTGTAGAATAAGGCCTTTTTCTGATATTGCCACACCAATCGTTACCTAAGTACTTGATTTTTTCAAGGAGCTTGGCATCAAAAGGGAGAAAACACAATTTCTGTTTAAACTGTAGGCTTTTTTTCTTTCATTTTTTAGCTAAAGCTCTAGCCAATTTAGCTGAACGAAGCAGCATTAGATTACATTCTTACCCTTCTTACCCCTTGCCTGTGTACTGACCCCTTTCAAATCTGCTTCTTTTGTCTACTTCCTTGCCACTCAGTGTGATTTGCAGAACAGCAGCATCATTGTCTCCTGGGAGCTTGTTAGAGATCCAGACTCTTGGTCCTACTCCAGACTTACTAACCCAGAAGCTATTTTAAATAAGATCCCTATGGGATTCCTACGCAGACAAGTTTGAGAAACACTGGTCTATTTCAGAGCAGAGTAAAAAAGTAAGGACATTTCTTTGGGTTACCTTTGGTTGGTTTTAAATTTCTATGAATTTTCCAGTTAGCCTTTTCTCTGGTAATCAGCTTCTCTGTCTCACTTTAAAAGGTCTCTCAGATTCTTACCATTTTGCGTCAGTTATGATTGTTTATTTATTAATTTTTTTCTTTTTTTTTTAAATGAGACAGTGTCTTGCTCTGACACCCAGGCTGGTGTGCAGTGGGTGTGATTGTAACTTACTGCAGCCTTGACCTCCAGGGCACAATTGATCCTCCCGCCTCACCCCTCTGCCTCCCAAGTAACGGGGACTACAGGTGCATGCCACCACGCCCAGCTAACTTTTTGTTTTAGAGATGGGGTCTCGCTATGTTGCCCAGTCTGGTCTCAAGCTCGTTGGGCTCAAGAAATCCTCCTACCTCAGCCTGCCAAAGTGCTGGGATTACAGGCACAAGCCAGCATACCTGGAAAATTATTTATTTAGTCATATTACAGGTTTTAAACCTAACCTTTGATCTCTATATAATTTACTTTTAAAGTAGTTTATACTTAATTTTAACCACAATCCAAGCTTTATAATACTGTACAATGATTTTACAATGTAATTGTTTTAAGATTAAGGGAAAGGTGCTTTGAAAAACTACATTACACAAATTCCATGTAATGTTTCTAAAAGTAGAAGCTGATTTTGGTCTAACTTAACTTTTGGAAATTACATTTTGCTAACAGAGAATCCTCCTCCCTAATCATAAAATAGATGATGCCAAAAAAGAACAAGCAGTAAGAAAGGGCAAGACTGCACACTCATTATTCCTATATAGAGAACTTCTGAAATTTCTGAAATTAAGTGATTCTTAATTAATGACAAAGATCCCTTTTATCAAAACTTTAGCCAGGCTCCACATCCTCTGCTTGACCAGGATTGACCTTGGGCTTCCCTCTCTGTCCTTGCAGAATCCACTTTGAACAGGAATCTTGCTATGTCTGCACACTTACTAAAAACTAAGTGGGAAAAATTATTCCTCCCTGTCAAGATCTTTTGTTTTTACAGATATTTAGCAACACAAATCATTGCTTATCAGTAGCTTCTTGCCCCCCACCCTCGTTTACTGGAAGAATATCAATTGCTTCCAAGTCCAAGTGTTTACCAAGTAATCCAGGTGATATGGTTTTGCTATGTCCCCACCCAAATCTCATCTTGAATTGTGGCTTCCATAATTCCCACGTGTTGTGGGAGGGTCCCAGTGGGAGACAATTGAATCATGGGGGCAGTTTCCCTTATACTGTTCTCATTCTCTCTCCCAAGATCTGATGGTTTTATGAGAGGTTTCCCCTTTCTTTTTTTTTTTTTTTTTTGAGATGGAATTTCACTCTTGTTGCCCAGGCTGGAGTGCAATGGTGCAATCTTGGCTTACTGCAACCTCTGCTTCCTGGGTTCAAGCAATTCTCCTGCCTCAGGCTCCCATGTAGCTGGGATTACAGGCGTGAGCCACCATGTCTGGCTGAGGATTCCCCTTTCATTTGGTTCTCATTCTCTCTTTGCTGACTGTCATGTAAGATGTCCCTTTGCTCTTCCTTTGGCTTCCACCATGATTGTGAGGCCTCCCCAGCCATGTGGAACTGTGAGTCAATTAAACCTCTTTTCTTTATAAATTACCCAGTCTCAGGTATGTCTTTATCAGCAGTGTGAAAACGGACTAAAATAGTAAATTGGTACCGATAGAGTGGGGCACTGCTGTAAAGATACCCAAAAATGTGGAAGTGACTTTGGAACTGGATAACAGGCAGAGGTTGGAACAGCTGGATGGCTCAGAAGAAGAAAAGAAAATGTGGGAAAGTTTGGAACTTCCTAGAGACTTGTTCAATGGCTTTGACCAAAATGCTGATAATGATATGGACAATGAAATCCAGGCTGAGGTGATCGCAGATGGAGATGAGGAACTTGTTGGGAACTGGAGTAAAGGTCACTCTTGCTATGTTTTAGCAAAGAGAATGGCAGCATTTTGCCCCTGCCCTAGAGATCTGTGGAACGTTGAACTTGAAGAAGATGATTTAGGGTATCTGAGGGAAGACATTTCTAAGCAGCGAAGCATTCAAGAGGTGACTTGGGTGCTGTTAAAAGCACTCAGTTTTAAAAGGGAAACAGAGCATAAAAATTCAGAAAATTTGCAGCCTGAGGATGTGATAGAAAAGAAAAACCCATTTTCTGAGGAGAAATTCAAGCTGGCTGCAGAAATTTGTATAAGTAATGAGGAGCCACATGTTAATCACCAAGACAATGGTTTTATAAGAGGTTTCCCCTTTCACTTGGTTCTCATTCTCTCTTTGCCAGCTGCCATGTAAGATGTCCGTTTGCTCTTCCTTCATCTTCCACCATGATTGTGAGGCCTCCCCAGCCATGTGGAACTGTGAGTCAATTAAGCCTCTTTCCTTTATAAATTACCCAGTCTCAGGTATGTCTTTATCAGCAGCATGAAAACAGACTAATACACCAGGGATGAATCTTAATTTATCTAAACCAATCAGTCTCATTCCCCTAGAAGGTAACTGGGTTAGATGTGTACAAATGATCCAATTCTGGCCAATGAGAAGTGAAGGAGAGGTTTGTTAGGGACCCTCTGTGAAAGATTTCTTTACTCTTAAAGAAGAAATAGAAAAAAATAGTTTCCACTTTTCTGAAAACATAATGATCATTGGCTGTGATGCCTGGAAGTGCATCAGTCATCTTGTAACACTGAAGGAAGCTAATCCGAGGATCAGACTGACACAGGGATTAACAGTGGAAGGTGATTAAAAAAAAAAGCTGACTTTTAAAAGATGTTGAGGCTTTGCATTGACTATCTTCAGAACAGCCTCACTTCCCTATCGCCTAAACCATCTTTAGTTGAATTTTTTGTTATTTGCTAACTGACATCGGCAAATAACATTTGCTAATTTAATGTTTAGAAAGAGGCAATGGCCTGGCATGGTGGCTCATGCCTGTAATCCCAGCACTTTAGGAGGCCAAGGTGGGTGGATCACCTGAGGTCAGGAGTTCAAGACCAGCCTGGCCAACATGGTGAAACCCTGTCTCTACTAAGAATACAAAAATTAGCTGAGTGTGGTGGCATGCGCCTGTAATCCTAGCTACTTGGAAGGCTGAGGCAGGGAGAATCACTTGAATCTGGGAGGCGGAGGTTGCAGTGAGCTGAGATCATGCCATTGCACTCCAGCCTGGGCGACAGAGTGAGTCTCCATTTCAAAAATAATAATAATAATAATAATAATAATAATAATAATAATAATAATAATGATAGAAAGAGACAATGAATGAGAATTGTATGGAACTATATGCATCTATGAGGAAAGGGACTATTTTTGCAGGATTAGTAGAATACTTTTTGGTGACATCCAATCAGGAAAGTAGGTAAGATAAAATGGAGGCAGAGGAAATGAGAGTCAAATAAATATAGCCCAGATCAAGGAATCAAGTGATCCAGCAGCTCTGGCTAGAACACATGGCTATTCAAATAAATGAGAATCTACTGTACCTTCTACTGTCAAATGTTGTTTTAGGTCCTAGGGCATATAATGCTGAACATACAATCCTGAAAATTAGACTATATGATACTAATCAAACTTTGATGAATGTTAAACAGAGTCCTATGAGGGTATAAGATAGCTACCATTTTCACATTTGTATTTTTTGTGACTCCTATCGCATAGACAAATTTAATTGAGTCAGCTGTTTTCTTTAAGTATATTTTGAGTTTTCAGTAAATAAAATTCTATATCAAATTCAATAACAAGGCATTTAGAATGCTCTTTTTTATGGTGATGATAATATGAATTTTCACTAATTCAAAATAATAAATATGTTTTAGCATACTTGTGTTGAAATTCCTTCTCTCGCTTCAGGTCTTCATTGAGTTTCTTTATTCTTTTTTCCCAAACTTCCTTTACAGCATTGACAGCCCCAGTACAAACCACATTTTCTGTCATGATTTCTCCACATTGTCATAGTCACCAACTTCATTAGGTTTTGAATAGCTGAATCATAGATACCATTTCAGAAAGGACCTAAATGTACCAGAGAAAAAAAGCAATGTTTCAGACTGTTCATTGAGTACCATAATGATCATAATAGCTAATATTTATAGAACACATTCCATGCTCCAAAAACTATTTTATATACTTTACATGCCATATCATATTTAAAAACTCTCATAAAATACTATAATATAGGTACTTTTATTGACTAATGTATAGATGAGAAAATTAAGCTTTAAAGAAGGTGAACAATTTTCTTGGGGGTCTCATATCTAATATATGATTCCTTTGTTACTGTGTATTTCATAATAATGAAAAACTGCAACTAGTCTTCATGTCCAATTATAGGAAAATGGTTAAATAATGGAGATTTTTAAAAAGACTGGAATCTTGAGATATCAATCTAATCAGGACACCATATGCACAAGTAGAAATTCAGTTAAGTGATAATATATTGGGATTGTTTCCTTTTGTGTAAAATAAATTGCAAATGGATGACGCAGTATTAAGGATTTTGACCTGAATCTCAGAAATGAAAGGAAAATACTCAATAATAGGAAAATGGTTATGTAAATTATGGTAGGTACATTTTATGGAATATCCTATGGCCTTAAAATAATCGTACTGATTTTTGATCAAATTAGTAATAATAAAATAATTTGATTCACAATTATTTGAATTATTTCCTTTCAAATTCAGGAATGCAAAGACATTCACAATCACTTCTATTCAACATTATAGGAAAACCATAAAGGAAGTAAAGTAAATAGAAAGTAATGTAGTTGGAAAAGAAAGCAATAAAATTTGCAACAACATAGGGAAACAGACACTTTCCTTCATCAATGGTGGTATTATTATATTCTGTATGGAGAGAAACTTGGTAATACTTACTAAACTCACTAATGCTCATCCACACTAGCAATTTATCCCTCAAATATTTTTGAAGTTATTCGCAGTGTTTTTCATAACAGCAAAATATTGTAAACAACCTAATATTTCATCGGTAAACTATAGTCTACCCATATCATGGGAAATTATATAGCTCAAAAAAAAGAAAAGAAAGGTATCTTATATATTCATATGCCATGATCTCCAAAATATATAACTATCCCACAGTTTATCCATTCTAATGAATGTGAATATTTGGGTCCCAGAGCTTTGCTATTATAAGCAATAATGTTTCTAAAATTAATGTTTTTATCTTCTTGGTGTTCCAGTGGAATTATTTCTACTGGGTACATATCTAGAATTAGAATTGCTGGATCATAGTGTATGTAAATGTTCCAATTTATAAGTCAGAGCCAAATTGTTTTCCAAATTGATTGTGCCCATTTATACTCTTACTACCACTGTATAAGGGTCCCCGTTGATATACATCCATTACTGCATAAAGCCATATCCCAGGGTGGTCATAATTTGTACTTCCCTGATGATTAAGTGTTCCAAGTTAATATACAAAGGTTGTCCAGTTAAAGAAAAGACAAAATCCTGAGTGTTGTTTATGAGAGGCACACCTAAAAAATAAAGGTAGAGAAAAGTGGACAGTACAAGAACAGGAAAAGATCCACTCCTAAGTATATAGAAACAGAAATGAAAACATATGTTCTCACAAAATCCTGCACATGAATGTTGATAGAAACAGTATTCATAATAGCTAAAAAGTGGCAACAACACAAATGGCCATCTACTGATGAATGGATAAACAAGATGTGGTATATCCATACAATGGAATGTTATTTGGCCATAAAAATGAATGAAGTATAGATACATGCCACAGTATAAATAAACCTTGAATAAAATTATGCTAAGTGAAAGAAGTCAGACACAAAAGACCACATATATGATCTCATTTATATGAAATGTCCAGAATAGGCAAATCTGTAGATTCAAAAAGTAGCTTTGTGGTACCCAGGGGATTTGTAGAGGGGGAAATAGGGAGTGACTGCTAACTGTACAGTTTTTTGAGTGATGAAAATGTTCTAGAATTAGTGATAATGATTGTACAACTCTTGAATAAAACTACTGAGCTGTACACTAAAAGAGAGAATTTATATATGAATTATATTTCAATTAATTTTTTCTTTCTTTTTTATATCTTTATTTCTTTCGTTTCTTCCTTCCTCCTTCCCTCCCTCCATCCCTTTCTTCTTTCTTTCTTTGCTCTTTTGAGACAGGGTCTCACTCTATCACCCAGGCTACAATATAGTGGCGGGATATGACTCTCTGCAGCCTTGACCTCTGGGCTCAAGTGATCCTCCTGCCTCAGCCTCTCAGGTAGCTGGAAGTATAGGCATGTGCCACCATGTCTGGCTAATCAATTAAATTTTTTGAGAACTGAGGAAGATATACTATGCAAACACTAAGCAAAAGAAGGCTAGTATCAATATATTAATAGCAGACAAAATGGACTTTAGGCACAAATACTTTACAGATATAAAAGATCAATCATATCATAATAAGAGATTTAATCCACAAGAAATATAAAACAACTTTAAACTACATGCCTCTAATAACATGGCTTCCAAATATACAAAGGAAAATTGACAGAACTAAAGGGAAAAATCAAGGAATCCAGAACTGAAGTGGGATATTTTAACAATTCTTTTAGCAATTGGTTGCACAAGCAGTTTAAAACTTAGGAAGAATACTGAAAATTTGAACCACACAATGAATAAACTTACTTAAATGATAAATAAAGAACTATATCCTACAATGACAGAATACATAATGCTTTAAAAAACACATGGAAGAGTCACAGAAAAAAAATCTCATATTGGGGTCATAGAGCAAGTCTCAGTCAATTTCAAGGGATTAAAGTAGCATGAAGTTTTTATTCTAATCAAAATATAAACTTGCTAGAAATCAATAATGAAAAGATACCTGGAAAAAAAGCCTATATTATTTCAGCTAAAGAAACACACTTTTTTTTTTCTTTCTTCTTTTTTTTTTTTTTTTTGAGACATGGTCTCGTTCTGTCCCATAGGCTGGAGTGCAGAGGCGTGATCTCGGCTCACTGCAGCCTCAAACTCCAGGACTTAAGTAATTCTCCTGCTTCAGCCTTCCAAGTAGCTGGGACTACAGATGTGTACAACCATGCCTGGCTTGTTTTTTTTTTTTTTTGTAAAGACAGGGGTCTTGCTATGTTGCCTGGGCTGGTCTCAAACTCCTGGGCTCAAATGATGCTCCCACCTCAGCCTCCCAAAGTGCTGAGATTACAGGCTTGAGCTACTGCACCCATCCATGAAACACACTTCTAAATAACCTGTAGTCAAAGAAGCTATCATCATGAAATTAGAAGGCATTTTGAACTGAATTAACAAAAATACCACAAATCAAAGTGTATGGAATATAGGTAATGTAGTAGAGGGAAATTTCTAGTCTTAAGTATACATTTTAGAAGAAATGAGGCTAAAAAATTTACATCCATCTCAAGAAGCTAGATAAAACAAACACAAAGAAAACAGAAGAAAGGGAATATTATAGATAAACACACACATGTATAAAATTTTAAAATGACACAATAGAATACAATAATAATAATCTAAAATCTCTCCACAAACAAAATGCTGGTCCCAGAGATGACTTCAGTGGAAAATTCTACCAAGCATTTGAGGGGTAAAAAATAACACTAATCATAGAATGAACTCTTCCTGAGAATAGAAAAGAAATACTCCCCAATTCAGATTATGAGATTAGCATATGCTTGATACCAAACCCCAAGAATGGTAATTCTAGAAAGAAAAATACAGACTAATCTCACTAACAAATATATTAACAGAGAAAAGTCCTAAACCATATACTGGCAAACCATATCTGGCAATATAGGAAAAAGAAAATACTGGCCAGGCGCACTGGCTCATGCATGTAATTCCAGCACTTTGGGAGGCCGAGGCGGGCAGATCACTTGAGGTCAGGTGTTCAAGACCAGCCTGGACAACATGGTGAAACCCCGTCTCTACTAAAAAAATACAAAAAAGGCCAGGCGTGGTGGCTCATGCCTGTAATCCTAGCACTTTGGGAGGCCGAGGTGGGCAGATTGCATGAACTCAGGAGTTCGAGACCAGCCTAGGCAACACAGTGAAACCCCGTCTCTACTAAAATACCAAAAAATTGTGGCCAGGCGCGGTGGCTCATACCTGTAGTCCCAGCACTTTGGGAGGCCGAGGCGGGGGGATCACGAAGTCAGGAGATCAAGACCATCCTGGCTAACATGGTGAAACCCTGTCTCTACTAAAAATACAAAAAATTAGCCGGGCGTGGTGGCAGGCGCCTGTAGTCCCAGCTACTTGGGAGGCTGAGGCAGGAGAATGGCGTGAACCTGGGAAGTAGAGCTTGCAGTGAGCTGAGATCATGCCACTGCACTCCATCCTGGGTGACAGAGCGAGACTCTGTCTCAAAAAAAAAAAAAAATTAGGAGGTTGCAGTGAGCCAAGATCATGCCACTGCACGCCAGCCTGGGTGACACAGCGAGAATCTGTCTCCAAAAAAAATAAAAATAAAATAAATAAAAATAAAAAATACAAAAATTAGCCAGGTGTGGTGGCATGCACCTGTAATCCCAGCTACTTGGGAGGCTGAAGCAGGAGAATCGCTTGAACCCAAGAGGCGGAGGTTGCAGTGAGCTGAGATGGTGGCACTGCACTCCAGCCTGGGCGACAGAGCCAGACTCTGTCTCAAAAAAAAAACAAAACAAAACAAAACAAAAAAAAGAAAATACATTACAGCCATATTGGGTTTATTCCAGAGATTAAGATTTGTTTGCTTACCTTTGTTTGAGAAATCAATTAATGTAATATTCTGAATAGACTAGAAGAGAAAGAAAATATGATCATTCCAATAGATGTAGAAAATTATTAAAATTTAATATCGTGATTAAAAACAAGTCTTAACATACTCTAAGTAGAAGATAATTTATTTAACCTAACCAAGTATGTCTAATAAAAACCTGCAGCAATCATACTTGATAGTGTAACATTGAAAGCCTTTCATTTAAAATTAGTAAAAGATGTCTGCTCTCACTACTTCCATTCAATACTGTATCATGGCTCTACCCATTGCATAAAAGCAAGAAAAAGAAATAAAAGGCTTAAAGTTTGAAAAGGAATAAAAAACAAAAGGACATTTTTCATGAGTACAATTATGAACTAGAAAATCCAGGAGAATTTACAACTAAATATATAGAATTTAGCAAGACTTCTGACAAGTCAATATTTTGAAAAATCAATTATGTGTCTATATTCCAGCGGAAAATATATATTAAGTTCTGAAAAATATACTATTTTCAATAGCATAAAAATCAAATTCTTAACAATGAACAGAATATGTAAAACTTCTATACAGAAAACTAAAAATTAGAGTGAAATTAAAGAAGGCCTAAATAAATGAAGAGATATACATCATATTCATTGATAGAAAGACTCAATCTGTAAAAATGTCAATTATCCCCACATTGAACTATAATCAATCTCAATACAAAATTCATTTGGAGAAGGAGAGGAGCAACCTGACAATCAGTTTCTAATTTTTAATGACAATTCTAAGGATACAAAATAGCCCAGACACTCTTGCCAAAGAAAACTAGAGTGGGAGGATTTATTTTGCATTCATCAAGATCTCTTTTAAAGCTATGGTACTAGATAATGTTATTGGTGCAATAGAAAAACATACCAGTGTACCTGAATAAGGAACCCCAGAAACAGACTCATATACACATAGGCACTGCAGAACATTGTGGAAATTTTTTTTTTTTTTTAGACAGGGTCTGGTTCTGTTGCCCAGGCTGGAGAGCAGTGGCATGATCTTGGCTCACTGCAACCTCCACCTCCTGGGTTCAAGCCATCCTCCCACCTCAGCCTCCCAAGTAGCTGGGACTACAGGTGCACACCACCACACCTGGCTAATTTATGTATTTTTCTGTAGAGATGGGGTTTTACCATGTTGCCCAGGCTGATCTTGAACTCCTGGGCTCAAGTGATCTGCCTGCCTTGGCCTCCCAAAGTGCTGGGACTACAGGTGTGAGCCACCACACCTGGCCATGGGAATAATTTTTTAAGAGAAATTATATTGGGACAGTTGAATATCTATGTATTACCAAAATTAATTCCATGTGAATTGTAGATCTAAAAGTGAAAGTAGAAAAAATAAAGCATTTAGGTGACAATATAGGACTTATCTTGATGTCCTTAAAGTAGAGAACACTTTTTAAAACAGAATACAAAGCATATCCATAAAGGAAAAGATATACTATATCACAATATAGTTTGAATATATGTTCCCACCAAATCTCATGTTGAACTGTAATCCCCAACGTTGGAGGTGTTGGCTAGGTAGGAGGTGATTGGATCATGGAGGAGGATCCCTCATGGCGTGGTGCTGTCCTTGAAACAGTGAGTTCTTGGGAGATCTGGTTCTTTAAGTTTGTGGCACCTCCCCCTGCTCCCTCTTTTGCTCCTGTTCTGGCCTTGCGGGACGCAGGCTTCCCCCTTTGCCTTCCACCATGATTGAAAGCTCCCTGAGAAGCAGATGCCAGCACCATGCTTCCTGTAAAGCCTGCAGAACCGTGAGCCAGTTAAACCTCTTTTCTTTGTAATTTACCCAGTTTCAGGTATTTCTTTGTTTTGTGGTTTTTTGTTTGTTTGTTTTTTGTTTTTTTGAGACAGGCTTACTCTGCCACCAAGGCTGGAGTGTAGTGGCACAATCATGGCTTATAGTAGCCTTGATCTCCTGGGCCCCCTCTGCCTCAGCCTTCAGAATAGCTGGGACTACAGCAAGAACCAGTGTGCCAGTTTTTTTTTTTTTTTTTTGGTAGTGACAGGATGTCTCCACATTCTCCAGGCTGGTCTTGAACTCCTGGGCTCAAGTGATCCTCCTGCATTGGCCTCCAGAAGTGCTAGGATCACAAACATGAGCTGCTGTGCCTGGCCAGTTATTTCTTTATAGCAATGCAAGAACAGCCTAACACAGATTGATAAAGTGGACTACATTACAATTAAGAACCTATTGAAAGACATCACTTAGAAAATAAAAGGAATACCATGTACATTAGTGGGGGAAGATATTGGCAATATATATAACCACCAATGGATTACATCTAGAATATATAACGAACTCCTTAAAATCAGCTGAAAAAGGCAACAGAAAATACAATTGAACAGGAAATTTTCAAAAAATAAAATCCAAATGGTAGAACTTTCCCTGTGGAGAAAAAAAAATCCAAATGACCAAAAACAAATGAAGTTGTGCTCCACCTTAATAAAAACATAATAAGATACCAATGAACATCTGTCAGAATGGCTAAAATTCAAAAGGCTGATTATACCAAGTGTTGGTGAGAATTTGAGTTACAGAAATCCTCATGGACTCCTGGTATATTGGTGAAATTGTAAATTAGTATTAACTATTTTGAAATACTTATGTACTAATATTGAAGATAAGCACAGCTTATGATCCAGCAATTCCATTCAAAGGTATGTACCTAGAGGAAGGGTGTGTCTCCACCAGGAAACATGAACAAGACTGTTCCCAGCAATGTTTTACATGATAGTAAAAAAATTAAAAATAAAGTAAAACAATGTTTTAAAAGCAATAGCTGGACATGGTGGCTCACGCCTGTAATCCCAGCAGTTTGGGAGGCTGGTGGATCGCTTGAGGTCAGGAGTTCAAGACCAGCCTGACCAACATGGTGAAACCCCGTCTCTACTAAAAAAACATAAAATTAGCCAGGCGTGGTGGCACATGCCTGTAATCCCAGCTACTTGGGAGGCTGAGGCAGGAGAATCACTTGAACCCGGGAGGCAGAGGTTGCAGTGAGCTGAGATTGCACCATTGCACTACAGACCAGACAACAAGAATGAAACTCTGTCTCAAAAACAAACAAAAAAAAGGAATGGCAGTATTCATCCATTGAATTATAAAAATAGCTAGAATTAAGGGGGAAAAAACTGTGTGACATTGGAGATATGGTGAAAAGATGAAATTTCTTCTCCCAATAAGCAAAAAGAAAGGCAGTCAGAAATTGTGTTGAGGAAGACACTGTACAAGAAAGCCACAGTCCATATATAGAGCCAACAAAATGTGGCATGATTTTTTAGCATTTATTGAAGTGCAGGAAAGGAGAATCTATTTTAACATTCTTCTTTAGTACAATGAATATGACATTGATACTGAGAAGGAAATGTTGGCTCTGCAGAAAACAGAAATTACATAGTAAAGTCTATGTATTGGTCTTAAACTTTTGAAATAAATCAATCTATAAAAAAGTAAGGAAGACTTATTGAGGGTTACAGAACAGAATATAAATGCCATATATCTTGAAAACATAAAAGTGACAGTACTTTTAACAGAATATGGAAGAAGGAAATAAGGAAAAGAAGTAAATGATAAGAACACCGATATCCACATCTTCGAAGTGGGGAATCAACAGATACTGTCTGTACCTTATGGAACAAGAAATAAAGATTAAAGTATTTGCTTAAAGTTATTAAGGTAATCAAGAGAGAAGCTAAAAATAGGGATATAACTCTATGGCAGTGTAAGGGAACTTAATCCCCACCTCTCATAATGAAGCTCCACAGATGTTTAAAGTTGATTAAAAATAGCATGCAATTGTCTTTGAAAAAGAAAAAAAAGAGAGAAATATGGAGATAACCACTGAAAACTAAATTCCAAAATGGTTAAAATGATTACTTCTAGGGAGCAGGACTGGTGATAGAGAGGAATCGGATAGATAATATTGCTTTTCATTATTAACCTCTTCTAAATTATTGATTTTTTAAACTAATATTATGCAGTATATATGTGTGTGAGACAGTCAAAGAAAGAGGAGAACTATATTACAGAAAAAAGTTTAAAATTTCAAGATTGATAAATAATTGGCATAGGCAGGAAATTGTTGAGAGAATCTCTAAGCAAGGCATGCCGAATTTACTCAGGAACAGAATGCGAGATCTCTTTGCTGTGAAGAAACCTTGGGATACATACACTGGTAATCCAACTTCCTGAGCATATTGCAACCAATTTACAATTTATTGTCTCTAATTTAAGAAAGTTTGAAGTTTTTGCTAAATACTCGAATAAAAATATTTTTGAATTCCCAAGTATCTACATGTATACATGTATTTTAGAAGACATGTAAAACAATTCATCCATTTGCTAATTCATTTCCTCATTTGCCATTAAATGTTGCTCATCCATCAGTTTTCCTATAACAACCAACTTCCCCTAGGGAAACACAAGTCAATAATGATATATTTCTTCCTCCAGCACAGGACTGCTCTCTACTCTGATTAGTACCATAATAGAAAAAAAGCACATAATGTGACAAGTGAGGTAAGCATAGAAAAGAATTGCAGAAGAATTGTTTCTTACTTCTGGGGAAATCTATCTTCCAGAGGAGCACAATTATATGAGTGACCATGAACACCCCGCAAAAAAACTTTTAAATTCTATTCCAGTTTGTTTGGACATTCCAACCAATACAGACACAGTATAGGTATCAGCAGCAATCTATTTACATGTGAAGAAGAAAGGAAAAATGTTTTTGAAAAATACTTACCATTGTCAAATACTTACCACACATAACCAAAGTTAGCGACTATCAGTTAAGAGTAGATTGCAGGGGGAAATTTTTTTTTCAGTGTGGCTCCAAATGATTAAAATCCCCAGTCAGCTGTAACCAAGTGAAATGTAATGTCAGCCTAGTTCTAATTTTAGTTCATGGACAAAGCTGAGAATAGAAAGAATCACATGAGGCTTCTTTGCGACGGATCAGCTGATAATGTATGTGAGTGCGTTCTGTGGACTGCAAAATACGCTACAGACATTATAAAACTATCAGGCATAACTATTTCTAAGATCTTGAAAAATAATGCCTATTCAAAGTCCTTCTACTTTTCACAGCTTAATCATTTCACAGAATTTCATGCATCTATTCCATCCAAGCAGAGAAACTTGGAATATGTTGATGTATGCCACAACAAAAATTCTACCCAGTAAACCATGGATCTGCAAATATTTGAACTAAAGACCCAGATGCTTTAGAAAAAGAAAAAATAAAGGTGTGGATAAGCATGAGTAACACAGAAGCCCCAAACTTCTGCTGTACCTGGGCTTCAAATTAAATTACCTCTCACTTTGATCTCTTCAGCTTTCATAGATAGGACTTAATTCCAGGTTCTTAAAAAATAAACTATATCTTTTTTTGAATTTATAATATATGCACATGGAACAGAATTCAAAAGCTCAATCTCCACTCTCTCCATCCCCCACCCCTTCCACCATCCCTGCCTCCAGTAGGGAGGTTCTCTTCAAGTTCTCTTCTCTGAAGGCAACCACTATTGCCAGTTCTTTGTGTACCTTTACAAAGATGGTCTATGAATTTACGAGCTTAAATATGCCTATATCCCTTAAAAGCACACATATGTGAAGGCATGCACACATACAAAAATGGTAGCATACTATATACATTGTTCTATACTGTCTTTTCTTCACTCAGGATATCTTGGAAACTGTTTCATATTAGTATATTTAGAGCAGCGTCATTCTTTTTAATGGCTACATAGCAGTTTAGCGTGTAGGTGGATCATAATTTATGTAGTCATTTGGACATCTCAGCAATATTAATGCTTTAAAAATTTATGCCTGATTATCTCACAGAAATTCTCCAACACTTCTATAATGAATTAAGTTCTAAGAGTTGTGGGACTGCTCAAGATCACAGAAAGAGTAAAGAAGCCATGGCCACAATTGAAACTCTAACTTCCCTGTCCCGAGAGTGTACACCACCCAACACATACAGAGTGCTTGCATGTGTTCATAAGTAAAAATCAAGATCTCACACCTGTAATCCCAGCACTTTGAGAGGCCAAGATGGTAGGATCACTTGAGCCCAGGAGCTGGAGACCAGCCTGAGCAACAGAGTGAGACCCTGTATCTACCAAAAAAAAAAAAAAAAAAAAAAAATTAAAGTAGCCAGGCATGGTGGCCCTGTCTCCATAAAAATAAAAATAAATAAAATAAAATAAAACTAGCCAGGTGTAGTGGTGTGTATATGTAGTCTCAGCTACTTGGGAGACTGAGGTGGGAGGATACCTTGAGCCAGGGAGGTCAAGCTGTGATGGTGCCACTGCACTCCAGCCTGGGCAACAGAGCCTTCCTTGTCTGAAGAAAAAAAAAAAAAAAGAGAGAGAGAGAGAGAGAGATCCAGGGAGTTTTGTTTCAGTTAAAAAGAACAGTATATTGTTACCTTGGAGAAAATTAAGATTTCTTTCTGCCTTTGGCACTACGTACAATTAAATTTTAATTTGACAGTATTTATAGAGAACCCACAAATTTCAAGGCATCTCTCTTCTCCTTCCCTTATCTACCTTTTATTTCCCATCCCCATGGAGTGACTTACACTAAAGAAATGCCCGGGAGGATAGGGAAAGTGAATAGATGCCTGAGCTATTTATGACACAAATTAGCCAGAATTTTGGTGACTTTGGAGGGATGTAGAAAGTGAATGCAAAGAGACAGGCACTATATAATGAATATCTATCTGTCATTTACGACTGTCCAAAATATTTTGAACACCATCCACATTTTTATAATCCCCCACATCATGAATCCTACCTTTCCAAGGTAGAATTTGAGGGGGAAAAGAAATCCCAGCCTCCCCTGCTACTGGAATGGGGTATGTGACTAATTTTATACACTACTAAGGTTCCACTAATTATATACACCAACAAAGGGCTCTGTTGGGTGACTTGTGTCGCTGGTGTCCATTTTTGCTGGCATGGGTAGCAGCAAAGGCAGTATGTTCTGGGGTTTGTTTTGGCAGCAAAAGTTGCCTAGCCTCAGCAGATGTAGCTGGTTCTGGGGTCAGCAGCAGCAACTCCCTTACTAGGCAAGTACTGTAATGTAATTCTGGAATTCTGACAAAGGCTACGACATGGATGATTCTTGAGGACATTATGCTAAGTAAGCCAGTTACAAAAGGACAAATAAAAAATTATGGAGATAGATGGTGGTGATGGTTGCACAATATTATGAATGTGTTTAATACCACTGAACTGTACACTTAAAAATGATCGGCCGGGCGCGGTGGCTCACGCCTGTAATCCCAGCACTTTGGGAGGCCGAGGCGGGCGGATCACGAGGTCAGGAGATCGAGACCATCCCGGCTAAAACGGTGAAACCCCGTCTCTACTAAAAATACAAAAAATTAGCCGGGCGTAGTGGCGGGCGCCTGTAGTCCCAGCTACTTGGGAGGCTGAGGCAGGAGAATGGCGTGAACCCGGGAGGCGGAGCTTGCAGTGAGCCGAGATCCCGCCACTGCACTCCAGCCTGGGCTACAGAGCGAGACTCCGTCTCAAAAAAAAAAAAAAAAAAAAAAAAAAAAAAAATGATCAAGATGGTAAATTTAATGTTATGTGTATTTTATCACACAGAATACACTCTATGTTGTTCTCACAATGGCAAAATCACCAAATGACGTATTTCTCAGAATGTATCCCCATCATTAAGTGGTGAATGACAATATTCTGGATATTAATCTCTTATTAGATATAATACTTGCAAATATTTTCTCCCATTCTGTGGGTTGCCTTTTTACTCTCTTAATAGTGTCTTTTGATGCACAAATTTAAAAAATTTTATGATATCCAGTCTGTCTTTTTTTTAAGAGACAGGGTCTCACTCTGTTACCCAGACTGAAGTGCAGTGGCGCAATCATAGCTCACTGTAATCTTGAACCCCCGGCCTCAAGCAATCCTCCCACTTCTGTTTCCCAAAGTACTGGGATTATAGGCCTGATCCACTTCACCTTTTCTTCTGTGGCCTGTGCTTTTGATGTCTTATCCAATAAATCATTGCCAAATCCAATGCTGTGAAGCTTTTCACCTATGTTTACTTCTTAGAGTTTTATAGTTTTGGATCTTACATTTAGGTCTTTGATCTGTTTTGAGTTAATTTTTTTTTTTTTTTTTTGAGACGGAGTCTCGTTCTGTCGCCCAGGCGGGAGTGCTGTGGCGCGATCTCCGCTCACTGCAAGCTCCGCCTTCCGGGTTCAGGCCATTCTCCTGCCTCAGCCTCCCGAGTAGCTGGGACTACAGGCGCCCGCCACTGCGCCCGGCTAATTTTTTGTATTTTTAGTAGAGACGGGGTTTCACCGTGGTCTCGATCTCCTGACCTCGTGATCCGCCCGCCTCGGCCTCCCAAAGTGCTGGGATTACAGGCGTGAGCCACCGCGCCCGGCTTGAGTTAATTTTTATACATGGTATTGGGTAAGGGTCTGTCTTAGTCTGCTCAGGCTGCTATAAAAAAATTTTGAAATAGGTAGTTTGTTTGTCTGTTTCCCCAACCCCTCTCCCAAGTCTCTGGTAACCACCATATTCTCTACTTCTATGAGTTCAACTTTCTTAGATCCCGTGTATAAGTGAAATTAAGTGGTATATTTGTGTTTCTGTTCCTGGCTTATTTCACTTAATATAATGTCTTCCACATTTATTCATGTTGTTGCTAGTGACAGGATTTCTTTCTTTTTCAAGGCTGAATAACACTCCATTGTGTACATATGCATTTTCTTTATCCATTCATCTGTTGATGAACACTTAGGTTCATTTCATCTTGGCTAGTGTGAATAATATTGTAATAAGCATCAGGGTGCAGATATCTGTTTGACATACTGATTTCCTTTATTTTGGATACGTACTTAGTACTGGATTAATGGATCCTATAGTAGTTTTTTAATTTTTAATTTTTTTTAGGAATCTCCATACTGTTTTTCACAAGGGCTGTACTAATTTACATTCCCACCAACAATGTGCAAGGGTTTCCTTTTCTCCACATCCTCACCAACACGTGTTATCTTTTGTGTTTTTGATAACAGTCATTCTAACAGGCGTGAGGTGATATCTCACTGTGATTTTTGATTTGGGGCACTTTTTCATATACCTGTTGGATATTTTTATGTCTTCTTTGGAGAAATGTCTACTCAGATCCTTTGCCAATTTTTAAATTGAGTTCTTTGTTTTCTCATTGCTGAGTTGAGTTTCTTTTTTTTTTTTTTTTTTTTTATTAACCCCTTATCGGATGTATGATTTGCAGACAGGTTGTCTCTTCACTTTGTTGTTTGTGTTCTTGGCCGTGCAAGAGATTTTTAGTTTGGTGTAATCCCATTTGTCAATGTTTGTTTTTGTTGCCTGTGTTTTTGGATTTGTATCCAAAAAATTATTGCCCAGATGAATGTCATGGAGCTTTTCTTCTATGGTTTCTTCTAGTAGTTTTATAGTTTTAGGTCTTATATTTAAGTCTTTAATTCATTTGTAGTTTATTTTTTAATGTAGCATGAAGTATTAGTTTTATTCCTCTGTATATGGATATCCAGTTGTCCCAACACCATTGAGTGAAGAGAGTGTTGTTTGCTGATTGTGTGTTCTTGGCACCTTTGTCAAAAATCAGTTGACTGTTGGCTGGGCATATTGGCTTATGCCTGTAATCCAAGCACATTACGAGGCTGAGATGTGTGGATTGCTTGAGGTCAGGAGTTTGAAACCAACCTGGGCAACATAGCAAGCCCCTGCCTCTACAAAAAAAAAAAAAAGTTTTAATTAGCTGGGCATAATGGGGCACACCTGTAATCTTAGCTACTCAGGAGGGTGAGGCAGGAGGATCCTTTGAGCCCAAGAGCTCAAGGCTGCAGTAAGCTATGATAGCATCACTGCACTTCAGCCTGGGTGACAAAGGGAGACCCTGTCTCAAAACAAACAAAAAACCAATTGACCATAAATGTGTGAATTTATTTCTGGGCTCTCTATTCTGTTCTATCGGTCTGCGTCTGTTTTTATGCCAGTACCATACTGTTTTACTTATTTGTATTTTTAGAGACAGGGTCTCACTATGTTGCCCAGGCTGGCATTGAACTCCTGGGCTCCAGCAATCCTCCTGCCTTAGCCTCCCTAGTAGCTGGGACTATAGGCATGTGCCTCTGCACCTGGCTATCATGCTGTTTTCTTGCAGCCTTTTTTGAGGCAGGATCTCACTGTGTTGCCCAGGCTAGAGTGCAGTGGTACAATCAGAACTCTTTGCAGCCTCGACCTCCCAGGCCCAAGCAATTCTCCCACCTCAGTCTCCTGAGTAGCTGGGGCCACAGGCACACGCCACCATACCCAGCATTTAAAACATTTTTTGCAGAGACAGGTTCTGCCTGTGTTGCCCAGGCTGGTCTTGAATTCCTGGGCTCAAGCAATCCTTCTGCCTCAGCCTCCCAAAGTGTTGTGATTATAGGCGTGGGTCACTGTGTCCAGCCTTATCATGCTGTTTGATTACTGTAGCGGTGTGGTATATTTTGAAGTCAGGTAGTGTCAACACCCCAGCTTTGTTCTTTTTGCTCAAGATTGCTTTGGCTATTTGAAGTCTTTTGTGGAACTTTAGGATTGTTTATTCTATTTCTGTGAAAACAGTCATTAGGATTTTGATAGAGATTTCATTGAATCTGTAGATCACTTTGGGTAGTATGGACACTTTAACAATATTAATTCTTCCAATCTATGAACATGGGATATCTTTTCATTTATTTATGTCTTCAATTTTTTTCATCAATGTTTTATAGTTTGCAGTGGACAGATCTTTCACCTCTAGTTGAATTTATTTCTAAGTATTTTTTTTTCTTTCTAGCTATTGTAAAATATTTTTTATTTCCTTTTTGGATAGTTTGTTGTTAGTGTATAGAAACACAATGATTTTTGTATGTTAATTTTATATCCTGCAACTTTACTGACTTTATTAGTCTTAACTTTTTTTTTTTGGTGGAGTCATTAGAGTTTTTTTTTTAATATATAAGATCATGTAATCTGTAAACAGGGACAATTTAACATTTTCCTTTCCAATTTGTATGCCTTTTATTTCTTTATCTTTCCTAATTGCTCTGGCTAAAACTTACAGTACTATATTGAGTAGAAGTGACAGGTGTGGGCATCTGATATGGTTTGGCTGTGTCCCCACCCAAATCTCATATCAAATTGTAATTCAAATTGTAATCCCCACATATCAAGGGAGGGACTTGGAGGGAGGTGATTGGATCATGGGGGTGGTTTCCCCCATGCTGTTGTCGTGATAGTGAGTTCTCACAAGATCTGGTTGTTTGATAAGTGTCTGGTGCTTCCCCCTTCTTGCTCTCTCTCTTGCCTGCTGCCATGTAAGACAAGCTTTGCTTCCCCTTTGTCTTCTGCTGTAAGTTTCCTGAGGCCTCTCCAGTCATGCAGAACTGTGAGTCAATTAAGCCTCTTTTGGTAGTATCTTTATAGCAGTGAGAGAACAGATTAATACAGCATCCTTGTCTTGTTCCTGATCTTATAGAAAAAGCTTTCAACTCTTCACCATTGAGTATAATGTTGGCTGTGGGTTTGTCACATCTGGTCTTTCTTGTGTTGAGGTACATTCCTTCTATACCTAATTTGCTCAGTTTTTTAAATGAAAGGATGCTGAATTGTGTCAAATGCTTTTTTTTACATCTATTGAAATGATCAAATGATTTGTGTCTTTTAGTCTGTTAATGTGGTGTATCACATTTATAGATTTGTGTATGTTGATCCATCCTTACATCTGAGATAGAATGGGTAATTCCTTTTTTTTTTTTTTTTTTTTTGAGACAGAGTCTCACTCTGTCACCAGGCTGGAGTGCAGTGGTGTGATCACGCACCACAACCTCCACCTCCTGGGCTCAAGTGGTCCTCTGACCTCAGCCTCCTGAGTAGCTGGGACTACAGGCATGCACCACCATGCCCAACTAATTTTTTATTTTTTATTTTTGATAGAGTTGGAGTTTCACTATGTTGCCTAGGCTGGTCTCAAACTCCTGAGCTTAAGCAGTCCACCAGCCTCAGCCTCCAAAATGCTGGGATTACAGGGATAAGCCACTGCACCCAGCCGAGACTGGACAATTTCTAAATGACAGAATTTATTGCTCATAGTTCTGGAGGCTGGGAAGTCCAAGATCAAGGCACCAGCAGATTTGGTGTTTGGCAAGGGTGTATTCCTCATAGGTAGTACTTTCTCCCTGTATCCTCACAGGTGAAACAAGCTCCTTCAGGGCCTCTTTTATAAGGACACTAATCCCATTTATGAAGGCAATGTCCTTATGATCTAATTATCTCCCAAAAGCCCCACTTCTTAATACCATCACCTTGGGGATTAGGTTTCAATGTATGAATTAATGGGGGGGACACAACATTCAGACCATAGCAGGGTCCAACTTCATTCTTTTGTATTCTTCATTCTAGTGTTCCCAGCACCACTTGCTGAAAAGACTGTTCTTTCCCCTTTCACAAGAGTGTGAATTGTCTTGGCACCCTTGTCAGAAAAACATTTGACCATATATGTGAGGGTTTATTTCTGGGCCTCTATTCTATTCCATTGGTCTTTATGTCTGTCTTTATGCCAGTACTACACTGTTGTGAACACCGATACTCCTTTATGTGGAAATCTTCCAGGTAAGGTTGGGTGGATGGATGTGTGTGTGTCTGTGTGTCTATGCAAGGAAAACTCTTAAATAACAGACTGTACACTTGCCAAATGTTAATGGGTCATTCTTCTCCATATTTTGAGATTTATATTAGAAAGTTATGGCTACATCCTAACTTGAACCACTTGGTCTCACAAAACAGAGACTGTTTCTAAGGAGAGGTGGGGAATGTTGGTGGACACCAAATGTCTTTCCCCTGGACCTTAAACTCTGATTCCAGTCAGTCTCATATGACTTCTGCTACATTTCCCCACAGTTTCAATCTTTTTTTTTGAGACAGAGTCTTGCTCTGTTGCCCAGGCTGGAGTGCAGTGGTGTGATCTGGGCTCACTGCAACCTTCACCTCCCAGGTTCAAGCAATTCTCCTGCCTCAGCCTCCCAAGTAGCTGGGACTACAGGCACCCACCACCACACCCAGCTAATTTTTGTATTTTTTAGTAGAGATGGGGTTTCACTATGTTGGCCAGGCTGGTCTCAAACTCCTGACCTCGGGTGATCCACCCACCTCAGTCTCCCAAAGTGCTGGGATTACAGGCATGACCCCGGCCCACAGTTTCAATCTTTTAATACCTTAAATATTTAAGTTACTAAAATAGCTAAGAAAAATTGTTCATTTTAAGTGCTAATTATTCCCTTTTCTTTTTTCTATTATTAAATATGTATTTTATGAATAAAAAGTTAATGTTTTTAACTAGGAATTAAAATGTACTTCTGATTTTTAGGTTTGTTTTGTGCCAGTTGTCATTTTTCATACACACACACACACACACACACACACACACACGCACACACCCCACCATCAACACCACCACCACCGTCGTTTCTGTAAACCAATCAACAGTGGAGACACTAGAGACTATTATATGAAAACTGTTTATTCTATAGCCTACTGGGAATTGGCCAGAAGTTAGAAGGACATTGGAAATGACTTTTAAATCTCCATTTGAGAAAAAGCATGCCATGAGTCTAAATAACCAATTTCATTTAGCAAACAAAATACAAGTAAACAAAACACAACTTCTCTGATGAATGAAGTGGTTACCATATTTTTTCCCATTGTGTAAAGATAGTTCTCATATGAAATATATCACCTAAGCAGTAGTAATCAGAATATTCTGCAAACTTATTGGGGGTAATTTAAACCCCAAATCGGAAGAATAGAATAAAAGACATAAAAGTCTTTCTTCAAAAGAAAAACAAAACAAAACAAAAAACAATACCCCTTCGGTGTCAAATGATACAGAAATGGCACTGGTTTCCTATATGTTGACTGAGATACTTTTTACTGCATAGCAAATTAAAAAGATATGCTCATCCCACTTTTATTTTTATGCACTACTTTTAGTTCTGCAGAAATAAAAGCTATACTGAATTTAAAACTTTTTACACACATAATCCTGTGCAAACTATGTAATACTTTGTTTGTAGGATATTAACCCAACTTTCTAATATATTTTGTATATGTCTCTTTTTGTTTATTTGAGACAAAGTCTCACTCTGTCACCCAGGCTGGAGTGCAGTGGTGCAATCACAGCTCACTGCAGCTTCGACCTCCTGGGCACAGGTGATCTCACTTCAGCTTCCCGAGTAGCTGGGACCACAGGCGTGCACCACCAGGCCTGGCTAACTTTTTGTATTTTTTTTTTTTTTTTTGTAGAGACGAGGTTTTACCATGTTGCCCATGTGGGATATTTTGTATACATTTCAAAAGGCAACTACAAAAATTGGTTTTTCATATTTCTACAAATATTTTATGGAATGTTTAATATCTTGTAAATGTGGAAGCTGTGACAAATTTTTGTATTTAGAAAGTATGACAATCTGAAAATCAACATTTTACAGAAGTGACACCATTCTGTTGAAACTGGAGTATACTGCACTTATATATCATTATTTCTAATATACACCTAGTTATTAGAGAAATTAGTGCACTAAAGGACAGTGGTGGTTTTTAAAAATGATTTCTTCACTGTGGCAAGTTTGTCCTCCTCTGTCCAAAGCAACAATTGAACCAACAGGCCCTTCTAATCTTATGCCAGCAACACAATGGGATCGAGGCCAGGTTCTTGTGCAATTTGTGAAACCTTTGGTTTGCAGAGTTGTTAGCGTAGTGGCTCGGCTCATCAGCTCTGAGCATTTGAATATCTAATGTTTCAAACTGTTAGTCCTGTTCTGATTTATATTCATCCCTGCCATTCCTATTAACTTAATTACACCTGCCCACAACTTAATTTACTTGCCTTTGTTACTACAGTTTGAACTCCAGCTACATTTTTCTAAGAAATTAAATTGCTAGGTTTTTATAGCTGACTGCACTCTTAGAACTTCTCTACAGACTTTATGATCTTTTTGGACTTTACTTTTTAGCACATCTTAGGAACTATTATGAAGTTTTCTCGCAGCACACTTGAAGTTAAATAGCTTTTTCCAAGTTTAATACAGTTTGATGGCTCTTCTCGGGGTGTAGATGAGTGGGGGCACTTACATTGCCCGTTGGAGGAGACTCTGCCTTCTGCTCAGCCAAAAATCAGTGTGAATCCCTTTGACTGTTCCATCTTTCCCCATATCAAACCTAAATTATTGATCTTCCACCTGTTCTCATTTCTTCTGTCCTGTCTCTTGTTGAGTCACAACAGCTGTTCCCCATGCTCTGCGTGGTAACATTCCACATGGTACTCCATAAAAGCCTGATATAGATGACCTCTCTATAACAGAACTGCAATTATTCTTGTCATGCTTCAGTTGTTTCTGTGGCTCTCCTCTGGACTCTCTCCAAATTCTCCTGCTCAGTTTTAGCAAGCTGGCCTGGAGTTCTCTCACACGGTCTGGCTAGCACAGTAATTTGCTTGTGGTTAAAAGCCTTTGTGCTCAGTACTGAGACTGCCACATAATGAATTTTCATTTCCATTTTATTCTGAACTTGCAAACATCAGAGATTCGTGCTATCTTCAGTGTTTAAGTGGTAATGCCTTTTGTAAAATAAAGGAGGCTGCAGGCCAGGCACCGTGGCTCATGCCTGTAATCCCAAAGCTTTGTGAGGTGGAGGCGGGCAGATCACTTGAGGTCAGGAGTTCGAGACCAGCCTGGCCAACATGGCGAAACCCCATCTCTGCTAAAAATAGAAAAATTAGCCAGGCGTGATGGTGCATGCCTGTAATCTCAGCTACTTGGGAGTTGAGGAATGAGCACTGTTTGAACCCAGGAGACGGAGGTTGCAGTGAGCAGAGCCGAGATCGCACCACTGCACTCTAGTCGGGGTGACAGAGTGAGACTCCATCTCAAAAATTAAAAAAAAAAAAAAAAAAAGCCTGTGGTTATTTTGATGGGATAGCAAGGATAACATGAACCATGTAAGGTTTGGCATAAATAGTTCATAGTTGACCTGGTCTGTCTGACTGTCTGAGATGTCACTGAGTCATTTGATGACCTTGAAATGCTAAAGCATTGGAATGAATGTCTGTAGATCAGGACAGAGGTGGGTTCAGAGAACTATTTAGGAGACATCTGGGTGGGAGTTGTGGCCAACACTGATTACAGGTGAGCACTGGGGAAAAAAGCCAGGATTGCAAGGAGTTAAAGATCACCCATTCAAGAAGTTTGGCAGAAGGAGCAAGACAGGAAATTTATTCATTTAGTGGCAGTCAGAGGTAACAATATAAGAAAAGCATTCTGAGTCTTCTTTTAGGCAAACTGAAATTTGCCATTAGAGAAGGGAGTTCTTTGTTTTTCGTTTGTTTTAGGGACTATTTAAAAAATAAGAACATTTGTGTCTTATTAGTTAAGGCAGCACTATCCAATAGAATTTTCTGTGATGATGGAAACAGTCTACATCTGTGCTATCTGGTATGGTGCTATAAGCCACATGTAGCTATTTAAATTTAAATTTAATTAGTGTGGCTACTGAGCAATTGAAATGTGGCTAGTATATCTGAGTTGAATTTTGATTAATTAAAATTAAAATTTAAATTTAAATAGCTACATGTGGCTAGAGGCTACTGCATTAGACAGCTCAGAGTTCGAGTTTTACTAACTAGACTTGCAGATTAATCTCAAAATATTAATGTCTTAAAACAATAAAAGTGTATTATTCAACTATCACATCCAAACCAATTGGTGCTAGGGTGTAGGGAGGGGAGCATTCTGCTCTGCCTAGTCATTTGGAACACTGGCTCCTTCTATCTTGTGTGGTGCCATCTTCAACCTTGAAGGGTGCATGTTGGAGGGGAAGAGATAGAATATGAAGAATCTCTTGAGAAGTGTTATGGGCCATGTCTGGAAATGGCCTACATTACTTCAACCCATATACCCATATTCTAATAGTTACAAATAAATGACATGGCTCTACCTAACTGCAGGCTGAAAGAAAAGGAACAAGGTTTATGGACACATAACATTACCCTGCCACAATGAAATTTGTAGAGGTCTGGGATCAGTCTCTAATACCTCCTCCATAAGGAAATGGAAATAAATTTTAATCAGTGTGCTAAGGGAGTAAATCTGGTACAGTTCTGGATGTGAGGAAGAGACTGAAGGATCAAAGTGGGGCAATGGGGGTTCAACATGGGGCAGGGATCAGGAGGAAGAGATGGAATAAATAATAGAGGACAGAAAACAGTTGGTATTTGCTGATGGAGAACCACTTCTCGGAAAGAGAAACAAAAAGAAAGTGTGAGAATAGAAATTTTGAGGTGAAAAGGAGAGAAATTCAAGGTTCTTAGATTGAATCACTTTGTCTGCTCTGAGGTTATTTGCTTATTATGACAAGCCTGGGAAGACGTTTGGGTAGGTGCTTAAAATTAGAAGAAAAGACCCGAACAGGTACTGTAAAGAGTGCCTTGGGCATGCGCTGTAGAATTTGGAAGGCATTTGTTTCAGACTAATCTGGTAATCCAGATATTTCACAGAAAGTGTCATGTAAATTCAAATAGGTATCTTCTTTTTCTCTTGATAAATATTCCTGTGGTAAGCCATGGAGTTCTGTTAATCTTCTGTTTGACCAAATAACTAGGATTGGGAATTTTAACTTAACCTTTTACCTTTTACCATAATTAAGGTGCCAGTATAAGAGTAGAGCATTAAAGCTAGTGAGTATATTAACACGCAAACATTTTAAGAAAAATCAGATGAATAGAGAATACTGAAGTTAGTAATTCACATTTTGACAGCATCAGTTGAACTGTCAGCATAACATGAAGTTTGAGAGTAGAATTATTTCTCAAATTAACATTGAACTTAAACTGGGAAGAAAATACAAATGTTTTTTGTTGGAGAAATTATAAAATCTTGGAATTGTAACAAACAGCTTCACAGTTTAATAGTATCTTATGTATTTGCCTTCCACTCCCTACTCTACTGCCACCTCAGCTTCCTCTCTATCCATGTCATTAAAGAACTCTCTTAGAAAAATTCATAATTTAACACGAACTGAGGTGGGATGGGGTGGGAAGGCAATGCCTTACTTTACATAGTTAACTTCCTTTTTAATCTGCCCATAAAAAAATTCTCCCAGATTCCCATTCTCGATCCATGTAGTTGAATGAGGATGGCTGACTCCTAGGCTCCAAAGGTGACTAAGACTCAAGTGTGGACAGAGTATTCTATTCTCCTGCCCACACTGATGGGCACATGAACCAAGAAAGACAAAAGGTCTCCTGGGGGTGTGTGTATATATATGTGTGTGTGTATACACACACACACACACACACACACACACACACACACACACACACACACACACACACACAGAGTCTTGCTCTGTCGCCCAGGCTGGAGCGCAATGGCACAATCTCAGCTCACGGCAGCCTTTGCCCCCAGATGCAAGTGATCCTGCCACCTCAGCCTCCTGAGTAGGTGGCACACAGGTGCATGTCACTTCATCGGCCTAATTTTTTTTTTTTTTGGTATTTTTTGTTTTTTGGTTTTTTTGGTAGAGCTGGGGTCGCCCAGGCTGGTCTCAAACTCTGGACTCAAGAGGCCCACCCATTTAGGCCTCCCAAAGTGCTGGGATTATAGGCATGAGCCACTGTGTCCGGCCTCTCTTGGTGATTTTGACTGGAAATGATGTGGGTTCACACACATGATCCAATCTCAAGAAAAGACAGTGTAGAGGGAAGGGGGTAAAACCACCATTAAGAACTGATTGGGAATATAGCTCAACTCTAAAAGCACTGCTCTTCTCTAGGTTATTGGCACAGACCCACTTCCAGTGATAGCTTTAATTATTGGCTAAAGCTTTTGCTGTGAGGGCAAAAACTTCATCTATCTAATTCACCTTTATCCATAATCTCTACCCTAGAGCCTGGAACTGAATATACAGTTAATAAATAAGTGCAGAATGAACTAACTAATCACTTACAGCCTGAATTTTACAAATGCCTTTGAAGACTTCATGGAAACATTTGTATTCTTGGTACTGTAGGGCAGTGCTGAGCCCTGTCATTTCTTTCTTAAACCATAGTTTACTTAGAAATCAGCAAGGAAATCCATCAAGTGATTTTGGGGATCCACTTTGAGTGGGAAGCCATGAGAAATGCCCAAACAAGCCAGTGGGCTTTCCAGACTAAGAGCTATCACTTTCACTCTTTCTACATAATCACTTCTTACATAGGTTTCAACATAAGGTACATTTTGATCTCTAAAATATAAATTCATACCAATTTTAGCTTCCATCCTCAGACTTCCTTTCCTGTTGTACTTCCTTTTCAAATATCAGAGGAATGCTCAAAATAATGAAAAGAGCCTTGATTTTCTTGCTGACCACTCGCAGCAATAATTTTGGCTTCTCCCCCATGTACATATACCTTCTAATCTCCAGACATGTTAGTAAAGGACTTGAATTTTCTGGCTTTTCCACTTTAATTCCAACCTCTAGGAGTACAGCAAGAGCCTTTTCCTCCTCCCAAACACCCATCCCTTGCTTTGTAGAGCCTCATGGACCAGCACTGCCACTAAGGCTGCGCTCCTGCCCCTTTGGCCCTCTTCAGGGAATCCTGCTATCCTAAGGGCCGTGCACACTGTAGGGAACAAATCCTTTGCTGAATTCTCAATGCATGAGACCAAAGAGAAGATAGTAATACCCAAGGGTTGGAATAGAACCAGATAACTTAAGGGTTATTTGGGAATAGAGTATCTTGAGCCATTGATGCTGGACCTACATACTTACTTATTTCAGAACTCCCTTCTCCTGGTTTTTCTATTCTTTAAGTGAGGAGGACATTTTTATTGATCATGTCATTATTCATTTAAAACTCAATAAATGCCTATCAATAGATAATTGGTTAAATTATGGGACATCCATCTTCTGATCCTTCCAGATAAGATCGGTAACCTTTACTGGATGGCTCATAGCATCTGGGTTATTACCTACCAAGAACAGTGTTTTATGCAGTTATTTAATATCTGTCTCCTTACTAGACTGTAAGCCCAATCAAGGAAGCATGAAGGTGGCTACTGTATGCTTAGAACCATGATTGGTATGGTAGATGTTTAATGTTTGAATGTATAATAAATGCATACAATGGAATACTATGCAGACATTTATTTATTTATTTATTTATTTAGAGACAGAGTCTCGCTCTATCACCAGGCTGGAGTGCAGTGGCTCAATCTTGGCTCACTGCAACCTCTGCCGCTGGGTTCAAGCAGTTCTCCTGCCTCAGCCTCCCGAGTAGGTGGACTACAGGCGCCTGCCACCGTGCCTGGCTGATTTTTGTATTTTCAATAGAGATGAGGTTTCACCATATTGGCCAGGCTGGTCTCGAACTCCTGACCTTGTGATCTACCTGCCTTGGCCTCCCAAAGTGGTAGGATTACAGGCGTGAGCCACCACACCCAGCCTATGCAGCCATTTAAAGCATGACAATGTGGAATTGTTTATTGACATGTAAGGTTACCCATAATATAATGTTAAATTTTAAAAATCAAATAATAAAATAGTAGATATGCTATGATCATGTTTTAACAAAAAAGAATAGCCATACATACAGATAGATACATCAAAATGTTAATAGTGGTAAGATTATGAATGACTTTTTCTTTTATTGGTTAACTCTTTGTATTATCTGAAATTTTACAACAACAGCATTTATTTGACCTGTTTTTTTTATTTTATTTTATTTTTTAGAGACCAGGTCTCACTCTGTCACCCATACTGGAGGATAGTGGCACAATGACAGCTCACTACAGCTTTGAACTCCTGGGCTCAATTGATCCTCTTGTCTCAGCTTCCTGAGTAGCTGGGACTATAGGTGCACACCACCACACTTGGCTTTTTGGTTTTTTTTTTTTTTTCTGAGACAAAGTGTTGCTCTGCCACCCAGGCTGGAGTGCAGTGGTGTGATCTCTGCTCACTGTAACCTCCACCTCTTGGGCTCAAGCAATTCTCCTGCCTCAGCCTCCCAAGTAGCTGGGACTACAGGCGTGTGCCACCAGGCCCAGGTAATTTTTTGTATTTTTACAAAACTGTAGAGATGGGGTTTCACCATGTTGGCCAGGGTGGTCTCGAACTCCTGACCTCAGGTGATCTGGCCACCTCGGCCTCCCAAAGTGCTGGGATTACAGGCGTGAGCCACCAGGCTAATTTTAAAAATAATGTTTTTTGAGATGGGATCTCACTATGTTGCCCAGGCTGGTCTCAAACTCCTGGCCTCAAGTGATCCTCCTGCTTCAGCCTCCCCTATAACTGGGATTACAGTTACAAGTCATCACACCTGGCTGATTTATTCTTTCCTGATTTTAAAATTATTTCCATTTTGAGAAAAACCAAGTAGATATTAAAACAACCTTTTTTCTGTCACAAAACTTCACTTAAACAACTAATTTTGGCATACAGTTTTCAACTGGACAATATTAGAAACAACATGGATTTCCGAATGCAAATTGAAATGTTGGATACATTCATCTCGTTGCTATTTCTGATTAAAGTAGACCTTTAACAAAATGATCATTATGAAACCTTCATTTCTATACAAAATTTCTTATTTTTTATATCCATAATTACTATTAGACTCTTCCTTCTCCTCTTATTTACATTCTTACCCAGGATATGGAGAATGGAATAGACCTTAATTTCTTATCCTATTTTTTAGCTGAAGACCAAAAAAGTTAAAAGGAAGTAGACTTCTCAAATTTTTTTTAAAAAAAGAAATGTCAGTGGCTGCTACATTTAAAGTACCTTCCTTACATGAGGGAAGTTTGCAAAGGTGAAGGTCTTCCCCAAGAAAATACCAAAGCATTACCACAAATCTAAAACTATATCCATTTTAAACAAACACCTTTAATAGACTGGTTATAAAACTATAATTGGACAATTTTAAGGCCAGTTTATACTTTTCCCTTTTCAAAGACATTAATTAATATAAATAAGACACTATCAGATGATATTCTCTATACAGAGCAAGAATATACTCTTGGATATCTCAAAAGAGAAGTATAATTGCACTTATTTCATACAACAATTAGCATAATAACGGAAATGGAAAATATTTTTGTATATAAATTCCATTTCTTAATTAAGTAAAATTAAAGTTTCATTAAGAGTCAGTTAAAAAAAATAGGGCATATACTGTCTGTATATGGCTACCTGTCTTTTAGTAACATGAATTTTGTTTTTTTGTTTTTGAGATGGCGTCTTGCTCTGTCGCCCAGGCTGGAGTGCAATAGCACGATCTCAGCTCACTGCAACCTCCACCTCCCAGGTTCAAGCGATTCTCCTGCCTCAGCCTCCCAAGTAGCTGGGATTATAGGTACCCACCACCACACCCGGCTAATTTTTGTATTTTTAGTAGAGGCCAGGTTTCACCATGTTGGCCAGGCTGGTCTCAAACTTCTAACCTCAGGTGATCCGCCCACCTGGGCCTCCCAAAGTGCTGGGATTACAGGCGTGAGCCACCATGCCCGGCCTAATTTTGTTAATCTTGCCAGTTTCAAGCCATTGACACAAAAACATCAGCACCATATTAAGAAGTCACACTCTGACCTATAAAATGTGACAGCCCCAGGAGAACCATTACACCATTATTCATTTTCAGTAAAAAGTCTAATAGAACAGTGACAAATATTGTGCCTTAGATCCTTAATCATACGATACAAATCATTTACAATATAAATTGTAAAGATGAACATGTGCTGGCACAGCTAGGGTTTACATACTCTTTGGAAGCTCAAAAAGTTCAAGAATGTCTTATCAGTCTTCATTTCAGATCTAGTAGCATAAAAGCTGGGTTTTCTAAATAGGATTTCCACAAATTGGAGAAGCGTGACATTGTAGCACCATCAATAACTCTGTGATCAGCTGACCAGCTCACATTCATTATCTGTGCCTTATATACTTCTCCTTTCTGGTTAAATCGGGGAATGGCCTAGAAATGAAAAAAAAAAAAAAAAAAAAAAAAAAAAGAACAAAGAGTAAACCTTCACTTGTTCAGAGCTCAAGCTCTAACAATGGTGTAAGATCAGGCAAACCCTTCTTCCTGTACAGTACAGAAAAAAATGGGCATCCCCAATGACTTTTGAAAATGCTGATTCCTACTCTTCCCATCTTTGAGTATATGCCTGGAGCTTACAGAAGTTCTCCAAGGTACTTCCTATCCCTTGTACAATTCCCATACCTACATTCATTAACTTTCATCTCAGATTTCAAATATTTAATAATTATTTACTGTATACCCACTATGTGCCAAGTATTCTTCTAGGCTCTGGGGAGAGACAGACAATTAAATAAGGCTTCCTCACTGAAGGCAGTGAGGAAACAAGCCATTATCAAGTTCCCCTGACCACTGAGTTGGCCAGGAAGAAGACAGGACAACAACATGCTTGTGTTCTTTGTGGATATTAAAGCTAGTAAGCACCACATCAAACAGGCTGGAAGCTCTATGACACTGATGCGGCCAAGGTCAACACCTTGATCAGGCCCGGAGAGAGGAAGGCATATATTCCATTAGCTCCTGATTACAATGCTTTGGATATTGCCAACAAAATTGGGATCATCTAAAATGAACCCAGCTAATTCTAAATATATATCTTTTCACTATCAAAAAAAATGTAGACAAAATATAAGCCCCAACTTATTATTAGATTCAATAGACATAAAATCATGCTGTCAAACTGCTATAAAAGTTTCTAAGCTCTACTCTCTTTTTCTATACTGATCTCCTCATGGCTGGGATACAACAGTCACAGCCAGATGTGGATCCTTGAGCACACTGAGTAGCATCTGTGTAAAGCCATGTAGGCCACTGCAACTACTTGTCTTTGATTCTATGTGAGATGAGAAGCCCTTCAAAGTGTCTGAGCAGATTGGCCATTCACTGAAAGAGGACGACTTTAGGAGGAGCAGGTCTGATGGTGGGGGGCAGTGAGGAAAGGAGCAGGAGCTCAGTTTTAGACATGTTAAAATTCAAGATGCCTTTATACATCCAAGCAAGATATAAGAGTAAGTTCAAAAGTGAGGTCCAGTCTAGAGATATAAACCTGGGAGTCATCAGTGTATAAATGGTATTGAAAGATCAGATAAAGAAAAGCGGTGAGAACTGAATCCTGGGGTGCTTCCATGTGCAGAGATTAGGAACATTAGGAGGTATGGGTAAAGGAGACTTAGAGGGAATAGGCAGTGACATAGGAGGAAAACCAAAATGGCCAGGTATTCTGCAAGTCAATATTAAGAAAGTTTTCCAAAGAGGTTGGATTGATCAGTCATCTCAAGGTCAACTAGTAGGTCAAGGAAAACGAATACTGAGAATTGAGTAACATGGAAGACTTAATGACTTAAACAATTTAGCAAGAAGGAATTAAAATTCTATAATGAAAACAAAATAGCAAAGGAAAGATGACACAAAGGGAGAAAGGAATTAAATACTATTTGTCCCTACCCCACAAATATTATTTTAAGGGAATAAGATTTCTACTCTAAGAACTACACTTCATGGCTTGAAAAAACCATGGATAAAATGATTCTGTAAAATATATCTATTGAACAGATATTTATAAATCAAATATTCATTTGTTCATAACACCATTATGCACAAGAGCCAAAAAATGGAAAAATCCAAATATTCATTGATGGATGAATGTATAAACAAAACATGGCATACATTTATATACAACAGTATACTATTTACCCTTAAAAATTAATGAAATTCTGATACATGCTACATGAATGAACCTTGAGCCAGATACAAAAGGACAAATACTGTATGATTCCACTTACATGAGGTACCTAGAATAGTCCAATTAATTCACAGAGACAGAAAATAGAATGGTGGTTACCAAAGGCTGGGGAAATGGAGAGATTACTCAGTAAGTGCAGAGTTTCAGTTTGGGATAATGAAAAAGTTCTGGAGACAGATGGTGGTGATGGTGGCAAACAATGTAAATGTACTTAATGCCACTGAACAATGTACTTAAAAATGGTTTAAATGGTCAATTTATGTTTATATATTTTACCACAATTATATACATATACACATATAATTCAGAAGAAGATAATCTCTTTAAGGAAAGAGAACACAAAATTTTGTCAAACAGGTATAATGGTTTGGAAACTGCAGGAAGCCAGAATTTTGTGAGAATCAAATGTTGAATTCTTGTTGGAAAAGAGAATGAGTGATAGAGAGAAGTTATAACTCAGAGAACTGATTTGGAAATAGTGACATACTGTGTCTTTTTGTTTTTTCTCCCTATCTCCTCTGCTTGCCAGAAGGGAAAGTGGATGCCAGGAAGGGGGAATGACTTAGATGCTAATTTACTATCTGCTAGAAAGCAAATCAAAGGCTGAAGGAAAGAATTTGTGAGGGTTCCAACACGCAAGGAATAAACTCATGAGGACAAGTCCCAGAGATGTTCAACATGGAAGCATTATAAGTGTAGAAAAGAAAGGCTCTTCTTAAAACACACTCTTCTTAATGTAGTGACAATGACATTTAATAAACATGGTATTGAAGTGGTATCCAGGAGCTTATTTGCCTCAGTGGTCCTCAACCCTGAATTAATAGGGGGTACCCAAGTCCCATCCCCCAAAATTCCAATTCAGCTGGTAGAGGGGGAGCTTGGCCATAATTTTTTTCAAGCTCCCGTATGATTCTAACATGTAGCCAGGGTGAAGAATCACTGCAACCCTTATTCTAAGTCAGTGTCTTCTAAACCATGGTCACCGATCACCTTTTTGCACTCATTTGGGTTCCTGTTCAAAATTTAAGTTCGGAGGGTTCTGCCCCTAAGGTAAAGAAATCTGCGCTTTTAACTAACACTCCCAGTGATTCCTGAGCAAAGAATGCTCTAAATGAGTCTCACTTTGTTTAAAATAACATTTTCAATTGGTTTTCTATTATTCTTTGGTATAATGAAATAAAGATATTTTGATAGAAGTAGATTGGCTATATTTGTGATTATTCATTAAGACTCAATATCTGTGCCTGGCATAATCCACAATGGTTGATCCATACAGAAACAACCCAGATCGCCACCATTTATTACACACAGAGGCAGCCACCAGAAGTGCCGGCCTAGCTCTTAGGAAGAAGTAATAGGTTTTTGGATTCCCAGGCAAGATGGCAGAACAGGAACAGCTCCGGTCTGCAGCTCCCAGTGAGACCAAGGCAGAAGGCAGGTGATTTCTGCATTTCCAACTGAGGTACCCGGTTCATCTCATTGGGACTGGTTAGACAGTGGGTGCAGCCCATGGAGGGCCAGCAGAAGCAGGATGGGGCGTCGCCTCACCTGGGAGGCGCAAGGGGTCAGGGAACTCCCTCCCCTAGCCAAGGGAAGCCATGAGGGACCGTGCTGTGAGGGATGGTGCTATCCAGCCCAGATACTATGCTTTTCCCATGGTCTTTGCATCCGACAGACCAGGATATTCCCTCGGATGCCTACTCCACAAGGGCCCTGAGTTTCAAGCACAAAACTGGGAGGCCGTTTGGGCAGACACCAAGCTAGCTGCAGTTTTGTTTTTTTTTTCATACCCCAGTGATGCCTGGAACACCAGTAAGACAGAACTGTGAGAGACACTCCCCTGGAAAGGAGGCTGAAGCCAAGGAGCCAAGTGGTCTTGCTCAGTGGATTCCAACCCCACGGAGCCCAGCAAGCTAAGATCCACTGGCTTGAAATTCTCGCTGCCAGCACAGCAGTCTGAAGTCGACCTGGGATGCTGGAGGTTGGTGGGGGGAGGGGTGTCAGCCATTACTGAGGCTTGAGTAGGCGGTCTTCCCCTCACAGTGTAAATAAAGCCACAGGGAAGTTCGAACTGGGCAGAGCCCACTGCAGCTCAGCAAAGCCACTGTATCCGGACTGCCTCTCTAGATTCCTCCTCTCTGGGCAGGCATCTCTGAAAGAAAGGCAGCAGCACCAGTCAGGGGCTTATAGATAAAACTCCCATCTCCCTGGGACAGAGCACCTGGGGGAAGGGGTGGCTGTGGGCGCAGCTTCAGCAGAATTAAACCTTCCTGCCTGCCGACTCTGAAAAGAGCAGTGGATCTCCCAGCATAGCGCTTGAGCTCTGCTAAGGGACAGACTGCCTCCTCAAGTGGGTCTCTGACCCCCATGCCTCCTGACGGGGAGACACCTCCCAGCAGGGAATGACAGACACCTCATACAGGAGAGCTCTCGCTGGCATCTGGCAGGTGCCCCTCTGGGATGAAGCTTCCAGAGGAAGAAGCAGGCAGCAATCTTTGCTGTTCTACAGCCTCCACTGGTGATACCCAGGCAAACAGGGTCTGGAATGGACCCCCAGCAAACTCCAGCAGACCTGCAGAAGAGGGGCCTGACTGTTAGAAGAAAAACTAACAAACAGAAAGGAATAGTATCAACATCAACAAAAAGGACGACCATGCAAAAACTCCATCCAAAGGTCACCAACAGCAAAGATCAAAGGTAGATAAATCCATAAAGATGAGGAAAAACCAGCATAAAAAGGCTGAAAATGCCAAAAACCAGGACGCCTCTTCTCCTCCAAAGGATCACAACTCCTCGCCAGCAAGGGAACAAAACTGGACAGAGAATGAGTTTGATGAACTGACACAAGTAGGCTTCAGGTAATAACAAACTCCTCCGAGCTAAAGGAGCATGTTCTAACCCAATGCAAGGAAGCTAGGAACCTTGATAAAAGGTTAGAGGAATTGCTAACTAGAATAACCAGTTTAGAGAAGAACATAAATGACCTGATGGAGGTGAAAAACACAGCATGAGAACTTCGTGAAGCATACACAAGTATCAATAGCTGAATCGATCAAGCGGAAGAAAGGATATCAGAGATTGAAGATCAACTTTATGAAATAAAGCATGAAGACAAGATTAGAGAAAAAAGAATGAGAAGGAAGGAACAAAGCCTCAAGAAATATGAGACTATGTGAAAAAGACCAAAACTACGTTTGATTGGTGTACCTGAAAATGACAGGGAGAATGGAAACAAGTTGGAAAACACACTTCAGGATACTATTCAGGAAAACTTCCCCGAACTAGCAAGATAGGCCAACATTCAAATTCAGGAAATACAGAAAACACCACAAAGATACTCCTCGAGAAGAGCAACCCCAAGATCCATAATTGTCAGATTCACCAAGGTTGAAATGAAGGAAAAAAATGTTAAGGGCAACCAGAGACAAAGGTCGGGTTACCCACAAAGGGAAGCCCATCAGACTAACAGTGGATCTCTCGGCAGAAACTCTACAAGCCAGAAGAGTGTGGGGGCCAATATTGAACACTCTTAAAGAAAAGAATTTTCACCCCAGAATTTCATATCCAGCTAAACTAAGCTTCATAAGTGGAGGAGAAATAAAATCCTTTAGAGACAAGCAAATGCTGACAGATTTTGTCACCACCAGGCCTGCCCTACAAGAGCTCCTGAAGGAAGCACTAAACATGGAAAGGAACAACTGGTAGCAGCCACTGCAAAAGCAACCCAAAATGTAAAGACCATCGACACTATGAAGAAACTGCATCAACTAACAGGCAAAATAACCAGCTGTCATCATAATGACAGGATCAAATTTGCATATAACAATATTAACTTCAAATGTAAATGGGCTAAATGCCTCAATTAAAAGACACAGATTGGCAAACTGGATAAAGAGTCAAGACCCATCAATGTGCTGTATTCAGGAGACCCATCTCATGTGCAAAGACACACATAGGCTCAAAATACAGGGATGGAGGAAGATTTACCAAGCAAGTGGAAAGCAAAAAAAAAGAAAAAGCAGGGGTTGCAATCCTAGTCTCTGATAAAACAGACTTTAAACCAACAAAGATAAAAAAAAGACAAGGGCATTACATAATGGTAAAGGGATCAATGCAACAAGAATAGCTAACTATCCTAAATATATATGCACCCAATACAGGAGCATCCAGATTCATAAAGCAAGTTCTTAGAGACTGGCAAAGAGACTTAGATTTCCACACAATAATAATGGGAGACTTTAACACCCCACTGTCAACATTAGACAGAACATTAGACATTAGACAGAACAATGAGACAGAAGATTAACAAGCATCTTCAGGACTTGAACTCAGCTCTGGACCAAGCGGACCTAATAGACATCGACAGAACTCTCCACCCCAAATCAACAGAATATACATTCTTCTCAGCACCACATAGCACTAATTCTAAAATCGTACACACAATTGGAAGTAAAACTCTCCTCAGCAAATGCAAAAGAATGGAAACAATAACAAGCAGTCTCTCAGACCACAGTGCAATCAAATTAGAACTCAGGGTTAAGAAACTCACTCAAAACCACACAACTACATGGAAACTAAATAACTTGCTCTTGAATGACTGCTGGGTAAATAATGAAATGAAGGCAGAAATAAAGATGTTCTTTGAAACCAATGAGAACAAAGACACAACGTACCAGAATCTCTGGAACACAGCTAAAGTATGTGTAGAGGGAAATTTATAGCACTATAAATTTCCCACAGAAATAAATGCCAACAGAAGAAAGCAGGAAAGATCTAAAATCAACACCCTAACATCACAGTTAAAAGAACTAGAGAAGCAAGAGCAAACACGTTCAAAAGCTAGCAGAAGACAAGAAATAAACAAGATCAGAGCAGAACTGAAGGAGACAGAGACACAAAAAAACCCTTCAAAAAAATCAATGAATCCAGGAGCCGGTTTTTTGAAAAGATTAACAAAATTGATGGACTGCTAGCTGGACTAATAAAGAAGAAAAGAGAGAAGAATCAAATAGACACAATAAAAAATGATAAAGGGGATATCACCACTGATCTCACAGAAATACAAACTACCATCAGAGAATCCTATAAACACCTCTTCACATATAAACTAGAAAATCTAGAAGAAATGGATAAATTGCTGGACGCATACACCCTCCCAAGACTAAATCAGGAAAAAGTCGACTCCCTGAATAGACCAATAACAAGTTCTGAAACTGAGGTAGTAATTAATAGCCTACCAACCAAACAAAGCCCAGGACCAGATAGATTAACAGCCAAATTCTACCAGAGGTACAAAGAGGAGCTGGTACCATTCCTTCTGAAACTATTCCAAACAACAGAAAAAAAGGGAATCCTCCCTAACTCATTTTATGAGGCCAGCATCATCCTGATACCAAAACCTGGCAGAGACACACACACAAAAAGAAAATTTCAGGCCAATATCCCTGATGAACATCAATGCCAAAATCCTCAATAAAACACTGGCAAACCGAATCCAGCAGCATATTACAAAGCTTATCCATCACAATCAAGTCGGCTTCATCCCTAGGATGCAAGGCTGGTTCAACATGTGCAAATCAATAAACATAATCCATCACATGAACAGAACCAATGACAAAAACCACATGATTATCTCAATTGATGCAGAAAAGGCCTTGGATAAAATTTAACACCCCTTCATGCTAAAAACACTCAATAAATTAGGTATTGATGGAACATATCTCAAAATAATAAGAGCTATTTATGATAAACCCACAGCCAATATTATACTGAATGGGCAAAAGCTGGAAGCATTCCCTCTGAAAACTGGCACAAGACAAGGATGCCCTCTCTCTCACCACTCCTATTCAACATAGTATTGGAAGTTCTGGCCAGGGCAATCAGACAAGAGAAAGAAATAAAGCATATTCTATAGGAAGAGAGGAAGTCAAATTATCTCTGTCTGCAGATGACATGATTGTATATTTAGAAAACCCCATCGGCTCAGCCCAAAATCTCCTTAAGCTGATAAGCAACTTCAGCAAAGTCTCAGGATACAAAATCAATGTGCAAAAATCACAAGCATTCCTATACACCAATAACAGACAAACAGAGAGCCAAATCATGAGGAAACTCCCATTCACAATTGCTATAAAGAGAATAAAATACCTAGGAATCCAACTTACAAGGGATGTGAGGGACCTCTTCAAGGAGAATTACAAACCACTGCTCAAGGAAATACAAGGGGACACAAACAAATGGAAAAACATTCCATGCTCATGGATAGGAAGAATCAATATTGTGAAAATGGCCAAACTGCCCAAAGTAATTTATAGATTCAATGCTATTCCCATCAAGCTACCATTGACTTTCTTCACAGAATTAGAAAAAACTACTTTAAATTTTATATGGAACCAAAAAAAAAGCCCACATAGCCAAGATAATCCTAAACAAAAAGAAGGAAGCTGGAGGCATCATGCTACCTGACCTCAAACTATACTACAAGGCTACAGTAACCAAAACAGCATGGTAATGGTACCAAAACAGAGAGATAGACCAATGGAACCGCACAGGGGCCTCAGAAATAACACCACACATCTACAACCCATCTGATCTTTGACAAACCTGACAAAAACAAGCAATGCGGAAAGGATTCCCTATTTAATAAATGGTGTTGGGACAACTGGCTAGCCATATGCAGAAAACTGAAACTGGACCCCTTCCTTACACCTTATACAAAAATTAACTCAAGATGGATTAAAGACTGAAATGTAAGACCTAAAACCATAAAAACCCTAGAAGAAAACCTAGGCAATACCATTTAGGACATAGGCATAGGCAAAGACTTCATGACTAAATCACCAAAAGCAATTGCAACAAAGCCAAAATTGACAAATCAGATGTAATGAAACTAAAGAGCTTCTGCACAGCAAAAGAAACTATCATCAGAGAGAACAGGCAACCTACAGAATGGGAGAACATTTTTGCAATCTATCTATCTGACAAAGGGCTAATATCCAGAATCTACATGGAACTTAAACAAATTTACAAGAAAAAAACAAACAACCCATCATAAAGTGGGCGAAGGATATGAACAGACACTTTTCAAAAGAAGACATTTATATGGCCAACAAACATATGAAAAAAAGCCCATGATCACTGGTCATTAGAGAAATGCAAATCAAAACTACAATGAGATACCATGCCAGTTACAATGGCAATCATTAAAAAGGCAGGAAATAACAGATGCTGGAGAGAATATAGAGAGATAGAAACGCTTTTACACTGTTGGTGGGAGTGTAAATGAGTTCAACCATTGTGGAAGACAGTGTGGCGATTCCTCAAGGATCTAGAACCAGAAATACCATTTGACCCAGCAATCCCATTACTGAGTATATACCCAAAGGATTATAAATCATGCTACTATAAAGACACATGCACATGTATGTTTATTGCAGCACTATTCACAATAGCAAAGACTTGGAACCAACCCAAATGTCCATCAATGTTAGTTAGACTGGATAAAGAAAATGTGGCACATATACACCATGGAATACTATGCAGCCATAAAAAAGAGTGAGTTCATGTCCTTTGCAGGGTCATGGATGAAGCTGGAAACCAGAAAACCAAACACTGCATGTTCTCACTCATAAGTGGGAGTTGAAAAATGAGAACACATGGACAGAGGGTGGGGAACACCATACACTGGGGACCTGTCGTGGGGTCTGGGGCTAGGGGAGGAATATCACTAGAAGAAATACCTAATGTAGATGACGGGTTGATGGGTGCAGCAAACCACCATGGCAGGTGTATACTCATGTAACAAACCTGCACATTCTGCACATGTATCCCAGAACTTAAAGTTAAAAAAAAAAAAAAAAAAGAAATAATAGACTTTCTAAGATAAACTCAGAAACTTAAAACCTACAAAAGGAGGGGAAACCTTAGAAATGGTTACTCTTCATTGTGTTTAGTCCCTGAATTTGCTTAAACTCCATTTTTCAGTTATCTAATACATGTACCTTAATTGATCCAAGGGCCCCAATGGCTACTTCAGGTGGCATTATCACTGGTTTGGCAAAGGTACCACCAATCTATTTTTTAAAAAAAAAAAAAGGAGAGTATTAAAAGTTAAGATTTTTCAGGGAACAAATGCCAAGTGACTTTTCTATTTTTAATTAAGCATATGATCAGAAACCTTAAGTAATGGTTTATGTATTTCAACATTATTACTCACTGATCCAATGTTGGAAAGAGTAAATGTTCCTCCTGTAAGATCAGTGGTGCTGAGCTGACTCACAGAGCCCAATTTCTGGAGGCGGTTCAGTTCAGTGGCGATGTCAAATATAGAGCAGATCTGAACATTTTTCACATTAGGGACAATCAAACCCTGCTCAGTATCCATTGCTATCCCAATGTTATGAGAAGCCTAAAAAATAAAAAATTGTACAGTAGGGCTTTTAATGAATAAGCTAACAGCAAAGAAAGGATCAACCTTCACTGCCATCTAGAAACCACTACCAAAACTCATTTTTACCAGATTGGTAGTGATTTAAAAGAAATAATTTAAAAATAATTTTTAAAAGATTTTTTGGGCTAGGCGCAGTGGCTCATGCCTGTAATCCCAGCACTCTGGGAGGCCAAGGTGGCTGGATTACCTGAGGTCATGAGTTCAAGACCAGCCTGGCCAACATAGTGAAACCCCATCTTTACTAAAAATACAAAAATTAGCATGGTGGCACAGGCCTGTGATCCCAGCTACTCGGGAGGCTGAGGCACGAGAATCGCTTGAACCTGGGAGGTGGAGGTTGCAGTGGGCCGAGATTGTGCCACTGCACTCCAGCCTGGGAGACAGAGTGAGACTCTGTCCAAAAAAAGATGATAATTTTTTATTGATAAGAATGTAGGCAATAGGCTATTTCCCAACATCGTTAGTGGGAATGTAACTGGTACAGGTTGAGCATCCCTAGTCCAAATATCTGAAATCTGAAATGCTCCAACATCTGAAACTTCTGGGGGCTGAAATGACGTCATGTGATGTAGCCAATTTCCTTGAAAACTGATTTATCACCCTGAGTCAAGATCCATCTTCAGAATTCTGTATACTGACAAATATAGAAATGTAAAGATTTTATTTTCAATTTATTGGATGGATTAAGCACCTCAGCATTCCTTACTATGTGATAAAATACATATATAATAAAAAGTATATTCAATATTTTGTCCTTAAACATTATGCTGCATAGTTGTTGAAACAGTTCTCATTTTATAATATTTAATCATATCAGAGCCCATCAATAAAAAAAAAAGAGAAAAATGCAGCCATTGTTCTGGCAGGGCATAGTGGCTCATGCCTATAATCCCAACACTTTGGGAGACTGACACAGAAGGATTGCTTGAGGCCAGGAGTTTGAGACCAGCCTGGGCAACATAGCAAGACTCCATCTCTACAAAAAAATTTTTTTTAATTAGCTACAAAAATTTTTTTTTAAATTATGGCACATGCCTATAGTCTCAGCTACTTGGGAGGCTGAGGTGGGAGGATCATTTGACCTCAAGAGTTTTAGGTTACAATAAGCTATGATTATGCATGGGTGACAGAGCAAAACTCTGTGTCAAAAAAAGAAAAAAAAAAAACTTTGTGGCCGGGCACAGTGGCTCACGCCTGTAATCCCGGCACTTTGGGAGGCCGAGGCGGGCGGATCACGAGGTCAGGAGATGGAGACCATCCTGGCTAACACAGTGAAACCCCATCTGTACGAAAAATACAAAAAGAAATTAGCCAGGCGTAGTGGCAGCCTCCTGCAGTACCACCTACTCAGGAGGCTGAAGCAGGAGAATGGCATGAACCCAGGAGGCAGAGTTTGCAGTGAGCCGAGATCGCAGCACTGCACTCCAGCCTGGGCCACAGAGCAAGACTCTGTCTCCAAAACAAAAACAAAAAAAAACAAATCCAACTTTGTTTCATGCACAAAAATGTTAAAAATATTGTATAAAATTACCTTTAGGCTATGTGTATGAGGGGTAAATGAAACATAAGTGAATTTCATGTTTGCACTTGAGTCCTGTCCTCAAGATATCTCCTTTGTATATGCAAATATTCCATAATCCAAAAAAATCTTAAATCCAAAAACGCTTCTGGTCCCAAGCATTTCAGGTAACGGATACTTAAACTGTAGAGACTTTCTGGAGAACATATGACAACATGAACCAACATTTATAAAAATTCGTGTTAAGGAACTAAGTGCAGAAGTATGTAGGGATACACAGGGATGTTGAGTACACACTGTTTATAAGTTTGAGAAACTGCAAATAATCATGATGTTTATAAATAGGTCACTGGCTAAATAAATAACAAAGCTATACTTGTTGACAATGATGTCTACAATATAGTAAATGAAAATGAAGAGGCTGGGCACAGTGGCTCATGCCTGTAACCCAGCACTTTGGGAGGCTGAGGTGGGTGGATCACTTGAGCCCAGGAGTTAGAGACCAGCCTGGGCAACATGGCAAGACCCCATTTCTACAAAAAAAAAAAAAAAGTACAAAAATTAGCTGGGCATGGTGGCACGTGCCTATAGTCCCAGCTACTCAGAAGGCTGCGGTGGGAGGTGGACACTGCAGTGAGGCGATGATTACACCACAGCATAGATATTCTCTATGGGGAATACTTTAGATAGGCAACAGAGCAAGACTCTGTATCAAAAAAAAAAAAAAAAGAAAAAGAAAAAAGCAAGTTAAAGAAAATATAAATAATTCTATATCTTGTAAAAAGTATGTAAAAATGAAATCCTAGAAAGATGTATATCTCAACATAAACAGTGAGCTATCTTAGGGTCATGGAATTGAGGGTAAACATCTTTGTTTTCTTTTTTCTTTTCTTTTCTTTTCTTTTTTTTTTTTTGACAAAGGCAGGGTTTCACTTTGTCACCTAGGCTGGAGTGCAGTGGCATGATCACAACTCACTGCAACCTCCATCTCCCAGGTATCATATGATTCTCCTGCCTCAGCCTCCCAAGCAGCTAAAACTATAGGCATGCACCACCATGCCTGGCTAATTTTTTTTTTCTGTAGAGATGGGGCCTCCTAACTTTGTTGCCCATGCTGGTCTTGAATTCCTAGGCTCAAGCCATCCTCCTACCTCTGTCCCCCAAAGTGCTGGGATTACAGGCAGGAGCCACCACACCCGGCCAACATCATTTTCTTGCCTGAAATTTTTTTAATAAGTATATACTTAATCAGGAGATATTAAAATTAAAATTAATACAGCTGACTGTATTAACCGTATGGGAGCTGACCTCCCAGAATATCTAAGCTCACTTTCTGGTTGTACATGTCTTTTCTTTTTTTTCTTTTTTTAATTCTCTTTTTGAAATGGAGTTTTGCTCTTGTCGCCCACGCTGGAGTGCAGTGGCACAATCTTGGCTCACTGCAACCTCCGCCTCCTGGGTTCAAGCAATTCTCCCACCTCAGCCTCCTGAGTAGTTGGGACTATAGGCGCTGGCCACCACGGCTGGCTAATTTTTGTATTTTTAGTAGAGACAGGGTTTCACCATGTTGGCCAGGCTGGTCTCAAACTCCTGACCTCACATGATCCACCCGCCTCAGCCTCCCAAAGTGCTGGGATTATAGGCGTGAGCCACCGTGCCCAGCCTCTGGTTGTGCACTTCTAATGATAAGTAAACTTCAGGAAAGGCATCTCAAAAAGAGTTTTCGGTCTTAAGAAACTTTCACTACTCACAGAAGAGTTTACTCAAATTGAATTCAAACTTTTATTATTTTTCTCACTTAAATTATTCTTAATATTAAAATTCCAGGAATTTGCCAGGCACAGTGGTTCATGCCTGTAATCCCAGCACTTTGGGAGGCTGAGGCAGGAGGATTGCTTAGACCAGAAGTTCAAGACCAGCCTGGGCAACATAATGAGACCACGTCTCTACAAAAAATTTAAAAATTAGTTGGGCATAGTGGCGCATGCCTATAGTCCCAGCTACACAGGAGGCTGGGGCAGAAGGATTGCTTGGGCCTGAGAGGTTGAGGCTGCAGTGAGCCACAATCACAACACTGCATTCCAAACTGGTGACAGAGTGAGACTCTGCCAATAATAATAATAATAATAAGAAGAAGAAGAAGAAGAAGAATAAGAATAATAATATTAAAATTCCAGGAATTCAATTTTGAAAGAGCTGCTTCTTTTTGAGAGGGTAAGTAGAGTGGGTAACATAATCTGCCATACAGCTATGTATTTCCATTATTTTAAGCAGGAAAAAAAAAAGCTTAAAAATAGTTTTAAGAATCTCTAAACAGTATTATTAACACAAAAACAACAACAATGAATTAGACTTAAGTTTAATGTTTTACCCCATACCTTTAATTCTAGTCTAAAAAAGATCACTATTTGAGGTACAATAGAAGTCTCTAATCTACAAGCACATTTGCCCCATCTTCTATTAATAATAAGAACATTTTTACTCTGCATAGCCAACCTTATATGTTATATTCTGGCAGTTTTCATCCACAGAAGCGTTAAGGATAGGAAACTGTAGTAATCCCAAGGAAGCAGCCTGTTTAACAGAAAAAGAATGCAATTTTAGTACTTTTAACTTAGAAAGGATAGAGAATTTGAAACAATAAGAGGTATAAAAGGAGGGAGAGAGAGAACTCTTATTTATGCTGAGTTTAATTTCAAGTCTACATGTACCTAGTCACATTACTGCCAATGTTACCTTCAGGCCATGTGGAACTAGGTCACCCTAATCATTAAAGAATAAAAGATAAAGTAGTCAGGTAGCTTGTAAACATCAAGGAGATTTTCAAAATAATGATACAGACCAGCCAAAGTTCCAAAGAAAATGTCTAAATTCTAGGTGATTTCCTCACTGACATGTTGATCTTAAGATTTCCATGAGAAGTAATACTAGGAATCAAAACACAAAAAAAGCAGGTAAGCTATTTCTCTGTGTGGAAAGAACACGTAACGAGGATTTCAAAGCGCACTGACCAGTAGATGCCAGTTTGCTACTTGGTGTCCTTGGCCAGCTGAAGGGCAGAGATGTCCTGAACATTTACTTTACAGCTCAAGTCTCACTGAATAGCATTTATATTTTCCCTCTCTGCTGCCTTCTCCCTTTTGTCACTTAATACCATTTCTCTCCTGTCCATATTCAGATTTCCCTAACTGTACCCAAAATGTTCTTGATAATCTGTTTTTGGGATCTAATAATCAAGTTTCATACCTTACATGTGGTGGCCATGCATTGTATTGAATTTAAAAGATAGCAAAATAAAAATGCTTAAGATCATTCTTAAAAAGAATTCCCTCCCCCACTGCCCTTGTCTGGTCCCTGTTAAAGTTCTTTACATGCATTGTGTTATTCTTCTCAGTGCATCGGGGTCTTGATGGGAAAAAAATCAAATTCTTGAACTAGAGAGTTAAGAAAAAAGTTTAAATATATAGAGACATTTCATTTTCATTAGTTAGGACAGGTTAAGAGAGTAGATCAACTGAAGAAAAATATAATTAAAAGAACTGCTACGAGTTCCTTAATTTTTATGACTTGGAAGTTTTTCTTGTTTGTTTTTGAGACAGGGTCTTTCTTTGTCACCTAGGCTGCAGTGCAGTGGCATGATCTCAGCTCACTGTAGCCTCAACGTCCTTGGCTCGAGTGACCCTCCTGCCTCAGCCTCCCGAGTAGCTGGAACTATAGGCGTGTGCCACCATGCCCAGGTAACTTTTGTATTTTTTGTAGAGATGGGGTTTCACCATGTTGCCCAGGCTGGTCTTGAACTCCTGAGCTCAAGCAATCTGCCTGCCTTGGCCTCCTAAAGTGTTGGGATTACAGTCGTGAGACACTGCGCCCAGCCAACTTGAAAGTTTTAGTAAGCATTTGATTCAATAACTGTAATTTTAATAGTCTTTATCTAAAAACCCCTAAGGTTAGTCTAAACTGTTACATATAAAAATATTTGAGTATAATCCAAATTTTGTCCAAGAAAATACAAGGTATGTGTCAATGGATTAGGTCATTTGTTCCCCCTCTACAATACTGTGTAGTATTTTTTCGAATGTTCTGAAACTTATGTTTTATTTTAAAACAAAATAGCCAGGCATGCTGGCTCATCCCTGTAAGACCAGCCTGGGCAGCACTGCGAGACACATCTCTACTAAGAATAAAAAAAAATTAGCCAGGTGTGGTGGTGCACACCTGTGGTTCCAGCTTCTCGGGAGGCTGAGGCAGAGGATCACTTGAACCCAGGAGTTCAAGGTTGCAGTGAGCTGTGATTGTGCCACTGCACTCCAGCAGCCTGGGCAACAAAGTGAACCCTTTCTAAAAAAAAAAAGAAGAAAGAAAGAAAAAGGGAGATAAAGAAGAATAGTTTCTGCCTCATGAGGCTCAGCGCCCAGTAAGTGAGTAAGTGAAGAGAAAACTGAGTAAGCACTCAATGCACTGAGATAAGTTAACAGTGGGAAACAAAAGTATTTAATTCAAATAGTGACAGCCACAGAAGGAGTCTGTACCTGACCACAGTTTGGGATTTGCAGGTGTTTGATCGAGAAGAACGGGCACTTCAGGTGGAATTGTGTATTCCAGCAATTATGGGTACCTTAATATGAGGGAGTGAGGTAAGAATGGAGAGGCAGGCAGCAGAGACTTATAACACATTTGTATGCCACACTAAGGAGTATGGCATACAAATTATCCTGAAGGTAATGAAAGGGAACCACTGAAAAGAATCAGAGAATATTACAGTAATTTGATTTACGGAAGACCAGTCTTGGTGCAGTGTAGAGAAAGGACTGGACATGTTGGCATTACAGACATCAGTATGTCCTTCTGAGTAAAACAGACCAGAACCTGAAAGAGCTTCTCCACCTGTTAGCTGTAAGTCCTTAACAAGTTTCTCAACCTCTCTGAGCCCCAATTTCCTTAAATGGAAAGTGGAGACAGTAATATTTACATGTCAGGGTTACTCTGAGAATTAAGAGATAATGGGCCCTGCCCCGCGTCTGCCTCAGAGGGGCCCGAGCCACCCGGGGCGTGCGCCGCGTCCCCGCCGGGGCCGACAGAGCCGAGCCGGGCCGCCATGGACCACAAGACTCTGCTGCAGGAGCGGCCGCCCGCCTACAACCTGGAGGCCGGCCAGGGCGACTACGCGTGAGGCCCGCACGGCTACGGCGCCATCCCCGCCGCGCCCCCGCAGCCGCCCTACTCCTACCTCGTCACACGGACACCCACCCACCATCCCAGGGTCTACAACATCCACAGCTGGACCGTCATCCGCTATCCTACCAACTCTATCGTGGTCGTGGGAGGCTGTCCCGTCTGCAGGGTCGGGGGGCTGCAGGACTGCTTCACCTTCCTGGGCATCTTCCTGGCCATCATCCTGTTCCCCTTTGGGTTCATTTGCTGTTTTGCCTTGAGGGAGCGAAGATGCCCCAACTGTGGAGCCACCTTCGCTTAAAGGGAACACCAGGCTCGGCCTTTCCTACACCCAGCTCTCTTTTTCTAATGTAAATGTTGTGTTCAATAGTTTTATTTGATTAAGCTTCAGGACTGTTTTGTAAAGCGAGGTGGGACCGATGTGGCACACGCCAGCTGCGGTTTCCCGGAGCGTGGAGAGGCAGCGCTGCTGCTCCTGCCCCAGGCTCATGACAACTCAATGAAGCACTGCTTTTATTTTTTGCAGTCTTCAATTTGAGAAAGGTGAGAAATAATCTTTTCAATAAATGAGATTCATACCAAAAAAAAAAAAAAAAAAGAGAGAGATAATGTATACAGCATGCTTACTATGGAGGCTGGCACATGGTAGCTGCTGCACAGTCACTAATGTGAGCTAGACTGTATGCTGCTCAAGGTTAGCTGATGGTCTTACTCCATTTTATACTGGTCCCAAGGCTTAGCACTAGAAATGATTCCCAGGATCCTCAATATAAGTTGGTTGAGTAAATGAAAATAAATATTAAATATATGTCAGTGATATTGCAAAATTAATATCAAGTCTCATTTTAGTTCAAACCAAGACTTGGTTGGAGTGATCCTTTTAGGATCAGAGGCTTTACTTAACTGGCAGAATTGTCTCTACCTAGCTCAAAGATAAGCAGCTAAAAATATAGTACAGAAATCTCAATTTTATAATTTCCTATTGAACAAAGAAATGGCACATTTTCTAACTATCTGATGTTGCGAAAAGTAATATTTTTATTCAAGGCCACAGTCAACATATTGCATGTTGGCAAAGCAAAATTTAAATGTCCTACTTGGGGCCAGGTATGGTGGCTCACGCCTGGAATTCCAGCACTTTGGGAGGCTGGGGCGGGGGTGGATCACCTGAGGTCAGGAGTTCAAGACCAGCCTGACCAACATGGCGAAACCACGTGTCTACTAAAAATACAAAATTAGCCAGGCGTGGTGGCAGGTGCCTGTATTCCCAGCTACTCAGGAGGCTAAGGCAAGAGAATTGTTTAAACCCGGAAGGTGGAGGTTGCAGTGAGCCGAGATTGTGCCATTGCACTCCAGCCTGGGTGACAAGAGCAAAACTCTGTCTCAAAAAGACAAACAAACAAATAAATGTCCTACTCAAGCCTTGTTTGAAATGAATGAATCTCACCTTTAAGAAGAAAGGCATAAAGGAGAGTTTAATTCCACGAGCAAATGCAATGGGTTTTAATTCTTCTCGGAGCTTAACCAGTTCAGTAAGGTCAATCTCATCACAATAACCAAAATGAGGTATCTTCAGGGCTGCAGACATAGTCTTGACCATTGCTTTTTGAAAGCCTGAAAAGCATTAAATTGTTATTCATTTATTTAAATTCTCAAATCTCTTCATCCTTTTTTTTTTTTTTAAAGAAACTAAAATGGAAGGTTCTCTAATGTCTTTTACTCTCTCAGTTAAACCCTTCCTCTTACTACTCTCTTCATTACATTACACTGAAAGTCACTAATTTCAAAGCTGGAACACTGACTGCATCATGACACTCAGTGGCAAATGCAATAACATAGCAGGTAACTGCTTTAAATGCTGTGTTATATAAAAAATTCAAAAGAATGCAAGCCATGTATTTCCCTAACAGCTTTCCTGCAAAGCCACTCTTCTGGAAGTTAATCATTCCAGGAGTTTATAAATAACAAATCAGAACTAGTTATTTTGAAAGCTAACTACAAATAGTGAATGTTTAAAATGTCCTGTGTGTCTTCAAACAGAGCAATTATCAATATACAAGTTTATATTTCAAGAAACCTGCTAACGTATTACTCTTCAGAAGATAATGATACACATAAATTGTAAGTGTTTCCTGGAAAAGCTATGCTATTTCACCATTTAAAAATTATGGCCAGGCGCAGTGGCTCACGCCTGTAATCCCTGCACTGTGGGAGGCTGAGGAGGGTGGATCACCTGAGGTCAGGAGTTCGAGACCAGCCTGGCCAACATGATGAAACCCTGTCTCTACTAAAAATACAAAAAATTAGCTGAGCATGGTGGCGTGCACCTGTAATCCCAGATACTCAGGAGGCTGAGGCAGGAGAATTGCTTGAACCTGGGAGGCGGAGGCTGCAGTGAGCCAAGATCGTGCCACTGCACTACAGTCTGGACAACAAGAACAAAACTCCATCTCAAAAAAAAAGAAAAGAAAAGAAAAATTATATGCTGACTGAAGTTGAACTTTCCCTTCAGTAAGACTTGAAAACACCATATTATATACATTTATCTACTGAGGTAGCTTCCCCCAAAATAAATGAACTATTGCCTTATAGTATTGTTATTATTATCATTACCTTTTATGGGTTCTGTTTTGTCTTTGCCTGTGAATACCGGAGGTTTTGATACTAGTATAGGAACAGTCATGTCTTTTGGCTTTGGTGGAGGTGGCATAATTTCAACTTTGGGTGAAGGAGGCAATATAGCTCCTGTCTGCTTTTCCAAATAGTTGAGGATATCTTCTTTAAGTATTCTGCCATCTTTTCCTGAGCCAACAACTTCACTCAGCTTAATCTAAAAAATGATATATTTTAATGCCAAAAATACAACTATTTAAAAACATCATTAAAGTTTCAAAATGGAATTTGATCAACTGACAGTAAAATATATCTGTCCAATAAATTAGTAAAAGGAAATAACCTTTTCATTTTCTACTTAAGTAATCATTACTTTTGTATATACTGTTCACATATGCATGTGGTAACCATCAGGTATCTATATTATATATAATCTAGAGCTATTTATGAAAACTTACTTTTTAAAAAAATTTTTTGTAGAGACAGGGTCTCACTCTGTTGCCCTGGCTGGTCTTGAACTCCTAGCCTCAAGCTATCCTCTCACCTCAGCCTCCCAAAAGTGCTGGAATTACAGGCGTGAGCCACTATGCCCAGCTGAAAACTTACATTTTTATACTCAAGTATTTTAAAATCTCTTGCATAATTCTTACTCGACCTTTTCTATTCTTGGGGACTACATAAGAAGAGGGAGAGCTGAGAATTTAAGAGAAACTAAATGCTATACCAAATTTAGACCAATGTTTCTGACACTGGCTACCAGTTAAAAACGTAACAACTTAAATAATCATAATACAAAAGCTCTCTCAAATTAGTTATTTTTCTGGTAGTTGCTTTGGAAAGATCAGTACAAAACATTTAATTCTATTTAAATAAAAATAAACATAAAAGCTTGGAATGATCTCCTCATATATAGTATGTATTAATTTCTTAGGGATAGGCCCCATTTCATTTGTATTAGTGCATCTCTAAGGATGACTAAAATAATAAAGGACTTTACTAAGGCAAACACTAAGTTTGTAACAAATGGACTATGAAAATTTAAACAAATAATTTTTAGGCAGTTACAAACAACTGTAAATGCCACTGGTTCTTAATTTTAAACAAACTCAATTCATAAATATGCAAATTCAAAGAAAAAAGATGATTTCTGATAACTAAATCCAATATTTAATTTTTAGTAATCATACAAGCACTCTACCCAAGTATTCTATACCCATCTTTAGGGAGTGTTTTAGGAAAGCCAAATCATACATTTCTTCTATATATTTCTTTCTATATTATTAAGAAAAAAATTATTAAAATGCTTTATAGATTTCAAAGCAAAATGTTAAATCATTATTTCATCTGATGCCCTTAATAACCTAATGTTCCACGTTACTATATCTATTTTCTGTTATGCTAAATGGTCTTCATACTTAAACACATTTAAGGGTTACATAACATTTTATCAAGGATACATAACATAATTTGAATGTGTATGCATCTTCTAATTTTTGGCTATATAAAATACAAGGAAGAATGATTCCTAGATTATTTTCTTGGGATAGTTCCCCAGTGGCAGGATAACTGGCTGAAAGAATATGAACATTTTAATGACTCTATTACATATTTCACAAAATATAAACTTTTATTTTTTTCCCACAGCAACCTTACTTTTCTCAAAAAGAGACAAACAAAAAGTCTCATTGTGGGGCACAGTGGAAAGTATTCAGGTTTCAGAACCAGACAGATTTGTGTTCAAATCCCTAGTTCAGCTTACTTGGTTTTAGATAAGTTAATCAACCTGCCTGCAGGGTCCTTGTGAGGATTACAGATGTGTCTATAGTGTCTGGCACATATGTGCTCAAATAATGGAGGCAATGATTGTTGAGGTTTATATAACATCTAACAGCACAGGTTTTGGAGTGATATAGACTCACTTTTGAATTCTGGCTCTTGCTATGTTAGCTGTGTGACTTTAGACTAGTTACTTAAACCCTCCAAGTCTTAAAATAGCTCCTTATCTTACAGGGTTAAATGAGAATACGTAAATACCTATCCCAGTGCCAGGGAGCCACCCTGCCTGGCATTCCACCTTCCATTCAGTCAATGACTGGCAGAGGAAATACAAAAGGCCGGCCTCCTTGCCTCAAAGCAGTAATTCTGTGGTTCTCCCTTGCACCCTCAGATCAGGCCAGAGTCTTTCTTTTTTTACTTAGGACCATGGCAAGCTTTGGGACAGGCCAGATGCTTGATACCATAACCATGTCTGGCCAATTTCCCTTCTCTTCTCTTTTTTATCTTGCTTCCTTCAGTCCCTTTACAGGTTTTCCCTCCTTCAAATTCCTATCTCATGCTGTGCCTCTAGAGCACCTGACATAAGACCTGGTATTTACAAGTGCTCAGTAAATGGTAGCTCTTACTGTTATTAGGCTCTAAGAAAGAATAATAAAATCATACTGCTCAATTGATAGTAAGTAATAAGTTTACAACTTCTCATTTCTCCCATGTATTTTTATGCAACTATTGCTTTTCAGTAGCAAATATCTTCATGTTTCCTTAATTTCATTGAGCTATTTCATCATGGGATAGTTGGCTAATTTTTCAGAGATACAAATGTACACTTCCTATACAATCTCAGACTTAAATATTAAGAGAACTTACATTGTTTTCCATTGCCAGACGGCGAACTGCAGGAGTTGCCAGTGTTTTTCGGCCCTTTATCTCTTGGTGTGTATGTTCATCATGAGACACTGCAGGAGTTTCAACAACATCTTCTTCTGAATCTGGTAACAAGGTAAAACTTAACTTCAGTTGAAAAAAAATTTTTTTTTTTTACTAAGATGTAAAGTAAGGCCACTAAGATGTGGCCTATAATATCTAAATAAATTAAAGTTTATAGTCTAAATGTATAAAAGTTGAACTACTTCAGAATAGGAAAACACAACTATCCTAATGGTATGGGTAGAGTGGGGGGGGGGGTGTGTGCCGGTACCTGGTACTTTTTAATTATTAGTACCTGGTGGATATGTCACTCCTGTTGAAATAATATAGCAGCTACAAGTTTAAACATGAGAGTTTTCCTCAAGAAATTTTAAAATGTGTTGTGGCTAGGTACAGTGGCTCACGCCTGCAATCCCAGCAATTTGGGAGGTCAAGGCAGAAGGATCACCTGAGCCCAGGCATTCAAGACTAGCTGAGGCAACATAGGGAGACCCCACCTGTACAAAAAATTTAAAAATTAGCTGAGTTTGGTGGCACACACCTGTGGTCCCAGCTACTTGGGAGACCGAGGTGGGAGGATTGCTTGAGCCCAGGAGGTCGAGGCTGCAGTGAGCTGTAATTGCATCACTGCACTCCAGCCTGGATGACAGTGAGACCCTGTCTCAAAAAAAAAAAATTTGTATTTTAAACATTTTTCTAATAAAATTCTCATTTATATTTATAAACAGCACGGAATAAGGATCAAATGTAAGATAAATTATATGAAAGAATGGGCTGGGCACAATGGCTCATGCCTGTAATCCTAACACTCTAGCAGGCCAAGGTGGGTGGATCACTTACTTGAGCCTAGGAGTTTAAGACCAGCCTGGGCAATAAAGTGAGACTCCCTATCTCTACAAGTGAATTTTAAAAATTAGCTAGGTACGATAGCACACATCTGTGGTCCAAGCTACACAGGAAGCTGAGGCGGGGAGAATCACTTAAACCCAGGAAGTCAAGCCTGCAGTGAGACATGTTGGCGCCACGGCACTCTAGGTTGGGTGAAAAAGTGAGACCCAGTCTCAAAAAAAACCGCACAAGAATCATATAAAATCTATGAAAATCTTAAACACTTTCCTGAGATGATATAGTACGTAAAAGTTTGCTCTGCTTTGAATAGTTTAAGAAATGCTGTGGTGGCTGGGCATGGTTGCTCACACCTGTAATCCCAACACTTTGGGAGGTAAAGGCGGGAGAATTGCTTGAGGCCAGGAGTTCGAGATCAGCCAGGGCAACATAGGGAGACCCTCTCTCTATAAAAAATTTTAAAATTAGCCAGGTGTGGTGGTGTGTGCCTGTAGTTCCAGCTACTCAGGAGGCTGAAGTGGGAGGATCACTTGGGCCCAAGAAGTCAAGGCTGCAATGAGTCATGGTTGCACAACTGCACTCCAGCCTGGGTGACAGAGCAAGGCTGCCTCAAAAAGAAAAAAGGAAAAGAAAAAAGAACTGCTGTGGCTAATGCTAATTTGGTTGTTTTATTCTCTAGTTCTGGATTCCTGTTATTAGAAAAACTATCTCAGGCTACTAGCATATATTTCTGCAAGCAAAAAAAAAAAATGTTTTTGAGAGCACTTAATTGTCAAATTCTGCTGTTAGGAAATCAGTGATGTATACATATAGCAGAATCTGTCTGAATTGGTAAATTAAAGACTGACAGAACTTCTGAAAATGAACAGACAACTGAATCTGCTTTGACAGTTTTGACATTCATTTCTAGGTAAATAAAAATCTTCTACTACTGCAACCGTGATAAGATAGTCTATTCATTCCTCTTTACTAGTCTATGAATTGGCCCAGTGGAGCTACAAAGAAATTCTCCTAAAGGTAAGGAAGGGAAGAGAAAAAAACCCAAAACTTGTATTGAGCATCTATTATGTGTCAAATACTGTCCTGCATATGCAGTATCTTACTTTTCATTACAACTGTTTAAGATAGGTATTATTATCCCCATTTTATAGACAGTTTAAAAAGTGAGGTTTGACTGAACAGATTGGCTCAAGGTGAGACACCTAATAAATCTAAGAGCTGAATTCAGTCCTAGGGCTGACTCAATCTGTGCTGTTTCCATTAGTTCATAGCCCTAGTAAATTTTCCTTCTGGTCAAAGTAGCTAGAATACAACTCCTATAGTTCAAGGCATAATTTTTGTTGAATTTTCAGAATCTCTGTATATTCTCTACATCTGTTAAAGTCATTGGAGAAATGAGTAAGAAAGATTAGCATGTGGAACCAAGATCCAAACGAAAATCAGGGGATTCAATGGTAGGAACCCCAATATGGTAGGAACTCCAATGCTAACTTGGATAATGCATATTTGCTGAAGAGAATGTATAAATATCCAAATATATAACATACAAAAATTATTACATTATTCCAAAAGACCAAGTAATTTATTGCTACCTACCTTTCTGGAAAACATTTTGTGATATATTACCTACATAGTACTACCCTTTTAGAGTAACTTGAGTGTAAATATGAATGACAAACTTACTTGTGAGAAGTCACTCATATATTATTTCTAATAGTCATGTAGTTGTTGGAAGAAAGCTGTCACTTAACCAAGTAATAAAATACCACCTTACTACACAGCAGAAGATTTTAAATAATCTTCAAAATGTTTATTTTTTGCTTTTCTTTTTTTAATACAGACAGTGTTTCACTACGTTGCCCAGGCTGGTCTTGAACTCCTAACTTCAAGTGATCTCCTGCCTTGGCCTCCTTCAGTGTTTTTACACATATTTTCTCCTCTGATTACAAAAATGTTATGAGTATGTAGGACAGATTTCTCAATGTTACCAATGTAGAAACGGACTCTAAGGGGGATGAAGTTGACCAAATTTGAATTTCACAAGTCTCCCCAGTTGATATGACTTTAGTGTTTCTAGCATCACAGTCTAATATGTGAGATTTTAGCCTTTGATGATTGATCTTCAGTTAGGGAATTAGAGTACAGTTTTAAAAGCTTTAACTAATTTTAAGAAAAAGCAAACAAACACTGGTAAGTAAACACTTTTTCTTATGAAGCCTGTCAATCTCGTGTTAAGGTAATTCCTCGTAGAAAGCAAATTTATAATAAAACCACATTATTTCAGGTTAACTAAATAAAAGAATAATATGAATTGATAAAACTGTGAAACTGCAATATTCTTAGGTATTTCTAAGAATAACATTAAGTAATCCCCTTAATTCACTCAGCTAGGAGAAATTCTTTTAAGAAAAATGCTTTGAAATACTAAAGTATTCAAGTGTGTTTGGAAGACCTTTCTTCATAGCACAAAAATAAACTTTAGTTCCTGTCCGAATGTTCATAAATTGAAAATTAAGGACATCCAAACTGAAAAGATTTCATTGCATTTTCTTTTTCACTTCAAATTATTAAAACAGCGAATTCAATCAATTTAATCTACAATAGGCTATACAAAATGAACAGTTATAGCTACCAAGAGCACCTACTATGCCTAGCATTGAACCATGCAATTTATGTTACTGAATGTAATTTAGTTAGATGGTACACTACATTATTGGAATGGTTTTATGTCAAAGAGCTTTTCTTTAAAACATTTTATACTAATCCTGGTAAACATTTCAATATTATAAAATCTATATATTTGTAAACTAAACTGTGTTGTTGTAGCAGAATTTTGTAAATAATGCATATGTAAAGTGTTAGAAAGTAAGTCCCATTACTCTAGATGCAAAATGAAGCTGATATCCATCCTCTCTGAACTAAATTATCAGTGTAACAAAGTGGTTAGGAGCATGGGCTTTCACATTAAACAGAGCTGAGGTCAAATCCTAACTCCACCACTTAGTAGCTATGTAATCATAGGCAGGTTATTTAACCTCTCAGAGTCTCAATGGTCCATGTGTCAAAAGCAGATATTACATTTGTTAAATGAGATGTATATATAGTATTAGCACAGAGAAACCAATCAACAATACAAGTTGATGTTAAGGGGTAAATGCAATATAATGGCAGAATAATATTAGTTTTATAAAGTATTCTGCTAAAGCTCATGTCCCTCTTTCTCCTCCTTTCACTGCCCCATGGTACCTCTCAGTTAGGTTCAGTAACTCTCCACTTATCTGGTGGTGGAGCATCCTGGCAACTTCATCTTAACATAGCTTCATGGCCCAGTGTACCTAAAATAGGTGCCACACAGCCTCAGCATTAAAACTGTCCACTTGACCCAGAGGAAAGGTATTTACACTCTCAATCAGCTCCTATTTGCCTTTGTTAGCAAATACTTCTTAATCAACTTGGTTATATGTCTTCTCAGAAAGTTAGGAAGGTGGGTGATGACCTGGCACAAGGACAATCTAAACGGGCTGAAAAACTAAAAATCAAACGCAGAATTGTATTGTTTCTAGTACAGTGGTGAATGTTCATAACATGTCTTTGCATAATCAAAAAAGCTTACTCAATATCCTCACTTTAAGAATTAACATGTATGAAATTTTTAAAACAAAATTAATGATTTCTCTCAAAAAAAAGTTTTTGAAAAGTTTTGGAACAAAGAGGCTTAGTTGTTTAGAAAAGTGAGGAATCATTTTACTGCATTAAATAAATAGAGGCTAGAGAAAGCATCTGTCACCACATCAGCTGTAAAGACAACTCGAGGTAACACAATTTAAACTGAGTTGGTTTTAGTTTTGTTTTGGTTTTGAGACAGGGTTTCCTCTGTCTGAGTAGCCAGGACTACAGGGGTGTACTACCACCCGTCTAACTTTTTTGTTTGTTTTGTGTGTGCGTGTTTTTAAGAAACTGGGTCTTGCTCTGTCACCTGGGCTGGAATGCAGTGGCACAAGCATAACTCAATGCAGCCTCAAACTCCTGGGCTCAAGCGATCCTCCCACCTCAGCCTCCTGCATAGCTGGGACTACAGGTGTGCTCCACCACACTTGGCTAATTTTTAAAATTTTTTGTAGAGATGAGGTCTCACTGTGTTGCCCAGGCTAGTCTCAAACTCCTGGCTTCAAATGATCCTCCTACTTGGGCCTCCCAAAGTGCTGGGACTATAGGCATGAGTGACTGCACATGGTCTAAACCACATTTACAGTAGACAAGGCACTGAAACATGGAATAGCTTTGATATAATGGTGATAATGTTAAGTAAAAAAAAAAATTAAGTAACTGGATTTCAACTTGTCATTTTTTTTAATAGTATATGCCTTTTTATATGTCACAGATACAAGTTGGCATACCTGAGTCCAATAAACTGTTTTGAAGTAGAGGTCTGTTACAGTCAAAGGACTCATAGATAGGACTTGGAGGTCACAAATACAGTTTCCCTCACCAAAATTATCATGACCCTCTAGCTTTGAAAAGCAGACTACTACTATGTTACAAAAGACAGTACTATAGAATATAATTAGCATTACAAGATAGGACTTAATTTCCAATACTACTATTAAGATGTCTAGTCTTGATCTCTTCTACCCTTCATGGCTCTATGCTATAATAATTTTCCACCTGTAAAATGTTAATAATATAATTTATACTTCTAGAAGACTTTGTGTTCGTCTTTTATATAATTGGTTTTACTAGCATTAAGACAGGAAAAACATAAATTCAGTATTACTACAAATTCTTGCTTAAGAAAAGATACATAAAATATTTAGAAATCTTTCTTATTTCCACAATTAAAATGAAGCATATATAAATTTCTCTCATTAAGCTGAATTTAATTTCTATAGGCCTGCTTATTTGATACATGGGCTTATGCTTCATAGTTTATTCTTACAATAAAAATATAAAAAACAAGTCCAAATATAAAAGCAAAAAGGTACAGATGTGAAATAAAACTAGCATGCAAGATAATTGTTTAAAGCATATTATGAATGGCAAATGAAACAGAATGGCTAGCAAATTATCAGTTCTCTATGAAGAATACTGTCAGATAATTTTTACTGTAAATATAACCTATCCAATGCCATTAATTTTGTTCTAAGCTTTACTGAGATAGAGCTGACACACAATAAACTGCACATACATAAAATATAAAATCTGAGGCTGGGCATGGTAGCTCACGCCTGTAATCCCAGCACTTTGGGAGGCCGAGGTGGGCAGATCATAAGGTCAGGAGATCAAGACCATCCTGGCCAACATGGTGAAACCCCGTCTCTACTAAAAATATGAAAATTAGCTGGGTGTGGTGGTGCACGCCTGCCTGTAATCCCAGCTACTCAGGAGGCTGAGGCAGGAGATTCGCTTAAACCAGGGAGTTGGAGGTCGCAGTGAGCCGACATCATGCCACTGCACTCCAGCCTGGCGACAGAGTGAGACTCCGTCTCCCCCCAAAAAAAAAAAAAAAAAAAAATATATATATACACACACACACACACACACACACACACACACACACACACACATATAATCTGATAGGCTTTGAAATATGTATATACTCATAAACCATCACCATAATCAAGATAATGAACATGTCTATCACTTCCAGAAGTTTCCTCGTATTCCTTGGTAATGCCTCCTTTCCAACCCTTCCTACCCTCCATACTCTGTCACCAGGCAACCACTCGTTGGTTTTCTGTTATTAGAGATTAGTTTGGATTTTCTAAAATTGTATGTAATGAAATCATATAGCATGTTTTCTTTTGAGTGGTGGGATCTGGCTTCTTTCACTCAGCATAATTTCTTTAAGATTTATCATGTTATAGAGAATATTAATTTTTGTGAAAAAAAATTCTCCAGAAAAAACACAGGCCCCCCACAAAATGTACTGTGATTTTATAATTTGCTATACCCAGACTTATTAAGTTGGATCTTACTTGAGATGTCAAAACAAACTCTAAAAACAAAACCAGCACCAGGTGTGGTGGCTCACACCTATAATCCCAGCACTTTGGGAGGCGGAGGCAGGCAGATCACTTGAGGCCAGAAGTTCAAGACCAGCCTGGCCAACATGGTGAAACCTCACCTCTACTAAAAATACAAAAATTAGCCAGGTGTGGTGGCACATGCCTGGAATCCCAGCTTCTAGGGTGACTGAGGCAAGAGAATTGCTTGAACCCAGGAGGCGGAGGTTGCAGTGAGCTAGGATTGTGCCACTGCACTCCAGCCTGGGAGACAGAGCAAGACTCCATCTCACAAAAAAAAAAAAAAAAAAAAAATCAGAAGGCCAATTAGCTGGGCATGATGGAGTCCTAACTACTTGGGAAGCTAAGGCAGAAGGACTGCTTGTGCCCAGGAATTCAAGGCTATAATGAGCTATGATCGTGCCACTCTAGCTTGTACAACAGAGCAAGACCCCATGTCAAAAAACAAAACAAAACAAAACAAATAACAAACTCCAATTGTTTACTTGTTCATATAAATAACTTGCTTTTTTAGATAACTTAAATTGGTATCTAATCTGGTTTCCAGCTTGGACATTCTAATTTAATGACATCCATAGTACTGTTCAGAATCCTTACTTGTCAGTTTATGCCAAGAATGAAACACTCTTTCCTTTCTAAATCTGAATCCAAAAAAAACTGTGTTTATTTCATTTAATTCTAAAGGTGAATTTTTGTTTTGTTTTTCTTTAAATTTTTCTAAATTATGCCTTTTTTTTTTTTTTTTTTTTGAGACAGGGTCCTGTTGTTACCCAGGCTAGAGTGCAGTGGCATTAACACAGCTCACTGCAGCCTCTACCTCCTGGGCTCAAGTGATCCTCTCACCTCAGCCTCCTAAGTAGCTGGGACCACAGGTGCACGCCACCACACCTGGCTATTTTTTTTTATTTTTTGTAGAGATGGGGTCTCGTTATGTTGCCCAGGCTAGTCTCAAGCTCCCAGGCTCAAGTGATTCTCCCACCTTAGCCTCCCAAAATGTTAGGATTACTGGCGTGAGCCACTGTGCCTAGCCAATAATGTCTTTCAAAAGAAATTTAGAATCAAAGTAATAGGAAGCACCCCTAACGCCCAGATTATAGCCTCTTATTCATTCTACACTAATACTTAAAGGAACAAGAGCCCCTGAAGAAATGAATGATTCCAGGTATGGGGTGGGAAAAGTATGAGGTGAATCCCAGAACATCTTTTGTGCCAAAAGCAAGGAAGCTTTTAAAAGTTAACAGGACAATGTTAATAGAACACATAGGAGCCAGGTTGAAGGGGTCACCACTACAATGATTTGAGCATTGAGAAGAATAATGATTGTAATTAATTAAACACATGAAATCAGTTGAAATACTGTCATGCATTGCTTAATGATGGGAGTATGTTCTGAGAAATGCATTGCTAGGTGATTTCACAATTATCCAAACTTGAGTGTGCACTTACACAAATCTAGATGGTATAGCCTACTACGCACCTAGGCTATATGAAATAGCCTATTGCTCCTAGGTCACAAACCTGTGGAGCATGTTATTGTCCTGAATATTGTAGGTGACTGTAACACAATGGTAAATATTTGTGTATTTAAACATATATAAACATAAAAGAAGTATAGTAAAGATGTGTTATAATCTTATGGGACCACTGTTGTATATGCAGTCTGTTGTTGACCATAACGTCGTTATGCGACATATGACCATACACTCACACATACACTGAGAATGCTGGAAAAATTACTATCAGCATTTGAAGTGACTACTAAAGGAACTCCTTACTTCGAGAACTGGCAAAGGGAAAGAATTAAGCATTTATTTTCTTTCCAGTAAGAACTGTATTTCATACAGGTAGCATACAGATAGCCCCAATACAGATAGCCCCAACTGATGAGAGGAGAAAGGTCCACTTTACAGAAGAATGCCAGCTAATAATGTTAAAGGAATGACAAAATCCAAAAATCATCATTCCACAACCACTAAAGCAATTATTGATTTAGGAAGGATCTCAAATTATATTAGAACCTACTTATTTAGTGTCAAAGCTAACACTACATACATAATTTTCTGGTTACAAAAGGGGAAAACACAACTCCACAATAGAGGGGTAAGGGTATCATTATCCTAGTTCAGTGTTTAAACTTAGCATCACTATGGCAGTCATCAGATGTTAAGTGTATCCTGATGTGAGGCAACATGAAGTACAAACATGATCTATGATGTATTCCACCCAAAATATTTAACTTGAATTCAGCCTTTATTTTTTAATTTTTAATTTTAATTTTAATTTTTTGTTTGTTTTTTCTTTTGTTTGTTTTTAAGATAGAGTCTCACTCTGTCTCCCAGGCTGGAGTGCAGGGGCGCAATCTTGGCTCACCACAACCTCTGCCTCTGGGGTTCAAGCAATTCTGTCTCAGCCTCCCGAGTAGGTGAGATTACAGGCATGTGCCACCACACCCGGCTAATTTTTGTATTTTTAGTAAACATGGGGTTTCACCATGTTGGCCAGCCAGGCTGGTCTCAAACTCCTGACCTCAAGTGATTCACCCACCCTGGCCTCCCAAAGTGCTGGAATTACAGGTGTGAGCCACTGAGCCCAGCCTGAATTCAGCCTTTAAAACTTACTTCCAGCTTACAGGAAATATAACGACTAGAGGAACAAGTTAAATAACACCACAATGCAACAAGACAAATCCAAAAAGTTTGACATTCTGCAAAACAAAGGCAATCTCTTCAAATGAGTGTCATGAAACAAAAGTAGAGGAGGATAAACTAGACTAAAAGAGACTTAAGAGATATAACAACTAGGTGCAATGTATGGTCCTATATTGGATCCTAGTTAAAAAAAAATCAATTGAAATATCAAGGACATTTTGGGGATAATTCAGGAAATCTAAATATGGTCTGTCGATCATATAAAATGGAAATAGGCCAGGCATGGTGGCTCATGCCTGTAATTCCACCACTTCAGGAGGATGCGGCCAGCAGATCACTTGAGGTCAGGAGTTCAAGACCAGCCTGGCCAATGTGGTGAAATCCCATCTCTATAAAAAAATACAAATATTAGCCAGGCACAGTGGTGCACACCTGTAGTCCCAGCTACTCAGGAGGCTGAGATGGGAGAGTCGCTTGAACCTAGGAAGTGGAGGTTGCAGTGAGCTGAGATCGCACCACTGCACTCCAGCCTGGGTGACAGAGCAAGACTCTGTCTCAAACAAACAAAAAAATAAAATTGAAATGTACTGTCATGAAAACATAGATGAACAAAGCAAACAGATTGGACTACAGCATATACAATATATTATTTTGGTTAAAAAAATACCTACATGTACACATATGACCTAGAAAAATATCTGGAATGATATACACGAATGCATTGAGTGTGATTTGTGAACATTAGGGTTTTTGTTGTTGTTTTGGCTTTCTGTATTTTAGAACTTTCTGCAATGCACCCCTCCTGCTTTTATAATAATAAAAAGTAGTAGGAAGCCTTCAATAAATCACCTTCTAGCTTTTAGAAGCAACATGTCATAGAAAATATTCTGGACAAAGACTCAGGTCATCTAAGTTCTAACTTTGGTCCTGTCACCAACCATTGAGCAAATTGTCCAACCTTTCTTTTTTTTCCTTTTTTTTAAGAGATGGAGTCTTGCTCTGTCACCTAGGCTGAAGTGCAGTGGCACGATCTCGGCTCACTGCAACCTCCACCTCCCGGGTTCAAGCGATTCTCCTGCCTCAGCCTCCCGAGTAGCTGGGACTACAGGCACGCACCACCATGGCTGGCTAATTTTTGTATTTTTAGTAGAGATGGGGTTTCACCATGTTGGCCAGGATGGTCTCGATCTCTTGACCTCGTGATCCACCCACCTCGGCCTCCCAAAGTGCTGAGATTACAGGCGTGAGCCACTGCGCCCAGCCTGTCCAACCTTTCTAGTTGGGTTTAGTTTCTTCATCTGCTAAACTGGAATATTTCACAGAATAATAAGTGTAAAAAGTTTTATAAATTATACCATGTGATTCTGGAAAAAAAAGATTGTAATATTAGTTATTGTTCCACCGACTGTAGAACTAAGTGTCAGCCAGACACTGTAATTCAATTAGACTTCTGAATTACAGTGAGATATCTTTATCTCAGCACTTCCAAGGAGGGAATGCTGGCTTAGGAGTTCTGTCACAGAACCTATTGCTCTTGCAGCCCCTAGTATCAAAACTGATTCCTAGATGACAAAACTTTGGTATACCACAACAGTGCTGTAAGGAACTTGTGAGTTAGCCAGCCAGCTGCCTGCCACCACTGGGACTGCCAACTGTTTTAGTTTTCCTCTGTAACATTCTCATGATGAATTCCCTTTTGACAGGACATCTATCACTTGTAAGTCCCATGGTTGCTGCTGCTTCTAAATGCTGGTATCTTTGCTTTCATTTTAATTTTCCTTCTTTTCTCTTCAACTTCTCTTGAAAAAGTTTATAACCATCTCCAACAAGAGTGCTTTTTTTTTTGTATCAGTGGCAAACAGAGCAATCCATTATATTAGATTTCATCTTTAGATACTCCAATTTTTGTTCTTTGTGGCCAGTATTTATAGTCTGAATCTTTAATTACTGAGAGAGCTTGTTGCCTCTTTGAACACTAACATCTCGAGAAGGCAGGACTTCAGGTAAATGAAGTGTTACTGTACACATTTTTAACATGGCAACTGGCCAAAAGATAATCATGACTCACAGAGAACCTTTTCAATTTTCCTGATTTCGGCTTCTAAAACTCCAACTCAAATCCTGTAAGTTATTAAAAGCCCATCCCCACCCGTTCTTACCCCTCCAAAAGGAATAACGTCACTGACTTATGTGGAACAATGTATAATGCCACCTGAATGTTTGAGTCATTACCCAGAGGAGAAAGGATGGGACATCCTCCATCTTTTTTGCAACATTTCATCTCTTCCTTTTGCTATTGCCTTTTCCCCCCCACCTTTGGTTTTGTCTTATCCTACAATTCAGATTTCTATTTTGTGTTGAACTTGCTACCTTTTTTCACGTTGAAAAGATTACATTTCCTCAAGAGCTAAAAATAAATAGGAATAGAAAAAAAAAAAACAAAAAAACAAAGATCACTTTTAATTGGGACCCAATGACAAAAAGAGACCAATAATCAATTTGGTAAAATAGATTAACAGACTTACAATACCTTTTAAAGCTTCCGTTTCTATGTCTACTAATGGCTTCCCCACATAGGCAATATCGTCTAGATTATAATAGAGTTTTTTAATGACTCCATCATAACGACTAGTGATGGTAACAGAAGCTTTATCACTTTGAACTTCACAGATGCTATCAAACTGAGACACTGTATCTCCTTCTTTTACATACCTAAAAGAAAAAGAAATGAGACACTTTTATGGAAACAGTCATAAGTACAGATCATATTAAGGATGTAAATGCCATGCTGAGTTAGATCAGTATTCATCTAGCCCAGCATTTACTTTCAGATGGTGTACTAAGCAATGTTTCAGAGATGACTATAATGACTTTCAGAGTCTCTTCAATGTATCTGCAAGAAACACTCAAAAAAATTTTAAGCAATTCACAGTCTATAATCCAAAAATTTAATTAAACTCTCAGGTTTTCTGTCTGACCCATTTATCAGAAAAACAAGTTCTAAAAACACATTTTTAAAGTGGTATTTCCTTCTATTGTCTTATATTACCCTTTTCCAAACTTTAAGGGATGCCCAATACTTCCAGAAATAAGTTTAAAAAGTGATGTCCTCAATACATATCCTTTGTAATTTCATGAATTTTAGATGGGAGTTCTCCCAGTCTTTCTTCCTAAAATTATTTTAGCCTGTTCTTATATAAAGTCCTTCTAATCCCATAATCATTTTAGGTATACTTTACAGGCTTTTCTAGATCGTTTTGGCAAACAAAACAGGAGGAATGGGACCAAACCTGAAATAATACATCTAATTTTCATTCTAATGGCATTCTTAATGTCTCTAGTTCTTATTTCTGACTTATTGCCAGCAACAGATAATTGTTGTCATTCTTGCTTCTTGTCCTCCTGTCCTAACCAGTCCTCAGCCTATGATAAAACAGCACCCATGACATAGAAACCAGCTTTAAAAGCACATACTTTCACTTCCAGAATGATGGATTAAAGACATCTGAAAATCTGCTCTTCCATATGAGCAACAAGTACAGTGCCAAAAGTTGTTAAAAATCAATTTTTTCAGAATTTTGGAAATCAAAAAAAGGCTTGCAACAACTGAGAAGGATGTATTCAGGAAAAATGGTTGAGTTTTGTAGTATTTTAACTTGCCCAATTTCCATCCTCCTTTCCCTAGCGCAGCAGGAGCCAAATCAGCAGCCTTGCAGCCACTGTAAGGGGAATACTAGGTTTGGATCACCACAAAAAGCAAAATCCCCGGAGAAACTGGCACTACAGATGGTCTCTGACTTTTATATCTTTTCAACTTTATGATGGTGTAAAAGCAACAACTCTTCTGTTTTAAACTTTCAGTATTCAATAAATTGCATAAGATATTCAACAGTTCTTTATAAAATGGACTTTGTATTAGATGACTTTGCCCAAATGTGGGCTAAGGTAAGCGTTTCGAGCATGTTTAAGGTAGGCTAGGCTAAACTATGATGTTTGATAGACTGGGTATATTAAATGCATTTTCAACTTAAGACACTTTAGTTTTGATGGGTTTATGACTTATCCCCATCATAAGTCAAGGAGCATCTGGGTTGTTGTTGTTGTTGTTGTTGTTGTTGGTAGAGACAGGGTCTTGCTATGTTGCCCAGGCTAGTCTGGAACTCCTGGCCTCAAGCAGTCCTCCCATCTTGGCCTCCCAAAGTGTTGGGATAACAGGCATGAGCCACCACACCTGGCCACATCTGTATTTTGTTTTATTTGTAACTTTTTGTTTGTAACTTTAAAAAAAAATCCTATCTGATTTACAAGACAACCACATTAAGGCAATACTTATAAAACTGTGTTGATGTGCTTTATGATGTTTAAAAATGGAATACTTTCAATGTGGAATGATAATTATTTGTTTTGTTTTGTTTTTTGAGACAGGGTCTTGCTCTGGTTGCCCAGACTGGAGTGCAGTGGTACAATCTCGGCTCACTGCAACCTCTGCATCCTGGGTTCAAGCCATCCTCTCACCTCAGCCTCCCAAGTAGCTGACACTACAGGCCTGTGCCACCATGCCAGGCTAATGGAATGATAATTCTAAAAAAGAAAAACAGGAATACGTATGACAGAAATAGCAAAAGGAAGGAAGAGACAATAGAGCTATATTGGAGCAGAGTCTTTGTATTCTATTAAGTTTCTACTAATCCAAATTATAGTGTTTTAAATTAACATGTTAATTGTAATCCTCAGGGCAACCACAAAGAAAATAACTTTAAAATACACAGTAAAAAGTTTACATACTCCAATAAAAAGGCAAAGATTGGCAGAATAGATTCTAAAAAAATGTTCCAACTATATGCTAAGAAATATAATTTAAATTCAACAACACAAATGGTAAAAAGTAAAAGGATTGAAAAAGATATGTCACACAAGGCCAGGTGTGATGGCTCGCCTGTAATCTCAGGAGTTTGAGACCAGCCTGGGCTACAAAGCAAGACCCTGTCCCTCAAAAAAAGGAAAAAAAAAGAAAGCAAGCAAGCTAGAGTGGCTATACTATCAGACAAAATAGACTTTAAGACAAAAGCACACATAACATCTAAACTTGTTTTAGAAGTTTGTCAAAGGATTTGTGAAATTTAAGTATTTTTTTTCTTTTTCCATACATATGCACCCACAAATTCTAAGAATGAGGTTTTATTTACCCTTACCCAAAACCACACTAACTTCTGTTAAATTATGCTTCCTTACATATTCAAATTTCTATTCCCAGGCTTCATTTTATAGAACACAATTCTGCCCTTTAGCATTTTACCAAGTGCAACGCAATACATATTTTTTCCTTAAGTTATTTATGGATAGTTTGAAATGGTTGTTCCTCAGTGCCGTAAAGAAATAGCAGTTGAACATAAATTTAATTTACTCAGCAAGGCCATTTTTACTTCCTGCAGAAAAAGTACACTCACCAGCAGTTTTGCCACAAGAGTACACGGAACAAAGGAGACAGGGTCATTTATAACCTGACGCATCCAACCTACTGCTGTGTCCAATTTCCATTGGCTGGAATGGGAACTCACATTCTGTATTTGTCCTGATTGGCTAGCAACTTAGCACTTTTTAAAAGAGGCAAAGGTAGAGGAGAACAAAGGAAGGAGGAAGTAACTTGTGGAATGCTGAGAAAGGTAAAAACACCTTCAGATAAGGAAGAGGAACAGCCTACGACCTAATGCTTGCTTGGACCAGTATAAGCCTGCCAGGGCAAATTTTTAGGCTAAATTGTAGGAGCTAAGAACATAAAGTACATTGATTTATCACGGCTAGCAGATATTTAAGAATGTTAGCACAGGTCTTTGAATAAATTTTGCTTCTAAGAGAAGTTACTATTTATTCCTAATTAAATGAGGAAGAAAGTCTTTGAAGAGGAACCTCTACTTTACTTTTTACAATATGAAGTTAGGAAAAAAAACAGAATTCAAGAAAGCTCTTAATATTTCGCAAAGAACTTCTGAAAACTAATCAAATGATTAGTTTCTCATTAAAAGAGCTTTTAGAATTTTATTAGGAATAAAATGATTTCCCCTTCCAAGAGCTGTAAGCCCTATACTAAGCATATGGGTCTAGAGAATAAGAGGTAGAAATTAACAAATGGTTTTTTAAAACAATCAAAAAAAGCTGGGTGCAGTGGCTCATGCCTGTAATCCCAACACTTCGGAAGGCCCAGGTGGGAAGATCACTTGAGGCCAAGAGTTCAAGACCAGTATGGTCAACATAGTAAGATCTCATCTCTACCAAAAAAAAAAAAAAAGTCGAAAATCTTTAAAGATTTTTTACTACTGTCTTGGTCTTGAAAAGAAGGTATTATCAAATGCATTTCTTATACATGACATTATTTTGATCCTTTCAACACTCCAGAGGTTGGCAGAGCAAGTACTATTATCCTCATATGACACATTAAGAGACCAAGTGAGTCACAGGTAGGACAGCTAATAAGTTTCCAGGTCAGACTTTTCTGATTTGAAGTCCATTGCTCTTTCCATAATCCCACAGTGCCACCAGAGACATAACCATAAGGTATGTTTATGTTATTACAGTTCTCTTCTAACTTACAAAGCAATAATAATAAGTACAAGAAAAGAATGTTCAGGTGGTTGAACCAGATTCTTAAAAGGATCTTTAATGGTATAAATCTAAGGTGGGAAGTAATCTATTTACTCATCTTAACTGCCACTTCTAAAAACCTCTAAAACTGAGTTCGGTACCCAGAGGTGTTTCTATTTTTCCAGAAGGTGAAAGAAAAAAATGGGGTAGAGGATGAAAGGCTTTTGTCTGTTTCAGGCCCTTTTTTGGACAATTTTTTAATGTTTCAAAATTTATTTTTTGATTCATGACTTTTGGTAAAATATTTTCATCTCTTCTAAACATACAAGTAAACTGTATCAGGTAATGGTAAGTCAAACATACTTACATTCTTACTAAAGTCATTTTCGTAACAGTGAAGAGAGCTTAGACTACCTGACAGTTTTAAATCACACTAAATAAAGTACCTTGATGTATGACAAAGTCCTTCACCACTATATCATCAACACAAGGTAATTCTACCTTATTGCTTTTAAAAATGCATTATGTGTTTATAAAGACGTTTCTCAATTTAAATGGATTCCCACTATCCATTAAATAAATAAAAATAAAAATAGTTATTTTTACTCAAATTATTTTTAAATTTACTTAAGAGCTTTTTTCAGATTCACTTACCATTCTTTAACAGTTACTTCTCTAATCCCTTCTCCAATGTCTGAGAGCTTGAACTGAACAACCTGTCCACGGAGAGCTTCAAAGACAAATGAGAAATGATCTCATTAAGTATATAACATATTACTAATATATACTTTCACATCTAAAATTAGAGAATGTTCTCAGGCAGAGGCAGAAATTCTTCCATCTTACAGACAGAAAAACAGCATTTTATAATTTTTAAGAGCATAACCATTATTCATAACCATTAGAGATTTAAATAAATTATTTTACAACACAGACTTACTGGCACTGCCACAGAACTTACATTTTCTAACTTCCAAAATGGTCTGTTATAAGGCTATAAAAGGCCCTACTAACAAATTAATTAAATTTTGAAACAATGTAATGAATAGAAAATAGAACAAAGATATACAAAGAGAGACCCAGCTAGATATCCTTGTTTTAAGTTATGAAACTATAATAACATGAACAGATTTCTTTTGAATTTATATAACTATTCTTTCTCATTCTTAATGGCTAAAAATCAGGCAGTTCTATATCTAGCAAACTTGATGGAAACTTGTTTGTCCAAACTTATGTTCTGCCACCTTATCCCTAAGTCGTCTCTTTCCTCTTTCCATTTTCTACCCCTTTTCAAATTTCTACCCATCCCTCCTTTTTTTTTTTGGAGACAGAGTCTCACTATGTTCCCCAGGCTGGAATACAGTAGACATTCACAGGTGCATAAATGCATACTACAGCCTCAAACTCCTGGGCTCAAGCAATCCTCCTCCCTCCATCTCCTGAGGAAGCTGGGACCACCCACCACACCCAGCTTCTATACCCTCTTTGTAATACTTAGATGCCAATGATACTGTATGGTAATTATTCTCAAAAGAGAAAAGTATTTCTGATCATTTGAAAGCACGTATGGACCCTCCCACTTTTCCAGGTTAACAAATGGCTCTGAACCTATTCAGGAATGCTCCTGTATCTTTAGACTGCTGTTAACCATATTTGCTTATAAAACATATAACAAATTAATTAGGGTTGTAAAATTTTCTTAAATATGAGGAGTTAAATTAGTAATAAAAAATACAAAATACATTTTGGTTATGGAGGTATTAGGTACCTCTTACTTCCTCTCTAGCAAGTTGGGTCCTCTCACAGCTTGCTGATTGGAGTATAACCTGGCAACTTTCTGAATGGTTTAGCATTAACAATCAAAAGCATTTAAAAAAATTTTTTTTAAATCAACATTCTTGATTCCATAAGTAATTCCACTTGCTAAAAAATGGTTACTATAGGGTCATAATGAAGAACTGGAAATCAATCTAAGTAACACAAAAACAAGAAAATATACTATGGCACCTCTATACAAAGCAATATGCAAGGAACAGCAAGAGCATGAAAATGTGATGGTTCATGGCAAGGTTAAAGAACAGTTCTCTATAGCCGAAGATGCGGTATGTGGCAAGAAATCAGCCCAGACTTAAAAGACTTTGTGTACCATGCTAAAATATTTGAACTTCATCCTAAAGGTGATCAGGACCCAGTGGTAAATTAACATGGTCATAAATTCTTTGCAGCTGTTCCCATCAGGAGGCCGAGTCTATTTCACCAGTTCTTAAATCTGTGCTGGGCTGTGACTTGCTTTGACAAATAGAATATAACAGAAGTGAAGTGTGAAGGTTCATGAAGCTAGGCCTCAAAAGTCCGCACAGCTTCTCCCTTCTCCCTTTTGGAATGCTGCCCTAAAATCCTCATGCAAGGAAGTTGATCTAGTCTACTGGAGGATGAGACATCAGGAAAAGGAGAAATGAGTTGCCCCATCGGAAACCCAGCATGAATGGTCAGACACATGAGTGAGACCATCTTGGACTTTCCAGCCCATATGATCCTCTAGCTGAATACAGCCATATTAGGGAGCCTGGGCGTAACCAGCAAGGAAATCACCCAGCCAACCTGCAGAATCCTGAGAAATGATCAGTCCTTGTTGCTTTAAGCCACTAAGTTGTGGGATTGTTTGTTACTCAGCAGTAATTAACTGATATGGAATCCTATTTATAATATCAGATCTGCAACTTTAGGTCTACAAGTTTAGAAAAAATTTCTCTGGCAGGAGTGTGGTAGATGGGGTCGGGGAGTGGGTGGCAGAGGCAAAACAAGGCAGGGGAAGCAGGAGGCTACTTCAGGTAAGAAGCAGAAGTATAGAATTTATTAATTTATTATTTTTTTAGAGACAGGGTCTCACTCTGTTGCCCAGGCTGGAGTGCAGTGGCACAATCAGCTCATGATAACTTCAAGTTCCTGGGCTCAAGTGATCCTCCCACCTCAGCTAGGACTAGCAGCTGACTACAAGTCCATACCACCACACCCAAGTAATTAAAAAAAATTTTTTATAGAGGTGAGGTCTCACTTTTCTGTGGCCCAGGCTGGTCTTGAACTCCTGGCCTCAAGCAAGCCTCCTGCCTCAGCTTCCCAAAGTGCTGGGATTACAGGTGTGAGCCACTCTGCCCAGCACAGAAGTATGTGATTTATATATTTATATACTTTTCAAAGCCATTTGAAAAGAAGGCAGATTTAAGAAAAATGTAAGATGTAAAATTAATAGGTTTTGATAATCAGTTTGATGTGAGACTAGAGTCAGGATGACTCCAGGTTTCTAGCTTTCCTTCCTCCCTCCCTCCCTCAAGATGACTCTAGGTTTCCTTCCTTCCTTCCCTCCTTCCTTCTTTCCCTCCTTCCTCCCTCGCTTCCTTCCTTCCCTCCTTCCTTCCTTCCCTCCTTCCTCCCTCGCTTCCTTTCCTCCCTTCCTTCCCTCACTTCCTTTCCTCCCTTCCTTTCCTCCCTTCCTTTCCTTGATTCTTCCCTCCCTCCTGATGGCTCTAGGTTTCTAGCTTCCCTCCCCTCCCCTCCCCATCCCTTCCCTTCCCGTCCTGTCTCATCACGTCCCTTCCAGTCCCGTCCCTTCCTCCTCTTCCTCCTCCTCCTTCTCTTCTTCTTTCTTTTATTTCCCCTCCCCTCCCCTTCCTTCCTTCTCCTTCTCCTCCTCCTTCTTCTCTTTTCTTCTCTTCTCTTCTTTTCTTTTCTTCTTAGACATGGCCTAACTCTGTTGCCCAGGCTGGAGGGCAGTGGCATGATCACAGCTCACTGCAGCCTCAAACTCTGGGGCTCAGGTGATCCTCCTACCTCAGACTCCTGAGTGGCTGGGACTACAGGTGTGGACCACCATGCTCAGCTGACTTTTTAAAATTTTTTGTAGAGGCAGGGTCTCATATCAATGGTTAAGCTAGGCTAGTCTAGCTTAATGACTTACTGAGTTAGGAAATATCAGAAGGAAAAGAGATTTGTAGAAGACTGAGTTTTGGGGACATTGGAATGGAGTTGGTGAGAGATGTGAGCTACAGCTACAGATTCACAAGTCTTCAATGAGGTGAGAGTTGAAGGCATGTGTGTAGATGTAGTACAAGAAGAGAGGGCAAAGGATGGGATCCTATGAAAAACTGAAGTTTAAAAGAGAAGCAGAAGAAGAGAAACCTTAATAAGTATCCAGAGAAAGCAGTATTAGTATATGTAAGCAGTATTAGTATATCTAAGCAGTATTAGAGTATGTAAGTACTTTATATATTCTAATTTATTTAATCCACCCAAGTATAAGGATCTTTGTTTTGTGTACTGATATATCCCAAGCACCTAGAGCAGTGCCTTGGAACACAGGTGATCAATAAATATTAATTGTTGAATGAATGAATTCTCACAAGAATACAATTAGCTAAATACTATGATTACTCCCATTTCCCAGATGGTGAAACTTGCTTAAAGTTACACTGCTAGTAATTTGTAGACCAGGAATCCAAGTAGCCTGGAACTGGTGTATCCAGCAACCCAAAGTTCCTAAGTGTTTACAGACTGGACCAGGAAGTTGAAGTATTTACTTGAATGACCTCTATTTTCTCTGGGAAGTAACAAAAAAAGATCAACTTTAAAAAATGGAAATTTTTGTAAAAGTAGTGAAGGTAAAGTTTACATGTCTTAGGCTATAGTGGAGGATGACATAGAAAAAACATGGAAGATGGCTGGGAACAGTGGCTCACACCTGTAATCCCATCACTTTGAGAGGTGAGACCCTGTCTCAAAAAAAAAAAAGAAAGCAAAAGAAAAGGCATGGAAGGCCGGTGCAGGGCTCATGCCTGTAATCCCAGCCCTTCGGGAGGCAGAGGCAGGAGGATCTCTTGAATCCAGGAGTTTTAGACCAGCCTGGGCACTGTGACAACATCCTGATAAATAAATAAATTAGCCAGGTGTAGTGATGCACACCTGTAGTCCCAGCTACTCAGGAGGTTGAGGCAGGAGGATCATTTGAGCCCATGAGTTTGAGGTTACAGTGAGCTATGATTGTGCCACTGCACTCCAGCCTGAGCAACAGAGCTCAAAAAAAAAAAAAAAAAAAAAAAAAAAAAAAAAAGAGCATGGAAAGGCTGACTTGGGGTCTGCCTGGAATTCCCCCATTTTTCATTCCCAGCACAAACTAAGCTCCCATGTATCTGTCAAAAACTTAATAGTGTAACAAAAGTCTAGGGTTCTTTATCAGGGTTCTAAATAGAACATCAGGAAAAAAAACAGTTCTTGTGCCCTTGCCAAATCTAATACTTAATCCTTCAAGTTCTTTACAGAGGGTAGAAAAAGCTGGGGAAAAAGTAAGTAAATGGTGAAAGTCAGGGAACTTTCTATTTAGTACTAAATCAGGCTGGTTTCATCACACCATGTTCACTTGACAGATTAAGTGCTTCTTTCAACAAACAATACCACAATGTGTATGCCAACACAAAGACACCTCTATTAAGTCAACAATTTACCTTGACTGAGAAAGTCATATCAATGCTGACTATTGCACTTAGATGAGCCAGATGATAAATAGATGGCCCAACACAACCCATTCCCAATATTATAAAGACACAAGTGCTGGGCGAGATAAGTTAATGCCTGTAATCCCAGCTCTTTGAGAAGCTGAGGCAGAAGGATCACTTGAGCCCAGGAGTTCAGGTTATAGTGAGCTGTGATTACACCACTGCACTCCAATCTGGGCAACTGAGTGAGATCCTGTCTCTAAAAAAAAATTTTTTTTAAAAAGGGGTGCCAGTGTTAAGGAAAGTATGTAAAAGAGAGGGATGAGAAAAAAGAAAGTGAGAACTGGAAAAATGTGGGGAGATGGGAAGGGCCCGGCTAGAAATACAGAGTCAACTTTTTTTTGTTTAAAAAGTCTCAATCAACTACTAAAAAATATTACTGAATGAGGTACAAAACATTATTTTATACACGTTATTTTGAAATCATACTTACCAGCAGTTGTTTTCAGGAAGTGATGTGGATGACTATACTTGAATGAAGGATAACCAAAGAAACACACATAATTTGGCTTCAAAACATGAACATTACCACATGTTTGAAAATAGCGAACACAAATCTACAGATGAGAAAACAAAAAGTAAAAGCATTTATAAACAACCATACCGGCTTATCTCTAAGTATAAATTGAATTTCAATTCCATTCTAAAAGTAGAACCATTGTCACAATAGAAATATTATATCCTTAGATTTAGATTTGTTACATTTATGATCCTTACCCAAAATTCCTTCTGAAAGTAAAGACATTTTAACAGTGTATTCTGTATAAATACATCAGCTTATAGGTATGCTTAAGTCATTGGACTTCCTGAACTAAAACTACTAAAGAATTCTAAAGTAATAGTTAGCATCTAAAAACAATGAAAAACTTGTATAGTATGATACCCCAAAGTTTACTTATAGTAACTTATAGATGACTCTTTAGAATTAACTATTTTACATAGTACCTTAGTATAATATTATTTTAAAATCTCTTATAGAAATAAGTAGGCCCAAATGTATTCAACTCTATATATCAAAACCTAAGTGTCTGAAAGGTATTGTGTGTGTGTGTGTGTGTGTGTGTGTGTGTGTGTGTGTGTGTATTTGAGACATGGTCTCACTCTGTTGCCCAGGCTGGAGTGCAGTGGTGCGATCACAGTTCACTGAAGCCTTGACCTTCTAGGCTCAAGGGGTCCTCCTGCCTCAGCCTTCCAAGTATCTGGGACCACAGGCGCATGCTACCCCACCCAATTAATTTTGTTTATTATTTGTAGAGACAAGGTCTCAGTATGTTGCCCAGGCTGGACTTGAAGTCCTGAGCTCAAGCAATCCTCCCACCTCAGCCTCCCAAAGTGCTAGAATTACAGGTGCGAGCCACCATGCCAGGCCATAATATCTTATTTGGAAAGTTAATATTTCAATGCCATTAGGCCAGGCGCGGTGGCTCACGCCTGTAATCCCAGCACTTTGGGAGGCCAAGGTGGGCAGATCACGAGGTAGGGAGTTAAAGAGACCAGCCTGGCCGATATGGTGAAACCCTGTCTCTACTAACAATACAAAAGAATTAGCTGGGCTTGGTGGCATGCGCCTGTAGTCCCAGCTACTTGGGAGGCTGAGGCAGGAGAATCGCTTGAATGCGGGAGGCAGAGGTTGCAGTGAGCCGGGATCGAGCCACTGCACTCCAGCCTGGTGACAGAGCAAGACTCCATCTCAAAAAAAAAAAAATTTCAATGCTATTAATACTTAACTACATCATACTGTAAACATAAACTACAGAATTTATTTACTTATTTAATTTTAAAGCCCTGAGCTTACTTCTCTGCAGAAATTTCTAACCTTCTTAGTATAAGAATACTGATAAGTGAAACTTTTTCATGTATGTAACAGAGTCACTTTTACTTAAAAAAAAAAATCATGTACATTAGTGGTGATTAGCTCTTAACTTTTAAAGGCTATGTTATAATAAACATCATATAGTACAGTCATGTTTTAATACATATTTATAAACTAGAATTTTTGTTTTTTTCTGATAGCAAATATAAAAGTAAAAGTTTGGTTTACTGACAAGAACAATACATTTAAATTCTTATTTTTTTACTTTAAATTTCAAACTATTACTGATTTCTGAAGGCAAAGAAAAACTGAAGATCCCTTTCCTAAAACATAAATAATCTTAAATCATTCATCTTAACTTTAGAGATCACCCTAAATCGACTAGTCTTTATAATATCAACATTTTATTTTTACTAACATTAATATTCAGGAAATATAAAGCCTAACTAAAATAATTAAAATTGATAACTTAAAACCAGAAGACAATAAAAGAATTCTCTTTCCCAAACATTTCCATTTTGTTTGTCCTTGCTTTCTCCTTCAGCTCCCATAATCCTGACTCTTGGTCAACAATAAAATCAAAGGAGTGAATCAACCTCTGTTTCATCAGACATAAAACTTAGGGACAATAAAGGAAAGTTTTGAAGTATATAGATTCACCTTAATTTAAATAAAATTGTTCATATTTGTAAAACATTTGAAAGAAAATTAAACTACTAGAAGGTCTTACCTTCAACAACAACACAACTCGTATTGAACTATTCATGGGTCGGGGCAGCATAAACCACCACGCTTAACATTTATTGAGTGCCTCCCATGTGCTGAGTACTTTCTTTTCAGACAGGCCAGGCATGGTGGCTCTGGCCTGTAATCCCATCACTTTGGGAGGCTGAGGTGAGTGGATTGCTTGAGGTCAAGAGTTTGAGACCAGCCTGGTCAACATGACGAGACCCCCTCTCTACTAAAAATACAAAAATCAGCTGGACATGGTGGCACACGTAGTCCCAGCTACTTGGGAGGCTGAGGCACAAGAATCACTTGAACCTGGGAGGCGGAGGTTGCAATGAGCCAAGATCACACCACTGCACTTCAGCCTAGGTGACAGAGAGACCTTGTCTCCAAAAAAAAAAAAAAAAGAAAGAAAAAAAGAAAAATAGCCTTTTTAGACATCATCTTTTTTTCTTTTTTTTTTGAGATGGAGTTTCACTCTGTCACCCAGGCTGGAGTGCAGTGGCACGATCTCAGCTTACTGCAACCTCCGCCTCCCAGGTTCATGCGATTCTCGTGCCTCAGCCTCCCAAGTAGCTGGGACTACAGGCATGTGCCATCATGTCCAGCTAAACTTTTTTTGTGTGTATTTTAGTAGAGACGGGGTTTCATTATGTTGCCCAGGGTGCTCTCGACCTCCTCAGCTCAGGCAATCCGCCCACCTTGGCCTCTCAAAGTACTAGGATTACAGGCCATGAGCCATGGTGCCCGGCCCAGACATCATCTTTACATTTACAATTTCCCTGTGGAACATACACGTTAGCCCTCTTCAACACACGGGAAACTGATGGGAAAGGTGAAGTAATTTGTCCAAGGTCACACAGCAAATAAGTGGAACAATCGAGCTCTGAAGCTAAATAAATTTGATGTCAAAGACCCTAGAAATAGGAGAAATAATCCCTAATTTCAAAGAGTTTACAACGTATGTGAGAAAATAAACACACATACAAACACACTCAAGCATGGACATGCATGCTCTAACTTTTTGTAATAAGAGGCATAGGCTTCTTTAATATAGTCCATAGGTTTACGAAAAAAAAAAAAAAGAGACATAGGCAGTACGTGATAAAGGAGTTTAAGCAGGCCGGGCACAGTGGTTCATAGCTGTAATCTCATTGCACTCCAGCCTAGGCAACAAGAGCAAAATTCTATCTCAAAAAAAAAAAAAAAAAAAAAGGAGTTTAAGTAGAGGGGTCTGGTGGGCTTTTTTTTCACGTTAGTGTGACCTGGGAAGGCTTCTTGGAGGAAGATTTAAGCTGCACTGTGCATAATAAGCATACATAATAAAAGAGCAGAAGGGCACTTTTAAGGCAGAGGAAACAGCATAAATAAACTACAGCAGAAATTGACTTAGCATATCTGCTGGGACATTGAGCGGCTTGATTTGGCTTGACCAAAGGTATAAAAGAGAGCAATGGAAACAGCTCAAGGAGGAAATGGTTGATGACTATAATGTCAGTATAAGGAGTTTGAACTCATACATTATGGGTTATTGAAGAAAAAGGATTAGGAAATTAGTAGTGGTTTATTGAATAGATTATAACAGATAAAATCTGGAGAGAAAGGGAGAAGTCAAGAAACTATTACATACCAAAATTATCAAAAAAGGATTTTTTTAAAAAAATAACTATTACCGTATTCCTCTCTTATCTCCTTATGTGCAGTGGACACGTTCAAGATCCCCCGGTGGGTGCCTAAAACCATGGACAGTACTGAATCCTACATATTCTACATATACCGTGTTTTTCCTATATATACATACCTATGATAAAGTTTAATTTATAAATCAGACACAGTAAGACAGTAATAATAATAACTGATAATAAAATAGAAAAATTATAATAATATACTGTAATAAAGGTTTTGTGAATGTGGTCTCTCTCTCAAAATATCTTACTGTACTGTGCTCACCTATTTTCAGACTACAGTAGATCATGGCTAACTGAGACCACAGATAAGAAGGGGAGAGTACTGTATAGTATTTGAGACACAAAGCAACAGGCTCCTGACTGAGGTAATTAATAGTAGAAAAAGAAAAAAAGCAACAAAAGTACCATAGGCAGTATATGATTAATATAATAGTAATTGAATGGCTCTGAGGAGAAGGCTAAAAACACTGTGAAGTTGCTGAATAGATGGATTAACAGGCAACAGGAAAGAGGAGAAGAAATAATTTTTCAAGCTAGAATTCTAAATTTTTTTTCTAGAAACAGACTATTAGACTAGTAAATTATATTTTTTAATTTTCTTCAAAGACAGGGTTGGCTGGGTGCAGTGGCTCACACCTGTAATCCCATCTCAAATAATAATAATAATAATAAAATAAAGACAGGGTCTCACTTTTTTGCCCAGGATGGTCTTAAACTCCTGGGCTGAAGCAATCCTCCTGTCTCAGTCTCCCAGAATGCTAGGATTACAGGTGTGAGCCACCACACCCAGCTAGACTAGTAAATTAAGCATAAGGCTTTAAACCTCCAATTTTAAAAAGGCATGCTTATGGAATTATCAGTTTTATATATTTTATATTTGAAGCAATTCTAAATTCATCTATGAACAATACTAAAGACACCTAGTTCTATGGGGACCATCTGTACCAATTTGCCTGAGGTGACACCCAATTCACCTCTAGTGATTCAAGGCAATTATTAATAACACCATTTTCATTCTCAAATACATCCTGGTTGAACAACTATACGTGTAGTCTAAGTCTTAATGCAATTATTTGACTAAAATAGGTCTTTCCTTGATTTTAAAAATAATTCAGCCAGGTGCAGTGACTCATGCCTGTAATCCCAACATTTTGGGAGTCCAAAGCAGAAGGATCACTGGAGCCCAGGAGTTCAAGACCATACTGGGCAATGCATTGAGACTTTGTCTACTAAAAATCAAAATAATTAGTTGGCTGTGGTGGTGAATGCCTGTAGTCCCAGCTACTTGGGAGGCTGAGGAAGGAGGACCACTTGAGCCCAGGAGGTCAAGACTGCAGTGAGCCAAGATCATGCCACCACACTCCAGCCTGGGCAACAGAGCAAGAACTTGTCTCAAAAATAATAATAAATAAAATAAAAAATTAGGCCAGGTGCAGTGGCTCATGCCTGTAATCCCAGCACTTTGGGAGACTGAGGCAGGTGGATCACGAGGTCAAGAGATCAAGACCATCCTGGCCAACACAGCGAAACCCCGTCTCTATTAAAAATACAAAAATTAGCTGGGCATGGTGGCGCGTGCCTGCCCAGTTACTTGGGAGGCTGAGGCAGGAGAATCGCTTGAACCCGGGAGGCGGAGGTTGCAGTGAGCTGAGATTGCACCACTGCACTCCAGCCTGGTGACAGAGTGAGACGCCGTCTCAAAAAAAATAAAAATAAAAAATTAATAATTCAATATCACAACCAGGACAGAAGAACATAAAGGGAAATGAAACTGTTCACCAAAGTAGCGTATTAAGGAAATATTTAATAATAATTCAATAGGCAGCTGTTGAGCACTCCTAAAGTCAGACATTGTACTGGACTTGGAAATGCAAAGCTAAATAAGATGCAATATATAGTTCCTGAATTCAAATTGCTTACACTTTACTACAGGAAGACAGACACAACAGAAAAATTCCAAATGGCATGATTAATCAAGAGTCAAATGCATTATGTCCTAGGGAAATGTAAAACACAACATTATAAGGCTATTTTAATAATTTACTACGGGGGTAAGAACTGTTTTTGCTTACAACTTTTTAGAAGAGTTTACAAACCTGACTTTTTTTTTTACTGAGTCATTTAAAAAATATTTATGCACACCTACAATGTGCCAGGCACTTGGGATTATACAGAGAACAAAACAGATGCAATTTCTTCCCTTATAGAATGCACAGTACAGTGAAAGGTAAAGACAAGTAAACCGGTGATTATAACACGTGCTATAATGAAGGAAATAGAGTGTGTTAAGGGAACCTAGCTGGAGAAAGTTATGTTGAAGTAAGACCTGACGGATGAGTAGGTGTAACCCCGGGGATGAGGTATGTTGCAGATAAGGCCACAGTGGAGTAAGGCAAGAGTCTTTAAAGCAGAGGAAATACATGTGCAAAGGTCTGGAGTTGAGACAGAAAGCACAGTGTGTGTGCAAATAACTCAAGTTGTTCAACAGACTTCTAGTGTAGTTTAGTGTGGAATAAGGGTGGGGAAGTGTCAGAGTTGGGGTTGGGATGGGTAGGTTTTGGTAAGGAATGAGATCTAAGAGACTGGAAAGGTCCAGATCATAAATTGCCTCATAGTCATTTGAATTTTGGACATTTTGCTGAAGGCAGTTTTAAACAAGAAAATGATATTATCAAATGTCTCTTACTTTATAAGATCACTCTGGCTACACTATGGAGAATGGGTTGGAAAAACTACAAGACCACTGGAGGCATATAATCCAGTTAAGAAGGGCCAAGACACCTCCAGTTGAGGGCAGGGTGGAAAAATCATGACTAGATTTCTTCAGAGAGAATTACAGGCTCAAATCAAGAGAAACTGGGCCAGGGGCAGTGGCTTACGCCTGTAATCCCAGCACTTTGGGAGGCCAAGGCAGGAGGATCACCTGAGGTCAGGAATTCAAGACCAGCCTGGCCAACATGGCAAAACCCCGTCTCTACTAAAAATACAAAAATTAGCCAGGCATGGTGGTTCGCGCCTGTAGTGCCAGCTACTTGGGAGGCTGAGGCAGGAAAATCACTTGAACCCAGGAGGTGGAGGTTGCAGTAAGCCGAGATTGCACCACTGCACTCCAGCCTGGGCAACAGATCAAGACTCTTCTCAAAAAAAAAAAAAAAAAAAATTAAGAGAAACTGGTTTGAGGGTTCAGTTCTAGAGGCTGGAGAGTCTGACCTGCTTTGAAGCTTTACGGCAGACACTGTGAGAAGACTAAAGACAAGCTTTTCTGCTGGGCATGGTGGCTCATCCTGTAATCCCAGCACTTTGGGAGGCCAAGGCAGGCGGATCACTTGAGGTCAGGAGTTTGAGACCAGCCTGGCCATCATGGTGAAACCTCGTCTCTACTAAAAATACAAAAATTAGCTGGGCATGGTGGCGTGTGCCTGTAGTCCCAGATATTTGGGAGGCTGAGGCAAAAGAATCGCTTGAAACTGGGAGGCAGGGGTTGCAGTGAGCCAAGATCGCACCACTGTACTCCAGCCTGGGTGACAGAGAGAGACTCCATTTCAAAAAAAAAAAAAAAAAAGACAAGTTTTTCTAAGCTCCCTTGTGCTAGCCGGGGCCATGTAACACAGTTCTGGCCAGTGAGACTGGAACCTCCTCCTCTTCCACCTTCCTGCCTTCAACATAAAAGAAGAAGTCGTAGCAGCCCTCTTGTATACAGTAGGAAAAGGACAAATGAACTACTAGGGAAATGACGACATTGATAATCATAAGCCACTTAATGTGAGCTGACATCTAATTGGGGATGCTCTGTATGCATGGATACTTAATTTCCTATTTATTGGTTGGGTTTTTAATTGCAGCTGGAAAACATCACGTACATATGAAACTGGAGATTTCCAGGACAGTAGGATATATGGGTTTGGAGTAGACCTGGTTGGAAGACTGGGGAACTTTAGGACTCATCAGCATAGATGGTAACTAAAGCCAAAGAGTGGATGGGATAACCCAGAAAGTGGGAAAAGTGCAGAGGGCCAAAGTCAGAGCCCTTTAGAAAAAGCAATATTTAAAAGGCGGGAAGGGAAACAGGATATTGGGATGAAGTGGCCAAAGATGAAGAAAGAATAATATTGGGAAACTGGTGTCACAGAAAACAAGAATGGAAAGCTCTAGAAAGAAGAGAGACCAATATGTGTTAAGTGTTGCTGAGAAGAGCTCTCTTCTCCTGGTTATCTCTTACTTATCCTTCTTACATCTCAAGTCATACAGTATCCTCTGGGAACTCCTCTGACCCCCAAGTCCACCATAGGTGTCCACTCCTGTGTGTTCCTGTAGTTCTAGGCACTTGTCCCATCACAGTACCTCTCATGCTGGGTTGTAATTTCTATCTGTCTCCCTCTCCTTTGTCCTCCACCACAAGGTTGTAATCTCTTGAGAAGGAAGATATGATGTCTATTTCATATTTGTATCTCCAGTGCCTAACACAGCACTGGTACATAGCAGGCTCTTGAAAGTTTTTGTAAGATCGGGGTCACCAAGGCAGGAGCATCTAGGGAAAGGGAGAAGAGGCAGGAAGAAGAAACACTAAGCAAATAGGGGTAACAAGTATCATTACCGGTATGTGTCAGTGCTTGGTGCTAAGACTGGGAGAAAGAGAAGGAAGTGCAGGGGAGATGGTGATGGGTCACAGCCTTGGTGACAAAAGGGTAGGAATGATATGTGGTGCGGACATAGAAGTACAAGGCAAAAGAGTGACGCCGAGCTGCTCAGTTCTTCGGAAGCAGGGACCCCTGCTGATATTCTATAACTTGAACGGCCTCTTCCTCTACACACTGTAGATTCCTTGAGGGTAGGGGTCGTGTTACCAGTGTTTGGCATACTGTGGGTACGCAATAAATGCTAAACGAATATATCTCTGGATCCACAGCGCCTATCACAATGCCTGGGCACCTGGAAGGCGCTCAATAAAACGCTAGCTGGGCCTCGGGGTACAGATGGAGCAGGACGGCTGAGTCGCTGCAGAAGCGCTTCCAGGTAAGGGGAGGGAGTGGGTTTCCACTCCAGACTGGTCGACTCGCTCCGTTCTCTGCCCTTTATTTTGCATGCATCCCTTCACCTCTCCATCACGCGTGCCCTGGACGCCTGGCACCGGAGGAGAAAGTAAAACACCACTCCTGGATGACTCCGGACAAATCACTCCTTCCCGGCCTCAGATCTGCCCAAACGTGCTTACCAGCTTCCCCGCATTCCTGCTCCAGGTTCTCAGCATACGGACTGCAGCCATCTTACCCCGGAAATGACAACAGTGCCGCAAACTGGAGAGACTCTCCTCGGCGCGGCCTATCAGGAGATGGGAAACGCGCCTCCCCCTGGGCGACCAATAGGGAGGGAAGAAACGAGCCTCCCACCCAACAGCCAACCAAGGAGTAGGGCGGAGCCTGAGCTAAACCCTAGGATCTGGGACCCAGCGGGGAGTGAAAAGAGCCTGGGGGACGGAGGCGGGGCAGAGGGCAGCCCAAATTTAACACTGCTGTGTAAATACAGATGCACCAAAGATAATCTTTTTAGTGTATGTGATGGGGAAAATAGAGAGTGTTAAGGAAACACAAAGAAAGGTACTTACCTCAAGAAAGTTATGTTGCAGTAGGACCTGAGCGATGAGTTGGAAAACATTTCCCCGTCTTCATCTTGTAGTGTAGCCGCCCCAAATACAGAAAATAGAATATTTCTATACGTTGTAGCAAGGCTCTGGACAACTAGTTGTTTCACAAGTCCATACAGCAGTACTTCCCAATGACTGCCTTTTTTACTCCCATTTATGTTTTTGATTACCAAAATTGGCTAATCAATTTTTTTCATGAAAGATGAACATTACCTAATGTCTAAAATAAACATGTTATCATCTTTCTTTTTACAGACTGCTATCAGATGCAGCTAACTAGCATATGCAATACATGTCACAGACACATGATCTTGATTTAGTTGTCTCTTAAAGAAATGTCAAATTCAGGTCAAGTGGAACTGGTAAAGAACAGATCAGAGCTTTCTTTTAAAAGGCAATCTTCCTCAGAGCAACTAGGAAACCAATTCCTGGAAATGTCCAGGATGACATTAGTCTGTTATTGCTTCTTACGTGGGAATGAAAATCTGCACAGATGTCTAAGGAATTACAGAGAAAAAAAACTGGAACAAATACATTTTAAATGCTCAACATTGAAGATTAGTGGTTATGAAACAAAATCTCAGGTATTTCACAACTTCATTGTTTAATATGACCCAAACACTTTTCCCCCTCATTTGCCATTTTATGTATTACACATCTACACACAAAAAATCAATGCAAACAATAAATCTTATTATCTTTTTTGTTTGTTTGTTTGTTTGGTAGAGATAGGGTCTCTTGGGCCAGGCGTGGTGGCTCCTGCCCATAATTCCAGCACTTTGGGAGGCTGAGGCAGGCAAATGGCTTGAGCTCAGAAGTTCAAGATGGGATCTCTCTATGTTGCCCAGGCTGGTCTCAAAGTCCTGGTCTCAAACTGCGATCTTCCCATTTCAGCCTCCCAAAGTCCTAGGATTACAGGCATGAGCCACTGGGTCCGGCCTAAATAGCTATCTTTCTCAGAAAATCTAGAGTAGTCAAAAGAATTTCAAGTTTTTACATTTCCTTAAAAATGTTTATAGACATTATTAATATATTTGATAATCCCACAAGCATGTGTTTGTATAAAAAGCAGTGGCAGTTGTACCTTTGAAGTGAATCATCTCCCTTCCAAGCTGCTGCTATACAACTTTCTTTGTCCTAATTTCGTTTTTAACTGTACCTGCTCCTCAGAAGATAACTAGTTTATTTTCCTTTACCGTCTTCTTATGTCAATGGATTCTTGCTTCTATATTCAGTATAATATGTGTCCTTATCTTTCATTCCAGCATCTGGAAAGAAATACACCATCTATTCCCTAGTTAATTCTTTTATTCGAGTTTGAAAGAAACAAAGACCCCATTTCTTCTCTTTTTTTAGATTTAAAAATGGCCAGTTATGACCCACCAATTCCACTCCTGGATAGCTACATAAGAGAAATGACAACAGTGTTCACACAAAGACTTGAATAGGAATAATCATAACAGCATAACAGCCAAAATCTAGAAACAGCCCAGATGTCCATTAACAGGTGAATAAACAAAATGTGGTACATCCATATTCTGAAATATTATTCATCCTTAAAAATGACTGAATTAGCGATAATTGCTATGACATGGATGAATGTCAAAAAAATATTATGCTAAGTAAAAGAATACAAGCACAAAAGATCACATATTACATTATTCCATTTAAATTAAATGTCCAGAAAATGTTGATTTATAGAGATGAAAAACAGATTAGTTTTAGTTATATTAGTTATATAATAAGATTATATTAGTATTATTAATTAATAAGGTTAGCATTAGAAAACAAATTCGCCTGGGGCTAGAGGTGGAAGGGGCAGTGATTGCAGAGGCAAGAGAGATTTTTTTTGTGGTGATGAAAATTTTCTGTTGCCACTTTGTGGCAATGATTGCATAATTCTGTACATTTACTAAAAATCTTTGAATTATACACTTAAGACAGGTGAATTTTATGGTATGTAAAGTACACCATAATAAAGCTGTTAAAACTGTGTTATATGAGACAATAATGAACATATGAATAAAAACAAATACATAAGTCTGGACGTGGTGGCTCATGCCTGTAATCCCAGCACATTGGGAGGCGAAGGCGGGTAGATCACGAGGTCAGCAGTTCGAGACCAGCCTGGCCAACATAGTGAAACCCCATCTCTACTAAAAATACAAAAATTAGCCAGGCATGGTGGCATGCGCCTGTAGTCCCAGATACTCGGGAGGCTGAGGCAGGAGAATTGCTTAAATCTGGGAGGCGAAGGTTGTGGTGAGCCAAGATTGTGCCATTGCACTCCAGCCTGGGCAATAGAGCAAGATTCCATCTCAAAACAATACAAAACAAATACATATGTCACATGATAATATAACAAAAACCCTTGAACCTATCACTCAACTTTAAGAAATAGAACCTATGGAAAAACACATTATGTAGGTTGTCTAAAAATAAAATACATTTTAAACTAAAAAAAAAAGAAATAGAATCTTTCCCGTTAGTGAAGATCACTGTCTGCTCCTTCCTTTACCTCTCCCCTTCATAAGCGTTATCTTGAATTGTGTTTTTCATTCCTTTGTTTATTTTAGAATTGACCACATATACATATATGGATGGATGCCTAGTAACATATTATTTACTTTTGCTTGTTTTTGAGTCTCATAAAAATGGTATTAAACTGTATGTATCTTTCTGCAACTAGTTTTTCTGACATGATTTATTTATCCATTCTCTACTGAGTGGATATTTGTGCTATTTCTAGTTATTTGCTATTACCGTCAGTGCTGTTATGAACATTCTTGATCATTTCTCCTGGTGCATGTTCTAGGGTTTCTTTAGCACAGCGCTTCTCAGACATTAATGAGCATTCATAGCAACCGGGGATCTTGTTAACAAGCAGATTCTAATTCAGTAAATGTGGGTAAACCTGCCATTCTGCATTTCTAACAAGCTCCAGGTGATACAAATGCTATTGGTTAGCCAACTACACTTTGATTAGTAGGCTTAGGATAAATACCTAAAAGTTGAATTGTTGAAACAGGGGTTATGTTTATCTTCAAGTTTACTCTAGATAATACGAGATTGTTTTCCAATGTGATTGTACAAACTACATGCCTAGCTGCTGTATGTTTATTGTTTCTCATTTGATATTGTCAGATTTAAAATTTTCCCCCAATTTAGTAATTATAAAATGATGTTATAATCTTAATTTGAATTTCCCTGATTATTAATAAAGTTGAGCATGTTTCTACATGTTTATTAGCCATTCTTAGAGTGCTTGCTCAATTGTTGATATTTCTAAGATGGTTGTCTATGTTACTTTCTATAAATGTGGGACAAAGTAAGATGAAACAATTTATCCTTAAGAAAATGACTGTGGGACAGGTACGGCGGCTCTGTAATCCCAGCACTTTGGAAGGCCAAGGCGGGAGGATCGCGTGAGCTCAGGAGTTTGTGACCAGCTTGGGCAACATGGCAAAACCCCATCTCTACAAAAAATTAGCTGGGGGTAGTGGCGTGTGCCTGTAGTCCTACAGACTGAGGCGAGAGGATCACTTGAGCTCTGGAGCTCGAGGCTGCAGTAAGTTGTGATTGCATCACTGCACTCCAGCCTAGACAACAGGGCAAGACCCTGCCTAAAAGAAAAAAAAAATAGAACATGACTGTGGCTTCGTTAAATTGACACTCTGCTCTATTCAATGGAATTCTCAGAAAGAGTGACGTTTACCAAAATGCAAGATGCTAATTAATGAAGGTCTTAAATTACTTGTTTGGCTCCTTGGTGTGCCTGACTGGTGTAGAAAAATCTGAGGATGACCTTCTGAATTCTGCTCTGAATTCTAAGTGGTCAGGAGATAAATGTAGCCTAGAGTCAGCCCCTGCATTGACCATTACCCCAAAATATACCAACACATGCTTGCCAGAGCTACTGTAGTTTAACTATTTATGAATTTTGAGGACTTTTAATAGCCTAAGTATTTAAATATCATTACTTATTTAGAAACTGTTCCAATATATGCTTAGTCAACTATGTTAATATAGAGTTGTATGTATTGTATATAATACAGATATATATTTTGTTTAATATGGATAGTTTGTAGTGATTCATTAAGAGTTTGAATTATATATAGATCTGCCTCTTTTTTGCCTATCATGGGCAAGTTTCAATTTTCTTGTGTACAAGATGAGATTGACATTGATAATACCTTCCCTACCATCTTCAATATACCTTCAGGGATATTTTGAAGATCAAAGGAATTCTAGTATCTTGATACTACTTTATATGATGAAAGAGTCTATATAAATGTAGTATTAATATATTGGATGACTTATCAAGAAGACAAATAACAAATGTTGGCAAGGGTATAGGGAAAATGAAACCCTTGTAAACTGTTGGTGGCAATATTTGTAAATTGGTACAGTTTCATGGCTGAACAATACTTCGTTGTATGGATATACTTTATTTTTGTGAAAATAGAAGTTCCTCAAGAAATTAAAAGTAGAACTACCATATGATTCAGCAATTTCTCTGTGAGCATAAACCCAAGGGAAATGAAATCAATATCTTGTAAAGATATCTGTAGCATTATTCACAATAGCTAAGATATGCAAACAACCCGTGTCTATTGATGAATACATCAACAAAAAAAGTGTTGTTTATGTAAAAACAAAAAAAATTTAAAATAAAATAAAATGCCTATCCATGCTTTTTGCCCATTTTCCCTCTATAGTGTATCTTTTTCTAGTTGATTACTTTAGGAGTTCCTTATATATTCTGGATTCTTCTAATCCTTTTAATTTACATGTGTTGCTAATACTTTCTTCCAGTTTGTGACATGTCTTTGCTTGCTTTTTTGAAGGAGTCCTTTGATGCACAGAGTTCTTAATTTTAGTGTAGTTAAAACATATTAATCTTTTCTTTTTTTGAGGCAAGGCTTCACTTTGTCACCTAGACTGGAATGCAGAGTCGCAATTACAGCTCACTGCAGCCTTGAACTCGTGGGCTCCAACAGTCCTCTCACCTCTGCCTTCCTAGTAGCTGAGACTACAGGTGCACACCACTACATGCAGCTAAGTTTTTTTTTTAATCGTTTTGTAGAGACGCGGTCTCACCATGTTGCCCAGGCTGGTCTCAAACTTGAGGGCTCAAGCGATCCTCTCACCTTGGCCTCCCAAAATCCTGGAATTTCAGGCTTGAGCCACCGTTCACAGGCCAACAGTATTTATCTTTTGTTTATAATTAGTGATTTTTGTGTCTTGAGAAGTACATCCCACCTGGCGCAGTAGCTGATGCCTGTAATCCCAACACTCTGGGAGGCCGAAGCAGGGGGATTGCTTGAGCCCAGGAGTTCAAGACCAGCCTGGGCAGCATGGCAAGACCCCATCTCTACAAAAAGTACAAAAATTAGCTAGGTGTGGTGGCACATGACTGTAGTCTCAGCTGCTCTGGAGGCTGAGGTGGGAGGATCGCTTGAGCTTGGGTGGTTGAAGCTACACTGAGCCATGATTGCGCTACTGCACTCCAGCCTATGTGACAGAGCAAGACCTTGTCTCCAAAAATAAAAAAAGAAAAAAGAAATACTTTACAATCCAAAGGTCCTAAAGGTAGTCTGCTATATTTCCTTCACATGTCTTGTCTTTTGCAATTTTAAAAATTGAGATAGCAATCACATACGTTAAATTCACCCTTTTAAAGTGTAAAATTTAGTGATTTTTGGTATATTCAAAGTTCTGCAACTATTACCACTAATTCCAGAACATTTACATCACCCCTTGCCAAAATAACCCTCACACCCATTAGCAATCACTCCGCATTCTGAATGTACCCCCACAGCCCTTGACAACCACTAATCTAAACTATCTCCATAAATCTGTCTATTATAGACATTCATATACCTGGAATGATACAATATGTGGTCTCTTGTGACTGGCTTCTTCAGTTAGCTTCTTTCACTTATGTTCTCAAGGTTCATCTATATTACAGCGTGTATGGTATCAGTACTTCATTCTTTTTCATGGCTGAACAATACTTCATTGTATGGATATACTTTACGTTTTGTTTATATACACATCAGTTGATAGACATTGTTAAAATAAAAATAAAAATGGGCGAGGTGTGGTGGCTCACACCTGTAATCTCAGCAGTTTGGGAGGCTGAGGCAGGAGAATCACTTGATCCCAGGAGTTGGAGACCAGCCTGAGCAACATGGCGAAACCCTGTCTCTACCAAAAATTTAAAAATTAGCAAGGCATGGTGGCATGTGCCTGTAGTCCCAGCTACTCGGGAGGCAGAGGTGGGAGGATTGCGTGAGCCCCAGGAGGTCAAGGTTGCAGTGAGCCGTGATCACATCACTGCACTCCAGCCTGGGTAACACAGTGAGACCCTGTCTCAATAAATAAATAAAAATAGAGCCACAGTTTAGATTTCTCAAGGCCAAACTGCCCATAGCAATGTAACTAAGACTTAATCCATCCTGATTTCCCCTAACCCTAAAGATAAACAAAACATAAAAGTAAGCTTTTTGTCTTTATCAATATGATTTCATGAAATTAAACGAATCAGCTATTGATAAATCAGCTTAAATAGCTCAACATGTCTTTAAAAAAATGACAGCCAGTCATGAAAAAAGTTACAATGTTGCTTCCTGTATGCTCTATAAACTGCTGTAATTGCTATAAAATGAGACCTGGCTGGGCTAGGTGGTTCATGCTTGTAATCTCAGCAATTTTGGAGGCCAAAACAAGAATATTACTTGAGGCCAGGAGTTCAAGACTAGCCTGGGCCACATAGCAAGACCCTGTTTCTATTTATATAAATTAAAAAACATAATTTTTTTAAATTGAGACTTCATGCTGTTTTCCAATTTGAGGTCTTTCCAGTTTGCAAACTGTTTCGTATGCACAATGAACTCTTAAAGTTATAACTTGATTTAATTTTGACATTTGTGTTGTTTCCACTTTTTGGATCATGAATAATGCTGCCATGAACATTCATGTACAAGCTTGAGTGTGGACATGTTTTCATTTCTCTTCTGTGAATATCTAGGAGTAGAATTGCTATTTATAGGTTACATGGTAATACTATGTTTAACTTTTTGAGGAACTGCCAGAATATTTTCAAAAGGGGCTCCAACAACATTACATTTGTACTAGCGCAGCGTATGAAGTTTCTGGTTTCTTCACATCCTTACCAACAGTGGTTACTGCCTGTCTTTTTGTACAGCCATCCTAGTGGGTGAGAAGTAGTATTTCATGGTGGTTTTGATTTGCATTCCCTTAATAATTAATGACACCGAGCAACTTTTCATGTGCTTATTGGCCATTTGTATATCTTTGCAGAAATGCCTATTCAAATCCTTTGCTTGTGTCTTTTTGTTTATAACTTTTTTTTTTTTGAGACAGGGTGGTGGTCTTGCTCTGTCATCCAGGCTGGAGTGCAGTGTTGGAATCATAGCTCACTGCAGCTTCCAGCTTGTGGGCTCATGCTCAAGCAATCCTCCTGCCTCAGCCTCTCAAGTAGCTGGGACGATAGGCACATGCTAACATGCCTGGCTAATTTATTATTTTTTGTAGAGGCAGGGTCTCACTATGTTGCCCAGGCTGGTCTTGAACTTCTGGGCCCAAATGACCGGCGCACCCAGGCTTTTGCTTAACTTCAAAGAGTTCTTTATATATTCTGGATCCTAGACTCTTACCAAATAAATGATTTATTTATTTATTTATTGTTTAAAATTTTTTGTAGAGACGGGGTCTCTCTGTGGTGCTCAGGCTGGTCTCAAACTCTTGACCCCAAGAGATTCTCCTGCCCTCGCCTCCCAAAGTGCCAGGAATACAGGGATGCATTACCACACCTGGCCCACATACATGATTTTTAAATATTTTCTCCCATTCTGTGGTTTGTCCTCCCACTTTCTTCATAGTGGTGTATGAATTTGGTGTAAACAAAAATAAAATAAATTTGGTGTAAACAAAAATAAAATAAAATAGTCTCCAAAGCACAAAAGTTTTTAATTTTAATTAAATTGAAGTTCAATTTATCTAATTTTCTCTTTAGCTGCTTGGGCTTTTGGTATCATAATACAGAAAAAATGGGCTAATCCAAAGTCATGACAAAATACATCTAAGTTTTATTCTGAGAGTTTTTTTTTTTTTTTATTATTGTTATACTTTAAGCTTTAGGGTACATGTGCACACCGTGCAGGTTTGTTACATATGTATACATGTGTCATGTTGGTGTGCTGCACCCATTAACTAGTCATTTAGCATTAGGTATATCTCCTAATGCTATCCCTCCCCACTCCCCGCACCCCACAACAGTCCCCAGTATGTGATGTTCCCCTTCCTGTGTCCATGTGTTCTCATTGTTCAATTCCCACCTATGAGTGAGAACATGCAGTGTTTGGTTTTTTGTCCTTGCGATAGTTTGCTGAGAATGACGGTTTCCAGCTTCATCCACGTCCTTACAAAGGACATGAACTCATCATTTTTTATGGCTGCATAGTATTCCATGGTGCACATGTGCCACATTTTCTTAATCCAGTCTATCATTGTCGGACATTTCGGTTGGTTCCAAGTCTTTGCTATTGTGAATAGTGCTGCAATAAACACACATGTACATATGTCTTTATAGCAGCATGATTTATAATCCTTTGGGTATATACCCAGTAATGGGATGGCTGGGTCAAATGGTATTTCTAGTTCTAGATCCCTGAGGAATCGCCACACTGACTTCCACAATGGTTGAACTAGTTTACACTCCCACCAACAGTGTAAAAGTGTTCCTATATCTCCACATCCTCTCCAGCACCTGTTGTTTCCTGACTTTTTAATGATTGCCATTTTAACTGGTGTGAGATGGTATCTCATTGTGGTTTTGATCTGCATTTCTCTGATGGCCAGTGATGATGAGCATTTTTCCATGTGTTTTTTGGCTGCATAAATATCTTCTTTTGAGAAGTGTCTGTTCATATCCTTCACCCACTTTTTGATGGGGTTGTTTGTTTTTTTCTTAAAATTTGTTTGAGTTCATTGTAGATTCTGGATATTAGCCCTTTGTCAGATGAGTAGGTTGCAAAAATTTTCTCCCATTCTGTAGGTTGCCTGTTCACTCTGATGGTGGTTTCTTTTGCTGTGCAGAAGCTCTTTAGTTTAATTAGATCCCACTTGTCAATTTTAGCTTTTGTTGCCATTGCTTTTGGTGTTTTAGACATGAAGTCCTTGCCCATGCCTATGTCCTGAATGGTATTGCCTAGGTTTTCTTCTAGGTTTTTATGGTTTTAGGTCTAACATGTAAGTCTTTAATCCATTTGAATTAATTTTTGTATAAGGTGTAAGGAAGGGATCCAGTTTCAGCTTTCTCCATATGGCTAGCCAGTTTTCCCAGCACCATTTATTAAATAGGGAATCCTTTCCCCATTGCTTGTTTTACTCAGGTTTGTCAAAGATTGGATAGTTGTAGATATGCGGCATTATTTCTGAGGGCTCTGTTCTGTTCCATTGGTCTATATCTCTGTTTTGGTACCAGTACCATGCTGTTTTGGTTACTGTAGCCTTGTAATATAGTTTGAAGTCAGGTAGCGTGATGCCTCCAGCTTTGTTCTTTTGGTTTAGGATTGACTTGGCAATGTGGGCTCTTTTTTGGTTCCATATGAACTTTAAAGTAGTTTTTTTCCAATTCTGTGAAGAAAGGCATTGGTAGTTTGATGGGGATGGCATTGAATCTATAAATTACCTTGGGCAGTGTGGCCATTTTCACGATATTGATTCTTCCTACCCATGAGCTTGGAATGTTCTTCCATTTGTTTGTATCCTCTTTTATTTCATTGAGCAGTGGTTTGTAGTTCTTGAAAAGGTCCTTCACATCCCTTGTAAGTTGGATTCCTAGGTATTTTATTCTTTTTGAAGCAATTGTGAATGGGAGTTCCCTCATGATTTGGCTCTCTGTTTGTCTGTTATTGGTGTGTAAGAATGCTTGTGATGTTTGCACATTGATTTTGTATCCTGAGACTTTGCTGAAGTTGCTTATCAGCTTAAGGAGATTTTGGGTTGAGACTATAGGGTTTTCTAGATATACAATCATGTCATCTGCAAACAGGGACAATTTGACTTCCTCTTTTCCTAATTGAATGCCCTTTATTTCCTTCTGCTGCCTGATTGCCCTGGCCAGAACTTCCAACACTATGTTGAATAGGAGTGATGAGAGAGGGCATCCCTGTCTTGTGCCAGTTTTCAAAGGGAATGCTTCCAGTTTTTGCCCATTCAGTATGATATTGGCTGTGGGTTTGTCATAGATAGCTCTTATTATTTTGAAATACGTCCCATCAATACCTAATTTATTGAGAGTTTTTAGCATGAAGAGTTGTTGAATTTTGTCAAAGGCCTTTTCTGCATCTATTGAGATAATCATGTGGTTTTTGTCTTTGGTTCTGTTTATATGCTGGATTACGTTTATTGATTTTCGTATGTTGAACCAGCCTTGTATCCCAGGGATGAAGCTCACTTGATCATGGTGGATAAGCTTTTTGATGTGCCGCTGGATTCGGTTTGCCGGTATTTTATTGAGGATTTTTGCGTCAATGTTCATCAAGGATATTGGTCTAAAGTTCTCTTTTTTTGTTGTGTCTCTGCCAGGCTTTGGTATCAGGATGATGCTGGCCTCATAAAATGAGTTAGGGAGGATTCCCTCTTTTTCTATTGATTGGAATAGTTTCAGAAGGAATGGTACCAGGTCCTCCTTGTACCTCTGGTAGAATTCGGCTGTGAATCCATCTGGTCCTGGACTCTTTTTGGTTGGTAAGCTATTAATTATTGCCTCAATTTCAGAGCCTGTTATTGGTCTATTCAGAGATTCAACTTCTTCCTGGTTTAGTCTTGGGAGAGTGTATGTGTCGAGGAATTTATCCATTTCTTCTAGATTCCTTTTGGGTTTTCTATGTAGACAGTCTCATCATTAAGATGATATCAAAATTAAGGTGTTGTTTTTGCCTGTCCTATCTTATGTCTTTTTTCTTTCTTGTAAAATCTGTCTAGGACTTCTACCATCTGTTTAAAAAAAGCCATAATAGTGGGCATTCTTATCTTGTTAATAATATTAAAAGGAAGGAGCCTAATATTTTACTACTAAACATGATGTTTGCTTGACTCCCAGTAGGGCCGAAAAAGAAAATGAAGTTTGCTGTTGAATTTTTTAGATGCCATTTGTTATGGTTTGGCTCTGTGTCCCCACCCAAATCTCATGTCAAGTTGTAATCCCCAAGTGTCAGGGGAGGGACCTGGTAGGAGGTGATTGGATCATGGAGAAATCCCTTGCTGTTCTTGTGATAGTGTGTTCTCACAAGATCTGGTTGTTGAAAAGTGTGTGGCACTTAAAAGTGTGTACCTCGCCCCCATCTCCTCTCTCTTTCTCTCCTGCCACCATGTAAGTACATGCCTTGCTTCCCCTTTGCCTTCTGCTATGATTATAAGTTTTCTGAGGCCTCCCCAGCCATGCAGAACTGTGAGTGAATGAAATCTCTTTTCTTTATAAATTACCCAGTTTCAGGTAGTTCTTTATAGCCATGTGAAATGGACTAATATACCATTAATAACACTAAGAGAGTTTTATCCCTAGCTTTGCTTGATTTTGTTTCATCATAAATGGATCTTTTTTTTTTTCCAATCCTTTTCCTGCATCTATTGGTGTGATCTTAGGTTTTTGATACATCAGCATATTTTTCCAATTTTAAATTGATCTTCAATCCCAACTTGGTTATAATGTGTTGTATTTTACAAACATTGTTGAATTTGATTGTAAATATTTTGACTGAGACTGGTGCATCTAAATTATAAATAAAGTTGACCTATAATTTTTCTTCCCCAAGTTGTCTTTGGTTTTGGCATCAAGATCATACTAGCCTTATAAAATGTACTGGGGAGGTCTATTTCATGAGTTCTGGAGGGAAACATGTATAATAACTGAAGGTTTTATATATATATATATCTGTGTATATATATCTGTATATATATCTTATGTATATATATATCTGTATATATATGTACATGGCCAATTATGTATGTATATAATTGCCCTTAGATCAAGTTTATTAGTTGTTTTATTAGTTGTCTTGTCTTTCCTAAATTTTCATTTGCTTGATCTATAAATAAGTGAGCTAAAACTTCACAATATGGTAGTGGATTCACCAGTTTCTTCAATTTCTGACTTACATACTTTGAAGCTATTTATTACACACAAAGGTTTGAATAACTATTTTCCTGGGGAACACAATTTTTTATTATTTTGTAGTGACTCTTTTTGGTCAATGATAATGCTTTTTGTATTAAAGTCTAATTTAATACAAAATACAGGTATACCACGAATATAGGTATACCACCTTTCTTTTTGTTGGCATTTATACGGCATCTCTTTTCCATCTTTTTATTTTCAACTCCTCACGATCCTTAATGTTTTTGGTGCATCTCTTGTAAATGGCACTTTTTTTTTTCAACCAATCTCTGGCTTTTTTATTTTTTAAACTTGTGGGTATGTGTCATCCAACAATCTCTGGCTTTTCATCAGAAAGTTTATTTACTTTCATTGTTACTATTGATATATATGAATTTATTTCTATTTTGTTACTTTAGTGCTTTCTTTTCATCCTCTTTTTTTTTAATGCTCATTATGATATTAGGTTTTTGTTCATTTAATCTGTGTTTTCCTGTTAGTCCATTTTTTCCTTTGGCTGGATTAGAAGTTATACACTTTCATGGTTATCCTTGAAACTTTACCTTGCGTACTTAAAGACTTGAATTATGTCAACTCTATTAATTGATATCTTAACTACAAAGAGAGACCTTAGAATTCTTTAACTTTGTCATCCACCTCTCGTCTTACATACTTTTGTTGTCTGGTGTTATTTCATGTAATGTTTGCTCAGATTCAACTATGTGTTTACAATTTCTTTGCCCATCACTTCTATCTCAGACTCTCCTTCTGAAGTAATTTTTCTTTCTGAAGTACATCTTTTAGAACTTCCTTTAAAAAGTGTAGGTAGATGTTAAATTCAGTTTCCATGTACCTGGAAATTATTTTATTTCTATACTTTAATTCTTGAAAGATAATTTTGCTGAGTGCCCAATTCTAGGTTGATGGTTATTTTCTGCCAGCATTCTGAATGTACAATTCTACTCTTTCTGACTTCCACTGTTTTATTGAGGAATCAATTATTGGTCTGTCATTTGTCATTAAAATAACCAAGGATTTAACCCAACTCTGCCACTTTATTGTTCTGTCATCTTGGCAGGTCACTTCCAATTCCCTAGGCCTCAGTCCTTCATTAACCAAAGAGAGATAAGAGCACCAACCTCACAGCTTTGTTATGAACATTAAGAGAGATCATGTATATGAAAGCACTACACAAGTGCTTATTATTACCACAATTAGCTCATCTCTACATTATATTACTGTCTTGTTCTTTTCCCCCTACCACTGGAAATAGTTAGAATGGGGCAAATGGGTCATAGCTAGGAATTCATAGCCAAAATTAGAAATAAAAAGGCGAGGCTTCTTCTGGGAATGTTAAGTTTCTGTAATAAGAATCTAAGATGTGTTGCGGGAAGTCAGGGACCCCGAACGGAGGGACCGGCTGGAGCCACGGCAGAGGAACATAAATTGTGAAGATTTCATGGACATTTATCAGTTCCCAAATAATACTTTTATAATTTCTTATGCCTGTCTTTACTTTAATCTCTTAATCCTGTTATCTTCGTAAGCTGAGGATGTACATCACCTCAGGACCACTGTGATAATTGTGTTAACTGTACAAGTTGATTGTAAAACATCTGTGTTTGAACAATATGAAATCAGTGCACCTTGAATAAGAACAGAATAACAGCAATTTTTAGGGAACAAAGGAAGACAACCATAAGGTCTGACTGCCTGTGGGGTTGGGCAAAAACAGCCATATTTTTCTTCTTGCAGAGAGCCTATAAATGGATGTGCAAGTAGGAGAGATATTGCTAAATTCTTTTACTAGCAAGGAATATAAATATTAATACCCTGGGAAAGGAATGCATTCCTGTGGGGAGGTCTATAAACAGCCGCTCTGGGAATGTCTGTCTTACGCGGTTGAGATAAGGACTGAGATACGCCCTGGTCTCCTGCAGTACCCTCAGGCTTACTAGGGTGGGGAAAAACTCCGCCCTGGTAAATTTGTGGTCACACCAGTTCTCTGCTCTTGAACCCTGTTTTCTGTTATTTAAGATGTTTATTAAGACAATATGTGCACTGCTGAACATAGACCCTTATCAGTAGCTCTGCTTTTGCCCTTTGCCTTGTGATCTTTGTTGGACTCTTATAAGTAGTTCTGCTTTTGCCCTTTGTCCTGTTCCCTCAGAAGCATGTGATCTTTGTTAGACCCTTACTAGTAGTAAGGTCTTTTTGCCTTTTGAAGCATGTGATCTTTGTACTTTTGTACCTACTCCCTGTTCTTACACCCCCTCCCCTTTTGAAACCCTTAATAAAAACTTGCTGGTCTGAGACTCAGGCGGGCATCATGGTCCTACCGATATGTGATGTCACCCCCGGTGGCTCAGCTGTAAAATTCCTCTCTTTATACTGTCTCTCTTTATTTCTCAGCTGGCCAACACTTATGGAAAATAGAAAGAACCTACGTTGAAATATTGGGGGCGGGTTCCCCCAATAAAGATGTCAGATAGGGGTACAGCTTTTTTATATTCCATCCCTACCATCATTGCCTTACTTCAACTTCTGATTATTTCTTGCTGGATAATTGTATCATTGGCATTTCTCCCTTCAGGCTCTTAAGCCTCTTATTCACCCTTCTCCTACTGCCAAAGCCTTCATTTTAAAATGCAAGTATCATTACTTCTCTGATTAATATCTTACGGCAAATTCCAGATTTGGTTAAGTACATAGTCTGTGTGTTCCCTAAAACATTCTCTGTCGCAAAGCAGCAGAGCGTTGGGATTACCAGACAGTGGTGTTCACATCAGACCACCCAGGTTCACATCTCAGTCTTCTAGTTAAAATTGTGTGACCTTGTAGCAAATTGTTTAACACAGGAAGCTGTAAAACAGTAAAAACAGTAAGTACTTTATCATGTTATGAATGCATGCAGTGCACAACACCTAAGTGCTCAATAAGTGTTGCCTGTTATTGTTACAGTATATTATTAATATATTGTAATTGTCCCCATAATAAACTCTAAATACAGTACATGTTAATTATTATTGAGGATGACATTGTAATTGATTACGTCTCAGTCTCTCCATTATACCTCCAATAACTTCGGGGGTAGAAGCTGAATTACTCTTTTTTGCTTCCCTAGAGGTTTACATATTATTTGGTACTCAATTATGTAGGAACTGAGCCACAGGCAGAACCAAGAAGCTGGCTATTGCTTCTGCCCTCGCCTGAGGTGAATTGTTAGCTGCACTGTTCCTGGGAGTCAAGAGCTTGCACTCACTCTCAAGCAAAATGGCATAACTTTGGCTTTTCAGAATATTAAACTAGTGATTCTGCCTTTCCCGCCTCTCAAATAAATGGTGTGTCACCCTAGAAAGAAAGATAACACACTCCGCATACACAAACACGCACACCGCAAGGAACCAAAGGCCAAGAGTATCAATGTACCAGGGCGCACACACTTCGAGAGACAGGTTCGGTGCATCGCAGGATCCCAATCTTTCTTGCATCTTCAGCTCTAAAAGTCGGCACCTCGGGGTATGCCAGGATCCTCGAGAAAACAGATATAAACACATATTTACCCACAAAACAGAGATAAAGCACAAGCCTGCGGGATAACTGGAGGAGTTATCTTACAGTTGAGACTTTCTGCAACCTGCAGATTTTGCCGTGCCCAGGGCACAAGTTTTTCAGGGCTCCTGGGCACCCCCGCGACCGTCATCTCACTTCCCCGGCAGCTTCCTCGCCCCGACCGCAGTGTTCCCAGCGCGGCTCCTTTAAGCCGAGCTACGCGCATGCGCACTGACTGCGGAACTGGGCGAACCCGGGGGTTCGTTTCTGCTGACTCCAGTGTCCCGAGAGGCGCCGCTTCTTCCGCTTTCTCGTCAGGCTCCTGCGCCCCAGGCATGAACCAAGGTTTCTGAACTACTGGGCGGGAGCCAACGTCTCTTCTTTCTCCCGCTCTGGCGGAGGCTTTGTCGCTGCGGGCTGGGCCCCAGGGTGTCCCCCATGGCGGGGCCGCGGGTGGAGGTCGATGGCAGCATCATGGAAGGGGTGAGTACAGAGCGAAGCGGCCGGGGCTGCAGCCTAACTAAGGAGGGGAGCTCTCACCACCGGTGTGCTTACTTCTCTTCTCCCTGTACCCCAACCTTTGCAGGGCGGCCAGATCCTGAGAGTCTCTACGGCCTTGAGCTGTCTCCTAGGCCTCCCCTTGCGGGTGCAGAAGATCCGAGCCGGCCGGAGCACGCCAGGCCTGAGGTAAATCTGGCTGGAGGGGGAGTTGGGCCGTGAAGCTGGGGGATCGGGGGGTCGGGCTGCCGGGCTGGGGCATCGGGAGTCCGAGTGGTGGAACCCAGAAGGTCCCAGACGCAGGTATGGGCGATCCAGGGCGGGGCACTCTGCCTGGGCGGTGGCCTGGGTTGTAAAGTCTTGAAAGCCTGGAGGGGTGAGTTTAGAAATGGTCTCGAGTTTTCTCTGTTTGACTAAATAGTGTCATTTGCTGAAGAGCTAGCTTTTAAAATGTTTTCTCACCTCACCGGGCATTCCAAATATCCGAACAGCACGTATGAGCTGGCAAGATAGATAGGGCAGAAATGCTTGTGACGCCAGAGGAAACCCTGTTTTATAACCAGTGCATTCTGGTTCTGCTGTCAGTTTTAGAATCATAAAACAGGAAAGAATCCTGAGATGTGTTATCCCAGCCTTCATTCATACCTCCAGAGAGCTGTTATGACCAGAATTATCTGTTGTGGAGAGGGAAACACCTTGACATTTGACCTTATTTCTTCTGTCTGGGTAGCTGGGCATGCCACTAGTTGAGCTTCAGGTACATGCACCTGCTAGAAGAGGACCCAGGTTTGAAGCCACACTGATTGCTTTGTATGTATTCTGTATTTATTACATTTTAATAAATCAGCGGTCTCAGTCTTTTGTCTACAGTTTTGAAATTACCAAAAGGCAATTACTGATATGTTAATGTTAATTGCCTTTGTCATAGTTTGCAGCCCTCCAGTTCACCAACAGGGGAATCCAATTCATTAGGCTGTAGGTGTTGTATTAGTTTGCTAGGGCTGCCATAACAAAATGCCACACACAGAGTGGAGCTTAAACAACAGAAATTTATTTCCTCACAGTTCTGGAGGCTGGAAGTCCAAGATCAAGGTCCTGACAAGGTTGGTTTCCTCTGAGAGCCATGAGAAAAGGATCTGCTCCAGGCCTGTCTTTTTGCCTCTTCACATGGTGGTTCCTCTGTGTACCTTGCCCCTAGCGTCTCTGTATGTTCTAGTTTTTTTTTTTTTTATAAGGACACCAGTAAGATTGTATGGTGGCCTTATTTTAACTTAATTATCTCTTTAAAGGCTCTATCTCCAAATATAGTCACATTCTGAGATACGGAGGGTTACAGTCTCAGCATATTAATTTAGGGGGAACATAGTTCAGCCCATACAGGCACCATAGATTGTTCAGTCAAGTGCAAGCGAGACTGGTGGCACTGAAATAACTATTAGTTTTCTTCTTTAGCACACTTCTAATTTGCAGCAATATATCAGGGTATGTATTTATAGTCAGAAATAACTGGTCTGCAAGGAAGTGTTAAAATGATACATACTAGCAGGTAGTCTAGGTGCATAAAAACCCAAAAGGAAGCTGACACTGAAGATGTGGCACTTACTGTGGTTAGACCTTGCTGTTTTCTTGCCATTGCAGTTTTATAAATTTGTCATAAAATGTGGGGATGTAGGCAGTCTGAATGCACACGTTTTGATGCAGTATTATGACCTGAAGGCCTCAACATTTATCTGGACTGGAAATGATTCGAGATTTGTGTGATGGGCAACTGGAGGGGGCAGAAATTGGCTCAACAGAAATAACCTTTACACCAGAGAAGATCAAAGGTGGAATCCACACAGCAGATACCAAGACAGCAGGGTATGTATCACTTAACATTCCATTTAAGTAACCTGGGTTTAAGTCCAGGTTTTGCCACTTTCTGGGCAAGTTGCTTAATGTCTATGAGCTTGTTTCCCTACTTTTATGTTTTTTTTTTTTGAGACAAGGTATCCCTCTTGCCCAGGCGGGGGTGCAGTGGTGCAATCACTGCTCACTGTAAGCTGTAACTCCTGGGCCCAACAGGTCCTCCCACCTCAGCCTCCTGCGTGGCTGGGACCATAGGCACACAGCACCATGCCCCGCTAATTTTTGTATTTTTTAAAGAGACAAGGTTTCGCCATGTTTTTCAGCTGGTCTCGAATTCCTAAGCTCAAGCAATCCACCCACGTTGGCCTCCCAAAGTTTTGGGATTATAAGTGTGAGCCACCACACCTGTCCAATAAATATTCATTGAATTAATGAAATTCATTATTACTGATAGAGACTTCCCAGTTCAATACTTAAGCATCATTGTGTAAGTGAGTTAAATAAAGATCTGTCTTTTGATAGCTAAGAGGCTATGTCGAATTCCCTTTCAAACTACTTATGAATATGATTGCTTTCACTTAACTTTGGAGAAGGGAGATAATGGCTCATTTAGAAAACAACCAGGCCAGGTGCGGTGGCTCACGCCTGTAGTCCCAGCACTTTGGGAGGCCGAGGTGGGTGGATCGCTTGAGCTCACAAATTTGAGACCAGCCTGGGCAACATGGCAAAACCCCGTCATATATATATATTTATATATTTATATATATAAATAAAAATTAGCTGGGCATGGTGGTACATGCCGGTAGTCCCATCTACTTGAGAAGCTGAGGCTTGAGCCTTGGAGGTGGAAGGTGCAGTGAACTGAGATTGTGCCGCTGCACTCCAGCCTGGGTGATGGAAGGAGCCCCTGTCTCAAAAAAAGAAAAGATAATGACCAAGTGTTTCACTTTATGAAATTCATCATGTTACATAACTATTTCTTGTGATTTCTCACATTATTTGACTATAAGGACCAAACAGGCAAGTAAAGCAAGGATTACTTCACTAAAACTTCCCATGTGAAATATTTAGCTATCAGTCTTTTTTTTTTTTTTTTTTGGTCTCCCAGGCTGGAGTGCAGTGGCATGATCATGGCTCACTGTAGCCTTGACCTCTTGGGCTCAGGCGATTCTCCTAAAGTGCTGAGACTACAGGCGTGCACCACAATGCCTGGTTAATTTTTAAATTTTTTGTAAAGATGGAGTCTCACTATGTTGCCCAGATTGGTTTTGAACTCCTGGGCTCGAGTGATCATCCCACCTCTGTCTCCCAAAGTGCTGGGATACAGGCATGAGCCACCACGCCCGGCCAAGCTGTGAGTGTTTGTTATTATTAAAATTAATAATTATTAAAATATTTTATTATACTTTAAGTTCTGGATACATGTGCAGAATGTGCAGGTTTGTCACATATGTACACATGTGCCATAGTGGTTTGCTGCACCCATCAACTGGTCATCTAGGTTTTAAGCCCTGCATGCATTAGGTATTTGTCCTAGTGCTCTCCCTCCCCTTGCCACCTGCCCCCCGACAAGCCCTGGTGTGTGATGTTCCCCTCCCTGTGCCCATGTGTTCTCATTGTTCAACTGCCACTTATGAGTGAGAACATGCAGCGTTTGCTTTTCTGTTCCTATGTTAGTTTACTGAGAATGATGGTTTCCAGCTTCATCCATGTCCCTGCAAAGGACATGAACTCATTCTCTTTTATGGCTGCGTAAAATATTATTCTATCATATCATGAACTCCACAATGACAGGAACTATATCTTTATACCTGGAACAGTACCTTGTTATATAGTAACTAATCATATCCAGACCTTGTCTATTTTGAAAGCATTTTCATAAACTGCTAGTTTCAAGAATTCTTTTGTAAAACTTTTGAAGAAGGTTTTATTTTTAATTTTTTTTCTTTTTTACTTTTTTGTAATATAAAGAAAAGTATCAGAACTTAGCCAAGGTCACACAGCTAATGTGTTTAGTTGAAGATTCAGACCCAGGTTTGGTTATCATTTAAAGCTATTTTTCTATGGTGAAATACTGTTTTTCTTTAAAATTCAGGATTTTACTATTCAGACACTAAAATGTTTTTTAACTAGAAACTCAATGGCATATACCTGCCTTCACAGTTGTCTGTGCTTTAGTTGGTAGTGATGAACAAGAATATAGCTTATTTAAGAGTTTGAAAAGAAAATGCAGAAAAGAAAATGAAAATAAGCCCCTTCTGCCTTCTCCTTAGGAGTGTGTGCCTCTTGATGCAGGTCTCAATGCCGTGTGTTCTCTTTGCTGCTTCTCCATCAGAACTTCATTTGAAAGGTGGAACTAATGCTGAAATGGCACCACAGATCGATTATACAGTGATGGTAAGGGCTTTTGTTGTTGACAAACTAAGATGATCTCATACATGCTTCTGAGTCTCCATTCTCTAAATATATCCTGAGTGTTTTTTTGTGACTTTCTTGTTTATCTCTTCATGGTGTCTTTTCTTTCTTTCTTTCTTTTTTTTTTTGAGACAGTGCTGTTGCCAAGGCTGGAGTACAGTTGCATATCACAGCTCACTGCATACTCAACCTCCTGAGCTCAAGCAATCCTCCTGTCTTGGCCTCCTGAGTAGCTGGGACTACAGGCACACACCCAGCCAATTTTTTTAAATTTTTTGTAGAGTCGATGCCTCACTATGTTGCCTAGGCTGGTCTTGAACTCCTGAGCTCTAAGGATCCTCCCACCTCAGCCTCCCAAATGTGTCTATTGCAGTAGGGGGTGGGGAATTATGTTTACTTTAAGTTTGTTGTTATATCTTGGAATAGTGTTTATAGTGAATTAAAAAAAAAAACTCAAGTGTAGGGCCCGGTGTGGTGGCTCACACCTGTAATCCTAGCACTCTGGGAGGCTGAGGTAGGCAGATCACTTGAGCTTAGAAGTTCAAGACCAGCCTGGGCAACATGGTGAAATCCCATCTCTACAAAAAAATAATATAAATAAAAAACAAAAAACACTACACACAGAAAAATTAGCCAGGCATGGTGGTGCACACCTGTCCAAGCTACTCAGGAGGCTGAGGTGGGAGGATCACTTGAGCCTGGGAGGTTGAGTTTGCAGTGAGCTATGTTGGCACTCCATCCTGGGTGATAAAGCAAGATGCTGTCTTTAAAAAAACAAAAAACACCTCGAGTGTGATATAAATTATATCAGTTGTGATGTGTTATTTTATAAATACAAGGATTATGATTTGGAGGGAAACTCAAACTTTTTTTTTCTATTAAGCCCCTTCCATTCTAGGATCAAACATTTAAAAAATGATTTAAAAAATACTGGCATGCTCATATAACTAGTGGGAGAGAAAAGTGGTATAATCTTTTTTCTTCTAGATTTATTAAAGTGTAATTTTTTCAATTGAATCCACCCTTTTTAACATGCAGTTCTGTGATTTTTGACAGTGACATGATTCACAGTTATGAACCATCTACCACAATCAAGACATAGAATAGTTCCGTTACTCTAAAAAATTCCCTTATACGTTTTTGTAATCAGTCCTGAGCCTCAGCCCCTGGCAACTGCTGATCTGTTTTCTGTCATAGTTTTGCCTTTTGTTCAGAATGTCATATAAGGGATAATACTGTACGTAGGCTTTGAGTCTGGGTTTTTTGCTCTCCATAATACATTTGAGATTCATCCATGTTGCTTGTATCTGCAATGAAAACTTGAGTTGTGTTCTCGTATATGGATGTACCAGTTTGCATATCCATTCATCTATTGAAGGGCATTTGGGTGTTTCCAGATTTTGGCAATTATAAATTAAGTTACTGTTAACATTCATATACAAGTTTTTGTGTGATTGTACATTTTCATTTCTCTTGGGAAAATACTTGCTGGGTTGTTATAATAAGCAAATGTCTAACTTTATAATACATAGCCAGGTTATTTTAGCTTCCAAAGTGGCTACATTTTGCATTATTACCAGTACTATATGAGAGTTCCAGCTGAAGTGGGCACAGTGGTGTGTGCCTATAGTCCCAGCTATTTAATACTTGGTAGGGTGAGGTGGGAGGATCTCTTGAGCTTAAGCTGGAGTCTAGCCTGGGTAACATAGCGAGACCCCATCTCTAAAATAAAAATAAATATCAAATAGAGGGTTCCAGCTGTTCTGTATCCATCCTAGCACTTGATATTTTCAGGTTTTTATTTGTTAAGCTTTTTCTGCCTTTAAAAAAAAACACAAAACAAGGTTAATAACCTGTATACCTCCTGGATACATAGGAGACAACCCAGAGAAATAAGTAAATCTCTAGAGTAGATCTCAAAGAGTTGCCTTAGACATCAGGCTTAAACACCATCTTTCTCTGAAATATTGCCATTCTAATAGATGGTATAATCTTTTCAAAGTCAGTTCGATGGGATGTATAATAAAAATTAATCTCTCCTCACCTAATAATTTGACTTCAAGGAAACTCCTCTAATTCAATATTGCAAAGTTCAGCTAAAGATAAATGTTAAAGGTATTTGAACAGAGCATTATATACTGTAATTATCATTATATAAGATATATCATTATCTAATAATGAAAACTTGGAGAACCGTTAAGTCAATTAGGCTAGGATGCCATGGAGTCATTCAGATTTTGTTTAGGAATAATTTTATGATGTCAGGAAAATGCTTATGTTTATAATGTTAAAGCATTGTCTGTGGAATGAGATTTCAACTGTACAAAAAATTGAGATGACAGAATGGAATGCTCTTCACCAATACCCCCTCATTTCTTAAATGTACTATATTGAGATGCGTGAGGAAGTATTGGCCTTCGGAGTAGAATAACCACTGATATCAAATATCCTAAGTTCCAATTTTTTTCGTTAGATAGACTTGCACAGCTCTGATTAAATAAATGTCAAACTTTTAAATTTAGCTACATATCAGTTTTTTTATTTGAAAAAAATGGAACCAGCCTACATATTCTTATAACACTGTTTACCTATAGCACCCAGTTACTAGCCAGCAAAGCGCTTTTGTTTAATAAATACACTTGTTAAATTAGTGAATATTGCTGATTAACCTAATGATAAAAACTGATTTTTTCAGGTCTTCAAGCCAATTGTTGAAAAATTTGGTTTCATATTTAATTGTGACATTAAAACAAGGTAAGTTGCTTGTTTCTTAAATGTTAGGATCTATTACTTACGCTAGAAGTAGTGGAAAAGTTAGACCCTTAGAGAACTGTCTTTCTGGTACCCACTTAATACATTGCATCTCTTGTAAGAAGTAATTGTACTTTGTGGCTTAAAAATAATGAATAGCAGGAGCATGGGGACTCGAGAGCAGCTACACATCATGGTTATTTATTTCTAGGGAAAATATTTTCAAGGGAATTTTCACAGTGAGGTACCCTCATATCTAGTGATATTTCATGCCCCAGCACAGCTTAAGTGCTCACTGTGTGTAGACAACTGGACTAGACACTAAGGGGTCATAAAAGGAATTCTCTTCCACAATGTGATCAGAATTGTTTTCCTAAGAAACACATTGGGCATTCAGGTTATTTCTCTTTAAGGCTTCCCTTCTGCCACACAATCACTAGGCCATATTTCTTGGTGTGGCATTTAAGTGCTTTGAAGTCTTGCCCTAACTTTTCTAACTTCTTCGTCCCTCTCCTCCTTTCAACGTGTTATGTATTCTAACAATATGTTTGCTTGTTATTCCTTAAATATGCTTTGTGCCTTTGGACTTTTGTGTCTTTGTTCATGTTATTCTTCCCCTGCTCTCCCAAAAGTTAGAAATCCTATGTTTTTTTCAACGTGAAACTTATAATTCTTTATGAACTGTGATTGTGCCTCAATCAGAATTCATATTTGCACCTATGTTGTAGCCTTTCTTATAGCCTGACCTGTATTCTAGTAGACAGTGTGTGGAGCCATCTCCCTACCAGATGGTGAGCTCTTTGAGGGGAGGAGTACTGTCTTCTCACCGTCTGCTGTAAAATAAATGACACCAATTAATTGAATTAAAACTTTTTAAGTGTTTTGCTACTTAAATATTCATCATATATTTATTTGAGGACCTACCATGTGCCAGACATTGTTTTAGGCACAGGAAAATAGCAGGAACAATATAGGTAAGTCTAGCCCTCAAGGCGCTTATATTCTACAATAGCCCTGTCAAATAGAACTTTCTGCATTGGGGTATATGTTCCATATCTATGCTGTCCAATATGGTAGTCACTAGCCAAATGTGACTATTGAGCACTTAAAATGTGGCTAGTGCAGCTGGGGAGCTGATTTTTAAATTTTATTTAATTTTAATAGTTTCACATATCTCAAGGCTACCACATTGTATAGTACAGACAAAATTTTGTTTTTTAATGTATAAAATTTTACAAAATACAGACCTAAAATATTTAGACCTTTCCATGGATTACATGTTTGGATATCATTGACATGTCATTTTATTGTAATATAGAGCTTTGTTTTTGTCATGCAATCAGTTTATGTGGGCATTTGTTATACTTTTCATAGGGGATATTACCCAAAAGGGGGTGGTGAAGTGATTGTTCGAATGTCACCAGTTAAACAATTGAACCCTATAAATTTAACTGAGCGTGGCTGTGTGACTAAGATATATGGAAGAGCTTTCGTTGCTGGTGTTTTGCCATTTAAAGTAAGTTGTTTAGATGTTCTTAGAAATAAAATATATGTGTGTCTTGATAAATATTATGTCAACTAAATTTTGAAATTATTGAGAGAACTTAACATTTTTTTAAGGAAAGAAATAATGTCCTTTGTGGCAATATGGCTGCAGCTGGAGGCCATTATCCTAAGCAAATTAATGTGGGAACAGAAAACCAAATACCACATGTTCTCATAAGTGGAAGCTACGCATTGAATACACATGGACATAAAGATGGGAACACTGGGGACTGCTAATGGGAGGAGGGTGGAAGGGGGCTGAGGGTTGAAACACTATCAGGTACTGTGTTCACTACCTAGGTGATGGGATCATTCATATACCAGATCTCAGCGACATGTAATTTACCCATGTAACAAACCTGCACATGTACCTCCTGAACCTAAAATAAAAGATGAAATATATGTATTAATGGATACATTAATTAACAAAAATAAAATTAATTTGCATAAGCATATTTAAAAATTCAGTGCTCTCTTGAAAATCAAGTTATTAAATAATGCATGTAAAAGCTACCAATTATTTTATGTGTCTTTGAAGTCTTGAAAACAATTTTCCAAATAATCAGTAATTGTTTTATTCTATTTTTCTGTCTTGCTAAAATAGGTAGCAAAAGATATGGCAGCGGCAGCAGTTAGATGCATCAGAAAGGAGATCCGGGATTTGTATGTTAACATCCAGCCTGTTCAAGAACCTAAAGACCAAGCATTTGGCAATGGAAATGGAATAATGTGAGACAATACTTTTTCCTACACATTAGTTGAGAACCCTAAAATAGTTATCTAATTAAATTAAAGATTTTTAGGGTTTCTTGCTTAAGTTTATAGTTTTAAGAAGTATTTATTTATTTATTTATTTATTGAGGTGGAGTCTCGCTCTGTTGTCCAGGCTGGAGTGCCGTGGTGTGATCTTGGCTCACTGCAAGCTCCGCCTCCTGGGTTCATGCCATTCTTCTGCCTGAGCCTCCTGAGTAGCTGGGACTACAGGCGCCCACCACCACGCCCAGCTAATTTTTTGTATTTTTAGTAGAGACAGGGTTTCACCGTGTTAGCCAGGGTGGTCTTGATCTCCTGACCTCATGATCCACCTGCCTTGGCCTCCCAAAGTGCTGGGATTACAGGCATGAGCCACTGTGCCCAGCCTCAGTTTATATTTTTAAGGACATTCCTACCTAAAACACCAGTATGATAAATTAAGACAATTATTCTGAATTTTTTCTGAGGATGGCTTGCCTTTTGTTACCTTGTAAGATCCCTTTCCCTTATATAGTGAACTTAAACGTTTAATCAGAAGTTAGGCTTTAAAGCTAGTCCTATGAGAATATTTCCAGTTGCATAAAATACGTCAAATGTGAAATCAGTTCACAAATAAATATAGCAAAGAGCTTTTTAAAACCAGACTAGAGGCCAGGCGCGGTGGCTTACACCTGTAATCCCAGCACTTTGGGAGGCTGAGGCGGGCAGATCACAAGGTCAAGAGATCAAGATCATCCTGGCCAACATGGTGAAACCCTGTCTCTACTAAAAATACAAAAATTAGCTGGGCGTGGTGGTGCACACCTGTAGTCCCAGCTACTTGGGAGGCTGAGGCAGGAGAATCACTTGAACCTGGGAGGCGGATGTTGCAGTGAGCTGAGATCACACCACTGCACTCCAGCCTGGCGACAAAGCGAGACTCCATCTCAAAAAAAACCAGACTAGAACTATTATGTTAATTCAGTTAGGAGTTATAGATTTAAGTATTAGTACAAATTCTTTAACTGATGTTTTTGAAGTATAAAAGTACCATTTTTGGATATTTAAGTTCCAAATCCTCTCATTCAGAATTTCCATTAAAAGGTTTAAAGTAAACGCTTGCTCTACTTATGATAACACTATCTAAAAACCGTAGAACAATACCAAAGTCTCTGCATAACGACCTTTTTATTTAAGATAATTCTGAAACACTTTATAGTACTGTGTGCCTGTGAAATGGTACCACTTAGTGCTAATGACATGTTAACTTGTTGGGGGGCATGGTAGACATTTCTTAACCTGTGAATTAGAATCTGGTGTGACTTCTCCTGGTCAAGTGGTAAAGGATACTACTGGTCTGATTAAGATAGACAATGTTAATCATACCACTCTATATGAAGAATTTTTACTTTTGCAATTTGTTGCCCAGATTTAGTTCTGCCTATTTAATAGTCATTGTTCTCTTTTGTTGTATTTGCATAAATTTGGAACATTTATAGCAAAGGTAGTAATAACTTTTTTTCTTGCATAGAATTATTGCTGAGACCTCCACTGGCTGTTTGTTTGCTGGATCATCGCTTGGTAAACGAGGTAAGATAAATGAAGGGGGTCCATAGTTCCCAATGCTACTGCAGAATTCTTTAATCCATCAGGATTGGAATGTTATAGAATGATGGATGAAAGTTTAAAAGGATGTAGTTAATTGATTCTCTTTTAGAGTCAATTACACTTTCAGACTTTCAGTCTTTCTCCCACCTTTATACTTTGGAAAATTTCAAACCTATGGAAAAGTTGAATGACTAGTTCAACTAGTCATCCATACAACCTTCTCTTAGATTCACTAGTTATGAACATTTAGTTTGTTGTGTATATTTCTGAGCCATTTCAATATAAGTTGCAGGTGCCATGTCTCACCCCTGAATACTGCAGCATATATGTCCAAAGAGCAATAACTACATAATTATAATACCATTTTTACACCTGAAGAATTTGTTTTATTCTGACACACCAGATAGCTTCATACATAATGAATTGTTTCCAAAATATTATTTAGAGCGATGTGGAATTTTTTTTTTTGGGGGGGGGCACATAGCATTTGTTTCTCAAGTCTCTTTAGTCCCTCTTTTAATACACAATCCTCCCATTACCTTTTTTGTTGTTGTTCATTTCATGATACTGACATTTTTAAGAGTCCAGGCCATTTTCTCACAGAGTTTCCCACAATTTAAATTTGTCTGATTGTCTCATGATATATTCAGATTAAACATTTTTATTAAGAATACTACATAGGTGATTTTGTGTACATTCCACTGTATCACGGCAGGGGGCACATGATGTTAGTTTCTCCTTTATTGGTGAGGTTGAGTGTGATCACTTGGTTAAGGAGGTGTGTCCTGCAGATCTGTCTGCCATGAAAGTTCCTTTTACCTTTGTAATTAACTAGTGATCCAAGAAAATATTTTGAGGCCATCTGGTTATCCTGCACCCATAACAGCTTTCATCCAGTGGTTTTAACATCTATTGATGATTCTTCTCTGCATCAGTTATTACATTGGTGATTTCAGAATTTTGAATGTTTTTGTGAAAGGGAAATTTGTTTAAGGTTTGGTATATTAGAGAGAGAAGATACATACATGCATGTGTTTGTTAATATTTAAAGTTACTTTTACCAATCAGGCAACTTTTAGGTGAACTTCTAGTTGTTTGCGTGGTCATTGATTGCTTTATTCCTACTTTGTAGCATCTTTAAAAATGCTTACCAAGCTGGGCACAGTGGTACACAACTGTAATCCTAGCACTTTGGGAGGCTGAGGTGGGAGGATTACTGAGACCAGAAGTTCAAGACTATCCTGGGCAATGTAGTGAGACTTTGTCTTTGCAAAATAAATAAACAAATAAAAATGTTTACCCTAGCTATGCTGTTAAGCCACACTATTACTACTGAATACAAAAAAAATTAGGAATTCTTCAGTTTGCTCAGTTGGTAAATCTAGAACTAGTTGGGCATCAAATCTGATCAAGAGAATAAATAAAATCACCATTTCCAGTTGAACTCACATAAATGAATTCTGTCTAAAACTGTGCTATTCAAAATGTGGTTGGCAGACAGGCAAACTTGTCAGCATCAACTGGGAGTTCGTTAGAAATACAGATTTTGGGACCTACCTCAGACGTATTGAATTAGAATCTGTGGGAGTGGGGCCCAGGAATCCATTTTAACAAACTTTCCAGGTACTTTTAATGTATACTGAAGTTTGAGAAATAGTGATCTAAAATATGTATTTGGCATATACTAATTACATATTAGGTGCAGTGAGGAATCAGTGTGGATATTGAGCCACTGCATGCACTATCTACAACAGTCTTTAGAAGCAAAGAGAATACAAATATAAAACGGAGACTAGGAGCAGACATATTACAAGTAATAAGTACTTAGCAGGCATTGGGAGAAGTGTGAGTTTGTTTGTATTACTGGTTACCAAATGTGCCAGGTACTGTGTACTAGGGATTCAAAAGTGACAGCTATGATTCCTGCCTCCTGGGTTATTCTGGCAGAGGAAACAGACCAGTTCTATGATAGTGGTATCCCCAGGGTACCATAGGAATACAGGGGAAGCAAAGGGAATCCTTCTGGGGACTGATTGACACCAAATCTGCCTTCTGCCATTTAATGGTCCTCCAGTGGGTTCTGTGGGTAAATAGAAGTTAGCTGGATAGAAAAGTGAGAGCTAAGGAGGAAGGACAAAGAAATTTGACATACAAAAGTATTCTGGGTGAGGTGGCATGCAGCTTTAGTCCAAGCTACTCGGGAGGCTGAAGCAGGATGATTGCTTGAGCCAGGAGTTTGACAACAGCCTGGCCAACATGGCAAGATTCCATCTCTTAAAATTTTTTTTTTTTTAAGTAGCCCCATATGGTGGCTCACACCTATAGTCCCAGCTGCTCAGGAGGCTGAAGCGGGAGGATTGCTTGATCCTAAGATGTTCAAGGCTGCAATGAGCTATGATTGCACCACTGCATTCCAGTCTGGGTGACACAGTGAGACCCTGTCACCAAAAAAATAGTGTTCTGTGTTTGAGCAAGCAACTGCAAGTGGATAATAGATCTGGGTAAGGGAATGGAGAGAGATGACAACAGAAATATCGACAGGCCAGATTCTGAAAGGCTATAGGTTATATCTAGGAATTTACATTTCATCCTGAAATATAGAGCATTTAATGAGGGATGTGATATGAGAGTTTTTGAAAGATAATTCAGAGAAGTAGAAGAAAGCCATATTAGAGGCAGGAAGATAAGAGTTCATTACAATTCAGGTCAGAATGGTAAGGGCCTGTGCCAAGGAATGCTGGGCTAGAGAGGTGAATACTGATAAAAGGGTATTTGCAAAGGTGAATGGACAATATTTGCTGGCCAGTTGGGTATGGGAAGTGAGGAAGGCAGTGTAAAGTATGACCTTCTAGATGTCTGGCTTAGGTAACTGGATATATTTACCTCTTGTGAATATACGGGGTAGAGTTAGTTTGCCAGGGTAGATGATAATTTTAGATATGCTGCGTTGAGATTGATTGTAAAGGGATCATTACTTTATCAGTAATACATGGAATTTTTTTACCAGGCCTGAAAAAAATTTTCTAATGTTCTGTCAGCATTTTTTTCTCACTTTGTCACATGAAGCAACTTGTACTTTAAAGTAGTTTTTGGATAAAACACTTGTAGAGTACACAGTACTTATTTTTAGACTTAGGGTGTTAGGAGAGAATAGAGGAGAGAGCAACATGCCTGCTGAGATTGACTGACTCCTCCTGGTATCCTTCCTTGGTTCCTATCATGCACATCAGTCAAATGAGATGTTAGCAAATGCAAAAGTAACTTGTGGTCTTCTCAATCCAGCTTGTCTATATATTAAGGATCTCAGAGAGAATGTCATGACCTCTATTATCCAGATCCCCTTTCATTTCTGATTTAAATTAACTAGAAAATTACTGGATTTAGGGGCTGGGTGTGGTGGCGTATGCCTGTAATCCCAGCACTTTGGGAGGCCAAGGTGAGCAGATCACTTGAACCCAAGTGTTCAAGACCAATCTGGGCAACATGGCGAAACCCTGTCTCTACAAAAAATACAAAAATTACTTGAGCATGGTGGCATGTGCTTGTAGTCCCAGCTACTCTAAATGCTGAGGCAGGAGGCGGGAGGATCACTTGAGCCCAGGAGGTGTAGGTTGCAGTGAGCTGAGATCACACCACTGCACTCCAGCCTAGGTGATAGAGCAAGACCCTGTCTCAAAAAAATAAAACAAAACTACCAGACCTTGAATCCTAATTTCTTAGGGTTATCACCAGAAGGAACATTGGCTGCTTGTCAATACCACCATAGGTGGTAGAGGCAGGAAGTTGTAACTAGAGATGTCTTTATCATTGTCTCAGTTACTATAACCATTTTGATCTTAGTTTCCTTATATGTTGAGCAAGAAGATTAGCCTGGAGAATCTCCAAAATCCTTCTAACTATAACATTCTTCAATTTTATTTTAAAACGGTGAGATTTTGTTTTGTCTGAGAAAATCTCGCTGTTTTAGACTGAGGCAGTGTGTTATGATAGAGAGCACTAAACAGAGAGTGAGAAGACCTAAATTTTAGTCCCATGTCCTGTCATTATCATGCATAGTGACTCTGGGCTTTCCTTATCTGAAAAATGATATTGGACCGTGATTGTGATCTATGTTTAAGGATCCCTTCCAACTTTAAGTGATTGCATTATAGACAGAATGTGTTTTGTCTTTCCATTGTTGCGTATCTGTGTGATCTTTCATTACTCTTATCTTACAGTTAGTTATATTCTTTACTATGGGAGCAAAATAATCTGCTGAAATGAATTGTGCCTCTGGTTAATCAATCTTTATTTCCTTTGTATAGTAATTGCCTCACTTATAGCAAGCACCTTCCTTCCCTCCCTCAGTGTATGTGGTAATTCAGGGCATCTCTCTGTTTTTGTTTTTGTTTTTTTTTTTCGAGACGGAATCTTGCTTTGTCGCCCAGGCTAGAGTGCAATGGAGCAATCTCGGCTCACTGCAACCTCCGCCTCCTGTGTTCAAGCAATCCTCCCACCGCAGCCTCCCAAGTAGCTGGGATTACAAGTGTGTGCCACCATGCCGGCTAATTTTTGTATTTTTGGTAGAGACGGGGTTTCACAGTGTTGGCCAGGCTGGTTTCGAACTCCTGACCTCAAGTAATCTGCCTCCCAAAGTGCTGGGATTACAGGCGTGAGCCACCGTGCCGGCCTCATGGCATCTCTCTGATGTCCTAAAACAAGTCCTTGAGACCTTTGTTTAAAAACATCCAAAATGTGAGAAGATTGGCAATTAGTTAGAAAAGCATTAAGATTTCAGAAGAAATTGAGATTTTGCTTTTGGTGTGTATAATACTAATAAGCAAGATTCTCATATTTTGCTTATTATGTTCAGTTGCTACAGACTGCTAGTAATGGCAGTTAGTAATGTAGAACCATTCATGCCATTACTATCAAGGTGGCTGGGTGGAAAGGAATGTGAATGGCTCTGAGGAATTCTTTGCTACATGGCAGAAAACTTTAGTGTACCTGCTGTTTTCTAGTACTACAAAGCCGGAAGTTCTTTCCTTTTCCTTTACATCCTCCATCCCTATTTTAGCTGTTTTTCAAGGACTCACTTAAGTCCTTCATGCTTTATGAAACCTCAAATTATTCTAGAACCTATATAATCTCTTACTTTTCTGAACTCCTGTCGGGTATATAGTTTATATCACAGAGTTAGCACTTAATTATCCTCTAATTTTCTAATATATGTGTATTTTAAATGCCTCCTTAGCAAAGGATCTGGTTTCTATTACTTAGCATGGTAGATAAATAGTGGGTATGCAATACTCCTACAGGTTGAGCATTCCTAATCCAAAAATCTAAAATCTGAAATATTCCAAAATCAGAAGCTTTTCAAGTGGCAGTATGCCACAAAACTTTGTTTTATGCACAAAATCATTTAAAACATTGTATAAGGTTGCCTTCAAGCTATGTGTGTAAGGTATGTATGAACATTAATGAATTTCAGGTTTGTTTATTTATTTATTGAGATGGGAGTCTTACTCTCTTGCCCAGTCTAGAGTGGAGTGGTGCAATCTTGGCTTACTGCAACCTCTGCCTCCTGAGCTCTAGAGAGCTTCCCACCACAGACTCCCGAGTAGCTGGAATTATTAGTGTGCGCCACCATGCCTGGCTATTTTAGTAGAGACAGAGTTTCACCATGTTGGCCAGGCTAGTCTTGAACTCCTGTACTCAAGCTATCTGCCTGCCTCCACCTCCCAAAATGCTGGGATTACAGGCGTGAGCCACTGTGCTTAGCTGAATTTCATGTGTAGACTTGGGTCGCATCCCCAAGCTATCTCATTATGTATATCCAAATATTCCTTTTTTTTTTTTTTTTTTTTTTTAATTTTGAGACAGAATCTCATGTGTCACCCAGGCTGGAGTGCAGTGGCACGATCTCAGCTCACCATAACCTCCGCCTCCCGAGTTCAAGAGATTGTTGTCCCTCAGCCTCCTGAGTAGCTAAAACTACAATCGCACACAACCATGCCTGGCTAATTTTTGTATTTTTAGTATTTCACCATGTTGGCCAGTCTGGTCTCGAATTCCTCATCTCAAGTGATCTGCCCGCCTTGGCCTCCCAAAGTGCTGGGATTATAGGCATGAGCCACCATGCCTGGCTCAAATATTCCAAAATTTTTTAAAAATCCAAAATCTGAAACCTTCTAGTCCCAAGCATTTCAGATAAGGGTTACTCAACCTGTGTTATTATTAATAGCTTTTTATGTACTAGTCTGGGTAATAGATGCTTTATAAATATTATCTCTAATTTCTATAACAACTTTGCAGCATAATTATTATCATCTCCATCTTCTAGAAGAGGAAATGGCAGTGGCTAACAAGAAGTCAAGATTCACAAAACATGTTTCAAACCATTTCATTCAGTCACGTAAATACTTGGCCAATTGATAATATAAAGAGGGTAATTTATTATATTATTATGACTACTATAAAGAAAAATAGAGTTTCTGGGCATGATGGCTCATGCCTGGAATTCTAACACTTTGGGAGGCTGAAGCGGGAGGATCACTTGAGTTCAGGAGTTTGAGACCAGTCCAGGCAACGTAGTGAGACCTAGTCGCTAAAAAAAAAAAAGAAAAAAAAAAAAAAGAAAAAACAAGAAAAAACAAGAAAAACAAAGAAAAATAGAGTTAAAATTCTACAATTTCCACTTTGGGGAAAATTTTATCATATATAATCAAGTAAATTTGCAAATATAAAATAGAAACAAAACTAACCACATTTTCATTTTTCATAAGACGTTTTCATTTGCAGCCAAGAATTTTTTAGTTGAGAGTAAATACCTTAAAATAATAATGTGGCATTCTACTACTTGTGACAGACTTACTTTGTATTCAGTGTTGTACCAAAGATTTGGAATATGTATGGAGAGATAGGGAATAGGGCAAGAGGGTAAATATTCTGACTTATATTTAAAATAAGCGAATACCTGTTCAAATCTTAGAGGAAATAAAACTCTAAAATATTTTATCTGATAATGTTATATGCTCTTTTTTTACATAAAATGTAATTTCCTGACTTTAAAAAAATTCTTTAATTTTTTTTTTTTTTTTGGCAGAGTCCTGCTCTGTCACCCAGGATGGAGTACAGTGGCACAATCTCAGCTCACTGCAACCTCCACCTCCCAGGTTCAAGTGATTCTCTTGCCTCAGCCTCCTGAGCAGCTGGGATTACAGGCATGCACCACCATGCCCAGCTAAATTTTGTATTTTTAGTAGAGATGGGGTTTTGCCATTTTGGCCAGGCTGGCCTCAAACTCCTGACCTCAAGTGATCCATCCGCCTCAGCCTCCCAAAGCATTGGGATTACAGGCGTGAGCCACCGCACTGAGCCAAATTCTTTAATTCTGATGGAATTACCTGCAGACTAATTGTAACACGCATGCTTTTCTAGGATTTGGGAGGGGAATTTGTTTGTTTGGTAGATGGCGTCTAGCTATGTTGCCCAGGCCAGCCTTGAATTCCTGGCCTCAAGCAATTCTTACACCTTAGCTTCTCAAAGTCCTGGGATTACAGGCATGAGCCACCATGCCTGGCTGCAAGTTTTAATTTTTGAAATTGAGGCATAGCATTATAGGGTCATAACTTAACTTATAAACTGGCTTTATAAATTAGTACATTTTAAATAGGACTAATGAAGCCTATATTTTCCTCCACTAGTATATTTAAAGGTATAAGACTTGTGTATCCCAAACACTCAGAATATTAAATAACTAAAGATCTTATTCTAAAAGGTGCATTGAGTGGGTTTTTGAGGCCTAAAAATTGTATACCAGTGCTAATTGGGATATACCAAACTTTTTGTCTCTTAGTAATTAGTTTTGTTTTGTTTTGTTTTGTTTTGTTTTAATGTTGTGCTTATCTTAAGGTGTAAATGCAGACAAAGTTGGAATTGAAGCTGCCGAAATGCTATTAGCAAATCTTAGACATGGTGGTACTGTGGATGAGTATCTGCAAGACCAGGTAATGACACATTTAGGTTAAAAACCCTCTAACCTGTTAGATTTGAATATGTGGTAGATTGAATATCAATTTAAATAATTGACTTTCAGACACTAATTAGCAAGTCCTACTTCAATAATTTAAAAAAATATTCTGGGATTTGCATTCCTCAAATTTCAGCCCTCATTTTACTTTACGTGTCTACAGTGTTTTGCGCAATTGACCACTCCTTCCTTTTTGAAGTATTTTCTTTCCTTGGTTTCTGAAATACTGTTATCTTCCTATCTCACTGGCCATACATTCTAGTCTCCTTTGCTAGTTTATTATGGTTTTCATCTTCTCAACAACAATTTTTTTTTTTTTGGTGGAGACAGAGTCTTGCTATGTTGCCCAGGCTGGTCTCGAACTCCTGGTTTCAAGTGATCCTCCTGCTTCAGCTTCCTGAGTAGCTAGGCCTACAGGCACATGCTGTCATGCCTACCTAATTTAAAACTTTTTTTTGTTTTAATTTTTATAGAGACGAGGTCTCAGTATGTTGACCAGGCTAATCCTAAACTCTGGCACCCAAGTGATCCTCCCACTTTGGCCTCCCAGAGTTTTGAGATTAAGGGCCATGAGCCACTGTGCCTGGCCAACTTCTAAATTTTGATGAGCCCCTGGACTTTGGCTTATACTTGTTTTCTTTTTCTGTAGTTGCTCCCTCTCTTAGTTTGTCCAGTCTCATGGCTTAAGTACCGTCTTTATGCTGACAACTCCCAAATTTATATCCGAAGCCCAGGCCTTTCTCTTTAACTCCTTGCTCATAATATCCCCTATGCCTGTCAACACCTCCACTTGGACGTGTCACAGACCTCTCAAACTTAGCACGTTGCATGGCGCGGTGGCTCAAGCCTGTAATCCCAGCACTTTGGGAGGCCGAGGTGGGCGGATCACGAGGTCAAGAGATCGAGACCATCCTGGCTAACACGGTGAAACCCCGTCTCTACTGAAAAAATACAAAAAATTAGCCGGGCGTGGTGGCGGGTGCCTGTAGTCGTAGCTACTCGGGAGGCTGAGGCAGGAGAAAGGCGTGAACCTGGGAGGCGGAGTTTTGCAGTGAGCCGAGAATGCGCCACTGCACTCCAGCCTGGGTGGCAGAGCAAGACTCCGTCTCAAAAAAAAAAAAAAAAAAAAAACGAAAAACAAAAAAAACTTAGCACGTTCACTCACAGTGAGAAGTGATACTGAATATTTCCAAATATTGTTTTTATGGTCTGTTATCTTTATAGATTTTCCTTTCTACCATACTTTTGTCTCCTTAGTCCCAAATCAGTAGTGTCCACATTTAGAAATATAGTCCTCGAGATTTCTTGACCTGTTTCTTAAGACAGTTTCTGTTATTTCTAGTCTCCTCCTCCTTGCCCAGGTCTACTTTAAACTCCCAGTAAAGTCCCAGTATTAGTCTGTCTATTCAGCTGTTAAAATGTAATTTAAGAGAGTAGAATAAACATCATATTATATATACCAACTTGTAGAGATAGTTGGTCTAAGTATATTACTGTTCTGTATTTTACTTGTAAATATTAATTTAAAAAATTATATGTTGAGAGCTGCTACCAAGCCTTTTTGTACTACTCACAGACTTAGGGTAACATAGGTTTTCTGTCATCTTCTGAGTATGTCTGGAAACCTAAAGAAATAGAAATTCTGTTTTAGCAATTTTTATTTCTAGTAGTATTTTTATTATGGGCAGCAGTGGAATTATAATGCCAAATATTAATAAATGTGTGAGGTTTTTCTTTGTTCTTTTTTAAATAGCTGATTGTTTTCATGGCATTAGCCAATGGAGTTTCCAGAATAAAAACAGGACCAGTTACACTCCATACGCAAACCGCGATACATTTTGCTGAACAAATAGCAAAGGTGAGTATTCTATCAGAAAGGGAAATTGATATTTTGATTTTTATTTTAGCCAATTTTGGGTTAAATTTTAATAGGAAACTTAATAGTAATCATAATTGCTATCACTGTTTCCTGTGTGACAGGCACTGAGCTAATTTAGCAATTTATCTAAACTGTCTACTCAGCATAACTATTGTAGGTGGCTATTTATTATTATTCCCATTATAAATATGAGTAAAGTGAGGCAGAGAGATTCATTAAATTGTTCAAGGCCACATGGATTTTTAGTGGCAGAGCTGAGCTTTGAGCAAACCTGGGAAAGCATACTTCAAAACCCATGTTATAATCACTGTGTGGTACTGCCTTACAGAGTAAGTAAAGATGTTTTGTTGTGAACTATGATATCAAATCACAAGGGATTCATAGTTGGCTATAAAAAAATTTATATAAAATTTTAGACATTTTATTTTCTTGATTCTATTGGTAAAATAGAATATTTGTTGAAACTAATATTCACTGTCCTCTGAAATTTAGTAGAGTTGACGTACAGTTTTTAATGAAGAAGGATTTATCATTATATGAGCTCATATTCATACCTTTCCTACAGGATTCTTTTTTTTTTTTTTTTTGAGACAGGGTCTCACACTGTTGCCCAGGCTGGAGTGCAATGGCATGATCTCGGCTCACTGCAACTTCTGCCTCCCAGGCTCAAGTGATTCTCCTGCCTTAGCCTCCCAAGTAGCTAGGATTACAGGCACATGCCACCACACCTGGCTAATTTTTCTAATTTTTGTAGAGATGGGGTTTTGCCATGTTGCTTAGGCTGGTCTCAAACTTCATAGCTCAGGTGATCTGTCCACCTTGGCCTCCCAAAGTGTTGTGATTATAGGTGTGAGCCACTGTGCCTGGCCTGGATTGTTAATTTAAAGAAACAATAGGTATATTTCATCATGAAACTAATGTAATTTCTTTATAGGAAATAGAGGGGAAAAGCCTTCTCATAATTTCCCCTTGCCGGTAAAACCACTGTTGACATTTAGGTGTTTTCCTCTTCTCCTAAATCGTTTCTCTTTGCATTTTTTGCAGTTAATGCATACAACTTCATTTCTTGCTTATTTCAGTAACATGTAGCATATTTCCCATTTTGCTTATTCTTTATAAAGTAATTTTATAAAGAAATATAAAATTTGTAACAATTTTATAAGGGAAGTTGCTAATCTTAAGCATTTTTATTATTATTGTTTTTGAGACAGGGTCTCACACTGTTGCCCAGGCTGGATTGCAGTGGCACAAACCTCCTGGGCTCTCAAATGATCCTCCCACCGCAGCCTCCCAAGTAGCTGGGGCTACGGGAGTGTGCCACCACACCTGGCTAATTTTTTGATGTTTTGTAGAGATGGAGTCTTGCCACATTCCCAGGCTGGTCTTGAACTCCTGGGCTCAAGCAGTCCTCTGACCTCAATCTCCCAAAGCGCTAGGATTACAGGTGTAAGCCAGCATGCCCAGCCCTAGTCTTAAGCATTTTTTAAAGTGACAAAAGTAACATATATTAATTTAAAAAATTAATCATTACAGAAGTGTCCCATACACAAAACCACTGTTGCTGCCCTACTCCTATTTGTATGATGATCCTTTTTCTTTTCTTTTTTTTTTTCTTAAGATAGAGTCTTGCTCTGTTAGCCCAGGTTGGAGTGCAGTGGCACAGTCTTGGCTCACAGCAACCTCTGCCTCCCAGGTTCAAGCAATTCTCATGCCTCAGCCTCCAGAGTAGCTGGGATTACAGGCGTGTGCCACCATGTCCAGCTAATTTTTGTACTTTTTAGCAGAGACAGGGTTTCACTGTGTTAGCTAGGCTGGTCTCAAACTCCTGGCCTTACGCGATCTGCCTGCCTTGGCCTCCCAAAGTGCAGGGATTACAGGCATGAGCCACCGCGCCTGGCCTTTCTTTTTTTTTTTTCTTTTAAGAGACAGGGGCTTGCTCTGTTGCCCAGGCTAGATTACAATGGCAGTATCATAGCTCACAGTAGCCCCGAACTCCTGGGCTCAAGTGATCCTTTCACCTCAGCCTATCAAGTAGCTAGGACTGCAGCTGTGCACCACCACACCCTGCTAATTTTTTTTTTGTTTTTGTTTTTGTTTTTTGAGAGACGGGATCTCCCTGTGTTGCCCAGGCTGGTCCTGAACTCCTGGGCTCAAGTGATCCTCCCACCTCAGCTTCCCAAATGCCGTGATTACAGCTGTGAGCTACTGTGCCCAGTTTGATTCTTAATTATGTATACTTTTAATTGTTATTAAGAAACATAGATAAGTTTTTGTTAAATTGTAGGAAAGACTGATGGGAATTAAAGGCAAATTGTATTTGATGTCAAGAGTGTTAACTCTATTTTTTTTGTTACTCTACTTATGCTGTATTTATAACTATTACTTGTCTGTCTCTCCTTATAGATTGATCTCCTTAATAGCAGAGATCAGGTTTTATTCATTATATTCTTTACTTTTCACAGTACTTTACATATAGTAGATGCTTACTTGTTATTTGAAATGTATACATAACGGAAAGTGCTATGAACCTGTGTATAGCTTGTATCTTGGTCAGCTTTGTTGTGTATAACTGGGTGACTTGGGGCAAGTTTCTTATCTTTCTTTGTCTCAATGCAAATAGTTATCTGTAAAATCAGACTTAAGCTAGATAGGCCTGCTATGCTCCTTTCAGGTCTACATATTTGTAGTTTTAAGTAGGTTTATGTATAGGCTAGAAATGATTTTCATAGCTGCTACGTGTGTTTCATATTTACATAATGCTTGTAATTTGAAAAATATATAAACGCATGCATATATTACTAATTAATTAATATGGTTACCTAGCTCAGAATTCAGCATTTATTCATTCAACAGTAATTTCAAGTGTCCACTCTGTGTCAGTACATTACCATGTAATGCTGAAAGTGAAAGAATTTTTAAACATTACTATTCATTCAGTAAGGCCCCCAAGTGATGGTTTTCAAATTGTGCTTCCAAGAATCCTAAGATTTTAGGCATATTTGAAATCCTTTTGCCACAAACTTAACCTATTTAATTGTTTTGATTTTTTTTTTTAAGACGTTGATGGGAGTTGTGAGGAGTCTTCCTGTGTTGCCCAGGCCAGCCTCCTGAACTGAACTCAAATGATCCTTCCACCTCAGAATAGCTGGGATTATAGGTGTGCACCACTGCACCTGGCTAGTTGTTTTGATTCTAAATTTAGTTTTGTTAAAATGAATCACATTTGCTTTAAAAATAATGATGTTTTCAAAATACAGTGATATAGGCCAGGCACAATGACTCATGCCTGTAATCCCAGCGCTTTAGGAAGCTGACGCAGGAGGATCACTTCAGCCTAGGAGTTTGAGCCTGGGCAACAAAGTGAGACCCTGCCTATACAACAGAATTAAAAATTAGCCAGGCATGGTGGCATGTGCCTGTGGTCCCAGCTACACTGGAGGCTGAGGCAGGAGGATCCCTTGAACCCAGGAAGTTGAGGCTGCAGTGAGCCGTGTTCATGCCACTGCACTGCAGCCTGGGTGACAGAGCAAGACTCTGTCTCAAAAACAGAACAAAAACAAAAGCAAAATACAATGATACAGGTAAAATATTTCAAAGCCAACTTTAGTTACTAAGTGAAAAATGTGATGTTAAGCCCAGTACATTAAAGATGAAGGAAGATGTTAATCACCACCACCACCCCTCCTCCCCACATACCTTCTCTGAACTGGATCTTTTGAACGATATATATAGGGAACTAAATTAGCAAGAAAAAATGTAAAGAAATTAAAGGGTAATTTGTGACTTGACAAGATAAAAGTAGAAATGTTTCAGAAAAATTTTAGGGCATAGGGAATACAGTTGCATTAAAATTACCATTTGAGGTTTCAAAATTGTTATTTGCCTAAGCTGTACATCTGAGCTTTCTGATTCAGTGTGCGTGGAAGGGGCCCAGGCATATATATTTGGACAAAACTCACAGGTATGTATACCTCTGAAGAAGAACCATGGTTGTACAATGAAATGTGTTATCTTGAGGCTATTAAGTTTCTTTCTCATCAATCATTTGATCTTTGTGTCTCTGTAGGTTTTTCAATAAAATGGGCTTGACATTAACTCTCTGCCTACATAAGTTGGAGTTGTGGGCTCTTTCCTCCATCTCTCTTCGTATTACTTATATACTCCTCTTCTGATTTCAGGCTAAATTTATTGTGAAGAAATCAGAAGATGAAGAAGACGCCGCTAAAGATACTTATATTATTGAATGCCAAGGAATTGGGATGACAAATCCAAATCTATAGAGTATTTGCCTCTTAAATGATACCTCATTGATATATTGCACTATTTCATAAATACTATAAAATAATGACTAGGAAGTAACTTATTAAAGGCTATGACTTAAATTTGAAGATGAAGTACAGTGTTCTAGGTTTGCTGAGAAGGCTTCATTAAATTAATCTCACTTTGAATATCTCCTGAGAGATGGACAATGAAATATCAGTTGGTGGATATGTGTGATAGCTGATTTCAATATTGAAGTATTGAAATAAAATATTCTTTACACCTGAAGTAAATACATTTTTCTTTTTTATGTAATTAATTAAATCAGGGATATAGATTTGATCTGTAATTTGGGTATAATTCTAATCTTTGCTGAAATCACATCTCAAGTATAATGAGGCAACTTTATGCAAATGTACTTGTTGTGACAACAATAACATTTTCCTTTTTTTTTTTTTTTTTTGAGACAGTCTCGTTCTGTCACCCAGGCTGGGGTGCTGTGGTGTGATCTTGGCTCACTGCAACCTCTGCCTCCCGGGTTCAAGCAATTCTACTGCCTCAGCTTCCTGAGTAGTTGGTATTACACCACCATGCCCAGCTAATTTTTGTATTTTTAGTAGAGACAGGGTTTCACCATATTGGTCAGGCTGGTTTCGAACTCCTGACCTCGTGATCTGCCCGCCTCGGCCTCCCAAAGTGGTGGGATTACAGGCGTGAGCCAGTGCACCCGGCAACAATAACATTTAATAGGCATTGTCTCATTCTAATGATATATACCTTCTACCTAGTGGGCACTTTGTACATATTTATTTTTTATTTTATTTATTCATTTTTTTTGAGACAGAGTCTCACTCTGTCACCAAGTTGGAGTGCAGTGGCACAATCTCAGCTCACTGCAACCTCCGCCTTCCAGGTTGAAGTGATTCTCCAGCCTCAGCCTCCCGAGTAGCTGGGACTCCAGGCACGTACCACCATACCCAGATAATTTTTGCATTTTTAGTAGAGACGGGGTTTCACCATGTTGGCTAGGATGGTCTCCATCTCCTGACCTCGTGATCCGCCCACCTTGGCCTCCCAAAGTGCTGGGATTACAGGCATGAGCCACCACAGCTGGTCGTAAATATTTTTTGAATTTGAATCTGTTTTGGAAGCCAAATATGTTTTGGAAGCCAAACAATTAAGAGAAGTAAAATTTTAACCCTAGTAGGTTTCGCAGATTCATCCCCAGATATGTTTTTGTTTGGCTTGTGTTATTAACAAATAAATGAGTGTCTTTCAAATGGAATGTGCTTTCATTATTCTCTGTTATCTTACACCCAACATGCTTCCACATTTAGATGTTTTCCTGTTCCCGGTAGCAGTTGAGGTTGTGACTCAAAGGAAATCAGTTTGGTATGTCAGCTTAATGTGTTGTACTACAATAGAGTGTGTAATTCATTAAAACTTGGGTCTATCTTGGACCTTTTCTCATGATGATTAAAACATAGTCCAAAATGTAGATCCAGAGGATGCTCTATGATACATTTAGAAAGTCCTGAATTAGTCTGTATGGAACAGTAAAATGAAAAAAGTTGCCATGTACATAGTCATTATTCTTATCCTTGTCTGTGATATCTATGACCTTGGACAGTTGGGTTCAATTTGCTTTAAAGTTGATAATAGTGTTACTTGCTGTTTATGTTTTCACATAGTGGGTAAGTTTTGTAAGTTATTCATTTCTGTAATAGTTGAGATATATCTTTCTATTTTAGAGTAAAACTTTTTTAGAGTAATACTACACTTGTTGTTCGAGGGATTGTGATAAATTTGGGGGTCTTCAGACTGAAATGATTTCTGTACTTCTGATGAGGTGTGCCAGCAGTGTTAAAGGTGTAGGCTGGAGTGCAGAGATTTTGCCTCTGGGAGTGAGAGATTTAAATTCAACAGTATACACGGGGAGTTTACGATTAATCTTGGCTTAGATGTGTCACTGTTATTGAGTCTCAGCGGTAAGTCCTACAAGTGACTTGAATTTCTATTTTCCAAAAAACTTCTATTCTTATGTCTGTTCTTTATCTAAAATTCCATTTCAGTATGTTTGTTTGTTTGTTTTAAACTACCAAATGCAAGTAGTTCTGTTGATTTGACACTGTAGAACAGTCTTTTAAGAATATTCTTTAAACCAGTGGCCTTCAAACAGGGGTATTCCTACCACTTGAGTTTTACAACGCTTTTCCATGAGATTCAGGTTTTGCAGATGTCAGTGGTTTTTAGAGAATTAGTTTCCAAGTTTTGCTACTTAAATGTGTACTTTCTCCTAAAATTGAGTTGCTTAAAGTCAAGGTAGGTGTTTGAAGGTTCTTTTTAGCATCTTTTTCACAATTGCCATTCTTCCTTTTTACATAAGAAGTTTATTTTTTACCAGTCTTAGTGCATTTTCCCAGAGTTGTAAGAAAATCTCCAGGGTACCACATAAAGGGGCATTTTGAAATACTAGTCTCTGAAAAGCCCACTCAAACTAAGATATGAACCTGCATCTTATTTGTGTATTTTGCATGATTTTAAATAAGGAGGAGAAAGCTTCATTAATATGTTTATCTATTCAGTGTTTCAATAGATAAACATTACATCTTTAAACAGAATTTTCTTTTCTGATTACTAGGAGAACCATTTTTTTTTTAATTGCCAAAACGCTATTAGAATGTTTAAATCCTTTTAAACTTTGGGAGTTTACTGCTTAGTAAAAATTTCACTTCATTGCTCTCTATTCATCCCTACCATGTGCAGTGTGCTCTAGCTTCTATAATCTATCTTATATTATTGTGTAGTTTACATATTATTAATAGATATATAGATGGTGTTTTGTTTTGAGACAGTCTCAAAAGTGCTCAACAGCTGCCTATTGAATTATTAAATATGTCCTCAATAATGCTAATTTGGTGAACAATTTCATTTCCCTTTATGTTCTTCTGTCCTGGTTGTGATACTGAATTATTAATTATTAATTTTTATTTTTTTTGAGACGGAGTCTCACTCTGTTGCCAGGCTGGAGTGCAGTGGCGTAATCTTGGCTCACTGCAACCTCCGCCTCCCGGGTTCAAGTGATTCTCCTGCCTCAGCCTCCTGAGTAGCTGGCACTACAGGCGCGCACCACCACGCCCGGCTAATTTTTTTGTATTTTTAGTAGAGATGGGATTTCACCATGTTGTCCAAGATAGTCTGTATCTCTTTGCTTCGTGATCTGCCTGCCTCTGCCTCCCAATGTGCTGGGATTACAGGTGTGAGCCACCTTACCTGGCCTTAATACATCTTTTTTTTTTTTTTTTTTGAGAGGGAGTCTCGCTCTGTCACCCAGGCTGGAGTGCAGTGGCACCATCTCGGCTCACTGCAAGCTCCGCCTCCTGGATTCACGCCATTCTCCTGCCTCAGCCTCCGGAGTAGCTGGGACTACAGGCGCCCGCCCCCACGCCCGGCTAATTTTTTGTATTTTGTTTAGTAGAGATAGGGTTTCACCGTATTAGCCAGGATGGTCTGGATCTCCTGACCTCGTGATCCGCCCGTCTCGGCCTCCCAAAGTGCTGGGATTACAGGCGTGAGCCACCGTGCCCAGCCAATACATATTTTTAAGTCCCACACTTGCTTGATAAACTTTTTGCTATATGTTTCCATTGAACTCTGTGTCATTCCAGCAGTTAACAATATTTATACATGACATCTAATTTTTAAAAGCGTTAATCTCATTAAGATATTTTCAATAAGTTTTTATTTTTAGTGTTTAATATTTCAAAATGTATATTTGTTTTACTCAATTGTATAATGATATTGTAACTAAGTGTCAGAAGAAATTTTTTCATTTTTAAAAATCTTCGTTTGGGCATGGTGGCTCAAGCCTGTAATCTCAGCACTTTGGGAGGTCGAGGCAGGCAGATCACCTGAGGTCAGGAGTTCGAGACCAGTCTGGCCAACATGGCGAAACCCTGTCTCTACTAAAACTACAAAAATTAGCTGGACGTGGAACGTGCCTGTAATCCCAACTACTCGGGAGATTGAGGTAGGGAGAATTGCTTGAAGCCAGGATGCAGAGGTTGCAGTGAGCGGAGATCATGCCACTGCAGTCCAGCCTGGGTGACAGAGCAAGACTCCATCTTGGAAAAAAGAAAAAAAGGCCAGGCAGGGTGGTTTACGCATGTAATCCCAGCACTTTGGAGGGCCGAGGTGGGTGGATCACCTGAGGTCAGGAGTTTGAGACCAGCCTGGCCAACATGATGAAACCCCGTCTCTACTAAAAATACAAAAAATAGCCGGGCATGGTGGCTGGTGCCTGTAATCCCAGCTACTCAGGAGGCTGAGGCAGGAGGATAGCTTGAACCCAGGAGGCAGAGGTTGCAGTGAGCCGAGATCATGCCACTGCACTTCATCTGGGAGGCAGAGCAAGACTCCATCTCACAAAAACAAAAAACAAACAAAAAAAAACTTCACTGAACATTTTTACATAATGCAGATTAATACATAAAGATATACTAAGATAACTTTGTGGGTGAAAAAATTAGCTAGGTGACTACAATTTTAAAAAAAGATACCTTTGTGGGAGAAGTGGAAATTTTTTTTTTAATTTGAGATAATATCAAACAGCCACTCCAGTAAATACATTTGAGAGTGGTGTCATTATTTATTTAATTTTTTTGAGATAGTATTTCGCTTTATTACCCAGAGTGAGTGCATGGCATGAGTTCAAGATTCACTAGCAGCCTCGACCTCTGGGGCTCAGGTGATTTCTCCCGCCTCAGTCTCCTGAGTAGCTAGGACTACAGGCACATGCCACCACGCCCAGCTAACTTTTTGTATTTTTTTGTAGAGACGGGGTTTCGCAATGTTGGCCAGGCTGGTTTTGAACTCCTGTGTTCAAGCTGCCCGTCTTGGCCTCTCAGAGTGCTGGGATTACAGGCGTGAGCCACTGTGCCCTGCCTGATTTTATTTTAAAATGGAAATATAACATGGAAATTAGATCATTTGCTATAGCTGTTGAAACTTATGATGAAAAATTTATGTCAACTTAAAAATTTATAAGAATAATAGTGTTTTGAAATTCTTTTTAGGAGGTTTGTGACCATAATATTTGATGACAACTGCATTCAGTTATGAGAAAAGTAGAGTTGTTAATTCAGTATCCTGTTTTCCTACATTTAACACAGTGCTGTTCAATAGAATCTCTACAGTGATGGAAATGTGCTGTATCTTCACTGTCCAATAAAGAACCCACTAGCCACATGTGGCTCTCGAGCCTTGAAAAGTGTCTAGTGTAACTGAGAGAATGAATTCTAATTTTATTTAATTTTAATTTAAATAGCCACATGTATTTAGTGGCTATTGTACTCGACAGTGCAGATCTAGAAATTATTATAGATCTTTGTCTTTATTATTTTTTAATTTTACTTTTATTTTTTAAACTTTTAGGTTCAAGGGTACATGTGCAGGTTTGTTATATAGGTAAACTTGGGGCATGGGGATTTGTTGTACAGGTTATTTCACTGGCCAGGTACTAAACCTAGTAGTACCCAATAGCTATTTTTTCTGATCCTCTCCCTCCTCCCAATCTCCACCTTCAAGTAGGCCCCAGTGTGTGTTGTTCCCCTCTTTGTGTCCCAGTGTTCTCATCATTTAGCTCTCACTTATAAGTGAGAACATGCAGTATTTGGTTTTCTCTTCTTGTATTAGTTTGCTAAGGATAATGGCCTCCAGGTCCTGCAAAGAACATGATTCATTCTTTTTTATGGCTGCATAGTATTCCATGGTATATATGTACCACATTTTCTTTATCCAATCTGCCACTGATGGGCATTTAGGTTGATTCCATGTCTTTGCTATTGTGAATAGTGCTGCAATGAACTATTTTTGAATTTTGTATTATACCATCATCTCTCTGTAATAGCTACTGAGAAGAAATCTTTCAGGAAAATAATTTGGAGTAGATGTTTGGCGTTTAGTCATTTCCACATTGATGAGGCTTATGCCCCACTCCACAGGAGAAAGCAGAATTGTAGTGAACTTTTCCAGTATCTCTTTTGGGCTACTTGTTCTTCAAAGCAGGGAGAGGAGTCAGTAATCTGGTTGGTGAAAGCCTGACTTCCATCAGGAGACAGTCCCCTCCACTCCCCGTAACTGGTGCACTGCCTGCAGCAAGGACAGTAAGAAGGCTGGGTCTCCCGCCCACCTTCCCCCCATGCTCCTTCGTGAAAAGACACTTGTACAGTGGAATTTTTTAGACAGACCTGTGATCCTTTAGGTGGTGGCAGGGCAGGTTTGCTCAGGATCTGCCTTGAAAATCTTCCCCACTGGCTGGGGCTAAGCCTAAATTTAAGGGGAGGCAGTAGGTGGCTCTACTTTGACTTCAGGTCCTAGATCTCTTGCTTCCCAATCCAGCTTTACCAGAGAGCCTCTATTTTCAAAGTTATTAGTGCCCTGTATCTGTCCTTTTTTTTGTTTTGTTTTTTTAATGGAGTCTTGCTCTGTCACCCAGGCTGGACTGTAGTGGCATGATCTCAGCTCACTGCAACCTCTGCCTCCCGGATTCAAGCAATTCCCCTGCCTCAGCCTCCTGAGTAACTGGGATTACAGGCATGCACCACCATGCCCAGCTAATTTTTGTATTTTTAGTAGACACAGGTTTTCACCATGTTGTCCAGGCCGGTCACGAACTCCTTACCTCAGTGATCCGTCTGCCTCGGCCTCCCAAAGTGCTGGGATTACAGGCATGAGCCACCATGCCTGGCCCTCCTTGTATCTGTTCTTTATTGATTAGAACCTGTAAGAAAGGAGGCAATTTTACTGCTAGTATGAAACATAAAGTGTCTTTTTAGGAAGAACAATTGTGAAAACATTGTTTTGGTGATCATTAAAATAATCAGACTCTTGTAATGGTGGTGTTGATGGGGTGGTGATGGTTGGTGGTTTCTTTTGGTTAGCTCTTTCCTTCACAGTAGAAAATTAGTGTGACATTTGGTTTTTGTCTGGGTTTTAATGTGTGCTGCTTCCACAGCTCTGAGATGGAGCTGATTGATAGGTGTGCATGATATGTTTTTTCAGTGATTTCTCTGGGCACACAGGCATTTCCTAAAGGAGAAGGGGAGGGGGGAAAACACTCAGGGACTCCTTACTACAAAGTTAACAAAAACTCCAAGTAAAGCCAGATTAAAATGCACATTAAAAGCAGTAGTGAAAGGGAAAGACTTGGTCTTTGTAGATGTTAATGGGGTAGGGCCGGGCAGATATCCCATCACCTGGTGGAGATTTCAAATGACCGTTTTCTCTTTTAGCAGTAGTACCACCTTTTTCTTTCCTATCCTGACCCTAGCCAATGTCTTTTGTGGGCAGCAATGTGCTACCCTTCATTTAATACAGATGCTCCTCAACTTAGATGGGGTTATCTCCCAATAAACGCATCGTAAGTTGAAAATAAGTCAAAAATGCATTTAATACACCTAACCTACTGAACATCATAGCTTAGCCTTGCCTACCTTAAACATGCTCAGAACACTTACATCAGCTTACAGTTTGGCAAAATCAGCTACTTTATAATAGTGTTGAATAGCCTCGTGATTTATTGAATACCGTAATAAAAGTGAAAAACAGAATGGTATGTTGGTTGTTTGCCCTTGTGATTGTGTAACTGACAGAGCTGTGGCTTGCTGCTGCTGCCCAGCATCATGAGAGATATTGGACCGTATATCGCTAGCTGGAGGAAAAGGTAAAAATTCAAAATCTGAAGTGTGCTTGCATATCGCTTTTGCACCACTGTAAAGTGAAAAATTATAAGTTAGACCATTGTAAGTTAGGGACTGCGTGTATATCCAAAGGTCAAGCACTATACAACAGCTATGCAGGATATCCCTAGGAGGACAGAACCTTCTGGACCACCTTGTAAAGCTCAGTGACTTAAAGCCATTGGTGGCCAAATAAATGCAAAACACACACACTGGCCTGTAAGAGTTTAGAGAAATTGGAGTTCAGCAAGTGGAACCACTGAGGCAACAATTTCTGAGGCATAGGTGGATCTGTCCTACCAAATAATTCACGGGGCTTATTTTGAGTTTTCTGCTATGTGTTTCATTGGTCCCCAAAGTCAGTCATAACCAAAATACTGATTTTGATATTTCACTGGTTATACGCCCATGAATCAGTCATAGCTCAATCAAGAAAACAGAAACCACATTTGTTATTGCAAACAAAGGTGGGATCTTACGTAGGAAATTGTTATGTAGTTGTTGGAAGGCTGAAAGAGGAATGAGAGGACACTGAGATAACCAAAGATTAGTAAGTGCAAGCAGTTAACAGCCTTAGGACTGGGGAAATAAAAGGTAAGAGTAGTGTTATCAGAGTGCAACCTGGCAGGCGCGCGTGTGGTTTAGGTGGCATGGCCTAGTTGGTGAGGGAGCACAGTGGGGCTGGTATTTCTACTGTCAAGGGAGCACAGCAAGGGTGTTGCCAGGGCTGCAATGGTGCTAGAAGAAGCTCAGTGCCACAGTTTGCTGCTGCTGCTATGAAAGCAATCCTGACAGGAACTGGAAGCAGGGAAAGTCCTTTCTCCCTTTCTTCCTCTCTCTTTCAAAGCTCCACTCAGGGTTTTCTTTTTGCAGAACCTAACCAGAAACCAAGTGGCAAGGGAGTCTGGAAATTATATTTTGCACACCCAAACATGAACCAGAGTTTTGAAAGGTGTGCTTGAAGCTGAGAGACAGTAAATAGCCAGCAGAATCTATCCTTTTGGTCAGTCAGCATCAATTTGTGTTTCTATCTTCTGATAACGATAGTATCTTACTGCTTTTGCTTAGCAAGATACAACTGTCTTTTTTAGACATTTCCATCCTCTTCCTAAAAAAGAGGGCCCAAAGTTCCAGTAGTCACTACATCCATATCTGGGTGATGTCTGTTTTATGTAATCTCACCTAAATATTCTAAAAGACTAAATTGTAAAGTTAACCACTGATAACAGTCCTGGTGTAAAATAAAGGGGGACAATGAAGAGGAGGGGGAAAGTAAGTAAATATGTGTCAATAATTACATAATAAGCAAGGAAGAAAATTACATAGTTATTACAGTCCTGTGTAGTCATATCTGCTGTATAGTCTGTTTCCTTTGCCATCAGCTGGCCCTGCAACCAGTCAGAATTCTTTTCTGGTGGAGCTGATCCAGAACTTCACTTCCAAAGGGTCTGAATCTTAGTGTCTGTTTATGTGTTGCTGTGGTTTTGCCTTAACTTTTGTTACTGGATTTGATAGTACCCAGAAGCACCTTAGAGAATGTTTTGGGCTCTAAACATAGTCTCCTGTATCTCCGTTAGTGTAGCAGCGACTCAATTTATCCTTAGTAATTGGGAGCAATTGTCCTGGCAAAAACAGTGATCCCACCTTTGTTTGTTATTTCAATAGCATGGAAGTCCCATCTTCCAATTCAGTGGAGCCATTGTTGTGACCTCTGATGAAAGCATTCCTCCTTTGAGAGCTAAAACTTCTAAACCAGCAGCAATCAAAGTTGCAGAATGGAAAAGAAAATTTTGCTGGTTGGTAGTTAACGGTCATCGTGGAGGAGCCAGTCCCAGTTCCACCCCTTGATCCATGTATTCTGGCGAAGAAAGAGTACCCTATATTATTTAATCTCTGTTTCGAAGAATTCCCTACATCCTATAGGATAGCGCCCTAACCTTTCAGAGTGTTGTCTCTCAACTGGCACTGTAACAGAAACTTCAGTAAGCTGTTTTATTAGCCCTGCTGCTTCTGAGAGATGTCACACATGGCAAGACCAATAAACTACGGGCATGAGCTCATTGGTAAACTTCTTTAGCTGAGAAACGAGTTCCTTAATCACAAACAGTATTGTGTAGAACACCCATAAGCCCATAGATCATCATTGTATTCAACTGTTGATACATAACAAATTACCCCTAAATTTAGCAGCTTAAAACAATAATGAGGCCGGGCACGGTGGCTCACACCTGTAATCCCAGCACTTCAGGAGGCCGAGGTGGTGGATCACCTGAGGTCAGGAGTTTGAAACTAACCTGGCTAACATGGTGAAACCCTGTCTCTACTAAAAATACAAAAAAAAATTAGCTGGTTGTGCTGGCAGACCCCTGTAATCCCAGCTGCTTGAGAGGCTGAGGCAGGAGAATTGCTTGAACCTGGGAGGCAGAGGTTGCAGTGTGCCAAGACCGCACTGGTGCACTCCAGCCTGGGCAACAAGAACAAAACTTTGTCTCAAAATAAAATTATTATTTCACAATTTCTGTTGATCAATCCAGGAGCAACACAGCTAGGTGGTTTTAGCTCATGGTATCTCATGAAGTTGCAACTAAGCCACTGGGCAGAGTTGCAGTCATCTCAATTACTTGAGTATTAATTGAGAATGGCGTTGAAGGATCAGCTTCCAACCTCACTCACATGGTCATTGGCAGGCTTCAGTTCCTCGAAGGTTGATGAATTGAGAGCTTCAGTTTCTTGAATGCCACATGGGTCTTTCCATAGGCCTTCTCACAACAAGGTAGCTTGCTTCCTCTAGTATAAGTGATGAGAGAGAGAGAGAGACCAAAATGGAAACCAAAGTCTTTTTTTTTTTTTTTTTGAGATGGAGTCTCGCTCTGTCGCCAGGCTGGAGTGTAGTGGCATGATCTTGGCTCACTGCAACCTCCACCTCCTGGGTTCACGTGATTCTCCTGCCTCAGCCTCCCGAGTAGCTGGGATTACAGGAGCGTGCCACCACGCCCAGCTAATTTTTGTGTTTTTAGTAGAGATGGAGTTTCACCATGTTGGCAGGATGGTCTCAATCTCTTGACCTTGTGATCTGCCTGCCTTGGCCTCCGAAAGTGCTGGTATTACAAGGTGTGAGCCACCACACCCGGCCCCAAAGTCTTTTTAAACCTAATCTCAGAAGTGATATTCCATCACATCCAAAATATTCTAATAATTAGAAGCAAACCACTAGTCCAACTCATACCTAAGGGGATGGGATTACTTAAAGGCATGAATAGCAGAAGGTGGAGATCACTGGGGGCCATTTTAGAGCCTGCCTACAACAGTTATACTGGAAGAAGCACAGACCACTAGGGTTTTGGAATAGATAATTCTTTTCAGAAACAGATCTTGGTTTTCTACGGGGCCCTGGTAGAAACTAAACTTCTGATCATGGGACATCTGGAGACCACATGTCCTGAACTACCCATGATGAACTGGACGTTTTCTGAACCACCAAGATAGAACATTGGTTGAAGGCATCAGCAATCCAACATCAAGTGAAGATGGTATGAATGAGATTCGGTGCAAGCAGATCCTGAAGTCCTGAAGACGTAAGTATGTTGCATGAGAGGTGGCTTGGTTTCCTATAGCACCTATTCCTGCTACAGTGCCATCTCTCTACTAACTCATTGTGGGGAGTTCCCAGTCACCAGCTGACTGAGGAAGAAAAAGCTAAGGCCTGGTTTACAGATGGTTTTGCACAATATATCTGGCATTAACTGGATGCAGATGGCTGCAGCATTATAACCCCATTCAGGGATGGCCTAGTAAGACAGTGGTGATGAAAAATTCTCCCAGTGGGCAGAACTCTGAGCAATACATTTAGTTGTCCACTCTGTGTAGATTAAGAGATGGTCAGAAGTACACATATTCTGATTCATGGACAGTGACTGTTAGTTTGAAATGTTGGGGACTCAGAAAAAAGGTTTTGGTAGATTGGTGACAAAGGTCACCAAAGGTTAGGGGAAGAGACAGGTGGATGACACTTTCAGGATAGAGTGAAAAAAAAATGTCCCACATGAATACTCAGCAAAGGGGATCCACTATAGAAGAGAATTTCAGTAATCAGATGGACAGAATGACCTGCCCTGTGGAGGTGTCAGTCTCTTTCTGCAGTTACCTTAATGCTTGCTCAGTGGCTCCAGTGGAAGGGATCAAGATTATGCATAGGCTCAACATGTACTTCCCTCACCAAGCTTGGTGTGGCTATGCCCATTGCTGAGTGTCTACCTTGTCAACAGCAGAGACTGAGATGGAGCCCTTTACACAGGATTTTTCCCTGGGAAAGAGGAGAAGACTACCTCTTGGCAGGTTGACCACAGTGGAGGAGGTAGCCATTTGTCCTCTGTGAATAGCTTTAATTAGGATATAGATTTGTCTTCCCTGACCGCAATGCTTCTGCCAATGTGACTATCCAGGTACTAATGGGTGTTTTTACACAATATTGCTTCTGACCAAGGAGCTCATTTTTAAGTCGTCCTTATGTAAGGACAAAGCAGATCTCTAAAAGAAAAAAAAAGCCAGGAAGATATTATATCAAAATGTTAAAAATAGTTGTCAAATGGGCATTAGTGTAATATAAGTATTTTACTTTTTTATTTTTTTATTTTCCAAATTATTGTGTGCCTGGAAAAATAAAATACAAAGGCAATTCAAGATAGTTTTAAAACTTCACCCCTGGGAAACTTAGTTCAGTTTCCCTAAGAAAAGATTGCTTGGGCTGGGCGTGGTGGCTCACACCTGTAATTTCAGCACTTTGGGAGGCTGAGGCAGGCAGATCATTTGAGGTCAGGAGTTCAAGACTAGCCTGGCCAACATTGCCAGGCCAACCCTGTCTCTACTAAAAATACAAAAATTAGCTGGGCATGGTGGCATCCCAGCTATTTGGGAGGCTGAGGTGGGAGGATTGCTTGAACCCAGGAGGCGGAGGTTGTAGTGAGCTGAGATTACACCGTTGCACTCCAACCTGGGTGAAAGAGCACTCCATATCAAAAAGAAAAGAAAAGAAAAAAGATTGCTTGAGGCTACTTTGATATTTACTTAATTTTTTCAGAGATGGGGTCTTGCTGTGTTGCTCAGGCTGGAGTAGTTGCATAATCATAGCTCACTGCAGCCTCAAACTCCTAGGCTCAAGTGAACCTTGCATCTCAGCCTCCCAAGTATCTGGTATTACAGGTGCATGCCACCACCACGCTAATTTAAAAAAAATTTTTTTTGTAGGGATGGGGTCTTGCTATGTTGCCCAGGTTAGTCTTGAACTCCAGGCCTCAAACTGTCCTGCTGCCTCGGCCTCCCAAAGGGCTGGGATTACAGGCATGCCTCACAACACCCAGCTGATTTTAATTATGATTTCAATTCTATTATTTTCAAACCACTCAGGCAAAGGCTATTGCAGCCTCATCCACAGGGATAGGGATATTGCTCTATAATCTCAGTGATCCTCAAACTTCAGTGTAATAAGCATCTTCAGAGAGATATAAAAATCTCTGTTTACTCCTCTCCCCCAAGAAATTCTGAGTGGGAAATTGTGGGTGGGACCTAGGTAGGAATCTGTATATTTATCAAAAGACCTCCAAGTGAGTGCCTCTGGTTTAGGTGGTCCACACAGACCCTTTAAGGAACACTGCTCTAGATTTACAGGTGGCTCCACGGCTGGGAAAAATTGAAGAATTCAAGTAAGTCTTGGAAAGAAACAGGTGCTAGTTATTCTGTTGTCAATAGAATCAGATTCCGGAAACACAAGTAGAAGGACAACCCCAAATCCTTTTTGCCTTTGATTAGCATTGATTCAAATTGTAGCACGTCACTGCACTCACATTACCAATCTAGGTATTCAGAGCAGTTCTCTATCTGCATGAGAAAAGCCACACAACATAATGGGTGCTGGTATCAGATGACTCTTTCACTACCATATCACTGCTGCCTCCAAAGCCAGTGGAGACAAATAGATCTGAGTTTGAATACCAGCTTCACCACTTTTTAGGTTTTGACTTTAGGTGGGTTTTTCATGGGAATAATATTTAGGTGTTACAGAAGTATGACTTGAGTCGAATTAGTTAATCATTTTATTTTATCTTTTTTTTTTTTTACTGAGATAATCTGAGCCTACAGTATACTTAATTATTTTAGACTTCAGTTTCTTCTTAAAGAGGACTGTAGTCCTTTCTTGCTCTGAAATTTTTCATATATAATATGAGAATCCTATTTCTCAAGAAAAAACACTCAGATATTTTCAGAAAACATACAATCACAATGTTGAGAAAAAAGCCATTAAAATAACTGCTTTATCAGGGAAAAAAATCTAATACTTAGTATATTCCTAAATTAAATAATGTCTGATAAGGCAGTGATTACTTCAGGCAAAATGAGTCTACACAGGAAGCTGTAGGGTCTCCCAAACTAAGGGCAATCTTTGGACCTGCCCCCTAAGAGCTCCCTTATCAGGCAGGTTAGTGATGTCCTCAGTGGACTTTCTGTCTTGGAAAAAGAATGTCCAGTGATGAGAAACTGGAGTTCTGTCACACTATGACCCTGAAGTTAGCGGCCCAAAGTGGGGCGTATGAAGAGTGTGAATGATGCTAAATTCCTAAGGAGCCTTTGAGCTGAAATAGGGCATGACATCTCGTCTCACATCTGATGTGTCTCAGATTTCCCTATTCTCTGTCACCATGAGAGAATATAAAAAGATTTTCCTATCAAAGACCAGGAGCCTGGATTCCTGCCTTTTCCCACCTTCTCTCACTCTTTCTGCCACTCACTTTGTCCACTCCAACGCATTGTTTAGGTTTATGTAGAAAACTGACCTTTATCGCAGAGTGGGGATTCTGAGGTATGAACACTTGAACTCAAGTGAACTTCAGATTATTCAGTTGGCTTTACATAGTTATTAAAACCCCAAGTTATGCACACTCACTGAAAGAACTTGTAGGTTTAAAGTACTACACAGACTCTTCTTGGCATTCCATTTAGCTCTTAGGTCTCTGATAGGGTTTGGATTTGTGTCCCCACCCAAATCTCATGTGGAATCGTAATCCCCAATGTTGGAGGTGGGGCCTGGTGGGAGGTGATTGGATCATGAGGGTGGATCCTTCATGATTGGTTTTGCACCCTCACCGTGGCGCCGTCCTCATGATAGTGAGTTCTCATAAGATCTGGTTGTTGAAAAGTGTGTACCACCTCCCCCCCCATTCCTCCTGCTCTGGCCATGTCAAGTGCTATCTACCCCTTTGCCTTCTGCTATGATTCTAACTTTCCTGAGGCCTCCCCAGAAGCCTAGCAGATGCCAGCATCATGCTTATTGTACAGCCTGTGGAACTGTGAGCCAATTAAACCTCTCTGTAAATTACCCAGTATCAGATATTTCTTTATAGCAGTGCAAGAACAGACTAATGCAGTCCTATAATAAGGACCTTGCCCTTGGGGTTATAGTTACTCCAAATAGCCCTTTCCCCGATTCTATACTGGGGAACTTTCTGTTCCTTGGAGGACTGTTTTTCTTACCCTGATAAGTGACAGACAGCATCACTGAATAGAGAAGAAACAGAGTAAGTAAACCTGATCCAAAAAAAGTCAATGAAAAGGCTGAGAATGAACCCAAAAGAAAATGGAAGATCTGCCCTCAAGTCACATGGTAGGAAAAAGTTCATGAAGGTCAGAGCTCATGGAGCAGTTACAGGATAAACTAGGAGAGCACTCAGGAAGCCAGAGGCAGACACAGAGCACCACAGACGGAAGACCTTGAAACCAAGGCCAGGTCTAACGTAGAAAGGCAGTACCACATAGTGTTCTCTTTTCTCTGTCTTGCTGAATTCTTCTTGTGTGAGGGACTCCAATGACTTACTTTCCCACACAGTCTGGTCCAATGCAAGGCCTAAAAACTCACTTTGCCTTCTGTAAGAGAACATGATTATATCCTGTTATGATTCAGATCTATACTCTGACTACTGGTAAAAGCTGCACTGATATTTCCTCTTTAGTTTGGCTGATGTACCTTCTCTTTTCCTTTCCTAGAGATACTGCCTTTTCTTTCACTTCTGCATTATCCATAAAGACCCTGGATAGTCTCTTTTCCCCTGTCTCCTTATTTTTGTTTTTTCTGTCAGGCAATGTCTTCCTAGTTAACCTTTGTAACTGAGCTGTTGTCATGCTTACATTTTTACACAGTGCAGTTATTTTGGCTATTCTCTCTTTTTTCTTGAGACAGGATCTCACTGCATCACCCAGGTTGGAGTGCAGAGGTGCACCCATGGTTCACTGTAGCCTCCACCTCTCAAGCGCAAGCAATACTTCCCCTTCAGCCTGTTTTGCAGAGACAAAATATTTTTTGTAGAGACAGGGTCTCACTACATTGCCTAGGCTGGTCTTGAACTGCTGGGCTCAAGCAATCCTCCTGCCTCAGGCTCCCAAAGTGCTGGGATTACAGGCATGAGCCACCACACTCGGTCTTATTTTGGTTATTCTCTTAAAGTTTCCCCCTATTTTCTCTTGCAGGCATTTTTCTGTAGCTCTTCACAACTTCATTCCTTGTTTCTCTCCCATTATCAGTCCTTTTGACAAAGTAGAGATCCTCAGCAATTCTCTTGGCTCAAATACGTCTATAGCTTTATCAACATGACGACCATCCAACTTGAGAAACATTTTATTGTCTTGCATTGGAACAGTATATTTCAAACTGCATGTTCTCTACAATAATTTTTTTTTTTTTGAGACAGAGTCTTGCTGTCACCCAGGCTGGAGTGCAGTGACATGAACATGGCTCATTGCAGCCTTGACCTCTTGGGCTCAAACAATCCTTCTACCTCAGCCTCCTGAGTAGCTAATACTACAGGTGTACACCACCGTATTAGTCAGGGTTCTCTAGAGGGACAGACCTAATAGGATATATGTATATATGAAAGGGAGTTTATTAAGGAGAATTGACTCACGTGGTCATAAGGTAAAGTCCTGTGATAGGCCATCTGCAAGTTGAGGAGCAAGGAAGCCAGTGGTGGATCAGTCTGAGTCCCAAAACCTCACAGGTAGGGAAGCCAACAGGGCCACCTTCAGTCTGTGGGTGAAGGCCTGAGAGCCCCTGGCAAACCACTAGTGTAAGCCCAAGAGTACAAAAGCCGGGAACTTGGAGTCTGATGTTTGAGGACAGGAAGTGTCCAGCGCAGGAGAAAGATGAAGACCAGAAGACTCAGCAAGTCGGCTCCTTCCAACTTCCTCTGCCTGCTTTATTCTAGATGCACTGGCAGCTGATTAGATGGTTGTCCACCCAGATTGAGGGTGGGTCTATCTCTCCCAGCCCACTGACTCAAATGTTACTCTCCTTTGGCAACACCCTCACAGACACACCCAGGAACAATACTTTGCATCCTTCAATCCAATCGGGTTGACACTCAATACTAACCACCACAACCACCATGCCAGCTAATTTTAAAAAATCCTTTTTTGTAGAGATAGAGTCTCACTGTGTTGCCAGGCTGTAAAAGAATTTTTTAAATTTCATTTTTTCTAACTCAATGATTATTTTGAAAATTAATAAAATTAATATAAATATATTTAGGATCATCTGAGTGCCTATTTTATAGCCAAGTACTGCCACAAAATTTCAATATTCCAAGTTGCACATTAATTGTAGAAACATCAACGAAAACAGGGGGTAGACTTGATATGTAAGTGATGAATTTGAACTAACTGGAGGCTGAATTACATCATAGTGTATTGTACAGATGAATGTTTCTCAGTGATTCAAATATAGAGAACTAATGGGGGAAGTGAGTCAACACAGCACAAATAGTAAAAATCTGCCAAACTAAAATGAATGTACCAGACCAATCAGTATCGTTTAGTTTAAACCAAATCACAGAATCAGTGATGTTAAATTAATTAATTTGAATTTTATTTTATGGATTTATTATAATTAATTTATTTTAAAAATGCTTTTTTGTTGTATGAGTTACATACATCAGGAATTTAACTGTTTTCTATTTGTAGATATTTCTATAACATTATAATGAAAACAATTTGTCAAGCTTCTGCTTCCGGCCAAGATGGATTAACAGGATTTAGAGGTACCCTCCTATTTGGGACGACTTAAAAAGTGAACAAAATATATGGAACAACACTTTTCAAGATATTAGACATCAGGCAATGAGGGGTAGTGTTCCCTGAGATATGGGAAGCAAACACATATCCCCCTCTGACTGTGAGGATAAACTTGAGTGTCCCCTCCCATGGCACAGGGAGGGGACACTCAAGTAGAGCCTGGTAAATTCCTTGAGTTAAGGATGTTGACTGGAAGCTTGAGGAGACCTGGGTGGCTAGAATTCTGAAGAGAGGAGAGTTACACAGAGAAGTCCAGAGACCTGCAGAGGGTTCCCCTCAAATATTTAGCAGATTAGCGAAGACTGCATGCACATGAGGAAACTACCTGAGGTTCTGAAAGAATCACTCAAGAGGATTTCTTTTTTAAACCTCCCTAGTGCTGGAGCACCCAAGAGGATTAGAGGGAATAATGGTGCTTGCACAGGGCTAGAAATGTGCCTGTCCACTGACCACTCTCATCCCCCAGCCAAATAAGAAAACCCCATAATTCATGGGGAATTGTGTAGAGTACTTAGTATAGCCATGCCCCAGAAATGGGGAATAATTAGCTCTATAATAAATGCTGATCTGGCTTAGCTAACAAATTCAACAGACAGATTTAAAAAGGCCAAACTATTTCCTAGTAACTTAACTGTGGCCCAGAATCAACTTCAATGATATTTATAAGAACAAAAAAAAATCCATCCCCCAACAAGGTAAAAAACACAATGTCTGGCATCCAATCAAAAATTACCAGGCAATCAAATGATGTGGGAAAATAAGACCCATAATTATAAGAAAAATAATAGAAACTCATCCAGAATTGACAAAGATGCAAAAATTATCAAATGGCATTAAAATAGTTATTATGGCTATAGTCCATATGTTCAAAAAGCTAATGGAAAGATTGAACATGTTAATTAGAGACATAGAAGATATGAAAAGGATCCAAATAGACTTTAGAGATGAAAACTATAATACTTGAGATGAAAAATACACTGATGGGATTAAAGACAAATTAGACATTATGGAAGAGAACATTAGTAAACTTGTAGACATAGCAATAGAATTAATCCAAAATGAAAAACACAGAAAAAAATAAATTTTAAAAAGTACACAGAGTATCATAAACTGTGGGGCAACTTTAACTGGTTTACTATATAGACAGTTCCTGACTTACGATTTTTCAACTTAACGATGGTGGGAAAGTGATGCTTATTCAGTAGAAACTGTACTTTGAGTACCCACACAACCATTCTGTTTTTTACTTTCAGTAGAGTACCTAACAAATTGCATGAGATATTCAACACTTTATTATAGAAAAATAATAAAATGTTAGATGATTTTGCTGAACTGTAGGCTAATGTAACTGTTCTGAGCCTGTCTAAGACAGGCTAGGCCAAGCCATGATGTTTGGTAGATTAGGTGTATTAAATACATTTTTGACATGATATTTTCAACTTATGATGGGTTTATTGGGACATAATCCCATCTTGAGTTGAGGAGAGCTTGTATATGTGATTGGGGACCCTAAAGGAGGGGGGATAGAAAAGTATTTGAAGAAATAATGATAACGTATTTCTAAATTTGATACAAAACACAAACCCAAAATTCTGTGAAATTTCAACAAATCCCATGTGCAGGAAGCAGAAAGAAAACTACACCAGTTTGGGCAACTATAAATTGCCCAAAACCAGTGACAAAAAGAAAATCTTAAAAGCAGCCAGAAAAAAGTACATACAGAAGAACAAAGATAAGGAGGACAGCATATTTCTCTCAGAAAAATGCAAGCAAGAAGACTGGAGAAAACATCTTTGAAGTACTGAAATAAAAAAATTATAAATAGGAATATTTTCTAAAAATGGAGGGAAAACACTTTTTTAGACCTACAAAAGCTGAAAGAATTAACCGCCAATAGACCTGCACCACAAGAAATGTTAAAGGAAGTCCCTCATGTGGAAGGAAAATGGTAACAAGGAAACCTGGAACTACACAAGGGAAGGAACAACAGAAATGCTAACTCCGTGGGTAAATACATACTTTTTTTCTTATTACTTAGAGCCTTTTGAAAGAGAATGAAGTTTTGAGGTTGGGCACGGTGGCTTACGCCTGTATTCCCAACTCTTTGGGAGGCTGAGGCAGGCGGATCACCTGTGGTCAGGAATTCAAGACCAGCCTGGCCAACATGGCAAATAAAAAAATTAGCTGGATGTGTTGGCACACATCTGTAATCCCAGTTACTCAGGAGGCTGAGGCATGAGAATTGCTTGAACTTAGGAGGCGGAGGTTGCAGTGAACCAAGATCACACCACCGCATTCCAGCCTGGGTGACAGAGCGAGACTCTGTCTCAGAAACAAACAAACAAATTAAAAACAACTAAATAAAACAGAATGGACTGTTGAAACAAAAATAAAATGTAGTGTAGATTTTATATAGATGTGAAATGCATGACAACAGTAGCACAAAGGCTGGGAAGAGAGAAATGATAGTATACTATAGTAAGTTTCTTATGCTATATGTGAAGTAGCATAATTGGTTCTGCTTCTGTAACTGTGCTTTGACTGATAGAGGTTCTATGAAAAACTTGTTGGGATTTTGAACGGGATTGTGTTAAATCTATAGCTCCATTTGGAATCTTCCTATTCATAAACATGGTATGTCTCTCTGTTTACTTATGTCTTCTTTAAAGTCTTCTAATAAAGTATTATTATTTTTTCCATAAAGGACTACTTCTTTTGCTATTCCTAGTTACTTTATATTTTTGTTACTATGAAAAATGTCTTTTTATTTATTTTTGAGACAGGGTCTCACTCTGTCACCCAGGCTGGATTGCAATGTGACCATGGCTCACTGCAGCCTCAACCTCCTGGGCTCAAGTGATCCTCCCACTTCAGCCTCCTAAGTAACTGGGACCACAGGCACATGCCACCATGCCTGGCTAATTTTAAAATGTTTTATAGAGACAGGGTCTTGCTATGTTGCCAGGGCTGATCTCAGACTCCTAGGCTCAAGTGATCCTCCTACCTTGACCTCCCGCAGTGCTGGGATTTCAAGCAAAAAAAAATCTTTAAAAAAAAATAGATTTTATTTCAGTTTTAATCTTAGGTTCCCAGCAAAATTTCATGGAAGGTGCAGAGATTTTCTGTATATTCCTCACTCCCACATATACATAGTCATTTCTGTGTGATGGCTAATTTTATATGTCAACTTGACTAGGCTAAGGGATGCTCAGTTAGCTGGTAAAATATAATTTCCGGGTGTATCAGTGAGGGAGTTTCTGGAAGAGCTTAACATTTGAATCAGTAGACTGAGCAAAGAATATCAGATTGACTAATGTGGGTGGGCATGAGCCAACTCATTGAGGGCCCAAATAGAACAAAAGGGCAAAGGAATGGCAAATTCTTTCTCTCTCCTCTTGAGCTGGGACATCCATCTTCTCTTGTTCTTGGACATTGGAGCTCTTGGTTTTTGGGCCTTCAGACTCAGATTGAAATATGCCACCAACTTTTCAGCTTTTCTGATTCTCCAGTTTGCAGACAGCATACCATGAGACTTCTTGTCCTCAAGTAATTGAATGATTGAGTCCCATAATAAATCTTCTCATATATATACAAGGGTTTTTCTAGAGGAATAGAATTAATGGGATATACATAGAATCAATGGGCTACATATATATATATGTAGGTATACATATGTATATCCCATTGATTCTATTCCTCTTGAGAACTCTGACTAGTACACTCCCCATAGCAGCATCCTGCAGCAGAGTGACACATTTGTTACAATCAATGAACCTACAGTTATACATTATTAGCATCCTAAGTCCATTGTTTATGTTAAGATTCATTCTTGGTATTGTACCTTTCATGGGTTTTGACAAATGTATAATGACATATGTCCACTATGATGGTTGTTGCAGGTAGCAACTAGCTAGGGCCAGTGTCACAGGTGGTAAAAGTATTTACCATTACAGTTATAGGTAAAGAAAGACATATTTGTTAGAGAGGGTACGAAAATATGTCGCAAGGATGCAAAGGGCAGCACAGCAGAGAACGGGCTGTCTGCAAAGAGGCAGGTGCTGGAGGGAAGTTTTATTGGGAAGTTTTATAGTGCTGAAGGGGGCTACATGAAGAACCAATCATTGTGCCAGTGGTTGAGGTCACTGTGCCCAGGAATATTGTTGTGTCCTCATGTTGTTTGTGATTAGCCATCTCTCAGAACAATTGTTCATTGTTCTTCCTCACCTGGGGTTCTTGCCTTTTGTTGCTTACTCATCGGGACTCCACAATGGTATCATACAGAATAGTTTCACTGCCCTAAAATTCCTCCGTGCTCCACCTATTCATCTCTCCCTCCTTCACGCAACCCCAGTCTCTAGTCACCACCGATCATTTTCTTGTCTCCATAGTTTTGCCTTTTTCAGAATGTCTTTTTCAAAAGCTATACTGTATAATTCCAATACAGTACAGCTTTTTCTGACTGGCTTCTTTCACGTAGTGAAATTCAGTTAAGTTTCTGGATGTACCAAAGTTTATTTCTCCATTTACCTACTGAAGGACGTTTTGCTTGTTTTTGCTTGTTTCCAAGCTTTGGCAATTATTAATAGAGCTGCTATAAATACCCATGTACAGGGTTTTGTGTGAACAGAAGTTTTCAACCCCTTTGGGTAGATATCAAGAATGTGATTACTGAATCATATGGTAAGAGTATGTTTAGTTTTGTAAGAAACTGCCAAATTGTTTTCCAAAGTGGCTGTGCCATTTGCATTCCCACCAGTAATGTCTGGAGTTCCCGTTGCTGCACAATCTTGTCATTATTTGATGTTGTAGGTGTTTGGGATTTTGGCCACTCTAAAAGATGTGTAGTGGCTGGATATGTCTTTTTAAAATGTCAATTTTCTAACTTTTTGTTGATGTTGTGTACAATTTTGTATATTAATCTTATAATCAGCACATTTGCCATACTGTTACTAATTCTAATAATTTGTAGATTCTTCTGTATCTTCTATTTAGGCAATCATATCATATCATATCATATCATATCATATCATACCATGCAGATGTGAGGGAATGGTGGTTTTGTTTCTTCCTTTGCTTAATCCTTCTACCATTATGTTTCAAACAATTTTCTGTTGAAAAAGAGGATTTTCAGATATAGTTTGAAGGAATTTGGCTACGATATGGATAATATCAAGTTTGAGACTTCCATTGTGAAGTTTGATTTTTGCCCCCTTCTCTTATGAGCTAAGAGAAGTTTAATTTTCTTCCTCTTCTCACTTCCCCTTTATTGGAAGTTGAATTCTACTTAATCCTAATTTCTCTTCTTTTTCAGAAGTTAATTATAATGTTCTTCCCCAAGGGTTTTACTTTAAGGTAGATGTCAGCCAAAATGATGAGGTTAGGTGCAACCTGCATCTTTGTGTTTCTGAGGTTCAAAGAGCTCTTAAAAGCCATGTGATCAACTCTAGAAGAGACCTAGAAGTTGGTAGAAACTCAAAATATGTTTATTCAACTGATTTCATGCAATTATTAGGGAATACACATTCTTTTTAAGTAAACATGGACATACATGAAAATTGACCATATGCTTATTCGTATAACAAATTCTTAAAAGTTTTCAAAGAATGAATACCAAATAGAACACGTTCAGTGACATCAATGCATTTAAGTTAGAAATCAGTAACAAAAATATACCTTTAAAATGCTATACATTCAGAAATTAATCCATGGATTAAAGAGAAAATCACAATAGAAATTAGAAAATACTTATAACTGAATGATAATAAAGACTGCATAAGTAAACACTTGTGGGAGGCAGCCAGAACACTACTTAAAAGAGACATGAAAAGATGCTTGATCACATTATCATCATGGAAATGAAAATGAAAATCCCAATGAGATACCATATTGCACTTATTAGAAGCTGGCAAAAGTTTTTTCTTTTAGGAGATGAGGTTTCACTCTGTGGCTCAGGCTGGAGTGCAGTGATGTGATCATGGCTCACTGCAGCCTCAAACTACTGGGCTCAAGTGATCCTCTCACCTCAACTTCCCAGGTAGCTTGGGATTACAGGTGTACATCATCATGTCCTGCTGATTTTTAATTTTTTTGTAGAGATGGAGTCTCTCTATGTTGACCATTATGGTTCTGAACTCCTGGGCTCAAGTAGTCCTCCTGCTGACATAAGATTCTTTCAGTGCCACTTTGCCACTTGGAAAACTCTATGGCTGGCAGCTCCTCTGCCTGAGTTTCACTTGTGACTGCAAGGGGGTGTTACAGTGTGTCATAGCTCTGGCTTGGGGAGTCCCAAGGTCTGGGCCCTGAGAAGGATTGCAGCTCTTCCCTTGTAGTCTGGTGAATGGGAGCATGTCACTGCCCGCCATTCAGGAACATGCTTCAGCTCATTCATGTTACAACTCATTCAGCCCTGCCACCCTGCTTTGTCCTGAGGCTCCTGGGTTGGCCTGGTCCTGCCACTACTTCTTATCATGTGGGGTGGCTGGTCAGTGCCAGCAGAGCACAGGAGGGCTACAGTGTTAGAGCTCCTTTTGCACCTGGCTTTTGATGGGTCCCAGGTTCTTGTCCTGCGTCCAAGAAGAATGAGGTTACATGGACAAACAGAGAGTAAGCAAGGTGGAGAAGAGTTTTATTGAGCAACAGACCAATTCTCAACAGGATAGGGGACCCAGAGTGGGTAGCCCCTATCTGAAGGCAGGGTAGTCCCAATGTGTGGCTGAGTCTGGGGTTTTTATGGGCTCAGAGTTGGGGAGTGCATGCTGATTTGTCCATGAGTGAGCCTGGAAGAAACACCATTTGATTGGCTAAAAGGCATCGAGGAAGTTCTCACTCCGGGTTATGGACTCTACGCAGAACTAGCAGCCCAGTTTTCAGGCTCTGGCTGTCTTTGGCTTGAAGGTTGGGTTTCATTGGGGACCAACCCCTGTCTGCCTAGGAATCTGTCTGCCTCCTGCTACTATCACTGCCTCAGCCTCCCAAGTAGCTGGGATTACAGATGCACACCACCACACCTGGCTAAATTTTTTGTAAAAGACAAGGTACTCAGTCTGGTCTTAAACTCCTGGGCTCAAGTGATCCTCCCACCTTGGCCTCCCAATGTGCTGGGATTATAGGCCTGAGCCATTGTGCCTGGCCAAGTTTGAAATCTGTAGTGTTTTAAAATCTGTAGTGTTTGCAAGAATGTGGAACAATGGGAACCCTTATGTGCTGTTGGTGGAAGTGTAAGTTAGTCTATCACTTTGGAACAAAGGTTGATATTACTCAGGAAATTTGAAGATGTACATGTCCATAACCTAAAATTCCTTTCCTTGATATATAAACTGTGAACTCTCATATGTATGCATCAGGATATATTTACAATAATATTTATAGGAATATTATTAGAAATAGTCTAAAAATTGCAAGCAATTGAAATGTGTATTGATAGAAGAATGGCTAAAGAAAAGTAGGTGTTGTCACATAATGGAATATTATACAGCAGTGAAAAGGAATAATCAATGCCTTACTGCTACATGGGCAAATATCAAAGCAACTTTGAACTGAGAAGGTAAGTCACAAAAACACACAATCAGTTTAATTCCCTTCATGAAAATTTCAAAAGCATGCAAAACTATACATTTATTTTATTGGGGTGCAATAAATTGATTCTAAGACAATGAGAGAATTCAATATCTAGAAAAGCAATCACTCTAGGGTAGAAGGGGGGAAAGGCAAGCTGTCAAAAAAGGGCACAAAGAAGAAATGTGGCAAAATAAAGTTCATATAATATGTGCAATTAAAACCACAAAAGGCAGAAAAGAGTAAAAGACAAAATAGGAATAAGGAATAAGGGCAAAAAATAGAAAATGGTAACAAAAGAGGTAGTTATTAATCTAACAATATCAAGAATCTTTTTGAATGTCAATGGTATAAATGCACCAATTAAAAGACAAAGATTGTCAGAAAGGATAAAAAAAATTTCCAATTATATGTTGTCCACAAGAAACCTACTTTAAATATAAAGACACATGTATTAAAAGTAAATGATAAGAAAGATATACCACGCTAACACCAATCAGAAGAAAGCAGGAATCACTATATCAATTTCAGATAGAGGAGAATTCAAAGCAAGGAAAGTTATTGGGGATAAAGTGTGGCATTACATAATTATAAAGGGGTCAATTCTTTAAGAAGAAATAATCCTTAATGTGTATGTGCCTGAAAACAGAGCATCAAAACACGTGAGCCAAAAAAGGGCATAAAGTAGATTTCCCAAGTGCTAGTAATATTTTATGATGTAAGCTGGGTGATAGGTATATGAAATGTTGTCTTATATAAAATATGTATGTAAATCATATATGCCATTTTGTATGTGCTATGGTCTGAATGGTGGTATTCCCCCAAATTCCTGTGTTGGAACCTAATACCCAATGTGATAGTATTAAGAGTTGAGACATTTAGAAAGTGATTAGGTCATGAGGGGATCTGCTCTTATGAATGGGACTAGTGCCCATATAAAAGAGACTTGAGAAAAGAGAGCTTGTTTTGCTCCTTCCATCATTTGAGGACACAGAGAAGACACCATCTTCTATGGTGGAAAGGAAACTTCATCAGGTACTGAATTTGCTGGCACCTTGGTCTTGAACTTCCCAGCCTCCAGAACTGTGAGCAGTAAATTTATGCTGTTTATGAATTACAAATTCATGTTGTTTATAAATATACCAGTTGAAGCTATTTTGTTATAGCAACCAGAACAGATTAAGAGAGCATGTATGCTGTATGCATATATATATATATCTCATATATTGTATATATCTTTATATAATATTAATATTTTATGATGTATTTCACAACATGGAAAAGATTGCTCTGGTAGCTACATGGAAAGTGTTTCTCCTCTTTAACAGAGTCAGGGAGACATGTAAAGATGCTGACACAGTATTGATAAAATGCACAAATCTTTTGAAATAGAATTTAGGACTTTTGAATTAACTGGATGCAGTAGGTTAAAGAAAAAGGAAAAAAAAGATTATTCAATTTTCAGGCTTATAAGACTATACATCTTTATAATTCATAGAAAAATTCTGGAAAGCTAACACTAGAAACAGTGTTGCCTTCAGTGGATAATCGAAACAGGGTCTAGGTAGATGAGAGAGGGAAGCATACTTTTCACTGTCCCTTTTGAATTCTGAACTATGTTCATGCATTATCTATCCAAGAAATGAAAAAAAAAAAAAGAAAATAAAAAGATGAGATTTGTATGTAACTCATATATGCCTGTTCTGATATAATAGAAAAGTTTTGTAGTAGCAATATTATTACAGCAATGAGTCCACTCATGTTTTTGGGATCTGATGCTGAATTAGGCTAAATAGCATATTGATATCATTTGGGTGTTTGCCCTCTCCAAATATCATGTTGAAATGTAATTCCCAGCCAGGTGTGGTGGCTCACGCCTGTAATCCCAGCACTTTGGGAGACTGAGGTGGGTGGATCACAAGGTCAGGAGTTCAAGACTAGCCTGGCCAACATGGTGAAATCCTGTCTCTACTAAAAATACAAAAATTAGCTTGGCATGGTGGCATGTGCCTGTAATCCTAGCTACTCAGGAGGCTGAGGCAGGAGAATGGCTTGAACCTGGGAGGCGGAGGTTGCTGTGAGCTGAGATCATGCCACTGCACTCCGGCCTGGGTGACAGAGCGATACTCTGTCTCAACAACAACAACAACAACAAAAAAAGTAATTCCCAGTTTTGGAGGTGAGGCCTGGAGATGTTTGGGTGATGGGGGTGGATTCCTCATGCATGGCGTGGTGCTGTCCTCATGGTAATGAGTGAGTTCTCACACTGAGTTCAAGAGAAATCTGGTTGTTTAAGAGAGTGTGGCGCTTCCTCCCTCTCTTGCTCTTACTCTTGCCATGTGATTCGCCTGCTCCCCCTTTGCCTTCAGCCATGAGTGGAAGCTTCTTGAGGCCTCACCAGAAGCAGATGCCAGCACTATGTTTCATGTACAACCTGCAGAACCATGAGTTAATTAAATTTATTTTCTTTATAGATTACCCAGTCTCAGGTATTCCTTTTTAGCAATGCAATAATAGACTAACACAGAAAATTGGTACCAAGAAGTGGGCCATTGCTATAAAAATACCTGAAAATGTAGAAGCAGCTTTGAAACTGGATAATGGGTAGAGGTTGGAAGAGTTTGGAAGTCTCGGAAGATAGGAAGATCAGGGAAAGTTTGGAACTTCTTAGAGACTGGTTAAATGGTTGTGACCAAAATGCTGATAGAAATATGGACAGTGAAGCAAGCTGATAAGGTCTCAGATGGAAATGAAGAAGTTATTGGGAATTGGAGTAAAGGTCACCTGTGTTACACTCTAGCAAAGAACTTGGCTGTACTGTGTTCATGTCCTAAGGAAGTTTGAACTTAGGAGTGATGACTTGGGGTATCTGGAAGAAGAAATTTTTAAGCAGCAAAGTGTTCAAGATGTGGCCTGGCTGATTCTAACTGCCTGTAATCAGATGTGGAAGCAAAGAAATAACTTAAAGTTGGAACTTATATTTAAAAGGAAAGCAGAGTGTAAAAGTTTAGAAAATTTGCAACCTGGCCCTGTGCTAGAGAAAGAATCCAAGCAGGCTGTGGAACGACCACTTGCTAGAGAGATTTGTGTGTCTAAAAGGGTGCCAAGTGCTGATATCCAAGACAATGGGAAAAGGCCTTAAAGGCATTTCAGAGATCTTCTAGGCAGCTCCTCCCATCACAGGCCCAGAGGCCTACGAAGGAAGGATTGGTCTCAGGGACCAAGCCCAGGGCCTCACTGCCCTGTTCAGTGTCAGAGTACTGCTCCTACATCCCAGCTGCTTCAGCTCCAGCTGCAGCTCAAAGGGCCCCAGGTACAGCTCAGGCCACTGCTCTAGGGGGCATAAGCTGTAAGCCTTGGTAGCTTCCACATGGTTTTAAGCCTGCAGGTGCACAGAATGCAAGAGTGAAGGACATTTGGCAGCTTCCACCTGGATCTCAAAGGGTGTATAGAAAAACCCCAGGTGCCCAGGTGGAAGGCTACCATGGGGGTGAGCCCCCACAGATACTCTACTAGGGCAGTGCTAAGAGGAAATTAATTAGAGTCCCCACATAGAGTGTTCACTGGAGCACTGACTAGTGGAGCTGTGGGAAGAGGGCTACTGCCCTCTAGACCCCAGAATGATATAGCCACTGACTTGCATCCTGAACCTGGGAAAACCACAGGCACTCAACTTCAACCTGTGAGATCAGCCATGGGGACTGTACCCTGCAAAGCCACAGGGGTGGAGCTTCCCAAAGCATTGGGAGCCTGTCCCTTGGCACCAGTGTGCCCTGGATGTGGGACATGGAGTCAAAGGAGATTATGTTGGAGTTTTAAGGTTTAATGTCTGTCCTGCTGGGTTTCAGATGTGTGGGGCCTGTAGCCCCTTTCTTTTAGCTGGTTTCTCCCCTTTGGATTGAGAATGTCTACCCAATGCTTGTACTCCCCTTGTGTCTTTGAAGTAAAGAAATTGCTTTGCATTCCACAGGCTTATAGGTGGAAGGAATTTGACTTGAGTATCAGATGAGACTTTGAACTTTGGACTTTTGATTTAGTTGATGCTGGAATATGTTGAGACTGGGAGACTGTGAGGAAGGGTTGATTGTATTTTGCAATGTGAGAAGAACAAGGGATTTGAGAGGCCATGGGTGGAATGACATAGTTCGGACGTTTGTCCCCTTTAAATTTCATGTTGAAATGTAATCCACAACATTGGAGGAGGGGGCTGATGGGAGGTGTTTAAGTCATGGGGGTGGATCCCTTATGAATGACTTGGTGCTGTCCCCACAATAATGAGAGAGTTATCGCTCGGTTCACATAAGATCTGGCGTCTCCCCCGACTCTTGCTCCCATTCTCCCCATTTGACTTGCCTGCTGTCCCTTTGCCTTCTGCCATGACTGGAAGCTTCCTGAGGCCCTCACCAGAGACAGATGTGGGTGCGGTGCTTCTTGCACAACCTGCATAACTATGAGCCAACTAAATTTGTTTTCTTTATAAATGACCTAGTTTCAATGCAAGAATGAACTAACACACAAATCTTTTGTGTTTATCCTAGGCTAGGATGGAAGCGAGAGTCGACTGCCCTCTGGTCAAGGACTGACTCCTGCTGAGGTAAAACATGGCTGCTAGGCTTCCCCTTCAGTAGGGCTGTAAGTGGGCAATGACTGATTGATATAACAGCACAAAGAAACCATAGACTACTCCCTGGCTGATCCTAGTGGCTGCAGCAGCCCCGTTTTAAAATTGTAAAGTGTGGTTGATCTTTGACACTCCTTCATGCCCTATCTGTATATTTTCTTACCAGCATCCTCTCATGTGCATAATCCTACACATGTAAGCTAGTCCTCGGCTAGCTGCAAAGTGATAAAGCCTTAAATTATTAACCCTCCAAAGGGATTCTGTGTATGTGTGTGTGTGTGTGTGTGTGTCTCTGTGAGAGAGTGTGAGTATATGTTTAAGAGGCAGGAGTTGGCCGGGCGCGGTGGCTCACTCCTGTAATCCCAGCACTCTGGGAGGCCGAGGCGGGCGGATCACGAGGTCAGGAGATCGAGACCATCCTGGATAACACGGTGAAACCCCGTCTCTACTAAAAATACAAAAAAATTAGCCAGGTGTGGTGGCAGGCACCTGTGTCCCGGCTACTCGGGAGGCTGGGGCAGGAGAATGGCATGAACCCAGGAGGCAGAGCTTACAGTAAGTGGAGATCATGCCACTGCACTCCAGCCTGGGTGACAGAGCGAGACTCCATCTCAAAAAATAAAATAAAATAAAAAATAAAAAATAAAAAAAGAGACAGGAATCTAGCTATGTTGCCCAGGCTACAACTCCTGGCCTTGAGCTCCTGGCCCCTCAAGTGATCCTCCCACCTTAGCCTCCTGAAAAGGGATTCTGTGTTTTTATCAGGAATCCTAAAAATCAGAAAGCCCTCAAAACTAAAAAAAAAAAAAAAAAAGACTCTAATTATGAGCTTTCTAATGCTTATGTCTTTTACATTATGCTGTTTGACTAATCACTAATGCTGATCCTGCCTCTTGTTTTACAATGTTATTTATATAATATGCAATTGAGTTAGTTTTATTTAATTTTCATTCATACCATTCCTCATTTTGTAATGTATTTATGGTGACTTAAAATAAACACAGACCATAAAATGGTAAACTACAAATAAAGAGTTAAAAATCAGGCCCAGAGAAATAAAAACTAGAGTAGAAATCATGACCAGGCATAAAAGTAGTATGCAAATGAACTACTAGAATTGAGTTTCAAGTTTGGCCTAGGATTTCTAGTGAAAGTAAAAAGAGAGACATGATATGTTACTGGCTATTCTCCCCTTGACTTCCCTTCCAATACCTCCCAAACCCTCCCCTCCCCAAGCCTTCTATTTCCTTAGTGGAGTATGTAGCTTTTCCTAACACTATGCCCTAGAAGAAATTTCTCACATGGCGCTATAAGCTTATATTATCATCACTAATTCCACCTATCTTTGCATAATAAAGGGCACAAAGCCAAAAAGAAAGTTGTAGTTGAATCAAAATTGAGCTAATGGTTAACTTGTGCACTGAGTATGTAGGAAACAGTGAGTGTAAATGACAAGACTAAAGAGAGTTGTATATTTGTTTAGCAATTTGTATCTCAGTAGCAAATAACTAGGGATTTAAGAATCCTCATTTGTGTGCTTTGGAAATATCATGCAATCACCTAGTAAAATTGCATCATTTTTTGGTTCATATGAAAATATTTGAAGTGATGTTCACTTGGTAATTCTGTTTGCTGAACTTTGTGATTCATGTATTATTTCATTATTAAGTTGCTCTGCTCTCTACATAACTAAATATCTTCATTTAATGGGCCACTGGGGAAATAATAGTAGTTTCGAAGGAAAAGTTTTGTTCAGAATGTTTATCATGAACTTGGATGAAGAGAGAGTATATTGGTTAAAACAGTAATAAACATGAAGTTAGCAGGGTTAATTCAAACAATAAATGACAGACTCTGGGTCTCATTCCATCTTGGGCCCTGTAAATGAACACATCACAGAGGATCTGAAACATGCTAAAATCCAGTCAAATGCCTGTCTGTGGGTTTTTTATGGGCCACTTTCTATTCTAATCCTCTGTTCTTTGCCTGCTCTATGACTCCCCTGGATCTGCCCCTCTCATATCAGGATTAACTGCAGGCATTCTTTCTTACTGACCTATTTGGACCTACTTCTCCAGCTAGGTCCTTGGCACTGTATCCTGGAGATAATCCATGGTCAGCCTTTGGCTCCACACCCTGAAGCTTTGTGGAATGGGTGCTCCTGCCTTCCCTTGCTCCTGAGAGCTTGACTCAGCTTGGCCTAGTTGGCCATGGTTCCTCACAGTATGTGAGTGTATGGGAGTGTGAGCAGTCTTTATCTCCTTTGTGTATTGCCTGGAGTCTAAGAGGGAGGAAACTGAAACGCTGCTCAGAGTTGTTTATTTATTTATTTTGAGATAGGGTCTCACTCTGTTGTCCAGGCTAGAGTGCAGTGGTATGACTGAAGCTCACTGCAACCTTGACCTCCTAGGCTTAAGCAATCCTCCCGCCTCAGCAGCCAGCTTATGCCATCACACCCGACTTATTTATTTATTTATTTATTTTATAGAGACAGGGGCTCCCGATGTTGCCTAGGCTGGTCTTGAACTCCTGAGCTCAAGCGATTCTTCTACCTTGGCCTCCGAAAGTGCTGGGATTACAGGCCTAAGCCCCTGTGCCAGCCCAGAGTTGTTTAACAAAACAAAACAAAAAAAACTTAAAGGTGTGTTCAGTCATTCAATCATTCCTCATTCATTCATTGTCCATTGTGTGCCTGGCAGTGAGAATGCAGAGGTAAACACGACAAACATTCTCTTCACAAGAGTTAACTTAATATCAAAGGAAGAAGTAATTTTAAAGTAGCTTTTTTGGGGTGTGATTTATTTACCATTTAGTGAACATAGTTGACTGGACCTTTAGGCAAGAGTGATATGACAAAGATGACGTGTCCTTAATAGGAGCTATTAATTGGTCTCCGCAGTCGTTCTCAAACTGGGGATGTTGCTGCTCCAGGAGATATTCAGCAATATCTGGAGACATTTTTGGATTCACAACTGTGAAAGTGCTACATAGTGGTTAGAAGTCACGGATGCTGCCAAACACCCTACAATGCAAGGAGAGTATACAGTTTTTCCTAACGCTATGCCCTAGAAGAAATTTCTCACATGGCACTATACGCTTTTAGTATCATCACTAACTCCACCTATCTTTTTTGGACATATAGAGTCCAAAATCTCAGTAGTATTGGGATTGAGAATCTCTGGCTAGTGCATGTATACATATATATTGGTGTATATGTTAATCTGAACGTTTCTGAGAAAGCAACTGTCAGGAAAGCTGCCTTTAGCTTGGTATCTATTATTATTATTTTTAATAGCTGGCATTAACTGATCACTTACTATAGGCCAGGTATTATGGTAAACACTTTAAATTGATCACCTAATTTAATCATCAAAACCGAATAAAGTGGGTATTATTGTTCGCTCTGTTTTAGAGATGGACAAACAGGTGTGGTGGGATTAAGAAACTTGCCCAAGACCTCATTGATGGTAAATGCCAGAGCAGGGAGTTGAGCCCAGGAAGTCTGACTCCTCACTCTTTACCACCACTGTTTGTCTAACTTCTCTAACTCAGATGCCAGGCTCTCCCTTCGGCTGTTCCTTAGCTCATTAGAAATTGCTTTAGTGATCTTCTTTTGGTTATAGGCATCTGTTGGAAGCCCGAGGGGAAAGAGAGGTTGACATAACGATATGGAAGTCAACACAAATTTGGGGAAAAAATAATTTCACATTTTAAAACATCAACATCTAGTTTATATGAGTAATGGTTTTCCCACATGATTGTGCAGTTGACAAATTAATCTGACCCAATTAAACAGAATCAACAAACACTGTTAGTCATATCTAATTCAGCTATTGTTATGTTGATGCAGAATAAACCACAGTACTACAAACAGCAGAAGCAAGCTAATAGGCTCTGATGCATTCAGCTTTCATTATTTTATACTTTATTATTTTGGCTTTACTTTTCATTACTTTACACTTCTGCTTTTCTAAGAATCCCCAGTCAGTTTCTGATTAAAAAAAAAATAGGATTGGATCGAACTTTTCACCAAATTTGGTGTTTTCAGAAGGCAAAGCAGTAGCCCGCTGTCATCCATACCTTTACTTGCATTACAATGTCTGAACACTCCTCCACTGTAATTTGATCTAGTTCCCGAACCCTATAAATCTAACTGATAGAGGGAAACTGAACACCATGTCTGCCCATGTGATAGGGTGGAATTCTTCTGTCCTTCTCACCTGAGTACAACAGGCTTGTGCCATCCAGAAGAATGAAAAGGTAACTCAGAATATGTGGGGTCCTTATAGCCCAGGTGGATATCCTTATGAAGAAGAAGAAGTATGGGCCCCACAAATCGCAGGTTAGTGGAAAGTGGGTGTTGTTCTGGTCCAGTAAGTGTCTGAAATGACTTGCTCTGACAAATACATGTGTGTGTGCCTATAGATTTGGCTGTTTCGTTTTTAGAAAGAGTAACTTATGGCCTGATGTAGTGGCTCACACCTGTAATCCTAGCACTTTGGGAGGCTGAGGCAGGAGGATTAGTTGAACCCAGGAGTTCAAGACCAGCTTCGGCAACATAGCAAAACCCTGTCTTCATGAAAAAAAAAAAAAAAAATTAGCCAGGCATGGTAGTGTGTGCCTGTAGTCCTAGCTACTCAGCAGGCTGAGGTGGGAGACTTGCTTGAGCCCAGGAGATTAAGGCTGCAGTGACCCATGATTGCACCACTGCACTCCAGCCTGGGCAACAGAGGGAGACCCTGTTTCAAAAAAATAAATAAGAGTAGCTTACCTGGAATTCATATCTGTTTGGCTCACCGTGAGTGGAAAATGCCTTTGTATGCAGGGCCAGTAACGGTTTCTAGTGGGTTAAATGTTAGGGATGTTGACTTTCTTTTTCTCCCTTCCTCCCTTCCTCCTTTCCTCCCTTCCTCCCTTCTTTTCTTTCTTTCTTTTCTTTTCTTTTCTTTTCTTTCTTTCTTTCTCTCTCTCTTTCCTTCCTTCCTTCTTTCTTTCTTTCCTTCCTTCCTTCCTTCCTTCCTTCCTTCCTTCCTTCTTTCCTTCCTTCTTCTTCTCCTTCCTTCCTTCTTTCCTCCCTCCCTCCCTTCCACCCTTCCTCCCTTCCTTCTTTCTTTCTTCTATCTATTATCATCTAATTGATAATAAGGGAGGATGACAGGTAAAAATATTTTGGGGGGTAAGCATCCTTTTTCCTGCTTGTTATCAAAACTGATATATCATCTTTCTCTCATACAGTTTAATAAGTCTCACAGAAACTTTCATTAATAACTTATCTGAATTCCTGGAGTGGTAAATGGTTGTCTGGTGGGGTTTCTATTTGTTTGTCTCTCTTGTCCTTTAGAAGTCACAGAGAGGTTAACTATCTCAAAAATTCATGGCTGGTCAATAGTTTAGATCAGTAGCATAGCTTTATGTTTTAGAATCTTCAGAAAGGCTTTCAGAGGATCCACCGTTATTCATCCTGCTTCCAGAAATGTTTTCTGCTACTGCCGGCAAACCCTGTTTGACACTAGAGGTACTTATAGTCCAATCTGAATGATAAGGTTGTGATAATAGCACCTACCTCTTAACTGATTGCAATGTGCTAAGCTCAGTACTGGCTGCCTTAAATTGTAATCTCTCCATTCATCTGTGTAATATCTTATTTATTTATTTATTTTGAGATAGAGTCTCACTCTGTTGCCCAGCCTGGAGTGCAGTGGCACAATCTCAGCTCACTGCAACCTCCGCCTCCCAGGTTCAAGTGATTCTCCTGCCTCAACCTCCCAAGTAGCTGGGATTACAGGCATGTGCCACCATGCTGGGCTAATTTTTGTATTTTTAGTAGAGATGGGGTTTCGCCATGTTGGCCAGGCTGGTCTTGAACTCCTGACCTCAGGTGATCCACCTGCCACTGCTTCCCAAAGTGCTGGGATTACAGGCATGAACCACCGCGCCCAGCCAGCTCTTTTATTTATACCCAATATATGGATGGGAAAAGTGTAGTTTACATTAAAATAATACAGGTTGGATTGAGTCACACAGCTGATAAGAAAGTAGCTTAATTGGAATTTAAATGCAGGTCGGCAGATATCAAGTTCTTGACCTTGTCTCAAAAAAAAAAAAAAGTAAAAACATTATTAGTTTTATTTACCACAAATGGAAGATCAGGGAATCTGGAGGCACAGGTTTGTGTTGTAACACTCCAAATGCCTCAGCACAATGGTAGAAACTCTCCATTATTTGTGTGTGTGTGTGTGTGTGTGTGTGTGTGTGTGTGGTTGTTTTTTTGAGACAAGGTCTCACTCTGTCACCCAGGCTGGAGTGGAGTGAGGTGATCTTGGCTCACTGGAACCTTGGCCTCCCGGGCTCAAGTGATCCTCCCACCTCAGCTCCTCAAGTAGCTGGGACTATAGCCAGGCCACTTTACCTGGCTAATTTTTGTATTTTTGATAGAGATAGTGTTTTGCCATGTTGCCCAAACTCAAACTCCTAGGCTGGTCTCAAACTCCTAAACTCAAGTGATCCACCCACCTCGGCTTCCCAAAGTGCTGGGACTACAGGTGGGAGCCACTGCACCTGGCATGTTTTTCTGGTTTGAAAATCCCAAACTTCTTTTCTTTCATACTTTGCTCCAGCCACACTGGATTACTCATTGTACCCCAGGTATGCCTCACATTTTTATGTAACAAATTTGGCAAGGATTTAATACATCCAAGGCACTGTATATTTGGGGGAGTTTAAAGAAGAATAGACATTGCATAATCTAGTGGGGATGGCATTTGTGGGCTGAGATGCTGTATTGCAGACATTAGTGTGATGAGCACTCACTCCCCAAGAGAGGTACAGATAAAACTCTATAGGAACACAGAAGAGGAAGTGATTACATGCGACAAAAGCAGCATGTGAGCTGGTTCTTGACTAAGAGAATTTTAGCAGGTAGAGATGGTGGAAAGCACATTCTAGGCATTCTAGACAATCCCAAAGCTATGGCATGGGAGGTGTTAACCTGTACAGGGCATGATATGTCCAGGGAAGAGCTACACTGTGTGGAAGAGGACTGGTATCACATTGAACATGGTCAAAGACAGGCTTGCAAGGTGGTGGGGGACAGATGGCCAAGGGCCTCAAATTTCTGATAAGGAATGTGGATTTTGTTCTATAGGCCTAGACACCATTAAAATCCAAAGACTTGCCAAAGCCTCTATCCACCCTGATCTTTCTTGACTCCCCTAAGAATGCTCACCTCACTAGCACCTGATGTTTCCTGTACCTGGAAAAATGTTTCCCCAAATATCTGCACAGCCCGTTCCTTTGTTTCCTGCAGGTCTTTGCCAAAATAACACTTTATCAGAAAGATTCCCCTGACTACCCTGTGTAAAATGGCACCCCCTTGCCCTGTATCCTTAAACCCAGTTTTATTCTTCTCATAGTCCTTACCACTATCTGGTATATTCTTTGTTTACCATTCTTCCCTCCCTCTTTCTTTCTCCCTGACCTGAAATATAAACTCCTTAAGGCAAGAATTCTTTTGTATATGTTTTATTCACCGCTATATTTACAACATCAAGAAGAGGGCATGGTACAAAGAAGGTGCTCAATATATATTTGTTCAATTAATGAATTAATTAAAGTTTGAATTTCCAGCCTCTGAGGCCCCTTAGAATACTTATATGTTAGCAAATTTTTCTTATTTTTAAAGGCTACATGCAAAAGATTCATCTGGATTGTTTGTTAACCAATGAGGAATACTGGTACTCTCCCTCAGAGGTAATTATGCAAATAATCCTCAGATCACATGTTTAAAACAATAAAGTGTGTCCCTTAGGACTCTCAGATAGCTAGTTATAGACAATAAAACTCAAATGGGCTCAAAAGAAAAGGAGAATCTTGTGGTTCACAAAATAAAAAATTCCATCATGTACCGCTTGACCCAGTGATGTAACCAAATCCTGTTTCTATCCCTCTCTCCGCTCGATCTTTCATGGCTGGATTTATCCTTGGATTCCACTTGGTGGCAAAATGGCAACTACAATTCTAGATGTTACATTTGCTCCCCACATCATGCATCAGAAAAGAACAGTGCTTTTGAACTTGGTCTCTGACACAGAGTTTGAGATTCACTCTCTCTCTCTTTGGCTCAAATTGTGTGCCTTCTTCATTCCCACCTCAGTCATTGTGACCAGTGTCAGGGGTGGACAATGCTGATTGGCCAAGCCATCCAGGGCCCACCACTAGAGCGGAGGTGGATGAGTGAGGTTAATATGACCACAACTATGTGGTCGAAGAGCAAATGTTTCAAAGGAAAATTTAGGGTGCTATTGGAGGAAGAATAGGAACTTGGATCCTAGGGAGGCAGCCAACACAATACCTGGCTTTGGGTATTCTCTTTCAGGTAGTTGACATTTGCTCCCCAGACTGGTGGTGATGGACCACAACTGTGTGGACCCGTTTCTAATCTAGTTAGGTGATATTTTTGTTCCCCTTTTTTTTCTGCAGGTATTTCGAATACTCACTATGCGCCACAAATCCCCTACCTTGTCCTACTCCTTCTTAGCAAATGATTTTGACTCTAATTCATAGAGAAAATAGAATTAAACAAGTATACCATTTCTACCACCTGACCATCCAATTCACAAACTCATTTACATTTGTGCTCATTCGTACCTAGTCCCTGGTAATCTTAAGCGTTGCAATTAGCAAACTATCCTCTGTGGGCCTGCCACATTTTTTTGTAAGAGAAAAATGTTATAGAAAGACAGTTATACTCATTTGGTTAAGTATTGCCTTTAGCAGCCAGGCGTGGTGGCTCATGCTGTTCTCCCTCAATCTACCAGGGTGCTCAAAGATATCAGACTTAAAACAAAACAATTCTCTTGGTTCTTCGACACTCTCATGACCCTGCTCTATCTTTTATTTTCCCTTCTCATCCAAGCTTCTTTTTGTATATATACATATCTTTGCCATTTATTTTTTAAAATCTTATTCAAAATATTAAATAATACAGTTTCAGATTGAAAAAAATTACTGCAATAAAACAATTCAGAGATATTTCCATTGTGCTTCCCTTCCTTGTTAGGAAAGTACACTGTCCACCCTAGAGACAGGATGGACGGCCTTCTTCCAGCTCTACCGAAAGCACAAGCCCACTGGCTCACCTGGGCCCTGCTTAACATATATTAGGGCTTATGTTTTCTGAAATGTTGTAGTGACACTTGTAAGTCAACCATGGTTCAAATCACATATTTATGTATTGATCAGTTCTTTATTATAGAAAGATAGACACAAATGAAATATAGTAAATAATTTCCAGTTGCCATAAAAAACAAAAACAAAAGAAAACAAGCGTGGAGGAAAAAAGGTCATTGTACACAAATATACTTTATGTATACAAACAACTTCATTCAGGTATAATTTTAATTTGAAAGACCTAGATACAGTATTATTTAAGTGATAATGGCCCATAAGATTTATTCAAATTCACTATAAAATAATAAATGGAGTAAACAAATGTGGTATAATTTTAAACTCTGCCCAGTGCTTGAAACCTTGGAGGAACCCATGCTATAATCAATTGCTAATTAAAAGCAACTGTACATGTATTTAATATTTTATCACAGTTTCTACTTCTAAATTTAACATAGTAATTCAAACCAAAAAAAATAGTATCTCTGTAACGTTTTATGTATGTCCACTGCAAGCTGCAGAGTCTCTGTTGCCAAGATTTCTTGACACATTTAATGTTTTACCTAAAATTGTGGTCAGATTGAGCAATATCGTTATCCTAAATTATGTTTAAATTATCTAAAAATATCCAAAGCAGTTTTCTTGGAAGGAAAAAAAATATTATTCAAATGTAAAGCATTATCACACATATCCTTGTACATTACAGTTTGGGACCACAAAAAAATGTGTGGTTAAAAAATAGTATTTGAATGGCAGAGAATGAATGTGAGTCAGCAGTGACAGATATGTTAGAATTTAGTTACAGGTTTGGGATCTTTTAAAAGTAGCATCACTAATACTTCCAGAAGAAGCATAATAAATCTAAAACAATAAAAACTAACAGTGTAAATATAAGGTAATGCTTAACTCACATTTTGGACACCTGATTAAACTCAACTCTAAAAGTACAGATCAAAAAATTATATACTCCTTGTTTATGACATTTAATTTCCAAAGCACCAAGGCAAAAGAGAGACCCACCTCTCATTTAAGTACCAATTGCCTATGGCAAACATCTGCACAATATCATATAAAAAGTCAAGCAAATAAAATTACATAATAAGCAAACTCAAATCACAGGGCAAAAAATATAATTATTGGTAATCTTCAAAGAAGACATTGCCTCATTAACATTCTGATCTAGGCAATGGTATTCTACTGTTTTGGAACAAAGGCCATCACGCCATTTTCTGCTTTGAACTAGAAGAAAAATCTTCCTTTTTTTGTGATATGTAATGTAGACAATAGCAATGCAAAAAGCAAAAATAATAAGATGAAAAAAGAAATGGCTATCTTCCTCTTCTATATTTGAGGATGGCATCTTAAAAGATTTCACTGACTGTTCAATTTCCATGTAACCCCTGTTTTCTTCCAAGGTGTCATCAGACTCGTCGTCATCCCTGTGGCCCGTGGTCCAGTAGTCTGGTTCCATAGTCTGTTCCATAGTCTGGTTCTCCATAATTGCCACTGTCCAGAGTGTCTTTGGCTGTGGATGGAGAACTGTTCAGCGTGAGAAGATCCTCCTCCTCTATGCTAGGATCTTCATTGTTATCAGCTTCCTCTTGAGACAGAGGTGTAGGTGAGGGATGAGGGGCCACAGATGCTCCTCCACTTTTCTCAGTATTCATTGTGGGAGGGAGGGTGGTACTGATTTGGGAAATAGAAGATTTGGTTTGTTTTTCATGTGTTAAAGCATTCACATTTGGGGTAGAAATATCTGAGTTGAGTACAGTTTGAATCAGTGAATCAGTCCATGATACAACACTGGATAGAGTGGCGGACACAAGGAGGAGCGCCAAGACCAGCGGCCGCACCAGCCCCGCAAAGGCTTGGATGGCCGACTTGGGCAGCAGTTTTGCTTGTGCGGGCCCCCTCATCCTCCTCAGGGCAGCAGCAACCATAACGGACTCTTTTTTTTTTTTTTTTTTTTTTAATGTATTATCACTCTGTTGCCCAGGCTGGAGTGCAGTAGCATGATCCTGGCTCACTGCAACCTCCGCCTCCTGGGTTCAAGCAATTCTCCTGCCTCAGCCTCCCAAGTAGCTGGAATTACAGGTGTGTGCAACCAAGCCCACCTAATTTTTGTATTTTTAGTAGAGACATGGTTTCATCATTTTGGCCAGGCTGCTCTTGAACTCCTGACCTCAGGAGATCCTCCTGCCTTGGCCTCCCAAAGTGCTAGAATTACAGGCATAAGCCACCACACCCAGCCCCAAGCTTCTTAGAAGTGTTGTTTTTGTCTGGATGTAGTGGTTCACACTTGTAATCCCAGCACTTATGGAGGCCGAGGTGAGAGGATTCCTTGAGCCTAGGAGTTTGAGACCAGCCTGGGCAACATAATGAGACTTGTCTCTACAAAAAAAATTTAAAAATTAGTTAGGTGTGGTGGTGCATGCCAGTAGTCCCGGCTATTTGGGAGATTGATGTGGGAGGATCACTTAAGCCTGGGAGGTTGAGGCTGCAGCAAGCTATGATTGTGCCACTGCAGTCCTGCCTGAGTGTAGTGACAGAGTGAGATCCTGTCTTGGAAAAAAAGAAAAAAGGAATATGATTAGCCTCATATTCCTCACCTTCCAGTCACTTCTCAAACCACTTCAGTCTTCATCATTTGCTGTTAGTTAACTAGTTAATGAGGTCAATAAGTTTAATTAATTAATTAAACCATTTCATTAACTAGGTAAAATATGTGTGGGGTAACCATTATGTGCCAGGTACTGTTCTAGGCTCTGAGCAGTGACAAAATTGGCAGAAACTCTTGCTGAGTGGAATTTGTAATCTAGTGGCGAGAAAATGAACAAAATAATAAGTAAAATATCCAGTATGTTAGAAAATAACAAGTGCTGTGGAGAAAAACCAATCAAGGAAGGGAGATAGGGAGTGCTCACTGCGAACATGACGTTTGAGCAAAGAAGGTGAGTTAGTGTGCCCTTGGCAGAGGGAACAGCAAGGGTAAGAACCCTTGTATGGGAGTGTCTGGAATGTTCAAGGAACTGCAAGGACCAATATCGCTGGAGTCAATAGGAATATGGGGCAGAGTGATAGGAGATGGGGTTGGAGAAGTAACGGGGGTCTATGTTACTTACAGCCTTACATGCCATTCTAAAGATTTTGGCTTTTGGCCGGGTGCGGTGGCTCATGCCTGTAATCCCAGCACTTTGGGAGGCTGAGGCGGGTGGATCACCTGAAGTCAAGAGTTCGAGACCAGCCTGGCCAAACTGGTGAAACCCCATCTCTACTAAAAATACAAAAAAATTATCCACGCATGGTGCTACATGCCTGTAATGCCAACTACTTGGGAGGCCGAGGCAAGAGAATCGCTTGAACCTGGGAGGCAGATGTTTCAGTGAGCTGAGATTGCACCACTGCACTCCAGCCTGGGTGACAGAGTGAGACTCCGTCTCAAGAAAACACAACAACAGCAGATTTTGGCTTTTGTTCTGAATGATTTCACTCCAAATGATTTGGGATATCATTAAAGAGTTTTTGAGCCAAGAAGTGATATGACCTTATTTAGCATTCTAAAGGGATCCCTCTGGCTGCTCTGAGGGAAGCCAGCTAGGAGATTCTTGCAATTATTCAGAGATGATGGTGGCTTGGATATGGCACTTGCTGGAGTACTGTTCCAGTTCTGAATATATTTTGAAGATAGAGGTAACAGAGGATTGCTATAAATTAGATGTGGTATAGGACAAAGAGGGGAGTCAAGGATAAATCCAAGGCTTTTGGCCTAAGCCACCAAAAAGGTGAAGTTGTCATCAACTGAGATGAGGAAGATTGCATAAGGACCAAGTTTTAGAGGAAAGATCAGGAATTTGTTTTGAGACACACTAAGTTTGAAAGGTCTTTTGGACATTTAAGTGAAAATGTCTAGCATACAGTTAAATATATGTCAGGAGATCAGTAGAGAGGTCAGGGTTGGAGATAAACATTTGCAAGTAAACATATAGATCACAGTTAAAAGTCATATAACTACATGACATCACAAAGGGAGTGGCTGAGATAGAGAAGTGTATAGGCTCTGAGTCCTGGGTACTCCAAATTTAAAAAGCCCAAAAAATGAGGAGAGAGTCTAAAAAAGCAGCAGCCCATGAGACAGAAGGGAAACCAAAAACCAGGATCTATGATGTCATGAAAGCCAATTAAGGAAAGTGATCAGAGGAGGAGAAAGCAAACAACGGTTAAATAGAGCCAGGTGTGGTGGCCCATGCCTGTAATCCCGGTACCTTGGAAGGCTAAGGCAAGAGGATCGTTTGAGTCTAGGAGTTTGAGACCAGTTTGTTGTCCCTGAGCAACATAGGGAGACCCCATCTCTACGTCTTTGGTACCAGCTACCTGGGAGGATGAGATGGGAGGAGTGGTTGAGTCTGCACTGAGCCATGAGTGTGCCACTGCACTCCAGCTTTGGCAACAGAGTGAGACCCTGTTTCAATTGATCAATCAATCAATGCTAGTAATAGGTCCAGTAAGATGAGGACTAAGAATTGGCCATTGAATTTAGCATCTTGTGGATCACTGGTGACCTTGACAAGAACATTCTGGTGGAATAGTGGGTACAGAGCCTGATTAGAGTGTGTTAAAAACACAATGAGAGGAGAAGGATTAGAGGCAGAGAAGATAGAAAAATTTTGAGGAGTTTTTGCATGAAAGGCAACAGAAAAACCACATTCTATTTGAGAAAACGAAAGACAATTGTTCTTTCTGATTTTGATTTTCTGTTATCGTTGACACTGTATGCTCCCTTCCCCTTGGCTTCCAAGACTTCCACCTGCCAATATCTGCATCTTTGTGCCTAAGAACTTCTGAATCCTGCATGCACCAAAGGAAATGCTCAGAAATTAACACCCCTAGGAGCAGCCCTCCACCAATGGGTGACAGGAGTTGGTGGATAAATATCACAGCTCCTGTGGGGATAGTTCTTAGGCTCGTGGTTTTATATCACACCAAGCCAGTGGTAGCTAGGCTCAAGGACACACCCTCTATTAGTTGCCTTCACTTCCTTGCCCCATTTCTTCACTTCCCAGATGGTTTCCTTGTACATCCCAAATAAATTACTTGCACTTGAATTCTTGTTTCAAAATCTGCTTCTTGGGGAAGCAGATTTAAATTAATTTAAATCTTAATTTAATTTAAATTAAATTAAGACACTGTGTATTTAGGTTTAATCTAAAACTTAATAAAGCTCAAATGCACCATGCTACACAATAAATACTTTCAGTTTATAATTAGCATATTTGCAGTTAAAGGCCCCTTCTTAAATAATTTTGGGCAAATGCAACAAAGTCTTTAGAAAATGGAAAGACTCAGAAAGCTTCCTTTTGCAAGTAATTCCTAGGCTTCTTTTCTTTTTCTACCTGTGATAAATAAGAAATATGTGTTTGATCTTTGTCCCCAGTTCCTGACATGGAACTTCTAAAACCCTTGGAATTTCCTGAATGATAGGGGCGATAGTGTTACTATAGGTAGGCAGACAAGAGCAGGGCATGAGACCTCCCTACCCACCGCCCAACCAGGAACATCAGGTGACCATCAGATGATGGTCATGCAGTTGATAACTTTCTCTCTAAATAATCATTGATTGTAGCCAGCGCCAGGGAAAGGCAGTCTCTCAATAGATAGGAAACACCTGAAACTAGTGATTAGCTGCTTCCAGGTAAGATCTCAGAAGTTGGGTGGGTGGGCTCAAGCATGCACTTTAAGAGGCAAAATGGTGGAGTTTAAGCCCTCGACTGCTAAGGGAAAAATGCTTCAAATGAGCATGTGCACAATGTCAGTAAACACTGTGTGCATGCGGCCCCTCCCTACTGCTGGCAGGCCATTGTGCATGCGGACAGCCCACCCCAAGGGAAGAATCAGGGGAGAAGGATGCAACCCTCAGAAGCATGTCATCATATAAGACCCCAAGCCAAACATCAAACAGGGCATGGTGTTTGACTCTCTCATGTCGCCCACTTGGCCCTCTTCCAAATGTACTTTACTTTCTTTCATTCCTGCCTAAAACTTTTTAATAAACTTTCACTCCTGCTCTAAAACTTATCTTGGTCCCTCACTCTGCCTTATGCCCCCTTGGTCAAATTCTTTCTTCTGAGAAGGCAAGAATTGAGATTGCTATCTACCTGTATGAATTTGCTACCAGTAACATGCTTTGTTCCCGCAAGACTTGGATATGCTCCCTAGTGGTAAAAATAGGAGCATCTTTTGTTATTCATAATAAGCCTCTTCCAACCATACTAAGGTAACTTTTGGGGGACCCCTCAATAGCTTCAGGATAGGGGCTGGTTGTCAGAGCAACTAACCTTGTGAAACTTTCAGCCCCACCTCAGGACTTCTGGGGAGGAGAGAGAGAGGAGCTGGAGACAGAGTTCTATCACCGATGACCAGTGATTTATCAACCATGCCTACATAGTGGAACTGCCATAAAAACCCCTAAATGACAAAGTTTGAAGAGCTTCTGAGTTGGTGAACACATGAAGATGCTGAGAGGGTGGTGTGCACACAGGGCATGGAAGCTTTGTGCCCCTTCCTCCATACCTTTCCCTATGCCTCTTCCATTTGGCTATTCCTGATTTGAGTTCTTCATAATAAATTGGTAATTGTAAGTAAAATACTTTCCTGAGTTTGGTGGCCATTCTAGCAAATTACTGAATCTGAGGAAGGGGTTGTGGAAAACTCTGACTTATGGGTGATAGGTAATGGTGATGAAAAGAGTAAAATTCTGGAAAATATTTGAAGAGATTTATTCTGAGCCAAATCTGAGGACCAGGACCCATGCCATAGCCCCAGGGAGGTCCTGAGAACACGTGCCTGAGGTGGTCAGACTATAGCTTGGTTTTATATGTTTTAGGGAGATGTAAAACTTCAATCAATACATGTAAGATGTACATTGGTTTGGTCTGGAAACGCGGGGCAACTTGTAGGGAGAGGGATGTCCTAGGTCATAGGCAGATTCAAAGATTGCCTGATTGGCAATTGGTCGAAAAAGTTAAGTTATTATCTAAAGACTTGGAATCAGGATGGGCGCAGTGACTCATGCCTGTAATCCCAGCACTTTGGAAAGCCGAGGTGGGCGGATCACCTGAGATTGGGACGAGACCATCCTGACCAACATGGAGAAGCCCCATCTCTACTAAGAATACAAAATTAGCTGGGTGTGGTGGCACATGACTGTAATCCTAGCTACTGGGGAGACTGAGGCAGGAGAATCACTTCAACCCGGGAGGCGGAGGTTGCGGTGAGCCAAGATCGCGCCATTGCACTCCAGCCTGGGCAACAAGAATGACACTCCACCTCAAAAAAAAAAAAAAAAAAAAAAAAGGACCTGGAATCAATAGAAAGGAATGAAAGAGTGTCTGGGTTAAGATAAGGGCTTGTGGAGAACAAGGTTTTTGTCATGTAGAGGAAGCCTCCAGGTAGCAGGCTTCAGAGAGATTAGATTGTAAATGTTTTTTTTATCAGACTTAAAAAAGGTGCCAGACTCTTAGTTAATTCTCTCCTGGATCAGGGAAAAGACCTGGAAAGGGGGAGAGGATTCTCTACAGAAAGTAGATTTTCCCCACAATAGACAGCTTTGCAGGGCCATTTCAAAATATGTCAAAGAAATATATCTGGGGGTAAAATACTTTGATTCCTTTCAAGGTTAGCTATCTGTCATGTTGGTATCTTATTGCTACAAGAGTCTATTCGGTCAATCTTTAGGTCTCTGTTTCAATGTTAATACTGGTCAGTTGTACCTGAATTCTAAAGGGAGGAGGGTATAATGAGGCATGTTTGGACCCCTCCTTTGCCATCACAGCCTGATCTAGTTTTTCAGGTTAACTATGGAATGACTTTGGGTGAGAGGAGGGGTCCATTCAGTTTGTTGGGGGGCTTAGAATTTTACTTTTGGTAACCTGGGAACTTGCAACTGGCATCTGAAGTGACACAGTCTTGTGGTACTGAAGTTTTAACTTGTGAGATCTGATGCTAACTCCATGTAAATAGTGTCAGGTAACTCCAGGTAACTTCTGTGCTCACGCCAACTGGGTGTCCTACAATTAAGTTGAACTGTAGGAAACCCAATTGATGTGGGCAGAGAATTGGAGAATTGTTTGGTATGGAAAATTCCTACACATTTGATGTTGGAAATGTGAGTAGAAACAGTAGAGAACTACCAAAAACTAAATTATTTTTAAAAGCACATTTTTTCTGGCATTTTGATGGCATTAGCACACTATGAGCATTGCTGAATATGAGGATGAGAGCGAAAGTCTGATTTCATGCCAGGTATGTTAAATTTTGCATCTGTAATCTCTAATCAAATAAAGTCTAGGAAATTATTAATTACACAGTAATGCTTAGGGCTCATAAGTGATTTTCTTTTAAAAATACTTTATGAATGCTAATTATGCAACCTAGGATCTGTAAGGTAGACAGATTATTTTATGGTCAGAGTAGTTATTTAACTTCTCTTGAGAGACTGATTTCTCCCAATACAACACACTCAATTACTATTAAAATATGAAACTTCTTTATAAGTAGATAAGGATTACTGAATATTCCCTCTTTAATGTAGCTAAAGATATACTTCCCTTTTTCTACTCCTATAGAACCTAAAAATGTTACACTGTACTTCCAAAATTACTTGAGAGGCTGAGAATGGTGGCTCAAGCCTGTAATCCCAGCACTGTCCAGGTGGGAGGATTGCTTGAGCCCAGGAGTTTGAGACCAGTCTGGGTAAGAACAGCCAGGGCAACATAGCAAGACGCTGTGTCTACAAAAAATTAAAAAAAAAAATCAGCTGGGTGCAGTGGCATGTGCCTGTAGTTCCAGGTACTTGGGGGGCTGAGGTGGGAGGATCACTTGATCCCAGGAGGTGGAGGTTGCAATGAGCCGAGACTGCGCCACAGCACTCCAACCTGGGTGACAGAGCAAGACTCCATCTCAAGAAAATAAAAATAAAAATAAATAAATAAAAATTACTTGAGAGACAGCCCATTAAACTTGCAGAGAATCTTGCACCAGGAGTTAGGTCTTGATATTTTATCACCTCTGTGTCTCAGTGTGTCAGTTTTGGTGTCTTTTGAGAAAAGAAAGCTCGTTTGGAGCTGCTGCTTATCATTTTCTTTTAAGAATACCTCTTTCTTGTCCTTGCGATAGTTTGCTGAGAATGATGGTTTCCAGCTTCATCTATGTCCCTAAAAAGGACATGAACTCATCATTTTTTATGGCTGCATAGTATTCCGTGGTGTATATGTGCCACATTTTCTTAATCCAGTCTATCATTGTTGGACATTTGGCTTGGTTCCAAGTCTTTGCTATTGTGAATAGTGCTGCAATAAACATACGTGTGCATGTGTCAAACAAAACACTGCATGTTCTCACTCATAGGTGGGAATTGAACAATGAGAACACATGGACACAGGAAGGGGAACGTCACACACCGGGGCCTGTTGTTGGGTGGGGAGAGAGGGGAGGGATAGCATTAGGAGATATACCTAATGTTAAATGACGAGTTAATGGGAGCAGCACACCAACATGGCACATGTATACATATGTAACTAACCTGCACGTTGTGCACATGTACCCTAAAACTTAAAGTATAATAATAAAAAAAAGAATACCTCTTTCTTTATCCACATCAAAAATACCTTTTTCTTTACCTACATTTTAAGATGTTGATATTCTCCATGGCTAATTCTAGTTTTCTTCATCTCTCATTTCATACTCTCTTCCTTGGAGAAAATTTTTATTCGGAAGAGATAGACACAATGTTTACTAGGTTCTGAATACTGACCTAAACACTTCACAAACAAACTGGTTTCATTTTTATGGTGTTATGAGGTAGATACTCTTATTATCCTCATTTTATAGACTAGGAAAATGAGGCACAGAGAGGTTAGTCATTTGTCCAAGTTCTCATAAGCAGTAAGTGGAGGGATCAGGACTTGGACTCAGTCTGTCTCTAGAGGACATGCTCTTCATCACCTCACTATGCTTATCTTGTCTTTTCCGCAATGTAGATTGAGCCTAACCTTTGGAGAATCTGAAACTTGTCAGTCAAGCCCATCTGCCTCTCCTGAGCATGAAATCTATACATTAAAGTGCTTAACATGTATTTTCATCTCATTGTCCAGCAGATACTTCAAATTCTAGATAGTACAACTGAGTTCATTTTTCCTCCCATGAATAGCCTGCACTTCTGTTTTAGAAAATGGCATCACCAGCCGGTCAGTGAAAGAGTTACAATTCTAGGAGTTATCTTTGGCTCTTCATTTCCCCCTCAACTTTTACCTACATCTGTTTTGCCTATCCTGTCAATTGTATTTCCTACAGATGTCTTGAATTTGGCCTTCTATGCCTATTGTCATCTACCCTTATCATTTTTTTCCTGAATGACCAAGTAGCAGGGGTTCCAGTTTGTGCATAAACCATGCCCACCATTGTAATTCATACATAGTTGGTTACAACTGATGAACTGGCAAAGAAGCCCCTCTGTTTTAGTCTATTTTGTGTTGCTATAGTAGAATACTTGGCTCTGGGTAATTTATAAAGAACAGAGATTTATTTCTTATAGTCCTGAAGGCTGGGAAGTCCAAGGGCAAGGGTCTCCTTGCTGCATCATCCCATGGTGAAAAGTAGAAGGAGAAAGACAGCATGACAGAGAGAGAGAAAGAACTAACTCATCTTTTCATCAAGAACTGTAGTCGTCCGTCCTCACACTGCTGTAAAGACTGGATAATTTATGAAGAAACGAGGTTTAATTGACTCACAGTTCCACAGGCTTAACAGGAATAATGACTGGGAGGCCTCAGGAAACTTACAATCATGGTGGAAAGGAGAGGAAGCAAGTACGTTCTTCACATGACAGCATGTGTGTCTGGGTTCACAAGGCCCCAGCATTCAGAGTTGGGGATGTGTAAGGCAAGGCAGGAGAGGCAGCTAGACTTGGCAATGACTTCATATCACAGACCAACCATAGGCAGTGGACACCTAGGTAACTCTTCAACCTTCTTGAAATTATGAAGGGAAGAACTGACTAAAATAAATAACCCCTCCCCACTGACCTTTAAAGGACCTAACAGTGGAAGAATTCCAACTGGACCACAGTTCTTGAGACCTACCTGCAGATCAAAACACAAATGAAAGTTTTGCAGCTCTTCACTATTGCAGAGGTTCAGGGGAAGGGATGATGTTTGCCAAGCAGATAAAATTAGAAGAATTCAGGATACAATATGAAGGCAGAGAGGCAAGTCATGTGGATTGACTGGATGTGGCGGTTAGATTAAAGGTGACTTTTTTTGTTTTTTGAGATGGAATCTCGCTCTGTCACCCAGGCTGGAGTGTACTGGTGTGATCTCAGCTCGCTGCAACCTCTGCCTCCTAGATTCAAATGACTCTTCTGCTTTAGCCTCCAAGTATCTGGGATTACAAGCACGCACCACCATGCCTGGCTAATTTGTGTACTTTTAATAGAGACGGGTTTCGCCATGTTGGCCAGGCTGGTCTCGAACTCCTGACCTCCAGTGATCCACCCAGCTCAGCCTCCCAAAGTGCTGGGATTATAGGCGTGAGCCACTGTGCCCGGCCAAAGGTGACTTTTAACTTGGAGTTGGCTTAAGCAATTGGATGAATGATGGTAGTATGTACTGACCTGGCTAAGTCTGGAGGAGGAAGAGGTTTAGGGACAGAAATCAAAGTTCTGACCAGGAACAGTTAAAGTGATAGGAAAGAATTAGCTTGGAAAATCAGCGGTCTTCTTGTCAAATTTTATGTGTGTGTGTGTCTTCCTGCCAGCAAGCGGGTAATATTTGGTTAATGATGCTCCATGAACTAAAGTCACTTTCAGAGAAATGCTTTAAATGGCAGTGATGAGCTAAAGTCCATCAGGAAAACCTGACTAAGCAAACTGTCCCAGAGCACCAGGAAAGGCACCATGATACATAGACAGATAGAGCTTGTTAGATAAGAATTATATCTCCACACTGGTGAATGGTTTTTCACTTAAGAGGAGATGAGCAAGGCTGGGATTGGCTGCCCCTGTGGGGACCCAGGGCACATGTCATGTAGTGCTGGTCTGATTTTTTTTCTTTTTATTCCATATACCTTAAGGACCATTAACTTGCCCTCTACAATGTAAAATAATCAAATCATTCACATTAATTTATTATTTCTAAAAGTTTTTAAAGAAGGTTTTTAGAAATCAAGTTCTTACATATGCCAAATTACTTTTGTTAGTTAATTATAATATATTTTTAAAGTGTAATTCTTTTTCTTTTTTTTTTTCTTTCGAGACGGAGTTTCACTCTTGTTGCCCAGGCTGGAGTGCAATGGCGCAGTCTTGGCTCACTGCAACCTCTGCCTCCTGGGTTCAAGTGATTCTCCTGCCTCAGCCTCCCTAGTAGCTGGGATTACAGGTGCCTGTCATCACGCCCGGCTAATTTTTGTATTTTTAGTAGGGACAGTGTTTCGCCATTTTGGCCAGGCTGGTCTCCAACTCCTGACATCAGGTGATCCACCTGCCTTGGCCTCCCAAAGTGCTGGGATTACAGGCATGAGCCACCATGCCCGGCCTAAAGTGTAATTCTTATATATTCTATTTTTTACATTTGCTTAGGGTCCTTTTACTCAAAATAGTTACAATTTAGAAGTTATCTATATTATCTTATCTACATTTATCACCAACACAGGCAAATTAAATTTCAGGAATCTAAGACAATTCTTCCCATTAAGTACTTAATCATGTTCTGCAAAAACCAGGCAAGTTGTATTTTGTCTTTTTAATGGTGAGAGGTAAAAAGAAAGAATGAAACATGCTATTGTGGGCGTTTGTCTACATTCCCATTATAATTCTGATTTTGGGGGGATTCATGGAGTAAAGTCCAATCTATTTACAATTAGTTAAACAATTTTGCAGACTCTTTCTGTCAATTTTTAAAATCCCAGCCTGGGGATTTTAGGCTTTTCCTCATTAATGTACAGTTGACCCTTGAACAACATTGATTTGAACTGCACAGGTTCACTTGCACATGTATTATTTTCAGTAAATATAGGAAAATCTTTGGAGATTTGTGATAATTTGGAAAAATCTTGCTTTTCCTCTCGCCTACTTTATCATAAGAATACAACATATATATAACATATAGCATACAAAATCTGTGTTAATCACCTGTTTATGTTATGGACAAGGCTTCTGGTAAAAAGTAGGCTGTTAACTTTTAGTTGTATGTGGATATGCAACTGTGCTCCCAACCCCTGTGTTGTTTAAGGGTCAACTGTATTTCATTTTGGTGCCCCATTGCCCTCTGGATAAAGTCCAAATTTTTGGACTAACTTACCAAGATCTTTCTTCCTCTTCTCTTTTATACTCTGGGCTGGAGCCAAATGGAGCTGCTTCAAATCCTGAACTGGCCTTTCTCTCTACTGTTTCCTGGCCTATGTATAGACTGTTCCCTCCGCCTGGGGTTCTCTTGTGTGTCTTCCTCCTTCCACGTACCCTCCCGCCTTGCTCTCTCTACTATTTGGCTACCTCCCCCTAGCTAACTCCTATTCAACCTTCAAGTCTATACAAGGATTCTGCAGGGAACCCTTTCCTCATGCCTCAGGTCTGATGCAGCCCACACAGCCCTCTGCTCTGTGCTTACTTCAGCCTAGCATGTATCTTGCTTATGGAACCTGATTGCTCATCCATAACCCTTTCTAGAATGTAACTTCCTTAAGAATAGAACTCTGCCTTATTCTCAGTTGCAATCCTAGCACCTAGCACAGAGCCAGACAAATAGTAGATAGTAAATTTTTACTGAATGAATGAATACACAAATATAAAGAAAATGTATATTTGATATTATGGAAATAAAACATAGGTATGAAGAGAAATATTTTACCTAAAATACATATATTTTAGGGTAAGTAGACATTATTTTTGTGTGTTACATTATTCATATCACTGTTATCCTACATTAAGAAATACAGGTATATTACTTTAGATATCATTTGAAGAAAACATAGACTCCATGTAGGAAGGCTTGGTATGTGGAAGATATGAAGTGTGATTTTTTTTCTCCCATGGGAATCAATACAATTATTGATGTTAATAACAACAAGAACAACCATTAATAATATGTTCAATACATATGTAGTATTTTTGGTTGGAAAAATGGAAACCAAAGGTCTCCTGTTTATTGAAATTATAATTTTCTTCTAGAGTTTCTACACAGGACTAGGCATCAGAAAACATATGTTCCAAAAGTGTGTCAAGGGTCACCATGGAAACCACAGGGCACAACATTTGTGTCCCAGGCTTCTGGAACACTAAGGACCGAAAGAACGTGAGTGAGAGCAGGGGAATTTAGGAATCCATTGAGGATGCCTGAATGGGGTTGTTGGCCCTGATCACACTCTAGAGACAGGCATATCATCACAGGCAATCAGAAATGAAGAAGGACATTAACTTGTACCCTGTGGAATTGTCTTCAGTTGATAAAAAGGACTTCTCTGTGAGTGTATATTTTAATTATGCTGTTAGCTAGGAGTCAATTAAATTACAATACCTAGATCCAAATAGTCGTATTCATTTGAGACTTGTGAAAATTAGATTTTGGAAACAAGTTAGTAGTTCTTAATCTATGCTTAATATTAATAATATTTGTATTTATTAATATAAATGCTAGGCTGTATTTGTACAGCATCACATTTGTACACAGTGTCTAGCATCTCAGCATGACACTCTCATTTAATTTTACTGTTATTCTTGTGAGTTAGAAATTATTATAATTTCTATTTAATATCAGAAGAAACAGAGTCCAAAATAATGCATACAGTTGGTGGGAGAGAGATACCTGAAAACCAGGCTTCTGATTACAAATCCAGCATTTTTTCCACTACTCCAGGCTACAAAGTAACTGATTTATGAATCCAGATGATTCACATGAGTTCATCTCCTCACATTTTAATTACTCATTTATTTATACATTCTCCAAATACATACTGAGCATGTATTTTGTGTGTTTCCTCATTTATAAAATGGAAATAATAATATACCTACCTGATAGGCAACCAATGTAAGAACTGAGATGTAAATTGCTGTGCTTGGTTTTAAATGAAACCGAACTATTAACTACTATTATTTTCCTGCTAGAAATATGTAGAGTAGAAACATTATTAAATGTGCACATGGAAGTGAACATTCAAAACTTTAGATTACGGCTGGGGGTGGTGGCTCACGCCTGTAATCCCAGCACTTAGGGAGGCCGAGGTGGGCAGATCATGAGGTCAGGAGTTAGAGACCAGCCTGGCCAACATAGTGAAACCCTGTCTCTACTAAAAATACAAAAATTCACTGGGTGTGGGGGTGGGCACCTGTAATCCCAGCTACTCAGGAGGCTGAGGCAGGAGAATTGCTTGAGCCCAGGAGGCAGAGGTTGCAGTGAGCTGAGATTGTGCCACTGTACTTCCAGCCTGGGTGACAGAGCAAGACTCCATCTCAAAAACAAAACAAAACAAAACAAAACAAAAAAAACCTTTAGATTACAATGTGTAGCTCACTAATATTTCTCAGCATGGCTATGGTGGTGATGGCTGGAGAAGAGTGGTGTGGGGAATATTATCTATTTTTGGAGTAAAAATGTTCACTTATTTTTTCTGTAAAAAGAGTATGAATGGCGTGGGTGCGGTGGCTCCCACCTGCAATCTCAGCACTTTGGGAGGTCGAGGCAGGAGAAACTGGCTCTAGCCCAGAACCTCAAGACCAGCCTGGGCATCATAGTGGGACCCTGTCTCTACAAAAAATTAAACAATTAGCCAAATGCAGTGGCTCATGTCTGTAGTCTCAGCTACTCTGGAGCCTGAGATGGGGGAATCATTCAAGCTTAGGAGGTTGAGGTTGCAGTGACCTGTGATAGTGTCACTACACTCCAGCTTGGGTGACACAGCGAGACTCTGTCTCAAAAAAAAAAAAAAAAAAGTAGTAATGACAAATAAATATAGATGGATAAATTCTGTAAAATTTAAAAAATGTATTGAGTTGTTAACTTGTTTGTTAAGTATAGCAAACTGGACAATAAATTGACTACTCTGAAGTATATTGACCTCATGGAACTTTCTTTTACCTTCTAAAACTGCACCATTCTTTATTGACTGCATTAGTCAAGAAGGAGATGAATATTGAATTGACTTGTTTTACTTAATGTTCACTATACCAGTATTTCTTAAACTGTATTTTGTAGAATGCTGGTATACCATTCCATTAATAAATCACAGGGTTAGAAACAATTGAAATTTTTATAGAAGCCACACAAAAACAATAGCAATGGCAGATAATGCAACATCTTATATTGTTTCATTCGGAGATTATTTCAATATTTCCTCTAAATATCTTGAAGAAAATAGTTCTAGATATTATGCATACATTATTATTGACACTTTATGGCTAATGTGTAATAATCTATAAGTTAAACAATGTAATTTAAGCTCACTAGGGAAAAATTAAGAAAAGGTTGTTGATACTACAGCAAATAATGAATACTGGTCTTATTTCCACCAGCTATGTGAGTTTGGGAAATCAGTTACCTCCTTCTCTTTTTTTCTCTTTTATTTTGCCATATAACCTTTTATAAAGGAACTATTGTGTAGAAGCCTTGAGTGCTCATCCACTGCCTTCCACTCCTACCCCCATATTGGGCCTGTGCTAAATCCCTTGAGTTTGATGGAGTCTGTTTGAAAACTGGAACTAGCTGATCTCCCAGGTCCCTTCTGGTTTTTACTTCTTTGATTCTGGTTTGGAATTCTTAAACAGGCATTGGTGATTTGTCTGATACAGAATGTGGCTGGGTTAGGCTAAGGTCTTATCATTTGCGGGCAGACTTCTGGAACAGAACCGTTTATGAGTCATGCTATCTATTTTTGGTATTCTGGTTCTACTGTAATAACTTTTTTATTACATGTATTTTACTAAAAGCTGCTTAAAATTATTTTTGGGATCAAAAATTGTCAAAATATGTATATGAATAAATAATTCAAATTACCTTGAATTTCAAATTACTCAGTGGCACAGGTTTTTACTACGTTTCATACTTAATCTGAAAATTAATTTACAGAAAGAATTCAAAGTATGTATTCTATATTTTCTTTACGTTCTTTGGTAACTTTGTATCACTACTGAACAAACAACTAAAAGAGTATGTTCTAATGATACATTCTAATAAGAAATGATGATAATTTTAAAATAATACAATATGTAAACCACACAGCTGTCAGGCCTTTGACAATCTTGAGCTCATTTTTCCTTGCCCTCTTCCAGCAAGAAAGAATATTTTCCGCCAGGTGCAGTGGTTCATGCCTGTAATCCCAGCACTTTGGGAGGGCGAGGTGGGCGGATCACGAGGTCAAGAGATCGAGACCATCCTGGCCAATATGGCAAAACCCCGTCTCTACTAAAAATACAAAAATTAGTTGGGCATGGTGGTGCACGCCTGTAGTCCCAGCTACTTGGGAGGCTGAGGCAGGCAAATTGCTTGAACCCGGGAGGCAGAGGTTGCAGTGAGCCAAGATTGTGCCACTGCACTCCAGCCTGGGCAACAGAGCAAGACTCCATTTCAAAAAAAAAAAAAAAAAAAAGAATATTTTCCTTTTCTTGAAGCTAAATGATAAAATTTAATTCTTTTGTTTTTCATTTCTTTTGCTCACATCTGAATCTTCCATCCATTCTTTTTTCTTTCAGAACTGCTTACACCAGTTTAAATGATAAAATTTAATTCTTTTATGTTTTTCATTTCTTTTGCTCTCATCTGAATCTTCCATCCATTCTTTTTTCTTTTTTTAGAACTGGCCACACCAGTTTATCACTAGTCTGCATCCAGTTCTGGGACCCACTTAGTAAGCAATTGGACAAATGGGCAGAGACTGGACTGGAAAGTGAGGGGCTTGAAGCCATGTAATATAAGACAATGTAGAAGAAAATGGAGATATTTATCTGGGGAAGACTAAGGAGAAATGGAAGGTGTTCAAGGAAACTGCCTTTGCATTTTTGAAGAGCTGTCATGAGTAAGGGTGATCATAGGTCCTGCAGCCTCCAGGCAGAATTAGAACTAGTGGCTTTTGACATAATTTAGAGCTGCCTCCAGCAGTGAGTTTTCTAGAACTGCAGGTGCACAAGCACGGGTTGCAGGGTAGTTGAAGCAGTTTTCAAGCAATGGTTGAGGAGTTAGATTTAAATTTTGTCATTTTCAGGGCGAGTGCAGTGGCTCATATCTGTAATTCCAGCACTTTGGGATCCTGAGGCGGGCGGATTACTTGAGGTCAGCAGTTTGAGACCAGCCTGGCCAACATAGTGAAATCCTGTCTCTACCAAAAATATGAAAATTAACCGGCGTGGTGGCGCACATGCCTGTAGTCCCAGCTACTCTGGAGGCTGTGGCAGTAGAATCGCTTGAACCCGGGAGGTGGAGGTTGCAATGAGCCCAGATGGTGCCACTGCACTCCAGCCTGGGCTACAGAGCAAGACTCCGTCTAGAGAAAAAAAAAAAAGGCGTTGTTTTCAAACTCGACACTTTTTACACTTACCTGCTGAATTTCTGTGTGTAATATTACCTTCCTTTTGTGCAGTTGAGCGATATGTAAACTCTCTTAGTATTTCCTTTATATGTGAAACGCCTTTATTGTTTCTTAAAAGTCCATTCCTTAAGTTTATATCAAGTTTCGTGGTTGGAAAATTTTCTTCCATTATCTTCCCTTGTAGACTGTAAAAGTATGCCTTTATTATGAAACTACAACCAACAGGAACTTTGACCTCAGGATAACTGAGAGAATAAAGTGTTTTTATGATCTCATTAGAACCTTGGTATGTATTATACGTGTGCTGTGTGTGCATTATCTAGTTCATATTTTTCTTGTAGAATTTTCTATACCATTTAGAATGGCTTAGAGAGATTTGATTATACTGACACTTCCTTCCATGCAATTTTGTTGTTGTTTGTTTGAGACAGGGTCTCACTCTGTCACCCAGAGACACTGCACTGCTGGAGTGCAGTGGCATAATCACGTAATCACAGCTCACTGAAACCTCTGCCTCCCGGTTCAAGCCATTCTCCCGCCTCGGCCTCATGAGTAGCTGGGATTGCAGGTGCCCGCCACCACATCTGGCTAATTTTTTTTTGAGACGGGGTCTTTCTCTGTCGCCCAGGCTGGAGTGCCGTGGCACTATCTCGGCTCACTGCAACCTCCCGAGTAGCTGGGATTACAGGCGTGTGCCACCACACCCGGCTAAGTTTTGTATTTTTTTTTTTTTGAAACATAGTTTTGCTCGTCACCCAGGCTGTAGCACAATGATGCGATCTTGGCTCACTGCAACCTCCGCCTCCCAGGTTCAAGCCATTCTTCTGCCTCAGCCTCCCTAGTAGCTGGGATTACAGGTGTGTGCCACCATTCCTGGCTAATTTTTTTGTATTATTAGTAGAGTTGGGGGTTTCACCATGTTGGCCAGGCTGGTCTCGAACTCCTGCCCTCAGGTGATCCACCTGCCTCGGCCTCCCCAAGTGCTGGGATTACAGGCATGAGCCACCGCGCCCAGACAAGTTTTGTATTTTTTTAAGTAGAGGCAAGGTTTCGCCATGTTGGCCAGGATGGTCTTGAACTCCTGACCTCAGGTGATCCGCAGGCCTTGGCCTCCCAAAGTGCTGTAATTACAGGTGTGAGCCACCATGACCAGCCCCATGCAATATTTTAAAAAACATTAATTACTTACAGAGTTTTATTATCTTTGTAAAAATGCTAAGGAAAAATAAACATTTTCATTTGAATTTAAGGACTTGTATTTGTTAGGTCATAATTCATTCCTCATGATCACAATTTTAAGCAGGAGAGTTATATAAAAGATTTTTGTAAATTCATTTTGGAAAATAACAAGAAGGTGTTCAACTATATCTGGCTTCTCTGAAAGTGTAGATTGGAGTTCATTAGACTATTTACTTTGTGCAATTAAAAGTTTATGAACTGAATGAGAACTCTGACTTCTATTTCTAACGCACTTTTTAATGAAAAATTGTTGGGGAATTTGAATTTAGATTATGCAAGAATTTTAAATCAGCATCTTCGGAAATACAACAACATCTTTGGATTTATTTAGCCTTTTAAACAAAGTGGGCAAGTTTATCGAGAGATTCATATACTTTGTTTTTCCCTATCTTTCATATAAGAAATACTAGATTTTTTTTCAATAAAATAATTTGAGGCCTGGCGCGGTGGCTCAGCCTGTAATCCCAGCGCTGTGGCAGGCCAAGGCAGGGCGGATTGCTTGTGCTCAGGAACTGGAGACGAGCCTGGCCAACATGGCAAAACCCGGTCTCTACAAAAAATACAAAAATTAGCCGGGTGTGGTGGCGCACGCCTGTAGATCCAACTATTTGGGAGAATGAGGCACGAGAATCGCTTGTACTCGGGAGGTGGAGATTGCAGTGAGCAGAGATTGAGCCACCGCACTCCGGCCTGGGTGACAGAGCGAGACCCTGTCTAAAACAAAACACACATTAAAAAAAAAAAAACCACAAACAAAACCTGCAATTGGCCCTCGAAGGGCTGGTTCCCTCAGTCAGCTCTGCACGGGTGCGCCCCCTTTCTCCCTAGAGGTCAACAAGCGACTGCGAAGGAAAACGCCGCCACAAGTTTCTTGCTGTTTCTGGAGAGACCTCTCAGAGCGCATGCTCTTCGGATAGTCGGTCTGTAGCGCCATTTTCGTATGGAAGGGACTGCACTCTGATTAGGTACAGCCTTAGGACGCCCAGCGTTCAAGTTGTTCAAACAGTACGTAGAGCCTCGCAGAGACAAGTCAATGGCCTCTTTTAGCGGGACTCCTGCCTGGAGCGCTTCAGCTGAGACTATGTAAAGAAATTCCTTTGTGTTAACCTTCCTCCTTGGACCAGTGGACTCTCCTCTCTCTCCTGTTCCCTCCGCGCCCGCCCAGGCTGGCTCAGCGGTCTCGCCCCGCCCCTCCGGGACCGGAGCACTGTAAAGATTAGGCATCTGTGATGCTTTTGCGCTCACATTGGCGGCCCAGATGAGAGGGCGTGGAGAACCAGATGGGAAACTTTTTGTCCCGTGAGAACAAAGTACAAGTTATATCAGAGTCTGGTATGTGTAGAGGAAACCAATACATGTACTGTGAGCTAGGAGCTGGTGCTTCTTTTTCAATTGTATTTTTTATAAAGATGCAGACCCCCTCAGTGTTGGGCGTGGGGGGTGGCTGAAATGTTAGCTAGAGGCGAGGCAGGGCACGGAGATCTGAGGTTTTTACGAGTGTGTGTGTGTGTGTGTGTGTGTGTGTGTGCGCGCGCGCGCGCCCTACAAGAGTTTAGAAGAGCATGGGTGAGTGGGCGAGAAAGAAAGAGAATGAGAGAGAGAGAGAAAAGAAATCTGGAGTGGGACAAGACTTAGAGGGTGCAGAAAAGAAAGGGGGCGCCAGCACATCCTAGCCTCCGAGGCCGCGACAGCGCCTTTGGCGATGTCCACTCTCAACCCCGCCGTTTCATTCATAAGTTTCTGGCCTACAGGCCCCGCCCGCTCCCCTGGGCCGAGGGCCCCGTTTCCTGAACAGCAATTGGTGGACGGCAACAAAGCCTTAGCAACCGGCTCCTAGTGACCCGCGGGGCGCCTGGTAACTGGGGCTGCTGCGGAGAAAGGAGCGGGGCTGTCCCTTTAAGGGATGGCCGCGGAGTCGTGAAAGTGGAGGGGGCTGAGGGAGGGCGGGGAGGAAGGTCTGGGGGCGGACCCAGGGGGAGGAGGAGGAGGAAGAGTAACTGCTGAAAGGAGGTGGCGAAGGAGGATCCGGAGCAGCTGCTGCCAGCCCGCGGGCACTGAAGTCCTCCCGGCTGCCGCTCGAGTAGCCACGGGCGCGATCGGGACCAGAAGTCTCCTCCTCCATGATCACTTTGGAAGCCGGGGGAAGACTTTGCCCTGCCCTGAGAGCTGGTCTGCGTTTCCCAGGCGCGGCGGCGGCGGAGCAGCAGCTGCAGCAGCCGAGTCCAAATAGGAGCGGCCACAGCCAGGGGCGTGAGCGCCCCGCGCGGAGCGAGCTCGGGTTCCCCTCGGAATGTCCCCGGGGCGCCCGGCGCGCTGACCCCGAAGCCGCCTCCGCCTTCGGCGCCTGCTGCCTCCCTCGGCCAGGCTTGTTGTTCGGGACTGTGAGCTTCCTGGCTCCTGGGCAGTGGGGAAGCCCCCGGGGGCGAGTGACTTCAGCTGGCCACGACCCAGCCCTCCCCCGTGCGTATCTCGCTTAAGATGGCAGCGGAGTCAGGGGAACTAATCGGGGCTTGTGAGTTCATGAAAGGTGAGGAGCAGCCGCCCCGCATCTTCCAACGCTTTCTTGCCCCCAACTCTTCACTTCCCGCGCCACTGTCCCCACCTTCTCCTGAGGCTGCCAGTGTCCTGCAGCCGCTGCGCGCGCTCTCGTCCCCTCTAGGGACTCTCCTTTCTCCGAGGACCCCCTGCTTCCGGCTTCTCTTTCTTGTGTCCCTTGCTCCCTCTGCAGCTCCCTCGGATGGCCTCTCGGCCTCGTAATGGGACAGCACCGGCTTCTGCCCGTACTCCGGCACTCAGCAGCTCATGGGGAGCCTGCTCCGGATGCTCACCGGTCACCTTTACTCCACCATCGCAGGCTTCGGTTTTCGGGACACCCCCAACCACACCCCCCAAGTCTCTCTCCCTTCCTCTTTTTCAAATCTCCGAAGCTGCGTCGGGAGGCTCACCTCTTTCTTCCCCTTCTCGCAGCTGCTGAGGTCTGGAGATTTGGGAACCAAACTTGCACCTCCAGTTCTGCGGGTACCCCCAGCTCCTGCCTACTCTGCTGGCCTGAAACAAGGGAAATGTGGGTGCTCTGAGCCCCGCTGAGTTCCTCGGTCAGGTCCTCCTCTTGCCTAACTGTTGTGCTCTTGAGTCTCTAGCTTTCTGGGAGGGATGAGGTTTCTGCAAGAATTCCACGTGTTAATGGGGTCTTTAAATTGTGATCCTTCGTATGTTACCACCCACCTTCACTTCCACTTCTCTACTTCTCATATGTTTTTTCTGTCTTTTAAACTTGTCTTTCAGATCGGTTATATTTTGCTACTTTAAGGAATAGACCAAAAAGCACAGTAAATACCCACTATTTCTCCATCGATGAGGAGCTGGTCTATGAAAAGTAAGTTTATGTTTTGTTTTTTTTTCTCTTGGCCATTCAGCTTGTTCTTTGACGAGGAAACACTATGCACTTTTATGGCAGTTTTATTCATTTCCCCCCCAATGATACGAGTAACAATATCAATTTTTTAAGACTCAGGTGCCTGGGGAGAAGTTCAGAGAAAATTGACAGAATTTGAACCTTTCAACACTTCAGTTCTTTTAGACATCTATCTGTTTTAGTTCTTCCTACCACCACAACAAACAGCAACTGGAGATTCCTAACATTCCCCAGAGTAGGACCAGGGAGACACACTGTCATTGCCAGACTCAGTAATTGGCCTGTGAATCAGTCACTAAGTATTTATGGAGTGGCCATAGGGTACAGGGCAGTGCATGTATTACAGGTGCTTGAGCTTTATAGTTTACAAGACTTCTGTTCTATCTCAGGATGTTTTTGTTTGTGCAGCTCTTTTTCAGAAAGTGGGACACATTAACTGCGGGGAGCTGTATCAGAGTCACATTTATGACTAACATTTTATCTGACATATTATTGATTCTTTTATTTGGGTACCCCAAACTTTTTGATATTATTTTCTTTGCTTCTAAGGAAATGATATAGCAGTGCTGATTTATTTTCTTTGATTACTTTGCTTCTGTGGGATTAGGATTTGAGAGTGTAAAATAAAAGTAGGGAACTGTTTTCTGTGAAAGACCACTGATCTACAGGAAAAAGATATCTTAATACTTCAGGCATAGTAAAACATTAATTGAAGAGAGATAAATCTTTATTCAGTAAAAGTATCAGATAATAAGAAATAAGAAGGCTGAATTGACTTGGTTATGTACTTTTATGAAAAGAGCTGGTGTTTCAGAGGAGTCTAATATATTCTATTTTAAACGTTTAAATTACTTGTTATCTTTACCAAATGTGCAGATAAATGAACATAGTTAAATTAATCATAATTAGCTTCCTTGGACTTGTCTTGTTAGAAAGGTTATTGGCAGTTCTGCCTAAGGATTTGTGGGTACTACCAGGTCTTCGAAGAGTAAGTGTTCTGGACCTTCAAGAGCATATCTTTTATTTGGGGGAAAACAATCTTTGTCACTTCATCATAGAGGTTCTTGAAACTGAGGTCTGCGACATTTCTCTTAGTGGTGCTGGGAGGAGAATGCTTCTTGAATGGCTAAAGTAAGAGTGGGAATGAAAGAGCCCTTTGCTGCTGCTCATGAATGCCCAGAGTTGCTGAGGCAAAGAGGTCTGAGTCCCTGGTGTCAGATTACAGCTCTGCTTCTAGACAGGATGGAGTTATGTGCGGCTGTGTACCTGGATGATGTCACTGCCAGCAGTGTTTATTGAGTGTTCACTCTGTTGTTGGGAATGTGCATTGTTGTGCCTCTGTTTTTGTGATTTTAGGTTTTGGGGGTCTCTCATGAGTCTGAGAGTGGGGATGGTGTATATATCATTATGTTCAATTCTACAGTACAGTGGTTGTTAATATGTCATTGAATGAGCTCTAGCCATGGAGATCTGAGTCACTTCTCTTGGGATTGCTAGGTGGTAGATCTAGCAGAAAATTAAGCCAAACTAAACACTGTGCATGATGGCTTTTTGATTTTAATATTGATAGATGAGGGAAATTTTTAATGTGATTTTCATGTTGGTATTTTGGGATAGGCCTACAAATCATATTCCTCTTATAGTCTACTGTTTTTCTGGTATCTTATAAGGAAAGACTTGCTGGAGAATCCATCCAATTTATATTGTGAGTTGGGATTGACATTTGAAATACGATGAGGACTTCAGCCTGGGCAGAGTGTGTACTTTTCTTAGTTTGAACTTACCCTACTGTGCCACAGTAATGGCTGTGGCTCTGACACCTCCAACTCCATCTTTTTTGTTACCCCAACATATTACATGGTGCTAGGTGATGCAGAGAATAAAACAATGTTGAATGCATATGTTACCTTCAAAGAGCTCCAAGCCTGTAGGGAAAATAACAGAACTGCAGTTTGAGGTATAGGAAAGATACCTGCCCAAAGAGAAATACAACCTCTATGCTAGGAGAGGCATTCACAGGCAGGTAGGGGCACATCTGGTGGAAGCGTTCAGCAAAGGCTTCGTGGAAGAGTTAAGATTGGCTTGAAGGATGGACAAGGTCTTATCAGGCAGAGACATGAGAGGAGGGATCTTGGAAAACAGCAAGTGTGAGGAGGGGAGAGGCTTGGGACGTGTGTTCAGGGAACAGTAAGTCCTCCAGTTTGCCTGGTGTGTATTCAGGGAACATGTAGGGGATGGAGAATGTGAAATTGAGATGTTGGCTGGGGACAGAATGAATGTCAGGGTGAGAAACCTGCAGTTTCTTTGGTACACCATGGGACTCTTGAGGGATTTGGGGCAGCCATGGTATGACTTGATTTGTGCTAATTACAAACAATGGGAAACATTTATTGAGCATTTAAATGTGTGCCAGATGCTGTTCTAGGTGCTCTATAACTATTAATTCATTGTGTTTTCACAACAATTCTGTGAGACAGGCACTATTATCCTTATTGTACAAAAAGGCATAGAGAAGCTGGGTCACTTGCCCAAGGTCACAGAAGTAAAAGTAGCAGAGCTGGAGTTTGAAACCAAGTCATCTAGTTGCAGAGGACATATATCCTTCTCAAAAAATTAATACAGTAGCATCATTTAAGAGGGGTTGTTAAGGAGATAAGAGCCCACTTAAAAAAATTCAGGGGGGACCAGGCATAGTGGCTCACGCCTGTAATCACAGCACTTTGGGAGGCCGAGGCAGGTGGATCACGAGGCCAGGAGTTCAAGACCAGCCTGGCCAACATGTTGAAACCCCGTCTCTACTAAAAATACAAAAATTAGCTGGGCATGGTGGCGTGTTCCTATAATCCCAGCTACTTGGGAGGCTGAGGCAGGAGAATTGCTTGAACCAGGACCTGGTAGGTGGAGGTTGCAGTGAGCTGAGATTGCGCCACTGCACTCTAGCCTGGGCTACAGAGCAAGACTCTGTCTAAAAAAAAAAAAAAAAAAAAAAAAATTCAGGGGAAAGAAACAAGTACCTGGATTAGGATGGTGACAATGGTGATGGAAAGAAGCGATCTGAAGCCATGTGACCTGGCAACACAGGAGGGTGGCGTGGAGGGGTGCTGAGGAAAAAGAGGGATCAAAGAAGTCCTTAAGACAGCTTAGGTTGTGGTGAGCCTACTGGAGCTCTTAACTGAAATAAGGAAGGAGGGTGGAATAATTGGCTTTGGTGGGAAGATCAGGCATTCCATTTTGGCCAGATTGAATTTAAGAAATTTAAGGGATATTTACATCACTGTTAGATATCACATACATTTGAGGTTCTTAAATTTGGGAATTTTCCCAAAGAGACTAATAAAGCTGTGAGAATGATGCGATTTCTGGGAAGATAGAGAAGGTCTCAAGGTCTGTATTTCACAAGTAGAACCAGGATGGGAGGAGCAAGGGAAGGTGGAAGTACGCAACAAAGAGGTGGACAAACACTGAAGGGGAAAGGAGAAAGGGAGAAGGACTGACTCCATCTCGTCAGCTCCACTTTGGGGAAGTATAGAATGAGAGAGACTGCAAAGCCCCTAGAAGGATGTCTAGTAACCCGGGCTCTGTCTGGAGGACGTCCTACAGCGAGAAAGATTTTGACTATCACATCATAATGTGCATGTCTCTGAGGAGAAGAATATATTTATATTCATTATCACACAGGCCTTTGTACTGTGTAATTATTTGCTGAATGTTTAAATTAAATGCTGCTTTTCCAGCTGGGTGTGCTTGTAGTCCCAGCTACTCTTGAGGCTGAGGCGACAGGATTGCTTGAGGCCTGCAGTTGAACTGAAAAGCCAGCCTGCCAGCCTGAGCAACATAGTGAGACCCCATCTCTTAAAAAAAAAAAAAAAAGAAAGAAATGCTGCTTTTCTGGCTAAATTATCACCTTAGAAGCGATTGTTTTTGAATCAGGAAGTAGACTCTTTAAATATTAGGCTGTGGATATTCTGGCCACAGCTGTGTTTTGCGCAGATGTTTCTTTAGTTATGAAAGGAGGACAGCATTCCATGATTGAAATGTCAACCTTCTGAGATGCTGGTGGAGAAAATTTAATGAGGTGGCCTCATGAGGTAAGGCTATTAAAAGTGAACGTTTGAATTATCTGCTTGATTTTTTAAAACAGAACTTATTACTATAAAGGCCTGGGCAGCTTTAATAAAATGAGGATGATAAGAAATCATCCTTTGTCCTTGGGTTATGATTTCACAGGTCAGAGTTAAAATCAAAGTATAGGCTAACACACTAGTGGTACAAAAATAGCTCCACAAAAAGGGAGCCTTTCAAAGAAGATTTATCTGCATTTGATTAAGCTACAAATAACACACCACTCCCTGGAAAGGCTTGTTCTTTGGTATTGGAATTGGGCCCCGTAATCCAAACAGGCGCTTACTTTTAATAACTTGGCTTACTTTTGTGTGGCTAAAAAGTTAGTGAAATGAAATATATTACTTGTTATGACATCTGTGTGCCCCTCCTAGTGGTGGTCATGGGTGTAGGGTTGGATGTTCATGGCATAGAAAGCCAGTTTGCTGGGAAGGATAGTGTATAGGGTCTTCATTTTCAGCCTGTCCATTGTCATTTCTTCTCTTTTTGAGTTGTGAAGAAAGGTATTGAAAGTGCAGGAAAGAGCTCTTTAGGGAGAAACTCTAGGGACTGAATTTTAAGCAGTTTCTGAAGTGACTTGAAGAATTTCACCAAATGTTTTAGCATGTTAAGAATGAGCAGCCTCTAATGAGAACTAATTAGCTAAATGGAAGATTTAAATAATTTAAAACATTCAATTTTCATTTAAACTTAATTAAAGCAGCCTGATATTAATGCATCCAGGAAGTTTTGGATAAGTAATTTATAGAAAAATGATTTCTTTTATCTTGTCTATAGCATAGTTTTGAGTCAAAATGTGAACATAGAATATTTATGAGAGAAGCATGGAAAAACTACTCTTGCCTAGAAATATTTGTGGGAATGCATATTTAGGTTAGAGGTAGGTCAGGAGAAACCCTTTTGGTTTTTAAATTTTTATTTCAAATTAAATGTATAGCAAGTAGGATAATTTAATGGAAGGTTGAATGCCACTTAAGCATATACACACATACACATATATATGATCTGATAGAGCCTTACGGTCATCATTTAGAACCTCAATTCTCATTATAAATTGCTATGATATAGACAGAAGAGGAGATTTGGTTGAACCTCGAGACAAATTTCATTGTGGGAATAATAATAAAGCCATAGCAACAACAACAGCAGCAGCAGCAGCAGCTAACATGTATAGCCCTGTGCCAGGCAGTGTTCTAAGTGGTTTACACGCACACATTAACTCAATTAATCCTCAGAACAAGCCTAGGAGTTAGATGCTGTTATTATCACTACTTAACAAAGGAGGAAGTAGAGGTCCAGAGAGGGAAGTATATTGCCTAAGGTCACTGAGCTGGTAAGGCAGAGCAGGGATGCAAGCCAGAGGCAGTCCACCCTGGAGTCCAGGCATTTCCCAGTTGGCCTGAGACTGATGCCAATGGGGAGGGTATGGGACAACTTTGCCCCTTCCTGACAGACTTGATCCCTCTAACTTGGGTGGTGATGGCTCTTGGGGGAAATGTGCCACTGACAGTATATGCACAAACTATGACCAGCTCCTATCTGGGAATGTGTGGTGGTAATTTAAACATTTTTCTTTGTAATTTCACTTTTGGGGGGTATAATTTTGCCTTTTTTTTCCTATCAGTGCACTACCAAAAAGAAAGAGAGGAAAGAAATTGAGTTAATTGTAGGACACGTGAAAACGAAAGAAGCCCAGTTTTTATAAGCCTATGATAACTGCTTTTGTAGGCTGTCTGGTGAAATGTTCTGGCTGCTTACCTGGTGTAACTTAAGGTGATTTTTTTTTTTAAGGTATTCTCCAAAAAAAACCCTCAGAAAACTGTTTACTTTCTAAAAGATGGTAGTTTATAGTTTCTTCCCCCCTTTTTCTTCTCTTCATCCAAACCTTGGAAAAGTAATATTGTTCAGGGCTGCTTTTTTTCACCTTCTTCTTTTTTTTTTTTTTTTTGAGTTGGAGTTTCCTTCTGTTGCCAGGCTGGAGTGCAGTGGTGCGATCTCAGCTCACTGTAACCTCCGCCTCCTGGGTTCAACCGATTCTCGTGCCTCAGCCTCCTGAGTAGCTGGGATTACAGGCGCGCACCACCACACCCAGCTATTTTTTTTTTTTTTTTTTGTATTTTTAGTAGAGACGAGGTTTCACCATGTTGGCCGGGTGGTCTTGATCTCCTGACCTCGTGATCTGCCTGCCTCGGCCTCCCAAAGTGCTAGGATTACAGGCATGAGCCACTGTGCCTAGCCTTTTTCACCTTCTGTTTTGAACACATGACAGCCAGTGTTATGATGTAGTATATGTTAAGAGGAAGTAGATATATCTGTGTACATTCATAGTTAGTTCTTTTTTTTTTTTTGAAACAGGGTCTTGCTCTGTCACCCAGACTGGAGTGCAGTGGGGCAATCTCGGCTCACTGCAACCTCCACCTCCGGGGTTCAAGCAATTCTCCCACCTCAGCCTCCCGAATAGCTGGGATTATGGGTGCATGCCACCATGCCTTGCTAATTTTTGTATTTTTTTGTAGAGACAGGGTTTCACCATGTTGACCAGGCTGGTCTCGAACTCCTGGCCTTAAGTGATCTGCCTGCCTCGGCCTCCCAAAGTGCTGGGATTACAGGTGTGAGCCACCGTGCCTGGCCCACAGTTCTTAATTCTGTAATCCAGGGGAATCAAATTTACCTTCTAGATAATGATTTATTTAAATATCTGCTGTTTTGACCTCTTAGGCATTCGGTGTAGAGTTGATCTCTAATCTTCATAATGATAAATTATTACTCTGTTTTTTCAGTTTGCTTGAGATAAGGCTGTGAAAACAAAAAATGTAGCCGAGGTGCTAAGGAGAGTTATCTTAACAGGGCTAGTCATAATCATGCAGCCTGAGAGAGAGCTCCAAGTGGGCTGCAGGAGATCCCAGTGGGGAGCTGTCAGCCTTCCAAGTTCTTTCTGTGCCAGGTCACCACAGGGCGGCTTCATTATTTTGTTTGAAGTAGATTCCTAAGACATCAGATGTTCTCATTTGTAAGTTCATAAACACATTCCCAAGCCAGAAGTAAATGACTTTTACTTAGCCACAGCTCAATACCCCTTTGTGCTTAAAAAAAAAAAAACAACAAAAAACAAAAAACAAAAAAACTAAAAACTAAAACACAAGCCTCACAAAACTCTTGACACATTTTTATGGGAAGTGAAAAGCATAACTTAAAACTTTCATAAGTGGTTGAAAATTGCTATACAAGAAACTTAGTATTTAGATGGGATAGATTTTGATGCAGAACACTGTACTAATGCTTTGGAGATATGTATTTGTAAAGAAGGAAGTAGAAACACATGCAGTACAGGATAATACATGACCAAAGCTGCAAATGTATGTGTTAGGAGTTCAAGAAAGGAAGAGATTATTGCTACCCAGGGTGATAAGCACTGAGCTAGTTTTTGAAGGGTGTATAATAGCAAAGAGTACATTTTATGATCTCTGTGAGGACCAGTACTACCTGTTTTTGCTCACCATTATGTCCCAACACCTAGCACTGTGCCTGGCATAGATATGGGGCTCAAGAAATTTTAGTTGAATGAATGAATGAGTGAGTAAGTGAATGAGGAAGAAAGGAAAGAAAAAGATTTCAGGCAGAGTCCTGAGAAAAGGCACAAGAGGTGTTTGGGAATAGCAAGATTCTGTTAGAGGAGGTGTAATAATATTTGAATGGAGAGGAGTCACAGGTCACAGCAGCAGTCACTTAGTTGGGGACTGGATTGTGGAAAACTGTTTGGATGTCAGTAAATTGTGCTTGCTTGTAAATGGCAGAGAGTGACCAGGGCTCTACTTTAGGACGAGTGCTGCCATCGCTCGAAGGTGGGGTCAGTTAGGCTATGGAAGAATTGGATTAGGGTTGCAGCAGTGGGGAAAGAAAGGCCAGATGGGGAGAGGCTGGAAAGAATTGGTTGACTGGATTTGGGACTGAGCAGATGCGGGTAGGGAGGAGGAAGCAAAGGTGAATTCAAAGTTTCTGGCTTGGGTGACTGGGAGAGAGGGACACCTTTAAGTAGGTGAGGTACGTAAATCAGAAGGAAACTGCCTTTTTGCTATTCTGTTTTGTTTTGAGGATTGGAGATAGGAAGTAAAAAGGGGGTCATTATAATGGAGTCTTTGTCTTTTGTGATCTTTAAGCGGAAAATAGACCGTGTCTGTCCTGGATATTTAAAATGTGGGGAGGTAAGTGGCACAACTGATCTCAAGTTCCTTTCTGGCTTTGTGATTTGAGCTGAATTTTTTATACTGAATTGTGAAATTCATTGTGTCTTAGAAATATTTTTTTTAATTTTTCAAAGAATATTGCTTTTCTACAATGAAGAAATTCAAACCTACAGTGCTATAAATTTTTAATTGGCATAATTTTGTATATGCAGTTTTAAATGCTGATTTTTTTAATCATACATGAGCATTGTAAACCAATGCCATTTTTCAAAATCACCATAAATGTCTCTATATTAATAATATTTCGGGGAAAGGATATACCATACTGTATTGAACATTTTTCTCTCTTTGGTCATTTTGGTTGTTTCCTATGTCTTGTCATTTTAAGTTGTTCCAATTCACATTACTGAAGCAAAGTAGAGCTGTGAATAATTCTTTTTAAAGCTTTAGTTTCAATTTACTTAAAAAATATATTGGTTTGTTTTAATCAACGAAATACTTCCAGGAGCACCAAAGAATTTTATGTGGATTGAGAGTCATCAAAAATATTGCTCTATTTATTAAAAATATGTAACATCCCCAGTTCTTGACAACTTGAAAATGAAGCAGCATTGTTGCCTGGGGTAAATACCCGGGGTTCTTCATCTCATCGAAGATTAACAATAGGTACACGTGAGTGGGTTAAGGAGCAGAGACTTTAATAGGCAGAAGAAAGGACAGAGGAGAGAGTAGCTCTCCCTCTCTTGTGAGACAGAGGAGTCCAAAGGGAAAAGCGGGCCTGCAGCTGACCGCAACAGGTTTTATAGTCTGGCTTGAGGAAGCGGTGTCTGATTTACATAGGGCCCGCAGATTGGTTCAACCAGGTGTGACGTTTACGTAGTGGGTGGGGAAGGCTGATCACCCCACCCTAATCTTATTATGCAAATGGACTTTCCACTCGGCCAGTGCCGTCTTGTCTGCTCCTCACTGTACATGTGGCTGGCAAAAAGAGAAGATGGAGCTGCCATTTTGAACATGCCTAGTCCCAGGTAGTAGTATTCCTACTGGCACAACTGCCGACATTCACCTGTGCAAGTTTCCAGCTTGCTTGTTTACGTGTGCAGCTCTCTTTTACAGGCTGCTGTTTGTTAAAAGAGAAAATGATTTTAGGGCTGCTTTTCATTAAAAGGAAACCCTTACCGAGGGCTCCCGAACCCTCAGTACCTGCCTAAGTAATTTCTTTTTAACTCGTATATCAAAAACATCTGGTAAATGATCACAATTATTTGTTGTTGACAGTGAATTCCTTTATAAGAAATAATTTGTGTAAACTATAAATTTGAATAAGATATTTCCTTTATTGTTAATTTAATTTTTTGGTCTTAAATATTTTCACATCCTAGTGACAAATTGAAGAATTTGCCAGTTTAGACTTCTCTTTTTTTTTTTTTATAAAATTTAATTTTCTTTTGAGAACTGGAAAAGGTAGTTTATTTCAAATTTGGTCCCCATGATTGATGTACTTTAGTAATGCATTTATTCAGTTTTGTGTATCTGGATATGTGGCATTTCAGTGAGACAGCTTCTACAGAGAATTGGAAAATTACATTCTGAAATATCAAAGTTTTATAATTTGAATAATTTACGGAAACCTTTCTAAAATGAATATACATTTCTGCCTTCTTAAAGAATTTACTGGCCAGGCATAGTGGCTCACGCTTCTAATTCCACGCTTTGGGAGGCCAAGGTGGGCAGATTGCTCGAGCAACATGCTGAAACCCTGTCTCTACAAAAAATACAAAAATTAGCCAGGCATGTTCCACATGGCTGTAGTCCTAGCTACTCTGGAGGCTGAGGTGGGAGGATCACTTGAGCTTAGGAGGTCGAGGCTTCAGTGAACCATGAGCATGCCACAGCACTCAGCCTAGGTGGCAGATCAAGACCCTGTCACAAAAAAAAAATTTATTGATCACAATTTACTTTTTTTCTGTCATACACAGACTTCATCATTATGGATGATCATCTTTTTTTTTTTTAATTTTTTATTTTTGAGATGGAGTCTCGCTCTGTTGCCAGGCTGGAGTGCAGTGGCCCGATGTCGGCTCACTGCAACCTCTGCCTCCCAGGTTCAAGCGATTCTCTTGCCTCAGACTCCCAAGTAGCTGGGACTACAGGTGCATGCCACCACACCCAGCTAATTTTTGTATTTTTTTTTTTAATAGAGACAGGGTTTCACCATGTTGGCCAGGATGGTCTCAATCTCTTGACCTCGTGATCCGCCCGCCTCGGCCTCCCAAAGTGCTGGGATTACAGGCGGAGCCGTTGCCCCCGGCCCTGTGATCCTCACCACAAATTTTAGAGTAATTATTTTCCTTTTGAGAGCCTCAGCCACTTTATGAAATCTGAGGGTTAGCCTTTTATGTATGGGGGAATCGCTCATCATTCTGTTTTCTAACAAAGCTTTGCATATACTGTCTGTATAGCTCTCCTGCCTTCAGTACTAGCCATTGAATAATGGAGTTAATTTACACTGCTTGAGAATATTTCTGTGGGAGTGAATTTTAATTTTCCCAGTGCATTCCTGAAGAAGTCTCCTTTTGTTTTCGTTAATCTGAGTCTCTAAGGGAGTTTTTATTAACTGACCTTCTCTAACGAGGGATGTTAGAATTACAGACCCTGATACTGGAAGGTTTCTTGATACCATCTGGTCTGTTGTTTGGCTTTAAGGCAAAGTGAAAGCACTCACTTATTTTACAGAAACAGCAGCTGACACCTGACCTGACCAGTATTTACCTCGGGTTAAGAAGGTAATAAGTGGAGAATGGTTCCTCACCCTCTGGTGTTGTAAACCTGAACTTTCTTAGAAATCTAGACAATGCATCAAGGGACAGGATTGATAGTTGATATTGGGGTTCTCTCCTTCCTTTATGATCTCAACAAATGTCAGACTTTTTGCAGACAAGTAAGTAATAAAGATGATAAGTTTCCTAATACATGTAGCTGCTTTGTAGTCTGTGGGTTTGCTTTCTGGCTGTGCAGAAAACAGTGAATTTCATGGAAAAAGTTGTGTTCTTTTCCTTCCTCAAAGAGGAGACACTCTGAGGGAAATGTTTTCTGTACCCAGACCCAATGCACTGAGAGGACAGACAGAACAGAGAACATCAAATAGGGCAAGTAGACCTTGAGAAACATTTGAACAGTTGAATGGGTTTGTCCAATAAGGATAACTAGAGTCATAGACTCTGTAGAGTCTATATAGCGGCTAGAACTGTGATATATGATATTACATAAGAGCTGGAAAGAACTTTAGGAGCCATCTAATTCAGTGGCTTCATTTGATAGATGAGGACGTGGAGTCCCAGAGAGGCTACGACACCAGATTAGGGACACTGAGTGACCAAATTGGGACTGGAACCTTTTGGCACCCAGTGATCTTTAGTTCTGCATCAGACTGCTGTGTGTGTGGGAAGCTTGTTAGATGTGCAGCAACTCTTCCCCAAGAAGTTGGCATCAGTGTGACTGTGGGTGGTTATGCTAAAGGGCTTGAGCAAAAACTCAGACTAGTGCCCTCATCTGAGGTTGGTATTTGTTATGCAGTTAGGACCTTTTTAAAATGTGATCATTATGAGTTCAGCCATAATAATCACGTCTCATACAGAAACTTTATCATCTGACTGGAGGGGTGCGGATAGTATTCTAGTGATAGGGAAACTGTTAGGTAATGTGTGGCCCAGAGGCATTGCTGATCAATTTCAACAAAATTTTACACACACACACACACACACACACACACACACACACGGTCTCATTGTGTTTTGGAGGATACTGCTATTTTAGCATTTATCACATTGTAATAATGTCTTTACCTGTCTTCTCAGTAGATAGTGAGCTCCTTGTGGGTAGGGACTGGTGACCAATAGGCTTTTAGTAACTATTTGAGTGAGCAAGTGAATGAAGAGACAAAAAACGTCAGCAGTGCTGGTAAAACATTGAAAGGTTGGCATGCCTTATAACGATCTTATAGAATTTATTCATCCTGTTTTTAAAGCAGTTAATTTTTTTTGTATTGCAAGTACTCTGTGATGAATATGCTAACTAGTAATGCCTTGCTCAGAATAGGTAGTCATAAATTTTGTTGAATGAATGAGTACTTCTTGGAATGTAGCTTATCTTTTTGCTGAGGTGTTGGGAATTTTCACATGAAGCTTCTAATGTGTAGAATAAGGTATAACAATACTTCAAACAATGATTCCTCTGGGAATTGACTCACTTAAATTATAGTTTATTAGAAAAACCGAAGACAAAATAATGGTACATCATAAACTTCATAAATCTGTGAGAAGAGCTGCACATGTTGAGTATGACAGCAAGGCTTTTAGGCCCAGCTTCTATGTCCCTTCAAATTTGTAGGACCTGCACCTGTGGGGTGGTGGGTGATCCTACCCTTGTGAATGTTTGCTCTGATCCTTGGGCTCCTGTTTCTTTGTTCTCCTGGTAAGGAGATGAACCTCCTTCCTCCTCCACTTGCAGGACTCCAAATGCTCCAATTCTTTTAGTTTCTTTCCTGTCAAAACAGAAAAGGGTTTGATTTTAGCTATTTACACTTACTGAATAAAAAGATGGATGGACCGATTTTCCCTTAATAGTTCATGAGTTTCATTGTAGGCATTGACCCATAATTTGCCAATCTTCTTAGAAGAAATCTGCAAATAGGTGGAGAGAATCATTCGTTCATTTGTTAATTCATTTGGAGATGAACGCACGGGTACTCTGAAATAATAAAATGTCCGTGTTTTTCCCTGGCCACATGAGACCAAAAGACTACTCCCCTCTGCCAAGACAAAGTGGGGACCCGTGCTTGGCTGTGGCTCTGGAAGCCTTTTCCTAGGAAATGCCAGAGTGGAGAAGACTCTGTCCATTGTCATTAACTTCAAGTTTAGGAGTGCACTCAGCCCTCAGATTTCTGAATAGTCTCTGAAGTACTTATTTCTACCATCTCCTCCCTTTTCACTATCCCCAGGTTGATGACCTTCCATTTCTCCTCTTCCACCCTGCTTTTGTTCCAAGCTGCCCAAATAAATCTAGCACATTTGATTATTTTCATTGATTATCAATTAATTTTTATTTTGAATTTCCCTCTAGCTAATAGTATGTATTATAAGTATGTTTTCATTTTTCCCTCAACTCTGGTGAAGAAGGTTCTTACAAAGGAGCATGTTGTTGGAAGATGTCTTCTTTATTCACAGTATTTCATTATACCAAAGTTGGTGATAACCCAGCATGGTGTGAACAACTATCAGCAATTTTTCAATGATCTTGACATTTAAAAATATATTTATTAATAGTAAGCTAGAAAACTATATGTATAAGACTATATTATTTTAAATACATAAATAGTCTTACAAGTGTAAGTATTGTATCAAATGACCTTAAGATAAGATAGAGCTTGTTGGCTTTATATTTGTGACAATTCTGACTTTTGAAGACTTGTTCAAAATTGCTCTTGGTTGTGCAAAACTTTTGACTGAATTTTTTTAGTGTAACTTGAAGCTCATCCGTCTTTTTGTGGGATATAAAGGCTGGCCCACTGAGCTTCAACATACTGTGGGGTGGGAAGTCCTCTGGGTTAGGATTGCTTATTTTTTTTCTACCTTTAACCTGAGGCTCTTGCCAAAAGAGAGGCATAACTTCTTCATTGTTGCTATCTTTGGATAGCAGCCTACTCTTAAAACAGCCTGTCTTTTTGAGAGACAGTGAAGGAGGGTGGGAACTAGATCCTCACCTATTTTTCCATTCTCTTATGTTCCAAGTCCCAACTGGCTTTTTGGAAATATGACCCTCTTGAACAAAACAGGATAAAAATTACCAGGGCCTATTCTCACTGTTGGGAAATAATTGGGCCTTTGTAGGGAAAGGATATTGTCTTCAAACATTTTATCTATACTTCGTTTATGGTACTTGGTAATTTCTTTTATCTTTTATAGTTATTTTGATATGTCTTTTCATCTTGATCAGTATTGTCCATCAGTGCAGAACATTGTTGAATTCTGTAGCCATTAGCTACGTGTGGCTTTTGAACACATTTGAAATAATTGAAGAATTTTTAATTTGTTTCACCTTAGTTAATTTAAATTTAAATAGCCATGACTAGTGGCTACCATGTTGGAGAGTACAGATCAACTTAAGGATAATGTTTGTATTTGATTTACTTTCTCCTGTGTTATTGTAGTATGCCAATTTTATTTCCTGGTGTTTGGTGAAATAGGTTCATATGTGAACCATATTGCTTTCAAAAGTACATGTGGCTAAGCCAATCTGATTGTTAGAAATTGTACATCTTTGAATTTGAGTTTGAAGTTGGATTGTAATGGTTAGTATGAAACTGGAATTTGATGACGAATTCTTTTTTAAAAAATTTCAACTTTTATTTTAGATTCAGGGGTATATGTGCAGGTTTGTATACAAGCATATTTTGTGATGCTAAGGTTTGGGGTATAAATGATCCTGTCACCCAGGTAGTGAGCATAGTTCCCAATAGTTAGTTTTGCAACCCTTTACTCCCTTCTTCCCTCCCCACTTCAGTAGTCCTTCATGTCTATTGTTGCCATCTTTTTGTCCGTGAGTAGTCAATTGTGTAGTTCCCACTTATAAATGAGAACATGCGGTATTTGGTTTTCTATTCCTGCATTAATTCTTTTAGGATAATAGCCTCCAGCTTCATCCATGTTGCTGCAAAGATAGAACGATTTATTTTCTTTTGGATATATACCCAGTAATGGGATTGCTGGGTTGAATGGTAGTTCTGTTTTAAGTTTTTTTGAGAAATCTCCAAACTGCTTTTCACAGTGGCTGGACTAATTTAGATTCCCGCCGCCAACAGTGTGAATCTGTTGTTTTTTGACATTTTTTTTTTTTTTTTGAGATGGAGTCTCGCTCTGTCGCCAGGCTGGAGTGCAGTGGCGCAATCTCGGCTCACTGCAACCTCCGCCTCCTGGGTTCAAGCAATTTTCCTGCCTCTGCCTCCTGGGTTCAAGCGATTCTCCTGCCTCAGCCTCCAAGGTAGCTGTGACTACAGGCATGTGCCACCACGCCCAGCTAATTTTTGTATTTTTAGTAGAGATGGGGTTTCACCATGTTGGCCAGGATGGTCTTGATCTCTTGACCTCGTGATCCGCCCACCTTGGCCTCCCAAAGTGCTGGAATTACAGGCGTGAGCCACTGCCTAGCCTTGACTTTTTAATAGTAGCCATTCTGACTGGTGTGAGATGGTGTCTCATTATGGTTTTGATTGGTGTTTCTCTGATGATTAGTGATGTTGATCATTTTTCATATGTTAGGTGCTTGTGTTTCTTCTTTTGAGAAGTGTCTGTTCATGTCTTTTGCTCATTTTTTAATGGGGTTATTTTTCTCTTGTTCAACTGTTAAATTCCTATGGATTCTAGATATTAGACCTTTGTCAGATACATAGTTTGCGAATATTTTTCCCCTTCTGTATGTTGTCTGTTTACTCTGTTGATAGTTTATTTTGCTGTTCAGAAGCTCTTTAGTTTAATTAGGTCCCACTTGTCAATGTTTGCTTTTTGAGGACTTAGTCATAAATTCTTTCCTGAGGCCGATATTTAGAATGGTGTTTCCTAGGTTTTCTTCTAAAAATTTTTTTTTTTTTTTGAGACACCTAAGTTGGAGTGCTGTGGCATAATCATGGCTAACTGCAGCCTTGACCTTCTGGGCTCAAGTGATCCTCCTGCCTCAGCCTCCCAAGTAGCTAGGACTATAGATGTATGCCACCACACCTGGCTAATTAAAAAAAAAAATTTTTTTTTTGGAGACAGGGTCTCATTTTGTCACCCAGGCTGGAGTGTAGTGGCACCATCAGAAATCACTGCAGCCTCGACCTCCCGGGCTCAAGCAATTCTCCTGCCTCAGCCTCCCAAGTACCTGGGACTACAGGCATGCACTACCACACCCAGCTAATTTTTGTAATTTTTAGGAGATGGGGTTTTGCTATGTTGCCCAGGCCGGTCTTGAACTCCTGGGGGTCAAGCGATCGGCCTGCCTTAGCCTCTCAAAGTGTTGGGATTATAGGCATGAGCCACTGCACCCAGCCTAAAGTTTTTTTTTTTTTTGTAGAGATGGAGTCTCCCTTTGTTGCTCAGGCTAGTCTCAAACTCCTGAGCTCAAGCAATCCTCACACTTTGGCCTCCCAAAGTGCTATTTCATAAGCATGAGCCACGGCTCCTGGCCTCTTCTGGGACATTTAGTTTGAGATCTTACATTTAAATCTTTAATCTATCTTGAGTTAATTTTTGTATACGGTGATAGATAGGAGACCAGTTTCATTCTTTTGCATTTGGCTAGCCAGCTATCCCAGCACCATTTATTGAATAGGAAGTCCTTTCCCTAGTGCTATTTCTGTTGATTTTGTTGAAGATCAGATGGCTGTAGGTGTACAGGTTTATTTCGGGGTTCTCTATAATGTTCCATTGTTCTATGTGTCTGTTTTTGTACCAGTACCATGCTGTTTTGGTTATTATAGCCTTAGAGTAGAGTTTTAATTTGGGTAATGTGATGCCTCTGGCTTTGTTCTTTTTGCTTATTGCTTTGACTATTTGGCCTTATTTTGGTTCCATATGAATTTTAGAATAGTTTTTTTTCTAATTCTGTGAAAAATGATACTGGTAGTGTAATAGGAATAGTGTTGAAACTGTAGATTGCTTTGGGCAATATAGTGATTTTATCCATATTGTTTCTTCCAATCCATGAGCATGTAATGTTTTTTCATTTGTGTTGTCTGTAATTTCTTTTAGCAGTGTTTTGTAGTTCTCCTTGTAGAGATCTTTCATGTTGGTTAGATGTATTCCTAGGTATTTTAGTTCTTTTGAGGCTATTGTAACTGGGATTACATTTTTGATTTGGCTCTTAGCTTGAATATTATTGGTGTATGGAAATGCTACTGATTTTTGTACATGAATTTTGTATCCTGAAACCTTATTGAAGTTGTTTATCAGTTCCAGGAGCCTTTTGGCAGAGTCATTAGGATTTTCTAGGTATATCATTATATCGTCAGTGGAAAGAGATAGTTTGACTTATTTTCCTATTTGAGTGCCTTTTATTTTTTCTTTGGTTGCTTGCTCTGGCTAGGACTTCTAGTACTGTGTTAAATAGGAGTGGTAAGAGTGGGCATCCTTGTCTTGTTTCAACTCCTAAAGGGAATGCTTCCAGCTTTTGTTCATTCAGTATGATGTTGGTTGTGGGTTTGTCATAGATGGCTCTTATTATTTTGGGGTATGTTCCTTTGATGCCCAGTTTGTTAAGGATTTTTACCATGAACGGATGTTGGATTTTATCAGAAGCTTTTTTTGTGTCTTTGAGATGATCACATTTTAAAAAAATGTTTAATTTTGTTAATGTGGTGTGTCACATTTATTGGTTTGCATATGCTGACCCAACCTTGCATTCCAGGAATGAAGCCTACTTCATCGTGATGCATAAACTTTTTGAGGTGCTGCTGGATTTGGTTTTTGGAGGATTTTTATGGATAACTTGAATTATTTTTGCTTTCCCAAAATTTATTCAAAGTGAGTTTAAAAAGCTGAAATAACCATAGCTAAAACTTCAAATTCTACCAGTGTCAATATTCATATACAAGTAGAAAAAAAACAAGTTATATTAGTCAAAAGTGTTGCTTCCATTAACCCAAGGATAAGAAAATCTCTTATTTAGAAAAAAGGTTACCTTAATCAATACTGGTAGATGCATATTTATACACAGGCATACTGTGGAGATATTGCAGGTTTGGTTCTAGACCACCACAATAAAGCAAATACTGCAACAAAGCAAGTCACACAAGGTTTTTTGGTTTCTCAGTACATATAAAAGCTATGTTTATACTATACTGTGGTCTATTAAGTGTGTAGTAGCATTGTGTCTAAGAAAGCAATGTATATACCTTAACTAAAAATACTTTATTGCTAAAAAATGCTAATGATCATCTGAGCCTTTAGCAAGTTGTAATCTTCTTGCTGGTGGAGGGCCCTGCCCCAGTGTGATGGCTGCTGACTGATCAGGGTGGTGGTTGCTGAAGGTTGGGGTGGCTGTGGCAATTTCTTAAAATAAGACAGCAGTGAAATTTGCCATATTGATTCACTCTTCCTTTCATGAAAGATTTCTCTGTAGCATGAGATGCTATTTGATAGCATTTTACTTAGAGTTTTCAAAATAGGAGTTAATCCTCTCAAACCCTGGGGCTACTTTATCAACTAAGTATGTGTAACATTCTAATTTTTTTGTTGTCATTTCAATAATATTCACAGCATCTTCAAAAGGAGTAAATTCCATCTGAAGAACCCAGTTTCTTTGCTCATTCATGAGCAAAAGGTGTGAGCATGATAAAGTTGAATGAGAAGCAACTCATCATTCAAGTTTTATCATGAGAATTTAGCAATTAGGCTCTACTTTTAATTTTAGTTCTCTTGCCATTTCCACCACATCTGCAGTTACTTCCATCACTGACATCTTAAACCCCTCAATAGCATTCATGAGCGTTGGAATCAACATCTTTCAAACTCCTGTGAATGTTAATATGTTGACTTCCTCCCATAAATCTTAAACCTTATGAACCAACCTCTGCTAACTTCATACTTTTATTCTGCAGCTTCCTCACCTCTCTTAACCTTCATAGAATTGAAGAGAATTAGGGCCTTGCTTTGGATGAGGCTTTGGCTTAAGGGAATGCTGTGGCTGGTTTCATCTTCTATCCAGATCACTAAAACTTTCTCCATATCAGCAATAAAGCTATTTTGTTTTTGTATCATTCATATGTTCACTGGGGTAGCACTATTAATTTCCTTCAAGAACTTTTCTTTTGCATTCACAGTTGGCTGTTTGGAGCAAGAGGCCTAGCTTTTGGCCTATCTTGGCTTTCGATACACCTTCTTCACTAAGCTTAATCATTTCTACCTTTTGATTTAAAGTGAACCATGTGTGACTTTTGCTTTTACTTGAACACTGAGAGGCCATGATAGGGTTATTAATTGGCCTGATTTCAATATTGTTGTGTCTCAGGGAATAGGGAGGTCCAAGGAGAGGGAGAGAGATGGGGGAATGGCTAGTTGGTGAAGCAGTCAGAACACATATGACATTTATCAATTAAGTTTGCTATCTTATTTGGGTACAGTTTGTGGAGACCCAAAACAATTACAGTAGTAATATCAAAGATCACTGACCATCATAACAGATACAATAATAATGAAAATTTAAAATATTGTGAGAGTTACCAAAATGTGAAACAGAGACATGAAGTGAGCACATGCTGTTGGAGAAATGGAACTGATAGACTTGCCTAATGCAGGGTTGCCACGGTTCTTCAATTTGTAAAAAAATGCACTATCTGTGAGCATGATAAAGTGAAGTGCAATAAAATGAGATATGCCTATACTCTTCATTTTGGTTCTTTTGAGTTAGTTTTTGTTGACTTGTCTTGGACTGGTCAGTAAGGGGATTATAGGTATAGTTCATTTTGGATTCGTGGGTATTTTGTTTACATTTACAATACAACACCACACTGGGAAGTTAAGAAATGAGTCTAGAACTTTTATTTCAAATCACTGCTGCTTTCTTTCTTTCTTTTTTTTTATTATTATTATACTTTAAGTTTTAGGGTACATGTGCACAATGTGCAGGTTAGTTATATATGTATACATGTGCCATGCTGGTGTGCTGCACCCATTAACTCGTCATCTAGCATTAGGTATATCTCCTGATGCTATCCCTCCTACCTCCCCCCACCCCACAACAGTCCCCAGAGTGTGATGTTCCCCTTCCTGTGTCCATGTATTCTCATTGTTCAATTTCCACCTATGAGTGAGAATATGCGGTGTTTGGTTTTTTGTTCTTGCGATAGTTTACTGAGAATGATGATTTCCAATTTCATCCATGTCCCTACAAAGGACATGAACTCATCATTTTTTATGGCTGCATAGTATTCCATGGTTGTATATGTGCCACATTTTCTTAATCCAGTCTATCATTGTTGGACATTTGGGTTGGTTCCAAGTCTTTGCTATTGTGAATAGAGCCGCAATAAACGTACGTGTGCATGTGTCTTTATAGCAGCATGATTTATAGTCCTTTGGGTATATACCCAGTAATGGGATGGCTGGGTCAAATGGTATTTCTAGTTCTAGATCCCTGAGAAATCACCACACTGACTTCCACAATGGTTGAACTAGTTTACAGTCCCACCAACAGTGTAAAAGTGTTCCTGTTTCTCTACATCCTCTCCAGCACCTGTTGTTTCCTGACTTTTTAATGATCGCCATTCTAACTGGTGTGAGATGGTATCTCATTGTAGTTTTGATTTGCATTTCTCTGATGCATCTCTGTGTTCTTCTCATGAAGCCTGTGTAAAGGGACAGCTAAATTTGGTGCCACCTGTAATATAAATTTCAAAATATTACCAACCTGCCTAATAGGGATGAAATATACAAATTCAGCATTCTTTATTTATCTAAGGCAAGTGGCTATTGGCAGATTTTATGTAATGTAATGACATAGTTATGATAGTGTCATTTGGGTGGCAGCAAAAAAATTAAATGACTAATTCAAAGGTCTTTTGGGGATGGATTTTGGAAATGTGTTGGTATTTAGTAAATTTGTGGTCTAGACTAAATTGAACTTAAAGCATTAATGAACAAACTATTTCATAATGAATACTTGTTTCTGCTTTTGTATTACCTGTAGGACATTCTTCTAATCATAAGTATATGATACAGTCCCTGACAGAGAGACTTACATTGTAGTTGATTAAGTAGAATCAATACTTAAAATAATTTGCAATATTTAGTAGTATATGTAGTAGACTAAACGAATGACTCAGACGGTAAGTTTTGAAAACTTTGAGAGAAAGGTGTTCCCTAGGATGATTGGAAAGGCTTCATGGAGAAGGTGGGATTTGCACTGGACTTTGAGCAAGGTAGAGTGTAGCAGAAAGAAAAGGAGGACACTCTAGACAAGGAAACCGATGTGAGTGGAGGCTTAGATAAAGAATACATTTAGAATATTTGGGAATAAGGAATGGACATGTTTGTTGGAATGCAGATTTCCTATGGGACCTCTCAGGAGATAAGGTCAGCCTGGAAGCTAGGGGAATGTTGTGTAAGGCTTTGATTGCTGGGCCAAGGAATTATTCTAAAGGCAGTAAGAAACCATTAAACATTTTTGAATAGTGGGAGGATATGTGAGAACTGAGACTTTATGAAGACTAATATCTTTCTTGGAATACAGGATGATTGGGAAGGGGAGAGAGATTTTAAAAAGTACAGGCATTTCTCAAAAGAAGACATTTATGCAGCCAACAGACACATGAAAAAATGCTCATCATCACTGGCCATCAGAGAAATGCAAATCAAAACCACAATCAGATACCATTTCACACTAGTTAGAATGGCGATCATTAAAAAGTCAGGAAACAACAGGTGCTGGAGAGGATGTGGAGAAATAGGAACACTTTTACACTGTTGGTAGGACTGTAAACTAGTTCAACCATTGTGGAAGACAGTGTGGCGATTCCTCAAGGATCTAGAACTAGAAATACCATTTGACCCAGCCATCCCATTACTGGGTGTATACCCAAAGAATTATAAATCATGCTGCTATAAAGACACATTCACACGTATGTTTATTGCGGCACTATTCACAATAGCAAAGACTTGGAACCAACCCAAATGCCCATCAATGATAGACTGGATTAAGAAAATGTGGCACGTATACACCATGGAATACTATGCAGCCATAAAAAATGATGAGTTCATGTCCTTTGTAGGGACATGGATAAAGCTGGAAACCATCATTCTGAGCAAACTATCACAAGGACAAAAAATCAAACACCGCATGTTCTCACTCATAGGTGGGAACTGAACAATGAGAACACTTGGACATGGGAAGGGGAACATCACACACCAGGGCCTGCCTGTCATGGGGTGGGGGGATGGGGGAGGGATAGCATTGGGAGCTATACCTAATGTAAATGCTGAGTTAATAGGTGCAACACACCAACATGGCACATGTATACATATGTAACAAATGTGCACGTTGTGCACATGTACCCTAGAACTTAAAGTATATATATATATATAAAGTACAGGTGTGAGATGAAAAGGATCTGGACTTCTGTTGGCAAAATAGGAAGAGAAAGGGAAAGGATGAATTATAGTAGTAGCTTGTTTGATATATCAGAATTAAATATTTATTTGTTGGCCTACTGTGATTGAGAGATTTAATGCCTGAGTGACTGGGAGAAGCAAAGTGTTTTTTTGTCTGGAGGGATGATGTGAAGGAAAGATGGGTTGAGTTTTAGATATTTTGAGTTCCAGGTGACGGAAGGGCCTGTAGATGGTGGACCCAGCAGGTAGCCGAGATGGAGAAGACTGACACTGGCTCTCAAGTGGAAGAGACATCACTTTTCCATAGGGTCGTCAGTTAAATTCATGATGTTGGCTAAGAGAGAAGATCTACAGATTGATGACTGTATCCTGGAGATGTTAGGGGATGAAGAGAGGGGGAGGAGCCAGTGTGTCTTATAATACAGAAAGTTCATGGAGAACGAAAACTGAAAAAATACCACTGGATTTAAGATACTTGAGAATTGTGAGCTATGTTTGAGAGGAATAGTTGGAATCCAAAGTACACAAGTAAGATTATGACTAAAATATATGATAAAGAAATAAAAGCAAGTAGTACAGGCCATGTACTTGTTATATTCCTGTTGGTTCTTTCTTTGCCTGTTCTTTAGTGTGTTTACTTAAATGGTCTGGCAGGCAGATAAAAGGAGGTGGAACTTAAAACTGTCCAATTAGTTCTGTTTTTTTTTTTTTTGCGATGGAGTTTCACTCTTGTTGCCCAGGCTGGAGTGCAGTGGTGCGATCTCTGGCTCACCGCAACCTCCACCTCCACCTCCCGGGTTCAAGTGATTCTCCTGCCTCAGCCTCTCGAGTAGCTGGGATTATAGGCAAGCACCACACTGCCTGGCTAATTTTGTATTTTTAGTAGAGATGGGGTTTCTCCATGTTGGTCAGGCTGGTCTCGAACACCTGACCTCAGGCAGTCTGCCTGCCCCAGCCTCCCAAAGTGCTGGGATTACAGGCATAAGCCACCGCGCCCGGCCACTAGTTCCCTATTAAGAGACTAGTTAGAGTAACTAGAGGGCATTAGGACGAAACCATTAGTTATTTGGATTATACCATGGATCAGATTAGTTATAAGATAATTGAAATTTGATTGTAAATTTAATGAAATTAAAGATGAACATTGATGTTACTGAAAATTATACTTTGACTAAATACTACGTTTTTTGTTTTTCTTGTATCTTAGTTTCTATGCAGATTTTGGACCGCTGAACTTGGCAATGGTGTACAGATATTGCTGCAAACTAAACAAGAAACTAAAAGTGAGTATTGTAGTGATATTTATAATTTGGAATTAAAACATTTGAACCATAGGATCTGCTCAGTGGGGTTGGTGTGCACAAAACATTTAGTCAGGTGATCTTGATCTCTGGAAATTTATGTGAGTAGTTCACCTAGAGTTTGAAAGTGATCCTCCTGATTATACCACAAAGGACATGTTAACCTCTTTCAGTTTTCAGAATGAATTGCAATATGAGCTGAATGAAGTCACTGGAATAGTGATCTAAGAAAGAAAGCACAAATCCTTTTAGGCTGTTGTTAATGAGTCTCTATCAAATTCCCTCCTAGGATAATTTTTCTGAAACCTTCAGATATGCCTGTAGACCCTGTTTCCAAGTGATGAACAGGGCTTATCATGGCTGGAGCTGTGTGCATAACATTTTCTGTTTGGTCAAGATTGAAATTTTTTGCATGTTTCTTAAATGTTCTGTGTAGTTAACAGCCAGGTGAGATTGATGAACCAGCAGCAACAGAGAATGGAATTTACCTGAGATGATAGAATTCTGGTCATACATTTAGTATTCATCTATAGTTTTGATTTCACATGGGTATCTGGTTTCCTTTTCTGTACTTTTATGTGGATTTTGGCATGTGGCTTTTTTTTTCTTCTTCAAGCATATGAGGAAACTCATCTATATACCTAGTTTTAGTAAACTTATTTTATCACACAGAAAGCAATATTTATCTCCTTGTCTTCCAATTTCTAAATGAAGATCTTTACTATTTCAGTTTGAAAGACAAAATGCTATACAGAGGACTCTTAAGGATAAATACTAAATTATATTGCTCAGGTATTTTGCTCTTTCTGCTGGGTAAAATGTTACTGGTGTTACATAGTACAATGCCTTGGACATATTAACTGTTCTGTGATTATTTTTTGATTTGATTGGTTTTTAATGAACTTAGGTATAAAAAGCAGTCTGATAGAGAATTTCCTGTAGAATATGTTGTATCCTTATGAATTTACAAATTTTTGCCATTGATTTCAAAGTGAGAGGTGGACATGGAATTATACCAAAAAGAATCAATAATCATATAACATATTAGGTTGGTGCAAAAGCAATTGTGGTTTTTATAATTACTTTTAATGTTAAAAACCACAATTACTTTTGAACCAACATAATAAAATCTGTTTTACTCAACTTTTGTAGGAATTAACTTACAAAGTTGTCTGACTTGAAAAGATACATGTAAATTCCTTTAATTAAGCCAGATCTGTTTTTAAGAAAAGAAGCCAGTATTTTAGAAAGTAAAATAGAGGTTTTTGCAATCACCTAGGAAGTAAATAATATCCTTTTTATAGAAAATGAACTTTTAATGGCTGAGTAAACAAGAAAAGGATAATTAATAAATAATGGAAGTCTATTTTTTTCTTTTGAAGACCAAGGAATTTCTTTGCTGTCTTGATTAGTCATTAGTATGTAGTTGGTATGAATTGGGTATTATAATTAATCTGGGAACCGAGTACTATCTAGGGTAGCCAAAGAGAAAGGAGTCATTATCAGGAAAGTAAAATCACTGGTCTGACTCAGTGTTCTACTTATAGCAGTTGCAGAAGAGTAGATGGGTTGAGTTGAGAGTATTTTTTCTACCATTTTCTACACTGAACAGTATGGTAAGTATATGTATGTAAACTTGTTTCTATTTGCTTTCATTTATAATGCTGTGTTTCGACATTATTAATAAAGTTTAAACACTCTCCTTGGTTCATTTTAGTGGTAAGGTAATCTGTTGGTTGTCTGGAATGACATATGTAGCTTTAGGACAATTAATGGGCACTGCATTACTTGCTGAATGATTGAATTTTAAAAACCCAAATGTTGATAAGTCATGAGTTGTCTCAATGAAGCATACTACATAGAATCTCTAATTAGGAGAAAAAGATTTACTGTACCAGTCCAAAGTTGGAATTGCTTCAGTTTTGTGGAATCTTAGTTTCTTCATCTGTAAAATAGGAATTATAGAACTGTCACAGGGTGGTGGTTAGTATTATATTAGAAAACATGTCTTAGTCTGTTTTGCATTGCTATAAAGGAATACCAGAGGCTAGGTAATTTATAAAGAAAAGAGTTTTATATAGCTCATGGTTCCACAGGCTGTACATGAATCGTGGCACCAACATCTGCTTCTGGTGAGTCCCTCAGGAAGCTTTCACTCAAGGCAGAAGGTCAAGGGGAACAGTCATGTCATATGGCAAGAGAGGGAGCAAGGGAGAGGGGAGGGAGGTGCCACACTCTTTTTAACAACAAAATCTTGGGGGAACTAAGAGTGAAAACCCACTCAATCCCCTCAGAATGGCACCGAGCCGTTCATGAGGGATCTGCCCCCATGACCCAAGGCCCCACCTCTTAACACTGGGGATCACGTGAGATTTGGAGAGGACAAATATCCAAACTATATCAATATGTAAAAGCTTTGTACATTTTAAAGTCCTATACATAATAAAGTTACCAATGTAACATTTGTGAATTCTGATAGGGAATATAATAAAGACAGTTCTTCTACAAAATCGATGAACACCTGTTTCTCAGCCTTAAAGCTATTGTTTATATATGGGAAAGCTGTCCAATATAATTTTAGGAATCTAAATGACCATTTAGTCAAGACTCAGAAAGGGAAGCCTGGGAAAGGTGTGTGACTTGCCCAGTGCAGCAGGCAAAGTCAGGGCTAGATTTCATGGCTCTTGACCACATTTTTCCTGTTCTTCTTTCCACCTTCAGTAGGAACCATAGCCTCTGGTTTACAGTCATCCTTTGTTCACTCTTAGCATTGCCCCAGCTACCTGACCTTGTTGTCCCACGCTGACTTTGAGGCTCCTCTGCCTCTTTCATTCCAGTAAGTGTTAGGGCCATTCTGTCTGCTTCACTTCCACGAACCCAGACTCCAGATTCTCCCACTTGGAAAATGCCTTTGTTACTCACTTTGCACATTCTGTCCCTCTCACACTACTGGGATTGCTAGACCTTCAGTCTCCCTGTTCTCTCAGTCCACTGGCACCCTGCTGATGTCTCTTGCCTGCAGCCCATGGTCACTTACTTCAGTAAGGTCTTGGGTACTTTGCTTTCTTGTCTTTCTGCCTTGCCAGCTCTCACCCTTGTTGTTTTCCCAGTGGATGATTTCATGCACTAATTTACTGGGAAGCAGCAGTACCCTTGCCACTCCCAGCCTTGCACTTTACTCTACCATACCAGCTGTTCCATGCATTTGCTCATGAAGACCAGTCTGACTGGGATGCCCTTACCCTCTGGCTTGATAGCTCTTCATTCTTTAATACCTTGTCCAGCCACCACCCTTTAGGAAGCATCTTCTTGTCCTTTTGGACTGGATTGAGGGTGCCTCCCTTGTTTTCCCATCATTCTCTGTGCAGATCTGTATCGTTGATGAATTGTAATTACCTGTTTGCACCTGTCATTCTCACTAGACTATGAGCTTCTAGAGGGTGGAAGGTGGAGGATGTCATGTATCTTTGTGTTCTCAGTGCCTAGTGCAGGGACAACAGACACACAGAGACTTCTTTTGACTTTGTCATGATCCCCTTCATTTGCAGATCCCCCTTTCTCCTTTTGCTTCCAGAGGTTTCAGAAGAAGAGCCTGCCTCCATCCTTCCTGTGTGCTGATTTCTTAACCCTTTGTTATCTAACTTTTGCCTTCCCTACTCTACCGAAACTGCTCTAATAACGTCTTAAATGCTGAATCTGATGGCACTTGCTGGATCCTCAAACTCCTTTACTTCTCTGAGTAATTTCGCACTGTGTTAACTAGTAACTTCGTCTTAGGATTCTTCTCTTGTGTGATTTCCCAGTTCTTTTAGGCACATTTCATTTTTTAGTTTGGAAATTTTTATTCCTTCCAAGAAAGCTTGTGTGATTTTTCTTCCTCATTCTGTGCTTTATATAGATAGGTAATATTTTGCTGTACATTTTATTCCAATCCCAAATTTCTCATTTTTGAAATGAGAAGATGTTTTTTTCCAGTTGATGATTTGAGTTGGTGATTTATCGCTATTTTTGTGTTTCTGTGTCTATATGCATTCTATTCCCAATGTCCTTATTTTAATTATGTCAATCAGAATGGAAAATTATCCCATCAAACATATGCTTAGATTAAAAATCCAAACATAAAATGCATCATCACCAATAAAAAACCTGCTGCTTATTTAAACTGTACTTTAAAAAATTGTCAGTACTAGGAATTAGGCAGTAATAGGTTGCTGTTTGGTCTTTCCCCTAGGATAGGGGAAGCAATCAAAAGAGGGAAGATGCATTGAAGTGAGAACAATTTGTTAAACTGTGTATGTTATTTAATGTTAAATGTCATCAATGATTGATAGCCTTGAGCTGGAATTATTATTCTGGTAATTCAAGGGATCCATAAACCCTTGAAATTATACAATTTTGTATGTATTTACATTTTTCTTCTGGGAGGATTCATGGCTTTTTTTCAGGTTCTCAGAGGGATCCTTGACACAGACATGCTAAGAACACTGGGCTAAAGTCTTCTGAAAAAGAAGACTTTACTAACAAAAGACAAAGTTGTGGTATTTTGAAAAAACTGAATACCTTCCTCTATTCTTTTTTTTTTTTTTTTTTTTTTGAGAGGGGGTCTCACTGCGTCACCTGGGCTGGAGTGCCATGGTGCAGTCATAGCTCACTGCAGCCTCAAACTCCTGGGCTTTGATGATTCTCCCACTTCAGTCAACTGACTAACTGGAAATATAGGTGCACACTTCTGCACCCCACCCAGCTAACTATTTTTTTTTTTTTTTTTTTTTAGTTTTTGTAGAGGCAGGGACACACTATGTTGATCAGGCTGGTCTTGAACTTCTGGGCTTAAGCTAGCTTCCCGCCTGAGCCTCCCAAAGTGGTGGGATTACAGGCATGAGCCACTGTGCTTGGCCGTCAATACAGTTTTAATTATTGATTTCATTTTCCTCTGAGAAAAATAAAACCTGAGCTTGGAGAAAAAAAAAGTCTCTGAAAAAAGGGGACATTTTCTAGGGCAGTGGTTTTTCTTTTTTTTAATACCTGCTGTTATGAATCAACAGGATAATTACAGTAATCTTGAGGACTATTTTAAAAAAGGATTAAAGGAGTATTCACAGAAATGTAATTTTAAATTTACAAAACATCCCATATAGCCCTTTCAGGGTAAAAGGGGAAGTGGGTGGGTATCATGAAACCAACCATTATATTGAAGCATTGGAAGTACCTGGCAGATGGTGGGGCTTAGGGAATGTCCTTGTTGCTGAATGAATCAGTGCCATAATCCTATCCTGTAAACCAGGCACCTGCCACCCTATCGGGGGTTATATACACCAGAACTCTTTTGATGTAATGACTAGACCACCCTATTATAACTACAAAAACATGTTGAGATTTCTTCATGTGGTTCTTTTCTGTTTCTGGCTCATAGGTTTGTGGGGAAGAAAAGCAAGCTACATTCTGGAGATAGTTCATGTAGTTTAAAGAGGTTCTAGGGGCTCCAAAGCAATGTCAACTCCCATAGGAGCGAGCATATACCGAGTTTGCAAGGCAAGAACCCCTTATGCCTGTTAGGAATCCTCAGGCAGGAAGAACCCCGTTTATAGAGAATCCCACGTGCCTTCAATTATTGATTATTAACACGATGAAATCATCTTCATGAGCAACTTTTCTCTGACATTTTGACTTCTGCTTTAATCAAATGTGCCATTTCATTAATGAAATGTATTGGGTTTGAAACAAAGTGGGCCACACAGAGACACCTTTTTCTTTTTAAAGAAATGATTCGATCTATTTCATCTTGGCACTAAATAAAAAACATAAACCATATTTTGTTTTGTACAGCCAAAGAACATTTTCCAGAGTATTCCTTTCCTGAGAAAGTTGGAGGTAAAACTTGTAAAGGTCATGGCTGCTCACAGGAAGACCTGCTCATTTTATCGCTTTTGCAGTGAGATGACCACTGATTGCTATGGAGATGCTGATTGCTGCGGCCATTACTGGGCTAGCCTAGCCACCTGTAAGAGAATGATGCCTTGGTCATTGCGGTCCCTGTGCTGTGATCTCCTTAATATGACCATGATCATTGACAGAACTTGCATGTTTAGGAGGTGCATGGGCTCTATTTTTATTAAAGAGCATATTATCCAGGCTGCATTAATGTCTTCCTTAGCTCAGTCAGACTGATTCATACAGCTTAATTAAATACAGCATTCTAACCAAATAACTTGAAGATTTTACTTTTCTGTGTTTCTTTAAATTGACCTTTAACTCTTTTTTTTTTTTGGCTTTGGCTTTGAGCCTAATTGCATCACCTTTTGTTATTGAATGGTTAAGTAGTTTGTGCTCTCCTGACTGAAGCTGAACAAGTGCATGATTTGTGTTTGTTGCCATAATCCAAGTGTAGCCTGAGCTATTTGTTATTTGTGCAGCTTGTCATTATTTTTTTCTCTCTCCAAGTTGCTGTGGCTTGTGTTTTACAAGGAGTGATCCCACTAGAATATAACCTTTCACATAGCTTTTCTTTCCAAGATAGAAAATGTCTGGGGTCAATACCCTTATCTTAATTTGTATTGTTCTATCATAGCAGTCATTGTACTTTGGTTTATAAGTACCATTAAGTATTTATGATATACACTTATGATTTACATAACAGGGGCAAAACTTTGACTCTCAGGTAAGCAATACAGAAATTTCTATAGGTTTGATTATGTTAATTGATAGTCAATACTAAATTCCACCTTTTATCTACTATATTTTTTCCTTGTTAAATGAAACACTTACTGTACCTGTAATTAGTATCATTTTATTGGTCCTTGTGTGCTGTAAATGCATCCTATACAGTTATTCTCCTCTGTTTTTAATAAGCCTTGGCCAATATTTTGCATTAAATATTCATTAGCCTTTGAGGTTAGAGAGTGGGTTTCTTCTCCCCTTGTCACTGCATTGCTCAGCAAAGTGTTTGACACACAACAGCTACTCAATTCATGCTGATGGAACCCATAGAACCTTCTTCAGCCGCAGTATCCTGGCACCCAGATTTAGCAAATTGGTCACCTGTGGCCTGCATTCTGTCCACAGACATGTTTTCTTGAGCTTAAACACTGTTTAAAAAATTTTAATTCATAGTCAACATCTGCAGTTTATGAAAGCTTCAATTTTGTCTTCTTTTAAATATTGCAGTATCTGACCATTCTGCACCCAGATTCCCTCACAAGAGCAGTAGGTTGGAGCTTACTGCACTTTGGATAGGGAATGCTTTTCTTATTTACCAGCTGCCCCACTTCAGATTCTTGGCACCTGAGAACATCTGAATTTGGAACTTCTGGAATAATGACATTTAAGGCAGCTTAATTACGGAATCATTAAAGGGACTTGTTCCTAAGGTGTTATCACCTGGAATGCATGAATTTACAAATTGTAATAAGGTTTGCTGAGGAATCTGGGGAAATGTGTTTTTTGTAAAATGCTTTTAAAAGGCTTATTGCATGATTTAGAATTCCTTTTTAAGAGAATGTAGAGTTCTTTCGAGACTACTTGACCAGATGGACAGTGTTTTAGCTTCATATAAAAGATTCCCAGGGGTGGGACCAGTTACATGTTTATGTAGTGCTTCTCCAAAATTTAGCCATATCTTAGAGTAGTGGATTTCAATGTGTGGTGTCTGGACCAACAGTGTCAGCATTACTGGAAAACCTGTTAGAAATGTAAATTCTCAGGCCCTACTGAATCAGAAATTCTGGAGGTGAGACCCAGCAATCTGTGTTTTAATAAGCCCTGCAGGTGATTCTGAACCAATCTGTTAAGAGAATGAAATATAATACAATAATAATATAATGTGGTTTAGAGTTAGATTTAGTTATTTCTGAAAAGTCTTAGTACTATTGACCAATTCAACCTGAGAATTATTCAAATTCTGAAGCATGAAACTTGTTATGGCCTCATAATTAAGATTTACACAAATTATCAGGCTCTGTGAGAAAGTTTTGGACTGATCCTGCTTACTACTCTTACTGTGTAAATGTTCGTCAAAGGCCCTCTCTGACTCTGGGCTTATGTTCTCCTTGTAAAACACAGTGTGCTCATTATATTTTAGCCTTGCCCAGGACCCCTAGTCTGGGAGACGTTATGTGTCTGATTAAACTGGACCCCTCTGGTGCCATTCCTATTGCTTTGGATAATGGTGGAATGTCACAAGTGAGCAATAAATGCGAGCTGTTGTTGCGGTTATTATAGAGGGCTGGCTATGTCCACTTCAGTTTAGAAAGTTCAGAAGGGTATTTGCTTTGTAATCCCCGCACTTTGAGAGGTCGGGGTGAGCAGATCACTTGAGGTCAGGAGTTCAAGACCAGCCTGGCCAACATGGTGAAACCCCATCTCTACTAAAAATACAAAAATTAGCCAGGCGTGGTGTCACCTGCCTGTAGTCCCAGCTACTCAGGAGGCTGAGGCATGAGAATTGCTTGAACCTGGGAAGTGGAGGTTGCAGTGAGCCAAGATCATGCCACTGTATTCCAGCCTGGGTGACAGAGTGAGATAGTATTTAAAAAAAAAAAAAAGAAGAGTATTTGTTCCAGTTTCAAGATAGAAATCTAAAACATAAGGTGGATAGTGGCTGGCTGCAGATTGTGATTTGTAATGGGTCATGTGCTGTGCTGCTACAGAGCTGGCAAATAGTCCAGAGGTCTCAGTATTCTTTCTGTGACCCTCTCTATTTTATATTTACACTGTATTTATTGGAATTGACCAATTTTAAACTTCACTTTGCTATGGCATACAGTGTTTTTGTAACCTGTGAGCTTCTTGTGTAAAGCAGAAAATAATCTGTAATAGAGCAGGTAGCTCATTGAAAGCCTGTGGCTATGATGTAACCTTGCAAGTGTTCTCCTTGAAGGGCCCACTCATCATATTTGCTTTGTAATCCCTGCACTTTGGGAGGCTGGGGTGAGCAGATCACTTGAGGTCAGGAGTTCAAGACCAGCCTAGCCAACATAGTGAAACCCCATCTCTACTAAAAATACAAAAATTAGCCAGGCATGGTGACACCTTCCTGTGGTCCCAGCTACAGAGGAGACAGACCAGAGTAAGGAAGAGGCCACTGTCCAATTTAGAGGCATGATATTCTCCTGATATTAGGGCAGAATCTGAGAAAACATTGACTGGGCTCATACATAGAGTCCTGTCCTATTGTCTCCAAACTGTGACTTTGTCTGCATGGTAAAGTTCTTCCATGAAAGATCTCAAAAGAGAAGTTAATGTTCCATAGAAGGTACTTCAATCATCGATGTCTCCACTGGGTGTTAGTATTGCTTCTTCTAGGGTGCTTTGATTATGTAATAGTATTTTTTAAGTGGGGGACATGCTTAAAATTTGAGAGGAAAAAACATTAAAGAGTTTTTTTTTTTTAAATCAGCCCACTCATATAAAACATCAGCTAAACAACGGACAAAATATTTTGTTACCCCTCAAATTTTTATTCCAATACCAAAGTATCTTCTCTGTTGAACAGCATCACTGGTAGAAAACTGTGGGCCAGGATGACCATAAGAGGGAGGCCCAGTTGTGAAAAGGAAAGACATTAGCAAAAGGCCTAATTTTGATATTAGCAAATTTGAGATTAATTAGAAAATTAATTAGGAAATTAGGACAAGGTCTAATTTTGAGATTAGTAGATTTTTCTCTGCTCTCATTAACTTTGAATTCGTTTTGATTCCTCGAGTGAGAGAACTCACCTCTCAGTGATTTGACCTCGGAGATGCTGGCCAAGCTTCGCTAAGCAGGAAATCATTTCTTGGCTGGTGTGCTTTTGAAACTTAACCGAGGAAACTGAATTCCAAAAATACCTAAGCAAAGTAAATGCTAGCAGCTTTAAACATTTTCCTAAAAATCAGGCAGAAAGCTCTAAAAAGAAGTCAGTTATGTTTGCTTCCTGTGGGGAGTTTCTCATAGGAAATATTTTAAAATAAAGTTTCTAGGAAGATTTTGTGAAGATCATTCTCTATCTGATGTAATTTATGAAAGCTTATAAAGTTTAAGCATTCTTCTAAAATCTTTAAAGTGTTAATTTGTATTATATTTACTTAAATAATATTTATAGCTATACAGTGAAAAGAAAGTCTTCCTCAGAGTTCTGTCCTTTAGTTTTATGGCTCATGTTCCAGGATAAGTCTCTGTATTCTATATACTTTAGAATGCGAGAGAGAAAAAACGAAACCAAGTAAACACAAAAGATTCTACTCCCCCCAACCCCCTCCAAAAAAACCCAAGGAAGAAATAAGCATCAGTGATGAAAGAACAGCACTATAACTTGTCCCTTTCAGCAAGTAGATTTGTAAAATAAATACAGTTTCACATTATTAACCAATAGCAGTAGTTTGTCATAAAACCTAAATTCTTAGTAGAAAAGAGCATCAAAAATGATAATCCAGACTTGAAGATAGACTGTTGATATTTTCTTCCCCACAGGTATTTTAGGGAATTAGGAAATGTAAATAGGGAGAGGCTGGGAGCCATAAGAGCGTCGAGTCCCTATGCTCAGTCTGACTCATGTTTATTGAGAGCCTGGCCTGTGTAAGGCAGTATTTAGATATTTGCAATTCAGAGATGATAGGAGATGCTTAGGTCTGAAGAGCCTTTATTTCCTTTTTGGTAAATCAAACATAACTTATTGATGGGGAACAAATAAGTGGCAAAACCAACCAACCACCCAACAGACAATGAGACAATGAAATAAAACAGAAAAAGGCAATGTTCAGGCAGTCAGTAGTTCCAAATTGAGAAAGCAAAGAATCAAGTGTCAGCACCATTGGTTGTAACCTTTACATCCCTAGGTAACTTCAATGCATCAACTCAACTGAGCTGAATTAAATGCTGTGCCTTTGTTCTCTCTTTATTTCATAGGAGTATTTGTATAAACCTGTCAGGAAATAAGGGCATTGGCAATAAGATACTTTCTTTGAGTCAAATACTAATTTTTTTTGTTTGATTTTTGTTTGTTTGTTTTTGAGACAAATTCTTGTTCTGTTGCCCAGGCTGTACTGCTGTGGTGTGATCATGGCTCACTGCAGCCTCCATCTCCTGAGCTTAAGTGATACTCCTATCCAGTCTTTTTGTAGAGATGAGGTCTTACTATGTTGCCTGGGCTAGTCTCAAATTCCCAGCCCTAAGTGATTCTCCTGCTTTGGCCTCTCAAAGTGTTGGAATTACAGGCATGAGCCATCACACCTGGCCTTACATACTAATTTTTAAAAGTTTAATAAAAAGGGCACTACTGGCTGGGTGTTGTGGCTCATGCCTGTAATCTCAGCACTTTGGGAGGCCAAGGCAGGTGGATCACTTAAGCCCAGGAGTTCGAGACCAGCCTGGACAACATGGTAAGACCTCACCTCTACGAAAAATACAAATATTTGCCAGGCATGGTGGCATGTGCCTGTGGTCCCAGCTACTCAGGAGGCCGAGGTGAGAGGATCGATTGAGGCTGAGAGGTCAAGGCTGCAGTGAGCCAGATCATGCCACTGCGCTCCAGCCTGGGTGCTGGGTGACAGAGCAAGACCCTGTCTCAAAAAAAAAAAAAAAAAAAAAAGGTAAAAGATAAAAGGGTACAGCCATTTTCAGATAATGTGATTCTAGGAGTTCGAGACCAGCCTGGCCAACATGGTGAAACTCTGTCTCTACTAAAAATACAAAAATTAGCCGGGCGTGGTTGTGGGTGCCTGTAGTCCCAGCTGCATGGGAGGCAAGAGAATGGCTTGAACCTGGGAGGCGGAGGTTGCAGTGAGCCGAGGTTGCGCCACTGCACTCCAGCCTGGGTGACAAAGCGAGAATCTGTCTCAAAAAAAAAAAATATATATATATGTGTATATATATATATGATTTTTGGTTATAAAAGAAATGCCTGACTTGGAGTGAAGATTTCCTGGCTCATTGGAGGGATACACTTTCTGTGGTTACATGGTAAAGCCAGAGTGTTGCAGTTTCATCTTAGAACGGGCTTCAGAGATGGAAGAGTTTTTTTTTAATTTGTAGACAATAGCAGGATCAAGAAAAGTACATAGTTGAGCTCTATTTACCTTTTTTAAAGAGGTTCTAAAAGCAGGGATTTTCTGTGTGTTGTAGTCAATGTATAAGATAGAAAAAGCTGCTTTTATAGTCAATGTGAATTTATAGACAAATACTGAAATGTACTTTTGTGCCTGTGTTTTTTTTGCTAGCTCATTAAAGACAGTTTATGTACCTATATTTAGAAAATCAATTGTCAAAATACATAAATTTTGAAAAGTGAGGAAATCAAGCAGATTTCATTGAGTTACATTGTGTTCTCATTGTCTTATACTTATTCGAGTTTTGATTAATAATTTGATTTCATTTTACCAGATCTTTTTGTCATTTCTTTTCATGTTTAGCATGTGTACAACATACCATGTTGATTATTTTGAACTTAGTTAAATACTTGAGCATGCAGCATATTGCCTGGCATATAACAGGTGCTTAATAACTGTCTGAATTCATGAATTTAATAGATGGCTATTGTAATGTGTTGTATTAAGATGTTTGCTGATATAATTTTTTAATGGTATTTTTCCATTAACCAAGTATTTTCAGATATTAAAAGGGGGTTGTTATATAACATCCCAGAAATAAAATACTAATATTGGTCTTCAAAAATACGATTTTTTGGAGATCATAGTAAACTGGTTGACATTTTAAAAAATTGTGTTATATGAAAACTATAGATAATATTCCTGGGAGTTGGAGTGGCATGTAGGGGGTAACAAAGTGTGAAGAGACTTTCTGTAGAAGATTTAGAATAAATAGTCAAAAATGTTTCCAGTTAATAGAGATGCCAATATTTTAATTATTTTCCACCATATTAGTTTCTTTTCTGGGAGAGAAAGATATTAATTATATTGTTGATTCTTACATTATGATTGGGCTGTACAAAATCTGAGCTAGTAATTCTCTAACCCTCAAATGCCATAGAAATTAAAGTTGAAAGTTGTTAAATTTTATGGGTTGTAGCACATCTTGAAGGTTAAGAGATGATGTTTGCCTTCTGTATATGTTAACTTTGTCTCTATGGTTACACTAACTCTTTTTATCTCCTCTTTCTAGTCATACAGTTTGTCAAGAAAGAAAATAGTGCACTACACCTGTTTTGACCAACGGAAAAGAGCAAATGCAGCATTTTTGATAGGTGCCTATGCAGTAAGTACCTTCTTCATGATTATTTTCTATAATCAGGCCAGTGAAATGCTAACACTGTCAAAGAAAATCCAAACCAGTTTTTCAGTGGGATTGAGAGACGGTGGAGATTATTAGCAGTTTGGGAATTGATCTGTAGTGAGAAATATGGACTAGCAGTGGTGGAATGTTTACTCTTTAGATTTTATTTTCTACTAGTTAATGAGAGAATCTTGAAACTGCAATATGTAGCTTGAATTCCACAGTTATATAGGTATTTTAATAAAAAGAATACCTACCAAGGACATTTCTAGGAAAAAAAAATGTGTGTGTGCATGTGTGTATGTTTAAATGCATGAAATATGATATTATGGAAGATTTTAAAAGACTTGACGTGTTCGTTTTTTGGGAGAAGAGGAAACCTTAGATTGCACAGGGGAGGATTGTTATTATTTTTATCAATCCATTCATTAATTTATACAATTGTTTGCAGTAGGCAAACTGAATATAAATCCTGCATATATTATAGCTTCCCTAATAACTACAAGAGACTTTTCCAAAACTAATTTCAATTAGAAATTTTGTTCTCTGCAGACACTAACATGTCAGTATGAATTCCACATGACCATGCTGTAGAGTTTTAGGTGGTGATTCTGGAATTTTCTATATATGCTGTGATTGGGCAAAAGCTTAGAAAGCAGAAACCATCAGAGCTAAAACATACTTGCAGGGATATGTGTGATATCAGCTGGGAATATGCTGGTTTAAAGGCAGGGAGCAGAGAGGTATCATTTCCCCTCATCCTTGGGGAGGGCTCGTGCTCCTCTGAAGCCATGGAAGCAACCCTGCTGAGTGACTTTTCAAGGGCCTCATTCTAAGGACCTTGAGGGAAGAGGGCACCAGCTACTAGACCTCAAACTCTGCCCCATCAACCCAAAAGCTCTAGGGGAAAAAGCCCAGCAGTATTGCTGGAAAAGCTGTCAGCTATTGCAGGGTGCAGGCTGAGAAGAGTGGCAGACTGTCAGCCAGGCTGTGGGCTGGGGCCTTGCTTGTAGCACTGAGGTGCCCAGCCCTGCCCACCTTTTGTCCCTTGATGTAGCTGCAATAAACCCTTGGCCTACCCCTTGTGGCAGCATTCTTTCTTGCTCTGTAGATAGCATGGTATAGTACAAGGAATAGTGTCTAAGAGTCAGAAAACATGTTTTTCATCTTGAAGGGCTCTGTGATGATGCACTTTATCTCTCTCAGCTTTATTTAGTTTCCTTATCCGCAAAATGAGAGGGTTGGATGTAATGACCCCTACATTTCCTTTCAGTTCTTAGGATACTGAGAGTATTTGTAGTGCCAGCCAGGCTATTGCTTTTATTTTAAGAGCATACATGAAAAGCTGGCAGTTAGCATGAAGGTTCAGTGAAGTTCTGGTAAGCTGAATATTTTTTACCTTACATTGATAATGACTACTCATTTGAAATTGATGATTGACACTGTGATTGAAATATGGAAAAAGACTGTACTAATTTCTGGATTCAAGCCCTGTAAACAAACGTGTTTTTCCTGCAGGGTTTTGTGATGCTTTGTAAGCGTGTTATTTGTGGATCCTTTCTCATAAAGGATTGCCATCAAGAAGAGGTCATTTGCCACTCTTCGCACGTCTTTCTTTTTTTTTTTTGTGAGGACCAAATGATTTTTATTCATATTCGTCTGGTTTATCTACCCAAAGTGTTCAGGACAGTGTTCAGCACATATTAAGCTTGATATAGCAGTTATCTATGATGATGATGGTAACGATGACTCTGTATAGTCACTGTGTTTCTGAGGTCTTGTTTGGTAATCAAGAATGTGTTTAGAACTATCTCTTTATTAGACAAGGTAATAAACCAAAAGTTTCCAACTTCCTGTACATGTTGAAAGTTTTGAATAAAGATCCTTGGATACAAAACATGGCCCACATGGCTCAAAATTAATTCTGTGACATAATATTATTCTGAAGTCATACTTATTTTGAAAGCCTAAAGGTTTTTCTTTTTTATGGCTATAAAAATATCACCAAGCTAGACATTTTAATTCTGTTGAGATATACAAATAGAATTACCGCAGCAGCCCACACATTCTATGATTTCTAAACATTTAAACATCAATGGTTTTGGGAAGTTGCTGTTGTCCTTAACAGTTCATTAAAAGTTCAGATGCCTTTTGTGAGAGCCCAACTTTTCTACCCGCGAAATTGTCTTTTCAGAAGTCTTGCCGGATGTTTTCTTTGTTTGCCTTTCCATGTTGCTGTTTAATTTGATAGATTTCATTTTCTAGTTGAAAAATAGTCCGTTCAGTCTCATAATTCTTACTACAGATATCCAATTTGACTCCATTTCTCTCAATTTAGATCCAGCTGTGAGTTGCATGTTCTTTCTCTGCCAGTTTAAATCTTGAATATGTTTTCTTAACTTCTGAAGTTCTTTCTGTGCATGTTCAATCATATGAACTAGATTTTCATTGTATACTTTCCAGGCATTACATCCATGCTGTGACATTAGTTTCAGATTCTCAGTTGTAACTGCTTGATGCTCTAACTAGGCCATAGAATTGTTTACACATTCTTGCCATGCAGTAATGCCATTTTTTTGACCAGAGGAAGGGGCTGGAAGTTCATATCGTTTCATACTGAGCAATTCAGTTGGTTGTCGAGCAGCCAGTCTCTCAAATTCATTTCTCATCATGTCAGTTTCAAAAGCAGAATAATCCAGGACTGTCAGGTATCTCAGGTAGTTCATAGTAGGTTGGTATCTGCGAGTTTACTTCTCCACCAGCACTGCAGCTGCTTCCTGCACACCAGAGGCTTCATAACCTTGATCAAAATATGGATCAAGTGGTCAATATCAATCAAGCGGTGGCACACGACTGTAATCCCAGCACTTTGGGAGGCTGAGGCGGGCGGATCACAAGGTCAAGAGACGGAGACCATCCTGACCAACATGTCTCTACTAAAAATACAAAAATTAGCTGGGCGTGGTGATGCGAGCCTGTAGTCCCAGCTACTCGGGAGGCTGAGGCAGGAGAATCGCTTGAACCCAGGAGTGGGAGGTTGCAGTGAGCCAAGATTGCGCCACTGCACTCCAGCCTGGCTACCCAGCGAGACTCTGTTCCCCCTCCCCACCGCAAAAAAAAATATATATATATATAGCAGTGCATCCACCTCAACCTCTCCAGCCACCAAACCTGTGCCTGCCATTCTGGGGACCTCAGGTTTGCCCTACTCTTCTCATTTCTTTACCCCTTTTTCCCTCCCTTGCATCTTCTCTCTCTTCTTTCCTTACTTATTTATTTATTTATTTATTGAGACTGAGTCTTGCTCTGCCCCACAGGCTGCAGTGCACTGGTGCGATTGTAGACCATTGTATCCTCAGACTCCTGTGCTCAAGCGATCCTCCTGCCTCAGCCCTCCCTAGAAGGTGGGACTGCAGGTGTGTGCCACCACAGCCAGCTAATTTCATTTTATTTTTGTAGAGACAGTGCCTTGCTTTGTTGCCCAGCCTGGCTTCAGGACTCCTGGCCTCAAGTGATCCCCCTGCTCTGGCCTCCCAAAGTGCTGGGATTACAGATGTGAGACACCACACCCAACCTCTTCTTTCCTTTTTAACACCTATTCTTCCTGTTTTGTTTAGTGTGGTTCTTCATTTTAGCAGGGTGCCTCTAGAACTTTGAAAGGATTAAATTAGATGCGTTGAGCTTGTCACAAAATACTCTGTGACAAAATATGTCTTCTGATGGAGAAGTTTCCACCACTTTAAAGCAACCAAAAGGGGAAAAAGCAGTCCTAGCATGGTGGAAGAAGTGCTGAGTACAGCATGAGCTTGTCTTACACACTAGTTACAGTCTTGAGAAGCAGTGTGAAGTGATTATTCTTGAACTGGTCATGTCCCAATTGATTTTTCTAATTTTGTAACTGTATTCCCCAGAGGGCTTTTTGACACAAACCCTTAATACACACGGAACTAAAAATTGGCAGTGGATCCTTAAAGAGAATTTTATGCCTTTCTTCGTATTGTTTGTATGTATTTACTTGTTGACAGTCTTGTAAGATAGTCAATAATATCCATTATACATATATCTCAGTTAAAATTTACATATATTAAATGTTGCTAGTTGGATAAGTGTCCGTTTTCTGGGGGAATCTTCTCTGGATACAAAAGACCTTTACCTTCGGAGCAGCCATGTAACTTACATGAGGCAAGCTAGGTAGGTAGGTATATTTTATCAAACAGAAGTCTTTAAGAGTGAAGGTGTTCCTGTTCCTAAAATGTGGAATCGGCCCTCTGTTAAGTGGCATTGACTGACTAATAAAAGTATTTTGTACTAAGACAAACCTTTTTCTCAAAGCCTTAGTTTTCTCATTTGTAAAATTTGGATAATACCTGAGTTTCCTTATCTGCTTCACAGGATTATTGTAAAGATCAAATATCCAACTGCCTGTTTGATAGCTCCATATTATACATCTAAATGATACCTCAAATTTATTGTGACAAAACAGAAGTTTTTATTCCTTCTCTCCCTAAATGTATTTATTTCCCAAGTCATTCCCTTTTTAGTAAGTGGACTACCATCAGTGACTTGCTAAATCAAAAGAGTAGTCATTTTGATTTCTTTTGTTCGCTCATCCCACATTCTACTTATTCGTAAGTTTGGTCAGCTCTACCTCTAAAACATATTGAATCAGAATGTATCTTTCCATCTCTGTTGCTATCACCTAGCCCAAGCCACTGTCATTGTTCACCTGGATTATGACCACAGCTTTATATGTTGTCTCCTTTTTATATTCTTGCTTCCCATTAATTTAGTTGCCATACAACTGTCAGAGTAGTCTTTTAAAATTGTAAATTAGATCACGTCATTACCCTGTTTCAAATCTGTTATTGCTCACTGATCTTGGCATAAAATTTATCCTTACCAATGCCATTAAGATCCTTTCTGATCTGACCCTCTCTACCTCTGTGGTCTCCTTGCTCAAGTTGCTCCCCTCATGCTGGACTTCTAACTGAAATTCCATGCTTGTTCCTACCAAAGAGCCTTGATATTTCTGTTCTATCTGGAATGTTCTTACTTCAGACCTCTGCATGCCTGGCTCTTTCTAATGTTACTTTCTCAGAGAGATTTTCTCTTAATTTCTACCCTGTTACCTCCACCCCTAGTCATCCTTTAGACCTTTGTTGCTTTATTTTCTTTACAGCATGCTACTATTTGAAATTACTTTGTTTATGCATTTACTTGCTTATTATCTCTTTCCCAGACTAGAGGGTAAGGACTTTATCTGTTTTGTTCGTCGCTGTGTGTGGAGGGTGATAAAATATTTAACAAGGGGTTAGGCCGGGTATTCACCCGTTGAGTTGGAAGCTGGGACAGGGTCCTGGAGGCTTCTTGCTTTGCTGAATCTTGGGGAAGTCTAGGGCCTAGGGGGTGGGCGTGGGTCCCAAGGAAGAGACTAGGATGGCCAGTGTGGAGTGGAGTGGTGTGCTGTGGGCTGCAGCTATTTACCAACTGGTATAGAACTATTTCAGTATTTGAACACTATCAATTTAGAGCTGTGCCTGGTATGTAATGGGTGCTCTGTAAGTATCTTTTGAGTGAATGAATAATGGGATGACAAAACATGAAAGAAAGAAGGTAATATATGGGAAACTCCTGAAAATAATGAAGTTGGACGTAAGGTATAAAGTGGTGTCTTCCCCTTTACCAGAATATTTGTAGTCATGACTGAGCCAACTTTGGTTTTTAAAGATACAGAATCAAAGTAAAGAGCATAGACCAAGGGTAGTAACAAGTATACAAAATTACATCACTACCTAGCCTTTTTTTAAAAAATAAACTTGTATTTTCCCAATTTTTTTGTGGTAAAATATACGTAACATGAAACTTGCTGTCTTAACCATTTTAAAATGTACAGCTCAGTGGCATTAACTACTTTTCAACTGTTGTGCCACAAACACCATGGCTTACTTTTGAGTGTGCCATCTTGTGGCACTTTTGGTTTCTCTGTTAGATAATGACTTCAAGTATTTCACAGCTTTTGTGTTTCTATTTCCTTATATCTAAGTGGGGGGAGACTTTTTATGCTTTCTCTCATAGAGCTGTCATAAGGATCAAAAAGGAGATAAAATATAGACCAAGCTTGTTTAACCTGCGGCTGGCTTTGAATGTGGCCTAACACAAATTCATAAACGTTCTTAAAACATTATGAGATTTTTTTTTTTTTTAAAGCTCATCAGCTATCCTTAGTGTTAGTGTATTTTATGTGTGGCCCAAGACAATTCTTCTTCTTCCAATGTGGCCCAGGGAAGCTAAATGATTAGACACCCTGATATAGACCATCATGTTCAGTGATCTTAAAGCCAGGGTTGCTGGAATGATGTGGGCACTGGAGACCACAGTGACACTTAGCAGATGCTAGGCACCCATTTTAGGGATGCCTCTACTAGTAGAGCATCTCTTCACCCCCTGCATTGTGACATTGTGCTCCTTGAGATGGAAGGCTCAGATTTAAGAAGAGACCAGCTTTGTCAGAAAGGTGTTTCCCTTCCAGGGCAACACTCAGTGCAGTTTTGAAGTTAGGATGTTTAGATCATTGTAGCATCTAAAACACTCTGATATGAGTTTGAAAAAGATGGCTTTTTAAAATTATGAGTATGAATTAATTAGGTTCTTGCCATGTGCTTAAAGACCAAGTCTTCACTAGTACCTGTGTTACTATATTGTTTTCAGTTTTGCAGGCCTAGGTCAAGGAGAATTTGGATCAGGTCACCGTGACTGAAGAATTGGAAAATAATATGTATGAGAAGATGTTAAAATAAGTGTGACTGTATAGCTTAGAAAATTAAGTTCAGAGTTAAAGAAATACAGTTTTTTTTTCTGTTATGTGGAGGATGCTTAAACAGAGGTGGTAGCCACATTATATACTTTCCTTACCCACTTGTTAAGTCTTTGCATTGCTAAATTAGAGGTCTACATTGTGGATTAACTGAGACTAGCCTGAACCAGATGTCATGTCTGAATTGGGAATAACAAGCCTGAGGTTTTTAGACTGTCTAACCATGTCTGTGTTGGCTATTTATTTTGTAGACTACACTTAAGACCTAAGTAGTTATACTCTACTGCTAAGTCTGTGACTAATTGCAAAGAAGCCATTCTCCATTTGGCTTAGTGGTTGTGAGCAATGACTTTAACATAGCCACAGGCTCACTGGGCTTTGAATCCAATTGTTAGTTGTATGCCCTGAGCAAGTTAACTTATCCAAACTCCTGTTTTTTTCATCTTTAAAATAGGCATAATAATACCCTATTTTACTTGCGGTGAGGACTGAAGGAGGTCATTTATATAAAGGTGTCATCGGTGCAGTGTCTGACGTTGTATGCACTTAGGAATGTCTGGTGGCCCTGGCAGGGAAGCTGTGTGGCCTTCCACAAAGTTTTCTGACCCAGTCTCCTACTTCCTATCACTCACTTTTGTGCGTAGACCCTTTGGGCTACCTCCCTGATGATCGGACAGCTACTTCCCCTCTTTCTGTCTGCCCATCTTCCTCTTGTCCATCATATTTTTCACTTAAATACTTCCTTGGCTCAGTAACAACACTCATATGGTTGTTAATCTGATTATTGCTTAGTATAATTCACTGGAAGGTAGGAGTATATTTCTCTCCAAGGATGTTATTTTAAGGGAATATTTTGTTTAAACCAAATGAATTTGTGAGATCTGTAGTCAGGTATTCATTAGTTCAGTAAATCTTTGTTTAGCTACTATGAGCCCTTCCTAGCACTATGGTAGGTTCTAGGGAATAAAATATATATACATATAAACAATGCCTAGCTTAAAATGTGGGACAGGTGAGCAATAAACAATTGTTTAAAGCGGGCAATAGGTACAATTGGGTAAATATGAATTTATCTAACAAATGTTTTTTTGAGGTATTTTCATGTAACAGGCCTTGTTCCTGGAGTTGAGGATACTAAGGTGAATGACTCCCTGCCTGTTGGTGTGGGTGTGGAGGGCTGGGTTCAGACCTGGAGAGAGGGGAGGTTCCAAGATGGTCAATCCCAGCAGGCCAGGTTGCTGAGGAACCATCAGACAGGGAGAATAGCATGAAGGTGATGATGCTTTTTCTGGTGGTAGGGGAGTGAAGGGAGGCTGGAAGAAAACTAGTTATTTTAAATTTTTAATTTAATTTTATTTTAAATGTCCGTTTTGAAAAGGGGATAATCTAATGAGAAGATAGGGGTGTTTTTTTCCCTTACAATTAAAAAAACTTTAAAAAGTGGAGTAACCACATTGTAGAAGAAATGTGGAAAAATTCTCTCGCAGTTCTAAACCTGAATTATTTATTAGGTGTGATTGCAGTGTAGTTTTTTGAGCCTTTTAAAATTTAGCCTATGTATGTTTTGCCATTTTGCTATTCAGGTGACCAAATAATATTTCATTTAGAGAGAATACCATTGTTTAACATTTTAGATTTCTTTCAAAATTTTTTATAATGTAACACATCTCTTTCTATATTATAAGTGTTTCTTTTCGTGGATTTTTGTCTTTAGAGTGCCAGAAATAGGGTAAATAATTTTAAATTTCAGAGTTTTTAAGACTCTTGGAGCATATTGCTATACTTAAGCAAGTTTATACTAAATTTGGTATTATGTGAAATCTCCAATTTCATGTAAACTTTGCATATTGGGTATGAACATTACAGTTTTAGAAATTTAATTGGTGAAAAATGCTACCTCATTGTTTTAGTAATCATTTTTTTGATTAATGAGGTTGATTATTCTCATGTTTTTATTTATAGATTTATTAACTGTTTGAAAACTTTGTGTTTTTATATTTGTTTCCTATATTTAGACCATTTTAGAGTGGATAAGTGCTATTAGCCTCCATTAAAAAAGTAAGTTAGCCAGGTACAGTGGTGGGAGCCTGTAGACCCAGCTACCTGGAGACTGAGGCTGGAGGATTGCTTGAGGCCAGGAGTTTGAGGTTGCAGTGAGCTGTGATCACACCACTGCACTCCAGCCCAGACCCTGACTCAAAAAAAAAAAAAAGATGAAGTCATTTTATCTGTGTCTATTTGTTTCAATAGATACAGACTACTAGAAATCATGCCCATCAGTCCAAGTTTCTGTAAAAAATTAGGAAGTCCATAGACCTTTCCTGCTGTTACTCATTAGAATGTCAGAATGCTCTATTAAATACTTCTGTATACCTGAATATAAATGTGCTTAATTGGAACTGCTGATAATGGACCTATTGATTTTTGAACATTAAGCCGTCTGCTGAGTATACAGAAATTTTAACAGAACAGTATTATTTAAAAGTGGTTACAGTGTGTGTGTTTAAATCATTGGACACTGATATACCCAGACAATTAACTGTGATTTTGTTTTTGTTTTTATTGTTTGGACCAAGTATATTATTTTGCTTATATTTTGACTCACAATTCTGTAAATTCTGATTTCAGAACTACTTTACATTGACATTAAAAAACTGTAGATTAAATAAATGTCATTTAAAATGTAGGTAAAATTATCAAAAAGTTGGTTCAAAATAATAAAGGCATTTACTTTAAATATTTATTGAACCAATAATATATTAGATGTCAGCTACTAGTGTTCTGTCATCCTTCTCTGTGGCTTGTTGGTAAATCTAACGGCAGTGTTTGCTTCTGCTTATAGAAGTTAGTGGAGAGGAAGGGAGGGGAGGCACATGGCTGGGGCTGGGCAATTTCCTGTTTGCAGTTCCTTCCTTTTGTAGTTTGATAGGCAACTCTTTTGTGATGTTGCCTGTAAATGGGCCAGTCTTTTATCTTTGTAGGCTTGTATTTTTGGTGGCTTTGAAACAGATCAGGCTCCTTAAACTCATACAGCATTTTCAATTTCAGACTCTTTGAGACTGGACATTCTGTTAGCCTTCTGCATATGGGTAGAGCAGTGTCACCTCTTAACTTTTCTTGCCTGTTTCATTTAGCTGTGGGCGAGGAAAATTAGCTGTTTGCTTTTCATTACTGGAAGATTTATCAAGTTAAGGTGCATCAATCTTTTCAGTTTTTTTTTCTTTTTTTCTTTTGGCATCCTGATAATAAACTTCCTTTGTGTTGTAAATAAGCTCTCAAATTTATATACACATACACAGCTGCACACACAGGCATACATACTCACTGCATTTAGTACTATATATTTAGTAGGGATGCACTGTGTATGCTTACAGTAATTTACTCACAAATTTCTGAATCTTATCAGTAGCTTTGGAATAACATATACTTTCTGTGTGAAGAAGCTAACATCCATTTGTTTCATTTTAGGTTGGTGCAAAAGTAATTGCGGTTTTTGCTACTTCAAACAATATATACTGAATTAAGGGGATGTACTTTTTTTTAGCACTTGAAATTATTTATTTACCAGTTTATTATCTCTCCCTTTAAGGGAAAGGACTTTGTCTTATTTTCCACAATAGCCCCAGTATCTAGAACAATGTCTGACACATCCTAAGCGTTCAATAAGTGTTTGTGAAATGAATGACTGTTTAATTGATAAATAAGTCTTGGTTGACTTCCACAGTTTTGTGGAAGTTTAATATGGAGTAATTTAAAACCTGTGATGTGCTTAAAGATAAATTATGAAGTCGGTACTAATTGTAAAAATAACAGCAAGAATCAGTGTTGCAAAGCATTAACTAATTTTCTTAAAGTTACTGAGTAAAACAAAGTGTGTTATATAGAACTGAAATGGGCTTTGTTAATACTGTACATACAAACATTTGAAATTAATATTGTGGATAATAATGTTAATTTTACTCTCAGCATTGTTTCTGTTTTTCTCAATAGGTGAAACTACTTATTTATACATATAAGTATTTGCTACTAAGTGTCAACGATTTTTTTAACAGCCATCCTTGCAGTCTCAGGATAATTTCCAGTTAAGAATTAATTCATGGGGCCGGCCACGGTGGCTCATGCCTGTAATCCCAGCACTTTGGGAGGCCAAGGTGGGCGGATCACCTGAGGTCGGGAGTTCGAGACCAGCCTGACCAACAGGGAGAAACCCCGTCTGTACTAAAAACACAAAATTAGCCAGGCATGGTGGCACATGCCTGTAATCTCAGCTACTCAGGAGGCTGAGGCAGGAGAATCACTTGAACCCGGGAGGCGGAGGTTGTGGTGAGCCGAGATCGCGCCATTGCACTCCAGCCTGGGCAACAAGAGCAGAACTCCATTAAAAAAAAAAAAGAAGTAATTCATATGCTTGAAAGAGGAATACTAGAAAATTTTTAATTAGAGTTGGATCTTGAAAATTTTTAGCTGCATGCATTCATTATGAAAAAAAAAAAAATCGGAAAGGAGGTACTCAAAGCCCTGAAGACATTATCCATTATCAGAGTGTGACTTGAAATTGTTTGCCGTGCCTGATATGAGAGCATGTTCTGTACATGTCTACCTAGGCTTCACCTGGCATTTACCCGAGTGAGGACTATCAGTGTTCCATTTTATACAAATATCTGAACAGAGCAGGCTCACATTTAGACGTATTCCCCATGCAGAGCTACAGGCTTCCAATCAATGAGATGTTTACTAGAATATATACAGAAACTGAAGGTAATTCTTTAAATTTTTTGAAAAATGAGGTTATTTGGCTGCCTGGTAATTGCAGCATGGTAAAATTTGATATTGAATGTATTTGATTGTGTTTACTGTTTTCTTTTAGTTTTAAAAATAAACATCTTAATTAGAAAAAAAAGACCCACTTTTGCAAGACTGGTGAAGTATCTCCACAGAACACTCACTAGGAAGAACCCTTCTGCAGTCCTGCTTTGTCATATTTCAGTTGGAGAATCTGAACCCAGAGAGGTCGAGTACCTTGTCCAAGATCAAACCCAGCTAATGGAGAAGGACTAGAACCCCGATCCCTAAGTTTCTAGCTGGGAGCTTTATCCAGTCATATAGCATGTCACCGAGCACTGCTGGTCTTGGTATATTATACTACATCTAAACCATAATAGTCTGCAAAAAGATTAGAAACAGCATGCAGTGTGGAAGAGTAGAATTTTCTATTTAGAAAGCAGTGTTGTAGTGTTTCAAATACACTAGTCATACAGTTTCTTTTCCAGGTAGCTTCTGAGCTTTGATTCTGGCTAATGGGGCTAACACTGCCAAAACTTTCGTGTACCAACCAGGGACAATGGTGGTTGTTCTCATGTTTACTTTGGTGATGTCCATGGATGTGTTGGGGTAGGTCTAAGTGCAAGGAGTGATAGGGGGATAAGAGAAGCAAGGAATGATATAAAGTAGGTTGGGCTGGTATCTTAGGACAGAGTTTTCCAAGCTTTATTCACTGTAATTCACCATAAGAAACACATTTTACATTGCAGCCTAGTACACACACATACACACACGCCATTCACATGTATAATTGAAACAAGAGGTTCATGAAACAATTCTTACAAGGTGTAAAGCATACTGATATTTTATATTCTGTTCTATTTTATTTAAAATATGTCTTTACCCATCAAATTGACTTCACTGCTCACTAATGGGTTGTAACCTGCAGACTGCAAAACATAGCCATTGGAGAATCTACTTACTGTGCTTAGATCCAGAAGGTTCTTGAATGTTCTTAGGGCATTGATTTTTGGCATTGAATGAGCAGGTGATTGTTTGATTGCTCTGCATCTAGGCTAGTTTGCAATTAACATGAATGGCTTAAGGAAAACTGAAAGTATTCTGAAGACTGCTCTCTCTAAACATCAAGATGCATACCTGTCTCTGGATGGTTTTTATTCAGTTGGTACTTGACTTTTTGGGAAAATCTGAGTTTGTTTTAAGCCTTCAAATAATATGATTTATCTTTTCTTATCTCACTTTCATTTGAATCACTGTGTTACCCTTAAAGCCCTCTCATACTCCTCCCTTCTTCCTGGCAACCAAAATGTGCATTGATTCAGTTTGGGAGAACCTTGATTGAGAAGCCTGTAGCTAGGTCAACGTTGTGGGCCCTGAGGAGCCAGCGCTGAGCCTGCCTTACTGGGTCTGTCATTTTAGTATCTCATTGGGCTTAGTTTCTAAGTGTGGGCTGAAAAGTTATATAATGTCCCATTCACCTCAAGACATCGAATCTTAAACCTTAGGTTTATAAGGGTTTTCTTGATTGAATAATTTTAATTTATGTAAATTTTTATTTCAAGAAATGTTTTCTATTTGATAGAGTGAGTAAAATTGTGGCCTTTCCCCTATTTTGGAAAGTGAATAAATTCATTAAACCCCTCTTCATGAGCACTTTCTGAAATTTTAAATAAAAGAAGAGCTAACCGCTTGCAGTGAGCTGAGATAGCGCCACTGCACTCCAGCCTGGGCAATAGAGCTAGACTCCGTCTCAAAAAAAAAAAAAGAGCTAACTGCAACTGCTGTTGAGTTTGCTGTGTGTTCAGTTATTTCTAAGATTTTTAGTGTTCAAAATAGGGTTGCCATGCTAAAAAACAGACTGTGGCCATGTAAACTACTAGGTTCCCACGTCACCAACACTCTGTCTCTGTGTCTTTCTTAATTTTCTTCCTTGTTGCTCTTCTGCCTTAGCTTTGCTTTTCCTGTGCCTATCTTCCCAAACCCCCGTAACAAATGCTTGTAGGGGCTTTGAATTTTCATTATGGAAATTCAAACTTTTAATTGATGAGGACTTAAAGCCAGGGGTGTAGTTATACAGCAAATTCATGGGTAATAAAACTAAATAGTGGGATGGCTGGCGTGGTGTCTCACGCCTGTAATCCCAGCACTTTGGGAGGCTGAGGCGGGTGGATCATGAGGTCAGGAGATAGAGACCATCCTGGCTAACATGGTGAAACCCCGTCTCTACTAAAAATACAAAAAATTAGCTGGGCGTGGTGGAAGGTGCCTGTATTCCCAGCTACTCGGGAGGCTGAGGCAGGAGAATCGCTTGAACCCGGGAGGCGGAGCTTGCAGTGAGCTGAGATTGAGCCACTGCACTCCAGCCTGGGCAACAGAGCGAGACTCCGTCTCAAAAAAACAAAACAAAACAAAACAAAACAAAACAAAAAACTAAATAGTAGGACTGGGAAAGTGTAACCTCAGCCTCAAAGAAATATTTTAGGAGGGCTGCAGTACCTCATAGAGTTATTTAATAAGAAATAATATTTGTGGTTCATAGTTTCAAATTAATGAGCAGACAGACAAGCCTTTCCATGTGAATATACATACTGTAGGATGAATCAGACAATTCTTTCAAGAGTGGGTGTACGAGTCATTTAGTGGGCCTGCTTTGGGAAATTTCTTAATTTAAGAAACCATAATTCCCTTCTCTGATAAACCTTTCCTGATGTTTTCTCCCTAGTTTTTCTGCCTACCCCTCACTCTCTGCCTCCCAGCTCTTCACTGTCATTTTCTTACTATCTGACTTAGAACATGGCTCATTTATAGCTTTTCTTACTTCATTTTGCAATTAATTGCACATAATATGATCTACTAGGATGAGCTCCTTGTACTTACTTGCTTTGCACACTCGCCCTTGTAAGAATGAGCTTTTTGAGTAAAGGGATAACTCTTACATATTTTTTTTTCTTCAACTTTTATTAAGTTCTGGGGTACATGTGCAGGATGTGCAGGTTTGTTACATAGGTAAATGTGTCCCATGGTGGTTTGCTGCACAGATCAACCCATCACCCAGGTATTAAGCCCATCATTCATTAGCTATTCTTCCTGATGCTCTTCCTCCTCTGAGGCACAGTGTGTGTTGTTCTTCACTATGCGTTCATGTGTGTTCTCATCGTTTAGCTCCCACTTATGAGTGAGAACATGCAGTGTTTGGTTTTTTGCTCCTGTGTTACTTTGCTGTGGATAACAGCTTCTAACTCCATTTATGTCCCTGCAAAGGACATGATCTTGTTTCTTTTTATAGCTGCATAGTATTCCATGGTGTATATGTACCACATTTTCTTTATCCAGTCTATTATTGATGGGCATTTAGGTTGATTCCATGTCTTTGCTATTGTGAATAGTGCTGCAGTGAACATACACGTGCATGCATCTTTGTAATAGAATGATTTTTATTCCTTTGGGTATATACCCAGTAATGGGATTCTGGGTCAAACGGTATTTCTGCCTCTAGGTCTTTGAGGAATCGCCACACTGTCTTCCACAATGGTTGAACTAATTTACACTCCTGCCAAGAGTGTAAACATGTCCATTTTTCTCCGCAGTCTCACCAGCATCTGTTGTTTTTTGACTTTTTAGTAATAGCCGTTCTCACTGGCATGAGATGGTATCTCATTGTGGTTTTGATTTGCATTTCTCTAATGATCAGTGATGTTGAGCTTTTTTTCATATGTTTGTTGGCCGCAAATATATCTTCTTTTGAGAAGTGTCTGTTCATATCCCCTGCTCACTTTTCAATGGGGTTGTTTGGTTTTTTCTTGTAAATTTGTTTAAGTTCCTTACAGACTCTGGATATTAGACCTTTGTCAGATAGATAGATTGCAAACATTTTCTCCCATTCTATAGGTTGTCTGTTCACTCTGATGATAGTTTCTTTTGCTGTGCAGAAGCTCTTTAGTTCAATTAGATCCCATTTGTCAATTTTTTCTTTTGTTGCAATTGTTTTTGGTATTTTCATCATGAAGTCTTTGCCCCCTGCCTATGTCCTGAATGGTATTACATAGATTTTCTTCTGGGTTTTTATAGTTTTGGGTTTTACATCTGAGTATTTAATCCATCATTAGTTGATTTTTGTGTAAGGTGTAAGGAAGGGGTCCAGTTTCAATTTTCTGCTTATGGCTAGCCAGCTCTCCCAGCACCATTTATTAAAAAGGCTGTTCTGGCCAGGCACGTTTGCTTATGCCTGTAACCCCAGCATTTTGGGAGGCAGAGGTGGATGGATCACCTGAGGTTGGGAGTTTAAGACTAGCCTGGCCAAGTGGTAAAACCCCGTCTCTACTAAAAATACAAAAAAAATTAGCCAGGCTTGGTGGTGGGTGCCTGTAATCCTAGCTTCTCAGGAGGCTGAGGCAGGAGAATCACCTGAACCCAGGAGGTGGAGGCTGCAGTGAGCTGAGATCGTGCCATTGGACTCCAGCCTGGGCAACAAGAGCGAAACTCTGTCTCAAATAAAAAAAAAAAAAAAAGAAAAAGGCAGTCCTTTCTCCATTGCTTGCTTTTTTCAGGTTTGTTGAAGATCCTATGTTTGTAGGTGGGTGGTCTTATTTCTGAGTTCTCTATTCTCTCCATTGGTCTTTGTGTCTGTTCTTGTACCAGTACCATGTTGTTTGGTTACTGTAGCCTTGTAGTACAGTTTGAGGTCAGGTAGCGTGATGCCTCCAGCTTTGTTCTTTCTGCTTAGGATCATCTTGGCTATTCAGGCTCTTTTTTGATTCCATATGAATTTTAAAATAGTTTTTTTTTCTAATTCTATAAAGAATGTCAGTGGCAGTTTAATGGGAATAGCATTGTATCTATAAATGACTTCGGGCAGTATGGCCATTTTCACGATATTGATTCTTCCTGTGCGTGAACATGGAATGTTTCTCTGTTTGTTTGTATCCTCTTTGATTTCTTTGAGCAGTGGTTTGTAGTTCTCCTTGAAAAGATCCTTCACTTCCCTTGTTAGCTGTATTGCTAGGTATTTTATTCTTTGTGTGCTAATTGCGAATTGGAGTTTATTCACTGTTTGGTTCTCTGCTTGCCTGTTGTTGGGGTATAGGAATGCTAGTGATTTTTGCACATTGATTTTGTATCCTGAGACTTTGTGGAAGTTGCTTATCAGCTTAAAAAGCTTTTGGGCTGAGATGATGGTGTCTCCTAGATATAGGATCATGTCATCTGCAAACAAAGATAATTTGACTTCTTCTCTTCCTATTTGAATACCCTTTATTTCTTTCTCTTGTCTGATGGCCTTGGCGAGAACTTCCAATACTATGTTGAATAGGAGTGGTGTCTCACTCGTATTTGTATCTCCAGTACTTAACATAGTGTCTGTCTGTGCTATTTTAAAAATTTATATTTATTTTTATTTTTTAAGTTGACTTCGTAATTGTACATATTCATGGGATACATACTGATGTTTTTTTAAAATGTACATGTAATGCTTTTATTTAAAAAAATCTTTTATTTTAGGTTCAGGGGTACATGTGCAGGTTTGTTGTAGAGGTAAATTTGTGTCATAGGGGTATGTTGTACAGAATATTTAGTCACCCAGGTACTAAGCCTAGTACCCAATAGTTATTTTTTCTGTTCCTCTCCCTCTGCCAGCCTCCATCCCCAAGTTGGCCCAAGTGTTTGTTGTTCCCCTCTTTGTGTCCATGTGTTCTCATCGTTTAGTTCCAGCTTATAAGTGAGAATATGCAGTATTTGGTTTTCTGTTCCTGCAATAGTTTGCTAAGGATTATGGCCTCCAGCTCCATCCATGTTCCTGCAGAGGACATGATCTTATTCTTTTCAATGACTGCATAGTATTCCATGGTATATATGTACCACATTTTAAATATCCATTCTACCATTGATGGGTATTTAGGTTGATTCCGTGTCTTTGCTATTGTGAATAGTGCTGCAGTGAATGCACATGTGCATGTGTCTTTATGACAGAATGATTTATATTCCTTTAGGTATATACTCAGTAATACGATTGCTGGGTTGAATGGTATTTCTGTTTTTAGGTCTTTGAGGAATCACCACACTGCTTTCCACAATGGTTGAACTAATTTACACTGCCACTAACAGTGTATAAGTGTTCCCTTTTCTCTGCAGCCTCACCAGCATCTGTTATATTTTTTGACTTTTTAATAAAAACCACTCTGACTGGTGTGAGATGGTGTCTCATTGTGGTTTTGATTTACATTTCTCTAATGATCAGTGATACTGAGCTTTTTTTCTTATGCTTGTTGACTGCATGTATGTCGTCTTTTGAAAGGTGTCTGCTCATGTCCTTTGCCCACATAATGAGGTTTTGCTACATGTGATATATAGTGATCAGAACGGATCCAGGCAATCAGCATATCAATCATCTGACACATTTATAATTTCTTTATGTTGGGGACATTCAATATCCTCCTTCTAGCTATTTGAAACCATATATTACTGTTAACTGTAGTCATCCTACAGTGGTATGGAACACTAGAACTTACCCTATCTATTAATAGCTATAATTTTATATCCTTTAACAAATATCTCCTTATCCCCTGTATTAGTCCTTTTTCACACTGTTGATAAAGACATATCTGAGACTGGGCAATTTACAAAAGAAAGAGGCTTAATGGACTTACAGTTTCACATGACTGGGGAGGCCTCACAATCATGGCAGAAGGTGAAAGGCACGTCTCACATGGCGGCAGATAAGAGAAGAGAACTTGTGCAGGGAAACTCTCCTTTTTAAGAACATCAGATCTCATGAGATTCATTCACTATCACAAACATAGCACGGGAAAGACCTGCCCTCATGATTCAGACACCTCCCATCGGGTCCCTCCCATAACATGTGGGAATTCAAGATGAGATTTGGGTGGGGACACAGCCAAACCATATCATTCCACTCCTGGTCCCTCCCAAATTTCATGTCCTCCCATTTCAAAACCAATCATGCCTTCCCAACAGTCCCTCAGAGTCTTAACTCATTTCAGCATTAACTCGAAAGTCCATAGTCCAAAGTCTCATCTGAGACAAGGCAAGTCCCTTCCACCTATGAGCCTATAAAGTCAATAGCAAGTTAGTTACTTCCTAGATACAATGGGGGTACAGGCATTGGGTAAGTACAGCCATTCCAAGTGGAATAAATTTGCCAAAACAAAGGGGCTACAGGCCCCATGCAAGTTCAAAATACGGCAGAGCTGTCAAATCTTAAAGCTCCAAAGTGATCTCCTTTGATTCCATATCTCACATCCAGTCCTGCCCTTGACTCCTGTCACCAAGGTTGCAGTTGCAAGGCTTTCAATTTGAAATCAACTGCTTGTTAAAACATAGGAATGGACCCATCCTGTTCAAAGAATGTAGGAATATGTGATAACTCTCCTAATAGTTATCAGTTCCTAATAGGAACTGGAGAATCCTTGAATCTCATCAGTTTGAATGTGGTAAAGTATTTATATTCCCTTCAAAAATGTCTGAAATTTTGAGAAATTCATCAGTACTTGCAAGTGAGTTGGAGTTTTAGCAGCAAGCTATGTATTTTATCCAGAGTCAAATTTTAAGTTTTTAGCCTGGGACCTGGGAAACATAGTGAAACCTTGTCTGTATAAAAAATAAAAAAGAATTAACCAGGTGTGGTGGTGCATATCTGTAGTCTCAGCTACTTGGGAGGCTGAGGCAAGAGGATTGCTTGATCCCAAAACTTTGAGGCTGCAATGAGCTGTGATTGTGCTACTGCACTCCAGCCTGGGTGACTGAGTAAGACTCTGGCTAAAAAAAAAAAAGAAAAAAAAATTTTTATTTTAGTTTTTTTTCCCCAAGAAACATATCTTTGAAATGTAATGAAAATAGTGACAAAATGGGGATAACATTTTAAAAGTTTCTAAAATCATTTTTTTTCCAAGACGGAGTCTTGCTCTGTTGCCCAGGCTGGTGTGCGGTGGCACAATCTCAGCTCACTGAAACCTCTGCCTCCCAGGTTCAAGCGATTCTCCTGCCTCAGCCTCCCGGGTAGCTGGATTACAGGTGTATGCCACCACGCCCAGCTAATTTTTGTATTTTAGTAGAGACAGGGTTTCACCATGTTGGCCAGGCTGGTCTCACACTCCTGACCTCGTGATTGCCTGCCTCGGCCTCCCAAAGTGCTGGGATTACAGGCATGAGCCACTGTGCCCGGCCAGATATATAAATTTTTAACAAAACCCAAAAACATTTGGAATATCCTGGCATTGGGCTGTGTTTAAAAAGTATATTAGACTTTACACATGTGTACTGATGAAAATATTTTACTTCTGAATTAATAGAGGAAATTAAAGTTGTTAAGATCCTTTTATTACAATTAAAATTTGGGGGATTTAACCACGATGGTGATCACCGAATTCTCGCTATTAATTCAATTTAAAAAATTTTTATCTCTCTCCTGCTCCTTTTTATTAAGGAACATTGGTTGATCTAGACCTCAGGTTAAGTACAAGAACTTCAGGATGAGATTGGAGGTCTCTGACTTTTACTGTGTTACTCTAGCAATGCGGAGAATAATTTCTCCTCTGAAGAACTGCTCTGGTAGAGCTGTATAGTGATTTTTTTTTGTTCAGTTATAGGAACCGATACATCTTAGAGAAGATCTCTCCCTGACCTACCTAACCAGCCCACCCTTCTCCACTCCCCATCCTCACCATACTGGTAAACCTGGATAAATTAACTTGTCACAGGAGGCAGAACTGACAGGCCCAAGAGCCTCCTATATTATTGGCATTCCAGTCCTTTGCCTCTACCTTCGCAGCCCTCAGCTTACTTCGACACCCATAGTGCAAGGGAACACTGTTGTGTGAATAACCGCTTACCTCTTTTCTCCTCTATCACTCTTTCTTGTTGTCTCTGTGTACCTTTCCCTCTCCATTTTTGTTTTTGTTTTTCCTACTGGTTCCATCTCTTTCTCCTTCCTGTGTTCTGATCACTTCTCTCCTATTGCTTTAAAAAGTTTTTTTTCTTCAGACAAGAATGAAAGGAATCTCCTATTGGTTTGTTTTTCCTTCCTTTTCCTCCTTTCTTAGTTGGCTGTCGGAGTTTTTTGGGTGTGTGTAACAGAAATTGACTCTGACTTACTGAAGCCCAAAACTTAGTAATGAATTTCCTGGAAGTTTAGTCAAAAGAGGGTAGTAGAGGGCTGCTGTGGCCTTCCCTTCTAATAAAAACTCTTTCTTCATTTTAATGGGAAATAGTATTTTCCTCTCTCCTTTTGTGTGATTCATTTGTTCATTCTTTCATTGAACAAACAGTCATTGAGCACCTGGGCCAGACACCCCTTCTGAGCTCTAAGGATATGGTAATGGACAAGAGAGAGAAAATCCCTGTCCTGACAGAGCTTAGATTTTGCTGGGAGAAACAAACAAATAAGAGGTCAGTGATAATGGCAAGTTGGTGATGTGCTGGTGACTGGCTGGCTACTTCAGATTGGAAGTTCAGAGATGCCCTCTTTGGGGTGGTGATGCTGATAAAGAGGAAGAACATTCTAGGCAGAGAACAACACATACAAAGGCTTTAGAGTGGGAATGAACTAGGAAAGGCTGAGGAACCAAGACAAAGCTGCTGTGGCTAAAAAGGCTATAATGCAGGCGATGAGGCCAAAGTCTCTGCTAGGGCTTGTATGTGAGAGCAAGTTCGAATTTTATTCTTCGTGACCTGTGGGTCTCTTAGGGAGCTGAAATGACCTGACGTACACTTAAAAACACTTTAAAAACTCACCTTTTAGAATGTCACTTGAAGCTCTCCATGGTACAGTTATCTGTATCGTTCCGATTTCTCTTATGCTACTCTGCCATAATGCTCTGATTACTTAACCTTTAAAGGTTTTTGTGAGGAGTACTTAAAGTGGGGGATCTCCTGGGATTAGATCTGAAATGATATACAAGGGATATGCCATGAGGTCAGGAACATACTTGCTTTGTTCTTGGTATTATCCATGGTGCTTGGTACTGGTAAGTCTTTGCTGAATGAAGAAATGAATTACCTGGTGTGTAGAACTGTGGAAAGCTCTCTGTTTTTCTCCTTTTCCTTCCTCCTTCTTCATTTTCCTTACTACCAGGAAACCTGCCATTCAAGTCTTGTTGCTCATAGGAAGATGGGGGTGAGAAATTGCTGGCCAGGGTGAAGGGGGGCTGTTTTCTGGAAGTAGTGAGGTCTGCCTACAGTAGTGAGCCAGAATAGGAGGGAAGTTCCCAGTTACTGCAGGGAAGGTGGGTGAACTTCCTGTATGTTTTATATATATATATATATATATATATATTTTATATATATATATTTTATATATATATATTTTATATATATATATTATATATATATATATAGTATGTATGCAATGGATCTGTTGATTGGGTTTAAGTTACTTTTATTTAAGCTGTAATTGTTTCAGTTCTGCTGTTTGTGGAAGTTAGTAAGCTAAAGTATGTAGGGAACATGTTTACTTAAAAAAATCTATGCACATTTAAGAACGATTAATTCTGCAGCTACTTGGGAGGCTGAGGCAGGAGAATCACTTAAACCCGGGAGATGGAGGTTGCAGTGAGCTGAGATCGTGCCACTGCGCTCCAGCCTGGGTGACAAGAGCGAAACTGTCAAAAAGAAAAGAAAAAAGAAAAAAGGATGATTAATTTCTGTTATCTTCTCGAAGGACAATACTGTCATGTGGCACATGTTTGAACAGTTGGGGCTAATGCACAGAAAAATTGCCACAGAATCTTTTCTGCAAACACCTGACTGATGGGCAAAACTCTTGTTTCTCCTGCTTTCTCTAAGCAACAACTCTTGTAAATACTGGAAGAGAACAACCAGTTCCTTGTTTGTGTGCATTGTTAGTTTTCTATTCTTCAGTGAGTTCAAAGAACAGTAGCTTACAAGTTACTATGATTCTAGACCTGAGATTTAGTTCACATGCTTTGTGGCTTTTGTGTTAGAAGTTTGGATAACATCTCACCTGTAAACTTCCTGAAATTTGAAAAAGAATAAAATGACTATATATGAAAAGGCTTCTTAAAATTTTAATTTTAAAAACAATTCTATGTACAGTTCCTTAAGTATATACTCTAGTTACTAAAATAAATACATTGGGTTGCTGGTCTACCACCTTCTCTCTTCGAGGAGATCACAGACTGCCTAAAGTTGCCATAAGTACATGGGAAGCAACCCCCACAAGTTTGGTTCCATCCCTGGCAAGTTTGGTAGGCTTCCTCCTGTTATTCCCAGAAAGTTTATGATCTTTCTTGTTCACTTTTCTCCTCAATTACTTTCCTTCCAGTGACAGCAAGAAAATTTCCTCTCATATTTGCCCTGCTTTCCACTGCCTCAGATTTGAAATCAGCTGTAATCACAATGCCAAATACTGAGGAAAGTTATGCATTTTGAAGCAGAATTGTATATAATTAAGTACCAATCAAAACATTAGAAATAATTCAGGGTTCACTTTAAAGCCATTATAGATGTATTCCTTGATTTCTTCAAGTTTTTCTAATTTAGCTTTCCCTCAAGTATTAGCATTGAGGGAAGATAATTAACTTAAGAAACTAACACACTTACTTAATTATTTTAGTTTTAATTTTGAAAATAGTGTCTTCTACTACATTTTATTTTAGATATATGATTTTAATGATAATAGTGAATATATTATCATGTTTGGACTAGCTTAGGAAACTTAAAATCCTAAGATTTTGTCTTTGGGAAAATATTTCCAGAAGTCAAAATATTATCCTTGGCAAGGCACAATGGCTCATGCCTGTAATCCCAACACTTTGGAAGGCCAAGGCGGTAGGATTGCCTGAGCCCAGGAGTTCGAGACCAGCGTGGGCAACATAGTAGACCCCATCTCTACTTTAAACAACAACAACAGAAAACAAAACAAAACAAAAAACCGCATATTATCTTTTACAGATAAATGTTTGGAGTATAATGTATTTGCAATTTAAAGACTTTCTATAATTGCTAACAGGTGTTAAGAGGATTTAAACATCCAGTCCTGGTCTGTTACAGTGGATCTGCGTCACCATCTTCATTACAAAGTTATGGTTCCTTGCCTTGTAAACTTGATCCAATTCAGTCCTGGGTTTAAATAACATACTTTTTTTTCATTTTCTTTCTTCATTTGGAAAGTTTTATGAAATGAAGCTCATGATATACCCAGAAGTAAGCAGTGAAACTCAGCACCAGGAGTTTTTAACATGAAACCATTCAGTTTGGGAGTATGTATTATTCAAGTGATATTCTGGAGTGAGTCTGTTTTTGCGTTTTATATAAGGACTACCTTTTGATGATGAATGATAAATGTTCTACAGGGTTATATTTAGCTGCATGTTGTAACATAACAGTATTTTGCTCAGCTTGCGTAAGACTAAGGGACTGAGGTTATTTTGGGGCGACACATTTTCTCCTTTCCCCCATTAACGTGTCCTTTTAGGTTTCTGTGTGTTAAGAACATTGGCTTGGTGTTTCCTTTGTTTGCTTTATAAGGGGTTGGACTAGTTTACTGTCACACAACCAGCTCAGTGAGGTCTATGCTGGTACATGAACTCACCTCAGGCAGAAGAGAAGCATTGTGTCACTGAGACAATGCTAGCAAGAGATGTGCATTTGTGCTGGCTGTAGCTGTCAGTTCTGGAAGGATATCTTTTTAGGCTGATTATGAAAATTCTGGTTGTAATCAAATTAGATGGGAAGACACACATGGCTAATATTGTCTGCCATTCTCCCTAAATTGCCCATCAAAAAGCTCCCACTGGTTTCACTCTAATTATACCCATGAGAGGGGTGAGAGAGTATTTCTATTCTAAACGAATTGTCAAATAAATAAAGTCTGCTGTTTGTTGACTGTATGTTAAATCCCAGCTTCAAATTAAACTGTAAAGAGATGTCACATGAGGGTATTTCAGAGCAAACAGCACCTCAAACAAAAAACATACTCATTTCTAGACCTCATTCTCATGAGGATTCAAATACTGAAAATTGTTAAGTATTTTTAGGGTAGAAATAAGTGATGTCTATAGAGACCTGATGTCAGGTTCTGCTTAACTTCTATGATTAGCCTTGCCTCCATATTTGTTAAGCAGGTATATTGTCTTATGCTTTGCTGACTTCATAATCTGTGATTTATAATGGACTCAAAACTTGAAGAACAGGAAGAATGACTTTATTTTACAACATGTTCAACCAAAGACTGTAGGAAACAAAAGACATTCATTCTTACTCTGTTTTAATTAGACTATTTAGCATGATAGATTTAAAATAGACTGAATATAATACAAGTTTTAAATACAGTTGTGTTTCTGATTTGTAATCAGACTGACTTTCCTAATTCATATGTGATTAACATTGAATATTTCTATTTCCACAAGCAATTAGAACAAAGTGGAATTGTTTATGCATTTGAGAAATGTATAACTTTTTCCTATTTTTAAAAAATTATAAAGTTGAATGTAGATATTGTTTTCTGAGTCACTGGATATAATGGGAGGAAATGATTAAGAAAATAATGTTGCTAAAAATAACAAAATTAAACAATTTGTTTGTGTTTGTGTATCACAATTAATGCTGTCTTTAGGAAAAAACAGTTTATAAATTAAGTGCCCTGACATTTAAGAAGTCTGAGAACCAAGTTTTGGGAGCCAAGGAAGAGACTTTAAAAGTTTTATGTTTCAGCTTTTTGCAGAGTTTTTTGCCTTGCAGTGCATTTTTATGATGGACTTCTGTTTCTATGCTGGACTTCTTTTCATGGACTTGTGTGGTTCATTCTTTGCAGGTAACTGGTGAGTGCTTTCCTTTCCTAAAAACAAATCCAACTTGGGAATCTAATTCTTTTGTTCATGAGACATTCAAATAGAAAAAATGAATACAGTGCTAGTAACAGTAACTCGCTTCTTATTTCATGTACTTTGTTGCAGAAAGACATGGCCCACCTCAGGGATCTTCTGATATTTTGATAATGGGTTTGGTAAAGCAGGGACCAGTGGCATTTATTTTATGGATGTTGATACTAAGGCATCAGGAGACTAGGGAGGCTGTTTAAAGAGGCAGAACTGAGAGTAGGATCAACATCTGTACTCTATAATCAGAGGGTTGAACTAAATCATGGTCTTATTAGGGACATTTACAACCTCATATTCTGATGTTTGTATACATAGACGGGCTTTAGGGTGAAGGTGTGAGAAATAATAACAGTGTGGGTCCAGATTCACCCAGAGACAGATGGTGGAAAGGAAAAAAAACATTTTGGGACCAAAGTTTATCTCCTTTTTGTTGTCCCTTGCTGTAGAAGAGCTATGTGCTAGATATAATTTTGAGCACTTTACATACATTATTAATTCATTTATTCTTCCCGACAAACAACCTTATGTGATAGTTACAATTATTATCCTCAGTTTATACCTAAGGCAATGGAAGCATAGAGGGTTAGTTTCATGCCACTAATGGGGAAAGAACCTGTGTCTATGTCATGCTTCCCCTCGTATAAAACGCCCACTATTTGTGCAATCGTCCATCATTTTTTGAGTGTGTGCTACATGCCAGGCATAGTGTTGAGTCCTGCAGATAAAAAAGAGATGGAAACCTTGCTGTCATTAGTCTTACAGCCTACTTGGGGAGACAGGCTCAATCAAATAACCACAGAAACAAACTGGTATACGAATTTGAAGGAGAAGGCAGAGAGCTTTGAGAACATAAGGCAGGGGCCTGATCTTATTGGGTTGCCAAAAAGACTGTCTCACTTTAGAGCTGTGATCCCAAGGAAACGGAGGAGGTGGCATCTAAACACTGCGATGATGCAAGGTAGGCTCAGGTTGAGTCTGGTCACTTCATAGGCCATTCCCAGCCCCCTTTAGAGTCCTTGAAGTCAGTGTCTTTAAGCTCCATAATGGAGATTTCAGACTATCTCTGTGCCCTCGTATATGTGCAGGTTCCTGTGCAAATTGTAAGCGTTAAGTAAATATATATGCTGATTGAATTACAGTCATCTGTGGTGATTTGTGCTCTGTTCCACCTCCTGCTGGCTGCGTTGTATCCCATGTTGGAAGTGGCTGAGTGTGGCTTCAGAATAGACACAGAGGAAGTGGGAGAGTGAATATTTGGATGAGGGAGTATGCCTTGACTAAATACTTTCTATAAGCAAATACAAATCATATGACCTAGAGCTTTTATTTTTTAAAATCAGTCTATTGCTTTCTCTTGAAGCACATCATTGGTGAATTGACTCTATTTGGCTTGATGCTTTCATACAACTGGGCTGAGAAAGTTCATTTTACCCCTCTTTTGGGCATTCCCACTATAGTTGTAGTGATATAGTCTTTTAAAATCTCATTCACCAATTATTAATTAAGCTGAATTAACCCTTTTGGGTAGATGCATTCTTATCCTTATATGTTTAAAGTAGCTGTTCATTAAACATAGGTTTTTTGCTGAGCATCTATCTGACAGGAGGCATCTGAAGGTTTATAAAGGTATGGGAAGCTTGGTTACTTGAGCTCCAGAAGCTTTCCACTTTAGTCTAAAGGAAACTAATTACAAAAGAGCTGTGAGGGGCCCATCAGGATGTGCTTATGAGTTTCTATGAGGGAGCCAGACTGACTGTGTGACCTTGAGCAACTAATTCTCAGTGCTTTTCCTGTAAAATGAAAATGGGAATAATAATGGAACCTAACTCGGGGTGATGTGAGGATTAATGAACCAAGTTATGTACAATGCCTAGAAGAGTGCCTGGCACATGGTATATACTGTTAACTTTTTGTTTTTATTGTTGTCATTATTGTGATCATTATCACCTATAGTTGAGTGTCATATTCTGGAGTCTAAAGGGTAAGGGAAAAGGTTCTGAGTTGGAGAAGAAAGGCATCATGGGACATAGTATTTGAGTTTAGGTCTAATGAAATATAGGTCTAATAGGTAGAAATGGTGAGGAAAGTATTCCAGAAAAACAACAACAACCTCAAATACCAGAGATATCAGGTATGTTTAGGGAAGGGTGAGGAGTCCAGGCTAGCGGGTAGGGTTCATTTGAGGAAAAATGACAAATTTACCTGAAAAGGCAGGCTGGGACGATATCTTGGTGAAGGGTTGGCAGTCTGGACTGGGCTTTTTGAGCAGGGTTGAGACTTTCCGAGCCCTGCTCTGGAACTACTGGAGTAGGCAGGAGGTGGAGGCAGAGAGAAATGGTGTTAGTCCTAGAGTACGGTGATAAGGGTTTGGATAAGGGTTTGAAATAACGTGATGATGATTGTCATGGAAGAAAGGTCCAGGTAGTTCACTGCGGAACTAATGAAATTTAAGACTCAGGGCCTTTTCTTGCTTAGTTCCGTCTCTCAAGCTGTTGAAGGGAAAATTTTTTGTAAAATATGAAAAGATGTTTGTATCCTCCGTCTTTGCTCCCCAAATGATGTGTTTCAGGCTCCCAAACCTGGATCTACCCCATAATTGAAAGAGACTGTGGATGGCCAGGAGTGGTAGCTCACGCCTGTAATCCCAGCACTTTGGGAGGCTGAGGCGGGTGGATCACTTGAAGCCAGGAGTTTGAGACCAGCCTGGCCAACATGGTGAAGGCCTGTCTCTACGAAAAATACAAAAAAGTAGCTGAATGTGGTGGTGTGTACCTGTAGTCCTAGCTACTTGGGAGGCTGAGGTGGGAGGATGGCTTGAGCCTTGGGGGTGGAGGTTGTAGTGAGCTGAGATTGTGCCACTGCACTCCAGCCTGTGTGACAGAGCCAGAACCTGTCTAAAATAAAATAAATAAAAAGAGAGAGACTGACTGTGACTGTGAAGAGATAATCAGTCTGGGTATTGACTTGATGTGGCTATCACGTGATGGAGAGGCCAAGGTCAAAGATGACTTTTGAGATTCTGGGTCTGGCTGACTGGGAGGAACCCCTCATGAGAAAGGGGGATGTTGGGAGCAGCCAGTTAGGGTGCGGTAGTTTCAAGCCAAGTGAGTGCTCTGCACTGGTTAGCTTCACCAGTAAAAGAAACATTTTCTTCTTATATCTGCCCACCCCCATCCTCAATTGCAGTTTTGCAAGCATGATAATTGTAAGTTACACAGTGCTAAGGAAAGGACTCAGCATTTCTGCTGATTAATGGGCTTCAGCCCAAAGCACACATCATAGTGATGTCTTTGTAATGTCCACAGTTAGTATTCTGTGTATTCTAAACCTAGTTGTCTGAAACTTGTAAATGGAGTCTCTCCTTTTTTGGCATAAGTCTTCCACATTTGGTAAATCATAGTGCTTTAAGACTATTTTAAAGTTGTAACATCAGTTTTCTGGAAATTGTATTTTGAAGGAATTTAATTGACTAAGACATGGTTGAAATGTTAATTTCAAAGCTATCGTGCCAATGTTCCAGTGGCAGCACCTACCTGGGAAAGGCTATTGTCAGCATTTGTTTCCTCTTTTTCACACAAGTAAAATATTAAACAAATAAAATTGAAGAATACTCTTTCAGATGGCCAAATTGAATCCTCAAGAGTATTTTCACTTTCCAAGTCACAAAATATAAATATAATTAATGTAGGGGCACAGATTTCACTTTTAAATATATATATATATACATATATATATACATATATACACACACACACACACACACACACACACACACATATATATATATATATATAGTGTGTATGTGTGTGTGTGTTATGCTTTGCTGAAAAGGTTTTTTTTTTTTTTTTTTTTTTTTTGGAGGAAAAATAGCACCTAAAAACAAAGCTAAAAACATAGTAAAGTTTGAGGCAAATGTCCCCAGAGAAAGATCATTAGCAAATTCATGACCCAGAGTCTGGTTGAGACTTCTCTATGAAGCCATTTATTGTTTTAAGAATCTCCCCTTGTGTATCAGAGAGGTTGAATTATCTGAGTAGAGAAATACAGTTGTAAATTCCAAAATGCTTCAGAAATTCACATATTATTTTGGAGCAGGTATTAAGGATTTAATGACTGCAGGATTTAGTTTAAAAAAATGATTTAGAAGTATTTGCAGATGAATTCTAAGAGGATTCTATATAACTTCTCATGTTGGTCTGGTGTTCCTCTATAAAATTAGTACAGACTTGATATTTGTTACATTGTTTCTCACGGTGTAGTAAACACAAATATTTAAAATTATAAGAGTTATGCATTTTAATATTCATTTATGTATAGACTCAGTGGCGGGTTTTCCCATTTATAGCAATGATATAAAACATTTTACATCAAATTGATTTAAGTCAAAAGTAAATGTGTGTTTAAAAAGAATGAATGGTAGTACATGGTGGTACCTACGGCAGAAGTTGGGAAAGTGCATGATTAACTAATGGGCAACATTGGCTTACTGGTAAACAATATAAATTGTGCTGGTTTGTAGTAGGGTAAATTTTATTACGCTGTTTAATAAAACCTCATAGCTGTTGATAATATATATGTTAAGATACTGGCTCTTTAAGAAGCTTTTATTAAAGAAACTAAAAGTTATTTAAGTTCTTGGTACCTGGAAGTTAATTAAACAGAAAAAAGTCACTTTAATTGGGTGACTCCTGCTCAGTTAAAAATAAAAGTATATGTTAAATGCTATATTATTAATATGGTTTCTAGGACTTCTTGGCAAAAGTAGGGCAATTTTATCAAAGTCGTGCATGTACCACCCACTAAAATGATGTGGTACACCAAACATTATCTGTGCAAATGCTTTTGTTAAGTTGTATTAGTCAAAAGTTTGGGGAAAGTTCTGGTTTGGGTTTATATATGTTAATACCTAGCGAGAAAAGTAGACAGCATATTCTTTCTTTCCCCTTAGGAGCACAAGAGAAAAAATCAAGATATTTAGAAGATGCTTTGAAATTAATTTCATTCAGAAAATATTTTTATGATTCTGCTGAGAGAAGGCAAAAATATTTTTAGAAATATTAGAATATCTGGCAACAAATTTTCGAGCATTAAATATGGATTTTATTTTTAGAAAGAGTACACATTTGACATTGCATAACTAATTTACTTACTTCACATTTAAAAAACAGATTTGTGTATGTCTGTGAAAAAGACAATGTGTTGATAGTAGAACTATAAGGTAGAAAGTTCCTCTTTCTCCTTCTGATCCTTCCCCTGCCCTTTTCCTCAAATGTGACTACAAACTGTTAACAGTTTGAAGTCCCCTAAGTTTTAAAATCAAATGGAATGAAATGGCATTTAGGAACTTGGAAGAGTGGAAACCTTTTTTCCAGACCTATGCTACCAACTGAGTTTATATTTTCAGGCAGATATGATGAAATTGCTGTGGGCTTTGGAGTCAGCCCACTGTTCGAATTCTGTTTTCATCCTAGAGCAACAACGCGAGTTTGGAAAGTTCCTTACCTTTCTTACTAAATGTCACTTTTCTTCTGAGCTTTAATCTAGCCTAGTCTGTCTCTCTCCTCTCTCTCTTTTTAATAAGCAGACATGTCTAAGAAGATCTGGCATAAGAATATGTGACATATTTTGTCCTGGAAAAATCGAATTTGGTATTTTAATGACCCAGCATGCATTCATGCAGTAATGCACTCACTCATCAGGAGAACATTTCCCCACTTTGCCCAAATACCTACCTTCAGGTTGTGAAAGGTCAACCTGTAAAAGATGCCCCAAGAATCTTCCTGGAATTTAGATGGCCTCTGTTGGGTTTCACTTTGCACTTATTAATAATTGAGCACTGGGATAAAAATAAAAACAAAGGGTCTCATCTTGCAGTGTGAGAACATGGGCCATGTGTGCTAAGTCATGCAGGTAAGATGAGGAGCAAAGCCCTGTGGGGTAGCCAATCTAAAGAAGCATTCCATGTGGGCTGGTGCCTCCCTCTTGCAGAATGACTCCCTCCAAATTAAAGGGAATTAACGTAATTGCTCCTGGGGAGGAAAATGCATTTTTGCTTTTCAAAGGTTGTTGTCTAAGCTTTAATTATCTAATCCACACACAGAAGCTTTCTACAAGCAGCCCTCCCTTTTAGCAACCAGTCACCTTTCAAATACTGCGGCATCTTTAGGCTTAAGAAATCACTGCATTATAACCAATTCTGTTATATAACCTACCCCTTAGGGTACAGTAAAACCTGTTGTAATGTTGGTTACTGAAAATGGTCTTTAGAGCTAGTGTTGGTTTAAATGGAGTTTTGTAATTATTTGAGCTGCAACTAGAGTGACAATTCTCCATTTTTAGAATCTGTGCCTCTTGTCTGGCAGCACTTTTAGTTATTTCCTTTCTATTGCTTTTTGTTTCACACTCAATAAGCTTTGGTTGGTGTGTGCTTTATCAGACCTTCATGTTTACTTGCCAAATGAATATGGGGTTTTGTTACTAAAGTTAGTATTTTTAATCTATTTATTTTATTTTTCTTTCTTTAGAAAACTCAGAATGGACTCGTTTTCTAGTCCTGAAATATTAATAAGTAAACATGTAATATATTCCTAGTGAAATAGCTTAAAGCTCAAAGAAGGTCTGTAAGTAGAGGAAAACCCTACTGTTAAGAACCAAGACTCTGCCATTCTTGTCATTGAAATGCATAGGGTTTTGATGTTGGGACATACTAAGGAAATAGTGCCACTAATTTTAGGTAGAGAAGATTGTAGGAATTAAGCTCGTTTCTGACTATAGAGGAAAAGGACCAAGACCATCGGCTCAGAATTAAAAAATTAAATTGCTCTTGGAATAAAATTGAGCTCTCCCAGTGGTTTGTATTGCTCTTCACATTCCGGCCACTGCCTGGCTTTCTCCCGCCCCCTGTCCTCTTCTCTCAGTCCTAGCCACACTGACCTCCTTTTCCTCCAACTTACCAAGCTCTTTCCCACCTCAGGGAACTTGTCTTTGTCATTCTCATGCCTGGATAGCCATTCCTCCTTCCCCTTAGCTCTTCCTGTGGTTCTCCCCATCTAGAGTCTAGATCTTACCCTGAACATCACCCAGAGACCCCTCCCTGACTACCTTGACTCAGGTAGCTGCTTTCCAGGCCCCTGTTTATTTACTTTTCAGCATTTACCTTAGACTGTATTTATTTTTGTTGATTATTGTCTTTGCCCCACAAGCATAAATTCTATTAAGGGAGGTGCCAGTACCTGATACAGTGCCTGGCATATACTATATACTCAGTATCTATGTATATTACCTGGGAGTTGTTCACTGGTTTTAAGGAATCCTTTTTTGTTTGTGTCTTTAAGATTAGTTCATCTTGTCAGACTAGAGGGATTTAAGTAGCTTTGGTATCAAAATCCAAGATAATATGTTTTCCAATACTCTTACCCATACACATTTTCACCCATTTTATTGTGATTTTATTGAGTGTCTAGAGAGCAACACTGGCTTTCCTCAAGAGTAGGCTGAAAATTCAGTAGATACCCCATGGATATTGTGCTCACTGTGAGAAGTCTTTCAAAATTTACCAGGCACTGAAATAACTCACCTCAGGTCTTCGATGAAGGTCAGGGAGGTGTGCGTTGGTCTTTGGTGAGCACACGGTATATTATGAGGGTACAACTGTCGCTGCCATTGTGTCTGTTCAGTGTGCCTTTGTAAAGAGCCTGGGATGGCCTCTTCATGGATCTGCCCTCTGTCTCTAAGCTTACCCATGGAGAAGACAAAGGCTGCTGCGCAGCTTCATGCTGAAAAGGAAATGTTGGCAAGTTGTTGCTTTGTAAAGATCAACACTATCACCGTAACAGCTGTCACTCAAAGTGGAGGAAGTGAAATGCAAATTTGGTGAGTAATTAGTTTTGTGTCATTCTTGGGTGTTCTAAATGTTACTATTTATCTGTCTTAGGTAATCTATTTAAAGAAGACACCAGAAGAAGCCTACAGAGCACTCCTGTCTGGCTCAAACCCCCCCTATCTTCCATTCAGGTATAACTCCTGGTGAGACTTGGGTTAAACTTTTGCTACAGAGCTGGACACTTTAGAGTTGGGTTGTAGTGTTTTTTAATTGTCTTAAGATAATAACCATTATGTTATATGGAATGAAATGAGATGGTAGTTTTTATTATTTCATTTCGTAGAGTTTTATCCCCCTAGCTAGCAAGAATAAAAGAGCTTTCTTCTTGTAGGAATTTATTTTTTTCTTTGAATCCTTTCTATATCTTTACAGTTTATGTCAAGCACAAAAAGTGCCTCATTTATAAGCTAATAATCATGTCAAGATTTGTTGGATTTCAGTAATCTACATCATTGATTCATCCATTCATTCTTTCATTTCATAAGCAGTGATTGAGCTCTGGTCACATGTCAGAGGCCGGGGATATAGAATAAGACCCTCTAAGATTCTTCAGGAGCACCTGTTTAGTGGGGACCCTAAATCACCAGTTTGGCACACAAATCTGACTGGCATCCCCAGGAAGCCTTTCTCTCATTACTGTGTTTTCTAAGTATCATCAAAAGAAGATCTTTTAAAAATTTGGGGTGAACTTGAGCTCATTTAAAAAGTAGAAGGGGACTGGGTGCAGTAGCTCATGGCTGTAATCCCAGCACTTTGGGAGGCTGAGGCTGGTGGATAGCTTGAGCCCAGGAGTTCGAGACCAGCCTGGGCAACATGGTGAAACCCCGTCTCTACTAAAAATACAAAAGTTAGCCAGGCATAGTGGTATGTGCTTGTAGTCCCAGCTACTTGAGAGGCTGAAGTGGGAGGATCGCTTGAGCCTGGGAGGTCAAGGCTGCAGTAAGCTGAGATCGCCCCACTACACTCCAGCGTGGGTGACAGAGTGATACCGTTTCTCAAATAAATAAATACATACATACATACAGTAGAAGGGACCATACATCAAAACTCCCATAACACTTACCTCTGCTAGAATTGTGAATGATTCTAATATTTTTGCCTTTTTTGCTTGTGTGTCCAAATCTGCAAGCATGTGTATTGCTTATTGCTTATTATTATTACCATAATTAACCAACACAATGAGCGAAAGGAATGGGAGTGACTGAGAAGACTCTGCTTGTCTGTCTTCCTCATTCTGCTGTAAACTCTCAGAGGGCAGGCCCCAGTGCCTTATACTTAAAAGCACTTTTAGTGAATATTTGAATGAATACATTAAGACTAAATCCCTTAAGAGTCAAGGGATTCTCATTCTGCTTCTGAGATCACAGGAGGTAGCTGTTAGGGTAAGACATGGGGAGGGAAGAAGCAACACCTATTGTGCTTAATTAAAGTGAAGTCAAGGAGTAAGGCATTGGGATTTGGACCCTGAGGGGAAAATATTCTGAATCAACCTAGAGTCTGAGGTAATCAGCCGTGGAAGGGCAAATAAAAAATGGCAGATAATGTAGATGAAAGTTTTAATGGTGAAGACAAAGCTTATTTTTCCTTCCACTTCTAATGGCTCCTATACTTTGAAAGTCCTTTGTAAAATATAATCCTATTTTTTCAGAAAGGGGTAATAATGCTGATAATTCTAAGTTCTAAGCAAAGTGGTTAGGAGTATATACTTTGGAGGCAGAGAAACTTCAAGCAGTTTGAAGCCTCATTCTGCTTCTTGCTGTCTGTAGTAAATAAGTATCTCGGACAAATTACTTATCCTCTCTCAGCCACAGTTTCCTTATCTGTAAAATGGCTTCAGGTCTAAACTAAGGATCAAATGAAGTAATAAATTTATCCTTCTGCCTAGTGCAATGTTTGGTTTTTGTTTTTCTTGTTGTTAGCATTATACTATTATTACTGTTAGTAACATAATTAATAGTAGTAGTAATTATTATTACAGGGTCTTACTCTGTCGCCCAGGCTGGAGTGCAGTGGCACACTGCAACCTCTGCCTCCTGGGTTCAAGAGAATCTCCTGCTTCAGCCCCCTGAATAGCTGGAATTGGAGGCCCCCACCACCATGCCTGGCTAATTTTTGTATTTTTAGTAGAGATGGACTTTTGCCATGTCTGCCAAGCTGCTCTTGAACCCCTGGCTTCAAGTGATCCACTTGCATCAGCCTCCCAAAGTGCTGGGATAAAGGTGTGAGCCACTGCACCCAGTCAAGAACTAGAATTTTAAAATAATAATACCAGAATAGAAGAAAAGATAGTAAGATAATTAATACTACTTAACATAGAATTGATTTCAATTCTACATAAATACTAAATTTATAGCCTATTTTTCAAATATTTTTCACTCAAATACTTTTATGTAAATATTTGAAAATATAAATACATTAACATAGTTCAGAAATTTAAAAAATCTATATAGGAAGGTTTAAGTGAAAATTATCCCTCCCATCCTTGATCCTCATCTGTCTAGTCCTTTCCAGGTAACTTCTGGTATTAGTTGATTTGATATCAGTCTAGAATTTCTTTATGCACGTATAAGTAAATGAAGATATGCACCCATTTCCTACTAAAAGTATGCCTTTGAATGTAACTCTAAGTTCTATCTTTTTGATATCTTAGGATACCAAGAGTTGTATTTACATTAAGCTTCATTTCTAAATCTAGAATCTTCATAAACCATACATTTGAAACAGAAAATACCACAAAGTAGTACATTTATAATTTAGTGAAGAATTTAGTTGAAAGAATACTACTAGTTTTCTGGAAACTTAATTTTTTTATTATGCTAAGATAAGATGTGAGTTGTTTTTAGTCTACAGTTCAGGCCAACTAAGACTAATGGACTTCTATCAAGAATCATCCTCATACTAAATTCTGGGCAGCCATCATTGCGTTGGCCTTCATTATAATCTGGGTTTTATTATCACCAGGTTTAAAAAAAAATCCCATTTCTTATGAAATTACACTTTTGTCTTCATTGTCTAGATTTTTTCAACTGCTGATATATTAACACTTTTAATTAAAAATGAGAAGCCTTAAAGGAATTTCTATTTGGATGTAATTGTTTTATTATTTAAAATTTTTTAAAAATGAAGATGATTTTGAAGGCTTGTTGAAGGTGTGGTTGGTATGTTCATATACACTTTTCACTGAAATGTCTGTGTTCCCATTTGTGCTATATATTTTAGTTTCTTTCTAATAAAAGAGTTTTATGGCTACTGTGAATTTAAATAATGCTGTTTTTCAAATTTTTTTCACTTTGCAAACATTTATCTGAGCAGTCACTTCTGTAAAGCCTTCCTCATTTTTCTGGAGAGGCTTGGCAGGTCCTTTGCCTGTGATTCCCTATTACATTTTATGTATTACAAGGCTACATACAACGTTAAAGCAAACACCTTGTATTATAATTATTTGTTTGCATGGCTGACTCTTCTCTTGAGGGCTGTGGTTGGTTCTTTTCCTATTGTGTCCTGAGGGAGCAAGTATACTAAAATATATTTATTGCTTTTTCAGTGCCAGTCACTGTGATAGTCCTATGGATCAAAAGATGTTTAGGACAACTTGGTACCTGCTGCAGGAGAGCTCAGTGTATAGTCTGTATACATGTATAGGTGTGTAAAACAGTTACAGTGCTTTGTTAGAATTAGGAGAGAGGTGTTATGGGAATACTGAGGAAGGAGGTTTAACTCTGAAATGGGGGGGTAGGAGAAGATGTTAGGAATAGGCCCCATGGAATGCCTTTCATGTTAGGATGAAAACTGGAGAACAGCAATTCAGGCACTGATTTTAGGTGCTAATTTTATTTATTCGTATGGCATAGGTTGTATAATGGTATGTTAGGTAGTATATATAATACGAAGTTCACAGTATGGGTACATTATTATAACCAAAAGAATGATCTGATTTTATTCCTACTTAGATTCTATTCACCTAGTTAAAATTAACAAAAAACGAGAATTGTGTAGCTTTAACTGCCTATTCTTGATTAAATTAAGTATAGTTGACTTTAGAGATAGTTGAATTTCTGGCTTGTGTGACAGCAGTGAGTGTTGTGATGTCACTTGTGAGTCAGTCTCAGGATGTTCTGTTGAATTGGAGGGTAGGTGTGTCAAAAACTGTATTCACTTTTACTGAGAATAGCCAATGTGTTGATTAAGAGTGACTTTAGGTGAAAATCAGGGGAAAGGGGTGTTTTTCATCTACCTTAATTCTTTGAGTCATCCATTTTCAGTGTTGGCTTGGCAGTTAGCCTTCAAGGGAACAAGAGGCCTTTCAGTTCTGGGGTCAGACTCAGCAGAGTTTGAATTGACAATCTAGGTATGAATCTTTTTAGGTTCTCTTCCTTTCAGTGTACTACTAAATTATAGTGTATACTATTGAGCAAACAAAGTCGTATTAATCTCAGCTTGTCTAAAACCCCAGGAGACCAGTGACCCTTAGTGGAATGTCCAGATTGTTTTCATGGCAGTCAGTGGCAGTGGTTTTCAAATCTACATTGTTGGTGCTCACAAAACAGTATTTGTGAAAATTTAAAGTCCCGCAAAACATTGAAAAGATAACCAATCTAAATTGTACAATTCTTATTTAAGATGTCTCTTGTGCTTTTAAATTCATTTTATACTTATTTCTTTGTTTATTGGTCCATATGTATCAGGTTGGTACGTTTTTTAGTATTGGTGATAATTCCTAAATCTCCTAAAAGCCAGTTTTTAAAATGACATATAGGCCGGGCGCGGTGGCTCACGCCTGTAATCCCAGTACTTTGGGAGGTGGGCGATCACTTGAGGTCAGGAGTTCGAGACCAGCCTGGCCAACAAAGTGAAACCCTGTCTCTACTAAAAATACAAAAAAAAGTAGCCAGCCATGGTGGCATGTGCCTGTAGTCCCAGCTACTCGGGAGGCTGAGGCAGGAGAATTGATTGAACCTGGGAGGCAGAGGTTGTGGTGAGCCAAGATCGCGCCACTGCACTCCAGCCTGGGCAACAGAACAAGACTCCATCTCAAAAAATAAATAAATAAATAAATAAATAAATATAAAATAAAATGACATATACAATTAAACAGGGAATAAAATTATGCTGACAATAAATAACATCCAGGGATCTAGTTCTGAAGACATATCCAGAGAGCATGGCATGAAAAATAATGACTAAGTCTGGAGGTAAGGTTAGGTAGGGTAATGTGCTGACAGTAATGGAATAAAGCTGTGAACATTCGATGTCTTATCCCTTTAGTTTTTTCCTAAAGCTTGGAGAAGAGGCTAGAATTTACAGGTGTTTCTCAAAGTTATGTTGATCCTCAAACTTATCTGCATACGTGGGGAGCTTTAAAAAACTACTGATCCCTAGATTCTGTGCCCAGAAATTTTGCTGTAATTGGTCAAGGGTGAAGTCAGAGTTATTGGGATTTTGAAAAACTGCATATATGATGCCAATATGTGTGGTCAAGGTTGAGAACTCCTGCTCTGTAAGATGTACCATGGCAAAATATATATATATATATCAAGTATATTTATATATATATTATATATATATCAAGTATATTTATATATATATTATATATATATCAAGTGTGTATATATATATATCAAGTAAATTTAAAACTCTCCATCTTGGAGATTTACAAAGCAAATTTCTGTTTTAAAGATTCTGAATGGTTCTGAGTAATGAAGTAACCTGTTTAGCTCTGTATAACCCAGAATTTTCTTTCTTCTTTTTGTTTTTTTGAGATGGAGGTTTCACTTTGTTGCCCAGGGTGGGCTTGAACTCTTGGGCTCAAATCCTGTGTAGTTGGGATCACAGGCATGCACCACTGCATCTGGCCCAGAATTTTACAAAGTACTGATTTTCTTCCTCCTGCCCCATACTTTCCATTAATATCCAGCAGAACTCCTGTTCTGAAACACTCTGAGGCATATTTCCTGATCCACACCTGTGTGGAACAAAAAACATCTCTTGGGATTAAAATAATATGCTAGCATTTTGTGGAACATTTTTTTTATGCTGTTTCCTGAGAGTCTTGGAAATAGATGGCTTATCAAATCATGGTATTTTATTTAATGTGAACAGGAATATCCAAGTTTTCTTGCTGTTGTGAGGCCAGACAATCTTCTCTAACAGAGGATTCACACCCCTCCCACTGGCAATCCTTTTATGACATCTGTCATTAAAATGGATGCATAATGTTTGTGTTGAGGGAGGTGTTTGTTGTGTTTTGGGGGATGACCCTTAGTGATATCCCAGTTGCTGAGCTCTGTGGCTGAGTCTTAATGGGAAATCTCAAAAGTAATTATTTTAGATCTTCTGGGCATGCCAGAACTTGTAGGTCTTTAAACAAAGGCTCAAAAGGGTCAACCACTGTAGGTCTTTAAACAAAGGCTCAAAAAGTTGGTCAACCACTTAGGACTTGGCATCAGGCTGCCTTCTTTTTCATAAAGTAAACATGTGCTGGTAGACGTTAGATGTAATCATAAAATATATTTCCTTACATAAAACATTGAACCAGATTTTTATTAGCTTAAATATGATATTGTGATTTTTGTCGAAGTTTGTTTAGCAATTAACTGTACTTCAAAGGGAAAGTTCTCCTTACCGTGCTTTCCTCTTGAGTATCAAAACTGTGGAAACAATATTTTATCCTCTTTTAAGATGTTCCTTTCATTCTCAACTTTTCCTCGCTGTTTCTCAGTCTTGATCTTTGGGGTCATTTCTGCCCCATGGATCTTTAGTAAACTTTTGCTTTTGGTGCTTGGTATAATGGAAGCTAATTCGCGTTAGTTTTGACTAGTGGGGATGTGCCAATTTCCTGAGTGTTGAAAATAGATGGCTTTTCCAGTCCAAACTGTTGAATCCATTCTTAACAGCTGGGGCATATTTTGAATAAGTGTACCCCCATGAAAAAAGACTCTTTGTCAGAGTTTTCTTGTTAAAGTGCTAAGTAAGCTCCGCTATACAGGACCTGAGAAGAGAAACAAGTGTAAGTGTCTCCATGACCCATTAAGAACTCACATGGAGGTGAGTTATATTATTCTATTTTTTGTCTGCTGGAACAAGAAGGTGCTTTGGTGATTTGTGTTGCGAAAATTCGCTCAGACTACTTTTTTTTTTTTTATTCCTACCTTTAGGGTTCCAGATCAGTTTTACCAAACTTAGTGAAGTAGGGTAGGTGCCAAAGTTTTTGTACTCTTTACGGTATATTTCCAGTAGCCTTAGTTGATAAATATGGTTTTGAATAAGATTGCAGTCATTTACCTTAATGAACATAGTAATAGTTATTATTTTGTTGAATGTTATGAAAAGCTCTTAAATACCTGAGTTAAAACCAATTTGCCATTATTTTTATTTTTAAAGAAAAATTGTTGGCCGTGTGGGTGGCTCATTCCTGTAATCCCAGTGCTTTAGGAGGCCGAGGCAAGAGGATCACTTGAACCCATGAGTTAGAGACCAGTGTGAGTAACATAGTAAGACCTGGTCTCTACAAAAAAAAAATAAAAATAAAAATTAGTCAGGGGTAGTGGCACACATCTGTAGTCCTAGTTGCCTGGGAGGTTTAGGTGGGAGGATTGCTTGAGCCCAGCAGTTTGAGGCTGCAGTGAGTTATGATCGTGCTGCTGTGACAGAATGAGTCCCTGTCTCTGAAATTAAAAAAAAAAAAAGAATAGAAAAATTACTGGTTAAATGGGTGTCAGTCAGATGTTGATGAAATGCCCAGAGTACAGGTCTTGGTCTGTTTTTCTGGTGTTATTGCTAGTTCTAGACAGATTTTATTCTGCTGATTTCAGGTGACCTTTTAAGCCATGACTTTAGAATTGAATTTTCATGTATCTCTGTTTCTTTAGATGAGTAAAATGATTCCTGTATAGCCTTATGTTAAATCTGAAAAGCTGAGATTCTGTTTTTTTGTTGTTGTTGTTGTTAGGTACAGGTCACGTTCAACTTTGGGCCCTGCCTCCTGAGGCATGTGGTTTTGCTCTTTCATGAATGGGAGATGGTTTTGTCCTCCCTACTAATTCTCAATACAGTTTCGTCTTGTAGGTCTCAATGATATAAGCTCTTTCTTTTATTGTAGCTGGTACATATATGTCATAGATTTGTTCAGAGGCTGGAAACTAGGATGTACTTTGGACAACTGTGTAAAGTATTTTGGGCATTGTCTAGCTCTGAAGTATACGGACAATATAGTCTGCAGCTGAACTGTCCAGTATGTTAGCTAGTAGCTACATGTGTTATTGAACACTTGAAATCAGTCTAGTCCAAACTGAGATAGACTGTACATTTAAAATACATATTGGATTTCAAAGATGTAGTATAAAAGGCGGGGTGTGGTGACTCACAGCTGTAATCCCAGGCTGAGGCCAGGAGTTTGAGATCAGCCTGGACAACATAGTGAGACCCTGTCTCTCAAAATAAAAAGATTTAATATAAAAGAAAAATGTAAGATATCTTATTTATAATTATGTTCATTAATGCTGAAATGAGAATATTCTAGATATATTGGATGAGCAAAATACACTACTAAAATTTACTTTTTTCTTGTTAGTTTATTTTAATATGGTTATAAAAAATTAAAATTATACATGAGGCTCTCTTTTGAGGATGGCATTATATTTCCATTGGACAGTGATGATCTAGAGTGTTTTTGCTATTGTACATAGCTCATAATTAAAGATTGTTCTATATACTTTCTCCTTTATTTATTTGTTTTCAGAAATAGAGTCTCACTCTGTTAGCAGGCTGGGGTGCAGTGGCCAAATTGTAGCTCACTGCAGTCTTGAACTCCTGAATTCAAACAATTCTCCTGCCTCAGCCTTCTAGGTAGCTTGCTACCACTCCTGTCTAATTAAATTTTTTTTTTTTTTAAATAGAGAAGGGGTCTCCCTCTATTGTCCAGGCTAGTCTCAAACTACTGGGCTCAAGCAATCCTCCTGCCTTGGCCTCTCAAAGGGATCACAGGTGTGAGCCATCATGCCTGGACACATTTTTGCTTCAAAAGGTCAATAGTTCTTAGCCACCAGAGGTGTTCAGGCATAAGTTGAATGAACTCTTGGTAATGATCATTTATTCATTCCTGTATTAATTCATTTAGCAACATCTATAACATACTAATTTTCCCAACACTGTACTATACTCTGGGCCAATAGACATAAAAGACACGTTTCCCGTCCTTAAGAAGCTCATCTTCTTGTGGAGGTTGTGAAGAGGGGATTCAGTTCAGTGCTTATAAGGGTTCTTAGATGACCTTTATGATCCTTTCCAACCCATTGCTCTGCAATTTTTGCATACCTCCTAACTACTTGTTACCCAGAGAATTTAGAGAATCAAGGACTTAAGATAATTGTAGATCACAGTCATTTCCAAAATTTCTTAGTCTCTTTTCTATCAGCTCTTTTTGTATTTTTTAATGTAGTCTCCACATTGTAGACACTGTGCTTCTGTTCTCCATTCTTTCTTCTTCGAGTAACTTCATTATTCATAATAAGAAATGCTTTCTTATTTTGTGTAAATATGTTCTTTCATCTCTGGTTTCATCTCCCATTATTAATATTTATAAGGTTGCTTCATTCTGAGTGATTTCTTAGATTCTCAGGTTACAAGCAGTGGTATGTTGGTAAACTGGCTCTATAAGTAAAAAGTATTTGCTGATTTCCATGGTACAAATACTTTTACCACTGCTGATTTGGGCTCTCAAAATTTCTGAATATTTAACAGTTCACTCTTGAGAGCCTATATAAGACAGTGCTGGGACACCAGTGAAACAAGCTCTTTAACATTTAATTGTGGATGTTGATTCTAGTTTTCTTAAACTTAATTTTTTTCCTGCTGTTTTTCTGCAAAATAAACACTAAACACAAAATAAACAACAAGTCCCAATTGCTCCTTCTATTTAAATATTATTCATTTAGTTTTTCATTCAAGAACTATTTATTGACTGCAAATTCTTCCTATGGTCATAGTTGTGGATTTTTATAACCACTGTATAATAGCTGTATAGTTCAGTTGACTAGTATGCCAGAAGTCACATTTAGAAAGATAGAATTGTGGCCAGGCGTGGTGGTTTGAAGGTTGAGGAGGGTAAGTGGGAAGATGAGGGTGAGAGGGAAGAACATGTGACTTGCAGATGTGCAGGTTCTGTAGGAAGAGCCCAGTGGCTACTGGGGAGCTCAGGGAAGATGGGGCCAGATACCCCCAGGCCTTGTGGCCACAGTGAAGATTTGAACTTTCCCTTGAGAGCAATGGGAAGTCAGTGAGGGGTTATAGCTGAAGAGTGATCAGATTAGATTTGCCTTTTAAAAATATCACTCTGGCTTCAGTGAAGAAAACCATTAAAAAGTTTTAAGAGTGGGTGTAGGAAGGCAGTGGCAATGGAATTGGCAAGTGATGCATTCAAGAGATATTTAAGAGGTGAAACCAATGGTGCATAGTGAGGGATAGGATAAGGGGAAAGAAAGGTGAGACTTCTGGCCTGTAGCTTGAGTGACTGTGGGAGCTTTTACCCAGACAGGGAGCGCTGCAAGACTGGATTATCGTTGCAGTTGTTTTTTTTTGGAGTGGGAGCAGATTCAAGAGATTCTTCTTACATAGTGAGTTTGAGGCATCTTTAAGACACCCGAACGGAAATGCCATGTAGGTGGTTGGCTGTACTATTTTTGAAGCTTTAAGAAGGAGTTTGTGCTAGAGAGATTTGAGGGTCATTGGCAGATAGATGGTAATTTATGGAGATGTCTAGGGCAGTGATTCTCAAAATACATGCCTTTCTAGCGGCAGCCTCAGCTCCACCTGGAAACTTGTTAGAAATGCAAATTCTCAGGCCCTGCCTTTGGCCTACTGAATTAGAAACTTGAGGTGGGGCCCAGCAGCCTGTGTCTGTGGAACTATCCGGGTGATGCCAATACACACTAAAGTTTTAGAGGCCCTGGTCTAGAGAGAGAGAGTATGGAGTGAGAAGAATTTTGGTCTAGAGTTGAACCTTGAGAAGGTTTGACTTTTAAAGACTGGGAAGTGAAGGATGACTTTGCAAAGGAGGTTGGAAGTAGTGTTTAGAGGGTAGAAGGAAAATCCAGGAACCAAGAGAAGAGAGCAAAGTAGGGAGTTACTTGTTGCTGACATATTAGGCTAAGATGATGCATGCACAATGTTCTCTGGGTTTAAAATAAGTAAATCCAGACAGACAGAAAATAAATTAGTGGATTGCCAGGGGCTGGAGGAAGGAGAATGGGGAGTGACTGCAAATGAGTCCAAAGTTTCTTTTTGGGGTAGTAAAAATATTTTGGAATTACTGGTGATGGTTGTACAACATTATGAATACACCAAACCCCACTGAATTGTACACTTTAAAAAGGAAGATGAGACTGGGCGCGGTGGCTCACGCCTGTAATCCCAGCACTTTGGGAGGCCGAGGTGGGCGGATCGCCTGAGGTCAGGAGTTCGAGACCAGCCTGGCTGACATGGTAAAACCCTGTCTCTACGAAAAATACAAAAATTAGCCAGGCATGGTGGCAGGCGCCTGTAATCCCAGCTACCCGGGAGGGTGAGGCAATCGCTTGAACCCGGGAGGCAGAGGTTGCAGTGAGCCAAGATTGTGCCAGTGCGCTCCAGCCTGGGCTACAAGAGTGAGACTTCGTCTAAAAAAAAAAAAAAAAAAAAAAAAGGAAAAGGAGTAATTCTTTAGAGAAATCTTGTTTTAGAGAGGAGTCCAAACCGGGTGGAAGCTGAAGGAAGATGTGGAGCTTGGAAAATTTTGGTTGGCTTGTTCTTTTTGGAGCTAGTAGGGACCTGAAAATGTTTAAATTCTGTTGGAAAGGATCCAGAAGAGAGATAAAGAGATGACCAATGGTGTTGTATGGTGGTAAAACCTCAGAGTAGGAGGGGACTTTTGGGTTCAGTAGTCTGCTGTTTTCCTAACTCCTGACCTCCATTTCATGTTATAATGCAGGTGAAAAAAATTCCTTAGAAGGGATCTTCCAATTCCAAGTTTGAACATCATGTGGGGCAGGTATCTTTCTGTCTCCCAGGGCCAACCATTAGATGGTCCCGACTATATTGGTGAGTTGAGGAAAATCAACAGGGAAAATTGACTTACAAAATGGGAGGGAATGTTGCCTCTTAAATGGACTTTCAATCTTATTTTAGTCATTTCCTTTATCCTCACTTCCAGGAGAACACAGTGCTGCCAATTCCTAAGCCTTTTGAGACTTACCTGGTATTAATTGTGTTGGTTATCATTTTTTTTTTTGGTTTTTTTGGAGATGGAGTCTCACTCTGTTGCCCAGACTGGAGTGTAGTGGCACAATCTTGGCTCACTGCAACCTCTGCCTCCCGGGTTCAAGCTATTCTCCTGCCTCAGCCTCCCGAGTAGCTGGGATTACAGGTACCTGCCACCATGCCTGGCTAATTTTTATATTTTTAATAGAGATAGGGTTTCACTATGTTGGACCAGGCTGGTCTTGAACTCCTTACCTCAGGTGATCCACCTGCTTCGGCCTCCCAAAGTGCTGGGATTACAGGCATGAGCCACTGTGCCCAACTGGTTCTCAGTTTTTTCATTGTCAGTTTAGTATTCAGTTTTCTTGGTCTTCTAACTTATTTACCACTCATCTAAATGATTTCTAGCTTTCAAAATTTTATTGTTTTGTCTCTTCTCTTATTCTCCTAGTCTTTGTTGGTTTCCATTTAAAAAACAAAAGCCTTTAAAAATTCACCTTTTGGTCAGGTGCAGTGGCTTACACCTGTAATCCTAGCACTTTGGGAGGCAGAGGTGGGTGTATCACTTCAGCTCAGGAGTTCCAGACCAGTCTGGGCAACATGGTGAAACCCTGGCTCTACGAAAAATATAAAAACTAGCTGGGCATGGTGGCTTGTGCCTGTAGTCCCAGCTAATTCAGGGGCTGAGGCTGGAGGATCACTTGAGCCCAGGAGGTGGAGGCTGCAGTGAGCCAAGATCATACCACTGCACTCCAGCCTGGGTGACAGAGTGAGACCCTGTTTCAAAGAAAAAAAAATCTCCTTTTAGTGGGGTTCGGTAGATGCATGGGTTCAATCTTCCATCTTTATCTTCTCTCTTTCTCCCCCAGAGAATACATAACATGTTCTTGTGTCCCTTCACTGTTATAGTATTTTCCTGTGACTACGTATGAGCCACATGCCACGATTAAGCCATTTCTTTCTTGTCCAGTCTTTGGGACAGATTTTGAGAACCTGTTGGCACTATGTGGCTGTCATGAGGATTAAATGCGCTATGCATATAAATTACCTGACACAGTAGGTGCTCAAAAAAGGCATGCCGTTTCCTTCTCTCAATCTGGAGGATATGACTAAATTCTATTGCATTCCTTATTAGATTTCAATTTGTAAACTTCTCTGTGCCTTTTCAGCCTGTGGTGACTGACTTGCCTAGTTCTGTCGGATGGCATGTTAACTTTCCCTCCCAACTTTGGAGGCCTGCAGATTTGACCACCGGGTCACCAGAGCTCTCCTTTTAGTCACTGGTAACAATTGTGGCTGTGATGGGGTAGGAGGTATCATGGAAGCCTCACCATACTTTGCAGACATTCAGAAAGAATAGGCCTGGAACTTTTTCTGGTAGCTTACATTAGTGACATTGTTTAGCTGAGTCTAGGGGTGGGAAGACATACTTGAAAGAATAAGGGATACCTCTACATCTTGTAATTTTTTTTTTTTACTTTTTTTAAATATAAAGAAATTTTTACCCCCTTTTAAAAAACGTAAAGCAGTAGTTTTTAATCTAGGGTCTGTGGAAGAGAATTCAGAGAGTCAGTGAACTTAGATGAGAAAAAAATTATATCTTTATTTTTACTGACCTTACCTTATCAATTATAAAGTTACATCCAATTATAAATGTTGTAAATAAACTGTAGTAGCATTAGCAATATAAGTGACAATTTAATATCACTTACAGTTATTATTTCTTAAAATATTTATGCTCATTCCTTCCTCAAAATTGTAGTGGCAGTTATCAGACTTGCCACTAGATCTTGTTATATAATATATTAATTTGAAAAGTGCATTTTGGGGTATTGCAAATTTGTATTTTAGTATATTTAAAATACATATTTAAACTTTATTTAAATGTAATTGAAATAGTTTTCTGTTAATCCTAGTTTATGCATTAAAAACATTATTCTGAGGAAATGGGTTCGCAGGCTTCCTCAGGTCACTGAGAGTCCATGGCACAGAGACTCTGAACCCCAAAGACAAGTGTCTGCAAAGGAATTTATGGTTGTTTATATAAACTAATATTTTTCTTAGATCCCTAGTCACTCTTTTCTCTGGCATAGCCCATTAAAATTTGCTTTCTAACATATAGTTTACATTTTTACAAGATATTTGAAAAGGGGGCTATTTTATTTTTTGCTGACATGTGAGTTCAGATGATATTTAAAAACACAAAAACAAAGATCCCTCCTTTTGAAATGAGACATAAATATTTGGAATAATTGAAGTTTCAGGACTTAAGCATTCTGTTAAGTTGCTTTGCTAACTTCCTAGTTTTATGTTAGGCTTTCGGGATGCTGAAACTCAGGGATGATGAAGTTACATTTCACTTCATGGCTTAGCAGCCATAGGTTCAAGTGACCTTGAATGGTTGTAAAAGTTGGTTTTATGTTAATTATACCTTAAAGCCCTTAAAGGTCTATTCTCCCCTTGGAACGTCTTCTGGCCCCTTCCTGATGGCTGCCATATGTGCCTTTCACTTTGTCTAGATAGGTGTCTGCCTGCTCTGTTTCTTGGGTCAGCAGTGGAGGCTGGGCAGAGAGCCTGGAGCCTTGAGGTCAAGTTTCCTACCTCGGACACCTTGGAACACTGTAGTGTTAAAGCTCTGGTGCCAGTTCTTGCTTAACTGACCTGAACTTGATACTTTAGTTTTATGTTGCCTAAAGCAGGTCTGCTAAATTGCTCTAAAAACTTAAATAAAGTATGAAGCACTCAATTTTCACCACGGTAGGTTCCCACTCCTTTTGAAGGAGTACTTCATGGTGCATTAGAAGCTCTCGTGGCTCCCAGTGGCTCAGAGGAGATTGTTTGGAAGCCTGACTACATTTTCCTGTTTTCTTTCTTTTCTTTTCTTTTTTGTAGGGGAAGGATGGCATTTAATCCATGAAAACACCTGCTAGGTTCTGTTGGCCTACATACATTGTCTCTCCTATCTTTTAAGCTTGTTTTTATCATATTCCTGACAGGAGGTTATTCCTCTGCCAGAATACCTCTTGCAATGATGAATGTTTTACTTAATCAAACAGTTCAATTCACTGTTAATAATAAGAATAGTCATAATATTTATGAAGTGCTTCCTATGTACCAGCCACTATATGAAGGACTTTACATATTTTAAAAAACATAATCTGACAACAGTCCTATGAGTGATAGCTGCTATCATTAACTTCATTTCACAGATGAGGAGACCAAGATTCAGCATAGAGGTAAAATAACTTGCTTAAGTTCCTGTGCAGTACCTGGTTGAATTGGAAGTGGAACTAAGGCAGTCGGACTCAGGAACGCAGGCTCTTAAATCAGCCTCTTGGATTAAAGCAATTTCAGAAGTGCTTCAGTTAAGTGTGGTAGTTAATTAGTAGGATCTAATGTATTATATAAGTTTACCATGTTGATAGCTGTGAAGCCAAACAAGCACATCTCCAGCTGACTTTGGTGTTATATTTTATTATTTGAATGTTCTAAATGCAAGTTTTTAATGTTGAGTTTATTTATGTTTATAGGGATGCTTCCTTTGGAAATTGCACTTACAATCTCACCATTCTCGACTGTTTGCAGGGAATCAGAAAGGTAATAACAATTCTCCTTGCTGTAGTTGACACAGTAGTTTAAAAAAATATGAGAAAGGAATAATCTCAACATCCTTATTTGTTATTGGAGGGAAGAAAGGGGAGCCAGTAAGTAGAAGGCTTTTCACTTCTTGAAGGATGATTGATTTGTAAAATACAAACACCAGGAAAAACTGGGAGGAGGGAGTGGCAGGGGCCTTTCTTTGTCGTTTAAACTATTTGTGTTCCAGGGCAGATTTATCACCACTATCAGCTGCAGTGCCTGTGACATTGCTTTGTCACATGCTTAGCTTCATTATCAGGCTTGATCTTGGTGTGGGAGAGTCAGGAAGTTATCTAAGCCACTGTGCTCCTCTGCTGCTTGGTCCCACCCCAGACCCACTAAAACAAAAACTCTGGGGGTGGAGCCCTGCGGTCTGTATTTGAACAACCTCTCCAGGTGATTTGATGCACTCCAAAGTTTGAGAACCAAGTCATAGTTATTTAATTATTTCTGTATATAATGGAGAAGTTAAACTAGAAGATTTCTGAGAGCTCTCGGAACATGTTTTAGAAACATAAATTCACAATCTGAGAAGTTATATAAGCTATACTGTAAATTCTAATGAGGGCTCAAAGTACATAATCTCGAACATATAACTATGGTTTATTATCAGTCAGGAATGTACATATTACATAACCTATTGATCATAGGACATATATAATAATGTCACATGGACTATAAATATATTATCAGTAGCAATTCTAGTTCATTTCTTGGATGTAATATAAAACTGATTTTTGCTGTGTTTTGAGTTGAGAAAATTGGTGTGATAAATGTGCTACCTGTTTTATACATGGTTGTTTCTATTTAATTTAAAATGAATTTAAACCCTATCAAACTTTAAAATGGTTTTCAAATCTTTTTCTTTCTACTTAAACAACTACAGAGATACTCTAGCCCACTCTTGCAACAATATTACCAAGGTGCATTTCCAGTAATGCCAGTTAAGAGCTTCTATGGAGACGTTACCCAACATATAACAGTTGATTATAGCATTTGGAAAATATGCCTGAGGGAAAAAATAATTTATTTATCGTCACTATTATTATTTTGCCTTTTCTACCATCTGCTACAGGCCATTTGTTTTATAACACTTAAAAAATTTAGAAAGTTCACACTGGAATATCGCTGCCTGTAATTATGGTAATTAGTAACTCAGTATAGAAAGTTGTGGCATCCTTCCTGTTGTAGAGGAAAGGTATGTAAACTTGTTTCATCAAATGTTGGGGTTAACTCAAAGACAAATGAGATTTTGGAGGATCTGATAGATTGTGCAGCATGTCTTTAAGCACCTGAGACATTTCCTGTAAGTTCATTCTCTTACATAAGGCACCATATTCTGGGCTATTTTTGTGTGGCAACGAGTAGTACCATTCCAAGAACCTATACAGAGTATGGCCACATTTTTGCCTTTTTAGGGAGCACATTTCTCTGATTTTAATGTATTGGCATTGTCATAAGTATAGTTTATATTCCATGTTATGTGAACTACTATACATGGATATAAGCAAACCCTTTGAAAATACAGAGGAAAAAAAAGTGAATCCTTCAGAGAGTTTGTATATTTTTCTCACTTTTTTGTCTGGAAAGGTGCATATGGATGAACTCAGTTTTTTTTTTTTTTTTAGAATGGACTAATTTAAATAATTTGTTCTGCTTATTCTGTAGGGGTTGTTTAAACCAGTGTTATCAGAATTTTGCATTTCTAAGAATCACCTGGGAAGCTATGCTGAAAATGGTGATCCTGGGCCCCAACCACAGCAAATATGATTTGATAGTTCTGGGGTGGGGCCCAGGAGTCTGCTTCTTTCATATGAATTACCCTAAGTGTTTCTGATGCTGATGGCGCATGTTCTGTGTTTTGAAAAAACACTGATAGATGTACTGGAGCTTGGCTTGCTAGTTTCTTTTTCTATTTTTAATGACTTGATCATGTAACTTTTAAATGTACCTGTGGTTTTGTATTCTGTTGTAATCTGTATAGCTTCATGATTTATAAAATAAAAGATTCTGTTCTCTTTAAAATATTAGATCTGAGCTAGCTGGATAGTTTTTAAAAGTTCTAAGTCATTGTTTACAAAACTGAGTATGACTTTTACTTTGTGATAAAAATATGTTTTTTTTTTTAAATTGTAAGAGCAGTCAAGTATAATTCTACTTTGTCAGAAACTATCTCATGAAACAGATTCTCCCAAGGTAGAGTTTTAGGAACAAATAAGGGCCTATTAAGTAGAAATATTAAGAAATATTACATATATATTATGTATTGTATATATAAATATACTATATTATGTATTATATATAAATATACTATATTATATATAGTATATATAAATATATACTATATATTATATATAAATATATATATTCTCTCATCAAATATTATTAAGGACCTATTAAGTAGAAATATTAAGGAAGAAAAAACAGTAAAAGATGCAGGGTTTTTTTGGGGGGCTAAATATCTCCCTATGATAAAAGGAAGACAAAAACTCATAAGAATAATTGATTTTTCTTCTCCTAACAAAGAAGTTAATCACTATGATCTATTCTGTCATAGTTAGGTCTAGTTCCCAACAGGTTCTAACTATAAATTTGTTTTATTTCATTTTGTATACATATAATTTTACATACAAAACTGATGTAAATTAGAAATCAAGGCATCTTTTGTGGGGCTTTTTCATGTTATTCTAAGTGTTTTTTTAGTTCCAGTAAGACAGTCTTAATGCAATATAACCAGTTTTATAAAAAGATTTCTAGATATGCATTAAACATCAAAGGTTTCAAGCTGTCTCTTCAGATTAGTGAGGATCATTTCTGTAAGTAGGAGTTCCAGAAATGATGAGTAGAGTTTATCAATTTAGCATGGAAAAACTAATTCAAATTCTGCTTTTAGGGATTACAACATGGATTTTTTGACTTTGAGACATTTGATGTGGATGAATATGAACATTATGAGGTTTGTACATTTAATTTTTTTTACAAAACATAATTTCATGTTGATTAATTTTTTCCCCCTGTCACACTCATGTATTGCAAATCGAGTGGGTGCTAAATAAAAGCATTCTGGAGTTTTCCATAGTGGTCAGTTTTGTCCTTTCAGCCTTGGTTATTTCCTTTGAATCAGGAGTCACCAAAATTTTATTTTGGAAAAACAACATATCTATATATATTCTCTCATTTATATACAATCACTTTGCACCTTTAGTTTATAAGAAAAATCTAGTAGGGTAGTAAAATTATGTTACTTTTATTTTAGAAATCAGGTTTTATTTAAAATAAAACTGAATTTGTACCTTTTATTTATTTATTTTTGAGGCGGTGTCTAGCTCTTTTGTCCAGGCTGAAATGCAGTGGCACAATCTCGGATCACTGCAACCTCTGCCTCCCCAGGCTCAAGCTATCCTCCCACCTCAGCCTCCCAAGCAGCTGGAATTACAGGTGCATGCCACCATGTCTGGCTAATTTTTTTTTTTTTTTAAAGACAGGATTTCACCATGTTGCCCAGGCTGGTCTTGAACTCCTGAGCTCAAGTGATCCTCTTGCCTCGGCCTCCCAAAGTGCTGGGATTACAGGCATGAGCCACCATGCCAAGCCCCCTTATAATATTTTTGGTTGTATAAATTTTATTTTGAAATATGGCTGAATTTACTTAGTTCTAAAAGTTCACTGAATTTTTTTTTCCCCATGGCATCATTACAAGACTTTTGATTAATGTCTTGACTGCTCAAAATGCAGGCAAAGGCTATCTCCAAGCTGGTTTGCGCTGTAAGGAGATGTTGAAGCAGAGTAGGATAAGGAGGAGTCTAGAAGTCATTAACTTTTTCTGAAAGATGAGAAGCCTGTACAATGTGAGTAGGTTCAACATTCTCGGAAGGTGAACTCATCCGTTGGGTTTCCCCAGAGGAGTAATACAATTTATCTCTATCCTTAGTAAGATAAGGACAGCCCTCACATTTGGGGCCCTAGTCTAGAATAGGGCTGTTTGGATATTCTGTTTCCATGTTAAATGCAACATATCTGAAAAGAAACTGATCATCTTTTACCCAAACATGGTCCTCTGCTTTGTGTGTGTTACCACATTGCCATCCTACTGAGCACCCAGCCTCAAGGCTAGAAACATTGCTGTTTTCCTCCCTAACCTAGTGAGTATTCGGATCACTTCTACTGGTGCCACAGGATGTATTAATTATATCTGTCTTTCCTCTCTGTTCTCACTTCCTTCCCTCTGACTCAGGTCTCACGTCTTTTCCTGTGGACCTTTCATTTTAATAGTTCTCTAACTGAGCACGGCCCTTCTCCTCCCAGGCTGCCTTACACACACCTGAGTGATCCTAAAATAGAGTTCTCATCTTGCTTGTCTTGTTCTTGGCCCCAAACCGGCTGTTTCTCCCATTGCCCTGCTGAAATGTGGATAAACTCTCCTGTCCTGGCATTCTTAGCTGTGATGAGCTCCAGCCTACCCTTCTAGCCCCATCTCCTGTTACTTCACTGTACGTACTCTGTGTTCCAGCTCCTCAAACTGCTTAGTTACTGTTTCTTGAATATCCCTGTTGCTTGGCTGAGGTTGCTTTTTCCCAGATTCCCATCCTTTTAACCTCCCGCTCCTCCATTTCGTTTGTGTTAAAATCCTGCACAGATTACATCTCACCTCTGGAGTACTCTTCTTCCCTGCCTTCAATTTCATGTGTTACAATTTGTACTTTCCATTTTTCTTATATCATGGCTATTTGTGTACAAGCCTAATTTTCCTTATTAGGTTGCAAATTCCCTGTGGATGGAATTATGACCAAATAGAAAAACATATACTTTGTTCTTGGATAGAAAGACTTAACATCATAAAGCTGCTACTTTTCCCAAAATTAATACATTTAATGCAATTTATGAAAAAAACCCAAAGAGAGTTTTTTTTAATACCATAAAAGCATTTTAGTAGTGACAAAGTAAGATTCCCCTCTAAAATCCCCAAGTTAGAAACAAAGGGAATATGTACTTATAAGAAAGAAGGTCAGATAACTTGTAGTACATCTGAATCACTGAATGTTATGCAGTCATTTTAAAAAATGAATTGAGCTATACCACTTATCTTGGAATGATTTCTATAATGTTTGTTGAAGAGAAAGGATATGGAAGAGTGCTTTAATAAAATCCATCTTTGTAATAAAACAAACAATAGTAAGACACTCCCTAGCCCACACATCTAGGTGTCTACATTATATGACCAGAGGTGACTTACTTTGAAGCTAATGAAGCTTAAATTTTAGAGAGCCTCACCCCCTCAACTTGTATGGGCACCTTTTACAGTCCTATACCCAATTTTGTGTTAATAATTTTTTACTCTAAGATGGACCCTCAAATTAGGTGAGTTTCAGACCCCACCAAAACCTGGATCTCTGCCCCATGTATATGAACATGAAGAATGCAAATGGCCCATTGTATTAATTATTAAATATACAGCCAAACACTAAAGCCATTTCAATTAAAGGAGAGATGGAGGCAGGAGGGGGTTGGAAGCGGTGAGAGAGAAGAAGGAACAATTCAAGGAGAAAACTTGTGGATGTTTTATTTATTCCTTCCTTCCTTCCTCTCTGTCTAACTTTAATGGTGATGCTGAGGGTTAGTTGAAAAAAATCTTGAAAAACCTGAAGCAGACAGTGCAATTTTATTCTTGGAAACCAACCAGCCAAACAAACAAAAATCTGACAAGAAGGTAGTCATGGTTTCACCTTGACAACAACCATCTAGGTGATGGGAGGGGAGCAGTCAGTTTTGGTGAAGACTTGATGTTGTCAAACAACTTCTTTTTTTTGAGAATGATTTATCTGTTCTATTATAAAGCCTATAAAATAGAAAACCACTATTGTGATTGGCAGGTGGTAGGTATTTCTTAATTTTTAGTTTCTTAATTTCTTAAATGTTTAAGGAATAAATGAATAAAGGAACTCTTTTCTGACAATCTGTGGGCCCAGTCATTTCCTGTCAGATTTCTCTTGCTGTTTGCCCTGTTCTAGTGAGTATGATATTTGGTGAACTTGTGGAATAGCTGAATTCATACATTTTATTAGCTCCAGTAAAGTCAGTATTCCAGTGAAGGCAGTGTAGTTTTCAAAGCAAAATTTTATTGTTGACAGCAATTTGTGAGACTGTAAGCCTTAGATGATTAGGGGATGTTCAAGATGCAACTTTTCTTTGCTAAAGTACATTTAGTAAATGATATGGCTCAGAAAAACAAAAAACAAAAAAACCCCAAAAAAGCCTAAAACAATAAGACTGTATCTCTATGTGAGATTAAAGGGGAATCTTATAGAAAGAGTGCTACTTATAAATGCTTCTAGTGATGAGGTCAACAGAATGTGGGAAATGCTTTGTTGTGTAAAGTCTACAGATAAACCTCTGCCCATCCTGCAAAAGGTTATATGCATCTTCCTCCTGCAATTCCAGGGTCTAAAGCAGTGCTGTCCAATAGAAATGTGAAAGTCATATCATGAAATTAGTTTTAACAATACATTTTACTTGTTGTAAATATGTTGTTTACATATTTAGTAATATACCTAAAATAGCATTTAACATGTAAGCAATACAAAAATTATTAATGATGTATGTATTTTGCATTTTTTTTTGAATTAAGCCTCAGAAACCCAGTGTGTAGTTTATTTATTTTATTTATTGTGTTTTTTTGAGAGAGGGTCTCGCTCTGTCACCCAGGCTGGAGTGCAGTGGTGCAACCTAGGCTCACTGTAGCCTTGACCCTCTGGGCTCAAGCCATCCTCCCACCTCAGCCTCCAGAGTAGCTGGGACCACAGGTGTGTGCCACCTTGCCCTGCTAATTTTTGTATTTTTTTGTAGAGATGGGGTTTCGCCATGTTGCCCAGGTTGGTCTCAAACTCCTGGACTCAAGCAATCCGCCCACCTTGTCTTTCCAAAGTCCTGGGATTGCAAGTGTGAGCCACTACGCCTGGCCTCCAGTGTGCAGTTTATACTATAGCATATCTTAATTTAGACTAGCCATATTTCAAGTGCATAGTAGCCACATGTAGCTAGAGTATGGATTCTGTAAGGACAGGCTAGCCAATGTACTGTCATAGTCCATCAGTGTGACATGAAGCCTAGGTTATATCTCCTTGCTTCATGTGATCTGTGGTTCACATGAGAGTTAATTTCAAAGCCCTGTTCTATTTAGAAAGCTCGAGGTGAGATACCTCAGGCTCTTGCTTTATTTTCATGTGACTTAAAAATGGCCCATTGTATTAAGTATTGATAAACAACACCAGGTGTTGGCTTCCGTCTTGGAAAAGTATCTTCCAAAATGTGGTCTTTCCAGGTCCTTTAGCAAGCTGTTGTGGAACTGTACAGTTCCTTACATTTGCCCCGATCAGACATGAAATTTGGGCAGCTATGCTGGGAAGGTCCACAAAAGTAACTGTGAGATGGTGGTCCAAAACCTTCCTCTAGGAATCAGTGTCAAAACATTTGTACTTCTCCAACAGCTTCTTAAGGTATTCTCAAAGAATATGTACCTTGAGAACCTTGAGAACTTTTACTCCTTTGAAATCTAGCCATTTCAAATCTAGTTCAGAAAAATGAAAGTTGACCTTTTGTCCTAGGGAAAAATAATGAAGATGATAGAGCTTGAACATTCAATTAAATTAGGTAGCTGTAGGTATGTGAGGAACTATGCTCTTCAGTAGTAAAGTTAGTGGTGAATGCTAGTGTAGGCTGATACTCTGCTTGTAAGACCTGGAAGTGGCACCCATATACAGAGTCTACCTTCAGTCAGCTTTCTTCTGTTTTTTTGGGGGGTAGCTGTCCTTACCAAACAAGATGTTGCCCAAACACCAGTGATCATTCATGATGCTACTGTTAAGCAGTTATTATTTATCAGAGAGAATTTGAAGTTATGTCTCTAGTTTGTTATTTTGCTTGTCCCCAAGGGCTTTCCGCTATTTACCAAAAGGCTTGCCATGGTTTGATGATGGAAGTGTGATGCGGTAGCAGTGTCCTGTTCTTAGTTGGGTTTGGGGGAAGAAATGCAGAGAAATGGTGCTTCAGTGGCAACATCGGAGGTTCCTCATCACTGTGGCTTACATTTATTACCCCATTCAAAATTCAGCCCATGCAATTTCAAGGAGTCTCCTTAAATATCTATTTGGGGATTAGGTGGAGATAAAAGTTGAAAAATGACTTCAAAACTGAGAAAGTACTTTGACTTTTTTTCTTTGAGCTATTTTCTAGCTGCCATTATCTGCCCCCTGCCATAACTCATTCCTTTTTTGGGTGTGAAAAACAAAATTATGAGAATATTTTCCAGAATATCAAGCTATTGTGGCCTTGATCCTATACTTTTAAATGTGAACAAACCCAGGCCACTTCTTTACCATTGTCTTGATAGAAGTTAGAGCCACATTTGGCCTGCAGGCCTGATGACAGAGGCACCTGTTACTGCCTTGACAACAGTCACCGCACAGGGCTTCCTTTTGTTTTTTCATCATGGCATATGGAGAAAATGATAATATTTGCTCAACACCCTGTGATGATAGCTCATAGCTGTTGGCAAGTGGCCTGGGGACTCTGGCTGCTCCAGTCTGCCCAGGCAGCTCCATTCTGGTCACACTGGCTAGGAAGCTTTGTTTTACAGAAATAATGATGTGCAGATGAACATTTCTTATTTGAAAGTCAAGTAGCCACACCATGCTCCTTATGGCCTCATTCTCATAGCTTTTCAGTTCATTTGTTGAACAGATATTAAATGCCTCATGTTTGCTCCATATATTTGCTAGGCCCAATGTTTCTTTTTCTTTTTTTGTTTTTTAGGAGGCTACCAGTAATATCATCTCTCCATGTGTAGGGTTAAAGCCTTTGCTCTTGTCACCTGGTACCATAGAATCCATGTATTCTTGTGCCTCATTCTGCAGAAGTTGCCATATTTGAGTCTTGCTTCAAGCCCCTACTTTTATGCTTATCAATTTAGTTGTGATACAAAATTTCTCACTGATCCATGACAGGCTGAAATGTGGACTATTTTGTTCCTGAGATATTCAAGCAATTCACAGGTTATCATTATTGCTATCTTCACCTAAAGGGTGCTCTTTTGGGGAAAGACCATTTCTATTCTAGAAAGTGATTTCACATTATTTTAGCCACATTACAATGTAGCGCATCTGGGAACTGTTTGTGAAAAAGCATGGGTTCATTCTGGATGCCTGGGATTGAGTCTTTCTTGGATCTTGGGCCTCTTCGATCAAGACTTCACATTACTATCAGGGTGTAGGTTTTAAAAATTAAGTCTGATTATATCATTCCCCTGTTTTATCATTTCCCCTTCATGGGCTCCACACTGACTAAAGGTGTGGAGGAAATGCAGACTCCTTACTACAGCACAGAAGGCCCTTCTTGACATGGGCTTGTCCTTCCTCTCCACCCTTGTCCTTTTCCACTCCCTCCCCATACCCAAATCCACGCAGCTTACCCGGTGGCGGCTTCTGAGCTTTTGCACATGCTCTTGCTCCCTCCTCCTGCCTGTCAGCTCTTCTTTCTGGTCCACTGTATTTACATGGTTGACTGTTAAGTCCTTCTCAACCCCATGGAAGCTCTTCTCATGTAGCCTTGTGTGGTACTCTGTTTACACATCTGTGTCTTTCCTGTATCTGCGGGTACTTTTGGGCAGCAACTTTGTCTTATTCTTCTTTGTTTGAATAAGTAACCTACTAGCACAGTACACTCATAGTGGGCAGTCATTATTTGTGGAATGAAAGAACTAATGAGTAAATGTGTGAATAATACTAAAAACAGGAGTATAGCACATTTCAAGATATTTTATATGATCTGTTTTCAGTGGAAAGTGCCTAAAACATGTTGATTAAGAATCCATTCTGATTTTGCAGTAATATTCCAAGGGACAAATTTACCATGGTAGACAACTTCTTCAAATGATGTTTCTTTTATCAGCAGCCAATCTATGCTGCAAGAGTGAGGTTTTTTTTTTTTGTTTCTAAGTCAGTTATTTACAACACAGATTGCTAGATGTTTTAATCTAAGACCAGTTCTGTATGGAACATCAATTTAGTTTAATATGTGAGTGGGGACCTATCTCCAGGTTGACTCTGTCATCCTTCACTGCATAAGTAAATTTTCAGATTGACCAGGTGGTGTAGAGTCCTAACAATTGCTCTTTAGCACCTACCTTGAGAAATAGTAAAGTTTGTTAGGCCTCCTGTCTCTCAGCAAGTCACATTGGGTCAAGAGCAGGAGTCAATATTGTTGAACACTGAAGTTATGATGCTTCAAGACTTTGTTTGGATTAGAATTTGTACAGCAAACTAAAATGTAATCTGGATGCTGCTTGGTCTGCCTTCTTTACATGTTGGTGGATTATGGAACTGGAAATAATGGGACTGCCATAGGACTGGGGTCAAGCAGTCCTCAGAATGCAAGTATGTGGGCATGTCCTCACCACCTGGAGCAGTTATGGAAGTACGCCTCCTGTGGCAATTTGAATATTGGAAGAACTATTAGAAGAAGCATTCTCCTGGAGCTGTCTGGTAGTGTTCATTACACCACTCCAAAGCCTCAAGTTTAAGGAAGCAAAATTACTTCCTGGCCACCGCAACTGCAAAAGTGAGGGGACCCAGTGTTTCCGTATCTGTTACACCCATTGCTGGTTCAAAGCTCACGTTGGTTAAGTCTATAAAATGTTTTGAGACTTACCCTGACCTAAACAATTCCCCATGGCTTTTTTTTCTTCCTCTTTAATGATTGTTTGGTATCTTTTCCTTCTTTAATCTCCAAACTTCTTAAGAGAGCAGTCTCGACTCTAATTATGGTCTGGCCTCTACTGAAACTGTTCCTGCTAACACAAGCGTTCGTAAAACCAAGTGGCCATGCTTGTTCTTCTTCCTACTTGGTTTATTCTATGGTCGCTCTCTAATTCGCATTCCTTCCCTGATTTATAATGTGCTGTCTTTTGGATTTCTCCTCCCTCCATGGCTAGCCATCTTTCTCAGCCTCCCTCTCAAATCCTTTCTCTTCCTTTGCCCACCCTGATTTGCTGGGGTTCTTGAGGACCTCATGATTTCTGGTTATACACACTTTGTATGATTAAGTGCATCCAGTTCCAAGTTTCAACAACTATGTTTGTGCTGCTGACTCCAAATCATCTTTGCGTCTTGAACATTGGAGTGGCATCTGCAAATGTGCACTGGATTTTTGCACCCTGCTGTTGTACCAGCAGAGGTGTTCACTGATCTGGACTTTTGGAATGGGCCTCCACATGTTTTCCAACCCCACTGTCTCCCTGCTGTAGCTGATGCTAGCAGAGGTGAAGCAGTCATCCACATGGGACACTCCTCTTTTGCTCCACCACACCGTCTCCCTCAAAAGCAAGTCTAAATTAATAATCTAGAGTTTGATTATTATTTAAAGCCAGATGGCATGTCAACTTAAACCAAATAATTCAAATATTTACTTTGCTTTAAGCTCATAAAGTGCCTGTCCTTACAGCATATTTGCATTTATGTAATACAACTATACTGTCAACACTGTTTTGTTGTTTTAGAAGTTAGGGAAATATAAAGAAGGCACTTTTTAAATGAATTTTAAAATGCCACTGTGGTTCTACCTTATTAAATTTCAAAATAGTCTTTGTGTCACTGTCATTCCTCTTACATACTTTTAGTATCGCATGTTCAAAGTGTAATGTGACTTTTTCTTTAATGGATAAAACGAAGATGAAAATAACATCTACCTCATAGGGTTGCTATGAGAAGTAAGTTGTATAGAATACACTAGTGTTTAACACAGAGTCAGTGGTATCCACATATTTGCTGCCATTTTTGTTACTGTTATTTGTCATTCCCACCTGCCTTTGGACTCTGTAAAAGCATAGAGAATGCTTTTTATTATTTTATGTTTGACACCAAGTTACAGTCCTTGATATATAATAAAGGCTCAGCAAATGTCTAAATGAATGTTGAATTGCGCTTCAAAACTGTTTCTGCATGTTTTCCTAGAAAACACATCTGTTGATATAGGAAATCAACCTTGTAATCGTCAACCTCAAAGACTATCTTTTCTATCTTATTGTAGGTTTGTTACAGTAGTAAAAAGGTCAAATAGTTTTCAGTGTTTGGACAGAAAAATGTATTTGTGACCATTACTATAGAGTCACAAATGCATTTCTTAGAAATCATAAAAATTGGCCGGGTGCAGTGGCTCATGCCTGTAATCCCAGCACTTTGGGAGGCTGAGGTGGGTGGATCATGAGGTCAGGAGTTCGAGACCAGCCTGGCCAACATGGTGAAACCCGGTCTCTACTAAAAATACAAAAAAATTAGTCGGGCCTGGTGGTGTGTGCCTGTAATCCCAGCTACTTGGGAGGCTAAAGCAGGAGAATTGCTTGAACCCGGAGGCAGAGGTTGCAGTGAGCTGAGATCGCACCGTTGCACTCCAGCCTGGGCAACAGAATGCAACTCCATCTCCAGATAAAAAAAAGGAATTGTAAAAATTCATGTTTTTTAGTCAAATTATATTTTGAGTGCACCAGGAGAGTGAGTTATTCAAAAGAAAGCTGTGAATCTTTTGTAGATTGGAGAATCCTATAGCACAGTGAATAACAACACCTAAATGTATCACTTTCAGGAATTCAGATTTTTTTATTTTGGATTTTTCTTACAGTGAAGAACATCTATAGTTTTTTTTGCATAGTATTTGGTAGGTAGTAGGCTTTAGATCAGAAGTGGTAATATCATACTCTTGCCTCATCCTTGCTTAGGTATTTGTTTACAAAATGTGGTAGGGTTGGAAAGTACCTTAAGTTCCTGTCTGATCTAGATTTCTTTGAAGTGTATGTGTGTGTTTAATTAGAAAAACCAACTTGGGTCATATAAAGTATTTTATTATTGATAAACATTGACATTTGTATAATTCACTATGAATAAAGGCACAAATATTAACTTTGGAAGACTACCAAAGTAAGCGTATATTATATTAGGTCAGTTAAAAGCTGTAACTTCCTTATTAATTTTTTCTCAGATTTAGGTCTAAGACCTAAATCTTTTTGTTTATTCCATCAGCCTTATCCTGGCTGCTGAATATAACCCAATATTATCTACTATTTATCTTTTTGGGTAGGAGGATTTGCAAACATATTCTTTTGGTTCTGTGAATGAATGTATCTTAGGGATCCCCTTGCCTCTCTCCATATGATTAATTATAAAAGGTTGCTATTTAACCAAATGGATTTCTGTAATCCAAATAAGCAGATATTGCAGAGCGTATTTATCTAACCTACTTGGTGGTCAAGGATACAGAAATAGTGACCGTAGAAACCTGTTTTCTTTTATTGTTCATAAAGAATTGGTTTTAGTCTCTTGATGATTAGTGCATACCTTTATTCTTGGATTTTCAAATACTGTGTTAAGCTTAATAATTACTTGAGAGATATTGGATAATTAATTTGAGACTTTTATTTAAACAAGCAAATTTTAATTGCCATAATTAGATTCTTTATTTAAGTTGTTATAAATAGAAGCTATGCTTGAGGTTTAATTTCACATGTGCAATCATAACACTCAGGGTTTCTTAGATTTTACTTAGGGCATTTTGGATATTTTTTTTATTTCCTTTGAGACAGAGTCTCACTCTGTGGCCCAAGCTGGAGTGCAATGGTGCAAACTCGGCTCACTGCAACCTTCATCGCTGGGGCTCAAGCAGTTCTCCTGCCTCAGCCTCCCAAGTAGCTGGGACTACAGGCACACACCACCACACCTGGTTAATTTTTTTGTATTTTTAGTAGAGACGGGGTTTCACCATGTTGCCCTGGGTGGTCTTGCACTCCTGAGCTCAGGTGATTCACCTGCATTGGCCTCCCAAAGTGCTGGGATTACAGGCGCGAGCCGCCACGCCCAGCTGGAGATATTATGTTTATTACAACTAGATTAAATGCAGTTCAGATGTTTATAAGATGGTATGCACAGTTTCACATATAACTTTTTATAACTGGGAAAAAAATCTGCATTAAAAAATGACAATTATATTTTATAGCCAAGTTTTGATTTTCATGGAAATGATAATGGGTAATATAAGTAATTAAAGTAATGGCTCCAGTTTTTTTTTGATGGCCATATTCCAATTTGTTTAACAAATATTTATTGTGTTCTTATGGTAGAGTACAGAGTCTATATTGGGTCAGTTTTCTACTGTTGAGGTCCTTGCCATATAATGGGGGGAGAAAGCTTTTTATATGGATGGTAACGGATGGCCCAGTGAAGAGAACAACATTGCTTCCCTGCCCTGAGGATGGAGACAAGGAGGGCAAGGGTAGGGGTAGGTGGGGAGGGGGTGGTGGTGGTAAAGACAGCGTAAGTGAAGAGGTGATATATATATTTTGTGATGCATTGCACAAATGCCTTCTAATGACTGCAAAATTTGGGGTAACCTTACTCGTGCCCCAGTGTCCCATGGTTCGGAGGCACATGGGGAAGGGAAGAAAATGGGGGAGATGATGGAGCCATGGGAATGTGCTTGGCTACTTTCTTGGTCTTCTTAAGCCTTTTCTGAGGATCTCTTAGCGTGTTTAGACTAGAGGCTGATAACTGGTGCTCAAAGTCAGCCAATGGGCATGTTTTATTTGGTTTCACAGGAGTTAAAAACCTAATTTAAAAAGTCAACATTTTAAAAAGAGAGTTTTCACATGAAAATTCAGTTGGAAGATCAGCTGTGTTCAGTTGGCTTTCCTACAAGGTGTCTCATTAGCTGGAGTGGAGGAGCACCTGACTCTATGTATGTCCCTTGCTTGAATCTTGTTATCCTCCAGAGTACAGCTTGGCTGACTCTGGTTTGTGGAATGGATGCGCCAATATCACTCGCTCCTGCCTTTTGCCATTTCCCCCTCTAAAAATCAGCATTGACAAGAGATAACAGCCCTATAAAAAGAGAAAAAAAATTGGAAGTGTATTCATCAGGAGCTTGATATTTACAGATGTTTTTTCATTGTTTAAAATATGTTTACTACATTCATGGAAAGTTTTCATATTTCCCATTTTCTCTTATTTATCGCCAAGACAAGCAATGTTTGTTTCCATTTCATTTCTTTGCAGTGGCCAGGAAACAAACATTTTATGCAAAATACCTCTGCCGTAAATAAAAGTTTCTAAACATTTCATACAGTCTAGACACAAGTTTTTCTAAAGCGGATTGAATTCCTAAATAGCATTTTGAGAATCAGGTGCATGTTTTTATTTTAAGCTATGTTTGTCTACATGTATGTCTAATTAGTACTAAGAGTGAAAAGCAGTTTTATTTGTAAGGGTTTCCTAAATTGTATAAGAATTATAAAATATTTTTCTTCTCTTTTCTTACAAAATTCTGCCAGCGAGTTGAAAATGGTGACTTCAACTGGATTGTTCCAGGAAAATTTTTAGCATTTAGTGGACCACATCCTAAAAGCAAAATTGAGAATGGTAGGTTTTTTTTTCCTTTACCATCCAAACATTTATTTTGATTTATCTTTCTAAGTTTCTTAACTTCCTCAGATAATTATTTTCTTTGGTAATATTCTCCAAAGAATATTTATTCATAATTTAAAAAATTGAACAGTAGTAATAGTGTGTTAAATATTGTATTTCCAGTAGGTGGAGCTATAATCACTGTTTTAGAACTTAACAAATTTTTAGCTTGCCATAAATAGGATGTTCACTTTACCTGACCCCCAATTATTAGAGAAGAATCTGAGAAACAAACTGGTCAAACTCATAAGCAGATTGCTGTATTCTTTCAGTGGTTCTCAGATTTATTTGTTGGTAGAGTGCTACACATCAAGATGTTCTTTGGGTAACACCATGTTGAATAATGATGATGAAGACAATCTGTCATTTACTGAATACTTAGGTGCTAGTTACACAGATCACAGCATTTATCTCTTTTAACACTCAACACAACTCTATGAGATACAGATATTGTTATCTGCATTTTAGGGAGGAGTAAATTGAGCCTTATTAGTAGAGAATTTGCCCAAGGTCACAAAGTAATAGGCAGAACTGGTACTCCAAACCAGAGGAGGGCTCCTAAACATTGCCACTACACTGATACACTTAGTTCCATTGTGACAACTAGGTACAATTTTCTAGCTGACAGTGGTTAAACTACTTATTTGCAGCATAATTTATTGCCATGGGCATACATATTTAGGAAAAAAATAAAAACAAAACTAAAAATAAACCTTTTGAATGAAACATGATCAGCTATGCAAGTTTTCCCATTAAGACTTATTTTGTACTTACTAATTTTTTCTATCTACTAATATTCCCTAGAAAACAAGTAATGATAGACAACAGAGGTTCAAGAATAATTTACAAGAGAAGTACATAAAATTGAAAAAATATCCATGAACAAAATATCCCCCCCCCTTTTTTTTTCTATCTGATCATAGAGGTGGAATACCAGTGTTCTGAGGGAACCTAACTTGAAACCTCTGGTCTAGATTTATTCTTCAGCTGGGCATGGTGGCATGTGCCTGCAATCCCAGCACTTTGGAAGGCTGAGGTGGGAGGATTGCTTAAGGCCAGAAGTTCAAGACCAGCCTCGGCAACATAGCAAAACCCTGTCTCTTAAAAAAAAAAAAAGATTTATTTTTCTTTAATCATCATATTCTAGAATCTAGTTTCATTGTATATTGTTATTCATGCATTTAGGTTTTATAATTTGAGCTTTCATAAATATGCTTATCATTTCATACCTGTGACATATTTAATAGGGAACTCTGCTTGAATCATGATTTTACCATGCGAATGGGCAATCCAGGTCTAGAGAGTTAAGCTCACAAACAGGATACCTCTATGGTGAAGTCAGAATTTGATCTTCTTACTTATAAGCTTGCTAAATAATCTTTTTTGGTCTGGACATTCAATAATTAACCTCTGTCATTTTGGGTTGTTAGGAATTACATGTTGAGAGCCTGAGGAAACTGCTTTCTGACAATTGGCCTTTCAAGATAAGACTGATTAAACCTGCTTTCTGTGCAAATTATCTGACTCAGGCCCAGGAAATGTTAGTAGGGATATTGTTTCAGTAGTAGTTTTGTTGTTGGGTATTTGGCAAAGTCGAAAGACTTTCACCATTTGTGATTCATGTGTTTGACTACGTTTTCTTAATGAGAAATTGAGAGATATAATTGTAAAAGCCATTTAAAAGTTTTTATGTATATAGACATTGTATATTCTATGGATACATGCATTTTGAAAAAAATTTTTTTTTAACAAAAGTGGCATCATAACATAGTTAATATCTTACAGCCAGGTTTCTTCACTTAACATATCACGACTTCTTTTTATAGCAGTAAATGAAGATCCATGTAATCATTTTCCACGACTGCATTGCATTTTGTTCTACCATATGACTGTGCCATATTGTGTTAATTTATTTTTGGTTTTTGCTTTTGTTTATTTAGAGACAGGCTCTTGCTTTGTTGCCCAAGCTGGAGTGCAATGGTGTGATCATAGCTCATTGCAACCTTGAACTCCTGTCCTCAAATGATCTTCCTGCCTCAGCCTCCCAAGTAGCTGGGACTACAAGGCACAGCCCACCACACCTGGCTGGTTTTTTTTTTTTTTTTTAATTTTTAGTAGAGATGAGGTCTCTATGTTGCCCGGGCTGGTCTTGAACTGCTGGGCTCATGTGATCCTCCTGCCTCCCAAAGCACTAGGATTACAGATTTAAGCCACTGAGCCCAGCCTGTTAATTTATTTTTGGATGAGATCTAAGTTGTTTATCTCTTATTCTTACTCTTTTTTTCCTTTTTAAATTTCATCATCTATTTAACCAGATGAAGTTTTTCACTTTTTAAAAACTGCTGTGGTTGGCATAAATGTTCATACATCTTTTTGCAGCTGTAGTTTCTTCTCTAAATTGTTAGAAATAGAATCACTAGATAAAAGGATACGCAATTTTGTATAATAAGTTATAAGTGTCAAAAATATTTAAAACAATTTTTGGTCCTATATTTAATATGGGGAAAAAATTATAGCCACCATTCGCTTACCTGCCAGGAAGGGTGCTAAGCCTCTTGCATATACATCATCTATTTAATGATCAGAACAACCCTCTGGAGCAGGTGGTATTTATTTTATAGAAGAGAAGCTGGAGGCTTACAGGAATTACCTAACTTGTCCAGGTTCATAGGCCAGTAATTGTTGGCGTGTGGATTCAAACATTGGTCTGTTTAATTCTGAATTTTGTGTTGTTTTAAATTTTATTATAGAGGATGTACATGCTCACTCTAGAAAATTTAAGTAATATAAAGAGTAAAACTCTTTAAAAACATCATATAATCAAGAAATAATCACTTTAAGATATCGCTCTATATGCATATTTTATTCTATGCATGTATTGTGCCCTGTCATATTGACATAAAAAAATCTGAAAGTACATTTATCTCACCTTTGTCAGCTTTTATGATGCCTAGAACAATTTCATTTAAGGCTGCCATTGGTAAAATATTGCTATTTTACTGGAATTTCCATTTTAAGATCTAATATTCACTAGAAGCTTCACTATACTTTTTTGTAAAGTACTTTAACTTTGTAAATGCTTTTTGAAGTTGAGAAAATAATTTTGTGATGGAATTAATAAACCTGATCCAATTACAGTGACGTCTTGGTAATTTTTTTTTTTTTTTGAATTGAGAAACCTGTGTTTTTCTGAGGAGGCTGAAAGTCATTTTAGAGGCTCGTTAGAAAAGCTGAGGTTTTAAAGAAGTGATCAAGTAGCTGTTGCTAGGAGGTAGCTAAAGGAAGCTCTAAAATCTTGGGATCTGGGCAGAATGTATTATAAGAGCCTTAAGTGTGTGTTTGTGTCAATAGGGAACACTAGGAGTTTCTTTTAGCCATTTTGATTCACATTGTTTTGACAGTGGGGAAGAGAAGAGCCCTACTTTTTTTTGTTAAACATTTTTGAATTGATAAATGATGGATAACAGCAGAATGAAACAGATATTTTGGATTTCAGATTTTCTGTAAAAATGTCTCTTAAGTGTCACTGTCATTCTCACTTCTATTTAAACACACACACACACGCACACACACACACACACACACACACAGAGAGAGAGAGAGAGAGAAAGATAGCTTCAGACTGAGAATCCCGACCATTTGAGGCATCAGCCTGCTCCTTTAATGAGAGAAGCCCAGTGTCCCGTTTAGTAAAGAGCCTGGGCAGGTTGAAGCCTGGCTCCATTCCTTTTTGGCTGCGTGAACTTCAGTGAGTTCCACAGCTTCTCTGAGCATCAGTTTTCCTATATATCACAGTGGGAGAAATATGATCCTCACTGCAGGCACCTAGTGAGGATTAGAGATGTTATGTGAAGTGCCTTGCAGAGTATTGGGCACACATAATAGGCGTTTATTAGATAGCAGGTATTATGGTTACATTTTTATCATTAGCTGGCCTAATCAACAGATTTTATGTCTTTCTACATTTGCCTGCTCAGTTTGCAGTTTTTACTTTTAATAATGACTGAGTGAACTAGTCATTTGACTCTGCTGTTCTTCAGTTTTCGAACTTTAAAATGAGGGCCTGGGAAGAGATGAATAAAAACATCTCTTTTGACTCTGATACCGTGTTCATGTGTTTGGTCAGCTTAACTCCAGGACTTTGTTGTGGTTCAGTGATGCCAGCGCACCATCTTGTGGCCAGATGGAGTAAGGGTCGGATGAAGGCTCCATAAGTTCTGGGTCGGCACATTATACACATTGCTAAAACCAATCTCTCGCAAAAAGCACTCACGTACATCCGTAAAAGCCACAAACAGTTGTTCACAGGTCATAGGACATTTCCATTGTTCGTTATAATTTATTCTAAACAGTTTTAAGGATTTTTATAAAACCTACTCACCAATTCTAACCGCTCATGTTCATATCATGTTCTCTTATTTGGAGTCTTAACAGATAGAATCAAGTTGAATCTTACTTGAAATTAGCCCCAGCATGGGTGTTGGAATCTGACTGCCAGGATTGAAATACTGGCTCTACCTCTTACTAGCTGTATGTGTACGGGCCAGCTTTTCCAGGCACCAGAAATTGAGTAATTGTAGGTTTTAATGAGATAATCCACATAAAGCACTTAGCATAGTGGCTAGCATATAGTAAGTGCTTGATAAACGTTAGGTGCAATTATTGTTGTTATTATTATTTCAGTGCCCTGTTGCCATATTTGGACAATTTCTGTCCAGTGTTTTCTTCTCAAAAGATGTATACATCGTTTCTCTTAATAGTCTATTTAGGCATGTTAGCTATGCTGCCATTTACTCATGATGGAAATTCATATATGAAAAGAGAGATTCTTGCAGCCTTTGTTGCAGGGAGGAAGGGGATAGGCACTGAACCAATTGCTAACACAACGTGTGACAGGTGCTGTCATGGAGGTCCCAGGCATGCTAGCAACCCAGAGGCAGAAGCTCTCACCAGCCCGCCACACCAGGGCAGGCTGCCCAGGTGTTTATGAGCCCTTCTCCTCCCCATTCCTCACATGATAGAAAAACCGTTACTTCTTAATGCCAACTACAGTTCTTTTTTTGCTTTAGGCTATAAATCTGTTGCAGGGAAATAATTTGAGCAAGTAAACCAACTAGGAAAACAGACTTGATTTTTGCAGTTAGAAAAGCATGTTTTCTCCATGTTTGTGTAGGTTATTGTTTCTACACAGAAGATTTTAAATAAGCTCTGTTTTACCTGTTTGCTCAAAAGCAACATAGCCTGTGAAAATCACATATCTGAGCTGTGGATTAATTGGTCCTGCCTTCCAATTCTGTCTTCATCCTTTGTGTGACCTGGCCAAGTGTACCAGTTATGGCTGTCCAACTCTGGTAAAAGGCAGTTTTTGGAATATGTTGGGTAGCTCATAGACTTTAAGAAAAGGCTGGAGAACTAGGCTTAGAAGATGAACAGGACCCAAGTGGGAAAATGGGAACCACACTAGGCATTTCAAACATAAAGCATTTAATACAAGGAGTTTATTTCAAAGAAGACTAAAAAGTAAAAAGGCAACACTGAAGAAACCAGAATATGTTGGAGAAAACAGCTAGTACCTTTAAGGCTGGGGGGACAAAAGGGACAAAAGTGGAGTTAGCAGAACCTGCTCCTGTTTTCTGCTGCTGAAGTGATGCTGCCAGGAGGACAGGAAGAATTCCCTTCCTCCTCCTCAGGTTGAGGTTTAGTGCCTCCCATTTTTACAACCAATAGGAAGCCAGATAGAAAGGTAGTCTGGGAAATGTAGGGCGTAGTATATGGACTCCAGCCCCAGTGTCACAGAGCATAAGAGTCGGCTTGGAGCTGAGAGCTGACTAGCATAACAGGGATCCAAGGCAGCAAGAAATACAGCCAAGCACACAGCGTGGAAACAGTCTGGTTCACTTTGCTGGCTGCCGCCACCCCTGGAACCTCCCATCATGAATGGGTTCCAACTGAGATAATTGCACTCAGCTGGTATGTTAGGGTTCAGTGAATTCTGAATGGGTTACAGATGTGGCCATCAGTGTGCTGGGAACTTAGTCCCCTGAACTTTTGGAGCTGCCATTGCAAGGCCTGCAAAGGCCAAAGCCCCCAGTGGTTGCCTTGGCTGATTAGCTAAGGCTAGGTCTGTAACCCAGCTGACTGTGTAGCTCCCAGGAATACTCACATGATGGTGGAGCCACTCAAAAATAAAAGGGGATTTAAAGGTGGAGCATCTTCCTCCCTCAAAAAAAGGAAGTGTCCACAAAAGTTATTGTTTATTTTTAACTAAAAAAATTTATATTTTAATTGATAAAAATTATATATTTATGGTGTACAACAACTTTTGAAATATGTATACATCGTAGAATGGTTAAGTCAAGTCTTACTTAAGTATTCACATATTTATCATTTTTTGTGGTGAGAAGACTTAAATTTTACTTTCTAAATGACTTTAAAGTATATAATACATTGTTATTATAGTCACTATGTTGTACAATAGATCTCTGGGACATACTCCTTTCTAACTGAAATTTTGTTTTCTTTGACCAATATCCTCCCAACACCCCCTCTTTTAGTTTCTTAATCTGTTAAATGGAATTAGCCATACTTAAGAGATGGTTTTGAGAATTTGAAATGATACGCAATTGTGACTTGTACATAGTAGGTGCTTAATAATAATTGCTTCTGGGGAGCATTGTACTACAAATTAAAACTATACATATGGCAAAAAAGCTTCAGCTGTAGTTGAAAACTGTTTGTCAAGTAGAGAATAAAGCTCAAGAGAGAATAAAGTCACCATTCTAGGTCTGTTATGCACATTTGATTACTTCAAGAATGCTTTTGTCTTGGGAGTGGGAAGAGTATGCTCCCAGGATTCGAATCTAGAGGTTGAGATTTTGAACTTTAATGATGTATTTTCAGTACTTACAGAAGTTTTCTTTTTAACCTCCTGTGGTGCTTACAGTTATGCAGATTGATGCTTGTAGGAGCTTGCTGTGACCTCTTCTCTCACACAACACACTTTCCTCCCAAGCTTTGTTGAGATTTATACACTTCATTGTTGAGAGTTTTGTATTTCTGGGTTGTGGAAGATGAAATGCATGCCTTTTGCTTACTGCTCCTTTGTTCCTTTAGGTTATCCTCTTCACGCCCCTGAAGCCTACTTTCCTTATTTCAAAAAGCATAATGTGACTGCAGTTGTGAGGCTAAACAAAAAGATTTATGAGGCAAAGCGCTTCACAGACGCTGGCTTCGAGCACTATGACCTCTTCTTCATAGATGGCAGCACACCCAGTGACAACATCGTGCGAAGGTTCCTGAACATCTGTGAGAACACCGAAGGGGCCATCGCCGTTCACTGCAAAGGTGTGTGCAAGGCCTCGGTGGTGGTGGCTGTGCTTATCGAAGGGGCGGGCCAAGGAAGAGCAAATAACATAAAACAAAACCTGTTTAGTGTCTTAGAAAAACAATGAGGTTTTAAATTTCAGACAACTGGGACACAAACTCATTTTAATAACCCCTTCTTAAAGAAACGATTGCTTGGGTGTGGACAATTGGTGGTGGTGTGGCTTTCTTGATATGCCAGTTTTTCAGACCTTACCTTTCCAGGCCCACGTGCCACAATGAGGGGAAACACAGTAGCAGTGTCTTTAGGCTGCAGGAACACCTTTAAACAGGTAAAATTCTCAAGAGACAAGGGTTGTTAGTTTTCCTCTCTCCTTTGTTTTTTTTCAGAATTGCCCATCTCTTCTCCATCCTCTTGCACTGTCGTGGTTCTGTTTTATGACCCAGTTATCTGGACCCCCATTCCAGTCTCTGCTTTTCCCTCCCCTCCTAGTCTTTGGCTTCATGGAGCAGAGCGTCTTCCATGCCTGTTGCTAGGGGCAATCCGCTAGCTTACAATGCTGCTGATGTGATGCTGCCTCATGGAATAAACTTAAAGAGTTTGTTTTGCAAAAATCTCTGATCTCTGGGGGTGGATACTTTGGGGCAGGAATTGTTCAGACTATAGAAGGTTTAGGATTGCCAGATTTAGCAAATAAAAATACAGGCTGCCTAATTAAATTTGAAAGTTAGATAAACAATGAATACTTTTAAAACAAAAAGTATAAATATGTCCCAAATATTGCAGGGAACATGCATTCTGTATTTTATCTGGCAACCCCATGTCAGCTACTCAGAAAATATGACATGCCATTTGCTCTAAGCTTGTTTGACTTCGAGGAGGCTTAAAATCCACTCCATTCCAGATCTTTCGGTATGGATAATACTGGAAATATTCCAGATATTTTACTGGGTCTTTGATTTCAGCGAGGAGAAATCACTAGGGCCGCCCTGGGCTGGAGCCTCGAGTTCCTCATGTGCAGCTCCTCCTAGTGTCGCTGGGTGGTGCTGTGCTTATGGTTTTGGGTCTAGACCCGGTTTCCCTCTCATTTTATGCTAATCATCTAGTAGGTGTTGGGGAGGGTGCTGTTCTTTTCATGTGCCTAGTGCTGCTGTAACTGACTTATTCAGACGAGTATGGCTTTGGTTCTGACAGAAATTAAAATGCCGTTTTGTAGGCCCTTGTTTCTATGTTTAAGATTTGAGTAGGTGGAGGTACTTTGTGAACATGTGAGCAAAAATGGGAAGCTGCGGTTTCCCAGAGACCCAGAGAGATGGAAATGAGCAGCACGTGGCCTGGGTTTGGAGCAGGGCTCCCCATGCCAGGCTCCCTCCTCCTGGGTGGGCAGAGCTCTCCCTCCCCACCCTCCCCATTAGCTAGCAGGATGGGCCCTGGCTTTGTGGGATATCTTGTCTCTGGCGTGGAGTCTGTTAGGAAGGTGTCACTTGCTGGCTCATTTGTGGGTGCTGCTTTCAGGCCACAGTGGGGTGCCAGTGTGTTGGCTTGTCCCCATGTGATTCATTTGCACCCTGTTTGCTTTTCCATTGCATTTTGTTCAGTATTGCCCAGGTCCAAGAAAAAGCCCACATGTCACGTATTTTAAACAGCAATAGAACTTGAGAGCTAATGGGAACGTTTATATCAACGTTTAGCAGGAGATAATCCTATCTTCTCTTTCAAACTTTAGTTTTGTGCCATAAAAATTGTATTTTTTCCTGAGATTAATTTGGCCTTATTTCTTAGTTCAAGTAGTTTTATTATTACTACGTCGTAGAGTTTATCTGTGGATTAGCCATCCGTATCTTGGATTGACACATTCAAAGGAGAAGAACTGCAAAGCTTTCATTAAAACTCAGTGTGTTTCTTGATAGTATTTCTCACCTGAGAGACCTTGTGCAAAGAAAACTCTCTGGTGTTAAACATTCTTATTACAGATATTTTCTCTATATCCTTGACCTGTGAATGTTTACCTTTTAAAAAATATATGTATTTATTTTATATTGCAAATTTCTTTTCTTTTCTTTTCTTTTTTTTTTTTTTTGAGACAAAGAGTCTCGCTCTGTCACCCAGGCTGGAGTGCAATGGTGCGATCTCAGCTCACTGCAGCCTCTGCCTCCCAGGTTCAATCAATTCTCCTGCCTCAGCCTCCCAAGTATCTGGAATTACAGGTGCCCACCACCACTCCTGGCTAATTTTTTATATTTTTAGTAGAGATGGGGTTCTGCTGGCCAGAACTGGTCTTGAACTCCTAACCTCAGGAGAATGTTGGCCAGGCTGGTCTTGAACTCCTGACCTCAGGTCATCCACCTGCCTCAGCCTCCCAAAGTGCGGGGATTACAGGTGTGAGCCACCGTACCCAGTCTGTATTGTAGATGTTTTTATTTTAAATCAGAACCTTTAACATTGAAGTCAGTTCTTGTATAGGATAGTCACATTTACATGTGGTAATATCTTTTTGAGATTGTTATTTCATTTTCTTCCACTTGCACACACACGTAGGATTCTTTTATAAGGATTACACCTTTGGTTTAATTACAGCTGTATTGCTTTTCACAGCATACTTATCTACTATAGGCTTATTAATTATTTTGACATCTGCCCTAATTAAGTCAGCTTAGTTTTCTGGGAATTCAAGCAGCACTCAGTCTTTTAATTGAACTAAAAGAAGGAAGGAGAAAGAATCTTATCCTATGTCAAATGAACTTTGGTGGCTACTGAAAAGGGAATGAATATGTCATGCCTCAACGTAAAGTATTTTATACAGAGATAAACTAGAAACCAATTTGCTGGGGATTACATTTCAATATCTGCATTTCACTTTGTGGTTGATAAAAGAGATGGCTATGAATTCTTGAAATTCTCTACCACAAATAATAATCTAAAATACAGCAACGTTGTGATAGTCCAGTATGTGATTATCGATGTTCTATAGGGCTTTCAGAAAATGCCTGGAACTATAAAGCAATTGGTGTTTGACTTGGTATAAATAGAACACTTTTCAACATCTTGTCATGCTGTGCCAGGGAGCCCTTTAATTACAAATGCTTAAAAAATTTTGTTAAAGTTTTTATAGAAACTTAGTGAAATGTTCCTATTCAGTTCAGTTGTGGTAAGAGCTCCTAACTATTGAGTGCTAAGTGCGTTCTTTTTATAGATCAAAATTATAGACTCTTTTTTAAAAGGGGGAAGCTGCTTTAGTTTCAGAGAAATTGGAAAATTTCCTGCACCTCCTTTTTGGTTGTGAGTGTGAACAGGAGCCTAAGTGAGGGAGCCATCCAGGTCTTTGCACAGTGGGGAGCAGTGAGAGAGAGTGTTGTCTCCATAAGGAAGGCCCTTTTCTCTCCAGATAGACACCCAAATTGGTGACTTGAAGGAAGAACTCTGGAAACTCACTGGGCTCTGGCTTCTGCTCCAGGATGTCACCTGTGTTTTATCTATACGGTTGCCTATAGTCTTGCCAGGCATCTAGGGAATTAACAACGATAGGCACTGGGTGAAATAGAAGGCAAATTACGCAGAAATCTTAATCATAAAGGGAGAGCCCCACTGAGACCAAAATTAAACCTCACTCTTCGAAAGAACATTGATGTTTGATCTGGGGCAAGGGTTCCTTCAGATTAAAACAGAACACACACACACACCTCATCTAATGAAACAGAGTATGAATACTTCTTAAAAAGGAAGGGTTAGCCGGGAGTGGTGGCCCACGCCTGTAATCCTAGCACTTTGGGAGGCCGAGGAGGGCAGATCACCTGAGGTCAGGACTTCGAGACCAGACTGACCAACATGGAGAAACCCTGTCTCTACTAAAAATACAAAATTAGCCGGGCATGGTGGTGCATGCCTGTAATCCCAGCTACTCGGGAGGCTAAGGCAGGAGAATCGCTTGAACCTGGGAGGTGGAGGTTGTGGTGAGCCGAGATCGCACTATTGCATTCCAGCCTGGGCAACAGCAGCAAAACTCGGTCTCCAAAAAAAAAAAAAAAAAAAGAAGGGTTAATGGGAAGGAAATGTCAGGCATCTGTAGACACAAAATTGTTGTTTTAGTGGGATGAAAAACTTTTTTTTTTTGTATAAAGCACAGATTTACATAAACAGATATGCAGTCTATCTGTGACAGTGAAATTTCATGGGGACTGATTAGGAATAAAATATCTAAAGAGGCTCCTGGAAGGAACAATAATGTAAAAAAGGTTGAGGAACACTGATTTAAAGACATACATTTTTCATATTTTAACATTTCTGAAGTTAGAATGGATCTTAAAATTGATGGCATGTCATAGTTTAATTTTTTCTTTCTTAGTGGAACTTACATACTACACGACTGTAGTTTTAGATTTGCTGAAATGCTGTGTGCTCCCAATTACTGGGAGATAAGAGAAGACTACCTTTATTGTTTGATCAGGGAAAGCTGACAAAAGGTCCCCTCAAAAGCAGAAGATTCTTGAACATGTAAAAAATGAAACTATCAATGTTTCCCTACTTTGTTTTGTTTTACACACGCGCGCACACACACACACGCATATGCACACAATTTTTTTTTCTTTCTTTTTCTAACTAAATGTTTTCATGGATGAAGTCAACATTGTACCAGTTTTCTAGGTCAGAAATGTCACTTACCTATAACTTTCCCTGTGACCCAGTCCTAATGGATTTCTAATTGAGCTTTACATCTTTGTTGCAGTTGCTCACCCTCATCCCTTTCCACCCTCATCCCAACCCCCCAGCCACCCTTGCTTCCCTGCCCCAGCCTTCCATCTCATCTCTCTTGCTTCCATCTCTGGCTTTTCCACTCCAGCCAGTAATGCTGCTGCCAGACCCATTTGCTTTTTATCACATCACTTTCTTGCCCCCAAATCTATGGCACCTTCATTTTGCCCTTTTCATTGTTTAAAGAAAAATTGGGTTTTACATGATAGCAGTTATGTTTATTAGCTGTTGATAATATCATCACACTTGAATGCAGAGCAGTTTCTGGGCAAGGTTTGATTTCAGTGTTTTTGTGGTAGCATTTGCTAGACTTTATATTTCTTATTCTGTTTCATTCTCTTACAGCTGGTCTTGGAAGAACAGGGACATTGATAGCCTGTTATGTAATGAAACACTACAGGTTTACACATGCTGAAATAATTGCTTGGATTAGAATATGCCGGCCAGGCTCTATTATAGGACCCCAGCAGCACTTCCTGGAAGAGTAAGTATATTGTCCCCATTACCACATTATATCCTGTTCTTGATCCTTTCTACCTCTTGTTCCCCTGGTTGTGGACCATGTCAGCCTGTGGTTATAAAATGGCTGCATTGTTAAGAGAAGTGTGTGCCTCTAATAGAATATTGTTGATTTGACAGCTAATGCATTCTAACTTTGTACCTTTTATATCTCTTAGATCAGGTGAGAGTGAGAAGAAAATCACAGAGCCATCTCTGCCTACCCTTTTTCTGTCATTTTCTATGTGTGATCTGGCTACAGTGCAATTTTCTTATGACATCCCACTTGGCACTTTTCATTCTTTTCTTTTGTTTGCATGTCTTAAAGCATAATGAGAAAAAAAAAACCACAATTAAGGTCACTCAGTGATTTTGGTAAGATTGCTGCTCTCCTGACAACTAACTAACTAAACTGCTAATGTAGGTACAACTTATGAATATACCCAAGAAGTTACCACAGAAGAAAAAAGGAGGAGAACTGAGTTTTAGTTCTGGCTCTCCACTAACTAGCTTTATGACCATTATTTAGAAGAATACTTATGTATTCACTCATTCATTTATTCCCACAGCCATTCATTCATTAACTTTTTGTCCAGCCTCAGCCCAAGAGAGAGAGATTTAACCTGTAGGACACAATCCTTTCTTCTTAGAATGTTAGAATGTATCTCAATGTACTCATTAATAAAACAAGAAGATGAAGTTAGTACTGGTTGATCTAAGTCCAGCTCTAAAATACTATCTATTAGTGATATCTTTTACTGAAATTTCATTTTTTTTTCTTTTTATGCTGGGTTGACTCTATTTTATTTTAATTTTAATTTTTTATTTTTTGTAGAGACGGGGGCCTCACTATGTTGCCCAGGCTGGTTTTGAACTCCTGGGCTCAAGCAATCCTCCCACCTTGACTTCCCAAAGTGCAGGGATTACGGGTGTGAGCCACTATGCCTGGCTGATGGCTCTCTTTTGAATAGCATTCTTTTCCATATAATTATTTATTTCCAATTTAAATATAATTATTCCTTTCCAGTTTTAATGATCATGATCATGTGTGAATTCGTAAAGAAACGATCATGAATTTCATAGGAAGATGCCATAAGTAAACTCTTAGCATCTGAAATGATTAAGAGGATTTGAGCCTGCTGAGGAATTACTTACTTTAGTTGCCAGTCCTAGAGGTAATAACTGATTAAGAAGTGCTGAAAAATGAGTGGTTATACTTTAGCTTAAAAGAATGATGCAGATGTCTAATGAATGCATTAGAAAAAATATCCAAGGACAGGATCATTACAAAGACAGGAATTTCTCTCTTTTTACCCGTGAGGTACAAATAAGATAATTCTGTTATTTTGGAGCTTTATTCTTGATCAGATTCTCATTGTCTTCCTCTATTTCTCTGTTTTGCATTTTATGTGCCTGTAGCCTGGAGCTTTGTGCCATGTATCTGCCAGGTTCTCATTATACTAATTGCTGAAGTTGAAGAAATGGTCTTAGGGTTAAAAAACCAAATACTCCTAAGCCTAGTTCTTTAAGCCATTTAATCAATGTCTTAAAATTATTGCTTGTCATTTAATAGGTATTGCTATACCTATTGCCCCAGGCATTCTGCTAAGTACAGCTCGCAAGGTGAGGAGATATAGCAGAGAATTCTACCAGTCAAGGTCACCTAGCTTTCTCAGGGTGTCAGATAACACAGCCCTCATGTTTCATGGCTGCATACTCCCTCCAACCTCCCTATTATACTCTTTCTCTCTGCCATATCTCAAAATAGTAAGAGAAGAAATTAGAGTTATGAGGCAAAGGCACTCTAGGCTGAAGAAAGGCTTTTAAATTTATAGATACTTAAGCTGTATATAAAGAACTCTCAAAACTCAAGAAAACAACTTAATATAAAATGAGTAAATGATTTGAACAGAAAGTCCTCCAAAATGATATACAGATGGTGAATATTCCTCATGATCATAAACACAGAGTTCTTAAAGAAACATTGCATATCAAATCCAGCTGTATAAAAAAGATAGTGCATCATGACCATCATGGCTCAATATTAGAAAATCAATATAATTCACCAAATTAACACAAAAAGTAGAAAAATTATATGATTATCCCAATAGATGTACAAAAATTTGACAAAGTTTAGTACCCATTTTTAATAGAAACTTTCAATAAACTAGAAATAGAAGGAAATTTCCTCATTCAGATAAAAATAATCTATGAAAACTCTATAGCTAAAATTATATTTAATGGTGATGCTTTTCCTGTAAGATCAGGAACAAAACAAGGGTGTCTACTCTCACTACTTCTAATATTATACTGGAAATCTTAACCAGTGCAATGAAAAAAAAAGAAAGAAAAAAAAACTTAGAACTAAAGAGTGAAATTAGTAAGATTGCAGGATACAAAGTCAGTTTTCAGAAATTTTAGCAAAATTTTAAAATTCTGCTAATTAAAAGACACACAGTATATATATCTGACAAAAGACTTGTACACATATATTAAAAAGTATAAATAAGCAATTTTAAAAATTAATTTTTGAATGGGCAAAAGCCTTGGCCAGATATCTCATAGAAGGTAATATATGTATATGAAAAGATGTCCAACATCATTAGCCATCAGGGAAATAGAAATTGAAACCACAATGAGATACTATTTTATGTCAACCAAAATGGCAAACAAAAAAGAAGTTTTACTACAAAATGCTGGCAAAGATATGGAGCAACTGGAACTCTCATGTGTTAACCAATTGGTGTATAATTGTTTGGCCATTTCTCATAACGTTAATCTATATTTAACTCTATGACCCAATGATTTCATTTCTAGGTATTTAAATAAGGGAAATGGAAACATTTGTCTACAAAGACTTGTACAAGAATATTCACAGTTGCTTTATTCATAGTAGCCCAAAATTAGAAATCATCCAAATGTCCGTCAACAATTTATGAGTGAATATATCATAATATGTTCATAAAATGAAATACTAGCCAGCAATAACAAAGAATGAATTACTGATATACTCAACATAGATGAATATCATATTATTGTAAGAGGAAAAAAAAAGCCAGACACAAAATAATACATGCTGTATAGATAAAGCCCAAGAACAAGCAAAACCATTCTGTGGTGATAGAAATCAGAAAGCAATTGCTTCTGAGGTGTGTCAGGGAAAACTGACCCCCCAAAAAAGCATGACAGAACTTTCTAGAGTGTTGGAAATGTTCTGTATCTTATCTTGGGTTGTGTTTACACAGGAGCACAATCAGTTGTAATTCCATATACTAGCCTTAAACAATTAGAAAATAAAACCTAAAAAATTATACCATTTACAATGTATCTGGTAACTTCAGGTTAGAGATGTGCAATATCTCTACACAGAAAACCGAAGAATTTTTTTTATTGAGAGAAATTAAAGAAGATATAAATAAGTGAAAAGATAAAGATTATCTTGAATAAGATCAAAGCTGGAGGATTTACACTCCCAGATATGGATTCATTTTAAAACTGCAGCAATTATGATATTGAGATATTGGTGTCAAGACAGACAAATTAACCAATAGAATAGAATATAAAGTGCAGAAACAAATTCAAAAATATACAGACACTTGATTTATGATAAAGGTGACATGTTAGAGCAACAGGAAAAGGTCTTTTTAGTAAATTCTGCTGGGTCAACTGGATATCTATATGGGGAAAAAGAAGAACCTTGGCTCCTATCTCACAACCTATTTTTTAAAGGAATTCCTGATGAGTTGTTGATTCAAATGTGACAGAAAAATCAGTGAAGCTTCTGGAAGATAACATAAAATAATGTATTCATACTTTGAAGTTAACAAAGATATCTTAAGTGGTACATGGAAAGCATTACCTATAACTGAGTTGAAATTGTAAAATTCTCTTCATCAAAGACACTATTAAGAGAGTGAAAATGAAAACCACAAGAGTAGGAGAATATTTACATCACATAATAATGGGCACTGTACTTGTACCCAGAATACTTACACTCCTACACATTAACAATAAAAAGACAATCTGATAAAAAATGTGTAAGAAACATGAAAAGACATTTCATAGAAGAGAATGTACAAATGGCCAATAAACATACGAAAAGCGATTCACCCTCATTAGCTATTTCTTATCTTTTGGTACAGCTATCTGTTGGAGATATACCTGTGAGTGGAACAGTTGGGTATGTGTGCATTCAGAGTTAGAATTATTAAACAGTTTTCCAAAGTAGATATGCCTGTTTATGTTCTCATCAGCAATGGTTTGTCAGTCTCTTAAATTTAAGCCATTAGATTTTTTAAGTGATAACTTGCTTTATAGTTTTAATTTGCTTTTTCTTGATGACTAAGGTCAATCTTTGTATATTCTAGATACTAGTCCTTTGTCTGGTAAATGTTTTTCAAGGTTTTTTTCAGTCTATAACTTGTCTTTTCATCCTCTTAATAGGGTCTTTTACAGAATAAAAGTTTTAAATTTTGATGAAATCCCTTTTATCACTTTTTTCTTTTTGATATTGTCTGAGACTCTTAGTTTAGCCCTAGACTCAATGATTTCTCATATTTTTTTTTCTAAAAAGTTTATAGTTTTACATTCACATTTAAGTCTGTGATGGATTTTGAGGTTTTTGTTTATTTCATAACGTGTGAGACTTAGGTCAAGCTTCTTTTTTTTTGGCCTATGCATGCCCAGTTGCTTCAGTACCATTTTCGTTGAAAATTCAGTTTCTCCACTGAATTTTTTCTATAGCAGCATCAAAAATCATTTGGATATATTTGTGTTGATCTATTTCTTTGTTCTCTATTCTGTTCCATTGACCTATGTGTCTCCTTCCTTCAATGCCACACTCTCTTGATTACTGGACCTATATAGTGAGCCTTAATATTGGAAGAGTGATTCCTTCCACTTTCTCCTTGTTTAACAAAATATTCTTAGCAATTCCACTTTCTTTTCCTTTTCATATACATTTTAGAGTAAGCCTGTCTAAATCTACAGATAATGTTTCTGGGATTTTAATAGGAAGTATGTTAATCCTCTATATCGATTTGGGGAGAATTGACATCTTTACTATTGTTGAGTCTTCTAATCCATAAACATGATATGTCTTTTCATTTATTTAGATCTTCTTTGATTTCTTTCATCAGCATTGTGTAGTTTTCTGGATGCAAGTCCTTTTTTGTTAAATTTACACCTAAGTACTTATTTTTTTTTAGCAATTATAAATGGTATTTATGTCCATATGTTCATTGCTGGTATGTAGAAATACAATTGATTTATCTTTTTCTTTCTTTCTTTTTTTTTGAGACGGTGTTTCACTCTTTTTGCCCAAGCTGGAGTCCAATGGCACGATCTTGGCTTACTGCAGCCTCTGCCTCCTGGGTTCAAGTGATTCTCCTGCCTCAGCCTCCCAAGTAGCTGGGATTACAGGCGTGTGCCACCACGCCCGGCTAATTTTTTGTATTTTTAGTAGAGATGGGGTTTTACCATGTTGGCCAGGCTGGTCTTGAACTCCTGACCTCAGGTTATCCTCCCACCTCGGCCTCCCAAAGTGCTGGGATTACAGGTGTGAGCCACCCTGCCTGGCCACAATTGATTTTTCTGTTTATTTTGTATCCCGAAACCTAGGAGTTTTATATGGGAGTGTGTGTGTGTGTATGTATGTGCAAATTCTTGGGGATTGCTTTTTCATCCACAAATAGGACAATTTTATTTTCTTTCTAATCTATATACCTTGTGTTTCCTTTTCTTCCCTTGTTGGACAGGCTAAAACTTCCAGCGCTGTGATGAGTAAGAGTGATAAGAGCAGACATCCTTGTCGTGCTCCCAGTCTTGGAAGGAAAGCATCCAGGCATTCACCTGGATTAAGTATGTTAATTGAGGTTTTCTATAGATGTTCTTTATCAGGTCGAGGCGGTTCCCCTCTATTTCTGTGTTTCTGAGGGTTCTTATCATGAATGAGTGTTGAATCTTGTCAAATACTTTTTTGGCATTGATTGATATGATCACATGATTTTCTTCTTAAGATTGTTAATATGGTAGATTGCATCGATTGTTTTTTGTATATTGAAGAAGGCTTATGTCCCTGGAATAAACACCATTTGGTCATGGTGTGTAATTCTTTTTATATATTGCTGAACTCTGTTAGTTAAAAATTTTTATGTCCATATTCATAAGTAACATTGGTTTGTAGTTTTCTTTTTTTTGTCTGTTTTGTCTGGGTTTTGTGTCAGGATAATACTAGTTTCATGAAATGAATTGGGAATTGTTCTTCTCTGTTTCCTGGAAGAGATTGTGAGAGCTGGTGTGAATTCTTAAAATGCTTGGTAGAATTCTCCAGTGAAATTATCTGGGCCTGGGGATTTCTTTTTAAAATTATGAATTCAATTTCCTTAATAGATATAAGGCTATTTGAATAATCCATTTCATATTGGGTGAATTATGGTAGTTTGTTTTTTGAGGAATTAGTCCGTTTCATCTAAATTGTCAAAATTATGTTTGTGGAGTGTGTTTTTTTTTTTTAAAGTATTCCTTTATGTTTGCAGAGCCTGTAGTGATTTTCTTGGCTTCATTTCTGATGTTAGTAATTTGTGTATTTTTTTTTCCCTTTGTCAGTCTCCCTAGAAGTTGGACAATTTTATTGATATTTTCAAAGAATCAGCTCTTTGTTTCATTAATTTTCTCCTTATATTTTTGTTTTTAATTTCATTGGTTCATGTTTTTATATTTATTATTTCCTTCTGCTTCCTTGTAGTTTTCAGTATTTTGGCAATGTGTCTAGGTGTGGATTTCATTGGAATTATCCTTTTTTGAGGTTTACTCAGCTTCTTGAATGTTTAGGTTTATGTCTTGTCAAATTTGGAAGGTTTTCAGCTATTATTTACTTAAGTGCTTTCTCAACCCTGTCCTCTTTTTCCTTTCCTTCTGGAACTCTGTTGACATGAGTGTTAGGTTTTTGTTATAGTCCCACAGCTCTCTGGGACTCTCTTCATCATTTTATTTTTAGTTTATTTTCTCTTAGTTATTCAGATTGGGTAGTTTCTACTATTCTATCTTCCCCTTTACAAATTCTCTCATCTCTCCATTCTGCCATTTAACCCACTCACTGAATTTTACATTTTGGTTATATGCTATTCTAAACTTTCTGTTTGGTTTTCTTTATATCTATTTCTTTGCTGAAACTTCCTATTTTGTCAGTTGTTTCATGTGTCTTTGTAATTGTTTGTTGGGGCATTTTTATCATGGCTACTTTTAAATCTTTGTCAAATTATTCTAACATCTCTGTCATCTTGGTGTTGGCATTTAGCGATCATCTCTTTTCATTCAGTCAATGTCAATGTGAGAAAATGTTAACCTGGACATTTTCCTAGTATGTTGAGACTCTGGATCTTACTAAAACATTCTGTTGTATCTGGCTTCTTACACTGCTTCAGCAGAGGAAGGTGGTGGCAGCTGGGTTGGGGGGCAGGGGGTTGCCACATTGCTACTACCAGGTGGAGGCAGGAATCTGGATTCTGTACTCAGCCTCTGTTGATGTCCAAGGCTGAGGGGCTTCTTGTTGCTGGTGGGTGGAGGTGGGAGTTCTAGTTTTCCATCGGGTCTGCACTGACACTGTGATAGGGGTCACCTTGTTACTGAAGGGTGTTGGTGAAAGTCTTCACTCTCCACTAGGCCTCCTGTGACACCACTCCAGCTGACAGAGGAGGGTTGCTGGTCACTGCCTGGTTGAGGTGGACTTCCAGGTTCCACCATTACTACCTTAGTGAGGAGTGGGGCCGAAATTGGGGGATCTCATTATCTGACTCCCAACTTAGCCTTCTTTGACACTTCTGTGGCGAGGGATTGACAAAGGGTAAAGGGGTGCCTACCTATAGCCTGGCAGCGTGGAAATCCAGGATCCCCTCTCAGTCTTTGCTGGCTGGCAGGGTTAGGGCCACAGTTTATTTCCTGTGGGGTTTGGCTGGAGAAGAGCAGTTGTTGAAATGTTTTGTTGTCTACTAGGATACCCTTTTCCTGTTCCTTTGACTAGACAGAGCAGGCTTTTCTTCGGGCTTTAAAAATATCAGCTCTGGGCTGGGCACGGTGGCTCATGCCTATAATCCCAGCATTTTAGGAGGCCGAGGCGGGCAGATCGCATGAGGTCAAGAGTTTGAGACCAGCCTGATCAATGTGGTGAAACCCCGTCTCTACTAAAAATACAAAAATCAGCTGGGCATGGTGGCATGTGCCTGTAATCCCAGCTACTTCGGAGGCTGAAGCAATCAATTGAACCTTGGAGGCAGAGGTTGCAGTGAGCCGAGATTGTGCCATTGCACTCCAGCCTGGGCGACACAGCAGGACTCTGTTGAAAAAAAAATCAGCTCTATTGGCATTTTTGAATCATATCTTCTTCAGCCCTAAGACTAGGCTATATAAGGCAAAAGGAAAACTCGAGGAACTCACCACCATTTCGTTACTTAGGTCTCAAGGTTCCAACCAATCTGCCTTTTTCTTTTCTATTTTTCAGAGTCTTGTTTTTTTTTTTAAATATATATAGGATTTTAAATTTTACTTATGGGAAGAATAGGGAAAAGTACATCTACTTTATTTTCCAGAAATGGTGTTATTGCCTTATATTTTAAGGTAATTAGTCTGCCTATAATTTTCGGCATGAAATCTGCTGTGGCAGTCTGAATAATGTCTCCCCAAATACAGGCATATTTTAATCCCTGTGAACCAGCTGTGAATGTTACTGTATATGGAAAAAGGGACTTTGCAGAAGTGATTAAGTTAAGGAAGTTGATGTGGGGAGATTATCCCGGATTGTTTGGGTGGGCCCAATTAATCACAGTGTCCTTAGAAGAGGGACCCAGGGGGAGCCATTTAGAGGAGAAGCCGATGTGATGACTGAAACAGATTGGACTGATGCATTTTAAAGATGGAGTAAGGAGCCATAAGCCAAGGAATATGGGCAGCCACTGTAAATTGAAAAAGGCAAGGAAACAAATTATCTCCTCAAAGCCTCCATATGGAACCAGCTCTGCCTACTGTCACTGCTTTAGCTCAGTGAAACTGATTTCAGACTTCCAACTCCAGATCTGTAAGAAAGTAAACTGGTGTTCTTTTAAACCACCACATTTACGGTAATGCTTTACAATATCCATAGGAAATTAATACATCTGCTTTGTATAGATAGCAAATATGTACAGCAGGAGATGCAGATCCTAGTGATGAACATGCATATTCTGAACTTCTCTTATTCATCATACTTTCTAATTTGGAGTATTTAATTCCAAATACTCCAAATTAGAAAGTATGATGAATAAGAGCATATAGAGGAGTCGTGTGACTTAAGTGTTATTTAAGGAAGCTTGAGTTGCAACAATGTGTAAGATGAATTGGGTGGATGGAGATTGGAATCAGAGAGGCTAAAAAGGAGGCTATTATCATCCATCTCAGAGAGACAAGGACTTATCAAAAGAGGATAGAAGTTGGACTGAAGATTTAGAGATGGGTACCAGGGACATTTCAAGAAAAAAGAAAAAAACAAGGCTTTGAAGACTAACTAATGATCAGAGAGATGAAGAGTATGAAGTCAATGATGACGCAAAAGCATGAATAAGTAACGTGTTCATTAAGCAAGAAATAAGAGGGTAAAAACGTTTTCTGTTAGGTTTTCACCTGTCAAAAATGACTGAACAAGTTAAAGTGATTGTATTCTTTTAAAGGTGAAAAGTCAATCAGTGCTTTTTAGAGAATGTTAATTCCAAATCTCTGACTTTAGAAAGGCTGGTTTGTCATATCCTCCTAGTCCTTGAGGACCAAAATATGTCCAGGTGCTTGATTGCCATGTCTTAAACAAGCAGCCCTCTTATTCACTGGCAGTAAGAGAGATGTTTATTAGCATCCTTTTGAGTTGTTGATGAATTTACTTATTGGCTGACCTCTCCTTTGTTACAGTCTGAAATTTTATATTTAAACTTTTAAAGGATATAAAGCTCTCTATTTGCAAAACAACCATCAGGTGTTTTTCTTCTATTTAAAGCTGAAGTTCTTAAACCAAAAATACCATTCTGAATCCCAAATGTGTCTTCTATCAAACATCCTCAAGGTTCTTAAAATGATGTAAAAATACATCTTTTTGTTTTTGAGCCAACTCTGGACTCAATGTCCTCCGAGACAACCTTTAGAAGTATAAAGGTGGAGTCAGGCTGCTTTTACAACTTGGTTGATTCTATTTATTGAACATTTGCTGTGTGAATGTTCCCCTGACCTTGGGTATCATTATCTATCTGTGATAGATAACCTATATCACAGATAGATAGATCTATCTGTGACAGATAACCTATATCACAGATAGATCTATCTGTGACCTCGGGGATCATCATCTGTTAAAGCTTTCATTCATTATAAAGGGATCATTGAGGGACTAGTGTGGGGCTCCCACGGGGATTTTCAGCTCACGGAGATCCTTTATTTATGGGGCTCAATATGGCATTGTTTTTGTTTTACATTTCCTTCTGAGACAGAGAGAACTCACATAAAGCCTAAATCTGGCTCTTGCAGGAAGTTTTGGCTCTGTAAAGCAGAGCTTCCATTTTGAATGAGGTTATCTTTATGAAGCACAGTATTATGGTTGAACTCTTTTTCATTCTTAAATCCATAAACCAAAAATTCCCCTGTTCTACTTTATTACAATAGATGTTTTCATCAGCTTCTACTGAGTTGGATATTTTCAGAATTCTAACTTTGTTGCAAGCCTTCCATTGTCTTCAGTGCTTCTCAAACATGAAAATGCCTAGGAATTGTTGGGGGATCTTGTTCAGTGCAGTCTCTGATTCAGCAGGTCTGAGGTGAGACCTGAGAGTGTGCATTTCTAACAGGCTCCCAGGTGGTGTGCTGCTGCTGGTCCCTGAACCATATTCAATAACAAGGGTGTTTGGCTCATCCTTACTCTGTAAATATCAACTTAGGCTACATCTTAATTTGGTGCCAATAGTATTTCGTAAGTTTCACAATTGGATTGAGCTAGATCAGAAATTAATAGTTAAACCATTGCTTTTTTATTTCAGGAATTAGCAAAAATAAGATGAAAAACATCTGTTTAGAAAATGGAAAATGCTTGAAAAAGTCTAACACTAATGGTTTGAGTTTTAGTTGAGATTGACTTCTATCATTTCCTTTTAAAAAAAGTTAATTCTTTTTTAAATTTCAATAGCTTTTGGGATACAAGTGGTTATTGGTTACATGGATGAATTGTATAGCATGAACTCCGAGATTTTAGTGCACCCATCACCTAAGTACTGTACATTGTACCCAATATGTAGCTTTTTAATCTCTCTTGTCCCCGACCCCACCTTCTGTGAGTCTCCATAGTCCGTTATATTCACTCTGTGTGCCTTTGCATACCTGTACCATTTCCTTTTATGGTTTTCTTTTAGATACATGCAGTAGGTCAAGGAATATAGGCTAAAAAATTTTAATTATTTATTTTAAGGGTTTAAAATTTTGTGTTTCCTAAAATACAGAAATTATAATCTGAAATACTATAAAAATCAGAATTTAACAAAACAAGATACAGTGTTTTATTAGAATTACAAGCATACTGCATAGGTTTGAGTTTACACTATTTACTGAAAATGACATTTTTGTAGTAACACTCAATTATAGAATTTTCTGATTTTCAACAGTTACTGCTGCATTATCTGATCCATTTGTTGACTGCCAGTTGATACTGGAACTACTGACTAAGCAAAAATAAAATCCTAATATGGGTTCAAGTATTAAGGATAATTAAGTATGTATCAGAATCTTTGGCAGTGGTTGCATCAGAAATTTATTATTAAATACTCATGCCAGTTATTACTCTAGATAGAAGACTGACTTTTTAAATTAATGTTTTATTATGGTAAAATATGTATAACATAAACCTTACAATTTTAACCATTATTATATGTATAATTCAGTGACTTTATATATGTTCACAATGTTGTGCAGCCATCACCACTATTTCCAGACTGTTTCATCATTCCAAACAGAAACTTTGTACCCATTGAACAATAAATCACCATTATCTCCACCCCCTACCCAAGTCCCTGGAAACCTCTATTCTACTTTCTGACATTATGAATTTGCCTGTTCCAGATTCCTCATATAAATGGAATCATTCAATATTTGTCGTTTTGTGTCTGGCTTATTTTACTTAGCATATTTGCAACATTCATCCATGTTGTAACATGTATCAGAATTTCTTTTAGAGGCTCAATAATATTCCATTGTATGTATATATCCCATTTTATTTATCCATTCATTTGTTGATGGACGTTTGAGTTATTTCTACCTTTTGGTTATTGTGAATAATGCAACTGTTCTGAACATTGGTACACAAGTATCTATTTGAATCCCTAGTTTCAATGATTTTGGGTATATACCTAAAAGTGGAGTTACTGGATCATGTGGTAATTCTATGTTTATCTTTCTGAGGAACTGTGAAACTGTTTTCCTCAACAGCTGTGCCATTTTTCATTCCCACCAACAATGCACGAGGGGTCCAGTTTCTCTGTATCCTTACCATGAATGGTTTTTGTTTATTTTGTTTTGTGTGCTCTGAATAAAACTATATGAAAAAGGTTAGAGATGGGGGAAAAGGTATTGTAAGCAGTAAGAAAGTAAGCAGTGATATATTAGGCTTAGTTATGAAGTTTGCATTTTGGCATGACACTCCAATGATCTAGCTTCTGATTGTAGGGTTCTATACCTAAACTAGATTTAGTTAGTTGAATCTTTTGGAGAATTCCCTTCCTCAGTTTTTTCCTTCTAGCTTCATTTTCTAGTATGTTTCACAATTAACTGCCTTCCCTTATGCTTTCAGAAATTCTCTAAACATCTTCCTAGTGAATCTTCCACTTGTACCACAGCATTTGAAGAACTCCTTGAATACCTGTTGCCTTCCCGCCCCCTGCATCTTGGTTACTGCTTCCCATCTGTCTTCCTTTGATAGCAAGGTAGACCATTTTGTTAGCCCACTTCTTTAGGCCAGGAACTGTCTCTGTTTCCATAATAGCTCTGGGCTGGTGGAATAGAAGGTACACAAAACAGATTGGTACTCAAGTCATGGCTAGAGTAGGCCTAGGCCAAGCTAGAGAGTGGGTTATGTTTCTATTTGGAGTGACCAAACAGTGGCTTTGGATGGACTTTGGGGTCAGGGTTGAGTTTTTTGGGAAAATTGTCCAGGATGGAAGAAGGATAAAGATAAAGAGTTCGGTTGGTGTGGAGATGGGATTGGGCTGGGCTTAGGGAAGTGAAGGAGGACAGGTCAGCCACACACAGAAGCCTGCACAACAGCTTCCATTGTGTTCTGGACTCAGAACTAGGAATATTCACTATAACAGTGTGACTGACTTGAATTTCATTAGAGGAATATTAAAAGCAGATGTAAAAAAAGACCTGTGAAGGCTCTAGATCAGAATCAACTGTAACTTGGCTCATAATAAGCCAAGTTATTTCGTTATTTTCTTATGTCCCATGCCTGGCTAGCCTAAACCCAACTAACCCAGGGCAAGGACATGGCTGAAAACAAGGACCCCAGCACTGGCTATACTTCTTAAGGCTCTATTCAAACCAAGACACATCTCTTCCTGTCATTTTAAAGCACATGCCCTTTTTAGCAGAGGGTCAGTAAATTTCATGCTGTCTTAGAAAATGCACTATATTCTTGGAGAATGTACTTTGAGCTGGTGTGTTGGCTTCATAAGATTTGATTTTTAAATACTAAATGCTTAAAAATACATGTTTTACTTCTTTTGTTTGAGATGAGGCTTTTAGGGAGTAATAGACACCACAATAAAAGCTAGCATGGTTTGCATTTTCAATAAAAAGGAATTTGCGTGAAGTGCTGCTTTTTCTCAAGAAGCACTTGCGTACAGCATTGCTTAGCAACACACAAATCAGCTCTGACACCTTATTCATCTTTAATATTCAGGTTCAAATCAAGCCTTTCCAGAGATGGGACAGATTGCGTCTTTCAAACCAAGCAAGTGAAAGTTGTCACTTTGTAATTTTCATCTTTAAGTTGGCAGCAGCATCAGAATTTTCATTTTATAACTTCTTTTGAAATTGGAATTTTTTTCAACTAGCCTCTTATGTCCTTCTCCTCTGTTCTCACTTTGTTTTTTGTTCCTAAAGACTCTTAAAAGGTCTTTCCTGTATTTTTGGTATCAAATTTAAATTCCTTAGGATGACATGCAAGGCCCATCTCTCATAGCCTCTGCTTCAGCCAAATTAAACAATTCATGTTCATAAACATGCTGTTTTCTTTGATATCACTATTTTTCCAGCCCACATTGTTTTCTTTGCTTGGCAATACTCTTAGCTGGGTAAGTCCTGCTCATCTTTCCAGATACTTCTGGAATGTTGGGGAACTTCTTTTTGATTCCATCAGATTGAGTAAGGGGCCTCTTTTCCTGAGGTCCTGTGCAAATCCTGATCATAGGGTTTATAATATCGGACTTCATTTGTTTGCTTTTCTCATCCTAAACTAGAAATCCCTTCTTGAGAGACAGGGATTCAGTCTTTCATCCTTATATCCTGTCCTACCTGTGTGTTTCATTTATCTGAATTTCTTACTATTTATGACAGAGCTGAATCTTCTCTTTTTTTAAAATCATGATTTTTATTCTTTTCAACCTATCTCTCTCTCTCTGTGTATATATGTATATACAGAGAGAGATATCGAAAGATATAGATATCTATATATATATTTTTTTATACTTTAAGTTCTAGAGTACATGTGCACAACGTGCAGGCTTGGGAGGCTCCATCCGTGTTCCCATAAATGACATGGTCTTATTCTTTTTTATGGCTGCATAGTATTCCATGGTGTATATGTACCACATTTTCTCTATCCAATCTATCATTGATGACATTTAGGTTGATTCCTTGTCTTTGCTATTGTGAATAGTGCTACATGAACATTTGCGTGTATGTGTCTTTATGGTAGAATGATTTATATTCCTCAAGATATATACTCAGTAATGGGATTGCTGGGACGAATGGTAATTCTGTGTCTCACTCTTTGAGGAATTGCCACACTGCTTTCCACAATGGTTGAACTAATTTACACTCCCACCAACAGTGTATAAGTGTTCCTTTCTCTCTGCAACTTCACCAGCATCTGTTATTTTTTAACTTTTTGATAATAGCCATTCTTACTGGTGTGTGGTGGTATCTCATTATGGTTTTGATTTGCATTTCTCTAATGATCAGCGTTTTAACCTGAATTTTATGTGATATGTGAAATCTTTGTGAGAAAGTATTACTCAATCCTGTTGCTTTAAAAAATATCTATGTTCTTACTGGTGGCGTCTCCTTGATGATGCAATTATTTCACTAGATGTTGATATTTTTTATGACGAACCACAGTGTTTTTAGTTTAATTCTATTCTGTACAGTGTGTTATAGGATAGAAATAAAGTGATTTTATGGAATAGTTTATCTTATAGGAAATGTATGAAGGTGATCCCACCAATAAAAATAAAATCCTCAGAATGTCATTTTGCTTACATATTTTAAATTATCTTCATATAACTTTGAAAACAGTTGTGATTTTGCCTTAATGAATGAAAGAAAGTTTATACATGAACTTCAAACACATTTTCTTTTCTAAGGACAATCTAATTGAGGATATAAGCCTTGCTTTTAGATTCTAAGAGTAGGTTTTTAAAGTTATGTGTGAGGGCCTTTCATGGTACCACCCAAAAGTAGGTATGCAATACTTTTTTGGGTAATATCTCCATTTAACTCAAGTTCTTTCATGTACAGTTTTGAGTCCAGTTATTCTCTCTGTTTTTATAAATAGGCATATCAAATTGCTATTTGAGAAATTGAAGGTTTCAAATTTATATTTAAAAGACAAATGGGCTCATAATCTTTATTGCTGTGGAATTTGTTCTAAGCATCTGAGGACTTCAGCAGTCAACTATATAGACAAATATTGGAGGATGACATTTGTGTTTAATATAGAATCTTATTTTGGCTTTTTGAAAGTGACTTCATTGTTCTTTATTCTAAGATATCATAATCTTTCTAGTCTGATTTGTAAATGCTTATTTGCTAAATCTTTTCCTTTATAAGACATCATACCTTTGAGATGAGAGTAGATTGTTTTAAAGATAACTTTTTCTTGTCGTTTTGTTTTGTTTTGTTTTTTATACAGAAAACAAGCATCGTTGTGGGTCCAAGGAGACATTTTCCGATCCAAACTGAAAAATCGACCATCCAGTGAAGGAAGTATTAATAAAATTCTTTCTGGCCTAGATGATATGTCTATTGGTGGAAATCTTTCAAAAACACAAAACATGGAACGATTTGGAGAGGTAAGTTTTCCCTAGGAGATTCTATCTTCTTAAAACTGATGTTCTGCATTTGTTTCTCAGTTGGACCTATATAACATAGCAGTGTCTTTTCTCTGGATGCCACGAGTACCAAGTTTTTAGAAGTAGAGCCATCCGTCTATATAGCAAGAAGCAGAGGAAAGAAACCAATTGCCCTTAAAAAAAAAAAAGCTATAATTTAAGGAGTAAATTATAAAGGAGGCTACTCTGGTAAGGGGTAATATTTATAGAAAGGAAACAGAAAAGCAAACTTTCTATTTGAAAATTAAAATAAATATCAAGAAGAAAAATTTTAATGTGACAATTGAGGAAATAATACATACCACAAGTGGTGCTTTGAAAGCCTCAAATTCATGCTGATTTCTAAAGTAAGTGCCAACTTGAAAACATGATTAGGGCACTTTTTTAAAAAAAAATTAAGGCTCTACTGTAAACAAACCACGGTAAATAGTTGATATATATTGTCTGATTAATATTCATAACTACCTGGTGAGTTAGGTAATACTATCTCTATTTTATAGGAAGGAAATTGCATATCAGAGATGTTCTAACCTCAGTGTCAAACATGGTTCAATCCATGTCTGTCTGAGTCCAAGCTTGTGTTTTTTTATATCACACCCTGTTACCTCTGAATAAAAATAGAAGTGATTTACTAAGAATTAGGATTATGAGCATTTTTGGAACTAGAAACAACGTTGAAACACCATTTGTTTGGTTCCACTATTGTAGAGACAAGAAACTGGGGTCCCAGAAAATTTGTGATTTGTGTAAAGTTCCAGGGTTGTTTAGTAGTGGGGCCACTTTGACAACTGGGCATTCAATTCCTAGTTTAGGTCTTTCTACCACGTTATACCTGAGGTGAAGCTAAGTATCTGGTTTATACTTTTATATCTCTAAAGGAGAAAAAAAGAAAAGAAAAAAAGGACCTGTTCAAAATAGTGGAACAAGCTAGGCAGCGTGATGTGTGCCTGTGTGGTCCCAGTTACTTGGGAGACTGAGGTGGGAGGATGTTTGAGCCCAGTGGTCGAAGCTGTAGTGAGCTATGATGGCGTCACTGCACTCTATCCTGGGCGACAGAGCAAGCACCCGTCTAAAAAAGTAAAAAAGAAAAAAAGAGAAAGAAAGAATATAGAAGCAACAAGTGTAGATTTACATTCTATTAGACAGTGACCCATTAGACCCGGACAAGGGCCTTAAACCAAATACTGTGGCTCAAGCTTAGCCCACAAGGAGCCCAGAATGGAAGGAACACATCATAGCTCTCTTAGGTTAATGACTGGCATCCCAAACAGATTTCTTTTTAGCAAGAAAGATAGCCAGAGTGCTTGGAGATTGGGAGCATGAATTTTCTTTCAGGGACAAAGGATGGAGACCGTTGGAAGAAATGATTTTTAAGCCCAGTGCTCTGTTCTCCAGGATGGCTGCTGATGAGGTGACTAAGTTTACCCATTCGAGTCATCTGTCCTGATGAAATGTACACCTTATCCAAGGTCATGTTGATGTTAGAGCCTTTGTTGACTTTTCTTTGTCTCTGTGTTCCAGTTTCACCTATTAAGAGCAAATAAAAAGAAAGGGTCTGAACTAAGATTTTAACATGATAATATAGCTAAGCAAGAATACCTTTTTCTTGCTCTAGTCAGCATTTCCTCCCCAGGTTGAGTACAAGTAAATAGGGCTTTGAGTTATGAACTCTGAAAAGACAAACATAAAGTTAATCCCGTTATCTGAGAAACATATTTACCTTGCAGGAACATAGTACTTTCTATATCATAATCTTGATTAAGTTAACATCTGGTAGTTAGAACGTTTTATTCTCATACTCTTTTAATCCCCAATTTGTTGAATTTAAGAAACTTAACATTTATGTATCACTGTGAGGGTAAGGAATGCAATATGATTGGAATTTTAAATAAGACAGTTTTAAATATAAGTGTATATAAGTCTACTCCCCCGTCTTAGTCCATTTGGGCTGCTGTAACAAAACACTACAGGCTAGGCAGCTTATAAACAACAGAAATTTATTTCTCACGGTTCTGCAGGTTGGGAAATTCAAGATCAAGGCATCAACAGATTTGGTGTCTGGTGAGGGCCTGCCTAGTGGTTCATAGACAGCACCTTCTGCATCTTCACATGGCAAAAAGGGCAAACAAACTCTTAATGCCATCACCTTGTGGGGTTGGGATTTCAACATATGAATTTTGGGGGCTACAAATATTCAGACCATAGCATCCCCCATCATTATTTTAGTTTTAGCCATTGAAATGCTATTGTTTCTGAAATTCAAGAGCAGAAATGAAAGAATTCAGAGATGCCAGAGAATGATGGTATGGTGAATATTTTACACAGCATCATGTATGGGCCCTAGGACTACTTTATTAGCTAGTTAATGGCTTTGTGCAAGTAACTCTTACAAGCACTTTTCTTTCCATGCTTATCTGGTGCCAGCTCTGGAATATCACATGAATATGGAAAATTCGCTTACTCAAAATTGGTCTTAACAGAGTTAATGATGTCTTTATTATTCTTATAAATTGCACATGGGAAAATAGATTGAGAATGCTGTAAGAATTTAATGTGTTTCAAGTTGCATGTGGGTAAAAGTCTATGGAATTTCTGGATTTACTTAGTTTGTATATATAGAAAGTGCAAAAAGGCAGTATTCCTCTTGAGATTGACTTTTAAAAAAAAGATTAAAAGCAGAGATTCTAAATTATTATTTTCTTTCTAGGCCTACAGTAATTTTCTTGTGATTAGTTACTAGGAAGCTCTGTATTACCAGATTTGGAGAATTCGAATAGAGTTTTTTAGGCCGGGCATGGTGGCTTACGCCTGTAATCCTGGCACTCTGGGAGGCTGAGGCAGATGGATCACTTGAGGTCAGGAGTTTGAGACCAGGCTGGCCAGCATAACGAAACCCCATCTCTACTAAAAATAGAGAAAAAATTAGCCAGGTGTGATGGCACATGCCTGTAGTCCCAGCTTCTTGGGAGGCTGAGGCATGAGAATCACTTGAACCCGAGAGGCGGAGGTTGCAGAGCTGAGATCATGCCACTGCACTCCAGCCTGGGCAACAGAGTGAGACTCGGTCTCAAAAACAAAACAGAACAAAACAAAACAAAACAAAACAAAAAACAAAAATACAGTTTTTTAGTGCTTAGGATGTAGGTGAAAGGAAAACAACCAGAATGTTGCAGGTCATAGTGATGGACTAAGTTGTGGTTTTACTGAATGTTCTTTGCCAACTTAGAGTTATGAGAAATAAAATAGAGGCTTCACCTTTATTGAGCCTGGACTTCAGTGCTGGGCTGGGCACTATGAAATATACACAGCCCATCCTGTGGGTCTAGGTTAGGCTCCCTGCTCCCTGCTCCTGCCTTGCACTATACTTTTCCCCCACAGTCCTCATGCCTCCTTCCCTGCTCGGTGATACTCTCTAGGAAGGCAGAGACTTTTATTTGTCTTCATCATGATTCTGTTTTTGGCAAAAGGCCTTAATAAGTATTATGTGAATGGATGAAGAAGGCTTATAGTTTCAGAGAAAAAAAAAGGACAGAGACATGAAATTGGTAATAATCTAAGCTACACAAGTGCATTATGTGCTCAAATACAAAATAGTACTAGCAATAAGTGCTCACTTTAACATTTAGGGGCCTATGGGTCCATTATGGCTTGGAGTTATCTTAAAAGATAGAATTTAAAGTACTTTATTTAAAGTGCAAATATTAAATCAGGATCTTAGCATGAAGTTACTGTATGCCAGTAACTGTTTTAGGCACTTGACATTAATGAACTCTATTAATCCTTACAGTAGCCATATGAAATAGGCACTGTTACTAGGCCCATTTACAGGAGACATACCTGAGGTAGAGGTCAAACCATCTGGCCAAGATCTTGGGTACATGGTGAGGTGGTCATTTGAACTTCTGTGCTCTGGCTCCAAAGTTTGTGCCCTCAGCCACCCTCCCGGGAGGCCTCTCACTATACTCTGCTAACTCTCTATGAGGTCTTCATTGTGGCTTTAGTAAATTATGTACAGTAATTTTGAGCAAAACTGTAACCATTCCCTACTAATAAACTTCTTCTGGAATTACAACGGTTTTTACATTTTGTCTTTCTACTCTAGGGCTATAGTCCAATATTAGCATACCAATCAGTAGATGCTCTTGACTTAGTGATATTAATTAGATACAGGTGCTGCTAATATTCAGCCAAGTTCATACAAATTGACAATCAAGTAGACAAGAATGTAGTGTTTTAATTACATCTTTGAGACATTGTGATTTATAAAATCCATCAAGTACTCATAAGCAGGGTACATCTTAGAAAAATCTATGAAGTAAAAATTAAATCTCTAATGTCCTGCTTTTTAAGCACCTTTCTTTCCCCCATTATGACAGTGAAGACCAGTTCTAATCTGAATGCCATTGGGATCCACCAGAGGTTATTAAGCAGGGGAGTGACAGCACACAGAATCATGGTGCTGAGAGATCACTCTGGCTATGGTGTCATATAGGGCTGAGGGTGGAAGGCCAGGGAGTTGGTGATGGGGAGGTCCAGGTTTTAAAGGTCCCAACCAGTGGCAGTGAATGGGGCAGCCAGAAGAGAGATGTGGGCAGCTCTGATAAATTCAAACTTTTTATTGATCAGAAGCAGCTTATTATAAAGATGACATCTTTGCCTTTCCCCAGCACTTACATCTCATAGGTTCAACATCTGAGAGCTGAAAAGAACTCTAGAGATGACCCAGCCACCTTTCCTAGCCAATTTATTAAAATCTGCTAAAAATTCCATTCTCATCTTTATCTTCCAGTTCTTGGACTTCTATTTTTACTCATTTCTATTTAAACTGTCTATTTATGTCATTTTTCTATTAGGACTCTTCCATCTTTATTCCCTAGTGTGCTATATTCTATCTCATAGATCTTTTCTTAATGAGACTTTCCACAGCCTTTCCTATAGCTTACTGTGCCACGATTTTGTTTAGGTTTTGGTCAGCAATTACTTTATCTAGCTGAAATCTGTGGACACGATTGTGCATAGAGAAAACAACTGGTGGAATAAAATATTTATTCTTCATGTTGTTGTTTGTTCTTTCACTAGGTCATCACTCATGTTTTTTTTTTTTAATTGTACTTCTTTTGGTACAATATTTTAGTTTACTAAATGATATTACTAAAATATCATTTTCTTGCCTTCATGTAGGGCAGCCCAGTATCCAAAAGGAAGAGAGTTGCTGCTTAATCCTCCAAAGGGCAGTGGGGCATCTGAGAGCAGACCCCTTTCCTGTGGGGGACAAAGATAGGAGGGTCTTCCCTGGACTAGGTAGGGTTCTTCATTGTTGCCAGCATCAGCCAAGTGGTTTTGTTTCTTTTCAGCAGATTCCAGGGAATCTGCCTCTCCTGGACTAGCTTAGGACAAGAGAGAGTCTGCTCTGGCATTTTGTAGGGAGATGGGCTGGAGCCTAAGGGCAGAATGGAGGCCCAGGTTGGGTTCTCCTCATTTGTCATTTGTGAATGTGTTCTTTAGTCATCATGAAGAATGAATCTGGTATAAGGAAGGAGGCCTAACAGCACCTGATGAGAAAAGTCTTCAAACACTCCCCTGGCTACCAACTCATGAGATTGATTTGTGCCACACAATATCTGCATTTGCTAATAAACATTTTCCTCCCACAGGCTCTTATGACCTGGTACATCTTATCGGATCAATCCCCTAATAAATATAAGGCTTATTATATTTATGTCTGTGTGTCTTATTCAGTATTCCAGGAGGCCAAAGTCCTTTTCCATATAGCTTTTTAGTTTCTTAATTCTGTAATTTAATGTAAATATGTTTTGAATAATGTTACTATTTTTCTTGAGTTTGAAGGCTATTTATTAATCACTGAGAATTTTATAGTTTATATGTTCTATCTCTCATAGTCCTAAAAATGCCCACACTTTGTACAATGGCCACAGAGAAAAAATAAAAGAAGATTAGTTTAGACAAAAATAGTACGGTTTACATTTTAGTAGATTTTTTCAGACCTATATTGCCTGTCTGGATCTTTCCTCCTTCTTCCCTCTCCCCAAGTCTGAACTCCCATGTGGTTTCCCGTACCCTAATCCAGTCCATCATCTCTCATCAGACCACTGTATAGCCGCTTAAATGTGTCCCTCCCCCGAGTCTTGACCTCCAATTCATTCTCACAGTGATCAATGGGAGGAAATATATGCAATATATGCAAATGAGGGGGGTCGTGTGGGTGTAAAGAACTCTTACAAATCACCAAAATACTATGTGCACAAATAAAACAATATGGGAACCCTCCTGGCTGGTAAACATAAAAAAATTCTACTTCCCTAGAAATGGAAGAGACACAAATTTAAATGATGAGATGCTATTTATGCCTATCAAATGTATTAAAAATGTATGCAGTATTGACAAACGTTTAGGGAATACAAAGCTCTTAAACATTGCTAGTTGGAATTTACAATGGTACAGCCTTTTGGAGGGCAATTTGATCATATGTGGAAGATGACTTTAAAAGGAATTCCACTTCTATGAATTTGTCTTAAGGCAATAATAAGTCTTCATAAACCATGTATATATAAGAGTATGTTTGTTGAGGCTGTTTATAGTGATGAAAGACAGAGAACAGCCTAACCTAGGCTATCGGTTAAATAATAAAATTAGGCATATCTAGACAATGGAATTTTATGGAGCCATAAAACGACAGAGATTTAAAAAAATTTGCCCTGAAAAACTTCCACTATATGTTTTTTAAGTTAAAAAAGTTACAAAGCAGCATATGTATATAATACAACCTCTTTTTGTAAGGAAGAAGTAGGTTGGGGGTTTTATATAGCACAGGGAAAATTCTGGAAGACTATGTGCCAGAATGTTAATGTGTGTTGCTTTTGATGGTAAATATATAGGTGGTTTTAATATTTTTTCCTGTTTACCTATACTTTATTACTAATGACAAACATATGGTAAACATATCTCCATATATATGGTAAATGCATATATATTTAAATACATAAAAATATATCATAAATATATCTGCATCTCTCTCTCTCTCTCTCTCTCTCTCTCTCTATATATATATATATATATATATATTTTTTTTTTTTTTTTTTTTTTTGAGACAGTCTCTATGGCCCAAGCTGGAGTGCAGTGGTGCGATCTAGGCTCACTGCAACCTCTGCCTCCCGGGTTCAAGTGATTCTTGTGCCTCAGTCTGCCAAGTAGCTGGGATTACAGGCACGCACCACCACATTCAGCTAATTTTTATATTTTTAGTAGAGATGGGGTTTCACCATGTGGGCCAGGTTGGTCTTGAACTCCTGGCCTCATGTCATCCACCTGCCTTGGCCTCCCAAAGTGCTGGGATTACAGGTGTGAGCCACCGTGCCTAGCCAGATACCTTTTTTTGAGAAAAAACACCTCTGCCCTCGTGGTCGTCACCACCGCAGCCACCCGAGAGGAGCTGGGGAAGAACAGTGGCCCGCGAGGCTCATCACAGACAATGCGGTGGCTCCTGTGAGGGTGTTTAAGTAAACTTGAGGGGAGGAAGTAAAAGTATGTTAAATCTGGGTAGTTAAGTGCATGGCTGTGTATTGTAGTATTTTTGTTCTTTTCTGATTTTGAGATGTATCATAATTTACAGAAATATTTGACCTTTAAGATTCACAATAGAATGAGAGAAAAATACATGCAAAGTAATTATAATTTAAAATGTACTGTTATTTAATTTTCTGTTTAACTGTATATCTTTTAAAATGCTTTTATTCTTTTCAAGCAATATATGATCACAGCTTAAAAAATATCAACAAGCGTTGAATTCTAGCAACAAAAAATATCAGTCTCCTTTCTCACCTTTCTGTATCTCTGGACCCACTTCCAAAGGGGGAAACCTCTAGGAAAATTATACTATTATTTTTAGTGCCATATTTCTATTATAAATACTTTGCTTATGTTGCTGTTTTTTAATTGATCAATTTTGGACATTTTTGTATTGCCTCCTGGTTGTTGTAGACAGGATGCAGCTCTTCTAGCTCACTGTCACCACCACTTCCCAATATAACTATATTCGTTAAATCAAATAATGTGCACATTATTACTATGTAAACATTGTTCACGGTTGAGCTTAGTAGTACACTATGACTGTTTTCTTTTTTGACGCTCTCTTTGTGTGTCCTAGACTTAATTGCCTTTTTAAATTTGCATAGTTTTCTATGCATTTAGGAAAAGATAATGCTTTAAAAAGTTGTGCCAAACAATTTTAAATTTTTTCAAAATTTCAACACAGCAAAATTCCATTCTAATTCCATTCTTTTCCTGAAGACATTTCTCCCTTCTAACTTGGACTGGTTGTTCTTAGCCCTGCTGTGTGTGTGTGTGTGTGTGTGTATGTGTGTGTGTGTGTGGGTATGTGTGTGTGTGTGAAGTCCTAGGATCAGAACTATATAGCCTGATTCTATAACTCTTCTTCATATTCTTCAGTTAGATCCCTAATTTTCTTGGATCTCATGTTATCTTTCCTTTTTTCCTGAAGAGCATATCCTGTAATAGTTTTCTCAGAAAGATTGTATGGGAGGTAAATTTTTATATCTGTTTTACCTTTATACTTACCTGAAAGGTTGAATTTTAGAATTACAGGTTGAGAATCATTTTATATTTAGAATTTTGAAGGTGTTTCTAGTGGGAAACATAAAGATCCTCCTAGTTGGAGGAACAAATAAGCTTTCCTGGTACAAAAGCACCCAGTTGACAATGAAACTGATTGTGGCAAGGATTCTGTCAGGTCCTCCTAGAAGCTTTCTTAGCCATTCTCATGAGGACCTATGTGTTTTTTGGCCTCACCTCATATTCAGGAAACTCTGGCTCTGTGCTAAGTAACTGCTAACATCCCAGCACGTTGAGTGCTTACTGCAGCCTAGTGAAGCTAAGCTCACCTTCTCAGGTGCACCATCCCACTGGCAAGCCTAGCTGTCAGACCTTCCTGATTTCTGTTCTTGCAGGCTTCCTTTGATGGTAATAAGTTCCTCCCCCATTGGGGTTGTATGGATAGAACTGAATGGTAAAACTGATTTCTGGAGATTTTTTAGAAGTGCAACTTGAGACTCTAAGAGAATCCTCTGTCATGAAGACTCCATGATCCTGTGACTGTTGAGCTGGTATTCTTGCACAGGACGACCTTTCCTGGGATCTTGGGCTGCGTCACTTGCACCCATTCTTTAAGGGATTGCCTCTAGGAAGCTTTTGTCCTTATTCTTTCTTTCCCACTGGCCTTGTGCTTTGCATTTCTTTATTTCTTTTTTAAACTCAGAGATGTGATGGTGAGGTTTGATCTTTTTACTGTGGAACCCAACATAGGTGGCCGGGATTGAGGAGGTATTGCGATGAGAAATGACTCAAATGTGACTTGATGGAAGTACATTTTTCATCAAACAAGAGTTCTAGTTTTAAATAGGGGAGGGGACTATTACGGCTGGGAGGGATTTTAGCAAATCCAAGCACTTTGATTTTTCAGTTGAGGAAAAAAGGCAAAATACAGTCTTCACTGGTGCAATGACAGTGTGCTATGGCATATATTTTAGAAAGAACATTGCATCTTGGGACAATAAATCTAATTTTGAAGTCACACAAAGGTCATTAAGAGCTTATGGGAGCTTGGGCAATATTCCTAACTTCCATGAGTATGTCCTTTTTTCATCGATAATAAGGGTACCAGTGCCTCCCCCTGCATCAGGGCTATTGAAGAGACTAGCATTTGAAGAGACTAGCATGGTACTTCTATTTTTCAAACTTTAAAGAGTTATTTCAGAAGGAAAGATCTAGTGAACATGGTCCTTTAAATCCTTCTGAAAAGGGCTTGTGTGCTTTTACTAGTGTTACATGATTACTGTGTTAATAACTTACTGTATAGATATCCTAAAGTATTTTTATCTTGTATTTTTGTAAACAGGTTATGGAATTTGCAGTGATGGGTCCTGGTAGTATCTAAAAACATATTTGTACTGCATCTGTGGGCCCTTCTGTATCTAGGCTATATTCCAACGTATGATTGTGTCTGCAGGAGAGTCTCCTCTGTTGCTGTCCAGTGTAACAAACAGCTCCTTGTATATTCTACCACATCTATTCCCATGCTTCATTGATTTGGAATTTGACTTGTTGCCTGTTGAACTGGCAAATAGTTGAGTGTTCTTTTGTGTAAACTTTGACAATGCTGATTCACAGTACCTTTAGTGACTTAATCTATATTAAGATAATCTGTATAAAATGTATCTATATATGTAGTCTGTTAAGAAACCTATATAAAGCCAAATTTTGACCTTTCTATGGAACGTGTATTTTTTTCCAGGATAACTTAGAAGATGATGATGTGGAAATGAAAAATGGTATAACCCAGGGAGACAAACTACGTGCCTTAAAAAGTCAGAGACAGCCACGTACCTCACCATCCTGTGCATTTAGGTAGATCTGTTTTAAACACTTCAATTTATAGTGTGCTTCCCTTTGTGAATAGAACATTTCATCTTCTCTTTAATCTGTAATCTTCTGTTTTGAATTTTGTTCTACAAATACTAAGTTTACTATTTTGTGTTGTTTATTGATTATTTTATCACTGTTGGGAGTAGCTAAAGTTTAGAAGTTTATTGAAAGCAACTGCTGCCATCTCAGTCTCTGGAATTCTACCTTAAGCTGCAAAGCAGTTATCTCTGGGACTCTGTTTCAAATTCTGTTTGGATTTCTCCCCTTCTGCTGTGAATGAGTTTCTTGTCCTGTGTTGGATCCTCACAGGTGTGCTGAGGCTGTTGTATTGACTCATAGTGTATATAAAAGTATTGTATGCCAGTCTCTGGCAATCTAAGCTAGTTCCTCAGCTTTACCTTCTATTTTTGAAAATTGAATAAGCAATTCTTACCTGTGCCTGTAAAGTTATAAGCCATCTTGACTTTGAAGTCTCAAACTACTCACCAGAATCAATGATGGGACTTGACTTCTGATCACATTTGAAACCTGCTGATAGCTCAGATTGGGTTTAAAAAAAGGGGAATCAAAAGGTGCAAACGTTTGTAAATATCATCATTTTTTAAAATTACAATATACTGGGTGGCAAGGCCCCAGTCCACAAATTAATATAATGGTAAGCAGCAACATTTTTTTGACTTATAAATAAGAGATACACATAGCAGAAGGATGTTTTGCCGGTATGGTAAACACCAAACAGATTCACAGGGAATTTAGTTTTCATGTGTAATCTGGGAGAAACTATAACACTGTAGTCAGATTGGGTCTTTACTGAGTTCCTGATCTAAGGAATAAAGGTTCATATTGCTCAAAGATGAGGTTATCATTTTCTGCAGTATTATGAGAAAAGGGGATAGCAAGCCTGGTTCTGGGTAATCTAATATCCATTTGCAAGGTTTCTCCCTTTTGCTAATTTAATATTTTTACTGGTTTGATACCATTTGATGTGCCTTGTGGTCTTTGTGAAAACGTGTGCCCTGGTGATATGTGAGCATCTGTCTTTGATTTCCGCAGGTCAGATGATACAAAAGGACATCCAAGAGCAGTGTCCCAGCCTTTCAGGTACTGCCAATGAGGTTGAATGTCTAGTAGCTTGTAAATATATGCTTCCTTTTAGCCATGTTTCCCAAGCCTCAAACACGAAAATCAACTGTACACAGCTTTTTGCTTTTTAAATTGCTTCCTTTCTCTTCCATATTGTTTATGCCTTATTTTTAATGCTCACCATGAAAAGGATTTTTTTTTTTTTTTGCTGGCATGCCCACAGGACTGTGTGGTGGTGGTAGAGACATCAATGTATTTTGTGCTCTTAGCACATTGTGGAGGGGGGTCTCTAAGAAACTACAGGTGCTCTGCATTTCTCCTTTTGATCTAGTGATAGATCTAGCTTAAATTGTTTTCATTTTTATTGGTCCTCTTTCTATTTTTTCCCAATCAGCATGCATTTGTTCCCCTCCTTTATTTTCTAGTCTTATTTTCTTCTCTACCTTCCTTTTCAAGAGGAAACACTAGTTTTGTTCTGTGGAAAAATGTCCCCTGAAACCTCCGGGAGTGGTACCACGATCTGGTGTGGCACTCAGTGAGAGCAGCAGAGATGTTTGGCCAAGAGTGTTGATGAAATAGGGGAAAGAAGCTCTTCACCTGCTGGTTCTTATTCATTCTTAGGTTTAGGACTGTTTAGTGAGGGCAGTTCAAAGAGGGCTTAAGCATCTGGAGCTTCTGGAGAAGCTTGAATTGCTTCTTTGTAGAACTTTTTCCATTTTTATTTTGGAGGCAAAACATGAGCTTAAGCTGCTGTTTGGTGGGTGGATAATGAAGGAAAGAGTCTACAAGTAAATAAGCTTTTCTCTAGCAGAGAGGAAAACAGAGTTCAGCTATATTAAATGATTTATCTAGGATCAAACAGATTTGGTATTAAGATTATGACTGGGCCCTGGCTCTCCAGATTTGAGTCAGTTTTTCCTTTTTGTCCACTTGGCAAATATTTATTGAGCACCTGCTCAGAATCCAGCATTGTGCTAGCCACTGGGAATTGAAATGAGAGAGAAGTCTTTGCCCTCAAGGAGCTTACATCAGGTAACGGAGATAGACAAATATCAGATGACGCAATATGGTATAAGAGCTATGATTTACTATGAGAATATATGATGAAACATATATTGCTTGGGAACTCAGAGAAGGCTTGCTTGATGAGGTAACAGCTGATTGGACCATTAAAGGCTAAGTGTGATAGAAGTGGGTCAAATGGACATGGAAGATAAGAGGTAGAGGATGGGAAGGAGATGAGAAAATGCCATGGCAGGGAAATAGTCTGTGCAAACTGGACAAACGTGTGGACGCTACCCATTCAGGGAACTCAAGGCATTCTTATGTAGCTGGAATAGAGATGTCCAATGGGAAAGTGTGGAAAGAAGGACCTGTCCAGATTTTGGAGGGGCTGCATATGCCAAGCCAAAGAGTTTCTATAGGCTTGTGGGCACAGAGGAAAGATGAAATGATTTAAACAGTGAAGTGACATGATTCACTGAAGGCTATTCACAATTTGAATTGTTTAGGAATAAGATTAAAAGATGCCACTTGTAGTCAAGGATAAGAAATAAAGATGGCCTCGCCTAGGGTAGTTTGCAGGGTGAAAAGAAGAGGATGGATTTGACATATAAGAAGTGGAATCTAAGGTTGTGCTGAGGAATGAATACCAGTGGCAAAGAAGGGCAGTGGCCCAGGAAGACAGGATCATGGCTAAGAGCAGGACTTTGACTCCTGGGTTTGAATCCCAGGTCTGCTGTTCACTAACTGAGTGACTGGATGAGGAACTTTTCCTCTGTGTTTTTGTTTCCTCACTTGTAAAGTAAGGACAGCAATATTAGCTACTTCTTAGGGTTGTTGTAAGGACAAGCTGAGCTGACATCTTTAAGGTTCTTAGAACAGTGCCTGGCAGAGTTAGTGCTGTGTCAGTGGTGGCTGCCGCTGCTGTCATCACTATTAGGACCTGTCATGATATCTTTAAGATTGATTAATTTATCTTGTCCTAGTTAGTTGCTGAATGTTTAAGATAAGACTACTTTATTGTGACACTTTGCCATTTTTCTCCGCAAAGATTAAGTTCATCCCTGCAAGGATCTGCAGTTACTTTGAAGACATCAAAAATGGCACTGTCCCCTTCAGCAACGGCCAAGAGGATCAACAGAACTTCTTTGTCTTCGGGTGCCACTGTAAGAAGGTAATTTTTCTCTCCCTCTTCTAAGGTGCTGGTTTGAGGTAAAGGAAGCTTGCAGCAGGCGATGAGTTTAGCTGCAGTTTTGTCAGAGGAGGGGACAAGGGAGAAGAGGAGAAACCACGGAAGACCCTGTGATGTTCTGGGGCTTCCGTTCCTGTCTTGGGAAGGCAGGAGACAAGGTTGTGGAGGGAATGGTGCAAAGCGTGCTCTTCTTCTAGAGAGTGAGCAGCTGGCTTAGTGTGATCCAGAAAATGGAGTTCAGTTGTATATACAAATGATATTGTCATTTCTCAGCTGACACGTATAGGCAAGGGAGAACTAACCAAAATGGGTAGGGATGTTTGATGTAGTCATGTGATTGAATATGTACTTAAGTCTGCTTTTAATGCTCCCCTTACATGGCCCTTTTCCTTTACTTCCCACCCCAGGGTAAATAAAACTCTGTGATGTTCTATTTCAAGATCTGTAGTCAAAGTGTTTTAGCCAGTTTCTTGGGTCCTAGTTAACTGCTTTTGACAAAGCAACTTGATATGTATAACTCAAGGCTACATATTATCATAACACCAAGGGTGATGAGGAAGCCATCCTGACATCATTCACATTGATCAGATTCATCTTCATCATGTTCCCCTAATGTCATGAGTATGTGTTTTAGAAACGTGAGCTCTGTGTGATTGTACATTGTTGTCTGTTTTTTCCCTCCTCACTTGTGTTTTCCATTCAGCTTTTCCATAAACTCCCGGCTAGCCAGTTCTCTAGGGAACTTGAATGCTGCAACAGATGATCCAGAGAACAAAAAGACCTCCTCATCCTCTAAGGCAGGCTTCACAGCCAGCCCGTTTACCAACCTCTTGAATGGCAGCTCCCAGCCAACTACCAGAAATTACCCTGAGCTCAACAATAATCAGTACAACAGAAGCAGCAACAGCAACGGGGGCAACCTGAACAGCCCCCCAGGCCCCCACAGCGCCAAGACAGAGGAGCACACCACCATCCTCCGACCCTCCTACACCGGGCTTTCTTCTTCTTCAGCGAGATTCCTGAGCCGTTCTATCCCTGTAAGTGCGCAGACACCACCTCCTGGTCCTCAGAACCCTGAATGCAACTTCTGTGCCTTGCCTTCCCAGCCGAGGCTGCCACCAAAGAAATTTAATAGTGCCAAGGAAGCCTTCTGAGCGATGCCTTCCCTCTGTGCTGTGAAACTGTCTATGCACTACATTCTGCTAGCTCCTCTTCAAGTAAACGCCAAGTCACAACTGGGTTTTCTTCCTTCCTTCTTTTTCTTCTTACCCCCAACTCCTTTTTAAGTAGTTTCTCTTAAAAGGGAAATAGCTTTCATTCTTTTGATTATGGGCATTGTTGACTTCAGTTACTTTTCAGTTATGTTTCCAATCACTCTGAATATCTGGTGCTAAGCCAGGAGCTGATTCATACAGTGGATAGCATTTGCTGGGGGTGCGCTGGTTTGGGGAATTATGGCTTTTTCCGCATCATATATCAGTGAATTAATTTTGGAGTATTGAAACGTGGAAGGTGCTGAGTGAACAGTATCTTCCTAGAACTAAGCATTAGGCCCTTGAATATTTCACCTCCTGCAAGGAACTGACCCAGAATAAAATAAGTGGCAAGTGGAAGATATTTCTAAGAAGGGCTTATAGGTAGGTACCTGGGATGCAAGGTGGGGAGCAAGCAGAGTATCAGGAAGGTGTTTAAAAGTAGCCAGCACTCTTCTAGAGAAAGGTGGGAAGACCTCCAAACACATCTTACCAATGAGATCTCTATTTAGGTTACCAAGCTCTCTTTAACAATCAACAATACCTGGTAAGGTAAACTCTGTTGGTAAACTCCTATTATGAATTACTTTAATAACCTGTTTTGATTGCCTCTAGGGGTATTGAGATCTATAGGAATGTGAGTTTCGATTTGAGAGGAACAAGGACAAATAGGAAGGAGAAATCAATCCTATGTATTAAGGAAATATGAAGCATGGTACATATACATACAGTGTTGCAACACTGATCGTACTCAGGGCATGAACAAGCCCTGGGTGTCTTGGAAGGCTCTGGCCTGGTGTCGCTTCACACTTGCTATTCTTGAAACATTTCCTCAGCCATCATCTAGGGAGTGCCTGCTTCTGTAGAGAAGAGGGGAGGAGGAAAGGTGCTGGTGGCAGTGTGCTGCGTATGGCCCACTCAGCAAAACAGGAGCCCCATGGTTCATTCTTAATGATATCTACTTTCTTTAGTTGACAGTTTAGAAACCATGAGGATGGGCCAGGCTCAGTGGCTCATGCCTATAATCCCAGGACTTTGGGAGGCCAAGGCTGGTGGATCACCTGAGGTCAGGAGTTCGAGACCAGCCTGGCCAACATGGTGAAACCCCGTCTCTACAAAAAATACAAAATTAGCTGGGCGTGGTGGCACGCACCTGTAATCCCAGCTACCATAAGGCAGGAGAATCCCTTAGAACCTGGGAGGTGGAAGCTGCAGTGAGCCAAGATCGTGCCACGGCACTCCAGCTGGGTGACAGAGCCACTCTCAAAAAAAAAAAAAAAAAAAAAAAAAAAGAAACCATGAGGATGAGGATGTTTTCTAACATGAGAATGCAGTGTGTGTGTGTGTGTGTGTGTGTGTGTGTGTGTGTGTGTGTTCATGTGTGGTTGCATTAGATTCATTACCACTCCTGTCCCTACCTGAGACCTCTTTTAAAACTTTTACCCTCTCTGTCCACTCTCAACCCATTCCCTAAGAGGAGCCTGGCATATCTGATGTTCCCTGTCCTATTTTACAGGCATGAGCCACCATGCTTGGCCTTGGCATTAGTTTAGATTCTTTTACAGATTAGGGTCCCAGGAAATTGCCAGCCCATCTACCCCTTAATCTGATTCTGATCCCATGATCCCACTATAAAAATTGGGTGTATAGGTATCATAAAAACTTAAATCCATGTAACTAAGGATTAGATGTAAAAAGATAATATATTTACATTTTCCTAACTATATTTATAAATCATATACTTTCCAGCAGGCATTGAGTTCAGTCAGCATTTTCACATACCGATTGTGGATCAGCCTCTTCTTTTGGATCAGAATGCAGATCTTTCCATTTTCAGAAAAAGTGCTAGAGATATATAGATAATCATACAGTCATGTGCTGCCTAATGATGTTTTGGTCAATAACAGACCATGTATACAATGGTGGTCCCATAAGACTATAATGGAGCTGAAAAATTCCTATTGCCTAGTGACGTCGTAGCCCTCGTAGGGTTATAACTGCAGTACTCATGTGTTGTGGTGATGCTGGTGTAAACAGACCTACTGTGCTGCAGCCATATAAAAATCTAGCAATACAATTATGTACAGTGCATAATATTTGATAATAAATACCTGTTACTGGCCTATGTATATACTATACTGTACTTTATATCGTTATTTTAGAGTATACACCTTCTCCTTATTAAAACAAAAGTTAACTGTAAGCCTCAGGCAGGTCCTTCAGGAGGTATTCCAGAAGAAGGCATTGTTGTTATAAGAAATGACAGCTCCATGTGTTACTGCTCCTGAAGACCTTCCAGTGGGACAAGATGTGGAGGTGGAAGACAGTGATATTGATTATCCTGACCTGGTGTAGGCCCAGGCTAATGTGTGTGTTTGTGTCTTCATTTTAAACAAAAAATTTAGAAAGTAAATACTAAAGATATTTAAAATAAAAAAAATAGGATAAGGATGTAAAGGAAGAAAATACTTGGTACAGTTACACATACAATGCTTATTTTAAGTGTTAATTTCAAGTGATTGGGAGTTGATAAAAACATTAAAAAATAGTAAACTAAGTATTATTACAAAAGAGTCAAAAGTTAAAACAATTAAGTTTATAAAATAAAAATGTTACAGTAAGCTAAGGTTAATTGATTATTCATGAAAGAAAAATTTTTAATATAGATTTAGTATAACCTAAGTGTACAGCATTTATAAAGTCTACAGTAGTGTTCAGTAATGTCCTAGGCCTTCATGTTCACTCACCACTCACCCACTGACTCACCCAGAGTAACTTCCCTTCCTGCAAGCTCTATCCATGGTAAGTGCCCTTTACAGGTGTACAATTTTTAAGTCTTTTATACCATATTTTTACTGTCTATTTTCTATGTTTAGGTATGTTTAGACACACATACTTACCACTGTGTTATAGTTGCCTGCAATATTCAGTAGAGTAACATGCTGTACAGGTTTGCAGCCTAGAAGCAATAGGTTATACCATTTAGCTCAGGTGTGTAGCAGGCTCTACCATCTAGGTTTGTATAAGTGCACTCTATCGTGCACACAGCAATGAAATTGCCTAAGGATGCATTCTCAGAATGTATCTTTGTCATTAAGTGATGCATGACTATGTAAATACCTTGCAGATTACATACGTAAAGGTATTGTGTAATCCACATTTATAGCTGAATGCCAGTAGCATTGGTAGCTTGACAAGAATAATGTTCTACTTTTTTGTTTTCCTCTTTGCTGGTAGAACCATGGGGGCAATTCTTTAGACAATTGTTAATCTCCCCTAATGATGTTTACATAACTTGATTTGGGTCTCGTTCCGTATTTTGTTATTTCTTTTCACTTCTCCTCCTCCTCGTCCCTCTTCTGGCTAGAATAGAGTGATTTTTAAATAATTCAATTTAAGTAATAGTCTGTGTGGGCAGTTGCTGCCACTTCCCTTCTCCTCCCTCCTAAATTTATCATCTTATTGTAAAGAAAAGCATTTATAAATAGAATTATCAACACAACATTTTCCTCCCTCTCACCCTCCCTGGAAGTAAGAAGCAGCAGGTCTTTGTAGCAGACCTTCCCCCCTTTAACTTTGCTTAGAAAACCTCCTGTGAGAGGGAAAGCTCCAAGTCCTACTTCTGCTGACTTGTGGTCAAAAAGCTAAATTATGATGAAAATTCCCACTTTGTGTGGAATAAGATAGGAGATTATGAGTTATTTTTGTTTATGGTCCAGTGCAGCTTGTCTAATTATACTGGGTTTATTGTCGAAATAAGATCATACTTCTAGTTCTAGTACTACTGAAGATGTGAGATTAGGAGCCTTGAAGAACTAGGAAAATCACTCAATAAAAATGTTTTAAAATTCTTAGGTAGGAAAATGAAGTCTGCATGGCAATATCCTCCCAGAACCTTTAAGAAAGACCCAGAAACTCTTAGGGGATGGGGGTTATGGGTATTTAGAGGGAATCTAATATTTTAAAAGCTACAATTAGCATCTCTTTTGAAAGCTGCAATTGCTCACTCACTTTTTGCAGCAGTTCAGCCCCCAGAAAAATGTAAAAATGATTTCCTTATTCTGTCATTAAATCGTTTAACACAGAAAACAAGAACAAATGTTAAGGATTCCTTATGGTTGTGACAGAATGCTGAGGAACAGTCAGATTTTATTTTTATTAATTTGTCCTCTTTTGCTAGTCTTGCAGTTTCTACTGCCCTGTGCAATGCACACACACAAGGTTACATTTTTGTTGACCCACTTACTGTAAAAAATGAGTTTCACTCCCTGACACTCAGAGGAGTTTTCAAATGCTTAAGAAATGAGGGACATGTGATTATGGTGTAGGTGGGGTGGAAGTATTTTATTAAATTGAAATTACTTGTGGTATCTGTCTTGAATATTTGCTATGCTTTATTTTTATGACACTTAATCACTGGATTACTAGTCATCTACATTGACCTTACCTGACCCCCAACTCTGAGTTAGTTCATGTTGCTTCTCCCATAAGCCTCTCTACATCCCACCTTGGTCTAAATCAGAATACTCTTTTTCACTCAGAATTTGCATAATCCACTAGACTATATGCTTTGTGAGGGCAGGGATGGTGCCTCTGGTTTTTATAGTTATGTGCCCTGTGCATGGCATATATTAGGCACTCATTAAGTATTTGTTGATTGGATAAAATGATGGATGGTTAAATGAATGAATGCTCTGTAGCTTTAATAATAAAACTATACAAATAAGTGAAACTTATTATAGCCTGTAATAAGCTTTGTTATGCACTCTTCTATCTTAATCTTCAAACATTTGCAGGGATATTCTCATAGTGAAGGTTGTAGGTAATGTCAGTGGTGCCATTGTCTCTTGGAATTTTTCCTTTCTTCTCCATTCAGTTGCTTCCTCATCCCTGTTGTGTTTGAGTCTTTGATGATCTTCCTAACTTGTCTCTTTCCACCTTTAATTCTTACTTTAAAGTAGGGTTGGCAAACTTTTTCTGTAAAGGGCCAGATAGTAAAGATTTTTAGCTTTGTGTCCCAACTATTCAACTCAATACATAAACGAAAAGTGTGGCTAATATTAAATAAAACTTTATTAACAAAAATAGGTGGTGGGTTGCATTTGGATAGTGAGCTGCAGTTTGCCAACCCCTGCTTTAAAGCATTGCCAGATAAGAGATATAGATTTCAACATCTTATTTCCCTGTTCAGAAATGACCAGTGGTCCCTTAGTGCTAGAACATAAATACTGACTTTCTTTGTTGAGCTTTCAGGCCCTCTGTACTGCATTTCTGTAGTATTGTATCTTTGCACCAGCATTTACCTTGCTTATTCTCTTGTTTTCTTCTCCCACAGTGTTCATGCCTACTGCTAGTCTTTAGGAAGCCCTTTCTTGGAAGCCCCCTGCTCTCCTTACCAATTTCTCATCTTTAAATAAAGACATATATTACCTCCCATGTCTTCTGTGAAGCTCTCCCCAGTAAGTGGAATCCACCCTATAATTAATACTTTATTTTATCATGTATGCTATTATATACATGAACATCTATATTTGTTTACATATTGTCTGTGTATGTAAGAATTGTCTCCAAATTTAAACTTCTTTTGCAGACATTTCAAAAAGTTCTTTTATAGTTCATGGTTTCTAACACAGTACCGGTCACAGGAGGGAATTAAAAATTAAAATACTCATTTGGTTGAAAGTTGAAAGCAAAATGGAAATGAAATATTGTGTGCTTCCTACTTTCCCTCAGCATTCTTATATGATAGTTGAAGTTGGCTTAAATGTAGTTCTCTTTTCTAGTGTTAGTAGCATTTTTATACTCAGTTGGTTAATGCTGCTCTTTGGTTATGAAGACTCTGGATGTTTTCCACCTCAAATTTGACAAACGTAAGAACAATCTTGGTAGCCTATGAATAGGTTAAGTTCTTCTGTGTTCTAACATCAGGCAGAATACGTATGTGTTTTAAGGAATTATTGGTCCTTAAAGTAGGACCTGGAATGAGATCAAAATATTAGAATCTAGCTTTATAAAATAACCAGTTTGATGAAAATCTGAGTGATTGGCAGTGCACTAAAGCATGGTTCATTTGTACTTTGGGATAATGTTAGTGCTGACAGTGATAAGCTACTTACTGATTGTTTGAATATCCATTCCCAGTAAAGTGCTGATACTTTCCAGTGGTATGTAGTAGTGTTTCCCGATATCAACTTGTTGTCTTTTCCCTCTGCCTGTTCTCCATTTTAAAAATTGGTCATCTTGTCCTGATTTTAAATAGGACATTTTTATTCGTCTGCTTTTGTCGCTATTAAGAAATACCTGAGGCTGGGTAATTCATAAAGAAAAATGGTTTATTTGGCTCACAATTCTGTGGGCTGTACGAGCATGGCACCAACAACCTGCTTGGCTTTGCGTGAGTCCTCAGGAAGCTTACAATCATGGTGGAAGGCAAAAGGGGATCTTGTGTATCACATGGCAAGAGGGAACAAGAGAAAGGGAGGATGTGCGAGGCTCTTTTAAACCACCAGATCTCATGTGAACTCATAGAGTGGGAACTCACTCATTACTGGGAGGACAGCACAAAGCCATTCATGAAGGATCCACCGCCATGACCCAAGTACCTCCCACTAGCCCCACCTCCAACACTGGAGTCACATTTCAACAGGACATTTGGAGGGGATAAAACATCCAAACTATATCAATATTCATTTATTAATTCATATTAATATTGTTAAATATTAACTAGGTGTTAATATTTATTACAGTTAAAGGTACTAGCTTTCTATCCTCTTGTTGTATATTTATGTTGCTGTGGTTTTTCATCCTTCCTCTTTGTTGTGGCATTGCTTTAGATTTGATGTAAGTTTTCAGCTAAGGGATACTAACTACATATCAAGAACATGAGCTCAATCTCAGTATTGAACCACATCTTTGGCCTTCATTCAACATTGCGATTTTTTTTCCCTTCCCAAGGGGACCTGAGAATGCTACTTGACAAAGCATCAAATTGTTATGAGGTCAGCATGGTTCGGATGATGCCTTTAAATATGCACATAAACTGTTTATATGTTTGCAGTATTTGTAGATATATGTAACTATAATTTAAGTTTCCAGTGTTAAATAGTAGTTTATGTTACTTTTCTGTATAAAACCTGTCAGCTGTTTTTGACTGTACATTTGAAAAGACTTGAAAACATAAAACTTGCTTTAAGTGATAAGGTTGATCAGAAATATATAATAGGTAAGGATTAATTTATATTTTCAATGTATTAGAGTTATGAATCACCCTGGTTGTTCAGCTTAATTTTATACTTTCTTATGTAGTGTCAATAATACTACTAGGTCAATAGAAAAGAGTCTTATTTTAATCTTGCATCTTATTTTTTTGGCTAGGAGTAAAAGAAAGCAAGTGCTTTTTATATACCTATAAAAGCTGGCTAGGTGCAATGGCTCACACTATAATCCTAGCACTTTAGGAGGCTAAGGCGAGAGGATCACTTGAGGTCAGGAGTTTGAGACCAGCCTAGGCAATACAGAGAGAACCCGTATCTTAAAAACTGAAATTAAATGAAATGGAAACTTATCCAATTAATAAAGCTATAGCTAATATTTATGTAAGTGTCTAGCTTGAGCCTAGTATTTTTTTGGTAGAGCAAGGTGAGACAAATACATACAAGCCATTGTCCTCCACTAGATTAAAAACTTCATGCAGGCATCTTCTGGTAGAATTGATTTGCTCTCATTTTTCTGGTCCTTTCTATTTTTGCACTGCTGCCAGAATCCACTTAAAATACCAGTTTCCTAATGTAAGCCTTTGTTTAACAGCTTCTGTGGTTGAAGAATAAGACCAAATATTATAAGATTTTTCCTCTTTTTCCTGAAATTCTGTAGTTTCACCATAATATAGCTATATACAGATTCATTATTATTTATCTTGCCTGGCATCAGTGTGTACTTTCAATCTTAGGGCTGCTTTTTTAGTTATGGAAAATTCTCAGCCATCATTCTTCTTTTTTTTTTTGTAGAGAGAGTGTCTTGCTATGTTGCCCAGGTTGGTCTCGAATTCCTGGCCTCAAGTGATCCTCCTGCTTTGGCCTCCCAAATTGCTGGGATTACAGGCTTGAGCCACCACACCCGGCTCCACTATCTTTTTGGATATTGCTTTACTGCCTTTCCCCTTATTTCCCTTATTTTCTCCTTTTGCAATAGCCCCACAATTTTTTTTTTTAATAGAAGGAGTCTCACTCTGTTACCCAGGCTAGAGTGCAATCTCAGCTCACTGCAACCTCCACCTCCCAGGTTCTCCACCTCCCAGGTTCAAGTGAATCTCCTGCCTCAGCTTTCTGAGTAGCTGGGACTACAGGTGTGCACCACCACGCCTGGCTAATTTTTGTATTTTTAGTAGAGATGGGGTTTTGCCATGTTGGCCAGGATGGTCTCAAACTCCTTACCTCAGGTGATCTGCCTGCCTTGGCCTCCCAAAGTGCTGGGATTACAGGCATAAGCCACTGCATCCAGCCAATAGCCCCCAAACTTATATTGGAGACTTTCAATCTGTCCTCAATATATCTTACCTTCTGTTTTATATTTTTCAGTTCCTAAGCTCTAGCTGTATTCTGATTGAATTCCTCCTATTATTTTCAATTCGTGAATTTTCTTTAATGTGTCCATTCTGGAGTATATCCCCCAATCCACTGACCTTTGATTTCAGGGGCTATATCTTTCTTTTCCAGCATTTCTAATTTGATCCTTATGATAGCCATCTGTTATAATTTGGGCCCGCCTGTTTTTGTTTTATGGCTTCTTATTCTTTTTATATGTGTGTGTATATATATAGATATATATATATATTTTTTTCACTTGAAGGATCTCAGGTGATAAGCCATTTTGATATTGCTTTGCTATTTGCATTTCATCCTGTGAGAGTTTGCCTTGTGGTTGCATACTTCGTCAGTTCTCATAATGTTCATTTGCCTTGTGTGTTAGGGAATTTGGTTGGTAGGTTCAGATGGGATGGGAGTGTTGGTGTGTTTCTCTCCTCTTTCTCTCTCTGTTTTTCCCTCCTCGTCTGCTGGCCTTCTTGTTGGCTCTGCCCGATCATCTAGGCCTTTCAGTCTAGAAACAGACCTTAATGACCCAGGCTTCCATCTCTTGGTGAGCTCCTCCCAGGCTTTCTTCTCAGGCAGGGATGTGGCTCCATCTCAGCCCTGGCCCGAGGGCAATGGTCCCAATTTCTCTCAGCCTCCTTCCCCATGTGGGAGAGCCTGACTCCACCCCTGATTTCAGGCCAGGGGCTTTCGACCTATGTACCCACATGAATGGAACACCCAGCCACTTCTGCAGGCTTCCAGCTGTGTAGCCAGAGTCCCACCACTGTCTTGATTGTTTCTGGGTCACAAAGATGTTGATCTTGCTTTTAATTTCTGCTGTGCCCTTTCTTTCTTCTTCATCTTTAAAAAATATTTAATGCATGCATCCAGAGGGTAGTTTGGAGTGTACCATCTCGACATGAAGTAGGTCCAGTCTCTGCAGCTTGCTGTTTAGTGCCTTTTTCAGCTTTCCCCAACCAGCTTTCCAAACTCATATCCCTCCACTCCTGAGCATGAACCTTCTGCTTCTGCCAGGCAGTTTCTTATGTCCTTGAACGTGCATGGCTCCTCCTACCTCTGTGCTTTTCTTACATGCTATGTCCCCAACTTGGTCTCCCTTCCTCCCTCCCTTTGCTTCTCACCTCCTTTCCATCAGGAGTTGGGCTAAGTCTAACCTCCTCCTCTGTGAAGCCTTCCTTAATCTCACCAGACCATAGCAATCATGATGTTTTTTGAAGTCATTCTGTTTGTATTGGTTATTGGCCTTCCTCATCCCTCTTTTGTGTTGAGAGTCACCTATCTTGTGGATGTGGGCCTTGAATCCCCACTGAATTCCTTGATTGAGGTTAGAAAATGTCTTTTATTTTTGTTATCTCCAAAGCATCTGGCATTGAGCTATGCTTACCTGTTTGATTGTGGGTATACTCAGTCCATACTTGCATCTTTTCTAATACTGTGTAGGTCATTTGTTTCTTCCAAAAATTTGAATTTTACTGTGTGTGCACATGTGTGTCAGATCTTTAACTTAGAAAGGCATATTTTTATTGCACCTTCCTCTTACACACACATACACATACATGTGGATGTGCATGCATGTGCAAAGAAGCACAGACACCACGTGCACATTGCTTGTAAAATCATTGGATTTGCCCGTAACAGAAACCTTTGGTAAATGACGCAGGCTCTCCTTGATAGTGAATGTCTAAACAACTCAAAGGTTGATATATGTGGGAGAGAACTGTTTTTATCAGTTTAGAAGTAGATATTTTTCTCTCTTGGGCAGACTGTTGTGAGTCCTTCAGCCTTCTGTTATGAAAAAGCAGTAGACTGTAAGAGAAAATCATGAAGTCTCAATTTGAAAGTGAGCAAAATAAGGTTGACCCATTCTATCTCATTTTCCCTTATTTACTCTTTAAGTACACATTACTTACTCTCTGGTAGCTCCTGAATCTTTATGGTTAAGAGGGGAAAGGCTGTGTTCCCATTTCCTATTAGGAACCTCGTTTCCATGCTCTCCTGTCTTTTGAAAACATCATCCAAGGATACTCATATCGTTTTGTCCTCATCACTGTTATCACCTCCCTTCATCCCTGGAAGACTTTTGCTTCTACTTTTTAGCTGCCTGGGCACTGCCAACATTCTGGACAACTGTAACATTTTTCTAATCATTGTCATCATCCACTGTTTCTTGAATACCTTCTATGTGCCTGGCATGGTATTAGGTACTTTATATCCATTATCTTATTTATTTAACCTGCTATTTACAGATGGGGAAATCAAGACTCAGAATGGCAATAACTTGCCCAAGGTGTCACAGTGATCTTATTTTAAACTTTCTTAACCTCAGTTATCTTTATTTTTGTTCACTTGAAAATTCATTGAATAAACCTTCTTATTGCTTAGCACATTGCTTCTGACATCTTGAATCCTGCCAGCCTCCTTTAAACATTTCCCCCTCCTCCTAACTCTGCTCCATGACCTCTTTCTGACCCTGCCTGTTTCCCCAGCCATCTCAGTTCACCTCTTTCCTTCTACAGCCTGCATAGTCATTTTTGCTTCCTTTTTCCAACATTCTCACTGCTACTTGGACATTCTGTAACCACTTGATTACCAGCCTCCAAAATTAGATCAATTCAACCATCTGTTGTATCTGTTCCTCATCTCTCTCCTGTGAGCACTGTTGGAGAAAATCCTATAACTTTGCCAATTGGCTCCATCTCAAATGTGTTTCTAATTTACCCGGCCCTTCAGTGCTCCTAATTAGTTGTTTTATCCCTTTTTGGCTCCTTTTCTCTTCCCCACCTGGCTGTTCCAAAACTTTTTAACATTTTTCACCAACACAACCCCTTCCTGATCTCCAGAGCCAGCTGACCCTGCTTTGAGATCTGCTAAGAACATAGAATTTATCAGAAGTAATTTCCTCTAACTTCCCTCTTCTCTGTCTCAAAGTTTATCTGCATCTGGACTCATCCATTTCTTCCTTCCCTTTTAATTCCAAAGAAACTCTACTGTTTTCCAATGATAACTCTACCTACCTGTACTGTTCTTTCCAGAATCTTTCATGAAGTTGCCCTAACCACTTCCTTCTCCTTTTGTATCTTCAGCCTCTTACCCTCCGTTTGCAGGTCTCCTCAACTGCAAATGTGCACATCCAAGTTGGTAGGCTGGTGGGGGCTGGGGAGGAGTCTTCCCTTGGCCCTGTCTTCCTCTCACAGTTTCTCCTTTATGGCCACACTTGGGGAAAGAGAAGCCTGCACTTCCCCCTCCCTTGTCTCTTTGATACTCCTCCGCTCTACAGCTGGGAGGTGGCCCCTCATTCTGGTGAAAGTCTCTCCCGCAGATTACTGCCGACTTCTTCAAGGCCAGATCTGATGGGCTCCTGTTAGTCCTTCTACTCCTAAGCCTGCCCCTTAATGATTGTCCTTACATTGGCTCTTTCTCTTTGGGTAACCTCCTGAGCATTGGACCTACACTCCCAGCTTCCTCTGGGTGTTACCTGGGATAGAGAGAATACAGGTTCCTTCCATTGCCAGCTCCTCTTTGGTTTCCTAGCCGAATAATCTCATCTTTATTCATCCAGTCATCCAAGCTAGACATTTGGAGTCAGCTTTGACACTACTTCTGCCTGCCTTTCCCTTGTCACACCAGTCACTAAGTCCTATCAAGTCTCCCTCTAAAATGCCTCTGTCCTTCCATTCTTACCACTGCTGCCTTAATTGGGGTCTTCATGAACTATCGCATAGCCCTTTCTGTCTTCCTGTCTCTTACCTTTAATCTTTCCTCTATACTGTTGCCAGTGTTAAATTTCTGAGACACAGAGCTAATCAAATCCTTCTCATGTTTGGCTTTGTTCAGTGGCTGCACTCTGCCTACTGGGTCAAGTCTGGCTCCCCTGGCTTGGCATTCAGGGTTCTTCCCTGTCGGGCTGTGTGCCTCCCTGCCAGCCTCCTCTCCAGCAGCTCTACCTGGCACGACCTGCCTTAAGCCTGAACCCTAGCACTTGCAGTCCACTCTGCTTTCCCTTGTTTCTCTGCTTGATTTTGTATTTCTTGACCTGGCTCGATAGTTATCTTTTTGATAAGCATTTGTGACCCATCTAAACAGAATGGCTCTTCCTTTCTCGACTCTCCTAGGAGCGCTGACACTCTCATATTATAGTCAGTTATACATGATTCTCTCTCTCCTCTGCTTTCCTTTAAGCTTCTCAGAAACATCTCTTGTTTCCTGAGGTTCCACAGTACAGTATAAGTGCCTAATAAATACTTATTGAACTAAAAGTCAGATAATGTATCTGGGTTCGTGAATGTTAAAGTGTTTAGGAGCCTGGGTCTCATTGTTAGCATATGAAGCACTAACAGAAAACAAACAAGTTTCCAGCTTTAGCTTTAATATACGGTAATCTGGGAGTTGTGTATTTTTTTTCTAGAAATGTGGCTTTACTAAAATAAGAGAAAATAAATTTTAACTGAGTTTGCATCAATATAATTTTGGTGTTCAGATGAACTGAAAACACTCATGTAATGGTTGGCTGAGTCAAGCTGGGTGTCAACAATCTGTCATCTAACAATTGAGCTCTTTGTGATTGTTGAAAAGCATATATTAAATTTCTCCAGAAAAAAGAATCTATTAAAAATCATGTAGGAAGGTGAAAGACTATTTTATATAGCATTATAATGAGCCCAAATTGGCTTTTTAAGTCTTGAAGTCCCTGAAATGCACAGAGAACACTATGGAAAAATGCACACACACCTTTCGAACCTGATTTTAACACAAACCTTCATCCTTTTATCTTAATATGATGCCAATAAAACCATACCCAGCTACATTTCATCTAGTGTTATTGGAGGAAATATGTATCATATTAACAGAGGCAAATTCTTTCAGTATTGTACATGTTGGGTACAATATACACTACTTGGGTGACAGGTGCACTAAAGTCACAGACTTCACCACTATACAATTCATCCATGTAGCCAAAAACCACTTGTACCTCAAAACCTATTGAAATAAAAAATAAAAAATACTTTCAGTATTGTGAAACCACAGTTATGGAAATAAGTATCAATGCACACATTTTATGTGTTAATTTGTGAGCAATACAAAAACTGGAAACTCTATTACAAAGGCTTAAAGAGACATAGGAGTACAGAGGCAGTTATGGGTGTATTTATTTTTCCCCAGTGTTGTATTTGTTCATTAAAACTTAAAACACTATAGTTATGTATATAAAATACCATGTTGCCAAGCATGTATTTTTTCCTTTAATTTCAATCACATTAAAACAAACCATTTTTATTTTAGGTTCTTTTTGCCTCTGTGGTTAGAACTTAAACCAGGGATAACTAGTACACTATTGTTTATTCCTTAAAGGACTGGGGAAAATGTAGGAAAGAAAATGTCAGTGTGGCAAAAAAGTCCATGAACATTTTGAATCAGGATTTTGACCTTAGTAGGATGCTAACATTCCAGGCCATTGGATCCTTTGGTTCAAGTTATTTGAACATTAAGACATCGTTACATTCATTTGCTGTCAAGGACCTTAATCTTTCATTATTCTTTATAATTTGCTGTTTTTGATAGCTAACATGTTTTATTTATTAACCATCTGTACAATATTTATATCTGTAATTATTAGACATGTTCCTGCCATGATTAGGTAACTGGGCTGTTTAAAAAAGAAACACCTCCAGAATAGCTAAAATTTTAAAGTTACTACCTACATCTGCCAAAACAGATTAGTAGCAGATTTCCAGAACAGAACAAATTGTCTTGATCTCCTTACCTAACACTTTGTTTTATGTCAAATCTTACTGCTTTCAGGGAACAAGACTTCTTGATGGAAGCTTATATTTTGACATAAAAATTTTGGGGGCTGCAAATGTAAGGCAATTTTATCCTTATTTTTCAGGTTGAATATTGCTACATTATTAATTTTATGGTATTCATACAATAAGAATACCACATATTCATAATAAACTTGATCTGGTCCTAACTCACTATAACTCTGTTGAGCTTACTAATTAAATGAGCTTGAATATTATATTTGAGAAATTAAAATCTCTTGGTTATATAAACAAGGGCTAACTTCTAAAATAATATTTGTACTTCAGGTATAAAAATTATTTTCACTTTCTTTATAACCATCTTCACTGTCATTGTTATAATTTATTTTGTATTTCAGATTCATTAATTCATTATTGTAACAACTAAAAACATTGGCCAATCAGAATTAAAACTTTAATCAACTCATAATACTTAAGCATGGATGTTCTTATAATGAAAATTTCTTTTAAATTTAGAATATTCCTGAAAATTCTTTGAATTCAGGCCTGATGAAAATCATTCAAAAATGTATTTATCTTTTAATGCAACAAATATTTTTTAATAATTTTTTTTATTCACTCAGAATCATATCTTGCCTAAGGTCATTATTTGTCTATGTTAGGGTGATAGAGAATGTTGGATTGAATATGTAGTGATCACAAGGCAAATGCTCGCTGTCTTGAGACATTAAACTATGGTAGCTAAGGGTTTGAGCTTTAGAGTCAGACTGCTAGGGTTCAAATTCCAGCTCCACCAATTCTTAATTACATGAATTGGGGCTAATTACTGCTTTGTGCCTCAGTTTCCTCATCTGTAAAGTGGGTTGTCTGAAACATTTAATGCGTGAATATGTATAAGATGTTTAGAACTGTCCTTAGCATATAGGAAGTACTCAAATATCTAGTTCAGAATAATTGATGTGTCAAGTAATATATCTAATTTGTTAAGAAGTTCAGCTAGTTGTATTTAATCTATTTTTGAATACGAAAATCAATAGCAATAATATTGTTCATGGAATTCAAAATGCAAATGCAATTTTACTATAAAATGTAATTTTACTATAAAAATTAAAAATGCCAGTAACTGGCTATAGTCTTTTCTGGGATATTAGTAATTTTACAATACATGGACATTTGGAAAACATTGTATATAGTTGGTAGTCCTACCTGTGACTACAAAAAAAGCATGAAGTTATGCTTTGTTACGATGTGTATTAGGTCCCACCAGGCACTCATCTGGCTTATCTATCTAACCTGTCTAAGATTTGAAATGGAGAGTACTTGTGTTTTTCCTTGAGGTTTCCTCAACTGTGGCTGAGTACAAATGACCCAGAGAGACCGTCAGCACAACCCCGTAGGATAACCATGTGATACCTGAAGTTTAAATATTCCTGTCATCCAACACTGTTGCTCCCTGAATAGAAAGGTCTCACAGTGTTAGTTATGCTTTTGTTAAGTGAATAGATCTTGGAGACTTGAACAATTCTCTTCTCCCCTTAGTGCATTTCTTTCTTTCTTTTTTTTTTTTTTTGAGACGGAGTTTTGCTGTGTCACCCAGGCTGGAGTGCAATGGAGTGATCTGAGCTCGCTGCAGTTTCCGCCTCCCGGGTTCAAGTGATTCTCCTGCCTCAACCTCCCGAGTAGCTGGGATTACAGGAATGTGCCACCATGCCCTGCTAATCTTTTGTAGTTTTAGTGGTGATGGAGTTTCGCCATGTTGGCCAGGCTGGCCTTGAACTCCTAACCTCAGATGATCCACCCGCCTCGGCCTCCCAAAGTGCTGGGATTACAGGTGTGAGCCACTGTGGCCCCCTTAGTGCATCTGTATTAAGATTTTTATTTTAGATTGAAAATGAAAGGAAGTTAATTTGTTACAAAATACTGATGTCAGAATAATTTGCTGAACCCTTTTTACTGATCTTTCATTTCACTTTCCTTTATACCATATAAAGAAACCATGGAACATGTTTTGTTTTGAGGACTTTGGTATTGTATTTTTATCCTCTAGTGCTTAATAGATACAACTTATGTTCAGTAATTATTTGTTGAATGAATTGAACTGGTGGGACAGAAGGTCAATTCGTTGGCCAAATGGTGTCATCATTTGTTTGCAGAGGCCTGCAGGGCCAGTTAGGCAACATAAGAGAGCAAACTAGGGGGTTGGAAAAGGAAATAGTGGGGCTTGTGGTGAGCTGTATCTGAGCCTAGATTAAACACCAGCCAGAGTTTTTGAGCTCTGTGGAAGTAAAGGCTTTGGATAGAAGACTAATGAATATATTCTCCATATGAATAATAGAAATCTTTAAAATGTTCTAGACTATTTCTGTTTTCCAGTTCACTGGGTACTGTGATTCACTAAATAAATATGTAAATAAATGAATATATATATGTGTGTGTTTATATATATAAATATATGCACACACACATATTTGCCCCTCTATATTGATGTACATATGAAATACTTTACCCTATAAAAAAGTTGGTTTAACAAAGGTCGCTTGTCTAATGTTTATTTGCTACATCTCTGTTTATTGATAATTGATGGAGCTTGCAAAAACAACTTTGTTCTAAGTTATATGCAGTTTGAAGAATTTCTGATTTCTGTTAGTGATAACATGCACAACTTTACTAATCGGAACAAAAGTAAAAGTTAAATATTCTCAAGAAAGCACTAGCTGAGCTACACACACACACATACACGCACAACATACCTTTGTGGCATTCTTATAGCTGGGGGACTTAACTGGCTCTGCCCTCTGACTGCTTGCCAGACTTAGAAGAAACCGAGAAAAAGCAGGTAGAAAAATGTTTATGCTCTAATTGCGAGTGTGGTAGCTGGCGTCCCTCAAGTGGAATGTATATGGGCTTCAAGGCTTTTGACCAACTTCACTGGACTTTCTTAGGGTCTTACCTCTTTTATTCGCACTGTGGGTTCAGGTATATTTATAGTATAGTGCTCTGATTCTTGATCATCTCACACCTATTTTGAAGTATTAGCATGAACCACATACAAGAAAGTCAATAGCCAAACCTTTTCCATTCTTCCTACAGCTCTTGAAACTGGCAGCCTTGAGAACCACCCATTTCCCTTACTACCTCTCACCTAAGCCTTTCCTGGTGCACGATGTTAACTTTACACTATGTATATTACTATTTAATGTCGACACCGCTGTCTTTTCATTTCACATCTGTTATGACATTGTGGCTTTCGCCCTTTGCGGTCAGGGACCATAACTCTTTGACATACTGTGTTAACAGGGACTTACTCAGGAACAGCCATTTGGCTGTTCATGGGGTGTAAAATTCACTGCAGTTTTGAAGCTGAGAAAAGATAGCTTGAATCCTTTTGTAAGTTCTTTGGAAAATGGACAGATTCTTTTTTACTGATAACCTATATCATCACCAAAATGGACCTGTCTTATAATTGACTAGACCTGTTAATGAAATGTTACAGACTAATTTGAGAAATAATTATTGGGTGGGAGAAAAGGGCATTTACTAGAAAATCAAGTAAACTTTGTTATCCTCAGGTATTTAATTGGAAGAATTGAGCAAAAAATTTGTTAATGTTTAGATTGATTTATGTTCCTTTTTCTAATCACTGTTTCCTGCTAAAAAAAATAACTGTTTGGCAAACTTTCTGTAACTCTCTATCTTTTCCTGGTTTATGTCTGTTGTCCCAGGCATTCTGATTACATATCCCAATCACAATCCTTTTATATGTTAGTATCTAATGTGATGTGGAAGAATTTGTATGGTTTACTTGAAAATTGCCTATTGTTTATTAAATTCCGACAGCAAGACTCTTCTGCATAAATGTTTTTGGGTCTTAAGATCAGATTTCAAGCTGGTAGTACTTCATTTCCCCTTAAGGGAAAGGATGTGTAAGATATTTATAAATTCAAGCATGCTTAAGGAATTTATTTAAATGGCTGCTAATTCTACTGCATTAGAAGCATGCCATTGATATGTACTGAATTAAATTTAAGGATATATCATCTCAAAGTATATTCTAGTAATCTTTAATTAGTTAAAAGTATCTTTTAATATTGTTAAGTAAAACTCATTAATTGTAGAAATGCTTAGAGATGAGTTTAGGCTACCTACCGATTTTTAAATTAAAACTTAATTTTTTAATCACTATAAATAAATTAGTAAACCTTTTAAAATATAAAGTTTTCTTACAATCACTTTGCGTAATTGAATATCTCATTCTTACCTAGCTAATGCTTTGTGTCTCCTGTCTTTTTGTTTCTGTTTTGGCTTAGTTTATTTCATTGATCTCTAAGCTGTCTTGTGTGGAAGGGAGAAGCTGCATGACTTGCTAGAAGTTTTACATGTGATGGAATTTAACCTCAGTTTATGTCTCTCCCTGCACAGTCCCTTCAGTCTGAATATGTTCATTACTAAGGCCTTGCCACTCCAGTGAAAGCTGTTCTTCTCTTAGACACAATTTCTTCATCTGGACGAGCAGTGGAGAGGGAAAGCAACTTCTTGCTGGAAGAATATCTCTGCCTTCTTACCTTAAATTAAAAAGAGCACTAAGATAACACCTTCAAGAGACTTGAAAACAGAAAACTGGTTAATGACTACTATAAATGCACTGAAACTATGTTTATGGAGATTTCCATACTTTTAAAGACAGTTTTAATGTTGAATTTGGTATTTTGAAGGGTTATTTTTAATGTATTTTGGTAATACATTTATTATTATATTTACATGTACAGTGTTACATTATATATGTATTGTGAACTTTAAAAGACTATTTTGATAAATTTATAAATATATAAAATTATGTAAAAACTACACTATATTTTGATTTAGATTTTCCTGCTGTTTGCTACCAAAAATTTGTATTTTAAATCTGTTTAGTTTTAGTATGGTTTTGTCTCTAATGAATAAATAATTCCTTCTTATTAAGAAGAAGTAAGGGAGAAAGTTTTTAGAAAGTGATTTTTATGCTCGCACTATAAATATGGCAGGTCAGTTCATTCTTTTGGGAAGTCAGTTTAGTTACACTGAGTTTATCCAAGTTTATCTCTACCAAGAGTATAATGGCATGGGATGGCTTATTTAGGACAATTCCCTTTCCTATTGTTTTTGTTGCTGAGCCAATTTGAGTTAGTTTTGCATCCTGGGGGGCTTTAAAATACAGCATGCAGTGAAAGATCAGAATTCACTGAATATTTCTTCTGAGAGCATGGTTTCATGGTTTTTCTCTATGAAATGACTCAATATTCCAAATGTTTTTTTTTCCTTCCTCCTTTCAAAAGAGTTCTTAACCCAATTAGGATATCCTGCTTTGGGTATGAGGTTGTTGTTGCCTGTAATCACACATGGTTTGACATCAGTTTTAAATCAATGGAGAGAAAAAACTGAAAAAGATGCTGCTAAGTAGTTCTCTGTATTAAAGGAGATATTTTTAAAACAGGGTACAACCCCCTGCTGCACACGCTAGCATATCTGGAACCTACTATGAAAATGAAAGGACCCTTATAGGTACTCACAGCCCTTTCATGTAAGTATGATCTGATATTTAGGTCTTCAGAAGCCTGTAGGTTTCATTTCTATGAGGAATCGAGGAGCGTTACATCCTGATATCCTTCCAGGCTGCTTAAGAATGGACTGCTTCGACACTGAAAGTGCTAGTTAAATGGATTCATATGAAGTGCTTTACTCCCAACCATTGAGTTATTTATAATGTATTTATTAGGGGAGGGTACCTTGAGTCTATTATATATGCTTCATCAAAACATCTTGTTCATGTTTTATGTTTTTAAAAAAGGCATTTGAATGAATGTTTGACTCAGGTTTGTTAAATTAACCTTCAGTAACTGCAGTACCAAAAATTACACTCAACTGATGAAAAAAACGAATTGTATGATTTAGGAATCAAAAACTAAAATAAGTGGAATTATGTATCTTTTCTAAAGTTAAAAAAGTAAAATATTTTATTATGAGTTATTATAAAAATTGGTTAATTGTATAGGAAGATGACAGTATTTTTTTCAAGTTATCATAAAAAGTAATTCAGATGACATTTGAGAAGTAGGGGAAAGGGAATCATGTTGACAGTTTTAGTTCTGTGAACACTAATTTGTGTGAAGCTATTAAAATGATTGTAAAGTTGACTACTGTAAATTTCCCATAATTATGTGTGTATATGTGTCATATGTATGTACATGTATATGTCTAAAAATTACTTTACACATGTGCCTACATAGACACACCAAGAAGTGGATGTATATAATATAGAAAGTATATAGCAAAGTAATTTTACTCTGATAATAAAAATTGTTTGACATGTATTTTGTTATGAATAGTTTATCTTCCAAAAGATATTTTGCTCTATTTTAAAGTGTAGAAGAATACACTGCTAATAAATAATAAAAGTTTTATTCAATTTACTTATTTTTTGGTGTTTATAATTTGAATTTTTGAGTTATCAATGTACTGAAGTCTCTTTATAATTTTATTTTTGGTTCAGTGTGGTCAGTGCCTTGAGTGTTTCAAGATCTCTATTCTGGATTTTAGTTTAGCTTTTATTGACTTTCTAGGTTGTGGCCATTGCCTGAAATACATGACAGTGAGCTCACAGAAACCTTATACTTTGAATTTCACAAAAATCATATAATGTTAGGTTCTTGCTTGCTTTCCCTTTATTTTTTTTACTGTCAATAAAATACTGATCCTGATCAGTGTTTTGGGTCCTGCTTAGTCATTTATGACTACTGATGACTATTGTGTGATTGATCACCAGTTCCTTTTGAAAAAGAATGCCATTTTTCCTAAATGAGAAATTATAGAAATCAGTTAGAAGAAACCTCACACCTGTTGGATCTATGCCCTGAAAAGTCAGTTTGGGAGGAAGAAGCTACACTATTTATTGGAGATATTTTATATAGTAAACTGGATCTCTTTGGGTTATGATGATTCTGAGGTTTTTTTTTCCTTAAATTTTTTTTTTTTTTTTTTTTAGAATGCAAAGGAAAGTTTGTGGGTGAGAAGGTAGTTTTACATTTGGAATTGGGATCTGCAAATAGCTGTCCTAACAACACTGCATGAAACAATTGGGGTACCAAGGTTTTCATAGGACCACATCTTAAAGAAGGAGATTTCTTATGAATTAATGAACCTGTTTCACAGGGCAGAAGGAAATCTTTTTTTGTACAGATTGGGTTTTTATGAAAAAGAAAGTAAAAAAAACAAATCAATTAGCTGGTTTCAGCAGATTTCTCACCTATTGAGTTTACCTGTTTCTTTTTTATCCTTAGATGTAAAATGATTTATAAATCTCAAAACACACCTGGGAAAACTATCTATGTGATTCAAATATAGCAGGAACATGAATTTACCAACTATACACAAATGTATTTTGAAAATTGTTTTTACTTCTATGCTTTCTTCAGTGACATGTTAAACCATTAATATGTTGAGTCTAATTAAACCAGTTGTTAGTATATAAGCTGAACAGGACTCCGTGGGCTTCATGTCATATAAGAAGTCTGTACTCGTTCCAAAAGTCATAAGGCAGAGTCCCCTTTGCAACACTTAGCAAAGCAAGAATTTGGTCACTGTATGTCTCCTCAGAAGATTAATTAGGGACAATTCCAATTACAGAAGTATATAATTTACAGCAGAAAACTCCTTTATTTACACATAGGTTGCATAGGGTTGACAACTATGGCATATAATGGAAAGTAGAAAATAATTGTATTAAGTTATTTTGAGCTGAATTGAAATGTTAATATATTCCCACCCAGTTCCCTCTCTATGGATTGAATTATGATAATCATATCAAGAAGGAGAAAAATAGCTTTTCTCAAGAATTTTAAACTTTTCTTTGCTAAGTACAAGTAGAAACTTACATTAAAAGACTAGTTTTAATGCGAAATGTATTTGGAACAGGTTTTAAGTGGACAAACATAAATTAGCTGAACTTCTCACTCTGCATGCCTCGTTTTAACCTGCACGCCACCAAAATCAAAGTAAATCACATCACCACTTGCGGTGTCTGCTTTGGTTTGAATCAAGTTGACCATGCATTTTTGAGAAGTTGTACTCCAAGTGAAGAATGGGGCATGGTAATAACTGTAGAAATGACTCTACCTGCAAATATTTACATTAAAACTTAAGATTTGGGGGTAGTAATCTATCAAATATGTAGTCATCCCTCCATATCCATGGGGGATTAGTTCCAGGACCTCTGCGGATACCAAAATCAGAGGATGTTCATGTCCCTTATACATAACGGTGTGGTGTTTGCATAAAACCTATGCACATCCTCCTGTATACTTTAAATCATCTCTAGATTACTTATAATATCTAATACAATGTAATACCATGTAAATCGTTATTATATTGTTTAAGGAATAATGACAAAAAACGTCTGTACATGTTCAGTACAGTAGAGATGCAATTTTTTTTTCCCTGAATATTTTTTATCCCTGGTTGGTTGAATCTATGGATGTGGAACCTATGGATATGGATGGCCAACTGTATTTTCTTTATTTATATTATGGCTGTCTTCCAAAAGGATCTGAAGTGGCTTCATAGAACCAAGCAGATGTACCATAGGGAGAGTAAATAGGGGCTTTGGACATCGAATTTCAAGACAACTGACACTGAGACTTGAAGCTGAGATAAAGAGGCCTCTCAGACATCACAGGAGATCTGTCCTTTCTTTCCAGACTGGGCATATTTATGCCAAACACACAGTTTTAGTCAATTCCAGGACTCTTCATTGGCACTCACTTTACTCAGTTTTGAAGAAAAGATTATCTCCAAGTGAGATTGCCAGTCTTGATATTCAGATCCCCAAAAATAATTATGTCGAGTACGTGGAAGGACAAAATTGGAACCAGAGATCAGATTACTATAAGAATCCATCTATCTATCTACCTACTACTCTCCTACCAACCTACCATATAACTGGGCTTTACTAGAGCTAATGTAAGTATAACATATGCCTTTTTGTATTGGGAAGTTAAATAAAACTTGGAAGACACAGGGGTCCCACAGACTTGAGAAGAAAGGAGCTGATCTTTGTAAAAAACAAAACCAAAAATGAATAAAACAATGGAGGAGAGGGAGCCATTTTTTAAAATCTAGGTTCCTTACAGGCAAAGAGATATTTTGTTTTAAATGGAAAAACATAAATTGGATACCATACTTCAAGAAGCATGTTCCAGGCAGTTTTATCAACTCTGGAAAGAGGTAACCAGTTAACTTTTCAAGCAGCTTGGGGTTGTAAAGTAATGTTGCATCTGCTGAGTGTGACCAGCAGGATTGGAAAGGGAGGCCTAGCTTTTTCTGATTTGAGGTTTTGTGTAATACTCACTTCCTCTTTCTCCCTTCTCCACTTTTCATACCAATGAGTTTCACAAGCATAGCCACCAATCCTAGACTTTTCCTGCTGCTTGAGGCCCAGCTGGTAGCTTACTTTACCATTTTGGTGCCTTCAATGACCAACAACTAAATGGCCGGGCACCACGTCAGATGGCAACACTGCACGAACTATACAGCTAACATCTGTTAGCAGAGACACTGGTGGCAAAATCCCTGGTCTCAGTCTCGTATCACATCCCCATAGAGCACCAGCCCCGGAGTTCTCTTTCTCTCATATTGCTCTGGAGGGTGAATCAGAGATGCTGGCCCTGAGATGGCTGCCCTGTCATGACAAGAAGTGGGACTGCTGAGTGCAACCTTGAAAATCTACTAAGCTGACAAACTGTGACTTTAGTTTGATCTATTTTAAAGTCAAATCTGTTGGGGCAAATTATCCTTAATTAAGGATTTCTGTTTAAGTGACAAGTAGTTAGGATTGTTAATTTTTAAGGTAAACCAAAAGAGGAAAAGTTCACTCATCTGGTCTGGAGGAGAGATGAAAGTCAGTTACTAAGTCAGGATCTAATTATTTATCTAATCAGGAAAGCCCTGTGTATTGGGGGCCCCCAAGAGCATTCCCAGTTTTGATAATTTGCTAAGAAGGGCTCACAGGACCCAACGTATAGTTATACCCAAGATTTATTTAAATGGAAAGATTTATTACAGTCAAAAAATACAAAGCAAAATCAGCAAAGGGAAAAGGCACATGGGGTGAAATCTGGAGGAAGCCAAGCACCAGCTTCCACGAGTCCTCTCCCAGTGGAGTCGCACAGGACACACTTAATTCCCCCATTAGGGAGGTGTGACAAATGTGAAACATTTTCTACCAAAGAAGTTCGTTACAGACTCAGCATCCTAGGTTTCTACTGGGGGCTGGTCACATGGGCAGCCTTGGAAGAGCACGATCAAAATTCCAGGCGCCCAGAAGGAAAGCAGGTATTCCACATAAACCATATTGTTTACACAGTCTAGGTGCAATGAACCACACTTATCATTCAGAAGAAGTTTTATATCAGTGTAAGGGAACCGTTTACCAGTCAAGTTCTCAGGCACAAGTCAAAGACAACCTTGCAAGCAAGCCATTCACAAGACAGTCTCAGGCCTGATTTTTAGATACTTTTCTGTATACCCTAGATCACAGCCAACTAATTTTGTAGTAACTAAAGCCCATGTAAATTAATGTGCAGTTTTCCCTCAGGCTGTTGACGCAAAACCTGTGTTTTTAGAAAACTTGTTTGTGGAGGGAAGAGTTGTGATCTAGGAGACGGGAACTCTGTTTTGGGACTCCAGTGTTCCAGATGGGCCAGAGTTCTGGCTTCTGTTTTGTTTTCAAATGGATAAATTTGGAAGTGGTGCAGCTTCCCCTTATAAAACACTCTACTGGCCACAGTAAACCTGCTACCACCCGATGTCTACAATATTCCAACCTCTTTCAGGCCAAACGAGTAGCAGAAATGCACCAACTCATATTTGCTTTAAGAGATAAACTAGTCTCAAAATTTTGCTCTCAGTATCTATGCCACCTCCCTGTTATTTATAAGTAAAAGAAATAAAAATGTAAGTTAATGCAGTTTTTAAAATACTGCAATTTAAAGAAAATTAAAGATAGTAAAAATTAAAGCTAAAAACAGATTGCAAAAAAGCAGGCAACAGAGGCTTTTAAAATGATGCACTTAAAACGATAAAAATATAAATTAAAATGATACAACATTTCTAGAAATGGATACATCTTAGGGCTATGAGAAGATAGCATATAGATTACTTACAGATTTGTAGCACTTAGTACCTTGTTTGGCCTACAGTAATTGAATAATTAAAGTTACCCCAAGGCTTAACAGCTTTTGCAAGTCTACAGATGCCAAGCCGTCAATCTAAGTGGGATCATTTTGAGCTGACAAAATGTCTTGCTCATAGGTCATGTCCTTAGACTCTTCTGCCTGGGGATTTTGATTCACAAGAGGAGTCCAGGGTATCTCACTCTTGGGATTAGGCTAAGTGGAAGGTCTGTGGGCATCTGTAACTTTCTCTGCACAAGTATCCCTCTTGCTTAGGAATGTTTTAAACTTTTAATTATTTTTTATGTTTTATTTTTTAAAAACCAAGTTCTAAAAAATTTGTTCTTACCTTTTAAGTCACCTTCTTACATATTTGCACATGCCACATAAAGTCAATCCTTTCAGTAGTCAGCTTGCTTTCCACCTTCTTCAGGAAGCCTTTCTCACTCTGGGTTTGGCAAAGTATAATTTTTTTTTCTCTCACTAAGCTGTGACATCCTTAATTAGGGTTGTATGCCTTTTATTGCTGTAACCCACGTAACTGAAACATAATAAGCATAGGTTAGGCCTTTTTAAAAATTCCACTTTGTATTTCTTTTCACATTTTATCTGAGTTCTTCAGAAATGGTTACATAGATTCATTTTCTTTTTTTTTTTGAGACGGAGTCTCGCTCTGTCGCCCAGGCTGGAGTGTAGTGGCGCCATCTCGGCTCACTGTAAGCTCCGCCTCCCGGGTTCACGCCATTCTCCTGCCTCAGCCTCCCGAGTAGCTGGGACTACAGGCGCCCGCCACTACGCCCGGCTAATTTTTTGTATTTTTAGTAGAGACGGGGTTTCACCGTGTTAGCCAGGATGGTCTCGATCTCCTGACCTCGTGATCCGCCCGCCTCGGCCTCCCAAAGTGCTGGGATTACAGGCGTGAGCCACCGCGCCCGGCAGATTCATTTTCTTGAGTGGAGCTCTGGCCATTACATCTAGAGTTCTGGTTTGGGAAAGCTTCCTACGGGGAGCAGAACTTCGAACAAGCTGTATTGGGAAAGATTCGGGGAGGTTTAACGGGCTACTGCCTCTGGTGGGGGACATTGCTGGTTCAGAAAAAATTGACACAGTGGGAAGGGAATAAAATATAAGAACTCATATTTACCCACACAGATTGGAAAGTTGACTGTGGATTGATATTCAGTCCCTCATTCAGCAACGTTTATTGAAAGACCACTGTGGAGCAACAGACACAAAGTTAAAACCGTTATGCTGAAGTTCACAGTTTTCTGAGGAACACAGACGGGAAAACAAAGGAGGAAATAGAGAGCTGTTCACCTGTTATAAAGTTACAGTTATCTATAAGACAGATACATTCTGGATATCTGCTGTACAACCTAGCGCCTGTAGTTAACAATACAGTGCTGTGAGCTTAAAAATTTGTTAAGAAGGTAGCTTTCACATGAAGTACTCTTACCAAAATAAAAGCGTGTTTCCTCCACAAGGAAACATTTGGAGATAATGGATATGTTGATCACCTTGATTGTGGTGATAGTATCACAGGTATAAGCATCTGTCCAAACTAATTGAATCTTATACATTAAATATATGTAGTTTTATTATACATCAATCATTCCTCAATAAAGCTGTAGAAATCTATACAAATAGAAAGGGATAACATATTTATGGTACTTCCAATGAAACTCGAGATGTCAGTATTCTCCGTTTACATCTATAAATTCACCATAGTCACAATAAAAATTCCAGAGTTTTCTGGAGAAAAAAAAATGGTGCCCAGGCTCTATTCCAGACCAATTAAATCAGAACTTGGGCCATGGGACCTAAGACTTATTTTTAATTTTTTTTTTAGAGCTTCCAGAGTAATTCCTGATGCACGGTAGGAATAAGAACCACTATACAGAGAAAAGGAGACTCAAATTATTTGTTTCACTTTCTTCTTCTTCTCCTTCTTCTTTTCTTCTTCTTCTTCTTCTTCTTCTTCTTCTTCTTCTTCTTCTTCTTCTTCTTCTTCTTCTTCTTCTTCTTCTTCTCCTCCTCCTCCTTCTTCTTCTTCTTGCTCTTCTTCTTCTTCTTCTCGCTCTTCTTCTTCTTCTTGTTCTTCTTCTTCTTCCTTTTCTCCTTCTTCTTTCTTCTTCTTCTTCCTCCTCCTCCCCCTTCTTCTTCTCTTTTCTTTTACAACCTTAAATACTTTCATGTCATTTAAGGGAAGGGGGAGTCAAACTTTCCAACCATTTAACATTGTCTCTTTAGGATTCCTCCCTGCACCCCTATCCCTGGGGAACTTTTAGACAATAAGATTTTTAATTATTCAGAATAGCTTTTAAAAATTGAGATTTAGGTTGATAAATAATAGGCTAAATAGTCCTCCCTCGTCTATCAGTTAATATCCTGTTCAAGGGATAGTAGGAACTGTGGGGAATACAAATAAATGGGACAAGGATGAGAAGGTATCTTCCCCATGCCGTCATCCATATCTTCAAGGAGCTCACAACCCACTTGGGGAAATGGCATAATCATGTATTCGCTGGTGTTTTTCGATTGTGAGAGAAACCCAACATTAACTGGTTTAGGCACAAGTGTATGGAACCCAATAAATGGTAAGTGCCTGGGCCTCGGGTACAGCTGGAACCAAGAGCTCCAAATTAGCAGGAACATCCTATCTCATGACAACATGGATGCCAACAGAGGCCACATCTTTGCAACTTAGGGTTCAGTCACCAGGGACACTGGCCTGACTGTCAGCCCTGAACCCACACCACTGGGAAGGGACTCATAATCACCTCTGGACCTACAAATTGTGGCTGGGGTGGGGTGGGGAGTTTGAATGGCTGAGCTCACAAGAGAACAGGGAACTCCCTTTGAAATCAAGTGAAAGATAATAGTTTTCTGACCCATAGGGGTTCTAACTCAAAAAAAGTATGTGATGAAGGGGTTTGCTGGGCAGACAAGACAAGTATCTACCATACATGTAGCATAGCAAGACAGAGATATTCCAGGACAGCACTGGCAAACAGTGTGGTACAGAGTAATGGCCAAATGAATGGTGCAAAATATTGCATTTTCCCACCTGAGAAAGAACCCTAAACCTTAGGAGCAACTTCTACTCAGAGGAGTTGGGTCTGCATACGCACACTCTGACTTCCCACCACATGAGGGGTGTGGAGGTGATTAGGATGAAATGAGGGGTGTTTAGCACACAGAGAATCACTGCTACTCCACACCCCAACAAGCTGCAAGCACAGGGAGTTTAGTTTGGTTTATGCTGTTTGAGGGATATCTAAGAGATGTCTGATAAGCAGCAGAAATGGGGTGATGACTGTACCTCTGAAATTCCACAGCAGAGGCTTCTAACACATATTTGGCCATTGCTTTCACTGAGGCTCAGAAGGTTGTGCCCAGTATCCAGAGAAGGATTTCAAAATTTTCAAGGACTATAGCTGAGAAAGGGTTTTCTGGAAATTGAGAGTGCCAATTTGCTGTGAAGCAGGGAGAAGACAGGCTATTTCTGAGATACAGCAAATAGAAGTAATTTTTTTTCACCATCAATGATGACCTCAGTGACGTAGAAACAGGGTGGTAGCTCCTGGTTTTCTTGTTTCTTAATCAATATAATTTAGACTTTAAAATTTCATGAACAATATCTTAGATATTTCTTAGTTATGTTGTGATTTTGTCAATGCTGCTTAACTCTAATGCAGGATGATAATTGTGGCTAATTGCCTAAAAGCATATGAACTTTTTTTCCCATCAGTGTTATATGTGAGAGAACACACACACACACACACACACACACCCCTCTTTAATATGAATTTGATGTCCTCACTTAAATTACATGAAATAATTCCTAAATGCTTGAAAATACAAAACCCTCCTCATCTAGTTCCTATCTCAATCAGACAAATATTTTAAAGCAGATTCAAAAAATAGACTATACTAAACTTCTTACTGGAAAAAAAGTCACTTCTGGACAGAGACCAAGCCAAAGTAATTTTAGCTCAAATTGGTTTTCCTGGAAAAACTGGAAACGTAATCCTGAAAAGAAATGTCTTGGCAGCTTTACAAATCAACACTCAAAAACTAACAAGAGCAGCCTAAATATCCTTCACTTCAATGATTCTCAGATACCAGCATGGAAAGAATCTTGTTTGACAAAAAAGCTTGTTAAAATTCAGATTCTGGAACCCAGCCTGCAGATCTAAACAAAACCCGAGTTGTTTAAGTAGAGAAGATTTGAAGATCACAGCTTAATTAACTCAGAAAAGATCAATGTAGAAATTTATAAATTAATAGGATAGAAAAAGGAATTGTGTTTGGGAAACTATGTCCTAGCCCACTCCAATAGAGCCATCTGTCTTAGTGTTGTGGGACCATCTGGTACAAGGCCTAACTCCATCATTTTGTGTGTGACTTTGAGTAAATAGTTCACTGTCTTTGGGTTTCAATTTTCTTTCCAATAAAATGAGATCAGATAATGCCTTAGTCTGTTTGGGGTGCTATCGCAAAATACCATAAACTGGGTAGCTTATAAGCAACAGATTTTTTTTTTCTCACAGTCCCAGAGGCTGAGAAGTTCAAAATTAAGGCACCAGCAGATCTGGTGTCTAGTGAGGGTTTTGTGGTTCATAGACAGTACCTTCTAGCTATGACCTCACATGGAAGAAGGGGCTATCTAGCTCTCTGGAGTTTCTTTCATAAAGCCGCTAATCCATTAATGAGGGCTCTGCCCTCATGACTTAATCACCCCTCAAAGGTTCCCATCTCCTAATACCATCACCTTAGGGGGTAGGATTTTAACATATGAATTTTTGAGGGACACAGGTATTTAGATACAATATCAATCATTCTTAATCTTTTTGAGATTACAAACTCCTTTGAGAAACCAATAAAACTATTCAATCTTTTCTCCAGAAAAATGCACAAATACACACTTTTGCACCCAAATTTGGGAGGGTCACAGCTCCCTTAAAATGCTTTTGTGAACTTCATATGACAGACAGTGGCTCTTTGAAGGGAAAAATGGGGTTTATATGAATCTGTGTTTCATATGCCTCCTGTCCAATTCAGATTTGTCCTTGTTGAGGAGTCATGTCACTTTTTATCCTCCACTCCTTGCCCCATGTTAGGAATCACCATTGTCACTAATACGTGCAACACACTTAGAGTGCAACACACTCAGAGTAAGCGCTGGCCACTTTGGGAAGCCGAAGACTCCTCCAAGGTAGGTGACATTATCACCATTTTACAAATGAGAAAACTGAGGTCTGTAAAAGTGAAATAGCTTGCCCAGGTCACGTGACTAATAACAAGCAGGGCCTGGATTTGACCCTGACCCTTTAACTTCCACGGCAGGGTTTCTCAGTCTTGGCACTGTTGCCATTTTGACCTGGATAATTCTTTATTGTGAGGGTGCTGTCCTGTGTGGACATTGTGAGATGCTCAGCAACTTCTTTGGCTACTACCCATTAGATGCCAATAGCACTCCTCATCCAAATTTTGAAAACAAAAAATGTCTCTAGAAATTGCCAAATGTATGCTTGGGGAAAAATCACCTCCATTTCAGAACCACTGCTGTATAGTGTAGTCCCCTGATATCACTACCATAGTGAGCTGCTGCTGCTGGAGTGAAGCTATCGAACCTCTGAAGTCTGGTAGGGCAGGAGAAGGCTGAAAACCATCATTACAAGGTTTCATATATCTCAGGCAAAGAATTTCAGGATGAAATACACTATGTTATTGCAGCTTCATGATTCTATAAATTCATAATTTCAAAAAGCTCTACCACTATGGTTTCTTGTGATGGTGAATGCTCACGTGCAGCTGAATTACTCTCAAATCTGGCTATAAAACAGCATAAAGATGTTGTTCTTTTGGAAAATATAGAGTTGAAAGAGGCCCATATCAACATAATTCTCAGTTGTGTAATATCTGAGAGACCAAGATCTGAAGAAATACAGCTGGGGTTGGAAATGGGATTTTAGACAGTCTCAGTGTTGTGCTCAGTGAGGTTGCTCTGTGGCTTGGCTAACAGCACAGAGGGGAGAAAGGCAACAGGAAATGAGCACTTTTTCACTGTTGCTACATACCCTTCGGTTTCGCAAAGTATGAGAGACAGCTGCTACATCATGTTTTGGTGGATCATGAAATTCAGTACCAGGAAAGTCCACACTGGATCCTGTCAGGATCAGGTGTGGGGTTCTGTGATGTGTTTTCAACAAACACTCTGTTTAAAAATAATCTGGTAGCATAAACCAGGAGGATGTGGTTACATGAAGGTTTTAAAGTATTTTAGAAAAATAAATACAATGCTCTGCGGCATGATCTACTAATGTGAGTTGTGTCTCTTGAGAAAGATAATTGAGGTTGAAATCTTGATCCCACATATAAAGGTTCCCAAGGGACATATTCAGTCAGCACATGATTAAATATTTACAACATGTCATGTACTCTAATCAAAAAGAGAGTCTAGGCCCCTTACCGTTGACTAGCTTACCGCTTGGAGAGGGGATACTCAATGCCGGAGAAGTCAGACCACGGCAGTGATACACTCAGGGGCTTTGGGGGCACACAGGCTAGGCAATCTGGTCATCAACTTTAGTTTATTTTCTGTTGTTCCTAACAACAGAATACCTAAAACTGGATAATGTATAAAGAAAAGACATTTATTTCTTACAGTTATGGAGACAAAGTCCAAAGTCAAGGAGGGGCTACATCTGGCAAGGGCCTTCTGCCGGTGGGGACGCTCGGCAGAGTCCTAAGGTGGTGCAGGCCATCACGTGGTGAAGGGGTTGAGTATGTTAGCTTAGGTCTGTCTTCCTCTTCTTATAAAGCCACTGATCCCCCCTCCCATGATAACTCATTCATCCATTAACCCATTAATCCATGAATCCACGAATGGACTAATTCATTAACGAGGGCAGAGCCTTCATAACCCAATCACCTCTTAAAGGCCGCACCTCTCAATATTGCTGCATTGGGGATTAAGCTTCAACATGAGTTTTGGAGAGGACAAATGTTCAAACCATAGCACTGGGATCAAGAAAGACTCCCTTTGTAGGTGAAGTCTAAGCTCAGGCGTGGAAGATGAGTAGGACCTAGCTGGGCAAAAGTGGGAGCACATGTGTAGGGGCAGAGAGGCAGCCAAGGGGCGAGCAATGCTGTCAACAAAGATGCTTGGATGGGAAAGAGGAGAGGCTGGGGCACACTCAGGGATGGCAAGTGGCTGCAGCAGAGTGACAGGAGGGAGCGATGGGGCAGAGAGGTCATGTGGGAACGTATGCAGGGCTGTTTCAAGGCTTCTGCAGACCTGGATGCTTTTGGAGACTCCATTATACAATATATTAAACATATTAAAATGCACCCCAATTCCACATAAGTAATTTATACACAATGATGACTTTAATTGCAGGTGACTATTTAATAACATATTACCTTTTTAAAAGTTTTCCTTTTGTATTTCAGAGCCAGTAATTTTTTTCCAGATAGCAGTCATTTTAAAGGGGTCTTGCAAAGCTGGTAGGCTCTAGGCACTGTGCTTAAAACAAATGATAAAATGGACTTGGCTTTTGTGTCATAAGCCTGCAAATTGCATCCCTCTGCCCCAGTATCCAGTCTCATTTTCCCTGCTCTCTGGAGTTTTAGCGGGGCATGTGGCCTTTTGGCTGGACAATCCATTCCTAGTTTCTTTTGCAGCAAGGAGCAGCCATGAGACCAAAGTTTTGGCTGTGGAGATGTGTGCAGAAGTGATGTTTGAGATTTTCAGGTCACATTCGTAAAAAGGAAGCTGGCTGCCCTCCCTTCGCCTTTCTCCTTTCCTGTGGGCTGGAATGTGGGTGTAGTAGTGGTGAAATAACTTCAGCCGTGTAGACAGGGGAAACCTCAGTGTGCATCAAAGTCACCTGGAGAGCTTGTTAAAACACCGATCTCTGGATACCATCTCCAGAATTTCCGATTCAGGGGGTGGGGACCATTTCTAACAAATTCCCAAGTGACGCTGCTGCTGATCAGGGACCACACTTTGAATACTAGTGCCCTAGGGGATGATGGAGTGGCAACAGAGGAGACACCTGGGTTTCTAGATTATCTTGTAGAGTAGATCTGCTTTCTACACGGACTGCTCAGTTACCCCCATGGCAGATAAATAAACTGTTATTTATTTTTTTGAACCACTGTAGTTTTGGATCAGTTTGTTACAGCAGCGTAATCTATAGCAGCTAAGTCATGTTCAGGAAATTGAACTTTACCAAGGGAGGCAGTATTGTATAGTGGATGTATATGGGGCCAAATAGCATGCATTTGAATCCCAGTTCTGCTACTTCTGAGCTGTGTGATCTTAGGCATGTTATTTAACCTTGTTGTGACTCAGTTTTCTCATCTATTGAATAGATCCTGAGGGACAAGTTCACCTAGAGCTCATTCCCTTTCTAGACTATATCCAGTAGCAGGGCCTAGAATTCCCTGCCCAGTAGCCATGAGCAGGTTCCAAAGTCTGCATGGACCTTTCTGGCTTTGTCCTGATGGCTGACTATACCTACCAGTACCCTTGGTCTGAGATGTTGCCAAGGGGTGGCTGTGGGACGGTGGTGTGGGTAGAACTCAGTTGGGCAGGCTAGAGTGTTCTACATTAGACATGAGGCCTCTCTGGCGTGTGATGACAGAGCAGAGGGTGGGGAGAGATGGGGGTGAATTGCAGACCAGTGGCACACTCTCCAAAGAAGTCACATTCAGGTAGCACAGAACAACCCATGAGTGTGATGAGAATTCTATTTTTTTTTTTAAGACACAGGGTCACATTACGTAGCCCAGGCTGGAGTGCAGTAGTGCAATCATAGCTCACTGCAGCCTTGAACACCTGGGTTCAAGCAATCCTCCCAAGTAGCTGGGACTAAAGGTGCATACCACCACAATGGCTAAGTTTTAATTTTTGTAGAGACGAGGGTCTGGCTATGTTGCCCAGTTTGAGGCTTGCCTCAAACTTCTGGCCTCAAACAATCTGCCCACCTCTGCCTTGCAAATTGCTGGGATTATAGGTGTGAGCTATTGTGTCTGGTCAGAATTCTAAATTTGAGTCTGGCTCTCCAGTTGTCATGAAAGTATATTTGTTAAGTTAGGAGAATAGAACATATTTAATAGTTTGATAGCTGGATTTATGATTTTAAAATATTTAGACATTGGCAGGCAAACTTCCTTTTGAACACCTGCTCTGCCCTGCAAATTTAGGTGGGGGGGGTGGGGGAGACTGGGTACCTTGTCACCCTGGCATGAGGAATAAATGTAACAACAGATAAAAAATACTCAAAGCATGGCTTGGCACATATGGTATGTACTCGACGGCATTGAAAATAATGATGTTTATGATTCTCCTGAAATCTTAAAAAGGAAGCTGGCTGCCCTCCCTTCATCTTTCTCCATCTCTGTGGGCTGGAATGTGGATGTGGATGTAGCAGTGGTGAAATAACTCCTGGGGGGAATTTTATCTTAACCTTGACACTAAGAAAGGACAAGATGGCACAAGAAAAATAAACCAAGTGGGCTTTACTTATGATGCAAAACTCTTAAATAAAATACTACCAAATAGAATCCTACAGTCTATCTTTAAAAGGATAATATATTGTAACCAAACAGGGTTTATCAGAGGAATGCAAAGATGATTCAACTTTTAAAAATATATCAAATGTAACCTACTACATCAACAGCTAAAAAAAAATTCACTTCATATAAAAGTCATACTAGAAATAGATAGAAATGTCTCTAACTTATAAACAATATATCAGAAAACTATAACAAACACCATATTTGATAGTGAATTATTAGAAACACTAGGGTAACAATGGGGACTATTAACCAAATCAGTGACCATAGGAGAATGAGTGGGATGAGGAGGGAGAGAGGCCAGCCGAATGGAGAGTTCCAACACGTCTGCAACTCTGGAAAGAAGTAAGCTTGGTGGGAAAGAATCTGTGGGTGACCCATAGGCGAGAGTGGAAGGCAGGAATCAGATGAGATCAATTAGGGAGAGAGAGTAGGGTGAGAAGAGAACCAAGAAGAGAAGCCAGGAACACTATCTTAAAGGAGCCATGACACTGGGGAGCCAGAGACTGAGTCTGGAAGGGAGCAGACAGAGGAACAGAAGCAAAGGGAAACCTGGAGGGAAATGGCACTGAGGAGGAGGGTGTTCTTCACAGAGTCAAAGTAGAGGGCAAGGATTTAGGAGTCACGATTTGCTACTGAGAGGCTACTGTTAACCTTGGCCAAAGCTGTTTCTGTGGAGCAGGGAGAGCTAAGGGCCGTGTGGGTGGGTATTCAATGGTAAAATCAGAAGTAGAAGGAGAAAATGAGCACTTCCATCAGGAAGGGGAAGTGAGCTGTGTGTAGGCACCATGAGAAGGAGGTGAAGTTCCAGGGGAGTTTTATGAGGTTGTGGTGAAATCAGCATTTTTGTAAGTCTGAAGGGGAGCAAGCAGTGGAGAGCAGAGAGACTGACAAGAGACAGCAGAAAGCAGATGACTGATGGGGCAAGTTCCTGCTGAAGGTGGGAGGAAAGAGATGCTCATAAAAGTGAATTACTGTTTCACCGTGGAGAAAACATAAATGAAATCATTTACACTGCCATTCACTTATTAATTCAGTAAGTATTGATTAAGTTTCTACTATGTCCCAGGCACTGACCTGGTGCTGGAAATAAGATAGAAAAAATTCCCACCCTATATTATGTAAGTTCATTAACTTAAAACAAAAGGAAAACCAAATCCAGAAACAAACAAAAATTTGGCCCCTGTCAGGCCAGCGCTAAGGGAGGCATGGTCTTGGAGGAAGTGTGTGTGACTGCCAGGCACTGGAGTCCCTCAGCAGGAATGCTGCTCGTCTCAAAGGCAACACAAAGTGGCAGCTGGGACCAGGGATCCAGAATTTGAATACCCTCCCACCACATTCTATCAGAGAGTCCTTTAGGACTATGTTAATGTGAGAGAAAAAACTTTACTTCAATGGCAAGTTTTAACTATGAATGATTAGGAGAGTCTCCTTTCTCCTGAAACATTGCTCTTAGGGACAGAGTGGAAAAGACTCCTGGACATATGGGCCAGAACTACAATGCATGTTACAGAGAAGAGGTATACGCCATGTGTCATAACTAGAAAGGAGAAATGCAGGCTTGCTGTGCTTAATGCACTCAAAACCTCAATAAGGACAAATGGCAATAGGCAAAAAGATGATGACAAATACTCATCTCATTTACATCAGTAAACTTGATATCGAAACCTTCAACCCTCTGAATAGCAAGTCACTGGTTCTTTTCTTTCACTTCCCCCTCCGGCCCCTGCCCCTGCCCCAACCAATTTCATTCAGATATAGCTTAGCTGGACCAAATCTATCAAGTCATGCTTATCCTTAATCCTCATCAGAGTTCTTGAAGTCATCAACTAACCATATTGATTTTGAAATAGAAAAAGAAAAGCAGAGAAGCTGTGTTTTGACCTCTCTCCTGAAACATTGCTCTTAGGGACATATGACCCAGAACTACAACTGCAATGCATGTTAGATAGAAGAGGTATATGCCATGTGTCATAATTAGAGAGAAGAAATGCTAAATTCATGAATAGGGATTCACAGAAAGTTTTAACAGAAAGGGCCTTTGAAGTGACTGACTGTGAACTTATTTGACAAGATGAAAATAATCCATCGCAAGGCTACATGATGGATGCTCGGCTTAGTATCTGGGTGTGCTGCAACCCCACCTAACATTTTTTTCTATTATGCCATGTTACCATATTCCCATATTGAGTTACATTTTCAAATACATGACTTTTCCAGTGAATAATTGAGAGAACTCCTTTTCTGAAAAAATTCCCACATGGAATGGATAAATGAACACTTGCACCAAAGAAGATGCCAACATCAGACTGCAAATCTCCAAGACAGACAAGACAAAAAGTTCTGAAGTGAAAAGTCATCTTTGTTCACACTGTGGATTATTCAGGTTTCTTGCTTTCCCCCTGACACACATTTTTTTAAAATTGACTTTATTTTTTTAGAGCAATTTTAGATTCATGGCAAATTTGAGTGAAAGATACAGAGATTTCCCATGTACTCCCTGCCCCTCGCATACATAGCCTCTCCCATTATCAAAATCCCCCACCAGAGTGGTTCGTCTGTTACAATTGAATGTACGTTGACACATCATTCCCCAAAGTCCATGGCTTACACTGATGTTTCACATTCTGCCACTTTGGGCAAATTTATAAGTACACAGATCCACTATTATGGTATCATACAGAGTAGTTCCACTGTCCTAAGAATCTTCCGTGATCATCTATTCATTCCTCCTTTCCCCCTAACTCGGGCAACCACTGGTCTTTTTAACTGTCTCCATAGTTTTGCCTTCTCAAGAATGTCATAGTTGGTAGCATACAGTATGTAGTCCTTTCCAGTTGGCTTCTGTCACTTAGTGATACACACTTAAGGTTCCTTCATGTCTTTTCATGGCTGGACAGCTCATTTCTTTTTAGCACTGAATAATATTCCATTGTCTAGATGTACCACTGACATCTGCTTTAAATCTTTTGCCCATTTCATTTTTACCCTCTAACCATTTCATTACTAAAACACAAAACAAACTCCGGAAAGGAGTTTGTTGATGAGAAAACACTGAAAGTACGATTTAAATTGAGGAATGGAGATTTTCTGTGGATAATTGTCTATGTTCCACTTTACCAAAGAAAAATGAATTTCAAGTAGTGCATAAAGTAATTCTCGTTAAAAAATGTGGGAATAAAGAGATCAGTCCTGGGTACTGGGAATATATTTATCTCACAGAAAAATCTTGCCCACAAAATGCATCAGACTGAGATGAAATACTCTAGGGTATATTAAATTTTATTCTAATATTGAAGGGAGGGAAAAAAAGGACGGAAAGAAAAATGAAACAGGATGAAAAATAAGGTGATTGGGAGAGAGAAAAGACAGAGAAACTTGTTAACGACAGGACTTTCTGAGCAAGATATTTTTCTTCCTTTTACAAGTTGGAAGCTATTGAATAATTCATGCCAAGCGTGGAAAGGCTGTCTTTTCCCTGGATGATGTATAACTAAGCAGGAGAGAGCTTCGAGTGGGTTCACCACATCAGCCACCACTCCTGCTTCTGAGCACAGGGTGCTCTCCTCTTGAGCTCAGCTTCTGCTTTTGCAGCCAAGCATTCTTGCTGCTGCTGCCTGCCTGCCCACCCGCCTGGGCTTGCAGCCCGCCACTTTACTTTCTCCAGCCCTGATACCAGCTGAGAAGTCTCCCTGCAGCTGCTAGTTCCTGCCCAGGACCATGTGTGTGGATGCTGCTTGGGAGAAGCGGGCACTTGCTCCTGGCACTGATCCCAGCTGAGTTTCTCCTGTTGATTTCTGGACCACTGATGCTGTTGCTGAGGAGGTATTTCCCGGCATCCCTCCCCCTGAGACACCGGCTAAGGACCAGCCTAAACGCAAGGTAACCTTCACCTCTTTCCCATGGGATTTTCCCCAGCTGGGATATCTCTGCTTTCTCCTGGAACTAGGTCCTCCAGCTGGCAACATATCTCTCTCTCTCTCTCTCTCTCTCTCTCTCTCTCTCTCTCTGTGTGTGTGTGTGTGTGTTGGGGGAGAAGAGGAGACTGTTTTAGGTATTGCTCTGTCCTAGGGCTTCCCCGATACCTGCTGAATCCAATGCAAAGTGGCCTTTCCCCTGGCTCTGGAGACATTTCCGAGGCAGGCACCTGTCATCTGCCACCCCCGTCCTCCTCCTCGAGCTCCCTTTCTCCCCCTCCCCCAGCCCATTATTCTGCTTCAGCCTTTTGTGTCAGTGGCAGAGGGCTGAAGGGATGTCTTTGCCCTTCTGGCAGGCAGGACAGTGTCAGGATGGACCGCGCTGCCAGAAGCCGACGCTAGCGAGGGAGGTGTGAAGAGTTGGCCAGAATGACCAACTCCTCCTCCACATCCACCTCCTCCACCACCGGTGGCTCGCTGCTGCTGCTCTGCGAGGAAGAGGAGTCGTGGGCGGGCCGGCGCATCCCGGTGTCACTCCTGTATTCGGGCCTGGCCATCGGGGGCACGCTGGCCAACGGCATGGTCATCTATCTCGTGTCGTCCTTCCGAAAGCTGCAGACCACCAGCAACGCCTTCATCGTGAACGGCTGCGCCGCCGACCTCAGCGTCTGCGCCCTCTGGATGCCGCAGGAGGCGGTGCTCGGGCTCCTGCCCACCGGCTCTGCGGAGCCCCCCGCAGACTGGGACGGCGCTGGGGGCAGCTACCGCCTGCTACGGGGTGGGCTGCTGGGCCTCGGACTCACGGTGTCCCTCCTCTCCCACTGCCTCGTGGCCCTGAACCGCTACCTGCTCATCACCCGGGCGCCCGCCACCTACCAGGCGCTGTACCAGAGGCGCCACACGGCGGGCATGCTGGCGCTGTCCTGGGCGCTCGCCCTGGGCCTCGTGCTGCTGCTCCCGCCCTGGGCACCGCGGCCCGGCGCCGCGCCACCGCGAGTCCACTACCCGGCGCTGCTGGCCGCCGCGGCGCTGCTGGCGCAGACAGCTCTGCTGCTGCACTGCTACCTGGGCATCGTGCGCCGCGTGCGTGTCAGCGTCAAGCGGGTCAGCGTGCTCAACTTCCACCTGCTGCACCAGTTGCCCGGCTGCGCCGCCGCCGCCGCCGCCTTCCCGGGCGCCCAGCACGCGCCGGGCCCCGGTGGCGCCGCGCACCCGGCGCAGGCCCAGCCCCTGCCGCCCGCGCTGCACCCGCGGCGGGCACAGCGGCGTCTCAGCGGCCTGTCGGTGCTGCTGCTCTGCTGCGTCTTCCTGCTGGCCACGCAGCCACTGGTGTGGGTGAGCCTGGCCAGCGGCTTCTCGCTGCCGGTGCCCTGGGGAGTGCAGGCGGCCAGCTGGCTCCTGTGCTGCGCCCTGTCCGCGCTCAATCCGCTGCTCTACACGTGGAGGAACGAGGAGTTCCGCCGCTCCGTGCGCTCAGTCCTGCCGGGCGTCGGCGACGCGGCGGCCGCTGCCGTTGCCGCCACAGCCGTGCCCGCAGTGTCCCAGGCGCAACTGGGCACCCGCGCCGCGGGCCAGCACTGGTAACCTAGCCGGGGCCCGAGGGAAGCGGAGATCCCCGGCTTCCGACGTCCTTGGGCACCGTCGCCTCCTTCCCTCCTAGGGCATCCCCTGCCTGAACGAAGACTTCCGCCGCGAAGCCCGATAGATCGGGGGAAAATGGGGCCTTCGACCCCAGCGGGCTACCTGAACCAAGGCGTCTCTTTAAGTGGGGCGCCCGAAGTCATTTTGGACGGCCACCTGATTTTTACCCTTTGTTTCTGTGTTTTAGAGGAATCCTAAAGTCAAAACACCAGAGACTTGAAGAACTTGCAAACTGGCGTTTTAAAATAACCGGTTAATTTATTTCCACACAGTTTGTTTTTGAAAAAGAGCTTTCATAATGTATAACCCTTTCCACTTTCATCGTCTTATATATGAAGCGCCTTGAGTGTGCATGAACCAAAGGAAATAACATTGAAGAAGGAAAACAATATGTAGAAAGTATTTTAGAAAGTAACCTGTCTTTGATGATGCTTCTCTTACCATTTAGTTTTTGTATATTACCCTGGGGCAGTGAAGCCCTAGGTGTGCCCACCAGTATGAGTTGCCATTAAGACCTCAAGCCCTTTATTCTTAAAAGGGTTTTTAATAAAGTCTTTCTCAAATGAGGTAGAATCTTAGCCAGTGAGAAAAAAAATTATTTTATGCTCCTTTTTTTTCGCACTCTTAAGACTGAAAATTGGCGTTGAGTGTTATAGTGAAAATTTTCCAGTTTGATAATTGATGGTCAGAGCCAGCACTGGAATTTTGAAAACAAATAAGGTGATTATCTATTTTAGGTACCGTTTCACATTTTCTATAGCATGCACACTTGTTGCTACCCTCATTTTGTAACCAATTTATTTGCCTTATGAATGTGATTGCAGCTTTGAACATTCTGTACTATAATGGTTGCTAAGAAGAATAAGTCCTTCTGTTTTCTCTTTAACATTTAAAATATCTCAATGCACATGATATAATTAAACACTAATAATACCATGACTGCATAGCTAATATTAGCTGCTATTGCATGCTCCTAGATGCTAGAACTTATTGGGCATGTGGTATACTGAAGCAATACCCGTTAGACAAGGATATTTTACTTCTTCCAGACACCAGAAGAAATGGCCTTCAATTATTTGAAAAGAGACACAGAGACACCTCTGGCTACCTAGAGTTCTTCCTGTCTTGACCCAATTTATGAGAAAGCTCCCAGTTGGGACTTTATCTCACAAGTGGAATCACAGTCAAGACGGATCAATAATATGGTTTGGCTCAGCAAAGCCAGCTGTGCTCTTTTAGGGTTTAAACAAGCCACACGTTAGAAAGCAACACTGTTTTTATGTAGTTCATATATATTACCATGACATTTAACATCAATATCGTATATGTTGAAGGAGGTATAATAAACTCAGTCATATATAGTGAACAGTTCAAATGGGAAAGTGTTCTAAAACATATTATTTGAGATTTGTCATATTCATCTTTGGTTTACTAAATTTACTTAGAAATATTTGAAATGCAAAATTGTGTGAAATCACCTTATCAAATTAAAATGGGAAGAAAGTAATTTTAATAATTTTTAATAATCATATGTCAGCATTCTGACTACTTACCACATCAAATCTGGGCCCAAACAGCCTCAGTTAACTGCATAATTCAGGAACAAAACCAGCTTGCTTTGTTGCACGCCTGGGCAATTTCAGCCAGGACATTAGGACCACTTGTTGTACATCTGAATAATTATGGAAGTTGGGACATGTTAAGGAAAACAAATATGTTCATCACCAACAATCAGCTGTCATTTTATTAATCTATCCCTTTTGTGCATGCACCATTTCTCTCTTACTAACAGTTTCATCTGTTCACATTTTCCTTGATTCAAATATTAAAGTTCAGACAACTATTCTGAGTTTTTTTTCTTCTGTCTCTGGTTTCCTTGCATACCTCCTTGAGAACGTTGTAACAGAGGATATGGTATTCCAAAGCACTAGTGATGAAAGTAACTTCTTCTTGCTGGCTTTATCTAATTTTAGTTTGTACAGTTATTTCTACTTTATATAATTAAATAAGGCCCACATACCAGCATCAAAGAGAAATAGGTAAAATTTCCTTTCTGTAAGTGTTGGGGAATAAGTTACAACAACAGAGAGCTGAGAATTTTCCTTTTGGGGTGGGGCTGGAGGGGGGATGCTTTTCTAAGTCTCTGTCAAAAAGGTCTTCTTTTAATTAGAACTTTATCTCTGTTTCTCACTGTAAATGGCTGTGAATGACTTCCCCCGCTATTCCTATAAACATCTGCCACGCATATGAAGTCAGCTTTCCAAGTGGTATCTTGATATCTTGCAATGTTTCTGGCTAGCACTGAGAATCATCTTATACTGGCTCCATGCCAATGGGAGACCTACTTTAGCTTAATTTACTGGTAATTAACTCCACAGGACTGATTCACTTTTAATTTCAAGGTAGTAATGATGTGTCTGAAAATGGCTTACCAGGGCACTAGCTGTGAGTGTTGGAGTTGTTGGATTTACAAATTAACAGAGATCATGTTTTTATTTAAATGAAACCACGTATTATCCACTCAGGAATAAAAAAAATCCTAATTGCTGTTGTGGGCTTCCCTATTTTGCCTTTTCTACTTTTTTCTCCCTTTAGATATATGCCTGTTAAGACATATAGCACCTGCCTCTCTTCCCCTTGCATTTTAAATAGCTAAATTCTAGGATGTAATAGAATTACATATTACCCCTAGCACTTCCCTTCTTCCAAATTGTAGTATGTGAATAAACAAGAATTGTTTTTCACAAAAGCATCCACAGGTGATCTTTGTTTTAAACAAGACAGGGAGGGTTCCAAGATCAGACAAGTTTTCCTGTGTCTCAGAATTAGGGAGAAAATTTCTACAATGGGGGTATTGTTTTTTTTTCAGGAGGACCCAGTTGGAGGATAGAGTGGGGCTGAGGAAGGGGGAAGGGGCTTATTTTAATCCTCACATAGAGAAAGTCCTTGAAAAGACCTGCTTACCAATGGAATGTCAGCTTGCTTTAAACTAATGGGCAGTGCAAGCTTGTTTTTCTGATAATAACCACATTGGTCAACTTCACTGTCTCATGTGTGACCTTTCTTCTGTCTCCCAGCATTCAGACAATGCTCATCTGGCTCTTTAGTAGTCCTAGGAGCTGACTTGACAAAAGACATCAGTAGCATAAGTTAAATTCAAGAACACTGAGAAAAATTGTAGATATCCCTTACTTTTGAGGCCTGTCCTTAAAGTTTGTGGGTTGCTGGGCAAGAGTGGAGCTCCAGATGGAGCTCTCAGTCTTCAGGAACAAGGTGGGAGGACCCTTTCTTCCCCCCTCCATTTTAACATCTCAAGGGTCCTCATACATAGGTGTATGACTCAGCCCACAATTCCCAGTTCTGCCTACAACCATTCCCTCACTAGCCACCTTGCCACTACTGGGACCTAATGGTGGAACACAAGCAGGGGCCAGAGCATCCCCTGGGAGTGGCCTCGAGCCATTTGGGCATGGAATTCCTGGGTTCCAAGTACCAGCTCCTGTTGCGGGAGGCACAGGCTCTGAGTGGGCACATTTCATTGGGACTTCTTTCCCTTTGGGAAGGGTAGCCAGAAAAGGGCAGAAGCAGAGCTTTTAAGGCCTGAGACCCAGGCTGGGTTCCCACATTCTCTAAGGGCAATACTGCTTCCAATACAGCTTGCACATACGCCCTCTAGAGGCATCCTTTCCTAGCCCCTCCCATCTTCAGGGACTTTTTAAACAGGTGCCACACACAGAGTGCCCAGATACTTAATCATATCCTGCCTGGTGCAATAGGTGAGGAGGATGGTGAGGAGGGAGTAGGATGGATTTATATAAAACAAGAGGTTGGATATTGATGATTGTGGAAGGGGAGTGATGGGTACATGGGGAGGCATTCATTGCACAGTTTTCTCTACTTTTGTGCTGTATCTTTGAAATTTTTCATAATGACAAGTTAAAAAAAGTGAAACTAAACTAAAAAAATAAAGAAAAAAGGAGAAAAGTAAAGAAAGAAAAGTAACATTCCTACGGTCACAGAATGATTAAATGGATGGGCTGGGATTCAAGTCTTTGACTGCAGAGCATGAGGTTGTAAATACTGGGCTGTAGGATAAAATAAGAATTTTAAAGTCAAGAGTAAAATTCTCTCCATGATGTGGCCATTCCCTAACTTCCCAAACCTATCTCTCCCATACTTGCATCCTTGGCTGTTGCCTGGTTGATGTATACACTACCTTTGAAACATGGCCCATGTTCTGTGTCTGAGACTTGGTGTATCCAAAGACATTTCTGGGATGTCCTAACTTTTCATCACTTATCTAGCCTCCATCCTGCCTTCCAAGAAGACTCATTTAGTTTCTGTCTCCTCCTTAGAGCTCCCACCACAGCCATAAGCTCTGTCTCCAAAGAACCGCCTGTACCACTTTGTTCTGACCACATATCCCCTTCTCCTATTGTCTCTTTCTCAATGTGCATGTCTTGTCTTCAAAAACAGATAGGAAAAGGTTTTTGGTTTTGTTTTGTTTTTATTTTTCAATTCCTTTGACTTTTAAGGGCAAATACTGTCTTCTATCTTTTTGTAACCAGTTCTCTGAAATATACCGTATATTTAATACATGTTTATAGTTGAAGACAGTAATTTTAAAAGAAAAAAGGTTTGGTCCTTTCCCTTGAATGTTTATTGTTCTCTTAATGAACTAGACCCAAGAATAAATCCTAGGTCCCACCTTATATCTTACCAAAAGATATTCCAGAGTAATACCTTGTGGGATTATCAGCATTGTAAGTCACATGCTGTTGGTGCTGTCAGCGAGGGTGATTTATACACCTGTCATATCCAAGCGCTGTTCGCACTGACTAATGCAACAATAGAAAGTCTTGGTCCTAATGACTACTTTAAATTCAAAGCCAAATTACTTAAGATGTGCAATTATTTCTCAGGGCCTTGCATAGAAAAACTGTGTATTTTTTTGTTTGTAAAAGCCTTAAACATTGCTATTCAATAGCCATGCAATTTTGCCGGAATGCTAGGAGAAATAACTATGGGAATGTCTTTACGACTCCTTGTCACTTCAAAGCCTAACAGGCCTGAAAAAAGTACTAGACATCATCTAGGATGGCTTCTTGCTATTTTTATTAGATAGAAAGTGCTTTAATTTTTAATCTTTCCTGGTATAAATTAGGCTCCTTTACCATTTTTCTATTTTCAGGGAGTAGAAAACTATGTAGCATCCTTCATATAGTAATGCTGTAACAGATACTCTGCTTTTAGCCAAATGAAAGTTCTATGAAATATTAGCATGGTTGAATCTGCAATTAGCACAAAAATTTTTATTTTTAAAGTGACATTAGTTTTTCTACCTGAAGATTAATGTCTGTTTTCCTAGAAAAGTTTTATTTTTAAAGTGACATTATTTTTTCTACCTGAATATTAATGTCTGTTTTCCTAGAAAAGTTGTAAGGTACAGAAACATTAAAAGATATCGTCCAAAGTTCCACTTCCCAAAGATAATCACCTTTGACATTTTGCTGTATTCATCTACTCTTTCTACTCTTTCCTATGTAAACTTAATTGTACATAATTATAATCAGAAAGTATATACTGACATATGTATTTTTATGTGTGTATGCATACTCACCTATGTAAAAACAGTGTAAGCTAATGAAAGATGTTACAAAGTGGGGCCTAGGGACAGATGGTATTTGCCATTAGTGCTTATAAAAATTAGAATATGTTCAACTATAAGTAACAAACTACCTAACTGAAAATGCTTTAAACACCGATGACATTTAAGCATAATGCAAGAGAAGTCTGGAGGTAGATGCTTTCAGAATTTGATTAGTAGCATAATGACTAGCAACAAGTAGCCTAACAGTAGCAACAAGTAGCCTACTAGTAACAAGTAGCTGTCACTAGTCCAAGTGGAGAGGGGAGGAGGGAAAGACCACATCTCTTGCCTTTAAAACCTTGTTAAATTAGCTCCACCCTGTTGAAAGACTTGTACTAGTAGCTACTGCCTATTTACCAGGTAACTCACTTTACCTCCAAGGGGTAAACATGGGGCAAGACTGGGTGCAGTAGCTCACACCTGTAATCCTAGCACTTTTGGAGGCCGAGGTGGGCGGATCTGTTGAGGTCAGGAGTTCAAAACCAGCCTGGCCAACACGGTGAAGTCCCATCTGTACTAAAAATACAAAAAATTAGCGGAGTGTGGTGGTGCATGCCTGTAATCCCAGCTACTCAGAAGGCTGAGGCAGGTGAATCGCTTGAACTCGGGTGGTGGAGGTTGCAGTGAGCTGAGATCCCGCCACTGCACTCCAGCGTGGGAAACAGAGTGAGACTCTGTCTCAAAAACAAAAACAAAAATAAACAATCAAAAACAAAAACAAAAAACCATGGGGCAAGAAGCCAGGGGTGCGAAGCAAAAATTCCTCTTCGTGGAGACCAGAGAAGTGAGGAAATGTCATTTTCCTCTCAAAGGACAGACGCTGTGATTTTGAACCAGGATGCAGTCAGGAGTGGCAGGCTGACTTATGGGGAAGGGACTCAAATGAGCCATGGACCTGCTTTTCTATCCAGTTTTATCAGAGGAAATTCCTCTCAGTTTTTGGCCATAGGTAAACTGCCAGTTGTATCAGGGAGCTTTACCCAGGTATCATTTAAAATAGACAAGTGTAGTCTCCAGATCTGGGAAAGAATAATTTTGGTCATATTTAAAGTGTAATTGAAGAAGGAGATAATTAGTTTGGAGAAGAGAAGACTAAATGGAAAAATGAAGTTATTTTCAAATACCTGGAAGACTGGCAAGTGGAATAATAATGCTGGCTTCCATTTATTGATAACATACTATGTGTCAGACACTGGGCTGTGCACTTTATGTACATTACCTCATCAAATTGTACAACAACCCTATAAGAGAGATATTATGATTTCAGTTTTATAGTCAAAAATCCTGTTTTTTTGAAGCTAGACTTGCCCAATGTCACTGGCAAGGGAAAGAGATGATAGTCGAGCTCAAGTCCAGCTGACTCAAAAGCCCAGGCTTGTGAACACATCAGACTACAGAAGACGGGGGAAAGGTGTGGTATGAGGTTCAAAAAGCAAAATTTGGCCAGGCACAGTGGTTCATGCCTATAATCCCAGCACTTTGGGAGGTCAAGGTGGAAGGATTATTTGAGGCCAGGGGTTCAAGACCAGCCTGAGCAACATAGTGAGACCCCATCTTTACAAAAAAAAAATACAAAAATTAGCTAAGTGTGGTGGCGTACCCTGTATTCCTAGCTATCAGGAGGCTGAGGTGGGAGGATTGCTTGAGCCCACGAGTTCGAAGTTGCTGTGAGCTATAATCACCTCATTGCACTCCAGCCTGAGTGACAGAGTAAGATCCAGTCTCTTAAAATAATAATAATAATAAAAGCAATTTTTTAACTCAGTGGGCAGGAGACAGATTTCAGCTTAATTTGAGAAATAACTTTATAGATGCTGAAAATACTATGGGCTGTCTCAGGAGATTGTGACTTCCTTAATGTTTAAGAAATTTAAGTAGGATGTGGAGGATTATCTCTGGAAAGGATGTCTATATTATGTGGAAGTTTCACCAGATTAATTCTGAGATGTCTTTCAAGTCTAATTTCTATGATTGTAAAATATTTCTTCTGCTTGGAGGTGACAAAATCTTTCTTGCCCAGGGGCTATAACACTTCAAATGATTAGCCAGAATTACTCTTGGCAAAAACCTCACCGATACCAAGCAATAGGAAAGCAAGCCTAGGTGACTAGGGATGTCCCTCCTTGGGCATAGGAATATAAATATACCATATTCTTAGTGCTGTTTCCCCCTTTCTACTTATCCCTGTTAATATCCCTTTTGTTCCTACCTCATCCTCAAACCTTTAATGGAATATAGGCTGAAAGAAGTCCATTTTGCTTAGATTTTCTCAGGCTAAATATTGAGGACTGCTGTGCTACCTGATTAACTTAAAACTTTTTATAAGTACAACACTTTTGATGACATTGATGGAGTTGAACAGATTTCAGAGAACGCTGCTTAGATGAGAAATAAGCTCTGGCTGGCTTCCATGTGAATGTTACCCTTTATGAAAATTGTTCCTGGCTAAGTTTTTCTGGTGCGATAAAGTCCCAAGCAGATCTAAGCCAAAGCCTACTTATTTGTACGTTCAGAAATGGTAGAGCACTGTGACAATCTGGCTCTTCCCAGTGTTTTGACACATGAGAGCTAGATTGATATACTACAAGTTACCAATACAAAAGCTTAGCGCAGAGATATTTTGGATTTGTTGAAGACCTATAATTGAGTCTAGTGTATATAAACCTAAAATCTTTAGTCTCTGCATTTTCCAATTTACTTGAACAAAAATTTTGAAACCCATCAATTTATAAGAACAAAAATATCCTGGCATTAGGATATGGAAATGATGCCACTGACCTTCTTTTACTAGAAGTGAGTACAGCCTTCTTTATTATCTTTATCATTGTTATTGTCATTGTCATTATCATCATCGTCATCATCAAAAATGTTCACAAACAGCTCACTGTTATATATAAGTTGGCTTTTGCTGCTTAACAAAGTATCCCAAAACATTGACTTAAAATAACAAAATTGATTAGCTCATGGTTGTATGGGTTAGCAATTTGAATGGGGTCATATGGGTGATTCTTCCACTGGTCTCATCTGAACCCATTCGTGATTTTGCACTCAGCTGGTGGTCCATGGTCCACATACCTGCCTGGCATTTCACTGGCTGTTGACTGGACTAGCACTTGAATGACTGTGCTAGATCAGGCTTACTTACGTGATGGTGGTCTCATAGTCAAGTTTCTCCTTCTGCTGCATTTGCTAATGTGACTTGGCAAAAGCAAGTCACAGGGCCAACCCAGATTTGAGGGATAGAAAAATATACTCCACCTTTTGGTAAGAATATCTTCAAAGTCACATTGCAAGGGCGGATTCAGGGAGGGAAAGGATTTTTGGCCATTTTTACGTCCTTGTCCTTACGGGTCTTACAATATCATTATGGAGATAGAACAGAGGTATGAACAGATAACTAGCTGCCCTAAGTATTTGTGCCTATAAGGTAGAAAGTAGGAAGAGATCAGTGAAGTCTGAATTGCTTCACAGAGAATGTGGGATTTAATATAGAAGAGGGAAGAGCATTGTAAACACAGAGAAAGGAGCAGAGATACTATATCAATTTTCTATTGCTGGCATAACAAATTGCCAGGAACTTCATGGCTTAAAATAACACCAATTTATTATTTTACAGTTCAGTAGATCAGAAAGCTAAAATAAAAATTTTGGAAGGCTAGGTTCCTTTCTGGAGGCTAAAGTGGTGAATCCATTGCTTCTTCATTTGAGTTGAGAATTTATCCCCTTGCAACTGTAGGACTCAGGTCTATGGTTTTTTTTTTGCTGACTATAAACTGAGAACCATTCCCAGCTCTAGCGGTGCTTTAATTACTGTGCTTTTGAGATCTTACTAAAAAAAATCTTTGCTCAGACCAATGTCCTAGAGTGTTTTACCAATGTTTTCTTCTAGTAGTTTCATAGTTTGAGGTCTTAGATTTCATCATTTAATCCATTTTGATGTGATTGTTACATGTAGCAAGAGATGGGGTCTAGTTTTATCCTTCTGCATATGGATATCCAGTTTCCCCAGCACCATATAAGACTGCCCTTGGCTGGTCATGGTGGCTCACACCTGTAATCCCAGCACTTTGGGAGGCTGAGGCAGGCGATCACAAGGTCAAGAGATTGAGACCATCCTGGCCAACATGGTGAAATGCCGTCTCTATTAAAAATACAAAAATTAACTGGGCATGGTGGCACATACCTCTAATCCCAGCTACTTGGGAGGCTGAGGTAGGAGAATCACTTGAACCCAGGAGGCAGAGGTTGCAGTGAGCCAAGATCGTGCCATTGCACTCCAACCTGGGTGACAAGAGTGAAACTCCATCTCAAAAAAAAAAAAAAGACTTCCCTTTTCCCAATGTATGTTTTTGATGCCTTTGTCAAAAATGAGTTGGCTGTAACTGCATAAATTTATTTCTGGGTTCTCTATTCCGATCCATTGGTGTATGTGTCTGTTTTCATGCCAGTACCAAACTGTTTTGGTTACTATAGCTTTGCAGTATAATTTGAAGTCAGGTAATGTGATCAGTTTTGTTTTTTGGTTAGGACTGCTTTGGCTGTTCTAGGTCTTTTGTGGTTCCATAAACATTTTAGGATAATTTTTTCTACTTCTGTGAAGAATGTCATTGGCATTTGATAGGGATTGCATTAAGTCTGTAGATTGCTTTGGGTAGTATGAACATGTTAACAATACTGATTCAGCCAATCCATGAACATGAGATATCTTTCCACTGATGTGTCCTCTTCAGTCTTCTCTTTTTCTTTTTCTTTCTTTCTTTTCTTTCTTTCTTTCTTTCTTTCTTTCTTTCTTTCTTTCTTTCTTTCTTTCTTTCTTTCTTTCTTTGTTTTTCTTTCTTTCTTTCCTTCCTTCTTTCTTTCTCTCTCTCTCTCTCCTTCCTTCCTTCCTTTCTTCCTTCCTTCTTCTTTTCTTTTCTTTTCTTTCTTCCTTTCTTCTTTTCTCTCTTTTTCTTAGATAGGGTCTCACTCTGTCACCCAGGCTGGAGTGCAATGGCAGGATCATGGCTCACTGCAGCCTAGACCTCCTGGGCTCAAGCAATCCCCCAACTTCAACATGCTGAGTAGCTGGGACTAAAGGTGCATGCCACTACACTTGCTTAATCTTAAATTTTTTGTAGAGATGCAGTTTCATTATATTGCCTAGGCTGGTCTTGAACTTCTGGGCTCAGTTGATCTTCCTGACTTGGCCTACTAAAGTGTTGAGATTATAGGCATGAGCCACTGCACCCAGCCTCTTCAATTTCTTTAATCAGTATCTTATAGTTTTTCTTATACAGATCTTTCACTCTTTAACTCTTTTCTGTTTAGAAAAAAAGTGCAGCTTGCTGCCAGCACTCACTTAATTTTACATAAACACTCTCTTTGAGGCTGAAGCAAATTGGACTGATTTTCAATGTGAAAATAAAATATAAAAACTGTTCTTGGAGTTATTTCTAAACATAACTAACATCAGAATTGTCTATTTTGAAAAAATCAGATTCATCAAATGAATCTTCAACCAACAACTGTTCGAGAACAGTGTTAACATCATGTGGTAGGAATGCTAAGTTTTTCTGGGATTTGACATTTGCAGCAATCGAGAATTACTATCTTTTGTAAATGGATATACCACTACTAAAACCAGAATGCTATAAATAGAATGATGTCTTTTGTTTCCAAATTTGGTATACTAGAGTGATGCAAAAATAATAATAAAAGAGACATTTTGTGGCAAAGTTATCTCAGGGTAAACACTGCAGCCACATACACCACCAGCAAGTATTCTCAGGGTAAATGAAAAAAAGTTAAATAAGTTTATTTATAAATAGTTTATTTGTTGATATTCTAAATGGGATTACTTTCTGAGTTTCTTTTCCAGATTGTTTGCTCTTGGCATATGGAAGTGCTACTGATTTCTGTGTGTTGATTTTGTATCTTGCAACTTTACTGACTTTATCAGTTCTCATAGTTTTTTGGTGGAGTCTTGAGGTTTTTCTAAATATAAGGTCATGTCATCTGTAAACAAGGATAATTTTATATCTTATTTTCCAATTTGGATGCCCTTTATTTCTTTCTCTTGTATAAATGGTCTGGCTAGGACTTCAAGTACTATGTTGAATAAAAGCAGTGAAAGTGGGCATCATTGTCTTGCTCCAGATCTTAGAGGAAAAGCTTTCAGTTTTTCCCCATTCAGTATGGTGCCAGCTGTGAGTTTGCTGTATATGGCTTTTATTATGTTGAGGTATGTTCCTTTTATACCCAGTTTGATGAGATTTTTTATTACGAAGGGATGTTAAATTTTATCAAATGCTTTTTCAGCATCTATTAAAATAATATGGTTTATGTTCTTCTTTCTATTGATGTGATGTATCACATTTATGATTTGCATATGTTGAACCATCCTTGCATGCCTGGAATAAATCTCACTTGGTCATGATGAATGGTCTTTAAAATATGTTGTTGAATTCGGTTTGCTAGTATTTTTGTGGATGATTTTTGAAGCTAAGTTCATTAGAGATATTGGTCTGTGGTTTTCTTTTTTTGTTGTGTCTGTCTTGTTTTGGTATCAAGGTAATACTGGCCTTGTAGACTGGGTTTGGAAGCATCCTCTCCTCCTTGATTTGTTGGATTGGTTTGAGTTGAGTTGGGATTGGTATTAGTTTTTCTTTAAATGTTTGATAGAATTCAGCAGTGAGGCCATCATGTCCCAGGCTTTTCTTTAATTGGAGGCTTTTTATTATTGCTTCTATCTTGTTACTTGTTATTGGTCTATTAAGGGTTTGGATTACTTCATGATTCAGTCATGTTATGTTATATGTATCTAGGAATTTATCAATTTCTTCTAGGTTTTCCAATTTATTGGCATAGAATTGCTCATAATAGTCTCTAATGAGCCTTTAAATTTCTGTGGTATCAGTTGTAATGTCTCCTTTTTCATCTCTTATTTTATTTTTTTGGGTTTTCTCTCTCTCTTTTTTTTCTTAGTTAGCCTGGCTAAAGTTGTCAATTTTGTTTATCTTTTCAAAAAAACAACTTTTGTTTCATTAATCTTTTGTCATGTTTTTGTAGTCTTAGTTTCATTTATATATGACTGATCTTTATTATTTCTTTTCTACTAATGTTGGGTTTCATTTGCTCTTGCTTTTCAAATTCTTTAAGATGTATCATTAAGTTGTTTATTTGAAGTTTTTCTACCTTTTTGATGTAGGTGATTATTGCTATAAACTTCCCTCTTAGTGCTACTTTAGCTGTATCCCATAGATTTTGGTATGTTGTGTTATCATGTTCTTTTGTTTCAAGAAATTCTTACATTTCCTTCTTAATTACGTCATTGACTTTTTAGCCATTCAGGAGCATATTATTTAATTCTCCATGTGTTTGTATAGTTTCCAAAGTTCCTCTTGTTTTTGATTTCCACTATATTTTATTCCACTTGTTTCCAGTTGTTTTTGTTCCACTATAAAAACAAGTTTCCACTTGTTTTTATTCCACTATCGTCAGAAAAAATACTTGATACAATTTCAATTTTTTTTTTGTTTTTTGAGACTTGTTTTCTGGCCTAGCATATGGTCTATCCTTGGGAATATTTCATGTGCTGAGCAGAAGAATGTGTATTTTGCAGCTGTTGGATATTCTGTAAATGTCTGTTTGGTCCATTTGGTCTATAGAGCAGATTAAGTCTGATGTTTCTTTGTTGATTTTCTATCTAGATGATCTGTCTGATGATAAAAGTGGGGTGTCGAAGTCCCTAGCTATTGTTATTGGCATCTATCTCTCTCATTAGCTCTAAATATATTTGGGTGCTCCATTATTGGGTGCATATATATTTACAATTGTCATATATTTGTGCTAAATTAACCACTTTTTATTTTATCATTATAAAATAGCCTTCTTTGTCTCTTTTTATAGTTTTGTGTCAAAATCTGTTTTATATGATATAAATACAGCTACTCCTGCTCATTTTGCATGAAATATGTTTTTCCATTTCTTCTTTTTCAGTGTATGTGTGTCTTTACAGGTGAAGTGTTTCTTGTAAGCAGCACATAGTTAGGTCTTTTTTTTTTTAAATTTTTTATTTCCATAGGTTTTTGAGGAACAGGTGGTATTTGGTTACATGAGTAAGTTCTTTAGTGGTGATTTCTGAAATTTTGGTGCAACCATCACCCAAGCAGTATACACTGAACTCAGTTTGTAGTCTTGTATCCCTCACCCCCCTCCCACCCTTTCCCCAGAGTCCACAAAGTCCATTATACCATTCCTATGCCTTTGCAGCCTCATAACTTGCTCCCACTTATGAGTGAGAACATAAGATGTTTGGTTTTCCATTCCTGAGTTACTTCACTTAGAATAATAGTCTCTAGTTCCATGCAAGTTGCTGCAAATGCCATTAATTTGTTCCTTTTTACGGATGAGTAGTATTCTATCATCTATCTATTATCTATCTATCTATCTATCTATCTATCTATCTATCTATCTATCATCTATCTATCATCATCTATCTCTATCTATCTACCCATCTATCTATCTATATATCTATCTATCACTATTTCTTTATCCACTCATTGAAATGGGCATTTGGATTGGTTCCATATTTTTGCAATTGCAAATTGTGCTGCTATAAACATGCATATGCAAGTATCTTTTTTGTATAATGACTTCTTTTCCTCTGGGTAGACACACAGTAGAGGGATTACTGGATCAGATGGTAGTTCTACTTTTAGATCTTTAAGGAAACTCCACACTGTTTTTCGTGGTGGTTGTACTAGTTTACATTCCCATCAGCAGTGTATAAGTGTTCCCTTTTTACTGCAACCTTGCCAATATCTGTTATTTTTTGACTTTTGATTATGGTCATTCTTGCAGGAGTAAGGTGGTATCACATTGTGGTTTTGATCTGCATTTCTCTGATCATTAGTGTTGCTGAGCATCATATATTTGTTGGCCATTTGTATATCTTCTTTTGAGAATTGTTTATTAATGTTATTAGCCCACTTTTTGATGGGATTATTTTTTTTTTCTTGCTAATTTGTTTGAGTTCCTTGCAGATTCTGGATATTAGCCCTTTGTCGGATATATTGACTGTGAAGATTATCTCCCACTGGGTCCTCATCTCTCACCTTATAAAAAAAACAACTCAAGATGGATCAAGGACTTAAATCTAAGACCTGAAACTATAAAAATTCTGGAAGATAACATTGGAAAACCCCTTCTAGACATTGGCTTAGGCAAAGACTTCATGACTAAGAACCCAAAAGTAAATGCAACAAAAACTAAGATAAATAGGTGGGATTTAATTAAACTGAAGAGATTCTGTACAGCGAAAGGAACAGTCAGCAGAGTAAACAGGTCTTATTTTTTATCCATGTAACCACTCTGTTTTTTGATTGAAGGATTCAGCCCTTTTACATTCAATGCTATTATTGATAGGTAAGGACTTATTACTGCTGTTTTATTATTTGTTTTCCAGTTGTTTTGTTGGTCCCCTTTTCCTTGATTCTTTCCTTCTTGTCTTCCTTTGTGTTAAAGTGATTGTATTTGGTAGTATGTTTAATTTCTTGTTTTTCAGTCTATGTGTATCTATTACAGCCTTCTATTTTGTGATTATCATGAGATTTACAAATAATATCTTATAGTAAATGAATTTAAACTGATGACAACTCTACTGTCATCAAAAAAAGAAGGAAAAAATCTCAAACTAGTAAAGGTAAAACTAAAAAAATGACATAATCTATATTTTAACTTTATCCCCTCAACATTTGGACATTATGTTTTTTCTCTTTATAACTTTTTATATTGCCTACTTCTTTAAAAAGTATTGTAATTATTTTTGATAGGTTTGTCTATAGATTTCCTACTAAAGATATGAATGATTTATACATCATAATCACAGTGTTGGATTAGTCTGTATTTGTCTATGTACTCACTTTTCCCAGTGAGTTTTGTACCTTCAGATGATTTCTTGTTGCTTGTTAACATATTTTTCTTTCAGACTGAAGATCTTTCATTAGCATTTCTTGTAAGACAGGTCTGGTGTTGATGAAATTCTCAGCTTTTGTTCATCTGGGAGAGTCTTTATTTTTCTTTTATTTTTTAAGGATAATTTTGCTGGACATAATATTCCATGTTGGACATTTTTGTCCTTCAGCACTTTGAATATGTCATCACATTCCCTCCTGGCCTGTAAGATTTCCACCGGGAGGTCCACTGCCACACATATCAGAGATCCTTTGTGTGTTATCCTTCTTTTCTCTTGCTGCTTTTAGAATGCTGTATTTATCCTTGACCTTCAAGAGTAGCCCTACTTGGGTTGAATTTTCTTGGTGTTCTTTGACCTTCTTGTACCTGAATATTCATATCTTTCTCTAGGTTTGAAAAACTCTCTGTTATTATTTCTTTGAATAAACTTTCTACTCCAATCTCTCTCTCTGCATCTTCTTTAAGGCCAATAACTCTTATATTTGCCTTACTGAGGCTAATTTTAGATCTTGTAGGAGTGCTTCACTCTCCTTTGACTGTGTATTTTCACATAGCCTGTCTTTTACTTCACTAGTTCTTTCTTCTGCTTGGTCACTTCTGCTATTGAGAGACTCTGGTGAACTTTTCAGTTTGCCAATTGAGTTTTTTAGCTCCAGAATTTCTGCTTGATTTTTAAAAAATTATTTCAATCTCTTTGTTAAATTTCTCTGATGAAATTCTGAATTCCTTCTCTTATCTTCCTTATGTTAAAATTCGTTACATTTCCTCAAGACATCTTTTTTGAATTCTCTGCCTGAGGGTTCACATATCTCTGGCACTAACTTTGCTTTGTGAGGACATATTTTCCTGGATGTTTGATGGTTATGGACATTTTTCAATATCTAGGAATTGAAGAGTTAGTATTTATTCCAATCTTTGCAGTCTGGGCTTGTTTATACCCTTCCTTTTTAAAAGGATTTTCCAAGAATTCAAATGGGATTGAGTACTGTGACCTAAGCCTATGGTCACTGTAATCATTGTAGTAATAGGAAGTGCCCTAAGCCCAAGAATGCTGTGATTCTTGCAGATTCCTACATACACAGCCTTTGCGGACTTGGTGAAGATAAGAAATAATTCCCCGGGCTACCTGGCAAAGTCTCTTGCTCTTTTCCCTCTTTCCCCCAATCTGAAGGAATTTTTCTCAGCACTGGACTGCCTGGAGTTGAGGATAGGTGATTGGGCACTTCCATGGCTACCACAGCTGGCACATTGCTGGGTCACAGCTGATGCCCATGGCCTTCCAGATCAGCACAGTACTGGGGGTTGTCCAAAGCCTGTGGCCATTACTGTCTGGCTGCTGCTGATGTTTATTCAAGGCCCAAGGCCATTTTAGTCAGCAGGTGGTGAATCCTTCCAGGACTGGGTCTGTCCCATCAGAGCTGTGGATTCCTTTCCAGCTCAGGGTGGGTCCCGAAATGCCATCTGGGAGCAAAGGCCTGGAATTGGTGGCTTCAGGAATCTGCCTGGTACTTTATTTTACTGAGGCTTAGCTGGTATCCAAGTTTCAAGACACAGTTCTCTGTATTCTTTCCTCTCCTTCCCCCAAGTGGAATGAGTCTCTCCCTGAGCTGTACTGCTTGGAGTTGGGGAAAGCGTGATGCACACAGGCATTCCTATGGCCACTGGAACTGGTATCACACTGGGTTGCATCCCAAGCTTCCTGCATCTAAGACCAGTGCAGCACCGGGGCTTGCCCAAGGACAGCAGTCCTTGTTTCCTGACTTCCATTCAAATTTATCTGGGGGCTCAGACCACTTTAGTCAGCCAGTGGTGAAGCTGACCAGGATGTGGGTTTCTCCCACTGGAGTGGAGAATTCCCCTTGGGTCCAGGGCTGCTATAAATATTCCCTTTGTGGACACTGGCAGAATTCTGCCCTATGTTATGTTTTGTTGTGACAGGGCAGCACTTAGTTCCAATGCAAAGTTCAACACTCACTTTGCTCTCCCTTCCCTAACCATGTAGATTCTCTCTGGGCTGCACTGCCTGCAGTTGGGGAAGGGACAGTGTAGACAATGTGAGGCTATCTTTCCTATCCACTCAATATCTCTTTCTTTGTTATTATGTTAAAACTAGGTACTGTGATTGCTACCCTGTTTTTTTGTTCCTATGAAGGTGCTTTAATTAGTTGTTTAATTTGGTGTTCCTGCAAGGGGTCATTCACTGGAGAGTTCTATTTGGCCATCTTGCTCTACCTCCACAATCTTTAACCTTAATCTTAATACAAGGTCCATTTTGTCATGTAAAGTAACATTAATACAAGGTCCTTTTTGTCATGTAAAGTAACATTAATACAAGGTCCTTTTTGTCATGTAAAGTAACATTCATAGGTTCTGGGGATAGGGATGAGATTTTTTTTTGGGGGAGCCAATATTCTGCCTACCACAGACATGGAAGCAAAATGGTAAATGTTTTGTTTGACTGGAAATTAAAATAATTATATGGAAAAAAGGGGTAGAAGGTAAGATTGCACTGATCCAGCCACATTCCTTATACTTATTCCATTCTCAGGCCAATTTTATGACTGGGATTTTTAGACCTATGCTTTCTTTGACTAACCATAAAAATCTTAGAATTTCTTAGAGATTGTGAAACTTTTTCTTCATATCACTATTAGTTAAGAAATGTACACCAAGTTTTACTCTTTAGTGTTTGTATTACCAAACAATATTTTAAAAAATATAAAATGTATATTGAAAAAGCTACATATTCCCTCTCCAATCCCAGTCTGCCTGCATCCTGGAGAAGCTAGAATATAAACCTCCTATTATCTTTTTAACTCCCCACTCCTGGGAGTCTCCCCACCACCATGAAATAGAGATTCTTTCTGTGAAATACTTCCTCTGTGCTAACATCACATTTCAGCTCTTTTGTTGACACCATTTGTTAACCCAGAAAGCTCTCTAAGTTGGCTTTGAACCCTTTGTCATCTTCAGGCCGTTACATAAATTGCATTGATTTGTGGGAGCCTATAACTCATTTTTATAGAATGCAACCATATTTACAAATATAGTAAAAAAAACCTATAACTGTACAATGCCAGTTTCTTATTAACCAATTTTGTTATTGAAAAACATCATGTCCTTGACTAATCTCACAGTCAAATTCTGTTTTGTTCTTTTTGGACTGAGTTTCCCCTACACAAGTTCGAGTCCAGAGTGTTGTTACAAAAAACATGGAGGACCATCCTTATTCTGAGGAAAAAAAAAAAAAGCCTCCCAACAAAGGCTCTTTGAATCTCTGAGCTGTGGTGAAGATTGAAGGATAAATACTCTTTGTCTTAGAGTCTATCTTCCTTCTTTATTAGGAAAAATCAGTTTCAATTTACTCTGAAAAATGTAAGAACCAGATAATTAATCTGCAGAGATGAAAATCTGAACGCATAAAGGAATGATGATTTGCTGTAGCTAAAAATATACCCCATCCTGATGCATTTCCATCACATGTGTTGTTAACAGTGTGTCCAGGCTTCATCTGCAAATAAAGATATCTCATCAGAGTCTGCAGGCAAGATTCATATACAGTTGGTTTTAATGAGCTTTCCTTGTAAGTCAAATACATTTTAAAGATTTCTCCACTAGACTTTCCCACAGAGACAGGAGGAGGCATAATATATTTTTGTTATAGTTGTTTATAACAAGCCTATTATGTACCTATGTATACTATACAGTCACTGTCGCTGTCTTCAGGGGACTTAGGTCTAGTAGGGGAGAGAAACATGAAACAAATAATTACAAACACAGTTCTTTCATTACAATTCAGATAAATGACAAAATGCAAAAGTGTGATGTGTTGTGAAAATTTACAAAATGGACAACTAAATTAGTTTGAAGTGTCAGAAAAACCTTTCTGTCCAAAGTAAAATCAAATAAAATTAGGAAAATTTAAACATTTTATTGTCATACAATAAAACAAAATAAAATATAAATCACTATCTGGGCATGTTAGTTTGTTTTGCATTGCTATAAAGGAATACCTGATACTGGGTATTTATAAAGAAAAGAGGTTTATTTGGCTCACAGTTCTATAGGCTGTACAAGCGTGACACCAGCATCTACTTCTGGTAAGGCCTCAGGAAGCTTACAATTGTGGAAGAAGGCAAAGGGGGAGTCAGTGTGTCACACGGCAGGAGGGGAAGCAGGAGAGGAGGGAGGTCCCAGACTTTAATTTTAAACAACCAGATCTCACAGTAACTCATTACCACTGGGAGGGTGCCAAGTCATTCATGGGGGATCCATCCCCATGACCCAAACACTTCCCACTAGGCCCCACTACCAACACTGGGGATCGCATTTCAACATGATATTTTGAGGGAACAAATATCAACTAGTAGAGACAGCAATAGTGCAGAAAGAAAATTAGCAACCTGATCTTTTTTATGGGCATACCATTAGATGTAAGAAATCCCATTTCCATACCATACAAAAATAATACATACAAAAATAATGGACTACTCCAAAAGCACATGAGTATATATATTTACAGTTTATCTTTGGTTAATTCACAGTCTTGAGTGAGGGCAATTAATTCCACAGGTTGGGCGTAACTAAATTTAGGAAGTACTCTTCTTTCTAATAATTTGTGTCAGATTGTAACAGCATATACAATTCAGTACTTTCTTTTAGAATTTACGGCATAGTAGCCATCAACATAGATTATCAACTGTAGATTATTCAATAGTGGGTCTTGTAAATCTAATTCAGGAGTAAAATTTTGGAAAACCAATTCAACGCAATAGTGAATCTCTTATTTGTCAGGTAAAGGTAATAGGGTGGGAGAGTTCAGAGAGTTACATCAAATAATAAGTAGGTTTGAAGGAGCTAGAAGCAGGATCTTATAAGATATTAGACTGCTAGCTGAAAAATCATGAGTATATTTAGTATTTAATAAACTTTTTATAAAATGAGGAACTTGCATACATAGTAATTTCCTTGAACAATTCTGAAGAAGATTCTGTAATTCTAGTGGCTGTAGCTATTGCTATTCAACAATTTGGATATGCCTGAGCTATTGGGTCCAACTGTAGGCTGTAATAAGCCAAAGGTCTACTTTTTCTTCCATGTTCCTAAGCAAGGACACTTAAAGCCTGATTGTTTCATTCATGGACAAACAACGTGAAGAGTAACCGGGAAGTCTTAAGGAGGGAGGATTTTGTAAAACCTATGTAAGTTCAGTAAAAACCTTTTAATGTTTGTTTCACAAAGAATAGGTCTCTGAGCACTGTTTTTGGTCAGCTCATAGGGTGAAGAGGCCAAGAAAGAAAAATTGGGAACCCATGACTCGCAAGATATTGAAAGTTCAAGGAATACTCTGAGTTTCTTTTTAGTCACTGGTTTAGGATAATTTTGGATAGTTTTTTTTTATTATTTCTGGAGATAGAAAAATTCCTTTTGCAGATAAATCATGACTGAGGGAAAGTACTACTCCTTGTAAGAGTTGGAATTTATTTTGGGAGGCTTTATAACCCTTACAAGCTAATTGTTTCAGCTAATACAGTCAGCTCTTGGTATCCTTGGGTTCCACATCCATGGATTTAGCCAACTACAGATAAAAAATGTACAGAAAAATTTGCATCTGTAGTAAACATGTGCAAACTTCTTAATTGTTATTTTTCTCTAAATAATACAATATAACAACTATTTACATAGCATTTACATTGTATTAGGTATTATAAGTAATCTAGAGATGATTTAAAGTATATAGGAGGATGTGTGTAGATTATATGGCAATACTATGCCATTTTATATAAGAGACTTAAGCCTCCGATTTTGGTGCCAGAGGGAGGTCTTGGAACAGCTTTCTCAGGAATACTGGGGACAACTGTACATTAAATGAATTTCTGAGTCCTCTTTGAATGAAGAGCAAAGAAGGAAATCATCTACATATTAAACCAAGTGGAATTTCTGGGAAATTGCAGGGTTGGTTTTTAAATCCTGATGTAAAACTGGTAAGAAGTATGAAGAGGCAGGACCTTTAATAGGTGATTGGGTTATGTGGGTTCTGCCCTCATGAATTGATTAAAGGTAAATTTCATCAACTGGTAAATCACTGAGGCATTACTGTCAAAATACATTGTTGATTTTTCCAACAATACAATAAAGGTAAACAATTCTCTTTGTCTATTCCATTTCTGTGAACCATTTGGATTTAGTGAGTACATTTGCCAGTAGGGAGTTTGGGTTAGATACTACAGGAAATCTTGGAATAACAATTGTATTTATATCTCTAAGATCTTGTACAAGTCTTCATTCTTATCTGTGCAGTTTTTTGACAGATAAGATGGGAGTAGTGCAAGGATTGGTACAAGGAATAACAAACCTTTTTTATTAACTCCTCTATTATAGGAGTAAGCCCTTTTATGGCTTTAGGTTTTAAACAGTATTGAGGCAACTTAGGAAGCAATTTTGGAGGATTAATCTGAATTTTAATAGGTTTAGCACTTTTGATTTTTCTCACATCTGTAGAAGAAGATATCCATAGAGTGTCAGGAATTTCAGAGACATCTATAATATCTATATTTTAATGAAATTTAGTAGTTTCCTCAGCACAATTTGGGTTTAGAAAACACATAATATTTCAGTGTCTAATAAATCTTGACTTTCTAATGTTGTTTCTCCTAAGGAAAATTGAATTTGACCTCTCAGTTTAGAAAGCAGGTCTCTACCTAGGGCAGTATTATTACCTAACAGAAAAGCATAATTTTCAGAGAAGGGGCAGAGGGTGATAGTTATGAGTTCCAATAAAAAAACCTTTGAATTTCAGAGAGTTTCCACCATTGAGTTTTTTTTTTTATTATTCTGAAGAAGTTCTTGATTTATCATGGTGGAGTTCAAAGTGGAGAGAGTTGCTTCAGTGTCTACTTACACAGAACAAATTTCTCTATTTTTAAAATTTAGTTTCCGTTTGTTGATTTAAAGAAATTATTGGAAGTGGTTTACCTTGCCATTCCTTGGAGCCCCATTAGTATTGACAGTTATCATAGGAGTCAGAAAGTTCAGAATCTCCCTTTTGTTTCCAGTCTGATAGTCTAGATTGCTGTGTTAAGGGGTTTAATGGGTAATTCTTCCAATGTCCTATTTGTTTACAATAATGAAAAATGTCTTTATTGAAAGAGTTGTTGGATAAAGGTATTTTAAAGTTAGGCTGAGGCCCCTGCAATGACTGTAATTACAAAATCATCAATTTATTTGTCTGGTGGTTACTTTATTTGTTCTAAGTTTTTCCCAAAATGTTTTGCTAAATATTGTAATACTGTCATGGGAGTCACTTCGCTTTCTACTTTATGTTTCTTTCATACGTCACTTATCTGTATGTGCAGCCCATTAACAAAATGGGCTGACATAGCCACTTCATCATTTTGGCCACTATGGCCAAAATGTTTAAATATTTTGTACTGTTTAAGTATTTTTTTCTAAGCAGAAACAATAATCCACAGCAGATTCGTCTTTTTTCTGTTTGCAAGATTGGTTTATGGCCTTGCTATGGTTTGAATATAGTTTGTCCCCTCTGAAACTCATGTTTCATCTTAACCTGCTATTAAACAGTACTGAGAGGCAGGAGGTTTAATAGGTGATTGGGTTATGTGGGCTCTGCCCTCATGAATTGATTGATAGGTTAATGGATTAATAGGTTATCATGGAAGTGGGTTAGTTATTACAAGAGTGGGTTTGTTATAAAAGCCAGTTTGGCCATCTCTAATGAACTCTTCACCATGTAATGCCTTGTGCCAACTCCTGACACTGCAGTTTCCAACAGCAAGAAGACTCTCTCAAGGTACACTCCCTAGACCTTGGACTTCCAAGCTTCTAGAACTGTTAGGAATATTTATATTTTATAAATTACTCAGTCTAAGGTATTCAGTTACAGCAGCAGAAAATGGACTAAGACATGGACCAATCTGTTCTCTTAGAAAAAGCCTCAGACATGGTTTCTTTTTAGTCTACTCTTAGAAGCATGCTTAACAGAATCTTCAAAATCTTTAATGGGATTCTTCCAATCCATTTCTTGAAGCCATTTTTGAATACCTCCAGGGCTGAGTACCACGTAAACAAATTGATATAAATCAGGGATTCCTGGATCATAAGCACCCAAAGGAATTTAAAATTCTTGTTTAAATTTAGTTTAGTCTCTTTTAAGGTCTGGAAAATTATGTGGCTTGGAGTTCAGCTAGAGATAAAAGTTTAAATTCTGCTGAGATTGGTACCCCAGGTTCATTAGAAAGTCTTATTTTAAAGGGCATTTTATGGTGAAACGGTTTGGAGGAAACAGCAAAGGATCAACAGTTAGTAGTTTCAGAATAATTAGGGAATAGATGATATAGAGAAGCAGAGAGATTTAACAGGCGGTTCTGTTGCATCAGTACAGTCAATCTGAATTTTGGTCTTTACTTTCTTATTAGCATGCTGTAAGGATTTTTTAGAGAGGTGATTCTAGAGTCATTTTGTCTTTCAGAAGCCTCTTTATACCAATTGAAGAATGTATCCCATTGTTTTGGGGAGGTTTCATATTCTCCTTTTTTCAAGGTGCCTCTAAGATAAGCTTATTTTATCTAAGTTAAAGGTTCTCCAAGTGGCTTCGGCAATTCTAAATTACCCTTAGAAAAGTTCACCCATTTTTCTGAAAAGACACAAAATCTCAGCCTATAGTTCTTAAACATGTAAGTAGCTGGAAGATTTCCAGGTGCTGTGGACTGAGAGGAACTCATCCTAACCTTTGTAGTCCTTAAGATGTCAAGTAAACCCTGGAGGGGCTAGACAAAGGAGCTACTGTTCTAGGACCCAGGGAAACAAAAATCCCTGACCTCACTTTTTGAACAGAAGAGAGCAACTTACCCCAGTTCAGACAAACCAACAGAAACAATCAAAATAACCCTTTTATGTACAACAGAAAGCTCAAATGCAGAGAGTGGTGGCATTTTGCTTTAGCAAAGAGACTGGTGTCATTTTGCCCCTGCCCTAGAGATCTGTGGAATTTTGAACTTGAGAGAGATGATTTAGGGTATCCGGCAAAGAAATTTCTAAGCAGCAAAGCATTCAAGATGTGACCTGGATTATTCTGAATGTATTCAGTTTTAGGTGCTCACAAAGAGATGGTTTGAAATTGGAACTTATATTTAAAAGGGAAGCAGAGCATAAGGGTTTGGAAAATTTGCAGCCTAACCATGTGGTAGAAAAGAAAAACCCATTTTTTTCTGGGGAGAAATTCAAGCTGGCTTCAGAAATTTGTATAAGTAACAAGGAACTGAATGTTGATAGCCAAAACAATAGGGAAAATGTCTCCAGGGCATGTCAGAGATCTTTGCAGCAGTTCCTCCTATCACAGGCTGAGACGCCTAGGAGGGAAAAATGGTTTTATGGGCCAGGCCTAGGACCCAGCTGTTCTATGCAGCCTTGGGACTTGGGGCCCTGTGTTCCAGCGGCTCCAGCTGCAGCTGTGGCTAAAAGGGGACAAGGTACAGCTCATCCATTGCTTCAGAGGATGCAAGCCCCAAGCCTTGTTGGCTACCATGTGGTGTTGGGTCTGTGGGTGTGCAGAAAATAAGAGTTGAGTTTTGGGAACCTCTGCCTAGATTTCAGAGGATGTATGGAAATGCCTGGATGTCAAGGCAGATGTCTGCTGCAGGGGTAGAGCCTCATGCAGAACCTATGTTAGGGCACTGTGGAAAGGAAATGCGGGGTTGGAGTCCCCTCACAGAGTCCCCACTGAGGCATTGCCTAGTGGAGCTGTGAGAAGAGGGCCACTGTCCTCCAGACCCCAGAAAGATAAATGGGAGGTGATTGGATCATGGAGAAGGTTTCCCCCATGCTGTTCTCATGAGGGAGTTTTCATGAGAGCTGATGGTTTTCAAGTGTTGCACTTCCTGGCTCTTGGTCTTTCTCTCACCTGCCACCATGTAAGACGGTAAGACTTGCCTTGCTTCCTCTTCACCTTCTGTCATGATTGTAAGTTTCGTGAGGCTTCCCCAGTCATGCAGAACTGTGAGTCAATTAAACTTCCTTTGTTTATATATTACCCAGTCTCAGGTAGTATCTTTATAGCAGTGTGAGAATGGACTAATACACCATTTTTACCACTTTTACTGCTTCCATCCTAGACGAAGCCACTCTCATTTACCACCACAAAAGCCTCTTAATTGGGTTTCCTGCTATTTCCCTTAATCCTTTTACAATCCATTATCAATGTAGCACATAAAATGCTTCTTTTAACCTACAAGGTAGATCATGTCATGCCTTAGCTTAAAATTCTCTAATGGAATTGCATCTTACTTTAAAAGCTAATTTCCTCTTTAGGACCTACATGACACCATGTGATGCGGCCACTATTAATCTTGCTGATCTCATCTCTTATTATCCTCCTCCTTTGTTTCTCCACTCCACACTGGCTTCCTTGCTGCTTGTCTTTGAGGTGCACTCTCACCACTCCCCTGACGTGTACAAGTAAGTACTTTTATTACCGTCTGTATATCTTTTCTGTGTTTCTTTTACAAATACGAGCTTATATAATTCTTATTTTCTTCTCTTTCTCAAACAAAAATATATACCATATAGACTTCTCTGCACCTTGGTCTTAATTAGTCTGGTAGATCTGTTCATATCAGTGTACAAAGAACTTCTTTCTTTTACAGATGACTTGTATTTCATTGAACAAGTAAATGTACCATAATTTATTTTATAAGTCCCCTGTTGGTGAACTCTTGAACTGTTTTCTAATAGGTTTTAATACAAACATTGATGCAATAACTTTGTACAGATACGTTTTAATATGTGTGAAGGTATACCTGTAAGATAGTTATGGGAATTCTTTGGTCAAAGGGTAAATGTGTTTGTAATTTAGATAAATATTGCCAAATTGTTCTTCTCATCTGCAATGTGTGAGGCAATATATGTTTTTCCACATACATCAACAACAAAGTGTACAGTCACTCTTGAATTGTGTCTACCTAAATTATAATATATGAATTCACAATGTAAATTTATTTGTATTTCCATCATTATAAGTGATAATTAATACATTATGCTTAGGTTGTTAGGGGCCATATTTTTTCTCAATGTCTATACCTTTTACCCATTTTAACTTTAGGATTATTTTTCAATTCCTCTCAATTTCTAGGAACTCTTTTTATATCAAGGTAATAAACCCTTGTCTGTGATATGGTCTGAAACTATATTTTCCTGAATTTGTTATTTGTTTTTGTCTAACAGAATTTTTTTTGTCTTGCACAGTTATATTTATTAATTGTACATGGTGCTGTCTTATATTAATGCTGTCCAAAAGAAATGTAATGCAAGTCACAAATGTGAGCCACATGGGAATTTAAAATATTTAAAACACCACCTTAAAAAAGTAAAAAGAAAAAGAAAAAGTAAAAAAGTAAAAAGAAAAAGAAAAAAAGTAAAAAAAGTCATTACAAGTTTTTCAGGAAAGAGTTATATGAACAATAAATGCTGAGTTTTGAAAATTCAAAACTATTTGTTTATAGCCTTTATGGCTGAAGGACAACATGGCTGGATATACAATTTTGATGTACAGTTTGTTTCTTTTGAGAGTCTTATAGGTTTTGTTACTCTGTATTCCGGTGACAGATGAGAGATATAATGCCAAATGGATTTCTGTTTCTTATAAGTGACTTGACTTTTGTTTTCTTTGCCTGACTTCCAAAGGATTCTTTTTCTATATTCTTTTAAATCTTTAAAGTGTAATAATTTTATTGGGATATTTTATTGTTGAATATTCTGGATCAGTTTTCCCTTTTATACAATTGTGATGGTTAATACTGAGTGTCAACTTGATTGGATTGAAGGATACAAAGTATTGACCCTGGGTGTGTCTGTGAGGGTGTTGCCAAAGGAGATTAACATTTGAGTCAGTGGGTTGGGAAAGGCAGACCCACCCTTAATCTGGGTGGGCACAGTCTAATCAGCTGCCAGCATGGCTAGAATATAAGCAGGCAGGAAAATGTGAAAAGAGAGACTGGCCTAGCCACCCAGGCTACATCTTTCTCCTGTGCTGGATGCTTCCTGCCCTCAAACATAGGACTCCAAATTCTTCAGTTTTGGAACTCAGACTGGCTCTCCTTGCTCCTCAGGCTGCAGACGGCCTATTGTGGGACCTTGTGATCATGTGAGTTAATACTTAATAAAGTCCCGTATATCTGTGTCTATGTCTATGTCTATGCCTATGTCTATGTCTATGTCTATGTCTATGTCTATGTCTATGTCTATGTGTATATCTATGTCTATCTCTATTTCTATCTCCATCTATCTCTATCTCTATCTATCTCTATCTCTATCTCTATCTCATCTATTCCATTAGTTCTGTCCCTCTAGAGAACCCTGACTAATACAGATTTTGGTACCAGGAGTGGAGTTCTAGAGGAACAGAATATTAAGGATGGAGTTCTTTAATTGGTTTTGGGGTTTCTGGAGTTGGCTGCTTAATATGATTAGACCCCAAAATGCTAAGGACTCTACTAAAAGTATGGAGAACACTGATAGTCCTTGGCATGAACTGTTTAGAGAGTTATGCAAAATAAATGCATTTGACACTCCTGATTCATCGTTTGTGAGAGGCAAGGAGTTTAGTGACTCTAGACATTGTACCTTTGACCATATGTGGAGAACCAAGGAACATAATGAAGCTGGTTGGGTATTCCTAAGTTCAGTGGACAAAGTGATGAAGGAACATGATGAACTCAGGGATTCTATCGCCTAGCTTCAGAAGCAGATATTGAGGCTCAAACCTGCTAAGATTGCCCTGGGTGAGAGTCTTATCTCCTGTAGAGAAAGAGCTGAAACTGTGGAAAAACAGACACAAGCTCTTATCTTGTGAGCAAATGATCTGCAATGAAAGGAGCATGCACAGCCTTGCCAGGTGTCTATTGTTAAAAGTCAGGAAACAACAGATGCTGGAGAGGATGTGGAGAAATGGAAATGTTTTTACAATGTTGGTGGGAGTGTAAATTCGTTCGACCATTGTGGAAGACAGTGCAACGATTCCTCAAGGATCTAGAACCAGAAATACCATTTGACCCAGCAATCCCATTACTGGGTTTATACCCAAAGGATTATAAATCATTCTTTTATAAAGACACATGTACACATATGTTTATTGCTGCAGTATTCACAACAGCACAGACCTGGATGCCCATCAATGATAGATTGGATAAAGAAAATGTGGCACATATACACCATGGAATACTATGCAGCCATAAAAAGGGTGAGTTCATGTCGTTTGCAGGGACATGGATGAAGCTGGAAACCATCATTCTCAGCAAACTAACACAGGAACAGAAAACCAAAGACCGCATGTTTGCACTCGTAAGTGGGAGCTGAACAATGAGAACACATGGGCACAGGGAGGGGAACATCACACACCAGGGCCTATCAGGGGGTGGGGGGCTAGGGGAGGGATAGCATTAGGAGAAGTACCTAATGTAGATGACTGGTTGATGGGTGCAGCAAAAAACCATGGCACATGTATACCTATGTAGCACACCTGCACATTCTGCACATGCATCCCAGAACTTAAAGTATCTATATCTATATTTATATCTATATCTATAGTTTTCTACTTTATATGTATCACCATAGCAGCTGGTGCAGAGCTCAGGTGTTTAGAATATTCATTATTTGCTAGATGACCATTATTTCTATTTTCTCTACACCACTCTTTTCAAGATGGTTTTAAAAAACAAAGAAAGGTCTTTGTTTGTCTAATAGCTTTATTGAGGTGTAATTGAAATATAATAAACTGTGCACATTTAAAGTATACAAGTAGGTGCATCTTAACATATTTATACACCATTGAACCTATTACTACATCAAGATAGTGAATATTTCCATCACCTGTAAAAGATTCCCTATGCCCTTTACCTTCCTGCTTATCCCTAGGAAACCACTAATCTCCCTTTTTTCCCACTATATGTTAGATTTTTTTTTAATTTTTAGAATTTTATATAAATGGAATTATATAGTACTCTTAAAAATAATCTTTTGGTGATGAGACACATTTGAAAACTGCTAAAGAATTAACTGTTAATTTGTCTGTCTTTGTAAATAGTTTTCTTTATAAAGTAACAGAAGCATTGTAAAAGGGTAAATAAATGACCATCATAATGACTTAAAAAAAAATCTGGCTTCCTACACTCAGCATAATTATTCTGAAATTCATCTATGTTGTTGCACATATCAATAGTTTGTACTTTTTCATTTTTTTCTCTGTCTTTTTTATATTATCCATTCTATTGTACGGATATACCACAGTTTGTTTCACCATTTAGCTGTTGATAAACATTTGTGTTGTTTTCAGTTTGAGGCTTTACAAATAAAGATGCTATAGATATTTAAAAAAATGAAAAAAGATAATTGCTCAAAATCATACAATTACATGGAAATTAAATAACCAGCTTTTGAATGACTTTTGGGTAAATAATGAAATTACGGCAGAAGTAAAAAATTTTTTGAAACTAATGAGAACAAAGATAACATACCAGAACCTGTGGAACACAGCTAAGGCAGTGATAAGAGGGAAACTTATAGCACTAACATCCACATTGAATAGTCAGAAATATATCAACTTAACAACCTAACATCAAAACTAAAAGAACTAGAAAAGAACTAGAGAACCAAGTGCAAATGAACCCCAATGCTAGCAGAAGAACAAGGAATAACCAAAATCAGAGCTGAATGGAAGGAAATTTAGACAAGAAAAGCCAATCAAAAGATCAGGAAATATAGGAGCTGTTTTTTTTGAAAAAATTAATAAAATAGATTGACAGCTAGCTAGACTAATAAAGAAGAAAATAGAGAAGATCTAAATAAACACAATTATAAGTGACAAAGAGGATATTACCAGTGACTCTACAGAAATACAAATAACCATCGGAGAACATTAATAACACTTCTATGCACACAAACTAGAAGTTCTAGAAGAAATAGATACATTTCTGGACACATACCCTCCCCAGACTGAACCAAGAAGAAATTGAATCCCTGAACAGACTAGTAATGAGCTCCAAAATTGAATCAGTAACAAATAGCCTACTGACCAAAAATGGACCAGGATCAAATGGATTCACACATAAATTCTACTACACGTACTAAGAAGAGCTAGCACTATTCCTGCTAAAACTATTCCAAAAAATTGAGGAGGAGGGACTCCTCCCCAATTCATTCTATAAGGCCAGTATCATCCTGGTAACAAAAGCTGGCAGAGACACAACAACAACAACAACAAAAACTTTAGGCCAATATTCTTGATGAACATTGATGCAAAAATCCTCAGCAAAATACTGGAAAGCCAAACCCAGCACATTAAAAAGCTTATCCATCACAGTCAAGTAGGCTTTATCCCTGGGATGCAAGGTTGGTTCAACACACACAAATCAATAAATGTGATTGATCACAGAAACAGAACTAAAGACAAAAACCACATATTATCTCAAATAGATGCAGAAAAGGCCTTTGATAAAAATTAAACCCCCCAGTCCCATTACTGGTTATACACCAAGATGAATATAAATCATTGTACCATAAAGACACATGCACACAAATGTTCACTGCAGTACCATTCACAATAGCAAAGACATGGAATCAACCTATATGCCCATCAATGACAGATTGGGTAAAGAAAATGTGGTGCATACACACTGTGGAATACTATGCACCCATTAAAAATGAGATAATGTCTTTTGCAGGAACGTGGATGGAGCTGGAGGCTGTTATCCTTACCGAACTAATGCAGGAACAGAAAACCAAATACTGCATGTTCTCACTTATAAGTAGGAGCAAAATTATAAGAACTTATGAACACAAAAAAAGAAAAAAAACAGACGTTGCGGGCTACTTCAGGGGGGATGATGGAAAGAGGGAGAGGAACAGAAAAGATAACTATTATATACTGGGTTTAATACCTGTGTGATAAAATAATCTGTACAACAAACCCCGATGACATGTGTTTACCTATGTAACAAACCTTCACACGTACCCCTAAACTTAAACTAAAAGCTAAAAAATATTCAACACCCCTTCATGTTAAAAAATCTCAATAAACCAGGTATTGAGGGAACATACCTCAAAGTAATAAGAGCCATCTATGATAAACCCACAGCCAACATCATACTGAATGGGCAAAAGTTGGAAGCATTTCCCTTGAAAAATGGCACAAGGAAAAGATGCCCTTTCTCACCACTCCTACTCAACATAGTTATTAAAAGTCCTGGCCAGAGCAATCAGGCAAGAGAAAGAGATAAAGGGCAAATAGGAAGAGAGGAAGTCAAACTATCTGTTTTTGCATAAGACATGGAATCAACCTAAATGCCCATCAATGACAGATTGAATAAAGAAAATGTGGGCCGGGCGCTGTAGCTCACGCCTGTGATCCCAGCACTTTGGGAGGCCCAGGTGGGCGGATCATGAGGTCAGGAGATGAGACCATCCTGGCTAACGTGGTGAAACCCCATCTCTACTAAAAATACAAAAAATTAGCTGGGCGTAGTGGCGGGCGCCTGGAGTCCCAGCTACTTGGAACTCTGAGGCAGGAGAAAGGCGTGAACCTGGGAGGCGGAGCTTGCAGTGAGCCGAGATTGAGCTACTGTACTCCAGCCTGGGCGACAGAGCTAGACTCTGTCTCAAAAAAAAAAAAAAGAAAAAAGAAAAAAAGAAAATGTGGTACATATACACCATGAAATACTATGCAGTCATAAAAAATTTATTGATTTTTGTGTATCTAGAAAACTCCATAGTCTCAGCCCAAAAGCTCGTTCAAATGACTTCAGCAAAGTTTCAGGATATAAAATCAATGTACAAAAATCACTTGCATTCCTATACACCAAGAACAGTCAAGCCAAGAGGCAAATCAGGAATGCAAACCCATTCACAATTGCCACACAAAGAATTAAATATCTAGGAATACAGCTAACCAGGGAGGTGAACGATCTCTACAATGAGCATCACAAAACACTGTTCAAATAAATCAAAGAAGATACAAACAAATGGGAAAACATCCCATGCTCATGGATAGGAGGAATCAATATCATTAAAATGGCCATATTGCCCAAAGCAATTTATAGATTCAATGCTCTCCCTATCAAACTACCAATGATACTCTTCACAGAACTAGGAAGAACTACTTTAAAATTCATATGGAACCAAAACAGAGCATGAATAGCTAAGGCAATCCTCAGTAAAAAGAACAAGGCTGGGGGCATCATGGTATCTGACTTCAAATGAGACCACAGGGCTACAATAACCAAAGCAGCATGGTACTGGTGCAAAAACAGACACATAGACCAATGGAACAGAATAAAGAGCCCAGAAATAAGGCTGCATATCTACAATCACCTTATCTTGAACAAAGCTGACAAAAACAAGCAATGGGGAAAGGACTCCCTATTCAATAAAAGACGCTGGGATAACTGGCTAGCCATACACAGAAGATTAAAACTGGACCACTTCCTCACCCCATGTACAAAAATCAACTCAAGATGGAATAAATACTTAAATGCGAAACCCAAAACTATAAAAATCCTGGAAGACAACCTAGGCAATACCATTCGGGATGTAGGAATGGGCAAAGATTTCATGACAAAGACACCAGAAGCAATTGCAACAAAAGCAAAAATTGACAAATGGGATCTAATTAAACTAAAGAGCTTCTTCACAGCAAAAGAAACTATTAACAGTATCAACAGTGTGAACAGACAACCTACAGAATGGGAGAAAATATTTGCAAACTATGCATCTGACAAAGGTCTAATATCCATCATCTGTAAGGACCTTAAATTTACAAGAGAAAAACAAACAATTCCCATTAAAAAGTGGGCAAAGGATACGAAAAGACACTTCTCAAAAGAAGACATAAATGCAGCCTACAAACATATTTTTAAAAAGCTCAGAATCATTGATTATTAGAGAAATGCAAATCAAAACCACAATGAGATACCATCTCACACCAGGCAGATGGCTATTATCAAAAAGTCAAAAAATAACAGATGCTGATGGGGTTGTGGAGTAAAAGAAATGCTTATACACTGTGGTGAAAATATGAATTAGTTCAACCATCTGGAAAGCAATGTGGCGATTCCTCAAAGAGTTGAAAACAGAACTACCATTTGACCCAGAAATCTTATTACTGGGTATATACCCAAAGGAATATAAATTGTTCCATTATAAAGACACATGCCCATGTATGTTCATTGCAGTACTGTTTGCAATATCAAAGACATGGAGTCAATCTAAATGCCCGTCAATGATAGACTGGATAAAGAAAATGTACATATATGCCACGGAATACTATGCAGCCTGAATAGCCAAGGCAATCTGTAGTTAAAAAAAAAAAAACAACAAAGCTGAAGGCATCATGATACCTGACTTCAGCTACCATGCCATAAAAAAGAATGAGATCATGTCTTTTGTGGAAGATGGGTGGAGCTAGAGGCCATTATCCTTAGCAAACTAATGGATGAACAGAAAATTAAATACTACATGTTATCTCTTATAAGTGGGATCTAAATGATAAGAACACAGACACAAAGAGGGAAAGAACAGACACTGGGGTCTACCTGAGAGTGAAGGGTGGGAAGAGGGAGAGAATCAGGAAAAATAACTAATGAGTACTAGGCTTAATACCTGGGTGACGAAATAATCCATACAACAAAACTCTGTGACACAAGTTTAACTATATAACAAACATGCACAAGGACCCCTAACTTAAAATAAAAGGTTAAAAAAAAAAAGGAATGAGAAAAAAGGGGAAAAAAACTGTAAAGTTAAAAAAAATTTATTTACTTTTTGCTTTATTTTTTGAGTTTTCTTTGGGAACTCCAATTATGAGCAGGTTGAATCTTTTTGTTTGTCTTTTATAGTTTTTTTAATATCTCTTATCTCCTTATTTCTGCATTATTCTGTATGCTTTTCCTATTTCTATCATCTGTGGCCCTTAATGTGGTGTTTATTCTCCATTGTGCTCCTTGTATTTTAGCTTGTATTTCTGTAATTATCTTTTGTTTTTTCCTTCCATTTCCTTCTTGAGTCCTGCCAATTTCTGTAATATACTCTTGTCATATTTGGTCCTTTTATCCTTGAGTTCTTGTATTTCTTCTTTGTGGTCTACCCTTAGACTTGTGATTGCTTCATTAAGTTTTTAAAACTTATGTTGGAATGCCAGATTATAATTTTCAATTTGTTTTATGGTAACATTTTTCTGGTAAGTTCTAATTTTCTGTAGGAAAGTTGTACTGGTATTTTCTACTTGGTTTTCTTGGTGTATGGTGATCACATTTCTTTTCTTTTTTCTCCTATTGGAACAAATTCAGTTTTCTTGCACCGTTTTAGGAGATTCCTGTGGATGGGGGTAGAGGGTGGGGTACCTTTCCAGGCTTCACTGCTCAGGGACTCCCTCTTTTGTTTCTTTATCAGGCCTGGAATGCCTCCTTTTCCTCTCAGATTTTAACCTAGTTGGAGGGTGGTTCTATATTTAGTCCTGGGCTTCTCCAATTTTTTATAAACCACTGTTACCTAGGGGCAACCTTTGTCTACCCAGGTGATGCACTCACTTTTAGAAGGTGTATTTTGTTGATGTTTTTGAAACTGCCCTTTTCTGGGCTCCCACTGCCTCCAAAATTAAATCCTCGAATTACCCCTGATCATGCTCCACTGCCATGTATAGCAATAGAAAAGAGCAATTTTCAGTGACTTGAATTGTGTTTAGTACACTCTCACTTGTTTATTTATATGTCCCCTTGAAATGTCATTGCATAATTCCTTGAGGTCAGAAATCATGCCCCCTTGAGGAATATGGTGGCAGCTTACTGATAAGTCTTCTCACTTCTCTTGTTAGAAAACACACAAAGCAATAAGAACAGAGGCAAAAAAAAAAAAAAAAAAAAAAACCCTACATGCTATTTTTCAGTGAAATTAAGAGACAGAGAAAAGCTGCAAACTTCAAATTGCCTGTAAGCAGTGGGTGAGAAATTGTTGTGGGGAAGGACAAGGAATGTGGAAAGGGTGTAGCAATAGCAGAGCTAAGAAGAACTTTCCAGCAAATTAGTTGGTGGAGCACAGGGGGTTTTGAGGACAGTGAAACTATTCTGTATAATACAGTAATGATGGACACGTCTTTATATATTTGTCAAAACCCATAGCATGTACCAAAAAAAGGGGCGAACCCTAATGTAACTATAGACTTTAGTTAATAATAATGTATCAATATTGGTTTATCCATTGTACCAAATTTACCTTTTTATCTTACTAGTGCAAGATGTTAATAACAGGGGAAAGTATGTGTGAGGCTAGGATGCAGGGGTATGTGAAAGCTCTGTGCACTTGGATCACTTTCTCTGTAAACTCAAACTGCCAGAATAATTAAGCATTGATTTTAAACCTTATATTGTCGGTTCTGTCGTCTTAGGAGTTTGAGGTAGGAAATACATATTAGTGGGAAGATAGATCTCTATACTATTTCCTTCTACTTATAGAAACTGAAGGAAAGATTAATATCTCACAGGCTCTGCTAGTTCCTTTGAGATGCCACATGAATGGCTGTCTGCTCAGCATAGCACATCGGTGTGTCTCTGGATATGCCAAAGAAGGCTCAGTGCCATTTAGGGAGTAGAAGGAGAAACTTCTGCAAATATTAAGTGAGGAGACTCCTCAAATTAGTTTGAAAGTACAACAGAAGCATGGACTTGAAGCCAGAAGTAACCATGAAAACATAAGCCCTGGAATTGTGTAGAAATTTTAGGCAGAGCACTGAACTTCTATTGAATGAGGGGTCGGGCTCAGCATAGTTTAAATCAATCCCAGAGGGCAGGATGATTTCACCTTACATCTGCATTACAGATTTCGAAGATATTTGGTTTCCAAATTAAATTCTTCCCTCTCTTCAGTCAATGTCTTATCTTCATGTGTCTGTGGGTCAGTGGGAAGCAGCTTTGTTCAGCTACATTGTAAGTAAATAACCATTGAGAGAACTTACACATGACCCAAAGCAGTAGTATGAACAGTGGGAAGAAAGCAATTAATGAATTGACTCTTTGCCAGGCAGTATACAGTATAGTGCATCTATGCCATCTGTCTGTCTGTCTGTCTATCTATCTATCCATCCATCCATCTATCTATATCTACATATATGTATTTCATATCATTTATTCCTCACAAACAATCCATTTCAAAGGTTAAGAGACTGATACTCAGAGAGGTCATTATGAAGCTAGTTAAGTTCCAATTCAGGTTCAATTAACACCACACTGTGTAATTTTAACCTTGAATACAATGAAAGATTTGTCAAGTTGCTTTCACCTCTGGCTTCATTTTGTGATTTAAGAACATGTTTGTCCACTTGCACGGACAAGACTATCTTCTCAGTGCAACCACTGAAGGTTTCGTGGCAGTTCTGATAGGCCTAAGCTGGGAAATAAAAATAATTCTGAGATTTGAACTGCCGATGAACTTCACGTATTTTTAGCAGGCCTTCCTAGGTATTTAGCAGAGCCTATTACTGCTTTTGATTACGATTGAAATTTCAATTGCATTTTGAATCTTCAAAAAGGATTTCCATAATTTTTTCCTATCCTTCTCTTGCTCCCAGCATCACCCATCCCCAGCTCCCTGACTTCTGCACAATAATTCTTTGAGGTAGAGGCCATGAGCTTCTTGACCAGGGTCATACACCCATTAGAGGCTGTGGCATCAGTAGCCTCAGATTTGTTTTGGATGTAGCAGTGTAAGTATAGGCTCTGGTTGAAAGGAGGTTGTAAATAAAAGTGATAGCCTGTAATTTCCTTATATCTTTTGTTTTGCAATTTGCAAGTAGATTATTGAGCTGGCAGTAGAGGTCTCCAGATCTATCCCTTTGAGAAAGAATCACAGTTTATTTCCTTTTTTTAAAACTTCCAGTGTAGCTGTACCCTTCTTAATGATTACATGAAGTTTTTCAACTGTGCTGTTTACGGCAAATCCTATCTGGCATATTACCTTAGCAATAATAATAATGTGACTTAATTAGTATTTACACTTAAAAAAGAGATAATTTGTGCATTTCATTGGCATATAAAAATAGGCATTAGCTTGTAGTGTTGAAGGATGCAGAAGTTTAATCAAATTCTCTGTATAGACGAAGAGCCCTATTCTGAAAACTATAAAATGGCTATACACACGCGTGCACAGATGCACACACACACACATCAGTCCTAGGTTAAAACAAATTAAGCAATTTTCTATATCAGATCTTGCTAGATGTGAGAACACTCTCTTCTAATATGGAAATGCTGAATTTTTTAATTGTTGCCTGTGGACATGTGATATTTCATTCACATGAACACAATTTTGGTAAGCTTTACCATGTAAGTGAAAGTGAATTTTTCAATTGTTTTTAAAGGAGAGATATTGTGTTTTAGGATTTTCACCTGCATGATCCACAAAATGGACATTATCAAGTGTCTATTTAGAATAAATAAACAAACAATTATTTATCTAGATAAAGCATAAATGCTTTTTCACAGAGCTGGATCTCCCTTACAAATACGCCTCCTCAGCCATTGTTTGGGCCAATCGTAAACCACAGGAATGCAGGGATTTCAGTTTGTCATTTCCCTGACACATCACTCGCCCCCAGAGATGCTGGTTTACCACACCTGTTGGAACTTTGTAACTAAAGTATAAGAGGAGCTTTATAGGCATGTTAAATCAAGTGAAAGAAAATTGTCCATAGTTAGTAGCTAATGGTCAACAATAAAAATATGGCCATTAGAAAAAAATGTTCAGAAGGAAGCAAACATGAGAAGAGCATAAAATGCAATAAGACAAGTAAAGGAAATAAAAGATATATAGATTGAAAAGGAAGAAATTAAACTATCTTTGCAGATGACATAATTTTTTATATACAAAATCTCAAATAATTGACCAAAAAAACCCCAGAATGAATTACCAATTATAACAAAGCTGCAGGATACAAGGTTAATCTACAAAAATCAATTGCTTTCCTACATACAAACAATGAACAACTATAATTTGAAATTAAAAACACAACACGATTTATACCAAAAAATAAAATGCTTAGGAAGTTACTTAAATACTTGGATATAAACCTAACAAATACGAATATTTATAAAGAAAACAATAAAACTTTGATGAAAGAAATCAAACAAGATCTAAATAAATAAAGAAATATTCCATGTTCATGGATAGAAAGGCAATATTATCAAGATGTCATTCTTCACAACACAGCAAGTTCTTTTGTGAATATTGGCAAATGAATTCCAAAGCTTACATGAAGAGTCAAAAGACCCAGAATAGCCAACCCATTATTGAAAAAGAAGAACAAAGTTGGAGCATTGACAGTACTCAACTTCAAGACTTACTATAAAGCTACAGTAATCAAGACAGTGTGGTACTGGAAAAATAACAGGCAAATAAATCAATAAAACTGAATAGAGAGCACAGGAATAGATCTGCAGAAATATAGTCAACTGATCTTTGACAAAATAGCAAAGGCAATTCAATGGAGAAGGGGTGGTCTTTTCAATGAATGGTGGTGAAATAACTGGATATCCACATGTAAAAAAAAAAGTGTAGACACAGACCTTACACCCTTCACAAAAATTAACTGAAAATGGATCATAGACCTAAATGTAAAACACAAAACTATAACATTTCTAGAAGATAACATCAGAGAACTCCCAGGTTATACTTTAGGTTTGGCAGTAAGTTTTTAGATTCAACACCAAAAGTATGATCCACGAAAGAAAAAATTTGTGAGAAGAACTTTATTAAAATTAGAAAATTCTGTCTATGAAAGACACTGTTAAATAATGGAAAAAATTCCACAAAAATTTGCAAAATGCATATCTAATAAAGGACTTATATCCAAAATATACAAAGAATGCTTAAAACTCAATAAGAAAATAAACAACTGAATTTAAAAATGGGAAAAAGATGTGCAGAATTCAAGTCACCAACGTAACATTGGCCAGGGGGCCCAGCAATCTCCACATGTACTCATTGCAGTCGTATTTAACCACTGACATTGTGACTTTGCTTTGTGACTTTTCCTCTTCTGGGTACCGAGATGCTATAAAGGCAGCTGATAAAGATGCATTATGTGTCATAGGCTGATGCCACTACCTGATTTGTTTACTTGCAATTTGAGCCATTTAAAGACCAATAAACTTCCTTTAAAAAATGAGCAAGAGACCTTCTAAACAGACACCTCAGCAAAGAGGATATATAGACACCAAATAAACATATGAAACAATGCTCAACATCACATATCATATGTCATTAAGGAATTATAAATTAAAACAACAAGGAGATACCACTACACACATATTAGAATGAGGAAAGTCCAAAACACCAACAACACCAAATGCTAGTGAGGATGTGGAGCTATAGGAACTCTCATTCATGCAAAATGAAACAGCGATTTTGGAAGACAGTTTGGCAGTTTCTTACAAAACTAATATACTCTTACCATACAATGCAGAATGGAATACTTCCTTGGCATTCTTCAAAATGAATTGAAAACTTATGTGCACCCAAAAACCAGCACATGGATGTTTATAGCAGCCATATTCATAATCGCCAACACTTGGAAGCAAACAAGATGCTTTTAATAGGTTAATGGATAAACAATCTGTGATCCCTTCATACAATAGAATATTATTCAGTGCTAAAAAGAAGCCAGGAAAAGAAGTGGATGAATCTTAATTGCATGTTGCTAGCATTAAAAGCCAATCTGAAAAATGCTGCACATTGTATGACTCCAACTATGTAACATCCTGGAAAAGGCAAAACTATAGAGAATATAAAAAGAGTAGTGGTTGCCAGCGTTTGGGTTTGGGATACAGAGGGAGGAATGAATAAGAGGAATGAATAAGCACAGAGGATTTTTAGGGCAGTGAAACTATTCTGTGTAATACAGTAATGATGAACACATGTCATACATTTGTCAAAATTCATAGAATTGTATAATACAAAAGTGAACCCTAATATTAACTATGGACTTCAGTTAATAATAATGTATCAATATTGGTTCATCAATTGTAATAAATTTACCACACTAATGCAAAATGTAGTAATAGGGAAACTATGTGTGGGGAGGAGGGTAGAGGGAGTAAATGAGAACTCTGTATTTCTGCTCAATTTTTCTGTAAACCTAAAACTTCTCAAAAAAGAAAGTCTATTAATTAAAAAAATTGAATCAAGGGTTGTGCATGACAATAGCAGGTAATTTAGGGATGAATACAATTTGCTTGACTTAGAGCCCAACTAGCTCTGAAACTCTCTTAGAAACCAAAACACACTGGGTTTCCAAAGCTTACTGCAAATGAGAACTTTGCATACGTGGAGAAATTTTGACTAGAAAAGTCTTACTGGGGAAGATAGAGTGTCTGAGGAAGTGATCAAATTGGCTGACAGGAACTCCTCTTTCCTCATGGCCTTAATTGGTTGAGGTGGCTACCACTTGTGAAAGGAAGCTGACTGACTGCCACCTACAGCCACCTCATCCTTAGTGGTTGATATAGTTTCTTTCATAAAGTCTGGAGAGAATCTTTCTCCCACAGGTGTCACAATGCTTTGGGGTTCTTTTGAAGTTGCTCTTTGTCTTTCAGTTTTTTAAAATCCAGTACAAGTTTCCCCAGAACTAGGTCAGAGAATATCAAGATGACTCAAGCCAAAGTTGCTCCCAAGAGTCCCCATCTCCTCTGAAAATCAACCACAGTCCCAGCAAGCTCTTGGTTCTCTATCCACTCCTCCCATCACCCATTCTCAGGTTGAGCATGTGCCTCCCATCCCTCTCTCCTTCAAGTTTATCCCACAGTTTTAATTCCTGGGTCCCAAATACTTGTTAAAAATATCATTCATCTTTTACAAAGAGAGAAAGAAAAAGTATTTTAGAATGTGTCCTCTTTACTGTCTCTTGCAAAAAGCCCTAATGTTTCTCAGTGACTCTGGTCACTTCTGTGGAGATAGATTGGTCTCTTCCTTGGACCATTTCATCTCATATGAAATAAGTGATGCCACATTTATCTCTTTAGCCTTATATTCTTCTATGAAAAGTGGTCTTTTTTAGCAGTAGCAAGGGATATGTTGGTGAAATTGCTTTTGGCCACTGAACATAATGATTCAGGATACTTCTGGGTTTTTTAAAAAAATACCCTGTTATGGATTTATTATCCACTAATTAACTTACACTGAACTTAACCATGGTGTGGCTTCCTTCATGCAATTATAAAACTCATTTCAACAATAGAAATGGAAGTGCAGTGGCCTCTCCTCATCTTGATGGACTCGGTAGGCTCCCCCAGGTGTATCAAGCTAGAGCTATTTTTCTATTTTTCTGTTTTTCTATTTTCTGATCTCTAAACCCTGCCTATTGGTCCAGAGGTTAAATTCAGAGTGATCTATAGAAACATGGCCCAGTTTCCCAAAAACATAGTTGAGATTTGGGACAGATTTCCCATGGACTGGGAACCAAGATGTAAAATCTTGTGTTTGTAAAATCAAATTTTGCAATTTGAAATTCAAATAGGCATACAAAATCATGAAAATATAAGGATGTAGGGTGAATTTCATGTGGTTCACAGGTAGAAACAAATGGTGAAGTGAAGCAGAACCCTCAAATAAACATTTTTTTTATGAGAGAAAGAAAATGTTATGAGATAAAATATAAATGTGGTGTTGAATGAAATCCCCAAATGGAAAAGGGAGGAGAGGAGCAGAGAGGTTCTGAGGAGACAAGCCAAGATTGTGAGGCTGTGAGGGGCTGGGAACCAGCCACAAGTTCAGGCCACAGAAGAGAATGGAAGGGGTAGTAAGTACTCCACAACTTGAGCCAGCTTCTACATCAACCACTTGGCTTCGACTCCGTGTAAAAAAACCCTAGACATCATGACTATATAACCTGAGAGAATCTCCATATCTAGGTGTGTGGATTCTAGATTTTTATTTCAAAATAATCTTGGGCACTTACTCCCTGATACTGGGCTCCTTCTCTTACCTCACCCCACTGATCCCTGGGCCCAGGCTACTACAGTTGCCTCATGTCACATACAATCTGTGCTTGCCTCTGTTTAGGAGGATGCCAAAGACCATTAGGACCTAAATAAGGTTTTCTTATTAAGTAAGTAAAAAATTGGAAATAAAGAAACATTGGAGGGAAATCTGAAGTTTTCGTGTTGGGGAAGGACTGCTTCATTTCTGTGCTTCTCTGGACCCTTTCCTCTGAGATGGGGGAGGTGAACCTGAGCCTCACGTTTGTTTGGATTGTGAAGCCCCAGGGGCTTCTGAACAGACTGTTCTTGATTCTAAGGCAGGACTGCTGAGAGTGCAAAGTTCAGCCTTAAAAATAACATCTCTATCTCTCAACTGGGCAAAGGGCCTTGCACTTTGGAATGAGACAAAAGGTAACCATGGGATTTTGAACTTGAGCAAAGAGAGGGGGATTGTGGGTTCTGGGAAGCTGCTTTTTTGGGGCTTTTTTTTTTTAAAGGAGAAAAATTGACAGTTTATAAATTGGCCAACTTGCTAGCAGATAATCAGTTATTATTGTCACTTGTAGATAGTGTCTGGCAAAATAGAGAGCTGGTAAGAACTAATGATTGCTAGGGACTCTGGAACCAACCTGGTGTCTCTCCCTCAATTTCTTTTCATTTTTCACAGAGCCCATTTCAATTAAGGTAATTAAAAGGCTATTATAATTTGTGAAAGCCTGGGCAAATTATTTATATTTCTTAGTCAGTTTCCTTTCTGTAAATCGGGGCTAAAGGAGCCTTGATGTGAGAAATAAATAAGATCTGACTGTAAAAACCCTGACACATAGTAGGCATGCCATAAGTGCTAGTGCCTTCCTCTCTCCATCTCATTTATTGGCTGACTTCTTTATTCCTTTCTCTAGGTAAAGACTGACAGGTGGAAAGGAAGTAAGAATGATATGAGGAAGGTCTACCTACTGATTTGTCCCGATAAAAGAGAAAGATTTATTTAATAAATGTTCACTGAGCCCTTTTCATGTGAATGTGCATGCTGGGCAGTAGGGAAATGATGAAATTGTACATTATACATTTGATGCCCTCAAGGAGTTTTTAGAGTAGTAGAGAGGCTGAGACAAGATTAGATAAGGGTTCTATAAACTGGTAAATAAGAAGCACTCTGGGAACGGGTAGGAAATGTAAAGTCATTTCTGGTTGGATTCATCGTGGTGTTGGGAACAGAATGGAAGCAGCACTAACAGTGCTTCTCAAGTGCCGACAGCGTGATGAAGAGCATGCGTGTATGATCTTATGCAATACTCACAGCAATTCTGTGTAGTACACATTCTTAGATTCATTTTACATGTTAGGAAATCGAGGCTAAGTTAAGGAACTTATCTGAGATCAAGTAATTAGTAAATGGTAGAGTTGGGGCTCTAAACCAGTTATCTGACTTCTTAACTCTTTTTCCCTATCCCACATTGCTTCAAAGTATTAGGGACAAAAGATAATTCTAGACAAAATGACCACTGTTCATAGGTGGAGATGGAAGAGGGTTCTTTCTTTTGCAGGTGAGGGAAGAACATGAAGAAAGTCCTGAAGCAGGACAATTTATTCTCACTTTTGGCTATGTGATCTTTTCAAAGCAGTATTTCCATGAGGCAGATCCATCAAACAATTAGATGTATTGTACCATGAGGGCAATTTAGGAGCAATGTAGGGCTTATATAGAAATGCCACTGATTAATTACAAAAATGGAGAGGACTTCTGCTTGGTACAGTCACCTGAAAGCCAAATCCCAATTCTGGCTCTGCCATTGACTTCCTGCAGTTCCAAGGCTCTAGGAATAGCGACTGTCCTCACGTGTCTCAGCTACCTTCCTCTTTGTAGTCATCTAGGCATCAAATGAAAGGCTTTTTTTTTTTTTTTAAAGAAATCTTGTTGAATTGTCTCCATATTGTTGCTCTGTTCAGACTCCAGGGACACAGAGTTTCTGGGCAATCTGGAGCTTCTCCAGGAATGCTAACCTTCTCTGAAGGGGGTTGCTCTGAAGAGGCGAAATGCTTGCCTTTCAAAAATACATCCTTAGGGAGGCTATCAGCTGCTTCATTTTTGCACAGTCAGGGAAATTTTATCCTCTGGTAAGGGATTTGAGAACAGTTGGCTGTGGTTGCCTAAAAGACTCCACAAGGACAAATGTCCAGAGCACAGTCACCCCCATTACCCAGAGGCCAAGGTCTCTTTGTTTATACCTCTTGTAGCTTTTCCTGCATTCCTGTCCTGTCTGTCCCAATCTTATACCCTGTTCTGAGTCTAGAGAGAGTCACAGTCATTGGAAGTGACTCCTATAAGAAGCCAATATGTGGTGTAACTTCTTCCTTCATTCATTAATTTGTTAGTTTGTTCATTCATTTTAGGAGAATTTTCTATTGTTAAGAAACACTTGTTACATAACATCAATGTTTTCCTAACTATGAGTCATAAAGAGGATACTAGCTGCCTTTGTTTTGTTCCTACAAAGACACATGAAAATAGGGTTTCTAAAAAATTAAGTACTTTGACAAATGGCATTTTTTGCCCCCTTACCCCAATCAAGTGGTTGGAACCCATTTACTGTGGAAATTTTTGACACTAAAGGTGAACCAGTTTTAATCTTAACTCTTCCCTCAAGACCCGTGAAAGATCAAAGAGGAATTTAGAGAATTTAAACACCAATGGTTCAGGTCCATGTGTGCAGCTGGAATCCACCTCTATCTGGTATCCACTAGGAATAGAGTCTCCTTCTGGCAAACTCACTCTTCTGAAGGCTGTGGATTGGTCTAGTTTGGGTTGTGGGTGGGTCTGAAGATACAAGTCACCTGGGACATCTTTCTCAGTCTCTATGTCTCCATCAATCAAATGATAGCATCATATAGTGTTTATATATTAATAAAAGTTTTGTTCCTTATTATGTCATTAATCCTACCTCAAGTAGATTAGGATATATAATATCCTAGATGTAATAAAGACTGTGAAGAGGGTTCATCAAGAACTTCATTACCAATGGTGTATCAGGTAGAAAGAGAGCATCCCCTGAAGGGGATAAGGGAGATTTTATACTCATGTATCAAACCAAATGTCAGCCAGAATACCAGCATGAAACAGGAATGACTCAGTGGAGTGAGCAGGCCCCAGACAAATGTGTAAAATAGCTGCGGTTGCCTTTTGATATCTTCCATGCTCCTTGTTTCTGCCTTTCTCTCATTCCAACTTTAACAGTACTGTCACTAGCCCATACTCATCTCTCTCTCCCTCTCTGTCTCTCTTTTTCTTTATCAAATCTCCAATATCCAGACATGATCTGAAATGTATTCCCTCTAGGGGCTAGAAGTGACTCAATTTGATATTTCACTCATGAGACATTGAATGTAATAAAAAAAGGATGGAGGTCTAAATATGGACTTTTATACATCTGGGAGCTGAGTGGAAGTGTCTTAAGGGATGAGAGCTTTGTGGAGACACTGGAGTCAAGTGATATAGGTGATTTAATTTACCCTGTTAGACTTCTCAGCAGCATATGACATGTTGACAACCTCCCTGTTTTTGAAGGCAAATTTTTATTTTTTTTAAAATTATATTTACTTATTTATTTATTTATTTAATGTTGCCCAGGCTGGAGTGCAGTGGCTTGATCATGGCTCACTGCAGCCTTGACCTCCCAGGCTCAAGTGATTCTCCTACCTCAGCCTCCAGAGTAGCTGGGGCTACAGGCACACACCACCATGCCTGGCTAATTTATTTGTTTTATAGAGATGGATCTCATTATGTTGCCTGGGAGAATTATTCTTATTTTTCTGTACAGAAAACTCAACAGTGTATGGTTAACCAAGTTTAGTAGCAAGTGTTTCAGCTTTTGCCTTTTCCTGCTTGGCAATGTAAGCCACAGATTTAGGACCCAGGACATTGCTTTCCCAGTGGTGGCAGATCTCATCATATCTGTCATTGTCATTGGTCCTGATAGCTTCCATCAGCTTCATCAAAACTCCTCTGTCTTCCCAGTTAAACTGTGTGAAGGCGACAGTGGTGCAGGTCTTCCTGTGGACTAGACGTCCCAGTCTTGCCTTCCCCTTGATAAGGCAGTAAGGGACCCATATTTTACAACACAGGGCAGGCAGAAAGACAACCAGCTTGATGGGATCCTCATCGTGTTCAGTCACCACCAGTTGAGACTTCTTGTTCTCTACCACGGTGGTGATAGTATTGAAATTGCTTGAAGGACAGGTGGTCTCTTAATGGGGAGAGCCCCTTTGCTGTCAGCTCTCTTCTCAGCCCAGGCCAACAGTCTCTGCTTCTTCCCTTGCTTTGTCTCTGGATTGCACTTGTGGGCCAGCTTAAGCAGTTGAGTAACTGGCAGTCCAAGGCCTGAGTGAGCTGGTTAATGGCAGGAGGAACTTTCGGCCGCTCATGGAGGATAGCCCTTTGCCGCCGCAACTGCATGTAGCGGGGCCATTTGACAAAGCAGGTGAGGTCCCTTTCGTGCGGGATATCCTGTCCAGTGCCAAAATTCTTAGGCCTTTTCTCAAACAGGGACTTCCCACCTTCTTGGCCTCCTGCTTCTTCATGACAGCAGGGGTGGGTGCCACTTTCTTCCCCTTGGCCTCCTTTCCTTTCAGCACCTTAGGCAGTTGGAGGACAGGGTGACAACTGCCTTTTTTAAGAAGCCCTCTCCTGTCTTGGATTTTCTGTCATCATCCTTTCCTGCTCCCTCCATTTCACTGTCCAAAGCATCTCATATCTCTTTGTTCTTCTCTAAACAGCTTTAAATATTGCTGTTCCTAAGGGATTATTCTCAGGCCCTCTTTATTTCTTTCTCTAAACTCTCCCCCTAGGTTGCCTTGTCTATTATCAAGGCTTTAAACACCTTCTTTATGCAGATGTCTTCCAAATTTTTATATCCATCCCTCTGAGCTCCAGACTTACCTAAAAGTTTACTTGACATGTCCAAGTTAAAACAGCTAAGTCAAAACTCTTTATTTTTTTTACTCTTACAACTAATTTCTCGTCTCTACCAGTCTTCCTTAGCTTAATAAATGTCAGTGCCACCCACCTGGTTTGTTATTAAGAGCCATCTTTCATTCCTCTCTTTTCCTCACCGGCTATATCTGCTGCATAATTGATATGGTTTGGCTGTGTCCCCACCCAAATCTCATCTAGAAATGTAGCTTCCATAATTCCCACGTGTTGTGGGAGGGACCGAGTGGGGGATAATTGAATCATAGAGGTGATTTCACCCATACTGTTCTTGTGGTAGTGAATGAGTCTCATGAGATTTGATGGTTTTTATAAGGGGTTTCCCCTTCCACTTGGCTCTCATTCTCTCTTGCCTGCTACCATGTAAGATGTGCCTTTGCTCCTCCTTTGCCTTCTGCCATGATTGTGAGGCCTCTCCAGCCATGTTGAACTATGAGTCCATTAAACCTCTTTTTCTTTATAAAATACCTAGTCTCAGGTATTTTTTCTTAGCAGTATGAAAATGGACTAATACAATCATCAAGTCCTAAATTCTACTACCAAAGTACATCTGAAATCCAGCAGCTTTTCTCTGTCTCCATTGCCACCATCCTAATTTATGCCACTGTTGTTTCTCCCCTAGACCTCTGCAATAGCCGCCTTCCTTATTACACCAAATAAGATTATATAAAAAGCAAAAGTGTAGTGGTTTAGAGTGAATACTCTGGAGAGATACAACCTAGGTTTGAATCCTGCCTCTGCCTATTACTAAATATGTGAATTTAAGCAAGTTACTTAAGTTTTCTGTGCTGCAATTGCTTCAGCTACAAAATGATGAGAATAATAGCACCTGCCTTAATATTAAGTGTATTTTTTCCATTTGATTAAATTAGTTTTTTAAATGAGAAGAATTGTGCCTAACATAGAAAACTCTTATTAATATGTAAATAAAATCATGTTATTCAGTGCTTAAAACCCTTTAGTGGCTTCTCATGTACTTGACATAAAATTCAAGCTTCAAATCAGAACCTCTAGGTCCCATGTGACCTGGCCCTGCCTCCACCCTGACCTCAACTCTGTTCACTCTCCCTCTCTCATTGTACTCCAGACACACAGGGCTTCTCTCAGCTTCCCAGACATGCTAAGCTCTTTGCTGTCTCAAAGGCTTCTCTCTTTCTATTCCATCTACCTAGAACCTCCTCCAATTCCTGATTCCTTTGCCTATTTCAGATTCAGCCTAAATAACACATCTTGTTAGCAACTTTCTCTGGCCATGTTATTTAAGGCAGGTTGCCTTCTTTTGTACTAGAGCTATTTTGTTTTGTTCATATCACTTACTATGTTATTTAGTAATTTCATTTGTTGTTGTTTTCTGTCATCCTCACCAAAATGCAAGTTCTGTGAATCCAGTGGCATGAATATTGTGCTCATTGTTGGATCACTGGTACCTAACACAGTGCATTGCACATAAGTGCTCATAAATATTTACTGAATGAATGAAATGAACAATTGCTAGGCCAGTCTTGACTTCCAGAAGAAAGTCAAGTATAAGCCAGAATTTAAGCTCTGCAGGATGTACCAAATAATACACGAACAAGTACTGGCCACCTGAGTTGCTTTGGTATTTGGTAAAACAAGCAATATGGTGGTAGTTGTCAGCCTAGTAGAGGAGAAATTCTGAATATGGAGACAGAAGTCCTGGGCTCTTTGTCCAGGATCTGATACTAACCATCTTTGTGACCTTGAACAGGCTCAACACATCTCAGAAACTCACTCTCTCACTGGAGAATGAAAGTGGTTGAAATAAGCAACCCCTAAGGTTCCCTCCAGCATAACATTTGTTCTGGATGCAACATTTCTCCATAGAGAAGATAAAATCAGCACATAATTTGGTTCTCACGTTGGAGATAAATGAATTTTAGGAGAATTAAGAAATCATCCACAGATGCTAGGATAGATTCTCCTTAGAGTATTTTAAATACGTGAGAATTTATCCATTAGATAATTATTTATTGATCCCTGTGTGCTCTCTGGAGTCATGCCCACTGTTACCTTGCCTAAATGCAGCTCCTCTACTTTTTCTTTGTTTGCACAGCTCACAATTTAAGCAATATTTCACTACACACACACACACACACAAAGACAGATACACACACGTGTATGCAGTCATACAAACACACATTTTCTTTAACTCTAAGCTTTTATTCTTGCCTTGTTTCCTAGAAAATCCTCTCTTCTATCAATTTATTAAGAAAAAATATCCCCAGTCCTGTTAGATAAGGATTATTGGGTTATAATTTTACCAAGAAAGGGAAGGCACATTTTCCACAACTTCTGTCCCACTCATCTCCAAAGCCCTTGAGTGTGCCCAGGGCCCTGCTAACAACTTCTATAAAAGTCTCTATCCACTTCTTCCTCTCTCATGCATTCAAACACTTTTTCACATTTTAAAAACAATTTTAAAATATGTTTGACTTAGCTAGTAATTCACATTATTATTATGATATTAAGATTAATATTCAAATGATATAATTTTTATATATTTTGTAATGTGATTATACAGTGTTTTAGTTACATTTGGAAATAATGAGCTCTCTTAGGTTTGGTAAGCCTCCATGCACCATTTCTTATTGTCCAAATTCTACCTGTTCTTCCAGAACCAACTCACGTGCTGCCTCCACCATAAACCTTGCTTTATTTCTTTGTCAGGAAGTAACCTACCCTTCCTTTGAACTCCTGTAGCACTTTATTCATTCATTTGTTTATCTATCCATTTACTCATTCACTCATTCACTGTTCATTACTATCTCATTACATAGTAGGTGGTAAATATCTACTATGTGTAAATAAAAATCTCTTCTCTCGTGGAGTTTATAATTTAATGGAGGAGACAGACAAAAATGTGTACATATTATGTTAGATAGTGATATGTTAGATGGTGATATGTTTCATGAAAACATAAGGCAGGATTATTATTTTCATGAAAAATAAGGCAGGATAAGGTTATAGATAGTTTTGACATAAGGGGGTAGCCTCAAGGAGAAATGTTCTTTAATCAGAGACCTGTCAGGAGTGAGGGAGTAGGCTGGAAGACAGGTACAGGGGAAGAAAATTTTAAGTGGAAGGCCAGTATTTTAGTCTATTGGGGCTACTATAACAAAATACTTTAGACTGCGTAACTTAAAAACAACAGAAATTTCTCACAGTTCTAGATGCTGGGAAGTCCAAGAAAACATCGGCAGACTCAATGTCCAGTGAGGGCCTCCTTTCTTGTTCATAGGTGACTCGTTTTCTCTGTGCCCTCACATGGTAGAAAGGATGAGGTAGTTCTCTGAGGCCTCTTTCATAAAGGCACTAATCCCATGCATGGGGACTCAACCCTAACCACTTCATAAAGGCCCCACCTCTTTTTTAATTTTTTAAAAATTTTTTTATTATACTTTAAGTTCTGGGGTACATGTGCAGAATGTGCAGTTTTATTACATAGGTATACATGTGCCATGGTGGTTTGCTGCACCCATCGACCTGTCACCTACATTAGGTATTTCTCCTAATGCTATCCCTTCTCTAGACCCCCACCCCATGACAGGCTCTGGTATGTGATGTTCCCCTCCCTGTGTCCATGTGTTCTCATTGCTCAACTCCTACTTATGAGTGAGAACATGTAGTGTTTGGTTTTCTGTTCTTGTGTTAGCTTGCTGAGAATGATGGTTTCCAGCCTCATCCATGTTCCTGCAAAGGACTTAAACTCACCTATTTTTATGAAGGCCTCACCTCTTAATACTATTGCATTGGGGATTCAGTTTGACCATATGAATTTTGGGGGAATATAAACATGCAGACCATAGCATCCCACCTGTAGGCCCCTAAAATTTTATCATTTTCCCATAAAAAGTACATTCATTCCATCCCAATAGGCCCCCAAATCTTAACTCATTCCAGCATCAATAGTTCAAGTCCAAAGTCTCATGCGAATATCATTTAAATCAGATATGGGTGAGACTCAAAGGTGTGATTCATCCTAAGGCAAATCTCCTCCAGCTATGAGTTTATGAAATCAAACAAGTTAGGTGCTTTCAAAATATAATGTTATGACAGGCCTAGGACAGACATTCCCATTGCAAAAGGAAAAAACAGGAAAGAAAATGGATAATAGGTCCTGACCAAGTCTAAAACTGAAGAGGGCAAATGTTACATCTTAAGGCTTCAAAATAATCTTCTTTGACTGGAATTCCCATCTTCCAGACACACTGGCTGGGGTTGGGTGCTTAAATTTCCAGTAGCATCCATAGCTTTGCTGGGTACAGCCCATGCTGCAGTTGTCATGGGTAGAAGTCTGGTGCCTTTGGTTCTCTTAGGCTGGAGTTGCATGCTGGTGGCTTTAACAGTCTATGGTGTTGGAGGTTGTCCTGCCCTCATTAGGCGTTGTCCTAATAGGGGCTATCAGTAATGACCCACTCCTGTGGCAGGCCATTCTGTGCCTGGGCCCTGCTGCTCTCTGGGACATCCTTCCAAACCTAGGGAGGCAGCCATATCCCCACAGCTTGTGTACTTTGCAGACTGCACTTTGTGCTAGATTCCTCCTTTCTGGGCAGGGAAAGTCAGCAGCCCAAGTCAGGGGCTCATAGATAAAACTCCCATCTCCCTGGGACAGAGCACTTGGGGGAAGGAGCAGCTGTGGGCCCAGCTTTAGCAGACTTAAACGTTCCTGCTTTTTGGCTCTGAAGAGAGCAGCAGATATCCCAGCACAGTGCTTGAGCTCTGCTAAAGGACAGACTGCCTCCTCAAGTGGATCCCTGACCCCCATGCCTATTGACTGGGAGACACCCCCAGCAGGGGTTGACAGACACCTCATACAGAAGAGCTATGGGTGGCATCTGGAAGGGGCCCCTCTGGGACAAAGCTTCCAGAGGAAGGAACAGGTGTCAATCTTTGCTGTTCTGCAGCCTCTGCTCCAGGCAAACAGGGTCTGGAGTGGACCTCCAGCAAACTCCAGCAGACCTGCAGCAGAGGGGCCTGACTGTTAGAAGGAAAACTAACAAATAGAAAGGAATAGCATCAACATCAACAAAAAGGACATCACTGAAAAACCCCATCTGAAGGTCACCAACATCAAAGACCAAAGGTAGATAAATCCATGAAGTTGACAAAAAATCAGCACAAAAAGGCTGAAAATTCCAAAAACCAGAATGCCTCTTCTCCTCCAAAGGATCACAACCCCTCACCAACAAGTGAACAAAACTGGACGGAGAATGAGTTTGATAAATTGACAGAAGTAGGCTTCAGAAGGTGGGTAATAACAAACCCCACTGAGCTAAAGGAGTATGTTCTAACCCAATGTAAGGAAGCTGAGAACCTTGAAAAAAGGTTAGAGGAATTGCTAACTAGAATAACCAGTTTAGAGAAGAACATAAATGACCTGTGGAGCTGAAAAACACAGCACGAGAACTTCATGAAGCATAAACAAGTATTAATAGCCAAACCGACCAAGCAGAAGAAAGGATATCAGAGATTGAAGATCGACTTAATGAAATAAAGTTTCATTTTATGAAACTTTATAAACTTTATTCATTTTCTCTAATGAAATGAATGAAAAAAGAATGAAAAGGAATGAACAAAGCTGCCAAGAAATATGGGACTATGTGAAAAGACCAAACGTACGTTTGATTGATGTACGACCAGCACTAGAACTGGGCTGGGTCAGATCTGAAGCCAGCACAGCAAAGGACCTTCCCTTCAGGGTGGTGAGTTCTCCCAGGCCCCAGGTGTGTCCAGAGATACTATCTGGTGGCCAGGGATTAGAATAAAAAAAAATAGCATTTTACCTGATATTCTATTTTACTGTGGCTAAGTTGACATTCAAACCACAATACGATGTCCTTTCTGCCTTTGCCTTTCCTTTCCACAGGCAGAGTAGCCTGTCCCTGTGGCCACCATCACCACTGGTCCCTGGAAGGTTCTGTCGGACCAGTGCTGATGTTTGTTTAAAGTCCATTGTCTCTTCTGTCAGCTTGTAGTAAATGGTGCCAGGCTTGGGACTCACCCTTCTGGCCCAAGGCAGGTCTAGAAATGCTGACCAAGAGCCTAGGTCTCAACTTGGGGGCCCCAAGTGCCTGCTTGTTTGCTCTACCTTACTGTGGCCGAGATGGTACTCTATTTTTGGTTCTTGTGACAGTGCTTTTCTATGTGCAGATAGTTGTTAAAATTTGGTGTTCCAGTGGGGGATGGATGGTGTAGGCTTCTATTCCATCATCTTTCTTTGCCCCCCGATTTTCTTTTTTATTTCTTCTTTGACCCCAGTGGTGTTCAAGATGTGTGTTTGTTTGACTTCCACATATTTGTGAAATTTTCAGGTTTTCTTTCCACTATTAATACCTAGTTTCACTCTATTAATAAAGATACTTGGTATTATTTCAGTCTTCTTAACAATTTTAAGATCTAATTTGTGACCTAACATGTGATCTATGCTGGAGAAAGTTCCATGTGACTTGAGAAGAATGTGTATTCTGCTGCTGTTAGGTGGTATGAACTATATATATCTGTTAGGTACATTTAGCCTATAGTGTTGTTCAAATCTTTTGTTTCCTTATTTATCTTCTATCTAGATGTTTTATCCATTACTGAAAGTGGGATTTTTGAAGTATCCTATTATTTTATTGCTATCTATTTCTCCTTTCAGCTCAGTCAATGTTAGCTTTATATATTTAGGTTCTCTGAAGTTGGGTACATATACATTTATAATTGTTATATATTCCTGGCAGATTGACCCTTTTATCATTATGTAATGTCCTTTTTTCTCTCCTGACAGTTTTTGGCTTAATGTCTAATTTTTTTTTTCTGATATGACAATGCTTGCTCTCTTTGGTTACCATTTATAAGAAATATCTTTTTTCTTCCTTTCACTTTCAGCCTATGTAGGTCCTTAAATCTAAAGTGAGTTTCTTGTAGACCGCATATAGTTGTGTTTTGATTTTTAATCCACTCAGCCACTGTATGCCTCCCTCAACTCACTAGACTGTGCCAGTCCTGTCATAAATCCAAGACTAGAAAGACACAAACTAGGCCTCTTGGAAGCCCCCTCAGAAAGTTGGGGGTACAGGATATGTATTAACTCATTCCTTCCCTTGGAAGAAGCTGGGAGCTAGGGGGAATCTTCCTGATTATGTGGTGTTGTGCTAGGAGCAGGGATCTGGTGACAGGGTGTCTTGACTCTCCCTACTAGCTTCCATGAGTCTGGTTTCATGTTTGCCCAGGTTGCAAGAGACTTTCAATTAGTTTCTTAATTTCTCATGAAAGGAATTTGTGAATTGTTGCTAAATTAGTTGCTAGTGGGAGGGGAAATATTCAGGGCTTCCTACTCTGCCATCTTGCTAAAGTTACCTCCTATCATTTTTAAAAATAGGTTAAGAAAAATATTTTGAAATAATCAATAACATGAGATTATATATATAATCTGCTTAATAGAATGACTAGCACATAATATGTGCTGAATTCTATCTACTAATACTACTGGTAATGATAGTAATTGAAATATTCAATAACATGAGATAATATATATTACATTCTTAATCAAATGACTGGTACATAATATGTGCTGAGTGCTATCTAATAATACTACTGGTAATGATAGTAATAATGATAATAATGATATTAACTTGCCCAATGTCACAAAAGCAGTGATGCTAAAATTTAATCCAGGAGTCCTGATAATTTTGAAAATCAGTTTGTCAAGGTGATTCTGTATATATTTTATATATTATACAAAAATGTTCTTACACAGGAAGCTTGATAAGGAAAAACAAGTCAATCACCCATAATTCTACCATTTCAATATAATAGGTATCATTGTTCAATGTGATTTTAGATTTATAAAGTTTGCTTTAAAAAGTATTGCTGGTCAGGTGTGGTGGCTCACACCTGTAATCCCAGCACTTTGGGAGGCCAGGGAGGGTGGATCACCTGAGGTCAGGAGTTCAAGACCAGCCTGACCAACATGGCGAAAACCCATCTCTAATAAAAATACAAAAAATTAGCCGGGTGTGGTGGTGGGGACCTGTAATCCCAGCTACTCAGAGGCTGAGGCAGGAGAATTGCTTGAACCTGGGAGGCAGAGATTGCAGTGAGCCAAAATTGCGCCATTGCACTCCAGCCTGGGTGACAGTGTGAGATTCCATCTCAAAAAAAAAAAAAAAGTGTTGCTGATGCTTTAATTTGTCCTCTACATTCTAGGAACCTTCTGTTTTTGTTTTTGCTTTTGTTTTTTCAGGGCAGAAAATAAACAAGCAAATTGTTTTTTCTTGCTCCTTTTTTCCCATAGCCTTAAAATATCTAGACTGTACATCCAGTTATTGTAAATTAAAATTATGATAGATCAGCAATGATTCAGGTAAAAGAAAAGTTTATAAAGAGAAAAATTGGAAAATGTTGATAGTTGTGGCTATGGAAATACCTAATGATTTATTTAATTGAAACATAATATTAATTTATCTGATGGAGTTAAATACAGTGTTATGATGAGCAATCTATCCCTTCTCATCTGTTCTCTGACTAAAGTTATATTATCACAAAGGATATTGAAGAGGTGTTCATCATTTTCTTCTCTTTTACACACACTATCAATGTGAGAATTCATATATACCCCTTATTCTGTTCCCCCTGCCCACTCCACCCCCAGTAATCTCTTAGCAGTGATTAAAAAATAGCTTTATTCATTTATATCAACTTGTATTTTTTAATAAATAATAGAAATCCAATTAGAAATTCAATTAGAATTTGACTTTGCTAACCTCTCTATGAGATGGATTTCTGACCTCAGTAGTATTAGAGTCTTCAGCTCATCAAAGACAGTAAGTATGCTCATGATACTTTTCAGAGGGAAGAAAGAACTTAAGCACTATGTAACTACTACCTTAGTCTTGGCTTCCATTTGTCAACGTTGTTTCTTGTACTTCTGCAATGGTTACCTATCTAATTATCTTGTCTCCATTTTCTGTATCCCAAATTTACCCCCTATATAACCATAAGAATTATATTCTTTTAGTAACAGACATTTGATCGTATTGTCCTTCAATCTTTTCCCTTAATATCTTTCAGTGCCTCCGCAATACCTTTAGGATGAGTCTAAACTTTTTGTTATGGTACACAGGGTCTTTCATGATCCAGATTCTTCTTATCTCCCCAACCTTATGCCTTTTTATTTCACATTAAACATTCAGCCATATCTACAACGGAAGTTCCTAACATATGTTATTATTTATTGTGCCTTTTTGCTTTTGCATCTGCCTTTTCCTTCCCTTAGAACACACTTACCCTCCTTTTCCAGGGTAACTTTTCATCCTTTATAAATCAGCTTTTGCATCATCTAATGGTCATGTTTCATGACAGACACTGTATGCTATGTGTCCACCGAGTGCCACTTCCTCTTTCCCCTGGAATTACAATTAGACTGCTTTCCTAGGCTCCCTCAAAGTTAGATATGGCCTAGTGACTCAGTTCTGGTGAATGTGAGTGAAAGTGATTTATATCACTTCCAGACCTGCCTCTGAAAACATTCCATAGAATACTCTATGTCCTCTCCAGTTCCTCATCTTCAGGGCAGATATAATGGATCCTGGAGGACTTTAAGATCCTAGTGAGTGGTAAAGACACTAGACTGAAAAGCCTGGTAACCCCTTGGGCCCTCTGACTAGGCACATGCACACTGGACTACAGCATGAGCAAGGAGTAAACTTACATTGTGTTTAGTCTCCTTACATAGTGTTTAGAGTTTGTTGTAGCAGTTAGCCCACAATGACTAATACACTTCCTTTGGTGTCCCTTTTCCTCCAAAGTCCCTACCACTCTGAAAAAGTTATATGTGAATAAAGCACCCTTATTCTCAGGCCCAGATCTAGGACTGGTTTATTTATCTAAATGAAAAAGTGAAAGTTTTCTTCCTCCTAAAATTCATATTCTGGTGGCCAAGACAGCTAATAAATAATAAAACCATAAAATGTAACTTTAATCAATGATAAGTGCTGTCAAGTGAGATAAGGCTGGATAAGGGGATGGAGGATGGAGGGTGAGGGGTATTTTTTTTATAACGCATCAGAGAAGGCTCTTCTGATGATGTTACGTTGAACAGGCTCTGAATGTGAAGTGAGAGATAAGCTGTATGTAGTTTGAGAACTAGGCAGGGAATAGAAAGAGTTAAGAAACAGATGCAGAAAATAGTGTCGCTGTTTTATATTAGGACTATTAATAGCATGAAGAAGAGCAAGAACACTGATATGGCAGGAGCGTAGTGAATGAGAAGGAAAGAGGCAAGAGGGAGTTCAGGGAAGTAGTCTCAGGTTACAGAAAAACTTGAAGGGCCTAGGGTTTTACTCTTTCAGAAGTTGGGGGAGAGGCACTGGAAGATAGTGAGCAGCTGAGTGACTTTTTTTTTTTTTTGTAAATTGCCTTGTCTCAGGTATGTCTTTTTTATTTTTTATTTTTTTTTATACTTTAAGTTCTAGGGTACATGTGCACAATGTGCAGGTTTGCTACATGTGTGTACATGTGCCATGTTGGTGTGCTGCACCCGTTAACTCATCATTTACATTAGGTATATCTCCTAATGCTATCCCTCCCCACTCCCCCCACCCAACAACAGGCCCCTGTGTGTGATGTTCCTCACCCTGTGTCCAAGTGTTCTTATTGTTCAATTCCCACCAATGAGTGAGAACATGCGGTGTTTGGTTTTCTGTCCTTGTGATAGTTTGCTCAGAATGGTGGTTTCCAGCTTCATCCATGTCCCTACAAAGGACATGAACTCATCTTTTTTTATGGCTGCATAGTATTCCATGGTGCATATGTGCCACATTTTCTTAATCCAGTCTATCATTGATGGACATTTAGGTTGGTTCCAAGTCTTTGCTATTGTGAATAGTGCCCCAATAAACATACATGTGCATGTGTCTTTATAGCAGCATGATTTATAATCCTTTGGGTATATACCCAGTAACGGGATGGCTGGGTCAAATGGTATTTCTAGTTCCAGATCCTTGAGGAATCACCACACTGTCTTCCACAATGGTTGAACTAGTTTACAGTCCCACCAACAGTGTAAAAGTGTTCCTATTTCTCCACATCCTCTCCGGCACCTGTTGTTTCCTGACTTTTTAATGATCACCATTCTAACTGGTGTGAGATGGTATCTCATTGTGGTTTTGATTTGCATTTCTCTGATGGCCAGTGATGATGAGCATTTTTTCATGTGTCTGTTGGCTGAATAAATGTCTTCTTTTGAGAAATGTCTGTTCATATCCTTTGCCCACTTTTTGATGGGGTTGTCTGATTTTTTCTTGTAAATTTGTTTAAGTTCTTTGTAGATTCTGGATATTAGCCCTTTGTCAGATGGATAGATTGTAAACATTTTCTCCCATTCTGTAGGTTGCCTGTTCACTCTGATGGTAGTTTCTTTTGCTGTGCAGAAGCTCTTTAGTTTAATTAGATCCCATTTGTCTATTTTGGCTTTTGTTGCCATTGCTTTTGGTGTTTTAGTCATGAAGTCCTTGCCCATGCCTATGTCCTGAATGGTATTGCGTAGGTTTTCTTCTAAGGTTTTTATGGTTTTAGGTCTAACATGTAAGTCTTTAATCCATCTTGAATTAATTTTTGTATAAGGTGTAAGGAAGGGATCCAGTTTCAGCTTTCTCCATATGACTAGTCAGTTTTCCCAGCACCATTTATTAAATAGGGAATCTTTTCCCCATTTCTTGTTTTTGTTGGGTTTGTCAAAAATGAGATGGTTGTAGATGTGTGATATTATTCTGAGGCCTCTGTTCTGTTCCACTGGTCTATATATCTGTTTTGGTACCAGTACCATGTTGTTTTGGTTACTGTAGCCTTGTAGTATAATTTGAAGTCAGTAGTGTGATGTCTCCAGTTTTGTTCTTTTGGCATAGGATTGTCTTGGCAATGCGGGCTCTTTTTTGGTTCCATATGAACTTTAAAGTAGTTTTTTCCAATTCTGGGAAGAAAGTCATTGGTAGCTTGATGGGGATGGCATTGAATCTATAAATTACCTTGGGCAGTATGGCCATTTTCACGATATTGATTCTTCCTACCCATGAGCATGGAATGTTCTTCCATTTGTTTGTGTCCTCTTTTATTTCATTGAGCAGTGGTTTGTAGTTCTCCTTGAAGAGGTCCTTCACAACCCTTGTAAGTTGGATTCCTAGGTATTTTATTCTCTTTGTAGCAATTGTGAATGGGAGTTCACTCATGATTTGGCTCTCTGTTTGTCTGTTATTGGTGTGTAGGAATGCTTGTGATTTTTGCACATTGATTTTGTATCCTGAGACTTTGCTGAAGTTGCTTATCAGCTTAAGGAGATTTCGGGCTAAGATGATGGGGTTTTCTAAATACACAATCATGTCAACTGCAAACAGGGACAATTTGACTTCCTCTTTTCCTAATTGAATACCCTTTATTTCTTTCTCCTGCCTGATTGCCCTGGTCAGAACTTCCAACACTATGTTGAATAGGAGTGGTGAGAGAGGGCATCCCTGTCTTGTGCCAGTTTTCAAAAGGAAAGCTTCCAGTTTTTGAACATTCAGTATGATATTGGCTGTGGGTTTGTCATAAATAGCTCTTATTATTTTGAGATACATCCCATCAATACCTAGTTTATTGAGAGTTTTTAGCATGAAGGCTGTTGAATTTTGTGAAGGCCTTTTCTGCATCTATTGAGATAATCATGTGGTTTTTGTCTTTGGTTCTGTTTATATGATGGATTATGTTTATTGATTTGCATACGTTGAACCAGCCTTGCATTCCAGGGATGAAGCTGACTTGATCATGGTGGATAAGCTTTTTGATGTGCTGCTGGTTTTGGTTTGCCAGTATTTTATTGAGGATTTTTGCATCGATGTTCATCAGGGATATTGGTCTAAAATTCTCTTTTTTTATTGTGTCTCTGCCAGGCTTTGGTATCAGGATGATGCTGGCCTCATAAAATGAGTTAGGGGGGATTCCCTCTTTTTCTATTGATTGGAATAGTTTCAGAAGGAATGGTACCAGCTCCTCTTTGTACCTCTGGTAGAATTCGGCTGTGAATCCATCTGGTCCTGGACTTTTTTTGGTTGGTAGGCTATTAAATATTGCCTCAATTTCAGAGCCTGTTATTGTTCTATTCAGGGATTCAACTTCTTCCTGGTTTAGTCTTGGGAGGATGTATGTGTCGAGGAATTTATCCATTTCTTCTAGATTTTCTAGTTTATTTGTGTGGAGGTATTTATAGTATTCTCTGATGGTAGTTTGTATTTCTGTGGAATCGGTGGTGATAACTCCTTTATCATTTTTTATTGCAACTATTCGATTCTTCTCTCTTTTCTTCTTTATTAATCTTGCTATTGGTCTATCAATTTTGTTGACCTTTTCAAAAAACCAGCTCCTGGTTTCATTGATTTTTTTGAAGCATTTTTCATGTCTCTATCTCCTTCAGTTCTGCTCTGATCTTAGTTATTTCTTGCCTTCTGCTAGGTTTTGAATGTGTTTGCTCTTGCTTCTCTAGTTCTTTTAATTGTCATGTTAGGGTGTCAATTTTAGCTCTTTCCTGCTTTTTCTTGTGGGCATTTAGTGCTATAAATTTCCCTCTACACACTGCTTTAAATGTGTCCCAGAGATTCTGGTATGTTGTGTCTTTGTTCTCGTTGGTTTCAAAGAACATCTTTATTTTTGCCTTCATTTTGTTATGTACCCAGTAGTCCTTCAGGAGCAGGTTGTTCAGGTTCCATGTAGCTGAGTGGTTTTGAGTGAGTTTCTTAATCCTGAATTCTAGTTTGACTGCACTGTGGTCTGAGAGACAGTTTGTTATAATTTCTGTTCTTTTACATTTGCTGAGGAGTGCTTTACTTCCAACTATGTGGTCAATTTTGGAGTAAGTGTGATGTGGTGCTGAGAAGAATGTATATTCTGTTGATTTAGGGGGAGAGTTCTGCAGATGTCTATTAGGTCCACTTGGTGCAGAGCAGAGTTCAATTCCTGGGTATCGTTGTTAACTTTCTGTCTCATTGATCTGTTTAATGTTGACAGTGGGGTGTTAAAGTCTCCCATTATTATTGTGTGGGAGTCTAAGTCTCTTTGTAGGCCTCTAAGGACTTGCTTTATGAATCTGGGTGCTCTTGTATTGTGTGCATATATATTTAGGATAGTCAGCTCTTCTTGTTGAATTGATCCCTTTACCATTATGTGATGGCCTTCTTTGTCTCTTTTGATCTTTGTTGGTTTAAAGTCTGTTTTATCAGAGACTGGGATTGCAACCCCTGCCTTTTTTTGTTTTCCATTTGCTTGGTTGATCTTCCTCCATCCTTTTGTTTTGAGCCTATGTGTGTCTCTGCATGTGAGATGGGTTTCCTGAATACAGCACACTGATGGGTCTTGACTCTTTATCCAATTTGCCAGTCTGTGTCTTTTAATTGGAGAATTTAGCCCATTTACATTTAAGGTTAATATTGTTATGTGTGAATTTGATCCTGTCATTATGATGTTAGCTGGTTATTTTGCTCTTTAGTTGATGCAGTTTCTTCCTAGCATTGATGGTGTTTACAATTTGTCATGTTTTTGTGGTGGTTGGTACCAGTCGTTCCTTTCCATGTTTAGTGCTTCCTTTAGGAGGTCTTGTAAGGCAGGCCTGGTGGTGACAGAATCTCTCAGCATTTGCTGGTCTGTAAAGGATTTTATTTCTCTTTCACTTATGAAGTTTGGTTTGGCTGGATATGAAATTCTGGGTTGAAAATTCTTTTCTTTAAGAATGTTGAATATTGGCCCCCACTGTCTTCTGGCTTGTAGAGTTTCTGCTGAGAGATCTGCTGTTAGTCTGATGGGCTTCCCTTTGTGGGTAACTCAACCTTTTTCTCTGGCTGCCCTTAATATTTTTTCCTTCATTTCAACTTTGGTGAATCTGACAATTATGTGTCTTGGAGTTGCTCTTCTTGAGGAGTATCTTTGTGGTGTTCTCTGTATTTCCTGAATTTTAGTGTTGGCCTGCCTCGCTAGGCTAGGGAAGTTCTCCTGGATAATATCCTGAAGAGTGTTTTCCAGCTTGGTTCCATTCTCCTCGTCACGTTCAGGTACACCAATTGAATGTAGATTTCGCCTTTTTACATAGTCCCATATTTCTTGGAGGCTTTGTTCATTTCTTTTCACTCTTTTTTCTCTAAACTTCTCTTCTCACTTCATTTCATTTGTTTGATCTTCAATCACTGATATCCTTTCTTCCAGTTGATTGAATTGGCTCCTGAAGCTTGTGCATGTGTCACGTAGTTCTCGTGCCATGATTTTCAGCTCCATCAGGTCATTTAAGGTCTTCTCTACACTGTTTATTCTAGTTAGCCATTCATCTACTCTTTTTCCAAGGTTTTTAGCTTCTTTGCAATGGGTTTGAACATCCTCTTTTAGCTCAGAGAAGCTTGTTATTACCGACCATCTGAAGCCTTCTTCTCTCAACTCGTCAAAGTCATTCTCCATCCAGCTTTGTTCCATTGCTGGCAATGAGGTGTGTTCCTTTGAAGAAGAAGAGGCACTCTGATTTTTAGAATTTTCAGCTTTTCCACTATGGTTTCTCCCCATCTTTGTGGTTTTTTATCTACCTTTGGTCTTTGATGATGGTGACGTACATACAGATGGGGTTTTGGTGTGGATGTCCTTTCTGTTTGTTAGTTTTCCTTCTAACAGTCAGGACCCTCAGCTGCAGGTCTGTTGGAGTTTGCTGGAGGTCCACTGCAGACCCTTTTCCCTGGGTATCACCAGCGGAGGCTGCAGAACAGCAAATATTGCAGAACAACAAATATTGCAGAACATCAAATGTTGCTGCCTGATCCTTCCTCTGGAAGCTTTGTTTCAGAGGGGCACCTGGCTGTATGAGGTGTCAGTCAGCCCCTACTGGGAGGTGTCTCCCAGTTAGGCTACTCTGGTGTCAGGGACCCACTTGAGTAGGCAGTCTGTCTGTTCTCAGATCTCGAACTTCATGCTGGGAGGACCACTACTCTCTTCAAAGCTGTCAGACAGGGACATTTAAGTCTGCAGAAGTTTCTGCTGCCTTTTATTCAGCTATGCCCTGCCCCCAGAGGTGGAGTCTACAGAGGCAGGCAGGCTTCCTTGAGCTGTGGTGGGCTCCACCCAGTTCGAGCTTCCCAGCTGCTTTGTTTACCTACTCAAGCCTCAGCAATGGTGGACCCCCCCTCCCCCAGCCTTGCTGCCTCCTTGCAGTTCGATCTCAGACTGCTGTGCTAGCAGTGAGTGAGGCTCCGTGGGCCTAGAACCTACTGAGCCATGCGCAGGATATAATCTCCTGGTGTGCCATTTGCTAAGACCATTGGAAAAGTGCAGTATTAGGGTGAGAGTGTCCCAATTTTCCAGGTACTGTCTGTGATGGCTTCCCTTGGCTAGGAAAGGGAATTCCCCAACCCCTTGTGCTTCCCAGGTGAGGTGATGCCCCACCCTGCTCCATGGGCTGCAGCCACTGTCCAACAAGCCCCAGTGAGATGAACCTGGTACCTCAGTTGGAAATGCAGAAATCACCTGTCTTCTGCGTCACTCATGCTAGGAGCTGTAGACTGCAGCTGTTCCTGTTTGGCCATCTTTGACATTTTGAAATAATTGCTCTGGCTAATGAGTAGAGAATAGTCTGGGTCGTGGATTTATGTAGGCATACTCTCATCTGTCTGCAATGCCTTTGGCCCACCAAAGACTTTATCTCCAGTTCCTCCTGATCTAGGAAGTCAAAGCTATGTGCTTCAGCACATTTTTCTGTTGGTCTCATGTCTGACCTCAGGTGATTTCCCTAATTTTCATCTCTCAAATGTGTTGCCAGAAACTCTGGTTGCTTCTGTTTTTCAGTGAAGTAAGAAGTAAGCCTTTAGTTAGATAAGAATGGGAGTGTTGATGGGAAGAAAGAGGAGACTGGTTGGCTTTGAGAGTGGGAGAGTAAATTCACTAGGGAAATGTAGGTTTTAAAATTTTTGCTTTTTTATGAAGTAAAAAGGGATCAGGCAGGGATCAGCATTGTGTCCAAGATGAGCAAGAGAAATATTAAAATATATAGTCTTTTCCCAAGAAATGTCAACTAATTGGAGAAACAATGAGTACCACATGAAATAATTACATGGCTATATTTCATTCATTCAACCACTATTAATTCAACAATAGTTTATTAATGCTTATTCCAAAGCAGAAGACTAAAACACAGGTCCTACTCTAAGTTTAACAGAGAAAAAAATAAAAACAAGTTCTTTAAAATGCAAATCAAAACTACAATGACATATCATTTCACCCCAGTTAAAATGGCATATATCTGAAAGACAAGCAATTACAAATGCTGGTGAGGATATGGTGAAAAGGAAACCCTCATACACTGTTGGTGGGAATGTAAATTTATGCAACCACTATGGAGAACGGTTTGGACGTTCCTCAAAACATGAAAAATAGAGCTACCATATGATCTAGCAAGTCCATGGCTATGTATATACCTAAAAGAAAGGAAATCAGTGTATTGAAGAGATATCTGCATTCCCATGTTTGTTCAGTTCTGTTCACAACAGCAAAGATTTGGAAGCAACCTAAGCGTCCATCAACAAATGAATTGATAAAGAAAATGTGGTACATATGCACAATGGAGTACTATTCAGCCATAAAAAAGGATGAGACCCAGTCATTTGCAACAACATGGATGGAACTGGAGGTCATTATGTTGAGTGATATAAGCCAGGAACAGAAAGACAAAGTTTGCATATTCTTACTTATTTATGAGATCTAAAAATTAAAACAATTTAACCTATGAACATAGAGAATAGAGGAATCGGTATCAGAGTCTGGGAAGGGTAGTGAGGGAGGGGCTGGGGAGGTGGAGATGGTTAATGGGTGCAAAAAATTGGATGAATGAATAAGACCTAGTATTTGATAGCACAACAGGGTGAGAATAGTCAATAATAATTTAATTCTACATTTTAAAATAACTAAAATAATATATAACTGGATTGCAACACAAAGGATAAATGCTTGAGGGGATAGATGGCCCATTTTACATGATGTGATTATTAGACATTGCATGCCTGCATCAAAACATCTAATATACCCCATTAATATATTAATGTGTACCTACTATGTACCTACAAAAGTTAAAATAAAATTTTATTTAAAAATTAAAGATAAAAATGAGTTCTCTAAGAGAGGTGTGTACACAACACTATGAGAGCACCAAACAGGCAACTATCCAGTTTGTTTGATGGAGGGAATATGGGTGATCAAGAACAGCTGTAGATAGGTGAGCTGAGTCTTGAAGGATAAATAGGAAAGTCTAGATACATGGGTGGAATAGGCAGAGTAGTAAAAGACTCAGTTAGAGAATTGAAAATACAATGTAATTCAAAGATGAGATTATCACTGGGGTTTGATGTAGTCAGGGAAGGCTGCATAAAGGAATTGGGACTTGAAAAGACTTGAAAGAGAACAAATGGTGTAGATTTTAGGCTGGGAAAAGTGTATATAACAGAGGCAGGAATATTCATGGCATATGCTGGGGATGATTAGGGGAAATACGTGATATGAGCAGTCTTAATCTTAAGCACTGTACATGTACAAGTTGCCTTCTTCTGCGGCGTTGTAGGTGTGATGGGGTAGAGAGAGGCTAGATGGAGTGATCAGACTAGATTGTAGAGGATTGTGCCTCACTCCAGGGTATATATCTGATGTTTAATTGTCTTCGGATGAATATGAAAGAAGATATTTTCCCCTTTGTCTATTTCTGCCTCAGATAGCCCTAGCACATTATTGTCTCTACTCTGGTTCCTTCAATTATGGAGAACATCTGGTGATGCACTACCATCCCGCAGGAGGGAAGCTAGGTGGCACTGCATTACTGCCCAGCAACTGCTCCTTCAGGAACCTTTGGTTTTAAATCAGTGTTGATGAATATAAAACCATGCAGTGAGAAAAATGGCCTGGAAACCGTCTAGAGAAAGGAATTTTGTTTCTTTTGTAAATTTTAATGTAATGAACTATTGTTATTTGGCCCAAAATTAGCTAGCTGATCTGCCTGAATTCTGCTATCAAGGGCATAACTCTATCAGCAGATGAAGATCACATTGTATTTTGCTATTTGGGAAATTCTTTATTATATTCTGTAAGGAAAGTGTTGAAGTTATTAAAGATATGTCACTATCTCTTTCTAACCTTCCATAAAGGGAAAACTGTCCTTTTTGTTTTTCAGCTAGAATTCAAAAGACAGAAATAAAGCTGCCTTTTCCCCCAGGCCACTTAGTGATAGAATTAGTAATCCCACCGAGGGCTAATGATAGCTAAATAGGCGTTTGCCTGGATAAGCTGCTGCTGTTTTGATTTTCTTGAAGTTTTTTTTTTTTTTCCTGAGGAAAGTAGCATGAGGAACTCAGGTAATTTAATAGTACCCTATACCTGTTGTAAAAATAAGGTGCTTGCCTCCAGAGGAGAGTGAGCCCGGGGGAAAGTGTCTAGACACTCTGTACTGATAGAACATGTTGGTCTAGACATAAATTTGCCTCTTAAGAAGTCAAATACAATGGAGAAGATAAAGCAGACTTATCTAACAGTAAACCTATTTTAGAGAGGCATTTGGTAGACTAAAATCTTCCCCTCCTCATTTTTCTCCTGACTTCTAGTTATTATGGTGTGAAATTATATTACCTAAATTAATAAAGTTGTACAAAGCATCTAACCACAATTTTACTTAAAACATCAATTTCAAATAATAATAATAATAATAATAAGGGGCTAGATGGGCCACTGACCATGGATGAGAGCTTATTTGGGGTCAGTAAGAGTCAGCTGAGGAGAGATGTAAACTCTGCAGGATTGTACAATGTACAGAGAGTGGGAATGTGACTCTATGCTAATCTTTGAAGTGCAGCAGAGAGTAGAGAAGCTTGAGAGATCAGCTGCAACCCCAGTCCATAAAGCAGGATAAGGCTGTAATAGATCAACAGAGTCAAGAACCCAATTGTAATAAATGGAAGTAGAAGCAGGGGCGGGACCAGAAAGGAGAGCCTGCAGGGGACTGGCTTAATGGTACCAGATTGACTACAGGAAACCATTTTGTTTTCTAGGGTCCTTCCTAGTTGCATGCTGACCTATTTTTTACACAGCTGAAATGATCACTCATGTTTAATGAGCTTTAATTCTCTTCTCTGTGAAGGTGAAAGAATGATTGGAATCAACATGTTTTTGGACTTGCCCTGAATCACATTTTTACTACCCTCATGCATAGTTGCACAGTTTTATATTTCCAGCATTGTGTTGAAACACATACCCTTGGGTCCTAGTACTATAAATAAGGTGGAACTGTCTTGTCCAAAAGTAACAGTAAAAGGGGCCATTCAAAACTCAATAAGATGTCAGGACACACTGAAAAATTAGTTAGTGAAATAAGCATTGTAGACAAATATTCTGCAAAATAACCAGGTTTTTAAGAACCTGATTTTGATTAACTGAAAAGTCAGGGGAAAAAAAAGACGTAGAATGTTTCCTATTGTGACTTTGTTTGCATGTTCTGATTATCTTAGTTTGGAATCAATCAATTGTGGTTTTAAAAAGTCCTGAATATTTCTCCATAGAACATGTAGACCAATTTGAAAAACAATAATCCAAGCAAACAAAAAACAAACTCAGTTCTTGGTAAAAAGTCTGATTTTCTGTTGAGTAAAATTTTATTGTCAAAATCTTTCTTTTCCCCTCAATCACAATCTTTCTGTATTTTATACAATTTGGGAAACATATTTCTTTACTTCAGAAAGTCATGAAAGTTACAGATATCTGAACCAGCTTGTAAGCCCTGTGGCTTTAACTCAGGACCAAATCATTATAATTATTCATACTAATAATAGCAAACATTTATGAAGCAGTTATTATATGCTACAGTCTATATTATGCTGTTTATATCTATTAATCAATTTAATTATAATAATAATTCTATAAAGTAAGTTGTTGATTTAGTAAAATTAAAAGGAGTTTTCTGATATCATGTAATGATTCCTGGAATCTTCTGAATGTTGTGAAGTTTTTCTTAACCTAAAGTATTCCTTTCAGATTTGCCTTGAAGAAAATGTTCTAAGGATCCTTGTTCCTCCCTAACATCCCAATTTTCCAAAGCAGAAAGCTGACTGGGGACTTGAGAAGAGCATCTAATTTCTTGATTTCTAACTTAGACATATTATTTCTGCAAAACTAGAATTTATTATGCTTCTCAGCAACTTTACTGAAAAACACATCACATTCCACTGGCTAGAAAAAGATGGTTTGTTCTGTTCTCTTAAAAAATGCATAATTGTGCATTTCACTGCAGCAAAAGTTAAGACATTTTCTCTTTCTCAGCAGGCCAAAGGTAGGCAATGCTCTGGCTATAACTTTCTGTTGTCCCAAGTGTCTCATTGGAAGCGTGGATTGTGGCTGGGAATTTTGCTCCTGACATGCTTCTGGGAGTCAAGGGAGGTGTCTAATGCCAACCAGTCTCTTCATTTTCAAAAATAGGGGCAATGCAAACATCTCATTTATTTGGTTTTCAAAAATGTCCTCATTCATCATGTCCCTTGTTTCCATTTTGATAACCCATGATAGTATGCTGCTTTCAATTTGGCATAAGTGGTACAAGGTTAATGTCAGTCAGCTTTGTTGGATGCCTATATCCTTTTGAGGCTTGTTTTTGTATTTACTTTCCACATGAAGATCATGAGTTTGAGACTGGCTGAAAATGTTCAATCTCTGTAAATGTCTCAGGGCACACTTAGTCTGGTGTCATGAGAAAGCCTGGAAGCACTGGGTCTAGGGTCTACATCCCAGCTTCATTGATCATTAGCTCTGGCATCATGGAACAGTGACAATCTCTTGGAGCCTCAGTTTCTTTAACTGTAAATCCGGTGGGTTAGATAAAACAATAGATTATAACAATATTAATATTATTAATAATAACTGAAATTTTTGAGTGTTTTGACAGGAACTTTACATGGCTTCTCTCACTTAATCATCAAAGCAGCATTATGAGGCAGGAACTATTATTACCCCACTTCGCAGAGGAGTCAACTGAGTTCATTTATTTGTTTAGCATAATGTAAGTGGTGAAGACAATACTGAGGCCAGGGCACCTGACTTTATCTATTCGCAAAGTGTGAACTGCAGACCAGCAGCATAAACAATACCTGGGAGCTTGTTCAAAAGGCAAATTCTTGGGTGCACTCTAGACTGACTCAAAACCTTTTGGGTGATGTTCAGGACTCTGTGTTTTAACAAGCTCTGTGGGTGATTTAACACTGAAAGTGGAAGCTCTGTTCTAGGACCTGTGTTCTCAATCCTAGATTGTGGTTTTCTATGTTCAATGAATTTTTCAGTGTCAAGAACGTAGTCCGACTGACTCTTGATTCTGTGGTGGTCTCCTTCCTCCATCACTGCTTTGAGTCTGCCTATCCCTCCTGCAGCTGTGTGCTGGACCCAGATAATGGCCTCTGCGTAGAGAAGCAGCACAGGGCATGTGAAGATTGTATTCCTGCTGGGACTTCCAGTGTTCTTTCCTTGGCTCATACATCGTCAAAGTCAATGCATATTATAGTTTTGCAGCCAGAAACCCTCCTATTTAACAATTCCAAAAAAAAAAAAAAGCTCAAACCGTTGGAAACTCTTGAATATGAGAACTTACAACTTACGTCTGCTAAATGCATAAACTTCTCCTCATTCCTATCAAAGGAACTTTGATAGACTTTATCTGTTCCAGGAGATTTTGAGGCTTTTAGCTTTGTGAATTAACCAAGAAACACTGCACACTTCTCTTTCTCTTGGAAAAACATTAAGCTGTGTTTGTTACCATCAATGATAACAGGTGCTATAAATACAACAATTTGGTGTATACCCAGATTGTTATATAAACCTTCAGGGGCCTTTAAAATTTTCTCCAGGAAAAAAACACCAATGGAATTTTCCTTTTTTTTTTTTTTCTGTGGCCTCTAGTCGATCCTGGTAATTATCAGATATCATATCATCAATATATCTTGTCAATGAATTTTCATTTCTTCCACTAGGTTACACCTAGGGAAGGGTGTGATAGTAAGTGTCACATTTGTAGAATGTTAAGAAGTATGAATACAAAACGGAAAGAAAATCCCAGCAGGAAAGAGAAAAAATATGTTGATTTATATATTTAAAAAATGTTTTAAAAAATTGTTATTATAGAAATTCATGAAGTATAATAAAGTACAAGAAGAAACTAAAAATAATTCACACTCCCACTATTCAGCACTAACCAGTAACATTTAGTGTATAAATATTTTTAGACTTTTTTGCTGGCATACAGAGACATTTATACTTTAGATTTCTATTTTGCCAAAAACTAAATCCTACTTTGCACGCTGTTTTTCCAAATGTAATGGTTGTGGTTCTCACTTCATATCAACATGCATAGACGTGTATAGCTTTCAAGAGTGACTCTTCTTGCAGAAAGAATGGATAAGTAGTCACTCGTGTACTTTGGTGTTGTTGGCTCAACATGTCAGACATGTGCCTACCTGAGTAATCTCCCAGTGTCACCTGTGTTCATGTGGGGAAATAATCAGGCAGACATGATCTACCTCTCACAGATGGTCACTTCAAAACCAAATAAAATGACAAATGTGAAGCTCACTCAATCTACTTCCCATGACTTTTATATTTTTAATTTACTAAGTACTATGCAATTCTGCTTTAGAAAGTTCAACTTTAAGGCACATTTTCATTGATTAATAGTTCCTTTTCCTTACCAATACACACATTCCAAAATAAAGTCTGAGTTCATTTCTTTTGTTCTTTTTTTTCCCTTAGGGAAATTCTACCCCAGGGAAAGCACTTTTAGGGGGATTCCAGGGATCAAATTCAGGTCATTTGAGCTATGTCCTAGCTGTTAAATTATTAGGAGAACTTAGAGATAAAAAGTTTACCATAAATTTAAAAGGATATAAATTTAGGCTGTATCTACACATAAATCAGCTTGGGAAAAAAGACAGTTGAATTCAGTGGAACAACTAGTGATGAACTAGTTACCAACTGAGTGTGATTTGCTGCATTTTTTAAAGCTGATTTCTGTTGGGGACTAAAACAAGACACTTTTCTTTGTGGTGGGTTTTTCTGCCTTTCAAACAGAAAGGTCTTACTAACACAGTATGCTTTGCCAAGATATGTTTAATCTAAAGACTTGCCAATTCAAGAATAGAATAATTTGCCTGAATCCGACAACAGGCAATGACAAATTCTTTATTTGGTAAAGCATAGTAACTGCAGAACATGCATTGCAGGCACTCACAGAAGAAAGCCACCTCTTTCTGCTCAGATCATGATTCTCCGGTAATAACATACTGGAAAGCAACTTGAGGAATACAAGAACAAATTCTTGAAAGTGCACTGAATTGTGGTCTAATGGTCGGAAAGCATTTGTACAACTTTAAGTTCTTTTTTCTAACAGATCAGAATTCCTCTACCTCTTCTTTTTAGACGGATTTACGTAAAGCAAAAGTAGTATGGCTTGTCAGTTTTCATTTTCTGCTAAACCGAATCACTAACATTTCAAGACTTTTGTTTCTCTTATTTCTAAAGAATAGATACTATTTTATATTATCTGTAAAGTTTATAAAGAAATATTAGGAAGAAATAAATAAAAATTATAAGTTATATATTTAAAATATAGCAAGTAATTCTGGTTTATAGGATAAGCTCTAGAAAAGAAATTAAAAAACTGAATGATATATCTACCTTTTACCCTAATTATGACTACCCAAAGTCAAAACAATCCACTGATAATAAGACAAATGTGATATTAAGAATAAGTGAGTAAAAATAGGTATTTAATAGAACCAAATGTTTAAAAAATCTCATTTGATAATCTATACGGATGCTCCCTCTTTACGGAGGTGGAATGTATTTTTCATTCCTTAGGTATGAGTTGGAATAGTGTTCCCCTTCTAAAGAGTACAGTGTGGAAGCTTGGGGGAGGAGAATAACTTTACTGTGGAGAAAACTAGCACATGCAATCTCAGCCAGGTGATGAAGGTTAATATGAACAGTGATAAGACAGGTTGATATCATTTATCCTTGATATTAGGCAAAAGGAATGGCACTTTACCTCTAAGGTCTTCCTCCCCTAAACCCATAACCCCGTGTAATCATTATAAAAATACCAGATGAATTCCAATAGCAGGGCGATATAGTTTAGTTATTTATCCCCTCCAAATCTCATGTTGAAATTTGATCCCCAGTGTTGGAGGTGGGGTCTGGTGGGTGGGAGGTGTTTGGGTCATGGGGACGGATCCTACATGAATGGCTTGGTGCCCTCCCCATGGGGATGAGTTCTGCTCTATTAGTTCCCGGGAGAGCTGGTTATTAAAAAGAGCCTAGCATCTCCCCACTCCAACCCTTGTGCTCTCTTGCTTCTGCTCTTGCCACATGTTCTCTGCATACCCTCTCCCCTTCCCTTCTGCCACAAGTGGAAGCAGGATGAGGCTCTCACCAGAAGCCAAGCAGATGTTGGCACCATGCTTCTTGTATAGCCTGTGGAACAGTGAGCTGAATAAACTTCTTTTCTTTATAAATCACCCAGCCTCAGGTAATTTATAGCAACATAAATGGACTAAGACAAGGAGCATCCCACACAACCCTGACCATTATCTATGGTGGAAGGAATAGAATGTGCAGAGGCACCAAGTGAGAAAGCACATAGTGAATATGACCCCTGGACATGGCTGTGCACAGAGCAGAAAGGAGGGAGCGGTTAGAGATGATGCTGGACAGGGCAACCTGGGGCCACTCACAGAGGGTCTCATTTTCTATGTTAAAAATTTTGTCCTTCCCATGATCAGTGAGAAGCATCAGAGGCTTTCAAGAAAGGAAGTGGCACGGTCTGGTCCTGCCACAGAGAGATGACTCTTACTGGGTAAGGAGACTAGAGACAGAAAGAACACATCTGGCTCCTCAAGTTGAATTAAGAAGGCCAGAGACTACATTAAGGCAATGAAGTGCATTAGGGAGGAAAGATTGTTGGGAAAGAGTTAATCTCCCTCTATCTATATGTTGTTTACCCATTCAGTAGGTCAGTCAACAAATCTGGGGGGGCTGTGTGTACAACCCTGCATGAAGCACACCACCTGTGAAGCTTATAAAGCAGCTGCAAATGGTACTCTCTGGAGCTGAGCAATGGCGTGCCTCCAGGGTGTGCATTTTGGCTGGGCACTGAGCTAGATGCTGAATGAGCAGTCATGAACAGAACAGGTGCAGCCCTTGTCCGCATGGAGCTCTTTCTCCACTCAGGGCTGCACCAAGACTGGTGACTACCTTGTGCAGAGGAATAATTTGGCATTCCTTCAAACTGAGAGTGGAATCTGAGTCTTGTTTTGTGGGAGTTCTCTGTCCCTACTCTCCAGTACAGACCAATATCTCTGGCCCTAAATCTGCAAATTTCACACAGCAAAGGTAAGAAGGCAATTTAACTGATCCCTTTGGATCAGTTAATATAGGAGGTGTTTCATTCTTTATTGGGTGACCATGTTCCTTCCATTCAGTCAGTATTCTAAAAGTGGTTACGTTCCTTTCATCTTACCACATCCTGGTGAAGTTTTAAGCAGTAGGTGATATTTGGCTCCCCTTTTAGACTGATGTTTGGAGTAGCTGTCTGGCTGGGTTGCCCCTTAATCCAGCCCTAGTTTAATGTGGAAGGTAGACATTAAATAAATCTTTATAAATATTTCATTGGAGTTAATTTGATTTTGTGACTCTAAATAAATGATAGAATTCTCCCATCCCCCCGCTAGGCAAATCTCTTCGTTTTTGTTTCCCTGTTTATTCTTGAAACCTCTCCTAGGAATAAATAGCTCACAGCCCTGTGGAGCTCACTGGAGAAGGTCTGAGTGAGACAAGTGGGGCAAAGCAGCCCATCTGCACTTTCTGTTCTTTACGTCGTGGGGGAGATTGTTGTTTCCTAGGTGCACAGCAGGGCAGCAAGAAGGACAAGGGGCAAAGTTGAAGCTTAGTTTTGGTTTTGGTTTTGGTGCTACACTAGAAGTGCAAAGCTCCAAACTGGAAAGATTAGATTGGGGACCAGTGTATAACACCTTTAACACTTTTTGAAATGGGCTGAGTGGCAATCAAAAATTTGTTAGGTTGGCTGGGCGCAGTGGCTTACGCCTGTAATCCCAGAACTTTGGGAGGCTGAGGCGGGTGGATTACCTGAGGTCAGGAGTTCGAGACCAACCTGGCCAACATGATGAAACCCCGTCACTACTAAAAAAATACCAAAAATTAGCCTGGCGTAGTGGTGGGCACCTGTAATCCCAGCTACTCAGGAGGCTCAGACAGGAGAATTGCTTGAACCCAGGGGCAGAGGTTGCAGTGATCCGAGATTGCGCCATTGCACTCCAGCCTGGGCAACAAGAGTGAAACTCCATCTCCAAAAAAAAAAAAAAAAATTGTTAGGTTAAGTTTGATTTCATGGCTTACATACTTATTTCTGAATATCTTCCTGATTCCCCCCACACCCCTATGTAACTAGCTGCTCTTTCTCCTTTTCTCTCCAATCTCTGCTGCTAACTAAATCTAATCTAGATGGATCACAATAAATGTTATGTATAGCTTAGTGTGAATTTAAGCTTTAAGCCACTTTCACTTTTTTTTTTCTTTAGACTGAGTCTCGCTCTGTCGCCCAGGCTGGACTGCAGTGGCGTGGTCTCTGCTCACTGCAAGCTTCACCTCCTGGGTTCACGCCATTCTCCTGCCTCAGCCTCCCGAGTAGCTGGGACCACAGGTGCCCGCCACCACACCCGGCTAATTCTTTTTTGTATTTTTAGTAGAGACAGGGTTTCACCATGTTAGCCAGGATGGTCTCGATCTCCTGACCTCGTGATGCACCCGCTTCGGCCTCCCAAAGTGCTGGGATTACAGGCTTGAGCCACCGCGCCTGGCCCACTTTCACTTTTTAAAAGGAGTACTTGTGATCAGTTTCATCTTCATTGAGAGATGCAAAGGTTTGTGCCCGGTAAAAGCACTAAGGCATTAAACTGGGAGCTGGGAGGTTTTGAGGGACTGTGTAGGAGGCCTTGCAAGGGAAGCCTCTGAATTCATACAAAGCAGGAGCTGCTAATTCAGCTGTGCACTGAGAGGCAGAACAGAAGCCATATGCAGCTTCATGGCTATTGCTGAAGGCTCAGGAGAATCAGTCAACCCTCTTCACCATCAGGGCTCCTGATGTTCCATTAGTGGTGCTGAGGACACGGTGGTTGGGAGATTTTCCTCTGCTAACCATCTGACTTCATTTTGAACTCCGGTTCCCTAACTTGCTAGTTGGGCAGATTACTTAACCTTGGAACCTCAGACACTTCAGCTGTAAAATGTAGATAATAATAGATGCCACCTCACAGAACTGTTGCTATGAAGGTTGATCAAAATGATGCTGCATGGTGCTCAGCCTGGCACCTAGCACTTTGCCAAGCAGCCAAGTAAGCTATTAACTATTAACTGTAAAAAGAGAAGCCAAACAGAGAGTGTGCTTGCTACTATTTTCCACTGAGTTTGAACAAACACCGGCCCTGCTTCCACTGAAAGGATAGGGGTGCATAGATGGGGGAGAAAAGGCGAGAGTTTCAACAAGCTCTAAGTGAGCGTATCATGCAGCTGGTGACACTCGTGCAGCTCAGGCAATTGCAGAGATGTTCTGAGTGACACTTCTCCTACTCCCTGAAGGCTTAGTGCTGAAATAATGACATAGATGACAGGTTTTCATTTTCCCCCCAATTTTCCTGCCTACATGGTTAATCTAGGGGTTCTATCTGTGTGCTACACCTGATGGGAAACACAAAATTCTAATAAAGATGTCTAAAGTGTACCAAATTTTTTATCTGGGAATATTGTATTGCAGATCCCTCATGGACTCTACTATATCAGATAAACATAAACATGATCATACCATATATTAGGACTTTAAGAAACTCCATTCTGGGCCAGTAATCTGAGCTCTCACTATATTTAGACAATTTCAGATTGAAGAAAACAAGAGACTGCAACAGTCATTAAACATTAGAATGAGTTATTTAATAGAGAAGAAATTCTCATTTCTCTGAGGTGATTTGGAAGTGACGTTGCCTGAGGGAAGGATGAGATAACAGAATTTACTGAGCTCCCTCTAAGCCTGAAATTATTCAGGGAAGGCTCTAGTTCAAAGGCTTTGTATTAATTGTTTCTCACAGCATCTCCAACATAAATATAGAATCAGATCATTTCTTTTTAAATCCATTCTCAACATCATAATCACTAATGTCATTCTTTGTACTGACTTTACCTTTCACTCTGGCCAATGCAATAGCCTCCTCTCACCTTCCAACGTTCTTAGTTGCCCCCTAAATCCATTATGCTCAGAGACATCAGAGTAATCTTTTCCACCAACATTTCACTAAGAAAATCTTCAAATATAAAGCAAAATTGTAATAATTTTACTATAAACATTCATGTACCTACCAGCTAGGTTCTGCCATTAGCATTTTACTTACACTTGCTTTCTCACATTTCTGTCCATCCATATTTCTACTCCTTATTCACTAGTCCATCTTAATTTTGGTGTATTTGAAAGGAATTGAACATATCAGTAGTATTCCCCATAAACACTCTGGCATGCATATAACTAATTAAAGTTCAATATTTATGTGTTTTTTAAATGTAAAATTTGAATACCAAATTTACACATTTTTTGAGTTTCCACCACTGTGTAACCCTAACTCTTTTTTTTTTTTTTTTTTTTTGAGATGTAGTTTTGCTCTTGTTGCCCAGGCTGGAGTGCAATGGCTCAATCTCAGCTCACTGCAACCTCCATCTCCCGGGTTCAAGCAATTTTCCTGCCTCAGCCTCCCAAGTAGCTGGGATTACAGGCATGTGCCACCACGTCCAGCTAATTTTTTATATTTAGTAGAGATGGGGTTTCACTATGTTGGTCAGGCTGGTCTCGAACTCCTGACTTCAGGTGATCCACCTGCCTCGGCCTCCCAAAGTGCTGGAATTACAGGTGTGGGCCACTGCACCAGGCCATTAACCTTAACTCTTATCAAGGATAGATTACTATCACTCCAAAAAGTTCCCAGAGGACATCAGTGTTCTAAGTTTTTCCCACTGTGTATTCATTTCTCCTGTTCTAGAATATCATATAAATGGAATCATATAAAATTTTCCTTCCTGTAGCAGCAAATTAATTCTTTTTTATTGCTGAGTAATAGTCCATTTATGAATATTCCACAGTATGTTTACTATTCTTTTATTAGTAGATTTTGGGGATGTTTCCTGTTTGGGGCTATAATGAATAAATCCGCTATGAAATTCTTGCATGAGTCTTTTTATGAACATATATTTCCATTTATTTTGAGTAAATGCCTAGCAGTAGAATTGCTGGGGAGGTGTGCTTATTTTTAAAACAGAGTGGCCTTTTAGAAATATGTTAAATAATATCCCTCCTCTATTTTCAATTCTCCAATGACTTCCATTGTAATTAGGATGACATCTCACCATAGTAAAAGCTCAGAAAGATCAGGCTTCTGTCTCCCTTCCAGCTCAATCTCATATTGCTCCCATGACCATATCTTCCACTCCATCCTACCTGCCAACTTGTCACCATTTCCAGTCTATTCCTTAACAAGCCAAATGTGTCCCCAACTTGCCCATACCCTTGTTACCCCAGCCAAGACCATTTTCCAATCCATTGCATGGCCGATTCATTATTCAGGCATCGGCTTAAATGTTACCTCTTCAGAGAACATCTAGGTTAAGAGAGGTTAAATCACTTAAGCAATGTCGCACAGCTGGTAGAGCCAACAAGTAAATCCATGCAAACAGACAATCTGTGCCCAAAGCCCTTCCCCAAGCATCTTAAAACAAAAACCTCCCTTCAACACTATGTCTTGTGATTTCCTTCTCTCTCTTAGCTACCATTCACTGCCCTTTTTTTTGTCTCATTTTTTTCCTTTGCTTTTTCCAATTCCTTGGAATTGTTCCTTCTAAGGTTATCCATGATCAACTAATTGTTAAATTTGGTGAAAATACTTTGTGGACCCTACATGACTTTGCCTCTCTTCAGCATTTGACTCTATTGACTATTTCCTTTTCTTGAAATGTTGCATTTGGCTTGTATAAGCATAGTCATTCATGGTTTTCTCTGCCTCTATGGTCCCACTTTCTTCATATCTCTCCTCAGTGTTCCATTGCTTTCTCTTCAGATACTGGTGCTTCAGAAGTCTTCCCCTCATCTTATTCTTGTAGTACTTCACACATTCTCCCTGGGAGATCTCATCTATGTCTATGGCATCAATCATGACCTACATATTGATTGTCTCTTCAGCTAAATCCCCAATCTAAATCCATATTGAACCACTTTAATTGCATGTCCCAAAGGCATCATGTTAGTCTCCAAAGATGGGCCCCAAGGAGCCATGTCTCCCAGTCTTTATGCTCTCTGGAGTCCCCTGCCCTTGAATCCGGGCTGACCCTGTGACTCTCTCTTTACCAGTAAAATGCTGCAAAAGTGAGAGTGAGTCCCAAGGCTAGGTCACTAGAAGCCTTATAGCCTCTGCCCAGGTCTCTTGAAATGTGAGTTGTTGGGATACTGTCTCTTGCAATCCAGCTATCCTGCTGCGAGAAGCTCAAGCCACTTGGAGAGGCCACGTGCAGGTGGACAAGCCCAGCAGAGCTTTTATCCAATAGCCATCATCAACTGCCACCTATGTGAGTGAACTATCCTAGATAACCAGCCCACTTGAGTCTTCAGATGACTGTAGCCTAGCTGACGCCTGACAGAAACTACATGAGAGACCCCAAGTAAGAATGTCCAGCTGACCTTGGTCCACTCACAGAACCATGAAAAATAATCATGAATTATTCTTCCAAGCTACTAAATTTTGGGGTAGTATATTATGCAACAATGGATAACTGGAACAGGCATCTCAAATGCAATATTTTCAAGCTGAACAAACTGTCTTTCTCTTATCCCAGGTCCTTCTCTAACCTTCGTCATTCTGGTTAATGGCATGGCTAAATACCTGATCCTAAACCTGGAAGTCATTCTTCTTTTATTTATTTTGAGACAGGGTTTCACTCTGTCGCCAAGGCTGGAGTGCAGTAGTGCAATCAGAGCTCACTGCAGCCACCCTGTGGGCTCAAGGGATTCTCCTGCCTCAGTCCCCCAAGTAGCTGGGACTACAGATGCGTGCCACCAAGCCTGGCTAATTTTTGGTACTTTTAGTAGAGACAGGGTTTTGCCATGTTGCCCATGCTCATCTCAAACTCCTGAGCTCAAGTGATCCACCTGCCTCAACCTTGCTATTTTGCCCAGGCTGGTCCCAAACTCCTGAGCTCAAGTGATTCTTCTACTCTTATTGAATCAACTTTCACCTCCAGTCAGCTTCCCTTTCAGTTCTATAAATTCTACTATCTAAACAGATCCTGTAGTCTCCCTTTCTCTCAGCCCTGGTCCTGCTTCCTTAGTTGTGCTTTGCTATGGCTTGAGTGTGACCCCCCCCAAAAGTATATGTTACAAACATAACCACCATTGTAACAGTATTAAGAGGTGGGACCTTTAAGAGGTAATTAGGCCATGAGGGCTCTGTCCTTATCAGTGGATTAATACCATTATTACAGGAATGGATTCCTTATAAAAGGATGAGTTCAGCCCCCTCCTGCTCCCTCTCTCTCATCCCTATTTGCCCTTCTGCCATGGGATGATGTAGCAAGAAGGCACTCACCAGATGCTGACCACTTGATCTTGGACTTCTCAGTCTCCAAAACTGTAAGAAGTAAATTTTTATACTTTATAAATTATCCAGTCTCAGGTATTCTCTCATAGCAGCACAAAATAGACTGAGAGAGACCCTTTATCATTTCTCATGTATATAGTTAACATTACTGTCTTAACTGATCTCCTGACCATTGGCCCTCTCAAAGCCATTCTCTACACTTCTGTGAGTTATCTTCCTAAAACATGGGCCTGATCTTGGTTATAAAGCTGCTCATAGTTCCCAACTGCCCTCAGAATTAAGTGCAAACTTTAGTAGGGTACACGGGTTCTTCATAATCTGGCCTATTAGCTCTTCATTATCATTTACGTCTGCTGCTCTCCCATGACTATTTGGTCTCGTTCATATCCACTCCCATTTTTTCCCCAGAAAGCTCTGTTCGCCTTTCATCCCTGGACCTTTGCATATATCTTTCTGTACTTGTATCCTATAGTGGTTAAGAGCTCTGGATCTTATTGTGGTTTTGCCACTTTCTAGCTATATGACTTTGGCCAACTTACTTAGTCTCTCTGTGTATCAGTTGCCACAGTGGAAATAATAGTAGAGACTACCTCATGTTGATCTTGTATGGATTTAAAAAATTAACACAGGCAGGGTGCAGTGGATCAAGCCTGTAATCCCAGCACTTTGGGGGGCCAAAGCGGGTGGATCACCTGAGGTCAGGAGTTTGAGACCAGCCTGGCCAACATGGTGAAACCCCGTTTCTGCTAAAAATATGAAAAATTAGCCGGGCATGATAGTGGGCACCTGTAATTCCAGCTACTTGGGAGGTTGAGGCAGGAGAATCACTTGAACCAGAAGGCAGAGGTTGCAGTGGGCCGAGATCACGTCATTGCACCCCAGCCTGGGCAACAAGAGGGAAACTCTGTCTCAAAAGAAAAAAAAAATTAACACAGGTAAAAAGCTTAGATCAGTGCTGAGCACAATATAAACCCATTAGTGGCTAAACCATCAACAAGTGTTGGGAGCTGCTGCTATTTTTACTTTCCCTAGAATTCTATCTCTTACCTTTCACTCTTCTCACTGCCCTTATTTGCCCAGAAATCCCTTTATGTCCTGAAAAACTCAACTCTCATATTTTACTTTTAGGAAATTATCAGTTACTGCTCTAACACAGTTCTTGATGTATGCTCTTCACTCCCTGACCTTTTGCTTTGTTGATACTTTATTATTGTACTTACGACTCCATACTTAAAAAATATAATTGGTAAAAAAAAATGTAACTAGTAATAGGCAGAAAAACTGGAATTGATTCCCAGTGCCTGTTACATGACAGGGGCTCATTATATACTTGCTGAGTGAATGATGGAAGGTCAAGTGAACAAATTAGAGAAATCAGGCAGAAAATATTTCCAGGTATCTTGGGGAGTTGAGAATTAGAGAAGAAAAGAATGAAGGAGGTTGGGATTTGATGAAGAACATATTTGTGACAGTGAAACTCAGTCGTGGGATTTGCTGTTTATATTGTTTTCTTTCCTTCTCAAATCAACATGAGTTGTACAGACCATAATAAAAGCTTCATCTTGAGCCTGTTATTGCATCACCATTTGGCTGATGTTTCACTGCTCCATCACTGTGGGAGGTTAACACTCACTGAGGGGTGGCAGTACCCTCTGCATTTCTCTGGGAAACTCCAATGATTCATCCAAAAGTGTGAGAAGCCAAGCAGCTTTTATCACCCAGGAGACAGCTGTAACCTGACCTCAATTCATGCCAAAGAAGCCTGAGGAAAGTGCCCTGGAAGTGAACAGCCTGCTCATGACTCAAGGAACTCAAAAGTCAGAGTTCTGACCAGTATTGTTGGGGTGGGTAAAAGAACTTCACTCCCTCAGATCTGAAAGTGTCCTTGCCAGAGGAGAGGGAGACCTTATTTCAAGTGTGTTTGAATAAACATGACATACATAAACTTGATTTTCCAGGTTTTGGAGAAAGCATACATTTGTCCTCTGCATCATGAAATAATGTCCTTGGTGGCTCCTTTCAGGGCCTGTGCTGCACTCTCCTTAGTGACTATTAGCATTGGAGTTGGACAATTTAAGGGCAGGAGTGGAGACCTGCTACTTATAAAGGATGACTACACTTATTTAGGGATACTGCTCACGCTGACTCTCAGAGCAATTCTTTTGTTCCAACAGCTGTTCCCAGGGTAGGGTAATATTGGAACAGAGGCTTATGCTGCAGTATCCATTGAGTGGGACTGAGGCCCCTTCAGTAGCTGAAAATCCCCACTTCAGTGCTACTGCTTCAGCTACTGCAGCTCTTACTGTCTTCAAAAACAATGGTAAGGATTCCTTTAACCTCAGAGGAGGAATTAGCTTTTTGCAGAGACTACAAAGAATCCATAGGATACAAACATTTCTATAGTCCAGGAAGGAGTCCCACATATAAAAACAAAACTGTAATATATTTTATAAGTGATTTGCCTAAATATGTGAGGCTGTATTCACTCAGTTTCTCAAGAAGCATTTCTTGAGAAGCTACTGTGTGCCAGAGCCTCCTTAGGGGGCAGGAACTGCTTATTTATCTTCATATCAACATCCCTAGGTAAGTGCCTAGCCCATCGTATGGGCTACAGACTATGCAATGCTATTTCCCTTAGCCCCACCAGAGTTCAGGGTCAGACTGATGGGCAGGACTATGAACAGATCTTCTTTCTCTCCTTGAAGGTAACTAACCTTCCATGGGACTTGAAGCTTCAGATTTTGGCCTTAACCAAGTCAACTAGCTCAAGTCAGAGGGGCAGTGATTATTTGAATTGCCAAGGTATTACCTAATGAGAATCTTTGTGACTAAGCTCTTAAAGTTGAAACTTAAGTAACATTAGCTGAAAAACTTGTTGGATAAACATTGCTACTCCCTTGAAAATTCCGGGAGTTCCAGTTTGGTTGCTGACCATTTTTTACCATTTATCTATTTGTTTAGCACTAACGTTTCTTAAGCTTCCAATGTATATAGAATGCTATGCTGGGTTGTGGGAAATACAATGAGCTATGCTCCCTGTCTGCAAGTCGGTCACATTTTAAGTGGGGGTGCAATAAATGACAGATTCAAACCACTGAACAATTATTAACAGAGAAAAGCAACTTTTATGGGCAAAGGCTTTCGGCAACTCCAGGCACAGTCTCACCCAAGGCCTTGATTGTGGCACTGCTTCTGTCACAGAGAATAAGAGTGAAATGTTAGAAGACTGTTGAAACACTGCGGAGTTAATGTTATGTTCCTTTTCATCTTTGGGTCTTTGTACATGCTGGTTCCTTGTCTTCCCACCACTACCCCTATATCATTTATCTAATTAAAACTCATAAACATGAATGAGAAGCCCTTTTTGACCACCAGCCTACAAACAGACACACAGACACACACACACACACACACACACACACACACACACACACTGCGTTGTCCTTCCATTGAGGTACCAACAGCACACTATAATTTCTCCATTATGATAGCATTTATTACAAGGTATTATGATTTCTGTTTAACTTCTCTGTATCCCTCCTGCCTGCTACATTGTAACTTCTGTGACTGCAGGGATATATCTGTTTTGTTCACCATTATATTGGCTAGCATGTAGCAGCCATTCAATAAATACTTGCTGAATGCATGAATGAACGGCTGAATGGCAGAACCAACATTTGAGTAAAATTTTCGTGTATTGTTTACTTTGTGCTATAACTTCCTAGGTATTTTATGGATCTTCTTTCTGTGGGGTTATATATAGTATAAATTTGTTGCAATATTATATTCTTTTTAAATGCCTCAGTCACTTGTTAAATTTAGTGCTTGTTGCAGAAGGGTATAATGTTACTGATAGGAAAGCCATAGTCTTGATCCCTATATCGAGGCCAAATGGCTTCTTATCTGGAAATCTCTGCCTTAAATTGAGCAGTATCTAGATTAGATGTTTTGAAACTATGTATCACTCACTATGGTGGGCAAATAGTTCAGACAGACTAGGAGACGGGATATGAGAAACTTAGAATAAGCTACAAGAAGAATTCTAAAGACACATGACCCATTAAATTCCTTTTTCATTGAAAATCAGACCAAAATCTGTGGCAAAAACAGAAAACGTATTCCGGAAATATGGCTGTAGAACTGAAGACTAAATAGCAAGCAGTGTTTAATCTGAAGTAATGAATGTTATTTCAAGGAGCAAAGAAGCTAACACTTGCAATAAATCTTTGTTTTGAAGTATCTTTCTCAAAGGTCATCAAAATAAGTTTTAATTTAGATTCCTAAATCCAGTTTCTGCTCTGTTAGTTATTGGGGATTTTTTGAATAAATAATCTACGCAGAACTGTGGACTCTGCTCTGCTTTTTCAACCCCATGGTGTGGTCATCCAGAAAGGATTTCTTCTCCGCTCTAGGCTTAGAAATGGGGTACCTCCTGCCTGATGTATCCTATGCTTTCCAGAACCTGAAAGATTAAGATGAATCATTACAAGTGAAATGACCCTAGACAGAGAACAAAGAGGGCTGGCACATGTTTGCTGTAACATTCCGGGAGAGCTCTTCATCCCGTTTACATGTTCTTGAGAGGGTGCCTTCCGTGCTGTGATGAATGAGCCACCCAGACCTCCCGCTACCACACAGCAATTGTTTAGTCAGAGATCCTGTGCATCTGGGTCTTTTTTTTAATCAGCAGGTTCTAAATAAAAAACAAAAAACAATAACAAGCCCACCCTCTCTGAATATGACTCTCTGACTCTCTTGTGTTTCTTGTTTACATTTTATTGTGCGAATGTGATTCTGCTTCTTAGCCTAGTGCATTTGGATTTGTTGTTCACACTGAGCATAAATTGCCAAACACTCAACTTTAATCTAATTGTACATACTATAAACAGAAAATGTTGACGTTAAAAGCATTTCCATAATCACAGATTGGGTGTATGGATGAGCAAGTGGATGAGTTAGGCCTTTTGTCATCTCAGTCCATAGCTTGATCCTTCAGGTATTCAAAAGGAAACGGGGACTGTCTTCCACTGATGACCTCACTGATGATGAGGTTCATCTGCCACCATCTATAGTGAGTGAAACTTTATGGTGTAGTTGTTAAGTCTCAAATTCAGAGAGACTTAGGATCAAATCTCACTCTGCTACTTTCTAGCTATGTGACCTTGGGAAAGCCACATGGTGCCTTGAAGACTCAGTCTCCTTAACTATATTATAAGAATAATAATATTCCCTATGCCAAAGGGATCCTGTGAGATAATAACATCTTAATTGAGTTAAATTATTTAAGAGTTAAATGAGATAATGGATAAAAATCATGGCACATTTTGAGCACTTCATAAATATTAATGATAACGATCCTTATTTAAACGTGCCCTGCATTCTAAAAATGAGAAGTAACTTTCTGGCTGAAACCAACCCCTGAATGGCAACAGAGAAAGCTGTTTCAACAGGGTTGAGAAAAAAGCTGGGGGATAAAGTAATGTTTCTAATCTTAGAGTTTAAGAGAAAATACATTTTTTAATTCACTTGGTAAATTAGAGATCTTTTAGGGACACCAGAAGAAGGCACTTTCTGAAAGAGTTAAAATGATTTCCTTAGAGTAAACAAATCTCTCTCATAGAATTTTTGCTTAGACTAAGTTGATGGGACATTCATTAAGAAATAAACTTTTCATCCTCGCTTGGGTAATGCAACCAGGGAACGAGTAAATATCCCGGGAAAGCCAACTTGCTATATGCAGGTACTATTTCTTAAAAATGTTATTTTTATCTATCAAAATAATATTACTGTTATTAAGTATCATTGAGGTTCAATCCTGCGACAGAAACTGTACTTAGCTATAGGGAATCAAATATGATTGTGACATAGTTCTACCCTCAGGGGTTTTAAGTGGGAAGATAGAATATGCCATTAAAAAAAAAGTAATCCTTGGCATGGAAGGTTAAATGCCTTATAACTAACTGATGATTGATAGCAGAAGAGTGACTAATTCTCATCTAGAAAGAGAAGGCCTGGGCTCTAGTTTTGGTTCCACCACTTGTCAAGTTTGTAACCTAGGGAAATTCACTTCAATCCTTTGAACTTTCAGTTTTTCAAAGGAAATGGAGATGACGATATTTGCCCTACCATTCCCATAAGGTTGCTGTGAGGTTCAAATGAGCTAAGGTTTACGAAAACACATAATAAATTACAGCACTTCGGTGCTATTCCTTGGTGTGATCATTTTCCTTCCTCTGCCTCCTCATAGACTGAGACTCTCATAAACTGTTTTATTTTCTGTCTCAGCTTATGAAATATCTGCAAGTTATATCATTATGTGTGTGTGTGTATTGTGTGCACATTATCAAGTCTAATCAAGCCAAAGCAGCAGAACTAAACACAGATATCTGGACTCCTAAAAATCCACCACTTAATCGTGAAGACAACATTGTTAGAGAAGAAAAGATATTCTCTAAGGTTGGACCTATTTCAGAAATGAGTAGCATCACCCTTGCTTTACAATGGAGAAAACTGAGTATTGATTTATTGAACACTTATTTAATAAAGGTTTATGAAGAACCCATCCTGCACCAGGGGCCCAGGTACCAACTTAAAGAATGTGAGTGAGAAAAACAGGGAACTCAGTCCTGGCATTGACCTTTGCTGTAACTTCTGCTCATTGTAGGAATCAGCCAACTTCCTGTCCTTTAGTTTCCTCTTCTGCAAACTGAAGATTAGTTAGTTGTAGAGCATACAGTCAGTGTTATGTCTGAAAATATTGAAATACAGAGACAAAGTGAAAAAGAAGGGTATGAAACCCCTTTCCATTAGACTGTAAGAGGGATGATGATTGTTACTTTTGGGAGTTATGAGCGTGGGCAGTGGAGAGAGTGGTTTGTTTGAGGATGCCACGCTGAGCATTGGGTGGATGTGGAATTTGTGTGGGCAGGGAAGTAGAGAAGAGAGTTGGGGCAAGCTAAGACTGCCAGCTTCCAGACTGGAAGCTTCTGCGGTAGTTACGGGGAATGAGTCAGGAAATAGTTCTGTGTAAATAGTTATGAAATTTTAAAGCTAATTTTGTCATGGGCCAAAGGCATTTTTTGGGGATGATGAGAGATATCAAATTTTGTGGATGCGCCTACAAGTAGGTGATGGTTCTACACTGAAAGATTTGCCACTTTTCTTCACCCTAGAATGTTCATATTGTGCGTGTGTGTGTGTGTGTGTGTGTGTGTGTGTGTGTGTGTGTATGGTTTCTTAGTGGACTGTGAGATATATTAAACATAGATAAAAGGAATATTTAACTAAAAGAGAAGCAACAGAAAGTTAATCAAATAGTATCCAAGACAGGACGGAAATGGGCTTTAGGGGAGTCCTGAGAGAAAGAGAACTCACATTCATTGAGTTCGTGTGAATTGTTTCTGGGCCCCGGGCACTGTCATATCCATGAAATAACCTTATTCTTGTCTTGAAAAGCTGTTCTCATACAGATCTGAAAACTAAGGCCCAGAGACAGTAAGCAGCTTCTGGGAATGACTATGTTGTTGAGCTCAGGTTTGAGCTATGGAGGGTATGAAGTTATTTCCTCTTAGCAACTCCATCACAGACTCAACATGCTGGGCAAACTCACTTTATCTTTAAAGAACAGTCTCTATTTGCAAAGGAGAGAACCTGCTTCCATACACTTGGGACTGTTAGAGTTGTCAGACGATGTTACCAAAGCAAAGGCACTTGAACTTAGGCCAAGGTATATGTTTCTGTAGTCACCCTGTGGTAACTACTGGGGTCAGCATTTCACAAAACCTACTTACCCTGTTTAGTTAGGAAAACCCTAGAGGTGGGGGAGTGGGAGTGAGGGTCCCCAGTCCCACTGTCATTTGGAAAAATGTCCAGATGAGAGTAGGCTGTCCACTTCCTAGAGGCAAATCTTTCTGAATCTACATAGTTTCACAGACTCACAGAACTTCAGAGCTGAAGAGACCTTCAGATAGATATTTTTCAGATAGACCTTCAGATAGACATTTTGCCGCACTGCTCAGTCTAGGTTAACGGGAAGCTAGGGCAAGAATTCACTTATGGCCCTCCCTTCTTCCTGTATTCAGTATTTTCCTGTCTGTAACATTGGGTCCATGATTAAGCTATTTAACCAGTTTCTGAATTTGTAATTTATGAAGCCAGGAAAAGGGCATTTATCACTTGAATCATCCCAGCAGCCTGTGTCAGAGTTAAGGAGGGAATTATTTTTTTTTCTAAAAATTCTGTTCTAGGCTATTTAAGGTCACTCTACTTGCCTCTTCTGGAGAGACTCGTACATGCGTTGCTGATCCCTGGGCTGAGTTCTCCCAGCCCTAGTGAACTCGGAAGTACAGGTCCAGAAGGTTCTGCTTGATGGTTCCCATCAGGGTAAAACTGAAAATAGGAAGCCGTTGGTTGCTGATTGTAAGATAAATTTGTTTAAGTAGTGTGCCAAAAGCAGTGGGTCATATGAAAAGCCACATGACCAACCAGAAATAATTGGAGCTTAAAAGATGCTAGGGTCTATGAGTAAGATTTCTTTCACCATGGGATTTAGGTAAGGCAAACTCACCCACTCACTAGTTCTTAATTCCCATTTTCTTTTTGTCCTGGAACATTTCACCTGCCCTGATGCGGCAAATTAAGTGATTGAATTAATACAGAAATGTCAGCCTTTATTGATGACAATTAGGTGTTCATATTATTTCTGTTTTATTAATAATTTATTTACCTATTCAACAAATCTTTAAAGCCTACTGTGTGCTAGATGTGGAGGAAGAAACAAGTAACACTTCCTCCGTGACAGTTTTTCTAATCCCTCTAGTGTAAATTCTCTCTCCCTTTCCTGAAACTTAGTAGTTCTTTGTTTATAGTTCTCCAATAGATTTATGCCATGTTGCCTTGTATTGTAGCAGCTTGAGAACATGTCTTACTATTTAGAACTAAGACAATTGCTTTACAAGTATTTGTCTGTACCATGATATTTAAAGTAGTGCTGGCACAGAGTATGTTGTCAGTGTTGTGGAATAAATGACTAAATGAATATTTGTTGAATTAGGTAAGAAGTTGCTTCAGCTTTGGCTGTTATGCTGCTGTAACAAACAGCTCCCAAATTTCAATAGCTCAGAACACAATGATTTATTTCTCATCTATGTTAATGCCCATAGTGAGTTAGGTGCAGCTCTGCTCCCCATCTTCTGGATTTGGGGATCTGGGTAGAAATAGCCATTAGTTGGGATTTTCTTGTGTTGGGGAACAAGAGAGATGGCAGAAACACATGATAGATCAGAAGTGGCATTCATTGGCTGGGCACGGTGGCTCACGCCTGTAATCCCAGCACTTTGGGAGGCATAGGCAGGTGGATCACCTGAGCTCAGGAGCCCAAGATCAGCCTGGCCAACAATGGTGAAACCCCATCTCTACTAAAAATACAAAAATTAGCCAAGCACGGTGGCAGGCACCTGTATCTCAGCTACTTGGAAGGCTGAGGCAAGAGAATTGCTTGAACCCGGGAGGTGGAGGTTGCAGTGAGCTAAGATTGCGCTACCACCCTCCACCTGAGCAGCAGAGCGAGACTCTGTCAAAAAACAAACAAACAAACAAACAACATCACTTCTGCTCAAATTTCGTTGGCCCAAACTAGTCATGTAGCCACGCCTGCCGTGGAGGGCAGACAAGGATAATTCTCCCATGAGAAAGGCCATGAATCTTTGGGAATAATAATATAATTTACCAGAGAAGTCATCCTTATTTTTTAAAGAACTTAAAATTTAGTTGAGGAAGTAAGCTATACACAAAGAAATACAATAAAAAAAAGGTGCAAGCAACATGTTATAGAGGTGAGGGAGGAGAGATTTCTTTGGACTAAGATTAGTCACAGAAGGATTAATAAAAGATGTGTTCTTTAAATTGGACATGAAAAGTAAGATTTTGCCAAGTGGAACTGGACAAGAGGTGAATAGAAGAGTATTTAAAAAGATATGAAGGTACTCAAACAAAAAATGTACTAAAAAAAAGAGTGAAAAGTCCACTTTTGGTGGATAATTAGGTCCACATTTCAAAGTTGGGAATTTAGAGTCTATTAAGCAGGAAATTATAAACCACTAGAGATTTGGAAAGCTAACTAAAGGATGCAATGGAGAGAAGCTGAAAATATTTTTGAGGCTATGCAAAGAGTTCAGGAAACAGGGACTAAAGACAGAATCAGAATAGTGAAAAGTATGAACAGGACAGAACATACAGAGGCAAGATGCAAAGGAAATGTACAAAGGTTGAAAACCGATTGGTTTGGAAAGCAAAGGAGAGAGGCAGTGAAAGAAGTTGCAGATGATTATTCCATTAATGGTGGTGCCATTAATGGAATTCAAAAAATAAGAAGAGGACTGACTCATAGGAAGAGAAAATAAGTTTTGTTTGAGGTATTCTGATTTCGAGGAATTTCAGAGAGAAATGTTTAGTAGGCGTATGGAACTCTGGGAATAGAGTTTGTGGGATTGTGGTTGTGATTGAAGATGTAGTCCTGAGGGACCCCTGAAGAGGTGACAGTTGAAGCCATGAGTGCAGATGAGAATCCCAAAGGAAACTAGTGGCCAAAAGGCAGAGTCTTGGAGGGCTGCCAACATGTAGGATGTGGGAAGATGAAGACAAACCAGGGAGGGAAGCTGAAGAACCTTGACAAGGCAGAGAGGAGAACACTATAGTGTGGGATCAAGTGAGCTGAGGCAGGAGAGAGGCTGAGGAGCAGGGAGAGGTCAGCGGTGTCAAATGCTTTAGAAAGTGCTAAGAAGATGAGAATGTAGGAAGTGGTATTGAGGTTAGAGTAGGAGATCATTGGCGATGAGTAAGGAAACAACTTCAGTGAGGACTGGAGATGTTCTTGTGAGATATCTGATAACAAAAATTACAGAGATTGCATAATGGAGGATTAGTTGGAACTGGTGGAACTGAGAGTACGCTTAGTGCGATAACCTTTGAAAAGAAGAGGAACCTATTCCATTTGGGGAAGGCAGGAGAAAACTATGCACTAAGAGAGAACTTGTCCATGAGAAGGAGTGATTTTTAAGGTGCTTCTTAACAAAGTAGAGTTTAGGGAATGTATTCACTCTTTGAAATTAAAAAGCAATTGCTTATTATTGAAAACCCAGGTTAGCTATTAAAAAAAAAAAAAGAGAAAAATAAGACAAAAAAAGAAAAAAAAACCATGCATGTGTAACAAGTCAGGGGAAGCTGAGGAGACCTTCCAAACTGTACTGTATTCACTTGCATATATTCCACATCTGGCACTGGGCAGTCAAATATTCACAGGTAATAAATAGATATTAAAGAATGTATTATTGGGCATTAGGACTCATAATTTTAGAAAAATGTTTTTTGTGGCTGGGCGTGGTGGCTCACTCCTGTAATCCCAGCACTTTGGGAGGCCAAGGAGAGTGGATCAGAAGGTCAGGAGATCGACAGCATCCTGGCCAACATGGTGAAACCCCGTCTCTACTAAATATACAAAAATTAGCCGGGCGTGGTGGCGCGTGCCTGTAGTCTCAGCTACGAGGGAGGCTGAGGCAGGAGAATCTCTTGAACCCGGGAGTTGGAGGTTGCAGTGAGCCGAGATCGTGCTACTGCACTTTAGACTGGCAACAGTGGGAGACTCCATCTCAAAAAAAAAAAAAAAAAGAAAAAGAAAGAGAAAAAAATTTTTTTAAAATTATTATTATACTTAAAGTTTTAGGGTACATGTGCATAATGTGCAGGTTAGTTACATATGTATACATGTGCCATGCTGGTGCGCTGCACCCATTAACTCGTCGTCTAGCATTAGGTATATCTCCTAATGCTATCACTCCCCCCTCCCCCCACCCCACAACAGTCCCCAGAGTGTGATGTTCCCCTTCCTGTGTCCATGTGTTCTCATTGTTCAATTCCCACCTATGAGTGAGAATATGCAGTGTTTGGTTTTTTGTTCTTGCGATAGTTTACTGAGAATGATGATTTCCAGTTTCATCCATGTCCCTACAAAGGACATGAACTCATCCTTTTTTATGGCTGCATAGTATTCCATGGTGTATATGTGCCACATTTTCTTAATCCAGTCTATCATTGTTGGACATTTGGGTTGGTTCCAAGTCTTTGCTATTGTGAATAGTGCCTCAATAAACATACGTGTGCATGTGTCTTTATAGCAGCATGATTTATAGTCCTTTGGGTATATACCCAGTAATGGGATGGCTGGGTCAAATGGTATTTCTAGTTCTAGATCCCTGAGGAATCGCCACACTGACTTCCACAATGGTTGAACTAGTTTACAGTTCCACCAACAGTGTAAAAGTGTTCCTATTTCTCCACATCCTCTCCAGCACCTGTTGTTTCCTGACTTTTTAATGATCACCATTCTAACTGGTGTGAGATGGTATCTCATTGTGGTTTTGATTTGCATTTCTCTGATGGCCAGTGATGGTGAGCATTTTTTCATGTGTCTTTTGGCTGCATAAATGTCTTCTTCTGAGAAGTGTCTATTCATATCCTTTGCCCACTTTTTGATGGGGTTCTTGTTTGTTTCTTGTAAATTTGTTTGAGTTCATTGTAGATTCTGGATATTAACCCTTTGTCAGATGAGTAGCAAAAATTTTCTCCCATTTTGTAGGTTGCCTGTTCACTCTGATGGTAGTTTCTTTTGCTGTGCAGAAGCTCTTTAGTTTAATTAGATCCCATTTGTCAATTTTGGCTTTTGTTGCCATTGCTTTTGGTGTTTTAGTCATGAAGTCCTTGCCCATGCCTGTGTCCTGAATGGTAATGCCTAGGTTTTCTTCTAGGGTTTTTATGGTTTTAGGTCTAACATGTAAGTCTTTAATCCATCTTGAATTGATTTTTGTATAAGGTGTAAGGAAGGGATCCAGTTTCAGCTTTCTCCATATGGCTAGCCAGTTTTCCCAGCACCATTTATTAAATAGGGAATCCTTTCCCCATTGCTTGTTTTTGTCAGGTGTGTAAAAGATCAGATGGTTGTAGATACGCGGTGTTATTTCTGAGGGCTCTATTCTATTCCACTGATCTATATCTCTGTTTTGGTACCAGTACCATGTTGTTTTGGTTACTGTAGCCTTGTAGCATAGTTTGAAGTCAGGTAGTGTGATCCCTCCAGCTTTGTTCTTTTGGCTTAGGATTGACTTGGCGATGTGGGCTCTTTTTTGGGTCCATATGAACTTTAAAGTAGTTTTTTCCAATTCTGTGAAGAAAGTCATTGGTAGCTTGATGGGGATGGCATTGAATCTGTAAATTACCTTGGGCAGTATGGCCATTTTCATGATATTGATTCTTCCTACCCATGAGCATGAAATGTTCTTCCATCTGTTTGTATCCTCTTTTATTTCATTGAGCAGTGGTTTGTAGTTCTCCTTGAAGAGGTCCTTCACATCCCTTGTAAGTTGGATTCCTAAGTATTTTATTCTCTTTGAAGCAATTGTGAATGGGAGTTCGCTCATCATTTGGCTCTCTGTTTGTTTGTTATTGGTGTATAAGAATGCTTGTGATTTTTGTACATTGATTTTGTATCCTGAGACTTTGCTGAAGTTGCTTATCAGCTTAAGGAGATTTTGGGCTGAGACAATGGGGTTTTCTAGATATACAATCATGTCGTCTGCAAACAGGGACAATTTGACTTCCTCTTTTCCTAATTGAATACCCTTATTTCCTTCTCCTGACTAATTGCCCTAGCCAGAACTTCCAACACTATGTTGAATAGGAGTGGTGAGAGAGGGCATCCCTGTCTTGTGCCAGTTTTCAAAGGGAATGCTTCCAGTTTTTGCCCATTCAGTATGATATTGGCTGTGGGTTTGTCAGAGATAGCTCTTATTATTTTGAGATACGTCCCATCAATACCTAATTTATTGAGAGTTTTTAGCATGAAGAGTTGTTGAATTTTGTCAAAGGCCTTTTCTGCATCTATTGAGATAATCATGTGGTTTTTGTCTTTGGTTCTGTTTATATGCTGGATTACATTTATTGATTTGCATATATTGAACCAGCCTTGCATCCCAGGGATGAAGCCCACTTGATCATGGTGGATAAGCTTTTTGATGTGCTGCTGGATTCAGTTTGCCAGTATTTTATTGAGGATTTTTGCATCAATGTTCGTCAAGGATATTGGTCTAAAATTCTCTTTTTTCGTTGTGTTTCTGCCCGGCTTTGGTATCAGGATGATGCTGGCCTCATAAAATGAGTTAGGGAGGATTCCCTCTTTTTCTATTGATTGGAATAGTTTCAGAAGGAATGGTACCAGCTCCTCCTTGTACCTCTGGTAGAATTCGGCTGTGAATCCATCTGGTCCTGGACTCTTTTTGGTAGGTAAGCTATTGATTATTGCCAGAATTTCAGATCCTGTTATTGGTCTATTCAGAGATTCAACTTCTTCCTGGTTTAGTCTTGGGAGAGTGTATGTGTCAAGGAATTTATCCATTTCTTCTAGATTTTCTAGTTTATTTGCGTAGAGGTGTTTGTAGTATTCTCTTGATGGTAGTTTGTATTTCTGTGGGATTGGTGGTGATATCCCCTTTATCATTTTTTATTGTGTCTATTTGATTATTCTCTCTTTTTTTTCTTTATTAGTCTTGCTAGTGGTCTATCAATTTTGTTGATCCTTTCAAAAAACCAGCTCCTGGATTCATTAATTTTTTGAGGGGTTTTTTGTGTCTCTATTTCCTTCAGTTCTGCTCAATTTTAGTTATTTCTTGCCTTCTGCTAGCTTTTGAATGTGTTTGCTCTTGCTTTTCTGGTTCTTTTAATTGTGATGTTAGGGTGTCAATTTTGGAAATTTCCTGCTTTCTCTTGTGGGCATTTAGTGCTATAAATTTCCCTCTACACACTGCTTTGAATGTGTCCCAGAGATTCTGGTATGTTGTGTTTTTGTTGTCATTGGTTTCAAAGAACATCTTTATTTCTGCCTTCATTTTGTTATGTACCCAGTAGTCATTGAGGAGCAGGTTGCTCAGTTTCCATGTAGTTGAGCGTTTTTGAGTGAGTTTCTTAATCCTGAGTTCTAGTTTGATTGCAGTGTGGTCTGAGAGACAGTTTGTTATAATTTCTGTTCTTTTACATTTGCTGAGGAGAGCTATACTTCCAACTATGTGGTCAATTTTGGAATAGGTGTGGTGCAGTATTGAAAAAAAAGTATATTCTGTTGATTTGGGGTGGAGAGTTCTGTAGATGTCTATTAGGTCCACTTGGTGCAGAGCTGAGTTCAATTCCTGGGTATCCTTATTAACTTTCTGTCTCATTGATCTGTTTAATGTTGACAGTGGGGTGTTAAAGTCTCCCATTATTATTGTGTGGGAGTCTAAGTCTCTTTGTAGGTCACTCAGGACTTGCTTTATGAATCTGGATGCTCCTGTATTGGGTGCATATATATTTAGGATAGTTAGTACTTCTTGTTGAATTGATCCGTGTACCATTATGTAATGGCCTTCTTTGTCTCTTTTGATCTTAGTTGGTTTAAAGTCTGTTTAATCAGAGACTAGGATTGCAACCCCTGCCTTTTTTTGTTTTCCATTTGCTTGGTTGATCTTCCTCCATCCTTTTATTTTGAACCTATGTGTGTCTCTGCACATGAGATGGGTTTCCTGAATACAGCACACTGATGAGTCTTGACTCTTTATCCAATCTGCCAGTCTGTGTCTTTTAATTGGAGCATTTAGTCCATTTACATTTAAAGTTAATATTGTTATGTGTGAATTATATCCTGTTATTATGATGATAGCTGGTTATTTTGCTCGTTGATGCAGTTTCTTCCTAGTCTTGATGGTCATTACATTTTGGCATGATTTTGCAGTGGCTGGTACCGGTTGTTCCTTTCCATGTTTAGTGCTTCCTTCAGGAGCTCTTTTAGGGCAGGCCTGGTGGTGACAAAATCTCTCAGCATTTGCTTGTCTGTAAAGGATTTTATTTCTCCTTCACTTATGAAGCTTAGTTTGGCTGGAGATGAAATTCTGGGTTGAAAATTCTTTCTTTAAGAATGTTGAATATTGGCCCCCACTCTCTTCTGGCTTGCAGAGTTTTTGCCGAGAGATCTGCTGTTAGTCTGATGGGCTTCCCTTTGTGCGTAACCCGACCTTTCTCTCTGGCTGCCCTTAATATTTTTTCCTTCATTTCAACTTTGATGAATCTGACAATTATGTGTCTTGGAGTTGCTTTTCTCGAGGAGTATCTTTGTGGCGTTCTCTGTATTTCCTGAATCTGAATGTTGGCCTGCCTTGCTAGACTGGGGAAGTTCTCCTGGATAATATCCTGCAGAGTGTTTTCCAACTTGGTTCCATTCTCCCCGTCACTTTCAGGTACACCAATCAGACGTAGATTTGATCTTTTCACATAGTCCCATATTTCTTGGAGGCTTTGTTCATTTCTTTGTATTCTTTTTTCTCTAAACTTCCCTTCTCGCTTCATTTCATTCATTTCATCTTCCATCACTGATACCCTTTCTTCCAGTTGATCACATCAGCTCCTGAGGCTTCTGCATTCTTCACGTAGTTCTCGAGCCTTGGCTTTCAGCTCCATCAGCTCCTTTAAGCACTTTTCTATATTGGTTATTCTAGTTATACATTTGTCTAATTTTTTTTCAAAGTTTTCAACTTCTTTGCCTTTGGTTTGAATTTCCTCCTGTAGCTCAGAGTAATTTGATCATCTGAAGCCTTCTTCTCTCAACTCGTCAAAGTCATTCTCCATCCAGCTTTGTTCCGTTGCTGGTGAGGAACTGTGTTCCTTTGGAGGAGGAGAGGCACTTTGCTTTTTAGAGTTTCCAGTTTTTCTGCTCTGTTTTTTCCCCATCTTTGTGGTTTTATCTACTTTTGGTCTTTGATGATGGTGATGTACAGATGGGTTTTTGGTGTGGATGTCCTTTCTGTGTTAGTTTTCCTTCTAACAGACAAGACCCTCAGCTGCAGGTCTGTTGGAGTTTGCTAGAGGTCCACTCCAGAGCCTGTTTGCCTGTGTAATAGCAGCAGTGTCTGCAGAACCGCGGATTTTCGTGAACTGCGAATGCTGTTGTCTGATCGTTCCTCTGGAAGTTTTGTCTCAGAGGAGTACCCGGCCGTGTGAGGTGTCAGTCTGCCCCTACTGGGGGGTGCCTCCCAGTTAGGCTTCTCTGGGGTCAGGGGTCAGGGACCCACTTGAGGAGGCAGTCTGCCTGTTCTCAGATCTCCAGCTGGGTGCTGGGATTACCACTGCTCTCTTCAAAGCTGTCAGACAGGGACATTTAAGTCTGCAGAGGTTACTGCTGTTTTTTGTTTGTCTGTGCCCTGCCCCCAGAGGTGGAGCCTACAGAGGCAGGCAGGCCTCCTTGAGCCGTGGTGGGCTCCACCTAGTTCGAGCTTCCTGGCTGCTTTGTTTACCTAAGCAAGCCTGGGCAATGGCGGGCGCCCCACCCCCATCCTCGCTGCAGTCTTGCAGTTTGATCTCAGACTGCTGTGCTAGCAATCAGTGAGACTCTGTGGGCGTAGGACCCTCTGTGGCAGGTGCGGGATATAATCTCCTGGTGCGCCGTTTTTTAAGCCCGTTGGAAAAGCGCAGTATTCGGGTGGGAGTGACCCGATTTTCCAGGTGCCGTCTGTCACCCCTTTCGTTGACCAGGAAAGGGAACTCCCTGACCCCTTGCGCTTCCCGAGTGAGGCAATGCCTCACCCTGCTTCAGCTCCCGCACAGTGCACTGCACCCACTGTCCTGCACCCACTGTCTGGAACTCCCTAGTGAGATGAACCTGGTACCTCAGATGGAAATGCAGAAATCACCCGTCTTCTGCATTGCTCTTGCTGGGAGCTGTAGACCGGAGCTGTTCCTATTCGGCCATCTTGGCTCCTCCCTCCAGATTATCAGAAAAATATTTCTGTGACCTGGAGGTTGTTAATCAAAGTGTCACTTTAGTGAGAGGAGGGCAGTTTAGGCCTTTTTTGGGGTGTAGTCAAGACCTTTTCTTTCCATCAGATTGAGGTTGCTGGAGTCTCTTCAAAGTGACTAGGATATGTGCAACCCACAGAACTCTGTGGGGAAATAAGAACCAACCATAGCATAATTATGTTATGTTAGGTTGCTGTCTGTGACATGAGGAGAGTGTCCTTGGGCAGGAAGAACTGGTGAACTTAGCAAAAAGGTGATGTTTACTGATATTTATTCATTTATTTCTTCACTAATCATTCACATTCATTCAACATTCTGCATATTCACTGAGCACATGCCAGCTACTATTCTAAGCACTGGAGAAGATGAGCCTCTCCACTCAAGGAGATCACATTGAAATGAACAAGTAAGAATGGAAGGTCATATAGTGATGAGTGCTATAAAGAAAAAAGAAAGCAGGTTAAAGGAATCAAGACCAAATGGGGGGTGGGGCAGACTTCTCTTTCATATAGAATGGCCTTGAAAGGTCTCTGATGAAAAAAACACTAAACAGAGGTCTGAATGATCTGGAGGAAGCAGGGCCCAGACAGAGAGCACAGCCAATGCTAAGTCTATTCATTACCAAGGAAGGAATGAACTTGACACATTTTACGAAGTGCAAGAAGGTCAGTGTGGTGGAATAAAAGGAGCAAATGGAGAGATATGGAGGTAGATATGAACTCAGAAAGAGAGGCCAGATCATCTGAGACCTTGAAGGCTTTTATTTTCACTGTGGTGGAAACTCCTTGGGTGGGTTTTGAGCAAGAGAAGAACATGCTAGGGATTATGTTTTTAGAAGATCACTCTGACTACTACATGGAAATAGACTATAATTGGACAGGACCTGAGGCAGGGAGACCAGTTAGGAAGCTGGTGCAGTAATCCAGGCAAGAGAAGAACAGAAGTTTGAATGAGGATGCAGCAATGGTGATGAGGAGAGGTGGAAAGATTCTAGATATATTTAAAAGTTTTTAATAACAGTTTTACTGAGATATAATTTACATAGAATAACATTTTATTTAATTGCATTCTTTAAAAATACACAATTAAGTGGCTTTAGGAATATGACAGGACTCCATGATGAGGTAGATACAAAGTGTGAGAGGAAGAGAGAGGCATCAAGGATGTCACTTGGATTATGGATTAAGAAACTGAGTGGCATTTGCTGAGCCGTAGAGCACTGGGGAGAAGAAAAGCAACTATATCACTTGACTAGGAGATGACCTGTAAGCACACAGGAGGATGTCTAGTGTGTTGTAAATGTAAAATATATTTTTGGCTATTCTTTTCCCCACATTACACATCCTCTCTATTTTTAAACACAATAAGTAAGTCAAAGGTACAGTTATTGAAATCAGGATATAGAGTCAGAGAGGTTAATGTTTGGATTTGATTTGATGTTCAGAAACCATGCTATGGATTGAGGAAGCTTTCTATTTCTTCTTCCTTGGTGCTGACTCTCTCTCAGTTATGGCCAAAGATAAATTTCTCCTGTAAGCCATATAGCAAATTATCTTGCAAGATATTTTCTCTAGGAAGCCAGAGAACAGATTATCACATTGAATATTTTTAGAGGGCCATAGAATGATCTCTGTTAGTGTCCTCTTACGGAAGAAGAATAAGAGTATATACCAGATGGTGATCCTTCTTGCCCAATAAATCATTGATATGTAAAATTTGGTGATCTCCATTGGGATTCCCCACCATTAATTCCACAAGCCTGATGTTATGTGCCAATTGCTTTTCTGAATTGTGTGTATTTGTATAGTAAACTTACAAACAAACTTTAAGATTTATATATAAAGACACACACACATATATAAGACTCAGGCTTAACAGTAATATTTCACATTCATTACTAAAGTTACAGATAAAACAACTGGAGAAAAGCCAAGTAAGTTGAATATGGACAGGGAAATCTGGAGACAATATTTACTAACGGGAAGTACTTGGTCTGGATTCTTGCCTTATTCTGAACCTTGGGACTCATTTGTCTGAGTTATCTGCTGCTGTGTAACTGACCATACCTTAGTGGCTTGAGGCAACGCTTCATTAGTATTATCCCTCTTAGTTTTGCAGGGTAAATGAACTCATCTGGGCAGTCCTCATTTGGGGTCTCTCGTGCTGTTGTGGTCATATAGCTGCTGAGGCTGGAGCCATGTGAAGTCTCAACAGGGCTGAGTATCCGCAATGGCTTCTTCATCACATCTGACAACACGCTTCTTCACATGGTCTTTCTTCCAAGAAAAGGAGCCTGGACTTCTGACATTGCAGCAGGAACTTCCTATACTCACAAACGCAAGGCCTGGAACTGACACAATGCAACATTCACCATATTCTATTGGTTGAAGTGGTCAGAGGTCAGCCTAGATTCACAGTTGGTGAGGAATAAAATCCATCTCCAGATGGGGGTGTGGCATGCATATAGAAGGAGGGAAGGAATTAATCACAGTCATTTGAAAGATGAGCTACATTTAATAAGCAGGTAACCATTCTCATCTCGCACAGAAATTACCGTGCCTTTTACGAAAATCTATTTTTTAAACATGAATCCTCTGATCACTTTTTAGGATGGTTATTGTCAAAAAGAAAGAAAGAAACAACAGAAAATAACAACTGTTCACGAGGACGTGGAGTAATTGGAACCTTTGTTGTGCATGGTTGGTGGGAACGTTCAACAGACAGTCACTGTGGGAAACACTACAGTGGCTCTCAAAAAAATTAAAAATTGCCATATGATTCAACAATTCTACTACTGAGTATATGCCCAAAAGAATTGAATGCAGAGTTTCAAAGAGATATTTGTATACCTGTGTTCATAGCAGCATTACTCAATTATGCATAATTGTTAAAACGTGAAAGCAACTCAAGTGTCCATTGATGGATGAATAATATGCAAAATGTGGTATATAAATATGGAATATTATTCAGCCCTAAAAAGGAAGAAGAATCTAACAAGTGTTATAACATGGATGAGCTGTGAAGATATTATGCTAAGTGAAATAAGCAAGGCACAAAAAGACTCATACTGTATGATTTCACTTATACGACTACTTAGAGTAGCCAAATTCATAGAGACAGAAAGTAGAATGGTAATTGCCAGGGGTTTGGTGGATGAATGGGGAGTTACTGTTTAGCAGGTATAGAGTTTTACTTGGGGAAGATGAAAAGAGTTATGAATATGGATCTTGGTGATGGTTGTACTCACTATGAATGTATTTAACAACTGAACTGGACACTTAAAAATGGTTAAGATGGTGAATTTTGTGCTATGTGTGTCTTATTTCATCTTTTGAGTAAATCAGTAAATAAATATAAACTAAATATCTGATAACTGGCATTATATTAAGTCCATTCTATATTATAAAATCAGAGGCTTATAATTGTTTTGCATCTTACAAAACGTATCCAACATCAGAAAAAGATGTTGACATATAGATCCTTACTTCATAGATGTTAGCAAATCATTAGATGCTGTTCTTCCAAAAATAGATAAGCAGATCTGGATTCTCCTGTAACTTTTTGTTGGTTTTCAGGATGAGCTATTTGAATACTATTTGATTTTATTTTTAAGCCTAGATCTATATGCTAATGGAAAGAATAATTGCAACATCATTCTGCTGATAACTTTTGGTCAACGTGACCCATTTCAATTAACTGCACAGAAGTGTAGTAGGTAGGTATGGACAATCCTATGAGCCCTAATCAATCATGTCCTATGTATCGGACACAGAGTGAGGTTACACAAGAGTGGAAGCCAAATAAGGTGGTACAAGTCCAGAACTGACTGGGAGTTGAGGTGATATTTGGGAGGGATCAGCAAAAAAGTTGGCAGGTATAAAATCAGGAGCTATCCAAGCCTATTGCTAGGAGTTTCTTGAAAAGTGGGAAGGTCAGGCAGCCCAAGCAGGACATAAGAACTGATCAGTAACCCAGGAGAAACCCTATCCAGAGAACAGCAAATAAACAGCAGTATGAAAGCAGATAAACACATTATTAATAAGTGGCTTTAGGCCGGGTGCAGTGGCTCACGCCTGTAATCCCAGCACTTTGGGAGGCCGAGGCGGGCAGATCACGAGGTCAGGAGATCGAGACCAGCCTGGCTAACACGGTGAAACCTCATCTCTACTAAAAATACAAAAAAATTAGCCGGGTGTGGTGGTGGGAGCCTGTAGTCCCAGCTACTTGGGAGACTGAGCAGGAGAATGGCGTGAACTGGGGAGGCGGAGCTTGCAGTGAGCCAAGATTGCGCCACTGCACTCCAGCCTGGGCGACAGAGCGAGACTCCATCTCAAAAAAAAAAAAAAAAAAAAAGTCTTTAAATACTTAATGAGCCAGAGCTATGCAAGGCCAAAGTGTGCAGAAAGTAACAATTGAGAAAATACATTAATGAGATGAGCCAATAATTATTCAAGACAGGAAAGTCTTTAAACTTAACTGCTCAGCTCCTTCTAGTCATCCCTAAAGAAAGCTCCAGCTTGGACAAGGATCTGTCAAATTCATAACACCCATGGGTTAAGGAATTCCCCATTCTTGGTAGGAAAAGTTATATCACTACTCTCCTGTGGTCATAAATATTCAGTTAACCCATGTAATGTGCCTGCAGAGTGTTTGGCATGTGGCATTCTCAGTGAACATTAGTTCCTTCCTTTCTAGTTTCAAGGTATGCAAAAGGCCATTTAGCAAGAAGCGACTCCTGACCCCATCTCGTGAAGGTGGAGCTGACCTGGCTTTGTCATCAACATGTTGATGACTCTCTACTCATTTGGGTCCCTCGTGTAGCCACATGCTACTAATTAATTTGAAGAAAATTAATAGTCATCACTGTTTTCTAAAGTGTGTATGTAAATTCCAACTTAGGAACAAAGTTGATAGTCACTGAAGAGTAGTTGCCTACATAGTGTATAAAATAGTCTGCTCTGATCCAAGTTCCTTTGAAACAAAGTTAAATTGGTGCAACAGAAGTTAAGTTCATCAGAAAGGAAAAGATTAGAGGGCTACACTAGTCACTATGATAAGGACTTGATAGAGTTTTGCAGAAAAAGTTTGATTGACTCATTTGTAAGAATTCTAAATAAAGATATATAAATGAAGGTAAAATGACCTCAGAATGAACAATGTCATGAGAATCCAAGCTGTTACATCCGGTATTAGCAGAAACTTTCAGCAGCACACCCTAGTATGAAGGGCCGATAACAAATACTGTAATTCAAGTGAGGAACAGCCTTACTTTCCAGAACTGCCCAGTTAATCAAAAAGTCTGGAACTATTCCCGGGATTTTTTTTTTAAATCTAGAAAAAAAACCTCAAGATAACCCTTGTAAAATTGATCTAACATCAATGGGATGTGAGAAGGTAGTTATAGGTTTGCATTATCAAAGGGGTTTTACAAAAAATAAAGTGATTTGCAAAACGAGACTAAGGTAGAAAAGGTAAACACATATCATTTGTGTGTGGTGATTGGAGGAGAGTTGGGGAGGGCAGGGGAGCATTCAAGGGAATGAAGAAACAGTTTTACAATGTGGAGGAAGTTGGTCAGACTTCAGCTTCCCCAGAGGATAAGCAAAATTTAATTATTAACTTGTTCTTGGCACCAGATTTATTCCCCACAGAAAAACTTTAAATCAAACCTAGAAATAACTCTAAGAGAGAAGAGGAGACATTTTATTTGAACATGTGTGCTGTAGATGAAATGGTAAGTGGAAATCTGTTTATTCTCACTGATTATTTCCATGTGGAAGTTGCAAATCCTACAGTGGCCAATGGAAAAGGTAAAGTTAGATGAGAGCATCATTTATTCCTTGGTGAAAAAGTATCCCTCAGTAATTACAAGGGATCCATAGGCAGCTTTGTGTTGTAGCACGAGTCTTGAAGTTGACTCTAATTAAAGCCCTCTCATCTTTCCAAGAATTCTTAATGACCATAATCTTTGGTACTTTAGCATTGATGTAGTTCAAGTGCCCTCTGACCTTATTCACTCACTCCTTGAGATTTTACCTAGAAACATTTCTGTTCAACTTGACCAACTTCAGCTATAACTACTCTCTCAGAATATCAAGTATACAATAGACACCAGTAGAAAATAATTTTCCTTCCTCCCACCACTACTTTAAAAATAATTAGCTATAGATAAAGATTCCGAACATCGCCTCCTCTATAATCCATAAATTCCACTTTTGGGTATATACCCAGGAGAAATATGTCATCCTCAAACATGTATAGGAATGTTCACAGTTGCTTTATTCATAATAACCAAAGACTAAAATCCATCTGAATATTCATCAAAAACAGTAGAATATTTCAAAACAGTGAAAAAGAGCAAGCTATTGCTATGTGCAACAAGAAGATAAATCTCACAGACATAATGTTGAGTGAAAAGAAGCTAGACACAAAAGAATACCACTATGAATCCATTTATATGAAGTTCAAGGATAATTAAAATTAATCTATGGTGATAGAAGAATAGTGGCTATCTTCGGAGGATACTAACTCAGGGTGGTCATCAGGAAGCCTTCTGGGAGGCTAGAAATACTCACTGTTTTATCTGTGTGGTAGTTCTATGGGTGTATTTACATGTAAAGAGTGATTAAGCTGTGCACTTAAGATTTGAGCACTTTACTGAATGTATATTATATCTCAAATTTTTAAAACAAGAAGAAAAAATCCTGTTCAGAAGTTTATATTTGGAGATTCAAAATTTAAGCTTACGCCCAAGATGCCGGCTCTTCATTGGTAATACATTAGTGATTTGATGATGCTGCAGCCAATAATTCCCTGCAAATATAGTTTTTGGCACACAATTTTAGAAAAATGAGCATAACAGGAAATTGTAATCAAAATAACTTTTCCATACTTATTGGTATCAATAGTAATAATATAAGCTACTGTTCATTATACATATGATATACAGTATACAATATGGTTTCATTTACTTTCAACAAATATTTTTGTCTTTTCTTATAGTCCTGAGTTAAAGAATCTTCTTCAAGTACAGTAACCTGAACAAAGCAAACAGCCCATTATGAGATTGTCATAAAAAAATTTATTTCAGTCTGGATGTTCCAAGTGCATTACCAAGGGAGATTAAAGAAAAGGGGGAATAAGCCTTTCTACTATAATGGTTTTACTTCAATTTTTAAAAAATAGAATGCTTTCCCATTATTGCTTCTTTGCTTCTGGTAACCAGTCTTCAGGAGTAATTAGTTTGATAATTAGTTCGAGATGTCATTTAAAAAGAAGCAATTTTTAATGGACTAACTTGAAAACAATCTTTTATCTTATGCTGGATGATTTTTCTTAATGAATTAAATAAACAATTTCTATGCTTACAGAAAGTAAACAGACCCATTCCCAAAAGTATAAACTCTCTTGCCATCTAGGGAGTTTCAGATCTGTTTAGGGAACTAAGATAGTGAAACAATAGCACTGAGGAGGCTATTGATAGACGATGTGTCACTGGGGTGTTGTAGACATTAATCATGAATGCTGAAGAAATTCAAGAGGTAAAGTCTGTTGGGGGCAATTTCATTTTCAAATGAATATAATTTCGTTGGGGGACATTCTTCATGGGATAAAACTCGACTTCTTTAAAGCTGTACCCTATTAATCCACAGTGCAACCCAAAGACTGGAAAAGCAAAGTGAAAGGCCTCTGGTTCATAACCCTTGTCCCTGATTTAGTTTCAAAACCATTTCTGCTGTTCGGAATTATGAGAAAACGTCAATTGAGTCTCAGCAGTAGTCATGGAGAAATCACAACTTAACCCAAAACACTGAAAAAGAGCTTCAGTGTCTTATGGAGCCTCAAGAAGCCAAAGCTTTTAGAAGTCCCAGCCCCTAAGGCTTGATGGGGGTGGATGGAAGTCATCAAGGGAGATCTGTCTAACAGCTATTTAGAGTGTACTCTTGATTGCTGTTTCCTGAAAAAGGAGTCTTGTACCAGCTACTTGCGGAAATTAGTGGGTAAATTTATGAACATTAATATGATGTTGGGAAAAAAGCTGTGAATGTTATAATGTAAAATTGGGGTGGGGAGGGGTCCAGGATGGCTGAGTAGAAGCAGCTGTGGTGTGTGGCTCTCAAGGAGAGGAATGAAAGGGCCAAGTGAATACAGCACCTTCTATTGAAATATCCAGGTTCTCGCATTGGTACTGATGAGGAAAACAACTCAACTTACTGAGAAGAAAGAAAAGCAGGGTGGGATGATGGCCCACCTGGGAGTGACATAGAGTCGAGGGAATCCCTACTCCTAGCTGAGAGAAGCAGTGAGTAAATGTGTGACCCTGGGGAACCACGCTCCTCCCACAGATCTTTGCAACCCTCCAATCACAATCCCTTCGTGAGTCCACACCACCAGGGCCTTGGGTCCAACACACAGAACTGTGTGAAATTTTAGCAGAGTAGCTGCTCAGGCGCACACAGAAACCCAGGAGCTTTACATACTTTGGCTCAGGATCTTCAGCAAGACGGGAGGTCCGTACATACCCCTAGGAAGGGGGCTGAATCCAGGGGGCTGAGAAGCATTGGTCTGTGGGCCCCATTTCCATGGTACCTCACAAGATAAGAGGCTGGAATTCCACTGGCTTGGAATTCCAGCTAGCCACCGGCAACAGGGTGGAGCCTGCCTGAGACAGAATGGAGGCCTGGTGGGTAGAGGTAGGCCACCATCTCTGCTGTTTGGTAGACTCAGCCATTCCAGCCTGCAGGCTTTAGAGAGTCCGAATGGTCCTGATGAGGAAGGGTCCCAGCACAGCACAGAATGTGACAAGATTGCTTCTTTGATCAGAACCCTGATTTGTTCCTCCTCACTGGGCAGGACCTCCCAGTTGGGACCTTCAGCTACCCCTGCCTGCCCTTATTCTATGGACAGAGCTCTGCTCTCTCCCTGGGATGGAGTGCCAGGGTGGGGAGTTGCAACCTTGTTTGTTTGGATGACTCAGTCGTTCCAGCCTATGGTTTTAGTTCAAGCCAATAATGGGGCAGAGGCAGTTCCCCAGCACAACATGGCTATGTTGCTGAGGCATGGCCAAACTGCATCTATAAACAGGATCTGGATTCACTCCTTCTCACTGGGTGGGTCCTCCCAGTCAGAGGACCCCCAGCAACCCCACCCATGTTCTACCACTGACAGAGTTCTAATATCCCCCTGGGATGGAGGTCCTGGGGGGTGGGGCAGGCCAACACCTTGGCTGTTTGGGCATCTCAGCCAGTCCAGCCTGCAGGCCTTGGAGAGCCCAAACCAGTCAGGGGCTGAAGAGATCCTCAACACAGCATAGCTGCTCCACCAAACTGAGACTACCAGACTGAGACTGCTCTTTTAAGTAGGTTCCTGGTCCTGTTCCTCCTGATGGGGTGAGATCTTCCAACTGGGGTCTCCAGCCACCTCCTACAGGCACATTCAGGCAGGCAACAAGTCAGTACCCTCCTGGGATGGAGCATTCAGAGGAAGGGGCAGGCTACCATATTTACTGTTTCACAGCCTTCACTGGTGATACCTCCAGGTACTGGAAAAACTGAGACAATTAGGGTCTGAAGCAGACCCTTAGCAAAATCGCAGCAGTCCTACAGAAGAGTGGCCAGACTGTTAAAAGAAAAAAGCCAAAACAACAACAAACCCCACAAAAACCCCATCCAAAGTCAGCAACCTCAAAGATCAAAGGTAGAGAAATCCACAAAGATGAGAAAAAGCCAGCACAAAACCACTGAAAACTCAAAAAACCAGAGTTTCTCCTTTCCTCCAAATGATCACAACACTTCTCCAGCAGGGGCTCAGAACTGGGCTGAGGCTGACCTGGCTGAAATGACAGAGTTAGGCTTCAGAATCTGGATAAAAACAAACTTTGTTGAGCTAAAGGAGCATGTTGTAACCCAATGCAAAGAAGCTAAGAAACATGATACAACAATGCAGGAGCTGACAGCCAAAATAGCTAGTATAGTAAGGAACATAACTGACATGATAGAGCTGAAAAACACACTGCAAGAACTTCACAATGCAATCACGAGTATTAATAGCAGAACAGACCAAGCAGAGGAAAGAATCTCAGAGCTTGAAGACTGTCTTTCTGAAATAAGACAGACAGATAAGCATAGAGAGAAAAGAATAAAAAGGAATGAATGAAACCTCCAAGAAATATGGGATTATGTAAAGAGACCAAATCTATGCCTGATTGGGCTATGTGAAAGAGATAGGGAGAATGGAACCAATTTGGAAACACATTTCAGGATATCATCCGGGAGAACTTCCCCAACTTAGCTAGACAGGCCAACATTCAAACTCAGGAAATGCAGAGAACCCCAGTAAGATACTCCACAGGATCATCCCCAAGACACTTAATCTTTAGACTCTCCAAGATCAAAATGAAAAAAAAAAAAATGTTAAAGGCAGCCAGAGAGAAAGGCAAGGTCACCTACAAAGGGAAGCCCATCAGACTAATAGTGGAAACCCTACAAGCTTGATGAAGAGGTTGGGGACCAATATTCAAAATTCTTAAAGAAAAAGAATTTCCAACCCAGAACTTCATATCTGGCCAAACTAATTCATAAGCCATGGAGAAATAAGACCCTTTTCAGACAAGCAAATGCTGTGGGAATTTGTTACCACCAGACCTGCCTTACAAGAGCTCCTGAAGGAAGCACTAAATATGGAAAGGAAAAACCATTAGCAGCCACAACAAAAACACACAGACCAGTGACAATATGCACCCTGGTCTGTACAAAAAGTACACGGACCAGTGACAATATGAAGCAACCACATAAGTAAGTCTGTAAAATAACCAGCTAATATCATGATGACAGAATCAAATTGACACATAAAAATACTAACCTTAAATATAATGGGCTAAATGCACCAATTAAAAGACACAAAATGGGAAGCTGGATTAAGAACCAAGACCCACTGATATGCTGTCTTTAAGAGAGCCATCTCATATGCAAAGACACACATAGGCTCAAAATAAAGGGATGGAGGAAAATTTACCCAGCAAATGGAAAACAGAAAAAAGCAGGGGTTGCAATCTTAGTTTCTGACAAAACAGACTTTAAACCAAAAAGAAAAATAGAAAAAGACAAAAAAGGGCATTACATAATGGTAAAGGGTTCAGTTCAATAAGAAGAGCTAACTATCCTAGATATACCTAAATATAAGCACTTAATACAGAGGCAACCAGATTCATAAAGCAAGTTCTTAGAGACCTTCAAAGAGAGAGACTCCCACACAATAATAGTGGAAGACTTTAATACCCCACTGACAATAGTAGACAGATCATAAAGACAGAAAGTTAACAAAATATTTAGGACCTGAACTCCGCTCTGGATCAAGGGGACCTGATAGATATCTACAGAACTCCACGCAATAGCAACAGAATATACATTCTCATTGCCATGTGACCCTTACTCTAGAATTGATCACATAATCAGAGGTAAAATACTTCTTAGCAAATGCAAAATAACTGAAATCATAATAAACAGTCTCTTGGACTACAGCACAATCAAATTAGAACTCAATATTAAGAAATTCACTCAAAACCACACAAGTACATGGAAATTGAACAACCTGCTCCTGAATGACTTTGGGAAAATAATGAAATTAAGGCAGAAATCAAGAAGTTCTTTGAAACGAATGAGAACAAAGACACAACATACCAGAATCTCTGGGATGCAGATAAAGCAGTGTTAAGAGGGAAATTTATAGCACTAAATACCCAAAGCATAAAGCTAGAAAGATGTCAAGTTAGCAACCTAATATCACAATTAAGAGAACTGGAGAATCAAGAGCAAACAAACCCCAAAGCTAGCAGAAAGCAAGAAATAACCAAGATCAGAAGTAAACTGAAGGAGATACAGACATGAAAAATCTGTCCAAAGATCAATGAATACAGGAGGTGGTTTTTTGAAAAAAACTAATAAAATAAATAGACCGCTAGGTAGAAAAATAAAGAAGAAAAGAGAGAAAATTCAAGTAAACACAATCAGAAATGATCAAGGGGATATTACCACTGACTCTGCAGACATACAAACAACCATCAGAGAATACTGTAAACACCTTTATGCACATAAACTAGAAAATCTAGAAAAAAATGAATGAATTCCTAGACACATACAACATTCCAAGACTGAACTAGGAAGAAATTGAATCCCTGAATGGACCAATAATAAGTTTTGAAACTGAGGCAGTAATAAATAGCCTATCAACCAAAAAAACCAAGGACCAGATAGATTCACAACTGAATTCTACCAGAGGTAAAAAGGAGACCTGGCACCTTTCTACTAAACCTATTCCAAAAGATTGAAAAGGAGGGACTCCTCCCAAACTCATTCTATGAGGCCAGCATCACCCTGATACAAAAACCTGGCAGAGATACAACAACAACAAAATTTCAGGCCAATATCCTTGATTAACATCAATGCAAAAATCCTGAACAAAATATTGGCAAACTGAATTCAGCAGCATATCAAAAAGCTTATCTATCAGAATCAAGCAGGCTTTATCCCCAGGATGCAAGACAGGTTTAATATGTGCAAGTCAATCAATGTGGTTCCTCACATAAACAGTGCTAAAGACAAAAACCACATGATTATCTCAATAGATGCAGCAAAGGCTTTCAATAAAATTCAACATCCTTCATCTTAAAAACTCTCAATAAAGTAGGTATTTAAGGAACATACCCCAAATTAATAAGAGCCATCTATGACAAACCCACAGCAAATATCATACCAAATGGGCAACAGCTGGAGGCATTCCCCTTGAAAACTGGCAGAAGATAAGTTTGCCCTCTCTCACCGATTCAACATAGTATTGGAAGTTCTGGTCAGGGAAATCAGGCAAGAGAAATAAATAAAGGATATTAAAATAGAAAGAGAGGAAGTCAAACTATCTTTGTTTGCAGATGAGATCCTGTATCTAGAAAACCCCATCATCGCAGCCTAAAAGCTTCTTAAGCTGATAAGCAACTTCAGCAGTCTCCAGATATAAAATCAACGTGCAAAAATTGTTAGCATTCCTACACACCAACAACAGGCAAGCCAAGAGCCAAATCATGAATGAACTCCCATTCACAATTGCCACAAAAAAGAATAAAATACCCAGAAATACGCTAACAAGGGAAGTGATGGACCTCTATAAGGATAACTACAAACCAGTGCTCAAAGAAATCAGAGGACACACACACACACACACACAAAAAAAAAACAGTCCATGCTCGTGGATAGGAAGAATCAGTATTGTGAAAATGGCCATACTGCCCAAAGCAATTTATAGATTCAATGCTATCCCCATGAAACTACCATTGACATTCTTCACAGAATTAAAAAAAAAACTGTTTCAAAATTCATATGGAACCAAAAAAGAGCCTGAATAGCCAAGGCAATCCTAAGTAAAAAGACCAAGGCTGAAGGCATTACACTACCCGACTTCAAACTATACTACACCTATATACTTCCATTTCTGGCCCATCCTCTTTCTTTCTGTGGTGATAGTGCTAGTGCAAACATGGTGAATATTTCTAAGACCCGCCGGACTTCCTGTAAAAAGTGTGGCAAGCACCAATCTCACAAAGTAATGCAGTGCAAGAAGGGCAAGGATTTTCTGTATGCCCAGGAAAAGTGGTATTATGACAGGAAGCAGAGTGGCTATGGTGGGCAGACTAAGCTGATTTCCCAGAAAAAGGCTAAAACTACAAAGAAGATTGTGCTAAGGCTTGAGTGTGTTCAGCCCAACTGCAGATCTAAGTGAATACTGGCTACTAAAAGATGCAAACATTTTGAACTATGAGGAGATAAAAAGAAAAAGGATCAAGTGATCCAGTTCTAAGTATCATCTTTTGTTTTATTATGAAGACAATAAAATCTTGAGTTTATGTTAAAAAGAAAAAAAAAAAAACCTATAATACTGGGCTACAGTAACCAAAACAGCAGAATACTGGTACAAGAACAGACACATAGACCAATGGAGCAGAATAGAGAACTTAAATATAGGACTACACACTTATAACCATCTGATCTTTGACAAACCTGACAAAACAAGCAATGGGGAAATGATTCCCTATTTAATAAATGCTGCTGGAAGAAATGGCTAGCCATATGCAGAAAATTTGAGCTGGACCCCTTCCTTACACCATCCTTGACAGAAATCAAGTCAAGAGGAATTAAAGACTTACATGTAAAACCTCAAACTATAACAATCCTAGAAGAAAACCTAGGCAATACCATTCAGGACTTAGGCATGGGCAAAGATTCCATGACAAAGATGCCAAAAGTAATTGCAACAAAAGTAAACATTGACAAATGGGATTTAATTAAACTAAAGAGGCCAGGTGTGATGGCTCACACCTGTAATCCCAGCACTTTGGGAGACCAAGTCAGGCAGATCATCTGAGGTCTGAGTTCAAGATCATGTGAGTTCAAGATCATGTGAGTTCAAGATCAGCCCGGCCAACATGGTGAAACCCCATCTCTACTAAAAATATAAAAATTACACAGGGATGTTGGCATGCGCCTATAGTCCCAGATACTTGGGAGGCTCAGGCACAAGAATCACTTGAACAGAGGAGGCAGAGGTTGCAGTGAGCCAAGATCGTGCCACTACACTCCAGCCTGGGTGAGAGAGCAAGACTTCATCTAAATAAATAAATAAATAAATGAATAAATAAATAAACAAACTAAAGAGCTTCTGCACAGCAAAATAAACTATCAACAGAGTAAACAGACAACCTACAGAATGGGAGAAAATTTTTGCAATCTATCCATCTGACAAATGTCTAATATCTAGCATCTATAAGGAACTTAAATTTACAAGAAAAAAACAAACAATCCCATTAGAAAGTGGGCAAAGGACATGAATAGATATTTCTCCAAAGAAGACATACATGTGGCCAAAAACCATATGAGAAAAAGCTCAACATCACTGATCATTAAATAAATGCAAATCAAAACCACAATGAGATACCATTTTACACCAGTCAGGATGACTACTGTTAAAAAGTCAAAAAACAACAGGTGCTGGTGAAGTTGGGAGAAAAAGGAATGTTTTTACACTGCTGATGAGGGTGCAAATTAGTTCAGCCATTGTGGAAGACAGTGTGGCAATTCCTCAAAGACCTATAGGCAGAAATACCATTTGACCAAGCAATCCCATTACTGGGTATATACACCCAAAGGAATATAAATCATTCTATTATAAAGATGCATGCACAGGTATGTTCATTGCAGCATTATTCGCAACAGCAAAGACATGGAATCAACCTGAATGTCCATCAATGATAGGCTAGACACAGAAAATGTGGTACATATACACCATGGAATACTATGCAGCCATAAAAAGGAACAAGATCATGTCATTTGCAGGGACGTGGATGGAGCTGGAGGCCATTATCCTTAGCAAACTAACACAGGAAGAGAAAACCAAATATGACATGTTCTTACATATAAGTGGGAGCTAAATGATGAGAACGCATGGACACATGGCAGAGAACAACACACACTGGAGCCTACTGGAGGGCATTGCGGGGGCGACAGGGGAGAGGATCAGGAAGAATAGTTAATGGATGCTGGGCTTAATAATTGGGTGATGGGATGATCTGTGCAGCAAACCATCATGGCACATGTTTACCTATGTTACAAACCTGCACATCCTGCACGTGTACTCCTAACCTTAAAATAAAAGTTGGAAATAAAAATAAGAATATAGCAAGCAGTTATTTTGGTATTTTACAGTTAATTTATTTAATATCTACATATGTTGAACATCTACCAAGTGCCAGTATTGGGTATAAAAGGCAGACCCTAACCTCATGGAGCTTACAGGCTAGTAAGTGATTCAGACAAATGAATGGGTAAGTATTATGTACTCAGATAAGTACCAGGCGTTTGATAAATGATGTGTTACTGTGTACAAATGACAGCTGATCTTAGGTCGTGTCTTCATCTAAGATAGTAACCATCTCATATGATTGCTGTGAGGATTAAATAAGGTTATGAATTTCAACCCTTTTTACATTGTGTAGAAAGTAGCAAGCCCTCAATGTGTAAGTAGTCACAGATGTAGACAGTGGCTAATGTAGCACAGGATGTTGTGAGAGTACATAGAAGGGTTGCATTGGTCAACCTGAGAGCAGAGCCTCTGAAAAGTCCTCTTTGAGAAGGTGGCTGCTAATGTAAGACCTAAATGATGACTGGGAAACAGCCAGGAGCGAGCGGAGAAGATTCCCTCCAGAGAAAGTGGTGGTATAAGGGTGCAGAAGTGAGAGACAATTGACAGTAGTTCAGTCTGGCTGAACAGCAGAATTCCAGCAGGGGAGTGTTAAGAGATGAGGCTGGGTAGATGAAGTATGCTAATTAACTAGCACTGGGGACATGTGCTGATTTCCATGGCATGAATTTCAGCTACCAACAATTTAACAATTGGGTCACAAAATTCCTCCTCTTAAAAATCACCTCTGTGGCAGGTGCAAGTGACCTCCAAGATACCCTAGTTACTGGGTTAAGAATTTGGATTGACTCTAGGGCAATGGATAGTCATTAACATGCTTTTAGCCAGGGAGACAGGGAATCCAATCAGTTTTGGAAGGATCACCCGGGCTTTAGTGAGGAGGAGACAGGGCAAGTCTGGAGACAGTAATCTAGGCCAGAAATTAAAATAAACTTAGTGAAGGTAGTGGCAGTTTTTGGAGAAGAAATTCGACTTAGAAGATATTAGAGCCAATAGATGATTTGTAAGATGTGGAGACTTAGGTAGGGGGCACATCCAGGAAGTGAGTCTGGATTTCAAACTTGGGCAACAGGGTGAATGCTGGCACCATTCTCTAAGAGCAGGAACTCAGATAGTAGGAAATGTTTGGAAGGAGGCACACTAATTTACACATTTGAACTTACTGAGTTTAGTGCCTCATCCAAATGCTGATCTCCAAGAGGCAGCTGGCTGGATAGATACAGAGATTTGAAAACCAACTGCATATGGATGGTAAGCCTGAGATCACAGGAAGAACCTAGAAGAGAAACCTAAGTACACCCCTGTTTAAGGGATTTTGCCAACAAAAGGAGCATAAAAAGGAGGAAGAGGAGTGGCTGCATTGCTGGGTTGAGAAACAGAAGAGATGGTGGCATGGAGCTAGTCTTCTAGCTCTAGTGAGCCTTTTAAGGAGGGAATAATTGGTGACACTAAACACCTATGACAAGTGAATGAAGACTAAAAAGTGACTATGGATTCAAGTAGGAGGTTGCAAGTCATGCCCTTGGTAAGACTAGATTTATTGAATTCCAATTGCAGGAGGTCAATTGGAAGTTGGGTTATAAACATAAAGTGACAAAGTGGTGAAATAAATGTAGGAGACTCAAAAAGTACAGCTGGCTGGTCCAGGGAAGGAAAGACAATAGGGTGTTGAGTGCAGAAGACACTGGGAACTAGGAAGAGCATATTGTTTGTGTGTTAGGTTCATGTGGAAAGGGAGAGATGTCTTAAAATGCTGAATTACTTAACAAATGCTTACATAATACCTGCGAATGGGCTGGCACTGTTCTAAATGCTTTACACATGTTCACTGATTTAATCCTCATAAAGAGAGATATTCTTATTGTCTCCATTTTACAGATAAAAAAAGTACCATATAGCCATGCAGCTAGGAAAGAGTGGTGTCAGCATCTGTCTCTAGGCTACCTGGCTCCAGAGTCTGTGCTGTTAACCATTACCCACTGGGTCCACTCATGTTGTTCTGCCAACTATGCTGATGGGAAGGGGTCATCCATGGAGAAGAGGATGAAGGTACAAGAGGGGGAGAAAAAACAGTAGGATAAGTGGTGGGAGGGGAATAAGATCAAGAGAACAAGTGGAGATGTTAACCCTAGACAGGGAGGAATATTGAAATGGGAGGAAAAGAGGATTGAAAGAAAAGGTAAATGTGTAAGTTTAGTGGCAAGAAATAGAAAAAATTTCACAAGTGGTAAGGGAGAAATGGCCTGGAAGCAGAAGTAGGGAGTAAAGAAGATCATGACCTAACCTTTTGATCCAAAGGTTTTATATGGAATGTGGGGAAAAGAGCAGCTTTCACTTGAGACATGGCTGCTGAGTGTTTCTGGGGGAGCCAGGTTTCAATCAAGTCAAGGAGGGAAGGCTCAATGAAGAGGTCCAGGCTGTAGGGGGCTGGATCATGGGATGAGAGTTACAGAGGGCTCAGAGTGAAGATCTGGAAGGGAGGAGAGGAATGGGGATTGGGTTGAGAAGGAAGAGAACGGGATACCAGTTGGGCTTAGGTCTTGGGTGGGGATCAAGGATAACAAGGTTTTTTCTACTGTGTTTGGAGAGTTTCCCTGGCTGAGAGTACACCAAGAAGTTGATCTCCTGGTTGGGGGAGTAGGTAAGTAAGTGGGTGAGAAGAGAAGAGAAGGAAGTGGTGGGAGGCAGAGATGATTCAGTAGTCAGGGACTCCTGGAGGGGTTGCACTTCCAAATGAGCCATCAGTCTGCAAAATGGGAAGCTTTCAGCCTCTGACAGCAGTCACTGTGTTCTGGATCCATCTGTGAAAGCTCTTGGGAAAGGCTTGTAGGAAGGTTTATAATTCTTTGTGTGCTGAGAAAAGTTTTTCCCCTCTGGCGTTCTTGGTCTCAATTGTGACAAGTCTTATAACATTATCTACCAATAGTATATTTCAATGGAGTAGGATGGCCATATTGTCACAATTGAGACCAAGACAAAGTTACAAGTGTTCAGGCAGCTGGTCATCTGGCTCCAGAGGGTCACTCTCAACCACATCACTATACTGCGCCCCACATATCTGCAGCACACATCAGAAAAAAGAAAAATTGCCTTGTTATTAGAGAGATATTACAAAAAAGGAAAAAAATCCCCCAAAAATCCATCCCTAAAGAGAAATGAGCAAAAGACCCAAATGGGCAATTAACAGAAAAAGAAATGTCAATGACCAATAAACATATGAAAAAAAGACTGAACCTCACTTAGAATTAATGAAATACTTCTTCACCTATTATATTTGCAAAGATGTAAATAAAGTTAATACTACAGACTGTTATCTACTTCTGATGGAATGCTAAACAGCCATTAAAAGTATGAAGTAGAACTACATATTCTGCCGTGGAAAATCTCATTATATTGTAAAGAAGAAAAAACTCAAGGTACAGAATAATATACTTTGTAAAATACTATTTACAAAAAGTATAGGCTCTGTATATGCATAAGTGAGCTTGTAAATGGTCAGAAAATTTGGGGAAGAATATAGAAGAAATCATTATCATATCTAACTGGAGAGTGGGATAGGGAGTCTAAGGGAATACAGACCATGAGGAGGAATGGTAACTCTTTTATAATGTTTTATAATGGAAAATTACAAGCATACACAAGATGGAAAGATTGATATATTGACCTTTCTCCCATTTACTTATCACTTAAGTTCAACAGTAACTCATATTACTTGATTATGCTATCCTTTTGTTCTGTTTGAAAAAACATTTACCACTTACATGTCTTGCTTTTATACCTAAAAAAACCCGACATAATGAAAGTAACATTTCCCCATGCCCTTGCAACCACAGTTTGCTAGCTTAACCTTTAGTGCACGCAAGAAAGCTTCGGGGATGAGGGGTCTGGAGAGTGTTAGCCACTTTGCTCTTGAACTCATGTCACCTCTGTAGCCAGAGGGACAGCGAACCTTATCCAGCTACAATCAACGATACTTTATTTAAAGAGTAACTTCAAAGGAAGATTGCCCACTCTGTAGGGGAGAGTTTAATATGCTTACCACTCACACCCACACCCCCTAGTCCATGTTTTTATAAAGGGACAACTTGATTTATCCTGCAGGAATGTTTTATCTCTGTATTAAGGTTTACTCCATTTCCCAGCAGAGCCCAAAGCTAAGAAAACAGTGCCTTCCTCCGCTTCAAACCGATGAGACTTGGGCAGCTGCAGTTGTTGCCAAATGTTACCCTTGGTCACAGAGGCATGACGGATGCCTCATGCTAGAAGTTCAGGGGAGTTTGGAAAAATATGGAAATTCCCAGGCACTATTTGGGGGCACAGTGCCAAAGTCTGAGGACTGAAAATGAGAATACCTGCCTCCCAGATGCATTCATTGATTTACTCACCCATCATTCATTCCAATATCGTACCCTTGGCCAGGCTTTGTGCTAGAGTCAGGATTACCAAGTTGAGCAGCTCACGGCCCCTGACCTTCTGGAGCTTATGAAATCTGTAATGAAGCTTAGTAGTTTGCTTTGCTTTTCTTCCTCTGCCAGAATTGTTCTTTCCTATCTTGTCCACCTAGTCTTACTCATCCTTCAGAATTTAGCTCATGAGGCACCATCTCCTATGAAAGACATTTACAATTTACTGTTTCCTCTGCTTAAGAACACCTCTTCTGTCTTGTCCACCTGTGATTACTCACCCTGCAAAGCCAGTCTTCATCCCTATAGCCCTGCCTGACCCCTCAGATCCAAGTTAGTTACTGTGCTTAGCAGATTGCATTACTTACTCTGACATGCTTGCCTCCCTTTAAAGCCCAGCCTTTGGTTCACCATTTCCCATGCAGCATGTGGCACATATTTATATTTGTTGAGTTAATGTGTAAAGTAGTGTAACAGCATAATTTCTCTCGATTTTGTGCCACTTAGACTCTCGCAAGTGCCTCCAAAGATAATCTCTTTGGCCATTAGCCCTTCCACAGCTGCTCCTCCTTCTTTCTGTATTCTACAAAAGCATGGATCATTTTATTTCAGGCTCTAAATAACAAGAGCAGATGAATGTCTCAGTCCCAGCGCTAAGCAGCTAAAATTTATTGCTTGTCCTTTTGAATAGATATTGGTATTAATTTTTAAACCCTTGGTTGATCCCTTCCACTTCAAATATTTTAAGTATAAGAAGAATTAGAACTTACAACTATGAAGATGATATCAATATCCTGCTGCAAAGTCTGGGTGGCATGAAGGTCATTGGAAGGCTTTTGTGTAACTGCAGAACTTTAAAAACAGCTGACTAACATACCGGGCAAAAAATCATATCATAATGAATAAACATTAGACAAGAACCAGGGGACCTGGCTTCTACTTCCTTTTGAGGCCTTCATTTTTGCAACAACAAAAAAGGAATAAATTAATGTTTGAGTGATTTTGTGATTTCTAAGGTCCCTCTTGGCTTTAAGCTTCTATGAGTCTATAATCCAGGAAGCAAATATTTTCTGTAAATTGAAACGAAATTAATTCTCTTATCCCGTCTCATCTTCTCTCATCAGCCAAAGGAGAATCTTTCCTATAAATAGTCATTAAAACATTGGGGAATGTTGTAACATTTTTCTTTGTGTTAGTAATCCTTTCTGTGAATTGAGACACTTACAGGTAACAAGCAAGGAAAAAAAGTTCCCATTGGGAAATTGACTTCAAAAGAAAATTCCAACATCCATTGTTTCTCTTGATATCTTTTTGGCAAAGATATCTTAATTCTCACTGCCATTGCAAATTTTGAATTTAATCCAATGGGTGAGGAGACTCCATCCTTATTTACAATTCCCCTGCTGATGGCTCCCATATGGGTGGGAGACCAGGCTCTCTGGAGCCAGCCTTGGCACCTGAGTCTCTGGATGTGGCAATCCAAAAGGCTCCTGTCACCTTTCCTGTCGGTATTATTTCCTTCTCCAGCTACAGGACTGCCACAGGACTTCTCCATAGTACAGCTTGTTTAATATGCAGTTCAAATTTCCATTTAACATCAATGATTCTGCAAAAAGAAATCAAGTAATTTTGTTTGATAATTATCCTCCCAATTCAAATTTCCATCAAATAACAAAGGCAGAGAGGTAAGAAGTGGCTCCAACCAAAAGAAAATTAGAATAGTAACTGCTAATAATTATCATGTGCTTACTCTATGCTAAGTTTTATCTCATTTATTCCTCACGTAACAGGAGGTATTATTATGCGCCCCATTTTATAGAAGAAGTAATTGAGGTTTACGGAAGTTAGTATCTAGTCTAAGATTTCACATTCTACCAAACTGAAATTCAGATGTGGAATATCTGACTCCACAGTCTACACATAGAATCCCTCTGCAATCCTGCTTCTCAAGAATTGTATATGTATGCTATTAGAATGGGAGATATATAAGGTCTTTAATGGATTCCAAAATGGTAATAGAAGCTAACTGTTGGCTTTTCTCCTGAGTTATCCACAAAAGAAGTTTTGGATAATACAGCAATCTAGCTCTTTACGAAATAAAGGAAAAGCTTAAGAAATATCCACTGAGTAAGATTTCAGGAGCGATTAATGAGTTGTATTCGTTAGGGTAAATGACATCAGCTGCTATAACAAGTGCACTCATATCTCAGTGGCTTAGCACAACAAACATGTATTTCTCACAGTTCATTGTGGTCAGTTGGTGGGCTCTGCTCTAACATCATTCAAGACAGGGTTGGGACTAGTATGACATAAGTCAGGCAAAATTTTAGGGGGTGCCAAAGATCTTAGTGATCAAGACAAATAATATTTTAATACAATATTTTGAGACTCAAAGTTAATGCAAAAAATCCATACTGAACAAAGTGTCTAAATTTTAAATAAAGACAAGATCCAGCAGGGCTGGATTAACAGGGAGGTGAGACTGAGTTGTGTTGGCTAATTACAGACTAATTTAAAAAATCTAACTAAAAGTAGAATGACCTGTACTCAGAAAATGTGTAAAACAAAAGCATGGATTATTGTCCTCTCCCACCATGCCTGGACGCATGGTAAAGGGGAAGAAAAGGAGGGTTCCTAGACCAGCAGGGGAGCAAATGTTACATTTTCCCATCATTCCAAGAGATGGAGCACAAGGATGTAGGGACTGAATTAGCTTTGCTTTGGCAACCATGGGATTCTAAAGGAACTGGGTTTGCTCATTCAGACACAGAGAAACAGTTATTCCATTAGCAGTCCTAGGTCAGCAGCTGCCCTGGAAAAATAACCACAAACAGTCTTTTGTTTAAGGGGCTACCTGAGATAGTTGTTCTCATGGAAGTCAGCCAGACTGCTTGTGTATGAGGTATCTTGTAACTATTTTAAATTATATTGCCCAAAACCAACTGTTATCTTACATTTCAAATCATATTTATACCTAATTATAAACTCACGTTACAGATGAGTTGCATCAAGCTACTTTTAATACAAGACCAACAGACTTCAATTAATTTAAACCATTGTCTTGTGGTCATAGAGATAAAACTTTATTATATAGTGGCAGGTGCAGATGAGCTCTGGACTCAAGAGAGAATCGTCCTGGGCACCCTATCAGTACACATTTACTTAGACAGGTCTTGCCTGACAATATCGACTAAAGTAACACCCACCAGTCACTACCACATATTTTTATTTTTTTATATTTTTATTTTCTTCGTGGCATGTATTCACATTCTGACATTTTCTTATTTGTTCACTTGTTTATTGTCTGTTCCTCACCCCAAACCCATTGCATTGTAAATACCATGAAATCAGAGACCTTGTCTTTCTTGTTTGCCCCAGTACACAGAACAGTGCCTGGCACACAGAAGGTGCTCAAAAAATGTTGGAATGAATACATAAATAAGTTGAAGTCAATTTATTGGTTCCATGTGGACTATTCTTTCTTCACAAAATTTCTGAAGTGATTAGCACATTAATACCCTCAGTTGATAGCTGTGTTTGTTGTTATTGTGAGGGGTTACAAAATATCCCTGGACCAGTGAGTAGTAAGGAGGAATAATTACAGTACCATGTTCAGGCTTTAGATACAAGAAATACTTTTTTATCCAATAAGGGAAACCCAATTTAGATTATTCCACTGTAATAAGTTACATATATATAACTCCAGGTCAATAAACCTCATGTTTCAAAATGACCACATTTTCTAGGCCTTTCTATGATTCTTGATAGACAATGGACATGAAAAGGGTTCTGGAAAAGTGGCCCTGTGGTGGCAGCTTTTGTAGATGTTAAACATTCAACATTAATGACTCATTTCATACACAAAAACACACACAGGATAGATAGATAGAGTGATAGACATATACATGTATAGATATATGGGTATAGGTATAGACAGATAGATCTGTGTAAGTTTCCTGACAATAACTAGAATGAACTAGCACATCATAACTCAACAGATGGCATTAACATTCACAACAGAATTCTTGTCCATCAGTTACTACATCATCAAGCAGCACTTATCAACTAAAGGCTTAGAGTAATTTATGATCCAAGGCCAAGTAACTGCCACTGATTCAACATTTTACGAGCTATATTAAAATTCGTGCATTTTATCAAACCGGGTATACTTTGAGATATTGGGTCATATTACTCTCTCTAGTAACAATACTCATCACACGATATAATCAATTACAAGAATCCACAATAAAATCATGCTGTACCTATTCAGAGCCAACTCTGCATTTTAACATTCTCCATATTTTAATATTGTAGCATTATATACATTTTAACATTGCTAGTATTGATGTCTTATAATCAACATCTTATGAATATTTCTTTTTTAAAATTATTTTATTTTATTTTATTTTTATTTATTTATTTTTTTGTTATACTTTAAGTTTTAGGGTACATGTGCACAATGTGCAGGTTTGTTACATATGTATACATGTGCCATGTTGGTGTGCTGCACCCATTGACTCGTCATTTAACATGAAGTATATCTCCTAATGCTAACCCTCCCCCCTCCCCCCACCCCACAACAGGACCTGGTGTGTGATGTTCCCCTTCCTGTGTCCATGTGTTCTCATTGTTCAATTCCCACCTATGAGTGAGAACATGCGGTGTCTGGTTTTTTGTCCTTGCAATAGTTTGCTGAGAATGATGGTTTCCAGCTTCATCCATGTCCTTACAAAGGACATGAACTCATCCTTTTTTATGGCTGCATAGTATTCCATGGTGCATATGTGCCACATTTTCTTAATCCAGTCTATCGTTGTTGGACATTTGGGTTGGTTCCAAGTCTTTGCTATTGCAAATAGTGCCACAATAAACATACGTGTGCATGTGTCTTTATAGCAGCATGTTTTATATCCTTTGAGTGTATACCCAGTAATGGGATGGCTGGGTCAAATGGTATTTCTAGTTCTAGATCCTTGAGGAATCGCCACACTGACTTCCACAATGGTTGAACTAGTTTACAGTCCCACCAACAGTGTAAAAGTTTTCCTATTTCTCCACATCCTCTCCAGCACCTGTTGTTTCCTGACTTTTTAATGATCGTCATTCTAACTGGTGTGAGATGGTATCTCATTGTGGTTTTGATTTGTGTTTCTCTGATGGCCAGTGATGATGAGCATTTTTTCATGTGTCTTTTGGCTGCATAAATGTCTTCTTTTGAGAAATGTCTGTTCATATCTTTCACTCACTTGCTGATGGGGTTGTTTTTTTCTTGTAAACTTGTTTGAGTTCATTGTAGATTCTGGATATTAGCCCTTTGTCAGATGAGTAGATTGCGAAAATTTTTTCCCATTCTGTAGGTTGCCTGTTCACTCTGATGGTAGTTTCTTTTGTTGTGCAGAAGCTCTTTAGTTTAATTAGATCCCATTTGTCAATTTTGGCCTTCTTTGCCATTGCTTTTGGTGTTTTAGACATGAAGTCCTTGCCCATGCCTATGTCCTGAATGGTAATGCCTAGGTTTTCTTCTAGGGTTTTTATGGTTTTAGGTCTAACATGTAAGTCTTTAATCCATCTTGAATTAATTTTTGTATAAGGTGTAAGGAAGGGATCCAGTTTCAGCTTTCTACATATGGCTAGTCAGTTTTCCCAGCACCATTTATTAAATAGGGAATCCTTTCCCCATTTCTTGTTTTTGTCAGGTTTATCAAAGATCAGATAGTTGTAGATATGTGGCATTATTTCTGAGGGCTCTGTTCTGTTCCATTGGTCTATATCTCTGTTTTGGTACCAGCACCATGCTGTTTTGGTTACTGTAGCCTTGTAGTATAGTTTGAAGTCAGGTAGCCTGATGCCTCCAGCTTTGTTCTTTTGGCTTAGGATTGACTTGGCAATGCGGGCTCTTTTTTGGTTCCATATGAACTTTAAAGTAGTTTTTTCCAATTCTGTGAAAAAAGTCATTGGTAGCTTGATGGGGATGGCATTGAATCTATAAATTACCTTGGGCAGTATGGCCATTTTCTTGATATTGATTCTTCCTAACCATGAGCATGAAATGTTCTTCCATTTGTTTGTATCCTCTTTTATTTCATTGAGCAGTGGTTTGTAGTTCTCCTTGAAGAGGTCCTTCACGTCCCTTGTAAGTTGAATTCCTAGGTATTTTATTTTCTTTGAAGCAATTGTGAATGGGAGTTCCCTCATGATTTGGCTCTCTGTTTGTCTGTTATTGGTGTATAAGAATACTTGTGATTTTTGCACATTGATTTTGTATCCTGAGCCTTTGCTGAAGTTGCCTATCAGCTTAAGGAGGTTTTGGGCTGAGACAATGGGGTTTCCTAGATAATACAATCATGTCATCTGCAAACAGGAACAATTTGACTTTCTCTTCCTAATTGAATACCATTTATTTCCTTCTCCTGCCTGATTGTCCTGCCCAGAACTTCCAACACTATGTTGAATAGGAGTGGTGAGAGAGGGCATCCCTGTCTTGTGCCCGTTTTCAAAGGGAATGCTTCCAGTTTTTGCCCATTCAGTATGATATTGGCTGTGGGTTTGTCAGAGATAGCTCTTATTATTTTGAGATGCATCCCATCAATACCTAACTTATTGAGAGTTTTTAGCATGAAGAGTTGTTGAATTTTGTCAAAGGCCTTTTCTGCATCTATTGAGATAATCATGTGGTTTTTGTCTTTGGTTCTGTTTATATGCTGGATTACGTTTATTGATTTGCGTATATTGAACCAGCCTTGCATCCCAGGGATGAAGCCCACTTGATCATGGTGGATAAGCTTTTTGATGTGCTGCTGGATTCTGTTTGCCAGTATTTTATTGAGGATTTTTGCATCGATGTTCATCAGGGATATTGGTCTAAAATTCTCTTTTTTCGTTGTGTCTCTGCCAGGCTTTGGTATCAGGATGATGCTGGCCTCATAAAATGAGTTAGGGAGGATTCCCTCTTTTTCTATTGATTGGAATAGTTTCAGAAGGAATGGTACCAGCTCCTCCTTGTACCTCTGGTAGAATTTGGCTGTGAATCCGTCTGGTCCTGGACTCTTTTTGGTTGGTAAGCTATTAATTATTGCCTCAATTTCAGAGCCTGTTATTGGTCTATTCAGAGATTCAACTTCTTCCTGGTTTAGTCTTGGAAATGTGTATGTGTCGAGGAATGTATCCATTTCTTCTAGATTTTCTAGTTTATTTGCATAGAGGTGTTTGTAGTATTCTCTGATGGTAGTTTGTATTTCTGTGGGATTGGTGGTGATATCCCCTTTATCGTTTTTTATTGCATCTATTTGATTCTTCTCTCTTTTCTTCTTTATTAGTCTTGCTAGCAGTCTATCAATTTTGTTGATCTTTTCAAAAAACCAGCTCCTGGATTCAATGACTTTTTGAAGGGTTTTTTATGTCTCTATTTCCTTCAGTTCTGCTCTGATCTTAGTTATTTCTTGCCTTCTGCTAGGTTTTGAATGTGTTTGCTCTTGCTTCTCTAGTTCTTTTAATTGTGATGTTAGGGTGTCAATTTTAGATCTTTCCTGCTTTCTCTTGTGGGCCTTTAGTGCTATAAATTTCCCTCTACACATTGCTTTGAATGTGTCCCAGAGATTCTGGTATGTTCTGTTTTTGTTCTCGTTGGTTTCAAAGAACATCTTTATTTCTGCCTTCATTTCATTATGTACCCAGTAGTCATTCAGGAGCAGGTTGCTCAGTTTCCATGTAGTTGAGCGGTTTTGAGTGAGTTTCTTAATCCTGAGTCGTAGTTTGATTGCACTGTGGTCTGAGAGACAGTTTTTTATTATTTCCGTTCCTTTACATTTGCTGAGGAGTGCTTTACTTCCAACTATGTGGTCAATTTTGGAATAGGTGCTGTGTGGTGCTGAAAAGAATGTATATTCTGTTGATTTGGGGTGGAGAGTTCTGTAGATGTCTATTAGGTCTTCTTGGTGCAGAGCTGAGTTCAATTCCTGGATATCCTTGTTAACTTTCTGTCTCATGGATCTGTTTAATGTTGACAGTGGGGTGTTAAAGTCTCCCATTATTATTGTGTGGGAGTCTAAGTCTCTTTGTAGGTCACTCAGGACTTGATTTATGAATCTGGGTGCTCCTGTATTGGGTGCATGTATATTTAGGATAATTAGCTCTTCTTGTTGAATTGATCCCTTTACCATTATGTGATGGCCTTCTTTGTCTCTTTTGATCTTTGTTGGTTTAAAGTCTGTTTAATCAGAGACTAGGATTGCAACCCCTGCCTTTTTTTGTTTTCCATTTGCTTGGTAAATCTTCCTCCATCCCTTTATTTTGAACCTTTGTGTGTCTCTGCACGTGAGATGGGTTTCCTGAATACAGCACACTGATGGGTCTTGACTCTTTATCCAATTTGCCAGTCTGTGTCTTTTAATTGGAGCACTTAGCCCATTTACATTTAAGGTTAATATTGTTATGTGTGAATTTGATCCTGTCATTATGATGTTAGCTGGTTATTTTGCTCATTAGTTGATGCAGTTTCTTCCTAGCCTCGATGGCCTTTACAATTTGGCATGTTTTTGCAGTGGCTGGTAGCGGTTTTTCCTTTCCATATTTAGTGCTTCCTTCAGGAGCTCTTTTCAGGCAGGCCTGGTGGTGACAAAATCTCTCAGCATTTGCTTGTCTGTAAAGGATTTTATTTCTCCTTCACTTATGAAGCTTAGTTTGGCTGGAAATGAAATTCTGGGTTGAAAATTCTTTTCTTTAAGAATGTTGAATATTGGCCCCCACTCTCTTCTGGCTTGCAGAGTTTTTGCCAAGAGATCTGCTGTTAGTCTGATGGGCTTCCCTTTGTGGGTAGCCAGACCTTTCTCTCTGGCTGCCCTTAACATTTTTCCTTCATTTCAACTTTGGTGAATCTGACAATTATGTGTCTTGGAGTTGCTCTTCTCAAGGAATATCTTTGTGGCATTCTCTGTATTTCCTGAATTTGAATGTTGGCCTGCCTTGCTAGACTGGGGAAGTTCTCCTGGATAATATCCTGCAGAGTGTTTTCCAATTTGGTTCCATTCTCCCCGTCACTTTCAGGTACACCAATCAGACGTAGATTTGGTCTTTTCACATAGTCCTATATTTCTTGGAGGCTTTGTTCATTTCTTTTCATTCTTTTTTCTCTAAACTTCCCTTCTCGCTTCATTTCATTCATTTGATCTTCCATCACTGATACCCTTTATTGCAGTTGATCGAATCGACTACTGAGGCTTGTGCATTTGTCACGTAGTTCTCATGCCATGGTTTTCAGCTCCATCAGGTCCTTTAAGGACTTCTCTGCATTTGTTATTCTAGTTTGCCATTCGTCTAATTTTTTTGCAAGGTTTTTATCTTCTTTGCCTTGGGTTTGAACTTCCTCCTTTAGCTCGGAGTAGCTTGATCATCTGAAGCCTTCTTCTCTCAACTCGTCAAAATCATTCTCCGTCCAGCTTTGTTCTGTTGCTGGTGAGGAGCTGCATTCCTTTGGAGGAGGAGAGGTGCTCTGATTTTTAGAGTTTCCAGTTTTTCTGCTCTGTTTTTTCCCCACCTTTGTGGTTTTATCTACCTTTGGTCTTTGATGATGGTGACGTACAGATGGGGTTTTGGTGTGGATGTCCTTTCTGTTTGTTAGTTTTCCTTCTAACAGTCAGAACCCTCAGCTGCAGGTCTGTTGGAGCTTGCTGGAGGTCCACTCCATACCCTGTTTGCCTGGGTATCACCAGCGGAGGCTGCAGAACAGTGGATATTGGTGAACAGCAAATGTTGCTGCCTGATCGTTCCTCTGGAAGTTTTGTCTCAGAGGAGTACACAGCAGTGTGAGGTGTCAGACTGCCCCCACTGGGGGGTGCCTCCCAGTTAGGCTACTTGGGGGGTCCGGGACGCACTTGAGGAGGCAGTCTGTCTGTTCTCAGATCTCCAGCTGTGTGCTGGCAGAACCACTACTCTCTTCAAAGCTGTCAGACAGGGACATTTAAGTCTGCAGTGGTTTCTGCTGCCTTTTGTTTGGCTATGCCCTGCATCCAGAGGTGGAGTCTACACAGGCCGGCAGGCCTCCTTGAGCTGCCGTGGGCTCCACCCAGTTCGAGCTTCCCAGCCTCTTTGTTTACCTACTCAAGCCTCAGCAAAGGCAGGCACCCCTCCCCCAGCCTTGCTGCCACCTTGCAGTTTGATTTCAGACTGCTGTGCTAGCAATGAGCGAGGCTCTGTGGGCGTAGGACCTTCTGAGCCAGTGCAGGATATAATCTCCTGGTGTGCCCTTTGCTAAGACCATTGGAAAAGCGCAGTATTAGGTTGGGAGTGAACTGATTTTCCAGGTGCCGTCTGTCACCCCTTTCTTTGACTAGGAAAGGGAATTCCCTGACCCCTTGTGCTTCCTGGGTGAGGCGATGCCTCGCCCTGCTTTGGCTCATGCACGGTGCACTGTACCCACTGTCCTGCACCCACAGTATGACACTCCCCAGTGAGATGAACCAGGTACCTCAGTTGGAAATGCAGAAATCACCCATCTTCTGCATTGCTCATGCTTGCAGCTGTAGACTGGAGCTGTTCCTATTCGGCCATCTTGGCTCCCTTCTTTATTTTTTTAAAAGCTGTTATAAAAGTAATGTTTTCTCATCAGTTCAACTTCCCGTCAGTGTAACTTAGAATGAAGAAAGTGGTTTTTGCAAGAAGTATGATAGACGGATGTATAATTTTAATTTATTAATAACTCATACAAAATGATTTTTTTAAAGCAGCAAGACCTTGGGAGGTAAATGGGCAAAGGATGTGAATCTTCCATTCACATAATAAAAATATAACAATCCAGTAAATGTAAATGATCTCACTAGGACTCAAAGAAGTGCAAATTAAAACAAAAAGAAAATTACATTTTTGTCTTTTACATTAGCAAAAAACAGTTTTCTTTAAATCAGGTGCTAAGCAGAGTGAGACAGAATGAGCATCCTTATCAAATGGGTACAAAATTTCTGGAAAGCAATTTGGCAGTATACTTTAAAGTCTTTCAAATGTTTACACCCTATTTATTCTTCTAGGAATGTATAATGAGACAGCAATCAGAAACAGGTCTAAATATATTCACAAAGATGGTAAGTGGAAAAAAGTCAAGATACTAAATTTATATACTAGATTTCAGTTATGTAAAGAATTAAAAAAGATAAAATATGGCAAGATATTAATGGCTAATTTTTTTCCTGTTCTTTTACACTTGTATGTACTTTATGAATAAACATATTATTTTAATAATCAGAAAAAAATTTAGAAACTGAAAGGAAAAAAATGACCATAGGCTATTTTGACAGTTTCCATTTCCTTTCCAAAGAAATAGATGAAAAATTACTTACCACAAAAATCTGCCTTCATATGAGACTTACACACTAAAAATTATGTGTGTGGGAGCTTTTATATATTTGCATAGCATGATGCACAAAATAAAATATTTCATTTTGTTAGACGTAGGAAACTTAACATTCTTAAATTTTAGTTCTTGAATTTTACATTTTGGGGAAAATTGCTTTGAAGCTTGTTATTAATTATTATCATTTGACTCTTTTTTTAAAAAACACAGCACCTCATTGGTTAAATTTGCCCTCTTAAGCATTGTCTTCCTGGATGAGGAAGTTTTCATGTCCTTGCTAAAGATGGTATTAGTCAGCTCTTTATTTATTATCTCTTGCAAATAATAGTTGGATACAGTTCACATCATATAAACATTTATTTATTCAAAAATCCAACAGAGACTATATGCTGCTATGGAACAGTTGTATAATAAAAACATTGCAAAATCTCCTTTTAACAGGACTCTTCCTCTGTCCAATGCAATAGTGCTTCAGCATGGAGCAGTTTTCTGGAGGTCTTTGATTCTTTCTCTCGACCTCTCAATCTTATCTCCAGTCTTGACATTTTATTTTCTCTTACATTTTCTTAAAACAAACAAACAAACAAAAACACAACAGGCCTTGGCTTATGGCTTTGATATCAGAAATAAATCTAGTTAAAATTGATAGTTTATGTACTATATTTCTTATATATTTCAATAACTTCCTTATTATATTTATTGCTTGCATGTATTTACACTTTTTGTATTTTACTTTGGTGTGCTAATATAAAGGATATTGTTCAGGAACTTAAGCATCTTGCAGGCTCGTTAGGGATGGCAGGATGTGGGAGCAGGTATATAATCAGCATTTACAGTTTAAGGTGAAGAGTGTCAACCCTTTTTTAATTTAGCATAAGTTTATTGAGTGTGTGCCTTTGGCCAGAGAGAGTTCTGGGCATTGGATACAGTGCTGTACAAGGCATAGCCTCTGCCCCTGAATAACGTATTCAGGGTTGCTGGACTCTGAGACTGTGCAAGAGAGGTGAGCTTCCATTCACTGGCAATCCCACAAACATCTCAGATCCTTTCCCACTTATCCCCTATTCCTACTCCCAAACTCTAGCCAAATGAGCTTCTCAGTCTGTAGATCTGGAGTAAGAACTGGAACTTGATTTTTTTTTCTTTTCTTTTTTTTTTTTTAAAGCTCCCCCTGGTAATTCTGATGCCCAGTCAAGTTTGGAAACTACCATATGACCTAATAGCCTCAATGACCTCACATAGATATTATAGGAGAAATTGCTAGAAGCCAGAAGGAAAAGGTATCTGTGAATAATTTTTCCTCGCAACATCTTGCTGCTGTTAGAATTTTAAAATATAGATTATAAAATCATTGATGATATTGTCTGTAACTCAGTGCAGCTATGTAGATAAGACAACCCTGTGCTCTTCTAGAGGATCCTTAGCTTTTGTAATTTATTGAAATAATATTCAAGCAAAGTTATTTCTTTTGCTCTCATTTTTAAATAGCCTTCTTATGAAAATAATGGTGCAGTCCACTTTCTTATTGTTTGTTCAGTTGATACAAGCCTGTTATTCTTCTCTTTCGCCATTCCACAAATGTCCAATGCTTTCTTTCCTCTGGGCCTTTACACATGCTATGTCCATATCCATTCATTGGTTCATTCATACTCAGGTATCAAGTGTGGAAAACAATCCATTTTTGCACATACAAGAGCTAAAAAAAATGTAACTCCCATGCATCCTGTCACAGAAAGCTTTTGGGGAATATGTAAAACAAGGAAGAGAAAGACAAGGCTTGGGAAATGGCTAGCTAAGGAACAGTAGCCAAGGGAAGGAAGTATCAGAATGAAAACTGCTACAGCATGCAAAAGCCCAGAAGGGAGAGCTCTAGGGGAAAGAAAGAAAAAGGCTCTTGAAAAATAATATGGACAAACACATCCCAGATGTGATGGAATAATTAGTCATGGAGAAAACTTTGAAAATAAAAAAAAACAAAACAGGCTGTTGATAAAGGAAAGTATAATTCTTACATACTGTTTGGCTCAGCAGTGAATAACACTTACATCATTATTGTAGTACAACTATTGATTATTTACTTTACCATAAATCATGATATGGCTTTATTGGGATAAGGGGACAGGGGAACTGAGTGTGTGAGCAATGATGGTGTAAGGGCATTAAATGCAAAAAAAATCAATAGAGAAGATGTATATTTAATAAATCAAGAAATAACACACATATTGGAAAGTAATATAGAAAGAAATACTAGAAGAAATGGCTGTAAGAACTCAAAGTAGTTGCCTCAGTCAAGGGTGGGTAGGGAATAGGGGATGTTCAAACAGAACTGTGTTATTTTTCTACAAAAGTCTTTTAGGCTTTAAAAATATTTTTGTTTTTCTTTTACAAGCACATTTATTTCTTTGATTAAAAATGAATTGATATGTATGTATAAAGCAACTACCAGTACCTGGAAAAGTGCTTAACTCTGACCATGATATAAGAAAAGTGACAAAACATGATTCTGCTACTCCAGGACTATAAGTCACTTTGGATTATATAAGCTACAATGCTTATGTAAGAAACAATTAAAGAAAAAGTTGTGATCAAATCCGACAAGAACCCAAAGAAGTTTTGTATTCCAATTATATGAACTTTAGTGTTTAAAAAATGTATAAAACAAAAAGTCTTATTAAATTTATAATTTTTTTCCCTTACTCAAAGGATGGTAATAAAAATGAATTACTCTGTTTCAGCTCCTCCTTAAGGTTCTACAAATTTGGTCCCATTGAAGTCTCTCTGAAAGAGGAGTCTACTGAACAGCTAATCTCTACATTGCTACTGTAATGGCTGCCTTTGTAGTCTTCAGTCTTGGCTCTGTTTTTGTTTTTGTTTTTTGTGTTTTTTTGAGTTATTAAGTGCTTACTTAATACCAGGCACTTTTGTTTTTAGGAGAGGAGCATTGAGTTCATGTTCCCTTTTGCCCAATGACTCTCTGAAAAGATGCTGCAGAGATGGCTAAAGAAGAACAGACAAATAAGGAAATCAAAACAAAAGAGTCAGAGGAATGAAGGGCGAAAATGTTGAAGAATACAAATATTGTGTTTGTCAGGACTTTGGGGAGAGTTTCATAAATGTATTTCTTGCCATCGTTGCATATTTTACTTGGACATCCTGTCACTTCCTCTGTCCCCTCTATAACAGAAATATTTGTTAGAAAGGTTAAAATCACTAAAAAAGTTGTTTATGTGGCATGTTTCTTAGTAAGAGGTCTTCTATTCCTCTGAAAAATGTTAAATTACAGTGGTCAACTAAGCCTATAGAAGGATTAAGCAGGCACAGGTTAGAAGGCATCAAATATACTTAAAATTTTTTTAGATAGAAAATCTCTGGAGGAAAGATGTATCTCAGAGATCAACCCTTATGTATATGCTAAAAGTTTTTCCCCAGCATTAACAATACCAACAGTCTGAAAGCCTGAGCACTATACATTAGGTTGGTACAAAAGTAATTGCAGTTTTTGCTATTACTTTTAATGGCAAAACCCATAATTACTTTTGCAGCAACCTAACAGCTTTTTAGACAAGTGGATTGGAAAGGTAATATACACATATGAAATACATTTTGGAAATAGAAGGCAAATATACAGAATAAAGCAACCAGCTCTTGTAATCACAATGCTTACAGTAGATTACAGTTAACTTTTTAAGTGATACATGTATTAAGTAAATATATATCATATATATGAGAAAAAGAAGTGTGATATTGTGTATATATGATCTGCTCCCATGCTTTTCTTCCACTGACATTCTGATCTACTTTTTTTGTGCTGGACCAACTTGTCAAGAATTTGGGGTATTTAATCCAGGCATGACGGAACAAGGCAAAGCTTTAAAGAAATCCAGTTGTCTTTTACATCTAGACCTGAAAACCTGTGGTATTTAGTCTCCACAAGAGTTGGAAATCAAGTTGGAGACAAATTATTCTGTGACTATTCATTTAGTTAAAGCAGATAACATATGAAAAAATTAAAAAGTTAGGTATTATCTATTTAGGTATGACCCTATCCTGGAAGGATTTATGGCCAATAAATATTAGATAGTAGATATTGTAACAGAGGGCTAAACATTTTCATAAAAAGTTTTTAAAAATTCATTATGATAAATATACATGTGAAGTTTACCATTTCTACCATCTTAATGTACAGTTCTGTGACATTAAGTGCGTTCACTTGGTTGTGCAACCATCCCCACCATCCATCTCCAGAACTTTTTCATATTCCTCAACTGAAACTCTGTACTTATTAAACAATAACTCCCTATTCCCTCACCCCCTTTCCCCTGTTGACCACCATTCTACTTTCTGTCTCCCTAAATTTGACTACTCTATGTACCTTATATAAGTGAAATCATACAATATTTGTCTTTTTGTGACTAGCTTGTTTCATTTAGCACAATTCTTCAAGATTCATTCATGTTTTAGTATGTGTCAGAATTTCCTTCCTTTTTAAGGCTGAATAATATTGCATATTGTGTGTAGACTGCATTTTGTTTATCCATTCATTTGTTGAATTATAAAATTTTAAATGTAATAGTCACTCATGTGTTGAAACTTTCTCTTCCCTCGACTCTGTGACAGAGTCGGCTGGGTGATGACCAAATTTGTGATCCCCTCCACGGTGTAGAGTTGTTGGACAGCAGTGCCCAGACAGGGACTAACTTTCTGACTCCCTCGTATGTCTAGGTGGGTTTCATGACAAGCAGCTGCCCATGGAATGTGAGAGGAAGTGTGTGCATTGTATCTGAGTATGCATGATACTCTAAACATCTGCTGACAGGGTGGTACCTGGACAACTTTGAAACCATGAGATGGCAGAGCCACAAGGTGGAAGGAGTCTGGGTCTATGAGTCATCACTTTGAGGGGAGCCTCTCAAGAAGCCCTTCCTACTAGGAATTACATTGGATTTTGTATAAGTGAGAATTTTATATGTTAAGCCATTGAGATTTGGGAGCGATTAATCAATCCTGTCTAATGCAACTTTCAAGTCCATCTGTTTCAAGTTTCTTCTATTTTCCAATTCTTCTTTCTCAGTGTCCATTGCTGACTTTGCTTTCCTCTGCCTTATCTCCTGCTTTATAGTCACTGGGCCATATAGATCATACTTTTTAAAATAGTGCCTGTATCAATTTTCTCCTACCTAAATGTTCTTTTTTTTTCTTTTTTTCTTTTTTTTTTGAGACAGAGTCTCATTCTGTCCCCAGGCTGGAGTGCACTGGTGTGATCTCGTCTTGCTGCAACCTCTGCCTCTTGGGTTCAAGCGATTCTCCTGCCTCAGCCTCCCAAGTAGCTGGGACTATAGGCATGCACCACCACGCCCAGCTAATTTTTGTATTTTTAGTAGAGATGGGGTTTCACCATGTTGGCCAAGATGGCCTCAATCTCCTGACCTTGTGATCCGCTCGCCTTGGCCTCCCAAAGTGCTGGGATTACAGGCGTGAGCCACCGCACCTGGCCAAATGTTCTTTATGCTTTAATTCAAGCAAAGGCAGACCAAGGGGTAAGGTCGTGCCAGCTAGGAGCTTGGGATGCTAATCTATAAGTGGTGCTTACAGACCATTGTACCTCTTGTATATACCAATAGCCTTCAAAGGAGGATACTGCATTGATTGAAAGAAGTACACTGAAAAGCCTTTGGGTGAGGGCTGAAACCTTCATGGGGCCTGCTTCAGTTGCAGCCAACAGTTACTAAACTGCATTAGGAAGCAAATGGGTTCTGGATAATGTAGAGCTCTGATTTTGTGTGTGGGGACTAGCAACCAGCTCCTTCTATGAACAAATGTTGAGCAAATATTTTAAAAACATCAGTTTGCAGGAAAGAGGAATAATCAGCCTACTCAAGTTCCCTGCATAATCTTAGTTCAGGCTACCAACTTTTCTTGCTATGTTTTGGGCTATTTCATTTCACTCCAAATTGTCTTTCTCCCCTTCATCCTCCTCACTGCTGCCCGAGTGATCTTTCTAAAGCACAACTCTGATCATGTTATCTCTTCCATTAAAACTCTGAGGCTTCTCTTTGCTGAGGGTGGATATTCTTAGAATCGATCTGTCTGACCAGCCACTGGGAAGCAAGTAGGTGAGAAAAACCATTTAAATAGAGCAGGTTATAATGCCTTCATCCCAAATTATAAGCTTATGCCAGAGAATGAAAATAATGTGGAAGATGTGAATCTTATATGTCTGGCTGTTTCTCACCTCCAAATCTTTGCTCAGATTGTCCTTTCTTCCAAAATTCCAGGAGAATATTTACTCACCTTGCAAGTCTCAGCTCAAGGGTTATCCCTTCTATGAAATCTTTCCTGACAAGTTTCCTACTCCTCATTATCTGTTTCTTTTTGTTTTTTCTTCCTCTCCAAATCTAGAAAGTGGTTGAGAGGCAGAAAAGTTTACGGTTTTCTAGCATTTAACAAAGGCTCCATGACCGTGTGAGAATGGTTTTTATAGCACTATCATTTTGAAGGAAGGTGTATATGCCTGTTACACTGAAAGTGTTTGGCAGCTTCACAGTGCTTCATGTCTAATGCATATGGAGATCATTGGCAATTGCTCCCTACTGGACTCCAAGACTGCAGTATGTGTATAGAGATGGGAAACAGGCCCATCCTGTGGGCTAAACTCAAGAGTTTAAATATCTCCTTTGAGCAGAGGAAGGCTCATTTATCGTTTCCTCTTCCTGAATTCCCTTGTTCATTTGGGTGCTATCAATCATCCTTTTGTTAGGAAAAAGAAATTAAATGTCTTACAGTGAGTTTACTTTGTAACTGGAGTGATCTTAGAAGAAGAATAAACCAAGTTGTTCTTGTCTTGGAAATCTCTTTGCCATTCAAAATTTTTGGTCCGCACACTTGACGTGCACCATTATCTGCTGCCACTGCTATTGTTTAATTGACAGCCTTCAGTTGTCAGGCCCTTTTGATTGAAGGTGAATGCAATTTATAACATATTTTTTTTTGTTATTTTCTTTTTTTAAATTTTTATTTTATTTTATTATTATTATACTTTAAGTTTTAGGGTACATGTGCACAATGTGCAGGTTAGTTACATATGTATACAAGTGCCATGATGGTGTGCTGCACCCATTGACTCATCATTTAGCATTAGGTATATCTCCTAATGCTATCCCTCCCCCCTCCCCCCACCCCACAACAGTCCCCAGAGTGTGATGTTCCCCTTCCTGTGTCCATGTGTTCTCATTGTTCAATTCCCACCTATGAGTGAGAATATGCAGTGTTTGGTTTTTTGTTCTTGTGATAGTTTACTGAGAATGATGATTTCCAGTTTCATCCATGTCCCTACAAAGGACATGAACTCACCCTTTTTTATGGCTGCATAGTATTCCATGATGTATATGTGCCACATTTTCTTAATCCAGTCTATCATTGTCGGACATTTGGGTTGGTTCCAAGTCTTTGCTCTTGTGAATAGTGCCGCAATAAACATACGTGTGCATGTGTCTTTATAGCAGCATGATTTATAGTCCTTTGGGTATATATCCAGTAATGGGATGGCTGGGTCAAATGGTATTTCTAGTTCTAGATCCCTGAGGAATCACCACACCGACTTCCACAATGGTTGAACTAGTTTACAGTCCCACCAACAGTGTCAAAGTGTTCCTATTTCTCCACATGCTCTCCAGCACCTGTTGTTACCTGATTTTTTAATGATTGCCATTCTAACTGGTGTGAGATGGCATTTCATTGTGGTTTTGATTTGCATTTCTCTGACAGCCAGTGATGGTGAGCATTTTTTCATGTGTTTTTTGGCTGCATAAATGTCTTCTTTTGAGAAGTGTCTGTTCATGTCCTTCGCCCACTTTTTGATGGGGTTGTTTGTTTTTTTCTTGTAAATCTGTTTGAGTTCATTGTAGATTCTGGATATTAGCCCTTTGTCAGATGGATAGATTGTAAACATTTTCTCCCATTCTGTAGGTTGCCTGTTCACTCTGATGGTAGTTTCTTTTGCTGTGCAGAAGCTCTTTAGTTTAATTCGATCCCATTTGTCAATTTTGGCTTTTGTTGCCATTGCTTTTGGTGTTTTAGACATGAAGTCCTTGCCCATGCCTATGTCCTGAATGGTATTGCCTAGGTTTTCTTCTAGGGTTTTTATGGTTTTAGGTCTAACGTTTAAGTCTTTAATTCATCTTGAATTAATTTTTGTATAAGGTGTAAGGAAGGGATCCAGTTTCAGCTTTCTACATATGGCTAGTCAGTTTTCCCAGCACCATTTATTAAATAGGGAATCCTTTCCCCATTTCTTGTTTCTGTCAGGTTTGTCAAAGATCAGACAGTTGTAGATATGCGACGTTATTTCTGAGGGCTCTGTTCTGTTCCATTGGTCTATATCTCTGTTTTGGTACAAGTACCATGCTGTTTTGGTTACTGTAGCCTTGTAGTATAGTTTGAAGTCAGGTAGCCTGATGCCTCCAGCTTTGTTCTTTTGGTTTAGGATTGACTTGGCGATATGGGCTCTTTTTTGGTTCCATATGAACTTTAAAGTAGTTTTTTCCAATTCTGTGAAAAAAGTCATTGGTAGCTTGATGGGGATGGCATTGAATCTATAAATTACCTTGGGCAGTATGGCCATTTTCACGATATTGATTCTTCCTAACCATGAGCATGGAATGTTCTTCCATTTGTTTGTATCCTTTTTTATTTCATTGAGCAGTGTTTTGTAGTTCTTCTTGAAGAGGTCCTTCACATCCCTTGTAAGTTGGATTTCTAGGTATTTTATTCTCTTTGAAGCAATTTTGAATGGGAGTTCCCTCATGATTTGGCTCTCTGTTTGTCTGCTATTGGTGTATAAGAATGCTTGTGATTTTTGCACATCAATTTTGTATCCTGAGCCTTTGCTGAAGTTGCTTATCAGCTTAAGGAGATTTTGGGCTGAGACAATGGGGTTTTCTAGATAATACAATCATGTCATCTGCAAACAGGGACAATTTGACTTCCTCTTTTCCTAATTGAATACCCTTTATTTCCTTCTCCTGCCTAATGGCCCTGGCCAGAACTTCCAACACTATGTTGAATAGGAGTGGTGAGAGAGGGCATCCCTGTCTTGTGCCCGTTTTCAAAGGGAATGCTTCCAGTTTTTGCCCATTCAGTATGATATTGGCTGTGTGTTTGTCATAGATAGCTCCTATTATTTTGAGATATGTCCCATCAATACCTAATTTATTGAGAGTTTTTAGCATGAAGAGTTGTTGAATTTTGTCAAAGGCCTTTTCTGCATCTATTGAGATAATCATGTGGTTTTTGTCTTTGGTTCTGTTTATATGCTGGATTATATTTATTGATTTGCATATATTGAACCAGCCTTGCATGCCAGGGATGAAGTCCACTTGATCATGGTGGATAAGTTTTTGATGTGCTGCTGGATTTGGTTTGCCAGTATTTTATTGAGGATTTTTGCATTAATGTTCATCAAGGATATTGGTCTAAAATTCTCTTTTTTGGTTGTGTCTCTGCCCAGCTTTGGTATCAGGATGATGCTGGGCTCATAAAATGAGTTAGGGAGGATTCCCTCTTTTTCTATTGATTGGAATAGTTTCAGAAGGAATGGTAACAATTCCTCCTTGTACCTCTGGTAGAATTTGGCTGTGAATCCGTCTGGTCCTGGACTCTTTTTGGTTGGTAAGCTATTGATTATTGCCACAATTTCAGAGCCTGTTATTGGTCTATTCAGAGAGTCAAATTCTTCCTGGTTTAGTCTTGGAAATGTGTATGTGTCGAGGAATGTATCCATTTCTTCTAGATTTTCTAGTTTATTTGCATAGAGGTGTTTGTAATATTCTCTGATGGTAGTTTGTATTTCTGTGGGATCAGTGGTGATATCCCCTTTATCATTTTTTATTGCGTCTATTTGATTCTTCTCTCTTTTCTTCTTTATTAGTTTTGCTAGCGGTCTATCAATTTTGTTGATCCTTTCAAAAAACCAGCTCCTGGATTCATTAATTTTTTGAAGGGTTTTTTGTGTCTCTATTTCCTTCAGTTCTGCTCTGTTTTTAATTAGTTCTTGCCTTCTGCTAGCTTTTGAATGTGTTTGCTCTTGCTTTTCTAGTTCTTTTAATTGTGATGTTAGGGTGTCAATTTTGGATCTTTCCTGCTTTCTCTTGTGGGCATTTAGTGCTATAAATTTCCCTCTACACACTGCTTTGAATGTGTCCCAGAGATTCTGGTATGTTGTGTCTTAGTTCTCGTGGTTTCAAAGAACATCTTTATTTCTGCTTCATTTCGTTACGTACCCAGTAGTCATTCAGGAGCAGGTTGTTCAGTTTCCATGTAACTGAGCGGTTTTGAGTGAGTTTCTTAATCCTGAGTTCTAGTTTGATTGCATGGTCGTCTGAGAGACAGTTTGTTATAATTTCTGTTCTTTTCCATTTGCTGAGGAGAGCTTTACTTCCAAGTATGTGGTCAATTTTGGAATAGGTGTGGTGTGGTGCTGAAAAAAATGTATATTCTGTTGATTTGGGGTGGAGAGTTCTGTAGATGTCTATTAGGTCCACTTGGTACAGAGCTGAGTTCAATTCCTGGGTATCCTTATTAACTTTCTGTCTCGTTGATCTGTTTAATGTTGACAGTGGGGTGTTAAAGTCTCCCATTATTATTGTGTGGGAGTCTAAGTCTCTTTGTAGGTCACTCAGGACTTGCTTTATGAAACTGGGTGCTCCTGTATTGTGTGCATATATATTTAGGATAGTTAGCTCTTCTTGTTGAGTTGATCCCTTTACCATTATGGAATGGCCTTCTTTGTCTCTTTTGATCTTTGTTGGTTTAAAGTCTGTTTAATCAGAGACTAGGATTGCAACCTCTGCCTTTTTTTGTTTTCCATTTGCTTGGTAGATCTTCCTCCATCCCTTTATTTCGAGCCTATGTGTGTCTCTGCACGTGAGATGGGTTTCCTGAATACAGCACACTGATGGGTCTTGACTCTTTATCCAATTTGCCAGTCTGTGTCTTTTAATTGGAGCATTTAGTCCATTTACATTTAAAGTTAATATTGTTATGTGTGAATTTGATCCTGTCATTATGATGTTAGCTGGTTATTTTGCTCATTAGTTGATGCAGTTTCTTCCTAGCCTTGATGGTCTTTACAATTTGGCATGATTTTGCAGTGGCTGGTACCAGTTGTTCCTTTCCATGTTTAGCGCTTCCTTCAGAAGCTCTTTTAGGGCAGGCCTGGTGGTGACAAAATCTCTCAGCATTTGCTTGTCTGTAAAGGATTTTATTTCTCCTTCACTTATGAAGCTTAGTTTGGCTGGAAATGAAATTCTGAGTTGAAAATTCTTTTCTTTAAGAATGTTGAATATTGGCCCCCACTCTCTTCTGGCTTGCAGGGTTTTTGCTGAGAGATCTGCTGTTAGTCTGATGGGCTTCCCTTTGTGGGTAACCCGACCTTTCTCTCTGGCTGCCCTTAACATTTTTTCCTTCATTTCAACTTTGGTGAATCTGACAATTATGTGTCTTGGAGTTGCTTTTCTCGAGGAGTATCTTTGTGGCGTTCTCTGTATTTCCTGAATCTGAATGTTGGCCTGCCTTGCTAGACTGGGGAAGTTCTCCTGGATAATATCCTGCAGAGTGTTTTCCAACTTGGTTCCATTCTCCCCGTCACTTTCAGGTACACCAATCAGACGTAGATTTGATCTTTTCACATAGTCCCATATTTCTTGGAGGCTTTGTTCATTTCTTTGTATTCTTTTTTCTCTAAACTTCCCTTCTCACTTCATTTCATTCATTTCATCTTCCATCACTGATACCCTTTCTTCCAGTTGATCGCATCGGCTCCTGAGGCTTCTGCATTCTTCACGTAGTTCTCGAGCCTTGGCTTTCAGCTCCATCAGCTCCTTTAAGCACTTCTCTGTATTGGTTATTCTAGTTATACATTCGTCTAAATTTTTTTCAAAGTTTTCAACTTCTTTGCCTTTGGTTTGAATTTCCTCCTGTAGCTCGGAGTAGTTTGATCGTCTGAAGACTTCTTCTCTCAACTCATCAAAGTCATTCTCCATCCAGCTTTGTTCCGTTGCTGGTGAGGAACTGCGTTCCTTTGGAGGAGGAGAGCCACTCTGCTTTTTAGAGTTTCCAGTTTTTCTGCTCTGTTTTTTTCCCTGTCTTTGTGGTTTTATCTACTTTTGGTCTTTGATGATGGTGATGTACAGATGGGTTTTTGGTGTGGATGTCCTTTCTGTTTGTTAGTTTTCCTTCTAACAGACAGCACCCTCAGCTGCAGGTCTGTTGGAGTTTGCTAGAGGACCACTCCAGACCCTGTTTGCATGGGTAACAGCAGTGGTGGCTGCAGAACTGCGGATTTTCATGAACCACGAATGCTGCTGTCTGATCATTCCTCTGGAAGTTTTGTCTCAGAGGAGTACCTGGCCATGTGAGGTGTCAGTCTGTCCTTACTGGGGGTGCCTCCCAGTTAGGCTTCTCTGGGGTCAGGGGTCAGGGACCCACTTCAGGAGGCAGTCTGCCCGTTCTCAGATCTCCAGCTGCGTGCTGGGAGAACCACTGCTCTCTTCAAAGCTCAGATGGAAATGCGGAAGTCACCCGTCTTCTGCGTCGCTCACCCGTCTTCTGCGTCGCTCACGCTGGGAGCCGTAGACCAGAGCTGTTCCTATTTGGCCATCTTGGCTCTATAACATAATTTTGAGATGCCGAAGTTTAATTCCACTAAACTTTCATTATAACACTATGGTCTTATTGAGGATTTATAACCAAAACAAGATAGCTATGAATAAAACCTTTCTGCGCTCTTTATTCACTTTAGGTCCCGCTACTAGCTCTGGTCTTCTAGCCGTACTCCCTGGTTATCAAATAAACACCTGTGCAGATGACACTTAGCTTTGGTCCTGTGGCTCACTAATGAACAGAAATGTTGACTCCCCTGCCTGAGGTTTTTCTTTTTTGGAGGTGGGGACAAGAATTGGTCAGACGCTGAGATAGCATTGCCAGATGATTATTTATTTCTGCAGAGAAGTCCCCTAAACATAAATTCTTACATTGCTAAAATTTTCTTCACATCCTTCCCTACCAAAAGCAAATTTATTCACTCTTCACTAAAGGGATGGTAAATTCTGCAGCCCCATCCTCCACCCTCTGCCCCCCGTTCCATGGAAGACGGCACTAATAGATTGCAGCATTGTTTTCCTCTGAGCCTTGGAATCCTCAACACAGAACACCCCGTAGTAACTATGAATAGACTGTAGTTGACAACCAAGTTAAAACCTTTGCAATATCCATGAGCCCCTATATGCCAAACACTGATTATACGAAGGTGAATAATACACAATCTTTGCATTCAAGGCCACTGCATGCTAGTAGGTAAAAGAAAGAGTCCCTCATCTCCCTCCTTACCCCTACTGCACTTTCTGTTCTTGAGGAATCCATTAACCAAATAATTTCTACTTTTATGGTTAAAAGTTTAAAAAAAAAGGGCTCAGACTGCTTTTATTCTCAAGTCTTAGCTTCTGCAGAAAGGTCTAAGGTTGAAATATTTTATTTAATTATAAAATCTAATAATTTGTGTTGGTTTTTCTTCTACTTCTGCTTTCATTAATTCTGGCCTAAAAATAGCACAGCTTCATGTTTCAGTAGCAACAGATTTTAATTTCCTCTTGTGGCTAGTAAACAACCCACCTACTTCAATGGGACTTTTTTTCCCCCACTGACCAGGTAGCCAAAAAATTTCCTTCCTCAAAATCCTCAGCTAGTAAATGGTGTAATTTGGAGCTGACAGCTGATGAGTGAAAGGGGAATTGCCCACTTTGTCCTGCAGCTTAGGAGTAAGTGGCCTCAGCCCTGAGACTTCATAGGCCTGGGAAGGACCTTTAGCTTCTTCTGCACAAATCTCCTCCTCTCTCTTCCCACAGTTGCCTTGAGGAGGTGACTGTGTCTCTCAGTCACCAATTAGAGATGAAGATTCAAAAGCAAGTGTACCCCAGAACAAAGCCTTTTGTTTTTACCCTGAGGTGTAAATGGTTAAAAAAATATATGCTTCTGGAGCAAAGAGGAAGCTGGAGAAAGCTGGCCAGCAAGGGGAAGGGGAAATGGGACTTTCCCAGCAAGAAGAATCTGAAACATGGGATGAGGGGCACACGGAGGATCTACAGTGGCTTCCTCACAATTTTAACTAAGTCTTGCCTTTCGCTGACACTGAGTGAAAGTACTTGACTGATGTCTTGGGTTATCTTTAAAGCAAGGGGACCACTGAGACTCTTCTGATCATCTTGTCTCCATTGCACATGGATTGATTGCTCTTCCCTGCTGAGAAAGGCACAGGTTCCTGGATGCTCTTGATAAACCCAGTGAACAGAGCCCAGGGCCTAGAAGATTGAGCTGGTTCCAATCTTGCTGAGAAAGGCTGTTCCTTCATTTCAGCATCTGGCTTCATTTTGTGCTTTCTTAGAAATCTCCATGTGAGGAAGAAAAAGTTATCTGCATACATTTCTTCTGAAATAGATCATTGTATGGGATGGCTGATGGTACATGGGCTTTCTGTGCCATGCTTAGTGACCACTGGCTAAGGACTTGGAACCAGATGCCTCATTACTGTTTAAGACTCTGCAGTTTCTCTCAGGTTCTGAGGTGCAATGAAAGCTGACTGCTTCTCTAATTACTTCCTTACACCCTACACTCCTCCTTAAGGACTAAGGGGCCATTTCCTTTGCTAGCTTTAACTCTTTTCAGTGTGTTTACTCATTATTTGGTTAGAATATTTACTATATATATTTCACTTAGTGAATATAGTATATTACATATATTTCACTTAGTGAATATAGTGTATTTTAGTATCAGTGTCAGGAATATATGAGTTCAACACTAGATCTAATTTTCAAACTGGGCACTCCTGGTGAAGTTCTGTGGTCTCTACGAACCACAGCATCATTATCTTTAAACTGGAAATATTAATACCTAACTTTTCACGTGGTGAAAAATAATGGGAAAATATACGTATTCAATATATGTATATGATAGTTTTATTATATTAAAGTGTTCTTTATTTGTCATTATACTTTAAGTTCTGGAATACATGTGCAGAACGTGCAGGTTTGTTACATAGGTATACATGTGCCATGGTGGTTTGCTGCATCCATCAACCAGTAATCTACATTAGGTATTTCTCCTAATGCTATCCCTCCCCTAGCCCCCTAGTCCCCAACAGGCCCCAGTGTGTGATGTTCCCCTCCTTGTGTCCATGTGTTCTCATTGTTCAACTCCCACTTATGAGTGAGAACGTGTGGTGATTGTTTTTCTGTTCCTGTGTTAGTTTGCTGAGAATGATGGTTTCCAGCTTCATCCATGTCGCTGCAAAGGACATGAACTCATCCTTTTTTATGGTTGCATAGTATTCCATGGTGTATATGTGCCACATTTTCTTTATCTAGTCTATCATTGATGGACATTTAGGTTGGTTCCAAGTCTTTGCTATTGTGAATAGTACTGCACAACTACATGGAAACTGAACAACCTGCTCCTGAATGACTACTGAGCAAATAATGAAATTGTTCTTTTCTAAAAAAACCCTTTTTAGAGCAGTGTTAAGTTCACAGCAAAATTGAGAGGAAGGTATAGAGATATCCTATATACCCCACATATGCATAATCTTTCCCATTATCAATATCCGCTATCAAAGTAGCCCCTTTGTTACAATTGATGAACCTACATTGATACTTCATTATTACCCCAAATTCATAGTTTACATTAAGATTCACTCTTTCACTGCCCTGAAAGTTCTCTGTGTTCTGCTTGTTCATTATCCCTGCCCACTAACCCCCGGTAACTGCTGATCTTTTTCTTGTCTCCATAGTTGTGCCATTTCCAGAATGTCATACATTTAGAATCAGACAGTACATAGCCCTTTCAGACTGGCTTCTTTCACTTAGTAATATGCATTTAAGTTGCTTCCAGGTCTTTTCATGGCTTGATAACTCATTTATTTTTAGTGTTGAATAATATTTCATTGTCTAGATATACCACAGTTATCCATTCACCTACTAAAGGACATCTTTGTGTTGCAATTTTTAGAGAAGTACAGCTAAACAGTGAGCAAATTGCTGATATAATGATAAGAACAACAATAATACTTTAAACACCTTTTATCAAACACTTTTACATACATTTTCTTATTTGAGAGTTACCAGTCTGGTGAAATTGACACAGCAGGTATTTTTAAATATTTATTTCAAAAATTGGGAAATGAGAATCAGAGAACAAATTTATTAATCTCACTAATGGTCTATCAATTTTGTTTATCTTTTCAAAGAACCAGCTTTTTGTTTCATTTATCTTTTGTATTTTTTTGTTTCAATTTCATTTAGTTCTGCTCTGATCTTTTTCAAATATTTTTAAAAATTTTTTCCATAGGATATTGGGGTACAGGTGGTATTTGGTTACATGAGTAAGTTATTTAGTGGTGATTTGTGAGATTTTGGTGCACCCATCACAGAGCAGTATATACAGCACCTTATTTGTGGTCTTTCATCCCTCACCCCCCTCCCACCCTTCCCGCCAAGTCCCCAAAGTCCATTGTATCATTCTTATGCCTTTGAATCCTCATAGCTTAGCTCCCACATATCAGTGAGAACATACGATGTTTGGTTTTCCATTCCTAAGTTACTTCACTTAGAATAGTAGTCTCCAATCTCTTCCAGGTCGCTGCGAATGCTGTTAATTCATTCCTTTTTATGGCTGAGTAGTATTTCATCATATATATGTGTGTATACATATATATGTATGTATACACATATATATGTGCATACATATACATATGTATGTATATATGTGTGTGTATATGTACACACACACACACATATATATATATTTATATATATACACATATATTTGTAGTTTCAGGTCTTCGATTTAAATCCTTAATTCATCTTGAGTTGATTTTTGTATAAGGTGAAAGATGAGAATCCAGTTTCATTCTCCTACATGTGGCTAGCCAAATATCCCACATATGTATTTGTATATATACATATATATACACACATATATACATCATATATGCGTGTATGTGTATCTATACACACATATATGATTATATATATATACATGTATATGCATATATATACTATATGCATATGTATATGCATATGTGTATATATACTATATGCATATGCGTATATATACTATATGCATATGTATATGCATATGCGTATATATACTATATGCGTATGCGTATATATACTATATGCATATGCGTATATATACTATATGCATATTCATATATACTATATGCATATGCATATATATACTATATGTATATGCATATGCATGTGCATATATACTATATGTATATGCATATGTATATATATACTATATGTATATGTGTGTATATACATGCATAGATATATGCACACACCAGTTTTTTTATCCACTCATTGATTGATGGGCATTTGGGCTGGTTCCACGATTTTGCAATTGTGAATGGTGCTGCTATAAACATGCATGTGCAAGTATCTTTTTCACTTAAGGATTTATTTTCCTCTGGGTAGTGGGATAGCTGGATCAAATGGTAGTTCTACTTTTAGTTCTTTAAGGAATCTCCACACTGTTCTCCATAGTGGCTGTATTAGTTTGCATTCCCACCAGCACTGTAGAAGTGTTCCCTGATCACCACACTCACACAAACATCTACTGTTTTTTGATTTTTTGATTATGGCTATTCTTGCAGGACTAAGGTGGTATTGCAATGTGGTTTTGATTTGCATTTTCCTGACTGTTAGTGATGTTGAGCATTTTTTCATATGTTTGTTGGCCATTTGTAAATCTTCTTTTGAGAATTGCCTATTCATGTCCTTAGACCACTTTTTGATGGGATTATTTGTTTTTTTTCTTACTGGCTTGTTTGGGTTAGTTGTAGATTCTGGATAGTAGTGCTTTGTCAAATGTATAGATTGAGAAGATTTTCTCCCACTCTGTGCATTGTCTTTTTACTATGCAGACTGTTCCTTTTGCTGTGCAAAAGTTCTTTAGTTTAATTAAGTCCCAACTATTTATCTTTGTTTTTACTGCATTTGCTTTTGGGTTCTTGATCATGAAATCCTTGCCCAAGCCAATGTCTAGAAGGGTTTTTCTAATGTTATCTTCAAGAATGTTTATAGTCTCAGGTCTTCAATTTAAATCCTTAATTCATCTTGAGTTGATTCTTGTATAAGGTGAAAGATGAGAATCCAGTTTCATTGTCCTACATGTGGCTAGCCAAATATTTCAGCACCATTTGTTGAAAAGGGCATCCTTTTCCCACTTTATGTTTTTGTTTGCTTTGTCAAAGATCAGTTGGCTTTAAGTATTTGGGTTTATTTCTGGGTTCTCTATTCTGTTCCATTGGTCTATGTGTCTATTTTTATACGAGTACCATGCTGTTTTTGTGACTATGGCCTTATAGTATAGTTTGAAATCAGGTAGTGTGAAGCCTCCAGATTTGTTCTTTTTGTTTAGTCTTGCTTTGGCTATGCAGGCTCCTTTTTGGTTCCATATAAATTTTAGAATTGTTTTTTCTAATTCCGTAAAGAATGATGATGATATTTTGATGGTGATTGCATTGAATTCGTAGATTGCTTTTGGCAGTATGTTCACAATATTTATTCTATCCATCTGTCAGCATGGGATGTATGGGATGTGTTTCCATTTCTTTGTGTCATCTATGATTTCTTTCGGCAGTGTTTTGTAGTTTTCCTTGTAGAACTTTTTCACCTCCTTGGTTAGGTATATTACTACTTTTCTTTCTTTTCTTTCTTTTTTTTTTTTTTTTTGCAGCTTTGTAAAAGTGGTTGAGTTCTTGATTTGATTCTCCACTTGGTCGCTGTTGGTGTATAGAAGGGCTACTAATTTGTGTACATTAATCTTGTATCCAGAAACTTTGCTGAATTCTTTTACCAGTTCTAGGAGCTTTCTGGAGTAGTCTTTAGGGTTTTCTAGGTAAACAATCATATCATCAGCCAACAGTGACAGTTTGACTTCCTCTTTACCGATGTGGATGCACTTTATTTCTTTCTCTTGTCTGATTGCTTTAGCTAGGACTTCCAGCACTATGTCAAAAAGGAGTGGTGGAAGTAGGTATCCTTGTCTTGTTCCAGTTCTCAGAGGGAATGCTTTCAACTTTTCCCCATTCAGTATTATGTTGGCTGTGGATTTGTCATAGGTGGCTTTTATTATATTGAGGTATGTCCCTTGTATGCTGATTTTTCTGACAGTTGTAATCATAAAGTGTTGCTGGATTTTGTCGAATGCTTTCTCTGCATCTATTGAGATGATCATGTGATTTTTGTTTTTAATTCTGCTTATGCGGTGTACACATTTATTGACTTGCATGTGTTAAAACATCCCTGCATCCCTGGTATGAAACCCACTTTATCATGGTGGATTATCTTTTTGATATGTTGTTGGATTTAGTTAGCTAGTATTTATTTAAGGATTTTAGCATCTGTGTTCATCATGGATATTGGTCTGTAGTTTTCTTTTTTGGTTATGTCCTTTCCTGGTTTTGGTATTAGGGTGATGCTGGCTTCATAGAATAAATTAGGGAGGGTTTCCTCTTTCTCTATCTTGTGAAATAGTGTCAAAAGGATTGGTACCAATTCTTCTTTGAATGTCTGGTAGAATTCTATATCTGTTAAGTCCAATTGTTCCAAGGTATAGTTTAAATCCATTGTTTCTTTGTTGCCTTTCTGTCTTGATGACTTGTCTAGTGTTGTCAGTGGAGTATTGAAGTCCCCCACTATTATCGTGTTGTTGTCTACCTCATTTCTTAGATCTATTAGTAATTGTTTTATAAATTTGGGAGCTCCAGTGTTAGGTACATACATGTTTAGGATTGTGATATTTTCCTGTTGGACAAGGCCTTTTACCATTATATAATGTCCTTGTCTCTTTTAACCACTGTTGCTTTAGAGTTTGTTTTGTCTGATGTAAGAATAGCTAACCCTGCTCGCTTTTGGTGTCCATTTGCATGAAATGCCTTTTTCCACCTTTCTACTTTAAGTTTATGTGAGTCCTTATACATTAGGTGGGTCTCCTGAAGGCAGCAGATAGTTGGTGAGTTCTTATCCATTCTGCAGTTCTGTATCTTTTAAGTGGAGCATTTAGGCCATTTACATTCAATGTTAGTATTGAGATGTGAACTACCATTGCATTCATCATGTTATCTGTTGCCTGTGTACCTTGTTTTTTTATTTTAGTTTTTGCTTTTTAAATTGTATTTTTGTTTTATAGGCCATGTGTGATTTATGCTTTGAAGAGGTTCTGGTCTGATGTGTTTCCAGGATTTATTTCAAGATTTAGAGCTCCTTTTAGCAGATCTTGTAGTGGTGGATTTGTAGTGGTGAATTCTCTCAGCATTTGTTTGTCTGAAAATGACTGTATCTTTCCTTCATATATGATGCTCAATTTTGCTGGATACAAAATTCTCAGCTGATAATTATTTTGTTTCAGGAGGCTCAAGATAGGGCCCAATCCCTTCTATCTTACATGGCTTCTGCTGAGAAATCTGCCATTAACCTGAGGTTTTCCTTTGTAGGTTACCTGGTGCTTTTGTCTCACAGCTCTTAAGATTCTTTCCTTCATCTTAACTTTAGATAACCTGATGACAATGTGCCTATTGCAACCTTTTTGTGATGCATTTCCCAGGTGTTCTTTGTGCTTCTTGTATTTGGATGTCTAGGTGACTAGCAAGGCCAGGGAAGTTTTCTTTGATTATTCCCCCAAATATGTTCTCCAAACTTTTAGATTTCTCTTCTTCCTCAGGAACACTGGTTATTCTAAGGTTTGGTCATTTAACATAATCCCAGACTTCTTGGAGGCTTCGTTCATATTTTCTTATTCTTTTTTCTTTGTCTTTGTTGGTTTGGGCTACTTCGAAGACCTTGTCTTTGAGCTCTGAATTTCTTTCTTCTACTTGTTCAATTCTATTACTGAGACTTTCCAGATAATTTTGCAATTCTATAAGTATGTCCAATATTTCCTGAAGTTTTGTTTTTCTTTATGCTATTTCCTTGAATATTTCTCCTTCACTTCTTATATTGTTTTTTGGATTTCTTTGCATTGGGCTTTGCCTTTCTTTGGTGCCTCCCTGATCAGCTTAATAACCCCCTGAACTTTCTTTCTGGTAAACCAGGGATTTCTTCTTGGTTAGAATCCACTGCTGGTGAACTAGTGTGATTTTTTGGGGTGTTAAAGAGCCTTGTTTTGTCATATTACCAGAGTTGGTTTTCTAGTTTCTTCTCATTTGGGTAGCCTCTGTCAGAGGGAAGGTCTAGGGCTGAAGGCTGTTGTTCAGATTCTTTTGTCTCATGGGATGTTCCCTTGATGTAGTACTCTCCTCCTTGTCCTATGGTTGTGGCTTCCTGTGAGCCGAGCTGCAGTGATTGTTGTCTCTCCTGGGTCTAGCCACCTAGCAAGTCTACCTGGCTCCAGGCTGGTACTGGGGGTTGTCTGCACAGAGTCCTGTGATGTGAACTGTCTATGGGTCTCTTAGCCATGGATACCAGCACCTGTTCCAGTGGAGGTGGCAGTGGGGTGAAATGGAGACTCTGTGAGGGTTCTTAGCTTTGGTGGTTTAATGCTCTATTTTTGTGCTGGTTGGCCTCTTGCCAGTAGGTGATACTTAACAGAGAGCATCAGCTGTGGTAGTATGGAGAGGAACCAGTGGTGGGTGGAGCTCTAGAACTCCCAAGATTATATGCCCTTTGTCTTCAACTACCAGGGTGGATAGGAAAGGCCCATCAGGTGGGAGCAGGGCTAGGCATGTCTGAGCTCAGACTCTCCTTGGGCAGGGCTTGCAGCAGCTGCTTTGAGGGATAGAGGTGAGCTTCCCACGTCAATGGAGTTGTGTACCTGGGAGAATTATGGATGCATCTGCTGAGTCATGCAGGTTGTCAGGGAAGTGGGGGAAAGCCAACAGTCACTGGCCTCACCCAGCTCCCACACGAACCGAAGAGCTGGTCTCACTTCCACCATATCCGCTATAACAGTACCAAGTTTATTTCCAGGCTGTGGGTGAACGGGGCTTGAGAACTTGCCCCAGGCTACCTGCCTCCCAGCTGCTAAAGAAAATGGCTTGGTTCTTCCCCCACTTGTGGAGTCTGCCCACTGGATTCATGTTCTTCCCTGAGTTCTGGCCAAGAGGCTTCTTGCCCAGTTCAAATTGTTACAAAGTTCAGCTGGAGACTTCCTTCTCTCTGTGACATTTTCCCCTGCTCCTCTGACCACCCTCCCAATGAATCCGTGTGGTACCAGGCAGGAATGGCCAGCTTGGGGACCCAGTGAACTCCCAGGGCCTTTCCTGCTGCTTCCTCTATCCCTGTATTTCACTCAGCTCTCTAAATTGACTCAGTTCCAGGTAAGGTCGGAAACTTGTCCTGCAAACAGATTTTCAGTTTCCCCAGTGAGGTTGTGTGTTTGGGAGAGGAGGATCTTCCTTTTCCACTTCTGCAGGTGGGGCACTCATAGTATTTGGGGTATCTCCCAGTTCCTGCAGGAGCAGTCTACTTCCTTAAGAGGGTCTGTGGGTCCTCTTGGGGTTCCTGGTTTGTTCTTGCAGTTGATCTGGAGCTAAAATTCATGATGCAAACTTTCACATGCTGCTCTGTCCATCCAAGTCAGAGCTGCAAGCTGGTTCTGTCTCCTACCCTCCATAATCCCAATTCTCTTTACTGGTCTGATCTTTTTTATGTCTTTTCTTCTGCTGGATTTTGGTTTGGTTTGTTCTTGTTTCTCTAGTTCCTTGAGGTGTGACATTAGGTTTTCCATTTGTATTCTTTCAGACTTTTTGATGTATGCATTTAATGCTATGAACTTTCCTCTTAGCACTGCTTTTGCTGTATCCCAGAGGCTTTGATTAGTTGGTGTCACTATCATTGTTCCATTCAAAGAATTTTAAAATTTCCATCTTGATTTCACTGTTAATCCAAAAGATCATTCAAGAGCAGATTATTTAATTTCCATGTATTTGTATAGTTTTGAGGGTTCCCTTTGGAGTTCATTTCAAGTTTTATTCTACTGTGGTTTGAGAAGATAACTGATATAATTTTGATTTTCTTAAATGTATTGAGACTTGTCTTGTGACCTATTATATGGTCTATCTTGGAGAAGAATATTCCATGTGCTGACGAGAAGAATGTATATTCTGGAGTTGTTGGCTGGAATGTTCTGTAAATATCCGTGGAGTACATTTGTTCTAGGGTATAGTTTAAGTCCATTGTTTCTTTGTTGACTTTCTGTCTTGATGACCTATCTAGTGCTGTCAGTGGAGTATTGAAGTCTCCCACTATTATTGTATTGGTGTCTATCTAATTTCTTAGGTCTAGTTTTATAAATTTGGGAGCTCCAGTGTTAGATGCGTATATATTTAGGATTGTGATATCTTCCTGTGGGACTACTCCTTTTATCATTGTATAATGTCCTTCTTTGTCTTTTTTTTTTTTTTGCTGCTGTTGTTTTGAAGTCTGTTTTGTTTGATATAATAGAATAGCTACTCCTACTTGCTTTTGGTTTCCATTCACATAGAGTATTTGTCCACACCTTTACCTTAAGTTTATGTGAGCCATGTATTAGGTGAGTTTTTTGAAGACAGCAAATACTTGGTTGGTGGATTTTTATTCATTCTGCCATTCTGTATCTTTTAAGTGGAGCATTTAGGTTAGTATTGAGATTTGAGGTATTGTTCTATTCATCATGTTAGTTGTTGACTAAATACCTTATTTTTTCCATTGTATTAGTATTTTATAGGCCTGTGAGATTTGTGCTTAAGGAGGTTCTATTTTGGTGTATTTTGAAGTTTTGCTCCAAGATTTAGAACTTATTGTAGTATTTCCCATAGCGTTGGTTTGGTAGTGGCAAATTTTCTCAGCATTTGTTTATCTAACAAAGTCTTTATCCCTTCTTCATTTATGAAGCTTAGTTTTGCTGAATATAAAATTCTTAGCTGACAATTATTTTGTTTAAGAGGCTAGAGATAGGACTCTGATTCCTCTGGTTGGTAAAATTTCTGCTGAGAAATCAGCTGTTAATCTGATAGATTTTCTTTTATGGGTTACTTGATGCTTTTGTCTCACAGCTCTTAAGATTATTTTCTTCATCTTGACTTTAGTTAACCTGATAACTATGTGCCTAGGTAATAACCATTTTTATGACGGATTTATCAGGAGTTTTTTGAGCTTCTTGTATTTGGATGTCTAGATCTCTAGCAAGGCCAGGAAAGTTCATCTCAATCATTCTCTCAAATAAATTTTCCAAACTTTTAGATTTCTCTTCTTCCTCAGGAACACTAGGTTTGGCCATTTAACATAATCCCTAATTTTTTGGATACTTTGTTCATTTTTTAAAATTCTTTGTTCTTTGTCTTTCTCTGTTTGGGTTAATTCAAAAGCCTTGTCTTTGAGCTCTGATGTTCTTTCTTCTACTTGTTCTAGTCTATTGTTAAAATTTTTCACTGCATTTTTATTTCCTTAGTGTGTCTTTCATTTCCAGAAGTTTTTTTTTATAATATCTATTTCTCTGGAAATTTTTCATCCATATCCTGTATTGTTTTTGTAATTTCTTTAAGTTGGTTTTCATCTTTTTCTGGTATCTTCTTGAGTAGCTTAATGATCAACCTTCTGAATTCTTTATCTGGCAATTCAGAGATTTCTCCTTTGGTTGGATCCATTGCTGGGGAGTTAGTGTGGCATTTTACAGGCATTATAGAATCCTGTTTTGTTATATTAACAGAATTACTTTTCTGGTTCCTTGTCATTTGGGTAGACTATTTCTTCAGATTATTCTTGAATTTATTTTTGATTTGACTGTGCTTTTTTAAATTTAAGTTTCTTTGCCCCCTCCTTAAGGACTGGACTTTAATGTTTATTTTAGCCTAATTTGATTCTTGGTGCTTATAGGGGTTAAGACTTTGTATGAGTTTCTTAGTTATAGACAGTCTTTGTGCACTGGCTTTCCCTGATGCTGGTTGTAGTAGTTATGTTCTTGATATGTGGGTGAGTTCATTGTCTCCTATAGAGTTGGAATGGCAGAGATCTCTTGAAGCTTATCTCATTCTCTTGTGGTGTACACTTTATTTGTGTGATTCTCTCCCAGTATTTTATTTACAAAGTTGATGATTCAGGCTTCAGGCCAATAGGGGAGGTATCTCCGGGTAGGCATTGGTTGTGGCTAAGGCAGGTGGGTAGATGTAATATCCAAAGGTGGGCCGAGGTCCCAGCCTTGATGAGGGTGGCTAGGGGAGCTCTCAATTACAGAGACTCTTCCTGCTGCTGCTTTTACTTTTATATTTCACACCACCCCCTAAATCCATTCAAGCTCTAGGTAAGGCTAAAGCCTTCTCCCGTGAACTGGATTTTCACATTCCCTAGTGGGGATGTGTGTTCTGAGGCAGGTTCTCCCCCACCTTACACTGTGAACTCACAGTTTTTCATCTGTCTCATGGAGTTTGCAGTGGCATGACACTTCTTTCAAAGGATCTGTGAATTCTTTTGTTTTCCTGGTACATTTCTGCAGTGGTTCTTGGAGCAAAAGTTCACAGTGTGAATCTCCTCATGCTGTTCGGTCTGTCTAAGTGGAAGATGCATGGTAGCCATGTCTCCTACCTGCCATCTTGGAAGGGAATCCTTCTTCTCCTTTTTTATTGCCAAATTTAATATCTAAGACCTTCACCACACCAACAATATAACAGGGTTCTCCTTTCTTCACATCCTCTTCATCATTTGTTATTCCCTGTCTTTTGGATAAAAGCCATTTTAACGGAGGTGAATTGATATCTCACTGTAGTTTTGATTTGCATTTATCTGATTATCAATGACATTGAGCACCTTTTCATATGCTTGTTTGCCATTTGTATGTCTTCTTTTGAGAAACATCTATTCAGATTTTTATCTATTTTTAAATCAGATTATTAGATTTCTTTCCCTATAGAGTTGTTTGAGCTCCTTATATATTGTGGTTATTAGTCCCTTGTCAGATGGGTAGTTTGCAAATGTTTTCTCCTATTCTGTGGGTTGTTTCTTCACTTTGTTAATTGATTCCTTTCCTATACAGAAGATTTTTAACTTGATGTGATTCCATTTGTCCATTTTTCCTTTCATTGTCTGTGCTTGTGGGGTATTACTCAAGAAATCTTTGCACATCCAATGTCCTAAAGAGTTTCCCTAGTGTTTTCTTTTAGCAGTTTCATAGTTTGAGGTCTTAGATTTAAGACTTCTGTTTTTATTTGATTTTTATATATGGTGAAAGATAAGGGTGTAATTTCATTCTTCTGCTTACGAATATACATACAGTTTTCCCAGCACCATTTATTGAAGACACTGTCCTTTCCCCAAAATATGTTTTCGGCACCTTTGTCAAAAATGAGTTCACTGTGGATGTGTAGATTTTTTTCTGGGTTGTCTATTCTGTTCCATTGGTGTATTTGTCTGTTTTTATGCCACTACCATGCTATTTTGGTTGCTATAGCTTTGTAGTATAATTTGAAGTCAGGTAATGTGATGCCTCCAGTTTTGTTAATTGTGGTTAGGACAGATTTGGCTATTGTGTGCCTTTTTTGCTTCCATATAAATCTTAGGATTTTTTTTCTACTTCTGTGAAGAATGTCTTTGGTATTTTGATAGGGATTGAATTGAATCTGTAGATTGCTTTAGGTAGTATGAACATTTTAACAATATTTATTCTTCCAATTCCTGAACATGGAATATCTTTCCATTTTTTTGTGTCCTCTTCAATTTCTTGCAGCAGTGTATTATAGTTTTCACTGTAGAGATATTTCACTACTTTGGTTAAGTTGATTCCTAGGTATTTTATTATAGTTCTAACTATTGTAAATGAGATTATTTTCTTAATTTCTTTTTCAGATTGTTTACTTTTGGCATATAGACATGCTACTGATTTTTATATGTTGATTTTGTATGCTGCAACTTTACCAAATTCATCAGGTCTCGTAGATTTTTTTGGTGGAGTCTTTAGGTTTAGGTTTTTCCAAATATAAGATCATATCATCTTCAAACAAGGATAACTTTTTTCCTTTCCAATTTGGATGCCCTTTATTTTTTTTCTCTTGTCTAATTGCTTTAGCTAGGACTTCCAGTACTATGTTGAATAACAGTGGTGAAAGTGGGTATTCCTGTCATGTTCTGGATCTCAGAGGGAAGGCTATCAGTTGTTCCCCATTCAGTATGATACTAGCTGTGGGTCTGATGTATATGGCATTTATTGTGTTGAGGTGTGTTCCTTGTATACCAAGTTTTTTGACGGTTTTTTTTAAATCATGAAGGGATATTGAATATTATCAAATGCTTGGATATAGTTTCTCCCTTGCAGTTCTAACAGATTTTGCTACATGTAATTTTGAAGCTCTGTTATTATGTGCATAGACATTTAGGAATGTTATGTTCTCTTCATGAATTGCTTTTTTATCATTAGGAATGAATTTCTTTACTCATTGTAATATTCTTTTCTCTGAAACCTACTTTGACTAATTTAGTATAACTACTCTTAATTTCTATTTATGTTCACATAGTATTGTTTCTGTATCCTTTTATAAAATAATTTCAACTTTTATTTTAGATTCAGGGGTTACATGTGCAGCAAATTCCATGATGTAGAGGTTTGAGATACAAATGATTCCATCAACCAGACAGTAAGCATAGTACCCAACAGTTAGTTTTTCAACCCTTGCCACCCTCCTTCCCTCTTCACTCTAGTAGTCCTCAGTGTCTACTGTTGCCATCTTTATGTTCACAAGTACCCATTGGGTACTTACGCTTACATGCGAGAACATGTGCTATTTGGTTTTCTGTTCCTTCATTAATTTAGGATAATGGCCTCCAGCAGTATCCATGTTGTTGCAAAGGACATGATTTCATTCTTTTTTATGGCTGTGTAATATTCTTTAGTGTCTATGTATCACATTTTAAAAAAATCAATCCACCATTGACGGGTACCTAGGTTGGTTCCATGTCTTTGTTATGGTGTAAGGATGAACATATGAGAGCGTGTGTCTTTATGGTAGAATGATTTTCTTTTGGATATATACCCAGTAATGGGATTGCTGGGTCAAATGGTAGTTCTTTTTTCAGTTCCTTGAGAAATCTCCAAACTGCTTTCCACAATGGCTGAACTAATTTGCCTTTCCATCAACAGTGTACAAACATTCTTTTTTCTCCACAGCCTCATCAGCATCAGTTATTTTTTGACTTTTTAATAATAGCCATTCTGACTGGTGTAAGATGATATTTCATTGTGCTTTTGATATGCATTTCTCTGATGATCAGTGATGATGGGCATTTTTTCAGGTTTTTTTGGTCACTTGTATGTCTTCTTTTGAGGTGTCTGTTCATGTCCTTTGCCCACTTCTAATGGAATTTTTTGTTTTTTGCTTGTTGAATTAAGTTTCTTGTAGATTCTGGATATTTGACCTTTGTTGGATATATAGTTTGTGAATATTTTCTCCCATCCTATAGGCTGTTTGTTTAGTCTATTGATAGTTTATTTCACTGCACAAAAGATCTTTAATTTAATTATGCTGGGTGTGGTGGCTCATGCCTGTAATTCCAGCCCTTTGGGAGGTGGAGGCAGAGGCAGGGGGATCATTTGACCCCAGGAGTTCGAGACCAGCCTGGACAACATGGTGAAAGCCCATCTTAAAAAACAAAAAACAAACAAAAAAGATATTTAGTTTAATTAGGTCCCACTCGTCAATTTTTATTTTTGTTGCAATTGCCTTTTTTGTATTATTTTACTCTTCACTTATTTTTGGGTTTATATTTAAAATAGATTCCTCAATGGTGGCATATGTTTTGGTCTTTTTTCTATATTCTACAGCAATTTTTCTTTTTTTTCTATAGCAATTCTACAAAAGACTTGCAAAAATAATACAGAGTTTTAATATACCCTTCAGTTTCCCATATGTTAACATATTATATAACTGTACATCATTTATTAAAATTAAGAAATTAACTTTGGATCTGTGATTTTTACAGTTTTAATCAAATTTGGAATAAATTAGCCATTTTTTTCAAATATTTTTTATGTTGCATCCTTCTGTCTCCTTTTCCAAAGGAGAGGTATTCCATTAACATGTATATACTAGGCTGCTTGAAGTTATCCTTACTACCTACTAGTTCTTCATTCTCATTTTTTAGTCCTCTCTGCCCCCTGTTTCTCTTTGGAAAACTTCTACTTATTTGTCTTCAAATCTACTAACCTTTTCTTCTGCATTGTCTAATTTGTCATTAATTCCATCCAGTGCATTTTGCATCCCACACATTATAATTTTTCTCTCTAGAAGTTTCTTTTGGTTCATTTTTATCCCTTCCAGGTCTTTATTTAACAGGTCCATTATTTTTCCTAACTTTTAAACATACAGAATATGATTATAACAATTTTTTTAACATTTGCTAGGCAGGACCAGAGCATCTTTTCTAGAGTAATTACTCATCACTACTAAGGCAAGACATGTCTGAATACTCTTCCTAATGTCCCATTAAGTAAAAAACTTTTCAGCATGGCAGCACTCATCCCATATTTGTGTAATCTCTGGTTATTGGTCTCTTTAATTTTTTCAGGTGCTTCCTTTCTCACCTCAGGTAACTTACTCACACACGTGTACTGATCAGTACTGTGATGAATACTCAATAGGGTCCCTCTTCAGACATCTAGGTTCTTTCTTTGGACAGAGCTCTCTCCTCTGGTACTCTGCTATAGGAACTCTAAACACCTTGCTCTCCCAGGACTCTCACCTCTGTCTAGGAAATTTTCTGAGCTCTGCTTGGGTTCCCTTTCCCTGTGCCAAGGCCTGAAAACTCTTTCAACTCAGCAGCTGGGGCAATCTCAGGGTTTACCAGGTTTGTTTCCCATATCTTAGGGATCACTGTCACTCATTATCTGATTCCAATGTCCTGAAAACCATTGTTTCATACACTTTTTTTTCCAGATTTTGGTCTCAAGACAGGAAGTTAAATCTGGCCCTTGTTACTTCATCTTGGTTAGAAATAGAAGTCCCAATGACTCAACCTTTCTAAAAGAATAAATATTTATACTTCTGACAGAATGCAGTAGAAATGAGACTCTTGAGAGTTAAATATCCATGGGTTTCATTGCATTTCAGTATGTCTTTCAAGCAGAGAAACTGAACACCGTTGTTTTGGACTATCTTTTGAAGAATATTTGTATAACCAATGACTTAAAAGATACAATAGTGTTTCCCTCTGTAACAAAGGGCAGGCTTGCTTAAAGATTGGAAAATATAGTGTCTCTCTCCAGAGCAAAGGACAAGCATGCTTACTTTCCAGTATCATATATTTGGGCTTCCTAAGCTCAACGCGCCTCTCCTATAATGCAACCCAGTGTGTAGGAAGTTATCACTTGGTCCTGTTTGCATCACCCTGTCAGAATTTGGGCTCAAGGAATTGATGGAATAAAATAATTATTTCTCATCTGTGGCTGTTTCTGTGAATCATAAACTATCCTTTGTCTCTGACCCAGGAACCTTGAGTTTTCTGCTAACATCCATGAACCTGTGACAGGCTAACATGTTAGCTTGCAAGTAGGGTAAAATCTCATATCCTTCATAGTTCTTAACAGTCAAGACAGAGTAAGATAGATTAAAAAGCAGTACAACGTATGCCTGGCTTTCTGCCTTGAAGCATGTGCCTTGGCAGTACTAAGTCAATATGTTACACGTTCGGCTAGCTTAAAGTTGCTGGGTTGTAGAGATCCTATGGAGAGTATATTTGGGATACTTAGGGAACCCTGGCTCTTCCAATCACCAGCTGATGGAGTCTTCTCAGCCCATGAGGAAATGGGCTTTCAGTTCATTCTAAATACAAGCCTTTGAGCCACACTGCGAAGGGGAGCAGAGATGAGTCGTCCTCTTAACCCTGCCTCATTTGCAGATTAGTGGGCAAAATAAATGCTGTGGTTATTTTAAGCCACTACATTTTGGGGTGATTTATTATACAGTCCTAGATACCTGAAACACCATGTATTTAATAGCATCCTCTGGATTTCTTGCTCTTCTTGGTAGAGCACTTTCTCCAAGAGTTTTTTAAAGAGATTCTTGTGAAGCCAACTTCTGAGATATTTTACACCTAAAATGCATTTATTTTTCTATCACATTTAAATTATAGCTTAGTTGGCAGTAAAATATCTTTTCCTTCAAATCAATATCTATTGTTTTCTTGTGTCCAAGTTGCTGTTGTAAAATTTGATATTGGTTTAATACCTGTTTCTTTAGAGGTGATCTGTTGTTTATCCCGATAACATTAAATGATTTTTTTTTTGCATTTTAGTTTTAAAAGTATTTTATCATAGGATATATAAGTAAAGGATTTTTCTTATTTGTACTATTTTTGTACTTTATGAGCCTTTAATTCCAAGGTCTTACATCTTTCTCTAATTCTTGGAACTTCTTGGTCTTTTATTCCTCCAAAATTTTCTTTACTTTTATTTTTTATTGTGACTCCCATATGAATGTTTTTCTTCTGATTTTATCCTTCACATCTCTTACATTTTACATTTTCCACAACTTTATCTTTCTGGTGCCTTCACAGAGAGATTTTACTCTCATCTTCCAGCTCACTAATTGTTCTTTAGCCATATCTATTCTTCTGTCATAGAATGTACTGGGTTCTTTATTTCAAATTTTATGTTTCCACTACATTATTTCTACTTGGTTATGCTATGGAATTGCTTGTTCTCCCTTTACGTCACCAATATCTCCCTCATCTTTTTGATGGTTATAAATCTCAGGGTTTACTATGTTTGCATTCTGTATCTCAGTAGTCACTGCCACTCATTATCTGATTCCAAAGTCTTGAAAACCATTGTTCATTATATTTTGCCCAGTGTTAATCATTTTAAATCACTTTCTCTCTGGTTTATTAGGCCAGATTTTCCAGGTATAGCTTTTCCAGTTTGTTTTTTAATGCTGGTATGGAAGTCAGATGTCTTATTAGTTTGCCTATGAGCTCATATTCACCTGCATGTATCAGTTAACTTTTAAGAAGGGGTTAAATTCCAGGCTGTAACTCTGAACTTTTTGGTAAGTTTAAGGAATAGGGGTAGGGTCAGGAAGTCAGCACAAGAGGGGAATTGAGATGCTTCTATTACTTCTTTGCTATCCCTCTTTCCCCCAAAACAGTTTATCTTGTTCTCCAGCAAATGCTGTCCTGTCTTCCTCTAGGGGACTGTGCTCTCTAAAAGCTTTTTCTTTCGCTTAGTGAAATGTTAGATCTCTGTATCAGTTTAAGAAGAATCACTAGAAGAAAAATCCATCTATTTCTTTATATTAAGAGATTTGTTAGGGGATTCAAACCTACACGTTGAATGAGCTGGTTAAACAGTCTCTGTAGGGCAGCTGTCTTCCTGTCTGATGCCTGAGTTTGAAGTTTGCAGGGAAGGCAATCAGAAAGGAAAAATGGATGTAAAGTTAGGGAGAGCGAGGAAAAACTAGAACACATGAGCATGAGTGGTAACCCACAGTGATGGACTGGAACTCACACCAGTTCTCACTGCCTTCAACCTTGAAGTAGGAAGAAGCTGAAACCCTTCATCATGGAGCTAAACGCATTTGGACCATGAGTCAGAGAAGGTGAAGGAGGGTGCAGGTCAAGTTGGACCTTTTGCATCTCCATGAAATAAGCCAGCAAAATGACAATGTGCATGAGTTTCAGAAGTTCCTGGTTATCATGCCCTGTGTTACTGGGGATTAAATACAAACACACACAGAACAAAAAGAAACCGGGCACTGTGGCTCACACCTTTAATCCCAGCACTTTGGGAGGCTGAGGCAGGCAGATCACGAGGAGGTCAGGAGTTTGAGATCAGCCTGGCCAACATGGTGAAACCCTGTCTCTACTAAAAACACAAAAATTAGCTGGGTGTGGTGGCGCACACCTGTAATCCCAGTTACTCAAGAGGCTGAGGCAGGAGAATTGCATGAACCCAGGAGGCAGAGGTTGCAGTGAGCCGAGGTCATGCCACTGCACTCCAGCCTGGCTGACAGAGAGAGACTCTGTCTCAAAAAGCAAGCAAGCAAGCAAACAAACAAACAAACAAACAAAACCAGCCTGAGTGCTACTTCACTTTCATTCTCCAATATTGCACAAAAAAAGTCTTTAACCCTAACTAGAAATACAAGGAAAGGAATCCTTGGAAATTCAGCTCAGCCTAGCCAAGTTGACATATTACAAAGCCACCACAACCTCAGCATATAAAAGGAGAGGAGAGGGAAGGGGAAGAAGGAACTCTTAGGGGGCTGCTGTTCTGCCTGCATCTGTTATTACCTGCTTCTCCCCCAGCTGGGTTCTGGCACTAGCACACTGTTATCCTGTTGTTTCTGGCTAGCACTGCCTTGGCCTGGTTTTTCTGTCCTGCAGTGGTAACACGGCAAATAGGGAAAGCTCTTCTAATGCAATAAAGAGGAAAAGAAAATAACTGCAAATTTCTTCCTCTGCTTATTTCTCGGCCATATTATCCAGCTTTCTTCTACTCTTTATTGGTGCTTTCCCAATCTTACCCAACCCCAGTCATCTCCATTAGCTGCTACACAACTGCCTTTCAACTGGGGCCTCTAATTCTTATGCTGATGTTTCGGCTCCATCTTCTTCCCCATCACATGTGCGGTGACATTAAAGTTGGTGGGAAAAAGCTAGCAGCCCACATACTTGCTGTCATGTCAGTTGTAATAACATTGTAAATGTAGATTTTGTATTTCATTGTAAGAAATTATTAAAGTGATATAAAGAAAATAATGAAAGAAATGAATGACATTTTCGATTATGTCGCTTAGCTTTTCTGGAGATTTGTTTGGCACAGTTCTTTTCTGACAAATCTGCCTGAGGGGTAAGGGTCAAGCAAGATTATACTTTGAAACACAGGATTCTGAAGAATTGTGTATTTTTGGCCCATATACCAGAATCGGAATGCATTTAAGGAAACCTGGTTGTCTCAATTGTTCCTAAAAGTGACAAGGGAAGGCTATAGCATGACTAACAGCTGCTCTTATTATTTTGGAATGTAATTTGTCTGCCCAATTCTTCCCTTTGACTCTATAAATTGCAGCAATATTTCCTTAGAAACTCAAAGGAAAAAACATCCTTCTTGTAATGCTGACTTGTGGCTGGTTAGAACAACTGGCAGCATCCAGCCTGGCCAACACTTTTCTGTGTGTCTCGGAGATAAATTTTCCAGGGCCCTGCGATACTAAGACACAGGAAATCCAGGCAAATGATATAGACTAAATTTTATTCTTATTTTGACATCACAACAGAACTTAAACTCCTACAAATAACTGCAAAGAAATTCAATCACTAATTCAGTATACAAGAAATAATGATGTCTTAAAATTATTTATTTTTTCAGCACCTGACAATTCAATATGTGGATCCTTCTTGGAAGTAACAGAGCATGCTGGCCAAAGAGTTACTGCAAAAATGCTCCTAAATCAAGTAAACAAGGAAAAGAACAGGAGCTGATAATGCTGTTGTTTGTTAATGCTCTTATTGTAAACTACTTTTTGGAAGATAAACCTTTTGTGGGAAGGCCAGGTACTAGGCTCCTTCATTGCCTTAGATGATCCAAGAGACTGAGTAATCAAGATGGAGCAAAGAGCAAGAAGAGTGTCTGCAACACTTTTAACTTCACAAAGAAGTTACCAGGCAGAAGGGGACAATTGCAGTGACTGATTTTCCTGACAAAATGACAGTGTCTTGACAATGGCTATGAAGTCTTGATGACCCTTAACATCTCATAGAACAAAGAAGTCAGTAGAGCAAGGTGAAAATGTTAAAGGAGGAATACAAGAAACACAAAAGAAAGATGACAGGGTGACAAGTTAAACATAATCCACGGAATAAGAAACGTCAGAAGCCTCCTCCGCAGTACACCTACAAACACCTGCCCTTTTGTTAATAGATAAAAGAGAGCCTCTCACTGTAACTCCTTAACTTCCTTGGTGGAGGGAAATCAGATGGCTAGAAAGTGTGGTGGTGCCTGGTGTGAAAGACTTAACTGGGCAACACATCCAGCAAGCTGTATTTAACCTTCATCAGTCTTTTATTTGTACCCCCTAAATCCTGGTTATTGAAGTCTTCCAACTCCACCTCATCTCTCCTTTTATTGTCCCACTCATAAAATCTCATAGGAGTAAATAGATTAGACATATTTACTGATTAGGGCAGACATATTCCTCATATGTACTGAGGAAGAGTGATAGGGGGATCACCTTGGCCTGAAACCCTCTATCAGGAGCCAATTTTCAAGAAGATAAGAAAATAATCAGCCACTTGTGATCTTCTTTCCTTAATTATATGAGATCCTATCCAAATTTTCAATCCACTGTCACTGACCTCTGAGGACCTTTGATGCCTTTGACCTGGCTCTAGTGGAGTACCTTCCATTCTTCCAAATAGTCCCCCCATTTGCCTTGGCCTTAAATTCCACCATGAAGGGGGAGTCTTTTATTTTAAGCATTTCTTTTTATCTAATAATAAAAGATAGAGGAAATAAGATAGTGGGATTCGAAATAACGTAACACAAATTAATTATTCATATCAGTTTCTCTACTAGAGGAAATGCAATAGTTGATTAAGGATCAGAGGAAGGAAAATCCTTCAATGAAACATTGAAAGAAAGCTGAAGAATTTGTAGTGAGAGAAAACAATTATCTTAACAAACATTTTTATATTATAATTCTTTTTCCCTTCTGGACATCAGATGCAGATAATTGAGTTCGTGATTCAATTCGTGGGTCATTATCATCACTGGCCGCAGCAAGGCTTTATTTGTAAAAATTTTTTTCCATTTTATTTCCGTTCCTCATTCCCATTCCACCTCCCCACAGGTAGCTCTTCTAATATATTAAATGTGTACCTTTTTGTTTGCATGTGTTCTTGCAAAATGCATATTTTTGTGTACATCAAATTTACATAAATAATATCACATCATAAAATTCAATCCATTTTAGATTTTATTTTCCTTGGACCATATTTTAAGAGCCATGCATGTTGCTGTGTGTACATATAATCCCTTGCCTCTAACCACTACACAATGTGCACATTTTCCCTACATACTCTCCCAGTGATGTTGACCAATATTACCTCCAGTTATCGCACCCCAAATGATGCTGAAACCAATATACATGTACATGACCCTTATGGAACTGTGTGAGAATTACTTTGAACTCTATGTGCAAGAGCAAAATTGCTGTTAATAAAGTTAAAATACACTTAAACTATTCTAGTTTTTGTTCCACTTTTTCTTATAGATGAAATATATGTGAGGCTGTCATTATTATTATTATCATCACATTTTGTAAGTGAATAAACGGAAGGGTCACACATTAAGTGAGATACTACAGTCACTCAGTGAATACAGAGTAGACCCTAGGTATATACTTTACTTTTCTGACTACAGCATTCTTCACTGTTTATACCACATCACATTGTCTCCACAAACTTGTCTTACCCTGAAATTGAGAAATGTTGAGATTAGATTAATTGCATTGTTTTCCTGGGGGCTAACATTCGCCTTTGGGAATATGGTATAAGTAGCTACTCACAGAGCTAAGCTAATGATGTGGGAGATACAAGTTCCCTGTTGGCTGACAGCAACTCTGGTGGCCTCATTTAACTGTTTTCTGGTGAACCAGAAATAGTACCTCTGCATTGAAATCAAGGGCAAGCAAATGCCTGCAACCTATTAGCACAGGACATACAGGTATATTTCCAAGATGACTGGTTCCTGCAGGTCCATTAAAGCAAGGGCAATACAGCTTTTTAATTCATATCTCTTGTATGTCTGACATATGGAGGCCTGAAAAAATGACTATGGGCTTCTGAAAGGGGAGAGTAGGTTTCAATCTGCTGGGAAAAGAAAATGAGGTAAAGACACCTTATAATGATTCCTCAAAAATATTCGATAAACATTCAATGATAACCAATATGAGAACTAAAACAATCATATTTTGTAGTTCACATAATCATCATATAAGCTTTGTTTTGTTTGTTTTTAATATTATTCCAGATAAAGCCCCTACATTCTTCTGATACTGTCACATAGCAGCCTCAGGGCCACATTGTGATATCTCTCTTATCAACACAAGGTTCTCAGTCCTTGAGAAAACCTGATACAGTCATTCCAGACATTCTCATACAGACATTTCTGTCTTTTACAAGGGCCTTGAACTTTGATGCTGAATCAAAGAATCTGCTTACAAGGGAGAATGCATCCTGTTAATCAGGATGGAAACTAGTTTCGTAAAGAGCAATGATTGATCTTAACTTAGGAAAAGGGAAAGAAAACTCTTCTTAAAGTATGTGTGTTTGGGAAGTGGGAGATTTTCATACTGTAAGCTTTTACCTAAAAGATACTGATCCCCTCCCCCAGTGAATTTTGTTACAACTGCCCTCCACCTCATCCTGTGACTTTTAGGACAATCAGCCTTACAGACAATGGCAATGTCACCAGCTACTTGAGCAAATGTCTTTACAGACTTTGTAAAACAAGTATTAGGAAACTGACTTAACTGAGGGGACAGATTAGGATTTTAGAAAAAAAAATTCTTGTAGGTTCCCTCAATTGCCATGATATTTTTATTTTTCAAAAAGTAGGAGAGTATATTAGTTTACTGGAAAAACAGTGAGCTAATTGTAGGCCAGAGGCCTGGGCTCAAGCTGCCCTCTCTGCTGCAAATAACCATACATATTTGGGAACATGATAACTACTCTGGGCTTTAGATGGATAGACAAAGGCCAAGATATTGCCCAGTTCAAAAACTATTAGCCTATTAAACCTAGAGGAAATAAACAAACTACAATGAGACCCTACAATATGACGCCCCTGATTGCCCTCATTTTCTAATTCTCTGGATCAAGAACATTTCCAAAAGGCAGCACACTATTATTAACAAAAAGTTATTGATGATAGTACTCACACCTGATTACCACTCTGTGGTTGGAATTACAAGACAGTGATTTTTCAGATCCCTTCCTACACAAACATCTCATTTACAGCCTTGGACTTTTACCCAGCAGACCTCATGATAGTCTTTCCGGATTCACTGCTTGGAAGATGAGTTACATGGTGCAATTATTTCTCAGTTTTTGTCCAGTGTGCTAATCTGAAAACAAGGTGCAGTGGTTATTATTTGAAAACACTTGAGAGCAACAATGAGAAGAAAACAAAATGACTAGACTCCGTCATTTCTCCTGCAGAATCTCAAGAGACATGGAAAATGTCAGGCTGTGTGGTACCTGCTGGCTTGTGAAGATCATTGTCATCTCAAACAAAGATGACCTCAGCCCTGGGATGGAGAAGACAATAGAACCCCCTGAATGGTAGATGCCTGAATCCATCAAATGGGGAAATCTTTTAAGTTAAACTGTTTACTTACATGTTAACATCCAGCACTTCTCCTTATTTATTTTTTTCCTTTCGGATTTTAAAAAGCCTGCCTGGGGAAATTTTAGAAAATATTTGGAATGTCCATAAGTACAACGCAATATTTGTGTTACAATTTCCTTTTTGAGCATTTTAATCACTTAGTATTTATCCTATTTATCCTGGCTCAAAGGCTTCAAAAACAGGATATTTTCCTTAAGTCCCATTTTAACTGTAAAGTGGCAAATTGCAAGCAAGCTTTTAGAATTTTTTATATGGAAGTCTTGGAATTTCCACAGCTTATGTTCTGAGCCAACAAAAATATACAGAGATAGAAAGCAGGGAATTTTTGAATCTAGTTGGCTTACTTCACAACATTACTTTTTTTGCAGATATATTTGCTTAACAGGGCAATGAATTTTAAGTATGATTTGGGAATGGAAAGTTGGTTTTTATAAATTCAGAGGAAAAAATGGTAAAAATAGTTTGCATTGATGATACCATATCAAAGGAAATGACGATGCCTAAGTTAAGTACAAAGCTTTCCTGGACAACCACCAGTACAGGAAGACTCAAAAAGGTCTGGGGTTGAGCTGAGTTGAGACTGTTTTGAAAGTAGTCAGTGTGCTAGAATGGAAAGAGCACTCAATGTAGAATCAGGAAACTTAACCTCTAGTCCTAGTTTTCTTATTACCTAGCTGTGTGGCTTCGAGTAGGTCAATTAACCTTTCTGACCCTCAGTTTCCTCATCCTTTTAATGACAATTAAAAAAAATACTCACCTGGCATATTTCCTAGGATTGTTAAAAGGCTCACATACGATAAACTATATTAAATAATTTTTAAAGTTATGAAGCACATTACTGATGTGAGATATCTTTATAACATCTTTCTATAATTCAGTTAATCTTTGAACACCCAATGTTTAAATTGGATATAATGGCAAGATTAACTGGGACATTTTTCTTTGTCAGGACATGGTGGTGTTTATATCATAACAATTTATTTATACTCTAATAAGTCTATCTTACTAGCTTTTTGGAGTAGGTTCTGCTATAGGATGTAAGAGGAGCTTACTGAGTTCCTGTTATTTCTGTTAAGACTACCCTCCTGTCTTCTGCTCTTCTTCCAAAGCTCAGTGAGCTCCTGGAAAGATCACCCCTCCACTGCTGGTCTTACCACTGCAAATTGCCTGTGAATTTGCCTATGAAGCCATACCCAGAAGATGGTGATCTGCTCTCAGATCATTCTCTAACAGATGATCAGGACTAATCCCATCTTTCTTCACATCTCTCTCAATAAGTCCAAACTTCTGGATTCATTATCAATATATCTCCATACGTTCCTTATTCTGAGCCAATTCTGGGTCTCTCAAGACTTTCATTGTGCCCTCTAGAATCGTCTGCAAAATCCCTGATATTGTCTACCTTCATTAAGCCTTTATCTTTTTATCCTAATGGAAGACTGGGTTGGTAAATAACACTATATCTGAGACTCGTCAGATGGTGACCCTACATGCCACAGAGCCTGGAAGTCAGATTAGGAATCCTTCTTCTTGTGGCCACTTCCAAAACATTTTCCCGCTCCACTGCTGTCCAAATCTTATCTCCGTTAGCCTCCTGGTATCTTCTGGTGACACTACATCATTCTTTAATGACTATTTATTTCGCACCATCCATATTGTTTATTGTAGGCTACTAACTACGTCCTGCCTCTTTCTTTTAATAGACTGAGGAGGGGGAGGTTCTGAAAGAGGCTTGTCGTCTTCTTGTTCAACCATTTTGTACTTCCACCCGGGGTTTGTTTCCCTCTCCTTTCCAATTTACCCTCCCTCTGCTAGTTCCTTTGCTCCCAATGTTTCTCTGTTCAGTTTCACTAGAATGTGAACTCCATGAAAGCTGGAATATTGTTTGCTTTGTCATCATTGTATTCCTGAGCACCTAGCAGTGGTTGGCACACAGGAGGTACTAAAAAAATATTCATTTTGTCACCAACCTTAACATAGAGGGAAATAGACATGTCCATGTCTAGGGACTCAGATAGAAACACTGGAACATACAAAGTAAATTCAAGAGGCTAGATCCTGCAGCCAACAGCAGAAAGTCTGTCTAAAGCATAAAAAAGCAAATAGCAATGACCTGAAGACATGAAATAAGATTTCCATGAAGCTCCTACTAAGAACAGGTGCTTTGTTAGAACACCTGTGTTCGTTTTCTTGTAGTTATAATACCTGGCTTCACAGATATTTGGCCAATTTGTCTATGGTTCTTCAATTACTCATTATTAGCTCAGAAATAATACTGATTCAAGGGAAGGACTTTAGTGACCATCTAGCCTGCCTTCTTCTGCTTTGCAGGTGAGAAAACTTAAACCCTAAAAGTAAAGAGTTTTACCTCAGATTACCCTTTTATTTACAGAATAGAGATAAGAACCTAGGTTCCTTTACTTCTGACTACTTCTGTTTTCTTTTTCTTTTCATTTTTTTTGAGACAGAGCCTTACTCTGTCACTCAGGCTGGAGTGTAGTGACATGATTTCAGCTCACTGCAACCTCCGCTTCTTGGGTTCAAGTGATTCTCATGACTCAGCCACCTGAGTAGCTGGTACTACAGGTGCACACCACCATGCCCAGCTAATTTTGTGTGTGTGTGTGTGTGTGTCTGTGTGTATACAAGAGACAGGGTTTCACCAGGCTGGTGTTGAATTCCTGACCTCAAGTGATCTGCCTGCTTCAGCCTCCCAAAGTACTAGGATTACAGTCATGAGCCACCATGTCTGGCCTACTTCTGCTTTCTTAATGGTACCCTGCAAGTGTCAAAATGTCTTAAACAGTTTAACAGTACAATGCTGACCTACAATTCTTGAAAGGCTTCTAGGTTCCAAAAGGAAATCTTATGTGTTGCTTATGAAAATTGTAATTTTAATTTAACATATAACTAAAAAATCATCATGTTTATGTTATAGTCAAATGGGAAAAGTATTTATTTTACTTGTTTGACATACCAAACTCTGAGCTTTGTACATTATGAGATAATTCCCAAATTACGAGTCATTTATAAATAAATATAATACATTTGTTTAGAGTAATTTTCTATCATGTTCTTTGCTCCTTTTCTTCCTCATGTATTTACTTGTTCCCTATCTACCAAAAGCTCATGAAATGTCCAAGTCTTCTCTCAAAAATGTAAACAGATGTTTTGCAATCATTTTAGAATGGGAGGGGCCTGAATACTTTTTAACCTCCTCAGCTCTTTTGTGTTGCAAATGAGTTATAGAGGTGAATCCATGTGGGGCCAGAAAGTATGGTGGGATGGGCATATAGGGCTGTTTTCCAAGGATATTGCACTTGGACTGAATGAAGGCATCCATAAGAACATGAAGAGGAGGAATGTTTTGGTACTCAGGGCTCTGTATTAGTCCATTTTCACACCGCTATGAAGAAATACCTGAAACTGGGTAATTTATAAAGAAAAGAGGTTTAATTGACTCAGTTTTACAAGGCTGGGGAGGCCTCAGGAAATTTACAATCATGGCAGAAGGGGAAGCAAACACATGCTTCTTTGCATGGTGGCAGGAAGGAGAAGTGCAGAGTGAAGGGGGTAAAAGTTCCTTATAAAACCGTCAGATCTTGTAAAAACAGTGTCATGAGAACAGCATGGGAGGACCACCCCCATGATCTAATCACCTCTCACAAGGTCCCTCCCCCAACATGTGGGGATTACAATTACGATTACAATTTAAGATGAGATTTGAGTGGGGACACAAAGCCAGACCATATCAGGCTCCATTAATGTTCCTTCTAAGCACCAGCGAGTGGCACAGGGAATTCCCTTTTTGGAGTTACAGTCTTAGGCCCCTAGAGTGAATTTGGACAAGGTGTTTCCATATTGTCTACTCATCCCTTTCCTTCTTGGACTCCTAAAGCAGATTCTGAACGCTCATCATAAAATGTCCCGGTATTTAATATTCAAAAATCGCCCTGAAAGTTGTGATAAGAAGCTTATAGTCATCAAGTTGAGGAGAAGTGGATGCAGTCTCCTGGGTCATTGTCATATTCAAAGTGTCAGATTGGAATGAGACCTTATGGGCATCTGGGTTCTCTAAGTGACAGCATTAATACTTGAAGGGAAGGTGCATCTCTCCCACAAACACTGAGGTGATTTGGCATAGTGCACCAAGTAGAGAAGTGAGAATGAGATGAGCTGGGGTAAAGATCCAATTCTTGCCACTAGCTGCGTGAGCTTGCTCAAGTAACCAAATTTCTTTGGGCCTCTGTTTCCTGATCAACACTGTGAAGATAAGAGCATCCACATTACCTCTCGCATAGGGTTGCTGTGAGGCTCACAGGCCATAATCCTGAGGCACTTTGTAAGAGGTGAAGAGGCTGGGCTTCTGGGTTGGGTGGGGACTTGGAGAACTTTTCTGTCTAGCTAAAGGATTGTAAACACACCAATCAGTGCTCTGTGTCTAGCTAAAGGTTTGTAAACACACCAATCAGCACTCTGTAAAAACGTACCAATCAGCACTCTGTCTAGCTAAAGGTTTGTAAAAGCACCAATCAGCACTCTGTAAAAACGGACCAATCAGCACTCTGTAAAATGGATCAATCAGCAGAATGTCGGCAGGGCCAAATAAGGTAATAAAAGCTGACCACCAGAGCCAGCAGCAGCAACCTGCTTGGGTCTGCTTCCACCTGTGGAAGCTTTGTTGTTTCACTCTTTGCAATAAATCTTGCTACTCACTCTTTGGGTCTGCACTACCTTTAACACTCACTGCGAAGGTCTGCAGCTTCACTCCTGAAGCCAGAATGACCACGAACCCACGAGGAGGAACACACAACTCCGGACGCGCCACCTTTAAGAGCTGTTAACACTCACTGCAAAGGTCTGTGGCTTCACCCCTGAAGTCAGCGAGATGACGTCAGCGAGACCACAAACCCACTGCGAGGAACGAACAACTCTGGACGCACCACCTTTGAGAGCTGTAACACTCACTGCGAAGGTCTGCAGCTTCACTTCTGAAGTCAGCAAGACCACGAACCCACCAGAAAAAAGAAACTCCAGACACACCATCTTTAAGAACTGTAACACTCACCACGAGGGTCTGTGGCTTCATTCTTGAAGTCAGTGAGACCAAGAACCCACCAGAAGGAACCACTTCCGGACACATTTGGACAACTCTTTAGATCAAGGGTGTCCAATCTTTTGGCTTCCCTGGGCCACATTGGAAGAAGAAGAATTGTCTTGAGCCACACATAAAAGACACTAACACTAATGATAGCTGATGAGCTTAAAAAATTGCCAAAACATGTCAAAATGTTTTAAGAAAGTTTACAAATTTATGTTGGGCCACATTCCAAGCTGTTCTGGGCCACAGATTGGACAAGCTTGCTTTAGATAAAGAGTTACACAAATGTGAGGCTGGGCACAGTGTCTCATGCCTGTAATCCCAGTGCTTTGAGAGGCTGATGTGGGAGGATCTCTTGGGGTGGGAGTTTGAGACCAGTCTGGGTAACATGGTAAGACTCTGTCTTTACACGCATATATAAAAATTAGCTGGGCATGGTGGCCTGCGCCTGTAGTCCTAAAGCTGCAGTGAGTCATGATCGTGCCACCACATTCCAGCCTGGGTGAAAGGGCAAGACTTTGTCTCAAAACAAAAGGCAAGCAAACAAAAAACAACAGAGAGTTTCACAAATGTGAAGTGTTATTAGTAACTGAAAGAAGTGTACTGAGTTATTGCCTCAAAAACATGTTTATTTATTTCATATAAATTCATAGGCACTTGGGGTGGACAGAGCATCAGATCAGGTAATATGTAAAAATGAGTAAGACTTCTCTACTTAAAGAGGTTAAATATGTCGAGAAAATAAAGCCCCATCTGGACATAGTAAGTAATAAAACAAATACAAGGCAAAATGCTTTTTAAGAAGGCCAGAGACAGATTTGCAAAGAGGGAAGTTCATCCCAAACAGGAGAACTGGAATATACAAAGGATCCTCTGTCCACCTGAAATGCCAAATTTAAACACATGGGATAGTAAAAGCATAAATAATCAAATTCTGAATTCCATTAAGTAAATTTAGAAGAGGGAAGGGAGTAATAATTTTCATATTGGCAGTCTTCTTCCTATTATTATTTTATGTAATCATTTAGTGTGATATTAAAATTCAGTAAATCTCTCACATCTTGTGTGTACGTTTTATTAAATAGAAGTTTTACTCTTAATAAGAAATAATCTTTTTTTTCAAAATTACAAAAGGTCACAATAAATTTATGGTTAAGCAAGATTCCTACCAGATAATGATCTTTCCTGTAGTTTACTTTCCAGAAAAATCTCACACTTCTATCAGCTTACTCAAATATATTTTATTTCCTGATTGCAGATAAATAAATGGCACCTATTCTGGTGACTCGGAATAGGTGCCATTTATTTATCTGCAATCAGGAAATAAAGTGACACTTCTGAGTCACAAAGTTCAACTCTTCTGAGTTGAACTATGTGAAAGTTCTTTACTAATACCACACAGATCTTTTCCATTCTGATATAGGAACTGTGTGCATGTCCTCATCTGTATATTTCAGTGCTAGAAAGGTGTCAGCATAGCAGTCTCTCAATAAACATTCTATGAATTGAACTGAATTAGGAAATTGTGACAGATGCTGCTAATTGCCTGCCTACTCATCATCCACTCTTCCTTTTTTCTTATAAACAGAATCCTAATTTATTTGGAGGCCACCATGTATTCAGCTAAAATATTGAATCTCCTACTTTTTCAGTGAGATATGAGTGGAAATCACTGCCTTTGACTTCTTAGAAAGTTATTTAAAAGGAGACAAACTCCACTGGCTTTGACTTCTTGCCCCTCACTTTTTTCCTTGCTTTGCTGACTGAAATGCAGATGTACTGTTTGATGACAAAGCCATCTTAGAATTATGAGGGTTTGTTACACGTAAAAGATGATAAAACTGGATCTGAAATCAATCTTGGTCCTTGATGTTTCTCTCTGGTAGTTGGTCCAGCCTTGAACTGTGTACCCGTAGACCTCTATTTAATTAAGCCACTGTGAAAGGTTTCTGTTACATAAAGGCAAATGGAGTCATAGATATAGATCCTTTGACTCTGTCTAGCTTAGTGGGGAAGTAGTTGACATTATAGAATCTACTGAGATGGTTTTTCACTTTTTCTACCCCATTCTGATAATGCCCTGCAAAAAAAAATACTCCTCTCATCTGGGTAAGAATTGCTGCCATATTCTTGCAAGGATAAAAATAAAAAATAAAAAAATAAAAGAAAGAATTGCTTCCACAGTGAGCCACAGTTACTGCTAAGAATGTCACTTCCCTAAGATGTGTTAGGCCACCCAAGAAAAAAGGTTCAGAATCATCTCTGCTTCAGGGAGGCTCATAATAAATTGACTAATTGGAAGTCCTGAAAGTGTTGGAGTTGCAATGCATTCAGTAGTTATTAAATAAGTGGAAAGAAGTATGCCTGAAGTATCTCAGAGCCCGATTGAGATACCAACTGATACAGCAGCATCAGAAGATGATTATAATTTTGATGTGGACAGTGAAGGGGTTGGTGAAGCTAGACTAGAAACAATGGAGAGTGCTGACCCTGATAACAGAATCTTAGCATTGGAGGGCAACTTAATGGCCATCCAGTTCTATGTCTCAAGGCAAAACTTGACTTCTACCATATTGTTCACAGATGTCATCCAACCTTTGCTTGAATACTCCAGTGATTAATAGCTAGTGAATTCAAAAGGTGATCTATTGCATTATTGAAAAGATTTAACTGGAAAGTCCTTTTTACAATCAACTTAATATGATTGTATCTTTTTTTAATTATTATACTTTAAGTTCTAGGGTACATGTGCACAATGTGCAGGTTTGTTACATAGGTATACATGTGCCATGTTGGTTTGCTACACCCATCAACTTGTCATTTACATTAGGCATTTCTCCTAATGCTATCCCTCCCCCAGCCCCCTACTCTAATTATTACCATATACCATTTATATAGCATTTTACTATATTTATTTTAAGAGATTTCATATGATCAGTGTTGATTGATAGTCATAAAATGATATGAATCACTTGAAATAATACTATCTGAGCATTTGTAAATCTGCTCTGAGAGGCTACATATAGTTGTACAAGGTTTCACAATTCCTAGGTAGAATACCTGGACTTGAAGACAAGACTATTAGACTCTGAGTCCAGATCTCCTTTAAATTGTTATATATTCAATCAGTAGGGATTTACTGAGCTCCTAGTATCTACTGGTTACTATGTTAAAAGTGCTGAAGCACTAATGGTGAACAAGACATAGACATTCTTGGTTCCTCTAGAGCTAATAATCTGGTAATTGCCTACATATGAGTTGTACTTTTAGCTTTTGGTATAGCACAGAGTAATAAGTAAATTCCTTCCCCTGTGCATTAATCATTCAGTTATCACATTGCTTCATGGGTGCCTCTTCTCTAGACAAAATATGTCCTTTTTCTTCAACATAGGAGCTATTACTTTTCTCTGGACACCCTTAATTTCGTCAGCATCTTTCTTAAGGAGTGGCATTCTGAATTAGACACCCAGGCTCCCAGTATGATCTGGTGGGTGTGTAGTGCTCAGAGACTGTGGCCTCAGAAGACTTGAAGGTTGAATTACTAGGAGTGCAACCTGGACTCATCACAGCTATTTTGATTTCTCATGGCAGTGTTCATTTTTATGGTTCGTAAAATCACAAGACCTTCTTTCTGTGAATTGTGACCAAGTCAGATCTCTCCCATACTGTACTCAAACATTGGAAACATTTAAATGCTGACCTTTAATGCATTCCTATTAAATTTTACTTCGTCATCTGGAATATTATTACATACCTTGAGGTCTTCTTTATCTTGCTTCTCTCATCTCTAAGGTTGTCTTTCCCAGTTTTGCATTATTAATAGGTTAGATAATCACGTGCTGTATTAGTTTGTTTTCACACGCTGATAAAGACATACCCAAAACCAGGAAGAAAAAGAGGTTTAATGGACTTATAGTTCCACCTGGCTGGGGAAGCCTCACAGTCATGGTGGAAGGCAAGGAGGAGCAAGTCACGTCTTACATGGATGGTGGCAGGCAAAGAGAGAGAGCTTCTGTATGGGGAACTGCTCTTTTTAAAACCGTCAGCTCTTGTGAGACTTACTCACGATCATGAGAACAGCACGGGAAAGATTTGCCTCCATGATTCAGTTACCTCCCACAGGGTCCCTCCCACAACACATGGGAATTCAAAATGATATTTCAGTGGGGACAAGGCCAAACCATATTATGTGCTTTATGCTACTAATAAAAAGGTTAAACCGAACAAGTTCAAAGACAAAACTCAGTAGTACTTTATTCAGACAGGTTAGTCTAAATCTGTTAACCTTATACTTGCAACTCTGATCATTCATTAATTCTGCAAATTTTAATAAATGCTTTATTTTAAGCTAAATGCTGAGATGAAAAAATGAAACCATATGAGTTAGCAAAGTAGAAAATATAGGCATATTAATCAGTAAATGCAGAATGATAAATGCTCCATCAATATGCACTTGTTGTAGTGAGGCCACCGAGGAGGGTGCAATCCTCTCAACCTGGGAGGAGCAGGTAGGACTTCAGATGTCATCCAACTCAAAGATATAGTGAGGGACTTGATCAAACATTTGCCAAGACCACTATGAGTTAAATGAATAGATTAGGCATTTCTCCAATGTTGCAAGCTTCGAATCATATCCAAACTCAGAACAACATAGCTTGGTCATAATGATCCCAAGGATCCTATTGGCCATTGTCTTTGAGCCTCAAAGGAACATATTAAAACTCCATAATACCCTTTTGATCTATTCTGAAGTTAAGTAGTGAATTTACATGATGATGACACAAACACTGTAAAGGACCTCTGGGTTACTTGTTTATAAGCTAGTATTTCCTGAATCAATTTTTCTGATCCCTAGATATTTGGTAGGTGAAGTCATACCTATATATCCCCACACCCTAGAACAGCATCTCCAACTTATTTTTCCCTCCTTGTCTTTTAGTGGGAGCCACATCAGTATCCAAGAGGAGATCCAGAAGCCTCTCCAACCAGGTAGGGACAGTTATAGATTCCAGACCTCAGCTATGGCCTTTGTTACAGAGTACAAATGTTATATAGTACAAGTTTATTGTACACATCCCATTGAGTCTCTGAGCTTTAGAATTTTCTTGTAGAATTTAACAGTTTTTTCATGCCGTATTTACATATTATTGCTAGTATTTAGAATTTTCTTCTCCAAATGTATAACGTTTATTATTGCATTTTTTGTATCCACTAAGTGGAAAATCATGCATTAGATATTGTAGAAGTAGATACAACAATGAACAAGAACTGGTCCTGACCATGAGAGGAACTGATGATCCAATGGGGGAGATAGACCTGCACGTGTTTAATAAAAGGAAGTGGCTATTCCGGTTTCTTTTTGATGGGCAAGCATTTTGCAAGGCCTTGGGCTATGTGTGTGCAAGGCTAAGCCAGTTAGTTAATTGGGATTTTTTTAAAAAGGCACTTCACTGGGGGGAAAAGGAACATAGAGTTGGTTATTGTCCCCTTGCCTATAATAAAAACCTATTATTTTTAATTTTTTAACTGGGTTTGCGGTTAAATCTCACAGCCCAAGAGATTTGCCACTTCAGATGGATTCCATACACTTGCATTTAAGTATGCAAAAAAATTCCAATTATCCAGCAATTTAACCAAATTATTGGTAACTTTTCTAAAACAAAAAAAAATTGTTTCCCTTGTTTTGGCAGCAATTTCAGTTACAGTCCTTTACTTTCTACTCAAGAAAATAGTTTCAAAAAGTTGATGTTTGTTGCTAAAAGAACTATTTTTATGAATAAATATAAAACTAAGAAGTTATGGTGTCCCTTTTTTAAAAAATGACTCATCAAAAGAAATAACTTTTTCCTTTCTCTTGTAAGAGAAAAAAATTAATCTCTTTTAGAATTGCAAACATATTTCCTTGATGGAGAAAATCAATTCACATGGCATAGTCGTTATTTATCCAGTTCAAAAACCAGAGTAGAATTTACTACTCTGTCTCCATTTTTTCTCTCCCCACCCCCTTAACCCACATTGGATTCAGAAAGCTTCATTCTGCAATCAGCATTGTCCTTTATCTTTCCAGTAAAGATAGCCTTTTGGAGTCGAAGATGAGGAAAAGCCTGTATTTTATAGTCTTGGAAGTGTCTTCTTTTGCCAGGACAGAGAGAGGAGCTTCAGCAGTGAGAGCAACTGAAGGGGTTAATAGTGGAACTTGGCTGGGTGTCTGTTAAACTTTTTTCCCTGGCTCTGCCCTGGGTTTCCCCTTGAAGGGATTTCCCTCCGCCTCTGCAACAAGACCCTTTATAAAGCACAGACTTTCTATTTCACTCCGCGGTATCTGCATCGGGCCTCACTGGCTTCAGGAGCTGAATACCCTCCCAGGCACACACAGGTGGGACACAAATAAGGGTTTTGGAACCACTATTTTCTCATCACGACAGCAACTTAAAATGCCTGGGAAGATGGTCGTGATCCTTGGAGCCTCAAATATACTTTGGATAATGTTTGCAGCTTGTAAGTTATTTCCCTTCATCTGTTTCAAATGTTAGCATTCAATTTTAGCCCTGGTTTTGGCTTCAGTCAGTTTTGCGATAGTAGTGAAGTAAAGACACTAGGATTTTAAACAGTAGGAAAAGTTAATTTAGTCTAACTTTTAATATGCAATTGAGTTTTGCTATATACCATTGTACTGTCATAGTTAGAGCTGAAAATTGATGTTTTTGGTATCTTTTTTTCCAAAGGCAATTGAGTAATTTGGATTCTGTCTCTAGTCGGTCTGTCTCTTTAGTTTCCTATACTTGACAATGAGGTCAAACTTAGCAAATAACAAAACAGCTTTGATAAATGGGCATCAAGGTTGGAACTGAGAATTCTCTCTACTGAAGATGATTCCATAAACTTTTTTGGCAGTGACTTCGGTGCTTTTTGGCTACCTTGCAGTTAGTTTGAAGCAGCTTAGGAAAGAGATCAGTCTGATCATATTTTAGACATTATACAGAGAAGAAGGAGGAGAATACTAGACAAACTAGTGGTAAATTTGCTTCTGTCTTTTTTTGCTTTTGCAGCTCAAGCTTTTAAAATCGAGACCACCCCAGAATCTAGATATCTTGCTCAGATTGGTGACTCCGTCTCATTGACTTGCAGCACCACAGGCTGTGAGTCCCCATTTTTCTCTTGGAGAACCCAGATAGATAGTCCACTGAATGGGAAGGTGACGAATGAGGGGACCACATCTACGCTGACAATGAATCCTGTTAGTTTTGGGAACGAACACTCTTACCTGTGCACAGCAACTTGTGAATCTAGGAAATTGGAAAAAGGAATCCAGGTGGAGATCTACTGTGAGTGCTTTAGAAAATCTTTGTTTTTCTCTCAATTTTACTTTAAAATCACTTTTTAAAAATGATATTTTAAAAAAAGTTTTAAAATGGATATTCATGTACAGATTCTTGGCTAAAGAACATACAACATCAGGAAAGCTAGGGACAGCTAAGGCCAACATGAGAGAGAGCAGGAATCCAAATCTTGGCTTCTATTTCTACCTCTGCCACAAACACAGTGACCATGTATAAGACTCAACCTCTCTGGGCTCTGGTTTCCTTAGCTGTAAAATGATCATTTCTAAGTTTCTTTTTGTTTTATTAAAAAATATTTCCATTTGATTACATCCTTACATGTTTACTTGCTTATGTGTCTGATTGATTTATGAATTCCATCCTTCAGGGATTTTCTATTCATTTATTCTTATGCAATTTGATGCTTAAAATTAGTTTAAACATTAAGTAGATCTATAATTAGTAATATGTATTAGTATAAAAGTGTTCTTCTTAGACATAATTGTTAATATCTGGAAACATTTCAATCATTTGACTTTGGTGTTGACACATTTAGGATTTTTTTTTGGTTTTTTTGGTGCCATGAAGCCTTGGTGCTCAACCGCTCAACTTCAAAGATATTTATATAATGAACTAGATTTGCCTCATGAAAGTGAGTGGATGTCCCTAGTTTACCAGCCTGACAAAATGCATCCCACTCCATTCTCCATTCAGCAAACAAAGTTAGCAAGAGGAGTAAAAAACTAACCAGACATAAATCATTTGCCTTTTGTTACTGATGGCCTCTCTTTCTAAAAAACTGAACCCATTTACGGTCATGTCTTCATGAAGACCTCATTTGATTATAATTACTTTGGTTTCGTTTTATTGTACCGGAGCTCAACTTTTCCCAGTAACCTTAATTGATTCTGCAACAAACCGCATGTGTTGCTCAAGCTTCCCAAGAAACTGTGCTTGGCCGGCTGCTTTCAATTATGCTGGTTGTATGTGCATAGTTTATGTCTGTGCAGCCTCCCGAGCTCCTTGAAAGCTTCCCTTATGTAAATACAGGGAAAAGTAGCAAGTTCTTATGTTACCTGACATCGAACTGTGTGGATTAGAGGAACATTTCTTACAGAATATGAGGGACAGAAATTATTGCTGGAAAAATGAAAAATACCATGTTTCTTCACATAGGAAAGAATTTCCAGCTCCTTTGTCTTTTGCCCACTAGTACCAAATAGTTGAAGATTTAAGAAAGAGAAATGAAGACGCTTCTGGTTTTAATTATCTTGCCTGAGGTTTTTCTCCAAGAGTGTCTGTTTCTCATTATGTATAACAGTTCTGTCTCCTTTCCGCATTTGATTGTAATAGTGGTTAGAGTTGAGACCTTTGTATTCTTTTTGCTACACAGTTTTGAATCCACCAATATGTTACTTCATCATAATGCATAATGAAAAAGGTAACTCTTGCAAAGGAGGCAATGGCCACGTGAAGTAGTGTATTTCCTTGTACTAGAAGCTTCAATGGAACACTTGTTGGGATAGTGAGTTAGGCATTTCAGGAGGCAAATATGTGTTCCAGAACATAAAGATTGCACAAATGTATCTTTCTGGTGGATGAATTCCTGTCAGAGGCACCATTTTCAGAAGCTAATTACTTAAAGTTGGTCTTCTCATTTCTTAGAATATCTTGACAATAACTATTCTTTGCAATGACATTCCAAGGCTTACAGTCATTATCTGTAAAATGGAAATATATCTGCCCTGACTATAATAAGAAAATGTGATGTAACATAATGTAAATCTGTAGTAGCAAAACACAATAATGGAAATCCTGAGTTTAAATCCCAGCTTTACCATTTACTAGGTGTGTGACCTTAGACAAGTTATGTAAATGTACTAAGTCCAGGTCTTCTTTTCTGTGAAATGTGATCTCTATCTCCTAGAGTTATTGTGAGGATAAAATGAAATCATTCATGTTAAATCTATAGCACAGTGACAGCCACATGTAAGGTTCAATATAAACATTATTTTTTCTTCTTTCTTTTACTGTAATAACATGCAACTCTTAATATATACAGGATCAGAATTGAATAATGTTGTAAAAAATGTTTGCTTCCAATTCTTGTGCCTTGAACTCACCCCAAATCATGAAAGGCTATTCAAACAGTTCTGTCGTATTAAGACTGTATTAACAAAAACGCTAGACTTGATTTGTATTGTGTTAAAGTGGTAAGAGACCTTATATCACATTAGCAAAAAGCCCATCCATGTATTTGTTTGGCCTTTTCAGCTTTTCCTAAGGATCCAGAGATTCATTTGAGTGGCCCTCTGGAGGCTGGGAAGCCGATCACAGTCAAGTGTTCAGTTGCTGATGTATACCCATTTGACAGGCTGGAGATAGACTTACTGAAAGGAGATCATCTCATGAAGAGTCAGGAATTTCTGGAGGATGCAGACAGGAAGTCCCTGGAAACCAAGAGTTTGGAAGTAACCTTTACTCCTGTCATTGAGGATATTGGAAAAGTTCTTGTTTGCCGAGCTAAATTACACATTGATGAAATGGATTCTGTGCCCACAGTAAGGCAGGCTGTAAAAGAATTGCAAGTCTACAGTAAGTACTTGTGCGATGTGTTCCAGTCTTTGTGGGAATCCCACCTTGGTTGTGTATAGCAATAAACTTAGCAGAAAAGTAAAAAAAAAAAAAACTTGTATATAGTTTGTATTCCATTTGTATTCATTCACAACATAATGTTTGTCAATAGTATAATTCAGTGAAAAGAACACTGGATTTGGACTGAGAAGGCTTGAGCTTAATTTCTGGCTCTATTAACTGTGTGAGTTTGGGTTACTTAATTTCTCTATTTCCCAGTGTATAAAAGGGGAATAGTAATACCACCTGATTGGGTAGTGGGAAATAGGCTCAAATGATAAAACATTTTAATATTGTTTTGTAAACTCTTATAGTATGCCTTGAACTATTAGTTGCACAGGTACAGAAACTTGACAAGGTGATCACTTATTCTGTGTGTGTATGTGTGTGTGTGTATGCATATGCACATACATACATAGGTGCACTGGACAGGGGAAAAATGACGGGGTTTGATTGCCTCCAATCTCCCTGATACTGCCAGGGGATTTGTGGGAGTCTTGTAGTCCCAGCGTTGTGTAGGAGTGGCCTCACTGTGCTCTGTTCTGGACTAAAATGCTATGTTCTGCACTGGGTACCACATTTAAAGGGAGTATTGCCAACTACGGCATGTTTAGCTGAAAGAGAATGAGCTGGGAAGGCTTTTAACAATATTTTGAGAAGAATAGTCAAGATAGAGGATATTTTTCTGAAGAGAAAACAAAACCTGGCTGGAAAAGACATCTAATTAAGCATTTGAAAGACAGTTATATGAAAGAGTGATTTACCTTATTCTGTAACAGCACAGGGCTGAATTATGGCCAATATGTTTAAAATAGTATAGAGAGAAGATTTCAGCTCAATAGGGAGAAATGTGCTAATATGTAGAGCTGTCCAAAAATCAAATTGACTCTTTTGGAAAGCAGTGGGTTGATTCTCTCAGTAAATGTTGAAGCTGACTTGAATGGGCACTTGGCAAGAATGCTTAAATGGGACTCTTACCCTTAAGTGGGAGGTTAAGCCACATGGTTTTTCTTAATTTCTGAGTATCTACAACCATCTGAAAAATATGAAACATCAACTAAACTTGATCAGTTTAGTCAGAAACTGGATAGACTATTTTGAATGATTCAGCAGTTCTTTATACTAATTTGGCAGAGTAATTTCATCAAATTGGTGGAAGCACATAAATACTAAGAGAAATACATTACCTCTGTTGCACTGGGATGATGCTTAGCAATTGCTAATATTATTTTTTGCCCTTTCAGTATCACCCAAGAATACAGTTATTTCTGTGAATCCATCCACAAAGCTGCAAGAAGGTGGCTCTGTGACCATGACCTGTTCCAGCGAGGGTCTACCAGCTCCAGAGATTTTCTGGAGTAAGAAATTAGATAATGGGAATCTACAGCACCTTTCTGGAAATGCAACTCTCACCTTAATTGCTATGAGGATGGAAGATTCTGGAATTTATGTGTGTGAAGGAGTTAATTTGATTGGGAAAAACAGAAAAGAGGTGGAATTAATTGTTCAAGGTGAGTAGAATGTGAAAAAGGAATGATAAAGGTGCTGTCAGTGGGATTTGAGCAATAGTCAACACAGCTTCAATGCTGAAATTGCTTCCCTTAGTTTCACTGATGACCTATCTGATTGCCATATCCTTTAGCACAAATATATGTTTATCTTACTAGTACTCTGTGGAAGTCTTCCCTCCCAGAGTTTCCATGGCTCTGCTTTTCTGATTCTTTTTCATCTCATATCACTTTTTCTCTGCTTCATTCCCTCACTTTCTCTCTTCCTCCTTCCCCTTGGATATTGGTATTTTCAAGTTTACACCCCTGGGTCCTCTTCTGTTCTCACACTAGATTCCCAGGAATTGGACTACAATATGTTGATTACTCCCAAATTCATGTTCCAATTCCATGCTGTTAAATCCTGTCAGTTCTACCTCAAAATGCTCCCTGGAATATGACCTCTTCTTCACCCCACTTGCCATTGCCTTAGTTTATCATCTCTCACTTGGGCTCCTGCAAGATATTCTTACATAACAGCATTCGCTAAACACCAGATAGGTTTCTGGCACTTTCCATATGCCATCCTCAAGAAATAACTAAAAAGTAAGTATTTTGTATTCATTTTACAGATGAGAGAGTGGAATCTCCCAGAGATTAATAATGACACCACCTATTGATTGTACACCTAATATTTCCCAGGAATTCTGTATTCTGCTTTATATATTTTATCTCATTAATCTTTACCACAACACTATTAAAAACCCAGGCTCAGCATAGTTCATACTTTTCCTGGGGCTAAATAGCTCTTTAGTTGCATTTACTATGATTTTGATGCAGGTTCATTTTAATGAAAACCCCTTTGCCTTTTTAATTTTATAGCTAATTGTCTTTATTATTTCTTTTTTAAAATATTTTTAATTGATAAATCATGATTGTATACATTTATAGATTACAATGTGATGTTTGGTATAGGTATACAATGTAGAATGATTAAGTCAAGTCAACAAATCCATTGCCTCACTTGCTCTTTTGTGGTGATACATTTGAAATTCACTTTCTTAGCTATTTTTAAATATACAATATATTATCATTAACTATAGTCATCATGATGTACAATAGATCTAAACAACTTACTCTCCTGTCTAACTGAACCTTTGTATCCATTGACCAACATCTCCTTGTTCCCTTCCACTCCTCGCCCCAGCCTCTGGTAACCACCATTCTACTCTCTACTTCTATGACTTTAGAAGTAGATCCCACATATAAGTGAGATCAGGAGGTACTGGCTTCTCTGTGCCTGGCTTGTTTCACTTAGCATAGTGTCCTCTGGGTTCATCCCTTTTGTTGCAAATGACAGAATTTCCTCTTTTGTTTTTTAAGGCTGAATAATATTTCACATATTTTATGGCTAATTATCTTTAAATAGTCTCCCTGCTAAGATTCTGTCCCTAATATAATCAATCTTATGCACTGCTCCCAGGGTTTATTACCTTAAACAAAAAGGTGCTCATTTTCTATAACTTCCATCACATTTCTTAAAACTGTCACACAGAACTCTTTATGATCTGGTCAGAAACTACCTTTGCAGATCTGTTGATGACTCAGTGCCTCTGCTTACGCTGTTCCTTCTGCCTGAAATGGCCTTTCTCCTTCCTTCATCTGGCAAAATCTTAGCCATTCTCCAATATGAAGCTCATGTCAGCCTCCCAGTTCCAGACTGTGTCAGACCAAACTACATATTCTTTCTTTCGTGTACACTCAACACTCCTTATAGTCATGTATGCTATTCTGTTCAGTTCAACAAATATTAAGAGCCCTTGTCCAAGAATCCAAGAATTGTACTTGGTACTGGGGGTACAGATATGAAAAAGATATGACAACTGCCCTAGGGGAGCATACAAACTAGGAAGGAAGGACAGGCATATAAATAGGTAACGCAAATATTCCTTAGTAAGAGCCAAAATAATATATCTTTTTAAATGTGTCTTTCCACTAAACTGTAAATTCCTGCTCCGGGCACAATGGCTCAAGCCTATAATCCCAGCACTTTGGGAGGCTTAGGTGGAAGGATTGCTTGAGGCCAGGAGTACAAGACCAGCCTCGGCAATATAGTGAGACCTCCTGTTTCTATTTAATTTTTAAAAAATCTGTAAACTCCTTAAAATCAGGAATTCTGTGTGTGTGTGTGTGTGTGTGTGTGTGTGTGTGTGAATGTTTGGATTCTTAGCACAGTACCTAACACATAATAAATGTTCAGTAAATATTTGCTGAATTAATGAATAGATTATAAACATGGGCAGCATAGTCTTTTGTTTGTTTTAGGAAATGAGATCTTGCTATGTTGCCCACACTGAAGTCAAACTCCTAGGCTCAAGTGATCCTCCCACCCTAGCTGCCTGAGTAGCTGGGATTATAGGCACGTGCCACTACACCCAGCTCAACACAAATTTTTAAAATGTGAAAACATGGTATTTAAACTTGGATGATTAAAATAAAAATCAAACTCACCCTAAGTGGATTATCTCGGTTGGATGTTAGGTTAGCATTCTCAAGTGACCAGGAAAGATATTATACTAATAAAAGTGTGTAAAGCTAATCATTCACCCTGGAATAATGTCACTCCATAATAAACTGTATCCTATTTAAATGTACAAAGGACATGTATTTTGGGGCTGGGGAGAGTTGTTTTGCACTTTGCATCACATGGGATACTACTGGCCTAAAGTACTGAAAGTACTTTCAGAGAAACCTTCAGCTACCTAAAAGAGTTACTCCTCCAATGGTTCCAAGTTCACATGGCAATACATGTGGCCACTGTAAAGAATGACTTGAGAAATGTTCACAGACAGGCAGTCGATCTGTTTTTTAAAGTTCCTCATTCTCACACTAGCATATAAAAAATTCAGAAGCTCTGGTTGTTTTTGTGAATGAGCTCTCTTTCAAAATCTAATAGCATATCAGTTTATTGAGGAGAATCTTCTTCAGAAAATACTAAGATGTCATAATTAGACAAACCTATTGAGAAAAATAACTTATGGCATAGATGAGAACCATGCAAAATATAATATGTTTGGATTATTTATATATTGAGATTTCTTTCTTTTACCTTAAGCCTGTAATTTACAAGTAAGATTTCAGTGATTTTTATGGGGGGGTCTTATCTGTTGCTTTAAAAGTTGCCCAAACACTCCCAGTTTCTTCAGGGAAACAGAGCCAAGATGTGGTGTTCCCTTTCTCCCTAAATAGCAGTCATCCAAAAGAAGCCCATGCACCCAGCCGGGATAGCGCTGATGGCCAAAGAGCATTCCTGGATATTTGAGTCTTAGGAGTTTGCCCTCACATCTCGGCTTTCAGACCCTGAATTAATTGTAAAGTATTTTTATATTGCATCAGGCAAATTTTGGAGGTGACTTATGTATCATTTTAATGCTTAGATTTTGACTTTGATTTCAGGATGATGCTATGTGACTTTCAGTGGTATAACTGTATTATTGGAACAGAAGCTCTAAATGCTTGTCCACTGTGGGCATTATATCTAATTAGAAGACATTTTTTGTAGCTTTTTCCAGTACCTCTTTTAGACCATTTTATCACCATATGAGGATGACTTGATTTAGTTGTTGTAGCAACTGAAAAGCTGGGATCTTGAATCAGACCCACCTGGCATCAAGTCCTAATTTTGCTACTTGCAAACTGGGCAAAGTTATTTAGCATTTCTGAGCCTAAATTTCCTCAAGAAGAAAAAGGAGGGGGAAAAGGAGGAAGAGAAAGAGTAGAAGCAGAAAGAGAAGGCAAAGAAGAAAGAATAGTACTAGTGTACAAAATTGTTGTGAGGATTAAATGAGAATATATATATATATATATATATAGTAATTTAGATAGTGCTTGACACACAAGAACCACTTAAATTATTTGAGTGATTGTCCACTCTTACAGTGATTTGATAAACTACATTTGAGCAGATACTCTATTATTGCTGTGAAGAGATAGCAACCTCTCTTGACAAATTTTTATCTATTCAATTTGTTAAATGAATGAATCAACAAACTATCGTGGTTTCATTCTTAAAAGATGTGGGCTCATTTCTGATGGTCCCAAGGTGGAAAAGAGTAATTTCTTCTTGGCATGGATATTAGCTGAAAGGAGATCAGGAAAAATAAAGATCATATGTCAGAATGTGATGAAAAAAGAAAAGAATCTTATGTTCTTTTCATCTTGTTTTCCACCTGTGTCCCAGAGAAACCATTTACTGTTGAGATCTCCCCTGGACCCCGGATTGCTGCTCAGATTGGAGACTCAGTCATGTTGACATGTAGTGTCATGGGCTGTGAATCCCCATCTTTCTCCTGGAGAACCCAGATAGACAGCCCTCTGAGCGGGAAGGTGAGGAGTGAGGGGACCAATTCCACGCTGACCCTGAGCCCTGTGAGTTTTGAGAACGAACACTCTTATCTGTGCACAGTGACTTGTGGACATAAGAAACTGGAAAAGGGAATCCAGGTGGAGCTCTACTGTAAGTGGTTTTCAGAATTGTTTACTGTTTTTTTTTTTCAGTTCTATTGGAAGAAAAAGAATGCAAGTCTGTGAAGTGCAATGAAATCCTTATGTTTAGAAAAGGAATTTAGCCTTGTGAATTTTGTTCCTAAATCTGAATCAGAATGGTTTGATGCAATATAATTAGCTTAAATCTTAAATATATATTACATATGTACACAGCACCCACAATCCTTGGTTTATGCCTTGTCAATACTCTCTCATCATGCACTTGAACACACTCCATGCTGGAGGTGAGTGCATTGGGGTCAGTGCCCATTCAGAGGACTGGGTGGAGGTGACTACTGTTCAGCTACTCCAGTTGGGAATGAGTAGTTTTAAACTGTTTTAAGGCACTGTTTTAAAGGCACATTTGATGAGCTGTCTGCAGGATGGGAAAAAAATAAGGGAATAGGAAGCAGAAGGAAGCCAAAATTAAAGATAAGAAGTTAGATTGGGGATGGGGATGGTCAGTGTCAGTGGCTCAGGTGAAAAGCAGAATCAGGAAGCAGCGCTAGATCTTAATGTTGATTTATGCCACCTACATATACTACACTTTCTCTCACTCTTCTTTTGTCTTAATAAACATTCTTTGCAACCTCAAATCTCTATGAACTTGACATTGCTGGAGTTCCTCAGTCCATATTGAATGAAGAACAAAATATGCAAAGTGACCATAAAGTTATTTTTTTTTGAGGGGGTCACTCTGCCTTGTTTTATTCAGTAGAACTCAAGAGAACATATCGTAGAGATTTTCTACCAGAAACCCTGCCCAAACTTGTGTTACCCTTCAGGATTTTGTTCAGAATGAGTTAGAGTATGCCTGTAAAGGGATTTGGGTCTCTCCAAAGAAAGATAAATTTTATTTGCATTATCATATTACCCAGAGTCCATGATCTGCTGAGATAGGCACATTCCCAGCAGAAATGAGAACCAGCAGTGGGGTCTTATTGCAACATAGAAATATTTGAGCATGTATCACTTTAACAACATTTTGGTTAAGGAAAAAAATGTTTAAGCATTATTCTTGCCCTTGATAGCTATCTTAGTCTCATTTTACTGATTTGTACTGTATTATAAAGAATACAGTTAAGGCAGTTCTTGATTACAAGTATTATCTGAGAAATATTTAAAACTTGCTGCCTAAATTTGGTCATTAAAATTTAAACTAAGTTGAGAACTTCCTTGTTTGTCTTATTTGATACTGAGAGACTGCACAGCTCTGTAAAACCAAAGCTGGGCTCTGAGGTCAGAGAAATATGGATTTGCAGCCCATCTCAGTGACTTACTAGGTATAATGTGTGAAGAAAGTCTCTTAGCCTCTATATGTTTCAGTATTCCTGGCTGTAAAATAAGTAATACTCATTTTACACAGCTGCTTTGAAGACTGAGATAATGAATATTAGGGGACTAGTTTACAATAAGTATTCAACATAACATGGCAAATTTTAAAATGTGAAATATATACTTACTAAATAAGATGGTGGAAACTGATGTATACTTAGAAAAGGTCAAGCCATGGCACACAGCAAGATTGCATATTAAGAAGAAAAGAAATAAGTGAAAATTTATTACTCAATGACTGGATATACTAAGTAGTTTTTGTTTCTAACATTATTCATATATAATATCATAAATATGTCATTTATAAATACTGTCATTACTTATATATTGACAGTCATTCTATCCCAGGTGACTTAAAGCTGTCATTTTTAGGCCTTTACATTTAATAAAGCTTAGCTCAATTTTTCCTTGAATATCAAGAATAAAAATCGTTTTTGCTTGCGATTTGCAGCATTCCCTAGAGATCCAGAAATCGAGATGAGTGGTGGCCTCGTGAATGGGAGCTCTGTCACTGTAAGCTGCAAGGTTCCTAGCGTGTACCCCCTTGACCGGCTGGAGATTGAATTACTTAAGGGGGAGACTATTCTGGAGAATATAGAGTTTTTGGAGGATACGGATATGAAATCTCTAGAGAACAAAAGTTTGGAAATGACCTTCATCCCTACCATTGAAGATACTGGAAAAGCTCTTGTTTGTCAGGCTAAGTTACATATTGATGACATGGAATTCGAACCCAAACAAAGGCAGAGTACGCAAACACTTTATGTCAATGGTAAGTACATATGTGAGGTATCTACAGTTTAATACCTGTCTCTTTATCGTGTTTGCCAGGCAATAGTTAACATAAGGTTAATCGTTAAAACCTCTGTGGAGAAAAAACGTTACTGAAAAGAAATTTCAAAATAATGATGATTGTAACAAATCACCCTCCCTAAACTTAAAATAGTAACTATTTACTGGCTTATGATGCTTTGAGTAGGCAATTTAGGAAGGGACCAGCTAGGCAGTTATTCTGTTCAATATGGTATTAGCTGAGCTCACTCGTGCATTTTCAGTAAGGTTAGCAGGGCTGGCTGGTCTCAGATGACTTCACCCACATGTCTGGAGCCATATCTTGGATGACTTGGCCTCTCTTTCTTTATGTGGTGTCACCCTGAGGAACAGTAGCCTAGATTTACTCTCCAGAGCTCAGTGTTTCAAGAAGGTGTAAATGAAAGCAGCCTCTTCAAGGCCTGGGTTTGGAAGTCCTACAGTGTTACTTCTTCTTCCACATTCAATTGGTCAAAGTGAGTCATGAGGCCAGCCTAGAGATTCAAGGGGTGGAAAAATAGACCACATCTTTTCACAGAAGGAGATTCAAATAATTCACAGTCATGTTGACTCTACCATAAATGGCAGTACACACTATCATTGACCCTCGTCATTCTTTGGTTGCAAGGAAGTGTATACTGAACTTACTTCCATTAGAAAACACCATGACGTGTCCATGTTCTACTCTATCATTTGGTATCAGCTAAAGTAAATGAGGACCAAAACCTCTTGTGGTGAATTATCAAGGTTTACAAACTCTTTGAGTCTGCTGAATCCATAGCCCAGTTTTGCAACATTATTAAAACTCTTTGGAACTCAGGGCATAATAGGTCAAGCTAACAAGCGTCTCTGCCTTTTCAGTTGCCCCCAGAGATACAACCGTCTTGGTCAGCCCTTCCTCCATCCTGGAGGAAGGCAGTTCTGTGAATATGACATGCTTGAGCCAGGGCTTTCCTGCTCCGAAAATCCTGTGGAGCAGGCAGCTCCCTAACGGGGAGCTACAGCCTCTTTCTGAGAATGCAACTCTCACCTTAATTTCTACAAAAATGGAAGATTCTGGGGTTTATTTATGTGAAGGAATTAACCAGGCTGGAAGAAGCAGAAAGGAAGTGGAATTAATTATCCAAGGTGAGCAGAGTGTGAGTAATGAGTTATCCTTGCTAGTAATGTTTTTGGTTATGTTACTGATTATGAGTAAAGTCTTTGAAAACAAAATTTTTACTACAAAAGTGTGATGAGGGTTTTGAAGAGTTTATGATGTTTCCAATGTATGGAGAAATCTCCTGAAATTGTCTTTTCTCATGAATTGTTACAAGTTTCTTATCCTGAGATTCTTTTAAACTCAAGTGAAATGCAAGCCTTCAGGACCTGTGTCAGAAGTTCCAGTTACACTTATGAGGCAATGGTTATGGTATTGAAATAAGAATAGGAAGAGGAATATCTGCATTTGGGATTATGTAGGATTAAAGCTACCATATCTGGCTGAATTGAACTCTGAGTGGCAATCTCACAAGATGGCCAGTAGTATTTGCTTAGAAGCCTAAGCTGGCACTTAAGTCTTTTGCAAATTCTGAGATTATGAGTAGCCATGACTCCGTCCTTTGGTTCATCAGCCTGAGAGCATGGAAGCACTAAAGTAGATTAAGTCAACAGATCTAGGCCCCTTCTCTTTAGGATGGAGACCCAAGATTGAGAACAAGACAATTATTAGTTCGCAGGTTGAAGCCATACGGAGTTATGAGCAAAATCATCAGGTGATCAATGTGGATTTCCTCTATCCCATCCCTTTTGGGTATCAGGGTTCTTTTCTTTGCCAGGGTTGTCATTTTGTCTATTACCCCTTGGCATTATTCCCACTAAGATATTAGTGACTTTCTTGTTATCTCAACTCAATAAGATTTGTATTTTAGAAGAAGAATATTGGAAAGACAATACACATCCTTAAAAAACAGACAAACAAACAAAAAAACCTTTTGGATGGTTGTCATGACCTTGGATGGGGAAAGAATTTCAAATCAACTTACAAAATAGAAGACCTTAATAGGGATTAAAAATTGGTGATATGGTACCTGCCTCCAGTGGTTGTTGCATTAATAGAGATGTTATATGTCAAGTACTTAGCTCAGTGCTTGGAACTTAATAAATGGCAGTAGTATTGTTAAGGATAGTGAAAAAGCCACATCTGTACAGCTTAACTTCTTGATTGAAGAATCCAACTCAAAACTCAGAAACCTGTAAAGGCCTTTGTACTTCAAGGAAATTTTTTCAAAACAGTATTACAAAAAATTAAGTTTCTATTTCACATCTGAATTCTATAGCTCTTTATCAAACACTGTATTTGTCAATTTTCACACTGCTATAAAGATACTACTTGAGATTGGTAATTTATAAAAGAGGTTTAATACAGTTCCACATGGCTGGGAAGACCTCACAAAATGTGCAATCATGGCAGAGGAGAAAGGGAAGCAAGGCACACCTTAACATGGCGGCAGGCAAGAGAGAGTGAGGAAGTGCCACACTTTAAAACCAAAAGTTCTCGTAAAAACTCATTAACTATCATGAGAACAGCATGGGGGAAACAGCCCCCATGATCCAGTCACCTCTCACCAGGTTCCTCCCTCAAAACGTGAGGATTACAATTCAAGTTGAGACCTGGATGGGGACACAGAGCCAAACCATATCAAACACCTATTCTTTGTGCTAGGCTGGGTAAATAATTATATTAAGGAACATGAAAGAAGCATAAGCCATGTACTCTCTTAGTTAAAACATGATCATTTCCAACAATCCAGCAATGCTTGACTTCTTTACTTGCCCTTCTTAACATTTAATGCAAACGCTAAGCACAAATAGCTCCAGGGAAGCTATTGTTGATGTCGCTAAATTAATATGGAGTTGGTTTATATTTCACTCAATCAGGGATGTCTTTTAAATTCTCTTTACAGTTACTCCAAAAGACATAAAACTTACAGCTTTTCCTTCTGAGAGTGTCAAAGAAGGAGACACTGTCATCATCTCTTGTACATGTGGAAATGTTCCAGAAACATGGATAATCCTGAAGAAAAAAGCGGAGACAGGAGACACAGTACTAAAATCTATAGATGGCGCCTATACCATCCGAAAGGCCCAGTTGAAGGATGCGGGAGTATATGAATGTGAATCTAAAAACAAAGTTGGCTCACAATTAAGAAGTTTAACACTTGATGTTCAAGGTGAGTTTGTTTTGAGTTTTTGTTTTCTTGGTAATAGTTCAGAGGTTCCAAGGATTACTAAGAGTTTCCAATATTTGATGAATGAGTTGGCAAAATGGAGCTGTGGTTTATTTCTTAAGGATTCTTGGAAAAATCAAGCACAGCTGCTTTATCCTATAAAGTTTAGCCAGGAAGTTGACATTAATCATTCGTGACTGAGGAATTCCTGCTTGCTTTTTTCAGTTTACAATTTATCATTTGTCTCTGAGGTCTTGCAGTTGCTAAATGTTTAACCATATTTTCAAACCTTTTCCCGGGAGGTTATAAGGAAACTAAAGAAGTAGGATTGGCACATTGAAAAAGAAGGGTTCTATCCAGACCCTCTTCCTTTCTACCAGAAGGAAACACTATTTTCTGAACATGGAGTAACTGCAATTTTCTGGATTGACTCTTTTCAGGATAATAATTGGGAATAGTAAACTTGATCCTGAACAACATAAAAAAATCTCTCGACTATCGAAAAGCCTCATTAAAATTCCAACCCACTTGCCATCCTACTCTATTCTGGTGGACAGAGAAAGAGAGGAGCAGTATCCTCATTGGAGAAACTTCAGGGGCCCCTTAATCTCCTAAGCCCTCTTGTGAATGCACAGTAGGTAGGATCTGCTGATCTTATTGGTGTAAACAAAATACATCAGCCTTGGCTGATCAGTATCACACCCCTTGCACACCAATTAGCTGCTATTGTGTAATGGAGGCCATACTTGGCGGTGGAGTGCAAACAGGACTGCAAACAAATGCCAAGTCTTAAGAGGTCTGGCACTTGGCTATTGGAGTGAGCAATCACTTGTCAATGCAGAGAAAATTTGAATCTACATCAGAAACAGGTAAAATTTTTGTTCGTCTACCCAAATTTCTCAAAATGGCAAGCCTTACCGTATGTATGTTTTCCATCTTCACAGTACCTCCTCAAAACATGAGAATAGCTGTATAGCTATACATCCATCTAGAAATGTTAAAGAAGGGGAAAACATCACGATTATATATGAAACTTCTAGTCATCCACCTGCAGTGATTATCCTGAAAAGAATTGATCTAGCCAATGAAGTTACTATGTGTTCAAAGAAGGGAACATTTACTTTGTATCATGTCACTCAAAATGATTCAGGGGTATATGTAATCAGTGCTTCCAATGAGGTTGGGGATGATTCTGGACAGATTGCAATCTCAGTTATGAGTAGGTTGAATTTACTCATCCCTATTTTCTTTAATCCTTAATGCCTCTGGGCCACCTTTAATTAAGCCTAGCCCTGGGAAATTGGTCCCCTAACATTTCTGTAATTCTTTTGTTAATTAATTGTGACCTTTTAAAGACACATCAAACCTGCTTCTCTACTTTTTGACTCTGTCTCACACACATTGCTTTATTTTCTAATTGCTTTATCAAATTAGCCACTTACACAGTTGCTACTTTTTACTCATTATTTAAATGAACAATCAAAGAATATTAAGCGCTCAGCTAGAAACTCATGCCCCCAAACTGAATATAGTTTAAACTAGCTAAATTTTAATGAAGACCAAAAAATGGATATTTTTCTGGGTATTTTGAACTAGATTTCTTTTGCATTTGGCTGGATTTTTTATTTGTTTCATTTTGTCTTAGCTTGAACGTATTCCATTAATAGAAATCATCAGGATTTTTAAAAGATATTCAGTGTTTATATGACAAATAGAAAATTGTATTTGAAGGTTGCCCTGGCAACTACCTTGGCAGCAAATTTGTATTTTTCTGCCAATGCCTGTGGGGAAGACTGAAAGGCAAAAGATAATGTATATTACATTGAAAAGAAAGAAAGAAAAGAAATAGAAATAGTATTTCTGTTTCTCAGCATGTCATCAATATTGATGCCTATCCATAATCATGTTGATGGACATCCCATTCAAATATTACCTTTATACTTTGACTAGCTCAGCTCTAGCAAGGGAAAGTCAAAAAGTGAGACAATTATCATTATGCTTAGGGTGAACTGTTTTTCTTCAATAATTTGAAAAAGTGACTTCACATTATCTGATGCTCGTGATTCTTTTTACTTGGTTGACCTCCAGTGATTAGAAAGCTCTGGAAAGAATGTAGTAATCACCAAAGTCAGATCTCTAGTTTCTGCCAGGACTGAGACAATGTATATGCCACTTAGTGAAACTTAATACTTGTGTGGTCACATGATGCTGTGCAAAGTATAAACAGGAGTGAGTCTTCAGTAAATGACACACTATCTTCTTCAGCTGCTCTTATAAAGTTAAGATGTTAAGCAGTATAGCAGCTGTCAGATGATTTTTTAGCAGATTAGAAAGAATACTAATTTTAAAGTTTTTGTATGCTGTTACCTACTGTACTCCATTTACAACTAAGTGGCAAAAGCAAAATGTAGAGAGAAAAAAATGTTATTAGTGTTTAAAAAATATTGTTTTTGGTGCCAACTAGGCCAAGCAGTGAGTCAGGTGCTGGCTGTTCAGTGATGGACTAAAAAGAAAATAGATATACATGTCTTGATGTAATTTTTAGCTTAGGGGAGGAAACTAAACTTAATAAGTAATTACATGGATAAATGTTTAATTAAAAGCTGTAATAAGGGTTTTGAAGGGAAAACGAGTGGGTTTTGAAAATATATTGAGGTTCTTAATTTAGAATGAGGGAGATATAGATTAGAGAATGCCTCTAAGAAACATTTAAGCTGTAACATAACACTGTCCAAAGAACTCTAGTTTATCAAAAGATGATATAAATGCTGAAGAGGAAAAATGTATTAATATGCCCTATTTCTGACATAAAAAACATAGAAACTTCTGTATATCTCTGAGAAAGCCATTGGCAAGATTTTTTTTTTCTCTTACGATCTTATTTGTGGCATTTAGCTATAATGGTCACACTCTGAATATTATAAGGATTTTCTTAGAGAACTGGTTAGTCATTTCAATTCATGGTCATCAGAGTCCCAGTTCTTTAGTAGATATTTTTATTTCCCCAAGCAAGTGCCTCTCTCCAATTCCTGTTCTTGCCTCTCTCCAATTCCTGTTCTTGTTAAAAACTTGTACCCTCCCTTCCATTTTACAACTGAACCTGAATCTATTTGAATCCAAGTTTGTGGAAGCCAACAACTATCATCTTTAGATCCATCATGACCATAGCAACCACCAACTGATTATTTGGATAATTCAGACAAACATGCATCTTGGGTCCTGATGGTCCTTATCACTGCTTTGATTCCCTTCTCTTTGGAGAACTAGTTGTACTGTTATAATAAACATGTAACTGTTGTTATTAAATGCTATCTTTTTGTACTAGACATTAATTGCATCCATTTTGTTATTTTCCAGGAAGAGAAAACAACAAAGACTATTTTTCTCCTGAGCTTCTCGTGCTCTATTTTGCATCCTCCTTAATAATACCTGCCATTGGAATGATAATTTACTTTGCAAGAAAAGCCAACATGAAGGGGTCATATAGTCTTGTAGAAGCACAGAAGTCAAAAGTGTAGCTAATGCTTGATATGTTCAACTGGAGACACTATTTATCTGTGCAAATCCTTGATACTGCTCATCATTCCTTGAGAAAAACAATGAGCTGAGAGGCAGACTTCCCTGAATGTATTGAACTTGGAAAGAAATGCCCATCTATGTCCCTTGCTGTGAGCAAGAAGTCAAAGTAAAACTTGCTGCCTGAAGAACAGTAACTGCCATCAAGATGAGAGAACTGGAGGAGTTCCTTGATCTGTATATACAATAACATAATTTGTACATATGTAAAATAAAATTATGCCATAGCAAGATTGCTTAAAATAGCAACACTCTATATTTAGATTGTTAAAATAACTAGTGTTGCTTGGACTATTATAATTTAATGCATGTTAGGAAAATTTCACATTAATATTTGCTGACAGCTGACCTTTGTCATCTTTCTTCTATTTTATTCCCTTTCACAAAATTTTATTCCTATATAGTTTATTGACAATAATTTCAGGTTTTGTAAAGATGCCGGGTTTTATATTTTTATAGACAAATAATAAGCAAAGGGAGCACTGGGTTGACTTTCAGGTACTAAATACCTCAACCTATGGTATAATGGTTGACTGGGTTTCTCTGTATAGTACTGGCATGGTACGGAGATGTTTCACGAAGTTTGTTCATCAGACTCCTGTGCAACTTTCCCAATGTGGCCTAAAAATGCAACTTCTTTTTATTTTCTTTTGTAAATGTTTAGGTTTTTTTGTATAGTAAAGTGATAATTTCTGGAATTAGAATGGTTGTATGTTTATTTATTATAAACTGCCTCCTTTAGTCACATTGTAGCTCTTTCTGAAGTGCTAAGTTATAAGAGTAAAATATTCAAACTATGGAAATAATACGGATACTCAAAATGTGACCCTTAGACTACTATTATTAAAATTACTGTAGGAACTTGATAAAAATGTAGATTTCTTGGTGCCAGACTAAGATATTGAATAGAAGTGTCTAGTTTTTGGTCCTTGGAATCTGCAATTTTTTAATTTAGAAAAATATACATAAAAAGATTTAATGCAGATGAACATGCACATGTTAATGGGCAACAAATGAACACCTGTGTACAGAACATTAAGAGCAAGAGATAGTAAAACTATTCTTCAGAGCCTTTTATATACCACATAGTGATGGCAGCACTCTTCCCTCACTGAGCAGTAACCCATAAATATTGTGAATCATACATTGATCATTTCCATGCTTCCTTTGGAGTTTTTTTTTTTTTTTTTTTTTTTGAGACGGAGTCTCGCTCTGTCGCCCAGGCTGGAGTGCAGTGGCGCCACCTCGCATCTCGGCTGGCTGCAAGCTCCGCCTCCTGGGTTCACGCCATTCTCCTGCCTCAGTCTCCCTAGTAGCTGGGACTACAGGCGCCCGCCACCACGCCTGGCTAATTTTTTTGTATTTTTAGTAGAGACGGGGTTTCACTGTGTTAGCCAGGATGGCCTCGATCTCCTGACCTCGTGATCCGCCCGCCTCGGCCTCCCAAAGTGCTGGGATTACAGGTGTGAGCCACCGCGCCTCGCCCCTTTGGAGGTTTTATACCTGTCTATGTATCCCTAAGTAGTACATTACTTAGTTTTGCCAGATTTTGCATTTTATATAAATACAATCCAATTATACATTTGCCTTGTAACTATTCTTTCACTCAAAGTTATGTTTTTCATAATACATTTGTGTAGTTATAGGTCATTCATTTTTCTCCACTTGGAATGGATTTTTTTTAACTTTTAAGTTAAGGGGTACAAGTTTAAGTTTGTTACATGGGTAAACTTGTGTCATGGGGGTCTGTGTTGTACAGATTATTTTATTACCCAAGTATTAACCCTAGTACCCATTAGCTGATTTTCTTGATCCTCTCCCTCTTCCCACCCTCCTTCCTCCAAAAGGCTCCAGTGTGTGTGTTCCCCTGTATGTGTCCATGTGTTCTCATCATTTAGCTCCCACTCATGAGTGAGAACATGTGGCATTTGGTTTTCTGTGTTAGTTTGCTAAGGATAATGGCCTCCAGCTTCATCCATATCTCTGCAAAGAACATGATCTCATTCTTTTTTATGGCTGTATAGTTGGAATGGATTTTTTTATACAACGCAGGGTGGGTATGAAACAATTGTCCCTATACCATTTATTGAAAAGCTAATTATATATATGAATATATATATTTATATTCATAAATTAATATATATTTCTTTTTATAAATGTCTCTTGATTATTCTAGTTTTTGAACTTCCATATAAATTTTAAAGTCATTTTGTTAAGATATAGAACAAAAAATTAGGATTTTTAACTCAACTTATATTGAATATATAGATCACTTTGAATAGAACTGATATTTTTAAAGCATTGAGTCTTCTAATCCATGAACATAGTTATTATTTTTAGACTATCTTTGATGTCTTACAGAAATGTTTTTTTTAATTTCATAAACGCCTTATTCCTTTTAAAAATTTATTTCTATGGAGTTTGGATTTTTATACTATTATTCACAGTATCTTTAAAATTATATTTATTTGGGGTATAACTTTCATACAATAAAATTCATTAACTACCACCACAATCAAGAAATGCAACTTTTTTTTTATCACTTTAAGATTTCCATCAGGCTCCACTGCAGTGAATCTCCCCACCCACCACCTCCTCTGGCCCTTGGCAAAAATCAATCTGTTTTCTGTCACTATACTCTTGCCTATTCTAGAATTTTATATAAATGAGATTGTACAGTATATAGTCTTTTATGTCTGTCTTCCTTCACTTAGCTTGACTCTCCTGAGGTTTATTTATGTCATTATGTATATCAACGGTTTGTTATTTTTTATTGTTAGAGCATACCACTGAATGCTTATGGTAAAGCTTATTTATCTAGTCATCAGTAGACAATTGGGTTGTTTATGATTTTTGGCTATTGTTAATAAGTCTGGTATAAATATTTAAATGCAGATATTTATGTGGATATGTGAATATATATATATATATATATATATATATATATGGAGAGAGGGAGAGAAAGAAAGAGAGAGACCTAGGATTTTGGTCCCAGTTACTCTACATCTACATAAACACTTGGCATTTGTATTTTAAATTTTTGCCATTCTAGTGTTGGGTCATGGTATCTTACTGTAGTTTTAATTTCCCAATAACTAGATTGATCATCTTTTCATATATTTATCATTTTTATATATCTTATTTGGGGAAACATCTATTAAAACCCATCACCCAAATTTTTATCAGGTTGTTTGTCTTCTTATTGAATTCTAAGAGTTCTCTTATATATTCTGAATAGAAATTCTTTATGGAATATACATTTAGCAAATGTTTTCTTTCAGTAATTGCAGTGGCTTGCGTTTTCATTTTTTTTTTTAACAGTGGCTTTGCCTATCCCAAGGCAACAAAGATTTTCTCATTCATTTTTTTCTAGAGGCATCATACTTTTAGTTTTACATTTATGTCTATGACCCAATCCAAATTAATTTTGTGTATGATGTGAGGCCATGGTGAAAGTCATTTTTGCATATGTGTATTCAACCATTATAGCACATTTTGTTGAAAGGACTTTTTCTCTCATGAATTACCTTGACATTTTTGCAAAGAATCGATTGGCCATATTTATGTGGGGCTTTTTTTTTTTTTTTTTGAGACAGAGTCTTGCGCTGTCACCAGGCTGGAGTGCAGTGGCATGATCTGGAGTGCAGTGGCATGATCTTGGCTCACTGCAACCTCTGCCTCCCGGGTTCAAGCAATTCTCCTGCCTCAGCCTCCTGAGTAGCTGGGACTACAGGCAGTGTGTGTGGGGCTATTTCTGAACTTTCTTTTGTGTTCCATAGATTGATATATCTCTTCATACACAATATGACACTATCATGACTACTGTAGCATTATATTATAAGCCTTGAAATCAGATAGTGTGAGATTTCCAATTTTAAACTTCTTCAAAAATTTTTGGCTAGATTAGATCCTTTGCCTTTCCATATGAATTTTAGAATCTGCTTGTCAACTTCTGTAAAAAATCCTGCAAGTATTTTTGATTAGGATTCATTGAATCTATACGTTAATTTGGGAAGAATTATCATCTTAAAAATATTGAGTCTTCCAACACACATATGTATAATTTCATCTTCTTAGGTCTTCTTTAGTTTTTTTTCACCAATGTCTTACTGTTTTCAGTGTGCAAGTCTTATACATTCTTGGCTAAATTTATCTTTAAGTATATCATTGTTTTTGATGTGGTTATAAATGATATTGGTTTTTAAATTTCAATTTCCAGTTGTTTGTTCCTAATATATGAATATGCAATCAATTTTGTATACTGATTGGGTATTCTTCAACCTTGCTAAACTCCCTACTTCAGTTCTAGTAGTTTTTCGTAGATTCTTTAAGATTTTCTACATAGATGATCATATCTTCTGAGAATATAGACAGTTTTACTTCTTTCTTTTCAACTTATATTCTGTTACCTTTATTTATTTCACTGGCTAGAACTTCCAGTAATACGTTGAATAAAGGTAGATAAAGCAGATATTTGTGCTTTAGTCCTAATCTTAGGAAAAAAGGCATTAGGTCATTTACATGTATGATGTAAATGTTATGATGTAAAATGTATTTTAACTGTGATGTTAACTGTGAATTATCTTAGATGCTATATCAGGTTGAAAATTCCCTTCTATTCTTTGTTGTTGAGAGATTTTTATAATAAATAGATATTGAATTTTGTCAAATACTTGGTATACATCTATTGAGATGATCATGTGGTTTTTCTTGTTTCTTTTTGTGTCTGTTAATATAGAAAACGGCATTAACTGTTAAATATTGAATGAACTTTTTTTCATTACTGAGGTTAGCTCATTTGGTTGCACCTGTGTTAATGAAGAAAGTTGATCTGCAGTTTTTTTTTCTTGTAATATCTTTTGTCTAGTTTTGGTATAAGTAATGCTAGCCTCATAGAATGAGTTGGAAAATATTTCCTCCTATTTCATTTTTAGGGACATTTTCTGTAAAATTGGCCTTATTGCTTCCTTAAACATTTAATAGGATTCACTAGTGAAGCCATCTGGGCCTGGAGTATTCTTCCTGGGAAAGATATTAGCTACAAATCCAATTTTTTGGCTGGGCGCGGTGGCTTACGCCTGTAATCCCAGCACTTTGGGAGGCTGAGGTGGGCGGATCACGAGGTCAAGAGATTGAGATCATCCTGGCTAATGTGGTGAAACCTTGTTTCTACTAAAAAAAAATTAGCCAGGTGTGGTGGCAGGTGCCTGTAGTCCCAGCTACTCGGGAGGCTGAGGCAGGAGCATGGCGTGAATCCAGGAGGTGGAGCTTGCAGTGAGCCAAGATTGCGCCACTGCACTCCAGCCTGGGCAACAGAGCAAGACTGTCTCAAAAAAAAAAAAAAAAAAAAAAATTCAAATTTTTTTTCGCTTGACCACTGACTATTTCAGTTTCCTATTCTTGTTGAGCAAGTTGTGGTAGTTGGTGTCTTTCAGGAAATTTATCCATTTCATTTCAGTTGGGTTTACTGCCATTAAGTTGTTTATAATATAAAACATTATTATGCCTTTAATAACTGAAAGATCTTTACAAAGCATTTTGATCTAAAGGAAAGGGGGAACACATCCCATTAAAAATCTGTGATATACAGCTAAAGCAATGCTTAGAGTGTAATGTATAGCACTAAATGTCTACATTGTAAACAAGGTCTCAAATCAATGATCTATAGTTGTACATAGGAAACTAGAGAAAGGAGATAAAATAAAACTCAAAGTAATCAGGGAAAAGGAAAATTTAAAGATAACATTAAAAATAATAAACAGGCAAACAGTGATTCAATAAAACCCAAAACTGGTTATTTGAGAAAAATAGCAAAATTCATAAACCTCTAGCCAGACTGATATTGGGAATGAGAGAGAACACATCACTCCAGATCATGTAGACATTTGCAGGAAAATAAGAAAATTATAAACAAGTTTATGCCAATAAATTTGACAACAATGGACAGATTCCTTGAAAGAAACAAATTATCAAAGCTCATTGAAATGGAATAGACAATGTGAATAGCTCTATATCTAATAAAGAAGTTAAATGTGTGGTCTCAAAAGAAAACTCCAGGCCCAGGTGACTTCATTGGTGAATTCTACCAAACATTTAAAGATGAAATATTACCAATCTTACATAAATTCTTCCTGAAAATGGAAAACGAGGGCCTTTTTTTAATATCAGGACTTCAACTGATTAAATGAAGCCCACCTACAAACTAATCCGGAGTAACAAAAGGCAACAGATCAGTGGTTGCTTTGGGGCAGGATGGGAGGTAGCGAGGGATAAATTGCAAAGGAGCACAAAGAAAATTTTTGAATGATGGATATTTTATAATACTAATTGTGGTGATAGTTTCATGGATTTCACATATGTCAGACATCAAATCGTATAGTTTAGTATGTGCTGTTTATTATATATCAATCATACCTCTATAAAGCTGTAAAAAATAAAATATTTAAAAAGAATCGCCAGGTGCGGTGGCTTACACCTGTAATCCCCGCACTTTGGGAAGCCAAGGCGGGCAGATCACGAGGTCAGAAGATCGAGACCATCCTGGCTAACACGGTGAAACCCCGTCTCTACTAAAAATACAAAAACAAAATTATCTGGGCGTGGTGGCGGGCGCTTGTAGTCCCAGCTACTCAGGAGGCTGAGGCGGAAGAATGGCGTGAACCCGGGAGGCAGAGCTTGTAGTGAGCTGAGATCGTGTCACTACAATCCAGGCTGGGTGACAGAACGAGACTCCGTCTCAAAAAAAAAAAAAAAAAGAATCTATGATATCATATATACACATTTAATACATAAAATAGAATTATGTATACTGTGGATATATCCCCAAATACATTAAACTAGTATTTTAAAAATTGTACCTTTTTTGACAATAAGATCTGGAAATGTTAAGTTTTGTTCTTTTATTTCTTTGACTTTTCCAATCTGTCCCCTCTTTACCACAAATATCCACATTGCTATGGAAGATTTCAGATCGGTACAAAAAATGCAAATAGAACAGTTAATGAACTCTTTTTAGACTTCAAAGGTAGTTTCTTGAACTATGACTACATACAACAACATGGGTGACTCTCACAAAAAGAAGTAAAAGAAACAATTGGTAAAAGAGACCATACTATATAATTTCATTTATATGTAGCTCAAAAGCAGGCAAAACTAATACATGGTGTTAAAAGTCAGGATATTAGTTACTCCTTTGGTTACAGTGACTAGAAGGAGTAGAAGAGCTCCTTTTGGGTTCTGTTTTTGTTCTGTTGCTTGATCTGGGTGGTGGAATTTTTAATAAAAATTTACATTTCATAGGCAAATTCTTGAAAATCAAGAGCCTAGACGGATGGGGGGATTAGAGTGTATGCATTGGAAAGAGAGCAAAGAGAGAAGCAAATTACCTTGCCCACCTCCCTCCCACTTTTCATCTATCCTGGGTAATGAGAAGGAGAGTTATGTGATAAGACTTTATAGGAGACAGTATAACTTGTGTTCAAAGGGATAACGTGGCATAGAGAGGCCTCAGATAAAGGAGAGATTTCAACACAGAGAGAATGGCAAACACGAGGAAGACTCCTGCAAGCTGAGCCAAGGCATTCAGAGAGACCATACTTGCCTTACACTAGAAACCATCACATCTTTGCAGGGAAGCCAAGTCAGCTGTGCTCATCACTGCCTAGAGATGGATGCCTAGTAAACAGCTGCCTATAAACCCTTTTCATTTTCGAGTAAGATGCTGTACATGACCTGAAGTTTTGCTGAGTCCTAGCCCTTGTCAATAACCCAGGGCACTATAAAGTCCCCTTAAGGACAGGGTTAGATTCTTTATTCTTGCTGATTTTGGTTAGGAGGGGCTTTAGGCTGGGCGCGGTGGCTCACCACCTGTAATCTCAGCACTTTAGGAGGCCAAGGCAGGCAGATCACTTGAGCCCAGGCGTTTGAGACCAGCCTGGGCAACATGACGAAACCCCATCTCTACCAAAAAGTACCAAAAAATTTGCAAGGAGTGATGGCTCATACCTGTACTCGCAGCTACCCAAGAGGCTGAGGTGGGAGAACCACATGAGCCCAGGAAGTCGAGGCTGTGGTAAGCTGTGATCACACCACTGCACTTCAGCCTGGGTGACAGAGTGAGACCCTGTCTAGAAAGAAAGAAAAAGGAAAGAAAAGAAGGAAAGAAAGAGAAAGAAAGAAAGAAAGAAAGAAAGAAGGAAAGAAAGAGAAAGAAAGAGGGAGGGAGGAAGGAAGGAAGGGAGGGAAAGAAAGAAAGCGAGCCTTTAAAGGGACGTCACAGAAATGAGATGGGTAAAGGAAGGCAGGCAAGTCTTAGACCTGGATGGTAGCTGACAACTTTGGGGAAGAAGAAAACTTTTTTCCCTGACTCTCCTGGTCTCTGAAGTGGGAGTGATTGCTGTTGGATGCAATCACCTTCTCTGGCTGACTGCCATTAAAGTGAAGCATAGAAGATACTTGCCAGGGCTTTCCCTCTGCAGCAGATATTGTTTATAAATCGGAATATGAAACTATCTCATTTATTTGTCCAATATTCTACTGGGAAGGAAGTAAATGGTTGATTTCAGTGGAGATACACTAGCACTTTCATAATATTATAATATTATATCAGTAAACTTTTAGTAACCTCATAGATTTCATTGTCTGGTTTTCTTAGAAATGGATTCAAATCTCACTGTAGACTTTTGATAGTATTGGTTCTCAGCTGCTAGAATATTTTCTGAATTTATGGGAAACTTGCAATCTCTTATTCTGATTTTGTGGTAGTCAAACCATGACTAAATAACAGGTTGAAAAAATTCATGGCAGTCTACATCATGTAACCATCACCATCACCTTTTCTGCTCTGGATGAATAATGTAGGAAAATTATCAGACAGAAATCAAGATTGCTTACAAATAAAGAAAAGTCTATACAGGCTCACAAACATTTCTTGAGGAAATGCATGTTCAAATAATGATCTAACAAAGAAATTTTTTAAAGTCTGTTTCCCATATTGAATCCTCAGAAATGTCTCTTTTGCTCTGCTAATTGCAGATTTGGGGAATATGCTAGTACCAATCAAAGTGACCACTAAAATTACTGGGGAAGGCAATAACTGGGGTCAATCATCTTATATATTAAGGAGCTTCAGTTTTCTTTTGTGTAAAATTAAGAGTTTTGGCCAGATAAACTTTAAGATCCCTTCCAATGGGTAACTTTTTCCCCTCACTTTATTTTAGATAAAGTTTTCTTACATTTAGCCAAACAGAGGCCTAGGGAATCTTTTTTGTATCCTTTGCTTAATCAACTTCAATGGAGTCTTGAGGAGAAAAATAAAATATTTAAACTAATCCTAACACTAACAAGTAATTTCTGCTATGGATTCATAATGGCCAGGCTTCCCTGCAGAGAGAAAAGGAACATTTGTAATGCTCTTGGGAAAAGCTTTTGTTTTAGTCACAATGATAGTGAAAATTTCACTTCTGAAAAAAAAAAAAAAGAAAAAAAAAAGTGTGCCCTGGCTTTTCAGGCTTTGCTGCTATTGAAGAGCATGGTTTCTCTCAAAAGGGGCTAATCTGCAAGGCTTGCTTGAGAAGAGTATAACAAATTGAATGGAACCAAATGTCTGGGTTTTTTAGTGAAGAACAATGCTATCAGGAGAGAGCATTTTATTGTTTTTAGTTCTTTTCTCATTGAAAGGGACTTTGGGGGCATTATGGAGCAGTAAAACATTGCAAAGGCAATGTTTCAGTCTTGAAAAGAAGAAGAATGAGGAGACGACATTGATTTTGTGGGTAAGGCGGGCATGGTGAATCACCACTAAATTGAATTGTATTGTGATGAATTTTAACTAACTTTCTCAAATGAAAGTTTTAGTCTATGTAAAAAGATTTTTAAAATCAGAATTTGTAATTAAGACTGTTATGACTACTTTTCTTCTTTTCTTTAATCCAGCCTGCATGCAATTACAATTCATTCAATTACCAGGACATTGAATATTATTATGCTAAATCTAACAAGAAGGACTATTAAATATAGAACCTTGAATGCATGATAAAAATGAACATTATTACTTTGGCTTGGGGTCATATCTGGTACTTAGAAATTTAGAAATATTCACATGAATCCTACTTAAAAAGCAGCAGACTCAAGGAGTTGCTTTTCACTGGGATTTCTGTCGTTGTCTTGCCAAGTTTTATGGACACTCGACATTTTTGTGAAAATAATTTCATGCTCCCAGGCAGAAAACTGAAAAAGCCAGTTTATTTTGCCTTGTGACAATCTCATAAAGCCTTGCTTCTTATTTGTTTGAGTTCCTCTTATTTAAATGGTCTAGTCATTTTTGAGTTAACTCTTAATGTTACACACTTGCCATTTACTAGTGTCCTGGCAGTATTTCCCAACTCTCCTCATCATGAGAATTTCATGGGGTACTCATTAAAAATAGAGAGTCTTGTGCACTATTCCAAACCTACTGTTATAGACTCCGTTAGGTGGGGCCTGGAAATTAAATTTTTAAAAATATCCGCAGTGATTTTTATGCCTATATTTGGGAAACACTGTTCTAATAAAAGTAAGTGTTTACCCTAGAAGGTATTAATTGAACCTTGAGTTTTGAAAAGACCTTTCCTGTCTAAGGCTAAGCTTTTTTTTTTTTTTTTTTTTTTTTTTTGAGAGAGAACCTCACTCTGTTGCCCAGACTGGAGTACAGTGGTGCGATCTTGGCTCACTGCAACCTCCAACTCCCGGGTTCAAGCAATTCTCCTGCCTCAGCCTCCCGAGTAGCCTGGACTACAGGTGCCCACCACTACACCCAGTTATTTTTTGTATCTTTTGTAGAGACAGGGTTTCACTGTGTTGGCCAGGCTGGTCTCAAACTCCTGACCTCAGGTGATCCGCCCACCTCAGCCTCCCAAAGTGCTGGAATTACAGGCTTGAGCCACCACACTCAGCCATTAAACTTTCTTTCAAATTTACAACTGCCTCTTCTTATATTTTCTGGAAACAGTCTCTCATTCAAACACTTTTTCCTGTCTTCAACCCCTATCTCTACCAGCCCTTATAAGACTAGTTCACTAGTAATATTTTCTTAACTAATAAAATGGGGATAATTTTGAAATGTAAAGCTATTTTCATTTCTGATAATCTCTAATTTCTGCTTGTCCCACAGTTTCTCCACTCAGCCATTCATTGTTTCATGGAGGCAGAGAGAAGCCAGGTGAGAAAGAATCATTGCTCAGTTTGAGATTTCAACCAGATTTATTTAAATCCACAGGAATACAATGGCTTTATAAGGAAGACTATATAGAAAGTAAGACACTTTTCTACATTCCAGAAATTCTTCTAATATAGTAAGAGCTTCAAGATATAGTGTAATAAACCAGAATATAGAGAAGATGAAAAATGTACAGTAGGCCCCTGATACACAGATGGGGAGAAAGCTCTTCTACTACTGGGAAGAGAAGCCAAGAAAGAAAAAAGTGACAAGATATTAAACACAAATGTCCTTGCTGCTCTCTGCTTTGGGATCAAATATGGGAGGGGCAATGGAGTAGAATCATTTAAATATTTTTGAGGGAACTAAAGAAGCATTGGAATTAGTACTCCCCTTCCCCACAAGTGGAAGCTTCTCAAAGAAGACTTGCATTTTCTAATGCAGCATGGGAGCAATAGAGAAGCATAGGAAAAGAGGCCTGAGGAGGTTAGCGGACAAGAAGTGACCTGGAACTGGAATTAGAAAACCACAAAGTGTGGGAACATTATGACCAGACAAAATGGCAAGGTCTACAGTTCTCAGTAGTTAATAATGTGATGCCAAGATTAGGCGGGACCAGCTACACTGGCAACACTGCACAGGACAATGGTTATCCAGCAGAGGTCAGAATGCGCCAGCAACAGCTTGGGGAGCACAAGACTCCCACTGCCTCCATATGCCCCATGGCACCCGGGAGGAGGAAAGGAGGGCAGGGAAGGAATATTGAAAGGATCGGTAAATATGAAAAAATGCTTTTAAAGTGAAAGAAATGCTTTCAATTAATTGAAGTACTTTTTCTGGTATCAACAGAAATGATGAGTCATGGCAAGAGCAAATCAATGCTAGGTAATAAAGGTTTTTTTGCACATCTGAATTGTAGTGTGAAAATTTCAGCCTGTCATAGCACCAAATGCAATCTGTTTTTATTCGTCCTGTTTTCAGCGTTGATAGTTGACCACTCCGTAATCCTTAAATCTATTTTTATTACATCACATTATACTAGTTTTTCTCTTGTTTCTCTGGCTCTTACTTCCCTCACAACCTTCTTTCATGTATTCTTTGAATGTTGTACCATGGATTCCATACTCAGTTCTCCTTTCATTTTAGATACTCTCCCCTGATGACCTCATCTTTCTTACGGTTTCAATGGTCATAATTTCAAATATACATTCTAAGACTCAGCCTCTCTGCTTCCTGAGATCTATTGGTCATCTCCATAGATATCTCATAAGCATCTCAATTTCCATCTGCCTCAAACTGTTCCCCTAGTTGTTCACAGAATGAGCTGGAAAGTGTTCTTTCCTGTTCAATTTTCTGTAACATTTTCTGGAGAATTAGTAATATTTCTTCCTTAAATGCTTTGTAGAATTTATCAGTAAACAATCTTGATCTAAAGTTTTTTGGTGGAAGATTATTAACCAAAAATTTAATTTTAAAAACATATACAGGGCTATTTAGTCTATCAATTTCTTTTTAAGTGAGCTTTGGTAGTTGTGACTTTCAAGACAATTGTCTATCCCATCTAAGTTTTAACATTTATTGGCATTAAGTTGTTCCTGATATTCCCTTATTACTATTTTAATGTTTGTAATGTCTATAGTGATGTTTCTTCTTTTTGCCTGACCAGATTGGCTAGAGAGTTACAAATATTATTAGTGCTCCCAAAGAATCAGCTTTGATTTCACTGATTTTCTCTTTTATTTATATGTTGACAAATTTATTGATTTCTGCTCTAATTTTTATTACCTTTATTACCTTTCTGTTTTCTTTGGATTTGCTTTTTTTTTTTTTTTTTAAGTTTCTTAAATTTAACGTGGAGGCCATTTGTTTCAGACCTTTCTTTTCTTATGTAGGCTGTTAGTACTAAATAGTTCTCCCTGAAGACTACTTTAGTTGTATTCCAGACATTTTGATATGATATTTCATTCAATTCAATGTGCTTTCTGATTTCCATTTGAATTGCTTTTTTATTCATGGGTTATTTAGAAGTATTACTTGGTAATTGTACATTTTATGGTTTTCTATATATCTTTTGATTAATGATATCCAGTTTAATTCAGTTTTTGTCAGAGAACATATAATGTATGAATGTAATCATTTTACATTTATTGAGACTTGTTCTATGGCCAGAATATGACATATCTTAATAAATGTTCCATGTGCATGAAAAGAATGTGTAGTTTGCTGCTGTGGGTGGATTGTCCCATAAATGTGTATTAAATTGGTTGATAGTATTGTTCAAGTCTTTACAGTTTTGTCCAATTTTTATATCAATTAATTAGAGAGGGATCTTGAAATCTCCAACTATATTTTTAGATTTATTTGTTTCTCCTCTCTGTTCTATCAATTTTGCTTCATGTACTTCTAAGTTCTCTTATTAGGTAAATAGTTGTTTATGATTTTTATATCCTCTTGATGAATTATGAAAATTGATTAATTTTCATAATTATGTAAAAACCTATTTCCTTGTAAGAATTTTTGCTCTGAAACCTAATTTGTGTCATATGAATATAGTCACTCAAGCTGTCTTTTAGTTAGTATTAGCATGTTACAATTTTCTATCCATTGAGTGTCAACCTATTTGTGCATTTATATTTAGAGTGGATTTATTGCCGACATAATATAATTGGAACTTGCTTTTCTTGCTAACATGACAATCTTTCCCTTTTAATTGAAATCTTTAGACATTTGTATTTATTGTTATTGATATGGTTAGTTGAGTTTAAATCTATCATTATGTTATTTGTTTTATATGTGTCCTTTTGTTGTTTTATTCTTACTTTATTGTGGCAAGAACAGTTAATATGAATCTACCTTCTTAATAGATCTTTAAGTGTACAATACAACATTGTTAACCAGAGGTACAATTTTGTAAAGGAGATCTCTAGAGCTTATTTATTTTGCATTATTGAAGCATCATACTACTGATTAGCAACTCCCCATTTCTCCTTTACTCCAGCCCCTGAAAACCACCATTCTATTCTGCTTCTATCAGACTATTTTAGATACTTATATAGTGGAGTCATGTGGTATTTGTATCGGACTGATTTCTTTCACTTAGCATAATGTCCTCCATGCTGTCACATATTGCAGGATTTCCTTCTTTTTTAAGGCTAATATTCCGTTACATGTATGTGTCACATTTTCTTTATTCATTCATCCATCAGTGGGCGTTTAGGTTGTTCCTACATCTTGGCTATTTTGAATAGTGCTGCAATGAACATGAGAGTGCTAATTTTCCTTGAGATTCTGATTTCAATTCTTCTGAATAAATACCCAGAAGTAGAATTGCTGGATCATGTGGGAATTCTATTTTTAATTTTTTGAGGAACCTCTGTACTGTTTTCCATAATGACTGTATCATTTTGCATTCTTATCAGCAGTATGCAAAGATTCCAGTTTCTCCGCACCCTTGCCAACACTTACTGTCATATATATTCTAACGGGAGTGAGGCAATATCTCATTGTGGTTTTGATTTTCATTTCCTTGATGATTAGCGCCATTGAGCATCTTTTTACATATGCGTTGTCCATTTCTATGTCTTCTTTGGAAAAAATGTCTGTTCAAGTCCAGAGCTTAGTTTTTAAACCGGGTTGATAGTTTCCTTTGCTATTGAGTTGTAAGAGTTTCTAATATCTTTTGGAAATTAACCCATTATCAGATATTTGGTTTGCAAATATTTTCTCCAATTCCATAGGTGCCTTTTCATTTTGTTGTTTGTGTTCTTTACTGTGTGGAAACCTTTTAATGTGATATAGTCCCACTTGTCTATTTTCAATTTCTGCTTGTGTTTTTGGTGTTATAATTATAAATTCATTGCCAGGACCAATGCCATGAATTTTTTCCCCAATCTTTTCTTCTAGGAGTTTTATACTTTCAAGGCTTACATTTAAGTCTTTAATCCATTTTGAGTTGATTTTTGTTTATGGTGTAGGATGAATCCCATCTGTTCTTTACTCCATATTTCCTCTTTTCTCTGCCTTCTTTTGGATAGATAGTGTATATTTTTTACAATTCTATTTTATCTTCTTTGTTAGCTTAATTGTTATTATTTTATGTTTTGGTTTTTAGTAATTGCTTTAGGGGTTATCGTGCATGCCTTTAATTTATCACAATTTACCTTCAAATGATATTATGCCACTTCACATAGAAGAACTTTACAACAGAACTTCTTTACACTTCCTGTTCCCTTTCAGCCTTTGTGCTGTAGGACATTTTAATTCTAGAGATGTATTCAACCCAAAAATATATTGTTTTCATTTTTACTATAGGCAATCAATTGTCTCTTAAAGGTATCTGAAAATTAAGAAAAACTTTATAGTTAACCACATATTTACCGTTTTCAGTACTCATTATTCTTTTCTGTAGATTTAAATTTTCCTCTGATATCTCTTTCCATCTGAAGACCTTCCATTATCATTTCTCACAGTATATGTTTGCTTATCACTAATTCTTTCAGTGTTTTATGTATGAGAAAGCCTTTTGTGTGTGTGTTTCATTTTGAACGGTACTTTTATTGGTATCAAAATATATTCTAAGTTGACAGTTTTTTTTCCTTTCAGTCCTATGAAAACGTTCCACTGTTTTCTGAATTCCATTGATCACCGAAATATTGTTAGCCAAATTTAGAACTTAACTGTAGCATCTGTGTACTATTTTACGGCCTATTTTGTTTGTTTACTATTTCTCCCTTGTTTACATTTGTATACAAGTTTGAATTTGCATTTTTTGTCTCAATGTGTTTTTTTCTTTATGTGTACATTTTATTAAAAACATTTTTATTAGTTACTTCAAACATTTTATGAAAAGGCCAGAATATAGAGAAGTAAACCAACAAATAAAATAGTTGTACTTACATGGTACCTTGGAAGCATAAGCATAAATAAAATAGTATAGATGAAGTTTTTATATTAGCTCACTGCTGTATCTTAGAGAAGGCCCACGGAGTTGGTGAATAAGATAAATGTGGTTGAAAAGGACAACAAGAAATCTCTAGAGCCTAAGTGCTGTCCAATGAATAGAGGCCTAGATAAAATGTCATAGTGTAGACCAAAAACATGTGTGCCAGTGGAAGGGTCTGGGCACTTCAGATCGGGGTTTGGAGGGAGCTGAGTATACTAAAAAAGAGCAATTGGAGCTGAAGGCAAGCTTTGTCTAGTTCACAATGTTGCCAAGAAAAATCACTGATCTTTTGTGTGGGATCATACATGCTATGATGCCTCTATGTCTGACAGTCTAACTAGAATATGAGCATATATAAATGTGTCTAGCTTAATACATAAGCTCCAAAGAGGGCCAGGAACATTCTTTTACTTTGAACACAACAGTACTAAAAATTTAAATAGGTTCTTTCTCTGAAATGTTAATAAGGGATAGGTCAAAGAAAATAGAGTAAACATCCATTTTTAGTTGTTTAGTACTATATCTTCACTCATGCTACAAATCCCCAGAAATGTTAAAAACATTAAGTTTGCAAATATATGCATAGCTTCAATAAAAAACATAAAGGTTAATAATTAACAGGATAAGAATTCTGGGAGGCTTATGAAAGATGAAAAACACACAGACTCCGTAATCTATAATGCTTATAATGATGCTGCAGAAGATGGAAGGAAATACCAGAACCAATAAGGATAAACATTTATAAAATCCCAAATCTAGATATATTGCAGCAAAATTTTGAATATCTTAATAGAGAGGAAAATCTTCCACTATTACCAAAGACAAACCCAAAATTATCTATATGGGGAAAGAAAAATCATATAGACATCAGACTGACATCAGGCTTCTCATAAACAGTCATTCTGTAAATATGATGAATCAATATCTTCTGAGAATAACCAACATTTATTGAGGACTGTTCTAAGCATTTTCAAATTTAATTCTCCTAACATTATTATGTGCATACCATTATTGTTTCCATTTCACAGATAAGGAATTAAAGTACAGAGAAGCCAAGTAGCCTGCACAAGATCACATAGCTAGAAAATGACATGGCATAGAGTAGTTGGAAATACACCATGCTAAGAGTCAGAGTCCTGGATTCAAGTTCTTGCTGATGACTGTTGACATCTCTTCTAGCGTTAATAATGTGTAATTATGCAATTCTTCTATATTTAAGGCACCTTTGTATATGCAGTGAAGAATGAGAAATGTGATAGAATCTCGACTGATCTAGACTCAGGAAATTAAAAACACAGGTCAAGATCTCCAAACTGTCATTCAAAATGTGGACATAGGAAAAAAATTTTAATGTCGATAGTTAGATATTTTATTTTACCTTATATTTTTGGTAGGTACACTGGCTTTCCATTTAGGAGAGAGATAAAGTGTTTCATTAGAATGAATTTGTTTGAGTAAAAACAATTTAGATACTCATGCAGTGTGTGTGAAGATGTGCCCCAAGTCATGAGGGTGTATGTAAAGAAGTAAAGTTTGGAAAAGCTGAACTTGAGAGTGGTTCTCCTTCTTTGTTGGACTGCTAAATTTTGAACAACACATAACATTTCTTTGTTTTTATTTGTTATTATTACTTACTGTTACAGTGATGACTTTCAACCACTCTTTGCTGAGTGGGTTCTAAGACAAGAAGGTTATAACTTGCTTGGAATAAGAGCTTAGAAGGACAGAGTAATATCAAGGCATTGTTTGTGTTAGGTGGAACTACATGAAATTGCCAGTCAGAAACTGTCCAATATCAGTAATTCACATGATTTGACTTGTATGTTAGTGTTAGGGTCACCTGCTGTGCAACAAACCACCCCAAAATTCAGTGGCTTAAACAACAGACGGTTTACCATGTCTAATGATTCTGAGTTTTGGGGGCTGAAGGTAGCTCCACGTCTTGATGTGTGTGGGAGCATGCATCTACAGATTGGAAAGGAATTGTTGGGAACCATGTTTGTTGGCCAGGTACCACAAAAACATTTCTTTGATGAATATCAGAGAGATGAGTCAGGGCAGTTCTATTCAAACAAAGACACAATGTGACAAGTGAGTAGTATCATTGTGGATGCTATTTATTCCTTAGAGTGTGCTAATACAAATTATACTCAAAAGGGTACTGTGACATGAAAATGTCCACAAACACTGATTCATAATCTAAGTGGAGTGATAAGATTGCCATAATTCGAGTAAAGACTGATTAATAGGTAGAGATAAAAAGTGAAAGGGGGGCAAACACTAGCTCTGGCCAGGAGGGACTGAAGTAATCAAGCATGGGTCCATGGAGGAGGTGTTATTTGATCTGTGTCATGAATCAAGGGATAAGATTTAGACAAGTTAATATGAGGAATGGCAGAGATATTCAAAGTAAAGGGGAAAGATTCAGCAAAGGTGTGAAGGTAGCAAAGTCTTGGATGTCTATGTAGAGAAGAGTATATTGGTCTATTTGGCAAAAACATGAGGGTGCGTAAAAGCGTACAGTGAGAACCAAGGTTGGAAAACTGAGTGGTAATGAATTGAAGGCCTTGAATGGCAGACTTCAGGGTTGGGCCTTGTTCAGCAGTGAAAGCCATTGAATGGGACTAACAAGATCAGAACAAGTCTTAAGGAGGCTGGCACCTCATGTTGGGCTTGTATTTTCTATCCATACCTCTACTCCCTGACTATTCCCACAGACTCTCCTCCCAGATTCCTCCCTCTACTGGTAATTACCTTTTTGTTATTTAATGCCAGGGCTGCCACATTACTGAGAAACAGGAGAACCAGTTTTCTTATGTTATACATGTATGCAACAGGATATTATATAACTATTAAATGACATTCTCCAAAATTATTTATGGACATCAGGAAATGCTTATGTTAATAAATTAATAAAAGCAGAAAAGTCCTGGTGTGGTGGCTTATGCCTGTAATCCAATCACTTTGGGAGACTGAGGCGGGCAGATCACCTGAGGTTGGGAGTTTGAGACCAGCCTGACCAACATGGAGAGACCCCGTCTCTACTAAAAATACAAAAAATTAGACGGGCGTGGTGGTGCATGCCTGTAATCCCAGCTCCTCAGGAGGCTGAGGCAGGTGAATCGCTTGAACCTGAGAGGCAGAGGTTGCCAGTGAGCCGAGATCACGCAATTGCACTCCAGCCTGGGCAACAAGAGCGAAACTCAGTCTCAGGAAAAAAAAGAAAAAAAAGCAGATTAAAATTATATATATAATTTGAATGCATCATAAAAATCTGAAGCTGAGAAACTTCATGTACATATATAGAGAGAAGAAGAAATCAAAGTGTTAAAATTGATAGTGGCATTAAGGGTATTAGAATATATTTACAGTTATAGTCAGAAAAGGTTTTTTTTTTTTTTTTTGCACTAATCACAGCAAGTAAGTCTTCAAACAGAAACCAAGTAAAAATAGCATCATACCTGAACCTGGGAATTGGAATCCTCAAAGACCCATAAATATTCAGGGCTTTGAGATCCAGATATGGGGTGAGACAGCTGCTTTGATGGAGTATTTGAATGTTTGCTCCAAAGAGAATAGAAAGGAGAGGAAAGTACTTGAATAATCTTTCACCACCAAGCTGCCTCTGAATTTCTAAATAAAGCCTTGAGTGGAGGGAAGATAACATGAGGAGCCTGCACACCATCACTCCGCACTCTCATAAGGCTTGCAGTTGGGCGACCCAGCCATAACCATTTGGTAAAAATGTTACACTGAAGGGAAATATGGAGGTTGAAACTGCCAGGCACGATCATTTCACCAGCTATCCAGCCTCGAAATGGTACCTTATGCAAATTTTGATTTTTATCCCTCAAGCATCTTTTGTTCCCTCTTTTCCAGTCTTGAATAGTATATTATTATACTATGCGAATCTGCTTAGACAGAAGCAGATTAAGGAGGACTTATGGAAATCCAGGGAAAGGAGAAAAAGTGTCATATAGTTATTCTAAATCATCATATGTGAACAACAAGATTTATTAATTCATTGATTTGCTCAGAAATTTCAACCAAGTAGCTCTGAAATTTTGTCTATGTCTTTGACATGAGAAAATTGTCCTCCTATCTGTCTCTCCCAGATTTACTCTTCCTAACTGAGGTCTGCTTTTTGACCCCTCTTTCTGCCATCCCAAGGGAACACGGGCTCTTCGATGGCTTAGCTGAATAGCTGGAGTCTTAGTTTTTCAAATTCTCCAAACCAAGTCAAGAAACTTTAGAAGGCTTTTACAGGTATTTTTAGAGCTTTCCCAGAAAAAGAAAGGAGAAATGTGACTAACAGTAGCAAGGGAATTCTAGAGAACTAGATCTTTCTTTTTCCTATTTCCTCTTGAAGAAAGATATCGTCAGCATCTTAGGATAATGAAAACATAAGCCAACTTGTTTCTTTTCAATCAATAGATGAGGTTGTGACCAACATAATGAAAGAGGTGGGGAGAATAAGGGCCTTGAAAGTTTTCTTTCATTCAGTGATCCCATTGCTCCGGGGTTGACCCTGTTGCAATAGTTCTTCGGGCTGACCAAAGCTGAGGAACAAAAATCTCTGTTTGATGCATCTGGAACATTTTTAATGGTTTTGATACAAAGAACTGTTAGCTGGTATTTATTAAGAATCTGCTACATAGTTATCCTGGATTAAGTGCTTTGCATGAATTATTTTCTTTATCTGACTGATAGGAAAACTAAACTCTAGCTCTTAAGTAATTTTTCCAAGGTTGGGACATGATAGAGCTATGGCTGACCACAGTTTGTCTGATTTCAAAGCCTGCACTATTATTCTCTATGCTGTGCTATCTTTAATTCATATACATGAAATAAACTTCCACAGGCTTAGACATCTTTGAAGGACAGATGGTAAGTAGTCCTAAAAAAGAAATTTATCTTAAGTCCTCAGTTTGTTATGGGAAGGAAGAAGGGCTGATAATATTGCTCAGATAAGTTTTTGCTTCGTATTTGCCTGAAGAGCATACGAATCCCAGAGTACTTATGCTAAACATCCAGGACTGTGCACTGGACACTTACCTTATATCTGTTGAATTAAAAGAAACGTATGAGTTACAATGTTTAAACAGCCATCTGCCATCATGAGCGAATTCTTGAGGAAATTGCTTGGGACCTAAAGTACAACATACGTTCGATCTTTGTGTATATTTGTACTTTTTCAATTTGGAAACTTTGAAAGAAAGAGGTAAAAAGGGGAGTGAGAAAGAAAATGAAAAAAAAGAAAAAAGGGGGATTGTCTTAAAAGGCAAAACAAGTGTTTTGTGGTATTTTGTACTCGTGAGAGAAAGAGAAAAAATAAAGCTGCCCAAATAGACACAGCCTGACACCAAATCAGCGGTATTAACACCAAACAAAGAGAGAAGGCCATAGGATAGTAAAGAAAACTTAGCTGAAATTAATCACTTTAGAAAAGAGAAGGATCATTCAAATTTTATGCATGGTAGGCTGAATAATGGCCCCTCAAAGAATTATCCCCGGAACCTGGGGCTACGTTAATTTATGTGGTAAAACTGACTTTGCAAATGTGATCAAATTAAGAATCTTGAGATGAGGAGATTCTATTGCATTACTAAAGTGGGTCCAACGTAATCAAAAAGGTACTTAATAGAGGAAATTGGGAGGGACAGTCAGAAAAGGAGATGTGACAGCAGAAGCAAAGTGACACATTTTAAAGATGGAGACAGGAGGCGAGTCAAGGAATGCAAGTGGCCTCTAGAAGCTGAAAATAGCAGGGAAATGAAATCTCCTTTGGAACCCCCAGAAGCAATGCAGCCATGCAGACACCTTGACTTAAGCCTCATAAAACTCATTTTATACTTCTTACCTCCAGAACTGAAAGATAATAGATATTTTTCAAGCCACTTATTTTGTGATAATTTGCTAAAGCAAAAATAGGAAACTAATGGAATACATACAGTTCAGAGAATTCTAAGGATTCACAATGCAAAAAAATACCTCCTCTAGTCATTTTATTCCTCACTCTAATATCTAGTCTATCCCCCAGAACTACCTACTCTTCCTGCCTTCCTGAGCATCTTTCTTTCCCACTTGGTCTCTGCTGGTCCTCATCTTTCACACTTGAGTGACTTCAAACAGCTGTCTCCTGGTTATTGTCCCCATTCCTTCCATGCTAATTAGAGTGTGTCCCACACCCATTGCCTGGCTTCACATTTATAAGTGTTTCTACCAAAACCTTTGTTGGATACATGTTACTTAAAGATAAAAAGTCCCAGCTCTTCACAATAACATACCAAACCCTCTATCCTTCCAGTTTCTTATCATCTTCAACCATGACACAACTATAACCCTTCAATTCACTCCATTCTGTCCAGCCTCCAGGCCTGTGCTACTATTACAACCTCTGCTAAACTAGAAATGCAAAATGAGCCCTATAAAAATACAATTACAGTGGAAAACATTAATATACCACTCTCAGAATTGGTTATCTGTAACATAATAGAGAAATTGAATAATTTTGTTGAAAAAGATAGAAATAAACTTAGAATACCTCAAATAGAGAGGACATATTTAGTAGAATATTTACTAAATTGACTGTATATTTTGCCACAAAGAAAATCTTAATTTCAGATTTATAGGGCACAATCGCTGAACATAATCCAATAAATTAGAAATAAATATTAAAACATGAACAAAAATTTGGAATTATGCACAAATTAAGGATGCTGCTCTTAGCTAATTCTTGGATCAATTGGAAATCACAAATGAAAAGAATACCTACCTAGAGAGACATTCTACCAAAACCCATAGGGCATAGCAAACACTGTTGTCAGGGGAAAATGTCTTAAATGTCTTTATTGTTACAGAGACCAGAGAGAAAATGAAGAATTTAATATACATGTTAAGAATTTAAAGGAAAAAATTAAAAAGATGAAATTAATTTTTAAAAGCTTAAATTGATGCAAGAGCAAACAAAAATGTAGAAAGCTACTTATTTATAAAGAACAATTAAAATAGAGAAGCCCCCTGTGAGCCCGATTAAGGAGAAAAGAGATATTGCAAAAGTATAAAAGATTAAGAATGAAGATTTCAGCATAATAATAGAAAAGGTTAAAGTCATTTGAAAAGAATATTACAGGCAACAAATCTTAAAACCTGAAGGAAATACATGATTTTGTATCAAAATATAAATTATAAATTTGACTCAAGAAGACAAGATTGAAAATGTGATTCAAGATCTAAAACTGAAAGTCACTAGCATCGGATGGGTTCTTGGCTGAGTTCAAAGGACTTGTAAAAAACAGTTAATTCTGATGTTATTTAAATCAGTTGTTCTCAAGTTGACTGCAAGTGAGAATCACCTGTGAAATTTTTTTTTTTTTTTCTTTGAGGCGGAGTCTTGCTCTGTGGACCAGGCTGGAGTGCAGTGGCACAATCTCGGCTGACTGCAAGTCCCACCTCCCGGGTTCACGCCATTCTCCTGCCTCAGCCTCCCGAGTAGCTGGGACTACAGGCGCCCGCCACCACGCCTGGCTAATTTTTTGTATTTTTTTTTAGTAGAGGCGGGGTTTCACCGTGTTAGCCAGGATGGTCTCGATCTCCTGACCTTATGATCCGCCCGCCTCGGCCTCCCAAAGTTCTGGGATTACAAGCGTGAGCCACCGCGCCCGGCCATCTGTGAAATTTTTAAGTGACTCAGTTCCCAAGCTCTAACCGAGGCTAAACTATAATAGAAACTCAAATACGCATATGTTGTTAAATCTCTCCTGTCTTTCTAATATAAGGCCGAGTTCATGAACCACGATTTAAATTGTTCCAGGTTATAAAAAAACATATAAAAGGCTCCTCTAGTTCATTTTATAAAGCTAATAAAGGTGGTTTCATAACAAAACTTAATAATTACTACAAAAAAGAAAATTATAAGCTAATCTCATTTATTAAAATGTAAAATGTCTAAGTAAAATGTCATGTAGAATTCAGCAAAAAAATGAAAAGAATACTTCATAACAAAATATGATGTATCCCAAAAATTTGAGAATTGATGGGTGGCTCAAATCAGGAAATCTATCAATATAATCTATTACACAAACATTTTGAATGAGAAAAAATTATGATCAAATAGTTGTGGAAAAGGCACTTTATAACATCCGTAAGTAACATTAAGTGACTAGGCAAGCATATGCATTGTCATCATTATTAGTAAATATTGTCTTAGAAGTTCTAGAGAATGCAAAACAATGAGAACATAGAACAGGAAAAAACTTTTGAAAAAAGATGAATCAAGTTATCTCCTTTTGCTTTCATGGTATGACTGAAAACCTGTAAAATCAACAAATTTGAGTGACAACAACAAAAAGCAGTAATAGTAAAATAGTTCGATACAAGTAAAACCTTGAAACATCAATAGCTTTTCTTTATGATGGTAATAAGGGCCAGGAAATGGAAATGAGAAAAGTATCTTTTTCCCAATAATGAGAAACACTACAAAATAATTAGAGATAAATTCGCCAATAAGATTTAAAAGGAAAATTATAAAATCTCATCGAAAGACAAAAAATTTTATTTTGTATGTAAATGTAATTTAAATTTTAATGATAATTTTATTTTATATGTAAAATTAGAGAGTATGCAATAAACAAAGTCAATGGACAAACTACATTTGGCAAGAGTATTTGCAATGCTAATGTCAGATAATAAACATGAATAATATACAAAAATCTTATAAACTGATAGGAAAAGATAAGCAACTGAACAGAAAAATGAGCAAGATGTGTGAAAATTCACATGAGCAAATTCACAGAAGTGAAAACTAAAAAGATTTTAAAATATATGAAAGTAAGGATAATGAATTATGAAATAGTGTGGTATTACTTTAAATATATAGACTGTCAAAGATTACAATGAGACACAAAATGCCTACTGCTGGAGGAGATGTGAGATAAGCAGTATTCTCATATTTGATTAGGAGAAATGTGTATTATAGCCTTTTGGGAAAGGAATCTAGCAACATCTATTATTTAAAATACAATTAATTTCATTCTAGGGACTCTCTACCATAGAACTGAAGGCACCAGTATATAGGGCATATATGCTAAGATATTTGTTTGGTAGCATTCACGACAGAAAAAACTAAAATAAATTTAATGTGTTCTCATCCATTCATTAAGAAAGTATGTCTTGGCCAGAGGCAGTGGCTCACGTCTGTAATCCCAGCACTTTGGGAGGCTGAGGCAGGTGGATCACTTGAGGCCAGGAGTTCAAGACCAGCCTAGCCAACATGGTAAAACCCCATCTCTACTAAAAATAAAAAAAATTAGCCAGTCATGGTGGTGCATGCCCATAATCCCAACTACTGGGGAGGCTGAGGCAGGAGAATTGCTTGAACCCAGGAGGCGGAGGTTGCAGTGAGCTGAGATCACGCCACTACAATCCAGCCTGGGCGACAGAGGGAGACTCTGCCTCAAAAAAAGAAATATGTCTTTACTGAACTTCCATGAGGTGTTTTGTTCCGCAGTAGATACTATGAAGTATAATAATGGGCTCCCACCTTAGAGAACCCTGGTTATAGCTGAGAAGTCAAGGCATACACACGCAACAGTACCAAGCAGGATATTTCAGACAGAGGACCTGTAAGCAAAGGCAAAGGGGACAGAAAAGATACGGTGTGTTCTGGGGATGGTGAGTGATCCCACCAGAGAAGAGAATCACATCCCGCATATTAAGAAAAAAATAATTGCTAATTCTTGAGCAGTCCTAGTGAGTGGAGACAGATTGCCAAACAGCATAGAATAGGGAGCTTAGCATGGACCTTTGTTAAGATCCTAACACTTTTAAAATAAAAATTGATGTGTACTAACCAGGCTTTGAAAGGTGAAAGAGTTCTAGCAAACTAAATAATTTTAATTTCTCATTAAGTCTCTAAATAAGGGGAATGTGGTAGACATGATGAAATCAGAATCTTTGGGGCAGATGTGGAACAGTTACAATGACTGAGTAAATGTCTGCACAATGTGCCCTGGGTGAACGGGTCAGTTGCTTAAGTTTCTTATGTGGGGGAATCTCAGCTAGAGTAGACAGGCGCACAGATGTGTGTTAATCAGTTGTGTGTAATAAGGAATCTGTTACTAATGTTGAAAAGTAAATTAACATATATTAAAAGTTTTCCCTCTAATAAATGTCTCACTCATTGACATTCAGATGGTTTAGGTGAATAAGATACAAGGTATGGGATTTGCAATCAGCAGGATAAAATGAAGACAACCCTCAAATGCCCTTAAAGCATCTGGGGGTACCCACGGCAATGTGTTGTGTGTCTGTGCATTGCTACAGAGAAAGCTGCTGGCTTCATGGTTAGAAGCATGGCTTTCTGTGATCCCAGTGTCATGATCTGGATCTGAGATGAGGCAGAAATTGGAAATAGTTGAACAAGGATTTTTAAAGATCCCAACCAGCATCATGAAAAAGAATAGGAAAAAGTTAATTGCAGATAATATAAAATCCGATTCTAGTCCAAACTGGTCAGAGCATAATTGGAACATTGTTTTAAAATCCTGTTCATCAACCATTGTAAAAGGGGCAGTAATTAAATGAAGCTAATCAAGAGGAAATCAATCAGGCTGGAGACAGTGATTAAGGTAAGGAACTCGGATGTTTAGATTAGAAAGAGAAGACTTGAGGATATGAAATCTGCCTTCAAATATATGAACTGCTATTATTAAAAATGGCAAAATAATAGGAAGAATATGGAACTTTTTACGGAGATAGGGGTTGTGCTGTTAAGGACTTCAGGATTCCTTTTAAACTTGAGATTCTGGGAAACCTAGAGTATGATTTTATGATAAATCAGGAAGGCTATGTTTGATACCCAGGGCCTCGGGTATCAAAGCCAAAGAACAGAGTAGAGCCCAAATGGGTCCATTGCCAGCAGGACTTCCTTCAGTAGTAATTCTAAGGAGGGCATCCAGGGGACAAGCCAAAGGGTTAGTTAACAAACAGGAAGGTTGGAGAAATGCCACGATGATGGGAAGACAGAACTCCAAAAAAGAATGTGGCACAGGCAACTGGAGAAGCAAAAAAATCAGGCTGTCACAACCAGAGGGACTGGAGCAGAAGGGAAATAAAATAATAAAGCTGGTTGTTGGGATGGGATGACAGAGTGACATAGCAAGAGTCAGTTTAGGTCAAATCTGGTGGCCACCACATTAAGGATGATTTGTGCTTGGCACAGAGTAATCACTCAAGAAACATAAGCTATTATTATTTGTAACTTTTGTCCTGATCAGCTGAGTTAAAATGAGGTATTTAAAATGACTGGGGCAACCTCAGTCAGGACCAGATGATGAAGGGCCTTGAATGCCACCCTAAGGATTATGGATGTCATTCTGCAGGTAAAAAGAAGCATACGAAGTTATTTGAGTTGGGATATGCTTTAGAAGCATTATTCATTCAGCATTGTGAAGAGTAGATAGGTATTACAGGAGAGGAAGAAAGCCATTAGTTAAGGCTTCTTGAAAAAATAAAAAAGGAATTAATGTTGGCCTTAATGGGAGTGGTGGTAGGTTAGGAGTAGGGGATCTGAGTAAGAACCCAAAGTGGGAACTTAAGGACATATTACCTAATCGAATCATGGAGCTGGCTGTGTATAGAGCCAAAATGGGAAATAAAAGATGGAACATCAGGTAGTTATCCTTATTTAGGATATGACAGAACAGGTTGAGAACAACTAACCCCATTAAACTCACCCCAGCTGATCTGAAACCAAGAGAAACTCCTTAATAACTATAAAATTTCAAGCACTTGAAATGTAAGGCTTTGGTTCTTTTCATGGTTTCTTTCTTCATTCAAGTTGATGATAGAAGAAAGTTAAATTTAAACTTCTACTTGAATCTGAGCTGATCAGGTTAGTTAACAAACAAGAAGGCCTAGAAGCAATGGGGGAGAAAAACATTTTCTCACAGAAGCTAAAGGAAGAGGGAGTGTCAAGGATGGAGTGTTCTACTGTTTCAGGTGCTACAGAGTAGTAATGCAAGAATTGAAAAGTGGCCACGTATTTAGATTCAAGGCACATCCTACAGATTCATATATTAATACCAAGATTATAGGAAATGATGTAAACTTTTTAATATATGGTGGTAAATAAAGTCTTGTAATCATTACTGAGATTTGGAGAGAGAGAATTCAAAATTAGAATATAATAAAGGAAGGATATTTTTAAACATTGTAAGAGACTACTTAATAGGGAAGCAAAACTTCATTAATAGGGAAGAAGAGGGGAAACTTGCCAAGAAGATATATGGCTGAGTAGATATCTATGGACCTAAAGACAGAAGAGATTATGGAGAATATTTGGATGAGTACAAAGTGGATAGTAACTAATTTAATGAATGCAATGTTAGCTCCTGACGCATTCTTAATTATATAAGGAGCTGGTATGAGACCAATTCATTCATTACCTCTTGATATATTCAGCAAATTGTATCTGATGTTAAGGAACCACCAGGGATTTTAGACAAAGGGTTGCAGAGGTGGTGACATCTGGGTTGATTCCCGAAAGATGGCTGATTGTTATTCCAACTTCCTCTAATCAGGAGTTCTAACTTAAGAAAAAAGGATGGATGTCAGGAACACTCACTGGTAAAAGGACAAGTTCTTCAATAAATGATGCTAGGAAAACTGGATATCTATATGCAGAAGAATGAAACTAGACCACCAACTCTCCCTCTATACAAAAGTCAACTCAAAATGGATCAAATACCTAAATGTAAGACCCCAAACTATAAAACTACTGGAAGAAAACATAGGGGAAATAATTCAGGAACATTGGTCTGGGAAATGATTTTATGAATCATTTCCTCAAAAGCATAGGTAACACATGCAAAAGTAAACAAATGGGATTATGTCACACTAAAAAGCTTCTGCATGGTAAAAGAAATAATCAACAGAGTGAAAAGATAACCTAAAAGATTGGAGAAAATATTTGTTTGCTATTCATGCAACAGTATATGAATATCTAGAATATATGAGGAACTGAACTATCTCAACAGCAAAAAAAAAAATCTGATTAAAAAATGTGCAAATGATCTAAACAGATGTTCCTCAAGAGAAGACATAAAAATGACTAACAAATATATGAGACTATGCTCAACATCATTAATCATCAGAGAAATGCAAATCAAAACCACAATGAGGTATCATCTTACCCCAGTTAAGATGGCTATTATCAAAAAGACAAAAAAATAAAACTGTGAGTATGCAGAGAAAAAGGAACTCTGACATACTGTTGGTGGGAATGTAAATTAGTACAGCCACTATGTAGAACAGTATGGAGTTTCCTCAAAAAATATATAAATATATAAAGAACTACCATATGATCCAGCCATTCTACTACTGGGCATTTATCCAAAGGAAAGGAAATCATTATATCAAAGAGACATCTGCACATCTATGTTTATTGCAGCACTATTCACAATAGCCAAGATATGGAATCAACCTAGGTGTCCAAAAGTAGATGAATGGATGAAGAAAATGTAGTATATATACAAAATGGAATACTATTCAGTCATAAAAAGAATGAAATTCTGCCATTTGTAACAACATGGATGGAACTGGAAGACATATTAAATGAAATAAGCCACAAACAGAAAGTTGAACACCACATGGTCTCACTCACAGATGGAAGCTAAAAAAAAGTTGATCTCATTGAAGTAAAAAGTAGAACAGAGGATCCTAGAGACTGGGAAGGGTGGAGGGATGGGGGGATAGGGACAGAATAGTTAAAGGATACAAAATTACAGCTAGATAGGAGAAATAAGTTCTAGTGTTCAGTAGCACCAAAGGATGACTATGGTTAACACTAATATATAGTTTCAGGTTATTGAAACCTGAAAGAAGGAGGTTATTGAATGTCCTCAGCAAAAGAAATGACAAATGTTTGAGATGATGGATATGCTAATTATCCTGATCTGATCATGATACATTATATGTATTGAAACATCACTACGAACCCCATAATTATGTACAGTTATTACATGTCAAAAATAAAAAAGAAACGGATGGTTAAAAGTATGGCTGTTATAGTTAGGCCTTTTTTTGTTGAAGATAAAAAACCAATTCAATCTGGTAAAAGAGGAATTCTATGAACCTACCTAGCTAAACCTTGGGAAAGGTAGGATAGATCATTGGAAGCACAAACTCAGGACTCTTAATTTTTCCTTTTCTCATCTCTTCTCCTCTCTATGGGCCAAATTTCTACTCTTCAGATAAGATCATCCATAAGTTGGGAGGACAGGCATTGCTGAAGGAAGCTTTTCTGATCTGAGAGGAAAAATATTCTCTTTCTTTACCTTCAGTTTGAAAATGTCTATAGAAGGAATCTGATTATAATAATATAATTATAATCAATTATACAATTAATTTTAATTAATTAATTAACAATATAATTATAATTAATCAGATTCCTTCCATAATTAATCAGATTCCAATTAACAAGGGCAGGATTCCTGCCCTTATTAGCATCTTAAATCAGGGAGACAGGGTCAGCTCGTCTGATGCATAACCATGATGGGAAATGTACCTTGTCCCTGAGGGAACTGTGAGCAGGCATCTCTGTTTATGTCTAATCCAATGGCATACCTAGGGAATTATAAGTGATTTGATGTTACTGAATCTGAGGGAAGGCTAAAAGCAGATATTCTAGTTAAGAAGTTATTTTAATACAAGTAGAAAATGGTGAAGGCTTGAACTAAGGCAATGGTAGTTCCCACAGAAAGGCATGGAGATGAGAAAATTTGAAAAGTAGAATTGATAGAACTTGGTGATAGATTTCTGAGAAAAATAAGGGAGAAGTCAAAATAAAGGAAAAATACAAGAATCCCAGATTTGGGAAAGAGAAGATGGGTATAATAGTCACCGAAATAGTAATTAAATAGGATTTAATGACAGAGATTAGGATTATACAATCTCTGTATACAGAGATGAATACACAGATCAGAGTCAAGAAAGAAACCAGAGCTGGAGATACAGACTGGGAGTCATCAGACAAAGATGGTTGGTGAAGTCAGAGAGATGCATGAGATCACCAAGATAACATATACAGTTATGTATCACTTAAGGATAGGATACATTCTGAGAAATGCATCGTTAGGTGATTTTGTAGTTGGATGAACATCATAGAGTGCACTTAACACAAACATAGATGGTGTAGCCTACTACACACCTGGCCTAGATGGTATAGTCTACTGCTCCTAGGCTATGAACCTGTACAGCATGCTACTGTGCTGAATACTGTAAGCAGTTGTAACACAGTGGTCAGTATTTGTGTACCTAAACATATCTAAACATAGAAAAGCTACCGTAAAAATATGGTATTATAATCTTATGGAACTGCTGTCATATATGCAGTCCATTGTTTACTGAAACGTCATTATGTGGCAGATGGCTGTATAAAGTAAGGGAAAAAAAACTAAAATCCTAAGGACACCAATATTTAATGAGAAAAGATAGTAGAGTAAATGAATTCAACAAAGAACAATAAAAGGAAATAGTCAGGAAACCAAAGCGGTAAGAGTGTACTTAGTATACCAGGGAAGGAAAATTTCAAGCAGGGAACGTGGTCAATGATGACATTTGCTGTAGTGAAATTGAGTAAAACAATGACTGCAGTGAAATAGAATAAAACAATGATTTCAGAGTGAACATTCCATTTGGCACTTACTGAGGCTGCCGGTAAGTGTTGCCAAAGCAATTTCAGAGGAGTCAAAAGAATGATATGTGATAACAGTGATTTGAGGAGCAAATGAGAGGTAAAGAAATGGTAACAGCAATTATGGATTAACCCTTTAGAAAGTTTGCTTATGAAAGTGTCATTTAAAGAAGTCAGAACCAATGCCAACAAGTATGTTTTCATTTCCCTTGGATAAAAAAAAAACTAGATGTGAAATTGCTGGGTCATGGGGTTGTGTATATTTAGCTTTACAAGAAACTATAAACTTTTCCAAGTAGTCATGCCATTGCACACTGCCACCACCAAAGTATGAGAGTCCCTCTTGGGCCACATTCTTGTCAATGCTTGGTATTAACTTTAACCATTCTAGTAGATAAAGAGTGGCATATCATGGTGATTTTAATTTACATTTCCCTGAAGACGAGTGCTGTTGGGAGCTTTTTCTGTGTTTATTGACCATTCATATATTCTGTTTTTAATTGTCTCAAAATTTTCTGCCCAAATTTTAAAAACTGGGTTGTTGATTTTTAAAATTATTGTTACTTAATACCATAATTGTCTATATAACTTAGAAACAAGTCCTTCATCAGATATACATGTAGCAAATGTTTCCACAGTCTTTAGCTCACATCATTGTTTTATTATCAGTGTTTCATTGAGAGAAGTTCTTAATATTTATAAATTACACTGTATCAATTTTTCTTTATGCTTAATGCTTTTAGAATTCTAAGAAATCTCTGCATATCAGAAAGTCTTAAATATGTTTTCCTGTTATTTTTCCTAGAAGCTTTACAGTTTTTTTAGTTTAGTCCTGTCATTCATTTCACATTAATATTTATGTATTACATAACATAGCAGTTAAGATTCATATTTTTTCCTTACAAAAATCCTGTTGTTACAGCAACATTTGTTTAAAGACTTCCCCTTCTCTATTGAATTGTCTCGGTACCTTGTCAAAAGTAATTGACTTTTAAAAGTGTATATGTTTATTTTTGGTCTGTCTATCCAGTTTTATTGACCTACTGATCTATATTTTATTAACATCTTACTATTATGATTATATAGCTTTTTAATGAGTTAATAAGTTATGGAGTCAGTGTAACTACTACAATTTTATTCTTATTTTTTAAGGTTATATTCCAGGTCCTTTGCATTTTCATATAAAGTTTAGGTTTAGCTATCAGTTTCTACCACATTTAAAAAAAAAAAAAAAAGGCTGGGCATGGTGGCTCTTGCCTGTAATCCCAGCACTTTGGGAGGCCGAGGCAGGCAGACCACCTGAGGTCAGGAGTTTAAGACCAGCCTGGCCAACATAGTGAAACCCCATCTCTACTAAAAATGCATAAATTAGCTGGGCGTGGTGGCACATGCCTGTAATCCCAGCTACTCAGGAGGCTGAGGCAGGAGAATAACCGGAACCCAGGAGGTGGAGGTTGCAGTGAGCTGAGATTGCACTCCAGCCTGGGCGACAGAGCGAGACTCTGTCACACACACACACACACACACACACACACACACACAAACACACACACACACACACAAAATAGCTTGCTTGGAATTTAAATGATATTGCCTCAGGTCTATACATCAATTTAGGGAAGACTGATGTCTTAACAATATTTAGTTTTCCAATCCATGTGTTCGTAGACACAAAAATTCTTAGCAAATAGAATCTAGCAATATACAAAAATAAATCTATTTCTTCTTTTAGTTCTGCCAATATTTGTTTAATGTGTTTTGAAACAGTATTATTAGGAGCATACATATTTAGTGTCATTAAACCTTCTTGATGAATTGATCCTTTTATCGTTATGAAATAATTTTATCTCTGATGATATTCTTTGTCTTGAAGATTCATTTCTTTGATACTAATAGCAAACTGGTGTCACCATATCAGTCAGTGTCTTTCTTGCATATTTTTTCATCCTTTACTTTCAACCTGCCTGTGTCTTCATATTTCAAGTGCATCCCTTTTAATCTGTGTATAGTTATACCTTGCTTTTTTGTTGTTTAATTCAGTCTGCAATATTTGCCTTTTAACTATAGTTCATTTGCATTGGTTTAATTATTGATATGATGGGGTTCTAAACTATCATCTTGCTTTTGTTTTCTACTTGCTTCGTTTTGTGGATATCTTTTTCTTCTTTCTTCTCTGCCTTGAGTATTTTTTAGAATTTCCTTGTTTCCTCTATTTGTTTTTTGAACTACCTCATTGTATTATTACATTTTGTGGTTTCTCTAGAGATTACGTATAATATGCATTCTTAGTTTGTCACAGTCTAGAATTAATATTACATTATTTTATATATAACAACCTTAGAGCAGTAAGGTATGTAATTTTCACTTATATCCCTTCCTGTCATTTGTGCTACTCTTGTCATACATTTTACTTCGACATTTATTTTGAACCCCAAATACATTTTTTACTATTTTTGCTTTAGTCAATTAACTTTTAAAGAAATTAAGAAAGAAAACCAAATGTTTATATTTACCCACATATTTATAATTTCTTCTCCCTTTCAATTCAGAATTCCATTTTTTATCATTTCCCTTCAGCCTATAAAACTTTCTTTGGCAGTTTTTGTAGTGCAGAGATACTGGCAACATATTCACTTTGTTTTTATCTAAAAATGTCTTTTGTTTGCTTTCACTTTTTTACACTTCTCTTTGAAACGTTTTATTGTGATAACATGTCATAAAATTTGGCATTTTAACCATTTTTAAGTGTACATTCAGTGGTATTAGCCACACTCATAATGTTGTACAACCACTGGCATTATCTATTTCTAAGAGTTTTTTATCAACCCCCACCAAAAACTCTACAACCAACCATTAAGCCATAAGTTCCCATTCCCTTCTTCCCTTAGCCCCTGGTGATGCCTAATCTGCTTCTGTCTCTATTCTAAAAATTTTCTATAAGTGAAACAATGTAATGTTTGCCCTTTTTGTATGGCTTATTTTGCTTAACTTAATGTTTTCATGGTTCATCCATTTTGTAACATGTTTTAGAATTTTATTCCTTTTGATGGCTAAATAATATTTTTTGTATGTATATATATGCCACATTTTGCTCATCCACTTATCTGTTGATAAACACTTGGGTTGTTTCTACATTTTGGTTATTATGAATAATGCTAAAATTAATATTGGTCTACAAATATCTATTTGAGTCCCCATTTTTAGTTTTGGGGAGTATATACCTAAGAATAGAATTGTTAGATCATATGATAATTCTATGTTTAGCTCTTCAAGGAAAGGCCAAGCTGTTTTCCACAGCAGCTGCACCATTTTACATTCCCACCAGCAATGTAGAAGGGTTGCAGTTTCTCCACAACCTTGCCAACACTTGCTATTTTCCTTTGTTTTGATTTTTAATTTTTTTAAATTCTAGCAATCCTAAATAGATGTGAAGTGCTATCCCATTGTGGTTTTGATTGTATTTCCCTAATGACTAATAATGTTGCACAACTTTTCATGTGCTTACTGGCCATTTGTAATTATTTGGGAAAACGTCTTTTCAAGTTCTTTGCCCATTTTCTTTTTTCTTTTTTTTTTTTTGAGATGGAGTCTCGCTCTGTTGCCCAGCCTGGATTGCAGTGGCATGATCTCTGCTCACTGCAACATCTATCCAATCGGTTCAAGCAATTCTCCTGCCTTAGCCTCCTGAGGAGCTGGGATTACAGGCATGCACCACCACACCTGGCTAATTTTTTTATTTTTGGTAGAGACAGCGTTTCACCGTGTTGGCCAGGCTGGTCTCAAACTCCTGACCTCAAGTGATCTGCCTGCCTTGGCCTTCCAAAGTGCTGGGATTACAGGAGTGAGCTTCTGCGCCTGGCCTCTTTGCCCATTTTAAAGTTGGGTTGTTTGTCTTCTTGTTGTTGCAATGTAGGAATTTTTTAAAAATTCCAGATGGTAAACCCTATCAGATATTTGATTCGAAAACATTTACTCCAATTCTATAGGTTGTCTTTTTACTTTCTTGATAATGTTCTTTAATGCACAAAAGTTTTCAATTTTGGTGAAGTGAAATTTATTTATTTTTTATTTTGTTGCTTTTGTCTTTTGGTGTCATAGCTAAGAACCCATTGCCAAATCCAGTTTATGAAGATTTACTTCTATGTTTTCTTTTAAGAGTTTCATAGTTTTAGCTCTTACGTTTGGGTTACTGATCCATTTTCAGTTAATTTTTAGATGTGGTGTGAGACAGGGGTCCAGCTTCATTATTTTGCAAGTCCTATTTTCCCAGCACCATTTATGGAAAATGTTACTGTTTCTCTATCGAACAAAGTTGCTAGCCTTGTCAAAAATAAATTGTGCATACCAACAAGTGTACAGAAAATGCTCAATATCAATTGTCATCAGGAAAATGCAAACCAAAACCACAATGAGATATCATCTCACCTCAGAAAGACTATGATCAAGAAGACAAAATAAATGCTGGCAAGGATGCAGAGAAAAGGGGACTTATACATACACTGTTTGTGGGACTGTAAATTACTTGTAGCCATTATGGAAAACAGTATAGAGACTTCTCAAAATATTAAAAATAGAACTACCTTATGATCCAGCAATTCCACTACTGCTTATATGTATCCAAATGGGAAGCGGTGTGTCAAACAGATATCTGTACTCCCATGTTTATTGCATCATTAGTCACAATAGCCAAGATATGAAATCGACCTGTGTCCACCAATGGATAAATGGATAAAGAAAATATGGTATATATATACAAGGAGATACTATTTAGCCATAAAAAAGAATGAAATCCTGTCATTTGTGACAACATGGATCAGTCTAGAGGACATTATGTTAAGTGAAATAAGCCAGCACAAGAAAATAAATAACCATATGTTCTCAATCCTATGTGGAAGCTAAATAAGTTGACATTGTAGAAGTAGAGAGAATGGTGGTAACTAGAGCCTGAGAAGGGTAGAGGGGGGAGAATTGGAAGAGCCTGGCTAGAAGATACAAAATTGCAGTTAGATAGTGTTCTATAGCACCACATGGTGACTATAGTTAATAATAATTTATTGTATACTTTAAAATAGTTTGAAGAGATAATTTTGAATGCTCCCAACACAAAGAAATAATAAATGTTAGTGGCAATGGATACACATAATAAAATATCACATATCACACTGTACTGCCTAAATATTGTGATGGTTAATATTAGGTGTCGACTTGATTGGATTGAAGGATGCCTAGATAGCTGATAAAGTATTGGCTCTGGGTGTGTATGTGAGGGTGTTGCCAGAGGAGTTAACATTTGAGTCAGTGGACTGGGAGAGGAAGACCCACCTTCAATGTGGGTGGGCACCATCCAATCGGCTGCCAGGGTGGCTAGAAAAAGAAGGCGGCAAAAGGTGGGATAAACTGGCTTGCTGAGTCTTCTGGTTCTCATCTTACTCCTGTGCTGGATGCTTCTGTCTGTTCCTCCTCCCCTCAAACATCAGACTCCAGGTCCTTTGACCTTTGGACTCACCAGTGGTTTGCCAGGGCCTTTGGCCACAGACTGAAGGCTGCACTCTAGGCTTTCCTACTTTTGAGGCTTTTGGACTTGGACTGAGCCACTACTGGCTTCTTTTTTCCTGAGCTTGCCGACAGCCTACTGTGGGACTTCACCTTGTGATCATGCGAGCCAATTCTCCTTAATAAACTCCCTTTCATGTATACATATATCCTATTAGTTCTGTCGGTCTGGAAAACCCTAATACAAATATACGCAATTATTATGTGTCAATTAAATTTAAAAAAATCAATTGGCCATAGATATATTTGTGTATTTCTGGACTCTCAGTAATATTCCATTCACCTAAATCTACCTTTATGCCAGTACCACTCTGTGTTTGATTGCTGTAAATTTGTACTAAGTTTTAAAATTAAAAAGTGAGTCATATGACTTTGTACTTAGTTTTCAAGATTGTTTTACCTATTCAAAAACCCTTGAAATTCCATAGGAATTTGAAAATGAGCTCTTTCATTTCTGAAATAAAAAAAAACTGTTGGAATTTTAATAGGGATTGTGTTGAATCTGTTGTTTGTTTCATTTTCAATATTCAAGATAATTTCCTGAATACAGAAATCTAAGTTGACAGTTTTTTCCTTTAGTATTTCAAAAATATAATTCCATTGTCTTGTAGCCTCCAATGTCTCAAACAATTTTCTTATTGTTGATCTTTTTCATTAAATGTACATTTTGTTCTATTCACTACTTTTAAGCTTGTTTTTGTTTTTTAATCGCTAGTTTTCAGCAGTTTGACTATGACACATTTAGGTGAGGTTTTCTTTGTTTTTATCTGCTTGCAGTTTGCAGAGATTCTTGGATATGTGGGTTCCTCTGTTTGAGCAAATCTGGAAAATTCTTAGCTAATATTCTTTTTGTGTTTTGCTGGCAGTATACCTTCTCTTCAGTCCTCTGGGTCTCCCATTACACATAGTATTTCACTGCTTATTACTTCCAAAAATTGTTTTGTATTTGTTACTTTTTATTTTAATATTTTTCTCCTCTGTGTACTTCCGCTTATATAATTTATTTTATCCTGTCTTCAAATTCATTGATTCTTTCTTCTGTTGTATCCAATATGTTGTTAATACCATCCACAGTTTATTATTTTAAATGTTGTATTTTTTATTCTTAGGATTTCTATTGTGCTCTTTTTGCAGAGTCTAAATCTCTTCTAAAATTCTCTATTCCTTCATCCACTATATCCACCTTTTCTAATAGAGTAATAGATTTATTTTAGTTATTTTAAACAACTTTTTTACTAATCCAACATCTGGTCATTTCTATTGATTGATATTTCTTTTTTTCTGATGTTTTTTGTATCCCTATTTATTTTGATCATTTATTGGACATTGTGAATAATACAATGTAAAGAGCCAAAATTCTTTTATGTTCCTCTGAAGGGTGCTTGGTTTTGTTCTGGTGGATAGTTAATTACCTTAACTCATGGAAGATTGATTTTGGGGGGCAAATTTATTTTGGTTTTGCCTTTGATCTTAGAGTGAGTTCCTTTATCCCAGCATGTAGTCTTATTCCTAAGGCATGGTTTTTCTGGAGTTTCAGTTGAGAGCTCAAAATTATTACCAAGGTCTTCTAATTTGTGGGACTTAAACTTCAAATGCTGTTTGGAGGACAACAATTAAAACCTTTTGTTCAGCTGTTTCAGCCTTCAAGCTATTATCGGAGTATTGCCCATGCATGTGCAGTCAGAATTTAACCAATTGCTTGAGTTGATTTTATAAGCAAATTTTGAGGCTGCCCCCTCTATGAGTCCCCTTCTTTGGAGCTTCTCCCCTCAAATCTATTTTTTCTGGCAGTCTCAAACTCCTGCTGTGACTCCTCAGCCTAATAAGACTACAGCTCTCTGCTTGCATTCTGGCTACTCCACATTTTAAGGCCTAGGGGATGACCCAAAGAAGAAAGCTATAGAAATGTGCGTATCACCCAGCATGGTTGCCTTCTTTTAAGGGTCAAATCAACTTTTGCCTGCTTTTGCTTGCTCTGCAATATCTTCATTCAGTTTTGTTTTTCTTCAAATTTTGTCCAGAGTGTAGAAGTGTTGTCTGCACAAGGGTTGATCTTACACAGGCTACTCCAACATTACTGTAACCAGAACTCCATCAGAAGAGTTTGTGCTTTTATTACTGTTTTTGATATTAATGAAGAGCCTTCTTCTCAAAGAGGTGGAGGTCACTGATGAATATATTAAACCAAGATGTTTGTTTTTAAAGCACCTACCTCCTTTGTTAGTTAAAAATTGAGATTTTAGAATAAAACAAGCCTAGATTGAAATCTTTGATTTTTTTTTTCCCTCTTACTAACTTAGGACAAATTTCTTAACATGTTCCAGCTTAGTTGTCTTATTATAATGAAAATGATAACATTACTTCTTCAAGAAGTAGTTGAGGCCGTTTTTGTAAATCATTTAACCAATGTATCATCAATCCTTTTCATCAAGAATTCAAGTGCTCCATGTATATTTATTGCGGCACTATTCACAATAGCAAAGACTTGGAACCAACCCAAATGTCCATCAATGATAGACTGGATTAAGAAAATGTGGCACATATACACCATGGAATACTATGCAGCCACAAAAAATGATGAGTTCATGTCCATTGTAGAGACATGGATGAAGCTGGAAACTATCATTCTCAGCAACTACCGCAAGGACAAAAAACCAAACACCACGTGTTCTCACTCATAGGTGGGAATTGAACAATGAAAACACATGGACACAGGAAGGTGAACGTGACACACTGGGGCCTGTCATGGGGTGGGGGGAGGGGGGACAGATAGCATTAGGAGATATACCTAATGTAAATGATGAGTTAGTGGGTGCAGCACACCAACATGGCACATGTATACATATGTAACAAACCTGCACGTTGTGCACATGTACCCTAGAACTTAAAGTATAATAATAATAAAATAAAAAAAGAATTCAAGTTCTCAAATTTCCATATTTCTGCCCCATAAAATATGGAACAAATAACTTTTCTCTGAATAAATATTAATATATTTACAGATTTTTAATTTTTAAAAACTTTAACTTTAGTATTGCTTGTTTTTACATATGGAGAATCTTTACTGTCTATTGTTATCATCCCTACCACCAGCATGCACACATGCTCTAATATCTTTCAATATTAAAGTATATATGTATAAAATCACCCTAGTGGCACTTCCCCAAACAGTTACAACTCCATTTCTCTACTTTCCTTCACAGTGAGCTGCCACAGAAAGAATTGTCTATTTTGTCTACTTTTGCTATCTTCACTTCCTCAATTCCCATCATCTTTTAACCTACTCTAGTCATGCTTTTTCCCTCACCTTCTGCTTACTGCTGTCCTTGGGGACAACAGTGACCTGAAGGTTGCCAAAAACAATGGTCAATTCTCCTTTTACTGACCATTCACCACCCCTTTCTCCTGGAAATACTCTCTTCACTTAGATTTCCAAATACTACTATCTACCTGCTTTCCTCTTGCTTCACTGGAGACCCACTCCTGATGGCTCTGTATCACCTATCTAACTTCTAATTACTGAAGTGGTCCAGCACTCAGTCCTCAGCCAGCTTCTCTAGATACACTTACGTCCTAAGCAATCTCAATTAGATCCACGGATTTATATCCCATATATACTCTAATGACCCCCAACTTTTCTGACCACCTCTTTTCCTTTGCCCTCAAGCCTCACCTCTCTTAGTAATCCACATCTAGGTAAATAGCACTATGAATGCTGGAAATCATTATTGACTTTTCTTCATATCTCATATGATAAATTCATTTCATTAGCACATCCTGTTGGCTCTATTCTCAATTTATATCCCAAGTCTTCATCACCACCTCCATCTCTATCACTCTTTTTCAAGCCACCATTATTTCACATCTGAACAACTGAAATAATCACTTTAATGTCTCTGTTTCCATTCTTGTTCCCATAAAAAACTTTTCATAGCGCCCATAAATAAGTGTAAATCAGTGTAATCATCCATTTTCACACTGCTGATAAAGACACACCTGAGACTGGGAAATTTACAAAAGAAAGAGATTTAATGGACTTACAATTACATGTGGCTATGGAGGCCTCACAATCTTTGCAGAAGGTGAAAGGCATGTCTCACATGGTGGCAGACAAGAGAAGAGAGCTTGTGTAGGGAGACTTCCATTTTTAAAACCATCAGATCTCGTGAGACTTATTCACTATCACGAGAACAGCATGGGAAAACCTGCCCCCATGATTCAATTACCTCCCACTGGGTCCCTTCCACAACACATGGGAATTCAAGATGAGATTTGGGTTGGGACACAGCCAAACCATATCATTCCATCCCTGGCCCCTCTCAAATCTCATGTTCTCACATTTCAAAACCAATCATCCTTCCCAACAGTCCCCCAATGTCTTAACTCATTTCAGCATTAACTCAAAAGTCCACACTCCAAAGTCTCATCTGAGACAAGGCAAAACCCTTCTGCCTATGAGCCCATAAAATCAAAAGCATGTTAGTTACTTCCTAGATACAAATGAAGGTACGGGCATTGGGTAAATACAGATGTTCCAAATAGGAGAAATTGGCCAAAACAATGGGGCTACAGGCCCCATGCAAGTCCGAAATCCAGTGGGGCAGTCAAATCTTAAAGCTCCAAAATTATCTCCTTTGACTCCATGTCTTACGTCCAGGTCATGCTGATGCATGAGGTGGGCTCCCATGGCCTTGGACAGCTCTGCCCCTCTGGCTTTCCAGGGTATAGCCCCCATCCTGGCTGCTTTCAGAGGCTGGCATTAAGTGTCTGTAGCTTTTCCAGGCACATGGTGTAAGCTGTTGGTAGATCTACCATTCCGGGGTCTGGAGGATGGTGGCCCTCCTCTCACAGCTCCACTAAGTGATGCCCCAATAGGGACTCTGTATGGGGGCTCCAACCCTACATTTCCCTTCTGTACTGCCCTAGCAGAAGTTCTCCTATGAGGGCCCTGTCCCTGCAGCAAACTTCTGCCTGGGCATCCAGGTTTTTCCCTACATCCTGTGAAATCTAGGTGGAGGTTCCCAAATCTAAATTTTTGATGTCTGTGCACCTGCAGGCTCAACACCACACGGAAGCTGCCAAGGCTTGGGGCAGGCACCCTTTGAAGCCACAGCCTGAGCTCTATGTTGGCTCCTTTCAGCCATGGCTGGAGTGGCTGGGATGCAGAGCACAAAGTCCCTAGGCTAAACACAGAATGAGGACTCTGGGCCTGGCCTATGAAACCATATTTTCCTCCTAGGACTCCCAGCCTGTGATGGGAGGGGCTTCCATGAAGTCCTGTGACATGCCCTGGAGACATTTTCCCCATTGTCATGGTGAGGCTCCTGGTTACTTATGCAAATTTCTGCAGCTGGCTTGAATTTCTCCTCAGAAAATGGGATTTTCCTTTCTATTGCATTGCCAGGCTGCAAATTTTCTGAACTTTTATGATGTTTCCCTTTTAAAACTGAATACCTTTAACAGTACACAAGTCACCTCTTGAATGCTTTGCTGCTTAGAAATTTCTTCTACGAGATACCTTAAATCATCTCTGTCAAGTTCAAAGTTCCACAAATCTCTAGGGCAGGGGCAAAATGCTGCCAGTCTCTTTGCTAAAACATAACAAGAGTCACCCTTGTTCCAGTTCCCAACAAGTTCCTCATCTCCATCTGAGACCACTTCAGTCTGGACTTTATTGTCCATATCACTATCAGAATTTTGGGCAAAGCCATTCAACAAGTCTCTAGGAAGTTCCAAACTTTTTCACATTTTCATGTCTTCTGCTGAGCCCTCCAAACTGTTCTAACACCTGCCTCTTTCCCAGTTCCAGTCACTTCCACATTTTTGGGTATCTATAGCAGCACTCCACTCTCCTGGTACCAATTTACTGTATTAGTCCATTTTCATGCTGCTGATAAAGACATACCTGAGACTGGGAAATTTACAAAAGAAAGAGGTTTAATGGACTTACAGTTCCACGTAGCTCGGGAGGCCTCACAGTCATGGCAGAAAGTGAAAAGCACATCTCACATGGTGGCAGGCAAGAGAAGAGAGCTTGTGCGGGGAAACTCTCATTTTTAAAACCATCAGATCTCATGAGACCCATTCACTATCACGAGAACAGCACAGGAAAGACCTGCCCTCATGATTCAATTACCTCCCACTGAGTCCCTCCCACAACATGTGGGAATTCAAGATGAGATTTGGGTTGGGATACAGCCAAACCATATCAGTCAGATCACATCTTTCTCCCTTTCAAAGCCTTCCAATTATTTCCCAATGCATTTTGAGTAAAATCCAAATTGTACATTTAAGGTCCCAAATGATCTAGCTCCCGCTTGACTCTCCCACCTCTTTCATTCTTTCCCTGATTACTCTACTTCAGCCATTCTTGCTCTGTTTAAAATGTGCCAAGCTTGTTTCCACCTTGGATCTTTGCACTTACTCTTCCCTCTCCTTGGAACATCCTTCCTTTGGGTCATATCACGGTTTGTTTCTTCCCTGCCTTCTAAATTCTGCTTAAATTGAACCTCCTTGTGTGAGGCCTTTCTGATGCACTCCATCCTAAGCAGGTTCTCACACAACCATATATTGTTACCCTCATCCTTTATCCTGCCTTGTTTTTCTTCATAGCACATATTACTTCCTGAATTTACACTATGTATTTCTTATTTACTTATTATATGCTCCCCCACTAGAACATCAGTGCCTTGAGAACAGGAGTGCTGTCTTATGTTATTGCTGCATCTCCAGGCCCTAGGATAAAAGCTCAATAAAGATTTGTTGATTGTGAGATGATATTTAGATATAGTTTTCTCATTGTTTGGTCTAATTACCTACTAATTAACTAAAATGAGAAAATATCTCTACTTTTGCAAAACAGAGTTGTCAAAAGACAAAATTTCAAAAAATTGAGTTTAAAGATCTAATTGGCTTTTATTAGTGATTTCATGAATTGGCCAGCATTCCATCTATAAAAATAGACAGATGCTCTGCTGGGCATAACAGAACAATCAGTTTTTATAAGGTAGCTTGAACAGGAACAAGGAAAGAGCATAATACAAAAAAAGTGAAGTGGTTAACATCGAGTTAGTTAGGTTTCTTTCCTAATAAGGGTTAAAGCAGAGGGGACTTCCTTACCATGCTGGCTCAGGTTGACTGGGCCCTTTTTGACCAGCTACTGGAAATCTCCTGTTTTAGGAAAAACTGGTCAGTTTAGGGATTTTCCTGCTTCACTTTGATTATGTGTCACTTAGCCTGAGTGACTGCATTTTGGTTCAGTCTGTTGGGGTCTAGTGGAGGAACTGAGTCCAAAACAATGACCTCCTATAAATTTTATTCAGCAAAGTTTTGTTGTGTTTTATATTCTCAACTGCTAAACGGTATTAGAAAACATCTTGAAGAGCAAACCTATTTAGCCTAAGAAATAAACATATGATTTTTTTTTGTTTCCTGTAAGGAACGCTAATGTCAAGTACAACTTCCATGAACTTCTTGTTTGGCTCTTTGCCCTTCAAATGAAAGGATATAGGGAATTTTCTACTTTTTCGGTTCACATTGTACTTCTTGTTTTCATAAATGCTGAATTCATTCTGCAATCTGCCCATGAAGCATTAATATGTTAACTGCCTAATCAGTGGATTTGCCACAAGACTTTCAGGTTTAATTAAATAGGACTTATCCAGTCTACTCAATGTGAAAGCTTCACTTAAGAATCTGTAATCAACTTATCTAAATCTGAATTATTATAGGGCCCCTTCTTATATTTAACTTCATGTACATAGGTTTGGATTTAGCTTATCATTTAAAAATGATCTGAGGATGTGAATTGCTTTTTTATTGATGTACTTGATAATATACATATCAGTGTTAATTAACATTAGAAAGGGAAGCACTAGATTATAGCTAACATTAGAAAGACAAGCACACTATTGTATCATAGTGAGATACTTTTCTAAATATAAGTTCCTAATTCATTGTAACTTTGATGGTATTAATATATTTTTCTGAGTAAATGATAACAAAATATGGATGGATACTCTTTCTCCATGCAGGTAATTGAACTTAGAAACCCTTACTCCAAGATGTCTCAATGGGCATACAGGTGAACCTTATGTGGTTTATTCCAAGAGAGAATAATATTTCAAATCATAGTTTCTATGTGTTGAAAACACACTGGCTTTAGAGTTAGAAAGCTCTTAGATGAGATTCTAATTTCACCTTTTTCTCTGTGTCATTGATATATTGTCTGTATCTAACATATTAACTCTGTTCACAGTTTTAAAATATAAATGTTTGTTTTTCTGATGATAAAAGTAATTGTGATGGTTAGCACTGAGTGTCAACTTGATTGGATTGAAAGATACAAAGTATTGATCCTGGATGTGTCTGTGAGGGTGTTGCCAAAGGAGATTAACATTTGAGTCTGGGGGCTGGGAAAGGCAGACCCACCCTTAATCTGGGTTGGCACAATCCACTCAGCTGGCAGCTCGGCTAGAATATAAGCAGGCAGAAAAATGTGAAAAGAGAGACTGGCCTAGCCTCCCAGCCTACATCTTTCTCCCATGCTGGATGCTTCCTGCCCTTGAACATCAGACTCCATGTTCTTTGGTTTTGGAACTTGGACTGGCTCTCCTTGATCCTCAACCTGCAGAGGGCCTACTGTGGGACCTTGTGATCATGTGAGTTAATACTTAATGATACTTTACTTAATAATGCTTAATAAACTCCCACATATATATCCATAACTAATGGAATATATATATATATGTGTGTGTGTGTATATATATATATTCCATTAGTTCTGTCCCTCTAAAGAACCCTGACTAATACAGTAATACGTGGCCATTATAGAAAAATTTGGAAAAAACAACAAAGAGAGAAAATTGTATTGAGTCTAAAACCCCCAAGTAACTAGAATTAGCCACAGTTGCTGCTTATTTATCAATCCATACATTCTTATGTTGTTAAAATATGCTAATATCTTAAATTTTCATTATGCATTATATCATATTTCCTGACCTATGTTGGTAATAAGAAGTTCCATAAACATTTTTAGGACTACATAATTCTTCATGGCATATATATGCCATAATATAACTGCATTATCCCCTAATATTTGACAGTTTGGCTCTAAATTTTAGATAGTCTAAATGATATTGAAGTAAGTAATTTTATGAATAGATTTTATCAACAGTTTTGATTATTTATTTAGAAGATACTAATAAATTAAAATACTGAAAGAAAGCATCTTGTTACATACTGCTAAACTACATTTCAGACCAGTCCTACTAAATTATACTTCTAACAAGATTGGATGAGAGGGCTCATCTCAACACATTGTCATGAGGACTATCACAAAAAAAGTTGTGCAAATGTGCTGGATAGCAGCGATGTCATGTTACTTTATTCTGATATATATTTATAAAATAAAGATATTTCTATTTTATTTAGTTTTCCGTTTAATATAATATTGGTCTTTTGACCATTTAGCTATTAGAAACCCTTTTTCTTATAATTTTATAAGAGTTCTTTTTGTCAAGAATATTAACCCTGTTTCATTTTTTCCTCAAATACATATATCAACAATTTGTAGAATGTGTACTGTGTTAATCACTTAGCAAAACAGAACAATTACTTATCAATGAGTGTAGCTGTAACTGGAAGAATAAAGTTAGTCTTTTTACCTTCTTCAAATAGAAAATTCTTAACTAAGAATTTAACTAAATTATTACACACCAAATTAATTTTTAATTGCATAGAAAGGCACAGCCTTTAAGTGAGATTTGCTCTTCACTGGGTCCCTTTCTTTTCCCCATAGGTATTGCCGGCTTAAAATCATGAGATCTACAAATTTGGAAAGGATAGCTTTTTTTCTAACAAAGGATTGGAGCCTACAGTGTAGCCTCTAGTAGAAAATGAAAGCAGGCACTTCCAGGCAGAAAGGGTGAGACAACAATTTATGCTGAATGGGTTGTCTAAGCATACATATTCAACAGGTTAAGGGAGAAGCTATGAATATTCATGAAGGGGGCTCCTGCGTGATAGTAAGCAAGCATGCATGTTATATATATCTCATATTCACTTTGGAGTGGAGACTTAACATTTAAATGTGTTAAAATTAGGCTATGTCAAAGATGAAAAGAAAGACATCGGTTTCCTATGCACAGCTCCATGGATTGGCCAGAACCATTCTGTGGTTGGCGGTCTCTTATCAGGAAGGAATGCTAGTCAGTTGTGTTAAAACCGCAAAAAGGGAGGAGAATATGGCTGCAGCATCAGGCAGTTGGTTGGAATCAGCAGTAAGGAAAGTCTTTTGAAAGGGTTGGTTTCTGTTTAATGCTGAAGAAAGAAAGTCTAATAGTGGTTAAAGAGGGAGAGGGTGTAACAAGGGAGACTTGTCTGACCTGCTGGGAACTCAGTTTTTAAGGTTTCTCTAGGGCCCCTTAGCCAAGAAGGAGTCCATTCAATTTGGGGCTTAGAGTTTTATTTTTATTTCCCAGTTGAAGGAGCCCAATTTTGAAAGAGTTTGAGCATTAAGGGGATTTGAGAATGAAGGAAAGCAATGAAATTTGTACTGTAAAATAATGTAAATTACTAACTCTAAAGTGAAAAATACACTTTGCAAATTTTGAGACAGTTAAGACTATCCTTCTATTTCTCCTGTATGGTGCACACCGTACAGTCTCTGTGAATTCATATTTTACTTGGAATGCATGTGTATGCCTCTGTGTGTGTGTGTGTGTGTGTGTGTGTGTCTGTTTGGCTAAATGCTTAATGTGAAACTTTCCCTATTAGTCTGTAATCAACTTATCTAGACCTGAAACATGATATGACCCTTTATTAATGGGAATTCATAAAAATAAACAGACATCCTTGATTTACATATTGGTAAGAAAAATCTTGAAAGGGCTAAATTTGGAGTGCCCAGCTACTTTCTCTCCACCTGGCTTGTTGTGTGGGACTTTGGTGTTAACAACTATCCCTGAATGTCCTGCTGTGGCCTCCCAGAAAGAATTACCCTAAGATGAATAACTAAATTGTATGACTATGACATTTCCCTCATTTAAAAAAAATGAGAATTCCATGGTGGAGGATAGAAGAAAGTATCTTCAAGGGAGTTAAAATATAAAGTTAAGGGGAGCAGATTAGGAATTGAGTCTTGCAGGTGAACAGAGTTCCTCTGAAGGTTTTGACTACCTGGTTGCTGTTTTCCCTAAACCTTAGAAAAAGTTGTATTTAGCATATAGTATCACCACTTCAATACCATCTACAACCTTTGTGGTAGTACCATGGAGGACAAGGAGACAGGGTAAGAGGGACATGTAGCCTACACCACATGAGTCCTTGTGTGGCTCGTGTATGGAGGGTAACGAGCATCCTGTTGAAGGTTATCTAAGGGCTCCAGAGTGTGATCAGCAGTCACATGAATGTGCTCCAAGGAGGAGCATAAGACATTAAGATACTCTGCTGACTAGATGTTTCTCTAAAAAAACCTTCATTAAGGAAAATCTCTTCTTCCTCTACATATGCTGGTGAGAGGTCAGCCTTTAGAGATGGGAGAGGGGTGTGGGGCTAGTAGAGAGACTTGAGATATGCATGTTTATACCTGCATAGAACTGTTGACAGTTCTGGTAGGGTATATCCTCTGTATCACTCAGATTTGTTTTTTACAATAAACATTTATTAATTTAGCAATTTAGAAGTATATTATTCCTGTAATCCCAGCACTTTGGGAGACCAAGGCAGATCACTTGAGGTCAGGAGTTTGAGATCACCCTGGCCAACACAGCAAAACCCCATGTCTACTAAAAATACAAAAATTTGCCACACATGGTGGTACATGCCTGTAATCCCAGCAACTCGGGAGGCTGAGGCACAAGAATCGCTTGAACCCAGGAGGCAGAGGTTGATCCAAGATCGTGCCACTGCACTCCAGCCTGGGTGACAGAGCAAGACTCTGATTCCAAACAAAAAAATAAAATTAAATTAAAATAAGATACATAGAAGTATATTGTAAAGTAAATCATATATTTCCTCTAGCTTGTTGCCCTCTTTTGAAACTTGCTTTGTAACTACAATAGTCTTCTATATGGTATTTTTATTGTTTTTTTGTGATTTCTTGTATTACATTTAAGTTTTTCGTATGCACTGATCAAAATTGTAGTTCATATTTATGGTTATGTGGCCTGCTCGGTGCCCTATGGAGAGTAAAACATGCAGTGAAGTACCATCTGGGATCTGTCAAATGATGCATTTAAAAGTCGTCTTAGCAATGCAGGATAAAATAAGAAAGATTTTAAGAAGTAGACATTTGTGATTATAATTAATGGGTTTTGGTTGTACTCCAGTGACCCTATGGCCCCAAAGTGCAGCGAGGGGCCAGCGCTACCCAATGGAAGATATTTTAAGGGCAATCTTAGAAAGTTCTTTGTCACACAAATTGGGCTGCCCCTTAAGAAAAGGCCTCTGACTTGCAGAAGCTGAACTTAGAAAATTGAAACTCTGGGCACTCAAATCTATTATCAATTGCTTCTTAGTTGTCTACCAACTCAAAAGGTTTGTTATTTGGAATAGAAATCAAAGTAAAAGAGGCAGCGGAACTCAGAAGTTAGCTTAGATTATGAGAAAAACAACATTTTAGGAGAAAAACAACATTTTAGAAGAAAAACTTTGTTCCAACTATACATTCTGCAGAGGGACCTCCTGTTTCTCCGACCATATGCGTCATTGCAAAATTTATGAGACTTCTCAGATCTGAGGTCGAACATTTTCCTGCTACCTTATAACTCTTCCTACCTTGTTCTTGCCTTTTATTTTCCTTTCTTATGGCTTCCTTTCTATTTTTGTTTCTTTTTGTTTTCATTTTTGCTGTTACTGTTTTTTATGTTGCTATTCCTTTTCCTTTCCCCTCCCACAATCTATTTCTACACCATAACTAGCAGTGTTCCTCCCTTTCTAATACTCCCTCTTTTCCTGTTTTTATTCTGGTTCTTACCCATTGAGTTTCAATGTAAATTCCCTCCTCTAATGTTCAAATTTTATTGTCAGTGTTTTTATTGTTGAGCCATCACTAAAACCAAATCTTCCTGGTTATTTTTGGACTGTAGGTTTGGCTGTGTCAGGCACTTTTTGCCATCAAATGAAAGTATTTCTAGTCATCTGTCAACGAGAAAGCAATCTCAGGACCCACTACTATAAGTAGGGCTGTAATTTCTTGCATTCATTATCGGAAAGATTTGATGTTTATTTAGAACTTCTATTAAAACTTCAGGTTTTTGACAAATAGGTCTATTTCTCTTTCCCATGGGAACTGATAGCCCTAGTAAATAATTAGTTTTATTCTGCTTGATAATATATGAAGTAGAATCATATTTGATATTCATAGAATAGATACAGCTTGTACCTAAATGTACAGATCAAAACTTTACTGATTAATCAAAATAGTAATTGCTCAAAAAGAGTAAAGTTTTTTCTTGAATGATATCATTATTTGACCAGTTTTCCCTTGCAAGCTACTCCAGTTTATGTGTGCATATATCTCTAAATCAAAGTCAACCCAATTCCTACCCTCTTTGCTTTGTCTACTTTAAGTGCTTCCATAGGTTGTCTGTAATGGATTTCTGCTCCTGGTCACATGAGCTCCTTTTAGCCTGAAGTATTAGTGACAGGCTTTATAAAGAAGGAGTCCCTCTATTCTCATCATCAATACTCTCTTCCTTAATACAATTTTGGTCTTATTTTATTCATAAAAGCCAAATAAAATTCTATCTCCTTGCTACTTGTTTTAAAACCTATCTTATGACCTTGATGTAACCAAACAGTCCCAAAGAATATCACTCTGAAAAACCTCTTGGCAGTATAATATTGAGATGCCAATCTAAGTTTTATTTTACCCTTATTTTCCTCTTTCCCTTCCCTCTATTCAGTCAGATAAGACTCCAGACTTCTTTGCCCCAGTGGAGGTTTATGACTGGCCATTTCTTTCCAACTTCTTAAACCAGATCTCAAACCAGACACCTCAGAGCTAAATTAGGTCCACAGATATGTTTTATTGGGTTCATGTTGATTTTTTAAAAACTTGAACCAACATTTAATAATTTGGCACATTTCACATAGATATCTGGATTTCTGACTTATCTTAAAAATTAGAAGATGTAGCCACACTAGGCTGCTGTTTTCACCTGGGCACAAGAAGCCAGAGCTGAGTAGAGGCTGCAGCCTTAGGGGGGTTTCACATTCTCCAGTTCTCTTAGTTTCCACCACCATCCTTTCCTTCACTCGCTTATGTTACTTGCCTTGGCCCCGTGGGCACCGCTTGACCCTTGATTTAAACCCACTGAGGAGATACACTATGTGCCTCAGAGGGAGACACCTTAAGAAAAGATAGTTTACATTCACAGGCAGAGACTGTTTTGAAGAAACATCATGTATTCAGCAAATATTCAACAAACAAGCACCTACTATGTGCCCAGTACACTTTTTGGTGCTGGAGATAAAAACAATACACAAGACTGAAACATTTCCTACTCTTATGAAGTTTGTATTCTAATAGAGGTGTCAATAAAACAAGTGAACCCATGAAAAAGATAATTGCAAGATGCTATATGATATCCTATGTACAATAGGATGTAGAATATTCTACATAGGATGGCATATACTTACCACTATGGTAGAGAGAGGAGTGGATGGTGGGATGGGGAATATTAGCATAAATCATATATTAAGGGAAGGCATCTGAGTGATGATAAACTGGGAGCCGAATATGACATTTGAGATAGCACAAGCTTGTGAAGAGCTTAGAAGAAATATATACTAAGCAGAGGAGACAGCAAGTATTATACAACCTTGAAGTAGGCCTGAGTTTGATGTCTTCAAGGAATTTAAGGCGAGTGTGAGAGGGGCTTAGAGAACAAGGGGTGAGATATAGGAGAGAAGTTGGGGAGTTGGGTGGGCTCCAGATCTTATAAAGTTTTGGGGTCCACAGTGAGCAGGTTGGATATGATTCTAACTGGGTTGGAAGATTATTAGAAACTGTTAAGCATGTGAGCATGTGAGCAGCATAATCTGACTTTTTGTTTGTTTGTTTGTTTTGAGACGGAGTCTCGCTCTGTCACCCATGCTGGAGTGCAGTGGCATGATCTCGGCTCACGGCAACCTCTGCCTCCCGGGTTCAAGTGATTCTCCTGCCTCAGCCTCCCCAGTAGCTGGGATTACAGGCACGTGCCACCACGCCCAACGAATTTTTGTATTTTTAGTAGAGATGGGGTTTCACAACGTTGACCAAGGTGTTCTTGATCTCTTGACTTTGTGATCTGCCCACCTCAGCCTCCCAAAGTGCTGGGATTACAGGTGTGAGCCACCACTCCCATCCCCAGCCAATCTGATTTCTTTTAAGGAATAATTTCCTACAGTGTGCAGCTGTTATTAATTTTTAAATCTTTTTTCAATTGTGAAATATAGCACACACAGGAAAAAATGTATAAAACACATATGAAGAGTTTATCAAATAACCATAAAGCGAAGATCATGCCTTTCCCATCTAATCAAGAAATAGAACACTGTCAACTCCCAGAAGCACTCCTAGTTTGTGTTCCTTCTGAGGCATGACAGCTTCTTCCCACAAGAGTAACCACCATCCTAACATTGAGAGTATTCAATTACCTGATTTTTTAATAGTACTGCTTAACAATGCATCCCCACACAATATAGTTTACTGTTGTCTCTTATTAAATTTTGTGTAAATATCATTTGATGTCTGCATTAAGATGGTCAATAGAAACTTCCTCATAGAATTTATCTTTCCCAATAAAAAATGAGAAAAAGCATTTTAAATTTAGCATATTTTCTGCTTACAACAATCAAATAAGAGTATACCCTACTGAAATACATTTCAAAAAATGACAACCAAGAGAAAGAAAGAAAATTCTCGAGCAAAATACAAAAGCACAGCAGTTTCTAACCTCACTTCCACCCCCAGAAACCTTTCAGTGAGTAGAAAAAGTTCTCGGAATACTTACTAACACATCCAAATATGTAGAGACATAAACTGAGTGGGTATCTTTATCTTTTTCCTTTTTGGATTGAGAAATAGTGAAACTATCTGCTGGGGATAAATAAGTGAAATGGGGAAATGAACACTAGGAAACTGTCTTAACTTGTTCAGGTTGCTATAACAAAATACCATAAGCTGGGTAGGTTATAAACAACAGAAATGTATTCCTCACAGTTTTGAAGGTTGGGAAGTCCAAGATCAAGGAACTAGCAGATTGTCTGGTGAGGGCTCACTTTCAGGTTCACAGACGGTGCCTTCTCCCTGTATTCTCACAGGGTAGAAGAATCAAGGGTCTCTCTGGGTTCTCTTTATAAAGTCAACTAATCCCATTCATAAGGGCTCAGCCCTTAGGATTTACTCACCTCCCTAAGGGCTCATCTGCTAATACTATCACCCTGGGGGTTAAGATTTTAACATATGAATTTTGAGGGGATACAAACATTCAGACCATAGCAGCAACTAACAGCTTCATGAGGAATTCCCTAGTCCCAGAGGATGAGTGTGAACAGATGTAAGCCAATTGTGTCAATTCCTTTCCCCTAACCAGTGATATGTTTAAGCATAAACATTTGATATCACTGACCAGTAAGATGCAAAGGAGGAAATTTAAGAAGGAATTCATAGAAGAGTCAAGAGCCATAGAGGATGGAGAGATATCCTAGGGATTCGTAAAGCAGAAAGCCCCTACTGTTCTTATGGTGGAGGAACGAAGTGAGGGAGTGACATCATCAGAGGCTGGAAGTCAAGGCCAACTGGCAGAAACTGGAACATGGAGGCCTGGTCCACTGGGAGGCTGGAGAGGGAGCCACTACTGAGGCTCACTCAAGAAGCTTTTTGGAGCAAAGAAGGAAGGGGAAAATGCCCTGGATTCTCTCTTTTTCCTGCCCTCCAATCTGTGCCAATGCCTCTGGGCTGGAATCTGGCTGCCAGGGGCCCCTGGAAAGTACAGCCTGCATCAATCAGCCTCAATGTGGTACAAAACAAAGCAGGGGAAGAGTAAGAACTGAATTTGAAGGTGAAGACGTAGAGACTTGGCATAAAGAGGATGAAAAAAAGAAAGAAATCAAGGATGACTCCCACATTTTTGGCTTGTGAATGTGAGGAAGTGCCACTTCTGCGATGGGGAACATTGAAGAAGTAGCAGTTAGGGAACCAAACTCAGGATCCTTGTTTTGTATGTGTCAAGTTCAAGTGAAGCTATCAAATGAGTACAACGACACCAGAAGATTCCCTTGGACCAGAGAGAAAGAGGACGACAGAAGAGAAAGAGAGAGAAGCAGGAGAGAGGGAAAGAAGAGAAGGAGAGAGCTCGAGAACTTTATGTGTCCTAGAGGCAGGATGGCCTAAATCCTGATTGCTAGCAGTGCTACAGGGAAGTGGCAAGCCTCCATGAAGGAAAATGGGTGCACATTTCGCTTAACACAATATTTTATTTTCTAGAAATGAGGCATGGAATTAGGAGAGACCGGAAGGGACCATGCTGTAAAGGATGGTGAATAATGTCCTCAGCAATCACTGTAGTGGACAAATGACCAGGCACCTTTTCTCACACACTCCATAGACACGATAGCACCCAACAAACCTGAGATTATGGATTTGAGATTATGGGATTTGGAGAGAAGGGACACAGAAAAGATTAAGGCTAAATTGCCTGCCACCTCAACTGTACGGAGATTCGGAGACAAAAGTTTTGTTGCTTCAGGTTTCATCTCCTTTCACCATAAGACAATTTGTGGGATATAAAATCCCCCACAATGCAATTTCCAGAGATTGATTTATTTAGTTTGGCTTAACCCATTGGTGGAGCTTTAACAAGATTGTCCAAAGGGGCTCTGGTTCTCCGAGTGTAATTCCCTTTGAAATCTCCCCATAGTGGGAAATTCAGAAAGAAACAGTCCTTCCTGGTTGTCCAGTCTAAGTCAATGAACCAAACACACATGCAGGCACAAACACCTCCAAGACACACGTATTCCTAGAAATCATGTAACCTAGTTCCATGTATTAAAGACGAAACAATTTTCCTACATGCAACAGAATCCATTAAGACCCCTGCCTGTGAAACAAACAGCCTCTTACAGCAAAGCAAATGTGTGAGTCATATCCACCTGCACCTCATTTTGTTTACCCTCTGGTTTCTAGGTAGTGCCCCAGGAAAAATCTGAAAAAGAAGTGGTGTTCATTTCAAATCCATTTGCATTAAATCCATCTATTAAAGACCTTACAGAAACTCTGAAGTTTACCAGTTTCGAGCACTTTAGGCCAAGTAACATTTCTAGACAGAGCATATTCATACCCTTTTCTGTGAGTTGAAGGGAGAGAATATGCATGAGTGAGCCCTGTACATTCAGCACCCCCAGGTGCAGCTTAAGGGGAAAAATTCTGTTCTTCCACTTTATTGTGTATAAGCATAATTTCTCTAGCTCTCAAAGGGTTCAATGGAAAATAATAATAATAAATTAAACACCATTGGGGGTTCAATCCTCTGACTGGAAAGCTATAGAATTTTAGAAAGCTAAGGATTACAAAATCTCACAATCTAGCTTCCCGGGACCTGTAATGTAGGCATTCTGACTCCGCAGTCCTCTACTATTTTACTTTTAGTATAAAATTTGTTTTCAACAATGGTAGCTTTGGTAATCCATATTACATAGTAAGGTCTGATATGAATTTTTATTAGACAACAAAAGAAACTAACCATGTCTTTCATCTTTTTCACTATATAAAATAGAACTCTTAAAAATGCACAATCTGGCTGGGCACAGTGGCTCACGCCTGTAATCCCAGCACTTTGGGAGGCGGAGGCAGGCAGATCACTTGAGGTCAGGAGTTCAAGACCATCCTGGCCAACATGATGAAACCCCGTCTCTACTAAAAAAATATAAAAATTAGCCAGGCGTATTGGCATATGCCTGTAATCCCAGCGACTGGAGATGCTGAGGCAGGAGAATTGCTTTAACCAGGGAGGCGGAGGTTGCAGTGAGCAGAAATCGGGCCACTGCACTCCAGCCTGGGTGACAGAGAGAGACTCCATCTGAAAAAAAAAGAAAAAGAAAAAAAGCACAATCTCATCTTCCAATTTTGCTTAACAGGGAGCTCAAGCTGTTATTATGTGCGTATATGTGTTGTCACATTAAAACGCTGATGAGTCAGCACAGTATGGGGGCATGTTTTCATATGCTGAACTGATTAAATGACCTCCAAATCATGCTTGCTACGTAAAACTGTGAGTGCAGGAATCAAGCACCATTAACATAAAATAAACCATAATAGCTGTTAGGATTGTGATAATGCCTTGTTCCTAAATATTCTGGCTATGTGTGCAGAGAATATAATAAGCTATCTAATTTTAAGGTTTAATGAGGCAAACTGTTGATTCTGAACTGGCTACAGCAGAATGAGTCAACCCATATGTTCTTTGTCACTGGAATATGAGCTTATAAACAGACTTGTCTACAAGGCAGAAAACTCACAGATGACTGATAAATGAATTTTGGCAGTGGCTTATGATCATAATTGGCAATAACTGGGGAAAATATTGACAATGGTGAATTTTGAACTCTTGGAAACAGCGACTCTGAGTCTATCTCACACTCCAACTGTGGTTGAACAGCGCAGAAAGCCTCCTGGACTGGATAGATTTTAAATTGTGCCTTTATGGACGGGAAAAGGATGATAAATGGAAGCAAAATTTTCTAGGAATATGTCCAAAGTAAATGACTGTTGATATGTGTGGTTGTCTTAGTCTGGCTGTATATTTCTGGTACTAAGTGGAGATTGTGTGTGTGAGTGTTGATGTTGATGAATATTCATGCACCAGGGAAGGAAAGTATTCTGTTAACCTGGAGCTATAAAACTTATCCATCAAAATCCTACTTGAGGACTGTGCCATCTGTCTTGATTTGCTCTGAATCAGGATGCCTTACACAATGCGGAGGGCCTTCTCAGTGGGCTGTGGGTGACAGGAAGACAAACAGCAGTGGCAGCTCAGAACTTAAATTCCTAAGTCATCAGCACCAGCACAGAACTCATTCTACAATTGTTCTGGAGACAAGTGGGAGATGACAGGATGCCCAAAATAGCAAGCCTGCTTACCTAAGTATTTGTCTCAAAATCGTGCTGGAGAACCACCTGCTTTGTTTCAATGGAACTCTTGCGAATGTTCAGTTATCAGAAGCACAAGTTATTGTGATGGGACCACTGTGTCTGTCTCTTATGATTGAGCTATCATTTTAGACTGGCAATTTGTATACTTACCCACTAAAGGTGGGGGGAAAAAACCTTTCTCCTTTTATCCAGCAAACACTTTTGAGAATTTTCTATGTGCCAAGAACTATACAAGTCACAGGAATTACAAAGATGCATAAGATATTATAGGTCCTGCTCCTAATTTAGTAGAAAAGAGACATAAGAACAGATCAGTTATAACACAATTAAGTTCATACTATAAATGGGAACAAGTGCTTTGCTGATCCCATAAAAAGACTGATGAACTTTGCCTGGGGCAGCTGGGAAAGGCTTTGTGGAAGAGCTGACATTTGAATTAGGTTTGAAGAATAAGTAAGAGTTTTCTAGATGGAGTAGTCAAGGGAATTGTAGATGATGGATATCTTTATGGCACTGACTGTGGTGATAGTTTTACAGTGTATACTTATCTTTAAACTCATCAAGTTGTATACATTAAATACATACAGATTTTTGTAAGTCAATCATTCCTCAATAAAGTGGTTTAAAAAAAAAAAAGTCAAAGGGAAGGCATTCTGGCCATGTTTCAAATCACATAGACCTGAAAACTCAGGAAATACTCTTCAAAGAGAGAGGCATTCGTGATTAACCAGCCAAAGGTGAAGTGGGGGAATGAAAGGGTTTTGGAATGAAGTGTTGGGAAAGGAGGATCAAGAAGAAAGCTGGGATTGAATTGCAAGGTGTCTTGTATGTCAGGCTATAATACTTGATTATTTTCCCCATTTGGGTAGCAGGGAGCCAACAAACATTTATAAGGATGAGAGAAACATGGTTAGATTTATGTTTGAAGATGCAAATTCAGACGACTATGCAAAAATGAAGCAAGTGGGGAGATGCTGATGGATGTGATGGAAAGGGGGGAAATACTGACAGAAACTGTGAGGGCTGAAATTAAGCAAATGGTGATAAGAATAGAGAAACCACTAAACTTCAATAGTTGGTACAGGTAGTTGCAGAACAGTATACTTGTAGGAAGAGATACATTTGAGAAACACACTACTGAAAACTCAGAAATGCTGAGAACAAAAAAAAAGGAAAAGATTTTACCTATGTCAAGAATGCATTCTTCTGCCTTTATAGTTCCAGCATCTCTTGAGTCTATATTCTAAATTAATAATGACTGAGCCCCAGTTGCTTGTTTACATTTTATGGGCCTAATTAAATTAGGAAAAATAATCACCTGCAAGCAAAGATGTGATACACTTCCTGTACGACCAAAAAATACTCTCAGGTTACTACATTCTCAGTCTCAGGTACAAGTTAAGTAAATGAGACGAAAAGTACTAAAGATGCTGGATTAAGAGAGAATCAAGAATAGATGCAAGAACAACTGAGATCCAGTGCACAGGAGGAGAGATGAAGGTAACTGGCCCTTCCCTTAGTTGATGTGTAATAATTGCTTGTTAAATAAAGTAATGGCTACCCATACCACTGACAAGATGCTATGGATGGGTCCTGGCTCAGTGGCTCAAGGCAGGTGGATCACCCAAAGTCAGGAGTTCGAGACCATCCTGGCCAACATGGTGAAACCCAGTCTCTACTAAAAAATACAAAAATTAGCTGGGCATGGTGGCGTGTGCCTGTAGTCCCAGCTACTCGGGAGGCTGAGGTAGGAGAATCACCTGGACTGGGGAGGCAGAGGTTGCAGTGAGGTGAGATTATGCCATTGCACTCCAGCCGGGGCGACAAGAGCAAAACTCTGTCTCAAAAAACAAACAAACACAAACAAACAAAAAAACCGATGTTATGATTGGAACAGATGGAAAATGGTAACTCTCAGAGGAATAGTTTTTTACAAAAGGAACTTATTGGCTATGTTTACTTAGCTTTGCCAGAAGTTTTCTCACTTTCGTATTAGGAAACGTCTACATTATTTAGTCATCTTCCCAATAGATGCTGCTGTGTTTTGAATGTGTCTCCCAAATTTCATGTGTTGGGAAGATAGTTCCCATTTTCCTATGTTGATTGGAGGTGGGGCCTTTCAGAGGTAATTAGGATTAAATAAGGTTATCAGGGTGGGGCCCCTATGATGAGACTGGTGGCTTTATAAGAAGAGGGAGAGAGACCTAAGCTGACATGCATGCCTTTGCCCATTTGCCATGTGATGCCCTCAACCATGTTATGACCAGCAAGGAAGGCCCTCACCAGATGCCAGTGCCATGCTCCTGAACATCCCAGCCTCTGGAACTGTGAGCTAAATAAACTTCTATTCTTCATAGATTACCCAGTCTCAGTTATTCTATTACAGTAACAGAAAATGGACTATGACAGATACTGAATTCCTAATGAGCAATCATTTCATAGCACCCACCACAATGATTAGCAATTGTAGACTTTGAAATTAGACCTGAGTATGAATCCTAGATCTGTCAGTAGTGTGTATCTTTAGAAAATTACTTAAACTCTCTGAGTCTCAGCTTCCTCTTCATGGACTTGCTGTAGTAAATGAATAAGTCAATGTATGTTAAGCACCTAACAAAATGCCTTACACATAAAAACCATAAATTGCCAACATCACCAATTCAGGCAGATCATAGTGCTTGTCTCACAAAGTTTCAAAGATTCACTAGGGAAATGTATAAGTCCATAGAATAATATATTAGAAAAATAAATGGAATTTTTTTACCCACAAGTTTGAGCTCCTGAGTATAAAGATGTCTCTTACATGATATTGTCTTTACCACTGTGCTAAATGTGACACGTTGAATTGAATTTGGAAATTGCAGAAAGTTTATTCCAAGGCATCCACAGACTTTAACCACATTATTTTTAGTCTTTTCTATGTTATCTTATGCCCAAAGCCCCACTGGGAAGCTATCTGAGAAGCATGTTGTTAGTGGCACAATTAGTGCTGACATATACCACTATTAAAGGAATCTTAATGGGAGTTTAAGCCAAGTTAAGATTGTAAAATTGGAGGTAAGATGTCCAACAATCTCTGTGGCAAGATATGCACCATTCTTAGGTATTTTACTTCTCCAGTTACATCCAACTAGTAATTTACAACTTTACTTCTCCATGAACACAAATATCAGTCAAAGATGAGTTAGAATGACCTGGAAACTCAGTGGCTTAAAGCAACAAAGACTTACTTCTTTTTCATGCTTTATATCCATTTTGAGGCAGTGGGGTCAGAATAGGGGGACTCAATTCATCCTAGTCAATCAGGGACCAAGGCTGATGGAACAACCATTATCTTAAACTTATCAGTCACTACGCAAAGGAAAAGAGAAAGATCTGGGGGTCTCATCATGAAAAATTAAGTGTTTTAACCCAGAAGTGCACATGTTATCTTACTCATAGCTTATTGGACAGAACTTGTCACATGATCACCTTCCTAACAATAAGGGGCCATGGAAGTGTAAGCCCATAATGTGCCCAGAAAGAGACAGAAACAGAAATATCTGGCAAAGAGCACCAATGACTACCACTAACATTGAGTCTGAAATAGGATTAATTGTCTTGGAATGATGAACAACTAAGTTTGGCCATTTATGACATTCTGTCTCTTTAGGTAGTTTGCATGCATCTATACGTTTCTTACATTGATAAGTAACCAGACTTCTGAAAGACTAGAACGTAAGACAGAGAGAAACAAGGCCCACCTGAGATGAGCAGACCAGTAATTATTTAGTCATGTTCTTTCAATGTGCCATTAGTAGTGACATGTAGCAGGGAGCTGACAACATCTCCCTGGAAAACAATTCTGCTATTGTTTTCCAGGGAGAAAGAAAACAAGTCTGGGAATAAAATACTGTCTGCTGTGCATTCACTGAATATGATTCATTTAAAAAATCTCTGCTTACACTAAATATTTCCATTGTCAACAACATCTGCTTATCAGTAATTTCCATAGCTTTCCATATTTCTAAATATTAAACCTATGAATATTAAGACTGTTCTAAGATACTCAGCGAACTGCCAGCTAGCCACAGTAAAACAGACAAACAAACAAAAAAAACACCTCCTGGTACCAGAAAATAAGAGCACAAGCAGTACCATAGAGGCAATTTGGTATTTCATGAGGAAGAGGAAGGCTATGTCTGTAACCACTCCAGAAAAGTGGGGGAATGCTGAGGTAAGGACTTTGGTGTTTGCAGCTCAGTTATGTAAAGACAGATAAGCTGGTTTATATTTCTCCATTCCTTTGACATTCCAGGCTAGAAACAGGATATTTGCTATTGAAATGACTATTAGCTACAGTCACTTGAGAGATTTGTCAAATGCTGTGAAACAGCAATTTGTAAAGAGGCTTGATGGCCCTAGGAACACAGTGATTCACAATAACCGCCTCAGACCAATTTCCTAGATTCTCAGTTTAGTACTAAGGAGGAGAAAGGGTCTCTGGACTAGCATGCCAGGTAGTATAAAAGTCACTGTGTCATTTCACCCAGATGCCTGTGGTTCCCTTTATGGGTTCTGGGTATCTATCTCCCAGCTTCTGCATGCTTTACTCCTAAAGGCTGGCACAAGAAGTCTTCCTCAGAGAACTGCCTGTGGGCTGATAGGATCCCTCTGCCCAGCTGCCCTGAGACAAGAAACTGCCCAGAAGCCAATAGCCAAGTGCAGAAATATGAATGCTTAGCTGTTTTGCCTCAATGTGACCACATTAGTTCCAGCCCCTGAAAGATGGAAGGAGTGATAAGACCCAAAGCAAGTCCTGATAGGGTGAGGTAGTGTGGACAAGGATTACCCCAGAAGGAAGGGAAATGTCTAACAAAATGCACATTGTTACCTCCCTTTCCCAAATGACTTATACCATCTGTGTGATTCATTAAAAATAAGGAATAAAGCTGGGTCCATGTGTTTTTAGAAACAGGTATGGAGAATCAGATAACAAATTGAAGTTTTGCAGCTACCAGCGTATTCAGAAGATCAACTACCCAAAGAAATGATCCATGAAAAGGAGGAGGTTCAGAAAGGCAGAACTGGCAGGATAATCCAAGTTACACACACACACACACACACACACACACACACACACACACACACACAGAGTTACGGGAAGTCAGGGACCCCAAACGGAGGGACTGACTGGAGTCGCAGCAGAGGAACATAGATTGTGAAGATTTCATGGACATTTATCACTTCCCTAATAATACTCTTATAATTTCTTACACCTGTCTTACTTTAATCTCTTAATCCTGTTATCTTCGTAAGCTGAGGATGTATGTCACCTCAGGATCACTGTGTTAACTGTACAAATTGATTGTAAAACGTTTGTGTTTGAACAATATGAAATCAGTGCACCTTGAAAAAGAACAGAATAACAGCGACTTTTAGGGAACAAGGGAAGACAATCATAAGGTCTGACTGCCTGCGGGGTCAGGCAAAAAGAGCCATATTTTTCTTCTTGCAGAGAGCCTATCAACGGAAATGCAAGTAGGAGAGATATTGCTAAATTCTTTTCCTAACAAGGAATATTAAGACCCTAGGAAAAGAATTGCATTCTTGCGAGGAGGTCCATAAATGGCTGCTCTAGGAGTGTCTGTCTTATGTGGTTGAGATAAGGACTGAAATATGCCCTGGTTTCCTGTAGTACCCTCAGGCTTATTAGGGTGGGGAAAAAATGCTCCCTAGTAAATTTGAGGTCAGACTGGTTCTCTGCTCTTGAACCCTGTTTTCTTTTTTTTAATTTTTTTATTTTTAGGTTTTTTTTAATTATACTTTAAGTTTTAGGGTACATGTGCACAACATGCAGGTTTGTTACATATGTATACATGTGCCATGTTGGTGTGCTGCACCCATTAACTCGTCAATTAACATTAGGTATATCGCCTAATCCTATCCCTCCCCTCTCCCCCCACCCCACAACAGGCCCCGGTGTGTGATGTTTCCCTTCCAGTGTCCATGTGCTCTCATTGTTCAATTCCCACCTATGAGTGATAACATGCAGTGTTTGGTTTTTTGTCCTTGCGATAGTTTGCTGAGAATGATGGTTTCCAGCTTCATCCATGTCCCTACAAAGGACATGAACTCACCCTTTTTTATGGCTGCATAGTATTCCATGGTGTATATGTGCCACATTTTCTTAATCCAGTCTATCGATGTTGGACATTTGGGTTGGTTCCAAGTCTTTGCTATTGTGAATAGTGCCGCAATAAACATATGTGTGCATGTGTCTTTATAGCAGCATGATTTATAATCCTTTGGGTATATACCCAGTAATGGGATGGCTGGGTCAAATGGTATTTCTAGTTCTAGATCCCTGAGGAATCACCACACTGAATTCCACGATGGTTGAACTAGTTTACCATCCCCCCAACAGTGTAAAAGTGTCCTATTTCTCCACATCCTCTCCAGCACCTGTTGTTTCCTGACTTTTTAATGATTGCCATTCTAACTGGTGTGAGATGGTATCTCATTGTGGTTTTGATTTGCATTTCTCTGATGGCCAGTGATGATGAGCATTTTTTCATGTGTCTTTTGCCAAACAATGAGTGAACTCCCATTCACAATTGCTTCAAGAGAATAAAATACCTAGGAATACAACTTATAAGGGATGTGAAGGACCTCTTCAAGGAGAACTACAAACCACTGCTCAATGAAATAAAAGAGGATACAAACAAATGGAAGAACATTCCATGCTCATGGGTAGGAAGAATCAATATCATGAAAATGGCCATGCTGCCCAAGGTAATTTATAGATTCAATGCCATCCCCATCAAGCTACCAATGACTTTCTTCACAGAATTGGAAAAAACTACTTTAAAGTTCATATGGAACCAAAAAAGAGCCCGCATTGCCAAGTCAATCCTAAGCCAAAAGAACAAAGCTGGAGGCATCATGCTAACTGACTTCAAACTACACTACAACGCTACAGTAACCACGACAGGATGGTACTAGTACCAAAACAGAGATACAGACCAATGGAACAGAACAGAGCCCTCAGAAATAATGCCATATATCTACAACTCTCTGATCTTTGACAAACCTGACAAAAACAAGCAATGGGGAAAGGATTCCCTATTTAATAAATGGTGCTGGGAAAACTGGCTAGCCATATGTAGAAAGCTGAAACTGGATCCCTTCCTTACACCTCATACAAAAATTAATTCAAGTTGGATTAAAGACTTAAATGTTAGACCTAAAACCATAAAAACCCTAGAAGAAAACCTAGGCAATATCATTCAGGACATAGGCATGGGCAAGGACTTCATGTCTAAAACACCAAAAGCAGTGGCAAAAAAAGCCAAAATTGACAAATGGGATTAATTAAACTAAAGAGCTTCTGCACAGCAAAAGAAACTACCATCAGAGTGAACAGGCAACCTACAGGATGGGAGAAAACTTTTGCAATCTACTCATCTGACAAAGGGCTAATATCCAGAATCTACAATGAACTCAAACAAATTTACAAGAAAAAACAAACAACCCCATCAACAAGTGGGCGAAGGATATGAACAGACACTTCTCAAAAGAAGACATTTATGTAGCCAAACCCTGTTTTCTGTTGTTTAAGATGTTTATCAAGACAATACGTGCACAGCTGAACACAGACCCTTATCAGGAGCGTTTGATTTTGCCCTTTGCCTTGTGATCTTTACTGGCCTCAGAAGCATGTGATCTTTGTTCTCCTTTTTGCCCTTTGACACATGTGATCTTTATGACCTACTCTCTGTTCGTACACCCCCTCCCCTTTTGAAGTCCTTAATAAAAACCTGCTGGTTTTGTGGCTTAGGTGGGCATCATGGTCCTACCGATATGTGATGTCACCCCCAGAGGTCCAGCTGTAAAATTCGTCTGTTTGTACTCTTTCTTTTTATTTCTCAGCTGGCCGACACTTATGGAAAATAGAAAGAACCTATATTGAAATATTGGGGGCGGGTTCCCCTGATAACACCCCATACAAAACACATATACATAGAACCACACAAAGAACCCAGGTTGAGAATAGGCAGGAATTAGGAGTGTGGCTAGGTAAAAGCTCTGAAATTCAGGAAGACATGTTAGTCAAGCCAACAGTATGAAATTAACCCAATGCTGAAGCTAGGCCATGCTTATGTACCTGACTGCCACAGCAGGAGCACAAACAGGACAAGTGAGAAGACTTGTCCCACAGATCTTGGACTCTACTCCTGAGGGAGCACCTCAACAAGATGTTCTACAATCTCCCACCTTTTAACTAATGAAGATGTGAATGATCGCTGAATTGCTAGAGATATGAGAGAAACTATGGAGAGCCAGGATTGTTAAGGAATTTCAGTATCTGTTGATATCTGAAACTACAATTGTGTGCCAAAAAGCATTATGGAGGAACTGATACAATATACTGTTTGTGGGTTGATTTGTATGACCATATTTTTATCTAAGTAATTTATAGTTACAGATTTCATTTATATATTTATTATTTCCAAGCAGGCACTTTAGTCCCTGAGTATTGTAAAGACCAAATTAGTCCTATATATTACTTGTGATAATGAGCTAATTCCTGTTTAAAATAATTTTATACTTGTCGCAGGCCTGAATACAAAGATACCAACATATGCAGTCTTCAGACACTAGTGTTCTTTTGTGAATTGAAAGTACATATAGGAAGGGTAAATATAGTCAAGTTCAAGGTCTGTAAATTTAACATCAACAAGAGAAAGCAAATAAAAATAGAACATACAGAAAGATAAAGTGAAAGAAGGAAGGAAATGTGCTCAAGAAAGTAATTACCATTGTTATAGTGATGGCCACTGAATAGAAAAATAAGAAAATCTGACCCATTATATGTAAGATTGAAGTAATATGTAATTGTCATAAGGAAAACAACTCTAAGGAGCTTACAAATATGTATAGAAAATAAAGTTAGGCTACTTCTGCTTCTATTAATAGGTTTGGAATAAGTCGATAACTGATTTACTGAATCAATTTTTTAATGAATGGATGGGAATATATTTGTTAATAACCTAGCTTCTGTATAAGACAGAAGTGAAAAACAATATGGTTACTGATTTGTTTAGATGATATTCTGTTTTATAACATGTTAAAAACTAGTTAAATAAGCCAAAAAAAAGGTGATATATTAAATTAGATCAATACAAAGTAAACTGAGAAATAGACCAAATAGAATACAAATATGCATTCCATTATGAAGGAAATTTAGAATACAAGGAGAAAATATTGAGACAACATTTTAGGCCACCAGGTTGATTTCAAATAAATAAAATTTCAGATTTGATATCTTCTAGCCATTTGATTAAAAGTGAACAATATAATTTTATTTATTTATTTATTTATTTATTTGAGACAGAGTCTCACTCTGTCTCCCAGGCTGGAGTGCAGTGGCGCGATCCTGGCTCACTGCAACCTCTGCCTCCCAGGTTCAAATGATTACCCTGCCTGAGCCTCCTAAGTAGCTGGGACTGCAGGCGTGTGCCACCACGCACAGCTGATTTTTGTGTTTTCGGTAGAGACAGGTTTCCCCATATTGGCCAGGCTGGTCTCGAACTCCTCAGATGATCCACCCACCTTGGCCTCCCAAAGTGCTGGGATTACAGGCATGAGCCACTGCACTCAGCCAATATAATTTTAAATGAAGAAATCCATATATTTTTATTTATGCTAGGCTTTATATTTTAATATTGTTTTCATCTTATTTCATCTTACTAGCTCTTCATGACACACACTTCTGTGGATGAGATGCAAAAATTGAGCTCTCATGGGTAGAAATAAAAAGGCAATAATTGTTGAGATTTTTGTCATGACTCACATCCTGCAGTCTCAAAATGCATTTATAGGATTATAATATTCACCTGTGAAATATAGCAACCATACTGTGCATGACATCTATATTATCAAAGGGGATTTGGGACAAGATGCCACAACTCCCAACTTATACATGACACATAGACCAACTCTCCAAATTGAGAGTGTTTACTTCTCCTCTCACTTCTGATTGGATGCCACAGTATATTCTCCCTCTTAGAATCAGAACCCCACTTTTCTCTGGTGTCATAGTGTTCAAATTAAGACTCACATAAAAGATCAACAATGTCATTGTTTATGCTCAAAACTGTGGATAAAGTTCATTTTTATAATCACTTGTTGCTGTAGTGTGCAAAAATGGAGTCTGTAGTGGGATAGGTCTTGGTTCTTCTAGAAGTGGTGATAAGGTCATATGGACCCAGTGCCACGCGTTTACCTAATTCACTGAGTTCAACAGTCTCAGTATCCAAGGTAGCTGCCTGAGATCTGGGATGCAGCATAAATACAGAGCAGAGGGGAGTCTGCAGGGGCTTTAAGAGAACTGAGGAGCTAACCCACAAGCGCAGCTTCATGAACACTGTGCTTTAACCAACAGGAGACACTGAGAGTAACAACAATGATCATAAATGTGTCATTACTATATTGAGACAGTGGTATGTTTTAGAAATGGCAGTAGAAATATTAATAAAGGCAAAAAGCTCCCTAATCCTATCATCCACATTTTAAATTACTGAAATCTATGAGAAAGTGATTTTGACCTATCAGTAAACTCTGTATGACAAATGCAGCTTTATGTCATATCTGTGTTCTTCATTCCTTTGTATTTCCTTATCCCTCCTCAGCTCTCACTTCCTTTCCTCTGTCCTCTTTCACACCTTGTCCTATTCTCCTCTTTCTTTTTCCCCTTTCTCTGAAATGCAAGAGTTTTTCCCCATTTGCTTTTGAGACTGTTGCACAGTGTCTTTGTAAGTGGCAACATGTAGCAGCTGTCTGTTAGTCCCACTCAAGTCACAGCCTCATGGTGCACTCCTGGGGTTGGGGGCTTTCTTGGCGTGGTGGGTGGGTGCAGACATCAGCATCTTTCACAGAGCTTGTCTTAGTCAATTCTGAAGTGCTAATTCTCAACCCCCTCAGCCATAACATATGCCCCATCCTTACTTTTGAAGTCCAGATGGTACTTGCCAAATTATCAAGACACATTTGAACACGTGCAACTTCACAAGATGTATATTCAGCTTAAAAGAATGTTCTGCTCAGCATTGCCTGCCCATGAATTCTTACTACTGTCCTTGCCTTTTCATTTTACCTGCTTATTTTTTCTCTGCCTATTATGAGGGTGTTTTCTGTCTGTTTTCTCAATTTTACTAGTGCATTTGGATTAGCCAGTTCCACTTAGAGGTAGTATAATATAGTAGTTGACAGTATGGGTTCTGGAGCTGAAGCACCTGCGTTCAAGTCCTAGTTCCATCACTCATTACTGTGTGACCTCAGGCAAGTTATGGCTGTTGGGGATTCAGTGAGTTAACATGTTTAAAGCTGTAAAGTTTTGAAAACAATGTTTGGCACACAGTAAACAAGTCCTCTGTTCATATTCAGAACTTAAGGACTGAATAAGCCTATGCCCTAGGAAAGTATTGTTCAAATGTAACTCTGTGTAATCTGGATTCGATGGACAAGTCTCAGACTCCAAAACACAATACACTTGTCCCCGCTTATCAGTGGGGAATATTTTCCAAAACCCCCATTGGATGCCTGAAACCATGAATAGTACCGAATCCTATATATACTATGTTTTTTCCAATACATACATACCTATGATAAAGTTTAACTTATAAATTGGGCACAGTAAGAGAGTAACAACAATAATTAATAATCAAATAGATCAATTATAACAATATACTGTAATAACAGTTATGTGCAAGTGATCTCTCTCTCTCTCAAAATACCTTATTGTAATATACTCACTTGTTTTTGGATTTCAGTTGACTGTGGGTAACTGAAATCACAGGAAGGGAAAGCGCAGATAAGGGGGGACTACTGTATAGAAAAAGCAGAGCCTGGGGTACTGTGCAAGGACTTGGTTCCGGAGCTGGGCTTAGGTGTGAGAGGTGAGACAGGCTACTCCAAGAGTTACAGAATGTGTGACAAAGAACACTGAAAGATAGTGTGGGGCAAATCAAAGTATTTGAAACTAAACAAAAAAATCCAAGTAAAGAGTCATTCTGAAAGTGTCTGGTGGAGGGAGAGAGAATTAACCTCAGAGAAAGGAAAAACAATATAAAGGCAAACAAAAAGGAAGAGCTTGGTTAAAACTTTGAGGAACTACTTGAGACTTCAGCCTTACTCATTGATAAGAGGGAACCTGGCAAATACCTTGAGTTTGTTCAGACAGAATCAGAGTTCTTTGTAGCATTCCAGTTTTAATATAACTGTTAATTAACTACAAGACCATAAGCAACACAAGAAACAGTCCTATGACCCAATTTCATTATCATTAAGATCTCTTTTAAATGCAATGCAATTTGTTCATTCAACAAACCGTACATGGAGTGAAACAGTCACTGGACTGGGCACTAGGAATACCGCAGTGATGATAAACATTGCCCCTGCCTCCCCAAAGCTATGGTTTAATGCAGGGGTGTCCAATCTTTTGGCTTCCCTTGGCCATGTTGGAAGAAGAGGAATTGTCTTGGGCCACACATAAAATATGTTAACACTAACAATAGCTGATGAGCTTTAAAAAAATCACACAAAAAAATCTCATAATGGTTTTAAGAAAGTTTACAGACTTGTGTTTCACTGCATTCAAAGCTGTCTGGGCCACATGCAGCCCACGGGCCACGCTTTGGACAAACTTGGTCTAATGGGAGAGACCATGCTTCCCATCTGAAAAACAGAGCCTATGATGGAGGAGCCACCCTAGTCCAAGGTCAAGAAAATCTCCCCTGAGGAAATGACATGTAAGCTGAGAATTGAAGGATGAGTAGTATTTAGAACAATAAAATGACTCCAGATAGAAAGAGCAGCAAATAGGCCAGGTGTGGTCACGGCTCACACCTGTAATCCCAGCACTTTGGGAAGCCGAGGTGAGTGGATCACCTGAGGTCAGGAGTTCGAGACCAACCTGGCCAACATGGTGAAACCGCATCTCTACTAAAAATATAAAAATTAGCCAGGTGTGGTGGCATGTGTGTAACCTCAGCTACTTGGGAGGCTGAAGCAGGAGAATCACTTGAACCCGGGAGGTGGAGGTTGCAGTAAGCAGAGATCGCACCACTGCACTCCAGCCTGGGTGAGGGAGCGTGACTCCATCTCAATGAAAAAAGAGCAGCGAATAAAAAGTCCCTGAGATGGTAGGAGCTTGGGACATTCTAAGACCGGAAAAAAAAAAGCCAGCAATGAGGAAGCACAGTGGGGATGCAGAGCAGTGGGAAGAAGTGAGGCTGGAAAGCAGGGGTGTTCCAAGGGGTGCCATTAGCTCCCAAGCTACACATAAACATAAATGCTTAGTAAAGGTAGACTGTTTTTCCTGCTTAAACATAGCCTTCAGAGAAGTCTCCTGGCCGCACTTTCTAGATTACTATCCCTAATAGAACTCTAGAAACAGTTCTGCCAGAGAGATGGGCAAAACTAGAGGCTGTCAAGGCTCTGAGTATTTCAGTTTTTATTCTTACAGCAATGAGCAGCCATTAAAATGTTTTAAGCAGTGATATGAAGTAATCGGGTTTTTACTTTAATATCATGTAAGCTGCCCTGTAGAGAATACATTGCAGGAGCATAAGACCCATTAGCAGTGTTGCAAGCAGTAGATGATAGTGATGTAGACAAGGTTGGTGGCTGTGGAGCCAGAGAGAAGTGGACGGATTGAACATCTTCAGGAGGTAAAAGGATAACTGATAATTAATAGGGCATCGAGGCTATGGGACATACATGATTCTTAAATATTTTCTGAAGTTCCTATAAAAAAACTTCTGTTTTATAAAATTATTCATTTATATTTATATTCATTCAACAAACACCTTTTCCATGTCCAATATATCTAAAATCTGGTTCTATCATTCCACACTGCTATTAGTTGGCTAAACTTAAAAACAGCAGCGTCACTGACCCAGTTTGAGTTCAACATCAGATATATGGGTCCCCAAGGAATAATATCAAGGAGTTCCGTAACTTGGGACTGGAAGAAGGAGGAAATACAAAAGCAATTTCTACCCACTTTACCAATTTGACTAGAAATTTGAACAGCAACCAGCAGTTGAATGGCCTGTACCAGATACTTTCTGCTACAGAAATATTCTAAAAATAAAATATGCCTTCTTAAAATAAAATTTTTAAAAAAGACTGGGTACTTTAACTTTCGTTTTATTAATACCCAGATCTAACCAAAATGAGTTATTCATGCTGAGGAATGATTGATGACTGATTTCATTCTGGAACCGTTTCCATTTTAGTGAGCAAGATTCAGCAACATTTTATTTGGTATAGACTGTCAAGCCAAAAATTAATTTTTAATAGGGAATATTAAAATAAATTTATCTAACATCTGTCTATCAAAATGGAAATTAAAACTTCTAAGTATAAACCCAGCATAATAACTTGGTCTGGAATGAGCTCCTAAAAGAGACTGTCATCACCTTCCAATTGATCCCGTTACTTCCAAGTTGATTCCAAGGGCCTGGCTGGTCTCATCAAGGAATTAAGCTGTATGTGGACCCAGCTCCTGGCAGATCTGATATCTGACAGCAGCAGTAGCAAAATTAGCTTTAGTGAATGGGATCCCACATAATCCCTTCATATCCTTTGGCACTGTCAACATGCCTACTCCATTCATGAACCCATTGTGCTAGCACAGGAGTGGCTGATGACAGAGGCTGGATAATGTAACGGCTGAGTCATTCTGTCAAGTTGGAGGTTATTCATATGTTTCTTTTCCAGAATTTCTTATCCCTGATCTTTAAGTATTTCTCTTTCCAGCTTCTAAATATTCAGCGAAGCCGTTCACCATTACCCATGAACGTCAGTATATCCTTATTTTGAGGCACTTCTTCTACACAAAGAAAAGAACACACTCCACAAACCTCTGTCCATTGTGAGGATATCTCCTTACTGCTGAATTTTAGGGCCATACCTCAGTGGGACTGCAATGCAGCAGCAGTCTTCTTTGGCTTGCACCCACACACTGAGCTACTCTATCCATCAACTAAGGGTGGCTTTTTTCCTCTTCCACCAGGTGTCATAAAGGAATCTCCACTCTTGTGGCTATACATACAAGCTAAGGATGACAGCCCAGGCAGCAGTGTTCAGTGATATGTGAATCTGTGGCACTTGTTCATGCAGCTACTTTTGTCCTCTGGCCTACTCATGACTGCTTCCAGATACAGCATTTCCATCTTAAATGAATACTGGTGCTAGACCCACCAAATCTTATGACTTTGTGAATCTGACAAAACTCAACTTATGATAAGCAGCTCTGGACACATGGTTACTTGTTGCCTCCCAGTCAGGCCCTCTGTCTCTACCAGTGTGCCTGGTAGCATGCCTGGAGTTGTTTTCTGAATTGTTTATAATTCTTCTTGGCTGATGGCATGAACTTTTTCTAGAACCCTAGGGTTCTACATGATGATTCTCCTAGCTTTAGTGGAACAACCCACCAAAATAGGATTTTAAGGATATAATAATATTAAGGATATTTTATAGATACGTCTTTCAATCCAAAAAATGCACATAGGTGGTAAGCTTTTTTACTGGATAGGTAAATCACAGACCTCATATTTTATACTTTCACAGGAGCTGGCCACTTTAGCGTTAGTATTTCAATGCATGGATAGTATAATAAACATTGCATTCGAACTTTTTCACACTTTTTAAAGCTTATTTTACATAAGTGTCTAATATTATTTTCTTTTTTCTTTTCTAATCCCCCTTCTCTGATTCTATTACCCCTCACTACCACTACAACTATCACCATTATACATATATGTCAAATGGGATCTGAATGCATAGTTCAATCCTGAATTTATGCTTCTGCAGTGAGAAATTGGTTTGCCTTTTTGTAATTAACATAGCAAGTGTCATGACAATTGAATGTTATTGGTTAGGTGATGTTCCTTTCTTTCCATATACCTAAAGTATGATGGTTGCTATAACAACAGAACAAGGAGTAGAAAGCATGGCTTTTAAACAGATTTCTGACACAAAAGGGACTTTCAGGACAAACCTTCAGAAAAGAGCTCATAGATTTAACTACTTAAATTATTGGGTATTTGTAGGAATATAGGCTATGACTCTATTCCAGAAATGTGCAGGCAGTAATCAGTCTGTCACTAAGGGTTGAACACTCATAGCTCTATTCTAGCCTTGTAATGTCAGAGATATTTTGTACAGTTTGATGGAATTTCAGTGATTCAGTATAGATGGATCTCCGTTCATGTATGGGAGTGAGAATTTCCCTAAGTGCTCTTTGGAGGCTTCTAATAGGATGAAATGAGAAGAGGGATTTTATTGCTAAATAGGCTTCAAAAAGAGATGATTCTTCTAGTATGGTAGAAATACAGAAGAGTTTATATTTACAGCATCAAAGAAGTTTCTTGTTCTGTGATGACTCTGAAACTGTGTTCTGTGCTGATTTTCCCATTCATAGTTTAGAACATGAAAATATATGTAGTATTTATGTATTTGAAGAAAACACAATTTATTCAAGGGAATAAGTAGACATTTGGCACTAAAATATAAACATGATCACTCATTTGTAAAGCAGACCACTTGATTTCTGGAGATTACTTTATGTCCTTTTCATGCAACTTAGAGATCACAGCCATTACTTTTTTTCTCTTCAATTACTGACAATAGAGGTGGATTTGCTAAATCTTTAAAGTTATTTATTTTATTACTTCTCAGCTGCTCATGACTGGCAATAGAAGATCAATCGTGCAGTCCAGTAGTGGATAAGAGATATTTATATAACTTATAAATAACAAGATAAGAAAAATTTTTTAAAATTTGTATCATATTCTGAGATAAAATGGATATAGTATCATCTAATACATAGCTGGGCACATAACAAATGCTCAATAGCTTTCAGTAAATTGATTGATAAAGTAATTTATTAAATAATTAACATTTCAAAATTTTTCAGCTCCAACTTTTTTTGTAGAACTTTGAGTAATGGAAAAAGCAGAATTTACTTCTTTAGAATCTCCAAATGCCTGTTCAGGAAGGGAATGCTATACATTTAGATAACAATGGAGTTTTAAGCAGGGGAATGGCATAATCAGATATATATTTGTAAAGAGAAGGCAGACAATTATTGGTGTTGGAAGAAGGGAAGGCCAGAGGCAAAGCAACCAGATAAGAGCCTAGTCAAGATGAAAGAAGCTCTAAACTAAAGGGTGGCAGTAATACTGCAGAGGAGCAAAAGGACATGGAGAAAATAAGGGGTAGAGGATGGGTAGAAAGACAAAGTGTTCATGGAAACTGCCAGAAAATGAAATCAGCAATGAGTCCCAGATATCTAGCTTAGGCACAAATGTGGAGAAAGGTATCATTGATCAAGGTGGAGAAAACAAAGCAAGATATTTTAGGAAATACAATATGAGGCATTTTCGATATATTAAAATAGAAAATCCAAAAAATAGCTGAAGAATGCAGGTCTAGTGCTCAGAAGGTATCAAAACCAGGAATATGGTAAATAAAGGAGCAGTGGAATAAAGGTATGTGGAGTTGTAAGAGATAAGGCCCAAGAATAGGGAAGACTAACATTTTAAAGACATATAGAAGATGAAGAGTTTATTTAAAAAAAAAAAAAAAAGGACTGAAAATGTGTGAAGAGAGAGTTAAGAGCAAAATCAGAAGAAGATGGTGCTGTGGAAGCTGAAGCAAGAGAGAATATCAGAAGGACATAGTCCATGGTGTCCTTGCTAGAGACCTAGACACCCAAATACAAGAACCATGAAGAACACCTGGGAAATTCATTGCAAAAAAATCATTGCCTAGGCACATTGTCATCAGGTTTTCTAAAGTTAAGATGAAGCAAAGAATCTTAAGAGCTGTGAGACAAATGCACCGGTAACCTATAAAGGAAAACCTATCAGATTAAGAGCAGATTTCTCAGCAGAAACCCCACAAACTAAAAGGGATTGGGGCCGTATCTTCAGCCTCCTTAAACAAAGCAATTATCAGCCAAGAATTCTGTATCCAGTGAAACTAAGCTTCATATATGAAGGAAAGATACAGTCTTTTTCAGACAAATGCTGACAGAATTCACCACTACAAAGCTACCACCACAAGAACTGCTAAAAGGAGCACTAAATTTTGAAACAAATCCTGGAAACACATCAAAACAGAAACTCTTTAAAGCATAAATCTTACAGGACCCATAAAACAAAAATACAATTTAAAAAGCAAAACAAAAAGCCAAGGTATACAGGCAACAAATAGCACAATGAATGGAATAGTGCCTCATATCTCAATACTAACAATGAATGTAAACGGCCTAAATGTTCCAATTAAAAGATACAGAATTGCAGAATGGATAAGAATTCACCAAGCAACTATCCGCTGCCTCCAAGAGACTCACCTAACACATAAGGACTCACATAAACTTAAGGTAAAGGGATGGAAAAGACATTTTGTGCAAATGGACACCAAAAGTGAGTAGGGGTAGCTATTCTTATAACAGACAAAACAAACCTTAAAACAGTTAAATATATAGCAGTGATAAAAGACAAAGAGGGGCATTATGTAATGATAAAAGGCCTTGTCCAACAGGAAAATATCACAATCCTAAACATATATGCACCTAACACTGAATCTTCCAAATTTATGAAACAATTACTACTAGACTAAGAAATGAGACAGACAGCAGAACAATAAGAGTAGTGGACTTCAGTACTGCACTGACAGCTCTGGACAGGTCATCAAGACAGAAAGTCAACAAAGAAACAATAAATTTAAACTATACCCTGGAACAAATGGACTTAATAGATATATACAGAAAATTCCATCCCACAACCTCAGAATATACAGTCTATCCAACAGTGCCTGGAACTTTCTCCAAGATAGACTATATGATAGGCCACACAATGACCCTCAATACATTTAAGAAAATTGAAATTAGAAAGCGCTCTTTCAGAGCACAGTGGAATAAAACTGGAAATCAACTCCAAAAGGAACCTTCAAAATCATGCAAATACATAGAAATTAAACAGCTTGCCCCTGAATGATCATTGGGTTAAAAATAAAATCAAGATGGAAATTAAAAAATTGTTTGAACTGAATGACAATAGTGACACAACCTATCAAAACCTCTGGGATACAGCAAAAGTGGTGCTAAAGTTCATAGCCCTAAATGCCTACGTCAAACAGTCTGAAAGAGCACAAAGAGACAATCTAAGGTCGTACCTCAAGGAACTAGAGAAACAGGAACAAACCAAACCCAAACACAGCTGAAGAAAGGAAATAACCAAGATCAGAGCAGAACTAAATGAAAGTGAAACAAACAAACAAACAAAAAATACAAAAGATAAATGAAACAAAAATTTGGTTCTTTGAAAAGATAAACAAAATTGGTAGACCATTAGCAAGATTAACCAAGAAAAGAAGAGAGAAAATCCGAATAAGCTCAATAAGAAGTGAAGTGGAAGATATTCCAATTGACACCACAGAAATACAAAAGATCATTCGAGGCTACTATGAACAACTTTGTGCACATAAACTAGAAAGCCTAGAAGAGATGGATAAATTCCTGGAAAGACACAACCCTCCTAGCTGAAATCAGGAAGAATTAGATACTCTGAACAGGCCAATAACAAGCAGCAAGATTGAAATGGTAATTTAAAAATTACCAACAAAAAAAAGTCCAGGACCAGATGGATTCACAGCAGAATTCTACCAGTGAATCAGTGCCAATCCTATTGACACTATTCCACAAGAGAGAGAAAGAGGGAACCCTCCCTAAATCATTCTATGAAGCCAGTGTCACCATAATACCAAAACCAGGAAAGGACATAACCAAAAAAGAAAACTACAGACCAATATCCATGATGAACACAGATGCTAAAATCCTTAACAAAGTATTAGCTAACCAAATTCAGCAATATATCAAAAAGAAAATCCACCATGATCAAGTGGGTTTCATACCAGGGATACAGGTATGGCTTAACATACGCAAGTCAATAAATGTGATACACCACACAAACAGAATTAAAAACAAAAATGACATGATCATCTCAATAGATGCAGAAAAAGCATTCGACAAAATCCAGCAATGCTTTATGATTAAAACTCTCTGCAAAATCGGCTTACAAAGGACATACCTCAATGTAATAAAAGCCATCTATGACAAACCCACAGCCAACATAATACTGATTAGGGAAAAGCTGAAGGTATTCCCTCTGAGAATTGGAACAAGACAGGGATACCCACTCTCACCACTCCTCTTCAACACAGTACTGGAAGTCCTAGCCAGAGCAATCAGACAACAGAAAGAAAGAAACGGCATCCAAATCAGTAAAGAGGAAGTCAAACTGTAACTGTTTGCTGAAGATATGATTGTTTACCTTGAAAACCCTAAGACTCCTCCAGAAAGCTACTAGAACTGACAAAAGAATTCAGCAAAGTTTCCAGATACAAAATTAACGTACACAAATTTGTAGCTGTTCTATACACCAACAGTGACCAAGCGGAAAATCAAATCAAGAACTCAACCCCTTTTACAATAGCTGCAAAAATAAATAAATAAATAAGTAAATACTTAGGAATATACCTAATCAAGGAGGTGAAAGATCTCTACAAGGAAAACTACAAAACACTGCTGAAAGAAATCACAGATGACACAAACAAAGGGAAACACATCTCATGTTCATGAATGGGTAGAATCAGTATTGTGAAAATGACCATATTGCCAAAAGCACTATACAAATTCAATGCAATTCCCATCAAAATACCACCATCATCCTTCACAGAATTAGAATAAAAACAATTTTAAAATTCATATGGAACCAAAACAAAGCCTGCATAGCCAAAGCAAGACTAAGAAAAAAGAACAAATCTGGAGGCAGCACATTACCTGATTTCAAACTATGCTATTAGGTCATAGTCACCAAAACTGCATGGTATTGGTATAAAAATAGACACATAGACCAATGGAACAGAATAGAGAACCCAGAAATAAACCCAAATACTTACAGCCAACTGATCTTTGACAAAGCAAACATAAAGTGAGGAAAAGACACCCTTTTCAACAAATGGTGCTGGGATAATTGGCTAGCCACACATAGAAGAATGAAACTGAATCCTCATCTCTCACCTTATACAAAAATCAAGGACTTAAATCTAAGATCTGAAACTCTACAAATTCTAGAAGATAACATTGGAAAAACCCTTCTAGACATTGGCTTAGGCAAGGATTTCATGACCAATAACCCAAAAGCAAATGCAATAGAAACAAAGATAGATAGTTGGGACTTAATTAAACTAAAGAGCTTTTGCATGGCAAAAGGAACAGTCAGCAGAGTAAACAGACAACCCACAGAGTGGGAGAAAATCTTCACAATCTATACATCTGACAAAGGACTAATATCCAGAATCTACAAGGAACTCAAACAAATCAGCAAGAAAAAAACAAACAATCCCACCAAAAAGGGATAAGGACATAAATAGACAATTCTCAAAAGAAGATATACAAATGGCCAAAAAACACATGAAAAAATGCTCAACATCACTAATGATCATGGAAATGCAAATCAAAACCACAGTGTGATAACCTTACTCCTGCAAGAATTGCCATAATCAAAAAATAGTACATGTTGGCATGGATATAGTTAGCAGGGAACACTTCCACACTGCTGATTGGATTGTAAACTGATACAACTACTATGAAAAACAATGTGGAGATTCCTTAAAGAACTAAAAGTAGAACTACCATTTGATCGAGCAATCTCAGTACTGGTTATCTACACAGAGGAAAAATCTCAGTACTGGTTATCTATCCACAGGAAAAGAAGTCATTATATGAAAAAGATACTTGCACACTCATGTTTATAGCAGCACAATTCGCAATTGCAAAAAGGTGGAACCAACCCAAATGCCTATCAATCAATGAGTGGATAAAGAAACTGTGATATATATATATATATATATATATATATATATATATATATATATCTCACATATACATATATGTATATATCACATATACATACACACACATATATATCACATATACATACACACACATATATATCACATGTACATATATGTATATATACATATATATCACATGTACATATATGTGTGTATATATATACACACATATATGTATATATGATGGAATACTACTCAGCCATAAAAAATGAATTAATGGCATTCACAGCCTCCTGGATGAAATTGGAGACTATTATTCTTAGTGAAGTAACTCAGGAATGGAAAACCAAACATCATATAGTCTCACTCATAAGTAGGAACTAAGCTATGAGAATACAAAGGCATAAGAATGACACAATGGACTTTGGGAACTCAGGGGGGAAGGGTGGGAAGGGGGTGAAGGATAAAAGACTACAAATAGGGTGCAGTGTGTACTGCTCGGGTGAAGGGTGCACCAAAATCTCACAAATCACCACTAAAGAACGTACTCATGTAACCAAACACTACCTTTCCCCAATAATCTATGGAAATAAAAATAAAATAAAATAAATAATTAAATACATAAATAAAAATTTTTTAAAAAGGAGGACATAGTCCATAGTGTCAAATGATGATAATAACTTACATAGGAAAAAAAAACTGAAAAACATCGTTTGGATTGGCAACTAAGTGTTCACTAGTAATCTTGATTCAAGCATATTCAGGTGGAGGGCTGAGGACAGAAATCAAATGGCATTTGGTTTGAGGAGTGAAAGGGAGGTAAGGAAATTATGTGCTACTTTTTTAAGAAGTTTGATGTGAAAAGAAGCAAGACATAGAATAATGTCTACAGCAGGGTTTGGCAAATATTTTTTGTGGAGGTAAAACAGTAATTTTCAACAATTCATTGTTATTATAGAAATATAATCGCTTTTTGCATTTCTCTTGTAATCTTGCTAAATTCACTTATTAGCTTTAGTAGCTTTTTGGAAAGCCCTTAGAATTTTCTAGATAGGTGATCATATTATCTGAGAATAGTTTTACTTCTTTCCTACTAATATATATGGTTTTTATCCCTGTTTGTCCTTATTGTATTGGCTAAGACATGCAGTGCAATGTTAAATAAAAGTGGTGAGGGCAAACATCCTTGCCTTTTTCCTGAACTTAGAGGGAAAGCAATTTCCTTTCACTATTAAGTATAAAGTTAGCTGTAGCTTTTGCCTAGATAAATATTTTCAGGTGAAGAAAGTTTCCCTTTATTCCTAGTTGAATACAAATTTTTAAAAAATTACAGTGGGTGTCACATGCATTTTATTCATCTATTGAGATGATGTTTTTATGTGCTATTATGAAAAATTGCATTGATTTATTTAAATACAAATACAACTTTGCATTCTCAGGGTTGACAGGAGTCTGACTAGGGAAGTTTCTCAATAACAATCAATACTAATGACATTAGGGTGGGGAGGCAACTAGGGTACTAGTGACATTCTTGGTTGTGGGAGACTGCCCCGTGCATTGTAGGATGTTTGGCAGCTTTCCTGACCTCTACATTCCAGTACCACCTCCCAACTGTGGCAACAAAAATGTCTCTAGACATCATTAAGTGTCCTCTGGGAGGCAAAATTACCTCTGGTTAAGAACGACTGACCTAGAAAGTTAACAATTCTATTGTTCTTTACAAAGGTCTAGCTTTGGGTTTCATTGCTTTTCCCTATTGTTACTCTGTTTTTTATTTCAGTGATTTCTGCTCTTACCTTTATGGATTCTTTTTTTCTTTATTTGAATTTAATGTACTTTTTTTGTAGGAGCAAAAAAGGTGGAAACTTTGATCATTGATTTTTAAATCTTCTTTTCTAATATAAGCATTTAATGATATAAAATTTCTGCTACAAGCACTGATTTAGAAGAATTCTCTAGATTTTGTTTTTGTTTTCATTCACTTGAAAATATTTTCTAAATTCCCTTATGATTTCTTCTTTGATCCATGAGTTATTTAAAGTACATGTAAAGTATATGGTTTAATAGCTAAATATTTAGGATACTTTTTAGATATATTATTAATTTATGGTTTAATTCTGTTGTGGTCAGAATATACTCTCGTTATTTAAATCCTCTTAAGCTCAAGACTTATTTATTGGGAAGACACTTCCAAGATGGCCAGATAGGAACATTTCCGATCTACAGCTCCCAGTGATATCAATGCAGAAGATGGGTGATTTCTGCATTTCCAACTGAGGTACCTGGTTCATCTCATTGGGACAAGTTCGACATTGGTTGCAGCCCACAGAGGGTGAGCCAAAGCAGGGCGGGGGCATCACCTCACCCAGGAAGTGCAAGGGGTCGGGAGATTTCCCTTTCCTAGCCAAGGGAAGCCAAGAGTGACTGTACTTGGAGGAGCAGTACACTCCTGCCAAATTACTGCTCTTTTCCCACAGTCTTCACAACTGGCAGACCAGGAGATCCCCTCCTGTACCTGGCTCGGTGAGTCCCACACCCATGGAGACTTACCCACTGCTACAGCAGCAGTCTGAGATCAACCTGCAAAGCGGGAGCTTGGCGGGGGAAGGGGTGTCTGCCATTGCTGAGGCTTGATAGGCAGTTTTATGCTCGCAGCGTAAACAAAGCTGCAGGGAAGCTTGAATTGGGTGGCGCCCCCTGCAGCTCAGCAAGGCCTACTGCCTCTCTAGATTCCACCTCTGGGGCAGGGCATATCTGAACAAAAGGCAGCAGACAGCTTCTGCAGACTTAAATGTCCCTGCCTGACAGCTCTGAAGAGAGCAGTGGTTCTCCAAGCACGGCATTCAAGCTCCAGTAATGGACAGACTGCCTCCTTAAGTGGGTCCCTGACCCCTGTGTAGCCTGACTGGGAGACATCTCCCAGTAGGGGCCAACAGACACCTCATACAGGCAGGTGCTCCTCTGGGCTGAAGCTTACAGAGGAAGGATCAGGCAGCAATATTTGCTGTTCTGCAGCCTCCACTGGTGATACTCAGGCAAACAGGGTCTGGAGTGGATCTGCAGCTGAGGGGCCTGTCTGTTAGAAGAAAAAGTAACAAACAAAAAGGAATAGCATCAACATCAATAAAAAGGACATCCACACAAAATCCCCATCAGTAGGTCACCAACATCAAAGACCAAAGGTAGATAAAACCACAAAGATGGGGAGAAACCAGGGCAGAAAGGCTGAAAATTCCAAAAACCAGAACGCCTCTCCTCCTCCAAAGGAACACAACTCCTTGCCAGCAGGGGAACAAAACTGGATAGAGAAAGAGTTTGAGGAGTTGACAGAAGTAGGCTTCAGAAGGTCAGTAATAACAAACTTCTTTGAGCTAAAGGACCATGTTCTAACCCATTGCAAGGAAGCTAAAAACCTTGAAAAAAGGTTAGATGAATGGCTAACTAGAAAAAATAGTTTAGAGAAGAGCTTCAATGACCTGATGAAGCTGAAAACCACAGTACAAGAACTTCGTGAAGCATACACAAGCTTCAATAACCGATTCGATCAAGTGGTAGAAAGGATATCAGTGATTGAAGATCAAATTAATGAAATAAAGTGAGAAGACAAGATCAGAGAAACGAGAGTGAAAAGAAACTAATAAAGCCTCCAAGAAATATGGGACTATGTGAAAAGACCAAATCTATGTTTGATTGGTGTACCTGAAAGTGACAGGGAGAATGGAAGCAAGTTGGAAAACACACTTCAGGATATTATCCAGGAGAACTTCTCTAACCTAGCAAGGCAGGCCAACATTCAAATTCAGGAAATACAGAGAATACCACAAAGATACTCTTCAAGAAGAGCAACCCCAAGACACATAATCGTCAGATTCACCAAGGTTGAAATGAAGGAAAAAATGTTAAGGGCATCCAGAGAGAAAGGTCAGGTTACCCACAAAGGGAAGCCCATCAGACTAACAGTGGATCTCTCTGCAGAAACCCTATAAGCCAGAAGAGAGTGGGGGCCAATATTCAACATTCTTAAAAAAAAGAATTTTCAACCCAGAATTTCATATCCAGCCAAACTAACTCCTTCCTTCATAAGTGAAGGAGAAATAAAATCCTTTACAGACAAGCAAATGCTGAGAGATTTTGTTACCACCAGGCCTGCCTTACAAGAGCTCCTGAAGGAAGCACTAAACATGGATAGGAACAACCACTACCAGCCACTGCAAAAACATGCCAAATTGTAAAGACCGTTGATGCTATGAAGAAACTGCATCAATTAATGGGCAAAATAACCAGCTAGCATCATAATGACAGGATCAAATTCACACATAACACTCTTAACCTTAAATGTAAATGGGCTAAATGCCCCAATTAAAAGACACAGACTGGCAAATTGGATAAAGAGTGAAGACCCATCAGTGTGCTGTATTCAGGAGACCCATTTCATATGCAAAGACATACATAGGCTTAAAATAAAGGGATGGAGGAAGATCTACCAAGCAAACGGAAAGCAAAAAAAAAAGCAGGGGTTCCAATCCTGGTCTCTGGTAAAACAGACTTTAAACCAACAAAGATCAAAAAAGACAAAGAAGGCCCACACATAATGGTAAACGGATCGATGTAACTAGAAGAGCTAACTATCCTAAATATATATGCACCTAATACAGGAGAAACCAATTCATAAAGCAAGTTCTCAGACACCTACAAAGAGACATAGACTCCCACACAATAATGATGGGAGACTTTAACACCCCACTGTCAACATTAGACAGATCAACGAGACAGAAAGTTAACAAGGATATTCAGGACTTCGAACTCAGCTATGGACCAAGCAGAACTAATAGACATCTACAGAACTCTCCACCCCATATCAACAGAATATACATTCTTCTCAGCACCATACTGCACTTATTCTAAAATTGACCACATAATTGGAAGTAAAACACTCCTCAGCAAATGTAAAAAACAGAAATCACAACAAACTGTCTCTCAGACCACAGTGCAATCGAAGTAGAATTCAGGAATAAGAAACTCACTCAAAACCACACAACTCCATGGAAACTGAACAACCTGCTCCTAAATGACTACTGGGTAAATAACGAAATGAAGGTAGAAATAAACAGGTTCTTTGAAACCAATGATAACAAAGACACAACATACCAGAATCTCTGGGACACATTTAAAGCGATGTGTAGAGGGAAATATATAGCACTAAATGCCCACAAAAGAAAGCAGGAAAGATCTAAAATCGACACCCTAACATCACAATTAAAAGAACTAGAGAAGCAAGAGCGAACAAATTAAAAAGCCAGCAGAAGACAAGAAATAACTAAGATGAGAGCAGAACTGAAGGAGATAGAGACACCAAAAAAACTTCAAAAAATCAATGAATCCAGGAGCTGGTTTTTTGAAAAGATCAACAAAATAAATAGACCGCTAGCAAGACTAATAAAGAAGAAAAGAGAGAAGAAACAAATAGATACAATAAAAAATGATAAAGTGGATATCACCACTGATCCCACAGAAATACAAACTACCATCAGAGAGTACTATAAACACCTCTATGCAAATAAACAAGACAATCTAGAAGAAATGGATACATTTCTGGACACATACACCCTCCCAACACTAAACCCGGAAGAATTTGAATCTCTGAATAGACCAATAACAGGTTCTGAAATTGAAGCAATAATTAATAGCCTCCCAATCAAAACAAGCCCAGGACCAGGCGGATTCACAGCTGAATTCTACCAGAGGTACAAAGAGGAGCTGGTACCATTCCTTCTGAAACTATTTCAATAATTAATAGCCTCCCAATCAAAAAAAGCCCAGGACCAGGCAGATTCACAGCTGAATTCTACCAGAGGTACAAAGAGGAGCTGGTACCATTCCTTCTGAAACTATTTCAATCAATAGAAGAAGAAGGAAACCTCCCTAACTCATTTTATGAAGCCAGCATCATTCTGATACAAAAGCCTGGCAGAGACACAACAAAAAAAAGAGAATTTTAGGTCAATATCCCTGATGAACATCGACGCGAAAATCCTCAATAAAATACTGGCAAACCATATCCAGCAGCACATCAAAAAGTTTATCCACCACGATCAAGTTGGCATCATCCCTGGATGCAAGGCTGGTTCAACACATGCAAATCAATACATGTAATCCATCACATAAACAGAACCAATGACAAAAAGCACACGATTATCTCAATATATGCAGAAAAGGCCTTCGACAAAATTCAACAGCGTTTCATGCTAAAAACTCTCAATAAACTAGGTATTGATGGAACATATCTCAACATAATAAGAGCTATTTATGACAAACCCACAGCCAATGTCATATTGAATGGGCAAAAACTGGAAGCATTCCCTTTGAAAACTGGCACAAGATAAGGATGCCCTCTCTCACCACTCCTATTCAACATAGTATTGGAAATTCTGGCCAGGGCAATCAGGCAAGAGAAAGAAATCAGTGGTATTCAAATAGGAAGAGAGGAAGTCAAATTGTCTCTGTTTGCAGATGACATGATTGTATATTTAGAAAACCCATTGTCTCAGCCCAAAATCTCCTTAAGCTGATAAGCAACTTCAGCAAAGTCTCAGGATAGAAAATCAGTGTGCAAAAATCATAAGCATTCCTATACACCAATAATAGAAAGCCAAATCATGAGTGAACTCCCATTCACAATTGCTACAAAGAGAATAAAATACCTAGGAATCCAACTTACAAGGGATGTGAAGGACCTCTTCAAGGAGAACTACTAACCTCTGCTCAAGGAAATAAGAGAGGACACAAACAAATGGAAAAACATTCCATGCTCATGGATAGTAAGAATCAATATCGTGAAAATGGCCTTACTGCCCAAAATAATTTATAGGTTCAATGCTATCCCCATCCAGCCACCACTGTCTTTCTTCACTGAATTGGAAAAAAAACTACTTTAAACTTCATGTGGAACCAAAAAAGAGCCCGCATAGCCAAGACAATCCTGGGCAAGAAGAACAAAGCTGGAGGCATCATGTTACCTGACTTCAAACTATACTACAAGCCTACAGTAACCAAAACAGCATGGTACTGGTGCCAAAACAGAGATATAGACCAATGGAACAGAATGGAGGCCTCTGAAATAACACCATACATCTACCACCATCTGATCTTTGACAAACCTGACACACACAAACAATGGGGAAATGATTCCCTGTTTAACAAATGGTGTTGGGAAAACTGGCTAGCCATATGCGGAAAACAAACTGGACCCCTTCCTTACACCTTATACAAAAATCAAATCAAGATGGATCAAAGACTTAAACATAAGACCTAGGATCATAAAAATCCTAGAAGAAAACTTAGGCAATACCATTCAGGACATAGGCATGGGCAAAGACTTCATGTCTAAAACACCAAAAGCAATGGCAACAAAAGCCAACATTGACAAATGGGATCTAATTAAACAAAAGAGCTTCTGCACAGCAAAAGAAACTATCATCAGAGTGAACAGGCAACCTACAGAGTGAGAGAAAATTTTTGCAATCTATCCTTCTGACAAAGGGCGAATATCCAGAATCTACAAAGAACTTAAACAAATTTACAAGAAAAACGCAAACAACCCCATTAAAAAATGGGCAAAGGATATCAACAGACAATTCTCAAAAGAAGATATTTATGCAGCCAACAGACATATGAAAAATGCTCATTATCACTGGTCATTAGAGAAATGCAAATCAAAACCACAATAAGATGTCATCTCGTGCCAGTTAGAATGGCGATCATTAAAAAGTCAGGAAACCACAGATGCTGGAGAGGTTGTGGAAAAATAGGAACATTTTTACACTGTTGGTGGGAGTGTAAATTAGTTCAACCATTGTGGAAGACAGTGTGGTGATTTCTCAAGGATCTAGAACCAGAAATACCATTTGCCCAGCAATCCCATTACTGGGTATATACCCAAAGGATTAAAAATCATTATACTATAAAGACACAGGCACACGTATGTTTATTGCAGCACTATTCACAATAGCAAAGATGTGGAACGAACCCAAATGTCCATCAATGATAGACTGAATAAAGAAAATGTGGCACATATACACCATAGAATACTATGCAGCCATCAAAAAGGATGAGTTCATGTCCTTTGCAGAGATGTGGATGAAGCTGGAAACCATCATTCTCAGCAAACTAACACAGGAACAGAAAACCAAACACCACATGTTCTCACTCATAAGTGGGAGTTGAACAATGAGAACACATGGACACAGGGTAGGGAACATCACACACTGGGGCCTGTTGGGGGTTGGGGGATAGAAGAGGGATAACATTAGGAGAAATACCTAATGTAGGTGACGGGTTGATGGGTGCAGCACACCACCATGGCACGTGTATACCTGTGTAACAAAACTGCACGCTCTGCACATGTAACCCAGAACTTAAAGTATAATAAAAAAGTAAAATAAATAAATAAATTATAGAGTTTAAAAAAAGACTTGTTTATTGCCTTGAATATAGTCTATCTTTGTTAAACGTCCCATATTAACTTGAGAAAATATACATGTATTCTGTTGTTTGGTGCAGCATTCAAAAAATATGTATTATTATTTTTCTTTTTCTTTTTCTTATACTTCAAGTTCTGGGATACATATGCAGAACGTGCAGGTATGTTACATAGGTACAGACGTGCCATGGTGGTTTGCTTCACCTATCAACCCGTCATCTACATTAGGTATTTCTCCTAATGCTATCCCTCCCCTAGAACATCACACACCGGGGCCTGTTGGGGGATGTGGGACTAGGGGAAAAATATGTATTATTAAGTCAAGTTGGTTGATAGTTTTGTTTAAGCCTTTTATATCCTCGCTGCTATCTTATTTACTTGTTTATTAACTACTGAGGAAGAAGTGTTGAAATCTACAACTATCATTGTGGATATATCTATTTATTCCTTTAGCTCTATAAATACAACCTGGTTTTGGGTGCATGCCATGTAAGATTGCTATAATTTCCTTAAGATTTTACTCTATGTCATTATGAGATAGTTTTCCTTATCCTTGCTATTACTTTTCATCTTAAAGTCCATTTTGATACAAATAAAACCACTGCAGGTTTCTTAAGTTTGCATGATCTTTTTTCAATTATTTTAATTTTAATTTATGAATTGCTTTGTATTTAGGCGACTACTTTTACACAACATATAGTTGGCTGTTGCTTTTTCACCCAGTCTAATAATTTCTACCTTTTAATTTGAGGAATTTAAGCTATTTTTATTTAATGTAATTATCTCTATAATTGCTTTTAGGCTTATCATTTTGCTATTCATTTTCTATTAGTCCCGTCTTCTTGTTCTTTCTCTCTCTATTATTGCCTTATTTTGGATTATCTTTAATGATTCCTTTTTATCTACACATTAGCTTATTAGCCCTACTCCCTCTTTTTCAATGATTGCTCAATGGTTTACAATATATATCTTTAATTTGCCACATTCTACCCTCATATGTAGCACAAGAAACTTACAGTAGTCTATTTCCTTCTCCCATATTTTGTGCTATTGTTATCATATATTTTACTTCTACATGTGTGCAAGTCTCACAAGAAGCTATTTGTGCTTCTTTAAGCAGTTATCTTACAAAAAAATTAAAAATTAGAAAAATACATTTTTAATATTTGCTCATATATTTATTATTTCTGATACTTTTTATACCTTTATATAGATCCAAATTTCCATTGGGTATCATACTTCTACTCCCTAAATAACTTCCTTTAATATATATGCATCTTTATATTAAAATGGATTTCTAGTAAACAACACAAAGTAGGGTCTTTAAAATTGTTGATTCATTCTAACAATTTCTCTTTTAATTGGTATATTTAAACCATTGATATTTAAAGTAATTATTGATATAGTTGGATTTATCTGCCATATTTATTGTTTTTTACTTGTTGCCTTTATGCTTTGTTCTTATTTTTTCTTCCACTCTTTTATTTCTGCCTTTTGTGGTATTAACTGAGCGTTTTATGGGATTCCATTTTCTCTCTTTTTGTAGCATATCAATTATACTTCTTCTCTTATTTTTTTTTAGTAGTTGCCCTAGAGTTTGTAATATACACTTACAACTAATTCAAGTCCATTTTCAAATAACTGTATCTCTTCATAGGTAATGCAAATAACTTGGAATAACAAAATAATACTAATATCTCAATCCTGTCCCTTGTATCATTGCTGTCGTTAATTTTAAACATTACTTAAGTGTATATAATATATATGCATGAATAATACATATGATATATAAGGAAACATAATTAAAAACTTTGTTGCTATTATTGGATCAGTTATCTGTTAAATTACTTAAAAATAAGAAAATAAAAGGTTTTTTTTACCCTTACTTACTCTTTTTCTTATGCTCTTCCTTTATGTAAAGCCAAGTTTTTGACTTGCATAATTGCCTTTCTCTCTGAAGAATTTCTTTTAACATTTCATGCAAGGCAGGTCTACTGGAAACAAATTTCTTCAATTTTTATCTGAGAAAGTATTTCTTCTTTACTTCTGAAGGATAATTCCACAGGGTACAAAATTCTAGGTTGGTGGGTTTTTTTTTTCTCTCAACGCTTTAAATATTTCACTTCATTCTCTTCTTCCTTGCATGATTTCTGAGAAGTCAGATGTAATTCTTACCTTTGTTTCTCTATAGGTAAGATTTTTTTTTCTCTCTGGATCCTTTCAAAATATTTTCTTTGATTTCCTTGAATATTAGAAATACCTTTGAATATTAGAAAATATTCAAACTGTAGTTTGATATGCCTAAGTGCTGTTTTCTGGTATTTATCCTATTTGGTGTTCTCTGAGTTTCCTGGATCTGTGATTTGTCCAAATTTCACAGTCATTATGATTCACGGTCATTATGGCTTCAAATATTTCTCCTCTTCCTTTCTTTTTTCTCCTAGTAATATTCCTGTTATGCACATGTAACACTTTTTGTTGTCCCACAGTTTTTGTATATTCTGTTCCATTTTTTTCAGCCATTTTTTTCTCTTTGCCTTTCCATTTTGCAAGTTTCTATTGACATCCTCAATCTCAGATATTCTTTCCTCAGCAGTTTCCAGGCTACTAATGAGCCCATCAAAGGCATTCTTTATTTCTGCTAGAGTGTTTTTTATTCCTAGCATCTCTTTTCTTTGTTTTGCTTTTTTAGAATTTTCATCTCTTTGCTTACATTGCTCATCTATTTTTGCATACTGTCTACTTTATCTTTTAGAGCCCTTAGTATCTTAATCAAAGTTGTTTTAAATTGTAGATCTAATAATTCCAACATCCCAACCATATCTAAGTGTTATTCTGATGCTTGCTTTGTCTCTTCTGACCATGTTGTTGTTTTTTTGTTGGTTTGTTTTTGCTTTTTAGTATGCCTTGTAATTTTTTCTTGAGTACTGGGTAAAAGGAGCTGCTGGATATAGGTCTTTAGTAATGCGGTGTGTGATGTGAGGGAAGGGAAATGTGTTACAGTCCTATGATTAGGTCTCAGCCTTTTAGTGACCAAATGCCTCTGGACTGTGCAGTTCACAAGTATTTCTCTGTCTCCCCCACCCACATGCACACACTTAGGTGTGACAGGATGGATAAAGTGGACTGGAATTGGGTATTTTCTTTCTCCACATTGAAAGATAGCAGAGGCTGGGGTTGAGCATTTTCTTTCCTCATGTCAGTGAGACTTTGAAAAAATCCAGTAGTTTAGGCACAGGTAAAATATTTTATCTGAAGGGCTGGCCTTGTTAAGAACAGAAAGCTCTGGCATGTTTTACATGGTTACCTTTCCTCTCCCTTTGTCAGAAGCATGAGGGGACTTTTCTCCATTATTGGCTGTAAGAACCTGGTTGAGCTCCTGGAGACAAAACTTACAAAAGTGTGGGGACAACCTACACCCCGGGACAGGGCCCTCTGGCATTTGTAACTCCCAGACTTGTCCACACTGAGCTTCCAGCAATTCGTCAATTATAGTTATCGTTTTCCAACCCCTGCAGTGATTCCCACAGAGATTTCTGCTCATGGGTTTCTGCTCTGGTGTTTGGGATTCTCTGTGTTTGTCTGCCTTTCTTGTTTTGGGGGCAGCAATTTTCCCCACGACCTCACTTCTGTGACAAACCCAAGAAGAGCTGAAGATTTTTTAGTCTGTTCAGCTTTTAACCTGTGAGCATGTAGTGATCACTTACAAGCTCCTTACATGCCAGATTGAAAACTGGTCTCTCCCATTTTATCATTTTTTTAAAAAAACTACCAAGGTCTATTGCTTTGGTGTTTGCTGTCACATTGTATTATGCCAGAGGCCATAATTCCAACCCATAGAGTCCCCTGGTTTGAGAGAATAAAGCCTGATCTTTACAGAGAAGCAGAGCCCAGAGTTAGAGAGAAAGGGTCCTCGGCTGGATATTCCTGTCCTCTTTAGCAGTTTGATAAGATGACCCTCTCCTTTTGATTTAACTACTTACAACCACTCATATGGTCTCTATACTAAATGAGCTTGTTCTCTAAAATAAGTAACAAGGAAAAAATGTTAGAGATACACATGAATACAATAGAAAAATAGCTTATTTCTAACATTCGTACATTGAATTTTCAAGTCTATGTATACTTTCTTATTATAAAACAATGTTGCTCCTCTGGCTAACATTTTTTGTGATACTTCTTAACTTAAAAAATAAATGGCATATAAGCAAGCCCTTTACAGTATAATTCCAGCCAAACTTCCCAACGTGTCTCCAACTATTCCCTTTTACATATTCTAAAATGATCCCCATCAGACTATTTCATGTTTCTAAAACATGCCATAAAAGTTTTTAAGTTCCAGGATACATGTGCGGGATGTGCAGGTTTGTTACACAGGTAAACCGTGTGCCATAGTGGTTTGCTTCACCTATCAACCCATCACCTAGATATTAAGCCTAGCAATCATTAGCTATTTAATCTGATGCTTTCCCCGCTATGCACCCCTCCCTGCTGCTGACAGGCCCTAGTGTGTGTTGTTACCCTCCCTGTAACCATGTGTTCTCATTGTTCAGCTCCCATTTATAAGTGAGAACATGTGGTATTTGGTTTTCTGTTCCTGTGCTAGTTTGCTGAGGATAATGGCCTCTTGCTCCATCCATGTTTCTGCAAAGGACATGATCTCATTCCTTTTTATGGCCACATAGTATTCCATGTGTATATGAACCACATTTCCTTTATCCAGTCTATCATTGATGGGCATTTGGCTTGATTCCATGTCTTTGCTATTGTGAATAGTGCTGCAGTGAACATACACATGCAACATGCCATAAATGTTAATCATCAGTGTTAAAATAGAGTTACTCAAATGTAGACATGTAATATTTTCTAAACATTCACTGATATTAATAATTAAATGACGAATAATTAAACTTTAAAAATTTATCAAGTTATTACTTGAAGAAAAGTCACTGTAAATTTTGATGAGCAAATAAAGAATTGTGGATATTCTGTAGAAAATATCTAGGTATTTTCAAGGTCTGTAGTAATAAAGATTTTGTTTGTTGTTTTTGATGTTGTCTAAGCTCACATCAAAACTTAGTACTTTCGTTGTTCTTGCTATAAGTAAGTAATTTTAAATACCTATGAGTAATATATAACTATATTTCAAGGAGGCAAACTCATAGTGACTATCATTTCCCCAACTCCGACTCTACGTACTTTGGATGCTCTGGATTTTTCCAGAAACCGTTGGAGTTAATATAGTTTAACATAGAGGCCTTAGAGTCAGAAACAGATTTAAACTGTGTAAATCCCAGCTCAATCACCTACTAGCTGTTTGATTTTGTACGATTTATGTGATTACAATAAACCTTTGTTTTATGATATGTAAATAATCATTGGACCTACCTAGGAGAATTGTTGTGGAGAGTAAATGAAATAATACAAGTTACATGCCTGATATGCAGTATGTTTCAATAACTATGAGCAATTATTATAAGCATGGATGATGGCATCAGGCTCCTAATGGAGTGGGGCTGAAGCCTACGGCATGCTTTAGATGTCAAGGTTCTCTGTGTAACCAGTCTGGCCTTGAGCACTCATTATTAGTAAAGAGCAAGATAGGCCCATTTCTACTGCTAGATTTATCAGATTTTTAAAAATGCAATGCATTCTAATAGCACTGGAATGATCATGAGAGTAGAGCCATGGATGAATGCATAAACCTGACTCAAAGTTAAGAAAAAATGTTATGGGGACCCTCTCTTTTACCTCTCCCACTCTCTCAGGAGAGCTGAGATACTGTCCTTTCAGAGGATGCTAACCTGTTCATCTGTACAGCAAGAGAGATAAGCATGGGTCTGAGTAGGTGCTAAACCTCTGTAACACCCAGCTAGCTGGTCCACCTACCAGTCAAGCAAAAGTTCAGAATAAGAAGATTAAAACAATGTTATGAGAGGTAGTATTAGCAGAAAAGGAAGAGAAGCCACAGCAACTGCCATTCATGAAATTAAGACCCTGATGCTAGCAGCCTTCTATACAGAAGAAGCAAGCCTGATTCCAATACTTGTATATTGATTAGGAATTATTGTAAGGACATAATGAAGAAATACACCAAGTATTATAGATTATTCCAGCAAAGAACCCCTAAAAGATTAGTTGAAAAAGACTCAGTATTGGTTACTGCTAAGAAAGAGAAGATATGAAGAGATAGGTTTCCTTCATATCAATTTGTAGATACCTCACTCATAAGCCTTTGGCAAAGGTAACAGGTATTGCTCTCCTGAAAACTGCACATACACACACACATTATTTTGCTTGCCCTTTCAGCAGAGATATAAAACCCCAAAGACTCCCCCTCCACCAGTGGATCTGGGTTTGGATGCTGAACTTCTGCTCTTCCAGTACAGGAAATGACTTAAACTTATTGATAGCCCTCTGAAAACTCACTGTTTCTCATCTCAATATGTTTTGCTTTTTTTTCCATCGCTACTCTCATTTATGCCTTAGAGATAAATTTTGTACATTGTTCCCCTACTCCTAATAATAAACCAATGGAGAACACAAGAAAAACCTTTTTTTCTGTTTTACTGTGCGTGGTCTTCTAGTGATACATTAGCCAGCAGTAACAATAGCTCAGCACTCTCACAGTCGGGATTAGCTTTCATCTTAAAACTAATTACCATATTACAAAGGAATAGATGAATATAAGAACAAAGACAGTAGACATGCCGAGCACCATCACACCACACACAAGAATGGGGCTCAGAAGTTTGAACAGAGAGAATTGCTAAAGATAAAGCTTTAGATTTCACAATAAAATGTGCACAAAATTTTTATTATGTTCATCAAGGTGAGAAGTTTAACACTAACTTGTAATGATAACTCATTAAAAATATGACTTGTCACTGATGATATGCATTTGTTAAGAATACACTAATAATTAAACTATACCAAAGTAAAAATGTAACACTAATAACTAACATTGGTCATAGCATGACATGGCTAATCTTTCAAGAGTTAGGGTTTTTGCTTTGTGGTCTTTTTTTTAATGGGTTGACTGATTAGTCAAAGAGATGTACTTTCATACACTACTGATGGTGGAAGGCTACAGATCAGACATCAGACTATCCGGGAAGAATTTTAAAAATATAATTGCTTGTCACCAGCCCTTGTACTGCGCCCTCAACTCCCCATCTTTAATTAGAATTTTTGTCCGCAGGCCCAGGCAGCAATGTTTATTGACAGTTCCTCAGGCAATTCTAATGAGCAGTCAGAGTTGAGACCCTGTTGTAGACCCTTCTGTATCAACTTTCAATTTAAATGTAGCCATTTTGATGCTTTCTCTGACTTGAGCCAGTGATTTGCCTTTTAAGGAAACTGGTGAAAATAAATCTAACACCCCTTGTTTTCACAATAATTTGAAGATAGAGTAATTATTCTGAGCCATCTTGCAAATATGTCCTGTTATAAAGGTTATTTTTAACAAATTTATATAGTTTAAAGCCCAGATAAAGAAATCAATCTATTTGCAGATAAACAATGTTTAATCTGTATGAGACAAGTCCCAAACCTTAACTGCAAATGGGCTAGATTTTGCATATGGCAGATAACTTGTAACTTAGTGAATATCCCAACAACTCTGTTGTCTTTCTTTAGCACAATACACTCTTATCTTCCCTGGTTTGGTTCTGTGTACCTATGCCCTAATAAAGTCTTACTATATGGCTTGTTTTCCTATCATTTTTATGACATGCATTCCCCTTTACATTAAATAAAAATTGTTCTTAGTCTTCATTAATTTCCTTTAAACTTTCCTGACAGCATTTCACCTGCCTCTCTTCTCAACTATGTCAATTGACATTGTCTTTTTCTTTACAGATTCTGTTTCAAAAACATCCTAGGAGTTAGAGTTAAGCATCTCTCTTAAGTACTTGATGTGTATTTAGTAGAATTAATGTACCCATTATCTTTGTTTTATTTGTGAAGGCCAAAGAAGTCTATGCTTTGGAAATGTTCAATGACTTACTCAAATGAAAAATAAAGGTTTCTGTTAGAAAGAAGCTATTTTCCTCCAGAGTAGCAGTTACTGAACTAACCATAGTTTATGGCCTATGATTTATGACATTGATAATAGGAATAATTGAAGTATCTTCATCACCAATTAAGGAGGTGGAAAAAGCATCAGACTGTGAATAGGCTGGGAATTGATTGGATTTCAAATTCCAGTCAGTTGAAGGGAGAAGATCTGGGCTCACATTATATCTTTTCTGCTTGCAGTAACTTTGATCAAGTTACTTAACCCTCTGTGATCCTGTTGAGGATAATAGCAATCTCATCTTACTGGGTTGCTGTGAAGAAAACTGAGATAATAACAGAGTAGGAACTCAGTGAATGTTTGAGGCTATTTTAAGGCATATAATTTTTTTTTGCAAACATGGAATAATAAAAAGCAAATAGCTTTGGAGTCCAGGAGACCTGAACAGCTGTGTAACTTCTGGCAAGTTACTTAACTTCTCTGTTTTCTCTGACTGCCATGAGGATTAAATAAAAGACTTATGTATGTAATTGACTATCTTCCCTGGTATCATCAGTATGTGAGAATGAATGCAGTAAAATTAAGAATACATTTTAGCAGCTCCTCCTCCTATCCCTTGCTTACAGCCTCCATACTTCTTGGGGCTGAGACAGCAATGCTTAGCAAGAGTGCCATCTGCTCCTCCACATCCACTTGCCAAGTCGCAGTTCGGCAGGGCCATGAGGCTTCTGATTATTGAGTTGTAAGTAGAAGCAATGTGTTTTTTATGACAACCTAACTTCTCTTGACTAATACATTCATCTCACTGCCTAAAGACTTTCTAGAAGTAATAGTGAATTTCTGTAAATGCCAATGAATATATCGTCAGTTAACGGGGGAAATCCAGGAGATCCCACTGCTACTTCTGAAATATCTGCTACCTAACCACCAGGGGGCTATCATCACCTACTGGGCACATGCATTTTCACTGTCTCCCTCAAGATGCCTGATATGGTTTGGCTTTGTGTCTCCTGATATGGTTTGGCTTTGTGTCTCCACCCAAATCTCATGTTGAATTGTAATCCCCAGTGTTGATCTAGTGGGAGGTGATTAAATCATGGGGGCAGATTTCCCCCTTGCTGTTCTTGTGATAGTGGGTTCTCACAAGATCTAGTTGTTTGGCAGTGTGTGGCACTTCCCCCTTTGCTCTGTCTCTTTCTCTTGCTCCAGCCATGTAGGACTTGCCAGCTTCCCCTCTGCCTTCTGCCATGATTGTAAGTTTCCTGAGCTTCCCCCCACCCCAGCCATGCTTCCTGTACAGCCTGTGGAACCGTGAGCCAATTAAACCTCTTCCCTTTATAAATTACCCAGGCTCAGATAGTTCTCTGTAGCAATATGAGAGCGGATGAATACGTGCCAAAACTATTTGTTGGGTTGTGATAAAAAGGGAGCATGCCTCTTTTCCCTTTTTTATGTTACACTGAATTCAAAGACTACCAAAGTAGTGTTGCTGTTGCCAATACCTTACTGAGTTTTAGTGGAAATGCCCTTTTATTGCTTGCTCTCTCTCCCTGACTGAGACAGGGCCCATGAGCAGGAGACAATTCCAAGTGACCCAGTATTATTGAAGACTGAGTAGACTCAGAAGTTGCCCTCTCTTCTGATGACTAAGGCTTTCATATTGGGTTAGGCACATTGATGTCTTACTTTTTCTGCCCTTAAGGTGAGTTATTTTCCAGGAGGATCTCCTCAGCACCTTCATAAGAATGGATTTGCCCAAATCTGTTCAGACATGCCTGAATTGCTTATGTGGATGCACTTAGCCTCAAACTGAGCTATACTCTCATGTGTGTGTACAGCACCTAGCGGAGCACTGGGAAACAGGTCCCACAACGAGTGGTGCTGCTGGTGGGAAAGGTAGTCACCGCAGCTTATATGGTAAGTTCTTTTTTCTTGTTTCTAAGATTTAAAAGAAGTTCCTTTCTCTCTTCTTCCAGACTTCTCTATTTTTCATCCTTTGATTCATTATTATCAGAGAGTTTGATTAGCTTTCAGTTTTATGCAGAGCAGCGCAGTCTTCCTGGCCACTGGGTTGGATTTATTTTTATATCTAATGGGAATCAGGTCACAGAAGATGGTTTCAGAATGTCTCACATCCGGCCTCCCTCACTCACTAAAATGTTAAGCTTTGTTCTTTTAAAATATTGATAAACACAATTGTTAATGAATTTTCCTTCAGTTTTCAACAGATCTGAATCTTTACACTTTTGGAATCTCATGAATCATGGGAAGTTCCCAAGGAAAATGGGAATTTTGGTGCTACGAAGTTTTTAAAAGGTTTTGATCTTTCTTTCAAGGTACTCTTCATGGGGAGTATGTGTGTCAAAATTTCACTTAGCTGATGTATTGCTATTAAAAGTGAATTGTTTCATTTCCTTTAGACAATACTAAAGGGAACGCTTTCTGCCGCTTTTAAGCGATAAAAATCTAAACACAATAGGTCTTAGTATAATAAGCATTTGGGTGTTACTTTTTCCTGTTAAGAGAAAAAACAACCCCATTTATAAACTGTTATTAAATCAAATTATTAATTCCAGTGGGACTTGAAACTCAGTAACAAAAATAATTGATATAATGTTACTTTTTCTGATTTTCCTGGGCTTCTTTACTAATTGGAAATTTTATTGCAAAATGAAAGCCTAAATAATAATAATAATATATATTTTTTTGAGACAGAATCTCACTCTGTCACCCACACTGGAGTGCAGTGGGATGATCTCAGCTCACTGCAACCTCCGCCTTCTGGGTTCACATGATTCTTATGCCTCAGCCACCCAAGTACCTGGGATTACAGGTGTGCACCACCAAGCCCAGCTAATTTCTGTATTTTTAGTAGAGATGGGGTTTCACCATGTTGGCCAGGCTGGTCTCGAATGCCTAACCTCAAGTGATCCACCTACCTCGGCCTCCCAAAGTGCTGGGATTATAGGCGTGAGCCACTGCGCCTGGCCAATGATTGAATTTTTGAACTGGGAGAAAACCTATTTAACTAAAACATTTATATTTATATAAATTTATATTTACGTCTCTCTTTCTATACACACACACACACACATACACACACACACACACACATATATATATGCTGAGGCCCAAAGAGTTTACATTATGTACCCAATGATACTGCCTTAGTCCGTTCATAGTACTATAAAAATACCACAGACAGAGCGACCTAAATGACAAACATTTATTTCTTACAATTCTGAAAGTTGGGGAGTCCAATATCAAGGCACCTGCAGATTCAATATCTAAGGGTTTACTTCCTGATCCACAGACTACTGTCTTCTTGATGTGTCTTCACATGGCAAAAAGAGCAAGGGAGCTCCCTGAGGTCTCTTTTATATGGGTAGTAATTCTATTCATGTGGCTCCATTCTCAGGACCTCATTACCTTCCAAAGGCCCCACCTTCCAATACCATCACCTTGTGGATTAGGATTTCAACATATGAATTTGGGGAGGACACAAACATCCCATCTCTATGGCAGGCACAAAGCTAGTTAATGAAAGATCTGATTACATGGTAGTTTCTATTTATTAGTATAAAAATAGCTCCTTATAATAGGCTTTGATTTATGTCAAAAATATTTATATTTAGGCAAAATGTAAGCAAGAATTTTGCTAACATTGTGCACATACCATTGATATATACTAAGCTCAGTCTACTTTTTTCCTCATCATTTCGTTACAGCTACAAAAATCTCCTTCTGTTGCTAAATGTAAGTTAAGAAAGAAAGGGAAGTTCTATAAAATAAATTGTTGAAACCTATGTTTATAAGAGAAATGCTAGTAATCTCCCATCTCCCTAAAGAAAAAAATCTTAGTTTTAAATACTTCAGAAGGTCTCATGATGAAATCTCCTTTGCAAAAATTATGACAATGAGAAAAATTTGACATAGGAAAATTATGACAGGGAAAGAAATCTGACCAAACTGACTCCACTGACTCCATCTTGCTTCTAATCTCCAAGCTGCCCTTCATCCCTGGCTGAAGGCCATGCTAACTATGGGAGGAATTTACTTTATTGTTTAACTTTGAGAAAAGGATAAGAGCCCCTTCCCAAAACAAACTTCTTCCTTGTTTGGGGACAAGACCACCTTTGTAAAACTAACAAATTAGTCATAAGATTAGAAATTATGGCTCAGGAGTGATGTAGCCAGAGGCCACAAGATTCCTAACCTCTCCAATTGCTCCTGTAAATAACATCACTATTGTAAAACCTAAGACTTGTGTTTGAGGTATTTTTCAGACCCTGCAATCAGATGGACCAGCTAGCACCATCCATACCAGTAAACTGGCTCATCTGGTCTTGTGGCCCCCACCCAGGAACAGACTCAGAACAAGAAGACAAGTTTTGACTCCCTATGATTTCTCCCCAACCCAACCAATCAGCATTCCCCATTCCCTAGCCTCTGTCCCCCAAACTATCCTTAAAAAATCCTAGCTTCCAAATTTTCATGGAGGCTGATTTGAGTAATAATAAACTCCTGTCCTTTCACTTGGCTGAGACTGCGATTATTAAATTTTTTCTCTATTGCAAAAACCTGCTGTTCTCAGTGCACTGGTTTTTCTAGGAAGCAGGCAAGATTAACCCTTTGGGGGAGTAGAAGACTATAATTTTATGAACTTGGTGTTTCACACTACCAAAATAGGTACATTGAAATTCCAACTTCATGTCAATACACTGCATGATTTTACAGCAACAAAAGCATCAGCCTCCTTACCAAATATGGATATTCAATTGAAATCTGAAATAATTAAAAAATGAAGGTGATGACCTTTAGTAATATAAAGAGAAGTTTACAATTACATTAACAAGTGTGATGACATTTATTTGAGGACACTATTCTGCTGGGTCACAGAACTGTGAATCTTTTCTGTGAAATCCCTACCTTAATTGAATTAGGCATTTCCCTAGTACCCTATACATACTTTTATTATAGAATGCTTATTGGATATCTCTTGCACACTACTTAAAATCCTTTCAGCCTCACTTCTTATTCCAGCCACTGCTGCGGCTACCTAACTAATACCTGCTTTGGTCAGTTTCATCCAGGAGCAAACTGACAGTCTCTCCCTATGTGCCTCTCACTTTCTACCTTGCCTGGGGCTTTTCTGATGCCCTGAGGCATGGGACACCTACAAAAACTTGCCCAAAACTTGTATCAGTCTGAGATCAATAAGAGAAGCAGAACCATTAGAGGCTCAATTTATATTTATATTTGTTACCGGGATTTCACCTTAAATAATTGATGCTGGTTAGACTATCGGTGTAAAGCCACAGTATTGTTTTAATATTGTCTTTTTTTTTTTTTACTGTAAATAATAATGTTTTATTTTCAATGGAAAGTTCAATGTCCTTTGTACCTGCAAAGGACACGAGTTCATTCTTTTTTATGGCTGGTGGTTTGTTGCACTCATTAACCCGTTATCTACATTAGGTATTTCTCCTAATGTTATCCCTCCCCTTGCTCCCTACCCCCTGACAGGCCCCACTGTGTGATGTTCTCCTCCTTGTGTCCATGTGTTCTCATTGTTCACCTCCCACTTATGAGTGAGTACATGTAGTCTTTGGTTTCAGTTCCTGTGTTAGTTTACTGAGAATGATGGTTTCCAGCTTCATCCATGTCCCTGCAAAGGACATGAACTCATTATTTTTTATGGCTGCATAGTATTCCATAGTGTATATGTGTCACATTTTCTTTATCCAGTTTATTATTGATGGGCATTTGAGTTGGTTCCAAGTCCTTGCTATTGTGAATAGTGCTGCAATAAACATATGTGTGCATGTGTCTTTATAGTAGAATGATTTATAATCCTTTGGGTATATACCCAGCAATGGGATTCCTGGGTCAAATGGTATTTCTGATTGTAGATCCTTGAGGAATTGCCACACTCTCTTCCACAATGGTTGAACTAACATACACTCCCACCAACAGTGTAAAAGTGTTCTTATTTCTCTACATCTTCTCCAGCATCTGTTGTTTCCTGACCTTTTAATGATTGCCATTCTAACCGGTGTGAGATGGTATCTTATTGTGGTTTTGATTTGCATTTCTCTAATGACCCATGATGATGAGTGTTTTTTATATGTTTGTTCACCACATAAATGTCTTCTTTTGAGAAGTGTCTGTTCACAACTTTTGCCCACTTTTTGATGGGGTTGTTTGGTTTTTTCTTGTAAATTTGTTTAAGTTCCTTGTAGATTCTGGATATTAGCCCTTTGTCAGGATAGATTGCAAAATTTTTTCCGATTCTGTAGGTTGCCTGTTTACTCTGATGATAGTTTCTTTTGCCGTGCAGAAGCTCTTTAGTTTAATTAGATCCCATTTGTCAATTTTGGGTTTTGTTACAATTGCTTTTGGTGTTTTAGTCTTAAAGTCTTTGCCCATGCCTATGTCCTGAATGGTATTGCCTAGGTTTTCTTCTAGGGTTTTTATGGTTTTAGGTCTTATGTTTAAGTCTTTAATCCATCTTGAGTTAATTTTTGTATAAGGTGTAAGGAAGGGGTCCAGTTTCAGTTTTCTGCATATGGCTAGCCAGTTTTCTCCACACCATTTATTAATAAGGAATCCTTTCCTTTCCCCATTGCTTGTTTTCATCAGGTTTGTCAATGATCAGATGGTTGTGGATATGTGGTGTTATTTCTGAGGACTCTGTTTTGTTCCATTGGTCTACATATCTGTTTTGGTACCAGTACCATGCTGTTTTGGTTACTGTAGCCTTGAGGTATAGTTTGAAGTCAGGTAATGTAATGCTTCCAGCTTTGTTCTTTTTACTTAGGATTGTCTTGGCTATATGAGCTCTTTTTTGGTTCCATATGAAATTTAAAGTAGTTTTTTCTAATTCTGTGAAGAAAGTCAGTGGTAGCTTGATGGGAATAGCATTGAATCTGTAAATTACTTTGGGTAGTATGGCCATTTTCATGATATTGATTCTTACTATCCATGAGCATGGAATGTTGTTCCATTTGTTTGTGTCCTCTCTCATTTCCTTGAGCAGAGGTTTGTAGTTCTACTTGAAGAGGTCCTTCGCATCCCTTGCAAGTTGTATTCCTAGGTATTTTATTCTCTTTGTAGCAGTTGTGAATGGGAGTTCACTCATGATTTGGCTCTGTGTCTATTATTGGTGTATAGGAATGCTTGTGCTTTTTGCACATTGATTTTGTATCCTGAGACTTTGCTGAAGTTGCTTATCAGCTTAAGGAGATTTTGGGCTGAGACAATGGGGTTTTCTAAATATACAATCATGTCATCTGCAAACAGAGACAATTTAACTTCCTCTCTTCCTATTTGAATACCCTTGATTTCTTTCTGTTGCCTGATTACCCTATCCAGAACTTCCAATACTATGTTGAATAGGAGTGGTGAGAGAGGGCATCCTTATCTTGTGGCGGTTTTCAAAGGGAATGCTTCCAGTTTTTGCCCATTCAGTATGATATTGGCTGTGGGTTTGTCATAAATAGCACTTATTATTTTGAGATACGTTCTGTCAATGCCTAGTTTATTGAGAGTTTTTAGCATGAATGGGTGTTGAATATTATTGAAGGCGTTTTCTGCATCTATTGAGATAATCGTGTGCTTTTTGTCATTGGTTCTCTTTATGTGATGGATTATGTTTATTGATTTGCATATGTTGAACCAACCTTGCATCCCAGGGAGGAAGCCAACTTGATCGTGGTGGATAAACTTTTTAATGTGCTGCTGGATATGGTTTGCCAGTATTTTATTGAGGATTTTCGCATCAATATTCATCAGGGATATTGGCCTGAATTTTTCTTTTTTTGTTGTGTCTCTGAAAGAGTTTGGTATCAGGATGATGCTGGCCTCATAAAATGAGTTAGGGTGGAGTCTCTCTTTTTCTATTGTTTGGAATAGTTTCAGAAGGAATGGTACCAGCTCCTCTTTGTACCTCTGGTGGAATTCGGCTGTGAATCTGTCTGGTACTAGGCTTTTCTTGGTTGGTAGGCTTTTAATTACTGCCTCAATTTTATAACTTGGTCTGTTTGGGGATTCGACATCTCCCTTGTTTAGTCTTGAGAAGGTGTATGTGTCCAGGAATTTATCAATTTCTTCTAGATTTTCTAGTTTATATGTGAAGAGGTGTTTATAGTATTCTCTGATGGTAGTTTGTTTTTCTGTGGGATCAGTGGTGATATCCACTTTATCATTTTTTACTGTGTCTATTTGATTCTTCTGTCTTTTCTTCTTTAGTAGTCTGGCCATCAGACTATCTCTTTTGTTGATCTTTTCAAAAAACCAAATCCTGGATTCACTGATTTTTTTAAAGGGTTTTTTTCTGTTTCTATCTCCTTCAGCTCTCCTCTGATCTTAGTTATTTCTTGTCTTCTGCTAGCTTTTGAATTTGTTTGCTCTTGCTTCTCTAGTTCTTTTAATTGTGTTGTTAGGGTGTTGATTTTATATCTTTCCTGCTTTCTCCTGTGGACATTTAGTGCTATAAATTTCCCTCTAAACACTGTTTTAGCTGTGTCCCAGAGATTCTGGTACATTGTGTCTTTGTTCTCATTGGTTTCAAATAACTTATTTATTTCTGCCTTAATTTTGTTATTTACCCAGTAGACATTCAGGAGCAGGTTGTTCAGTTTCCATGTAGTTGTGCAGTTTTGAGTGAGTTTGTTATTCCTGAATTCTAATTTGATTGCACTGTGGTCTGAGAGACTGTTTCTTATCATTTCCATTCTTTTGCATATGCTGAGGAGTGTTTTACTTTCAATTATGTGGTCAATTTTAGAATAAGTGCTATGTGGTGCTGAGAAGCATGCATATTCTGTTGATTTGGGGTGGAGAGTTCTGTAGATGTCTATTAGGTCTGCTTGGTCCAGAGCTGAGTTCAAAGTCCTGAATATCCTTGTTCATTTTCTGTCTCATTGATCTGTCTAATATTGACAGTGGGGTGTTGAAGTCTCCCAATATTATTGTGTGGGAGTCTAAGTCTCTTTGTAGGTCTCTAAAAACTTGCTTTATGAAGCTGGGTGCCCCTGTATTGGGTGCATATATATTTGGGATAGTTAGCTCTTCAGATTGCATCGATCCGTTTACCATTATGCAATGCCCTTCTTTGTCTTTTTTGATCTTTTTGGTTTAAAGTCTGTTTTATCAGAGACTAGGATTGCAACCCCTGCTTTTTTTTTTTTTTTTTTTTTTTTTTGCTTTCCCTTTGCTTGGTAAGTGTTCCTCCATCCCTTTATTTTGAGCCTATGTGTGTCTTTGCACATGAGATGAGTCTCCTGAATACAGCACACCGATGGGTCTTGACTCTTTATCCAATTTGCCAGTCTGTTTCTTTTAATTGGGGCATTTAGCCCATTTACATTTAAGGTTAATGTTGTTATGTGTGAATTTTATCTAGTCTTTATTATGCTAGCTGGTTATTTTGCCCATTGGTTGAAGCTGTTTCTTTGTAGCGTTGATGGTCTTTACAATTTGGTATGTTTTTGCCATGGCTGGTACTGGTTGTTCCTTTCCATATGTAGTGCTTCCTCCAGTAACTCTTGTAAGGCAGGCCTGGTGGTGACAAAATCTCTCAGCATTTGCTTATCTATAAAGGATTTTATTTCTCCTTCGCTTATGAAGCTTAATTTGGCTGGATATGAAATTCTGGGTTGAAAATTCTTTTCTTTAAGAATGTTGAATATCGGCCCCCACTCGCCTCTGGCTTGTAGGGTTTCTGCAGAGAGATCCGCTGTTAGTCTAATGGGCTTCCCTTTGTGGGTATTCCAACCTTTCTGTTTGGCTGCCCTTAACATTTTTTCCTTCATTTCAACCTTGGTGAATCTGATGATTATGTGTCTTCAGTTTGCTCTTCTCAAGGAGTATATTTGTGGTGTTCTCTGAATTTTCTGAATTTGAATGTTGGCCTATCTTGCTAAGTTGGGGAAGTTCTCCTGGATAATATCCTGAAGAATGTTTTCCAATTTGGTTCCATTCTCCCTGTCACTTTCAGGTACACCAATCAAATGTGGGCTTGATCTTTTCAGATAGTCCCATATTTTCTGGAGGCTTTGTTCATATCTTTTCATTCTTTCTTCTCTAATCTTGTCTTCATGCATTATTTCATTAAGTTGATCTTCAATCTCTGATATCCTTTCTTCCACTTGATCAATTCGGCTATTGATAGTTGTGTATGCTTCACAAAGTTCTCGTGCTGTGTTTTTCAGCTCCATCAGGTAACTTATGTTCTTCTCTGAACTTGTGACTCTAGTTAGCAATTCTTTTAACCTTTTTTCAAGCTTCTTAGCTTCCTTGCGTTGGGTTAGAACATGCTGCTTTAGCTCAGAGGAGTTTTTTATTACCCACCTTCTGAAGCCTATTTCTGTCAATTTGTTAAACTCATTCTCAATACAATTTTGTTCCCTTGCTGGCAAGGAGTTGTGATACCTTGGAGGAGAAGAGGAGTTTTGGTTTTTGGCATTTTAAGCCTTTTTGCACTGGTTTTTCCTCATCTTCGTGGATTTATCTACCTTTGGTCTTTGATGTTGGTGACTTTGGATGGGGTTTCTGTGTGGATGTCCTTTTTGTTCATGTTGATGCTATTCCTTTCTGTTAGTTGTCCTTCTAATAGTCAGGCCCTTCTGCTGCACGTTTGCTCCAGTTTGCTGGAGGTTCACTCCAGACCCTGTTTGCTTGGGTATCACCAGCAGAGGCTGCAGATCAGCAATGATTGCTGCCTGTTCCTTCTTCTGGAAGCTTCATTCCAGAGGGGCACCCGCCAGGTGACAGCCAGAGCTCTCCTGTATGAGGTATTGGTCAACTCCTGCTGGGAGGTGTCTCCCAGTCAGGAGGCATGCAAACCAGGGACCCACTTGAGGAGGCAGTCTGTCCCTTAGCAGAGCTTGAGTACTGTGCTGGCAGATCCGCTGCTCTCCTCAGAGTCAGCAAGCAGGAACATTTAAGTCTACTGAAGCTGCACCCACAGCCACCCCTTCCCCCCAGGTGCTCTGGCCCAGGGAGATGGGAGTTTTATCTATAAGCCCCTGACTGGGCCTGTTGCCTTTCTTTCAGAGATGCCCTGCCCAGAGAGGAAGAATCTAGAGAGGCAGTCTGGCTACAGCAGCTTTGCAGAGCTGTGGTGGGCATCACCCAGTCCAAACTTCCCTGTGGCTTTATTTACACTGCGAGGGGAAAACCGCCTACTCAAGCCTCAGTAATGGCTGACGCACCTCCCCCACCAACCTCCAACATCCCAGGTCGACTTCAGACTGCTGTGTTGGCAGCGAGAATTTCAAGCCAGTGGATCTTAGCTTGCTGGGCTCCCTGGGGGTGGGATCCGCTGAGCTAGACCACTTGGCTCCCTGGCTTTAGCCCTCTTTCCAGGGGAGTGAACAGTTCTGTCTTGGTGGCATTCCAGGTGCCACTGGGGTATGAGAAAAACTCCTGCAGCTAGCTCAGTGTGTGCCCAAATGGCCGCCCAGTTTTGTGCTTGAAACCCAGGGCCCTGGTGGCATAGGCACCCAAGAGAATTTCCTGGTCTGTGGGTTGCAAAGACCATGGGAAAAGCATAGTATCTGGGCTGGATAGCACCATCCCTTACAGCATGGTCCTTCATGGCTTCCCTTGGCTAGGGGAGGGAGTTTCCCAACCCCTTGCACTTCCTGGGTGAGGCACCCCACCCTGCTTTGGCTGGCCCTCCTTGTGCTGCACCCACTGTCTAACCAGTCCCAGTGAGATGAGCCAGGTACCTCAGTTGGAAATGCAGAAATCACCCACCTTCTGCGTTGATCACACTGTGAGCTGCAGACCAGAGCTTTTCCTATTCGGCCATCTTGCCAGCCACTTTCTCGGCCATTTTAAATTACATGGGCTATCTCCCTTGTTCCATGCCCTGTCCACTTGCTCTTTTTAAAAACATTCCTATTTTAATATAAAAATACTTCATGATGTAATATTTTATATGTGCAAAAGAAATTATATAACTTGTGCTAGCTTAAAAAGTAAAATAATAAAATAAACACCTGTTAATCCATTACCCAACCTCAGAAATTTACTATCACCAATATCGTTGAAGCTACCTGTTTGTTCCTCCCTGATCCTATTACCCTCTTTCTCCCAGGCGTTAACCACTATCTTGAGGCTTATGTTTACTTTTAGTCTTTCTATGGTTTCACCACAAAATCAGCAATGTATTTTTTTGGTTTTGAAATTCATAAAAACGGCATATCACACAACATGAAGGGCCATCAGCATATCCTCACTAGAATGTCAGCTACATAAGAGCAAAGGCTTTTGTCTATTTTGTTCACTGATATATCCCAAGTAACTATAAAAGGATCTGGCACATGGTAGGCACTCAATAAATATTTGTTAACTAAATTAATAAAAATATAAGCCTTCCAAATAGTTTTGTCCATTTCCTCATATCTGAAGCTTGACAGTTAGGCTTAGTTGCTTAACTGATTGAACACCATGATTGTCAGATACCATTTTTGGTGGTTTACTACCTTACCTAATACAGCTATTTCACTTGTGGCCTTAGTTAATGCTCTATGCATGAACTAAGCTCTTGTAAATATATCCATTTTGATAATGTAAGTTTTCTTTCTGCTTTTCTCCACTGTCTGATTATAATTAGCTGGAACAAGAAATGCTTCTTTAATATAATGAATTTTGCCTCAGTCATAGAAACTGTAAGATAGGACAAAAGAATAGATTTCCTTCTTTCTGCTGCTGAATCACAGATTCTCCTATGTAAGGAATACTTACTTAACCCAACATCTCAGGGATTCATAGATCTGACCAAACATTAGAGTTCTTTGTTGTCTTGTAATATGTATGCTGTTTTGCTGTATATCACTATCAGCATATTTTATACATTTTTAATGTAATTTACAATGCACAATTCCTTAAGTCAAATGTCCTGCACTGAGAACTCCTTCAGGGATTAGTTTTTTTTTTTTTTTCAAATGTGCATTTCTTAGGTTTACTATTTCCTTAGTATATATATTTAGAGTGTGTGTGTATATATATATATATATATATATATGTATATTTTTCTTCCTATTGCTGTTATGGAATCTTTGCTGGAGGTCCTGTGTGATAAAACCTCCAATATGTGGAATGTTATTAACATTTGCTAAAGACCTTTGGATGCAATGCAGAGTTTCTTTTCATGAGAGAATTGTGCAGTGGAAGAGAGAAGACTGCTTTGTGATTATAGCAGTTCTTTAACTGAATTAAGACAGGCAATCATTGGTGTTTCTACTGTGTTGCCAGGGACTTCTATTTATTATCAAGGCATTCTTTTATATTCTGCTTTGTAAAACTGGAAATTCCCTGAGAAATCACCAGGAAAGCTGAATGCCATATAAAGAAAAGAAAACCGAAACCAAGGAGGACAATATGTGGGAAAAAAAGAAGCTAAGACGTTAGAACTGTGCTATTTCCTAAAGATTAACATGTGTTTGAAAGATATAACAATGTTAGTTTTTGGACATAAACATACATATTGTTTGTACTAAGTGTTGCTTTTTCCTAGTCTGTAATCAATGAACAAGCATCTCTTGAATATGTAGTATTTACTTAGCACAGTTTGAGACACTGTGGGATATTCTAAAGAATAATCTGTAGAGCCCTTGCCTTTCAATAGCCTACAATAGAGTAGGAGGAATACAATGGCACATTTAAGCCATAAGACAAGGCAAGATGATACTTAATTACCATAAGTACTAAATTATGAGGTACAGACTATTAGTACTGTAAAATGTACTGGGTTCCCAGAATACTCTCCTTCCTATCTGAGTGGTAGTTACATGGGTATTCTTTTCACAACCTGTTTTAAAACTGTGCACATGTTTTATTTACCTGTTTTAAAATCATAATTCACAATAAAAATGTTAAGTGATAGAAAGAGAAGGAGAAGAATAAGGCCTGGAATAACTGGAATAAAAACTTGTGGGGAAAATATAACTTAAGAATTGGCACAGAAGAGAGAGCAGATCAATACAAATGCAAATGTAGCACAGCTGTGGATGAGTTGGGGTGCAGATGGGTTGCAAGGAAAGAGGGTACCAACTGGAGTGGGCTTGGAGTTTGGGGTGGGTTGTATGGGGTGGTGCAGTAGCTAACATGAGCCTGGACAATTTGAGAGTTAAGGGTTTTGGGGTTGAAGGAGGACCTTGAGATGGAAGTAGAGAAGCTTAGACTGATGTACCAGGTCATCCATATGTTTGGGATTTTAAATTAGGTGAAAGATTGATGACAATGGAATTCAAGAAAAAAATAATGTAGCTGTGCTATGTCTTCTTCACGAAAACAGGATAGGAGCAGGAGTGAGAAAGGGAAGCAGCAAATGAATCATGTAGCAATGAGAGCCTCCTCATCATTACTGGAGAGGAAGAAGTAAATGTAAGAAACACTACAGGTGAGAAATGCTCACGACTATGTAGCTGAGAGGATGTGGGGATGAGCAGGATAAATGAACCACGTATTTTTTGCTCTTGGGAGAATAATAGTGCCAGTGATAGAGTAGTTGGTAGAAACAGTTGGTTAAGAGGAGGAGGTAATTCTGGTCTTTCAAATGTAGAATTTGGAGTGATAATGACAGTAGGGAGTAGCTATATGGGCATAGAACAAGGGCACATAGAGAAATTTTGATGAGCATTTTCAAATGTAAAATACCACAACCAGAAATGAATCCCCATATTGTGTTATATGACAGATATCATAAAGCACCTAAACGATGCTGCTCTCACATCAAAGGCTAAAAATCAAGGTAATTCTCCCTCCTTGAATGTGGTAGCCAAACCCACATATTCCTCTCCCTTTCCATTTCTGACAGTTCCATAAATACCTAAATTCAAAGCAAAGCCTATTTATTTTATCAGGGAGAAAGCAGATGTTCCAGCTGTTGGTGATTTCTGTGCAAGATGAGCCATCCTTACTACATTTTAAATCTTTTTGAACTTGTGTCTTTTTAGCAAACTTGGAGAATTATACTATAGAAATGGAAATCTATAAAACTCCAAAGGGCAGACAGAATTAAGGAGGCAGATTTTGATTCAATAAAGAAAGAACTTTCTAAAAATGTGAATGATCCATAAATGGAAAAAACCTAAGTATATTCCCTCTTCTGGAAATATTTTAGCAAAAGCTTGACTCTGTAGAGATTCTATATATAGGATTCTTACTTTGAGTCAGTGATTGGACTAAAAGACTTCCATGACACTTTATATATTTATTTTCTCCCTCTCATGTATTGAGGCTCAGTGAGGAAAATTTTGAATAATACCAATAAATTTGCTCATTTATTCATCCAAGCAGGTTTGTTTTTCCTATGAGCCAGGAACTGGGCTAGGCATTGGGGATGAAACAGTGAAAGAGACTCTGATCCTTGTCCTCAGTAATCTTGTAGTCTAATAAGGGATACAGTGACCAAAGTGTTAAATGCTAACATCGAAGTAAATACCTGGAACTCAAAGTGAGCATAGCTCACTCTTAAAGAGTCAAAGAAGACCTATCTGAAACATCAACTATTGCACCAAACTGGACTGTTGAAGACAGAAGAGGCTTAAGTCCTTTCTATCAGTCTACTTGCCCAATATTCACTATCTACACACAAAAATTCTATGAGCAAAGCCCATTTTCAGAAAACACAGCCTTATAGAAGGACTTTCAATATGACAGAATGAACTACAGTTTCAGAAATGTAGTTTGGCTTTCTAGAAAACATAAATCCATTTGAGTCTAAAATATTTTAAAACCTAAATAAAATCCTTATCCCCATGAGATGATATGGACAAGTATTAATTGCTTTCTCCTATATTACCTTGACCCTGAACCTCCCCTATCCAGGCAACTAAACTGAATTGTTCCAATGGCCCAAGCAGAGATGTGAGGAAGAAGGGAAGGAGAGGGAATTACAGCACAATCAGAAAATAAATATAACACATTCTTGGCTTTTCAGTTTAAAATGCCCACCTATGTGATAGAAAGATTAAATCAAATACTTGCTGGAGCATTTTCCTCTCTCAGAAGAAAATAACTTAAACCTTTATCTGGACTAAGAGAAGAAAAGGGATATAGTGGAGATGGGAAACAAGATTGTTAAGACATTGACAAAACTCTCTTAGAAAAGATCACCAGACCCTACTTCCCCATACCTCTCCCTCAGTAATTAGCCCCTCGGGGAGATGAGAGCAATAGAATCCTTAGATGAAGTCAAGGTTCTGAGGGTAAATTGAAACTCTATGCTGTATCTCCGATCAGTGCTTTGCAAATTTCAATGTGCATAAAAATTACCTGAGGATTTTATTAAAATACACTTTTAATTGAGTAGTTCTGAAATGTGGCCCAGGAGTCTGCACATTCCCAGTTGATCCTAATGCAGATAATCCATGGTCCACTCTTTGAATAGTAAGATCATGGGGAATTTTTGAAGACAACCTTGTCTCCAGAAATTCCGTCTACCGTCATGGAACAGGCTTAGTAGCAGATGTGGTTGTGTATGTGGGTGTGGGCACCTAAAGCCCAAGGTCACCTTACTGAGCTTCCTAAGAGCCAATAGTGGTGTATGAGAGGAATTAATTTTCTTGCTTTTCAAAAGGGGTGCAGAAACTAGCCAGAGAATTGGCAAGGGGCTCATGGTCATAATGAGGGGACTCCCTGATGAGGGGGAAGCAGTAGGGACCACACCACTATGGTGCAGGTGGGAACAGGGACACCTCTGCAGATGCCATCAGGAAGGTTTGTGCAAGTCTCCATGGGCTAGAACATCTTCATGGGAGCCAATATGAAGGACAGATGCAAGCATGAGCCAGTTATCCTTCCATCACCCCCATCAGAAACCACCATGCCAAAAGCTCCTGGAAATTAAATTTCACATCAGAGAGGAGAGAAGACCCTAACAACTGAGTTTACCCAGAACTGATCTAATTATTTTATCTGCTACTGGGGAAAAAAAAGATCTTAAAATCAAAACCAAGTTGTTACATAAAAATAAAATTATGTTCTTAAATGCTCATACTTATGACCCAAGAACTTCATACTCACTATAGAATATACATAAGAAATTTGATGGTTAATGCTCCCAAATAGTAATTTACATGAAAATTAAAACTACCAGTAAATTACAGGTTTATTTTGAGAGGAGAAAGTGATGTTTTATAGAGTCTCGTATTCCATGTAGGCCCTAGGACAGTACTTTAAAGAGGCTGGAGGATTCAAAACGATTTTAACTTCTTTTGGAAAATAAAAATTTGAAATGTTGTGGAAAAGATGGATTAAAAGTCAATTACATTAAATTAAATTAAAATTTTATCTCAGTTTTTTAAAGAAATAATGCAGAAAGTTAAAAATGAGAAAAATCAGTTCATGGAGAGAAGGAATTGCTATGTTTTGATTATCCACTATGTGCCAGGCATTGTGATGGGCACCCACAATAACATAAACTTGCCCTAATGCTGTCAACAACCCTGTAAATAGATTTAATTCTTCCGCTTTGTAGATGAGTAAATAAAGACTGAAGAGGTTATGTGGTAGAGCCAAGGTTTAAATTCAGGCTTATGTAGTTACAAAGAGTCAAGTTTTTGGGTTTTTTGTAAACGAAGATGAAAGGTCCAAAGAATAATAAATGTTTTGAGATCAAAGATGTGGGATTAGCAATGCCAAAAACTTAGTCATAACACAGTAATAAGAATAACAACTATCAGACAGAGACATGGGGTAAAGAACATGGTAGGGCACGGAAGAAAAGAAAAGGAAAACTGGCATTTATTGATGTCTAGAACTGAACCAAAACTTGAATGTTCATTAATGTTCACAGCAGCAAGAAACTTCATTCCGCAGCCATTCTGTGCGGATCACTTTGGAGGAATAGCTTTGAAAAGATGTGTATTCAACGTATTAAAGAAAAGTGCTCCATCTTAGCCCATCTATTCCAAATGATAATAGCTGATACAAATTGAATATTTATTATATGTTAGGTAATATTTTAAATACTTATATGTATCAATTCATTTAATGCTCACAAAAAATCCTATGAAGTAAGTATAATTATTATTACTCAGTGAACACCTGAGAAACCGGGGCGCAGAGAGTTTATGTCATTTGCTCAGAGTCACACAGCTCAAGAATAATGGAGCCAGGATGTGAACCCAAGCACCAGGCTGCAGTTTCTAGGTGTATTACTGATGCCCTCACTCACTTTCAGTCAGTTATCCAAGCATGGAGCATCAACTATCTTCATAGACCTGCATTAGGCTCTCTGAGGCATACAGAAAAGCACAAGATATGTTTTCTGCCCCAGCTTATAAAATAATAAAATAAACTATATTGATTTGGTGTACCTTTAAAATGTGCGTGTGTGTGCGTGATCATTCCGATGCCTGAAAACTGACTGTTGTGGTTACCTAAGGCCATTTTATGCTGTTCATGAGACAAGAGTATTGTAGGTCCCAACACAAGACTGAATAGATCAGTTCTAGCAATTGGCATTCACTGAGTAATTTATTTTGAACCGATTCGATATGATCTTGTAATGAGAATTATGTTAATTATAATAAATAGTTAAATATATTTTCTTATACATATAACCAAACATATTAGGAAAAAAATACTTGAAAAATGTTTTTCAAATGTTATAAAATAACAGTAAATAAAACAATAACAATTGGAACATAGCCAAATTCACTAGTCTAGCTTTAATTATAATATATTCAAGGACTTTGCATACATATTCACTAATCCATTTAAAATGAGTTTTGAGGAATCACTGACAACTGGAGATAATCCAGATGACTAGAAACAATACTATAGCTTCTTAAGAAAGAGAATATCCTTGGTAATTGCTATCCTTCTATGGATGACATTGCATTTGAGATACGTCATTCAAATATGTATATACATACATATTCGAATATGTATGTATATACATATTTGAATGACGTATCTCAAATGCAATGTCATATATATATGCAACAAACTGGTGATGGAAATATGAACAACATAAGCAAAGTATATCTTTTACAGGACAGGTCATACTGCACAATTAACAATTTCTTTTCAAATTTTCAAATTAATAGGTAAAAGAATGAAGTGTGTGTTGATCACCAAACTTTAGTAATAAAATAGTGCCTCTCAAAAATCATCTTGCAAAGTTTGTGTGAATCTGGATGGAAAATCTCATAAAAAAATAAAATAAGTATATATCCAGTGGCAGGCCTAGTAAATATGTTTTGAGGATAAAACTCAGATATGAGAGATACATTTTCTTTAACTTTTAACTCAGTTTTATTTTCTCCTTCTTTCAAGTGATTAAAAAAACTATTTTCATACACAAATCCAGGTAAACTTAAGAGCTTTGTGTTTAAATTCAAACAATTCATTATTTTTACACCATCCCAAATATTCCTTGGGGTAACATCCAATATCAAAGAAAAAATTTTATAGAATATACCTCGTTTAATCTATGCTTCTGATGAATGGCATTCTAGAATTTTTTAAAGTTATATAAATCTTACATTTTTGAGATAATTCAACTTGATCATGATGTTTCATAACCATTTTGTACATCGTACATTGACAGTTTCAATTTGCTAATTTTTTTAAGGATTCTTACATCTACACTCATTAGTAAAATTGGCCTGTTATTTTTCTTTCTCCTACATTCTTTGTCTGATTATTATCAAGGTTATACTGAACTCACAGAATGTAGTAGAAAATGTTCCCTCTTTTTCTATTTTCTTTGGGAGTTTGCAAAAGATTAGAATAAACTTTTGCTTAAAAATTTGGTAGACAGGTCAACAAAACCATCTGGGACTTTTTTTTATGAGAAGATGTTCAATTACTTTATCAGTGTCTGTAATTGTGACTAAACATTTCTGAAGTTTTACACACACATGCACACACACACGCACACACACTTTTTTGGGGGGGGACAGGGTCCTGCTCTGTTGCCCAAGCTTAAGTTCAGTGTCATGATCCTCCCACCTTAGTCTCTCAATTAGCTGGGGTCACAGGCACATGCCATCATGCTCGGCTAATTTTTAAAAAAAATTTTGGTAGAGACAAGGTCTCCCTGTGTTGCCCAGGCCAGTATCCGACTCCTAGGCTCAAGCAATTCTCCCTCCTCGGGCTCTGAAAGTGTTGGGATTACAGGCATGAGCCATTGTGCCTAGCCTATATATTTTTTTAAACTTTCAAATTTATTGGCATAAAATTAACCAAAGTATTATTTTAAATTTTAAAAATCTTGCTGGATATGAAGTTATTTTCCTTTTTCATTGCTAAAATTATTTATTTGTGCCATATCTCATTTTCTTTTTTAATATTGCTAGTGGTTTTTCTATTTTATTTTATTTTTCAACTTTTATTTTCGATTCAGGGGATACACATGCAGATTTGTTACCTGGATAAATTGTGTGATGCTGTAGTGTGGGTATGAATGACCCCATCACCCAGCAACTGAGCATAGTACTCAATAGTTAGCTTTTCAACTCTTTCCTTTCTCCACCTCTCCCCACTCTCTAATAGTCCCCAGTTTCTATTGTTGCCATCTTTATGTCCCTGAGTATCCCGTGTTTAGCTCCCACTTATAAGTGATAGCACGTGGTATTTGGTTTCTGTTCTTGCATTAATTTGCTAAGGATAATGGCCTCCAGCTGCATCCATGTTGCTGCAAAGGACATGATTTCATTATTTCTTATGGCTGTGTAGTATTCCATGGTGTATATGTACCACATTTTCTTTATCCAATCCACCATTGACGGGCACCTAGGCTGATTCCATGTCTTTGCTATGGTGAATAGTGCTGTGATGAACACACACGTACATGTGTCTTTTTGGTAGCTTCATTTTCCTTTGAGTATATACCCAGTAATGGGATTGCTGGATTGAATGGTAGTTCTGTCTTAAGTTCTTTGAGAAATCTCCAAACTGCTTTCCACAGTGGCTGAGCTAATTTACATTCCCACTAACAGTCTATAAGCATTCCCTTTTCTCCACAGCCTCACCAGAATCTGTTATTTTTTGACTTGCTAAAATAGCCATTCTAACTGGTGTGAGATGGTATCTCATTGTGGTTTTGATTTGCATTTCTCTGACTATTAGTAATGTGGAATGTTTTTTCATATGTTTGTTGGCCATGTGTATGTCTTCTTTTAAGAAATGTCTGTTTGTGTCTTTTGCACATTTTTAAATGGGATTATTTGTTTTTTGCTTGTTAAGTTCCTTATAGATTCTGGATATTAGCCCTTTTTTAGATGTACAGGCTGTAAATATTTTCTCCCATTGTGTAGTTTGGTTGTTTACTCTTGTTGATGGTTTCTTTTGCTATGCAGAAGCTCTTTAGTTTAATTAGGTCCCACTTGTCAATTTTTGTCTTGCAATTGTTTTTGAGGATTTAGTCATAAATTATTTCCCAAAGCTGATGTCTAGAATGGTGTTTCTTAGGTTTTCTTCTAGGATTTTTTTTCTTTTCTTTTCTTTTCTTTTCTTTTTTTTTTTTTTTTGAGATAGGGTCTCACTCTGTTGCTCAGACTGGAGTACATGGCGTGATCATGGCTCACTGCAGCCTCAACTTCCTGGACTCAAGCAATCCTCCCACCTTAGTCTCTCTAGTAGCTGGGACTACAGGCGTGCAACACCATGTCTGGTTAATTTTTGTATTTTTTGTAGAGATGGGGTTTCACCATGTTGCTCAGGCTGGTCTCGAACTCCTGGACTCAAGTGATCCACCTTCCTTGGCCTCCCAAAGTTCTGGGATTGCAAGCATGAGCCACCACAATCGGCCTCTTCAAAGAGTATTATGGCTTGAGGTCTTACATTTAAATCTTTCATCCATCTCAAATTTATTTTTGTATATGGTGACAGGTAGGGGTCCAGTTTCATTCTTCAGGATATGGCTAGCTAGCTACCCCAGCACCATTTACTGAATAAGGAGTCCTTTCCCCATTGCTTATTTCTGCCAACTTTGTCAAAGATCAAATGGCTGTAGGTGTGCAGCTTTATTTCTGCGTTCTCTGCTCTGTTTCCTTGGTCTATGTGTCTATTTTTGTACCAGTACCGTGCTGTTTTGGTTACTATAGCCTTATGGTATAGTTTGAAGTCAGGTAATGTGATGCCTTCCACTTTGTTCTTTTTGCTTAGGATTGCTTTGGCTATTTAGGCTCTTTTTTGGTTCCACAGGAATTTTAGAATAGTTTTTTCTAGTTCTGTGAAAAATAATGTTTGCAGTTTGATAGGAATAGCATTGAATCTGTAAATTGCTTTGGGTAGTATGTCCATTTTAATGATATTGATTCTTCCAATCCATAAGCATGAAATGTTTTTCCATTTGTGTCATGTATGATTTCTTCTAGCAGTGTTTTGTAATTCTGATGTAGAGATCTTCTATCTCCTTGGTTGAATGTATTCCTAGGTATTTTATTTTTTTTCTGTCACTATTGTAACTGGGGATTGCATCCTCCATTTGGTTCTTAGCTTGAATGTTTTTGGTGTATAGAAATGCTACTGGTTTTTGTACATTGATTTTATATCCTGAAACTTTACTGAAAATGTTTATTATTTCCAGGAGTCTTTTGGTGGAGTCTTTAGGGTTTTCTAGGTATAGAATCATATAGTCCTTGAAGAGATATAGTTTGACTTTTTCTTTTTCTACTTATATGCCTTTTGTTTCTTTCTTTTGCCTGATTGTTCTGGCTGTCCATTCCAATACTGTGTTGAACAGGAGGGGCGAGAGTGGTCATCCTTGTCTTATTCCATTTCTTAAAAGGAAATCCTTTCAGTTTTTGCCCATTTGGTATGATGTTGGCTGTGGGTTGTCATAAATGGCTCTTATTATTTTGAGTTATATTCCTTCAATGCCTAGTTTGTTGAAGGTTTTCATCATGAAGAAATGTTGGATTTTATCAAAAGTTTTTTCCATGTCTATTGAGATGATCATATGGTTGGATTTAATTCTGTTTATGTGGTGAATCACATTGATTGATTTGCATTTGTTGAAGCAACCTTGTATCTCAGGAATGAAGCCTACTTGATCATGGTGAATTAACTATTTAACGAGCTGTTGGATTGGTTTGCTAGTATTTTGCTGAGGATATTTGCATCTATGTTCATCAGGGATATTGGCTTGTAGTTTTCTTTTTTTGTTGTTTCTTTGCCAGGTTTTGGTATCAGATTGATGCTGGTTTGTAGAATGAATTATAGAGGAGTCCTTCCTCACTTTTTTGGAATAGTTTCAACTGAGTTAGTTGTGACTATCTTATTATTATTATTATTACTATTGAGATAGGGTCTCACTCTGTCACCCAAGCTGGAGTGCAGTGGCAGAATCAAGGCCTACTGTAGCCTTGACTTCCTGGGCTCAAGTCATCCTTCCACCTCAGCCTCCTTAGTAGCTGGGACTACAGGCACACCCCACCATGTCTGGCTAATTTTTTTTATTTTTGGTAAAGACGGGGTCTCACTATGTTGCCCAGACTGGTCTTGAACTCCTGGGCTCAATCAATCCTCCTGACTTGGACTCCCAAAGGGCTGGATTATAGGTGTGAGCCACTGAACCCAACCTGTTCTGTCTATTTTAAGTCTTTTCAAAGAACCAACTTTTAACATTATAGATTCTATTTATTGTACTTCTGTTTTTGAGACCATGAATTTTGCTCTTAACTTTATCATATTCTTCCTTACAATTTATTTTGTCTTGTTCCTTTTTTTTTTTTTTGAGATGAAGTCTCGCTCTGTTGCCTAGGTTGGAGTGCAGTGGTGTGATCTTGGCTCACTGCAAGCTCCACCTCCCAGGTTCATACCATTCTCCTGCCTCAGCCTCCTGAGTCGCTGGGACTACAGGCACCCACCACCACGCCCGGCTAATTTTTTGTACTTTTAGTACAGATGGGGTTTCACTGTGTTAGCCAGGATGGTCTTGATCTCCTGACCTTGTGGTCCACCCGCCTCAGCCTCCCAAAGTGCTGGGATTACAGGCGTAAGCCACCGCGCCCGGCCCTTTTGCAGACTTTTGAAGTTGCATGCACAACTTACTCATTCTTTCTTAACACAAACATTTAAGGCTATTTTTCTCTAAAAACTGCTTTTGCTAAGTCCTTTATGCTTTGATATGTAATCTGAGGGAAGATACGCATTCCAGGCAGAGAGAACAGCCAAGACTGGAGAAAGGTGTATGCCTGAAATGTTTAAAGAACAGTCCAGAGCTGATGTGGCAGAGGAAGATAAGTGAGGCACACAGTGGCAGGTCATGGGGTCAGGAGAGAAGATGAGACCAGATCACTTAGGGACATGTAGGTCACCCTAAGAACTTTGGCTTTTGAGTGAAACAAAAAGCCATTGGAGAGCCATGAGAAGAATTGTAATATGTCCATCTTATCTTCTTAGAAGTGCCCTCTATTAAGGCCAGGGTCAGGAGTTTGGTGAGAGAAACTCAAGAATGCTAGATTCATTTAGTTTCATTTGCTGCCTTTAGTAAGCGATTACTAGGTGTTAGACACTGTGCTAGCTACTTTTCAAACATTTTATTTTAATTTTCAACAGCTCAATGAGAAAGCTATAACAATAACAAACAATAATAACAGCAATAGGAATAGTTGGCATTTATTGACTAGTTACAACGTGCCAGGCACTATTTTATGCACTTTCATCACTTAATCCATGCCCAAACCAATGAAATAGATAAAACTATTGTCCCCATTTTATAAATGAGGAAACTGAGGAATAGAGAGACTAAATCACTTGTCCAAGGTCACCTGGCTAAACTCAGGCAGTCTGGCTGCAGAGCTTTACCTCTTAACCAATATACAATACTGCCTCCCTTGCAGTAAGCTGTACTTTGAGGATGAAGAATGTTGGGCTTAGTGAAGTTACAGAACTTGCCAAGGTCACATCCTAGTAAGTGATAGCTATGGATTTTGAACCCAAGTTCATCTGACTCCTGATCCTGATTCCCTGGTGGCAGATGCTATCAGCTGATAGCCTCTCTGAAAATCCTGTTGGACATGAAAGTTCACAGTGAGAGAGGGTAGGCAACATCATCTTAGAAGAGAATGGCCAAATTATTCTGTAGGCCATGTATTTTCTCCTTTTGCTCCATTCTACCTTTCAGATGGAACTATTTTACTCTGTGTAACACTTGAGTGCTTGTTTCCTTCCATTCCTTGAGAACACTGGCCACTTCTTGTCCTTCTCTGTATCTTGAGCACCTAACACAGTGCTAGGAAGTAGGTGCTTAATAAGTGCTTGTGGAATGCTAAAAGATTATTTAACCTCTTTCCTAGAAACGAAGACCCAGATTCATAGGAGCTTAACCTAATGCATGAAAAAGAGAGATCTCAACACATCCAGTGTCAAGTAGGGTACCCCATCCTAGTCAATATATTTTTCATCATGACAAATAAGGTGAGAAAATACATGGTTAAATTATATACATTGCTCAAAACAAAATACATAGATCTAAACTGGTGAGCTTTAATTGATTTTTGATAAGTATTGAAATAAATATATCAAGAAAGTTAAATGTTGTTTTTTTAAAAAACAGCTTTTTAATAACACAGTGATTAATGGCAAGTGATAGGTAAATATTACTGAAACAAAGAGATACAAACTAAATCTGACTTTTGATGTGATATGCAACTATATCAATAACGCTATATGCAAATTCATCAAAACTAGAAATTTTCTGGTTCTGGTTCTGTCCTCATCCCTTCCTCATCCACCATCCCTGCAAAAAAAAAAAAAAGGAAAAAAAAAGACCCAAGAAGTTTCTAAACTTTTAAAATTGTTGTGAAGAGGGAAGTAAAGACTATGGCTGACAACTATTTAAAATGAGGGAAACTCAATGGAGCACAGAGAACTTTGTTTTAGACATTGTATTAGTTTCACTGCTATAAAGAACTACTGGAGACTAGGTATTTTATGAAGAAAAGAGGTTTAATTGACTCACAGTTCCACAGGCTTAACAGGAAGCAGGACCGGGAGGTTCTCAAGAAACTTACAATCATGGCAGAAAGCAAAGAAGCAAGTACCTTCTTCCCATGATGGTGTAGGGGGAGAGAGGAGAGGGAAGTGTCACACACTTTTAAACCATCAGATCTTATGAGAACTCACTTACTATCATGAGAGTAGTAAGGGGGAAATCTGCCCCCAAGAGCCAATCACCTCCCACCAGGCCCATCCTCCAATTCGACATGAGATTTGGGTGGGGAAACAAATCCAAACCATATCAGATGTTCTGACTAAAAGGACCTATTATGTTTTGCATTTAGTCTGTAACTCCGCATCATGTCATGAATCACATTGCTGCCAAGAATGTGTAGTGAGCTAAATGCATTGCAGGAGTCAAATTACAAAGGAAAATCTCCATTGTCTTCAGATACTCTCTTGAGGTCTTAGATAACCTCTTCTCAGCCCTCACATCTCCATTTCAACTAAAGGGGATTGAAGGAGAAGCAGAATGTTTTCTCTGTGCAAGTAATTTTAATCCTTTATCAGAACTCAAGACTGTCCCACCGGGGGTTGGAGGCTAAGGGCAAATCACACTGTGTACCTTGTTCCTTCTCCAGTACCTTGTTCCAACTCCACTTGCCCTTCCCTAGCCCATTTCAGTAAACAGATAAAACTGGATTTAAGTAAGCCTCAAGGAGAATCTTGCAAGAGAAGAATCATAAAGCAGTAAATTGTAGCAATTAATTACATGCATTTTTAATGAAACTTAGGTTTTTTTTCTTTTTTTAGCACTATCTTCATTTATTCCCACCACTACTCCTAGAGTTACTAGTATCTTTGGCTTTCTGAAGACTAGGGTAATTACAAAGCCCCGGTCAGGGCAGTGGTTTTTATTAATGGTAGCCTGAGTAGGATATATTATTAATAGTTAAGAATATAAGCTTTATAACTGACTGACCCAGGTTTGAATCCTGACCTTTTTACTTTGTGGCCTTGAACAAATTATTTAACCTCTCTAATTCTTAGTTTTTTAAGTCAGTTAAATAAGGTAATAATACCTATTTCATAAGATTTGTTTGAGAATATTAAATAAGAACATTGCATAAAGCATGATGCATGCTACATTGTAAATACTCAACATGGTAGATGTTAATATTACTATTATTATGATATTTTATTCATTCAATAAAGGTTGTTGATAAATTATGAATCCAGAAATTGTGCTGACTGGACTCACTTTAAATTTGTAACTACAAATCTCAAATGACTCAAAATAGTCCCAGATTATTCTATCTCATTGCCCTGGTAACTTCATTTTCCTCCTTTCCAAGAGAGCTATTTCACAATGTTCTCTTCTCTCAAATCCCCATACCTCCCACATACACACACACTCACACTCAACTGATACTCATACTCAGACTTTCGTCATAGACAATAAATGTCAACATGCAAAATGCCCTCTTTCTCATCACAAAATCCACTTGCCTTCCTACATCCTTGTTTATGAACTTTGTCTTCCCTCCTTTTTCAGGAAAACAGAGTTCCTGCCCCTTTGGCCACCCTCCCCTGCACCTGGAACATATCCTCTCGGGCCTTCCCAGGCACCGCACTTCTGTACTCATGTACGGGCTTCTTCTGTTCACTAGAACTTCAATTCTGGAGTGTCCCAGGCTCTGCCCAGCCCTCTCTCCTTCTCTATTTATGCTATCCCCCTAAATGATTCGACCAACTCTGAGGGCTCTTAATATCATCTATGCTTTAATGATTGATCTCCAGTCTTCCTCATTTCAGTAAATATTACCAACATCTACCCCATGTCTTCAGCGAAAAACCCAGGAGCCCACATCTAATCTGTTCAACAAGTCTTGTATGTCTTACTGGCTAACTCCAAACATACCTTAAGTCTAACTACTTCTGACAAACTTCATTACTACCACCATGGTCCCAACTACCATTATTTCTCTCTAGATCAGGGTTTCTCAGTCTTGGCATTATTGACATTTTGACCAAGTGATTCTTTGTTCTGAGGGCTGTCCTGTGCACTGTAGGCTGTTCAGCAGCAGCCCTTCTCTCTACCCACCAGATGCTAGTCACATTCCCACTACACAGTTATGAACACCAAAAATCTCTCCAGACGTGGCCAAATGTCCCTTATGGGGCTTGGGGGGGTCGAAATCACTCCCAGTTGAGAACCACTTCTCTGAATTAGTGCCAGCAATCTCTTAATTTGTCCCCCTGTCCCACTCTTGCCCTTCTAAAATCTACATCCTATACAGCATCCAGAGTGATCTTATTAAGCATATGAATCGTCATATCCCATCCCCGGTGAAAACATTTCAGAGGCTTCCTTTGTACTTAGTCCACAGCTCAAGATTCTGGCATTATTTCCTTCTACTCTCACCTTCAGTTACTGCTCTGCAGTCCTCTGGCATTCTTGTCATCCCCCAAACTTGCCAAGTTTATTCCTATATTGGGGCCTTTGCCCCTGATGTTCTCTCTGCCTGAAATTCTCTTCCCACAGAGCATGCCTTAACAACTCATCATTCAAACCACACCTCACATCCTCCTCCAGCTTTTCCTGAACCACCAGTGAAAGAAGTCTCCTATAGCTACTCTCCATCACATTACTCTATTTTCTTTATCGGGGCCAGAGATTATATCACGTATTTTCACCAACTTATTGTCCTCCTGTGAAAATATTTACTCCATGAGAGGAGGGGCTTTATTTGGACTTGTTTGCCTTTTGCCACTTTAACATTAATTTCCTGAAAAGTGCCTGACCAAAACAAGGATCTGGAAAATATGAACCAATATATTTTTGTCTGATTAATTAGCTGATTAAACACCTATGTGATTCAGCTTTGGGGTTTGGGGGCTGTGGCTAGAAAAATAAATAATAAGACACGGCTCCTGCCCTCAAGGAGTTAGATCCAATGGAGGTTTTGGAGAAGTAAAAAGGAAATTACAATATAGAATACGAAGTGCTACAATAGAGGGAAGCTTAACTCAGATCTAGGGCTTCAGAGACTTCCTAGGGAGGGTGACATGAGCAAATGCATCCAGAGGGGTGAGTGAGAGTTAGCTGGGTTAGTGGGTGCTAGAGTCTGAATTGTGTCCCCTCCCAAGTTCATATGTTGAAGCTCTAACTCCCAGTACCTCAGAATATTACTGTATTTGGAGATGGGGCCTTTAAAGAGGTAATTAACTTAAAATGAGGCTGTTAGGTTGAGCTCTAATCTAATCTGACTGATGTCTTTATTATAAGAAGAAGAAATGTGGATACTCAGAGAGACATCAGGGTTGTACACACAAAGGGAAGACCATGTAAGGCACAACAAGAAGGCAGCCATCTATAAGCCAAGGGGAGAGGACTGGAACGGATCTTCCCTCATAGCTCTCAGAAGAAACTGCCCCTGCTGACGCCTTGATCTTAGACTTCCAGCCTCCAGAACTGTGAGAAAATAAATGTCTGTTGTTTAAGCCACCCAGTCTGTGGTCCTTTTTAGGGTAGCCCTTGCAAATGAATACAGCAGAGTGGGAAACTGAGGTGTGTGGGTGGGGTGGGAAGCACCTGGGTGTGGAGCACAAGCTGTATGGTTGTTAGAGGGGAGGCTGGAGAGGTTGGGAGGTCTGAGCTCATTAGGCCTGACCAAATAAAGGCCAGGATAGGAGTGTGAGCACTATGGTGAAGATTCTCAAGAACACTGAAAAATCACAAGCAGCACAGTAAGGTGATCAGACTTGCCTCCGAGAAGAATTTTAGTGGTAGCGTGATGAGTAGAGTGTAGGTGAGGAACACCAGAGATCCTGAGAGCAACAAGGAAGCATGTAGCTTTGCAGTCCAACAGACTGAGGTTCCCATCCAGGCTCTGCCATTTAGAATCCCTATGACTTTGGACAAGTTCTTACCCCTCTTTGGCTTCTGTTTCCTCATTTGTAATTATAGGTATGATTCTTACCTCAGGGGATAATATGAGAATTAAATAAGACAGCATGTGTAAAATACTTGGCATAATACTTGACAAATTAGAAACAACGATTGCCGGTAGCTATTAGAATATCCAAGGCAGTAATAGTAGAGCTGGGAAAAAGGGACAAGCTTGAGCTATCTTAAAGATGAATAATCTTTAAAACTTGGCCATTGATTTTATGTTTGGTGGTGTGAGAGAAGATGAAGTAAAAAATAACATCTAGACTTTTGAGTCGGGCAGGTTTTGGATTGTAATGTCATTCACCAAAGTAGGAAATGAAAACAAAGAACCAGGGAGGGGAAGAGGATGAGTTTAATTTTGGATACGTTGAGTTTGAGGGATACTTGGTACATATCAGAAGAGTATCTCATAGAGAGTTGAATATAGAGATCTAGATTCAGGAAAGAGGCTTGGGCTAGAGACATAGACTAGATTGATAAAGCATTTCATTGAAAGTGTGCAGAGTGAGAAGAGAAGCAAAATAGAGGTAGAACTCCAGGGACATATCCACCATCAGAAGAAGAGAAGACAGGATAGGAGGCTAAAAAGGAGCCTACAAAGAGAAAGGAGAAAAAGAAAAAGTGAAGTCAAAGGGAGGAAAGACATTTGAAAAGAGAGTAGTTAACAGTGAAAAAGCCAAAGAGAAATCAAATAAGGTAAGAACCAAGCCATACCCACCAGACTGTGTAATGCCTAGATATCAGGCAAGACTTGGAAAAGGATGATTTTAGGGAGTGATAGGGATATAATCCCTATTGTAATGAGGTAAAGAAAAAATGAGAGGTGGGGAAGTGAATATTGTGAGCTTTATTGTTCCATTTTTATTTTATTTTATTATTTTAGAGATAAGGTCTTACTATGTTTCCCAGGCTGGTCTTGAACTCCTGGGCTCAAGTGATCCTCCTGCCTCAGCCTCCCAAAGTGCTGGGATTGTAGGCATGAGCCACCACACCTGGCCAATATTGTGAGTTTGAGAATGAGAGACAGAGAGAGAAAGAGAGAGAGAGAGAGAGAGAGAGAGAGAGAGAGAGAGAGAGAGAGAGAGAGAGATAAACTCTGTCTGTAGAAGAAAAATCCTTTTGTTCCCTCACCCTTCATAACTCCTTGTTTCCCACCATCCTAACCTGTATTCAGCCCAGGGGTTCTTAACCCTTAACCTTGGGTTCATAGATCCACCTCAAGTGGTTCACAAATAGAATTTAAGGGATCTATGTAATTTCAGAAAAAAATTACAACTTCAATTTCACTCGACTGAAATCTAGCATTTTCACCAATTGTGAATTTAGGCAAAAACTACAGAAGATCAGCAGTACCTGTGACTGTCAAAAATATTTTTTCATATCATGTTACAGTTGTCGCAGATTTCTCAAAATATCATTTACACTCTTCACTTTTATGAAATTATAAGTTATTTTAAGTCTGCTGCTAGATCTTATAAATAGTTTTAAATATTTTGATAACTATATTTAAATTCAATTAGTTTTCTTTGTAATCGTATGTGTTTTATGTTTTTAAAAACATTATTTGGAGAAAGGGTTGATAGGCATCCTCAAATGTCTTTGGCACAAAAAGGTTAAGACTTCCTGCTAGTTCATTCCGTAAGCTATGTATCTGCCCTATTATCTCAAATTTTTGGATTCTATATGCTGCTGCCCTTACTCTTCTATCTATAAGTCACAGTTATCCCATATGCTTTTCCAGGGAAAATAGGCATGTGTCTCTATGTGTTTTTCAATTGATCTCACCATCCCTTAGTCCTTTTACTTTTCACCTGGTCATAGAAACACCATCTGTTTTGAGATGGTAAAATTGTTTCAAATATTCATTTACATTTTTGTTCACCATCAACCAACATTTATTGAGCACAAGATGCTATGCTGCATGCTTGGGTACACAGCACTGGTATAACCTATGAATTTATGGTTTGAAGAGTAGTCAAAAGAGATGAGAAGTAGATTTATACATAAATAGTTATAAGACAGTGTGGAAGTTGCTTTACTTAGGATAACAAAGTTTTGTGGTATCGGAGTTGCCAGGGGAAGGCTTCAGGCAGGGAGTGACACAGAATGACGAGAATGTTGTTAAAGGACTGAGTGTGCCAAGACTGGGTAAGTAATGTTCATAAAGCCATTGCTTTGTTTCCTAAAAATCTTTGAAACATTAAACATCACGGAGTAAAAGATGTTTTTTTCATCTTGATATATAGATTTAATTAGCATACCTGATGAGGACTGAGAAAAAAATGGAGGACTAGGTTGAATTTTTAGGATATCTTCCTTCCTGTAAGCATTTACCGAGAGAAACAATGTTCATAATCGCTACAAATGAAAATATTAAGCCAACATTCATTTAAAAAAGCATTTGGATATGAGAATTATCAGGTTTCATAAATGAGTGAATGACACCTGCTGGCCACATAGAATAATTACCCTCTCTGAAGGAATGGTGAGTGCTAATAGTGAATACTGTGAACCCCATTTCTCTACCAAAGCAATTACATGTCATACTTGGGCTTTTCTTTAATGATCAGCAAGGGGGAGAATTTTTGGAACAGTGAACCTTATACTTTTTGGGGTTTGTTTTTCTAGCTTGAAGAGTTCAAGAAGTTTAAAGAATTTAAATGTTTACTGCAATTTATTTAATAGTAAGTTAACTGAGACTTGGAGAGAAGTAATGCCTCACTCAAGATCACACAAGCAGGTTGGCAAGCTAATACCAGAGCCCTGGTTTCTGTTCTCCTACATTCCCAGACTAGGCAAAGATTCGGGTTGTTTGTTAACTTTTCTTCTATCTCTTATTGTTTGGCTCAACTCTTCAGAAATTTTATTAATGGTGACGTCACTAATACTTTCTATATGTCTAATGTCTTTCACTTTTTAAAAAAGTCTGATTTGTTGAAGTAAGATTTACATAAAGTAAAATTCACCAATTTTAAGTGTACAATTCTATGAGTTTTGATAAATGTATATAGTCTTATCACCATTCACCACAATCAGATCTAGAATATATCTATCATCCCTGGAGATTTCCTCATGCCCTTTCATACCCAACCCCCCACTTCTACCTCCAGGCCCTGGCAATCACCGATCTGTTTTCTGTCCCTAGAGTATCGCCTTTTCCAGAATGTCATATACATGGAAGCATATGGTATATGGCTTTCTGTGTCTGTCTGCCTTCACTTGGCTTAATGCTTTGGAGGTTCAGCTATGCTGTTGCATGTAAAGGTAGTTTGTTTCTTTTTATTGCTGAGCAGCATGCTACTGTATGGATAAACCACAATATGTTTATCCTCTAACTAGCTGATGGAAATTTGGGTTGTTTTCAAATTTTGATGATTATGAACAAAGTTTTGATAAATATTTGAGTATAGGTCTTTGTGTGGACATATATTTAATACGTCTTAGGTAAATACCTAGGCATGGGATTGCTACTATATGGTGAGGGCATGTTTTACTTTATAAGAAATTATGGCTTTTGCTTTTCAAAAGTAATTGTACACATACTCCTTCATTTATTCTTAGTCTACTTCTCGTTGTGTGCCATATCATTGTTGTAGAAATATTTTGTATAAAATATAGTTTTAGCATTAAGTGTGATAAATGATGAGAGGCCTTTTCAATAAAAGGTCATAAAATAGCATTTTTAAAGGAATGGAATATTGCATAAAGGGAAGAGTACAGCCTTGGAACTATCTGAAGTTTGTCATTTTGGCTGCTGTGTAACTTTTATTAGAAAAATTACCTAACCTCTTTGAATGTTAGTTACTTTATCCTCAAGGTGTGGGTGACACAGGCCTCTACATGGCAGGGTTGTTACAAAGATTATATGGGATAATATAAGCTGAATGTTCAGCACATAATAGGTGCTGCTGTTATTGTCATTACAGTTACAATTTTTGCTGAATGCAAAAGGCTGCATTGTAGAAAACAAATGGTATCACATTACTAATGTTTAGTGTTCATTGGGAATTAATGGGTTCTTCCAAGGCTTTGTATACACCACTCAGAGACAATTAAGTTACATTTGACTCAAGTGTCTATGATATGTGAGTTTTTAAAATAACGTGCTAGTCTAACACTTCGCCACAGATTAGCATTTTGTATTTAATTAAGGTCATGTCTTCTATATGTCACTGAGAAATGCTATTGTCACAGAAATTATGATAACAAGGTGTCATAACTTATGTAATATGATTTACCTAGGCAAGGACCCATTTAATTTAACTTTTGAAGGATTGATATTTTCTATAGCTCTACTTAGATATTCTTAATCAAAAACATTGACAGTAGGTTTTTGACTTTGCTATTTTAAGACTACTTCACTTAGTTTACTGGCAGGTATTTAAACTACTAAAAATGTTAGTTAATTAGGTTGCACTGACATCTGCTGGTCAGACAGTAAATTCCATAAAAATCATGTTTCACCAGTGTAAATGAAATCAAATAATTTAATTGTTTTTACAATTCGTATTTGCATTCTGGGTTTAAAAAATTAGCTGCTGTATATGATCATTTCTGATTCATAGCTCAATTTGAGTCAAGTGGTTTGTTAGCCTGCTGTAACTGTCTTCGAGTTCTTCATAATGGCCAGTGGTATCCATTAAATAGCTTTGTTAAGAAGTAAAATATCTGTGAAATCACAACCTCTTCCAGTCGGTGTTTACCACTGCGTGATGACATCATCATCACGTATTTTGGCCCTAAAACGCAGCAAACAACTAGTGATGTTTATTAAGTTAGAATTCACTTGGAGACAGTGTTTCTGGGGAGATAGGATTAGGATGTAGGGGAGGTTCCAACAGAGCTAAACTCTACGGGATAATTTTTTCTTGCTGGGAAGTATAATATAGCTACTTTAAAACCTATTAATTCAATACTCACGTTTAGGGTTATGGAATTTTGAAACGGGAAATAAATTTCCTGACCATTTAGTTTGTCATTCTCTTTTGTATATGTGGAAATTGAGACCCAGATAAATTTAATTAACTTAGTCACCTAGCTGATACTAGAAAGAAAGTTCCCTGATTCTCCCATCGCAAGATTCTTTTCTATATAAATTGTCTTCACTAGCTGTATATTATTTATTGTTTAAACCAAAAATATTTGGACACACATACTCACACATAAGTATGCTTACCTGAGAATTTATATTTAGCTTATTTTAACTCAACCATGCCGACTTTCTCTGAGACATTATTAAAACACACAGCATATTATATAATATTTCTCTGTGGTGCTTCAGAAATATATATATTCATTCATATGTTCCCTCCCAGAAAATCAAGCTCCATTCTCTATTTCTTCAATATGTGAAAATAGAAAGAGGTATGTGGATGAGAAAAAGAAAATGAATCAAAAATAAACCTTAACCAGGGAAATTTCTGGCTCTTTGATGAGGTTGAGGGTCATAGCATCATGCATCAGATGTTTTATCAGAAATACAAGCACATTTTCCCTTAATGTTCTGTTCCAATAGGCATTGTTATACAGGATAAAACTTTAAAAATGCAACTTTCATTGTGATAAGTAGTGTGATATGATACAAGACTGATGAAATATTCCATAATATAATGCCAAATATATTTTTTCTCAACTTTAGCACTACTGACATTTTGGGACACTTAGTTCTTTGTGGTGAGGGCCTGTCTTGTGCATTGTGGGATGCTTAGCAGCATCTCTGGCCTCGACTCACTAGACGCCAGTAGCAAGCCCTCCATTGTAACAACCAAAAATGTCTCCAGACATTGCCAGATGTCCCCTCGGGGGCAAAATCAGTCCAGGTTAGGACCTACGGCTATAAAGTAAGACTGATTGCTTCAGATATATATATTTTTAAACTACTGAAAATATTCCAATCAAGAATTTGATTCTTTTTCCTTTTAGATAAAAGAAATATTGACATATGAAAAAGAAAAGAGACTTGAGGCCTCTCTAGATTAAATAAATACTTCATTTACATATTCCTTCTGAGCTAGAGCTAAAGTGGGCCCCTTAAATTGCTTTCAGTACTTGCATACTTACTCTCGCTTCTTTTTATACTCTAAGGTATAATTCTGACACAGTTACTACTTCACAACCAAGCTTTCTTTTTAACTGTTGGCCAAGCTGCTGTTTATCAGTGATGGCTTTTACAATATTCTTTAATTTTCCTGCTATTGCAAAGTTCTCTTTACACGTTATGGCCTGTGAATCTTGGGGCAGGTATTTTCATCCCTATTCTTCAGATGAAATTAAGTCAACCCAGGACTCAGTGCATGTTTCTAGGGTACCAAATGGTCTTTTTTTCATCTATGGTAGCTATATATTTGAGTTGTATATTAAGAAGGCTTTCAAGGAGTGGAGGAAAGAAGAATGAGGGAGGGGAAGAAGGAGGGAAGGGAGAAAGTGAACAAAGTTGAAAGCAACTTAGTGGAACAATAAACGATAAAAGCTGGCATGGGATAGAGGATGATATAATCTCACCATTTAAGTCATTGTGGCAACCTTTGAGATTCAGTACCTTCATACTCATCCTCCATCACAGCAATATCCTCCACTCCCTCTCCCACATTCCACTCCCTGTCCCTCCTACCCCCTCAAGTGCATGTATTCTAGCACACACAGATATCCCTTCCTGGCCTCAGGTTCAAAGCCTTAGGTCTTCCCAGAGGAAACAAATGTGGCCATTTCTGTTGCTTCCAAACGGTTTATTGCTGGTACCAGGAAATTTTCATTGTTTATACTCTAAACCTTGGAGTAAAGTTTTTAGAAGCTGTCAAATGCTTCCTGAAGCTTATATTGCCCTCCAGTTTTTTTGATAGTTGATTGCCTGCCTTTTCAGTCTTCTCAACACAGAGTTCTATGAATGAGCAGCCTTTCAAATCCAGCACTATTTGAGTATTTTATATGTAGAAAAAATATATGAAAGAACCTGTTAAATAATACTCAATTTTGGGAAACTGACAGGAAACAGGTGCTCTCAGATGTGGTATGAATAGGCTAGCCATGTCAACACCTCTGGAAGCATTTAGCAGTATGTAGCAAAACCCTAAAAGCACACACACTACTAGATAGACCCAGGTATTGAACTTTGTTGGACTTGATTTTAAAGAAATAATTATAGATATGCTCAAAGATATCTTTTCAAGGCAAAGATACTTATCCAAATGTTTTTATAATGGTAAAAAAGTATAAAATAAAATGGTAGTATGATTGAGTGCATAAATTATGGTTTATTCATATAATAAAATACCAGATAAATCATGCTAGTAAAATATATGCCTAGAAAAGTCTGCAGGAACACATACAAAAATGCCATTGTTAATTGGGGTAGTGGGCTTTTAATTACTTCTTTATACTTTTCTGAATATGCCAAAATTGCCGGAATGAATATATACTGCTTTAATCATAAGAAAAATAGTATTTGACAGAGCGAGACTCCGTCTCAAAAAAAAAGAAAGGAAAAACAGTATTTGAAATAAATAATGAATAGGAGATGAAACTGCCATGGTTCCTTACCCATAGTTAAATGCAAATAATTTCCTGAATGTCTCACCTGGTGGATGCAGGGGCTTCCTAACACCTAGGTGGTGAGTGGAAGGATTAATTCTGTCCTTATTATCAATAACACTGTCATCCCAACAGCTTTCATTTACTGAACATCTAAAATGGGCAAGGCACTGTGCTGTATTTATGCAAGTTATCTCTTTTATTCCTTAAAACAAACTCCAGGCAGATATTATCCTTATTTTGCAGATAAGGAAACTGAGTAAAGAGAAAATGAGGTCTAGCAAGGATTTGAGCCCAAGTATTCTAATGGCAAAGTGTGCACAATTGACCCGCTACGTTGCATTGCTTCTCTTACAAAGTTTTAAGCCTGAGCATCTCTTCTCCAGATCATTTGAGGCAAGAATAAGAGGCGTTCAGGGAAAGACAGCTTTAATAGGAGTCTATCTACAATGCAAGAGTCTTTGTAATGTAGACTGAACTGCACTTTGGTTTCATATTATTTGCTCTATAATATCTGAAACCATGATATGATTAACTTATGTGATGCTTAAGACAAGTTTAAAGACACAAGATGGGAAATAAAATTTGGGAATATTTTTTCATGGGTAATGTGGCTAATGTCTCTACCTTATTCTCAGCAACATATTAGAGTATCATATCTAGAAATGTGTAAGAACACCAATCACAAAAACATGAGTCTGCTTAGTTAACACAGAACACATGGATGGCAAAAGTTTCTTTTATTTATCTGCTAGAGGAATCATAAGAGGCAAAAAAGTACTACCAATATTGGACAAAACAGATAACTGACATTATCGATTTTTAGTAAGATTCTTAGTTTCTTTGTTTTTGTTTTTTACAATCTGACTGCATTAAGACACATATACTCTTTAATGTAAAAAAAAAACCATCATATGCGGAACTAAATGCACAAAGACCTCATTATTGGAACATTAGCCATGATTATTTTAATATTCTCACAGCTTTGCAATTTTGAGAATATACTAGCATTATATAAGAAGGAAGAGGAGAAGGAGGAATAAGAGGGAAAGGAGGAGAAAGAGAAGTTGGTAAACAGAGGCCTAGTTAAGAATTCCTTGCCTTAGTGGTGAACAAGGACTAAACACAGACAATGGGTGAAACACAGACGCTAATTCACATAACAGAGAGTAGGCAACCTTAAGAATGAATTGATGCAGACTCCTATAGAATTCCTCTGTTATGACTGGGTTCTTATTTTCTCCTCCTTGTATGTAGTTGAAATTTCATCATTATGAATAGTTCCTTGGATCTTTTTTTAAAGTTGTGAATGCAAGTGTTTGGCTTTGTAATACAACTTTTTAGTATCCAGAAGATAACCAGTGCTCTACCAATAAAGATCTTTTGATACAAAGGGTTTTAACTTCTGCCAGTTCTTACTCATTTTTTTCAGGTTTTTTATACATTTCTTAAACAACACATACATTATGTAAAATATAAGAATTAATGTACATTCTCAAGGTCAGATTCAGTGACAAAATGCACTACCCGAATCTAGTAACACATTTACTCCTTGCTGCATATAAGTGGCGTGTAAGAAATACAGGGTATATTGTTTTGTGATCCATGCAGTAAATGTTCACAAATATCAAGCAAACAACTAGACGTTCTTCAGCTACTAAAATTAACTGTCCCAGTCACAAAAGACTTAACAAAAATAAAAGCATGGATGGTTACATCAAAACCATGCTGGACTGAGTTCGTCCTGGAAGAGCTGGTTGGCAGGGCCACAAGGAAAGCACTGGCAGCTGCAAATTTTCCTCTTCATATGTGACTGAGACTATTCTCTTCTTACATGGCTTTACCCCATACCACAGGCTTTTGCTAAAGAGGCATTTCAGGTTTCAAATTAAAACAACTGACCTTTAGTGAAAAAGCAGAGAAATGCCTCTCTTGAGTTTCTGATCCTAGAAACAGCTTGCTATAGGTCCTTAAGGCAAATGCCAGGAGTCAAAGAAACTGTAGAACAGTCTCAGGATGTAAACAATAAAATCACTGACCAAGGAGTTATATCCCTGGATGAAAACTCTTCATAAGAAGACCTAACTGGATAAGACCAACTTCTTGGCTTTCAAAAGTAATGTGAATTTTATATCCTAGAAGCACTGCACTTTTTTTTCTATTGTAGAGACTTCTGGAGTAGATAAAATTCATGATGTTGCTTAAAAAAATACATAGCATGGAGAAGCTACTCAAATGCCAAGCAGTTTTCAGGTTTGTTTTTGTTTGTTTTACTTTTATATTTTTCTTTTGTAGTTGGCATATGGAAAACCAAACTGGGAAATCATAATGTTGGAGTATCTTAAGGGCATGCTATCATAGATATTAACAAGCTTATTTATACAATAAGACCTCTGCAGAGCGTGCTCAGCTCGATGCCACATTCCAGAATAGCCACTGTTGGTTTCTTTTTCCAAATTGTCCATGTTTACAGGCTTCACAAATATCCCTGAAGTCTTGCCAATATGCTTGGCAATGATAAAATTCATGGCAATATCATCACAGTTTTGAGTATCATCTATCAAAGCATGGACAGCTGCAGGTTGCCTCTGAAATAATTCAAGATATTTGCTATTGAAGAATGAGGCTCCAATCAGCACCATAGAGTACTGGTCACCATTTCCAGACCCTGGTGCTTGCATTTCAAAACTTCCATAACTGTAGATACCTGATGAAGTAGAGACGTGCTTTCTAGGAACAAATCCTACAATTTGATCAGGAAATTGCTGAAAAGAGGGAAAAAGAACAATAAAATGTCACATATTTTTAGAGAAGACATAGTGAAAAAGGCAATGATTTATTACAGAGAGAATGAAACTGATTTGTCAACTCTTCCTTATTCCTGGTTTCTACATTTCAGTTTTATCTAGCTCCAGGTAACTTCATAAATCTGTGTTCTGATATGTTTACAGGTCAAATGGCATCACAACCCAAACATCTCTGAAAACAAATATTCTACCCTTACAAATGTTCTCCTAATTCAAACATTATCTGACATTAACAAATTCCAGTCACCAAAGAGTCCAATCCTTCAAAATGTGCTGCGAGAAAAGTTGACTGCCTGAATGCTATTTGTTGTAGGAAATAAGAGATAATGGGATCGTTTTGAAAATTTGTTCTAATCTCTTAGGAGTATATAAAATTATGGACCTACATGTGTGATTGTCTCTTTTTCATGTTGATTTCGATGTTCATAAAAATTACTGTTGATTTTAAACAATGTTATATTTATCCCATTTCAGCTTGGGTGTTTCTTTTTTTAAAAAATGAGATAATATAAATAAATGTTTATACTTATCTATATAACATAAATGTTTATATTATGTATATGTGAGAGAGATGCATCAGAATCTTTGATGAAAGGATAGATGGTAGATGAGCATGACTAAAAATAAAACAACAATCAGCAAACAAAAGAAAAACACTGAAGCATGGGAAAGAGGTAAGAATTTATAGGGTTGAAAGTTTCATTCACTCATAAATAATTTGAGTTTCATTCATTTATTGAACAGATGCAGAACTAGGGACACACACACACACACACACACACACACACGAGGCTGAGTTAAATGCTATTTCAAAGCACTTATAGTCTAGAGAGGGTAGAGGGGTATAATATGGATATGCAAACAAGGAAATACAATACTGTGAGAAAGTTGTTTTAAGTGCAGCTGGGTAAATTCAATGGGCACATTGAGGGTAGAATGACAACTGTGTTGCTGGGAGGCAAAGGGGAAGGTCAGGGGATGGGGGATAAAGGCTGGGAGGTTTCAGAGAAGATGCGCTATTTATACAATCTAGGAGAATGAAAGAAATTTCACAATTGGCTAGAGAGGGAAAAGGGAAAACACTAAAAGTGGAGGTAATGGGCAAATACAAAGACACAGATGAATGTCTACTCGAATCTTGCTTGCTTATACACAAACCTCAGATCATTATGCTATGCAGGGTTTGGGTTGGACTGAATTTAAGTTGGTCAATGGACTGAAATTGTTTTTGATATTTTTAAAAATAAAACCTGAAATCATATTTATATATCTTTAATTTATAGTTTACTCAGATGGTTCCAATTAACCACAGTCCCCATATTCTGCCTCCATTTTTACATTTTGGGCAAATGGATTTTTAAGCATCAATAGAAATCTCACAGTTGAATTATCACATTAGAACTTTTTGTCCAAGAAGCTTTCATGTATTTCATTTCATTCCAAGGACTGGAAAAAAAAATTGTTGATATGGAAAAATTTCGTTGGTCAGCACACTAGGCATGAAATTAAAAACTGAAGTTTTAAAAATGCTGATATCTGCTGAGTATTGTGATCACTTACCATTAATATCGAATGCTGTTATATCCCAAGAAGCTAATTTTAAAAGTTACCATGGCATAAATTCGATCATTTACTGGGTAGCACAGTGTTTAATTATTTGACACGGCTTCGAAGTACTTCCATGCAGTTCCGGTTTCAGGTAATGGCAGTGCAACTTGTAAAAGTTAGCTATTACTAACACATATTCAATAGGAGAGAGCGGCTTTTATAGGATACTGACCAATTTATGCCTGCTTATTCAAGCTATGATTTAGGAAAAAACAAAACAAAATAAAACAAAACCCTCCTACCACAATGGTACATGTAAAATTATTACTGCAAAATTTCTAAACAATGCTCTCAGAACCAGGATTAAATTTTGTGGAGGTAATAAATACTTCCTTTTACAAAAAGTTATACACATTATTAACATAGAAATAGGCTTATCATTTGAGACACATGTCTGTGGTCTAGGCAAAACATCTCCTCATTCTAGTTTTTGCTGGACCACATCATTTCCCCATTGTTCTCTGGAAGGCAGTTCTAGCTCTTTTCCCCAATACACCAAAATATAAATTAAATCTAGATAAAAGATACTATAACTTTCAGGATGGCTGAACTAAGCTCAGAAAATCTTGATTAGCCTATAACAAATTCATCCATCTTTTAGATAAATATTATCTAAAATATTTTAGGTAACTTCTATATTAACCATGTTGCCGTGGTTAAGTACTAGTCAAGATCTTATAAAGACGGTTTCATAAAAGAGACAGCAACATTACCTGCCAAACTGAGAAAGCAAAAACAAGGTCTGGGGTGCTGATGAGTGTGTCATCATCTACCATCAACACTGCTAAAATGAAAGGACAAAAATTTAAGTTGAATAGTTCGGAAATGAAAACAAAAGTAGTAAAATACAATAGTGTCTATATAGATCATTCAAATGAAGTATTTTCTGACCCAACAATAAATAAGCAATGTATTCTTGGGGAGATTTGTCCAGTAGAAAATAATTTTTTTGGTATCATAACTGATTGTATAACTGCCTGAAGGGAAAATAATCAAGCAGTTATTATCCATCATCCTAGAAACTATTGGGCCTATAAATGAATAAAGCCAAGATTCTTTTAAGCAAATTGCAACCTCATGAAACTGTCAGGAATGGGAGGAAAAGAGGAGTGGCAAAAAAATATATTAAGCATAAGCTAAATGGCATCTTACTATCAACTGTAATGCAATCATATGTAATTATAGCATATCCTTTATTACAATATTAACCTCTTCGCCAGGAAACCACTTCTTGACATCTTGGAAATTGTCCCTCAAGCTTTCCAAAGTGCTTTCTTAGGACTAACTTCCTTCATTTTTCTCCAGACGGTTAAGCAGAAGGCCAGAAATTCACATGTCTGTCCCAGCTCTGGACAGCGGCAGCCTTTCCAGGCTGAGAACTACACTGCAACTCACCATTGGTTTCCAGTTCAGGAAAGACCTGGAGTCGATTTCTCATCCTGTTTGCTGTCTGTTGTTTGAAGATCACAGGGATAGGGTGGGGCCCTAGAGAATTCCATAATTCATCTGGTGCCTTCTCTCCAATATTGTTCCATACCACAATCACTTTGTGCAGATTTGGTACAGCCTGATAATGATTTAAAAGTTTCAATAAGAGATCTGTTCTGTTGTACGTCTGCATTATGAGAGTAAAGGAGTCCATGGTGGACTTGCCCTGGGATTTTATTTCCCTACGCAACATGAGCATCTTGTCTTCTTTAACACTGGGAAGTAAGGCAGTCAAAGCACCAGCTACCAGTAATAATACGAGGATGACCACCAAAGATAATCGAAGCACTCGAATCCCCATTACTCTCCCAGGAAGTTTGCAGATGTGGCAACACCTGGAGTAGAAATGGAAACAACATACAAATGTTAGCATTCTTACGAGTCCCTGTGTTTTCATGTTTTTTTCCAATGAGGAAAGATATCAATCTTATTTTAGTTGATTCAAATTCAGTTCTCCCTTCCTCCTCAATAAGGTAATTTGGCCTAAGAGATTTTAAAAAACCAGTTTAATATTCCCTTCCTTCTTGCCCTGCTTGTTACGCAGTTGCAGACAAAAGATGTTATACACACAAAATTGGAAAAATTAAGCATTTAAAAATTTGCCATCATTTTATCACTATATCTCCAGAACTGAGATTATTTTTCAACTGGGATTTTATTTCCCTTAGTAATATATTAATTTCGAATCTACACTTCTGTAGTAGCAGACTTTTTCCCAAACAAAATCATACAGAGCCATAATACATGAGGCAGCAAACAATTATGGTAGGTGTATTACTTACCAGCCCTGTACTATGTGCTTCATATACCACAGTATGTACTTACTCATTCAACAGATAGTTCCTGAGCACTTACTTTGTGCCACCACTGTTCCAGGTTCTGTGGATACAGCAATTAATGAGATACAAAAGGTGTCTGCTGTTAGTAGCAGAGGAGATGATAGGGAGAAACAGATAACACAATAAACAAATTCAAAAGATAATCTGGGGTAGCGGGTATGAAGAGAATCTGTTTATAAAAAGAATAAATCAGAATAAGCAAGGGCCAGATTATGTGGGACCTCTGACCCTCATTAGAGTCTGGATTTTACTATACGCCAGATGAGAAGCCATTGGAGAGTTCTTGGATCTAATTTATTATTTATTATTATTATTCCCATTTAATAGTTTAGATGCTTACAGAGATTACATGCCCTTCCCAAGATTACCAAGTAATTTCAGTAATAGTGCTAGGATTTCCAACAGGAAAATCTGCCCCGAGAGCCTAGGTTGTTCATGGGCTTGGGGGTGTATTGCCTGGCTTTACATCCAGGTTGAACTGAGGCACAGCCCTACAGCTTCCACAACTCGATCTCTCACAGTACAAATCACAAGGTATTATTATCAGCTATGTACTCTCCCATCTTCCTTATTGTACCTAAAGGGTCTTCCAGAGATAGCCATAGAACAGTAGTGAACAAATTGATAAGTACAGTCTAGCTATCCACTGTCAAAAAATTTTGTGTAATCAAATCCCTTGCTTATATGAGAAAAGGTTAAATCTCAGACAGTTTTATAGATGCCTAAAACTCTTATTCCCTGGATTCCAATAACATTTCATTTCCATGCTTGCTGACTCCTGCTGTAGTACTGTTGGCATTCAATTATTTCTGTTTTTCAATCTTCTGCTATTTCTGCTTCTGATTCCAGGCTACTTACTCTTCCACAGGCCACCAGAAGCATTTTAGGTATGGTCCTTGTTTTGTACTTTGGCAACTGAGTCTTCATAGCCATTTCAGCACATCATGGATCTATTTTACTACTCTATTCAAGTGCAAAGCCAGAAGTGAGGAAAATGAACTATTCAAAGAAATTTACTTATGAAAAGAAAGACTGGAAACAAAAACCAATCAGGAGTTTCTAAACAACATATTTAAAACACCTTTAGGAAAAAAATAGATCTCTGAGAAAGAATAGATGAGATGTTATTCTTGGTGACCTTAATTAACCCATAGTCTATCCCTTCTCATCCCCACTTCTGGTACAATTTCTCTTCTTGGCTATGATAAACAGTTACTCTCATCTATTGCTTAATACTGACAGATGTAATACAGCTGGATAAGACTTTTCACTGCTAACCACAGCTGAAGTATACTAACTGCAAAGAGCTACTGTCACTCTTCTTCTTGGTATAACACTGCCTCTGTACATTTTATTTTTGGTACTCCCCCTCTTCTTGGAAAAGTGAACTGTATGTATACTTACATAGTAATATTTAAGCTCTTGATTTCATGTCTTGTGGCTAAAGTCAGGCAATTGAAGCTAGGCCATCATTCCATAGGCAATCCTAAGACTGTAGTCTAAATTTAGTTTGGAATAGAATAGAATAGTTTTGGAATATTCTGTTCCAAACTAAATCTCATTTTACTTTCCTAATGATATCTACTCAACATTTTGTTTTTCACTGAGGAGACTTGGCAGTGGTTGGGTTAGTAACCATCATATTCCTGTAAGCTTGTTTCATGTTGTGGTGTGTGTTTTGTAATGGTAGAAAGTTTCCTCTCTATAGTTCAAGGACATAGAGAGATCATATATACCCCGTCTTTAACATTTTCCTTTGAAGTTTAAGTTTAGAGAATTGCAAAGAAGGACAAGAGCATACTCTCCATGATAGGACAGTATGCTCAGGCATGTGCAAGCAAAGGAAGAGTTTGTTCACAAAGACAAGGAGAAGATCATTGTCATTCAGCAGCTCTCACTTTTCAACAGTCCAGATTTGAAAAGTAATGTCACCTTTAGAGTAAGCTTTTGAGAGTGATTTCAAGGGTATCTCTCCTGGACTTTCTCTGCAGCTTGTTCTATTAAAAAGAGCAATTTTGTGTTTCTGCTTCTATCACGGCCTCACTCTTAAGGTATAAACAAATAAATTATTTTCAAGGTAACCTCAGCTTTTCCATGATTATTTTACAAGGATAATAACTTAAAGCTTTAGTGTACCATGTTTTCATTTTATCTACCCTCTTACTAAAACATGTAATGTTAATGTGGTCAAGGACAAATCATTACGAATTAACAATCTTGGTTCAAAGTCCTTGAAAATCCTTTTAATATTGAAGGAAAAGTAGGTCCCATAACACATATTTTCAGTTCTACATAAAAATGACTGGTTATAAGTACTGAGAATAAACAATCACTTTGACTAACTGCATTATAGTATACCATGATTAAGATCTTTATATTCATTTTCTGCAGCTGAGTAGGAATAGCACATTTTAAAACTTACATAGAAGTGTTTCTGATCTCTAGACACTAATAACTTGCTATCTAGCAGTTTTAATCTAGAAAAAGTAATAAGATTAATTACTATAGCTTACTATAAATATACACCGTTGAAGACACTCATGAGTGACTGCTTCCTTCTCATGTATTCTTTTAAGTAGGAGTTTATCCCCTGTATCCATCACAGACATTTCCTTTCAGATAGCTCCTAATCCCCCAATTTTACCTGTATCAGAAAGGTTTCAGGAGATATGAATAATTTATGTCTTTAGAAACATAGTGTAAATATTTCATGAGGTATTTATTAAATAATGCAACCCAATAAAATTATGTAAATTTTAGTTTGCATAGTAAAGTACGAAAAGCAAGGACTTTATAGACTGTAGTGCAAGTGGCACACTGTACTTTGACAATAGCTGAGGTCTAGAACTCCATTGTAGGCCCATTAGAAACAGCTTCAGTACAATTTGGAGAATAATGATGACTTTATGGCTAGAAGGATTTCACAGTTTTTGGCGTTCTTCTGTTCTTCTTTTAGAGAAAGAACCTATCATCTAATTTGCAGCTTTGAGCTTTGAATGAGAGATATGAGAAAAAACACATCTGGATGACCTATGTCGTACTTGGGAAGAACTAAGAAGTAAACATAAGCACCTCAGTTCTCTTGCCCTCATTTCCTAAACTTTCCCTTTTAGGTTTTGGTTTTTCATTTTTTAAGTTATGTCTTTATATATTTGCTGACACCCTGCCTCATTCCAAAAAGGATCTGACAGCTCTTAGTCTATTCCCCTTCTGTCCTTCACCCATCCCCATGACTGCAGTAAATATAACTTTGATAAATACAGTAAATGCCAACAAAACAAAAATCCTTCCTCTTCTCCTCATGAACGAAAAAAATCCAAGATTTCCCCCAATGATATTTTCTGCACATTAATTCATTAGTTCTTTATAGGTAGAGAACACATCCTTTTAGTTATTTTGATACATTGTTACTTAGCGTCTTCTACACCAGAGGTCCCCAATCCCCAGGCTACACATCAGTACTGGTCTGCAGCCTGTTAGGAACTGGGCTGCACAGCAGGAGGTGAGCAATGGGTAAGCAAGCATTACCACCTGAGCTCCACCTCCTGTCAGATCAGCTGTGGCATTAGATTCTCACAAGCGTGCAAACCCTATTGTGAACTGTGCATGTGAGGGATCTAGGCTGCATGCTCCTTATGAGAATTTAATGCTTGATGATCTGAGGTGGAACAGTTTTATCCCAAAACCATCCCCCACCACCCATCCATGGAAAAATTGTCTTCCACAAAACAGGTCCCTGGTGCCAGAAAGCTTGGGGACCACTGCTGGGGACACCAAGGGTTTTCAACTAGAGATGATTTTGTCTTCCAAGGGACAGTTGGCAAAGTCTGGAGATATCTCTGATTGTCACAACTAGAGGGGAGATACTATTGCTATCTAGTGGGTAGATGTTAGGGATGCTGCTAAATATCCTGCGATGCACAGGACAGCCCCCCATGGCAAAGAATTATCTGACCTAACACGGCAATAATGCCAAGGTTGAGAAACCCTGATCTACATATAGGTTGCCTAATAAAACACACTTAAACATCATGATGAGGACTACTAGAGAGGTGGCTTCTGAAAATCCTACTGCCATTAGTTATACTCAAACAATAAAGGGCAAAGCCCTGTCTCTAAAACTGCCCCGGGAGGCCCAGCATGATGGCTCAAATCTGTAATCCCAGCACTTACGGGGGCAAAAGCAGGATTCTGCCTGAGCCCCAGAACTTGAGACCAGCCTGGGCAATGTCATGAGACCCCATTCCTACAAATAAATTAAAAAATCAGCCATCTGTAGTGGTGCATGCCTATAGTCCCAGCTACTTAGGAGGCTGAGGCAGGAGGATAGCTGGAGCCAAGACGTTGAGGCTGCTGCAGTGAGCTGTGATTGCATCACTGCACTCCTGCCTGGGGAACAGAGTGAGACTCTCATCTCATAAAAAAACAAAAAACAAAAAACACAACAAACCAACTAAAAAATACTGCCCCAATAATTACATAATTATATGACTTATTGCACAAACACAGAAACTCAGAGAGCTGAAAGAGACTTCAGGGTCCTCCTTAGCCAGTTTCCTTGTTTCACAGATAAACAACTCAAGGTCCGGGGATAAGGAACTTGCCTAAGGTCATGCAGCTGCATGTGGCTAATCAGCAGCAGAACCAAGAGAAGACTCTAAACCTTCTGATGGCACAGTCCACAACTCTTTCCACTATGCTAGGGTAAATTCTGCAAGGATGTGTCAAAAAATTAATAAGGAAGACTGTCACTAACCTGCAAGATAATATAAAAAATTATACTTGTTATGTTGGAGTTTTTTAGTATCTTTAAGGAGAGATTACATACAATAAAATTTACCCATTTAAAGTATACAGTTCAGTAGCTTTTAATATAATCACAGAGTTTTGCAACCATCACCACAATTTAATTTTAAAACATTTTCAACACCTCAGAAAGAAACCCCAGACCCATTAGCAGCCAATCCCTATTTTCACTTCCCTTAACCCCTGACCTCCATCCCAGCTCCAGGAAACCACTAATTTATTTTCTGTCTCAGTGGATTTGCCTATTCTGGATATTTCATATGAATGGAATCATACAATATATGACCATTGTATCTGGCTTTTTTCACTTAGCATAATGTTTTTGAGGTTCATCCATGCTGTATATATCATGAGGTATATATCAGTACCTCATTTTTTTTGTTGCCAAGTAACATTCCATTCTATGGATAGACCACATTTTCTTCATTCATCAGTTAATGGACGTTTGAATTGTTTCCACATATTGGCCATTATGAATAATGCTGCTATGAACATTCATGTACAAGTTTTTATGTGAACCTATGGTTTCAGTCCTCTTAGGTGCTTACCTAAGAGTAGAATTGCTGGGTCATTATGTCAGTAATATTTAAATATCTGAGAACTGAAGTAGCTTTTCAAAGAGCATTATTTGAAATTACAAGTAATTTTCTTAAATGTGGACATAGAATAAGAAAGTAAATAATATATAGTATATTAAATAACAGTACAAATTCTGTCATGGATGTCTTTAAATGGACCAGGCAATTTGAATTTCCAAAGATCTGCTATAGAGTTACTTACTACATAATCTATCAAAGTTCCCTAGAAGAAACACCGTTGAAGGATTCTTTCCTCAAGGCTAGTTCCTTCAGACTGGAAAGCAATAATTATCCAGAGAGAAGCTGAAAACAAACATGCCAGTGCACAGCATGAACAAAGATTATGTTCTCTGACTCATAAGGTAGAAAAGCAATGAGCAACGTGGTGTTGTACAATGAGAAGCTGTCATTTTTATTTTGCTGCCACAGATGGCAGCAGAACGATAACTATTCTGCCATTTCACTACGAGATTTGCCTCATACTGTCCAGATTGTTTCTCCTCTGGCTCATCTTCTAGAATATTTACTTGCCTATAAACTGATGAATATAGAATGTAGATGCTCAGAAAAGGGGCCTCAGCTGCCAAGAGATAAAATCATTCCAAGGTTGAATACAGAGGCCAATGCAGAACCTGAGCTGATGCACGTAAGAAGATGCAAAAAGAAAATTGGAAGAGACGGCTCTACAACCAATGACCAGTTTCTGACCAGGTTTATGGCATGCAGATAACCAACACTGTTTAAACTAAGGCAAAGGCGCATGTGGTGCCAAATTCCAAAAAGACATTTCCCCTCAATGGTACCTACATACAGTGAGCCGATCCACGACTCCATGTATTGGTACATGCTATTTTCTCTACTTCCAAAACCCTTCTATCTGACAAACTCTTACTCCCTGCCCCTCAAATCTCTTTCAAATATCACATCTCCTATAAATGTTTCCCTCACCACTCTCCACCCTGAGTATTCCAGTGAACTCTGATTACTGTGTTTCTAGTCCTTGTTTTCAGGTATTTCAACTATCGACTGTTCTTTTGCTGTTTTTTTCAGTCTTAACGTATCTTGAGGGAAGTTTCTGTCCTTCTTTATAATCCAGAACAGTGTCTGGCCCATTTTTTGACTCAGTGCTCACATCACTATAGTTGAATTAAATGAGGGAATTTATGTCTAAATTGTCCTAAATGTCAATGAATGCCTGAAACATTAACAGAATAAATGCAGATTAAATGTAAATTAAGGCCCAATTAAGACTAGACAGTACCAAAGCAACTGTTCCCTACATAGAAGAGCTGGGTCATCACCCATCTGGTGACTAGAAGAGCATGTCATGAAATGTGACCTCAAACACAGACCACACAGGCCCCCTTTCTACATGCAGTTCTGTGGCCAAGCCACTTGATAAACAAAAGATGTCTCAGATCTCTGATTTTTTTTCACATCTTTTCAAAGATATTCTGCATTAAAATATATTTGAACATCCCTGTTTCTATGAAAGCTCTTGGTGAATGAGCTGATTTGCCTTGGGGGGAAAGCATCATTTGATGGATAATATCATCCTTGTGAATTTCCCCAAGGAAGTTTAGCAGGTCATGATAACCGGAAGCTATATTATTTAATCCGGCACGCAGCATACATGATTTAAACAGACAAAAAACCTCTTACTTGGTTGAGAAAAGAAAATTTAGTTTGGGTTCAGAAAGTGACAAAAACTACAGACTTCATGACAATTGGCAGAAAGAGAAAACTAAGTCAGAACACTACACAACTCAATTCAGTATTGCCCATGGTAAGCTTCTTCCATTAAAATTATAAGCAGCATAAACTAGAATTTATTGCATTGCAAAATACAAAATGCCAGAAATGGTACATGAAAGGTCATTTTTCTTCACAAGTCTTTTCCAGGTGCTATACAAGATTCGGGGAAGAGTTTTTGATGTAAGGTTTTTACCCACATTCAGGAAAGTCATTCTTTTCATTGTTGTTTTAGAAATGCCATACAGCTTTTCTCATTTTCTACCAATTCTATGCTCTCCTTCCAAAATGATTTCCCCTCCCTTTTTCCTAAGTAGCTCTTCTATTCTTACGAGGTTCTTCTTAATTCCTGTTACTTTTTTCACAAATCTAAAACAAAATAATTTAAATTAGTTTGTGTTAATAATAAATATAGCAGTAAAGGCAGGAATAGGAATAGACTTATAATAATAAAAGAGTCCATGTAGTGTCAGAGATTCATCTTGTGATCTTATGTTTATGGCCAATTACAGTGATATGAATGGATCATTTAGATGACTACAATCTGGATCAACTGTGTTACGGACTAGTTATTAGGGTGGAAGTGATCCATCTTTTCTATTGACAATAGAATGGCTACGCATATATATGATCATTGATAGCCAATTTAAACCTTGTTATTTAGAAGGCCTAGTCCTGCCCTTTTTAGACTACAGTTCTGAAACAATTGCTAAAATATTGAGAAGTAGCTACACAAACTTCAGTATCACATTTAAATAGAATGATGTTGCTGCAATAGGTCATTTAGCACTGCAAGCTGTGAGGAAAGCATCTCTGTGCTGATTACATTAAACATCACGTCTTCCATCTGGCGGACAGGTTGAATGAGCCATTTCTTAACAGGTAAATCAGGCTAGAATGAACAAGGGCAGCACTGAAAATGGGATATCAGGCATTAAGTACCTGTGTTTCTATTTCCCTCCTCAATCCTAAGCTCTTATGCATTGCAAAAGCTGCTCATCAGTTCTAGCATTTTCTAGTTTTCCTCTTCCCCTTTCCTATACAAAGGATCTTATTCCTTCTCAACAATGCTTCAGGCAGCTATTATCAATTAACTAGAGTTTGCTTTGTTATCACTTATTTACAGGGAAATAACATAAATATTATGCATAAAGTCGTTTTCAAGCACCACTTGCTTCCTTCAATCCAGCTATCTGCTCCTGAGGTAGACAATGAGGTCCTTTCTACTTTCAAACTGCGCAGGTCTGAATTATGCTAGATAAAAGTTCTTTCTAGCTTTGCACCTATCTCTTGGAATAGTGAATTAATTGTAGCTATTGATGATGATAATGATAATGATGATGATGTTTGGAGATGACCAATTCCATGGACATATATTAGGGCAGGAGTGAGAGAGGCCTTATTCCTAAGAGGAACATATCCATGACTCATAGGATCCAAGGAGTCAACGCATCCTAAGAGGAAAGCCTAGAAATAGAAAAGCATTTTTAGCTCAGTACAGTGCCATGCAAAATTAGTTCTAGAAATGGGTCAAAAAGAAACCAAGTACCTCTGCAAATATTGTACATTTACCATTCCAGGATACCAGAGATTTTCATTTGAATCTGTTTTGTCAGGCAACAGATCCCTGTTCTGTTCTATAGAACCCTTTCTCTTTTATCCAATATTGGTTTTCAGCCATTAACTCACTTTCCAAAATCACTTCTGTAAGAGAAATGGATTTCATACAGATGAATTATGGCTTAAAAATATTTTTAAGTATTGAATCTAAGATGGAAGCAATCCCACTTCATGTGAGCTTTCTTACTTTATTAGGGGAAGGTAAAAATATCCAGCAAATATTTATAGGTATTTACCACGTGCCCAGCACTAAGTACTAAGGGATGGTAGTGAGCAAGAAGAACCAATTTCTGCCCTCACAGAGCTGAGCATTACTAATGAAAGTTGTCAGAGCTCTCCCTGCTTCATGTTATAGATTACCTCAAACTGACAATGTTTCAAATCTTTAGAAAGAAAGGAAATAAAGTGTATCCATCCCATTTTGCAGAGAAGACATTTGAGATTGAGAATACAGTATTAAAAGATTTTTCCTGAGCCACAGAAAGAGTGGCAAGTCTAAATCAAACTCTCGACTCTCTCACTTGAGCTACATTGTATTTTCTTTTTTTCTTTTTTTTTTGAGACAGAGTCTCACTCTGTCGCCCAGGCTGGAGATAAGTGGCGCGATCCGGCTCACTGCAAGCTCCGCCTCCCCGGGTCATTCTCCTGCCTCAGCCTCCCGAGTAGCTGGGACTACAGGCGTCCGCCATCACACCCGGCAAATTTTTTTGTATTTTTAGTAGAGACGGGGTTTCACCGTATTAGCCAGGATGGTCTCGATCTCCTGACCTTGTGATCCGCCCGCTTTGGCCTCCCAAGTGTTGGAATTACAGGCGTGAGCCACCGCGCCCTGCCCGCCACATTGTATTTTCTATGTCTTCTGAATAGTCTCTATATCCAGCTTTGTTCTGGTCTACAAGAATATTCAACTCTATACATACTGACTTCATTCTGTAACCTGGAATACTATTTCAATGGACCTAAGAGAGGTCTCTCAGTATTTTCTAAGATTTTGGCTTAAGTAAGAACTAGTGTTTCCAAGGAAATAAAACCAACTCTATAGGAGATAATTTTTCCCAGACAAAAGTACTGGTACTTCACCCATGTTCATTGTGGCCTTATTTACAAGAGTCAAAAGGCAGAAGCAACCTAAAGGTCAATTGACAGATGAATGGATAATACATTTAGAAAATATGATACACAGGTACAAAAGAGTATTATTATTCTGTTTTTACAAATTAGGGAATTCTGATACATGCCACAACATAGATGAATCTTGAAGACATTATGTTAATTGAAATAAGCAGTCACAAAAAGACAAATACTGTATGATTCCATTTATTATGAGGTACCTAGGAAAGTCAAATTTATAGAAACAGAAAGAATGGCAGTTGCCAGGGGCTGGGAGTAGGAAGAAATGGACAGTTGTTGTTCAGTGGGTATAAAGTTTCAGTTTTGCAAGATGAAAAAGTTCCAGAGATCGGCCGCACAACAATGTGAAAACAGTTAACACTACTGAACTATATACTTAAAACCCGTTAAGGTGATAAATTTTGTGTTATACGTATTTTACAACAGTTAAACAAAAGCCAAAAAATATTGGTACTTACCTCATTGTGTTGAAGTTTAATTTTTAAAAAATCTCCTTATAGCTTCAGTAATTGACAGAAGCAGGCTCACTTGTCACTATTAAGATAAATCAAAGAATTTTCTGTGATGTTTCTGTCAGTCAGCAGGAAATTTAAAAACAAAACAAAAAATGGTGCTTTCAATGCCATTGTCCATAAGCCTTGAGTTACTTTAGAAATTAAAATTTGTTATTCTGTCTTCTAAAAATTATATTTAGGCAATGAGGTAGATGATTAATGACTTCCAGTGAGGTTGGTGCTATATTTTGGTTTTCATCTTTCTATTGAGGGTTGTATTAGTCTGTTTTCACACTGCTATAAAGAAATACCCCAGACTGGGTAATTTATAAAGGAAAGAGGTTTAATTGACTCATAGTTCCACATGGCTAGGGAGGCCTCTTATGACCATCACGGAAGATGAAGCAGGCACCTTCTTTACAAGGGGGCAGGAGAGAGTGAGTAAGCACAGGAAAAACTGCCACTTTTATAACCATCAGATCTTGTGAGAACTCACTCACTATCACAAGAACAGCATGGGAGAAACTGTCCCCATGATCTAATCACCTCCCACTGGGTCCATCCCACAACAAGTGGGGATTATGGGGATTACAATTCAAAATGAGATTTGGGTGGGGACACAGCCAAACCATATCATTCTACCCCGGCCCCTCCTAAATTTCATTTCAAAACACAATCATGCCTTCCCAACAGTCCCCCAAAGTCTTAACTCATTCCAGCATTAACCCAAAAGCCCAAGTCCAAAGTCTCTTCCAAGGCAAGGCAAGTCCCTTCTGCTTAGGAGCCTGTAAAATCAAAAGCAAGTTAGTTCCTTCAAAGATATAGTGGGGATATAGGCATTGGAAAAATGCTCCCATTCCAAATGGGAGAAATAGGCCAAAAAAAAGGGGCCACAGGCCCCATGCAAGTCCGAAATCCAGTGGGGCGGTCATTAAATCTTAAGGTTCTTAAATAATCTCCTTTGACTCTGTGTCTCACATCTAGAACATGTTGATGCAAGAGGTGGGCTCTCAGAGTCTTGGGAAGCTGTACTCCTGTGGCTTTTCAGGGTACAGTCCCCCTCCTGGCTGCTTTCATAGGCTGGCGTTTGAGTGTCTGTGGCTTTTCCAGGCGCACAGTACAAGCTGTCTGTGGATTTACCATTCTGGGGTCTGGAAGATGGTGGCCCTGTTCTTACAGCTCCACTAGGCAATGCTCCAGTGGCAACTTTGTGTGGGGACTCCAACCCCACTTCTCCCTTCCACACTGCCCTAGCAGAGGTTCTCCATGAGGGCTCCACCCCTGCAGCAAACTTCTGCCTGGACATCCAGGCATTTCCATACATCCTCTGAAATGTAGACAGAGGTTCCTAAACCTTAATTCTTGACTTCTGTGCACCCATAGGCTCAACACCATGTATAAGCTGCCAAGGCTTGGGGCTTGCATCCTCTGAAACAATGTCCTGAGCTGTATGTTGGCCCCTTTTAGCCATGGCTGAGATGCAGGGCACCAAGTCCCAAGGCTGCACAGAGTAGGAGTAGGGTCCTGGGCCCAGCCCATGAAACCATTTTTCCCTCCTACACCTCTGGGCCTGTGATGGGAGAAGCTGCTGTGAAGGTCTCTGACATGCCCTGGAGATATTTTCCCCTTTGTCTTGGTGATTAACATTAGGCTCCTTGTTACTTATGCAAATTCCTGCAGCTGGTTTGAATTCCACCCCAGAAAATGGGTTTTTCTTTTCTACCATATAGTCAGGCTGCAAATTTTCCTGACTTTTATGCTCTGCTTCCCTTTTAAACACAAGTTCCAAATTCAGATCATCTCTCTCAGGTTCAAAGTTCCACAGATCTCTAGGGCAGGAGCAAAATGCCACCAGCCTCTTTGCTAAAGTATAGCAAGAGTGACCTTTGCTGCAGTTCCCAATAAGTTCCTCATCTCCATCTGAGACCACATCAGCCTGGACTTCATTGTCCATATCACTATCAGCATTTTGGTCAAAACCATTCAACAAGTCTCTAGGAAGTTCCAAACTTTCCTACATCTTCCTGTCTTCTGAGCTCTCCAAACTTTTCCATCCTCTACCCATTACCCAGTTCCAAAGTCTCTTCCATATTTTTGGATATTTTTATACCAATGCCCTACTCTCTGCAGTACCAATTTACTTCACCAGGTAAAAAACTATGACCTGCTGAGGTGCTTGCTGAAAGCAAAGGGAATACAGAATGGGTAGTAGAAGAAGGTAGTGATCAATACCAGCTATGACCACATAAGCAGTTGCAGAAATTAGGACTGTAATTGTCATGAGTTTTCCTCCTTATTTTGTTAAGAATATGTTTATGCATGTATACACTTGTACTAAGAATAAAGAATATATCTATATTTCCCCTCTTTTTCCTGTATCCTGTGACATTTATTGACATCATATCAGCATTTAAGTGTTGTTAACTTTATGTAATGGCATTTAGGTTAAGGATTAGTATGCTTCTGGTTGTATAAAGGATAGCTGTATTGTTAGGCATAATTATGACCGTATTATTGTTTTTATGTAAGCATGCAATGGGTTCACCTTGCCTGCTACCTAGACCGAACGAATTTATCAAGACAGGGGAATTGCAAAAAAGAAAGAGTAATCTATGCAGAGCTGGTTGTGCGGGAGACCAGAGTTTTAGTGTTACTCAAATCAGCCTCCTGGAAAACTCAGGGATCAGAGTTTTTAAGGATAATCTGTTGGGTAAGGGGCCAGTGAGTTGGGAGTGCTGATTGGTTGGCTTGTGGATGAAATCTTAGGGAGTCAAAACTGTCCTTTTATGCTGACTCAGCTCCAGGGTGGGGGCCACAGAACTGGTTGGCAGGTCCAGGTGGGGCCATCCAGTTATCAGAAATGCAAAAACCTGAAAAGACATCTCAAAAGGCCAATCTTAGTTTCACAATAGTGATGTTATCTTCAAGAGTAACTGGAAAAGTTGCAAATCTTATGACCTCTGGAATAATGGCTGGTAATATTTAGAATTCCAGCCCCTCTCATCCTAACTTGGTGCCTGGTGGCCTTTCAATCATTTTACAACAACAGTTTAGCTTTTGGGAAGGGCTATTATTTAAACTATAAACTAAATTCCTTCCCAAGGCTAGTTTGGCTTACATTCAGGAATGGACGTTTAGAGGTTAGAAGCAAGACGGAGTTGGTTAGGTCTGATATCTTTCACTGTCATAATTTCCTCAGTTATAATTTTTGCAAAGGCAGTTTCATTTATTTGGAGATTAGGTATGATTTCAAGAAATGTGTATGGGTTCAAGTTGACAAGGGATGGACTTGTGAAGGTTAATATTGTCAACTTGATTGAATTAAAAGATGCAAAGTATTGTTTCTAGGTGTATTTGGGTGTTTCTGGGTGTTGCCAGCAGAGATTAACATTTGAGTCAGTGGACTAGGACAGGAAGACCCACTCTCAGGAAGACCCACTCACAATGTGGGTGGGCACCATCCAATTGGCTGCCAGCCTGGCTACGAAAAGCAGGCAGAAGGTGGGAGAAGCTGACTTGCTGAGTATTTGGGCTTCATCTTTCTCCTGTACTGGATGCTTCTTGCCCTCGAACATCAGGCTCCAAGTTCTTTGACTGTTAGACTCTTAGACTTACACCAGTGGTTTGTCAGGGGCTCTCAGGTCTTTGGCCACAGACTGAAGGCGGCAGTGTCGGCTTCCCTACCTTTGAGGTTTTGGGACTCTGATTGAGCCACTACTGGCTTTGTTGCTCCTCAACTTGCAGATGGCCTATTGTAGGACTTCACATTGTGATTGTTTGAGTCAGTTCTTTTTAATAAACTCATTTTCATATACGCATCTATCCTACCAGAACTATCCTAGTTCTGTCCCTCCAGAGAACCCTAATATAAGGATCCAGAAGCAAAATAAATGCACACGATCCCAACTATCTAATGTTACACATTTGAAACCAGAGGATGTATGCCATGGAGCAAAACATTTGAACATGTCAGCAATTTGCACTTGTATCCAGTTTCTAGATTTATATGAATTTGTATTCTTATGTACCTTTACAACTCCTTTTTTAACCAGCAGTTCCCAGGGCGCTCAATTTGAAGCATCTAAAAGGGTCAAACAGGGTTGCAGATAAATGCCAGGGTTGATTACTGAGGAATGACAGATAGCATCTTTCCTATTCCTTGCTGACCATTGCCCAAAAGGAGCTGAAACCATGACTGAAATGAGCTTCTGCCCCTTAATTCTCTCTGCTTTCATTTCTCAGAATCCTCAGTCACACGTCTGAGCAGCTGGGGTTTTTCCACCCATAGAGTCTGCATAGCTAACCTAATGCAATTAGTTGGTAGGAGAGATATAAAAACATATTTAAAAGTTCAGGGTAGAAATCCATTTTTTAGTTTAAAAATGTTCAATAGTATATGTATTTTATGATCTTATAAACCGATTTAATCTTGTAACATACAAAGGAATTAAGAATTCTGATTGGTGACTTGCAAGATACCATTTGAACAGAGTTGAAGAATCATTTTTGATTTTCCAATACGACATATTGAAAGGGCAAAAGGAATGGCTTAGTATTTATGGAAAGACTTACTGAGTGACAGCTGTCCCTTCACACTGCTCCAAGGGCATCCCTTGTGTAAATTTTAAACATCACAGAGTTCTAAAAGACGAGACTGATTTGCCTGTCACAACCCCCCCCTTTCTTCATAACTACTCTTTTCCATAAAATTCCTCCAGGGAAGGAACTTTTTATTTATCTGGCTTTGTATCCCCAGCACCCAGCACAGAGCCTGGCACATAGAAGACATTCATTAAATGACTGTTGAATGAATGAAAGAAACAAATTTGATATGACAACAAAGATAGGTTAACATATATGGGACAAACATTATTTGACAATGACAAAAGAAGTGAGGCACAGCCTGACGTTTTTCACTCATAGAACTTTTCCTGATTTAAATAGTGTCCACCTACACTTTTATATTGCAAATAAAATGCCTTTAGTTTTAAATTTGGTCATTATGCTCTTTAAGACTGAAAGATGTGAAGACATCACCATCACTTTTTGAAAGGAGAAGGTCCTCATGGGAATACCTATCATATATCTTGGGGGATGGGGAGTGGGGGAATTTGGGAGTCTCTGGAAACTGATGTAACTGAAATTAAACTTCAATTTCTCGTACCCATTTCAAAACTATTTGAAAAGAGGTAATGTAGGTTTCTCCATAAACCACTTAAGCGATTTCTGATTTGTAGCAATACAGTATAAAATATAGGACTTATTTTCAAAGGCAGAATACAAAAAAGTTCAAAATGCAGCTGACCTTGATGAGTTAGGATTATGCTGGAAATCAGTTGCTGAAATTTAATTATTTCTATTACTTCTCCCGCCTTCTCCCAAGTTAAATCATATTGAATAAGGGCGTTTTGGAGAAAAATCCAATTACCATAGAATTATTTATCTTTAAACTATCTAGTTTGCACCCAATTAATTTTTCCTCAGCAGTGCAGTAGAGTAAAATTCAAGGTCTACTGCTAATACAAAAACTTCCTTCCAAAAAAAGAGTAAATGCTACTAATTTTAAATATTTCTACACTTAAATTAAAAGAATGAAATATACGCTAACAAAGGCAAATACAAAATACTCTTCCCAGAACTTACTTCTGAAACCTAGCTGTTTTTACACAGCAGTTTTAATTAACATTTTTCAAAATTGTAGAATAAGTACATATTTTCAAAAATAAAACCACCGAATACTCCATACACACACACAAAGTTCTCAGAACGAGAGCAAAACATGCATATATCCTCACTACAAAAAGAAAAATACTAATACTGGAGCATTTTGCTGTGTCTCCTTACCTCGAGTGCAGTAGATTGCAGTAGGGCCAGCCGATTTATTTCCCTGCAGCTTAGTTATCATAAAACGGAAGGGGCGTCTCGTTTGCTCATTTTTGTTTTTTTTTCTAAACCAAGTAGCGTGCATCTATCCTTCTCCATTAGCTGGATTAACAACCTGGAAAAAGTGCCGCCCGCAAAGTGAGCGCCTGGAGCAAGGGACAGTCCCCGAGTGGCCGCCCCTCCCTTTCGGTGACGCTCCACTTCCTGTCGGCCTAAAAGGCATTCCCAGGAAGCTCGGTTTTGTAGTTTCCAGCCCACCTCCGAAAGCCAATCCTTTCCTCCATTTCTTCTCCAAGGTAACAACTTTTAAACATTCACGTGACGGACCACCTTCCCTCAGCCAAACAACTTCCCTGAAAGGCGCCCGAAGGAGCCTTCCCATCCACCGCGGGTGCCCAGGAAAGGCCTGTGGGGCTCTCCTCCCCGCGCTCCACACGCCCTCGCATCCCACCGAGGGGCCAGCTTCTGCCTGCACGTTGCTGAAACTGGCCTGGAGGTTCTGACAAGAATTAGAGCGGCGGCCGTTGCCCCGGGGATGACCTGGAAGCGAAAGAGACCGGCACGAATTCTAGAGTTTCGGGGTTTCCGCGGGTTGAGATTGTACGGGAAACAATGCATTAACCAAACCTAAAAATCAAACAAACACGTCTGGTAGAACCTACCATTAAAAAGCTTCTTTCCTATACTACGTTTAACAGCCTTTATTTTGAAAGACATTGATTGATGCCAGGCATGGTGGCGCACGCCTGAGGTCTCAGCTACTCCGGAGGCTGAGGAGGATCACTTGCGTCCGGGAGTTCCAGGCTGTAGTGAGCCTCATTGTGCTCCAGCCTAGGTGACAGGGCGAGACCTTGTCTCTTAAAAAAATAAAGAAAGAAAAACATTGATCGCCTCCTGCGTGGCAGTCCAGAAGGGTCAAGCGCTGTTTTCGGGGTGGCGTGGAATGGATTCCTAAGATTTGGGCGCCCATAGAGTTAACGCAGCAAAACGATCACTTGCGTTTCCTGCGGACTGGCGGCAATAGAACACGTGGCTGCCTAGACTCTTAATCACTGATATCTACCACACCAGGATTTAATGCCAGTTGGGAGGAAATGGCGAAAGGGCAGGCGCTGGAGCCCATGCATCCGGGAACACTGGTGGTAGGCGGTCGGGTGGGCGTGAGCGGGCTCTCCATCTCCCAGCCCAGTCTGCAGGTCGCCACCTCAGGATTTTCTTCCTGAGTCCGGGTGGCAGGATTCCATCCCAGGTCAGCCCCTCACACCCCCTGGTAGTTGCCACCTCCTGGCGTCCCTCCAACAGCTCCAGCACCTTTCTCATCCCGCCCCCGCCGCAAGCCACGCCCTCCGCCGCGCAGGCCCCGCCCGCGACCGGCCTCCCTCCTTTCCTGTCCCAGGACGCGTTGCGCGGCCCGGGCCGGAAGTAAGCGAATTCCCGGGTGTGTGTCTGTGTCTGTCTGTGTCTCGCAGCGGCGCGCGGCCCCGGACAAGCGCTGGGGATTCCCGTTTGAGGCGTCACTACTGTCACTGCCATCACCCCACGGAGCCACTTCTAGAGGGGAGTAGACCCGGCCCTTCGCCGGGCAGAGAAGATGTTGCCCCTGTCCATCAAAGACGATGAATACAAACCACCCAAGTTCAATTTGTTCGGCAAGATCTCGGGCTGGTTTAGGTGCGGGGTGCTGTGTTTGCGGGGAGGGGGTGTCCGGCAGAAAGGGAGAAGGCCCAGACCTCAGGATGGCCCGAGGTCCAGTGAGGGAGAGTCAAAAACTCCCCGTCAACCCCTAGCTGTGAAGAAAGGAGCATGTGAACTGGGAGGGTCTTGAAGAGGGTACCCAGCCTCGGGGTCCCGGCACCTCCTTAACTCTCCCGGCTCTTTTCCACGTGTATCATTCCCAGGTCTATACTGTCCGACAAGACTTCCCGGAACCTGTTTTTCTTCCTGTGCCTGAACCTCTCTTTCGCTTTTGTGGAACTACTCTACGGCATCTGGAGCAACTGGTAACCAAAGGGGAAAATGGTTTGGGCGGAAGCTGGGTGTGAGGGAGACGAAGCACTGTTTGCTTAATGCCACGTAGCTCCTCACTAGGAGGTTCAGGTCCTACCTTTGTTACCTACCTCTGCTGCTGAGTTGCTTTCTCATACCCACACCAATCTGGTAGGGCTACAGTTCTTGAGTAAGATCTGGGCCTATCCTGTGCAACCTCTCTTGTCACGCTCCCCTCCAGTTCCATCAGACAAGACTGACAAGCCCCTCCTTATTTTAGCAGATGGGCAGAATCTTTCATTTCTAATTGTAGGCCTTAGGTTTACCCACTTTGTTGGAATTGGGAGAAACTTGTTTGCTGCCTCTCTCGGGGGGGAGTGGCATTTGGATTTCACCCTTAAGATTCTGAGAGAGTATATCTGAGATGTTCTACTTAGTTTGTTATTGGGGCTTGGAATGGGAGGTTTTATAAAGTGATATCGGGAGGAATATGTGTCATTCTCTTCTCTCTTTAATGCCGAAACTGTCTCATGATTTTCCTGTAGTCTTAACTGCGATGTAAAAATCCCATATAGTTTCTAGAAACAACATTTCTTGGGTTTTGGTGGCACCTTTGAGGGTTTTTGTTTTTTTTGAAACATCCTTAGGAGGAGGAAAATCTAGTGTGTAACTCTGTGGCAGTGAAGTTACTATTATTCAGGTATTTGCTGTTGAGTAACTTAAGGTCTTATGAAGTTGTTCTGCTAACAAGACTGTCACACTCCTAGGTGTACTAATTCTGTCTTTAGATCCCATACTCCTTCAAAAATCTGATGAAAGCCAATACTCAGAATTGTACATAAAGCTTCAGGATGTTGTTGGGTTCCCTGTACTAAATCTTGGACTCTAGATTAAGAACCTGTTTTCTATTTATTAAATAGACTTAGTCTCTGTTGTTTAAGACCCATTTTCAGAGAAAATCGCTGTCCTTGATCTTCTGTTGAGATCAAACATTGACAGGTAATATCACCAGGTTTTGTGACATGTATACTTTTATATAATGCTTGGGCTTCTTTCAATTCAACCGTCAATTCAGTTCTATAAAAAATACTCAATAACCAGCAGATTATGAAGGTTATTGGTTTAGTCAACAGTTGGGTATAAAGGCATATTGGCACAATGAAATCTTAATATATGTAATAACCATTTTGAATCCTTTGGGAATCAGATGTGTTAATTTGAAGGATACCCCATCATAGATTAATTTTTTAATCCCATAGTATTAACACACTTTAATATACTGTAGATGTTGAAAGCACTTGTACTTGAATAATCATACTTTATCATAAATATATAATATTTACAGTATATTTTACATTTTTCTCTTCCTAAATTATGCCAAATTAATTTTGGGATATGTGCTGATTGTATCAGGAGTGTATCATAGCTTATATATGCATATTTTGTATCAAGAGTGTATCATAGCTTGTATATGCATATTTTGTATCAAGAGTGTATCATAGCTTATATATGCATATTTTGCTACAGATAGTTTCTATTGCAGTGTTTCACTATGGCTTTCCATTACATAAGTCACTCTGTGAAATATCTCATTCAAGAGATTCACACTTGAAGTTCCTAAACCACCTTTCATGGAAAGTTAAGTATATAGTAACTCTTTTGATCTGTAGAGATCTGTTGGGGAGATTACCAGAACCATTATTTTTTAAGTCAGTATGCATCAGTGCATAACAAAAACATTAGTTGTAGTCGACTTGTTCTTTTACCCTTAGGGGACTTGCTTTTCTTTACTAGTGCAGCTTATATACTGTTTTTCATTGTGTTATGTCTTCTAGCTAGATTTGAAATCTAGCTCCAGTGCATGTTGTACTTAGTTCATTTAGCACGTATCCGTCATCTCATGCCTATTTATGTTAATCTCCAGATCTACAACCAATTATTCTTAAATATTAATTTTTAATACAGATCTCTTGTCATTGATATTTGGGCAGATTTAGGCATTTCTCTGGCCTTTTAATAATCTGGCTTTCTGTGTTTTATTTAGACACCAAAATTTTTAGTTCCTTTTGTTGACTGATCAATAATTTCTTTATATGACCAGAAGATTATCTGTGTTCCTGTAGGTTATATTAGCTTTTCAGTTCCTTGATTAAATTTCTTCCAAAACTCATTTTGTGTATTAGTCAATTCCTTGTTGAATTTCATTCTGTAAAAATAAATTTCAACTTGTTGAGAACATGAAATAACCAAGAATTTTTTTCCTATAGAGGACTGAAACGTGAATAAAACACTCACTTCACAAATAAAGGTTCATAGAAGCAGTTGATCTAATTTTAACAAATGTTAAATTGTTCTGGTTCTTTTTCAGAGCCTTCATTTTAAAGGAAGAACTTAATTATAGTTGATTTATATTTTAGATGATGAGTAGGTCTCTTCAGTGGAACAATAGGTAGTTGTTGTGTGTTTTTCCCCTCAATAAATATCTGCTACCTTTCACCTTCCCACTAGAACGTAAACTGTATTAATGTAGGGATCTTTTCTATCTTATGCAGGCACTTCAGTACATAGCACATAGTGGATGCTTAATACATATTTGCTAAATGAAAGAATGAGGGAATAATTAATGTATGGAATTACACTACCTATACTAAAAATGGTAACTACCCCGTTAAGGAAAAACAGCAATGACAAAACATTAAATTCCATTCTCTCACTCTTAGAAATTGGGAGGAAAATGGTAGAAATTCTATGTGATTTTTCCCTTCCTTCTAGTATTTTATTTTTCATTTACTAATTTATTGTTGAGTAACTGACTAATCTCAAGGTAACATAGTGTAACAATGTGGTTTTGTATCATCTACGGTTAAGTTTGTTTTCAAGTTACAGAAAAACTCTGCACACCTGTAATCTCAGCTACATGGAGGCTGAGACACCAGCATCCCTTGAACCTGGGAGGCAGAGGTTGCAGTGAGCCGAGATTGAGCCACCGCCCCACAGCCTGGGCAACAGAGTAATACTCTGTTTCAAAACAAAACAAAAACCTAAAATAATGGTTGCTTACACAAGATAAAACTTCATTTCCAAGATGGGTGCTAGTGTTTCAGTCATCCCTGGCAGCATAATGTCTGGAATGCAGATAAAAAGAGGTAAAAGGTGTGCACATTTTTTTTTTTTTTAAGATTTACCTGGATGCTAACACACAATGCTTTCACTAAAATTTTATCACATGGTCATGCCTAGTTGCAAATGTAGTCTTTATTCCACTCAGCCATGTATTCTGCGGAAAGTCAAGGATTTTTTACTAAGGAAGAAAGAGAATATGTGGATAGTGTAGGTTTTGGAAGTGGGACTTGAGAGAGAGAGAGAGAGAGACAAACTAACCTGTCATCTTCTATAGTTGGAAAATTGAGGCCTAGAGTTTTTTACTTCCCAAGTGAGCAGCAGAGCCTACAGCACCTATTGTCCAAGTTTGATGTCCAAAAAACATCACACTGGTTTTTTCTAGTATCTCAATATAGTTTCTGTGTTTTTATGTTCTTACATTTTTACTTCATTTTTAACAGATTTAATTTCAGTAGTATTTCTTACCAAAGCTGTTGCAACCATTTTTCCCTTAGACATAGAAGACACTCAGGTAACTCTAAAGGTTAATGTCTTTGTGTTAACAAAGTAAATATTTGTTGAAGAAATGTTTAAGACAATACCAGACATTTATTTGGTTCTACTTCAGTGTGATATTTCACAGCAGATGTTTGTAAAGTAATTCCTTAGTGAAGAAAAATACTTCTATCAATCACATGTTTTTCTATTAAAATTTTCATATATCTTAGTCTTTTAAAATCAACTTTTTCCTTCTCAAAAGGCAGCATTACTTACCAGCTTATGGTGATGGCTTTTGCTTTCCTATAATTTTATTTCCCACCTTAAAAACATAGATAAATATTCCATTTTGCTTAGAATTTTTTTTAAAGTAAGGGACTATATAATGGAATGTAGTGGAGTTCTGGGTTATTTCACTGTAACTCATTTAGTTTATTGACTTTGCTAATGTCAGGATTCTAAGAATTTTCTAATTTCCTGATAATAAATTGACAGTGTTTTTCCCTGACTTTCCACATCATGGAAAGTACCTGGTAAGGGATTTCTGAATTATGATGATTCCTTATTTTCAATTTTGAACACGTTTAACAAACAATATAAATATACCGTTAGCTTAGTTACCAATAGACCTTTTAAACAATTTTTTATCACTGGGTATTTTAAACATATGTAAAAGTAGAGCATTTAATGGACCTCATGTACCCATCACTGAGCCTTAACATTTATCAATACATGGTCTATCTTATTTCATCTGTTGTCCCTGTCCCACCATTGGATTGTTTTAAAGCAGACACAAGATGTAATTTCTTCCATAACTATTTCATTATGCTTCTCTAAAAGATAAAATCCACCCCCCCTTAACATAACCCAAAACCATTATCACCCATGAAAATTAATGACTCATTAATATCCAGCTAACGAGTATTCAGGAGTCCCTCATTGTCTCATAAATTCTTTTTACATTTGGTTTTACAGATTAGAAATCAAACAAGATCCATACATAGTATTTAGCTTATATGTCTCTTAAGTTGCTCTTAATTTATAGGTTCTCTTTCTCCCTTCCTTTGTTTTTGCCTCCAATAGACCCTAAATAAAATTCTTTTCAAAAGTTTCTTTTGCCATATATTCTATTGACATTTGTGCTGTTTTTGCTTCTGTATTTATGTATTCAGGTTTCTCCTTTATACACGTAGAAGTTTTCTTTTTCTTTTTTTTAAGACGGAGTCTTACTGTGTTGCCCAAGCTGGAATGCAGTGGCGCGATCTTGGCTTACTGCAACCTCTGCCCCCTGAGTTCAAGCAATCCTCCTGCCTCAGCCTCCCAAGTAGCTGGGAGTACAGCCACGCCTGGCTAATTTTTGTATTTTTAGTAGATGGGAGTTTCTCTATGTTGACCAGGCTGGTCTTGAACTTCTGACCTCAGGTGATCCACCCACCTCAGCCTCCGGAAGTGCTGGGATTATAGGCACGAGCCACTGCACCCGGCTGGTTTTCCATGTTAAAATGTCTTTAGAAGGTAGTCATTTAAAAGAGTTTACAAATACATTTTAGAGAAACTAGCAGTGCTTAAAGAGGAGTCTACGACAAGTAAGTGGATTTTCACAACCAGCTTTACTTTATCATGGTTTACTGAAGTTACCTTTGGTGTTTCAGTCATGTAACCTTAGGTATTCTCTATGCTACCTTTATTTTTTAAGGAAATTTATAGTTTAAATTTATAGTTTAAATATAATTCATAATCAGAAACATTTGCTAAGATTGAATATGAGCAGTAAAATTGACCTTCCTCATAAGCAATATTTTTACATGTGATAGGTCAGCAGAGAGCTAAAAGTAGACTGTTTTTCCCATGAGTTTGTGTATTTGCAGCTAGGTAATTTTTAAATCATGATATCAAGTTTAAGGGAAAAGATCTCATATTGCAGTGTTTTAAGAGAACATAATGTTCTTCCATCTCAGAAGAGGGAGTAGTTTTTCAGGTAGTCACATTTTATTAAGTACTAAAAATAACATTTTAATGCTAATTAAATTTACTTAAAATTTAAATAAAATTTCATTTTGATGAGTATTAAAATTGCCGTGCTATATCCACACCTCTTTAAAAGGAACCTGACTGCTATTCTGTGCAAAAGGAATTTTTATTTTTATTTTTATTTTTTGCATTATGGCAATATTTGGTTTATGTTGGGTGCATATAAAGTAAATTTGTTGAAAAAAAGGAGTGTGTGTTAGTTTGCTAGTCTGGTGTAATAAAACACCACAAACTAGGTGGCTTAAACCACAGAAATTTATTGTCTCACAGTTCTGGAGATTAGAAGTCAGAGATCAAAGTGTCATCAGGGTTGATTTCTTCTGAGAGCTCTGAGGAAGAATCTGTTCCATGATCTTTCTGTAGCTTCAGTTGGTTTTCTAGTAATCTTGGACAGTCTTTGGCTTGTAGGAGCATCACCTGATCTCTGCCTTATCTTCGCATTGTGATCTATGTATCTTCTTCCAAATTTCTCTTTTTTATAAGGACACTGGATGAGGGCTCACCTTAATGACCTAATATTAACTAATTATATCTGCAATGAGTCCATTTCTAATAAAGTCACGTTCTCAGGTACTAGAGGTTAGGACTTCAACATATGAATTTGGGCGCAGGAACACAATTCAACCCATGACAGTGTTTTACTAAATAATAGTGAAATAGATAGTAAAATATAGATCAATAAATCAGTAAATGTTTGTTTATATTTATTTACAATGAATGCCCTGCCTTCTAAAACTGATTACAGTAATTTAAAATAAAAGCTATATATACTAATAAAACACATTAAGAAATAAAAACATTTAGAAACCATACCTAGGGAGGAAAAAATTAATCTATTAAATATATAGTCTAATTTAGCTCCCAAAATTGACTTTTAAATTTAGTTATAAAATTCCATAAAGTGAACACAACTCTATCATTTTATCAGAGTAGAAAGACAGTTTTCTGAAATCAAATTTTAACAGTATTTTGCCATATTAATCTTTTCTTGGGGGATCGAAAACAAAATCATAGACAATGTCTTTATTAATGGTTTTATCACAGTATAGAGAAATTCTTCACATGAGTCTTTCATACTTCAAAATAAAGTTAAATCATTATTTTCCATGTTACATAGATGTTATGGTTCAAGTGTGTAATTTTCGGTAATCTAACTATACAAGGACAAATCTTAAAATATTAAATCTAAGAGAATTGCATGAATAATATGCCCCTTACCTTGTCCTCATGTATCAGTTTTATTATTCTGCTTTATCATTTATTCACCAATTCTCATTCTGCTTTGAGTTAGATGTCAGATGAGATGGTTAAAGTACTATCTGCACTTAAACTTTCTAATATATCTATATTTCAGTGGAATAAATAAGGTTCATGATAAAAGTTTAAGACATTTTCTAAAATCTTTTGTAATGATTTGGCAGAGGTTTATAAATTATTGTGCTTTTTCTTGTTGGTAAATGATGTGCTTTGACTTAGTTTCTAATTATATAATTATTCCAAATTATGAGAAAAATTTAAAACCATGCTTTTTCTGTATGTGTGAAGAATGTTTTTGACTTTTAGTTTGTAGCACTTCCAACTGATGAAAACTCTAGCATCTAGCCAAATATTAAGAGGTATGGGTTGTGCTTGGGAACACCAGGTATTATAAGCATTAATAATAGTTAATAATTAATAATGTGATTTATTAATAATTAGCAATAGGAATATTAATGTGGTTTTAATGTGACAAGCATTGTGGTAAATGTTTCATATATATTAACTCAATTATTATAACAATTATGACACTTTTATACTATACTCTATTGAAGTGATGGCTAAATTGAGGCACAAAGAAGTTAAGTAACTTACTGGTCACGGAACTAGTAAATTTGGAGCTGGGATTTGAACCCAGGTACTCTGACTTCAGAAGCTTGTTTTTAAAGACTGAACTGATGATTGCTTTCAGAACATTTTTATTGACTTCTCTTCAAGTTCACGGATTTCTTTCCTCAGCTGTGTCCAGTCTGTGATAAGCCAATTGGAAGAATTCTTTATCGCTGATAACTTGTTTTTTGTTTCTAGTATTTCCATTTGATTGTTTTTTATATTTCCCACTTCTCTACCAAATTCCCCACTGGTTCATATTTTTTTGTCCACTTTTTCCATAGATCCTTTAACATATTAATTAGAGTTTATGATAGCTCCAGTATCTGGGTCAATATCTTGGTCTGGTTCTGTTAACTGCTTTCTCCACAGTGACTTCTTTTTTTTTTTGGCTCTTTGTGTATTTTGAAATTTTTTTTATCAAATATTGGACATTATGAGTAAAAAACAGTAGATACTGAGGTAATAGTATTTATGATCGGAAATAGGTATGCCTTGTCTGTCAGACCACTAGTTGGTTGGACTTTGTGCTTTTAGTAATCTCTGTATGGTGCCTGTGCCACAGAAGCTCTTTTCTTCATGCGCTTACTCCTGCCCAAGCTATAGACTGCTGTTGCTTGTTACTCAGTACCCAGTTTATGGTGAAGGCAGAGGGGTATTTGTTAACTTTAACCCAAAGCCTCTGTCTTTGGTAGATTCTGTAAGCCTCAACCTCAGGGGTATGATTTTGTCAACATTTTTACTCCTTCTCCTGTAATAGCCAAACTCTACTGTGTGTATGTTTATGGTCCTGGATGGAGACAACTTTCCTTCTCCATTCTCAGTGGTAGCAGAACGTCTGCTTTGTGTTGGTAGAGGATTTCCTTCCCTTCTTTTGGTGGCTTTTCTTAGTGGGTGCTTTAGTATGTATAATATTAATCTTTAAATTATCACAAATAATATGTCATTTCATGTATCTGATAAGAACCTTACAATAATACACTTTGATTTTCTTATTCCATTCTGTGTGCTATTATTGTCATACCTTAGGTTGTTGACAGTATTTTTTTTCTCTTTCAATACTTTAAAGGTGTTGCTCCATTGCATTCTGGCTTGAATAGTTTCTGAAGAAAAACATGCTATAAATTTTATCTTTATTTTTTTAATTTAATTTTTCTCTTTCTTCCCCTCTGGTTTTCAAAGATTTTTTTATTTCTCTTTGATGTTTAGTGGTTTGTGACGTGTGGAGGGTTTTTTCCTCGCTTGGGTTCATTAAGCTTCTTGGATCTGTGATTTATTTTCTTTTATGAATTTCAGAAAACTCTGAAACATTTTCTCTTTAAATACTTTTCCTATCCCTTTCTTTTTTTCTTTTCTGTTCCTGAGACTCTAAATACATGTATTTTAGTATGTTTGATACGTCCAGACAGGTTTGGGATGCTCTGCTTTTTTTGTTTGTCTGTTTGTTTCCACTCTCTTTTCTCTTTGTGTTGCACTTTGTTTAACTTCTTTTGACCTAACTGATTCTTTCTCTCTGTGTCCAGTCTGCTCAGAAGCCCATGACTGTTATTCCTCCATATTGTAATTTTTAAAAAATTATCATTTCCATTATATTCTTTTATAGTTTTTATCTGCAGAAATTATTCATTTGTTAATGAATTTTCTCTGACTTTATACCACATCCTTTGACATATTAATTGTATTTGTTGTTAAAGTCCTATCTAATAGTTCCAACATTGGGGCCATTTCTGGTTCTGTTGACTGTTGTAGCTCTTAACAATGAGTCTCTCTTTTTTTCTTTCTTGATTTTGTCATTGAGTGCTGGACATTCTGTTTAAAAGAATAATAGAGACTGTATATGTCCAGAAATGGGCACACCTATTTTTCTGTTTGGCCGTTAGTATGGGACTTTCGAAACTATTTGCTCAGTAGTCAAACTGGGGTTGAGCTGGGTTTTGTGTTTTGTTATTGCTGATTTCCACAAATCACAGTCTTTGAATTTTTCAGTGGTTCCTACTACTTTGTGATTAGTATTGGATTTGGAGTACTGCAGGATTTTTTCAGGGTTCTTGCTCCACTCTCAGCTTTTAGCAAGTTCTGCACATATCTCTTTGTGCTCTCACTGGTAGTTTGCTGTTCCTTATACTTTATTCAAGACTTGGTGGGGAGGGTGGGACTAGGTTCTCTTGTTGTATCCCTAGTCAGGCAAGCCTGTGCACCTCAGTGTCAGGGTGAGTATTAATGATCTTGCCGCTCTCCCTCTCTCCCAGCCTGTCCCCACTGTCCTCAGCCTGGTATCAAAAGGGTGGAGCAGGATACTCAACAAAAGCAGACCTTTGCTTTGTAAGATCCTGGGTGCAAGCAGGTATCAGCCTCGTCCCAGTAGTAGATGGCTTTTTTTTTCCTACCTCTCTTTCAGTGGCAGCTGACCTTTGCAAGTGACCAAGGAGTGGTCACATTCCTACCCCTCACCCAGCAGCAGATGGTTTTTGTTTCTACCTCTCTCGCAGCAGCTGGGCTTTTCCTTGTGCAGGAGGTACGAGGGTTTACTTTTTAGATATTTAAAACTTATCCTCAAAGCTATCTATATAGCATATTTAAATTGTTGTTTTAGATGGTTAATTCCTGATGAACAAAGGCTGAATCTTAGACTTTCAGAGAAAGATGCCTACTGTTTGGTTTTTATTATAATTTGTCAATGTGTTTGTTCTTTTCCAGCTTAGGCTTGATTTCCGACTCTTTTCACATGTTTTTCGATAGCACTGCCATTTTGGCTGGACTGGCAGCTTCTGTTATTTCAAAATGGAGAGATAATGATGCTTTCTCCTATGGGTAAGACTTTAAGAAAAAAAATCTTTTTATTGAAGTATAAGATATACACAAAAAAACACTAATCTTAAGCTCAGTGACTTGTTACCAATTGAACACAGGTGTAACTTTTGAATCTTTGAAGCCCCCACTCAGGCCTCTTCGAGTTCCTACCTCCCCAAGGGTAACCACTTTCATGACTTCATGGATGAGTTTTTGAATAGTATATAATTGGAATCTACAGTAATTTGTTGAGATTGTTACCATATAGAGGAATTTCTCAACTTTTTTTTGAAGAAGAAAGTTTTAGTATATGAAAATAGGATTTTTTTTTGCTTTTGCTTTTTTCTTTTTGAATGGATACTTTGCTGTTGATTTATTTAAAATCATTTTCTAATATGGTTTTATATTATGTTCTTTAGCTCTGCTTTTATGTAACAGTTCTTATATGCTTGCCGAGTTGGACAATTAATCAAATATTTGTAGAGCATCTGTATGCTGAAGGGACTACATTGGATCATCTTAGAGGCATAATTTGATTTCTGCCACCTCTGATTGGAGGAAGCAGTGGATTTTTCATTATTTGATTACACTGCCTGAGTGTTTCCTTTTTTGAGTTCATAGAATATTTTGCAGTATAGCTATATATATGTGTAAGCAGAGCTCAGGATGCATACTCTGTTTCTTTCTCTTCCCCACCCCTTTGTCTTTCCTATTCCCTCTCTCTTCTGCTTTCTTACTAATTCTTCCCCTCTGTCCTTTTCCTCCTCTTCTCTTCATTTCCCCTGTGAGTGCTCTTTTACATTCTCTTCCTTCTTCATCTGTCTCTCATATTTTCTGTCTCTCACTCTTGTTCCCTTCCTCAGCCTCTTACTCTCTCTTATCTTCTCCTGAACTCCCTTTTCCTTCTCTTGTCTTTGCTTCTTGTCGCTTGGGCTTGTGCTCATGCTCTTTTTTCCTCTCTCTTCCTTCTTCTGTCCCCCTATACCTTTCCTGTCTTATTCTTTGTTTTCTCCTGCTCTTTTCCTTTACCTTTTAACCCTTTATCTGTCAGGCTCAATCTCTCCTCCTCCTCTTCTCTTAACTTCTTTAGCTCTATTTCTTTTTTGTCTCCCTTTCCAAGTCTCTCTTTCCTTCCTTCACTGATTCTCCTTCCCTGAGCTCTCCCTTTCCGGTGCAGTTTCTCTCACTCTCTCCCTGTCCTTTTTACAGCCATCTTCTTTCATGTACTGTCTCTTAGGCCTCTTGTTATGTCTTTTACTCTCTGTCCTTAACTGCTCCCCCTTTCTCCCTGGCTTGGCTTCTTTCTTTAGCAGGCACACACTCTTTCTTTCACATGCTCTTGTTCTGTTTAGATATTTATTGAGGGTCCATATGAGTCAAATACTTTTCTAGTTCTAATGATGTAAAAATGATCTAATGATGTAAAAACATGCCTCCTGCCTTGCCGGAACTTGTCTCTTGGGCAAACAGTTCTGTAAAAATACAATAATAGCTATATATTGTGACAGTTGCCAAAAAGGAGATGTGGAGTTCTGTGGCAGAACTTGCTGATTTTAGTTATAAGCAAGGGATATGGTTATTTTTGAAATTATAAAAAGTGAGCCAAAAAATACTCATTGTACATTTTATAGTATAGAGCAGTAGATCCTATATATCTATAAATTCAAACAGCTTGACAGCTCAGATAAGAACGCTTTTTATGGCATGATATTGGTGATATGCAAATAATTTAAACAGTAGCTACTAAAAGATTCTTAAGTATATTTTAGATTATTAAAGAAAGATTATATCCAAAGTTATAATTTTTGTTGGAAAATTAGTAATTTATTTATATTATATATCAGAAATCTAATTAGAATAGCTTATTCTACAATCTTTCTGAATAAACAGTAGCTGACTATTGAAAATTCTCAGTTCTTTAACGCTTAGATTTTCTATTGTTTCCAATTTAGAATGTATTGTCTCCTGCTCTAAAATGGTTTTTAGAAATAGCTTTGAATACCTTCAGTACCATAGCAGATTTTAATGTTCAGCTTTAGCTAGTTGATGTAAGAGAATAATATTCTTTCCACCTTTAATTTAATCCTCTCCTCTCTTTATGTGTGTGTGTGTGTGTGTGTGTGTGTGTTTTCTTTTGGGAAAGATTAAAGAATAAAAGCTGGTACAATATTTAACACTATGAATAATTGGTATAGTAATAAGTAGCTTCATTTGTAAACTACTGGTGTCAGTGAATCAAAATGACACTGATTAATTCATGTTAAGCATAGGGTTGAATTCTCATAACCTCCCACCCCAATTCAGGATGACTGCTGTAGCTGACTGACTCTGCAATAGAAGAAAGAGTTGGGGAATATGAGAGCAAGCAAGGACTTTTAAGTATTTCTTTATATAAAAGTCATCTTTGTGTCTTGCCACACTCTTATTTTTTAAAGAGCAAAGACAGCTTAAAAGTAATATACATCCAGTAGGTAGATAGATACATACATACATGCGTATATACATATGTACCTATACTTAAATCTTTTCTATTTTTCTTCCTGGCTCAAGAATCTAAACACTAGCCATACTTAATTAGGCAACAGCACATTCATGAATTACATGTTCTAATTCTAAGACCTACTCAATCTGTTAAGTAAACACAGATATTTGTAAAGGCAAATGTGTTTAGTTTTCATGTGTTTTTGTTTTGAGCCCACAACCAAGTTTAACAAATATATCTTAAACTCAAGCTAATTAAATCACTCCAACATTTTATCTGAACTTAGATAGCACACCTACTAAGCTAGGAATTAGAAACAAAAAGATGCCTGAAAAACATTCTTGCCTTTGATCTTGAAATCTGGTAGAAGTCAAGCACAAAAGGTTTTCAGTCAAGCATTAGTTATGGGACTACAAGGGTAGATTAAAAGAAAATACTTTTTACTTTTGGATAGTAACCCTGCTGATTTATTAGATAAATTCCTAAGTGTAGGCTGTGGAATGCTGGTTGCAAATTATTTGAATTTAATGAACTTTTCTCCAGGAAAAAAAAATATGTTTTGACAAGTAATACGTTATTTGGATGTGTTAGAAGATAGAAATATGCATTATTTCTGGCATAGAAATACATACTATGTTGGAATGCACTTGACAGGACAAACTCCAACATAACTTGATAGAGTACATTTTCAAGAATTCTCTTTAAAAATATTTTTACAGTAAAAATCGTTATTACCTAGAAGTTAACATAGAAACCTAGGAAAAGCACGAGTTTTGATGCTCTCATTATATTGTTTAAGGACCAGAGTGGTTAATTGCTGTTAGCACCCTTTGAATGATGTTTGAACATGTAAAAATGCTAAGTTAAAGTTGTTTCTGATGACTTTAACTAAGCCAAATATACGATACAGAAAAATAAAATCTTTCCCCAATGCTTCACACAGGTAGGAAGCAGAAAGCTTCAGAACTCAATGGAACAAAAGACAGGTATTTTAAAAATAGTTTAATTAGAATTATGTGAAGCTAAAATTGATTCTAAAAATAGGTAATTGAAAGTTTATGCTAGATTTATTAATCTTAGAAAAAGTGTTAGAAATATAAATCTCAAGTTGTCTCTGGCATAAGTCAGAAATAATTTTATTTTCCTTCAGATCGAAGCTCTGCTTTCCAAAGGTTTGAAAGCTAAAAAGTACAAAGCAGAAAGCATAAGGAGTTCTTAGAAAAAGAGAAATTAATAAGTTTAAAAAACCCCCTTTTCCAGACCCTTTCTTCTACTTTTTAGCCGTTAATCCTTCTTTCTTTGTCCACTTGTCTGGTTCTGTTTTTCCTTCTCCACTAGCAACTTGAGATTTAAATTTCTGTGAAAGGTCTTTCTAAAACTACTTACTCTAAGAAGATCTTTGGATTGGCTTGTAAAAATCTGTTTTGTGGCATTCTGCTTTTGAACAATTCGTACTAATTCGTTTCCTCATTTCTACTATATATAAAATAAAATGCACTGTACTATAAACACTAGGGCTTCGCTGGCCACTTATAACCATGTAATATGGTTTGGAATCTCTGAATGTATGTAATTTTACGATTTAATTTTTAAGAAATAACATAATAATTCAGTTATTTACTTTGTTCCTCTTTAGGTATGTTAGAGCGGAAGTTCTGGCTGGCTTTGTCAATGGCCTATTTTTGATCTTCACTGCTTTTTTTATTTTCTCAGAAGGAGTTGAGGTATAGTAGATAATTATTAAAGTCAGTAAATTACATTTCTGTAATGAAAATGTTTATTAATTAAAGATATATGTAAGTTTTTTTCAACTATTATTAAATATTGTGGACAATCTTAGATTAGATATGTGCGTACAAGAGGAGCTTACAAAATAGTTGAAAAATTAAATATATATGAATCTTCTTGGAATTGAAAACAATTAAATGATAGTGCTTTACAAGTTATAGATGAAGTGTTAATACTATGAAATGTAGAGGCACAATCTGGATAGTGAGGTCAGTAGGGAAATATTTCTAAAGAAATTAGAACCAGTCAATCTTTAACATTTGGCGTATTTTTTAAAAAGGAAGAAGACTTAAAGATTAGTGAACTTAAAATGAAATGCAGTATTTTTTTTAATTTTTTATTTATTTAGTTTTTGAGACAGAGTCTCACTCTGTTGCCCAAGCTGGAGTGCAGTGGCGCGATCTCGGCTTACTGCAACTTGCGCCTCCTGGTGTAAGCGATTCTCCTTCCTCAGCCTCCTGAGTAGCTTGGATTACAGGAGCCCACCACCATGCCCAGCTAATTTTTTTTTATTTTTAGTAGAAACGGGGTTTCACCATGTTGGTCAGGCTGGTCTTGAATTCCTGACCTCAAGTGATCCGCCTGCCTCAGCCTCCCAAAGTGCTGAGATTACAAGTGTGAGCCATGAAAGGCAGTATTTCAAGATACCACATAAGAACAAGTTTTGGACCAAATATTTATGCTTTTAAATATTTGTATTTATTTTAAAATAGTAATTGTTACTTTTTCTACAGTATGTGAGCTCTGGTTTTATTTCTATCAACTGTTTTGGGAGATTTTTTTTAGTGTTTTTAATTCCAAAAATAACTGAAAGTGTTTAATGTTGTCTTATGATTTTGTTAGTTGATCAATCAGAAATAATATCTATGCTATTTGTTTGTATTATGTGTTTTCTAGAGAGCATTAGCCCCTCCAGATGTCCACCATGAGAGACTGCTTCTTGTTTCCATTCTTGGGTTTGTGGTAAACCTAATAGGAATATTTGTTTTCAAACATGGAGGTCATGGACATTCTCATGGCTCTGGTATGATGGTTAGGACACTTTGTTTCTTCATTTTCTACTAGGTTTCTGTCATAATTATTTACTTGAGAGAATTAAGTTAAACTATACTGATTTCTGATGTCAACAGACTATGTGAATATCTTCCTGAACTATCCCTTTCACTTCTTTATGCCCCTCCATCTCAGTGCCTTCTCAGAGCTGTGCTTGTATCATGGATCCCACCAGACCTCAGTAGCTTATCTGTTTAGTGTGATATCATTTATATAAAATAGACAAATATCAGAAAACCACAAAACAAATCTACTTATCAGAAAGTTTTGTGTGGGCTGGGCACAGTGGCTTACACCTATAATTCCAGCACTCTGGGAGGCCAAGGCAGATGGATCACTTGAATCCAGGAGGTTGACACCAGCCTGGGCGATATGGCGAAACCCCATCTCTACAAAAAAATACAAAATTAGCCAGGTATGCTGGGTGACAGAGTGAGACTCCATCTCAAAAAAAAAACAAAAAAAACAGGCATGATGGCGCATTCCTGTAGTCTTAGCCACTCAGGAGGTTGAGATGGGAGAGTCGCTTGAGCCCGGGAGGTGGAGGTTGCAGCGAGCCGAGATCATGCCACTGCACTCCAACCTGGGTGACAGAGCAAGACTCTGTCTAAAAAAAAAAAAAAGTGTGTGTGTTTATGAAATGTACTATGTAAATATGTCTTGGAGATCCTCATAGTCATGATTTTTTCATATAGTGCAGTGCTGGATTTAATTTACTGGTATTTAGAATTTTTGTAAAAGTGATATTTTTGACTTGGATAGCATCCACTCTTTTTCTGTCCTTTAGAATAGCCTGTATAAGATGTTGCTCGGTGGTTTAGTCATTTTTAGGTATGCTGTGGAGAAAGGATTCTGCATTCTTTTGCATTTAGCTTTTTCTACCTGCTTTAATGTAATTTTACTGATTCTGTTACCAAATGCAGCAGCTTTCTTGTGTCTGCCTTAATGTGAGCATTTGCATATGTCTTGTTAATCTTTGTTAGTGTGTGTAATAGTACTTTGAAAAATTTTGGGCATGAATTTTGTCTTTGTTGTTTACTGCCTCATCTCCCGTGCCTAGAATGATTCCTATAATAGAAAATGTTACCAATAAATATTTCTCAAATGAATGAATATCATTATCTGACCTCTTTGGAGATATCTGTATACTTCCAGTCAGTACTTATTTTCATTTCCAGTAAGGTCTATCACTTTCCTCTATGCTTTCATTACCTTCTGGTACTCCATAGCAGAAACTCAGGATTGTTTTAACAAATGTGTAACACTTTTTACAAGTAAATGTTTATTGAATTGATCTGAGTTTAGAGCTGATTCTTTGCGCTAGTGTCAGTATAATTGTAACCATTTATATAATATATTTTTACATACCTTCTGTCCTAACACTTTGTTTTCTAGGCCACGGACACAGTCATTCCCTCTTTAATGGTGCTCTAGATCAGGCACATGGCCATGTCGATCATTGCCATAGCCATGAAGTGAAACATGGTGCTGCACATAGCCATGATCATGCTCATGGACATGGACACTTTCATTCTCATGGTGAGTACAGCCTAGAGACAAATGGACAGCCTCCAAATAAACAAGAGTTTTGTGGATTACTTTTCCTAGTTGAAATAGTTTATTAAAAAGATACCAAATCAACTTCTTTTCTAATGAATCAGTCTAAATGGTTCCCAGGGCTAGTTTATTTTTTGTATAGCATGAAATTAACTCAGTATAAGGCAGTGGATGTTCGCTTTTTTCCAGAGGGTATATCATAATAAAATGCCACTTTTTTATGTATTTATTTTTAATTTTTAATTTTTGTGGGTACATAGTAGGTGTATATATTTATGGGTTACATGAGACATTTTGGTATAGGCATGTAATACATAGTAATCACGTAAGGGTAAATGGGGTTTCCATTCCCTCAAGCATTTATCCTGTGTTATAAACAATCCAATTATACTCTTGGTTATTTTAAAATGTACAATGAAATTACAAATTGACAATAGTCACTCTGTTGTGCTAGCAAATACTAGGTCTTATTCATTCAACTATTTTTTTGTACTCATTAACCGTCCCCCTTTCCCTCCCCTCAAATGCCACTATTTTAAATGAGTACTAGTGAATGAGGAACAATTGCATTTTAGGAAATGAAAATCATAATTTTTTAAGCATCACGAGGCCTTTTGTGCTATATTGGCTTATAAAAATATGGTGGAGGTTTTCAATTTTTCACATTTGTATTATAATTTTTGATGTCTGTCACCTGATGTTTACCTCTATGTTTTTTTTAGAAATCTTTGGATGCTAACTTATGTAGCATTGGGTACTAAGTTATGAGGTGTTTATCAACTTAATATTTTATTTTGAATTATATTTTACATAGTTTATAAAGTATAGCTTAATAGAAGCTGCTTGGGTGACACAATTTGATTACTCTCAGTAGAGTGTATGCTTAAGTATTATCTTGTATTTGCAACATAGACAGAATCCTAAAGCTTTAGAATTGAAAATATGAAAGGGACCTTGAAGAGTGAGCCTTCTAAGCCCTTCATTTTTCAGTCTTTGAAATTTTTCCATGAGGCAAGAAAATAGCTTGAACCCAGGAGGCGGAGGTTGCAGTTAGCTGAGATCACGCTACTGCACTCCAGCCTGGACAATAGAGCTAGACTCTGTCTAAAAAAAAAAAAATTTCTAACTACTCTATTGAGATATGATTGACATATGAAAACAGATAAATATTTAATGTATACAACTTGATGAGTTTGAGGTAAGTATGCACCCATGAAACCATCACTATGATTTCTCCAATAAACATATCCGTTCCCACTGAAAGTTTCCTCCTACTCTCAATTCTTTCTTTTCTTTTTTCTTTTCTTTTCTTCTTTCTTTCCCTCCCTCCCTTCCTCACTTCTTTTCTTTTTTCTTTTCTTTTCTTTCTTTTCTTTCTTTCTTTCTTTCTTTCTTTCTTTCTTTCTTTCTTTCTTTCTTTCTTTCTTTCTTCCTTTCTTTCTTTCTTTCTACTTTTGCAGTAAGAGCACTTAACATAAGATCTACACTCTTGGCAGATTTTTAAGTATACAATACAGTATTAGCTATGGGCACTATGCCATACAAATCCCTAGGACCTATTTATTTTGCACAACTGAAACTTTGTACCCTTTGACTAATATTTCCCCTTTTCCAACTTCCTCCAACCACTGGCAACCACTATTCTATTCTCTGTTGCTATGAGTTTGACTATTTTAGATTCCTTATATAAGTGATATAAATGTAGTATTTGTCCTTCTGTGTCTGGCTTATTTCACTTAGCATAATGTCCTTCAGGATCATTCATGTGTCAAAATTAGAAGGATTTCTTTCTTTCTTTAAGGCTGAATGATATTCCGTTGTATGTATATACCACATTGCTTTATCCATTCATCTGTTGATGGACATTTAGCTTGCTTCCATGTCTTGGCTATTGTGAATAATGCTGTAGTGAATACGGAAGTGCAGATATCTCTTTGAGCTCTTGATTTCAATTCTCATGGATATATACCCAGTTTGCTGATCATACGGTAGTTCCATTATTGTTTTTTTGAGGACCCTCCATACTGTTTTCCATAGTGTCTGCACCAGTTTACATTGCCACCAGTAGTATACAAGGGTTTCCTTTTCTCTACAGCTTTCCCAACACTTACTGTCTTTTGCTTTTTTGGTAATAGACATCCTAACAGGTATGATATGATATCTTATTGTGATTCTGATTTGCATTTCCCTGATGATTAGTGATGTTGAGCATCTTTTAATGTACCTGTTGGCTATTTGTATGTCTTCTTTGGAGAAATGTCTATTTTATTCCTTCGGCCATTTATTACTTTTTTATTTTTTTAATAAATTTTTTTATTTTTAATTTTTGTGGGTACATAGTAGCTGTATATTCTTATTATTTATTTATTTATTTATTTTTGAGATGGAGTCTCGCTCTGTCACCCAGGCTGGAGTTCAGTGGTGCGATATCGGCTCACTGCAACCTCTGCCTCCCGGGTTCAAGTGAATCTCCTGCCTCAGCCTCCCGAGTAGCTGGATTACAGGCGTGTGCCACCACACCCAGCTAACTTTTTGTATTTTTAGTAGAGACGAGGTTTCACCGTGTTAGCCAGGATGGTCTCAATCTCCTGACATCGTGATCCACCTGCCTTGGCCTCCCGAACTGCTGAGATTACAGGTGTGAGCCACTGTGCCCAACCAGTAGGTGTATATTGTTATGGGGTACATGAGATGTTTTGATACAGGCATGCAGTGTGAAATAATCACATCATGGAGATGAGGTATCCTTCTCCTCAGGCATTTATCCTTTGTATTACAAACAATCCAGTTACACTCTTTTAGTTATTTTGAAAGGTACAATTAATATTGACTGTAGTCACCCTGTTGTGCTATCAAATAGTAAATCTTATTCATTCATTCTTTTTTTTTTTTTTTTTTTTTTGTACCCATTAACCATCCTCACTCCTGCAGCACCACACTACCCTTCCCAGCCTCTGGTAACCATCCTTCTACTCTCTGCTTCCATGAGTTTAATTGTTTTGAATTTTTGTACTCCACAAATAAGTGAGAACATGCAATGTTTGTCGTTCTGTAACTCTTTGACCATTTTAAAATCAGGTTATTTATTTACCTTTGCTGTTGATTGTGAGTTCTGTATATATTTTATCAGATACATAGTTTGCAAATATTTTCTGTCATTCTGTAAGTTGCCTTTTCATTTTGTTATTTGGTTCCTTTGCCTTGCAGAAGCTTTTTAATTTGATGTAATCCTTCTTGTCTATTTTTGCCTGTTGCCTGTGTCAGTCTCTAAAATATCCTGTATTTTTATAACAGTTACACTGGTATGCTTTAAAACCTTGCTTTTCCAACTTTTTTGCTCACATGCATCCCAAAATAATGTTGAAAAACTGCATATCTCTTACACTTTTGGCTATCAGCTGGATTTTTCAGGGTAGCTACTTCTTCATTCCCATACAGCAGTACAATATCTAGATAGGAAATATTATATGGTGTTATGCTTTTATATTTCTTTGTTACATTATTGCAGAACATTGTTATAATGCTCTATCAAAGCTGTACTGATAAGGGTACCTTGACCTTTTTGGTGCTGTGGGCCATGAACAAATGATGATAGTAGGTACATTGTTAGTTGTGATCAGAAAGCTTGTCAGTCTTCCTGATGATCTGTTTAAACAAATATTGCTCATCTTTTGCCTTGTTTTCCTATATTTTCTGTTTTAATGTTAAAGCTGAATAGTAATTTTCAAGATGTTTAGAGATAGAAATTATAGCATTTTGTCATCATAAAAGCAAAATGAAAAAAATTATTTTTATCTCTTCTGTATCAAGAGTTTGCCACATTAATCTAGAAGCTGTTGAAAACTACTGTTTACCATAGTCAAGTTATCTTTCTATCCTGGCTTCATTTCTTGGACCTCATAACTTCAAGCAGTACATTTGGGTTTCTCTGAATTTTCCAATTGTAAGAGTATTAAAAGATATTTTATGAATACTGGAAGATTTTCACAATGTCTTTAATTTCCTGTGCTTTTAATCTTTTTAATACAATAATTTCTGAAATACTCCATACTTTTGATGAATTTTAAAACTACTGCCACTAAATTTACCTCCACTCAATTATTTTATTAAATTTAAAAAATAAATTTGTAAGTTTGATATGGCTATATAGCCATGCATTCTTGATGATGCATTTGAATGAAAAGGACTCTGAATTGTAAAAACTTGAATGAGGAATTGAAAACATGTTTTAAAATAACTTAATTCTCTACAGATGGCCCGTCCTTAAAAGAAACAACAGGACCCAGCAGACAGATTTTACAAGGTATGACAAGCAATTTTTATGTTTCTTAGTTTTTTGAAACTGCTTTTATAGTTTTGAAGTTTTAGTTGTCTGAAGTTTTCCTTTAAGAAAAATATAAAACATAGTGTTTGTGTTTAGTGTTAGCCTTTCTAGTGATTGTTTTTTATATACTATTAGATATATTAGCAGACATTCTTTTAATTGTCACTTGACTGTTTTCTCTGATTTGATAATAAAAGCAAAATATAGAGCTGGGTGCACTTGGCATGTCCCCACAATCCCAGCTACTCAGGAGAATTGCTTGCTTGCGCCCAAGAGTTTGAGACCACCCTGGGGAACATATGAGACTCGTATCTCAAAAAGATTCGGAAACTATTCTGCTTGAATATAAGTAATACCCATGCCTGTGACTATAAACATTGTATAGATGCTTCTTGATTTACTGTGGGGTTGTGTCCTAATAAACCCGTGGTAAATTGAAGATACTGTAGGTTGAAAATGCATTTAATACACCTAACCTACCGAACATCATAGTTTTGCCTTGCCTACCTTAAATGTGCTCAGAACACTTGCATTAGCCTACAGTTGGGCAAAATCATCTAACACAAAGCCTATTTTATAATAAAGTGTTGAATATCTCATGTAATTTATTTAATACAGTCCACTGTAGAGTACAGTATCAGTTGTTTACCCTTGTGATTGCTTGGCTGACTGGGAGCTGCCGCCTGCTGTTGCTGCCCAGCATCATGAGAGATGATCATAGCACATTATTGCCAGCCCAGGAAAAGATCAAAATTCAAAATTTGAAGTATAGTTTCTACTGAATGCATACTGCTTTCACACCATCATGAAGCCAAAGTCATAAGTTGATCATTTTAAGTCGAGGACTGTCTGTAGGAGTATGTTTGCTTTTACAGGATTATTATGTAGTTTTTCCAAGAATAATATTTAATATGTTTTTATGTTGTGGGAAAATTTAGAGCTAAAGATTTAATGCAAAGTGAGAACTCCATAATATTTGTAGGCCATCAATAGCTAATACATGTGTAAAATTGTATATTACAAAGTTTTACATGCCAGAGAAAATCCTGTCTATGAATTATAGTAATTTTTTTTTGTTTTGTTTTGTTTTTGTGGGTGGGGCGGTAGGTTATTAATCAATCTCTGGCTCTGAGTTTCCATTTAGACTTTATTGTCAGGGTTTCCTAATTCCCAGCTATCTACTTGCCTTTATTAACTTTTGACTTCAGTCTGACTTTCTGAATGGCTTCTGATCCAATCTCAACTGCACCTATTTGTCTTCACTATTTCTTTATATAACTCTCGTTTTTTATTTTTTCACTGTGAATATATTCCTTCATACTGAGAAATTTATTTTCAGAAGGCTTAAATGTGTCTTCCAATCACAGGTTTTCCATTTACAAAAGATATGGAATTGTTTTAGAATAACATTTGCTGAAATAACATATAATCATGCATATATGATGCATCTATATCAAGTACTATAAATTAGCCTTGATAATAAGAATTTAATTTTGAAAGTCATCACAAGTTGGAGGAAAGGAAGTTAGATTTGCCTTTCTAATTCTCTTTTATATAAGTTATTGTGAAAATAAATTTATATTTTCTGAATATTTATCAATTTATGGTGGCTGAAGAGCCCAGTAAATAGCTGAAGAACAGAGAAAACTACCTGGCATTAAAAACTTCTTGTAAAATGACCAGGTAGATAGATACTCATACATGAAAAACTTGAATTAATTATGTTTTTCAATTATATGCTACATCTTGACTCCTGGCTTACTAAGGTTTTGGGGGGTTAGGTTATCAGTATCCTACCACATCTTCTAAGGCTTTTAACTTTGTATAAGTTAAACATCCTAGTTTATGTTTCTTTCTTAGTGATTTTTTTCTTAAACAGTTTATGTAGTAAGAAGGCTTTAGGTAGTTTTAATGACACTTACTAATAAAACCAGTTTTCAGGTTAGCAAATAAATGGTAGCCAGGGACTTTCCAGTCTAAGGAAAATCAAGAACAAATCATTATTTTCTTACAAATCATTATTTTCTTTTTCTTTTCATGTTTAGAGTTATTTTCATTTTTTATTCTACCAAAACACTGATTAAAGAATATAAAGGCTTAAAAGCATGTATCATATATAAGAGTTTGTAGTTAGGGACCTTCAATCTGCTTTGATGTGTATTTTTTTTCCAGTTGTAGTTTTAAAAGTTAAAGTGGCCCCAACATTATTAACCTATTTAATTCACTGCTATTTGAAATACGTGATAGGAACCGAATATTTATTCTATAAGTATGTCTGACAAAATTTATTTCTTTTGGAAATATTTTTAAGAAAGTTGTTCTTAAAGGACTGTTCTTTTTGAAGAACAGTTATAATAATAGAGTTAAACTGTATATAAACGAAAAGTTATATGTAGGTAGTGAGGGATGATTTATATTTAATATAATATTTGATATAAATTTCCATCAGTGGCAGATAAAATGAAGTATAATTTTCCAGAACACAAGATTTGATTTGACTCATTAGCAGTCAATTTTTAAGTTATTAGAACATTTCTTGAGTTTGTTTGTATTTATATACCTAAAAATAATTACAGTTCACCCTTTATTGTGCAGTGAATACTAAAAAAGAAAAATCAAGTATTTCTCAACTACATACATGCTTTTTATGCATTAACTATTTCTTTTCAGATAGGGCAGATGATGGTATTGAATAATGTTCTATTTTTAGCAAGACATGATTGAAGTTTAAAAGAATGTTTGTGGTATAGAAATTTTGTATTAAAGATCTAAACGTTGAATAATTTGTCTCAGTTGAGTTTTTTCAGAAAGTATTGTACATAAATCTTACTTCTTGACATTTTAAATGGTTTTCTGGGCAACTTTGACTTACTAAATGTTATTATGTCTAAGTTTTTAGAATATCAGTATAACATCAGTATCCTACCAATTTAATATTTAATTATTAAAAGTTCAACATGTATTTTATATTTATTTAAAAATATTCAAATCAGTGCCTGCTTTCACGTCACCTCTGAGTGTAGTATGTAACCAGTTTAGATAGAGCTTTTAGGATAATTAATAAGTGTAACAGGATAAGTGAAATTATGGTTTATGGGAAATTGTAGTCCCAAATGGTAATAATTGTAATCACCAGCAGAGGGCTCTGTATGTACGTATATCTATAGTTAAAAATGTTTTCTTGACCAGTTCTTTTAGCCTAATGCAATTTCCATCCCATAACAAATTACTGACTTTTGGACTCCTGTTAGCCAGAGGTGAATGTTCACAAACAATTTTTAAAATCAACTTGCTTCTCTACTTCATTTATATCATTAAGAAAAGGTATAAATTACCAGTCAGATATTTCAACCCCTGTTGATTTGAAACAGAAAAAGTGATTTTAATTCATAAATGTACTATTACATGGTTACTAAATGGTGAATATACATGCTTACTTATTTTTGAAGTTGATATCTAGTTTTTTATATATAAAATTAAGAGTATAGCTCTAGGATATATTCGTATTTTAAATTAACCAAAAGACTGTTTTGATTTTTATTATGGTTTATTTCTAGGTGTATTTTTACATATCCTAGCAGATACACTTGGAAGTATTGGTGTAATTGCTTCTGCCATCATGATGCAAAATTTTGGTCTGATGATAGCAGATCCTATCTGTTCAATTCTTATAGCCATTCTTATAGTTGTAAGGTAAGTGTTATTGTTACTTTCAAGTATTAAAGTGAGACTGAGAGAGAAATATGTTACTTAAATTATAGGTCTAAAATACAAATAATTATGTTGGTTTTCCTTTGCTTGCTTTTTTTTTTTTTTTTTTTTTGAGACAGAGTCTCGCTCTGTCACCCAGGCTGGAGTGCTGTGGCACTGTCTCGGCTCATAGCCATCTCTGCCTCCTGGGTTGAAGCAATTCTCCTGCGTCAGCCTCTCAAGTAGCTGGGATTACAGACAACTGCAACCAGCTGTACGTTAGTGCCCAGCTAATTTTTGTATTTTTAATAGAGATGGGGTTTTACCATGTTGGCCAGGCTGGTCTCAAACTCTTGACCTCAGGTGATCCACCTGCCTCAGCCTCTGAAAGCGCTGGGATTACAGGCATGAGCCACCGCACCCGGCCAGATACCCTTTTCATTTTTATATGTTTTCTGTGTTTGCCATGTATTTGTTACCTAGAGTTTGATGTTTCTTTTTGATATTTGGCAGTTAAATTTTTGGTCATAATTCAAATCAATAGTAATTTTCTTGAATGCAACATTACATCTATAGAGTAAAATAATGGAAATATAAAATATATTCACTATAGTTAGTGTATTAATCCTTTGACATCTGCATCTTACATTATTAAATGCAAAGGAATATCAAAGACTCCTCTGCTAGAACCATTTTTATTCATAAAGTCACATTATCATTGTAGAAGTCTTGTAAAAATGCTACCTGAAATGAATTATGTCCGTCTTCCCATCTGGCTTACAAAATTCTTGAGGAAGCATCTGCCTCGTAGCTCTTTATCTTTCTATTTCCTACTACAGGGACAATGTATATGGAAAGATAAATGTGTGTAGGTGTATAAATTCTCAATAAATATTTGCTGAATTAGATTGTACAGTTGTTATCTTTTAAGTTTAACTCATCCTGAGATACATTTTATTATTGGTCTAATTTTTATCATAATGATAAGACATTATGTTCCATTTTAAAGTTATTTAAAAATTTACATATACACTGTATATGTCTTGACTGGACTGTTTTTATTTTTTCATTGTGATTTTACTGTCAGGAACTTTTTTGTAATGATAACTAAGATCTGCTAGAGGCCAGACTCAAGATTTTTATAGCTTGTAGTTTGTTAGAATAGATTTTTTTTTTTTTTTTTTTTTTTTTTTTTTTGAGACGGAGTCTCGCTGTCGCCCAGGCTGGAGTGCAGTGGCGCAATCTCGGCTCACTGCAGGCTCCGCCCCCTGGGGTTCACGCCATTCTCCTGCCTCAGCCTCCCGAGTAGCTGGGACTACAGGCGCCCGCCACCTCGCCCGGCTAATTTTTTGTATTTTTAGTAGAGACGGGGTTTCACCGTGTTAGCCAGGATGGTCTCGATCTCCTGACCTCGTGATCCGCCCGCCTCGGCCTCCCAAAGTGCTGGGATTACAGGCGTGAGCCACCGCGCCCAGCCTAGAATAGATTTAATAAAGTATGATGAAATCATAATGTAAGATGAGTCATAAATGGAGATTTTTTTTTAAAGTTTCTGCCTAAAAAAATAGGATATACATTTTAAACATACAGATTATTTTTTAATTTTTTCAAATTATTTGAACAGGGAAATAACTCTGCTATATAAAAGTCTGTTATAAGCTCAGCACAGTGCTTTACAACTATAATTCCAGCATTTTGGGAGGCTGAGACAGGAGGATTGTTTGAGGCCAGGAGTATAAGACCAGCCTGGGCAACATGGTGAAACCATGTTTCTACAAAAAATTTAAAAATTAGCTGGGCATGGTGGTTGTGTACCTATAGTTGCAGCTACTTGGGATGCTGAGGCCGGAGGATCTCTTGAACCCAGGAGTTTGAGGCTGCAGATAGCTATGATGGTGCCACTGCATTCCAGCCTGGGTGACAGAGTGAGATCCTGTCTCTATATAAAAAGGAAAATAAAAGGATTTCGTAAAGTTTGAAATGCCTTTTCTTCTTCTTTGGAAATCTTACTGTACCTTGTTGAAATTTCAGCTTAGATGTCCCATATTCTGTGAAATCTGACTTTTGGTAATTTATTCACTGTTACAACTATACCTGTTTATTTGTGCTTTTAGTGTTCACTTAACTGCTTCTAATTCTTCTTAGACTAGGATCTTAATATTCACTTTTGTCTCCACTCTTACTATTCTAATTCTGGCTATAATTATGTCTTACCTGGAAAACTGTAACAATCTCCAGGTTGACCTTTCTGTCTCCCTCTAAACACATCACATTGGCTAAAATTATCTTTTGTTAATAAGGATTATATTACATATAAAAGTATTTAAATATTTTAATGACTCTTACCCTTAGGATAGGGTCTGAACTCCTTAGCAGGCTTCATGATATATTAACCTTGTTGACCTCTTTGGTCTCTCTCAGTACTTCTCAATTCATACTTTGCTCTTCAGCCACAGTAAGTTAGTTTTAGTTCCCTGAGTATGTTATCAGCTCTCTGGATTCTGGGCTTTGCTCATATTTCCTCTATTCAAAATACTCTTATACTTCATGTCTTTCTTGCCACACCCCCCACCCCTTCCCACCAGCATATGTGTATGTATCACAATTACTCATCCTTCAGATCAGATTCAGTTTAAATGGCATTTCTTTGGGAAGCATTTCCTGATTCTCTACCTCCCAGGCTGGGTTGATTGCATGTATAGCACCTTCTACTGTAGTACCCTTTTCATGGCATTTACTTACCATAGCCTATTTGTTATTGCCCTCAAGCTCCATTAGGGCAAATTGTTTTTTCATTGTTTTAAAGTCAGCACCTAAATCTCCCTGGCCAAAAAAAAAAAAGAAAAAAAAAATTGGTACACTTTGAATTTGAATCAAAATAAATTTGTGGGTTTTTTTTTTCAACCTCAGAGAATTACTTTAATTCCAAATTGGGAATTCTTACTTAGTTCTGTTCTCATTCATTTATTCCTCTAGTATAAATAAGTAAACATACACAGACACACAAAGAAAACTTGTTTTACTGAATATAACACACATGAAGAAAACTGCACAAATCATCTTCACCAAATATTTATTAAGCAGGCCCTCTCACCTACTTAATCGTAGATAAGATCTTCACTGTCTTGATCCTATAATAGGAGAGTGAGACAATAAACAAATTAATAAATTAGACGGCTCAAATGCCAAATAGTTATTTGTATTGTGTGGATTTAAGATAGGATTATATGATAGTGACTGAGTTGCCACTTTAAATTGAGTAGATCTGGAAGACTTCTGAAGAAGAGGCCTTTAACCTGAGATCTTATTGTCGTAAGAAAAGCTTGTCAGAGGAAGAACATTCTAGTCTAGGTATCAGTTGGTAGAAAAGCCTTGTGGTAAAAGCAGCTTTGATACTGAAAGGAGGCCAGCATGGCTGAAGCATAGGGAGTAAGAGGAGAGTGGTTTGAGATAAAGTTGGAGAAATAGGCTGGGGAAGACTACCTAGGGTTAGGAGTTTGGATTTTATTCCAAGTGCAATGGGACACAATAAGGATATTTGTTTTAAAAAATGATTTTGGCTGCTGTGTGGATAATAGATTATAAGGGGGCACAAGTGAGAACAGGCAGACCAGCTAGAAGGCTATTATTTAAAGTGGACCAGGTGAGAGGCCATGGTGGCTTGGTCTTAGGTACTAACCTTAGAAATGGAGAGACACAGAAAAGTTAGAAAATGCTTTGGGGTACAGCTAACAAGATTTGCTTGAGAATATAAATGTGTGGGTCAGGGTTGAGTGAAAGAGGGGAATTAAGGATAGTTTCTAGAGTTTTTAATCTGGGCAACTGAGTGAATGAGGTGTCATTACTAAAAGAGAGGGGACTGGGAGAAAGGTAATGTTTTTATTTTTAAAGAGGACTGTAGATAAAAAATTCTGTTTTGGATATAAGTTTGAGATCTCTCAGACATTGATATGGAGAGTTCAAATAGACAAAGAGTGTACAAATAGGCATTCTTGGGAGCAATCAACTGAACAGAAAGGGTTGAAAATAGTCCACACCTGGATTTAAAGTCATGGAGTGGTTGGTATTCATCTGGCATTGGAATTCATCTAGCATGAATGCCACAATTCCCACCCCTTCTGTTTTCCTGGAAGATATCCCTCAGTATGGTACTCCTGCCTGCTAAAACTGATTTAGCGTCAGGGGCCCTTTCAATATAGTGCTTCAAGCAACCACAACCAGTCAACTACAGTAGGCTTCCAAGGTAAAACTTATTTGTCATCCTTGTCTAGGTCCTACTGACCTACTTATAAACTTCTCTGTAACTTACATAGATACATAGTTTCAGGTCATATGATTGGATTTCTTTTTGTTATTGTTAAGCTTTGATATTTTTATTATTTGCTCTTGTTTTTCTGATAACCAAAGTAATACTTTGCATTGCTATAAAGATATACCTGAGACTGGGTAGTCTATAAAGAAGAGAGGTTTTATTGGCTCACAGTTCCGTAGGCTTTACAGAAAGCATAGTGCTGGCATCTGCTTAGCTCCTGGGGAGGCCTCAGGAATCTTACAGTCATGGTGGAAGGTGAAGGCAGAGCAGGCATGTAGCGTGGTGAAAGAGAGAGAGAGAAAAAACAATGACTAAATCTGGAAATAAGTCACTATTGTGAAGACAGCACCAAGCCATGAGGGATCTGTCCCCATGATCCAAACACCTCCCACCAGGCCCCACCTCCAGCACTGGGGATTACAATTCAGCATGAGTTTTGGGCAGGCACACATATCTAAACTATATTAACATTCTTATTGTGAAAATTTTAAACATTACTGAAATGTATAACTTACCTATTAAAAGGTTCTCATAAGCCCACCCTTTGAAGGTAACAGAAAAGTTTCATGTATCTTAAAATTCAACAAATGTTTTAGTACCCACTCTGTGCCAGGCAAATAGCCTACCCTCATGGAGCTTACATTTTAATAGGGAGACAGTCAATAAAGCAAACGAACATGCAAATAGATAATGGACTGTCAGTTGGTGACAAATGCCATAGAGTAGGCTAAGATGCTATTTTAGAAGGGCTTGGAAAGTCTTCTGCATAGGGTAATATTGGAGCAGAGACTAAATGGTGGAGGAGAGGAATATGGGACTGTTCAGAGGAAGAATATCCCTGGTGAGGGAACTTCAAGTATAAACACACTGAGGCAGGAGCATGCCAGATACAAGGATGACAAGAAGGGCAGTGTAACTGGAGCGCAATGAGCAGGGCAGAGAGTGGTAGATACATGTTTATATATCTGCATCTCTAGAGTTCAGGGAGCAGGTTGGGGTGGAAGATAGAAATTTGGGTGTCATCAGATTATATATGTTGTTTAAAGCCATATTTAATAGACAGTTTATTCTGAGACCGAGTATTGATAGAGGAGGGGAGGCCTGAGAACTGAGCCCTGGGGTTGGTCAGGAGGCAGGTGCAACCAAGAAGAGTAAAGTGGAATGACCAGCGAGGTGGGAAGAAAGATACAACCATATGTTGTTTTAGAAGCCTTGTAAAGAAACCTGTTAAACAGGAAGGACTAATCAACTCTGCTAAATGCTGCTGGGACTAAGAAGAGTGATGAGAATGAAAGCCTGATCAGACAGAGTAGCTTCGAGAGAGAATGGGAGGGGAGGAAATGGAGATAGCAACTAAGTCAACTCCTTTTCAAAGCCTTTTGCTGTAAAGGGGAGCAGTGTGATTGCCTGGCAGCACAGAGGGCCCACTTTGAGGTTTGTGGTCATGAATTTAAAGTGCAAACAACCAGAATAGTTGTGTTTTTCTTCAGTCTTGTTCAGCTACTTGGTAAGAGGTATGGAATAGACAGAGAGTTAGATTTAACAGGTTTGGGGTTTTGTCAGGTGAGTACTGACAGTGAGAAAGGGGCAAGGCAGGGATTAGAGTGGTGAGAAATTAAGATATAAAGGTAATTGATGCATGCTTTAAAAAAAAGTGTTAGGTTCAGTGGTCTAATCCACTTAGTGGCCTAAGATAGGGTCAATCTAATCCACTGAGCCTATCTTCCCTGTTTGGGAAGAAGTATTAAGAATGGAGGTATTAGGGGAATTGATCCAGAAATAGAAAGGGTTGTTCAGATTATGAGATGCTTGGAATTGAGATCTTAAGGCTTAAGGTGTGATTATAGGGGCAGAAGATAAGCTTAGCATATAGAGACCTGATGATGGGTGGATTGCCCACATGGATAATTTAAATCAAGAATAATGAAAAGAGTAGAGGTGGAAAGATAATAAGCCCATTACCAAATTTTTCAGTGACTGAAGGGGGGCAATCAGGAATTGTAACCCTGGTAATCAAGATGGGTAGAGGGTGTAATGATCTAATGGCACGGGCCTTAAGGAAACTGTGCTGTAGGGAAGAAGTAGTAGGAACTGTGATAAATAGTGGTAGTGACAAGCAAGAAGGACATCTGCCTCACCACAAGCCCCAACAGTACTGGAGTGTAGGAGAGAAAACGGCGCTTCTTAATAGTGCTCTAGGGAAGACAGTGCCCTCCATTGGTCAGTTTTCAGGTAGAGCATGAACATGCTATGTGGCTATTTAGAGAAGAGGCTGAGGATTTAATGAAATTGCATATTTAAAAGTAGTTTTTTTAATTATGGGAATAATTATGTTGACAAAGAAACTTGGTAAAATATAGAAAAAGATAAGGAAAAATTACCATAAGAGACCCATGTTAATATTTTTGTGGGTTTTCTTTTGGATTTTTTCTTTTATTCTGAGATTATTTTATTTTATTTTTCATAATATTTTTGTTTGTATTATGCATATGACATATTCTTTGTAAGAAAATTTTTAATAGTTTTCTGATTATAAAATATGATCATGGTAGAAAATTTTGAAAATAGTGGAAAGCATATGAAGTAAAGAAAAACTAGGATCACAACACGCAGAGGTCACATAACCACTGTTAGCAGTATTTCTTTACAATCATTTTTAGGCACATTTTTAAAAAAATTATTGAACTTCTACTATATGTAGATTATTAAGCTTGGTCAGCATCAGAGAGCATTCACAGGTTTCAGATGAAAGGTAATAGTATAGTCATTATTTTAAGTCAATATTAAGTTTTGGATGACTAAGTTGTCAGCAAAGGCTTAGATTCAATGGTAATAAATGACAACAAGGTACAGAGCAACACATAAGAAAAATTCTTGTAAAAGGTCTGTGTCTAAACTACGCATTTATCTTTACATGTATGAGGGAGAAACTATATATAGAGAGTGTGTGTGTGTGTGTGTGTGCGTGCCTGTACACACCAGATCCCAATTAGCATTCATATATATAGAGAATATATTTCCCAGAATGTTAATTGGCTCTCTCTGGGTAGTGTAATTTTAAAATTACATCTCTTGCCTAATTTCTCTATGGTAACATTTTTGACTTAGACTTTAAAAAAGCATAAGTTTTTTAATGAAAGTCAGTTAAAAAGTAGCTCCAAAGTACAAAATAAAGAAATTCTAGTTCAGCATTTTTTTCATTTAAAAAAGAAAACAAACTGAATTTATTTAAATGTACACCTGATAAAGAACTATTTGCAAGGAGATCACTCTGAGATGTTTTTCAAATTGGTAAAAATTTGCCTGATTTTAGGAAATAGTGAAAACTCTTAAAAAATCAACTAAATAGAGTATAAAGAAGTATTTTTCCCTACCATTAATTTTTATATATTCAGTATTTGCAGTTCATCAATAGCAAGAGAAATAGTGGCACTTCTTTTAAATTCTCTGGGTCTACTGCTGCTCAGTTGAAAACGTGCCATGGAAATATATGTCTATCCCTTCTAGCTTGCCCAGCGTTCCATTTTCACTTCCACAGTGAAAGTTATTTCTTAGAAAAAGACAGGTTTTTTTTTTTCAACATTTTCTACACAGACAAAGGGTGATAATAAATTTTGGGGTAAAACTGAGTTGTATTGTGATGAATTTTGTTTTGCAATGAAAAACAGGAGAATGAATATAATGTAAGAGTGTGATTTTTTATTTTCTGAAAATATGATTCCTATAAGAGCTTTCAGAGTAGTTCTGCTCCTTTTTTCCCTAAGGTGAGTTGGGATAGAAGATGAATTCATAACTTAGAATGCAGAAATCTGAACAATTAGTTGTAGCTTTGAATCTCACTGCAGTTTAGAGACGAGGCAATTTACATAGATCTGTAGCTTGATTTTTTTTTATTCACTTAAATGAAAGGGTTACCTATGCATGATGGATAATTATAAAACTAAGCAGGATATAGAAATATACTTTGTTACTGGTGTGATATTTCTGAAGCCTTGCTAGATTTTTTTAAAAAAATCAATTTTCTGCAACTCACCAGTTACCATCTTGTGGTGCTTTGTACTTTTATATACATATATATATACATACCACAAAATCATTTGTAAGTACAAAGAAAAGCTTTTTAACCAAAAACAAGTCTTTTTGTTAGGTCTAAAATTTTAAAATAGCAGCTTAATTTTAGAGGAAACAAATTTTTAGAGGCAAACTGAGGTACAGACTTTAGAAATGATAAATAATGGTCTGTATAAAATAGAATGTATACTAATGGAAACAAAATTATAAACTTGAAATTCTAAATTATAAGAAATCATCATTGTTCATGAATATAGGATTTAGACCCTGTACTGATTTTGATAAATCTTGTTGATTTCATATTTAAATAGAAAGAGTTGAATAGAATAAATTTGTGGCCTGTATTAAGCAAAAAGTAAGCATTTTTTTTTTTAATATGTAGAAAGTTACCATATGACAAATTCTGGAGATTTTACTTTTTTCAAAATTGTTTTTGGGTGTTCCCTAACAATTTCCTTTGTGGTTTGCCTTTCAAGTGGTTATAATTTGTGAACTATTACTTTTGGGGACTAAGATAAACAGTTTACCAAGATTTTAACTTGCTGCTTGTATATGTGCCCATATTGTAAAATTGAACATATGGGAACATTATTGCATAGTTATTGTATTCTTTAATCATGCATAAAACCATCATAGTAAGAACATTTATAAAAACTGATTAGTCTAACAGCCTTTCTCAATTGGGAAAGAACACCCTAATACTATAAAGCCTCAATTTGTATGGAATTATTAACTTCTTACCTATGTATCTAGAAAATTACAGTTATGTATTATCCTTGGGGCAATTGAGAAATAGTCGCTAAAATCATTTTCTGTGTTCATTGGTTCAGATGAGGAACCCTAGTTAAAGGCTGGCAGAGGGTTTTATAATACTGGAAAGAACACAGTGAGCATAGTAATGGTAAACAGAATTTTGAACTTAAGAACCTAATTATGTAAGAATATCATTCAGCAAAAATTCGGTAGTTTTTATTGAAACATCTGCTTTGTCCTCAACACTTTCTTAGGATCTGAGGATACAGTATCAGGTATTAATTCAGTACAACTACCAATAAACTGCCATTAAGTATATTTTAAAAATTCCTGACTTAAGCAAAATCTCCACTCATTTCCTCTCTCTGCCATTACATTACTACACACATAAACACACACATGCACAATTCGTAAATATGCCTTAACTGTCAATGCCTCCAAAAGGTTGTAACTGCTAGTATTAGAGATAAGGTTATCTCCTGGCCAATGAAGAGGGAGCAGGGTTTTTGGTTACTAGGATTGCTTACTGGATTTTATTTTCCATGCTCTTATTTGAAACTCACTGAGTATTTTTTTTTAATTTTTACTGTTCAGTTACCAGAATTTAGTACCAGAGTTTAGTACTGTGCTCTTATTAAAATATTCACTGTAAAACCTAACTGCTTTTTGCATTGTTTCTTGTGGGAAATCGGTGATTTTTAAACAGCCAACTTAAAAATACCTTAAAATACTACCAATTTGTAAATTAGGAGTCTATTTGTAAACTGGATTTGTAAATTGGAGTTAAAGTGTTCTGAGATACCATCTTCCAATCAGAGTTATTCAGGAATTCATTGTTGAAATGTATTTGGTTTCTTTTAAACATCAAACATACTGTATTATTTTTTCCTTTACCCTAAAGCCAAAAACTCCTCAAAAAGTCAAATAAGAAGAGCTGTGTACAAACACCAGAGTGTGCTATTTCTGCTTTTAATCTAACCCTACCATTTTTGTTGTTGCTATATTTGAACTGTAGTTTTTCTAAGAAATGTTGTATGTTTCATCATTGACTTTATTGGAGTATAAAAGCTAAAATGAAGGGAGAAATTTAAAAATCAGAGTGTTATTCCTTTTCCACAAAAGTTTTAGAACGGTTAGTCCCATAAAAAACTGCTTAATGGCTGGGCACGGTTGCTCATGCCTGTAATCCCAGCACTTTGGGAGGCCGAGGCGGGTAGATCACCTGAGGTCACGAGTTTGAGACCAACCTGGCCAACATGGTGAAACCCCATCTCTACTAAAAATACAAAAATTAGCCAGGTGTGGTGGCACACATCTGTAATCCCAGCTACTTGGGAGGCTGAGGCAGGAGAATCGCTTGAACCTGGGAGGTGGAGGTTGCAGTGAGCCGAGATTGCGCCACTGCACTTCAGCCTGCGTGACAGAGCAAGACTCTGTCTCAAAAATAAATAAATAAATAGGAAACTGCTTAATATGGCCTCTTTGTGGTTTGCAACTGATATTTCTATTACAAAGCATGAAAAATAGAAATGTGAGTGGTATAATATAACTAGATATATACGTTAGTAATTTAAAATCTAATGATGGTATATATGTGTAGGTCTGTGATTAAAAATCAAGCCAACACTTTTTCCTTTTTATTTATGCCTTATCATTGTTTGATATGGGATTGCTTGGTTTGTGTAGGTTCATTTAAGGAAACTTACTGGGAGTGTGTTAGAGTGTTCTAGAGAAGTGGAATACAAAGATCTCACCAAGTAATATGAGAGAGAGAAACCTATACACAAATAAAAACAATACAGAGCTAGACTATAAAAATGAACAAGGTACAGTATAGATGGTAATTTAATCAAGGGCCCCCTCTTCTAAAATTGTTGATGTCTTACCTCTGTTTACAGAATAAATCTTATGGTTAAAGAGCTCTGTCATCTGCCCCAACCTCCCTTCCAGCCAGTTATTTTCCATAGCAGTTTGTATATATTATACCACTCTTTTTCTTTTTTCTTTTTTTTTTTTTTTTGAGACGGAGTCTCGCTCTGTCGCCAGGCTAGAGTGCTGTGGCGCAATCTCGGCTCACTGCAAGCTCTGCCTCCCTGGTTCAGGGGATTCTCCTGCCTCAGCCTCCCGAGTAGCTGGGATTACAGGCGTGCACCATCACACCCAGCTAATTTTTGTATTTTTAGTAGAGATGGGGTTTCACCATGTTGGCCAGGATGGTCTTGATCTCCTGACCTCGTGATCTGCCTGCCTCAGCCTCCCAAAGTGCTGGGATTACAGGTGTGAGCCACCGTGCCTGGCCACCACAATTTTTTTTAGCTTTATCACTTGTTATTTATGGAAGATACTCTCTATACTTTGCTGCCCCTGTACCTTTGCTCATAGTATTCTTATCTTGATGCCTTTCTTCCTCATGATTCCCATCATTGTCCTAACAATTTTTTTTTTAATTTTTTTTATTATACTTTAAGTTCTAGGGTACATGTGCACAACATGCAGGTTTGTTACATATGTGTACATGTGCCATGTTGGTGTGCTGCACCCATTAACTTGTCATTTACATTAGGTATATCTCCTAATGCTATCCCTCCCCACTCCCCCCACTCTACTACAGGCCCCAGTGTGTGATGTTCCCCTTCCTGTGTCCAAGTGTTCTCATTGTTCAGTCCCCACCTATGAGTGAGAACATGCGGTGTTTGGTTTTTTGTCCTTGCGATAGTTTGTTGAGAATGGTGGTTTCCAGCTTCATCCATGTCCCTACAAAGGACATGAACTCATCCTTTTTTATGGCTGCATAGTATTCCATGGTGTATATGTACCACATTTTCTTAATCCAGTCTATCATTGTTGGACCTTTGGGTTGGTTCCAAGTCTTTGCTGGAGGCATGTCCTAACAATTCTTTAAGGTTCAGTTCTAATACTGTTTCTTCCATGAAGCCTTTTCTTCCATTTCTAAACTGTTTGTTTTTACCTTTAAATTTGTCAAGTTATTGTTTTCATAAATGGTGGCATAGTGTATCTCTATATACATACGTGTACATACCAGTACATGAGCATAGGACTGAGTCTTGTTCAGCTCTGTATCATATCATTGTGCTTGGTGCACAGTAATATTTGTGGAATTTTGGTGACCTAGATTGAGATTCAGCAGGCTTGACTTGTAGTTCTGGCTTTGTGACACTCAAGTTTCTGGACCCCTCTGTTTTCTCAAGTGTGGATTTTTGACTTTATTCTAATTTTCATGGTTGTACAAATAAGTACCACTTCATGGAGTGTTTACACATGATACCTTTAGCATGTTAAAAGCCAAGGCTAATAATGGAAAATAAGAATTCTCAGAATATGGCCTACTTCAAGGATATAGAGACAGGAAGTTATCAGGACCTGAGAACAGAGATTACTAGAAAGTAGAAATTAAATATTGCACACTTAGAGAAGGCAATAAGGGGCCATTTAGGTTATGAACTATAAGAATATAGGACTCTCATCTTTTCTTTGCTCTATTATCCAGATAAACTGCTTAGATATTTTCATATTATGGTAAAAAGAATAAGGAAGTCAGAGGTTACATCTTCTTAAGGTGTGGAAATATAATATTTTCCTAAGAAACTATTTAAACTATCTCTTTGTGTAAATGGAAGAAGCAGAACACATCTAGTGAGGATACACATAGATTATCTGTATCTATATCAATACCTATATATATATATATTTATATATATAAATGTATGTAGGAATGCTTGTGTAGCTCTTCATTTTTGCTTAGCATTTTACATGTTCTTGTAATTTGTTTACCTTCTCAGTATTGCTGAGAAATAAATCAATGTTAAAAGCAAATAAAAATCTGCTATTACTACCTACAGACATACTATGTACCCATGTAAGAAACTGCTCAATTGCAAGTTTTTGTCAATAATTCAGAACATCTGTGGGAAGATCGCTTGAGCTTGGGAAGTCGAGGCTGCAGTGAGTCGTGATCACGCCACTGCCACTGCACTCCAGCCTGGGTGACAGACCAAGACTCTGTCCCACAAAAAGAAAAAAAAATTCAGTGCCATGATTTTCTATTTTTAGCTCATATTTGAAGCTTCAAACTATTTGTGTTTAATATATGCTAATCAAAGCCTTCCCACTACAAATTTAGCTCATTTATTTTTAGAAATACCCTCTATATAACCTAATTGTCAGAACTAGCCTTCATTGTCAACCCAATCAGTCAAATCATACTTTCAGAGAAAGTTCTTTCTGTCAGAGAAAGTCTTGCTTCATTTTTCAGTTACACAAATGACAACCGTCTTTTGACTGCATCAAAACCTGGGTTCCTCACATAGTACTTTTTATAGGCATGAATTCTAGTATGTTTCTAATAGTTACATCCAGTGCTTTATGCAAGTCAGTTTAAACTTTTCAGAAACCAAAACTAGTTCTTTTTACGATTTTTGCTACAATCTGGTGAAGTGTGTCTTCTGCCATTTTATGCATTTTATGAAGCAGAGTGGTTTTGGAATAGGGAATGGAGCTATAGTGATAGACTTGGTGACTAACTTATTTTTGGCTATCACCTATGCACTGGAATAATCACTATCAAATGTGATTTCTTAACTATCATAGTGAGTGACAATACTTTATATGAGGTTTTTAAAGCCAACTTTGATGATGGCTTGGAATTGTTCAAGCTGTTTACTGTTTTTTAACCAATACTCCCAGCTTTCCTCTAAAAAAAATTAATAGCTTTATTTTAAGGTCTGTATATTGTGTAAATAAATGACATTAAAGAGATACGGGTTTTTACTATTGTTTGACAAAGGTTTCTTGGGACTTCTCTCAGGAGTGACATATTCTTTGTCAGTATCTGGGGGACAATAGAAGAGGGATTATTACTAAACCTATCATTACTTTAGTCATCCCACTTTACAATATGTCTGAACTCAGAACGTTCCTAATATATGGGCCAGAATACCTTGTTCCTAATACCACTCTTTGCCCTTAATAGGAATTACATAAAACAGAGAAGCCATAAAACTATACCTCAGGTTTATGAGCAGAGACAAAGGGTTTTATTAAAGGCTTACCAGATACCAATATTTTAAATTGTCTTCTTTTCATTTTTCTTTTTTTTTTTTCTACTCCAGTGATTTTCAAACTCTGGCACAGTTTACCATAGTAGTATTTTCTATGGGTGAATTACATGCTTTTCTTTTGTCAAGCGGCTGAAGTGGTAATTGTGAAATGGGAGGGGAGCAATAGAGAACTTACTAATTTACTAGACCAATTGTCTCAGTCTGGTGTCTGGTCAGTTTTGGAATGAGTACCTATGGAAGTGGAGGATCTGATATTTTATTCTCTTATAACTATTCTAAACATCTTTCAGAAAGTATATGGGTATCCCCAAGGGTATTTTTTTGTGATTAATGTCACCAGAATTGTGAAATGTAGTACACACTCCTATATGTACTCTTAATTTGAAGACTCCTGCCCTAAGTCTCAGTGGTACCAAATTGTTTGCACTTTTTAGAGCATGTTAAGTTAGCTTATACCTCTGTATCTCTGCTCATCAAGTATCTTTTCCTTAGAAAATCTTGCCTACTAATGTCTACCTTTTCAAAATAATTGTGATAAGCATAATATAAAATTTACCATCTTAATCACTGTTAAGTATACAGTTCAGTGGCATTAAGTACAGTCACATTGTTGTGCTGCCATCACTGCCATCCATCCACAGAACTCTTTTCATGTTGCAGAACTGAAATTCTGTAACCATTAAGCAATAACTCCCAATTCACCCTGCACCTCAGCCCCTAGCAACCACTATTTTTTCTGTCTCTATGAAGTTGTGAAATATATAAGTGGTACCTTATAAAAGTAGAGTCATACAATATTTGGCCTTTTGTGACTAGTTTATTTCACTTACAATAATGTCCTCAAGTTTCATTCACTTTGTAGTATATGTCAGAATACCCTTTCTTTTTAAGACTGAATGATTCCACTTCTGAATATTTACTTATACACATAGATTTAGTATATTTACTCATACTCATACACATAGATTATCTGTATCTATATCTATATCTATGCATGTAGGAATGCCTGTGTAGCTCTTCATTTTTGCTTAGCATTTTACATGTTCTTATTATTTATTTACCTTCTCAGTATTCCTAAGAAATAAATCAATGTTAAAAGTAAATAAAAATCTGCTATTACTACCTGCAGACATACTATGTACCCATGTAAGAAACTGCTCAATTGCAAATTTGTGTCAATAATTCAAAACATCTGTGGGAGGTTTTGAATTATTTATTTAAACATCTGAGTATTTACTTGGAAGTGGAATTGCTGGATCATATGGTAATTCTGTTTTTAATTTTTTGAGAAACTGCCATGCTCTTTTCCATAGCTGCCACACCAGTTTACATTTTCACCTACAATGCAGAAGGGTTGTAATTTCTCCACATGCTTTCCAAAACTTGTTATTTTCTGTTTTGTTTTGTTTTTGTTTTTATTTTTGTTTTTTGTTTCTGTTTTTATCTACCAGAAAACCCATTAACGTAATGCGTATCAAGTGGTCTTATTGTTTTGATTTGCATTTCCCTAATGATTACTGATGTTGAACATTTTTTCTTGTACTTATTGGCCATTTTGTATATCTTTGGGAAAATGTCTATTCAAATACTTTGTCCATTTTTAAATTGTTTGTTGTTGTTGAATTGTGGGTGTTCTTTATATATTCTGGATATTAACTCTTTATCAGATGTATAATATGCAGATATTTTCTCTTTTTCCATGATTTGCCTTAATTTTCATGTTTTTTCTTTTGTTTCCTAAGCTTTTGGTGTCATATCTGAGAAATCAACCAAACCAATGTCATGAAGCTTTCTCCTATGTTTTCTTCTAAGAGTTTTATAGTTTTAGGTCTTACATTTTATTCTGAGTTAATTTTTATATATGGTGTGAGGTAAGGGTCCAGCTTCCTTCTTTTGCATGTAAAAATCCAGTTTTCCCATCACCAGTTATTGAGAAGTCTGTCCTTTCCCCATTGAATTGCCTTGGCATCTATGTTGAAAACCATTTAACCATGTATGTCAGAGTTTATTTCTGGGCTGTCTGTTCTATCCCAGTGGTCTATATGTCTGTTTTTATGTCAGTGCCACACTGTTTTTATTGCTTTGTAGTAACTTGAAATTAGGAAGTGTGAGACCTGCAACCTTGTTCTTTTTCAAGATTGTTTTGACTATTATGGGTTTCTTGAGATCCCATAGGAATTTTAAGATAGATTTTTCTATTTCTAGAAAAAAATGTCACTGGGATTTTGATAGGTAGCTAATGTCTACCTTTTGAATACCTCTTATAAAATTCATCTCAAGGGGCATCTCCTTTGTGAAGCCTGTTGTAAACTACTATATAGAATTAACTGTTTTTTTATTTTGTCCCCTAAGCATTTCTAACATCTATCACACTTCGTTAAACTTACTTGTTTCTTTTTACTAGACTGAAGAATTGCCATGTGTATTAGTTTTCTGTTGCTGCATAACACATTGCCACAATTTTTCCAGCTTAAAACAATGCTCATTTATTATCTCACAGTTTCTGTGATCAAGAGTCTGGGCACAGCTTAGTTGTCTCCTCTGTTCAGGGTCTCACAGGACTGCAACTGAAGTGTTGGTTGGGGCCATAGTTTCATCTGAGGCTCAGGACCATCTTGCAAGCTTATATGGCTGTTGGCAGAATTTGTTTCATTATAGCTGTGTAACACATAGCAGCTTACCTTTCCAAGGTCAGCAAGAGAGCATCTGATCTCAGGGAGAGCTCCAGTCTATCTGTTAAGGGCTTTGCATCTGATTAAATCAGGCTTACCTGGAATAATGTCTCTGTCTCTCAATTTCAGCTTTTATTTTAGATAGAAGGGGTACATGTGCAGGATTGTTACATGGGTATATTGCACCCAGGTAGAGAGAGTATAGTACCCAATAGGTAGTTTTTCAGCCCATCCCCCACTCCCTCCTCTCTCTAGTAGTCTGCAGAGTCTGTTGTTCCCATGTTTATGGCCATGTGTAAATCAATAGATAATTCCTTAACATGATAAATTACATGCATCACAGCCCTAAAGTCTAAATCCCTTTCTTAAGGTGTAACACTAGAGGCATTACTACCAAAATAGGGAACTAGACAAGGATTCTCTCTGTTGCCTCTGCTATTTAACATAGTATTAGTGATCATTAGCCAGTAACATTAAACAAGAGAAAGTATTTGAGACTTAGAAATTGGAGCAATGGTTTTTTTAATGCCAAGTGTATAATTATATGTCTGTAAAGCCCGTGAAAGTTGATGGGAAAACTATGACAGACAATTTAGCAAAGTTACAGATATAAGATTGATATGCAAAAATCAATGTTCTTTATATATATAAACAAATTCCAACTGAATGATGTAATTAAAGAGAAGACACCTCTTCAGTAGCAACAACAAAGATAACGTAGAGGTTAAATGAGTAAAATTTACACAAGGAATTTAAACCCTTTAAAAAACACAGAAGTCGACTCGAACAGAGCCTTTTTTGTCAACTATGACATTTTTGAAGAATCAGCTGGCCGGGCGCGGTGGCTCTCGCCTGTAATCCCAGCACTTTGGGAGGCCAGGGTGGGCAGATCACGAGGTCAGGAGATCGAGACCAACCTGGCTAACACAGTGAAACCCTGTCTCTACTTAAAAAAAAAAAAAAAAATACAAAAAATTAGCTGGGCATGGTGGTGGGCACCTGTAGTCCCAGCTACTTGAGAGGCTGAGGCAGGAGAATGGCATGAACCCAGGAGGTGGAGCTTGCAGTGAGCTGAGATCGTGCCACTGCACTCCAGCCTGGGCAACAGAGTGAGACTCCGTCTAAAAAAAAAAAAAACAGCAACATGTCAATGCTTTTTGTGTTTATTTATAAAAGTTTTAAAATATTCAAATAAAAATACCAGTAGGTCCTTTTATTCTGAGGAGGAAGTAGTAAAAATTGATTTTAAAGTTTATAAGGAAAAAACAAACAGGAGGAATAGCCAAGTAAATCCTGGAAAAGAAGATGTAAAATATAAAGCCTTTGTAATGAACATAATGAGATACCTGAAAGAGCAAGAAGACTAATGGAGCAGATTAGGAGGTCCAGAGATGGGTTTATATATATATAGTGGCTTACTAATGATAAAGACAGCACCTCAAATCAGTGGAAAAAAGATGGCTTCCCTAAAAACTGGATAGCCATTTGGAAAAAGATAAATTTAGAGCTCTATGTTATACTATATACCCGGAAACATTTCAAATGGGTTAGTGTTTTAAAAGTAAAACATGAAACCATGCTAGTATTAAAAGAAGGCATGGCTGAAATATTTACGGTAGCATGAGAATATTAAGGGGTAGCTGTGGCTCAAAACTAGAAAATCAGTAAGAGAAAAGATTAATGAATTAAGCTACATTTTTAAAAAGAAGAATTTTGGCATAAGAAGAAAGCATCATAAGGAAAGTCACAAGACACAATAAATTAGAGTAAGTATTGGCCACTTAGATCATGAAGGACTAACATTTCTAATATAAAGAGAGCTTCTAAAAATAAAAATGTAATTTAATTAAGAGACTAACTTCCTGATAGAAAACTGGGTAAAAGTATAAGTTTATTTAAGTTACAGGAAAAGAAATACAAATTTAATGTGATTAATTAATTTATTTTTAAAGACACATTCAGTGTCATGATCGGACTATAACATTTAGCAATCAACAGCATGGATGCAAAAAATAAAATCTTATATTAAAACCCTTCAGTGGACTGTTTTACACTTTCCACAGAACATAAACTAAGATAACCTGTTATTAATTGTTACATAATTAATCACAAATATAGTTTTCATGTTTTTTGCCCATATACACAAATACTGTCTAAAACATGTCTTCTTTGTAGCAGCTAGGCCCTGCCACCACTGTGCTTGGCTGAATTCACAAATCCGTTGTAACCTGTAGTTTCCCTGTCACTTCTCTGGCTCTTCTCTCCTGCTAAACTTTATTTCCTAGCAGTAATTAAAATCTGCTACTGCCATAGCTTCTGCAGCTATTGGAACTGCCACAGCCACCTTGGTTTCATAGTTTAGAAAAGAATTTGCCTCCACCACCATAGGGGCCAGATCTTCTGCCACCAAAGTTTCCTTCCTTCATGGGTTCAGAATTTGAAGACTGTTGTAATTGCCAAGATCATTGTAGCTTTCAGCACCTCCAAATTTGCTTCCATTATTACAAAATCCATTTTAACCATCCCACTGCCACCATATCCACCACCACCAGAGCTACCACCAAAGCCACCATGACCACTAAAGTTTCCACCACAACCAAAATTGCCATTCCCACCAAAACCACCTCCACAACCACCACCAAAGTTTCCAGAAGCACTTCACCCTTTTCGGCTAGATGAAGCACTAGGCATCTCTTGATTTGACACAGCTTCCCTAATTTCACAATTGTGGCCATTCACAGTATGGTATTTCAGAATGACAGTCTTATCCACAGTCATGCTTACAAAGGCAAAGCCTTTTTTCTTGCCATTGCCTTGGTCAGTCATGATTTCAATCACTTCAGTTTTTCCATACTGTTTAAAATAATCTCTTAGGTGATGTTCTTCAGTATACTCTTTAATGCCAGCAACAAATATCTTTTTCACAGTTAAGTGGGCACTGGTCTCTGAGAGTCTTCTCTTGAGACAGCTCTCTTTGGTTCCACAACTCTTCCATCCACCTTGTGTAGCTTTGCATTCATGACTGCATCTACCTCCTCCACAGTGGCATACGTGACAAACCCAAAGCCCCTGGAGTGGCATACGTGACAAACCCAAGGCCCCTGGAGTGCCTGGTGTTTGGATCTCCCATTACCACACACTCTGTGAGTGTTCCCCATTGCTCGGAATGGCTCCTCAGATCTTCCTCAGCTTTGTTTCAAAGCCAACCCTCCAATGAAAATGAAGAGCTTCCACAGCCATTCGGGCTCTTTAGAAAACTGACTGCGACGTGACGGCAGTGGGAAGAGAGATTTTAACAATGCCTCCTTGACGGCATCCTCTGGCAGGAAGCACAAACAACTTTTAGAAGAGTAGTTTAGCTCAACGTATAAGGAAGAAATAGAAATTAAAACTGCATTGAGACACCACTTCTTACCCATCAGTAGATAAATGTCCAAAGGTTTGCATAATCTTTTGGCAAGGCTATGGGTAAAATAGGTACTCTCATACTTTGCTGATAGGAATGAGAATAGTATTAACTCAGAGGAATTGGGCAATGTCTAGCAAAATTAAATATGCATATACCTTTAATTAAGCAATCACACTTTTGGGAATATATCCCAAAGGCAAATTTGCAAAAAATATAAAAGAACATATCTGTAAAGTCATTCTTTGTGCCTTTATTTGTAATAGCAAAAGATTGGAAAGAACACAAATGGCCATCTCTATGGAAAAAACACTCAAAGTGCTTTTTCTGTTCTCTCACCCAGCAACAATCAACACAGTAGACTTCTGTGAAATGTGTGGGGTTTTTTCCCCAGACACCAAGCAAGTGTTAACCTGAAATAATCGAAAGAATCAGAGTCTAGCTTTATTCAAGTGAAAAGCTGAGAATGGCCATCTGGGAAACACAAACTCCAGAGAAATGGAGTCTGTGCTCCCAAATTAAAAGTTAAGTTCTTGCTTATACAGGCAGAAAACAAATGTATTAGGGTTATAGCATTTTCTATGCAAGGCTGGTTTATGAGTTATAACAATCTAATGAGTTACAGCTTGCTTTCATTTCCTTTTCAATTTAAAAGAGTGTTTTTAACATTTCATCTTAGACATGATAGTCTGTGTATGAAAAAAGTAAAAGGGCAGTTAATCTACAGTGAAGAGAGAATGGGGCTGCCTAGGTGCCCTTTAATCATTTACAACATTTTATAAAACTATGTGGGTAAGAGAGAAGGCAAATCTAATCAGAGAAACAGTGGTTACAGTTCCCTGTTACGTGACTGAGGTCCTATAATCACATTCCTTTAAGGCTCAAAATGTTTTGAAGTTCCAACAGCTTAGATTTTGAATTACTTATTTTCACACAATCAGTTCTCCAGCAGACAGTAGCTGAGTATCCTCTAATTCAGTTCAATTCTGACACTGCCTGGAGACAGTGTGAGATCTCACAGGTTGAGGGATCCCACTTCTGATGCCATTTGCAAACCCCAGGTTAGTTTGCCTGTGCTTCTGACTGACCGGCTATAAACTGGGGATCCCACAACCCCCTCCTTGGATTCGATTAATTTACTAAAGCAGCTCACAGAACTCAGGGAAGCATGTTTACTAGCGTATTATAAAGGACATAACAAAGGATACAGAGGAAGAGATGCATGGGGTGAGGTATGGGGGAAGGATAGAGCTTCCATGTCATTTCTAGGTGAGCCACACTCCAGGAAACTTCATGTCTTCAGCTATCTGGAAGCTTCCCAAACCCTGTCCTTTTGGGTTTTTATGGAGGCTTCATTACATAGGCATGATTGATTAATTGGCCATTGGTGATCAACTTAACCTTCAGCCGCTCTCCCTATCTGGATCTTTCTAATCATGCCTTGATCTTTCTGCATGACCAGCCCACATCCTGAAGCTACCTACAGGCTGCCAGCCATCAGTCAACTCATTAGAAAGACATCACTTTAGAGAGTCCAAGGATTTTAAGAGCTGTATATCAGGAAATGGGTCAAAGACCAAATATGTATTTTGTAATATTACATCATCAGTAAAGCAGTTCTGTGCAACCTTAAAAAGGAGAATAAAGATGATCTTTATGTGGTAATGTGGTATGATTTTCAAGAATATTATTAAGAAAACAAGATAGCACTTAATATGTAGCACATGATATATAGGTTTATAGCATAAACTATATAAAAGCACTGCTACCTTTTATATAAGAAGAAGAGACATGCATATAATCTAAATGTTTTCATATAATTTTGAAAAGAAACACTGGAAGAATAAATCAAAAGCAAATATAGTTACCTTTTCGGCAGAGGAAAGGGATTAGAAGTGAGACTTTGAATTTTCATTTTATTTTATTTATATATTTTTTCGAGACAGGGTCTGGCTCTGTCACCCAGGCTAGAGTGAGGGCAGTGGCACAGTCTCTGCAGCATCTGCCTCCTGGCCTCAAGCCATCCTCCTACTTCAGCCTCCCAAGTAGCTAGGACTACAGGTGCACACCACCACGCCTGGCTAATTTTTGTAGAGATGGGGTTTTGCCATGTTGTCCAGGCTGGTCTCAAACTCCTGGACTCAAGAAATCCACCCTCCTCAGTCTCCCAAAGTGCTGGGATTATAGGTGTGAGACACCATACCCAGACAGAATATGTTTTTAAAATATTTTTGACTTTGGAATCATCCACATATTTAGCCCTTCAAAGAAAAGTAAGTCAAAAACGTGAAAAGCATATTGAGATTTTTTAACTTACTAGCTGCAAAAAGAAAAAAAAATTGGCTCCTTTTGGTTCTTTAGTTTTTTTATTTATTTATTTTTTATTTTGTTATACTTTAAGTTCTAGGGTACATGTGCACAATTTGCAGGTTTGTTAAATAGGTATGCATGTGCCATGTTGGTTTGCTGCACCCATCAACTCCTCATTTACATTAGGTATTTCTCCTAATGCTATCCCTCCCCCCACCCCCTACTCCCCGGTGTATATGTGCCACAATTTCTTAATACAGTCTATCATTGATGGACATTTGGGTTGGTTCCAAGTCTGCTATTGTGAATAGTGCCACAATAAACATACGTGTGCATGTGTCTTTATAGTAGCATGATTTATAATCCTTTGTGGGATCACTGGGTCAAGTGGTATTTCTAGTTCTAGATCCTTGAGGAATCGCCACAGTCTTCCACAATGGTTGAACTAATTTACACTCCCACCAACAGTGTAAAAGCGTTCCTATTTCTCCACAACCTCTCCAACATCTGTTGTTTCCTGACTTTTTAATGATCGCCATTCTAACTGGCATGAGATGGTATCTCATTGTGGTTGTGATTTGCATTTCTCTGATGGCCAGTGATGATGAGCATTTTTTCATGTGTCCGTTGGCTGCATAAATGTCTTCTTTTGAGAAATGTCTGTTCATATCCTTCTCCCACTTTTTGATGGGGTTGTTTTTTTCTTGTAAATTTGTTTTAAGTTCTTTGTAGATTCTGGATATTAGCCCTTTGTCAGATGGGTAGATTGCAAAAATTTTCTCCCATTCTGTAGGTTGCCTGTTCACTCTGACGGTAGTTTCTTTTGCTGTGCAGAAGCTCTTTAGTTTAATTAGATCTCATTTGTCTCTTTTGGCTTTTGTTGCCATTGCTTTTGGTGTTTTAGTCATGAAGTCCTTGCCCATGCTTATGTCCTGAATGGTATTGCCTAGGTTTTCTTCTAGGGGTTTTATGGTTTTAGGTCTAACATTTAAGTCTTTAATCCATCTTGAATTAATTTTTGTATAAGGTGTAAGGAAAGGATCCAGTTTCAGCTTTCTACATATGGCTAGCCAGTTTTCCCAGCACCATTTATTAAATAGGGAATCCTTTCCCCATTTCTTGTTTTTTTCAGGTTTGTCAAAGATCAGATGGTTGTAGATGTGTGGTATTATTTCTGGGGCCTCTGTTCTGTTCCATTGGTCTATATCTCTGTTTTGGTACCAGTAGCATGCTATTTTGGTTACTGTAGCCTCATAGTATAGTTTGAAGTCAGGTAACGTGATGCCTCCAGCTTTGTTCTTTTTGCTTAGGATTGTCTTGGCAATGCGGGCTCTTTTTTGGTTCCATATGGACTTTCAAGTAGTTTTTTCCAATTCTGTGAAGACAGTCCTTGGTAGCTTGATGGGAATGGTATTGAATCTATAAATTACCTTGGGCAGTATGGCCATTTTCATGATATTGATTCTTCCTATCCACAAGCATGAAATGTTCTTCTATTCATTTGTGTCCTCTTATTTCATTGAGCAGTGGTTTGTAGTTCTCCTTGAAGAGGTCCTTCACATCCCCTGTAAGTTGGATTCCTAGGTATTTTATTCTCTTTGAAGCAATTGTGAATGGAAGTTCACTCATGATTTGGCTCTCTCTTTGTCTGTTATCGGTGTATAGGAATGCTTGTGATTTTTGCACATTGATTTTGTATCCTGAGACTTTGCTGAAGTTGCTTATCAGCTTAAGGAGATTTTGGGCTGAGATGATGGGAGTTTTCTAAATATACATTCATGTCATCTGCAAACAGGGACAATTTGACTTCCTCTTTTCCTAATTGAATACCGTTTCTTTCTTTCTCTTGCCTGATTGCCCTGGCCAGAACTTCCAACACTATGTTGAACAGGAGTGGTGAGAGGGGGTATCCTTGTCTTGTGCCGGTTTTCAAAGGAAATGCTTCCAGTTTTTGCCCATTTAGTATGATATTGGCTGTGGGTTTGTGATAAATAGCTTTTATTATTTTGAGATAGATTCCATCAATCCCTAGTTTGAGAGTTTTTAAGCATTAAGTCCTGTTGAATTTTGTCAAAGGCCTTTTCTGCATCTTTTGAGATAATCATGTGGTTTTTGTAGTTGGTTCAGTTTATGTGATGGATTACGTTTATTGATTTGCATATGTTGAACCAGCCTTGCATCCCAGAGATGAAGCCCACTTGATCATGGTGGATAAGCTTTTTGATGTGCTGCTGGATTTGGTTTGCCAGTATTTTATTGAGGATTTTTGCATCGATGTTCATTAAAGATATTGTTCCAAAATTTTCTTTTTTTTGTAGTGTCTCTGCCGGGCTTTGGTATCTGCATGATGCTGGCCTCATAAAATGAGTTAGGGAGGATGCCCTCTTTTTCTATTGATTGGAATAGTTTCAGAAGGAATGGTACCAGCTCTTCTTTGTACCTCTGGTAGAATTCAGCTGTGAATCTGTCTGGTCCTGGACTTTTTTTGGTTGGTAGGCTGTTAATTATTGCCTCAATTTCAGAGCTTGTTACTGGTCTATTCAGAGATTCAACTTCTTCCTCGTTTAGTCTTGGGAGGGTGTATGTGTCAAGGAATTTATCCATTTCTTCTAGATTTTCTAGTTTATTTGCATAGAGGAATTTCTTGCCTTCTGCTAGCTTTTGTATTTGTTTGCTCTTGGTTTTCTAGTTATTTTAATTGTGATATTAGGGTATTGATTTTAGATCTTTCCAGATTTCTCTTGTGAGCCTTTAGTGCTATAATTTTCCCACTGCACACTGCTTTAAATGTGTCCCAGAGATTCTGGTACATTGTGTCGTTGTTTTCATTGGTTTCTAAGAACATCTTTATTTCTGCCTTCATTTCATTATTTACCCAGTAGTCATTCAGGAACAGGTTGTTCAGTTTCCATGTACTTGTGTGGTTTTGAGTGAGTTTCTTAATCCTGAGTTCTAATTTGATTGCACTGTGATCTGAGAGTTTGTTGTGATTTCTGTTCTTTTACATTTGCTGAGGAGTGCTTTACTTCCAATTATGTGGTCAATTTTAGAATAAGTGTGATGTGGTGCTGAGAAGAATGTATATTCTGTTGATTTGGGGTGGAGAGTTCTGTAGATGTCTGTTAATTTCGCTTAGTGCAGAGTTGAGTTCAAGTCCTGGACATCCTTGTTAACCCTCTGTCTTGTTCTGATATTGAGAGTGGGGTGTTAAAGTCTCCCATTATTATTGTGTTGGAGTCTAAGTCTCTTTGTAGGTCTCTAAGGACTTGCTTTATGAATCTGGGTGCTCCTCTGTTGGGTCCATATATATTTAGGATAGTTAGCTCTTCTTGTTGAATTGATCCCTTTACCATTATGTAATGGCCTTCTTTTGTCTCTTTTGATCTTTGTTGTTTTAAAGTCTGTTTTATCAGAGACTAGGATTGCAATCCCTGCTCTTTTTTTGCTTGCCGTTTGCTTGGTAGATCTTCCTCCATCCCTTTACTTTGAGCCGATATGTGTCTCTGCATGTGAGATGGGTCTCCTGAATACAGCACACTGATGGGTCTTGACTCTTTATCCAGTTTGCCAGTCTGTGTCTTTTAATTGGGGCATTTAACCCATTTACATTTAAGGTTAATATTGTTATGTGTGAATTTGATCCTGTCATTATGATGTTAGCTGGTTATTTTGCCCATTAATTGATGCAGTTTCTTCATAGCATCGATGGTCTTTACAATTTGGCATGTTTTTGCAGTGGCTGGTGCTGGTTGTTCCTTTCCATGTTTAGTGTTTCCTTCAGGAACTCTTGTAAGGCAGGCCCACAGAATCTCTCCACATTTGCTTGTCTGTAAAAGATTTTATTTCTCCTTCGCTTATGAAGCTTAGTTTGGCTGGATATGAAATTCTGGGTTGAAAATTCTTTTCTTTAAGAAATTTAAATATTGGCCCCCACTCTCTTCTGGCTTTTAGGGTTTCTGCTGAGAGATCCACTGTTTGTCTGATGGGCTTCTCTTTGTGGGTAACCCGACCTTTCTCTCTGGCTGCCCTTAACATTTTTTTCCTGCATTTCAACCTTGGCGAATCTGACAATTGTGTGTCTTGGGGTTGGTCTTGTCGAGGACTATCTTTGTGGTGTTCTTTATATTTCCTGAATTTGTATGTTGGCCTGCCTTGCTAGGTTGGGGACGTTCTCCTGGATAATATCCTGAAGAGTGTTTTCCAACTTTGTTCCATTCTTCCTGTCACTTTCAGGTATACTAGTCAAACGTAGATTTAGTCTTTTCACGTAGTCCTGTATTTCTTGGAGGCTTTGTTACTTTTTACTTTTTTCTCTAAACTTGTCTTCTTGCTTTATTTCATTAATTTGATCTTTAATCACTGATACCCTTCTTCCACTTGATCAAATTGGCTATTGAAGCTTGTGCATGCGTCATGAAGTTCTCATGCCATGGTTTTAAGCTCCCTTAGGTCATTTAAGGTCTTCTCTACACTGTTTAGTTAGTCATTCATCTAACCTTTTTTCAAGGTTTTTAACTTCCTCGTGATGGGTTAGAACATGCTCCTTTAGCTTGGAGAAGTTTGTTATTACTGATCTTCTGAAGCCTACTTCTGTCAACTCGTCTAAGTCCAGCTTTGTTCTGTTGCTGGTGAGGAGCTGCGATCCTTTGGAGGAGAAGAGGCGCTCTGGTTTTTAGAATTTTCAGCTTTTCTGCTCTGGTTTCTCCCCATCTTGTGGTTTTATCTACCTTTGGTCTATGATGGGGTTTTGGTGTAGATGTCTTTTTTTGTTGAGGTTGATGCTATGCCTTTCTGTTTGTTAGCTTTCCTTGTAACAGTCAGGTCCCTCAGCTTCAGGTCTGTTGGAGTTTGCTGTAGGTCCACTCCAGACCCTGTTTTTCTGGGTATCACCAGCGGAGGCTGCAGAACAGCAAATATTGCTGCCTGATCCTTCCTCTGGAAGCTTCATCCCAGAGGGGCACCCGCCTGTGTGAGGTGTCTGTCAGCCCCTACTGGGAGGTGTCTCCCAGTTAGGCTTCATGGGGGTCAGGAACCCACTTGAGGAGGCAGTCTGTCCGTTCTCAGTGCTCAAAACACCATGCTAGGAGAACCACTGCTCTCTTCAGAGCTATCAGACAGGGACGTTTAAGTCTGCAGAAGTTTCTGCTGCCTTTTGTTCAGCTATGCCTTGCCCACAGAGGTGGAGTCTGTAGAGACAGTAGGCCTTACTGAGCTGCGGTGGGCCCCTCCCAGTTTGAGCTTCCTGGCTGTTTTGTTTACCTACTCAAGCCTCAGCAATACAGATGCCCCTCCCCCAGCCAGGCTGCAGCATTGCAGGTCGATCTCAGACTGCTGCACTAGCAGTGAGCAAGGCTCTGTGGGTATGGGACCCACTAAGCCAGGCATGAGAGAGAATCTCCTGGTCTGCCGGTTGCTCAGACCATGGGAAAAGTGCAGTATGTAGGTGGGAGTGTCCCCTTTTCCCAGGTACAGTCTGTCATGGCTTCCCTTGGCTAGGAAAGGGAAATCCCCCAACCCCTTGCACTTCCTGGGTGAGGTGATGCCCCACCCTGCTTCAGCTCGCTCTCTGCAGGGTGCACCCACTGTCCAACCAGGCCCTGTGAGATGAACCAGGTACTTCAGTTGGAAATGCAGGAATCACCCGTCTTCTGCGTCGATCACGCTGGGAGCTGCAGTGGTTCTTTAGTTTTAATGGTCACTCTTAATCTGTATGTTAATTTCAAACTCTCCACCACTGGGTATAGCCTGCCCTTAAATTAATCTGTTGTTTTGCTTAATTAATCCTTTGGAAACATGAATTCCAGTCATACCTCAGCAACTAAATATTTTAATATGGTTAGCATCCAGTGTAAGTAGCAATTAACTTACTTTGAGATATTCAATAAAAAATATATTCTCACAGTGTTATTTAAAATTTTGTATTTTAGGTAATCAGTTAAATAAGAGTTCTTTTTCTTTGTTTTTATTTCACAATTTAGGTTTACTTAAACATGTAACTTTGGAAGTCAGCATGGAGTTTGGGCCCAGAATGGAAATTGGGTGTCAGAGATTTGTTTTTGGTCATGTCATTTGACTGTACCAGTCAGCTCTATGATGGCAGAAAACTTTCACATTGTTTTCTATCACTGCCTCTTGCCAAGGTCCACTGGGGTTATTTTTACTGTTGATGTTTTCCTGAGCTTTTGCATTTTTTTCTGTGGGCTGGTCCTTTTATACACTTTAAAAATCAGCTTCTCCTAAAATCAGGACTTTACTGTAGGCAAAGTTCTCTGAAAGAGCCCACAAAGTCACTTTTATAACTTTAACCCCGACTAGTTAAAAGCACTCACTATGTTGATGAAATCCTATTTTAGTTTGGGTTGCCCTAGAGACATGATTCATGTCCCCCTGTGACATGGATTCAAGTGCAAGTAGTTTATCTGGGAGGTGATCCTAACAAACACCTGTAGAGGAGTGGAGAAGTGAGACAGGGAAGGGAAGGAGCCAGCATCGGGTTCAGTGTCAATTAAGTTACCACTATAGGCAACAGGAGCTTAAGTTGCTGAGTAACTCGGGGAGCCAGCGTAGGAGTCATGTTTCAGAGTTATCCCACTGGAGGGGAAGAAGGGAAATGGGATTTATAGACCAACTCCTCAGTCGTTGGAAGACAGCTGCTGAAAAGTGAGGGAGTGTGAATCAGATTTTTTCCACTTGGCAGATATGCAAAGCAAGCTTTGGGGTTAGAGAAAGATGTTAGGTGAAATGCTGGCAGTTAGAAGGAAAAGGGGTGCGAAGCAGGGGAGGGGTATGTCAGGGTACTGACACAAAGTACCCCTTTGTCTACTACAAAGCTAGAACTCATTTAGAAAAAGCAAAGCAATAACAACAAATAACAGCGAAAAAGGGAATCAGGTTAAAGGAATCAGAAAAGACAGAAAAATGCTAATCAGAAAAAAAAGCTTTGTTATAGAATCTTAGTTAATCCATTCCTAATTTTCAGCAAAGAAGATCCACAAATTATACTAACATGTTGCTTGTGAAAAAGGAGGCACTACCCTCCAAGTCTCGTAGTTGAAGAAGAATGGAACCCAACTTTTCCACAGCATTACTTCCCATAATGCTCCAAGGTGCACCTCTTTTCTTCAGTTAGCACTGTCTCCCTACTGCCCAGTGTGCTCATGCCAGGCTCGTGGTAACTGCTGTGCCTTTGTTCGTGCTGCTCAGCCTGCCTGCAATCCTCTCCATGTTGTGAAAAGTCTTCCCACCTGGAGGACCTAACTCAGACCCTCCTCTGGCCAGTGAGGTCCTGCCAACAACCTCCTGATTTCTCCCTCCTTACCCACCTGGCTAGGGTAAGAAGAATGGCTGGGCAGAAGAATGGCCCCAAAGATGGCCAAGTCCTAATCCCTGAAACCTGTGAATATATTACCTTACTTCACAAAAGAGACTTTTCAGATGTAATTAAGTTAAAGATTTTGAGATGGGAGATTATTCTGTATTATCCAAGTGGGCCCAATATAATAAAAAAGGGATCTTAAAAGATGGAAGTGGAAGGCAGAAGAGTCAGAGTCAAAGACAAATCTGAAGAGGCTATGCTGCTGGCTTTGAAGATGGAGGAAGAGGCCGGGGCCAAGGAATGCAGGTGACCTCTAGATGTCACGAAAGTCAAGGAAACAGATTCTTTCTAGAGCATGTGACACCTTGATTTTAGCCCAATGGAACGTATTTTGGACTTCTGACCTCCAGAACTGCAAGATAATTAATTTGTGCTATTTTAAGTCACACACATACATACACACACGCACAAATTCACTATATAGCCAGAGTGCCTGGGTTCAAATGCTGTTTTAACTTTTTAGCTGTGTGAGCTTGGACAAGTCACTTAGCTTCTCTGTGACTCAATTTTTCATCTTTAAAATGGGGACAATGATAATACCTACCTCATAATTTGTTGTGTGTGACTTAAATGGGTTAAGATGTGTATATAAAGTCTTGAACAGCGCCTGCCACACTTTCAGTAAAAGTGCTAATTCTTGCCTGCCTTTCTTAAAGGAAGGCTATTGGGAAGCAGACACCATCCACTTAAAGGTAGTCTTCTCTTACTACCGTGACATGTTGTTTCATGTAATTGACTCTTACTCATTCATCACCAAATGGGGAAAGACAGAGAGAAAAAAGGCAAGAAAAAAAACAAAGAGATATAGTTCATCTATATCTTCCCTAGTTACTTTGGAATGACTAGTTCTTGGCTACCTGATGGGCCAGTTCCTAAACCAAATCCTGGATAGGTTCTACCTGCATCATTTAAGAGGACAAAAGATTAACTGTACTTTCAAAGATGCCCTTTTCTCCTTTTCTGCAGTGTCCCTCCTAGATGCTGAATTTTTTCACAGCAACATACTCGGCCATTAAGAGTCAAAGCTCTATTACCATATTGTGAGGAAATGATAGGGTTTGAACACTATGTAGATTGGATCAAATATAAGTATACCATTTTTAACTTGTACTAGTGATATGGTTTGGATTTGTGTCCCTACTCAAACCTCATGTAGCATTGGAGGAAGGACCTGGTGGAAGGTGATTGGATCATGGGTGTAGATTTCCCCCTTGCTGTTCTTGTGATAGTGAGTTCTCATGAGATCTGATGATTTAAAAGTGTGTGGCACTTCCTCCTTCACTGTCTCTTTCTCTCCTGTCACCATGTGAAGAAGGTCCTGTCTTCTTCACCTTCTGCCATGACTGTAAATTTCCTGAGGCCTCCTACTCATGCTTCCTGTTAAGCCTGTGGAACTGTGAGTCAATTAAACCTCTTCTTTTCATAAATTACGTAGTCCCAGGTAGTTTTTTATAGCAGTATGAAGGCAGACAAATACAACTAGGTAGACATAGTTTAACTCAGATTCCTGATAGCTAGTTGAAACCAGAGATTAATTAGCATTTTGGTCCTATTCCTTTTGGATTTTTCTTGCTGACCTTTTTGTTCTGGGCTAATACTTGTCATTTCTGAAGCTACCTGAATGGTAATTCATTCAATTTTGATAGTCTTAACAAGTACTTCTTGTTGTCTCATCTGGTTTTTCTAAACAAGGTCCTGTTTCTTGACTTCTGTGCTTTTTAAAATGCAGATTTGCCTAAAGAGCTTGTTCTCCTGCCTGTGTCCATCCTTACCTAACCGCTGCTTTCAGATGGAGTGGGGCAGTTCCTCCAGGTCTCATTAGCATTTCAATACAAATGTTACCATATTTAATATGAATAATATGAATTTATTCCTGTCTGATCTTCTCTCAAAGCCGTGTATATTTTCTGGAGCTTTTTGCCCAATACTGTATTGACTTTAGTCTCTTCCCATTTTAAGATTTAATTTTTACTTATATTGCTGGTGTGATTTTAGTTTCTTATTCATAAAAATGAAGAGAAGAGATTCTATTAAGATAAATTGCACATTGAGAATTGAGAATGCTGATTGTTCCTAAGTATAATTCTTTCCAATGTATGTTTGAATGGAGGATAAGATACTTTGCTTTCTGTTTATTAGAGGTTCTTTTTTAGATATGACTGAATTGGGAGGCTCTTCACTGTTATGCTATTTAGCTGTTATTGTGAAGGGTTGAAAGTCACGTCAAACAAGGGCTGGTTTAGATGTCAGTAATCTGCCATTTGGAATTTCTAAGTATATAATACATTCTTCAGCAGACGTGTTAAGTGGTTATTATGTTCTAAGCATTGTGCTGGGGGAATAAAATGAATATGGCATTTCATTCTTATTCTCTTCACTCTAGAGAACATAACTGTGATGAGATACTGCAGTGTGTGCAGAGCTTTTGTCTTGGCAATGTCACACCCAACTCTGCCACTAACTCTTACCTATGTATAACAAAGAACAAGTTATTTTAACCTCTCCAAGTTAGTTTTCTCATCAGTAAAATGAGGGAGTGATTTTAACATTTTCTTAAAGGTTACTTAAGGTTGTTGTGAGGATTAAATTAAAAAAAATTTATGAAAGCATTTTAAAAACTATTAAGTGCTATCTAAACAATGACATTACTAATTATTTACAAATTTGACATTATACACTGGTGTTTTTGGTCCAAAGACCAGATGCATTAGGTGTTATAACTAAGTTCCAGAAGCTTATGGAAAAGGATGACTTTTTCATGACTTTGGCTCTAAGTTCTAGGGGTACCTTAGGACATCTTAATATCCCCATTATTGGTAAAGCATGTTCTCTATAAATATGCATTGATTTGAGCCAGAGGTTTCAGAAACACAGTATAATTATAAAGTAAAGCACAATCCCAGGTGATAAGATTTTTGGTTATCTATTCTATAGAAGGCTTATGAAATTCTGGATTAATAGGTAATTATCCATCACTATGAATTAATTATATTTATGCAAATGTGACTGAATATTTAATTTAAATGTGAATTGCGTTACCATTATGGGCCAGTTTTCTTTGGCTTTTTTGTCCCCTGAAAATATGATATACAACATAAGCCAAATTTATTTTTAAAATTTATTTTTAAAACTATAATTTTCTTTCTTTGTGTTTGTAGATTGTAAGAACCCCTACAATATATAGGAAAACTTAGCTCATAAGCTGATTCATCAAGATGAATCTGTAATCTTGTTTTAATTAATATTACTTGACATTTATTCTCAGATCTAAGTAATAATTTTAACTGAAATTTTTTATTGTTAAACATTGTGATTGTCAGTAGACTGTTCTTCAGAAGTTTTCGTAATGCATACCCTTTTTTGTTTGGTTTGTTTATAATTACTGGTAGATAATTTTATTTACTGTTGAAGTAGTGAGGCTCTTTCACTAAAAGCTGCTTCTGAAGTAAGATTTGAATATATTTTTACTTGTAAAAAATTACTGGCAGTAAAGAGTAATAAGTAACTACTGCTTATTTAATCTGTTAGCATTTAAGGGTAAAGCTTTCAAATTAATATTATGTTTATGATTGTAAGATTATAACTGTGATTTACCTTCAGCTTTTGAAGAATAAAATCATTGCCCTGTTTTACTGGTAAACTCATACCTAATGACTCATCTCTTTTTATTTATGATAGGGAAATGGTGCTTCATTGTGAATGCTAGAATTGGGTTAGTCAACCAGAAGTGAACCTCTAATTGTTTCCAAATGCTTACTTTTTGGGTTTGGATGTAGCTCTAAGTCTTAGCTCAGTCAGGAATTTGCTAAGCTTGTCGTTTTCTACATTTCCTTTCATTATGGCTAGATAGATCCAAGCTAAAATCTGGTTTATGCTTCTCTATTACAATAGTTAATCAGAAAAATATGGACACAAACTCCTGAGCTAAACACAATTTTAAAAGGCAAAAACTAGAGTTTCTAAAGGTTTCTTTTACATTTTTATGACTCTTTAAATTATTATAGAAATTGGCCTTGTTCTAAATTGTGTATCACCGTGTGATTTAGCAAGTACCTTTATTCTCTACCATAGTTTTATGACCTAGTTATTGCTCCTACAGCTGAAATTCTTGCATTATTTTTAAATTGCTATTGGAGAAAGTTAGTGTGACATATCCATTTGCTTTGGTGAAATGCTTGCTGCTGTTGAGTGTAAAGATTTTATTAAAATTCTACCTAAAAAGACAACCATTCCAAATTTCAGTATAAGCAAATCAATAAAAACCACAATTGATCCTAATGAAAAAAAGAGATAAAAATGCACTATAATTTTATTTCCTTATATCAGTGATGATGTCTTATAATTTAGTTAATTTTAAAATATATGTTTATTTCTAACATTTTATTAAAATGTTTATCTACATATTGTTCTTGAATGGTGTTAAAATGAGTGATCTCTAAATTTCCTTTTAATTCTAATATGATATTATTTGTGATCATGTAACTTCTTTACTAATTCTAGAGTCCTCAAACTAAGGGCCTCATGTGAAAGCGAATTTTAGGAGGAAAAAAGGAAGTACTAGGTTATTTTTTAAAAAGGTGGTGGCAGGGAGTAGCAGACTTTGGAAGGCAACACACATGGAATACACACATAAAAATTTGAACAAAGATTTGGATAAATCTGTAGATGTTTTTTCTAGGTGACTTATTAAGAGACTGTTGGACTGTCTAAGGGAATGTCTTTAATGTTTTAAGGCTGATCTCCTCAAGGATTATTATAGATGGGATTCACCATCTGTTACTGTGTTTAGCTCCTTGGGGGAAACAACTAGACTAAACCTGAATATTCTAAAACAATAAATTTTTAAAAGTTGTTCACAAAAGTTATTCACACCTATTGCTTAAGTAATGTTATTTCTCATACTGTATGCCTTCTGTTGCAGTTGAGTCAGTGCCTCTTCTATTCCTTTTTCTCTTCCCCTTTACTTTTAAAGGTATGTTTAAAAAGAAGTTATCAACATACCAATTAAGAAAACCATTTACCAAAAGTTCATGGAAAATGAAAATGGATACAAGCATAATATGTAGTTGCTTTAAATTCATATGTGCCTTCTTCTAAATGGTTGGCCCTAAATAAGTTTGATGACTGATTTCCATTGCCTTCTCTGCAGGCTTATTAAAAATAAAGTTATGAATTTCTCTGAGATGAAATATTCTATATTATTTATTTTTGTATTTCCAGTGTCTAGCACATGCTTGCTACATGGTTGGCATATAACAGATGTTTGTTGACTTGAACTTTTCAAAACTGAACTTGGAGTCTAACGACCTGATCTGTTCTAGTTCTCCTGCTTAATAGCTGTGTCCTTAAACAAGTTACTTTGGTGCTCTAGGTCACCATTGCCACAACTCGAGAGTAAGGTCCCACCTGGTTCCAGAAAATCTGATGCCAGATATATAGTAGTAGATCCTTAATAATCGCTTAATATTGATTGCTTAATAAAATTCATTTGCTGGATTTTCTATCATGATAGAATAAATCATTTTGCCAAGTATATCTATGTGTCATTTGGTGACACTGCTTTTTTCCCCTTAGTATATAAAAACAATTTATATTTTCTTTCATTTCCAAATATATTCTCTCTCTAGTATTCTTTATAGTTTAACCACTTTTTCTTATTGAATGGAAAATATATAAAAGATGAAAGAAATTGCCTGGATGTTTAGTCTACTCCTTCATTTTATAGATGAGAAAACTGATGCTCTGGAAGACTATGTGATTTGCTTAAAGCTATTTAATGGCAGAATCAGAACCCAAGTGTCATGGTTTCCATGAGTGTAATTTTCACGTCAGATATCTAAACATTGTTAATAGTTCCCTAGATTGAGATTGGAGAAGAAATTATTAAAATAACTAAACTTACGAGGTAGGTAGGAAAAAAACCTTTTTTCTAATTCTCAAACATAATTCAAGGAGAACAATTTTTGTGCCCATTTTCTGAGTACAGTTAGGAAAAGATAAAAATTTTAAGTTTAATATATGAAAACATTCTGTGATGGATTCTTTTTTTTTCCTGAGAAATGAGGATGGAGAGAGTAAAGAAAAATGATGGTTGAATTGTACCTAATTAATATGCCATCATTTTTTTCTTTGCCTTTTTTGTAAACACAGGAAGTCTTCAGCTATTTAATAGCAACACAGTAGGTAGAAACAGATCCCACTCTTTAGTTTAGATGAATGAATAACCAATATTCTTCACTGTCAAAATCCTTAAGTCCATTTGCAGTTGTTTTCTACTCATTTTTTTTCTCTTTCTCCAACCTGGCTTTTACTGTTCCTGAAATGTTACAGTGGATGGCCTCAAACAATATTTGCGTTGTTGTTGTTTTCTTTTTTTTTTGAGATGGAGTCTCGCTCTGTCACCCAGGCTGGAGTGCAGTGGCCCTATCTCGGCTCACTGCAAGCTCCACCTCCCGGGTTCACGCCATTCTCCTGCCTCAGCCTCCTGAGTAGCTGGGACCACAGGCGCCGGCCATCACGCCCAGCTAATTTTTTATATTTTTAGTGGAGACGGGATTTCACCGTGTTAGCCAGGATGGTCTCGATCCCCTGACCTCATGATCCACCCGCCTTGGCCTCCCAAAGTGCTGGGATTACAGGCGTGAGCCACCGCACCCGGCCAGTATTTGCATTGTTTAATCTAATGGCCTTTTTCTGTTTCTGTTTTTCTTCATTGAGGCATTTACTGTTGCTGGAAATGTTTCCCCTTTTTCCAGATGTTTTACTTACTGTGACTTTACTTTCTTTACTTTACTTTCTTTTCTTAACTGCTAATGATTCCATATATTATTTAAGATTTAGTATTGATCCCTAGCCTTAGATATACTTTTAAAATTTATGAATTAATTATGTTTAACAGATTCAGCTACAAATTCTGTTCCATAAACATTTATTTGCCAAACACCATCTGAGATGCTGGGTTTACAAACATAAATAAGATAATTCCTACCTTAAAGCAGCTTTCTGGTTAGAGGGAGGGGGAAACACAATCTGGTAATTATCACGCAATGTAGTAATAGTATAGGTAGCACAGATTTTTTTCATAGGAACACAGAGAAGACACTTCATACAGTGTAGAAGACAGTTTGGGATCAGGAAATATACCCTAAAAGAGGTGACACTTGAAATTTTAAAGAAGGAGTGTAAGACTATAGGGCAGCTTAGGGACATTCTAAGCAGAAGTTATAGTTTGAGCAAAACCATGAAAGTAATAAACAGCATAAGGTAAAGTACAAGTATGTTATATTTGGAGAGTTTAAAATATGAAGCAAGGATTAATAGGAGGTGAAGGTAGAGGGGCCAGATCCAAAAATATACTGTGTTAAAGAGCCAGCACTTAATTCCCTAGGCAGTGGGGAGCTTTTGACACATTTCTTAGTGGTAAAGGGATAGGGTCACATACCTATTTTATGTAGATTAGTCTAACGTCTCTATAAAATATGGTTGTATTAGTTATCTGTGGATACATAATGAAGTACCCAAAAACCTAGTAGCTAAAATAATACACATTATTATCTTATACGTTCTGTGGTTTAGGAACCTGGGCATAGCTAACTATGTTGCCTGGCTCAGGATCTCTCACAAGGCAGTAATCAAGGTAGCAGCCGGGGCTGCAGTTATTCCAAGGTTCATTTGGGGGAGAATCTACTTCTGAGCTCACTCAAGTGGTTACTGACAGGATTATGTTCCTTTTGGGCTGTTGAACTGAGGGTCTGTCTAGTATTTCTCAAGAAGTATCCTTCAATTTCTTGCCACATGTTCCTCACTATAGCACAGCTCACAACACAGCAGCTATGAGAGAGCAAGTGAAAGCAAACGAGGAGGGTATACAAGACAGAGGCCAGAGTCTTTTTACTTAATCTTGGCAGTGATGTCTCATCACTTTGTCATACTCTGTTCATTAGCAGCAAGTCACTAAGTCCTGAAACTTTACATAGGGCATGAATACTACATAGGGCAGGGTCATTGGGAGCCATCACTGAAGCTGCCTGTTACGTGGACTTGAGGAAATAAGACTAGAGCTGAAGGGACCACTTAGGAAGCTATTATAATAATCCACGTAAAAGATACGGATATTATTGTGGACATGCATAGTACAATGAAGGGGAAGGAACTGAGTCAAGAAATATTTAGGATATTAAATCACGAGAACTTGGTGATTTAAGGGAGAAAAAGGAATTAAGGGTGACATCTAATTTTTCTTGGTTCTTAAATCACTATTGACTAAATAATATTTTTACTTGAATGTGACTGAAACTCCTGTCCACATTTAGCTTTCTATCCTCATCACTGCCATCTTCTCCATATTTTTTAGTAATCTGTTTGTCCTTAACATTGCTCTCACTGTGTCTTTCATTAGATCCAGTTAGACACCAGTTATTTCTATTTGCTTAATTTTCCTATTTGTCTTTGTTCCTATGGTTACCCTCCTTGTCCAAATTCTTATCACTATGCACTTAAAGTATGAAAACAGTCTCCTCATTTCTTTCCTGTGCCCTGTGCCCTTCTTCAGGGCAGAGTCTGAAACATTTGATTATCTTTCTGTCATTCGTTTAACCAACAATTGGGCCCACTTTATGACCAGCACTTTGCTAGACCTTGAGAATATAATAGTGAGCCAGATAAGCATTGTCTCTATTCTTTTGGGTCTTTCTTGGTACCTCTCTTTCCTTTCCATCTGTCAAAATAACACCAGTCCTGAAAGTATACTTGCTTCTACTCTTCTTATGAGCTCTTCCTTGAAAGATGGATGTTCTTTTTATCTTCTTCACCTACAGCTATTATCTGAAGTTTTACTTTGAAAATTTTGAAATTCTGTAAGTTTAAAAGTGAGCACTGATTTAAGCTATTAAGTGTAGTGAAGCTATTTCTGACCTCCCCTCTCAATCTACTTCAAGCAGTAGAACAGTACATTACCAGTCTGAATCATTGGAATCACATGGAGAGCTTTTTGGACATTCCCTCAAAGATTCTGATTCAATATATCAGAAGTGAAAACAAAATAAAACTCTAAGGTGAATTGGATATGTGCTAGATTAGAAAGGCATTGCATTAGAGTCACCCTCACCATTCTACTATTAATTGTTTTGTGTGTTTTTTTTTTTTTTTTTTTTTTTTAGACGGAGAGTCTCGCTCTGTCACCCAGGCTAGAGTGCAGTGGTGCGATCTCGGCTCACTGCAAGCTCCGCCTCCCAGGTTCATGCCATTCTCCTGCCTCAGCCTCCCCAGTAGCTGGGACTACAGGCGCCCGCCACCATGCCCGGCTGATTTTTTTTTTTTTGTATTTTTAGTGGAGACGGGGTTTCACCGTGTTAGCCAGGATGGTCTCGATATCCTGACCTTGTGATCCACCCGCCTTGGCTTCCCAAAGTGCTGGGATTACAGGCATGAGCCACCGCGCCCGGCCTGTTTTGTGTACATTTAATCATCCAAATAGCCTAAAGCAGTAGTTTCAAATACTAATTGAGGACTAGTTACATCAACACATGCAGACTTTTGGGCACCATCCCTAGAGGAGCTGAGTTCATTTCACTGCATCTGTGGTTATCGCCAGGCTTCTATATTTTTTAAGTAATGAAATATGACTGATATTGGACAAATAGGCTGATGTATTCATTTTTTTGTATTTTCCTTATCAGTGCTACTATGATTACTTTGGAAGGTTCTGACCACGTGGAGTCATATTTTAACTAACAGTTGAAAATGTGCTGGGTTTAGATGATATGATATTATTTCAGTTTTATAGCTTTACTCTTTCATACATTAATACATTTTCTCTAGCTCTTTTATTTTTACTTCAGATAATTTACTGATCACGTGGAAAATCTAAAACAATGACTGGTTGATTGTTTTTTCTCATATTATTCCCGTAAGTCCTATTATATTCTACCGTAGGGAGGCATATTATTACTTTCTTGCTGGATGGGATTAGCAGAATGTGACTTTAATAAATTGTTGTCTTCCTTTTCCTTAGTGTTATTCCTCTTTTAAGAGAATCTGTTGGAATATTAATGCAGAGAACTCCTCCCCTATTAGAAAATAGTCTGCCTCAGTGCTATCAGAGGGTGAGTTTCAAATACTCCAAACCATTGGATTTTATGCTGTTTTCAATCTCTTGATTTTCAGCTTTCACAAATATGGGTAACATGTGTGTATAATTGACTGTTTCTTCCAAGATTGAATGCTGACCATGAAATGTCATTTATACAAACCAGAATAAAATTGTCGGAAAATATTGAACTTTACTAAAGAAAATGTGGTAGAAATTGTTCTGATCTAGAAATTGAGCAGTTTTTAAAAATATAGAATATCTATAGCAGAGATATTCATTCAACATAGAGTTTTTGAGCTCCCACTCTACCAGATACTCTTCTAAAGTACTGGGGAGGTGATGGTAAACAAGACAGACAGTGCCTCTGTTTCATGGGACTTACAGTCCAGTGGGGAAATACAGTAACTAAACAGTAAGTAGATAAATAAGAAAATATCAATGAGAATATAGTAGAAATAAAACAAAGTGATGTGATAGTCATGGATGGCTACCTTAGATTCACTAAGGAAGTTATATTCAAGGAAATTGAAACCTTGAAGACAAGAAAGAGCTAGCCATATGAAAATACTGGAGAAGAATGTTCCAGGCAAGGGAAATTGCTAATGTAAAAGTGCTATGGCTGGATTTAATTTGTGTTTGAAGAACAGAATAAAAAAGGCCATTGTGGCTGGAGCATATTAAATAAAGGGAAGAATGGCTTGAAAGCCTGGAGAGAATGGCAGGAGCAAGATCACTTAGGGTTTTGGGTCATAGATTTAGATTTAATTCTAACTCAGTGGGAAGCATTGGAAAGCTTTTAGGCAATAGAAGTGTCATAAATCCTATGTTTTTAAGAGATTATTGTGTTTTCTATGAAGAGAACATATTCTAGCGAGGATGAAAGCAAAGAAAACCAGTTATGAAGTTATTGTCCTCTAAATGAAAAACAATGGTGGTTTAGATTACAGTTGTAACGGTGAAGATAAATATTCTTCTTCACATTTGGGATATGTTTTTGGGAGTGGATTATATTAGCAGAGGGGAGAGAAAGTGTTGGCTTATTACTTGGTAGATGGTAATGCCACTTACTGAGACTGAGGCCTTGTTGGTACAGGTTTGAGGATGGAAAATCTCCCCAAATGAAGAGTTCTATTCTGGATATGTTAAAATGGAAATGGCTACTATACTTCTAGGAGAAATGTTACTTAAGTAGTTGGATATGAAAATCTTGAGTTTTGGGTACAGATTAGGACCAGAAAGAGTTATAAGTCATCAATATATGAATAACATCTAAAACATCAAGATTGTATTTATTACCTCCGGAGAAGTTCTAGTTCTACTCTTTTAGCTCTGCTTTCAACTCTAAATTTGGAGCATAGGTGAGAAAGCCAGGAAAGGTAGTGGTTAGTGGTGTGCTGGAAAACCAGAAGAGTGTAGGATCACAGAGTTGAAGAAGGAGGAAGTAATTAACTGTGTTGAATATTTCTGTGGGGTCAAGGAGGGTAAAAACAAGAAGTGATCATTGACTGGCATTCTGGATGCCATTACTGACCTTGTTAAGAGCAATTTCATTGGAGTGTTGGAGAGGGGAGCATGATTTGAGTGGATTAAGGAGAAAATGAATGGAGAAGTGACAACTCCTTTAAGAAGTGTTGTTAAAGGGGGCAGAGAAATGAGTTGATAGCGGATATGGATGTACTATCAGGAAAGAGGGTATTTTTTGTTTTTAAAGTAGGATGTTTAGAACAGCATTATCCCGCAGAACTTTCCCCAATAATGGAAATGTTCTATGATCTGCACTGTCCAATATGGAAGCCACAAACCACATGTGGCTAGTGTAACTGATTCTTTTTAACTTAATTTCCATTCATTTAAATAGTCACATATGTCTAGTGACTTTTGAATTGCACAGCATAGTTCTAGAACATGTGCATTAACTGATGGTAACAGTCTGAGAGGAAGAAATTGTTATAGTACTAAAGGACATTATTAAAGGAATGACATCATGAGTAGATGAGAAAGGCTAGAACCCAAAGCACAATGGAAGGATTAACTGTTGATAGTAGCAGGGGTACTAGATCCTCTGAGGGAATGCAGAAATGCTGACATAGATGAGAGGTCACTGGTAGATTTAATGGTAAAGGATAAGGGATTTTCTTTTTACTTCTGTTTTCTCTATAATGTACCAGGCAGTGTAATCATGCAGAGAGATCAGAAGGCTAGAGGAAAAAGGAGAAGGTATAAAATAATCTTTTGATACAGGGAAATTACATATTGCCCATTCAAGATTTGTGGTTATTATTTTAAGGTAGCATCAATCAGCATAATTGTTACTAATTGTTTTATATATATATATGTATATGTATATATACACAATATATGTTATATAACCTATAACATATATGTTATATAACTTATGTAACCTATATATGTTATATACATGTATGTATATATGTTATATATACATATACATATGTATATGTATATATAACATATGTTATATAACCTATATATGTGTATGTATATATATAGAGAGAGGGAGAGTTTCTCTTCTTCACAATAAACTACAGGGTGAGTATCGTCTTCCTTTCCCTAGGTAAAATTGAGGCTCACCTTAGGTCCAAATGCTAGCGGCTGAATCAGGATTCTAATCCACGTCACTCTGACTCTAAAGGTCATCTTCTTTCTACTGTATCACACTGCCCTTTTCATCTGTAACTACACTGTCCTCCCATTTTTTAATTTGTAAAATTAAGCCAGTTTCTACAGGAATTATTCTTTACTTTGTGTTTTAAGATAACTGCAGTCATGTACTTGTACTGCCACATATGGAAGTAGGAGAAATCTTTTCAACCAGGTTATTTCATTAACAGTGGAGCTCAGCTTAAGGCCTCATCCATGAGGATGCCATGTAGAAAGAGTGGAGGGATATCTGGCTAAAACAGCTATGTTGTCAGAGTCCAAAAAGAGGAAGAAAAAGTACACCTTGATCTTTTTCCCCAATAAAAGCAGTTTTTAAAGAAGGCACGGTAGATACTATCTCAGTTTCCTATCAACTGTCTTGGAGTTTATAGAAAATAATGACTACATTCATCAAATTCTGACAAAACATAAATATTTTTGATAGATATAAGATCAACATTTTCTTAACTTCCCAGGTAGATTATGTAAAAATCAGAATCTCAGAACTGAAAAAGATCTTATTGTGCATTTGGCCCAGCCTTCTGTCTGTTGCAAAATCTCCTCTATGCCATCAAGTTGGTATTACAGCTTCTTGACCATTTCTGGAGATAGGTAGTTAACACCCTCACAGAGAAGCTCCCTCTTTCTTTGTAAACTGCTGTAATTGTTATAAAGATCTTTTCACATTGAGCTTTTTTCTTTTAACTTTTGGTTGTTGATCTTATTTCAGCTCCTCCAGATCAATATGGGGATGCAGAACAATAGCAGTGATTTGGGTATCTGTCTTTTTCCTGATCTTCAGGGAATACATCTAATGTTTCATCCGTATTTTCTGTACATTTTTGGTAGTTAGCCTATATTAAGTTAAGGAAGTGTCCTTCTAATAGTTTTTTTCCAAGTCATAAATAAGTGTTGGACTTTATAAAGTGATTGTTACTGTAAATTTCCCTGTGGGGCACACTCTCAGGTGTGTCCTACAAATTTTGATACATGTTTGTTTATATTTCCCAAATACTTGTCATGGCACCTGGCACATAATTAGTACTCAAGAGTATTTATTTATTTATTTATTCAAACATCCTCCTTTCCTTTTTTTAAAATGGACGATAGAATCCATGTTTACTGATATGTTGCATAATAACTTAAGTAAAAGGGAGTGCTTAACTTGATTATGATGTTAATATCTCTCCTTTATATTTCAGGTACAGCAGTTGCAAGGAGTTTACAGTTTACAGGAACAGCACTTCTGGACTTTATGTTCTGACGTTTATGTTGGGACCTTGAAATTAATAGTAGCACCTGATGCTGATGCTAGGTGGATTTTAAGCCAAACACATAATATTTTTACTCAGGTATGTCTTTTTTACTAACTTCTTTTAAGGGCCTTAACATTTTTTATAACTAGTAGTTTTAAAAATATTTACAAGGCCAATGTGAGAGGATGGCTTGAGGCTAGGATTTCTAGATCAGTGTGGGCAACATAGTGAGACCCCGTCTCTACAAAACATAAAATCAGCTGGGCATGGTGACATGCGCCTATAGTCCCAGCTGCTTGGGAGGCTGAGGCAGGAGGGTTGCTGGAGCCCAAGAGTTTGAGGCTGCAGTGGGTTATGATCCAGTTGCACTCCAGCCTGGGCCACAGAGCAAGACCCTGTCTCAAAAAAAAAAAATTGCCATTTAACATAATAAATATATATACTACTGAACTATAAGGTAAGCATAAAACCACATTTTTGGCTGGGTGCGGTGGCTCACACCTGTAATCCCAGTGCTTTGGGAGGCTGAGTCAGGTGGATCACGAGGTCAGGAGATCAAGACCATCCTGGCTAATACAGTGAGACCCCGTCTCTCTACTAAAAATAGAAAAAATTAGCCGGGTGTGGTGACAGGCGACTGTGGTTCCAGCTACTTGGGAGGCTGAGGCAGGAGAATGGCATGAACCCAGGAGGCGGAGCTTGCAGTGAGCCAAGATCACGGCCACTGCACTCCAGCCTGGGCGACAGAGCAAGACTCGGTCTCAAAGAAAAAAGAAAACCACATTTTTTTTTTTCCGAACACAGACAGAGTCAAGTTTGGGAAATACCTGTTTTAGTTAATATTCTTCAGGAATAGAAAGATAGTTCCTATATGCTCATCATTGTACTTATTTGAGTTCCTTCAAGAAAAAGTATATTATCCTTTACTGCACATTTCTTATAAGATATGTTAGGTACTATTTGAAGCCAAGAATTCTAAAACAGTGTTTGGAATAAGAATAAGTGGCTTTAGCTAAAAGCAGACTGTTAACTTTTTTGTGTGACAGCAAAACTATGGTCACCTACTGAGTGATTTAATACCTTTATATGCTGTTGAGTTTTTCTTAATAGTGCATTTGGAATCATGAATTAGTCAGTGCATGGTCTACAACCAAGTTATTTCAGTTAAGGCTCATGCCATCATGAGTTAACATAGCTATGTAACTGACTATTAAAGACTGATTACTATGGTATGTATTGTGTATATATTGGGAGAATAAGAAGGTCATGTCAGTAACATCTAAGAAAGAGGCAGAGAGAATATAAATTCTGTTCTCAGTCTAGTTTGTTGGAAACATTTGGCAAAAAACCCTAGACATTGATACCACTGTCAGAATCATCTAACACAGCAGTCCCCAACCATTTTGGCACCAGGGACCGGCTTTGTGGAAGACAGTTTTTCCGTGAACAGGGGTTGGAGGTGGTGGTGGGAGGGATGGTTTTGGGATGAAACTGTTCCACCTCAGATCATTAGGTATTAGATTCTCATAAAGAGCACACAGCCTAGATCCCTCACATGTGCAGTTCCTATGAGAATCTAATGCCACAGTTCACCCGCCACTCACCGCTGTGAGTGGCCTTGTTCCTAACAGACCATGGACCAGTACTGGCCCGTGGCCCAGGGGTTAGGGACCCCTGATCTAACACATAGATCTAATGAAGAAACAGGTTCCATGTGTTAAAAATCTGTGGTTGAAACTGACATTATATTCCTCCTGATTTGATACCATGGGGAATACAGAACATGACCTATGTGGTACTCCTACCAAAAACGTTTCACTTGAATCTAACCATGAGCAAACATCCAGACAAGTACAGCTTGTGAGAGCCTCCACAAGGCTGTTAACTTGGATTCTTTTAAAAAGTGTCAATGTCATGAAAGGAGAAAAAGGTAGGGGATAATTCTAGATTAGAGGAAACTTCACAATTAAATGCAATGTGTGGTACTTGATTGAATCTTGGACTGGGGAAAAAAAGCAACCACAAAGGAAAGTATTGGATAATCAAAGAAATTTGATTATGGACTGTAGTAGTTCATTTAATTGTATGGGTGGTTAAATTTCTTGGATGTGATAATGGTATTGTGGTATAGAAGACTGTTCTTAATTCTTAGGAGATTCATGTTGAAGGATTTAATGGCAAAGTATCCAGATGTTTAATTTTCAAATGTTTTGGCAAAAATAAAAAAAATTACATATAAATACATATGTAGAGAGATGAAGCAAACATGGTAAAATATTAACAATTGGTAAATATAGCTGAAGGGTTCACAGGTATTTATTGTACTATTATTTTGACTTCAAATTTTTTCAAAATAGGCCAGGCATGGTGGCTCACACCTGTAATCCCAGTGCTTTGGGAAGCCAAGGCAGGCAGATCACCTGAGGTCAGGAGTTTAAGATCAGCCTCACCAACATGGTGAAACCCCATCTCTACTAAAAATACAAAAATTAGCTGGGTATGGTGGTGCATGCCTGTAATCCCAGTCACTCGGGAGGTTGAGGCAGGAGAATCGCTTGAACCCAGGAGGCAGAGGTTGCAGTGAGCTGAGAGCATGCCATTGCACCCCAGCCTGGGTGACAGAGTGAGACTCTGTCTCAAAAAAAAAAAAAAATGTTTTTTTCCAAAGTAAAAAGTTGAAAAATAAAAACCTTGGTGGCGCCTCATTGCCATCCAGGTAAAGCCCAGACTTTTTAGCATGAACCAACAGACTTTTAAAGTCTGTCTCCTGCTTTTCATTGCCACGTACTTTATACTCCAAACCCACCAGACTGTTTACTTTTCTGTGAGGGACAAAAATCCTACTCTAACTAAAATATCCAATGCAATTGTTACTTTCTCTCTGAAGCCTTAAGTGTCCCACAAAGCAGAATTACTTTATCCTATGTCATACATATCACATTGTACAACTTGTGTGCAAGTTCCTACCAGCTGTCATGATTTTGCATTCCCAGTGCTTAGAAGATGTATATGTGTATAATGAATTTGTTATATAAACAGATTTTAAAAACTGTATTTGATTAAAGCCATCTTTATATATGCTAAGTATGGAAAAATATCGTTGGGTTCCCATTGGTCTTTTTTAACCACAAGCTCAAAAAGATCTTAATGAGATCTAAAATCTGTCTTTCTGATAAAGAGAAATGTGTCATTAGGTCCCTTTGGGAGTAAATTAATGAAATAATCTTACGTATAATTAGGATTTACTCCAGTGCTAATCTTATGTGTAATCAAGACATACACTACTACAAACAATATGCTGGTACCACTTATTTATTTCAGAATTTTAACAACCAGGTGTCTTTCTTAACAGACACTGTAAGTCTATATCATGACATTCATAATGAAGCATGCAAGACCTTCACAATGTGTCTGAATCCTTCTTACACCTTCTACATGTTTCAGGGACAACAAGATAACCAGGCTAGCAGTAATGTTTCTTTTCACTGACATTTCCAGATTATTTTTCCCTCCTTTACCTTGAATTTTCTCCTAGATATGCAATGTCCTTTTACCCTTATAGTGTGAGCTTCTGTTGAATTCTAGGACACTCCATATTCTCCTAAGACTTTGGCATTTACTCACAATTTGCCCTCTGAAAAGGAATGCAATTTCTAGTTTTAGAAATGTGCAAGCAGCTGTGTCCGGGCTTAGGAACTCTTGAAGTTTTCATTCAAGTAAGTGGAAGGAGGTTCTTCCGGTAACTTTAGAAATTTTGGCTTTTAAAATGGCTGAAATTGAAAGTTTATTCAGCTGCTTCTTTGGTTTTGGAAACTGCATTTGAGCTTTGAATATTTTAAGCCCTGAAAAAATATTTTAAGCCTTTTTATCACCTAAGGTCAAGTCTACTTTATTTCATTCCTTGCAGAGACCAGGGATTCTTTGAGACTTGCAGTGAAGGTGGCTCAACACATTTTTCCTAGGGGAGAGGGGAGTCACCCTACTAATGACTTTCATTCCTACATTTAATGATTTTAAAATTGTTTTGTGATCACTGCTTTAGTTCTGACTTATGCAGATTGAAATTTTCATGAATTTATTTTCCTTTTCTGCATATACCCTAGTAATGCATGGTCCTTATGCAATTAGTATATGCCAAGGCTTGCAGGAGCATTTTTATTTTATGAAATGAAATTTAAATTTAAAAAAAATTTTGATCTTAAATTACATCTTATAAATTTTACTTATCAAAAATAAGAAAACTCAAATTGCTCCCTTTTCGATCACATAGATGCTTCAGGTGTATTTCTTACAGACAGATTCAAAATACTGGTGGCCTTAGTTCCAAAATACCAAAAGAAGGATTTTTTTCAATAATAAGTTATAGCTTTTGATTTATTACATTTTTAGGTATCTTTCTTATAGCCAGTCTTAAATTACAATGTAAGTGATAGTTTTTGGTTAAAAATTGTTTTGTTAAAACTTTTATGAGGATAACTTTAAACTGAGAAGACCAATATCTAAAAGTTGGAGAATTATAACTTTCTATTTGGTTAATAAAACTATAGTTTTGTGACTATATCTTAGGCAATATCCTTTTTAATTTCATTTTCCAGAGTTACCAATTAATCTTTAACTGCTAAAGAAGTTGGCTTGCTGTACGTGAATATAAACTAATGCAAGTGGATTGCTAAAAGCCACTTCAGTACTCAGATTGCTTTGGGATTAAGTGACAATACAGTTTTTAAAGTACCAGGTTTTCTGTTGACATACAAAAAGTCTTCTCCCTCTTTTTCCCCTTGCACTAATTTTTTTTTTAATGAGTTATCATTTGGGAATTGATAAAATGGAGAGTTTACCTTTTGTGTTTAGTGTACAAACAGCAAAAAAAAAAAAATGGGATACTAGATTAGGAAGGCAATTAACATCTTATGTTTTAAATTGGCCAATAGTATTTGTTAATTTTTTTAAATAGCACACTTCACAATCATAACTGTAATCCTAAAAATTTTAATATACCTTTTTTGTTAGAAATAATGTTTGAAGAAAACATGTTAAAGAAACATGTAGAAATATGTTTGAAGAAAAGTCTATAATACGCTTGGGGTTTATTACCATTATCAGTTCCACAAAACACAAAAGATGGTCTCTCCTAATACATATTTACTCCTTGATAGAACTTCTACCTTTATTTCTTCCATCTTTTCTACTCTTTTGCCTTTCTCACTTGTGCCTGATAAGTCCTAAGCCCCCAACTTCCTGCTTCAGCTTTTTGTGCTCTATTCTCTGTCCTCAAAATAGAAGTTAACACTGATACTCAGGAAGAAACCAAAAAGCCTCCTCACAAGCCCAAGTAAGAGTGCTCCAAGTTTCAGATACTTTCTGCCTCCGTAAACTCTCCTAGGATCATAATCCCTTCCTGTGGCTTTATCTAACTTTGCTCTGTCTTCTTGAGGGAGGGGGTACAGAGTAGGAGAAAGTGGATTACTATTTTTCCACCTTTCCTTTTTTTTTCTCTAAGCTTTTGGTCAAGGGCTTTAATGTTTCCTAAGTATTGATTTTGGTTGCCTGCTCTGCAGTTTTTCCTTATCCATCTTCCCATTATCTTTCTTCATCATTTGTATTTGAAGTCCGCCAGAATCTGACCTCCTTTGGAGGTTGGAGAGAACAACCACAGGTTGTGAGGCCAACAGATCCCTAGGTTTATTGTTTTTAAGTAATCCATATGATTTAAGTGTTCACTGGTTGATGAATAGTGGTGGAAATAATAACAGCACCAGCAGCTAGTATTTATTGAGAGCTCATCATGTGCCAAGTACTGTGATCAGTACCTAACATATTAAATGAGCCTCAAAAGACAATTTACAGACAAAAAAACCCACACTCAAGTTACTGTTATTGACTTGTAATTTAGTCACAGTTACTCATTATTTTGCTAACTCTGAAATGATTTAGGTTTCACAAGGAAGAGTAAGGCAGTTTTTCAAGACTTCATTTTAAAGGGATAAGGATGAATATATGTACAGTCGAAATAATTTTCTATAGTCATATTCCCGTTTATTTCCCTAAATTTTTTACTTCCGATTTGTTATCCTTTCTACAACAATAAATATGTATTGAAGATATTCTAAGCCTATAGCACCAGGTTAACATTTATTTTCTTAGGAGCATGAAAGTGTTCAAAATAGGTGCCTTTCCCATTTATAAAAATGTTGACTGGAGTATGGTTTGTACATTATTCTCAGGATATGCAGTGAGTACTATATGGTTTTCACATTTTAAGGACCTGTCAGCCAGCCTCTGGCTCCTGGTCCCATTCTAGGGGTAGAATTTATGATGGATCTGAGTAGTGTTTTCATCTGTTGGAGTGTCTGTCATGTCTTTGTGATGTGAATAAACTGTAGAAAACTTAGTTTGCATTCAGAGAGTAGGTGACTTACCATAGGATTCTTCCACTTTTCTCTTTACTTTAAAGGAAACTGGAAGAGGAAAATGAGAATCTGTAAAACTTGAAGCTGTCCTCATCGGGCCAGATGGATAAAGCAAAATGACTTTTTTTTCTTTTTTTTTTCTGTTAGACTGAGCTTTTGTGGAAAGCTGTAAGCCCTCAGGGGAAGGATATCAGCTTGAGTAATTAACTCATGATTATGCAAAGAAAATTTACCTAGCCTCTTTGTTTTTCCTTTCTTTGTTATTGCCTTGGGCTACTTCATTTTTTATTACCATCTTCTCTGTTTAGGGCTAGGAGTAAGGAAAATGACAGAGACAATAAAAAGAGCCCAAGTTTTGCCCATTTTGCTTTCACTAACAATGTTGTTGAAAAATAAAAGAAATTAAGACAATTTATTTGAACAATATTTGTTTCCTCTTATGGTTTGATATATAAGAATTTTTAAAGAGTTCCTAAGTACAGTCATTTCAGGTGTCATCTGGATAATGTCAGATCATATAATTGTAATCAATCTTAATAATTTGTTTGTAATAGCCTTTTATAAGTACCTGGTATATAGCAAGGATTTATTGAATATCTGTCAAATATTGGATGAATATGTAACAATTGTGTGAGATTAGTAGGGCTGGTGTTTATCAATGCTTTTAAAATGAGAAAAAATTAAGTTTGATTTTAATTTGTAACTCAAGAACATACAGATACTGAATTCTGTCTTTTTTTCTGCCACATCATCTTAACTGAGGAGAGGATGCTATTAAATATATTTTTCTTAAATTTGAATAACAGAGGCTTTAACTTTCCACAGGAAAAAAAAAAAGAAAAAAAAGGAGAAGCACCAGCAAAATTAAAATATATTTCTTTTGCTGACAAGCTTCTAGAGCCTGCAAGCCTTTTATCCATTCGAGTAGTTCCTGAATCCTTTCAAGCACTCAGTATTGTACAGAGCCCTCCTACCTGAATTCTAGAAAAAAAGCCAAGCTAGGAAACAGTGCTTTGAGGAGTCCAGAAATTACTGTAAGAAGGTAGTGCTAATAGATTTTTTCCTCACTCTGATTTTTTTCCTATTAAATATTCCAATTTACCTTTTATTCTGTGGTACTGAGAAGAAAGGGCTTATTGTGACTAATGGGTTCCTTTAATTAAAAATAGATCATTTTGGGTTGAAAGAAGGAAATTAGTAGAATTTTAGTTAATTCAACAAATACTTATTGATCACTTACTGTGTGCTGGCTCTCACTTGAGGTTCTAGGAGTCAGCAATGTAAAGAAGAAGACCAAATCCTTTATCTCGGAGACATTATATTATAGTGAGAGGTCAATAATAAACAATAAACACCGTGAATAAGTTGTATAATACATCGCAAGGTGATAAGTTTACTGGGAGTGCTGAGGTATTTACCAGCTCTTGTACCAAGCTTTATTTTTTTCTTTAGCCTTTGGCGATTTCAGTTTTCAGAGAGGAGGAAGAACTAGCAGAGAAGACTGAGAAAGACTGATAAGTGAGGTAAAAGGGCAGCCAGTGAATATTCTCTGGAAGCCAAAAGGGAAAATATATATATCTATAGGCAGGAGTGACCATCTGTATTATTGCTGATAGGTGAAGTAGGAAGAAGAGGCCTGAGAATTGGATATTAATGTAAGCAATGTGGAAGTGACCTGGACACAGTTTGGGGGAAGTGTTGGGAAGCAAAAGATTGGTTGAAATGAGTTCAAGAGAGAAGTGAGAAAAAGGATTTTAGACAGCAAATATGGATAACTCTTTTGAGGCTTTTTGCTGTAAAGAAGAGCGGAGATGGGGAGCCCAGAAGGGGATGTAGGGTTAAGTAAAGATTTTTGTTGCTTTTTGTTGTTGTTTTAAATAGCTTTAGGGGGTACAAGTGCAGTTTTGTTACTAGGATATATTGCGTAGTAGTGAAGTTTGGGCTTTTAGTGCAACTATCACCTGAATAGTGTACATTGTACCCAAAAGATAATTTCTCATGAGGTTTTTTCAAAGATAGAAACAGCTACAGTGTGTTTGTATGCTAATAGAAGTGATCTAGTTGAGAGGAAGTAAATTGATAATACAGAAGATATTGGGGAGAATTTAGAGAGCAGTATCCTTGAGTAGCAAGTTCATATCCAAAACAGAAGAGAGAACTTGGAGTGCAAAATAATTCCAATAGATGGTTATACTTGCTAAATTGTTTACTAATCATTTATCACAGGAGGATTTAGACAGGGTTGATGTATCAATTTCAACTAGGAGCCAACCAGTCAAGCATCATGGTGTCCTCTAACAGAGTAACTGTAGAAGGTGAACTGCATTTTTCTAAGTATCACCTGGATATCTGGATAGGGTGTGTGACTGTTAACATGGCTCTTTTTTTTTTGTTTGTTTTTTTGTAGTGGTAAATGGAGATTATTTTTTGTAGCTTATGAATATATTTGTTTCTGAAATGATTCTTTTCTTTTTTTAAAAAAGTGAGATTTGTAAAAGAAAAAAAATACTTTCCTGAAATGTGTAGGGTGTTATTAGCTTGTTAGATTTTCTAACTTTTTTTTTTCTTACTTTTCAGGCTGGAGTGAGACAGCTCTACGTACAGATTGACTTTGCAGCCATGTAGTGAATGGAAAGAAATTATGCACCTTTTATGGACCAAATTTTTCTGGTACTGTACGATCCAAAACATTGTACCCAGCTTTTTAAAAGAGAGAAATTATCACTACAACTCCCGAGCACTAAGTAGACGGGGTAGAGTCAGCCGTTCATGCTTTGTGGGGAGTTCACAGCTAAGGGATCAGATTTAAGAGGATATCTCCTGGACTTTTGGTCTTTTCTTTTGTGCTCTTTCCTCCAAATCTTTTTGACTTCTGAGGTTTTTAGCTTAGGATGTTAATTTGTCCTTTTGTCTTTCTTTTTTTGTTTTTGTTTTCTGTTTGTTTGTTTTCATGTTGAATGCCCACACCACCATCCTCTCATCCCAGCCAGTAAGAATTTCAGTTGTGGGCCTCCAGTCTTCTGGAATGTCTTCACTGCAGCTGCTGGAAATCACTGCTTTCATTCCCACAAAACCAGTATTACTTTTTTTTAAAAAAAGAAAGAAATTGGAAATCTGTGCTATACGTAATGTCATAATTGTTGACGTTCTTCAGTATAATCATGTTTGTTAAATTGTTTGTACCTTGCAAACTTATGAACCAAACCATATTGGGTTTTCAAAGTGCCTTTGTATCCAAAAATGTATTTGCCAGCATAGAAATGTACCATCAAGAGTCATGTATGTTTTATTTTTGTTTTTATTTTTTATTTTTTGAGATGGAGTCTCGCTCTGTAGCCAGGCTGGAGTGCAGTGGCATAATCTCAGCTCACTGCAACCTCTGCTTCCCGGGTTCAAGCTATTCTCCTGCCTCAGCCTTCTGAGTAGCTGCGACTATGGGCGTGTGCCACCATGCCCAGCTAATTTTTGCATTTTTAGTAGAGATGGGGTTTCACCATGTTGGCCAGGATGGTCTTGATCTCTTGACCTCGTGATCCGTCCACCTCAGCCTCCCAAAGTGCTGGGATTACAGGTGTGAGCCACCACGCCCGGCTATGTTTTTTTTTTTTTTTTTTTTTTTTTTTAACAATGGATATTCTGTAAAATATCCTGTACAAAACAAGACTATTGCCAGTAATGTATACAAATTGTCTTTTTGTGTACTTCCAGCATAGGTTTGGATATATGAACATTTTTCTTTTATTGTTTTATCTTCACAGAAAATAAAAGGTGTTAATTTGCTTTTTAAAACAAATTTAATTATCACATTTTAAATTACTTTGTGGACTGTGTTTTCAAAACTTTGCAAATTCATCTGTTACACAGAAAATTTTGACTTAAAACATCTGCTGAATTCCAAATTTCTGTAATAGCTACTGTATCTGTGATAAACTTTCCTATATCTTTCCTTGCCATTTCTATGGATTTTATAATGAAAGAAAAAGGCATTGGAGACTGAAGGCAGAAATGGTTGTGACAGTGCTGTTTGGCTTTTTCATTCTTCAAATGCCAAGTCATCCACTTTGTTTTCCTGTTTAGGCTTTGCACAAATACAATTGCTTTCAGGAATCCTAAAGCAGCATTTTATTGAGTTTGAATTATTAAAGGTACAGAGGAAATGTGGTGATGTAGAACTTTTCCTAACACAGGTATCTAGGAAGTAAGTGCTGAGTTGATTTTCTAGGTTCTTACGTATTTGAAAAATAAAATTGCAATTCGAGATAAGTGCTTGAGCACTCTACTTAAGTATTCTCTGTGTTTTATGAAGAGAAAATGATCTGATTTTCCCTTATACTTCATTTTACAATACATATTCCCTTTTAACTTAAAAAAATTGTAAATGTGGGAGAAAAAACCCTGCAGGATGGAAACAATTATTAAGAATGTAGATCAATAAGTACTTTTTAGTGATGTGGCAGAAATCCCTGTTGATTCTAAGTTTTAGAGTGTCTTTTCCCCTATTTCTGACCTACAACTATAAACTACTCTCTATTAGGAGAACTAGACCACTTTCTTCATTCTTTTCTAAACTGCTGCAGATTGCCGTGAACTCTATCAATAGTCTCTTTTCCGCAGGCAAAGTGGCATTTTCTAAACATGTTTGCTTACTGCCAGGTGGTTTGAAATCTATGATTTACTGCAGTAGTATGTGCTTAAAACAACTGTTGAGGTCTTTTAAGCAGGAAAGTTCAAAAGGAAGTGTCCTGATAATGGTACTGGTTTTTCTACAAATATAAGTAGTCATTAGAAGTTTGCAACCACCACCAAGTCTGAGAGAACTCTGGGATATTCTGTGGGTTTTGGCATATTAGATAGAGAAAATGACAGATCTAGATGAAGGGAGCTTTTGGATGTGTGCCTTTAAAAACTGATTATGTATAAATACTGATATTTCACATACGGAGATATTTGAAGACCCAAGTCTGCCTTTCACAGAGCCCTCCATTCCAAGTTTAGTTTTTGTCAAAATATGAATCATTTTATTTGACTGTACTATCAGTACACAAATGCATGAGTATGTTTATACAGTGTTAGACTGATGTGAATTTGCATTTGTTACATTACATTGCCAGCGCATATCATTTAGCAAGTTGGCATTAACATTTATGCTTTAATTAAATGCCAGTATACCTATGTGTGCAGCAGTAAAAAATTAGTGAGAAAAAGCAACTTTTTGTCACTCTTAGGAAATATTTTGTCTTATTAGTGTTCTTGGCACATGTATATTACTAAAGTAGATAATTCCAATGAGAAATACTACCAGATTATTGTTATAAAATTAATTTACAATGTCCCTGATATTGAGCTAACTCTTAAAAAAACCAAACAAAACTCGTATCTGAGTGTAACTTTGCCAATATTTTAAAAGCCAAAATATTCTCTGGACAACAAATTTGTATTGCTCAGGGACAGTTTACCTTGCCTGGTAAACCTTCCCAAACAGAAATATAGCTATACTATCTTTGGTTTTGTTTTTTTGTTTTTTTTGTTTGTTTGTATTAGATGGAATTTCACTCTTGTCGCCCAGGCTGGAGTGTAGTGGCGCAGTCTCAGCTCACTGCAACCTCCACCTCCCGGGTTCAAGTGATTCTCCTGTCTCAGCTCCCTGAGTAACTGGAATTACAGGTGCACGCCACCACGCCCGGCTAATTTTTGTGTTTTTAGCAGAGACAGGGTTTCACCACGTTGGCCAGGGTGGTCTTGGACTCCTGACCTCAGGTCATCCTCCTGCCTCGGCCTCCCAAAGTGCTGAGACTACAGGTGTGAGCCACCGTGCTCAGCCACTAGCTTTGGTTTTTTAAACATAGATTATATTCCTCAAGATGAAGGGCTTAACATATCCACAGCTTCCTCAGTTTGCTAACTCCCCATGCATCTTTGTGAAGGACAGTATCTAGTTTATCTGTAGGTCAGTGTTCCTTGTGCTGTCATTTCCCTTATATCTGGAATTTGTCAGCATTCCTGAAAACCTACACGTGTATATCAGTAACCAAAATGCTATGCCTTTTTTGCACCTTTGTACAGCAGCCAAATCATGAACTCAAAATGTATTTGATCACAGTTCTATAATGTTTTTACCTACCTATTATGGAATAATCAGTTTTTACAGAGATTATTAATATGGTAGAACCCTGTTATGTAATTCCAAAACTTAAGAACCATATTTACATTGCTTAACACAGAATTTTACATCTAAGCAAGGACTGGCTTTAGAAGCAGTGTAGTTCTACCTCTCATTTTACAGATGAGAAAACCGAAGCCCAGAAAAACTCTCATTTGCTCAAAGTCACAGAGAAAATTAGTGGCAAAGCCAAAAAGATTCAGATCTTCTGACTCGAAGTTGAGAGTTCTTTATACTCTATTATGCTGCCTCTCCAGTGTAATATTTGCCTTTCTGTAAATGGGATTAAATATGATTTGTAAATAAAGGACATCTGACCTCCTTTTTTGGTACATTAAGGCACTTTATAAATGGACTTTTATTGTCTCATTTTTCGTATATAATTATTTCCATCATATTCTTTATGGAAGATGCAATTAATTTTAACTTTTTTACTCTTATAAAACCAGTTCCTGACATTTTAAAAAACAATATCTGTAAAATGGATCCTTTTATGAGTGAATTTTTCTGCTAATTGCCCAAGGCTAAATCCAATTTAAGGATTGCTTAGTTTCTTTATTTTGTTTATGGTCTCTGAACTGGTATTTTTTTATAAACCAGGCTAATTCACAGGTCATACCATTTCATTCTTGTCGTGTTGGCTTCCAGTCACTGGAAAAGCTTTTGCATTTTAAAGATTTTTAGAGCCATGCAAAACTGGGCATTAAATGTTGCATAAAGCAAATCTTTTAAGTAAGGTAAAATGTTGAAGTCTTAACCAGAATTCCTACAACTAATTACTAAAACTGCTATTTCTAACTCTTCATGAAAGCATTACCTTTGGAAAGTTAAACTTTTTTTTTCCTTTCATCACCGTCTTTGAAACAAATTATTTTCCAATTCATAAGAACTTTGGTAAAAAAAAAAATAAAAGGAAATTATATGTTTTTCTTTGGACATTCATTGGAAGGCTTGTTGAAGACATGATCCCCCAGAAGCCTTAGTGACCCAGATCTCAACCAGAGACTCAAGATAGCCTCAAATACAGTGAAAGATTATGTATCCAAAAAAAAAAAAAAAAAAAAAAGAAAAGGAGCAGGGAAGGACAGTTCTAGTTAAAGCCAAATGGATGTGAGTCTGACAAGGGTGTCTTTGATTTATATTTCCTAACTGCAAATTACACAGAAAGTGAGAATGGGGAATAACTTTTATTAAGTATTTATGTGCCAGGCGGTTAGTGTGGCCTTCATGTTATTACATTTAATCCTCAAATTTCTACAAAGGAATAATTTTGCATGATTTTATGATTGACGGAGCATTTTCAAATCTCCTCTAATTCTCATAACATCTCTGTGAGGAAGGAATTTTTATCCTTATTTTACAGATGAGGAAGCTGTTTGGAGATAATTTAAGTGACTTGCCTGGGGAATCTAGCCAGTAGTAGAGTACTGATTAATCAGGTGCTGACATCTGCTCTGCTTTGTGTATGTAATTCAGCAGTGCTTCAAAGATCCAAGAAGCTGTAGCAGATCTCAATACACTCTCCTATAAAATTAGTGAATAATCACCATGACAAAATTGGTATGGCGGAACAGTCATTATACATTATTTAGACTCATTCCTTCTTCCAGTGCCCTTATGATTATTTCCTACCTTTACCATTGATCTTAAACTGTGCAGGCTAAAAAGAGGAACCAGAACTCCCTTAAGCACTTTTAAGACTATTTAAAAAATAAAGTTTTGTTGGCATTGAAGAGTAAGCTGCTTAAGGGACTGAATGAAAAGATAGTACCCTTTGTGGCTGTATGAAGAGAGAAACTGAATTTCTATCCAAGAGACCTTAATTTAGTTTATTAGGGAATTATCTTCCCCAAAAGTACAAGTAATTTTGCACTGCAGGAGAAGGATAAGTAGATTTGATTTACATCACATTTTATACACACCTTTCAAAAGGAAGAAATCTGTTTCATAAATAGTAGTAATCTATGCTTAAACTTAACATTTAATGTTGACTTCTTACAACAGCCTTGAAAATTATTTGTAATTTTGATCATGATGTTGGAAAGCTTGTAATAAAGAATATCTTTCTCTTCTGCATCCTTTTATCCTCAAACTTAGCATGGATTCACATGCTGAGTAAATGTTTGGTTAACTAGTGAACATTTTAGATAGTTGTGTCAAAAATAAGGGTTAGGGATAGGTAAAACCAGTAATTTACTGTTTTTTACAGAAGACATCTCAGCATTTCTTTGGCATTTTTGCACAAATAAATGACTATATATTCACCTTGGCCATTTTTTTTTTTAAGTAGCCCTATGAGCTGCTCATTCTTTTTCATATACAGTGGAAGTATACAGATGTTATCCATTTTACAAATTGTTGGATCGGAATTTGACAGAATTGGGACTGTGGAACCTGGGTCACTTGAATTTTCTATATTTTGTATGGCCAAATCAGGAACCAGACAGTCTCCATAGTCTCCTTTGTTTTTATGGAAAATTGCCATATTCACATATTTCATTTATCCTAATGTATTGTCATCCAAAATGAAAGAGGTCTTTCTTGAAGGTGCTTTAAAGACATCACTACATGTATTCAATTACTGATTTAAATATTCCCAGAATTATTTTTTACCTTTCTCTTTTTCCTCTCAAACACAAAATTTTAGTAGTACCTCCCTCTATTTCTTCACTGATTTTTCATCTGTTTTCATTGTTATTTCCACTATAGAACTTCTACTTTATACTAGCGGGGAAAATTTTTTTATTTAGAATTTTAATATTTGAATTTTGTTTATGTATCACATACTGTGCTACAGTTAGCCTCAATGAAGATTCTATTTTGAACTAGACATCCTGTCAATAGTTTGTCAAGTAACTTCATTGCTTCCTTTGATAGCAATTCAGTGAAATTTTTTCCCAAGTGATATTTTCCCCCAACTTTTGTGAGTTTGATAAATAGGATGAGTCTTTTATATTGGAAATACTGTGAATGGAAAATTGCCAAATCCCTTCTTAGTATATTTTAAGCACCCTACAACACTTTACCTCCCTGCCTTTAGTGGTATTTAAACATATGGCCAAGTTAGTATTTGGGTTTGATTCCTTTGGTGAAGATTAAGGCATCAAAACATTTCTTAAAATGTTTGAGTACAAGGCTAAGTTATAATGTCAACTTTCAAAGACTATGTTGTGATTCGGTTTGAATATGCTGAAGTGAGCAATTATGATTTGCCCAAGTGCAATACAACAAATCTATAATGTATATTTCACATTTTCTACTTGAACACATTCATGTATATATTTTGTTAAACTTCATATGTATTTAAAAAGAATCATGAACTGTATCAAAATTCTTTCAATAAAATTTCTATTTAAAAATCTCTACCTGAATTGTGTCTTATCAGTTTGACGAACTGAAACAAACACTGTGAATCTTACAGGTATTGGAATAGATACTAGAGGACTTAAGGAATGAAAGGCAAAGAATGATTCTCAGAGCCAAGAAACAGCAGAACTTACTAGGAGAGAAGAGATGCTAGGAGGTTGGAAGTATCTTTACATTGTGAACAGCCTCATTGTGGCTCTTAGTCAGCATCTGACCTCATAAACATGTCTCGAAGTATTTACTTCCAGATATTTCCATCACTCCCAAGTTGTTCTCTCATCTCAGTTTCTATGGATGACTTTGTCTTATATGACGTGAAGACCAAAACATCTGATGTGAGCCTCCATTATCCTTCCAAATTTTTCCCTCTGATTAGATGCAATTCTTTTTTAAAATAACTTCTTCCACAGTATCCCATGCACCACTCATGTCACCTTCCTTCTCAAAGGTATTCTTACCAAAGCAGCTTCTTTACTATCATCAATCTCTGCCATACTTCAAGGCTTTATCCTCAGCATGTCTGCTGTCAGATTCCTTGTATGTGGTCTACATTTGCTGCTTCTACCTCCTTTCTAACCATTTCCATAGCTCCTAGTAGTATAGCTTCACTCCTCCCTATTTCGTAGAAGTTGCTTCAAGGCCATCAGTGGCTTCTCGTCACATTCATGGCAGAACTACCAGCATATCAAATTCAAAATTGAAGAAAACAAATCTTTCCCATTCAATTCTCAACTACCAATTTGTCGGAATTCTTCATAGAATTCTTAGAAAACTAAGCAATGCCCTGTCACCTCCATTTCCTGAATCCCTTATCATAAAACGTCTTTCTTCCTTTGAAATCTTTTACTTTCTTTTCCATTCCCACTGCCCTATTCCAGGATTTCACTGATGACTGCAAGCAGAATCACTTTCCTTGCCCAACTCTAGCCACCTCCATTTCAGCCCCCACCCAAACAATTTTGGCTTTGGCCTGGAGTACAAGGAATTTTTGTTGAATCCAACTTTTGTCCAGGTGCTTTTGAAGCATTTGTCCTGTCCTGGCTTCCTGAATGCCGGGAGCTGGCCCCTCTGCATACCTGCTAGATTGAGACTCCCTACCTATCCTGTCTTCTCTGTAATTAGCCTCTGGCCTAATTCTACAGTGGCCTGTCAACACTCCTACAGAGCAGCCTCTTCTGTTTACACACTGGGTTAGGAAGTTGTTTGGTACAATACTGCACCGGCCAATCTTATGTAGAGTTTTGGCTTTCCTAACCGCAGAAGCCACCCCATGTTAAACTGGTCTTGCTTTCCCAGTTTCCACTTGCAGTCCTCTAGCTCAGGAATCTTGAGTGGCTCCCTAATGCTTATCAAGTGTAAACTCTTCTGAACAACTTTCGAAACTTAAATGCATTTCATTCCCTCCTTAAATCAAACCCTTGATATGGCACCAAACTTTTCATTAGTCTAGAGCAAAAAAACAGCAGAGACAAGGAGGAGCAAACAGGTTCAATAGATATAGACAGAATGACAGCAATTTACTACTTTTTTTCATTCTTTCCAAAAAAAAGAAACAGCATTTTAATGGGATTCTAGTTCATTAAAACATTATCAGCTCATCCAGTTCTACTTTGAGGCAAAAAAAAAAAAAAACAAAACAAAACAAAACAAAAAAAACTACCATGAAATTCAGGCTTAGCACATGCTACCAACATTTAAATTCACAATTCAAATTTATCTGCTAATGTTGACAGTAAGAAATGCATAGTCTGGCACAGTGTAGGCAAGGCAATCAGTTTATTGAAGAAATGGATGAATTTTGCTTTTTAATGTAAACTTTAACTCCTCTTTGAAAAGTGATTCTGTATGAATTGTTAAAGTGAATAGTACTCTTTTTGTGAAAGAGCAACTGCTAAAACTAAAGAATAAAGCAAAATAATACAAAGACCTTATAAAAATTATTTCCTGAATGTAGCCACCAAATGGCATTGTTTAAATGTGGTATTTTTTAAGTAAACAAGATATTCAGATTCACATATAAGCAGGAGCACTTAGATAGCAATTAAGGCTTGGCTTGGCCATTTGGCTTGGACTTTTGAGTATGTCATTGTGACTTGTAAAATTACAAATAAAATAAGGTCCATCTGATTAGCCGTCGCTGTCTTCCACCCTAGACAATAAGTTAGATCATAATGTTCAGATTTACAGGGTTTATTGTCCTGTATGTGCATCATACTACTTTCCCCGTGAGCAATAATTTGTACACAGGTCATATTGGTTTCTACAGACCTCAGAAGAAGGCAAAGTTACTACATTTGTAGTTACATTAGTTGGAGGGAAGACTTCCCACTGGCTTCCAAAAGCTTTGGCCAGGCAATCCTATGGTGGTGGCCAACAGCTATGTAAGCCCATAGGAACTAAAACTTTGGGGGAGGGGAATATTTCTGTTTGGTAGAGTTATGGTTTTAAAAGGGTACAGCAACCCTGTTGCTTTTTTCTCTCTGTACCCCCACCACATGGAGCAGAATGCAGGCCCAGCCATGAAAGTATGAAATAGTATCAGAGTAGAGTAACTAGATGCCCAATTTTCTGGCCAGAGGCTCAACCAAGAAGGGGAGCCCAGGGAACCAGGAAGTGGAGAGATTATGGAGTGGGAGGAAACCACGAAAGCAATCTCATAAAGTTGTTTATGAACCCCAAGGATCATCCTCAAATCACTAATGCTTGGATCTGATTCTATTTAGCCTTGAGAATCTTGAGAACTAAACTATCCAACAGACGACTTCGTAAGTCCCAAATTGTGTGCCACAAACTTGAAATAGATCCAAAGAGAACTGCAGTCTTTGAAAACCGAACTTACACTGGAACTGTGGCCCATAAAGAGCAATCTGATAATTGCATCCTGAAGCTAACAGGTTGGTTGCCTGCTCAAACAAAAAGATTGATATTCTCCATTAAATCTGAACAAGACCCAGCAACTCACAACATAATATTCAAAATGTCCAAGCTATAATCCAAAATTACTTGATAAAGTGCTGCAAAAAATTTCAACTTACAGAAAATCAATAGATGGTAAAGCTGAGATATCAATCTTAGAATTATCTAACAAAGACCTTAAAGCAGATATTTAAAATGCTCAAGCGAGCAATACAAAAATGCTATATGAAATGCTCAAACACCTACAGAAAAATACATGACAAAGAAATCACAAATAATCTTGAAACAAATGTTAAAATAAAAAACAGAAGACATAAAAAGAACCAAATGGAAATTTTAGACCAGTAACCAAAATTTTAAAAACATACAGATGGACTTAACAGCAGAATGGAGAAGACAGAGAAAAGAGTCAATGAATTCATAGATGGATAAAAATTATCAGCTCTAGGCAACAGAGAAAACAGACTGAAATAACAACAACAATGAACAAAGCTCGGGAACCTGTTGGACAGTAAGAAATGTCTAACATTTGTATTTATCAGAATTTCTCAAGGAGAGGATAAAGTATATAGTGCTGAAGGAAGATCTGAAGAAATAATGGCTGTAAACTTCCCAAGTTTGGTGATGTACACCTAGAGTCAAGAAGCTGGGCAAACCCAAAACAGAATAAACCCCAAAATATCCACACCATCTCAAACAATTCCAATCCAAATCTCACAACCTCTTTTGTATATGTCAACAAGCTCATTCTAACGTTTATATGGAAAGGCAAAGGAACTAGAATAGCTAAAACAACTTTGAAAAAAGAATGTTAAAGGAACCACACCACCTGTTTTTAAGACTTACCATAAAGCTAAAGTAATTAAGACAGCATAGTATCATAGAAGGGAGAGATGCACAGATCAATAGAACAGCAAGAGTTCAGAAAGAAACCTACATAAATAGGGCTTAATGATTTTTACAATGGTGCAGAAACAATTCAATGGAAGAACAGTCTTCTTATCAAGATGTTGTAACTAAACATTTACATGAAAAAAAAAAATGAGTGTGGATCTAAAACTCACTTCATACAAATATTGAGTCTGTTGAATTTGTGATGGGATCTTAGACATGGCAACAGAAGCATAATCTATGTAAGAAAACATAAACTGGATTTAATCAAAATTTAAAACGTTTGCTTTATCAAAAATGGTTAAGGGAATGAAAGGACAAGCTACAAATGGGAAGAAAATATTTGCAGGTCATATATCTTACAAAAGGTTTTATCCAGAATATGTAATAAACACTCAAAATTTCACCATATGGAAACAATCCAATTTAAAAGTAGGCAAAAGACATGAACTGATGCTTCATCAAATAGGATATAAGAATGGTGAATAAGCACATGAAAAGATGATCCACATCATTAGGTATTGGGAAATACAAATTAAAACCACAACAAAGACACCACTGCGGCCAGGCACAGTGGCTCATGCCTGTAATCCCAGCACTTTGGGAGGCCAAGGCAGGCAGATCACCTGAGGTTGGGAGTTCGGGACCAGCCTGACCAACACGGAGAAACCCCGCCTCTTCTAAAAATACAAAATTGGCTGGGCGTGGTGGTGCATGCCTGTAATCCCAGCTACTCGGGAGGCTGAGACATGAGAATAGCTTGAACCCAGGAGGCAGAGGTTGTGGTGAGCCGAGATTGTGCCATTGCACTCCTGCTTGGGCAACAAAAGCAAAACTCTTGTCTAAAAAAAAAAAAAAAGACACCACTACACACCTATCAGAATAGTTCAAAATACTGCCAACATGAAGTGGTGGCAAAGATACAGAGCAATGGGAACCCATACAATGCTGGTGAGAATGCAAAATGTACAGGCACTTTGGAAATCATTTTGGCAGTTTCTTATAAAATTAGGTGCACACTTAACCATGTGATCCAGCAATCCCTCTGGATAAAATATCAGGCAAAAACCTGTTATGTTAATGTTTTAACAACTTTATACACAATCGCTAAAAAGTGGAAACAAACCAATTATCTCTCAAATAGTGAATGGATAAACTGTAGTCTATCCATATGAGAGAACACTACTTAGCAATAAAGAGGAATGAACTAGAGGGATGAATATAAAGGGACAGTGGGAGATCTTGTGGGTGATGAAACCGTTCTGTATCTAGATTATGGAATAGTGTTTCACTACATGATAATTTTAAAGAACTTTATAGTATTAAAGAGCTAAACACTATTAAATAATCAAATGTATGCAGCCTTCAGGTATTTCTATTTTAACTAACATTGGATTTCAGAGAACAGACTGAAAACACTATTGTTCATCCTTTCCCTGCTGAGTAGTGCAGTGTTCATTTTACAATTTCATTTAAATTGAGGTTAAGTTACATACAGAACAGAATTGCCAGATTTAGCAGACAGAGGAACCTGGTTAAGTTTAATTTCAAATAAAAATTTGGTAGGTTCCCTACTACCACCCTTGGTAGCTTTTTTCTTTTATCCTTGGTTTTCATCAGTTTTACCTGTTACGTTAGTTATGATTTTCTTTATTTATTCCACTTGGGGTTCACTCAGTTTATTGGATCTGTGAGTTGATAGCTTTACCAAATTTGAGGTAATTCTGGCCTGTAAGTTACTTATATTTTCTTCTGCCCTATTTTCCTTCTATTCTTCTGGAAATCCAGTTACATATGTTAAATAGCTTGATATTTCCCCAAATGGCATTGAGGCTTTCTGTTGTCTTCCTTCTAATCTTTTCTTCTCTTTTCCTCAGATTGGACAATTTCTTTCATGTGTCATCTCTATGCTACGGTTAAACCCAACCATTTTCTTTTAATGTTACCACATTTTGGGTGAGAATATATATCTATATTCATTCATTACAACCACCCTACCTTTTTGTCCATGAACATAGTTCTAAAAACTGCTTTAAAAATCCTTGTCTGCCAATTCCACCATCATCTAGTTTATGTTCGGATTTTTTTTTCTGTTGTCTGCTCTTTTTTTTTTTTTTAAACCATAAGCTATAAACTGTATTTCCTTATTTCTCTGGATACCCTATAGCATTTTATTGTATTCCAGTCATTGTTTATATGTTATACAGATTCATTTTATCATACTCTGAAGAGTGCTAAGCTTTGATCTCATTTAAAGTATTGGCTAATCACCTTGATTTTATATTATGTTAAAGGTTTCATCCTTAGTTTTAGCATAAATCTTTAGTCTTGTGCACAGCCTTTACTAATACATGGCCATTCTGGGGTTTGGGAAGCTCAAGGTTCTATCAAGCCCTTCTAACTTGTCAGAATTCAAACTTGAAACTGTGTCTTCTATTGCAATAGAAAACAGCCGTCTCTGTTCAGCTTCTTGAGCCTTCCAACTGTGGCTTTCCACCAAGGTCCTTGGAGTCTTCCCGGGGCATGCACGGTTTGAGAGTTAGCTAAGGATTTAAGGAGAGATCATATGCAGACAGGAAGCCTCCTCCATTTCTGACACCTTCATTTCTAGGATCTGCTGCTTTAATTTTCAGTTCTTCTAGCGGCCTTTAATTCCATCCTAACACCTCAAGCCAGTAAGATTGCAACTTTCTCTTGAGTTCTAGCCACGCCTTACCACACAGTCTGGGAAAGACCGAAGGGGAAAAACCATATATAGTTCACAGCTGGTTTCAGTGACTCCCTAGAGTTTTTAGACCATTGTTTATTATATTTTGTCCACAGTTTATAATTGGGAGGGTTTGTACATTACAAGCTATTACACCATTACCAAAACCAGAAGTCCTTCATTATATAGTTCTTAAATGTTTAGTTTAACATATGAGAAGAAAATAATATACAACTGGTATTTAAATGTACTTGGCTCTCTCCCCTTCTGTGTCTAACAGATTGAAAATGAGGCCAGGCATAGTGGCTCATGCCTGTAATCCCAGCACTTTGGGAGGCCAAGGTGGGTGGATCACTTGAGGTCAGGAGTTCAAGACCAGCCTGGCCAACATGGCGAAACCCCATCTCTACACACACACACACAAAATAGCCAGGTGTGGTGCCGCCACATGACTGTAATCCCAGCTACTCGGGAGGCTGAGGCAGGATAATCGCTTGAACCTGGGAGGCAGAGGTTGCAGTGAGCCAAGATTGCACCACTACACTCTAGCCTGGGCTACAGAGTGAGACTGTGTCTCAAAAATAAATAAATAAATAAATAAAAAATAATAAAGAAAAAAGAGATGTTTCATATATATATAAATATTTCTTATCTCAAATGAAGTAAAATAAGTCAAATAATCTTTAGCTAATTGATGATCCCAGGGAATAGGGAAATCTGTTCAAATTTCAATGAATTTACTAAGTAAAGAGCTCAGAAAAATTGGTTAGGCCATGGAAATACTTAGAGTTGAACCAACTGAACTAGGATATAAGAAAGCTATTTCTATTCAGAACTGAAACTCTTTGAAATGAAATATAATAAATGGAGTGTTATTTAATACTAGTAAGAAGAGTGTGACTACTCGCACATATACAATGGCATATTAACTGAATTAAGTTATATGGCATATCTTGACTAATCCATTGTTGCCTTAAAACTTACATTTTTAAAAATTTTATTTTGTAGTCAGCAAGTTTTCCATTTGTCTGCTTGGATGTGAAAGATGCTATTTAAAACCAAACAGCAACTGTACAAGGCTGGCTGAACATTTATAATTAAACAATCTTATAACCTCCAAAATACAGCAGAGTATGAGCCACGTAATTAGGATGTCAGCTAACCAAGACAGTGAATTCAGAAGAATGTCATTTTGTGGCATGTGCTCAGCTGAGCTTTAAGTCAGACTGCTGGATGGAAATGTAATCTTTCTACCTTTGTTTATATACACTAATACCAGCTGCTGTCAGGACAACTCCTCATGCAGTAGGGACAGCTAACTTTTTTAAAAAGAAGAAAATTATAAACATATTTTGTGAACATTTACTAATCTTTTATTTGCTTTTCTTGGCACTCATAACATTTTTTACCCTTTAAAACAGATTCAAGTGATTCAAATTCCAGTTACCTCTAAGTTATATTCTGTTAACAACCACCTTGTATAAATTGGTTTCATAAATAAAAACTGCTCTTAAATGATTCTGTCAGTGGATGTCTATCCACAAGCTTTCCAGCCTGGTCTGCTTTATGTGTACATCCTGAAAATTTGCCAAAATAGCAGCAACAACTGATGATATCATAGGGAAAAAACTCACTGCCACAAGAAACCAAGCATTGTTGAGTCAACTTCTTTTTGGTCACTTGTTTTATACTTACTAGATAAGCCAAAAGACCTGTTTGTTACACAAACATGCATGCATCCAGGTATTAATCCATTCTCACACTGCTATGAAGAAATACCCGAGACTGGGTAATTATAAAAGAGGTTTAATTTTCGACTCACAGTTCCACATGGCTGGGAAGGCCTCAGGAAACTTAACAATCACGGTGGAAGGCACCTCTTCACAGGGCGGCAAGAGTGAGAATGAGAGCCAGTAGGGGAAATGCCAGGCACTTATAAAACCATCAGATCTCATGAAAGCTCACTATCATGAGAATAGCATGAGGGAAACTGCCCCCATGATTCAATTACCTACCACAACACCTGGGAATTATGAGGATTAAAATTCAAGATGAGACTTGGGTGGGGATACATCCAAACCATATCAATCCATATATGGCTGAAATTTACATCAGACAATGGTAAATATCTATGTTCAAAGTCCATTGATGCTTTGAGATTCTGAGCTATTTTCTGGTATGGAAAACAGACTTAGCATCTCCATCTCCATTGGATGTATGCTGCCTCCTGTGATGATCAAGGAATGCAATGGTTCTCCCAAGTCCACAGTGCACATTTGCCTTAAAGTGCCTGCTGCAATTTTCTGGTCGTCGGCTCCAACCCTGGCTAAGCCAACACAAAGTGTCTCCTCGGTAACTGCTATTAAAAAAAAAAGATACTGCTATTCAATTCAGCAAATGCATCATCCATCCAACAGTCAAACAAACATTAGTACCACAAGTACATTTCAAGAAGCCCCAAATATCTTAAATCTCTTTTGCCACTTATGGACCAGTTATCCATTAATTCATCCAAGGGATTTTCTAAATCATTTGTATTACCTAATATAAAAGAGTACTTCCAAACTTTACCCTTTCAGAATTACAAAGGCTTACACTAAGCTTTTAGGACTTGACAAGCTATACTTACACTCTACAATTGCACAGCATTCGTTTTTAAATAAGTTCTGAGTAAACAATGTTTATTACACACAGGTTTTTAATAACTTGCTTGAGATAATGTTCATATTGACCTAGATATACTGAAGAAACCATGAGATTATGAAATAAATTCACAGATTTGAGTTTCTGCCTTGCCATCCAATTAGCTGTGTGATAAACTTCAGTTTTCTCATTTTTTAAAATGTAATACTCCCTCTTTTAAATCATGGTAATGAGAGCTAAGATAGTAGATATGAGACTAGTAGACTATAGATTCCTTAACAAATAATGAGCATTTGGCACTATTTATGTTTTTCAGTTAAAAACAGCCAGCCTTAGCTTTAGTATTATTCACTCTGGTGCTACAGCTAAAGAGCTGACCCTTTAATGGTTGTATTGTTTAGTTGGGAAAGGGGTCTTGATTGAACAATGATCAAAAGGGGGCAAATGGTTTATCCAAGGACAAACAGGAATGCAGGAAACTTCTGTACAAAGTTATGGATATAGAACATCCTTGCAGACTATTTGTTTCACGACTTTAACATGGCCTACCAATGAGAATAAAATAAGCAACAATCACTCAAGAATCTCTTGACTGGGTGCGGTGACTCGCACCTGTAATCCCAGCATTTTGGGAGGCTGAGGCAGGCGGATCGCTTGAGCTCAGGAGTTTGAGACCAGCTGGGCAACATGGTGAAACCCCATCTCCACCAAAAATACAAAAAAATTAGCTGGGTGTGGTGGCATGCACCTGTAGTCCCAGCTACTCAAGTGGCTAAGGTGAGAGGGTGGCTTGAGCCCGGGAGGCAGAGGTTGCAGTGAGCCATGATTGCACCACTGCACTCTAACTTGGGCAACAAAGCAAGACCCCATCTCAAAAAAAAAAAAAAAGTCTCACAGTGGGCCAGGCGTGGTGGTTCACACCTGTAATCCCAACACTTTGGGAGGCTTTGGGAGGCTGAGGTGGGAGGATTGCTTGAGCCAAGGAATTCGAGAAAAGCCTGGGCAACATGGTGAAACCCTGTCTCTACCAAAAACACACAAAGAAATTAGCTGGGCATGGTGGCATGCACTTGTAGTTCAGCTAAGGTGGGAGGATCACTTGAGCCCAGGAGGTGGAGGCTGCAATGAGCTGAGATAGTGCCTCTGCACTCCAGCCTGCGTGACAAAGTGAGACCCTCTCTCAAAAAAAAAAAAAAGAACCTCCCATAAAGATTTATTGACAATAAACATTTCTATTATATACCACACACTGTGTCTACATATTAGGAATATAAGAACAAATTTTCTCTTATATTTACCCTGAAGAAAACTATTCCTAGTCTCAATATTAAGAATGAAAGGAGGGAGAATAAAAGAACGATAAGTATATTTTTGCAGGATAGATCTCACCATTGATTAGGGATAACATAATAGATATATTTTACAAAAATATTTATACAGTAATATATTTATATCAAATGTGACTTATGTTTAATTTGTGAAAAATCCTCACTTTCTGGAATGGTGTTAATTATACTATAAAAGAATGCCAATTTTTTTTTCTTTCACTACAACTTGAAGCCTATGGGATTTAAGTTAAAGTTGGACAAAAATGACAAGAAATAGTACAATACAAAAATACTGACTCTTGCTTCCATAGTGGTATGAGATATTAAGTCATATACACATCTAAATGTAGTAACAGAGGAATAATATGAGAGCCCTTCTAGTGTCTTGAGTACCTGGTTCTTCTCCTCGTATTCTTTGATTTTGAACAATCTCCAGAAGCTGCTGGGCTGCTTGGTTTACACTCATATACCGTGGAGGTTCATAGATCTTCCTTCCCCTATAGGCAGAAAACTAGATGCCACTGTTCTTAGCCATGAAACTACATAATATGTTATTAATGCAATTAGCTCTCCCAGGTATACTCAAGTACCACAGTCTACATTCTGTTTGATGTTTTTTTACATGTACTCACTTTAAGCATACACAAAAGCATGATGATTGTTCATTTCTTAAGCTTTTTCATTGTTCTAATTTAACTTTCCTCTGATCTCACTGAAATGATGGCAGGAACACATAAAGATAGATGTCTAAATGAAAGTTATCTTTATTCAAAGTGATACCTTTGGTAAAAACAATTCAAAGTAAGTGGCAATTTGGTCTATACTCTAGCTTAATCAGGTTATTTAGTGTCCTTTTTATGACCATTTTTAAACCACATATTCTTTTCACTGTTTCCTCTAAGAAAAGTAAACTAAAGCATCTTGGATGCTTAAAAATCTCAGGTGATGGCATACGTTTATTTCTGTATGCCTCAAAAGCCTATCAGGCTTGCCGAACTATCATATTAACAAAAATATAGCCATTGCAGGCCAGGCGTGGTGGCTCATGCCTGTAATCCCAGCACTTTGGGAGGCAGAGGCGGGTGGATCACAAAGTCAGGAGTTTGAGACCAGCCTGACCAACATGGTGAAACTCCGTCTCTACTAAAAATAAAAAAAATTAGCGTGGCTTGGTGGCGCACGCCTGTAATCCCAGCTACTCAGAAGACTGAGACAGGAGAATCAATTGAACCCGGGAGACGGAGGTTGCAGCGAGCTGAGATGACACCACTGCACTCCAGCCTGGGCGACAGAGCAAGACTCTGTCGAAAATATAAATATATATATATATATATATATATATATATATATATATAGCTATTGTGGCTTACAACACAGTTCAAATAGATTATTTTACTGACTCTCAAAAAAATTCTGTCAGTGCTATCCAATAGAAATATAAATGAAGCCATATATAGAATCAAGTTTTCTAGTAGCCATATTAACAAAAAAGTTTGTAAAAAGGCAATTTTTTTTTTTAAGACAGTCTCACTCTGTTGCCCAGGCTGCAGTACAGTGGCGTGATATTGGTTCACTGCAACCTCTGCCTCCTGGGTTCAAGCAATTCTCTGCCTCAGCCTCCCGAGTAGCTGGGATTACAGGTGCCTGCCACCATGCCTGGCTAATTTTTTTTGTATTTTTAGTACAGACGGGGTTTCACCATCTTGGCCAGGCTGGTCTCGAACTGCTGACCTCGTGATCCACCTGCCTCGGCCTCCCAAAGTACTGGGATTACAGGCATGAGCCACCACGCCCAGCCAAAAAAGGCAAAAATTTTAATATTTTAATTAATCCAAAATGTTGTAATTTAACACCTACTCATATAAAAATTATTAAAGAGATTGTTTTTATATTAAGTCTTTGAAATCTGATATGTTCTTACAGCACACCTTAATTTGGATATTAAATTTTCATTGGAAATAGTTGATCTGTATTTAACTTTCATAAAATTTATGGTTTTAACAGTTGATTTATATACTAAAGCTGTTCCAAACATACTTAAAAGTTTTCCAATAACAGAGTATCATTTTTTAATTAATTAAAATTAAATGAAAAATTCAGTTCCTCAGTCACATTAGCCACATTTCAAATGCTCCTTAGTCACAAGTGGGTAGGGGGTACTGTATTAGACACTGCCTCTCTAAGTAAAAAAGGATTAGTACTATCATTATACATCTGAAGAAAATAAGGCTCAGAGATGGAAGTAACTTGCCCAAGAGCACTCAACTAGAGGCAGACTCAGGACTCAAACCCATGCCTTTTTTTTTTTTTTCTCACTCTGTTACCCAGGCTGGAGTGCAGTGGCGTGATCTCAGCTCACTGCAACCTCTGCCTCCCAGATTCAAGCGATTCTCGTGCCTCAACCTCCCAAGTAGCTGAGATTAAAGGCACGTGCCACCACACCCAGCTAATTTTTCCATTTTTAGTAGAGACGTGGTTTCACCATGTTGGCCAGGCTGGTTTTGAACTCCTGGCCTCAAACAATCCACCTGCCTCAGCCTCCCAAAGTGCTGGGACTACAGGCATGAACAACCGCACCCGGCCTCACACCCATGTTTTCAGAATCCCAACGCATTAATTCATTCCACAAACACTGAGTGTCTGTTAGATGCCAACCACTGTTCTCAGTGTTGAATCCACAAAATATATTGCTATTTCTACTCTATTATACTGCTTATCATTTCGTAAGAATAAAAATGCTTAATGTTCACACTGTTAATGAGAGCTCATTTTCAACCATCTTTAGAACTCAGGTCATTTAAGTAGAATGTATTGAATTGTTCAAGGAAATAAAACACATGTATGCATTCTCAGAATAATAACTTACTTGATTAGATTTTCCAAAGACTGCTCCTTTACTTTGATGTCTGTAGGAAGTAAAAATAGTTCTTTTAATTTAATTAAAAGCTTTATCCAAAACCCTATGTGTAAACCTCAGTTAAGAGTCACCTAAATTTTGGGGAAACACTCTTCCCTCACATTTTAATTAGCCACTTTCTTACAGTAACATAGAGAAGAATGGAAGCTTGTGGTTGTGCCACTAGTTAGAAAACAAACATGAACTTGGCCCTGAGACCATCCTGCTAACATCTAATTTCCTTTTGGAAAAGAAGACAAGGGAAAGAATTAGATAAACATTGGCATATACACTACTAACAGCTAATCACAATCTTTGTTTTCATTTCTACCAGCTAGTAACTGCACAGACCCATCTGAAAGCCCTTTGATAGATGTAATGTAAGTAGAAAAAAATCTTTTCCACATTTAAAAAAGTCTTTTGCTTTCTGACGAATGTTAACACATGCCATAATTTTGAATAAATACTTTAATTCTAAGTATTCATGCTTTTAACAGGGATTTGAGCATGGACTGTGTGTCAGACGCTGCGTCAGAGACTGGGATACCACAGGGACCTGACCAGATATAAACTCTGCTCTCTAGAAGCTTGACAGTCCAAGCATCACAAATATTTGATTCGGTATACTTTTTAATCACTCATGCTCAACTGAACTATTTGGTAAAAGGTAAAAAAGCAGAATCACTCTACATCCTCAAAGGAACTCAGTATACAACAGCAACAGCAACAGCTGCTTCCTGCTTTACATGCTGAAAACAAATGGTTCAGCCAAAGTTTGTTTTTGCAAAAATAAACATAGTGCAACTGAGGAGTCTTTAATAGACTTATGCAGATTTCCTAAGTGATTATAGAAGTGTTTCTTATAAAGGATATCAAAGAGTTTGCTTGGAAATTATAGCAGAGTTAATATTAAATACATATTTTTAAATGTTCTTGGAACCAGCATTGAAAGCCTTTTTCAGGTTTGAAATATCATTATTTATTTAATATTTCTACTTGTCTGTCACATTATGGAGAAAAAAACGAATGCCTGTTATTAAGAATGTGGCCTCCCTATAATCAATGGTGTTAGTCAACTTTCAGATTTCCTTTAAATTACGTTTCTAAGATTTTAAAAATTTTAACCCGTTTATTAATTCATTCACTCTGAGCTTCTGAAATGTTGTGATGAGATTTTTCATATTTTCAGTTGTCTTTACTTTTCAAATATGCTCTATAGAATCTGATTTTTAAAAGGAAGAGGGTTGAGGAGAATTTTTAGACGCAAATCCTTTTTAATCAAGGAGTGCATTCGTGACTTCGTCTCAAGCCAGACCCCGCATTACTTTTCCCTTGTCTTCACACAGTCCATAATTATTCCTCTCTATTTCTACTTGCTAGAATGTAAGGTTCTCTGATTCATCTTAGTACCAGGACCTAGCATAATGTGAAGTACCCAGAAGACACTCCATAAATGTCTACTGAATAAATTTACTCAAGTGACTCTCCTACCACTCAGTCACCAGCCCATATTAAACTATCCACTCTCTGGGCAACGTAAGTCCTAACTCCTTCATAAAGTCTTTGTTGACTTCTCCTCAAATGCTTTTTGTTCTTGGAAAGATCTACACAATTAATGCTATCTTTTATTAACCTCTAATTATATCATATATATTGGTCTTGTCTTTCTAAGTAAATTTTAAATTCTCTGTGTTTTCCTGCCATGGTTTATCCTCACTAATCCCTATGGAACTTAACCCACAGCAGGCATTGAATAAATACATACTAATTTAAATAATGAGAATGCCAGATGATAAAACGATGAGAACTATGGTTTGAGGATTTGAAATCATGACATCCTATACTTCACACTCTGTTCCTTCCTGCTTTTGTTAATGGAGCAAGGAAGATACATTGTTTAACCTTGTTTGTCTTTTCCCAGGAAAGCTAAGAAAAGGGGCAGCTCTTAGAAGGACAACTCAAGAGCCACATTTCTAGTTTGTCCTTCCTGCCTCTCCATACAATAGAATTTTTGTTCTTTAAACTTTCACGTGCACAACACATTAGTTCCAAACTAGATTTCAAAGCTTTGAGAGCAGGACCCACGTCTACACTTCCTTAGTATTCCAAAAGAAACTAACTCTACATGGGGCATAGGGTAAGCACTCAATAAATACCTGTACACTGATCTTCTATCTGCCTTTCCAAAGCTTCTGAAAAGATAAGTGCTGCTTCCTCTCCTTCCTATCTTTTTTTTTTGCTTTTGAGAAGGAGTCTCGCTCTGTGGTCCAGGCTGGAGTGCAGTGGTGCAATCTCAGCTCAATGCAAGCTCCGCCTCCTGGGTTCACACCATTCTCTTGTCTCAGCCTCCCGAGTAGCTGAGATTACAGGCACCTGCCACCACGCCCGGCTAATTTTTTGTATTTTTAGTAGAGATGGGGTTTCACCGTGTTAGTCAAGATGGTCTCGATCTTCTGACCTCGTGATCCACCCGCCTCAGCCTCCCAAAGTGCTGGGATTACAGGCGTGAGCCACCGCACCCGGCCTTTCCTGTCATTTTTAATGGATATATGGGGAGGTTATCAGGTAGCCTGCCTCTCAGATTCTTCCTTCCCTGTTCTGTTTTAGAACCTTTCAGTACTGTTATAAAACATATATTCTAGTATCTGAGCTCCAATGAATCCCCATTTTTCATCCCTCAGATACATCTACTTCTTTAGCAAAAGTCCTTTTAAAAATTATCCTTCGCCCGTCATCTACTTTGACCTTCTACCCACAGCTGGCCTTAACTGGATCTAACTTTGGGATAACAAGATGGATATATCTGATGGCATAGTCCACACCAACTCACAAGTCTTACAGTGTCCTTGTTAGTAAGGACTATAAAAAAAGTAAGACCAGTCTCTTTTTACAAGGAAAATTCAAAGACAAAATTATAAAGATAATTAATGATGAATGAAGCACTAAATCACACTGGCAATAAACTAAAATAAGAAAACATCATACTAGCTGATTGCAAATATTGGCATAAGACCAAAGAAAATGTGTTAGAGAAGCGTTTATGGCCTAATCTAGATCTATAATTAATTAGATGCCAAGAATAAAAGGGGGGCCGGGTGCAGTGGCTCAAGCCCATCATCCCAGCACTTTGGGAGGTTGAGACGGGCAGATCACTTGAGGCCAGGGGTTTGAGACCAGCCTGGTTAACATGGCAAAACCCCATCTCTACTAAAAACACAAAAATTAAACAAGCATGGTAGCAGACTTCTGTAATCCCAGCCTCAGGAGGCTGAGGCAGGAGAATTGCTTGAACCTGGTAGGCAGAGGTTGCAGTGAGCCGAGACTGCACTACTGCACTCCAGCCTGGATGACAGGGTAAACCTTATCTTAAAAAAAAAAAAAAAAAGGAATTAAAAGGAGTGTATTCTGGCTGCAATTGACTGAACTAGCAAGAGTTAAAGATTTTCTGTGCCAATGGGTCATAAGACCAAGTCTGAGAATATAGACTAAATAAAACTTCCATTAACTTCCATAAATATTTATTTAGTGCCTACACTGTGCTAGACTTCTAGACATTAGGAAGAGAATAATGAGCAAGATAAAGTCTCTGCTCTTATGAAGCAGTGAAGAAATCAAGTTAATAAGGTAATTCATATGGCTGGTAAGACTATGAAGAAAGTAGTGTAAGGTTATAACACATCACTGAAGGGATTCAGGGTGCAGCACATGAGATTAAATAAAATTTCACTCAAGATCAGGAGCCAGCAAACTTCTGAAAGGGGGCAGGCAGCAAATATTTTAGGTTTTGAGGACCATATGGTCTCTGTCACAGCTACTCATCACTGCTGTTGTGGCATGAAAGTAGCCATAGATAATATATAAATGAAGGTGCACGGCCATGTTCCAATAAAGCCTTATTTACAAAACATTAGGCCAGATGTGATCCATGGGTACTTGTTTGCTAATCCCTGCTGTAGATATTAATTTCTATCCTAAGAAATGCCAATCATTAGTAAAAATGTATTATAATCTTTTCTATTAAGACATACAGCCAGGCACCGTGGTTCACTCATCTAAGCCCAGCACTTTGGGGGGCCAAGGTAGGTGGATCGCTGGAGCCCAGAAATTCGAGACCAGCCTGGGCAACATGGCGAAACTCCATCTTTACAAAACATACAAAAATTGGCTAGGTGTGGTGGCGTATGCCTGTGGTTCCAGCTACCTAGAAGGCTGAGGTGGGAGGATCACTTGGGCATGGGAGGTTGAGACTGCAGTATGCTGAGATTGTGACACTGCACTCCAGCCTGGGAGACAGAGCGAGACCTTGTCTCTTAAACAAACAAACAAACAAAAAATTTATTTTGTTGCTTAAAATTAAATATTGTTAAATAATAGAGATTGGCTATATTATGCAAATAGCTTAAAAATTTTTGGCAAATTGGCCAGGTGCAGTAGCTCATACCTGTAATCCCAGCACTTTGGGGGGCAGAGGCGGGCAGATCTTAAGGTCAGGAGTTCGAGACCAGTTTGGCCAATATGGCGAAACCCCATCTTTACTAAAAATACAAAAATTAGCCGGGTGTGGTGTCAGGCACCTGTAATCCCAGTTACTCGGAAGTCTGAGGCAGGAGAATCGCTTGAACCTGGGAGGTGGAGGTTGCAGTGAGCCAAGATCACGCCACTGCAATCCAGCCTGGGCAACAAGAGCAAGGCTCCGTCTCAAAAAAATAAAAATAAAATAAAAGGCCGAGTGCAGTGGCTCACGCTTGTAATCCCAGCACTTTAGGAGGCCGAGGCGGGTGGATCATGAGGTCAGGAGATGGAGACCACCCTGGCTAACATGGTGAAACCCCATCTCTACTAAAAAAAATACAAAAAATTAGCCGGGCGTGGTGGCATGAACCTGTAGTCCTAACTACCCAGGGAGCCAAGGCAGGAGAATTGCCTGAATCCAGGAGGCAGAGGTTGCAGTGAGCCGAGACTGCACCACTGCACTCCAGCCTGGGCAACAGATTGAGACTCTGTCTTGAAAAAAAAAAAGTGGCAAACAGAAATCTTGTCTTATATTCTGAATATCTGTATTTAATATACAGAGGCCAAAATCATGGGCTTATTCTCTGCCCTGATCTTGTGCTATGTGATAGACATTTTGGTGAGTGACTTCACACACAGTTTCAGTAACACAGTACAATTCAAAGTATGATCTCAGGACCAATGCCAGTATGTGAGCTTTGTGTTGCCAGTAAATGATGAAGTAACTACAGGAGTAAGAATATGTACAAAATTTATAGTAACTTGACACTGACATAAAAGACCGAAAATTTAAAAATCAAACATATGTTTTAAACAACCCAACCATGGTTCTTTACCACAAATAGTCTGAGAAGTACTGCTCTATATAACTCCATGAAGTAGGAGGAATTATTCCTATTTGATAAATATGAAGGCTAAGGAATGTTTACAGTACTCTCTAACTAGTAAGTAGTAGCACTGGGATTTTGTCTTCTGATTCCAAGTAGAAGTATCATTGCAAAGTCATCAAAAATGTCAGTTAGCTGTGTTCTGTTTAGTCACAGATTAAGTCTTTGATACCAGTATTTCTTTCTACAACATATGCTACTAGAATAGGGGCTGATTAGCAAATGTGAATCGGTAAAATTTCAGTGCCTCTGCTAGAAAGAAAACACCATGGCTTTCTGAAACTCAGTACTATTATCTTGGAAAACAAAGACAGTGATCCCAGCTCTTTCCACACTAAAAAGGAAATAGGATTTGGGGAAGAAGGTACAGTGAAATGAGCTATTATTAAAAGGCTATCTGATTCTACCAGTTCTGCCAACAATTGACTAGGTGACATTGGGGAAATAATTCAATATTCTGGGCCTCAACTTCATCTGTAAAACAGGCCTCAATAAGATGATCTCCAGAGTCTCTTTCAGATCTATCATTGTGAATCTGATAGCATCAATACTGCAGTATTCAAAGAACCTCCCTAGGAAGATGCAGGATGGTCCTTGGTAAGGCTTGCTCAGTGCATGTCTATTGGATTGCAGTAAATCCTTGATGGACAAATGAGTAAGATATGGAATACTGGAGAGGATCTACTAGGGCAGGGCATAAGAGGGAGCAGTGTAACTATGGTGTGTATGCAGAAATAGCCATGTGGTACTTGAAGCAGAAGATGCGTGTCTCTCTAAGAGCATGGGAAAGAGTGTGGTCTGCATAGAATGGCTAGACTGTGTCTTTTCTTACCTCTAGCTAATTATCCACAGACCTTAACACAAAATCAAAATGAGAACAGTATGATAGTTCCATATTGTTACTTCAAGGAAATTCCAAAACCCTTACCTAGTAAACATAATGTGTGCATGCCATTTTGTCTGTTCTTCTTCACTTTGTCAAAGAAGCTTTCTGGTCTCCAAGTGTCTGTCCAAAAAACAATAGAAACTGTCTCTCCAAACTTATATAACTAGAAAAAAAAACATTAATTAATGATGGAACAATTAACTACTATTTCATAGATAAGGAGAGAATTTAATCATTTTACAACCAAAATAAAAAGTGAATATCCAACTCGAAATGGGTTGGGGATCAAATCTGTCACCAAAAAAGGTAACAGGAACTTCTCTTTGGTTCATGGTAGCTGGTGTCTTTCTGATGCTAGTAGTAAGTAAGTTTCAGTAATAAGTTTCTAGTATTTCTGCATTCTGTATAGGAACATGTGTAACAATTTCATAATTTAGCTATATAGTTGCTAAAAATACTGAAATGCAAAGAACCCAGGAGAAAAAAAAAAGAGTTCTGAGCAATCAGAGCGGGGTTCACAAGGTTAATATTGTTCTCATTTTACAGATGAGACCATCAAGGCTTAGAAAGAGCAACTGACTTAGCTAGTCACATAGCTAACTAATATAAAAATAAACACTTAAATCTAGCCTGAGGGAATGCTCCCTTCCATCACACTATCTCAAGAAAACAAAGCATATGCTCACTCCTGTCATTGTTCCAAACCTATAGTCCCTTAATTTGGCAAGATTGTATTTGTTCCCTCACTATAGAGTTCAGGGATGAGGGCCTTTTTCCAAACCTTCTCTTTAACCCACAAGTGGCCCACCCAGGTTCACCATCACTACAACCAAGAAGCTGGCTTCTCTGATCCAGACTGGCTGAACTAGCTCACTTAAGTGAGTCCAATTTCAAATCTTATGTGAGAAAATCTACTTTTGAATTCTGGCTCTGCAACTTGTTGGCTGTGTGATATTACTGTAAGATTTTATATCTAAAATAGGAATAGTGATAAAATTCTGTTTTTCCTACTCCTAGGGTTGTGAGGATCATATTACATGTAAAAAGTTATTCAAACTGTGAAACAATAGGTTAATATTAGTTCTTATCTCAGCACTGAGCAAAGGACATTTATTTTCAAAGACAATATAAAACAGAATACTAAAGTTGTATAAAGATTTAATTATTCAATTTAAATAGTACTTGAAATAATTTATAATAGAACTGGTAAGCACTAGACTCACATCTAGTCCTCTGCCACAAATTAACCGTGTGCCTGAAATAGCCATGTGACTTCAGGAAGTCACTTTTCTCAGCCTTGGGTTCTTCAATTAAAAATGCAGAACCTGGTCTGGAGCAAGGATTAGTCATCCTCTGCTTCCAGTAGCCTAAGGCTTTTCAAATCAGTTTCAGAGGCTCAGCAAGATATGAGGGGAAGACAAGCAGGAAGGAAACAGAGAAGGTGGGGCATTCAGGTGTTTCATCCCTAATTCCCTAGAGCAGCAGCTCAACGTTTCTCAGTTTTTACATAATGAGGTCCTATAAACTATAATCAACACTCATAATGGTGACTTTGAGTTCTAAAGGGAAGGTTCATCATGTTCTTCATAGGCCACAGCCTACATCTTACCTACCAACAAGGTTTACTCCCAAAGTCCATTTGAAAGCTGCCTAAAAACATATTATCTCATAGAAGTTATGCTATTCAGTAGCAATCAAATTCACAGGTCAGTGTACAAAGACCCATGTAACTCCAAGTATTGAGTCATGAAACTTCCTGCCACATGTGACAGGTTTCCCTGTGACAATGTATTTCTAGTTCCAATGTGGAATGCCAGGAATATGTTCACTCTGTGCCAAGCTACCAGGATCGGTCCTGGCCCTGCTGAGGGGTTTTGTTATTATTATTGGGTGATGAGAGGCAAACTTAGCCAACAAATACTTATTACAGATCATCTACTATGTACCAGGTATTATGCTAGTCACAGGTTTAAAATGACAGGCAAAACACAGCTCTGGCTCTCATGGATTGTGCAGTCTTGCTCATGTCTCATACAGCAGAGAAAGGCTCTGCAGTCATGGCACTGGTTCTTACTATGATTAATCATGGACAAGTCAAGTAACATTCCCAATCCTTGGGAGGAACCCTTCTACAAAATGGGTATAATAACTGTAAACATAAAAATGTGGTTTTTAAGGGTTAAATGACACAAAGTATGCAGAGTGCCTAGTAGTGCCTTGCACATGGAAAAGTCTTAGTGTTAGGAATTTGATGATATAATAATGATAATGTTTTAATAATGAAGATGTTCTAAAATGCTGTGTCCTGCTTTAATCCAACTGCTTTCCTTATTGGAGTAAGCTCAAAAATATTACTAAATACTTGAAACTACATTTATGATTTCATTCTGACAAGTTCAACTGTTTACATTCTAAAAAGGATTTTTCACATCTCAGATCAAACTATGAAATATTAGTATTATTCCATAAAAAAGCTTCAAGGTAAAACTGTTAAAAAAATTATATATGCAATAATACATACTTTAAATGAGTCTTAAATACTTTAAGAGTCATGGGAATACAGTCATGGAAGGAAATAAGTTCTTCATTCAAAAAGAAAGTGACAGACCACTTAAGAAAGAATTGAGATGCAAGTCACATATAAACACTAAAGCATTTTGTGTAGCAGTGTCTTTGAATTGTCTAATTTGAGAGATTAAAGAAAACCTCACACAAGCACTGCTCTCCAGGACCCTGATTTATAAACTGTAACCACTCCTGTAGCTGTGGTGCAAACTTCTTCAGTGAATCCTGGAACATTATGCAAACAATTTCACCATATGTCAATACCTCAAAGAACAAAAGAACCAGTTCTTTGTGTTTCACAATCGAAGGGCTTACCAGTGAACTATACTAGAGCAAAGTCACACAGTGATGAGAACTGAGATTGCAGAAGCCTAAGTATTGAACCATCCTATAATATTCATATAAGCCTTTGTGCTGTGATCATTTTTCCTCCAAAACATTATTGCTGCAAATCTAAATTTAAAGACTAAAAAAACAGCTGTTTTGTAAGAAACAGTAGGTAAACACAGGCCTTTTTAAATTTTAACCTGGAGTAACCTATAGAGAAAGCAGTTTACCTAACTTATATTGGATTATGTTTTATCTAGGACAAAACCCAAAAAAACTCAAAACATCCACTCATTAGGCATAAGGCACAATCTAGTTAGAAGATGCTCAAGAAAGACAATAGTAGGTAGTAGTAATTATTATTAAATATGCTATAGACTCTAAGCATTATAAGGATTCAGCATTTCCCCCACTAAGAGGGCATCTGAAGGCATCTTCTGAAAATACAAGGCGTAAGCTAGACCTTGAAAGACAGTTAAGATTTAAGACTGGAGAAGCCGAACATGGGGAAAGAATGAGATACTATGAACAAAGTAACAGAGGCGGGAAGTCTTGGGCAATATTTAAAATGGCATTAAGCCATTACCCAGAAATAGCTAACTGTGCCTGACTTCTCTCTAAACATATATCTAATTCCTGACATCTTATTTAGTGCCAATTCCTGTAAATTCTGCTGTATATTTTATGTAGCTGACTACTCATTTCTTTCCCTACAACCATGGTTTGAGCCCTCAATATCACTTGCCTGAATAACCTTAACAGTCTCCTAACTCATCTCATAGCCATCAATATTTCTTTCCTTTTAGAAGCATAGATGCTTTGTAAAACTCCATTTTAGATTTCAATGCTTTTGTTATTTTGTATAACAAATAAAAATATTTTCTGTGGTATTAAAGCTAAAAAAATCTGTTAAGAAAAATTAAACTTGCTAAGAACTCTATTAAGCCCTGCAAGTATCATGTATTTATATCCTAAATTAAATCAGTTAAATCTGTGAAGTGAAAGAAAGCCAAGCCAGCAAAACTGTCAAAAACTGTACCACAAAACCACATAATCAAGAGTGACTAGTTTTCTCTTCTATACAGAATACTGTTCTTGGGGATGGGTTTTGTTTGTTGTTGTTTTTATCCCCACATACAATTTGCATGCCATTGATGTAACATTGATTTTTGATGACACTAAGGAAGAGTATGCACATGGCCACACACTAGGTACATAAAGTTGAATGACTACGTAGACAGAAGAGCTACAAGATTTATTCTCACACATAAATGAGAGCCACTTGTAAATTAAATTTTAAAATGACAATTTACAGCATATAATTTCAAAGACAAGATCGAACTCCAGGGTGGAAGGCAGGGGGTTGGGGGAAAAAATAAATAAGAAATTCAACTCAGCAAGTACTTGTGACATATTCATTATATGCATGGCACTGTGATAGAATGCAATGGCAGATAGGAAAATGAGTAAATCAAAGAGTTTATAATATGATAAAGTCATAAACATATATAACATGGCTTGGCTGTGTCCCCAACCAAATCTCATCTTGAATTGTAGTTCCTATAATCCCCACATGTTGTGGGAGGGACCCGGTAGTGGGGGAGGTGAGGGGGGGAGCAGTTACCTCCATGCTGTTCTCGTGATAGTGAGTTCTCACAAGATCTGATGGTTTCATAAAGGGATTTCCCCCGTTTACTCTGCGCATCTCTTTGCTGCTGTCATGTGAAGAAGGATGTGTTTGCTTCCCCTACAGACATAATTGTAAGTGTTCTGAGGCCTCCCCAGCCATGCTGAACTGTGATTCAATTAAACTCCACAGTTTATTGACCTCAAAGTCAATTTGACCTCAAAATTGAGTCACAATTGACCTCAAAGTCAATTTCCCAGTCTTGGGTATGTCTTTATTAGAAGCATGAGAATGGACTAATACAACATACAAGTAACTGAACATTCTATATAGGATGGGGATTAATTTACCAAAATTGTTTTAATAGAAGAATGGCACAATTATATTTACGATTTAAAAAGAAAACTATGAAGTAGGAAAAAAATGATGGTAAGGTGGCTATTTAAAAAAATAATGATTAGAACCAGTAATAAGTGGAAACAGAAAGGAAGAAAAAAAATTAAATATGCTCATGACTTAGCAGGTAGTCAAAAACTGTTCCTAAGTGACTAAAAGAATAGAAAGAGCTTAGATTATTTTCTTCTAAGACCACGGAAGGATATAGAACTCTAGATGATAAAATCTAGCTTAATACAAAGAACACTAAAACTAGGTGTTCTTTGTATTAAGCTAGGGTTTTTCATGACTACATTAGTCCCTGGACAACAATGAAACCAATTAATGCTTCTGAAAAGTAACGATAAGAATCACTACAAGGTCGACAATGCTGACTATCACAATGAATGTTGTGGTATTAAAAAAAAGAGAGGAAATGAGTTGTTACTTTCTGAAAGTAATATACATTTTTCCAAACTAGAAATGCATTATATAAACAGATGAACATATGGCAATACTCAAGGTCACTCATGCAATAGCAAGAGAAAGTGGAAACATTTCACAATGATAGGAAATTATACAACCTTTTCTCTGAAGTCAGCCACAACTGATAATGCAGTTTTTATCTGAAATCATTGCTACCTGGTTTCATGGAACTGTCTCATTTATCTGCCTTTTAAAATGTTTTAAAACCATTTCAGTCACCAAATTTCTACAAGAGAACTAATATATTCTATCACACAAATGATTAAGAAAGATAATAAAATTCTATACAAAGAAGTATTTCAGAATTTGTAATTTTTTCTAATATTTGTTTGGCCTATAAGATCAAGTAAATATACACATACTAAGTGTTGAATAAAAAGACTGAAATGTGCCAAAATTGGTAACTGTGGATATCTCTAGGTGGTGGTACTATGGATGCTTTTTTATTTTCTTTTTATACTCAATATATCTTCCTAATTTTCTGTGAGCATAGAAATCATTTATTATCAAGGAAAATGGTTCTTCTAAAGCAGGAACAATGCTAAATGGAAGCAATTCTGATTCTGTATGTCTAAGCTAACTGCTTCTGCAGAAATGTTAAACTCAAGAATTCAAGAAAAGGACTTTGGCCGGGCGCGGTGGCTCATGCCTGTAATCCCAGCACTTTGGGAGGCCTAGGCAGGCAGATCACGAGGTCAGGAGATTGAGACCATCCTGGCTAACACAGTGAAACCCCGTCTCTACTAAAAATATGAAAAAAATTTGCTGGGTGTGGTGGTGGGCGCCTGTAGTCCCAGCTACTCGGGAGGCTGAGGCAGGAGAATGGCATGAACCCGGGAGGTGGAGCTTGCAGTGAGCTGAGATCGCGCCATTGCACTCCAGCCTGGGCGACAGAGCAAGACTCCGTCCCCCCCGAAAAAAACAAAAAAACAGAAACAAAAACAAAAACCAAAAAAAAAAAACAAAGAAAAGTGCTTTATTCTCCTATCTTCTGTGTATTGAGAAAAATCTCGGATTTATTAAGAGTGATCCTCAATTTATTAAGCAAATTTTCATTACCAGGACATCTAAACACAACCAACATGCCTGGCTTTAGACATACAAATAGGCTTTTCTTTCATTAGAAAAATCTGCAAAATGTTAAACAAATACAAGTGTTAGAAATATGTTAGGAATTTAAAAACATGATTTTAAAGTATATGTGTTTATAACTATTATTTTAATGTGAAAAATCCTAAAATTTATTGAATGAAAATTTGAGTACCTAAAGTATCTCAGTCAAGATAATCTTTGCTAAATGTTGGAAAAGAGGCTGGCTTTTTGGCTTCCAAATCTATATTAGACCTTATCTAGTTTAGTAATTTTCATACATCTTACTGGCACTTAGTGTACATTTAGTTCTTTTTTTCTAAATGAACTACTCTTAAGTAAAACATCAATAGAGTTAAAGATAATGATTGGGCTCCCTGAGGATCTAAATCTCTGTTATTTAGTGTTATGTCATTACTTCATTGTCTGCAGAATCCCTAAAGCATCTTCATACATCATGGTGTGGTTTGAAAACCAACATTCTCATCCAGTCTCCCTCCCAATCCTCACCACATACCCTTACAGTAAAGTAATCTGAGATCCAGAGAAGATGACGCCTTAGTTACTGCCTAGGCAAGAAGTAAAACAAGGGCTTTTAAGTTGAAGTTCAATTCTAAATCTTTTCCATTATATTTTTCCTCTACCAATTCTACCCAATATGTAGTCTATTCTTATTCAACATAGATATATTCTAAGCCTCGTGTTAACTGACTCCCTAGACAGCCAAGGTTTCTTTGGTATTTATGTATGCACATATTTGTATGTGTGTGTGTGTTACTGCAATACCTTACAGATTCCCTAAAGTGCTTCCAAGACTCTCTCTTTTAACTACACTTCTCTCTCTGTTAGGAATGCCTTCTGCCCTCTTGCCTATCTAGCTAACTTCGTATAATTCATTTTTTTAACCACTTTACTGCATTATCATCACATAACAATAACTCTTCCAAGCATATGATTCAATGCTTTTTAGTAAATTACCACGCTGTGCAACCACTGCCATACTTAGTTTTAGAACATTTTTCATCACCCAACTAAGACCCCTTATGTCCATTCACAGTCAATCCCTGTAATGCCCAGCCCCAAACAACCATTAATTACTTTCTGTCTCTACAGATTTGCCTTTTGGGGACACTTCATGTAAACAGAATCAAATAATACATGATCTTCTATGTCTGGCTTCTTTCATTTAACATACATGTATTTAATACCTACCCCATGACTTTAACTCTTCCCAAGACATTAGTAGAGACTTCAAGGCAACATCCATACCCTCAAGAGTCTAGGAGTAAGATAAACCTAATCATACTCTTCCACATAATCAATTCTATGATTAATCTATGGTCCTGAAAGCACAGAAAGACTGGCACAGGGCTCTTAGTGACAGGAGGCAACTGCTCTAGCAATAACAAGTTTAACAGAACCAATCAAAGTAGGAAGCCAATCGAGCAGTAGTAATAGAAGAATCCAGGCCTATAGACAAGTCTTTGGGGGTACAAACCATAATAACTGTGGTAGTGGAGATGGTGGAAAAGGACCCATTAGCATAAAGACCCCAATTCCTTTCCTAGGACTATCAGTAAGGCAGAAATGGCTCTCTACATCTCCCCAAATCTCAATTCTCTTAATAGAAAATGCTCTTACAAGTTCACTTTCTAAATCTTCTCTTATGCCCTACTCCATACAGTACAAGCCACCATCATCTTTCCTCTAAATGACTGTAATTTAGAGAATTTCCTCAATTCCAATCTTGCCTGGCAGTAATTCAATCTCCACATATTGGCCAAAGCTTATGTTTTAAAAAATTTATCAGATCAAGTATTTATACTGCTTAAAACCCTTCAATGTCAATTTATGTCACTTAGGATAACATCTAAACTCCTAATGTTGAATGAGAGCCTAGTGATACAGCCCTATCCACCTATCCAACCTCAGGTCACTCTTTCCCTTGCCTGCTATGGTCCAACAAGCCCTTCCTTGGTTCCTTTAACAAGCCAAGCTCATTCTCACTTCAGGGCCTTTGCACTGTTTCCTCTGTATGGAATATGCTAGTTCCTTCTTGATTCATATCGAATCTCAAATGTCACCTTCTTAGAGATACCTTCCCGACCTCAGTAGTGACTTAGTCACTCTCTAAATACCAGTCTACTTGAATTTCTTATGCTTACCATTATCTAATATTTATCATTTTATTGATGTTGTCTCTTCTGCCCACTAAAATAGAATCTCTTTGAGAGCAAGGACCCTATTGGTCAAGTTTATCACTGTATCCAAAGGCACTTAGAAAAATAAGTAGGTTAACAGTATTTGTTGAATGAATGGATCACTATTCTCTTTAAAGATGTCTAACTTGGAAGCCTCTAATACACTTTTTATTTTACAAGGAAAATTTTCATCAGGAATATGGAGTTTGTGGTAGAGAATTTTATTTTATGGCAAGTCTGTAAGATAGTGTGTATCAACTGGCTGTGTGTGTGAATGTCTGTGTGTATGAAGGAGTGTTAGATAGTTATACAACAATTTTTACCATCATAGTGATAAACAAAAATTTTCTGTTGGCTAATAAACTACAAAGGTAATGAACAATACTCAGTGGTTGATTCTGAACTCTGCATGTTGTTTCTTTAGAAAATAACAAAAACAACAGAATAGTTCAAAGGGGGTTGATAAATTGATAGCTGAAAAGTCTGTCTATTTCTAGGTTAGAAATTTCATACTGCTACTCTTTAATCTACTCTGTTCAATAACTTGATGGCTGTTTTTGAACTCATGGAAAGCTCTTTCATGGAGATGACAGAATGCCTTTTCACAGTGGTTCTTATCTCCCTTTTAAAAAATTGAGCAAGAGAGCATGGCAAGATAACCTCTCAACATCCTACATTTAACAAGTGTATACTGGGAATTAAAAACCTACTCTTCCAATCCTGCCATGCCAAAAAAAAGACAACACAGTTCTTTCACTTTCTAAGTTTTTAATTTGTCTAGGTTGGTAATTCTCAAAGTATGGTACCTGTAGCAATAGCTTCAGTATCACCTGAGACTTTGTTACAAATACAAATTCTCAGACCCCATCCCAGATCTACTATATCAGAAAGTCTGAATATGAAGCCCAGCAACCTGTCTTACAAGCCCTCTAGGTGATTCTAATAAATACTAAGTCTGAGAACCACAGATTTAGGTTATTTTTTCTTCCATAAGCGCTAGTCCAAAAAGTAAAGAGAAAAAGGCCAGCTATTATAAGGAAGAAGACTTTGTCAAAGTACTTGCATTATGCAGGATATCTATACATTTATTTTAAAATTTAAGTGTGTCATGCATATGATTTTTAATGCTTTTTATGTTAAAAAACTGTACAAAAATGAATCAACAATTACCTCTTCTGATATGAATAATTTCAGTGGTATAAGAAGTATATCTTCATAGAAATGTGATCACTATATAAGACAGAACCTTAAAAGGCACCTCCTGTTTTTCACACAAATAGCCATTTCATATCCAGATTAGATAATAAAACTAAGCTGGGGGGAAAATGGTGTGTGGCTGTTTAGAGAAATCCCATACACAATTGTGAGAAAGTTTTTTGAAAAATAATATATGTGGATATGACTGTAGGTGCTTACATAAAGACTGCTAATTCTCACCGTAAATTCCCACTCAAATACCTTCACCCAATTTAGACACGAGAACAATTACACTTTACCTGTCTATCAGTGTGGAGGATCAGAAGGACAGGGTCACCCAGGTTTAGTTTTAACCAGTCTATAAAACAGATTTATATGGGATGTGTTCTATTTTTATGCTTAATAAAGAAGCAAAAAAATTAATTAAAAATAGCTTAATTTAGAGCAAAATATGGAGAAAGGGCTAGTTAACTTTCTTTACAAGACACAAAATTATATGAAATATGGTAAAAATGTATGTCCTATTAGCTTAAGGTTTACATATCTTTATTTATCAAATGATAATTTCTCTCCTTTTTTTCTTTCTTCTAGCAATTATCAATTCTTTTTTTTTTTTTTTTTTTTTGAGATGGAGTTTTCACTCTTGTCACCCAGGCTGGAGTGCAATGGCGCGATCTCAGCTCACTGCAACCTCCGCCTTGTGGATTAGGGTGATTCTCCTGCCTCAGCCTCCCCAGTAGCTGGGATTACAGGTCCCTGCCACCACGCCCAGCTAATTCTTGTATTTTTAGTAGAGACGGGGTTTCACCATGTTGGCCAGGCTGTTCTTGAATTTCTGACTTCAGGTGATCCACCTGCCTCGGCCTCCCAAAGTGCTGGGATTACAGGCGTGAGCTACCACGCCCAGCCATCCGTCATCAGTTCTTAAAAGGCAGCATTGTCACAAGCTTGTCCAGTCTGCCTTATTTTGTTGTTGTTTTTCTGTTTTGTTTTGTTTTAGGCTTTTAGCAGCCTGAAGCCATGGTTTTTAGTTTCTGTCTCTAGTGATAAGCAGAAAAGAGGGATGAGGAAGGGGCTTTACTGGCCGAACCAGCAACAGAAACTAAGAACCCATGACTGTACTCTCTCCCTTGGACACCCCCAGAAGGGAAGAATACTGGACTAGGGATCAAGAGTTTTAGCTCCATCTACCTACCTGAATGACCTTGGGAACATATTTTGGCATCATTTTCTCCATCCCTATAGCATTCTTTGTAGTGCTAACATTTTATAGTTCTATGAACAGCATTTGACTTACTCCAACACAGAAATGTTCAGAAGGGTTTCAAAATGGGAAAAAAAGACTTGAATGGGCAAGGTTTTTTAAAAAGTATGCATTTTGGACAAAAAAGATAGCAAAATTCCATGCTAATTTAAACATAACAACTAAGAGCAAGTGGTGAATACTGTCAGGTCAGGTCAATCATTTATACTTTTTCTCTAGTTCTTCATAAACACAGGCAACATTTTGACATAAAAAGCCAGTATTAGTCAATTAAATTGAACTATTCTCTCCAAGTCATACAGAAAATATAGTCCTCTAAAGCTACAGACATAGCATTGGTGCCTGATGCTAATGTATCTTCTTGAAAATATCTATTTTTAAATTATGTGTTTCAGGAAGACACACTGGGAAATACTTATTTCACAGCTTCTAAGATGCATGTTGTTTTCCTATTATGATATATCTGAAAATAGGAATGTGTCTTAACAATTGATGATGTCTTAAAACCACTGTTAGCCAAGCAGCAGTCATAGTTGTCATGGATTATCCATGTGTGAACATCAGAATACAAACACCAAGCTTGGAAAATGATAGTAGCTAAGATATAAATGATAAAGATATAAATGATAGTAGCTAAGAAGTAAATCTTGGAAACAATTGTGGGGCACTCTAACCCCTCAGAACCAAGACTGTTGGACACAAAAATAACTAACTTTACACATCAATAACTGCAAACCTGGTTTAAAAGCCCATATCACTGGCTTTTAGCTTTTATACTGATTCTATTAAGAAATGCAGCATCACAATGCTCTTGACAGCACACAAAACAATACTATATGAAAAATCATGGGCCTCGACAATGCTGAGTATGTCATTTGGATTAGTTTATATTTTCCTTTTTATGTAAGTACAAGTTGGATTTAAGGTTAAAATCATTTTCTAGCTAAATCTAAACATTCGATTCCAATAAGGGGGAAAACCTAGCATAAAAAAATTAGTGTTAAAAAATTCAGTCTATGTATATACTAAGCAGCCTAGTATCAAATAGTAGTATGTTTTATGATTCATAAAATACAATTAAATGTATTTTCAATTTGTGGAAAAATAAAACATTTTTATTTAATTCCACTGAAAAACCTCCTTTGTTGCATTACCTGTAAACCACAGCAGCCTACAGCATTCATTATGGAGGCATTGTGAATAACTCTATAAGGAATTCCCAGCTTTGTTGCTCTTAGAACAAGATCACTGTGTGTTGTGGCCCTGTAGTGAGAAAAGATTAGATTGGATTAAAGCAAACAACACTTTTAAGACAGTAAAGCTATATTTCCTGAGTTCATGTCAATTAAAGAGGCAGGAGCACTGCCTTTCTTCAAATTCTTCCACACACCTGCATAAGGCTTTCATCTGAGCTTTTTAGCAAGAAAATGCAAGACTAAACATGCCCTTCAAAATGCTGAGTTGCTACTGTAACACTCCTAAAGCAGCCTTGGCAGCTACTTAAGAAAGGGACCTTTACTTGCCCACTGTCCTGTAAATACGTGAAAAAGACATCTATGAAATATAAGCTCAGCAACTTAACTCTTGAGCAGCAATTCTTAAGCTCTTTGGTCTCAGAGCCCTTTTAAATTCTTAAAATTACTGCTCTAAAATTCTAAATTAGGGCATAACTAGAATCACTGCTCTATTTTGAAGACTTTGTCTTTGTATTTAAAATATAAGGCAGAATATACACGTATACCATGAAGATATTGCAAGTTTGGGTCAAGATAACCACAATAATGTGAATATCAAAATATAGCCAGCCACATTAATTTTTTTGGTTTCTTAGTGCATATAAAAGTTATGTTTATACTATACTGTAGTCTGTTAAGTGTGTAACAGCATTATGTCGAGAAAATGTGCATACCTTAGTTTAAAAACACTTTATTGCTACAAAATGCCAACAATCATCTGAGCCTTCAGTGAGTTTAATCTTTTTGCTAGTGGATGGTCTTGGCTCCATGTTGATGGCTGCTAACTGATCAGGGTGGTGGTTGCTAAAGATGGGGGTGGCTGTGGCAATTTCTTAAAATAAAACAATGAAATTTGCTGCATTGATTGACTTTTCCTTTCATGAAAGATTTCTCTGTAGCATGCAACATTGTGTGATACCATTTTACCCACAGTGGAACCTCTTTCAAAACTGGAGCCAATCTTCTCAAACCCTGCTAGTAATCTATCAACTAAGTTTATATGATATTCTAAATCCTTTGTTGTCATCTCAACAATGTTCACAGCATCTTCATCAAGAATAGATTTCATCTCATGAAACCACTTTCTTTGCCTGTCCATAAGAAGCAACTCTTCATCTGTTCAAGTTTTATCCTAAGATTGAAGTAATTCCTTCATATCTTCAGGCTCCACTTCTAATTCTAGTTCTCTTGGTATTTCTACCATATCTACAGTTACTTCCTGCAGTGAAGTCTTGAAGCCCTCAAAGTCATTCAGGAGGGTTGGAATCGACCCCTCCCAAACTCCCATTAATGTGGGTATTTTCACCTCTTCTCATGAATCATGAATATTTTAAATGACATCTAGAATGGTGAATCCTTTCCAGAAGGTTTTCAATTTACTTTGCCCAGACTCATCAGAGAAATCACTATCTAGGGCAGCTACAGCCTCACAAAATATATTTCTTAGATAGAAAGACTTGAAAGTCAAAATTACTCCTTGATCCATGGGCTGTAGAATAGGTGTTGGGTTAGCAGGCATAAAAACAATAGTAATCTTCTTGTACACTGCCTGAGCTCTTGGGTGACCAAGTGCATTGTCAATGGCAATAATGTTTTGAAAGAAATCTATGTTTTTGAGCAGCAGGTCTCAAGGGTGGGTTTAAAATATTCAGTGAACCATGCTGTAAACAGATGTGCTGTCATTCAGCTTTTCTTGTTCCACTTACAGCGCACAGGGAGAATAGATTTAGCATAATTCTTACAGGACCTAGGATTTTCATAAGGCTATATATATGAGCACTGGCTTCAATCTAGAGTCACCAGCTGCATTAGCCCTACCAAGAGTTAGCCAGTCCTTTTAAGTCCGGCATTCACTTCTCCTCTCTAGCAATTAAAGTCCTACAAGGCATCCTCTTCCAATAGAAGGCTGTTTCATCCACACTGAAAATCTACTGTGTAGTGATTCATCAGTTACCTTAGCTAGACCTTCTGGATAACTTGTTTCCACAGCTCATACATTTATGTTATAGAGACAACTTTTTTCCTTAAACCTCATGAACCAACCTCGGCTAGCTTGGAACAATTTTTCTGCAGCTTCCTCACCCCTGTCAGCCTTCATAGACTTGAAGAGAGTTCGAGCCTTGCCCTGGATTAGACTTTAGCTTAAGGGAATATTGTGGCAGGTTTGATCTTCTATACAGAACACTAAAACGTTCTCCCTATCAGCAATAAGTCTGTTTTACTACCTTATCATTAGAGCATTCGTAAGAGTAGCACTTTTAATTTCCATTAAGAACTTTTCCAGCCAGGTGCAGTGGCTCACATCTGTAATCCCAGCACTTTGGGAGGCTGAGGCAGACAGATCACGAGGTCAGGAGATCGGGACCATCCTGACCAACACGGTGAAACCCCGTCTCTACTAAAAATACAAAAAGTTAGCTGGGCGTGGTGGCAGGCGCCTGTAGTCCCAGCTACTCGGGAGGGTGAGGCAGGAGAATGGCGTGAACCCGGGAGGCGGAGCTTGCAGTGAGCTGAGATTGTGCCACTGCACTCCAGCCTGGGCAACAGAATGAGACTCCTTCTCAAAAAAAAGAACTTTTCCTTTGCATACATAACTTGGCTGTTTGATGAAAAAGGCCTAGTTTCCAGCTTATCTTGGCTTTCCTTTTCTTTCTTTCTTTTTTTTTTTTTTTGACACGGAATCTCACTATATCACCCAGGCTGGAGTGCAGTAGCATGATCTTGGCTCACTGCAACCTCCACCTCCTGGGTTCAAGCAATTGTCCCTCCCTCAGCCTCTCGGGTAGCTGGGATTACAGGCACCCGCCACCACGCCCAGCTAATTTTTGTATTTTTTGGTAGAGACGGGGTTTCATCATGTTGGCCAGGCTGGTCTTGAACTCCTGACTGGAGGTGATCTGCCCACCTCAGCCTCCCAAAGTGCTGGGATTACAGGTGTGAGCCACCACACCCAGCCTCTTGGCTTTCTATATGCCTTCCTCATTTCTAGCTTTTGATTCAAAGTGAGAGACATGTGACTCTTTCACTTAAACACTTTGAGGCCATTGTAGGGTTATTAATTGACCTAACTTCAATATTGTTGGGTCTCTGGTAAAAGGGAGGCCCAAGAAGAGAGAGAGAGTTGGGGGAATGGCTGGTTGGTGGGGAGCAGTCAGAACACACACAACATTTATCAATTAAGTTCGCCATTTTATATGCGCTTGGTTTGTGGCAACCCAAAGTACAACAGTAACATCAAAGATCACTGATCACAAATCATCATTAACAGATGTAATAATGAAAAAGCTTGAAATATCACAATAATTACCAAAATGTAACACAGAGACAGGAAGTGAGAACATGCTGTCAGAAAAAAATGGCACCAATAGGATTGCTCAATGCAAAGTTGCCACAAACCTTCAATTTTTAAAAAATGCAATGTATGTGAAATGAAATAAAGCAAAACACAATAAAACGAGGTATGCCTGTACATAAATTTTCACAGCTTGTCACTCAGTCTTTATATGAGAGTCCTATCTCCTATAATATTGGATTTTATATCTGTCCAGCAGTCATTTTAACTGTTTTTATTTGGTTACTGTGTGTAATTAGGATGTGTGTATGCGTATGTACGTATGTGTGCATATTTGACCTGTTGCCTTTCCATTTTTAAGATAAAATCTCAAGATTGTAAGTAGGTAGATTGGAGTAAAGAGAGACTATAGATAAATATAAACATGGACACAGTGAAATGTAACCGCTTATCAATTTAGAACTTCATTTTAAAGGCCTTTTTCCCTCCTGATAAAAATTCCAGGCCCTACTGGGTAAAGCAACATTAGCATGTCTGAGAAACCACATGCAAACAAGTAGAACCTGTGGACTGGTCAATGCATACCAAGTAGGAAGATAAAGGGCTTTCACCCCATGGAGCAGTCAGATATATATTAACAAATTAACAAATGCCCACCAGGGAAGCCTGTTTTTAATCACATACATAAAATAAAACTGGTATGAAAAATAATCATTAATTTGATTTCAAATAAGCTTTTAAAAAATAACATGAATGTCAATTATAAAGAATTGTTTTTAATATCACCTTCAACAGAATCTCACTACTTAACATTAAGAGTAAAGAAAACTAAATTAGTTACTTGGTGAGTTATTTAAGCAAATGAAAAACTGGCTCAAAATTACATCTCTATCACAAGTTTATTTAAAATGAGTAGACACATACATATACACACAAACAAATTTACTATTTCTAGGTATATGGCTCTATCTAAAATCATATATGTGTATATGTATGTATGCTCAGAAATAGTAATAAATCTGTCTGTAATAACATGCTTGTTACTTGAAATTGTTCTAAAGGCAATTTCAAGAAAGGAGATCCAAAAATGTTTTGATTAATGGAATCAATAAAATAAAGTACACAAAGGTGACCAATTTGAATATACAAAATTTGATTTTTTTTTTTTTTTTTTGAGACAGAGTCTTGCTCCATTGCCCAGGCTGGAGTGCAGTGGCACGATCTTGGCTCATGCAACCTCCGCCTCCCGGGTTCAATCAATTCTCCTGCCTCAGCCTCCTGAGTAGCTGGGATTACAGGTGCCTGCCACCACGTCTGGCTACTTTTTTGTATTTTTAGTAGAGATGGGGTTTCGCCACATTGCCCAGGCTGGTTTCAAACTCCTGGGCTCGGGCAATCCACCCGCCTCAGCCTCCCAAAGTTGCTGGGATTACAAGCATGAGCCACTGCGCCGGCTGGTATGTTTGTTTTAAATTTTATAGTGTCTCCGTTTTTGACATAAGTGTGGCTGGTGGGCCAGAAATTTAGTAATGTTTGCAATGATATAGCGCAAATGACGTTTTCATGAACTATGGAAGCACTAACACTTGGCACTATCCTTTTGAAAAATAATTGACAATATGCTTTATTCTACAAAATGTCCATGTCCACACCTTTTGATATTTTATTCCTAAAAACCTATTTTGGAGGATCTACCATAAGGAAACAACCTAAAACATGGGGATAAAGAAGTGGGAGGCAGGAAGGTATCATATACATAAATTTACATGTGACAGCTTTATTTATATTGAAGAAAAATAGACTAATAATAATGCTGCCATTGATTTTATAGTTATTAGGTATCAAGCACTGTTCACATTCATTACATGGAATGGAAGCAGTCAGCCTACATCAGGACATATTATCTGTATATGGATGCCACTAAGGAAAAGGCATACAACATAGGGATAAAAATTTTGTATTCATTATAATAATATAGTTACAGAGCATATTGAAATACAGAATGGAATAATAAAACAGAACCATCATTAGAAACAGTGTGTTTAATAAAGACTTCTTATGCAGAGATTTAGGGATAGAATGTTTGAGACTGTCAACTCTCACAGTGATTAAGTTCTATTGATTTAGTATATATTTTTAGACTCATTTACTTTCTTTGTGTGATCTATTTCCATATTCCTTTCAATAACCTGGGTAAAAGAACAAAGATGAGACTACATGAACTTACTTAACTATGACTTTAAATTGTCTTCAAGAACTTCATATTGCTGGAGATGGACAGTGCTGATAGTTGCACAACAATGTGAATGTACTTAGTATGCCACTGAACTGTACACTAAAATGGTTAAAATGACACATTTTGTCATGTGTCATTTTACCATTTTAAAAGTACTGAAAAAAAGAATTTAAGATTCAGCATCTTAAACAATCTTCTTTTTATATATTTTATTTAAATAAGAAGGGGTCTTAAAATTAAATAAGGGATATTTTTTGCTCATATCTAAGAATTTCAGTGCCTTGCTGCATTCTATATTCCTTACCTGATTTCTCCTCCATTTAATCCACTCATATTCCAATTAAAATTACACATTCCCCATCATGCCATTTCCAACTATCATATCCTAACTATAATCTGCCGGTAAATAAAAAATAACTGCAGTACAGTAAATATTCCTTAAATCTGAATTCAAATACAAGGCTATATACGATGAATCACTAAGAAAGGGCAAATTAAAGAAGTCTAAAATGGAAAAAAAAAAGGCACTCCGGAATAAAACAGGAATGAAAGAGGTAGCATCTGAGCTGTATACTAATTTTATAGTACAATTAGGTATAATTAGGAACTGAGAAGAACTCTTTTAAGGAAAAAGCTTGAGCAAAGAAATAGGGGAAGAATATTACAAAACACTTATGAAATGGAAAGTTGTACCATTTGGTTTTAGCATAGCGGTTAAAGAGTAGCTAGAGAAAAAAGAAAGACTTCAAGATTTAAGGCCATGAGAAGTCACTGAAGGTTTTTGAGCATGGGAGCAATTAATTACATCAAGGTACTTTCTCTGTGCCTCAGTTTTTTCATTTATATGAGCATTCTTCCTTCTACCTTTCTCCTGGCCCACCCTATAATCTCCATCTGTTGAACCCTATCCAGACCCAGCGCAAGTTCCAGCTCCTCCATAAAACCACCACTAATCAACTCCAAACATCATGTCTTTAAATTCATACACATATTTCTGTCCTCATCTTACAGTCAAACTTTCAGTATTATATTGAAGGTATTCAGTCTTTCCTTTTTGAATAGTCTCTTTTCCTGGCTTCTGTGACAACATACTCTCTTGCTTTTTCTCCCTCCTCCTCTGGCTCCAGGTACACGATGAAATTCCAAGGTTTCCTAGGGCCATCCTAGGTCCTCTTTTCCCACTCTTCTCTCCTAAGCTGATTCTATCCATTCCTCCAGCTTTAAACACCATAAACATACTGATGACTTCAAAAGCCATTTATCTAGGATGACCTCCCATCCCAAGCTCTAGCAGCAGCTAACTGCCTACTTGACATCTCAAAGTAAACATATTTCCAGAACCAATTCTTGTTTCTCCAAATCCTGTTCTCTACCAGTTTTCAAGTGACACTACCAACCACTCATTTGTAAAGCTAGAATCCTGGGAATCAGATTTACTCCTTTCCTTTTCCTTATCCACCACATTCATCTTGGCATTCTTCTTCTAAATATGTTCCCATCTTTTTCTCTTTTCCACCAAAAACGTTCTTGCCTCCCTAAAATCCATTTACCTAAGCACTTAAAGTGACCTTTTAATGCTAATCAGATTTTGACTTTTTCCTGCTTTGAATCCTGCAAAAGTTTACCACTGTATTTAAATTAAATTCCTAGTCCCCTCCAAGGTCTTACATGGTCCTTATGTTCCTTAAATCTGTGATATAAATCTTAGGTAACCAGCTGTAGACAAAGAACTCTTCTGTTTGGCTTGACATTAGAGATTGATGATGCTTGACTAGGCAGTAGATGCCCATCTTCGTGGTAATGACAAAGAACAGGGTTCCCAATGGATATAAGAAACTGAAATCAGAGACTTGATAAATGATAAATTCAAGGCAAGCAAAGTGACGGCAGTATTGCCAAATAGTAGATGATTACAAAAGGAAAAAAAACCTAGGACAAAAGAAGTCGAAGATGCCTGAAATTATCAGCAGAAAATGGCAGGCATGACTTTTGATAATGTAATGAACTATTTAATAATGATATAGCAGTTAAGGCATTTGTTGCCCTACATGACCTTCTAAAACAGCAGAAGCAATGATACAAACTTTAGAGTTGACACTTGATAATGTAGTGATACATATGATGATATATTTACCAACTAGCTTTTCTTCACTAATCTCAAAGATCATGAAAGTTTAAACTATGACATTTTAGATAGCGCTTAAGTAACCAGAGTTCCTTATCAGGACCTGGCAGGTAAAAGTGTTAAATGCAATAGAATAATTCTTACTGATTAAAAAAAAGTAAATGAGTTAAAAACTCAAAATATCTGCCTTGACTTACCCAAATGGATCACCAACCACAAGGAATGCAACATCACTGATATCAGCATCCTTTAAAATATTATCTGCTTCTTGTTCCACTTCTTCTCTATCAGCAACAACCAATTTTCTTCCATAAAACTCTTCCTACAGATATAAGTCCAATATCAAGATAAAGAGACAGCAGGTGACCATTCTAACACACACACACACACACACACACACACACACACACACACACTCTTTGTTTGGGACTGGTGCATATGTTGGCAACCACCCAAATGCAGATCATTCAATACAACTCATCAGTAAGCCAGTACTTTATGTCATGTTGCAATTAAACTCTGTATTTGGGGCTGTCTTAATATCCCAAAGGAGGCGGAACTCTTAACATCTGAGGCTTTTTGCATTTTAAATTTATTTCTAAATTTGGTTCTAAAGGCCAAATAGAACACTGTAGGATGAATGCGGAATATGTACACATGAGCCCTACTTCAGAAACATGATGTAATACAGAATAAATATATTAAACAATAAGTTTAAACAAACATGGTGGTTTAGCTTTTATTAAATTTTCAATGGTTAAACATATGGCAACTCAGCTAGAAAAAAAAGGCAGCACCAATGAGAAACAATAGAAAATTAGCTGTTTACAGAACCAGTGAACATTCCTACATAAATGCAGAAGATACTAATTTAAAACTATATTCCTTAGTTTCTGCTAAAAAGGCAGAGTTGCAGGAGCAGTAACTGAATTCTAAATATGTAGGAAGTTTGCAAACAAACTGCTTTGTGATTTAATTCCCTGCAGCTCAACTCTAGAGAACAAATCCAGTAGAGAGTGAGCTAGTAAGCTAGTAGTCATCTGATAGTGGTTACGGGCTATTATGCAAGATCATGAATCCTTTTCTTTTTTTTCATCTCGTCAGCCAGTACAGAATGAAGGATCATGAATCTTAAAACTGATTTCCTGAGAAGTAATAAGTAATTCAAATGGAGTAAAACTGGATGCATAGATAAATAATACGGTTTCTTACATACTGAGAACTTTGAGTGAGTTATTAAAATTTATAAGGATTGCTGTAGTGCAACGGTATCTGGTACTCAATAATATCTGTCAAACAAATGAGTACATGAACAAATTATTAAGCAGGGCAGGATCCAGCATTGACCATTTTGCTTGAATCCTACCTTCTCTGTAGGTGTTCTGTGAAGTTAAACTTTGTGTAGCTATTATCTATCCTTAAGAATACAGAGACACAGTACAGTGTAGAGGTCAAGAGTGGTAGACCTCGGCCGGGCGCAGTGGCTCTCACCTGTAATCACAGCACTTTGGAGGCCGAGGCAGGTGGATCACCTGAGGTCAGGAGTTCGAGACCAGCCTGGCCAACATGGTGAAATCTCATCCTACTAAAAATACAAAAATTAGCCGGGCGCAATGGCACACGCCTGTAATCCCAGCTACTCAGAAGGCTGTGACAGAAGAATTGCTTGAACCCGAGAGGCAGAGGTTGCAGGGGGCCGAGATCGCACCACTGCATTCCAGCCTAGGCAACATAGCAAGACTCCGTCTCAAAATAAAAAAACATAATAAATAATAATAATAATAAAAAGAGTGGCAGACTTCAACTCAGGACTGCTTTGGTTCATCTCCTGGCTCTATCATTCACTATCTGCATGAACTTAGGCAAGTTTGTTAACTTCTCTATCCCTGCAAAATGAACAGTAATTAGAATAATAATCCTAATCTACATGTAAAGCATTTAAAACAGTGCACAGTAACTGTTCTGTAACTGTTCTATAAATGTCAGTACTTATTACTGTGAAGAAACAGATATTCCAGCACCTTAACAAAGTACACATAATTTACTGTAGGTAAGGCTGGGTCCAGCTTCAGGTCTTGACTCTGTAAGTAGTAACTCCAGAAGTTTTGTCTTTGGAAAAAAATACTTTACAAAATAACAGCAGCCAAAATTAACATTTAGCTAGCACTGAAAATTTACAAAGCACTTTCATATACATCATCTCAATAAAACACTACATAACCCTCCAACTGGTAATTGCCACTTGACAAATGAAGAAACTGAGGTTCAGAGAAGTTTGGAAATGTGAACATTGACAATTTCTATTTCTGAACAGTTTTGTGCCATATACCATAGTTAAGAACCTATGCTAAGAATTATGCTGAACACCTAAAGTAGATGTTTTTTACCCCATTTAAAAAAGACACTAAAGTTAAAGGACTTGTCCAAGGTCACATTAACATGTAACAAAGATAAAACTATAACCAAACTTTCCTCTATGCCATCCCCTGATATCTCATTCTATCAAACTGCTGTTTTGTTATTTGTCTGTCTTTTCTTGAAGGTGTTAAGTTCCTTTTACTTTTCCTTAATCACTGATTAGAGACGCACATTTCCATCATTTCGAGCTTAGATATTTTGGTTCTATCCTAAGAGTGAAAAAATGAGAAAAAAAAATGTTTTTTAAATCAAAGCTGGCCTTAGGCTGGGTGTGGTTGCTTGTGCCTATACAATCCCAGCACTTTAGGAGGCCGAGGTGGGCAGATCACTAGAGTCCAGGAACTTGTGACCAGCCTGGGCAATGTGGCAAAACCCTGTCTCTACAAAAAATACAAAAAATTAGCTGGGCATGATGGCACCCACCTGTAGTCTCAGCTACTCGAGAGGTTGAGGTGGGAGGATACTTGAGCCCAGGAGGCTGAGGCTGCAGTGAGCCATGATCATACCATTGCACCCCAGCCTGGGCAACAGAGCAAGACTTATTTTCTCTCTCTCTCCACATATATGTATATATCAAAGTTGGTCTTTACACACAACTTTTATTTAAATGCATGGCCAATTCAAGTAGCAGTTCTTAATTCCTTCTATAAGATTTTAAAGTAATCTGAGGCCTAAAAATTTTAAGTCTATTTTTTGTTTGGAAGACATGACAATAAATCTGCTCCCTCCTCCCATAACATATGTATTAATCCTTTGATTTACATTCTACTTAGAGTTTGACAATGAACCTGAAGTTGACCCTTCCCCCAAATTTACTGGGCCCTTATGAGGGCCAACTATAAATGTATAATATACTAACAAATACTTTGGTTACTTAGTGTATACTCATGTAAGTGTATACTCATACATTTTTATATATTAAGTCCAGGCTCACTCAATATATACAAGTGTATCAGTATAAGCCTTATTGGGAGATAGTCTATTTAAGATAAGATCTCTCTGGATAGGATACAAAAAGGCAATCGCCATTCCCTATGGACACACTTCAAAGGGGGAAGCTTTCAGCTTGGTTTTTGAATATATATAACCAACTCATTAAGGCTGTGTCAGCTCCTCATTAGCACTCAACTCAGAAAGGGTTTCTTGACTACCTCATGAAATAAGGGGTTTTGATAACTATCCCCCAGGAGTATAAAATAGCTTTCCTATTTACTGGAGAAAGCCACAAAATTAGACTTGTAAAATAGGACAAAGCACCCTTTCATTTTCCAAGTCACTTGGTTGGTGTAAAATTTCCATTCTTCTGCTCCTCAGATCATTAATGAACAAGGGATGCGTTTCAAAGGGTTTAAACAAGCAGACCTGAAAATTCTGTTCAGCTTAGTGTATGAAAATCAGATGTTAGATAGCTTTCTTCCCAGGAGGCTGGGGAACGCTCAGCACCTACCAAGGCTTCCTTCCCTACAGTTAGGACTGAGGTGTAGGCTTCCAGATACACTCGACTGCAGCGTCTAACAACTTCCAGGCCCTTGACTGTGATGTCCTTGGCATCTCCCAGGCCCAACCCGATGAGATAAAGCATTTCAAACTTGAGGAGAAGAGAGACTGCAAGACGAAGTGGACAGAAAAACCGTCAGTAACACCGAGGACATCTAAAATCTAGTGATGAACACGATGACAACCAAAGTAGCACAAGAGAAGAGGCAAGTCACAAGGAGGGGTTTGGGAACCTTATGTCACGCTTAAGAACTGGGATAAGAGGTTTTAAACAACCCTACCAGTTTTGCCTCTTGTTACACAAACCTAGGAGCAGCCAATTACCCGCTGAGAGAATCGTAGGTAGTTCTCTGGCCTTTACAAATTCTTAACTACCACCTTTCCGCAGAAGCAACTGCAAAAGCGCCGGCTCCGTGCAGAGAAAAGGCCCACGCCGCCGGCCTCACCTACGGTGCCGCAAAATGCTGGTGCCTTTACTGCACTTTACGACTAGCGGGAGGGGGCCGGGCTAGCGGGCTACTGGGCTGCGGAGACCAGAGCCCGGCTCCACTGAAGAAACCCGCCGGCTGCTGGGGCAGGGCGGCGAAAGGTCAGTCGGCCGAGAGGAGTCCGTGGAGCCACCGTTTCATAGCCTCAGGGAAAGGATCGGGCGTGCTCACGAGCCCTCTAACCCATGGCTTAAACACCCGCTTCCTAAGCCTGGGTAAGTGCAGTAGCTCTTCGCTCGAGAGGAGCCACGTGGAAGAGAGTCGGGAGGGGCCCTGCGCCCTACTCCTCCTCTCCAGAAACAGGGAGGGCTGGGAAGGATTTTCCTGATTTGTCCCCGGATTTGGCCGAGTGCACAGATTTTAATTCCAGTCTTCTCATCCTCCTGTAGTTCAACTAGGTGTCTTCCTGGTGAAGCGTGAGATTGGCAAACCCAGCAGTGAGTGTGCTTCTGATTTCCCAACAAGGCAATGACTCCTTGGGTTTGTCCCCAAGACCTTATGCCTGGAGTGCCCCAAGGATGTTTCAGTCACCCTCAGTGTCAGGAATCCCAGACCTTCCTGTACCTAAAGAAGTGACCTTTAATAGTGCTCAGGGATTTCAGACCTCTCAAGTGTTTCTGCCGGGGGAATTCTTATAAAGCTGTTGGTTACATGTAATTAGAAATAGGGAAGATTTGTTTTGACTGAAAATGCTCTTCCCAAGGTGACCTCATCCAAGTTAAAAAAGACAGCTGTCATTGCTTTTCTTAGCAGGCAGTGTTGGTTACTCAGAATTTTCCTGTTGCCTCCCCGACAATGCCCAACTCCGCTTCCTTGAACCTTGGCTTTTTTTCATTCCCAGGTTCCATCCACCTTTTTGCACTTCCTATCTATAAACTCTTCGTGGCTGTGTTTTATCCCCTCTCATTACGTTGATCTATTCCTCACACCACATACACACCCCAAAAAACTCAAAATGGATCGTAGATGTAAATGGAAAACCTAAACCTATACCAGAAGAAAACATAGGAGGAAATATTCGTGACCTTATTTAGGCAAATATTTCTTAAACCAAAAGCGTGATGAAAAAAATTGATAAATTGGACTTCAACAAAGTAAAAATTTATGCTCTTCAAAAGACTTGAAGCCACATACTGAAAATATTTACAAAGCATGTATCTGATGAAGGACTTGTATGGAGAATATATAAGGAGCACTCAGAAAGCAATAATAAAACAGTTCGTTGTTTAAAAATGGGCAAAAGATTTGAATAGACACCAAAGAAGATACACAAATAGCAAATAATTATTTTAAAAGATCTTAAACAAACAAAAAAAGATCCTAAACATCATTAGACATTAGGAAAATAAACATTTAAATCACAATGAGCTACCACAACCCACCTATTAGAATGGCTTAAGTAAAACAAACAAAACCTCACAAAAACTGGCTGTTCACTCAGAATTCCTAGTATCGCTAATATTTTGTAGATTCAAATTTCAGCCTCCTATCCAGACTTCCTCCCTCTTGGCTTCATGTTAACGTTCTGCTGGAAATCTTCACCTAGATAACCCGGAAGCATATTCAACACATCCAAGGTTGAATCCATCACCTTCCCTTTCCATTTTGCTTTTCTTTCCATATTATCTACTTGGATGGGTCGGGGGTGGGGGTGGGTGAGGAGAGTATTGTCATCAACAGATTAACCCCAGCCAGACACTTGGGAGTCACCCCCACATCGTCTGTCATGTCTGCCTGTATATCTCAATAGAAACCATACCGTCTATCACCATCTTGATTCTCAGGTCCTCATTTTGTCACTCTTGTAGCTGATAATAATGTCTCCTTCACTCAAGGGGGTCAGAGAGTTATAGTTAACAATCTGAAAATATTACACCCCTTCTAGATCCTTCTGAGGCCAAGAGAAAGTCCAGGTTTGTTAACATACCCCACAAGATCATTCGTGGTGTGGCCACTGCCTACCTTTTTAGCATCATCTCTCTCCACTCCATACCATGAGCTTTCTCGCTTTCTCTCCAGCAATACTGAATTGCTTGTAGTTCTCTGCCCACAACATGCTGCTTTGTTCCTCTACGCTGCTGCCTCATCATAGAATATTGTCTCCCATTCTCTCCTGCCTAGATCACTAATACCCATTCTTTAAGACCAAGTTCAGGAAGCCTTCCCAGAGACCCTCACCCCCCTAAGCTAATTTAGGTTTCTCCTCTTCATTACAGTATTACTCTACATATACTTACTAACCAATTTATGAGATTTTATATTTGTTCATTTGTATTTCTTCTTTACCAAACTATTGATTTAGTTAATTCAGGGACTGCATCTTATTTGTATGCTCATCTTAGGTTTAGCACTATCCCTTGCACATAATAGGTATTAAATAAATGTTTGTTGAATAAATCATTATTATCCACTAGTAGCTGAGCTACGTATTTTTCCATCTTTATTAATACAGAGGGTGGTATGTTTTAAAAAACTACCAAAAAAATCATTAATGGAATATCAAATATAAATATGCCTGTCTCATGCCACTTTAGAAGGTCATTTGTATTGAAAGGCTTGCAACACACAAAACATATAGTTCATATGCATGCTATTGAGTAGGTAAACACATTTTCCAATGTGTTGATCATTTATGTTTTTTGTTTTCAGATTTAAAAAAATAATAATTTCAGGTAGATTCACAGTGCAAGGACACTGCCAAAAAGGATGATTAAGTAATCTGAAGAAGGTGTGGTTTATCTCCTTTCAGGAAATATATCTATATTGAAAATAAAGTTATTCTGGGTAATCAAGGAAGTGAAACATTGCCTGAAATAACAGTAATAATTTGTTTTTAAGCTTCAAAATGTAGCCAGAGGAACTTAGTTTTACCACGGAGAATTCTTAACAAACAAACCTTTCACCTGCCGTTATTTCTCAATAAGAGTGTAAATTTTTTGTACTTTTCTGGAGGTAGACAGATAAAGGGATTATGGTAATCTTTTTTGTTTTTCCTCCTCAGCTCAACAAACATAAGCTGCAAAAATCTTGCCTATTGGATTTTGCAGAATTCTGTGGGATTTGGACATTTTTCCCTTGCCATTTAAAACAGGTTTCAAATGTGATTACATTTTCCCCAACAATTTATTGTGAAAAATTTCAAACATATAGAAAAGTTGAAACAGTGTCACAGTCAACACCCATATAGCCACCTCCAAGGTTCTAAAGTTTTAACATTTTGCTGTTTTTGCTTTATCACTTATTTATCCTTTTACCCAGATGTCAACCCATCTTATTTGTTGATGCATTTCCAGGGAAGTTGCAGCCATCAATACACATATTACATTTTGCTTGAAACATAAACTCCTCACCTAGGTAATAGATTAACAAAACATACCTAGGCATATAGCTGATTAAATGATATCATTGCTTCACCTAATTTAGGCTGGATTTTGAAAATTTTGCTGTAAAACGATTTCAAATTAGTTTTTAACAAATATTATAGTTTTATAATGATAATGAAAGCAGTTAGAGGACAAATTCTTTTATGTCAGCAAATTTGTAGTCTCATGTCTAGCAGAAGAGAGAGTGATGGTTAAAGAGAAAGGTGATTATAGGACAAAAGAAAAAAAGAAAGATTTTTAGCCTTTTTTGGCTTCAAGAATAACATGGATAGATTAGACCTGAAGAGTTTTCTACTTTGTATTCTTGCTTTCAGGTCAGATGATGCCAAGTCATCCCTGAGGGTGAACATTTATGCTTTTATGAAGGATCTTTAAGATGTTTTTATAACCTTTGCCAGTAACTCATTTTTACTGGCAAATTCTTCCTTATATTTGAGACCTACAGTCAGTAGTCATAAAATGTGAGAGAGATGCAGATAGTCATAAGAAATTAATACTGATGGCTTTTCCATTTCATTGTCATAGACACATCATATGCTACTTTTATTCTGAAGTAATAACATAGTTGAGTCACTGCATTACCTTACGGACAAATTATAATTACCTTACATTTAAGAGAAGTCATCCTTCAATTGTCCTGTTTAAGCAGTTTGTGTATTGAAAAGAAGACATCAGGGTGACTGACTAAACTCCATCTGACCTTACTGTGAATGAAGAATATTATTTTACTATGAAGCTGGCCTTTTAACCTACATGTTCCCAGAAATTGCCTTTGTTAGAGGAAATCTTGGTTAATATTTGTAGAGCTCAGACTCTTAATTGATTGAAGTCATTATTTTCTAACAATTCACAAATAAGTGATAATTAAAGATAACATTGCTTTAGGATAAGGACCTGTATTTACTAAGGTTAAAAGATTTGAAGTTACTTTATTGTACACTTGTTTACTTAGAGAAAAAGTCACTTTTTATAAACCCAGTGATTTTAAGTACTCATCCATACATTATATGTTAATCATATGATGTAAAAATGCATAAAAAACAAATCTAGAGCTATTTTCTGTGTAAAGTGTGGAAATTTTTATTGTCATTCATCCTAGCTTAATAGATTGAATCAGTAACAATATGGACTGTCGTAAAGAAGTCACCTAGAGCCCTGCGTTTTTGTGTAAAGGAGCTCCCAGAATGTTCCCTTAAGTGCCTGTGTGTATGTGCATGTATGTGTAAACTTTCTGTTTGTTTCTAACCCATTTTCGTATATGGCAGGTCCTTCCTCCAAAGTCTATTGCTAAAAAGGTAGAATCAGGGATACATAATTCACTCTTTTTGCATTTAAAAAAACTACAGGCCAGGCACGGTGGCTTACGCCTGTAATCCCAGCACTTTGGGAGGCTGAGGCGGGTGGATCACGAGGTCAGGAGATCCAGACCATCCTGGCTAACACGGTGAAACCCCGTCTCTACTAAAAATACAAAAAAATTAGCCGGGCGTGGTGGCGGGCACCTGTAGTCCCAGCTACTTGGGAGGCTGAGGCAGGAGAATGGCCTGAACCTGGGAGGCGGAGCTTGCAGTGAGCCAAGATCGTGCCACTGCACTCCAGCCTGGGCAACAAAGCGAGACTCCGTCTCAAATAAAAAACAAAAACAAAAACAAAAACTTACAGTGTCCCTTTAAGGTTTTTTAGGGAAACATAGCTAAACTAGCCAAGATTTGGTGGGAGAAGGGGAGTGGTTTCCCTTTCATTCAAAAGCCAAAATTCATAAAAGCGAACTACCAGGCTGTATATTAGCCACACACACATACCCCCACTATCTACACCACTCCCCTAGTTCTCCAGCCTCACCTCCTCGTCTCCGTACCCCTGGCCCCTACAGATAGCTGTGTGGCTCTGGCTCCACTTCCTTGAAGTCATTGTTCAGAATTCACTTCCTCAGTGAGGGCTATTTTATGTAAACTACAACCAACATTTCTAATCACTTTATCCGCTTATTTGCCCCTGTAGCATTGCTCACTTTGTAACACAACTGTCTAGTTTACTTATTTATTATGATGTTTTTTGTCCACATCCTATTAGAGTATAAGCACCACAAAGGCAGGATTTTTTTGTCTGTGTTATGCTCTAATGTGAAACAAACAGCTAGAACAGTGTTTGATGCTCAGTAAATATATATTGAATGAATGAGTATACATCTACACATGGTAATAAGTTATAAATAAATTTCTGGAGGAGAAGAACTGAACAGAGGGGATTTTTTATAATGATTGAGAACTCACATTTTGATGTCATTCAGACCGTGTTTAGTCTAGGCCTTTCACTCAGTAGTGTATTCCTTGCATTCCCTTTTTAAACCTCAGTTACCTATTCTATAAAATAGAGATAATAGTAACATCTTTCATGGGATTATTGTGAGGATAAATGAAAAAATACATATAAAGGGTTTAGCATACTTTCAGACAACTAGTAAAGACTCAGAAAACATTGACAAATATTGATATAGAGTTTGAAATTAATTTTAGAATTATCTACAGTGTCTGTCAGATTATAATATGAAAGTCAAGTCCACCTAGATTGGTTCTTATTCTTTTCCCCATTCACAAAAGTTATATGAATCATTTACATAATTCAGTAATTATAGACCAATCCACTAAATAGTTTACTGATTGACAAAAGTCATCTTAAGCAAGCATTATTATTTTAATATTATTCTCTGAGGTATTCTTTCTGAGAGAAGCTCTTCATTTCAATTATTCTGTCATTGAGTTCAACACTATAGACTTGGTTGGCACCAAAGAAATGTTGTCTGGCAATTTGTTAAAACTTAAAGTAGAACTTAAAGGAAATGGAGCCAAATGTGGTGGTTTACAGCTGTATAATCCTAGCACTTTCAGAGGCTGAGGAGGGAGAATCACTTGAGCCCAGGAGTTTGAGACCAGCCTGGCCAACATACCAAGATTTCGTCTCTACTAAAAATAAAAATAAAAAAGTTAGCTGGGCATGGTGGCATGCACCTGTAGTCCCAGCTGCTCAGGAGGCTGAGGCAGGAGGATTGCTTGAGCCCAGGAATTTGAGGCTGCAATGAGCTATGATCACATCACCGCACTCTAACCTGGGTGACAGAGTGAAACCCTGTCTCAAAAAAAAAAGTGAATGGACTTTGCTTCTTAGTAGTTTAGTAAACAAAATCTGCTAGTGAGCAGAGAAAATGTTCATTTGGGAACTGAATTCTTTTTTTAAAAAAGCTTTTTAGATGCCCAACAACAATAAAAAGAATCATTGTGTTATGTGATACATTCATATAATACAATGCTATACAGCAATCAAAAAGAATGAATTACTGCTACATGAAACAACCTGGATGAATCTCACAGAAATGGGATATAGATTACATAAAGCAAAGTCCACCAAATTTTAAGTATACAATTTTTACGTATGTGTATAACCATGTACCCATCATTCTGATAAAGATGTGGAACATTTCTGGCATCCCAGAGGGTTCCCTTTTATCCTCTCCCAGTAAATGCCCCCCCGCCTCCGCCCCACCTCTCCAAGGTAACCGAACCACTATTTGACTGTAAGTTAGTTTTGGCTATTCTTATACACGGAATCATGTAAAATGTACCCTTTCGCGTCTGGCTTCCTTGGCTCTGCTTTACTCATCCATGTTCTGTGTAGTAGTAGTTCATTCTTTGCTGAATAGAATTCTGTTATATGAATGTACTACTATTCATCTTCTTTATTTTTGATGGATGTTTCAGTTTGGGGCCAATATGAATAAATCTGCTATGAACATTGTTGTATCTGTCTTTTGTTAGACATTTAAGTATTCATTTCTGTTGGGTTATATTACCTAGGAATTGGAATTGCTGGGTTATAGGATATATGTTTTCACTTTAACAAATTGTGCTAAACAGTTTTCCAAAGTGTTTGTACAATTTACATTCCCACCAGCAATAGATGCAAGTTACAGTTGCTCTGTATCCTTGTCAACACTTGGTATTGTGATACCTTTTAATTTTAGTGGGTGTGTAGTGAGATATCGTTGTGGTTTTAATTTGCAGCTCTGTGGTGGTGTCAATTGCCTCATATGTAATTTTTTTCAGTTATTTTAAATTTTCAGTTATTTAATTTTTCAGTTATTTTCTTTATTCAGTATGAATAAAATCAATATCACTTTTTGTATTGGACGAAAGTGCTTTTAAAGTCAGTATTAATTAAAACCTCTTCAAAGTCAATTTATTTATTTTTGAAGACAAAAATATTTCTTTCTCCCACCACAGCAATATTTAAATGTGGAATCTATACTTGTAGTTGAGTAAATCCATTTGTGAATAAGATACTTCCTTTAAAGGGGCCTTAATAGATTCACTAATAAATATGTGTGAAATATGTTTTAATGTATTGAAAGCACTTAGTGCCTGAAACATACTAAGTGCTAAAGTTATTTTAAAATAATTAAAATATACTTTAAAAAAAAAATATATATATATGTTTTGCCTGGAGAGAATACCTGTTGTCAGGACACCCACTTCTCATTATGCCTCTGCTGCCAATAACTATGTGGGTTTGGACCATTTTTTGCTATCAGTAACATGAATGCTTTTAGTTAGATGATTTCTAAGTCACATTGTAGGATTCAGTAGCTTCCTTTTTGGTTAGAATGGAAAAAACACTAGACCGGTAATCAGTCAATGTAAGTTATTTACACTTGTGGACCTTTGCTTTGTTTCATGACTCAAAACCCAATAAGAAGTATCTTTCCCCTCCTCCTCCTTTTCTACCCTTCCTCCTTTAATAGATTTCGATATAAAATTGCAAGCAATACAGTAATTCCTTAAACCTGGAAATTAGCATAACCAATATAAATTTTTTTTAAAAAACGTTAAGTTACTAAATTTTTTATACTAATAAACTGTAGACCTTGAGTTATTCTTCACATAACTGTACTTCACTGTAAGTACAGTGATGTTTTTCATAACTAGAAACTTTTTCAACCAAAATTAAACCGATATCTATATCAAGTTGCAGAATTTTCACAGATTTAATTTTCTCAGAGTGATTTTTGTTTGCATTTCTAAATCCTAGGTAGTCACAGAATATGATTCACCCTAATCTTATTTCCTTACATTTTGCTTTATGTTATTAGGGTCTTTTGCTTGTTTTGCAGTAATATTTTCTATTGTATACTTTGAGTAGCATTGGTTTTTTTTCTTCAGCAATTTTTACACCTTACTATCAGAGCTCATTACATTTTCTGATAAAGGCTTATTGAGATTCAGACTCAAACTCATATAGATTCTATTTTAATCTTATCTTTGCTTCTGGCTATTGCCTCTCTTCTGGTGTTTATTAAATAAAACCTGATGAAATCCTATCATATCAAAATATTAGTAGTAGTATTAGTGGTATCAAAAATATTGTTTTCTCCATGCATACCAATTGCAGAAGCAGTGAATAGCGTGGTTAAAAGCCTGGACTTTAATGTCATGGGCTTTAGAGTCAGACTACAGGATTTGAATTTTGGCTTCTCTTACTAGCAATGTGACCTTAGGAAAGTTCTTGAACCCTTAGTTATATTGCCTGTAAAATACATATAATAAAGGCACTTATAGGATCATCATGATGATTAAATGAAGTAATACTACACATAAACAGTGTCTTTGAACAGTGTTTTTGCACTTTGTAAGTGTTCAATAAATGTTAGCAATCATTATAAATATTATTACCTTTAGGGTTTTGTGAAGATTAAATGGGATAAGTAAACTGTATATCTAAAGGCCTGCAATATAGTGCACAATTAACATTAGCTAGTATTACTACCAAAAATATTCTCTAGCTAGCTGGTTTTACAGAATTTCTGTGTGTTCTAGGTAAAATTGCAGTTTAGGACCATCATCCATCCCTCCTGACACCAAACAAAAAGTGAATTTGTAATTAGAATATTTAGTACTAAGAAAACATGGACATCCAGGCTAAAGCTCAAACCTTTTAAAAATTATAATGTAGCTGCAATGTTATTTGCACATGAAAGGAAACAGAAAGTGGTGTTAGTAATTTTAAAGATAAATTTTTTCTTGAATAAGGTGTGATGTTTAGTTCCTAATAACTTTGTCCTGTGACCGATTAAACCCATCAGTAGGTTGAAGGTGTTCAGGGCATGGTAATCTGAGACTGAGGCCAGTCATTTTCTTAGACAGAGAAGCTATAAGAAATCCTATGTAGAAATTACTTAGTATCACACTAATTTTGATATTTGCATCACTTAGATGTCATTTACTTTCCTATTATCTGTGCTCCTGCCTGGCCTCCCTGCCATCTCAGTAATAGAGTTCCTTGCCTTCTTCCTAGTCATCAGGACCTGCATCTCTGCCTTGTTATTTCAAGAGGTTGAACTTGCTACTGATTTCATTCCTCTGAGAGACTTAAGTTCTTGCCTTGGCCCCATCTACCCATGATTGGGTTCCCTTTTACAAAGCTAGGCTCCCACAAAGGAAGACACTCACCTATCTGAAATTGCCAGGGTCATTGAGCACTTTTGAACAGGTGTAGGCACAACTTCAAGAGGTACCGTTCACATAGATGACATACAGCTGCCCAGCTGTATGTGGTGGCTCAGTGGCCAGTTGCCTATTTCTCGAACTATGGTTGATCACCTGCTGTGTTCCTGCTTGGTGGTCTTCATTAGACAGCTCAGGCTGAGATTCTTGCCCATGTTTGTGGTCTTCAGTTTTTTTAATTATGTGATCTCACCTGCTTTTATCTTGCTTCTGGTTAATTTATCTCAAATTTCATGGCCATCCATTGCTCAGTGTGTTGCCTCTACCTGGAATACTTCCCTACTTTATCTCATAGGAATTATCCTTAAAATTCTAGTTCAGAAACCTCTCATCTATAGTGTTTTCCCACCTCACATAACTGCAAATTTTTTTCTTATTTTGATTTTCTTTAATAGTCTATTGCTATTATATGTTTTTCTTAAGACTATGGATTTTAAGGGCAAGGCCAATGTTTTATCTTTATATTCTCTGTAACTCCTGTATGGTGTTCTGCTCATAATAGATGTTAAATGAATATTCGTAGTATGTCTTGATGAAAGTGCTACTTAACAAAAGCAGGCAAGTCAAGGTATGCTAATGAACTGAGAAAGGAGAGGCTAGAAACAAGGAAAATGACATGATAAACTATTGCAGTGATCTGTACATGAGGTGATAGTAAGTCTTGCGTATACTCAGTGTCAAAAGAAGTTGAGATGTGTTAATTATATAAATCAGTGGGGATGACCATGAACATAATTAAATGGGGGAGGGGAGGAAAGGGATTGATTAAAGCCAGAGGATGATGCAAACTGGATCCTACTTCTTACTTTTAGAAGTTTATATCAAGTGTCAAGAAAATAAAAGTAAGTTCAAATTTAAATTAACAGTATTCTACATTCAGTGTAATAATGTTTAAAACTATGTAGAAATGGATCCTTAAAAACCTCTCATTTAGTCTTTCTAGAGCTGTCATAATATTTGATGACTATAAATGTAAATTCCATTTAATGGTGAAATTTCAACAAAACTGGAATGAGCTATGGGATTTTTCTTTTGCAACCAGATAGACAAATAAATAGGCAAAGAGAGTTGAGATTATTACTCACTTTTGAAAATCATTTGAAATACTTTTGCACTCCCTTCCCAAAAAGCCTTTTGAGAGCTAGAGTTATTTATTTTTGGAGCATCACATTTTGACAGATTTTTGCACATTCTTCAGTGGTCATCACATGAAGAGATTTAGCTTAATTCCTTGCACAACTAACTTGAAGTCGTATGATACCTAGTTGACCTTAATTGTGTCTTGTTCAGTCCAACAAATGCTTACTATGTCTCATGCATAAGGCTATGTGCTCTTTATTCTCAGGGATAAAAAGAAGCATAAATCACTATTTGTACCATCTAGGGATTATATTCAAATGAAGAACACAGCACACCTGTGCCCTATAGGGATATCACAATATGTACAGTGATACATGCTATAATAGAAGTGCAAGCAGTAAGGCAGAAAAGGAGGAAAAAGATTAATTAAACTGGATACTGTTCTAATAGCTTGATCTGACCTTATTGTTTATAATATCTAGGTAACACATGGAAGCTATTTCTGGATTCTTGATGGTTTAGATGACTTATCACAAGATAACCAAAGTTTGTTTATGTCATGGTTTAGAAAGACTAAATCGGTGTAATGTTGTCCAGGAAGCCCAGACATGTTGCCGATAGGACAGCATTGCAGCATTGCAGTTGACCTTCATCCTTACAAACACGCTAACTGGATTTTTCTTAGGATACCCACAATACCAGTTGCTTAGCAATGGACTAACACTAGCTATGTTTATCTGTTTCTGGTATACAAAAGTCTGGCTGCCATTTTATCCACTTCTATTAGGGTCTAGGAAGAGGTGAGTAATATGTATTTCTTATTTATTTTTTTTTTTTGAGATGGAGTTTAGCTCTTTCGCCCAGGCTGGAGTGCAGTGAAGCAATCTCAGCTACTCGGGTTCAAGCAATTCTCCTGCCTCAGCCTCCTGAGTAGCTGGGATTACAGGTGCACACCACCATGCCTGGCTAATTTTTTTGTATTTTTAGTAGAGACGGAGTTTCACCATGCTGGCCAGGCTGGTCTTGAACTCCTGACCTTGTGATCTGCTTGCCTCTGCTTCCCAAAGTGCTAGGATTACAGGTATGAGCCACCGCACCGGGCCAGTAATGTGTATTTCTAATTAGGACATCCCTTCTTTCAGATGCCAGTTTGCAGGTTACTTGATGAACATAAAATCATAACAGGTAAGTGGGTCTAATTACCTAGATGCTTGGAAGATGCAGAAAATATCTTTCTTCTACATAGTGTCCTAGTTAATGGAATTCTTTTGAGCCCTGTAAGTGCCCTTGCTGAACTCTGTTTTCTGGACTAACCTTTTCACATTCGTTCTTTCCGTTAAAAATACCATTTAAGCTACAGTCTAGTTGCTGTTTCTGAGGGCCTGGAAGAATTCAGCCTCATCCCATTAAGTGTAGGTGTGTTTGACCAGCTCTCTGTCCTCTTAGGCCCATCCCTTTATTACAGTCTGTACTTTAAGTTTTAATGTTTATAATTAGGATCTCGTTTATTCTTTTCTGGTACTCCTGAATAACCACAGTTTTACTAACAATAACGTAAAAATATTTCAGCCACTACATGAGCCCCATTCAAAAAATTTGTTTCAAGTTAGTTTGTTGGCTGGAACTACAGTGGCACTAATATAACACTTGCTCCAAGATCTATGATCTAATGCTTTAATCACACAGGATGCATCTAGTTACTCAAATCAGAGATTCTAGAATCACCCTGAGTGTTCTCAGGTAATTGCTCTGTCTTGTCAATTTTGTCTCTTGCTTATCTCTTGAATCATTCCAGTATTCTCCATGCCCACTGCTCAAGCTTTAATTCTGGCCTGTGTCCTTTTTCACCTACACTATAGAGTAGCCTGCTAACTAGTCTCCCTATCTCAAGTATTGCCCTAGACCATCTTTACACTGCAATTGTGTTTTCTCTAAAAAGATTTATCATATAATCTTAAACTTTTTAATCCTTTTATGATATCTTATATAAAAGTTCAAATTCCTTAGAATAATATACAGACCCTTACTATTTAGATTTTGCCTATCTTTCCAGTCCTTTCTCCATTCTCCTATTGTATACCTTTTACTCCTGCCATGCTGAACTCACTTCCAGAAGTAGGGTTTTTCTTGCCATCACCATTTTGCACATGCTGTTTCACTCTCTAGAGAACTCCCATGACCATCTTCCAGGTAGATTTCTATTTATTTTCAAGAGTCATCTTAGACATTCCTTGCTCCAGGAAATCTTTCTTATGCTCCCAGACATAATGTGATGTCTTTTTTGTTTCCATTCCTATGTCTAATAACACATGCTGTCTTAGAGTAATTAATTATTTGTGGATTCACCAATGGACTTTGTACTTCTGAGAGATAGAGACAATGTCTCTTCCTTTTTGTGACTGTCACAGTACTAGAACATAGTGATAATATTTCTTTTGAATGAAGTAGAGTAGGCACTTGACATTCTGGATTTAATTTCCTAGCTTGCAAGCAACCTTGAAGATTCATCACTTGTACTAATTTGTATTATAATTTGCAGAGGCATAACTTTGACGCAAGTGCCCTATGGGGTTGGTATGTAGGAATGAGTCACTAACCTTGTGAGAATTCTAGCCAGCTACTTGATGCTGCCCTTTCAGAGTGGCTTTGCTTTTTTCATTATGGAAATTGTCAAGGTTCTTTTATTAGTTTTCATACTGCTATAAAAACATACCTGAGACTGGCTAATTTATTAAGAACAGAGGTTTAATTGGCTCATGGTTCTGCAGGCTGTACAGGCTTTTGCTTCTGGGGAGGCCTCAGGAAACTTAAAATCATGGTGGAAGGCAAAAAGGAAGCAGGCATGGCCTTCAGGTGGCCAGAACAGGTGAGGGGAGTGGGGAGGTGCCACACACTTTTAAACAACCAGATCTTGTGAGAACTCTATTATGCAACAGCACTAGGGGAATGGTGCTAAACCATTAGAAACCACCCCCCATGATTCAGTCACCTCCCACCAGACCCCACCTCCAATAATGGGGATCACAACGCAACATGAGATTTCAGTAGGGGCACAGAGCCAAGTCGTATCATTCTACCCTGGCTCTTCCCAAAACTCATGTCCTTCTCACATTTCAAAACAATCTGGCTTCCCAATAGTCCCCCAAAGTCTTAACTCATTCCAGCATTAACTGAAAAGTCCAAGTTCAAAGTCTCATCCAAGACAAAGCAAGTCCCTTCCACCTATGAGCCTGTAAGATCAAAAACAACTTAGTTACTTCCAAGATACAATGGGGGTACAATTCTCTCATTCCAAAACAGAGAAATTGACCAAAATGAGGGGCTACAGGCCCCATGCAAGTCCAAAACCCTTCAGGGCAGTCATTAAATCTTAAAGCTCCAAAATAGCATTTGATTCCATGTCTCAAATCCAGGCCACACTGATGCAAGGAATGGGCTCCCAAGGGATTGGGCAGCTGTGCCCCTGTGGCCCTGCAGGTTACAGCCCTCACAGCTGCTTTCACAGGCTGGTGTTGAGTGCCTGAGGCTTTTGCAGGCACCCAGTGCAAGCTGTCAGTGGATCTACCATCCTGGGGTCTGGAGGACCCTCTTCTCACAGCTCCACTAGGCAGTGCCCCAGTGGCAACTCTGTTTGGGGGCTCCAACCCCACATATCCACTCTGCAGTACACTAGTAAAGGTTCTCCATAGGGCTGTGCCCCTACAGCCGACTTCTACCTGGACTTTCGGATGTTTACGTACATCCTCTGAAATCTAGGTGGAGGCTCCTAAGCCTCAACTCTTGCCCTCTGCACACCTGTTGGCTTAACACCATGTGGAAGCCGCCAAGGCTTGTGGCTTGTACTCTCTGGATCAGTGGCCTTAGACATATCTGGGGCCCTTTTAGCCACAGCTGGAACTGAAGCCACTGAGACAGAGGGTGCCATGTCCTGAGGCTGCACAGATCAGTGGGTCCCTAGGCCTGGCCCACGAAACCATTTTTCCCTCCTAGGCCTCCAGGCCTGTGATGGAAGAGGCTGCTGAGAAGGTCTCTGAAATGGCTTGGAGGCATTTTCCCCATTGTCTTGGTTATTAACATTCAGCTTACCTTATGCAAATTTCTGCAGCTGGCTTGAATTCCTCCCCAGAAAATGAATTTTTTTTTCTACCACATGGCCAGGCTGCAAATTTTCTGAACTTTTATGCTCTGCTTCCCTTTTAAATATAAGTTCCAGTTTCAGGTCATTTCTTTGTTTATGCAAATGAGCATAAGCTTTTAGAAGAAGCCAGGCCACACCTTGAATGCTTTGCTGCTTAGGAATTTCTTCCACAAGATACCCAAATCATCTCTCTCAAGTTCAAAGTTCCACAGATCCCTAGAGCAGGGGCACAATACCACCAGTCTCTTTGCTAAAGCATATCAAGAGTGACCTTTACTCCAGTCCTCAATAAGTTCCTCATCTCTGTCTGAGACTACCTCAGCCTGGACTTCACTGTCCATATCACTATAAGCATCTTGGTCAGAACCATTCAACAAGTCTCTAGGAAGTTCCAAACTTTCCCTCATCTTCCTATCTTCTTCTGAGCCCTCCAAACTGTTCCAGCCTCTGCCTGTTACACAGCTTCAAAGTTACTTCCACATTTTCAGCTATCTTTATAGCAGTGCCCCACTCCTGGTACTAATTCTCTGTATTAGCCCATTCTCACATTGCTATGAAGACATACCAGAACCTGCATAATTTATTAAGAGAAGAGTTTTAATCAGCTCACAGTTCTGCAGACTGTACAGGCTTCTGCTTCTGGGGAGGCCTCAGGAAGCACACAGTCATGGCATAAGGCAAAGGGGAAGCCGTCACATTCTTCACATGGCCAGAGCAGGAGAGAGGGGGTAGAAGGGGGATGTGCTATACACTTTTAAAAAACACCAGATCTTGTGAGAACTCTATCACAAGACAGCACTAGAGGAATGGTGCTAAAGCATTAGAAACCACCCCCATGATCCAATTATCTCCTACCAGGCCCCACCTCCAATACTGGGGATCACAATTCAACATGAGATTTGGGTAGGGACAGAGAGCCAAACCATATCAGTTGTATTGTAAAATTTTAGTTACAGGATGAATTTATTCCATTTTCATGGACTTTTTATGAAACTTTTCGTAACCTGCATATTCATTTCAATAGTTAAAAGGAAACACAGCATGGAACTCTTTCTTACTCTTTGGTTTATTTATGCATGATATTCCTCTGTAGAGAATGTATATAAATTGTTACTTGGTTTGTATCATTTTCAAAGATTAGCAGGCTCAATAGTATTTCCGTTGTCAGTGAATTTCATCTTCCAGTTTTAATTTAAGTGTTCTCTTTCTAACACCCTTCCCACCATTGTTTTGTTTTATTTTCACTCAGAATACAGTATTCCTCATCTTGCCAAACACAGATCCCTCTACCCCTTTTCTGAATTTCTTCTCCCACTTTCACAGAGACCTGTTATCCTCTTCCATAATTTCAGCTACTCCTTCCCCACTGACTTTTACCCTTCAGCATATTAGAATACTCCCATCTTAAAAATAATCAAAACAACTGCCCTCTAATCATTGCCCATTTCTAACTATTTCTCAATACTTTTCCTTTTCATCACAAGTGTTTTGAAGAAATGTTCAGAGATCATCTCAAATTCTTCATCATCTCTGCTGTTTTCTTAATTCATTTTATCTGACTTCTACCCCTACTACAGTGAAACTGTTTTTGCCATGAACTCTAATGATCTACATATTATTAAAATAGTGACAGTCTGCTACTGGATCTCTGCATGTTTTGATTCTGCTGACCAATCCTTCCATGGTTTGTCTGACACCATTTTCTCTTGAATTTCTTTCTATCTGTTCTAAGTTAGTCTACTCCTCAACTACTGGTATTCTCAGCATTCCATTCTAGATCTTATTCTTCCCTCACTCTACAAAATTTCTACTTGGTGATCTTATTTACTCCCATGGCTCCAAAATCACTTCTAAAATTATTACTTTTTTCTTTGTCTCTCTTTCTCTCCCTCTTTCTTTCTCTCCTTCCTTCCTTCCTCCCTCCCTCCCTTTCTTCCTTCCGTTCTCTTTCTTTCTTTCCCTCCCTCCCTCCCTCTCTCTCTCTCTCTTTCTCCTTCCTTCTTTCATTCCTTTCCCTCCCTCCCTTCCTCCCTCCCTCCCTTCCTCCCTTCTTCCCTCCCTCCCTTCCTTCCTTCCTTCCTTTTTTTCTGAGACAGAGTCTCACTTTGTTACCTGGGCCAGAATGCAGTAGTATGATCAGCTCACTGCAGCCTCAAACTCATGAGCCAAAGTGATTCTCCTGCCTCCCCAGTAGCTGGGACTGCAGGTTCATGCCACCATACTAGGCTACCTTTTATTTTTTTGGCAGAGATGGGTTCTCACTATGTTACCCAGGCTGGTCTCAAACTCCTGGCCTCAAGTGATTTCCCTGCCTCAGTCTCTCAATATGCTGGGATTACAGGCGTGAGCCACGTAATGCCCAGCTAAAGTTATGAGTTTCATATGTTTTTTTACTTGGGATTTCTTTCCTGAGCTGCCATCCCATATATTCAACTGCATTTTCCACAGCACCTCAATACTGTGTGTGCAAAACTCAACTCCCCTTTCCCCACTGTATATGCTTTTCTTTCTGATTTCCCTTTTCCTCTTCCTATTGTAATTCCAAGACCTTATTTCTTTCCTCCAGAATTGCTTCATCACTTCCTAAGACTGATTCCGGTCTCATCTGACATTTAATCTTCATCTTCATCACTGCTCCCAAAATGATTTCTTTTTCTGAAACACATCTTTATTTTATTCCTCTGCTTGAAACATTTCAGTGCTTCCCATTACATTCAAGATAAAATGTATTTAAGTATATGTACACAGTGTATTTAAGTCAATTTATGATCTGGCCCCAGTGTTTCTGTGAAACCACAACTTTTGCCTCTCCTGTGTGCTAGTCAACTTTATATCAGGTCTCAGGGAACACTCTACTGTCTACCTTCCATGCTACCCACTTTCCCCCCTCTGACCTTTTCCTCCTGTGCAGTTCTCATTCTTGAAGCCTGATGTCACTACTTCCAAGCCTCTGCTTTTCTTCCCCATCCACTCATCTGACATTGCTATTCATCCTATTTCGTATTTCTTTTATAGCACTGACTAATTCAACTATAATGGTTTCTCTGAGTGTTTCCTAAACTATAAGCTTTCTGACAGCAGGAATTATGTGCTTTATCTTTGTATCCTGACAAGTAGAATGTAACTGTGGAACATATTTAATAAAAGTTTGTTCGATGAATAATGTCTGTATTTAATTTACTTCAAAAATAATCAATAGTACCTGCAATTACAGTGGTTTCTTTTTCATTGTATAATGCAAAATAGGTTCACCCTTTTAAAATGGCCCCAACTCCTATATGAACTTAGAGATATGAGAAAGTACCTCAGGGTAAATGTAACTACAAGTGATAATAATATGATAAAGCCTTTGCAATACAATTCTGACCTGAATTACCCAGAGGTAAGCTAAACTTCACAGGTGAAGGGCATAGTTCTCCACAAGACTGCCCTCATTTCAGACACCAGCCACAAGCTTGGGGGCTTCCAGGGCTACTCTCACTTCTGATCAGCTGTTTACAAATACATGAGGATAGCTACAAACCCTTCAGTTTCAATCATTAACAAGAATTATTAGACTTACAGAATACAGGAAAGCACTATAATTATGATAAAACTTTTATTATATCAAAAAGAGTACATATCAGAACCAGCCAAAAGAAGAAACACTTATGAGGTCTGGGATGGCCCAAATATGAGGGTTCCATGTCCTCTCTCCATGGAGTTAAAATTCATCATCTTCTGGTAGATTGTTGTGTGACAATTGCTAACCAGGGGAGCTTACCTGAACCTTGGTGTTTGGAGTTTTTATTGGGGTTTTATTATGTAAGTATGATTGACTGACTCATAACCATGCAGTGGAACTCAACCTCCATACTTCTTCCCTCCCTGCAGGTCAGGCTGGTATCACATGGCTGAAAGTACCAACCTTCTAATTACATGGTTGCCCTTTCTGGAATGTCCAGCCCCCATCTTGAGTCATCACATTAGGTTAAACTATCATTAGCCCACCATAAATAATGAAGACACTCTGATCATGGAGAAATTTCAAGAACTTACAGTCTCTCTCCTGGGGACCAGGGACAAAGGCCAGCTACATGCTTTTTTTTGTTTTGTTTTGTTTTTTTGAGATGGAGTCTAGCTCTGCCACCCAGGCTAGAGTGAAGTGGCACAATCTCTGCTCACTGCAACCTCTGCCTTCTGGGTTGAAGCGATTCTCCTGCCTCAGCCTCCTGAGGAGCTGGGATTACAGGAATATGCCTGTATTTTTGTACTTTTAGTAGAGACGGAGTTTCACCATGTTGGCCAGGCTTGTCTCAAACTCTTGACCTCAAGTGATCCGCCCACCTCAGCCTCCCAAAGTGCTGGGATTACAGTACCTTCTTTACAATAACAGCCTTGATCACCTAAAATAAAAAACATATCTGACCATCAAAACTAAAATTGCAAAACCTAAATTATATTGGTAGTCCAGAATTCTTGTTCATTTATCTGTTTTAATCATATGATCATTAAGAAAAGTCCAAAGAATTTGGAATTCATGTACAGATTAGAAGTCTGAATGGCACTATAAAATTGAGTTGACAGCATTAATTTCCATTTGGAAAAGTCTGCTAGAGGTTATTCATACAGGAAGAATTTATCAGAATTTGCAACTATCTCTAAAGTAGATTACACATATTTTATTTGGTGAATGTTTCAGAAATTGTGTTAGTGTGGACAGTTAAGAAAATAAAACTGAATGATCCTTATAAAGCTGATGGTCTGTGAAATTCTGCCTACATCAAACAGATTCAATAGAGTAATCTTTATCCATTAAGTGTTATTTCCTATTATTTGATATTACTGATTTAATAAATTTAAAATCTATTATTTATAATAGACAAGTATGTCTAGGTTTCATTTACAATTAAACTAATTAAATCTTGATTAAAGTTTCTGCTTGCATTATAGGTATCCTAAGTAGCCCAGTTAAACTCATTGTACCAATAGTGACACTTTCTTATTAAGAAAGCCCGAGTGTAAAGTATAATTCCTGGGAAGGAATTGAAAAGTCTCTCTAAGACATTAACCTCCAAAACTTTGAAAAATTATGTAAGGTAAGAAAAGAGGGTGGACAAACACAGTGATTTAAGTAATGTGAGTAAAAATCACTTGTGATTGGAGGGTCACTGTTTCTAGCAGGATGGCAAAATACCCTGTATAATTCTGCTACTGAAAATGGCCACAGATGCTGGAAGAAATATGTAACTGAGCTGAGAAGAAATTTAAGAAATTCACAGGTCAAAAGCAAAATGAATACAGAAACCCAGAGAGATAAGGTAGGACTCAAGCTGCCTTTTCCAGGGATTTGTGCAAAATCCTCTTTCTTTACCCTGAGCTCAATTTGCACATTGAGGGAGGTGACAAAGTCTAAAGCCTACCGAAGAATCTAATGATACCTCTGTTGTAAAGAGATCTGTACCCAAATGGCTTTACCAGCACGTTTGGGGTGAACTAGAAATAAACCTGTCTCACAAAAGGGGACAACAAGAAACACTGACAGAAACAACTTTCTCTAGGCCATGGGACAGCAAACTATAACCCCTGGGCCAGATCTGCCTACTGCCTGTTTTTGTACAACCCATGAGCTAAGAATGGTATATATATCTGGAGTGCAGTGGCGCGATCTCCACTCACTGCAAGCTCCGCCTCCCGGGTTCACGCCATTCTTCTGCCTCAGCCTCCCCAGTAGCTGGTACGACAGGCGCCTGCCACCACGCCCGGCTAAGTTTTTTGTATTTTTATTAGAGACGGTTTCACCGTGTTAGCCAGGATGGTCTTGATCTCCTGACCTCGTGATCTGCCCGCCTCGGCCTCCCAAAGTGCTGGGATTACAGGCGTTAGCCACCAAGCGCGGCCTTTTATATTTTTTAATGATTTAAAAAAATAAAAACGACAGTACTTAGTGATGTAAAAATTGTTATGAAATTCAAATATCAGTGTCCATAAATGGAGTTTTGTTAGAACACAGTCATGCTCATTCAGTTATGTGTTGTCTGTGGCTGCTTTCACACCATAGCAACTGAGCTGAGTAGTTGTACAGAGACCATAATGCTTGCAAAGCCTAAAATATTTGCTATCTGGCCTTTTACAGAAAAAGTTCACCAAACTCTGGTTTAGGATTTATAATGGTTAGAAATAGTTTGAGTTTTCTTCAGATTTAGTTCGACTCTCTAACCCATGTGATAATTCTACATAATCCTTTGTTTAAGTAATAGATTCAAAATAAACAATAGCACAGTTATTGTAAAGGCAAAGAAATAGAAATTAAATTACTTTAATTCTGCTATTCTTTGTGACCACTTTGAATCTTTGTGTTTAAAACTTTAAAACAATGAAATAGTGCAAACTTTAAGGTATAATACATGTTTGATCTAAAATTTATTCACAAAATATCTTACTGAATTTTTATTTTAGTAGAAATACATTCTTATTCATTAACTATTACTTTTTTAAGCTAAAGAACAAATTTAAAAACAATTTATTACAGAGGGCAAAAAGCACTAACCCTAAAAGAAAAAAATTGATAAATAGGGCTTCATTAAAATTAAAAGATGCTTACCAAAATATATTGCAAGAAAAAAGTCAAGCCAGAGATTGAGATAAAATATTCAAAATATGTGTATCTGACAAAGGACTTACATCCAAATAAATAAATTCGACTGCTTAAAAATACGACAACCCGGTTTTTAAAATGACTTGAATGACACTTCACCAGAGAAGATATATTCATGTATGTAATCACAGGAAGAAGGTGTGCAGCATCATTAGTTATTAGAAAAATGCAAATTAATATAACAAGGCTAAAATTAATTCTCATACATAACTGGCATAGTGTAAAATGGTGAAAGGACTTTGGAAACCTGTTTAGCAGTTAATTGTCGTATACTCTGTGGCCTAACTCATTTGACTCCTAGTATTTATTCAGAGAAGTGAATACATGTGCTCACAAAAAGACTTGCACAAGAGCGTTTGTAGCAGTTTTATTCGTAATAGCCTCAAACTGAAAGCAATGGAAATACCAATCAGAAGGAGAATGGATTAAAAATATATGTGCGATACAATCATGTGACAGAATACTATAAGCGATTTAAAAATGATCAACTGATACAATCTGAAAGATGACTGAATATCAGAAAGATTATATTGATCAAAAGAAGCCAGATGCAAGGGAATAAATACTGTTTGATCCTGTTTATGTGAAATTTTATAATGTGAAAGGCAAAACTAACCTATGCTGATGGAGTAAGTGGTTGCCTACAGGGGTGAGGCTTGATTGGAAAGGTGCTCTAGGGAAATTTCCAGGATGATACCCCCCTTTTTTTTTCCCAAGACAGGGTCTCACTCTGTCACCCAGGCTGGAGTGTAGTGGTACAATCCTGGCTCACTACAGCCTCGACCCAGGTTCAAGCAATCCTCTCATCTCAGCCTCCTGGGTACCTGGGACTACAGGTACAAGCCACCACACCTGGCTAATCTTTTTATGAAAATTTTTTTGTAGAGATGAGATCTCACTATATTGCCCAGGCTGGTCACAAACTCCTGGGCTCAAGTGATCCTCCTGCCTCAGCCTGCCAAAGTGTTGGGATTACAGGCTGGCCACTGTGCCAAGCCCCAGAGTGATAATCTTGATTGGTTATTGGTTATATGTGTGTATCCACTTGTCAAAACCTATCCAGTTTTGCACTTAAGATTGCATTTCTGCAGCCACAAAAAAGAATGAAATTATGTCCTTTGCAGCAATGTAGAGCTGGATGCCATAATCCTAAGTAAACTAACTCAGAAACAGAAAAACAAATACTGCATGTTCTTACTTATAAGTGGGAGCTAAACAATGGATACACATGGACATAAAGATGGAAGTAATAGACACTGGGGACTCCAAAAGGGGGAGGTTGGAGGGGGACAAGTGTTGAAAAATTACCTATCGGGTACAGTGTTCACCATTTGAGTAATGGGCATGTTAGAAGCCCAATCTTCACTAGTATGCAATATACCATGTAACAAACAAGCACATGTACCCCCTGAATCTAAAATAAAATAATAAAATAAATCTGTGCATTTCACTGTGTAAATTTATTAAGCAAAATAAAACAAAAACTTGGTATTCACATAACTTACAATCAAAATATTCCTAGGACTAATCTAGAGCAAAGATCTTGCTTAGCACTTTAGTTAACTAGTACCTCTGGATACCATTATACATATTGCATTATTTTTTAAAATGGCATGTTATGTGATAGGGTAAAAAATAATTTCCAAATGGAAAGCTGCTTGTCTAAAAATAAAATCAATAAATCATGTTCTCTTCAATTTACCTTCATCATAAATTAAATGCCTATAACTGAGTAATAAAAATAAAGGATACAGGAGATCAGCATCAAACTGTCAAGTCAAAATTAGGATCATGAGAGGAGCGTACTATCAATTAGATGTTTTATGTTCATTATCTCAGTTAACCATAATAATAACTCTGGTAAATAGGTTTAAGCTCCCTTTTACTGTTGAGTCTATTGAGGTTTAGAAAGGTTAAGCAGCTTGATCACAGACACAAAGCTAGTAAGTGTCTGACACTCAGTTTTTGAACCTAGTTCAACCGATTTCAAAATTTAAGCTCTGTCCAGAGTACCCCATATTTCAGAGATCAGTGAGAAGGGGATAGAAAAGCAGTTTAGGATTTACAGGCTGAAATACAGTAGGGTCTGAAGGATAGATCATTCCAGTAAGGCCTAAGGGCCTGGACTACTTGACTGCCCCTTCAGATATCTCTTCCACTGCCAGACCCAGGCCTCCAAGTAATCTCTGCACCTCATCATTTTCCTTTGGGTGCCCTGAAATTCAAAAGCTGGCCCATATATCAGTAGTTCAGCTACACTTGTACCGATGTGATCCATCAGTACTGAAAATAGAGATGAGCCAAGGGGAATAGTGAAGGTAAATCAGTGCAATACATTCCTCAATAGCGGAGGAATATACTGTGTTTCTATATTATGATAAAGAGTAGTGGAAGAGAAAAGCAGAAAAACAAAGGACAAATGGGAAGGTAGACTTAAAGACAGTTGAAAGTATACTGAAACAGGTGTATTTTTCTATGAAGTCTAGCTTTTTAAAGAAAACCATGTTCTAATGAAAAGCAGTGGAAAGAATTATGATATTAAATAGTTGCTGACTCTGAGACCAAATATTGGTATTTGTGCAGATCTTGAAAGAAGTAAAGTGTGGCTTATTGTTATTTTAGGTAAAGTATTAAGAATTAAATAAATGTTTTGAATGTTTAGACTAATGTGGAATATATGAAATGCGCACCAGCACACTTTGAGGAAATGCTTAGTTCTCAGAGTGAAGCCTGCCCCAGTTAAAGCATTCTGAATTTATTCCTAACTTGTCTGCCACTCGCCTTAGACATGCTTTTGGAGACTCAAATGTTACCATCTAGTAGATGAGAGGTTTGGACTATATATGTTCTAATAATAATAACCACTATATTTTATTGATTATCTTCCATATACTAGGAACCACACTAGATGTTTTAAGTTTTCACAATTGGGGTGTGTGTGTGTGTGTGTGTGTGTGTGTGTGTGTGTGTGTGATATTGCCTATCTTATTAATGAGGAAACTAAAATTCAGAGTGTTAATTCTGGGATTTGACCCTGACTCTATCTGGTTCCAAAGCTTTTAACCACTGTGTTATTTTGCCTATCTATGGGTCCTTCAACTTTAATATGCTAAGTTTCTATTTCCTTGAATCAGATCAATAAATAGATTAAAGTTAGATGTAAATCCTTGAAAGTCAGAGGACTTGATTATTGTCTTACTTTTATCTTTATCTTCAATGCCAACTACATTTTAGGCCTGGCTGCATTCAAGTGAAAGGAACCAAACAGATTAATCATAATCTTTGTAAGGAGGATTGTATTTTATCATTGCATTTTGGTTGCCACCACTCATGCGGTCCTCTTTCCACCATGTTTAGCATGGTATTTTGCATGTAATGTACACTCAGCAATTTTTGACTGATTACAAATAGAAAAAGGCTCAGAAATGATCAGTTCTTTTTGGTAGAAATTAGACTCAGTGCTTTCATCCAAACACAACAGCTGTTTAATGTGGAGGACTGATAACAATAGCTGTAAGTCTGAGGTTAAGAGTGACCTTTCATAGCCAGGAGAGGCTCAGAAAGGTCACTCTTAACAAAAGAAATATTTTGTAAATTTTAATTTATAGAGCCGATGGACTTTCTCATGAATGCTAGAAGAAGCCTCTCAGATAATAGTTTTGGCCTTAGGGAGGCCCAAATAATTTGTGTATATATTTTTAGTTAAGAAGAAACATACATAAGATTATTCTTACTGAATAGATATTAAGATTATGTGTCAAAAAACTTTCTACCAATTGTGAAAGTTAAGTATTTTAGATGGCATTTTTATTCCAAGTAATAGTTCTTCTTGACTGCATTAGAGACAAATGAATATTTACCTTGATAAACAACCAATTTAAGTTCTATTTAATCATGATGAAATAATCCTATGCACCCATTTGTCCTAAGTGTACTCTATATGAAGTGTGTTTGTTTTTAATCAGCCAGACTTTAAGTATGACCACTTAACAAAACTGGGTATGTCACAGATAGTTGCAATCTTTCCTGATACCAGAAAAGAATATAGATGACAGCTAACTTTTTAAAGTAATATTATTTGATAATGAATATATTTCCATGTCTTTATACAAAAAAATTAAAAAAAATTTCTAGGGATTCTCTAATATATCTTAAAGTATTACTAATAATGTCTAATTTGTCATCTGTGACATGAAACTAATTTCCATAATGCTTGGCATCTGAACAGCCGTGACTGCACCTGTTGCTGGGTTATCCCCTCAGGGAGTGGTTTTAGCCCTGGGGGAAGACCCAAATAATTTGGTGGTAGAAGGAAGGGAAAATGGTTTTTAGAACATTTCAATTATTGTTTCTACAAATGTATTGCAATAATGTCCTTACTCCCTCAACTCCCTTTCATTTATCAGCTCATTGCTATCCTGCTTCCTTCTCTAAACTATACTGAAGCAGATCATGCTAGGTCACAATTAACTAAGTGTCAAATTCCACGAAGAAATTTAGGCTCTTAACTTATGTGACCTCTTAATAGGGCTTGACACGGTTGATCATCTTGATGATCTCTGCCTTTTGGCTTCTCTGATCCCTTTCTTCAAGTTCTCTGCCCCTCTGACTACTACTTGTCAGTACAGACAGTCCCTGACTTACAACAGTTCAGCTTATGATTTTTAACTTTATGATGGTGAGTGATACATGTTTAGAAAAGGTGTGCTTTGAGTATCCCTTCTTTTCACTTTCAGTACAGTATTCAGTAAATTACATGAGCTATTCAACACATAAAATAAACTTTGTGTTAGATGATTTTGCTCAACTGACAGCTCATTTAAGTGTTCTGAGCACATTTAAGGTAGGGTAGGCTAAGCTATGATGTTCAGTAGGTTAGGTGTATTAAATACATTTTCAACTCAAGACAATTTCAATTTATGATGGGTTTATTGGGACAGAATCCCATCATAAATTGAGGAGCATCTGTATTTCTATACCTTTGTTTTCCTGTTAATTGTTAGATTTGTTCTTTACTCCTGTGAAAGTTAGTCTTATGTGTCAACTTGTCTAGGCTGTAGTATTTGGTTATTTAATCAAACACTAATCTAGATGCTGCTGTGAAAAGTATTTTGTAGATAAGGTTAACGTCTACAATCAGTTGACTTTAAAAGAGATAATGCAGTAGGTTGTATGCACTCAGTTGGAAGGGTTTAAGAGCAAAAACTGAGAATTCCTAGGGAAGAAGAAATTTTGTCTCAAAACTGCAGCATTAACTCCTGCTTGAGTTTCTGGGTTTCCAGCCTGCTGATCAGCCCACCTTAAAAATTTCAGACTTCTTGCCCTACAGGTTTCAAACTGTCAGCCCCTACAGCCACACAAGCCAATTCCTTTAAATAAATCTCTTTAAAAAAATACACACTCTCATATACGTATACATGTACAGATACAGATCAGATACAATTATGCCCTAGTATTTATGAGGGATTGGTTTTATGTCCTCCCTACGATACCAAAAGCCAAGGAAGCTCAAGTCCCTGATATAAATGGCATAGTATTTGCATATAACCTATGCACATCCTCCTGTATAAATCATCTCTAGATTACTTATAATAACCAAGACAATGTAAATACTATGTAAATATACCATATTATTTAGGCAATAATGACAAGAGAAAAAAAGCTTGTACATGTTCACTACAGATACAATATTTCAAATATTTTCAATCCATAGTTTTTTGAATCAGCAGATGTGGAACCCACCAATACGGAGGACCAACTACATTTGTTCTGTTCTCCTGGAGAACTCTGATTACAAATCCTTTTATCATTTTATTCATCATGCACTGTCTATATAATTCTTCCGTTTCACTTCTTCAACTATGTTCATAGTATATCTTTTACCTCAGAATATTTACCTCAGTCTTTTTTTTTTTTTTTTTTTTTTTTTTGAGACGGAGCCTCACTCTTTCGCCCAGGCTGGAGTGCGGTGGTGCGATCTTGGCTCACTGCAAGCTCTGCCTCCCGGGTTCACGCCATTCTCCTGCCTCAGCCTCCCGAGTAGCTGGGACTACAGGTGCCCAACACCACACCCGTCTAATTTTTTGTATTTTTAGTAGAGATGGGGTTTCACCGTGTTAGCCAGGATGGTCTCGATTTCCTGACCTCGTGATCCGCCCGCCTCAGCCTCCCAAAGTGCTGGGATTACAGGTATGAGCCACCACGCCCGGCCAGTCTTTTATCTGAACTCCTAATCAACATTTTCAACTACTATGCATCCCTATATTGATGTCCCAATCCCATCTTAAATTCAGCATGTCCAAATGAAATGGTTTTTTAAATCCCCACCTCAACTCCCTTCTCTCCCTATTTCCAGTCTCAATTAATGGCAACTCTACACCTAATTATCCTGTGTAGAGATCTCTGAGCTATTCTTCATAACTTTATCTGAACTCTGAAGCAGCTGAAGTTTTTTGTACTTGGTTGAAAACTGTTCCCCCAAAATCCATGTCCATCAGGAATCTATGAATGTGACCTTATTTGGAAACAGGGTCTTTGTAGATGTAATCCAATTAAGATGAGGTCATGCTAGATTAGAGTGGGCACTAAATCCAATGACTGGTATCATAAAAAGAAGAGGGAAATTTGGACATAGAGACACACAGAGGGAAAATGGCTATGTGAAGAAGGAAGACGAGACTGGAGTGATGCCACAGCTCTAAGCCATGGAATACCAGGGACTGCCTGAGGCCACTGGAAACAAGAGGCAAGGAAGGATTCTTCCCCAGAGCCTTTGGAAGGAGCATGACCCTGCAGACACCTTGATTTCAGGCTTCTGTCCCCTGGAATTGTGAGAGAATAATTTTCTGTTGTTTTAAGCCACCCAGTTTGTGGTAATTTGTTACTAGAAAACTAGTACAAAATTCATAGTCCCTTCATATTCCTCATTTTCCTTGTTTTAAGGAAGACTTAATTGTACCTTTTAAAATTTATTTTTACTTATTTTAGAGACAGGGTCTCGCTATGTTGGCCAGCTTGTCTTGAACTCCTTGCCTCAAACAACCCTCCTGCCTCAGTCTTCCAAAGTGTTGGAACTACACAGGCCTCGTATCTTTCATAATAAAATTCTTTCATTAAATTTTAAGAGTCCACTAAGATCTTCATGAGCTCTTTTCCCTCCTTTTTCACTTTACTGTGGGATTAATCCAAAACCCTTTGCCCTTCTCTTCATTCTTTCTCCCACTGGGACCACTCCCAATCTAGTGATTTTAATCACTGCTTCTATGTTAACTTCTAAACCTAAATTTCCAACTTTGACCTATCTTTTTACCTTTAAATCCTATGTTTTCAGTAACAGTAATTTTAAATTCTGTATTTTAAAAAATATTATAGGCATTTTTCTAGCAAGAGCCACATAGCCACTTAGCCCGTATGCTAAAGACTTTACATACATGTTAAATATTCGCAAAAACCTTATGAGGCCATTACTCTTATTATCCCCCAATTGAAAGATGAGAAAGTTGTGTAAGACACTGAGTGGTAAAAGAACTTGCCAAAGGTACGACAGTCAGTAAGTAGTGGAGCTGGGATACAAACCCACCATAGTGCGCTTTAAGCACATAGGCAACCCAGACCTCTTTGAGAATATGGTGAAAACTATGGTCGTTCACCACAAAAATAATACAAAAAGTTTCCTATAAAATATTAGAAAGTTCATACATCTCTTAGAAGTCTTTATGGATCCCAGGTTAAGAACACCTTTACTGGATTAGCCGGGTGTGATAGCACATGCCTGTAGTTTTAGGAGGCTGAGATGGAGGATCACTTGAACCCAGGAGTTCAAGACTGCAGTGAGCTATGAGTATACCACTGCACTCCAGCCTGGGCAACAGAGCAAGACCTTGTCTCTAGAGAAAAACAGAAATTGAACAAAAAACATCTGTTTTGGAAAGAACTGAGTCACAATAAATATAATAGTAATAAGAAAAATATAGCTAGATTCAATGGTCTAATTTTCTTCATCAGTTTGATTCTCCAGGAAAGTGTAATTTATTTTAGCAAATTTAGTAGATCTTTATTTTAAAGAAAATAGTGAACATCATGCTTATTCATTTGAGCATGTAGTGAATGACAAATGTAGTGAATGACTCCAAATCCAGAAGGGAAGACAAAACATGTAAACCAAAAATTACAATATGATGCAACAGTTATGACAAGAACAATAATCTTTGTGAACTGTGCAGAATAATATGAAAGAAAAGTACTGTGTTGAACACAGAGATCAGGTAAAAAATTACTATAATCAGGTAAGAATAAAATCCATGCAAGAGATGAATATGGAGATTCTAACCTAAGGCAGTGGAAGTGGTGAGAAAGGATTAAATCCAAGGGTTACTAAGGAGGAAAATGCCGTCCGAGTTTAGTGGCTGATTAAGTCAAGATGAAAGTGAGAAAGGAATGAAGAACAGCTCATACATAGGATGATTAGGAGTAGAGATGCCATTAACTCAGATTAGAAATAAGGAGAGAAAGGAGTGAGGTGGGGAGAAAAAAACATTCCATTTTGGACACATGATAAATTATACAGAAATAGAGATTCAGAAATAGATATATAGACACAGATATTATATAGTTATGTAACCTAAGCATATTTTTAGGCAAAAGTGGGTGACAGAGGGAAGGTTATCAGGTATAATTGTGAGGGGGTTAGTTGGATAGGAGACAGCATACCTGTTTCTCTGAAATAAGGGGACAGACTGCATTCAGCAGTTCCAGTAACAGTTCAAGAAACAAATGACTATTATTAATCATATATTATTTAAAATAGTATCCACTTGAGTGTTTGTCTGATTTTAAGTTGTAGATGTCAGTTACATATTTATCCAAGAGATCCATTTTTTTCAAAAGCAAATCTGAAAAGCTTATAATTAAAATTGACTGTAGCCAACATGTTGGAATCCAAAGTGTATTTGATAATTTTCTTACAGAAAATGTTTTAGGCCCACCAAGGAATTTAGTCTAGTGTAGTTAGAACCTATAATTTCACACTCTTTCAGAGTAAGCCTACTAAAAAATAGTTCTTTTAATAAAAGTGTGCAAGTGATTAAATCCTAGTCAATTACAAAATGTGTATTTCTGTGATGGCATGTGTATTTCAAAGCTTTGAATGTTAAAATGCAACTTGATGCTCTTCCTTAGCATGGTTAAATTCAGCATGATATCACCCTTTGTGGGAGTCTTCATGAGGGTAAATACAGCTTAAATAAGTGAAGTTTCCTGGTATTGAAATGGCTTTGTTTCTGTGGGTCTTGATTTAGTTTTATTTGTTTATGCAAATCAATGAATAAATATACATCCATGGAGACAATATATTCAGATTATACATTTATATTTAAAACCTTTCTTTCCAACTTTTTATTTTACAGATTTGTTCAACTTACTTTAAATCACTAGAATGTAATTAAACACTGCCTTCTCAGCTGGAGAAAATAGGCTGTTCTCACATGGTTAGGCTTTGTTAAATAACAATAGATTTAAATAAAACTTCAATATACTAGAATATGTTTCTTGAGATACTATATGGCTTGATTTTATAATATTAAGATTCAAAACATTGGCATTTACAGTTGTGAGGGACCATAGAGGTTATCAATTTGTGTCCTTTTTCAGATCAAGAAATGACAGTTCAGAGCAGTAGGTTACCCAGAGCCAAGAATAATTATATAGTGGATTCTATATGCCAAGCTCTGCTCTAAACAGTTTACATACATTTTATGTATTAACTTATTAATTCTTAAATTCACCATTTTACAGATGAAAAAATAAACATTCAGAGGTGAAGTCACCCAAGAACCCTCACCTAGTAAGTGATGGCCCTGGGATTTGAACCCAGGTATTCTTCCTTTCAGTCAGTGCACTTAACTATGCTCCCAGTTTCTACAAAGGGCAGTGTTGAGACCCTGAAACCATTTAACCTTCTGATATGGTTAGGCTTTGTGTCCCCACCCAAATCTCATCTTGAATTGTAATCCTCATAATCCCCACTTATCTAGGGAGAGACCTGGTGGGAGGTGATTGGATCATGGGAGTGGTTTCTCCTATGCTCTTTTTGTGATAGTGAGTGAGTTCTTATGAGATCTGATGGTTTTAAAGCATCTGGTATTTCCCCTGCTCATGCTCTTCTGTCTCCTGCCACTATGTGAAGAAGGTCCTTGCTGCCTCTTTGCATTCTGCCATGATTCTAAGTTTGCTGAGGACTTCCTAGCCATGTGGAACTGTGAGTCAAGTCTCTTTCTATTATAAATTACCCAGTCTCAGGTATTTCTTTATAGCAGTATGAGAACGGACTACTACTACTATTACTACTACTACTACTACACACACTCACATATGTTAGGTGTAATATACTGATTTTGTTGAATTACATTTATTTATGTAAATGCCAATCTCTTTCACTGGACTGAGACGTTCGATAGATCTTCGATAGCAGGAACCATGTTGTATTCACCTCAGTGAAGAGTTCATTACTTGGTACATAGTAGGTGCTGCATAATACTTTTGGATAAATAAATGAGCCAATTTATATATGAAGGATTTTTAGGAAGGTGAGTCTAGAGGTAAGGAAACAAGTTAGATGGAGAGTGATCTCTCTTTGGGAGGTAATACAAAAGTCAGGTGGTGAAGTGATTTTGTTAAGGGAAAACATTGAACAGATGAGAAAGACATTGCAAAGATTGGAGTTGGTGATTGCTGTGAGTGACAGAGAAATCAAAACAACTATATGACCAGTTCAGTCTATCACAAAATTTATTAATTTGATTAATCTTTTCAAAGTTGGGCTGAAAGAAGATATCTTGTCTTGTTTGTTCATTTTCTATGCATTGAACTATACCATAAATTTTGTCATATCCTTCCTTCTGCTTATTTTAGGTTTCATTTGTTCTTCTTTTTCTCATTTCTTCAGGTATATGCTTAAGTCATTAATTTTAGAACTTTCTTCTTTTTTAATATAATTATTAAATGCTATAAATTTCCCCCTAAGAACTGCTTTAGCTATGGTTAATGAGGTTTTGATGTTTTCATTTTCATTTGATTCAAAAAAAATTTTTTGAGACAGAGTCTCACTCTGATACCCATGCTGGAGTGCACTGTTGCAATTATGGCTCACTGTGGCATCAACCTTCAAAGGCTCCGGTGATCCTCCCCCATCAGCCTCCTGAGTAGCTGAGACTACAGGTGCATGCCACCATGCCTGGCTATTTTTGAAATATATTTTAAATTATTTATGATTTCTTCTACAGCCCATGATTGTTTAGAAGGGTTTTTTTAAGTTTCTAAATATTTAGAGATTTTTTCAGATATCTTTCTGTTATTAATTTTTAGTTTAATGCAATTTTGGTAAGAGAAATAATCTATTTGATTTACTTTTAAAAAATTCATTGAGACTTCTTTTGTGACCCAAAATCTGTTTTTTCTTGGTGAATGTTCCATTGGCACTTGAAAAGAATGGATATTCTGTATTAGTTAGAGTGTTCTATATATGTCAATTAGGCCAAGTTGATTGATAGTGTTGTTTAGGTCATCTACATGCTTAATGATTTTTTTTCATTTACTAGAGAGAAGTGTTAGAATATCGAACTATAACTGTAGGTTTATATATTTTTCTTTCAAGTTCTGTTAGTTTTAGCTTTATGTATTTTTCAGCTCTGTTATTAGATGCATGTACTTTAAGATTGTTATATTTTCTTGATTAATTGACTTCTTTATCATTGTGAAATGTCTCTCTATATCTACTATATCTCTTGTTCTGAAGTCTATTTTAGCTGATAATAATATAGCTACTCTGCCTTTCTTTTGAGTAATATTTACAAGGTATATCTTTTTATATTCTTTTCTTTTTAACCAATCTCTGTCTCTATATTTAAGGTGGATTCCTTGTAAACAGCATATAGTTGGATCCTGCTTTTTCAGAAATCCAGTCTGACATACTTTAAAATTATAGTGTCTAGAGCATTTAGAATTAATATAATTATTGATACCATTTGTTTTATGTCTACCATCTATTTGTTTTATATTTATCTCATCTGGTCTTTCCCTTTTTTCTCTTTTAAAAAACTTATTAATTGGGTATTTAATTTCTACTATTTGACGATTTTTTTTAGTTGCTGATTTATTTTTAGTACATATCTTTAACTTGTCATAGTCGACATTTAAATTATAATACTCCTCCTATCCTTTATGCTCTTATTATGTCACACATTTTAAGGCTATATATGTAGTATCAACCTCATAATACATTATTATTTGCTTTAAACAGACATAAATATCTTTTTAAGAAATTAAAAATGAGAAAAATATTTTTTATATATATTCACATATTTACCATTTCTGTTGCTTGTCATTGTTTGCTGTAGGTCCATATTTCTATCTGGTATCATTCTTCTTTGGCTGCAGAACTTCTTTTTACAGTTGGGTGGGTGTGTGTGCGTGCACGTGCACATGTGTACCCGTGCATGTGTATTTGTGTGTGTGTTCATGTGAACGTGTGTGCTGGACTGCTGGTGATAAATTCTCTTGAAAGAATTCATCTGAAAAAGTCAATGTTTTCCCTATGTATTTGAAAGATATTTTTACTGGGTCAGAATTGTAGGTTGACAGTTTTATTTTGTTCTGTTTCCTTTCAGCACTTTAAAGAGGTCTTTTCATTATCTTCTGGTCTGCATGGCTTCTGATAAGAAATTGGCTGTCGGTTTTGTCTTTGTCCCCCTGAATATAATGTGTCTTTTTTCCTCTGGGCATTTAAGATGTTCTCTTTATCACTGATTTTCAGCAATTTGATTATGATTTGCCTTAGAGTGGTTTTCATTGTTTCTTCTGCTTGGAGTCATTGAGATTCTTGGATATATCTGAAAACTTGATTTACGTATTTTTTTTCTGGTTTACTAGCTGTTTACAGTGAAAGTGCAATGCCCATGGCAGATGTCTTAGTCTGTTTGGGCTGCTATAACAAAATGCCATGAACTGATTGGTTTATAAACAACACAAATGTATTTCTACAGTTCTGAAGGCTGGGAAGTTCACAATCAAAGTGCTAGCAGATTTGGTGTCTGGTGAGGTCTGCTTTCTAATTCATAGATGGTGCCTTCTCACTGTGTCCTTACATAGTGGAAGGCATGAGGCAACTCTCCGGGACTTCTTTTATAAGGACACTAGTTCCATTCATGAGGGCAGAGCCTTCATGATTTAATCTACCTACCAAAGACCCACTTTCTAATACCATAACATGGATGATGAGGTTTCAACATATTAATTTGGGGGAAACATGAACATTCAGATGATAACAGCAGGTAATATTTCATGTGTGGAATCAGAAGTCTTATTTTGTTATTATTGGTAGAAGATGGCTTTTTCACTTATAAGTCATAAACATGTTATTAATTATGTCTTCCAAAATTTTCAGATTTTGTTGTCAAATTTGAGAAAACTTCTCTCATTTTTTCTTGACTTAACCACATACTTTCAGTGCCCGACACCAAAGGACCTGTTCATATACCATGACCACCTCTGGCCCTGCATCTTTGTGTCATGATTCTAGATGAGTCAGTACTCAGGGTGATAGAAGTATTGCTAGAAGCCAGTCTTGAATTTTCTTGGCTAGTTATAATATAACCATATACAAGACTCTGCAGGCCTCATAAGCCTATCCCATTAAATCCAAGCTAAATATATACCTAACTCAATCTCCATTTAGCTGGATCTTTGTTGTTGTTTTTTTTTTTTATCTTAGAAATGGGGTCTCACTCTGTCATCCAGACCAGAGTGCAGTAGCTCAATAATAGCTTAATGTAACCCCAAATCCCTCGGTTCAAGCAATCATCCTGCCCCAGTCTCTCAAGTAGCTAGGACTACAGATGTGTGCCGCTACACCTGGTTAATTTTTTAAATTTTCTTGTAGAGAAGGGGTAACACTATGTTGCCTCGACTGGTCTCAAACTCCTGGCCTCAAGCAGTCCTCCTGCCTAGGCCTCCCAAAGCACTGGGATTACAGGCATGAGCCACCATGCCCAGCCAGGTGGATATTAACATTCATGTAGCCACTCCAACATACCTACCATGAGGAGAAGTAATGGAAAAGACATAATGAAAAGAGACGCTGGTATTAATTGATTGCAGTTAATATATCTTACTGTTACAAATTGTACAAAAGTGTATGATCACTAAATATAATGCTGGTGTTTCTCTCTGGGCCTTGGGAGGGGCTTGTGCAGAGACGCCCTGTCACTTATGTTTCATTCACTTTACACTAATTCTGCTCTGACTTTACCATTGTTGTTTTAAAAGCAGGATCATTCTGTGTCACACACTAGTATAATCTTGGGCTGTAATAGAAATTGTTGTTCAGCACTGAAAACAGGAATGAGGAAACGTGCTGTTAATGTGTCTCTTACTTCAGCTATCTGATTCTGACAAAATCCAAGTCAGTACTCAGTTATATACTGTTTCCCCAGCCTAGTGGAAAAAAAAATTGAGTTTAGTAGAGATTTGGGTTAAAGAAAAGGAAATCCCTTTTGCAGTTTAGAGGTCTTAATGATTGGGGCCGGGCACGGTGGGTCACGCCTGTAATCCCAGCACTTTGGGAAATCGAGGCAGGCAGATCACAAGGTCAGGAGATCGAGACCATCCTCGCTAACACGGTGAAACCCTGTCTCTACTAAAAGTACAAAAAATAGCCAGGTGTGGTGGCGCATGCCTGTACTCCCAGTTACTCGAGAGGCTGAGGCAGGAGAATGGGGTGAACCTGGGAGGCGGAGCTTGCAGTGAGTGGAGATCGCGTTACTGCACTCCCCAAAAAAAAAAAAAAAAAAAAAGAAGAAAAAAAATAGAGGTGTTAATGATTACAAAACAAAAATAAGTTAAGCAAAAATTTTGATTCAAAAGTAGAAAGTGTATATTTCATTTCACTTTTGTACTTAATAAGTGGTATAGTTCTCACTTGTTTGTTGTTTCATTTGTTCCCTCAGTCTGTCACTTATAAATAATGAATATGTAAACTTGATTTTCACAACTTGGTTTGCTGCAATATAGCCCCCCAAAGTAACTGGGCTTTTATTAGTTTTTATTGCAAGTATTCCAGTTTTAACAGCTTTGATAGCAACTATATCTTAATTTTTTCTCTTATAAAAATGCTGAGAATCCCTTTTCATAAACAAGTGTTTTTTTTAAAGATAACTTTATCAACATGGCAACAGTCTCTAAGTTTCAGATGTGGTGCTACTTAGTCCCTTATAAAGAACGAATGGGGTCGGGCGTGGTGGCTCACACCTGTAATCCCAGCACTTTGGGAAGCTGAGGCGGGCAGGTCACAAGGTCAGGAGTTTGAGACCAGCCTGACCAACATGATGAAATCCCATCTCTACTAAAAATACAAAAATTAGCCAGGCGTAGTGGTGTGTGCCTGTAATCCCAGCTACTCAGGAGGCTGAAGCAGGAGAGTCACTTGAACCTGGGAGGTGGAGGTTGCAGTGAGCCGAGATCATACCACTGCACTCCAGCCTGGGTGACAGAGCAAGACTCCATCTCACAAAATAAAAATAAAATAAAATAAGGACAAATGGAATTCTTTTGCACACTTAATAGCAGCACCTAGACTATAGTCATGTCTGGCTGCTGATAGGAGGTTTAGAATCCTTTTCCTGTTTTGAATGTTCATTCCTGCTTTGAATTGTTGATTAAGAGAACAGATTTATTGACAGACTTCTGCTTTTGATTTCAAGTATCAGTGTTGATTGACTGTCTGCTGTAAGCATAATAGTGATGGATATAAAGCCACTAGTAATACCCTTCAAAATAATAAGATTTAAATACATTAAAAGATACAATGCTGAGGCCGATTTCAGACAAGGGAGAGATCTCTATGACCTAAAGATTCTAGAACTCAAGCTGGGCTTTAAGGTTGAACAGAATTTGAAGAAGGACATTCTATGGTGCAAGCAGAAACACCTAATAAGAGTAAAGGCAAAGAGGTAGGAATGTGCAGGTCTTATTTAATTTTCTTTAATTCAACAACATATATCAAAAGCTTATTGTCTTCCGAGTATTTTTCTAATTAAAAATACAAAAATAAATATGGAATAGTCTTTACCCTCTAAGAATTTAATAATCTAGGAAATGGGAAATGACATTGACAAAACTACTACTAGATAGAGGATTTCTATGAATAGAATTTATATCATAACCTTTTATTTAAAGGTTGCCTGAGCAACACACTTTGGGTCAGAAAGATCTGGGCTTAAAATTTAGCACTGCCTCTTCTTAGCTATGTAACCTTCAGCTCCTTTGAGTTTACTTTTATCTGTGTCTATCTTCCACTGTATTTCACACATACAACCTGAAGCTCTTCATCAGCAAACTCATTCCCACCAGGTCAGAGAGAATTTCACTGCCAGCTGTACTATCAAGTAAATGGAACCTGGACTGTCTTTCCCACCATAGGCTTTGTATCACGTTGCTCCTTACCAAGGCTACATTAACCCAGTCCAGATTCCTGGGCTCCAGTTCCTGATGTCTGTCTACAGTCATTGCCATCCTGCCTCACCAGCTAAATTAACTGGCCCTGACTCTTCTCAAAACCACATCTACACTTACCATTCTTTTCAAAGTAGCTCATTGGACTACTCCAAAATATCAGGATGCTATCATTTCAGTTTTCTTCCACCTCTCACTCACGAGGTAACTGTCTCCTTTTGCCCAGGACTCGGGATTCCTGGAACTTGGGAATTTCAGTGCTAAAACTGGGAGAATCCCAGGTGAAACAGGATGAGTTAGTCATCCTAACACTAGCCTGCTTCGGGCCTCTAGCCCTTGTTTCTGAAGTGTCGACATATCTGCTGCTTAACCTAATCCAAGTTTGGCAGTCTTCTCAATTTTTTGGTGGGGACGGGGAGGTGGGATGGGGTCTCATTATGTTGCCCAGGCCAGCCTTGAACTCCTGAGTTCAAGTTATCCTCCCACTTCAACCCCCTGAGTAGCTAGGACTACAGGCGCACATCACTGCACCCAGCTACCTTCTTAATATTTTGAAGGTCAAAAGACATTCATATGACAGCTGATTCCCAAAATGTATTAGTTAGTACTGAGAATGCCAAGCCAGTTTAAAACTAAAAGCAATAGCAGGTTGCAAATTAAAACTTCTTGGTGCTCAAAAAAAATTAAGGACTTGGAACGGCAGCCAGATGGCTGGGGTGAAAGGTTTATATGATGTCATAGATAAAGCTGGTAAGTGGGTTTGACCAGGATCCCTTTTCTGTGTGTGTACACATGTGCAGATGGGCATGCACGTGTGTGTACATGAATATGAGGGAGAAAGTTAAATGCTATGAACAAATTTTGGAAAAATCAGATTGTAGAACTAAGATAATAACTGGATATAGCAAGGAAGAGCAACTTAACTAGGAAAATGGATTAATTAATAAATTATTCTCAAATTTATTTTTATCATAAATTTAAGTAAGCCCTTGGTTCCTTTTATTACGTTTCTATGATAATCTAGTATAAGAGAATACCTGATATAAATCCAAAGCAGGTGATTGGTTATTTCTAACTTAATATATCAATATTTCACAGGCAAGTCTGAGATGCATCAAATAATTGTCAGAAATAGGGAAAGAAAGATGAGTGGGCCGGGTGCAGTGGCTCATGCCTGTAATCCCAGCACTTTGGGAGGGTGAGGTGGGAGGCTCACTTGACCCCAGGAGTTCAATACCAACTTGTACAACATAGTGAGACCCTGTCTTTGTTTAAAAAAAAAAAAAAGGATAGTAGAAGCATTTATTTAGAACATTTGTGCAATTGATATTTTTAAATTAAAATGTTTTAGAAACTTTTGATATTCTTTTTCTTCACAACTTTATAATTGGTCTTGCATTTGATGACTTTAACTAAACATCAATAAACATATTACAAAATGTTTAAATAAATTTTATTTATTTAAATAAAATAAAATAAACATATTACAACCACAGATTTATTTCCATAACTGATTTTATAAAAAGTTCCCTTAAATAGTCAATGAAATGAGTTTCCTAACTTAGAGCGCTTTTTTTCCACTCAGAACTAATTAGCTATGCTTAAGACTTTCTCACAAGAATTTCTCTACAGAGGAAACAGTACTTTCACTTTGAGGCTCTCCACTAGAATAAAACTATCTATGGGAAGGATCATGTCCCCTCTACCATCCCCATTTTCATATAGGCTTTTAAATGTTCACATATAGGCTATATGTTTCATATAGGCTTTTAAATGTTTAAATCTGTTGGTGTTCACAGAACTGCCTTTTCTAATGCAATGATTTTGAGGCAAGATGATTTGGGGAGACAAAACTACAGTTTTACTAAGTAAATTTGGGCTTCTAAGTCAGTAACAAAGGGCATATCAGATATTCAAAAAAGTAAATTCTGAATGTATAAGTTCAGGGGGTTTCTATTACCATATTAGTCCTTAGCTGTTAATATACCACAATAGAGACAATTCATACTGAGTATACAGTTACAGATAAATTGATCAAATTCATTCACTCAATAAATATTTATGGGGTACTTTCTATGTTTAAGAAACATTTCTAATCACTAGGAATATTGTCAAAATATTAGCCCTGTAGAGTTTACAAAATGGCTAGTAGAATTTACAAAAATCTCTAGCCTTTTAGAATTTAAATTCTAATAGGGCAGACAGACAAAAAACCCAAAAGTAAATAGTATGTCAGATGGTGATACATGCTATGAAAAATTAAAGCAGCCTGAGAAGGTTAGGGAGTGATCCACAGTGGATGGGGCAGGTATGCTGCTTGAGATATGGTGTCAAGGAAGGCCTCTCTGAAAAGGTGATTTGAGCAGAGACCTGAAGGAATTGAAGGAGTGAGGGAGTGAGCCTTGAAGGTATCTGAGGAAGAGCAGATGAGGTAACAGCAAGTGCCAATATCCTGAGGCAGAATTGCTGGGCATATTCAAGGAATAGCAAGGAGGTTAGTTTGGTAGGAGCAGGATGAGAAGGGAGAGAGTGGCAGGAAATGAGATTAGAGAGGTGGGGGTAGGATGGCAGATCTTGTCAGGTTTACAGTCTACAGAAGATATTTTGGGCATTCAGTCCCAGGGAGATGCCTTTAGAAGTAGAAAGTTGCATTTTTTTTCTTCAATTTTTATTTTGAGCTCTGGGGTACATATACAGGATGTGCAGGTTTGTTACATAGGTAAATATGTGCTATGGTGGTTTCCTGCACAGATCATCCCATTGCCCAGGTATTAAGCCCAGCATATATTAGCTATTTTTACTGATGCTCTCCCTCCCTCCACCCCCTGAACAGGCTCCAGTGTGTGCTGTTCCCTTCAATGTTTCTATGTGTTCTCATCGTTCATCTCCCACTTATAAGTGAAAATATGCAGTGTTTGGTTTTCTGCTCCTGCATTAGTTTGCTGAGTATAATGGCTTATACTTCCATCCATGTCCTGCAAAGGAGGTGATCTCATTCCTTTTTATGGCTGCATAATATTCCATGGTGGATACATGGAATATTACATTTTCTGTATCTAGTCTATCAGTCACTGATGGGCATTTGGGTTGATTCCATGTCTTTGCTATTGTGAATGGTGCTGCAATAAACATATGTGTGCATGTATCTTTATAATAGAATGATTTATATTCCTTTAGGTGTATACCCAGTAATGGGATTGCTGGGTCTAATGGTATTTCTGCTTCTAGATCTTTGAGGAGTTGCCACACTGTCTTCCACAACGGTTGAACTAATTTACACTCCCACCAGCAGTGTAAAAGTATTCCTATTTCTCCACATGCTCGCCAGCATCTGTTGTTTCTTGACGTTTTAATAATCGCCATTCTGACTGGCATGAGATGGTATCTCATTGTGGTTTTGATTTGCATTTCTCTAATGATCAGTGATGTTAAGCTGTTTTTCATATGTTCATTGGCCACATGAATATCTTCTTTTGAGAAGTGTCTGTTCATGTCCTTTGCCCACTTTTTAACGGGATTGTTTTTTCTTGTAAATTTGTTTAAGATGCTTGTAAACTCTGGATATTAGATGTTTGTCAGATGGATAGATTGCAAAAATGTTCTCCCATTCTGTAGGTGAGGATTGCATTTCTTAACTAAAATGCCCTCAAACCAAATTGTCACAATACTGGCCTTAACCAAGCCATTTATGCCCGGTGTTCCATTTTTTGATTGCCACATAACATTATGTGAAACACAATAAAAACTTTTTCTCTTCAAATTCTTGTTCCTTAAATTTTTGCAGGTTACATATATGAATTTTATGCAAAAATTCAAAAAATTGCAACCTCAGGCATAAATGGGTTATGAAGACTAATTTCTACTTTAAATTATTTTTCAAACTTAGATGGATCATCCTATAAGCATATTAATTCAATCTTGGAAAAGACTTGCCTGGTAATATGGCAGAAGCTCTAGTTGTCAAAAAGTCTTAGAACAGCTTGACTATTTCTCAGGTTTTCCATCTTTCACATCTCTAAAATGTTCAGTGCAAGTTTTTAGTGAAGCAGAGCTGATATTTTTGTAAACTTATGGTATATTATTGATAATTTTCAAATAAGAGAAAATCTAGTCTATTAGCTAGAATAGTTTCATTTACTTCAATTATTTATTCAATAAACATTTACTTTGCATTTATTATATTCCAGAATTGTATTAGGTCCTCAAAATACAAAGATATAGAAAGGCTTTTTCCTCAAAACAGATTCGTAAATAAATAATTGCAAGATGATATGGCAAGTGCCTACTATATAGTAGTTGCTCATTAGATACTTGTTTAATGGATGAATGATGGTAGGACCAAGAATGAAATGATTATCTTTGTCCGAGGAAGTCAGAGAAGGGGGAAGGAATCACTTTTGACCATTAGCTCCACGGGAAAATGGGGAAAGGGCATTATCTTGTTCACTCCAGCATCTAGCATAGAATCCAGCAAATAATCAGTGCCCAGTAAAAATGTATGGAATGAATAAATGGATGAGTGAATGAGGGGATGATTGAACAATGTCTAAGGCAGGAGTAAAATTTAGGAGGCAGGAGCACATTGCTTGTAAAGGGAACAATGTATACAGAAGGCACAGAGATGTGGAAATGTATTATTCCATTCCAGTAATAATTTTGGATTTTCATTTAAAGTACTCTGTCACATATACACTAGAGACATAATTGTTGGTACACATGCTTCTTTTTGTGTATTTCGTATGAATCTACTTGCATCTAGAAATTTTCTACAATGCTATTGGTAGATGTATATATATATTAGCCAGATGAAATATTTATGTTTTTAGCACAGAAACTTGTGTTGCCACAACTTATTTTAAATAGTATATTTATAAGCAAGAACAACTCTGAAATCAGAACAGATAACATTGTCCTAATAATACAAAGATTAATTCACAGAGCACATTTGGTGGGAAAAAAATTATACATTTTGCCACATAGTAAAGAGTATTATCTTGTCCATTAGTTGTGCAGTTAAACCTTTATCAAGGTATAACAAGCCCTCAAAGTGATTTCAATTGAATGACAAAAGGGATGGAATAAAATTCATTTAAAACTGGTTCACACCAGCTCTCCTGCGTGTTCTATTAACTGCTAAGATCAAGTCACAAAACATTATTTTGAGGAGAAAGGGTTTAGTGAACCCTAGAAATTGGGTTTGATTTATGCCAGAAAATCTGCCTTTTCACTGCTTGAGATTTCTGTGGAAGAAAGCCACAGTCTTTTACCAAATGGTTTCTAAGGAAACCCCTTATAGCACAGCATTGGAAAACAATTTAGTTGTTAATGAGAAATGGTTCTCACGGTGGGAAAGTGTTGACTGAAAGAAAAGGCTTCTGGAGTTAGCGGTCAGTCTGTAAAAAGTGTTTACCGCTCTACAGTTAACGTTTATGAAATTTCTACATAGAGCAAACATTTTTAGGTCCCATTTTGCAGTTATTCTCGCTTGTAAATATATTTTTTAAAGAAGCTAGGGCAATAGAAAAGTTTTTGTCTAAAAGTTTAGATACTTGAACTTGCAAAAATATATTCAAACAAGTTGTCTTCCAGAATCTGTGCACTCCGGTGAATTTTTCAGTTTTGGAATTGCAACATTCTAGAATTTATATGTTAGCATTAAAATATAAGTAAATTAATTTTGCATAAAATATTTCTAAAAATCCTAAAATACAGTAGGGTATTTATATATTTTTAAAACATTTTAAAAATGTATTCTGAAATGTCCCATAAGTTGTATTTATTTTACTTCTTTAATTTCTGCATAAAAATAAAATAATTAATTGCAATGAATATTTTAACTATAATCCTTTTATAAGAATTTCAAGATTAAATTTTAATATCTAATGAAGCACTAAACCTTGTAGTTAAAAAATAAATGCTAAATATATACAAATTCTTCTAAATGTACCTATTGAAGCCAGATTCCAAAATAACTACACCTGTATTTTCCTGATAATCTTTAAGTAGTGAAAGCCAAGGAAACTCATGCAATAACTTTAAATAGATTTTCATCTGTAGCATGATTCAGAAACATGAATGAATATATGACAGGAACCAAAAAAAGTGACCATCAGAAAAGTTCAGAGGAAAATATTTAGAAATATTTCTTGCTTTGGGATTGTTATAAGTTTTCAAGTCTGTTTAAAAATATAACACTCAGTTGTTAAGTCACTTGAAAGCCTATTGGTACATCGCTTTGCCGAAAGCTGCCATCAGTCCATCTGTCCACAAGTGTGTTTTCTGCTTTAGACTTTCATACAAGACAGAGTTGCCAATAGTCTTCATGTTGTCTTCCGTTGTTTTCCTCATTTGACCCCCACCTCCTTTCTCTTTCTTCTCTGGTCTTTGAACTTCCTCCACTTTGGGCAGCTGCTTTCATTTGCAGCTCTGCTTTGAGCAAGGAAAAAATTCTGCCAATGAAAACAGGAAAAATAAGAAAACAAGAAGGGTTGCAAGTGTTTTGCATGTGTTGCAGCTCTCCGGCTGTCCACTTTGGGGTCTTCTCACCATTGGGTAGTATACTGAGAAGGAATCTGTTGTTGGAAACTGACCCTAGGTGACCAGAGCTTATCTAAGGGACACTTTTTTTGTCATCTTAGAATCAATAAATTTATAAATCATTTGTGTTAAAAGAACTGTGAAAGTGATATTTTATGTTTACTCACCCACTCCATATTCTGAGGTATATATTTATCATTTGGTCTGGTCAGATCTATGATATTGTCAAGTTACAGTTATATATATATATATATATGACTATATGATGTATATATAATATTTTAGAGACAGGGTCTCACTCTGATGCCCAGGCTGGCCTTGAACTCCTGGGCTCAAACGATCCTCCAGCCTCAGCCTCCCAAGTAGCTGGGACTACAGGCGCTTGCCACTGTGCCCGGTTATAATATTTTTGATTAAGACATTTGAGAGGGAGAGAATATGGCCTTTTTTTTTTTTTAACTCTCCTTCATTCCCTACAATACACACAAAAACCCCCACAGGGCAGGAACTTCTCTAACTTTCTCAGAGTAGTATATGATAGATATGCATGTACAATACATGAGAGTACTTCATAAATATTAGTTCATGGAGATAATGAAGAAAACATCTTTTCTAAGTCAAAAAATAGGAAGCAAATTCTTAATAGTTGCTGTTATTATGCCAATATGCTTGAGTTTGAAGTTTAGTGAGATCTTTTTTGAGTGGCTAAAAAAGGGAAGAGATGTAAGTCTTGTCTTCGTTGATAAAACATCAGGAGGATAGATTGATGGTGGTATCTAAATAATATACTCAAAATTAGAGTGTAGTTTCTGCCTTGGCACATCTGTCTTGTTTCCACTTCTTTGCTTCCTCCTTTTTCCACAGTATCCACTGCAGCACCACAGGATAGCTCCCCAGATAAGGCAGCAATCTAATGGGGCAGCTGTAGATCTCTGTGTTAGAATTAAGAAAGGAGTATTTGTCATTACTTATGTAACCCACTCTGCATCCACACTGACATATATAGCTGAATGAAGAAATCGCTCAAGCAAAATGTTGCCTCCCTTTGACCTTGTCTGAGTGCCATTCATTGTTGTTATCAGAGCTGAACAGTAAATGGCAGGAACCACATAAGAGTTGTAAACAAGTACACATGAGAAAAAGAAGTAACTGTATTTGCTGAGTCAAGATCCATGTAAAGGAGAGGATCACATTTCCCTTTCTTGGAAACACTTGAAAATATTTACAGTCTCAAGTTCAATTTAAAATATTCTTATTAAGTGTCTACTCTGTGTTAGACTCTTCACTAGTAACTGTGAATACAGAGATAATGAAGTATCTTGCTCATGGAAGAACTCACAGACTAGACTTATGATAACCTCTCTTCTCCTTAGAATTTGGAGGACTTTAGATGGTTTCCCCTAGATTTTTGTTTTGTTGCACAGTGTTACTCTTATTCTCTTAATCTCTAATGAAAAGCCTATTTGGTGGTATAGTACGAGTCCTAATGATGAATGAGTCCTAATGATAAATAAGACATCATTAGGACTTCTACTTTTTCAGTCTGTTTTACGAGTCCCACTCCACTAGACTGGGACCTTCTGGAGGGCAGGTTCCAGAAGGTCCCAGTCTAGTGGAGGAGTGAGACTTGTAAAATGGAAGTTATAGTACAATTTTTATAGAAATGATCAAATCATATTCTTTCTGAAACACTTAACTTCTGAGATTGATAGATCTTACCATTTAAATGAGTATACACATAAGGTGTTGTAGCATTGTATCTGGCAGACTGAGAGGACATAAAAGATGTTAACTACCTGCTTTACCATTATTACCTTTACCTTTCCTGTTTCACTGTTCTTATGCCAGATATTGAATACAAATCTAGCCCTTCCATATTTGACCTCTTTAAATGTCTCATTAACAAATGTCAGTCTACTTTCTAGGTGACATGAGACTCCTTATGTATCAGCATATCATTATCACTTCTGTTCTTCCACAGTTCCTGAATATATCACATGTGGTGATAAACATGAAGATGTATGAAAAATTGTGTTCGTTGAGAGAAAATGGAAGGCTTTTCATTCTACTTCCACATTTTCATTCCAGCAGCTTTTCTGTTTTGGAAGATGAGTACTGAATCTTGCAATGAAATTTTTTTAACTTAAACAAGGTATATTTTAGCGTGTTCCGCTATGGATGACTGTCTGATGCCGTCATGAATATTCAATTAACTTTTATTTTATTTTTATTTTATTTTATTTATTTATTTATTTTTGAGATGGAGTCCCACTCTGTCGCCCAGGCTGGAGTGCAGTGGCATGATCTCGGCTCACTGCAACCTCTGCCTCCTGTGTTCAAGTGATTCTCATGCCTCAGCATCCTGAGTAGGTGGGACTACAGGCATGTACCACCATGCCTAGCTAATTTTTGTATTTTTAATAGAGATGGGGTTTTACCATGTTGGCCAGTCTGGTCTCAAACTGCTAACCTCAAGTGATCCACCTGCCTTGGCCTACCAAAGTGCTGGGATTACGGGCGTAAGCCACTGTGCCCAGCCAAATATTCAATTAACTCTTAGATCAGCGTTTCTGAACCTCAGCTCTGCTGACATTTCCAGCCAGATAATTCTTTGTTGTGCGGGCTGTCCTGTGTGCTGTAGGATGTTTGGCAGTATCCCTGGCCTCTACCTACTAGATGACAGCATCCCTGCACATCTCTGACATCCAAAAATGACTCTAGACATTGCCAAATATCCCTGGGGGGTAAAATCATCCCCAGTTGGGAACCACTGCTTTTGATCATCTGGCCATTGATTTTTGGCCAATAGGATGGAGCTATGTGACTACAAGGGTGTGTGGCCTTTCTTCTGGTAGGTGTAGGACTTCAGTCTGCCATGCTCCTTCATATACTCAGTGCCTAATTTGTGCAAGGTAGCAGCAAACCATGAGGAGAAAGGTGGTCCATGTCTTGAAGAAACTCATAGTCTAACAATTTGTAAACTAAGTTGATTTTTCAGGTTTTGGAAATATGCTAGGTGATTCTTGATAATTCTTTGAAGTGGTACCTTGAGCTTCTTAGATAGCTGTGATAAATTTCCAAAGTTGGATATTATTATGTGTTATCAAAATACTTTCAAAGCAGTGGAAAACCCCTATACTTTTCTTGAAATTTTTCATTGAATAGTTGACTCTTGTGTAAGGAATAGATTGAAATTTGCAGCTTTGTTTTACTGGGATATTTGCTTGTTGTTTTAATGTTTAAGCCTTATCCCTCCAAATCTTTTATAAATCAACACTTGTATTGTAGATTTGGAGGATAATAACAGCACCTGTCCTGATACATAGAGTTCTTATTGTTTAGACAGCTGTCTACACTGAACATCAGCTGTCTGTACTCTGATTTCAGGGGTGTGTATGTGATCTAGGTTTGGACAATAAAAATATTGAACCCTCCTTCCCTGGACCTACAATTGTTTAAGGGAAGGAGACATGCAAAAGTTGGTATAAATTTCAATTCTAAAAGAATAATTGTACAATAAAAAATCTTACAATCGTGTAACTGAAGCTAACGTAAGTGTTCAGCTTACTATCAAGTACATAAAAACTTTAAAAATCCTTTAAAAATAACAAAAAATTCCAAATACTGTAATTAAGCATTTGATTCATTTAAAATCAAGTATGGAGCAACATACAATATAGCATTTAATATCACATTTGAACTGGTAAATCACTAGGACAACTTAGTTAAATAGTAATAAAAGAATTAATCCCCAGGATTATAGCATTTCTGTGGCATTTATCTAGTCCTTTGTACATAACAAAGTGATTCAGCTCTTCATTCATAAAACTGTGTTAGGAATCTGAGTTGTATGGTTTTCTGTGTGACAATTTAGACATTTTAGTCTTTGCATTCCAAAAACACTAGGAAAGTTGTTATTTGTTTGAAACAGATTCCAATGATCTGTTCTAATTTATTCTGATGAAAAGGGTAAAGGGAAATTTCTCTGACTTCTAAACTAACTTGAGAGATTTTCCTATTGCCTCAGTCTGTCCTCCCACCCCTAAGGTACATAGAAAGACAGATATGTGTGTACACACTATAACATTGTTTAAATGATACTCATATTATTGTTCTGAAATAGCCATACTTTAAATGATTTCAGATAATTGGCTTCAGTTTTGCTAATATAATTTATGTAAGTCATATGGCTAGGTCAAATTTAATAGAAAATTTGGGAAGAAAGATATTTAAAAATATATTTTATGATGAAAACTATCTTGATAAATTTCCTTGTTTATTTTATATGATAAAAATCATTGGTTGCTCCCTAATAAAATATCATTTCACTTACATTACAGTGCTGGGCATGTATTACAAGTTGCTCATTTTTAGAGCTAATTTATGTAGCATATTTGCATGTGTGTGTGTAAAAGATTGTGACAGAGATAAGAGAAATAAGTGAAACGTTCACTTATTCACAATATAAGTGAATATAATCTATTAATATTCAAATTAAAAACTAGATAGCAAGTCAGTAGTTCATTTAGTTGAGAAACTTAGGGGAGGATGGGCAACTAACAATAACGGTACTATTATTATCATTCCTTTTTTACAGACAAGGAAAATGAAGCGCAGAGACGTTAAATAACTCTCTCAAGGTCATGCAGCTGAGAAGAGATGAGACTTGAACTCCAGTGCCAGCCCTGTTAATCACTATTCTGTACTGTCTTTCAGGTTCTTATGCCTTTGTTTGAAAAACATGGTTCCCTGTGAAATTTTACATGTAGAAGAAAGCTTCACACTACGAGAGCTCTCAGGATATAATTATTTCAGACAGATACTGGGAACATAAGATGGCTTATCAATCTAAGATGGCCTTCCTGTCCTTCGGATTGAACTGAAACCATCCCTGATTCCAGGGATAGGTAGATGATCCAGGTTTGGACAATCAAAATATTGAACCACCCTGGACCTACAAGTGTTTCTGGGATGGGAACATGCAAACGTTGGTCCAAATTGTTGTTCTAGGCAGCCCAGTACATTTCTCCAATGCCTGGTAAGCTCTAAATATCTCTAAATGTTTGTTGCAGAATGAATGAGAATAAAAGTATTCTCTTAGAACATATCCCTGACATTAGGTGTGGGATAAAAGTGGAAAATGCAGTTTGCCTCATAAAAATAGCTTTCAGAAATGACTTTTCTACAACAGCCATTCACCAGTATTCTAAAGGGCACCTGTCAAGGAGTCACTGCATTTTCAAAAGTACATTTATTTTCACATCACTGGCCAAAGTTGATCTATTATCATCACATTAGGCCCCTAGTATAGAGATGGCCCCTAAATTAGAAGCAGATTTGAATTGTTGAGACCTAAAAGCTTAGTTCCCTTAGAAGACTTTTTACCTGAGGGCAGGAGGTATAGTGAGGATCACCTGCTTTGAGTCATACTGGCCTGAGGTTGAATCATAACTTTGAAGTCAACTGAGGAATTGCATACTATGCATAGCATGACCAGCGGCATACTATGCAATTCCTCAGTTGACCGAGTAATTATACCCACCCATAGGATTGTTTTGTGAGTTAAAGGAAAGCTATATATACTTACATAAAATAAGCTGTATTATTTTACTTTCTTTTACAACTCTCAGTTGCAGGGATAAAAGGGAAGGAAAGAAGGGAGGGATGGAAGGAAAGAATAATGGAAGGAGGAAAGGAATTATAAAAGAAAATTGGCTAAAAAAATTAACTCATTACTAAAATATTAAGGGTTCAAACAGTATTCTCAGGACTTGGTATCTGCATTTCTACAGCCTATTTTTCTTAATACTTGCTTTAACTGTCAAAGGAGTTATTTCCTAATGTCATCCTTTAGCAACTCTAAACTTACATCTTGCCATTTTCTAATATAACATAAAAAAGAGCAACTCTCCCTGAAATACCTATAGAAGTCTTGGCCTCACTTTGATGAGACAAACTTGCATGTTTCTGTTCCTAAAACAACTGTAGATCCAGGGGGGTTCAATATTTTGATTATCCAAACCTAGATCACATGCCTGTCCCTGAAATCGGATAGTTTCAGCTCAATCCAAAGCAGGGGGACCGAAGGCACAGGAAGCACGGTTGTCCAAAGAAAATTGTTGATAGTGTTACCAAAAGAAAGGGGAGTGAATGTTAGATGGTAAAATCAGAAAAAAATGTCCACTACACTGTCACTTAACTAAATAGCAGTTATTATTGTGTTTTGTGCCACTTACAGATTCCTATTAAACCTACTACTACATTTTAAAAAATCGCTCTATTTAACAACTTTATTCAGAAAATATATTTAGATTTCCAATTTGGGATATTGCGATACATCTTCTACCTTTGCTTCAAGATGAATATAATTAGCAGGAATTCCTTAACAGGCCTATGTGGAACTCTCATTTAACTTTTATGAGCCTCAGTTTTCTTCCCATTGTCTAGAGAGTTACCCAAACAATTTTCTTTACTTTTGGCCAAGGTATCTCTGCTCCCTGCAGAATATAACAGATTGTTGTCTTATAACTTTTCTCCTTTTCTCTTGTTCCAGAAGCAACAGTTACTTCTTTTAGGCTATTTTCTGTTTTTGTTTGGTTTTGTTTTGTTTTCTTTTCCCTCAAACTGCTAATAACTATATACATACCACTACTTCTCGCTTCTCTTTTTTTACTTTGGCTCTAGATGGAATGATAGGGTATGCATAAATGTTCATGTGGGCTCTGGAGTATACCAGGAACTGAAGTAAGGTACATGGACGTCTTGAATATTGTAACTGAGATGGGCAAGCCTACACCTTTGCAAATAAAGGAGGATTGGGAAAGATTAAGGTGAGCTTTCTCGCAAACAGATGGGTCATGGGAATAAGGAATTCTGAATGCATGAACAGTGATGCTGAAAAGCAGGGGGTCTTCAAACTATACTCAAGGGCCAAATCATTGCCTCTTTTTATAAGTGAAGTTTTATTAGACTACTGCTCCACCCATTCATTTAAATGTGGTCTATGGCTGCTTTAGGACTTAAAATGCCAGAATACTTGTGACAGAAACCTTCTGGCCCTCAAAGCCTAGAATATACACTATCTGGCTCTTTAAAGAAGTTTGCCAACACCTGCTCCATTGTAAGGAGGATATTAGTCGGGTTCTAACAGAATTGCTTGTTGAACTAGGGTTTAAAACACATGGTAGAGACTCCACTGCCATAACCAGAGAGAAGACTGCCAAGAATTAGGCTAACTTGTTCTCAGGCAAAAAGGCTACGTAAAAGGCAGAATCTCAGTTCTGCAGGGCCAGTGCAGGAGGTGAGGAGGCAGGGGTTACACTGGTGTCCGTGGGTCATTGTTCATGCAATGGATACTCGGTCTGGTTGAGGGATACATGCAAGGCTAGAATTTGTGCTGAGTCACCAGATTTAAGATCTGGGAAAAAATAATGTACATTTCTTGACTTCAAAGACGTGGGGGCCATTAATCCAGATTTTACCCTTGTTGAACTAACTCAGGAATGGAAAACACTCTTGGTGAGGAAATGGGACACTGAATAGGGATACTTCCTACCAGCCCAAGACTAGGGTTAGGGAAGGACTCACTTATTGGTAAGAAAGGATTTTTGCCTCTACAGACCTTTACTTAGACCTGTACTTAAATGAGGTAAGAAGTGAGAAAGCAATATTTCTCAAGTGCCTACAAACCTGAGGAGTCTTTTTCCATTTGTATGTTACTCAAGATCTCAAAATGCCACAGCTCTTTAAAAGGGCTTCTTCTCTCCTTTGTATTGGTGGCTTGCAACATGCTATTTGAATCTTTCAGCAGGCTGACCTGTTTGGCTAATGCTATAACCCAAATTAATTGTTCTTTCCTCTATGTTTTTATTTATTTATTTATTTATTTATTTATTTATTTATTTATTTTTTTGAGACAGAGTCTCGCTCTGTTGCCCAGGCTGGAGTGCAGTGGCACCATCTCGGCTCACTGCAAGCTCCGCCTCCCGGGTTCACGCCATTCTCCTGCCTCAGCCTCCCGAGTAGCTGGGACTACAGGCGCCCGCCACCACGCCTGGCTAATTTTTTGTATTTTTAGTAGAGACGGGGTTTCACCGTGTTAGCCAGGATGGTCTCAATCTCCTAACCTCGTGATCCGCCCGCTTCGGCCTCCCAAAGTGTTTTTATTTGATCTTATCACAGTAGTCAGCATATTTTGCCTTGTATTATACTTATATGTGTACATGTAGTCTTCCCCCAGACTAGCCATTACTTGAGAGCAAAATTTTAGCCTTATCCGTCTAAATATCCCCCAAGTGCTTATCTAGTGAATGCCTAATTGTAATGCCTATTGACTTAAATGGAATTTAATTAAATGGGGTTTGTTATATTCTGCTAAGACTGTAGTAGATGTAGACACAAGTCTGATTCTTTTCTTATAACTACCATTTTCCCCTGTTATGGATATATCAAATTACTTACCACCCTTAACATCTCCTCCAGATTAATTTGTCTTGTGTAAGCCCCTAGTTGACCAAAGCTGATGGCTGATTAAATTCCCCCAAGGGAACTCAGCCACACAGCCACATAGGTTTTTTTTCTTTTTTGGTTGCAAAAAGCAGAAAGGTGCGTATGCAACAGAGACCATCTTAAACACGAGAATTATTAGAGTAGCTCACAGAAAGGTATCACTGAACAAGCAAGCTTCAGGAGGTTAGAAACCAGGACAATTCTGAGGACTCGAGCATTGAGAACTCATGAACTCTTTGACCCAGAGCACCCCAAGGCACCTCCACTTAAGACTCAAATTCGAAGGATCTGTGTAAGCCAGCTTGATTCAATAATCTAATTCTGTGCTCAGGAAACAGGTGGTTCCTTTTTTTTTTTTTTTAAATCAGAATTTGGAGTTAAGAGGATGCAGGGAGAGTGGTAGACAAACGGAAACAAGTGTTACCATAGCAATCTATTAGAGGGCAAACTAAGCCACCAGGAGTCTCTCAAGAACAAACAAACAAACAAACAAATGTTATGAATGACTTTTGGCTTAAATGTCATGTAGACTAAGACTGGAGGCGCAATGGAGAAGGAGGGAAAACTGAGAGCTGATAGAAGCAAAATGAAGGATAGGAGTGAGCATCCCCTAAGATGGACAAGGTGCCTTCATTTCCTAATGGTTTCTCCTCTTCTTTTCTTTGAACCTACCAATGTGTGGTTATTTTCCTTGCAATATTGTGTTGTAAGATATCCTTCCAATTTAGAAACAGAAAGGGTAGTAATTGCCTCATGTTAGAATATTTAGCTATAGAATAATAGGAATCAAAATTATTTTAGACATCAAAGAGTATGGAAAATCAAAGATAATCTGAGGCAGCAAGACACAAATCCCATTTGTCAATTCTGCCATTTGGTGATCATGATGGTAGTGATTTGAGATATGTCTAGCTAAGTACCAAGCACTGTTTTAAGTATTTACATATATTGTTCTCTCAAAAACTCTGACGTGTAGGTAGAATTATTAGCCTCATTTTACACATAAGAGAGCTAAAGTATACAAAGAATAAGTAATGGAGCCAGGATTCAAATTTCCTAATTCAACATCAAAGCCTAAATTCCTGAAAGTGCAAGTCTCTCACAAACTTCAGGAATTCCACAGCATACCAGAAATCTTAAGTTTTAGGGTGGTTCGAAACCTTATAAATCCCTTTGAGTCAAAAATTTCTCTTTTTTTCCAGATCCTGTTAAACGTCAGTGTTACTATTTAGCCTTTGATATCTCCAGTAAAGGCAACTTCTTTCTGGACCCAGAAATAAAGCTTTACATTAGCAGCTTCCATAACACCAATAACATGAATGACCATCTACTGAGCAATTGCAGTGCACCAGGATTATGGCTTATGAGCACTTTATGTTTATTATCTCACAACTCACTGAGTTAGATACTCTCCACAACCCAGTGAGGTAAATACTATTACTTCCACAGTATATATTATTATATAATAAAATGCTTAGAATATACACACAGTAACTAAACACTACTTATAAAATATGGCTCTAGATATGTTTGATAAATATTTCCTTCATGAAAACATGGAGGAATTAATTAGCAGTATCTCTCTGCAGCCTTTAGCCCTCGAGAATCATGTAGAAAAGAGGAGCTGTCTTCTCTTTTAGCAGAACATCTGTCAGAGATGGTTTCCCCTGACTTAGACAATTGTGTTTTTTTCCCTTCAGAATGATTGAGTCTCAGAATTGTTCTTTAATCCTCAGTATTTCCATTAAGAAGAGCTTCTATCAAGTGCTTCAAAAGTACCCAATGTGAAGGAGTAATAATGACTCCCTGCTGGTGAGCGAAGTGTGGAGGACACAGGTCCCTCAGCCGTCCACTGGATGCTGCACTGTTTGGCCTGAGCCAACATGGGCAGAAATACAGGCGGCAGCATAAGCAGATGCCAAGAACCTGTCTTGCTTCTACTGTTTTCATTGGGTTACTATATCTCCTTTGTAGTCCAACCTGCAAATTACTTTGAGAAGGGGAGATACACCCCTGGACCAATCTAGGACTATATTTGTTCCCTTGCTAAAGTAGGAAAAAAAATACAGAACCTTTAAATATTGAACTCAAGGGCAACTAATTTAAATTCCTTTCCTTTCATGTTGAAAGTCTTTTGACTGGGTTATTCTGAAGCCATAGCAATTAGGTTACAGTTTACTTCTCTGTTACTTTACCATCTTTAAATTTGGCACCTTCAAAAGGTTGTTCTGTGCGTTTAAAAAAAAAAAGGAACTACCGTTGGATATTGTATTGTTGATGACCATTATTTGATTCTGGATTCTTTTGTGTGTTTGTGTTTGGGTGTTTTTGGTTGTTGTTTGTTTGTTTTCTAGAGACGGGGGGTCTCACTATGTTGTCCAGACTAGATTCGAGCCCCTGAGCTCAAGGGATTCTCCAGCCCCAGCCTCCCGAGTAGCTGGAACTGCAGGCACCCGCCACCACGCCCAGGGACAGTTACTTGATTCTTAATAGTCCAGTCATAATGAGACAGGATACTGCATAAGCCAAAGACCACACAAAGTATCAATGTTAAGTATCAAGAGGGTGTGGAGGAAGTGGGTTACAACCACTTTGTCTCCCAACTGTTGTATGTTTTGCCTTTAAAAATTTTTTTAAGTACGTTAAATTCTAATGTACTCAGATGTGGCTGAAACAATGACAAAACATTAGTTTTCTTTAAATATGCGTGACTTTTAAGCTTTTTCCCTTTCCCAGTGACTTGCTTCTCCACTAAGCTCTTTTTTTCTTTTTTTTTTTTCCTCAAATATTATTGTTTCATGTCACTGTGACAAGTTTAGTCTACTGGAAATTCCTATGTCCTCTGTAATTTAGGTTTTAAGCAACATATGATTTATCTTGTTATTTTAAAAAAACTATCTGCCTTCCCTAAGTGGGCAACTCTCTGGCATCCTTAATATTCTTCTATAGAAATTGTGATGAAAGAACAGATAAGCCTAAGTAAATCTAGCGTGTGGAGCTCCTTTAAAATGTGAAGACCTTGCCAACTGGTTAAAAATAAAACTTGGTTTTGTCCTAAATATCCTTGCTGGGCCTATTATACATAAAAAAAGGGGCCACAGCCCATTTGCAAGGCTTCTGAATGAACTCCATTCATTCTGTACTTGGAAATGTCTCTTCAGCCACAAAAAGAAACAATAGTTATAACCTAATTTCTTTGGTGCCAATATCAGCAGAAGAAGAGCCAAGAGACCATTATGAAAACTCTAGTAAGTTCTCTTGGTGATTATATAATGCTGTATTCATTGATCATATTTCTGTATTTAAATAAGTACATTTTTTAAAACATCATAAAGTGGATCAGTAATGCTGTAATATCACATTTCATGTATTATACAACATTTTTGAAATGGAGTACTCCAAAGTAATTTGCTTCTTATGGTTACCAAAGTTTAAAGAATACCCTAACATGCACTCCAAGATTTTAAGAGGAAAGGCTTTGTGTTTTTCATTACTGTATTTTGAAATCTGAGAGTGCAAAACTAGTTTTCTTAGGTAAACCCCGTAATCAGTTTCCACATTTACCTGTAAAAGTCAGTGGAGGGCATACATCTGGAAGTAGTAGTGGCGGTACACAATGTGTGTTAATATGATTTCCAAGGGGTATCTAGAGTAAACTTTCTTAATCACAGATCTGATCTGAGCATGCCACTCCTTTCTTAAAATCTTTTGTTGATTTTCCATTTCCCTAAAAGGAAGGCCCACTGGAGCATGGGCCTTGCAAAGTCCTCTTTCTGGCTTCTGCCTGCCTGCCTTTTCAGCTTCATCTCTGCCATCTTCCCTGAATGAACTTTTGTCAGTGGCCTCGCTCTTTCTACCTATGAGATGTTGTTTCTGCATGTTCTTGCATGGAATTCTCTTCCTCCCAACCCTGTTTCATTCCTTTAATCTGTACAACTCTTTCTTATCCTGAAGTCTTTATGTTAAGGTTGCCTTTTCAGGAAGACTTTTAATTGTATTAGCTAATTAATTAATTAATAGTCTGAGGTATTTGGAGCTGAGATTCTATGGGGATTAGTTGCTGGAGGGTAGTTTAGAGCCAGATTGTGAAGGACTTTCTAAACTGTGCTTTCAAGGTTTTGAACAGGAAAATGATGTAGACTTTCTGTTTTTTGTAAGTTTGGAGGATGGCTTGTGTCTTAAAAGAATATGTAACATAACCATCTAATTTGTGAGTAGTGGACTAAGGAAACACCACTCTAACCTTTTTCTCTCTGCGATAATCCCATCTTCAGCCTCTCAAGCACTGTGAAAAATCACTTTCTCTTGTTGTATTCTTGGAGCCCCTGCTAATTCATTATTGAAAAATACCTGCTGCCTGCATTTGGCCTTATGTTGTCATTTACTTGGTAAGTAAAGCTAAATATAATATTAACTAAAATTAAAAGACCATTAAATTATTGGATAGTGTCTACTATAGTGGTTTAGAGTACAGGCTCTAGAGAGATCTGATTTAAAAGTTTTGCTCTGCCACTTGCTAGCAATATAGATGTGGACAGGCTATTTAGATAATTTACTTAGCAAAATAAACTTGAACTGAAGGGTAGGAGATTGAGGCAAGGAAGGTAGACCCTAAAGCAGTTTGCCAAATACAAAATCTCTTGGAATTTGAGAGTGTTATCTAAAAATCCATGTGAATCTTGTATTCTCTTCCATAATACATTTCTGTTTGTTTTAATATAAAAATACTTTTAAGTTGGAGGAGGGGGTTAAGTGGGTTGGTGATTATTGCCTCAAATTTTTTATACAATTATTTCTCCAGGAAAACACACACTGTTTATTCATGGCTTGAAGCAGTCTTTTTTTTTAAACATACTTTTATAGTATACAAGCATGTGAACAGACATGCTTCTGGTAACGGAAATTACCAGAAATGTAAATATAATATCTCATTAGAGCAGAAATTCTGCATTGATCTTCAGCCACTGATTTACAGTGTTTACCCCAATATTACTATATTCTAGATAAAACGTTAAAAATCTAGCTCAATAGTGTTACAAAATAAACTGATTATTTCCTTCCTCTCACCATATATACATCTAGATTATTCCATTCTTTCTAGTTACTCTCACAGGAACCTCAAGAGGCATGCTGGTTTATCTCTTTTCCTGCCTCCCCCCAGATATTTTAGTTAAATATTTTACTCTTTATACAATCCATCTTAAACATGTAATTCTTTCTATCACTTCTTTTCTGTTTATTTCATGCAGTCAGCAGTCCATTTTAGGCTTTTGCCATTTTTTCTTGTCTGTAGTATCACTGTGAGTTCAAGAATAAGTTTTCTATATACATTCTCTTTCCTCTTTTGCTTAGCCTATGAACTGTATTCCTTTATTGTCTCTGCATCAACTACAAAGTTAAGTATTGATTTCCAAAACAGGCCTGCCTTCCCCATATTATGCTTACCTTGTTTTCCAGCCCAATCTTTTCCGTTACTCGCCTTAATGGTCCATCCTTTATAGCCAAAATGAACCTTCCACTCTTCCCTGAGCATCCACTGACTCACTTGTCTCCAGGCCTCAGCACCAATTATCCCCACTGCTTATCACTACTGTGTACATTGCCCAAAGCCTGTCTCACAGGCCTCCTCCTCCTCCATAAATCCTTCCTTGATCATCCCAGCTGAATGTGTGGGGTCTCCCTCTCCTTTCATTGTTTCATTTATGGAACAGATATTTATCAAATGCCTAATGTATATCAAGTGATAAACTAATGATGGGGATTTAGCAATAACTAGGACAGAATTATTACCCACTCTAATGGAGGTTATAATACAACACAAAAGTGGCATTGATAACTAATTTCAAGTTTCACGCATTTTCCAAGGGTCTGTGCATGGCGTTTAGAAGGCTACACCTTAGGCTGGGGGTCAAGAATGTCTTCCCTGATGTGAGGTTTACACAGAGATCTGAAGAATGAAGAGTCCAGCTAAGTTAAGTGGGAGCGGATTAAGGGAATGCAAGGACATGAAAGAGTGTCCTAGGCAGAGGGAACAACATATACAAAGGCCCTGAGGTGGGAGTGAACAAGGAACTGAGAGAAGAACTGAGAGAAGGCCACTGTGGAAAGCCAGATGCTGTGTGACATGAATAATGGGACACAGGAAATTGAGATATTAGCAAAAGAGAGATTGATGACCCATAGGCTTGAAGATGTACTGGAACTAAAGTAAGGGGCGAGGATAAATAAAAAGAGGGAGAAATTGGAGAAACAGAGTGCTTGGAAGCCCTGATGAATTTGAGGAAAAGGATGGTGATAGAGTTGACCTAGCCAGCTAGAAGAGTAGTACTTTTTAGTCAGTGAGCCCTCCATCCCATTTCTCATTAATTCTTGTAACACTTTCTCACTTCCTATATTCTGTCATATTTTATAGTTGTTTATATAATTATCTTATTCTTTATACCAATTGTAGTTTCCCTGGGTGCTTATTATGGATTAACAATTATATTATTATTAATAATATGGGTGAATGTTTACAAAGAAAGAAGTCTTTTTTGCTATTCTTATTTTATTTCTTTAATCTTTGATCAGGGGTTTTTATTTATGAATTCATCTTATATGTCACTTGACAAACACTGAATGCTGAATGCCACAGAGTACATGACACTTTAGCAGCATAAAGAAAGGCACCAAAACCAAGCAGCAAACTACATGCTACAAAACAACAATTTTTGGAATTAATGAATGAGGCTAATTTTCTGGAGTCCTCTCTCTCTTTTAAAATGTAAGAAGTGTTAGTATGGCCAGGCATGGTGGCTCATGCCTGTAATCCCGGCCCTTTGGGAGGCCGAAGTGGGCAGATCACCTGAGATCAAGAGTTTGAGACCAGCCTGGCCAACCTGGGGAAACCCTGTGTCCACTAAAAATACAAAAATTAGCCAGGCATGGTGGCACGTGCCTGTAATCCCAGCAAATTGGGAGGCTGAGGCAGGAAAATCACTTGAGCCTGGGAGGCAGAGGTTGCAGTGAGCTGAGATAGCACCACTGCACTCCAGCCTGGGCAACAGAGTGAGACTCAAAAAAAAAAAAAATGTAGGAAGCGTTAGTATGTCTAGGTCTATTCACAGGTTTGGAAGGAGAATGGGGATAGAAGACAGAGCAGAAAATTAGTGGTAGGATTCAGTAGATCAGATCTCCAGCTTCTTAGTACCTTTGATATTTAGTCCAGTTATTGAATTTCTCTTCAATTCTTCAGTCAGAACTTCTTTTCATTCCAGTGGGATTGCTTCACACTTAAGAGAATTAATGTACTTATACAAAGCCATTTTCAGAAGGGAATCACTAATATTATTATGATGTAAACAAATGATACTAGGTACTTTTCCCTTAAAGTGTCTGTTTTAAACACACATTTGTTTTTCTGCTACATCGAGTTCATTGAATCTCATTTGTATTTTCTTCGTATGTTACCTTATACAGTTATACGCAGGATGTCCCTGTTTTTTCAGTTAGCTGTTAGATAAATTCACCATACATTCGCTTTCAACCTTGTGTTTAAAAAAAATTAGTTACATGAAGTAGTCATCCACATGACATAAGAGACCTAATTTTAATAGGAAATAATATTAAAAATGTAACTCCTAGAAAATGTTAGTGATCATCATCTTCCTTTATTTTTTTTCCTAGGTACTTCCTAAGCGTGGCTACTCCAATGAAGCTTTAGTATATGTACTGAAAGAAGATCCTCTCATACTGCCACAGCCAAGAGATAAGGTTGTAAATCTTTATTGGGAGAAGCCGTCAAGGACAGTTCTGTGAAATGAAAGGATCTCTGGATCACCACAAAGTCTGGCTCAGTGACTATGGCTTTGCAAACACTAAACATTCCTGTCTCAAGTCCTGTAGATGGCTTGAAATAGTATACATAAGCATGCCTTATAAACATCTTCAGTCTTTATCAACTCTTTGGAGATTCAGCCATTCTTTTTTGTACTTTAGGGAATTAAATCATTTTATAATGTATAAATCTGAGCATGGCCGATGGCAGAAGAAATTTTGTCATACGTTTTTAAAGAAATAAAAATGTATTATGTTTTAAAATTCCTTTAACTGTTTTTCTTACAAAATTCCCAACAACTTAGTTACCAAGTAAACTATCTCAGATATGATTTTTCAGTCCTTGCTAATCTATTTATAAAATCTTTTGCTATTTTATAATCTTATTATTTGTGTCTGTCCTTAAGTGTTCATTTGTTTTTATGTCTGTGTATGTCATGTTTATTTGAGCTGTTTAATGTAAAGTAAAACAAGAACTCCCTGCATCTTATAGCATAAAAAGCAATGTTTTTCATATTCTTACCCTAATAGAAACCCTCATTCACAGAGTGATGGCTAATGCTCTACCTTTCTGCAATTCCTAGTCAGAGAACTGTCCAAGTCTCACATGACCTGCATCTTGAAGAAGAAACCTATCACGAGTTAGTTCTTAGCTATACAGGTTAACAAACTCAAATGACCCACTAACTAAATCTTGATTCTTAACAAAAACACTATGGTCTATCATCATAACAATGTCAATTTCTCACATTATCATTTTGAATCAACAATATGCCATCATATCAAAGAGAACTTATCATATTAGCATATTGAATATAAAATTACAGTGCAGCTAGTTCCAAGACCTGAATGAGTGTGGTATATAAAAAGAGCAGTGGATTAGAAATAAGGCAATCTGACGTGCTTATCTCAGTTCTGCTGATACTTGCTATGTGTATTTAAGGCTAATTATTTAAATGGGCTTTATTTAAAAAGGGAAAAGAAGTAGAGGCATGCCCATTCCTTTTAAGAATATGACCCGGAATTTCCGTGTATCATCTCTGCTCATGTACCTTTGGCCAGAGCTTAATCAGTTTGTCCCAGGTAGTAGGAAAGGAGGCTGGAATATGTGGCCTTTAGCTGAAACTTCGAGGATTCTAAAGGAATTGGACTATTGAAAGACAAGTAATAGTCTTTGCCATTGCTCTCTTATCAGGAAAGCAAATGTTCTTTCAGACCCTCCTCCCCTGCCCCACTGAGTGATTCCATCAGATGAATCACCATCTATGGCAGATAGACCCTTATGAAATCTGTATGCAGCAGATTTCTACTTAGGCCATAATTGAGCATATAGTTACTCCTAGATTTAAAAAAGCTGGGGAAGCAGGAAACAGGATTGACATGATTGGCTTTGACCAAAGTTTCACAGACTTTCTTGGTGCACAGCTCCCTTGGGTTCTTAATTTTTTTCGTGGTACCAAAAGAAATACATAAAAGTTTCATATACAATTCAATAAGCATTTGAACTATGACACATAAATTGAAAGAGAAGTAATACCTTGTTCATTCTTAGATAACCACAGTTACTACTGGGCTATATATACCTGTTGGGCACTCTACAACTTCTCAAACCTTGGACTCAGATTGGATGGTGCCACCCTATGTCTTGCCAGACAGTGCTTGCTTTTCATCACAGCAACCACTGAAAACCCAGCTTTGCAATGACATCAATGACATAATATTCTAAAGAAATGTAGCATGGTCTAATGTGGAAACTGTGAATCACCCCAAGCTAATAGTGGGCATGCTATCTGCCAGAAGTTAAGTCCCTATTTCCCTTGAAAATTTGAATATATTATAGCTCCCCCAGTGAGTTTACTTTAGCACCCTTGAGGGCTGGGCACACAGTTTGGGAACCATGGGCTTAGACTAATCATCGTTTATTTTCTGGGCTGGACATATTGCTCCCTAGACAAGAATTAGTTTTTTAGAGGGGAAGAAAGAAGAATGGAAAATATTTAGGAAACCGACTATTTCTGCCTCCTTCTATTCCAGCTAAACTACATGATCTTTAAGAAGAGAGGCTATGTCTGTTTTTACACACTTTTCTGTGGCATAGTTCTGGGTATTTCAAAGAACATAGAGGCTTGGTACAGTGGCTCAAGCCTGTAATCCCAGCACTTTGGGAGGCTGAGGTGGGCAGATCCCTTGAGGTCAGGAGTTCAAGACCAGCCTGACCAACATTGCAAAATACCATCTCTACTAAAAAATACAAAAATTAGTCAGGTGTGATGGTGCACACCTATAGTCCCAACTACTTGGGAAGCTGAGGCAGGAGAATTGCTTGAACCTGGGAGGCGGAGGTTGCAGTGAGCTGAGATCATGCCACTGTACTTCAGCCTGGGTGACAGAGAAAGACTCCATCTCAAAAAAGAAAAAAAAGAACATACATATTTATTAAATGATTAAGAAATGAAGTTTATATGATCAATGAAATATGATTAATAACATTAACCAACCATAAAATGCCAGATTATAGGAAATTTGTTGCCTATACAACAGGCTTCTGTGTAAATTCAAGGGCCTGGACTATGCCTTCCTAATTTCTTACCACCAGTGCCCAATAATTGTTTGGTATATTGTAGGTGAGAGAAAAATGTTGTTCAGATGAATTGGTGAATGTCTCAGTGAGAGCTAGTTCTGTTCCCAAACACCATTACAAAGGAGTTGCATTACACTGCTAATGAAAATGCTTATTAGTGGACTCTTAATGTAAATGCTCATGTTGACTGCCAAGAAAGAAAAATAACCACTTTATCTTATCACTATGGATCTAGGGCTTTTTTTGTTACCACAGTCACCACTAGAAAAACTGACAAAAAGAGAAAAGCAGAACTATTCTGAGATATAAGATGAACTTTTCTTAGAATGGTTTATATTGTCAGCAGCTAAACTGTTTCAGTATTCAGGATTATTACATAAAGCCGGGAAAGTGACTATTTTCAAAAGAGCTACCAAACTTTATGACAGTCATTTGAGCAAAATGTATCTTTCTCCTTTTTCTTGTTCCATAGCCTAAATAGGCTTTTCTCTGTTTTGATGGTTTTGCCATTCAAGCTCATTCTGTTTTCTTGGGAAGCTATGCAAGCTCTTTGGTTTCTGTGATTGTAAAGTGTATGGCTCTGTGACAACTCCATGGAAGAATGTGTATGTGCAAGCGCTTTAGATTTGTCTAGATCTAAAAATTTTCTATGGTTATTTGAGTTTTTTCAGTAATATATTTAGAAAATTATTTATGTCTCTGTCTGTATTACTAAATCAAAAGTATTTTGAAGGCAGGGACTATGTCCTTTTCATTTTTGAATCCCCAGAGCATTGCATCTGAACCCCCAAGACCTGGTACATAGTAGGTACCCAATTCATATTTGTCGAGTTAATAAACTCTTTCTTAGCAAAATTTTCCCAATAGCACAGTACAGAGTTTGTTCATGATAAATACTGAATGTATTTTTATTTTGTGAGAGCCTAAATCATTTTTAATTCTTTCAATGTTTCTGAAAACTAACAGATAGGATGTATTCTCTCTCTTTTCTATATGGAAAAATATAATTATCCTTAATGATGGATACCAAATCTTGAATTTGTACTATACAAGAAATAATTTATTGACAAAATATCTTAAAACATTCTTTGTTTTTTTGAAGAATATTAGATTTCTTTGTTAATGTATTTCTTTTTTACCAGTTTAATAAAAGCTTTTGCTGGGCATTTCTAGATGTTCAGGGGCCAGACTGATGTTGCAGTTGTATGTTCCTAGATTTTATTTCAAAACTACATTTTTATTTATTTTTTGAGCATGAAAGTAATATATGCTCAGTGTAAACAATTAGGTCATTATAAATATATTTAACAGGAATACCAGAGATAACTTCTGTTAATAATTCAATGTATTACTACAATTTTTTCTATGAATTTAATATAATAATATTGTTGGAAATTTTGATGTAATTATTTAAGTGAAATTGAATCATACTGCACATACTATTTTGCAGTTTTTTAATAGTGTATTTAAACTTTTAAGTGCAAAAGATTTTCAAGACTAGCAAATATAAATCTACCTTATTCTGTTTAATTGCTGGAGCCTACTTTTAGATGTTTACAGTACCCTATACTCCTACTTTAAGTTACTTACAAATTTAAATTTGTAATTAAGTTATTTATATAATTGTAGGTTTCATATCTGTATCCCTAAATAGATTATAAATTCCATGCCTAACCCATGCTGCATGAAACAGATACATATAATGGCAATAGGTGCTATGAATGAATGAACTAGTAAATGGTGGTATTCATCCCAGAACTTTCTTTACAAAGCCTGTGCTCTTTCCACAATGCCACGCTTCCTCCTCTTAGTGGTTCCTTTATATATTATGGGAATGTTCATAATATCATTATTAATGGTTACATTATTTTGAGTTTTATTACGTATGTTTAGGTCAATTGTGAAGACAGAACTAAGCAATTTAGAAATTCAGAAATATAGGAATAATAATTATATACAGACATACCTTGAAGATATTGTGGATTTGGTTCCAGACAAGTGCAATAAAGTGAATATTGCCATAAAGCAAGTCACACATATTTCTTGGTTTCTCAGTACATACAAAAGTTATGTTTACACTATACTATAGCCTATTACATGTGCAATAGCATTGTCTAAAAAAGCACGTAACTTAATTAAAAATACTTTATTGCTAAAAATTGCTAACGGTCATCTGAGCCTTCAGTGAGTGAATCTTTTTGCTGATGGGGGTCTTGTCTTCATACTGATGGTTGCTGACTGATCAGAGTGGTCAAGACTGGGGTGGCTGCGGCAATTTCTTAAAATAAGACAATGAAGTTTACCGTATCAGTTGACTTCTTTCACAAAAGATTTCTCTGTAGTATGCAGTGTTTTTTTGATACCATTTTACCCACAGTAGAACTTCTTTCAAAATTTGAGTCAGTTCTCTCAAATCTTGTCACTGCTTTTTGAACTAAGTTTATATAATATTCCAAATCCTTTGTCATTTCAACAATGTTCACAGCATCTTCACCAGGATTAGATTTCATCTCAAGAAATGACTTTCTTTGCCCATTCATAAGAAGCAACTGCTCATCCAAGTTTTATAATGAGATTGCAACAATTCAGTCCCATATTCAGGCTTCACTTCATATTCTTATTCTCTTGCTATTTCTACCATATCTATAGTTACTTCCTCCACTGAAGCCTTGAACCCCTCAAAGTCATTCATGAGGGTTGGAATCAACCTCTTCCAAACACATATCAATGTGGATATTCTGACCTCCTCCCATGAATCACGAATGATCTTAATGGCACCTAGAATGGTGAGTCCTTTCCAGAAGGTTTTCAATTTACTTTGCCCAGATCCATCAGATGAATCACTATCTATGGCAGCTATAGCCTTACGAAATGTATTTCTTAAATAATAAGACTCAAAAGTCAAAATTACTTCTTGATCCACAGGATGCAGAATGGATGTTGTGTTAGCAGACATGAAAACAACACTAACTTCCTTGTACATCTCCATCAGAGCTCCTGGGTTAGTAGGAGCATTATCAATGAGCAGTCATATTTTAAAAGGAATCTTTTTTTCTGACCAGCAGTTCTCAACAGTGGGCTAAAAATATTCAGTAAACCATGCTATAGACAGATGTGCTGTCATGCAGGCTTTGTTGTTTTATTTATAGAGCACAGGCAGAGTAGACTTCGCATAATTCTTAAGGGCCCTAGGGTTTTCACAATGGTAAATTAGCGTTGCCTTCAACTTAGGTCACCAGCTCCATTTGCCTCTCACGAGAGTCAGCCCTCTTTTAAAGGTTTGAAGCCAGCCATTGACTTCTTCTCTCTAGCTATGAAAGTCCTAGATGGCATCTTCTTCCAATATAAGATTGTTTTATCTGTGCTGAAAATTTGTTGTTTAGTGTAGCCACCTTCATTTATAGTCTTACCTAGATCTTCTGGATAACTTGCTGCAGCTTCTACATCAGTACTTGCTGCTTCACCTTGAGCTTTTATGTTATGAAGACAGTTTCTTGATCTCATGAACCAAGCTCTGCTAGCTGCAAGCTCTTCTACTGCTTCCTCACCTCTCTCAGCCTTCATGGAATAGAATTGAGTTATGAACTTGCTCTGGATTAGGTTTTGGCCTAAAAGAATGTTGTGGCTGGTTTGATCTTCTATCCAGTCCAATAAAACTTTCTTCATATCAGCAATAAGGCTATTTTGCTATCTTATCATTCATGCATTCACTGGAGTAGCACTTTTAATTTCCTTTAATAACTTTTTGCATTCACAATTTAGCTGTTTGGCTCAAGGGGCCTGGCTTTTGACTATTTTGGCTTTTGACATGAATATCTCACTAGATTAATTATTTCTTGCTTTTAATTTAAAGTAAGAGACAAGAGATGTGACTCTTCCTTTCATTTGAACACCCAGAGGCCATTGTAGGGTTATTAGTTGGCCTAGTTTCAAAATTGCTGTGTCTCAGGGAAAAGGGAGGTCCAAAGACAGGGTGAGAGACAGGGAAACAGTCGTTTCGGTCAGTCAGTCGGAGCACACACATTTATGGGTTAAGTTCACTGTAGTATATAGGCACGATTCATGGTGCCCCCAGACTAATTACAATAGTAACATGAAAGATCACTGATCACATAGCATCATAACAGATATAATAATAAAAAATTAGAAATATTGCAAACTTTACCAAAATATGATTCAGAGATAAGAAGTAAGCACGTGCTGTTGGAAAAATGATGCCAATGAACTTGCTTAACACAGGATTGCCAAAAACCTTCAATTTATAAAAATCACAGTATCTCTGAAACACAATAAAATGAAGTATGCCTGTAATGACAAAAATAACAGAGGTTTTAAAATTTTTAAGTTGTTAGATCTTATCAATTTTGTCAAGGTTTACATGACACAGGCTAAGGATTTTATTTTTTAATCTAATGCTTAATTTCTTGATTTTATAGCAGGAAAAAAGTAATATCTCATGAATTTTTTGTTATAGCACAGTGCACAATTTATACCAAATATTTTTATTTTCAAATATGACTTTAAAATCTTGTAGAAGTCTATCTTTCTCTTCCAGAGAGTGGTACATTTTAAAGCCTTTTTAAAGACTTTATTCTTATGGAACAGTTTTAGATTTATAGCGAAAGTGAGCAGAAGGTACAGATATTTTCCATATACGCTCTGCCTCTCCGAATACATGGCTTTCCCCATTATCAACATCCCTCATCAGAGTGTTAGATTTACTACAACTGATGAATTGACATTGACACATGGTAGTCACCCAAAGTCTATAGTTTAATGTTCACACTTCGCATCATACCCGCTATGAGTTTGGACAAATTTATAATGATGCATATGTGAAGGAAAATTTTGCAAGACATAGAATTCTTGGTTGGTGGTTTTTTCTCTACCACCTTAACTATTTCACTCCACTCTCTTCTTGCTGCGTGGTTTCTGAGGAGAAGTCAAATGTAATTTTTATCTCTACTGCTCTATATGTAACATATTTTCTCCCCCTCCCCCCCACCGGCTTCTTTCAGTAATTTTTTCTTTATCTTTGACTTTCTGTAATTTGAAAATGATATGTGTATGTGTAGCTATTCTAGCATTTATCCTGCTTGACGTTCTCTGAGCTTTCTGGATCTGAACTTTGGTGTCTGGCATTCATTTTGAGACATTTTCGGTCATTACCATTTTGAATATTTGTTCTGTCTGAGTTTTAGTCCATTCAAGCTGGTCTAACAGAACACCATAGACTAGTTGGCCTATATATAAAACAAACATTTTTCTCCCGTAGTTCTGATGGCTGGGAAGCCTAAGATCAAGAAGTTAGCAGATTTGGAGTCTGGTGAGGGCTTGCTTCTTGGTTCGTATTTGGCTGTCTCTTGACTGTGCTCTCACATGGCAAAAGGAGTGAGGGAGTTCTCTGGGGTCTTTTTCATAAAGGACTAATCTGATTCATGAGGGCTCCACCCTCATGATGTAATTACCTCCCCAAACCTCCAACTCCAAATACCACCACACTAGGGATTCAGTTTCAACATAAAAATTTTGGGGGGACACAAACATGCAATTTATAGCATTCTATCCCTGGTCCCTTAAAGTTTACGTTTTTCTCATATGCAAAATGTCCCCATTCCATCCCGATAGCCCTAAAGTTTTAACTCATTCCAGCATTAACTTTAAGTCAATGCTGGAATTTAAGTCATTTAAATAGGTCAAGTATTGGTGACACTTGAGGTATAATTTATCTTGAGGTAAATTGCTCTCCAGCTATGAAGAACCTGTGAAATCAAACATGTCCTGTGCATTATATACAATGTTGAGACAGGCATAGGATGGACATTGTCATTCTAAAAGGGACAAATAGAAAAGAAAAAAGAAGTGACAGGTCTAAGGTAAATGTAAAACCTAATGGGGCAGGCAACATGAAACATTAAAGCTTGAGAATAATCCTTTATGGCTCAATGCTTTGCCTTCCAGACCTACTATTTTTGTGGTCCCAAATCCACATCTCTCATGGGTGAGAGTTGTATGTTTGTGACTCTTGTAGGCAGCAATTCTGGCTCAATGGGGTTCCAGGCTTGCACCTTCCCCAGGCTGGAATCATACACTGGTGGCTCTGCTGGTCTGATGTCACGGAGGCAGCCTCACCCCCTTGTCTCCACTGGGCATTGCCCTAGTGGGAACCTTTTGCCACGGCCCTACCCATGCTGCTGCTCTCTTCCTGGGCCTCTTGGCTATCCTGGTTGGAGTCCTGTGCCCATGGCTCTGCTGAGAAGTCCTGCCTTTGAAATATAGGTGGAGGTAGCAAGGCCCCCCTGGCTTTGCTGGGTGCACCCCTTTTCACAGGTCTCTGTGTGGGCCCCACCCCTGAGCCACTGGACAGGGGTATCCTGGCCCATCTGGACTGGAAACGTGGCCCCACCCTTTTGAAACTATTCTGACCTAGACCCTTGCACTCTGGGTCTGTGATGGGAGGTAAAGTCCTGATAACATCTGAACTGTTATTATTCCATCATCTTAGGGAATAGCTTCTGGCTTCTATTGAGATGGCTGATCAATACTAACATCCTTTTCAAATAGTTGCCGGGCTACACCCTTAGTGTTTTCTTCTGACCATGATTTCTCTGTTTTTACGGTAGGGATATGCTGAGAATTTTCCAAATCTTTGAGTTCTGCTTCCTTTTCACTTAATAATTCTGTCTTTAAGTCAGTCATTTCTTTATTTCTTAAATTTTACTAAGAGCACTAAAGAGAAGCCAAGCTGCACCTTTAAGACTTTGCTTAGAAATTTTCTCAGCTGAATATATCCAATTTTATTGGTCACAAGTTCTACTTTCCACAAAACACTAGAACACAAACACAATTCAGCCAACTTTTTTTTAACCACTTTCTAACAAGGTTAGTCTCTCCTCCAGTTTCCAAAAGCATCTTCCTCATTTCCTTCTGACACCTTATCAGAATGACCTTCACAGTCTGTATTCCTACCAATATTCTGTTCAGAATTTCTTAAGCATGCTCTAAGAAGATTGAGGCTTTCTCTACCACTCTCTCTTTTTTTTTTTTTTCCAGGACCTTACAAGAATCACCTTTAAAGTTCTGTTCTCAGCAATGTAGGCTTTTTCTAGCATGCATTCCAAGCTTTTCCAGCCTCAACCCATTCCCCAGTTCAAAAGTTGCTTCCATGTTTTTAGGTATTAATTACAGCAGCACCCCACTTCCAGGTACCAATTTATGTCTTAGTTCATTCAGGTTGCTAGAAAAGAGTACCATAGCCTGGGCGGCTTTTAAATGACATTTGTTTCTCACAGTTCTGGAGTCTAAAATATCCATAATGAAGGCATGGGTAGATCTGGTATCTGAGGAGGGACCACTTCCTGGTTCATTAACAACCTTCTGTTTGCTGCGTCCTCACATGAAGGAAGGGGCAAGAGAGCTACCTGGGATCTCCTTTGTAAGGACACTAATACCATTAATGAGGGCTTTATCCTTATGACCTAATCACCTCCCCAAAGCTCCACCTCCATATACCATCACATTGGCAATTAACTTTCAACATATGAATTTGGGGGAGATATAAACATTCAGTATATAGTAGTTTGTCTCTTCTTTCTTCTTCTTCTTGTATTTTTTATTATACATATCTTCTATCTTTGTAATTGTTCCACAGCTCTTAGATATTTTGTTCTGCTTTAATTTTTTTCAGTCTGTTTTCTTCTCTTTCCAGTTTTGGAAGTTTCTCTTGATATATATCCTCAAGTCCAGAGATTCTTGCCTCAGCCATGTCCAATCTACTAATAAACTTATCAAAGGTATTCTTAATTTCTCTTAAAGTATTTTTTATCTATAGCATTTCTTTTTGGCTATTTCTTTGAATTTCCGTCTCTCTGTTTACATTGCCCATCTGCTCTTGCATGTGTCATTTATCCCTTAGAGCCCTTAGCATCTTAATCACAGTTTTTTTTCTTCTTTTCTTTATACTTTAAGTTCTGGGATACATGTGCAGAACGTGCAGGTTTGTTACATAGGTATACACGTGCCATGGTGGTTTGCTGCACCCATCAACCCGTCATCTACGTTACGTATTTCTCCTAATGCTATCCTTCCCCTAGCCTCCAACTCCCCAAACAGGCCTTGGTGTGAATCACAGTTGTTTTAAATTATTTGTCTGATAATTCTAACATCCCTGCCATGTCTGGCTCTTTACTTGTTAGAACAGAGTGGCAGCATCCAAGCTCTGATGCTTGCTTTCTCTTCAAACTTTGCTTTTGCCTTTTAGTATATGCTATGGTTTGAATATGTTTCCCAAGGTTCATGTGTTGGAAACTTAATCATTGCTGTGACTTAGATATGGTTTGTTTGTCCCCACCAAAACTTATGTTGAAATTTGACCCCGAGTGTGATAATACTGGGAAGTAGGGCTTAGCGGGAGGTAGTTGGGTTATGGAGATGGATTTCTCACAAACGATATGGTGCTGTTCTCATGGGAATGGATTTAGTTCCTGAGAGAGTGGGTTGTTATAAAGCCAGGACGACCCTCAGGTTTCCTTCTTTTTGTACACGTTCATTTCCCCTTTGACCTTCTCTGCCATGTTGTGATACAGCATGAAAGTCCTCACCAGAGTCACGGCCAAGCCCTTAAACTTCTCAGCCTACAGAACCATGAGCTAAATCAACGTCTTTTCCTTTTAAAGCACCCAGTCTCAGGTATTCCTTCATGGCAACACAAAACAAAGACAATCCCCACTGCAACAGTGTTGAGATTTCAGATTTTTAAGAAGTGATTAGTTCATGAGGGCTCTCCCCTCATGAATGACTTAATGCTGTTATCGCAGGAGTGGGTTTCTGATAAAAGGATGAGGTTGGCCCCCTTCCCACTCCTGCATGCTTTTTTGCATTTCTGCCATTCTTCCATGGGCTGACACAGCAAGAAGTCCTTTGTTAGATTTGCCCATCAACCTTGGACTGCCCGGCCCCTAAAACCACAAGCTGAATAAATACCTATTCATTGTAAATTACCTAGTCTCAGGTATTCTGTTATGGCAATACAAAATGGGCTGAAACAGTATGCCTTGTAATTTTTTCTTGATAGCTGAACATGGTGTACTGGGTGAAAGGAAGTGCTGTAAATAGGCCTTTACTAATATGGTGATAAGGTGTTGGAAGAGGGGAAACTTTCTATAGTCCTATGATTAGGTCTCCATCTTTTAGCAAGCCTATTCCTCTGGACTCTGAACATCACAATTGTTTCTTAGGCCTTCCCTTTCTAAGTGGAATAGGACAGCTAGAATAGGCTGGAGTTGTTTATTTCAATTCCCTTAGGTGAGTTAGGCTCTGATAAAACCCCAGCAGGTTAGGCTTTGGTTAAACAGTTTCTCCTAAGAGCAGACCTTGTTAAGAACAGAGCGCTCTGGCATATATCAAAATGATTTTTCTTTCCTTCCTACTGCCAGAAGCACAATGTAGTTTTCTTCAATAGTTAGTCTGATAATCTGGTCATGCTGCTGATGGTAAAACTTACAAAAGCATGGTGGCCCCCTTGTGACTAGGTCTTCCAGAGTTTTTATCTCTCAGACTTGTGTACACATAGCCTCCAGCAATTCACCAATTACAGTTTAGGTTTTCCTACCCCAGCAGTGGCTCCCATGGAGGTTTCTGCTCCAGTATATTGTGATTCTCTATATCTGCCTGTCCATCTTGCTAATTTTGGGGGCAACGGTTTGCCCTGTGACCTCACTTCTCTTATGGACTCAAGAAGAGTTGTTGATTTTTCAGTTAGCTCAGCTTTTACTTGTTAGAACAGAGTGGCAAATTCCCAGCTCCTTACATGTGAAATTGGAAACTGGAAGTCTTGGAGCTTACTTTTTCAAAATTAAAAACACAGTGATAAACAGTCACAAAGCAGCTTCATTTAACTTTTCCAAAATATTTCTCAGGCCATTCTCTTTCAGACATTCAAAAAGAAAAAGTTTCTAACTTTAAAATAATTAAATGACAAATGGTAAAACCTGCTAGTTATCTCCCAGTGGCTGTTCCCATGGTGGTAGGGCCTCAGATGTGTGGCCATTTGCAACGGACACGGCATTTCTAGCTTGCAGCCAGGCACAGAAAATAGCAGGAGAGCGAGGTATGTTCCTCTCCTCTCTTGTCTTCTGACCCTTTCCCTGTTCTGCTCCTCTGGAATGTAATGCTGCCATGTTGAGACTGTGAGGTTGAAGCCTTCAGGAAAGAATACCAAGATGAATGGAGTCTGAGTTCCTGACAACATGGAGCATCATGCCAGCCATGAACCACTTCCGAGACATCCCTATGAGAAAAAATAAACTTCCATGTTCTTTAATTTATCATTTTGGAGGGTTTTCTGTTATTTGCTGCAAAACCTAATCTTAACTAATACAGACATTGAATCTGAAATTCCCAGGAAAATCCCTGTAAACCTGTTGCTTGCCACAAATAACTGGCTTCTACCAGTAGCATTCTACTAAAAAAAAACCGTATGTGGCATTATCCCTTATTTATAGATAAAGAAAATAAGGGCCAGAGAAGTTTCCATTCAGATTCTGAATCTAATGCTCTTCATAAGAAACTGTTTTGCATGCTAACTAATGAATAATAAATTAGAATACAGAGTCAATGTCAGCCTTTTGTATACAGTTCTGTATTTGTTTCAAGATATTAACCTCATCTAGTTATTCACAACCACCCTTAAAGCAGGTTCTTAAATGACAAGACTGAGGCCCAGAAAGTGTCATCTGTACAAGGTAACACAACTGGACAGTGAACTAGTTTCCTGGTTTCCAGTTTTTTTATGATTTGTGTCATATTCTTCACCAATCTTTTAAAGCCTCATCCATCATAAAGTATATTATTTAACATTTTATTCACCAAGTTTGATCACTAATATTTTCCATCCCCATTGTAGACTACAGGCTGTCCTTTTCACACTTAAATCTGTGAAACTGAGAGAAGAGCATGAGAATCAAGAAGATGTTATTGTTTATTCAATAAGGTAATGTTTACTTCCACATCTGGGAGGGAGGAGATTTTGAAAGGAAGAATAGACAAGGAATATATATGACTTAAAACACTCTCTGAGTTCAAGGAAACAATCCTTTTAATTGTTACTGATACTGTTGGACATAGATAACAAATAATATATCATTTCGATCCTGTAAAAAATCAAGCAGTCTATTCATTGACTAAAATAATAAAGCCTGACTGAAAAATCCACATGCAAAAAATCCCAATGGCTGCTTTGCATGCTCTAGTTAGTTCAAGCTGAAATTTTTAATATGCGGTTTGCATTTGCTTTCATGCCCCAGTGCACTCAAATTTCAGTATTATTCAGTTTCTTGAGGATCCCAAATATGAACAACCTTAATAAACAATATTTTCCTCCACTTCCTATATGAGCGTTTAAGGTTATTGCTCTATATTGCTTTTGCTGTAGCCTGAGATCATCAAAAGGATAATTGGTATATGTAATGAGCTGACCTTGACATCTTCTTCAACCAACTTTAAAAATAAACAATTTTTGGTGGGTCTCTGATGGATTCTCTTTTTTAATTTGTCTGCTTTTCTTGTGTATTTTATTCCTTTTTGCTTGTGTGGCAAAGGCACTGAATGTTGATGACTGAAAGTTTGGATCTTTTCCAGGCATTTATTTTGGGACAAGTTCTCAGTCTCTTGGCACAAATACCTACCTGCCACCCCCGTCCTGCCCTCTCCTCCCCACAGTATGACCGACATACATCTACCCTTTCTCCCTTATGTACTGGGAAGAGTGGGAGTTCTTCTGACAATCTCTATAAACTTAAGTATTTATAGAAAATTTCTGGGTAGACATAGATAAGGCCTAGGGAGTTTATTAAGGATAATAAAACTAGTTGCTTTACTTTTTTTAAATAAAATATTCTTAAACCACTTCTGAGCCATTCTATCATTAAATTTGCTTCTACCTTGAAACTTTCCTTAATAGTCAATTCTTGCGCAACTTCCTTTTTCCCTTTGACAGCATGAAGCATTTTATTCACATGAGTTTTCCTGGTATAAACATTTGTATTTTAAGGAGTTGGAAGATGCAGCTCACGGTAGACTCTTCTCTCTTTTCTACATCCCACTATTCATTTAAGGATCCTAATTCTTAGAGTTTGCACTTTCATATTCTCATGCCATAATATTCTGAGTATGGTGAAGCTTTGAAATGCAAGTTAGAAGGTCTGAATGTTACTAGATTGACTTTGATTAGTCAATAACCTCTTTACTTCTTATTGGTGAAACACATGTATAATAACTAGAAATCAACTGATCTATACATTTGCTTTGACAAATAAGTGTAAGTAAAGTTAGAGAAACAGTGCTGGGTAAATAGTGCATAAAAGAATTGCAAAGAAAGGGATTCTTGTTATTTAATTGGCTTGAATTAAAGAAAAAACAGTTTTTTCAAACATTATAACATGATTAGCTTAAAAAGACCTTCCTGCTGAATAGTGTAAGATATTTTTTCAAAATATACCTCAATAATAATAATAATTTTTCAGCAGTCCTAAGAGTGTAAGTAAAATAATATTATATGTTTTGTTTTTTTAAAAGAGTAAAGTACTCTCTTTTATGCCTCCTCAATTCATTCCTTCTCTTGTTCCAAGTTCCATATTAGGTCCAAGTTCCATATTAGGCATAAAAATTCCTGTAATTATTTCATATCCCAACAGTTTCTACCTCTGAACTGTTCTTTATATATTTCATATAACTTATTACATTTATTCTAATACTTTCTTTTACACAATGTTATTGTTATTCTCTAGAATTTTAAGAAATGTCCTCCATCTTCTAAACTGAATTTTAATTTACTCGAAAAAAATGATTGCATAGTCTCATTTACTCTCAAAGTTTTATCTACTAATGCAGAATAAGTCTTAAGAAATTATTCAAGATTTAGCTTTGTCTGCAGTTCTTTTGCATTGGAATGTATAAACATTACTGTAGGCTCAATTCATATTAGTCTACTTAAGTAAACAAGAAACAGTTAATTATGATCAATTTCTCAAACTTATATACTATTTCCTTCAAGAAAAGAACTTTGTTTTGACATGTGTAACATTCACTGTAATCCACTGTAGTATCAAAACAAAAATCTTTGTGTTATGGAAAGGGAAGCAATAACTAAAGTTTTGCAATAAACATATTTTACATTTTACTGTGTTCTATGTTTTACAAAAATGTTTTTATGTGCCTTTTGAAGGTAAAAACAAAACACATTTTAATGTTATAACATCGTTTAATAACGAATATTAGGTTTTACTTGGAGTTATTTGAGAAACAATAAGGCATGGTGGAAATATTAGAATCAGAATGCCTAAGTTTGAATCTTGACCCCATCACTTGCAAGCTGTGTGAACTTTGTCAAGTTACTTAACCTCTCTGTGTCTCATTTTCTTCATCTGTAAAACAGGAATGATTACAATAATTGGTTGTAATATATTAATACATATCATGCATTTAAAGTCAGGCCTGGAACTTAATTAGCACTGGGTAAGTTTCTGCTTATATTATTATTTGGGGAAAATTTTCAATGTATCATGATTTTTTGTTGTATTCAGATTTATTATCTAAAATATAATATAAAAATGGATCTACTGGAGTTGATAAAATAGTTTTATTTCTCTAATTGTGATGCAAGAAACATAGGTATAACCAGAGTGTGTTAAACTTTCCTGTAAGCTATGCTCCACCAAGTACATCAGACAATTCATTATTATGTGCTCAATAGATACCTGCTTGTTGTCAATTAACTGCATAGCTGACTTTCTATTGCTGGATAAGTGTTAAAATTTAGTCTCTTTAAATTTATTTTGCTTGCTTAAGTGGCAGGCTTTTTTGGATAATTGAAATATACACACAGAAGTTATATATATATATATATATATATATTACACACACACACATATATATATATCTTCTTTAGTCTTCTATATATGACAAAAAACATATTTTATAAAGAGTATAAATCTCTCCAATGCTACTCTATTCCTCTGATAAGTATCCTTATAATCCCATTTTCCAGAGGTTTGCTTCATATTCCCCCTAGTTTTTTATATGCCATGTAAGCATAGCTATGTGTTTATATATATGCATACACAGGATGCTTTTTCTCATAAAATTGGGATTTGCCACTCATAATGATCTTCTATTGTGTTTTTTCATATCACGTACTTCTTACTTGATTAATACATATAGACATCACCTTATTCTTTTCTAATTTCTTTTGAAAATTCAGAAGCATGTAAAAACATATGTACAATGATATATGTAGCTATATAGTGAACATCCATACATCCATTACTCAGGTTAAGAAGAACATTGCCAGTATATCAGAAACTCTATCTAATAGCTACAATAGTGTTCCAGTTTATGTCTATATCTTAATTCATTTCACATTCACTTATCAATAGATATTTAAGTTGCCCCTAATATTTTGCAGTTACTAATAATGCTGTAATGAACATCTTCTATTTTACTTTTACATTCTCATGTAGCTGTGCCTACATGATGAATTCTTAGAAGTGAGATTCGTAGGTAATAGGATGTATACTTTTCATATTTGAACAGAAAAAACTAAATTATCCTCCAAAAGTTTGTGTAGATTTGTACTTCTACCAACAGTATAATAGAGTTCGTTTCCCCAGACCCAGCACATATCCAACAGTTGTTGTTTTCAATATTTTTAATTTTTCTAATCTGATTAGAAAAAATTTATATTTATTTTAATTTCTATTTCTTAGCTGGTGAAGTTTAGCACAATTTTATATATTTATTATGTACTTGTATTTCTTTGGAGAATTGCCCTTTCATGTACAAAACCCATTGATACTACTGGATTTGTTTATGCTTCCTTACTAATTTGTAGTAATTCTTTATAAAACAGATATATAAGTCCTTTGTTATATGTCACATGGATTTTCTTCCGGGTATTATTTTAAAGTTTTTTATGTATCACTGAATGCTTGAAGGTACAGATACTGTAAGGTTCAAGAATTAATATTTAATAAGCTATTTTTTTCACACATATTTCCTCACAGTATTTTAACCTCTTACAGAAAGGTTATTTAAAGCGGTTGGATTACTGAATGTAAAACTGCATTTGCCATTTTGGTTTCCATTTGTGGATATGCACCTACAAATCAACTAATTTGTGCTTAATTTTTTTCATTCTCATGGACAGAGGGTGTTAAATTGCTAAGAACCCTGTAGTCTTAGAGGACCATTTTAGAGGTGTGTATCTAGTTTTCCAAAGAGGCAATTTATTTCTATATCAAATGAATCTTTATATAAAAGCTATCTATTCTTCAGTAAAAGTGCAATTACACTAGTTTAGAGTTAAATTAATTCTCAAGACTTCAAATCACCTTTCTTAACAAACGTTTTTTTTCGTTTGTTTGTTTTTGAGACAGTGTCTCACTCTATCGCCCAGGCGGGAGTGCAGTGGCGCGATCTTGGTTCACTGCAACCTCCGCCTTCTGGGTTCAAGCGATTCTTGTGCCTCAGCCTCCTGAGTAGGTAGGATTACAGGAGAGTGCCACCACACCTGGCTAATTTTTTTTTTTTTTTTGTATTTTTAGTAGAGATGGGGTTTCACCATGTTGGCCAGGCTGGTCTTAACTCCCGACCTCAGGTGACCTGCCTGCCTTGGCCTCCCAAAGTGCTAGGGTTACCGGCGTGAGCCACCATGCCCGGCATTAACAAAGGTTCTTATATGTACCTCTAGTGTGTCTCTTGGCATATTTCTAGAAGTTTTTTGTTTCTAGTATTTGTTTTATTTCTAGAATTTGTTATGAAAGAAACTTTGAATGTGATTGATAGAAAGGTGAGAAAATCCTAGAAAAACTGATAATCTATTAAATAATAGCTTGGATTCTTTATATATTGCTAATATAAAAGAATAATTGCTCTCTATATAGAGAAAACTATGCTTAACATTATGTGTACAAGAAAAAGAACACACTTTTTCAAAAGTTATTAAATTAAAAATCATAGCCAATGTTTTAATGGGTTATATACCTCTGAGAAGTAAGGAATGTGTCTTATTGACAGCCTGTAAATAGTACAGATATTCTGTCACTTGAATTTTTAAAATTTGCTGTTTTCTAATTTGATTTAAAATTTTTTGGTTTAGTATCTATAGAAAAAAATGAAAGAATAACCTATTTTGAGAAACAGGAACATCTGATCTATACTTTCTAAAGACTGTAACAATCTTCACAACATAATTTCTCTCTAAATATGTTTAGTACATTTAATGTGTTTTTAGTATGTTAGCAAATAAATATATTCTCTCTATTTTTTCATTCTCTGCTAATTGTATCCCGCTTGTTGTTTAGTTTATATGCATGAAGTAACTGAATGCTGGCAAGAGCTTTTAGCTGGGCTCAGCTTTTAGCAAGCCAAAAAATTTTGAAAGAAGACGGGCATTCTTTAGCTTCCAAAATGTTGACTCTGGATTTAGCAGCCACTAAGTAATAATAGACTACCCACTGCCTCAAAGGTCAGAACCACAGACTGATTAGGACATCATGATTATGTGAAGAAAGAAACATTGGGTTATCTAGTGCCAAGTTTGAATGGGATTGTGTTCTGTGACCTACTTTCCTTAGATCAGTTTGCTCTCTATGGATAGAACATGCAGCAGTATTCTCTGGAGACTATTAACAGTTATTATTCAAAATTTAAAGGTTTTAAAGAAGTCATATTAATTATTCTAGCCTACGCAGCGATATTATCGATATGGTTAATTTGTTTGAACTATATGATGTAAAGAACATTATAATGTACAAAAATAAAGACAAGCAATGTTACTGGAAGACTTGATGTAATCAAGTATTATAAACTTCACTGCTACCTATGTAGGTTACACAGATCGCGTTACATTGTTGATAGATACATATTTAAATAACAGTTTTAGTCACATACATAAAATTCATCCTTTTAACATGTACAATTCAGTGGTTTTTAGTATATTTACAGAGTTATACAACCATCATCACTATTTAATTTCGGAATATTTTTATCAATCCAAAAACAAGCCCTATGCCATTAGCAGTTACTCCCCAAAGGTGGTTCTTTGGAATAATTGGCAAAATTGATAAGCCACTGACTAGACTGACCAAGAAAATAAGAGAAAAAACACAAATAACAAATGCAGACTTGAAAGAGATAATAAGAGTATATTTTTATTATATTATCATAAACAACTTTGTCAATAAATTTGAAAATTTAGATGAAAATTTCAAATGGACAAGTTCCTAGGAAAACATACTATACTAAAGGCAAAGAAAAAAGACAAAAAACTGAATAGTAACCATTCTAATAACTGTTACAGAAAATGAATTCATGTTCAAAATCCTTTCCACAAAGAAAAGTCCAGGTCCAGATAACTTTACCAGTGAATTGCATCAAAAATTTAAGGAAAAGATGAATCTCTTCTGTTAGAATCTATTCTGATAGATTAGGATCTGTTCTAACACAAACTCTTCCATAAAATAGAAAGTAAGCAACTTTCTTTCTGTTTCAGAAGACCAGCATAACCTTGTCACCCAAATTCAAGGACATTATGAGAAGAGAAAATTACGAGGGAAACATTTTATTATCTCAATGATGCAGAAAAAGCATTTGATAAAATATAACATCCTTTTTTGATAAACCGAAAAATTGTAACTAGGAATATAAAGGAACTTCATTAATCTGATAAGGGTCTCTACAAAGAAACAATTAGCAAATATAATACCTACTGGAGATATGCCAAAAGCTTTATCTTTAATATCTGGAGGAAGGCAAGGATAATCACTATCACCACTTATATTCAGCCTTGTTCTAGAGGCCTGAGCAAGTGCAGTAGGGTGAAAAAAACATACACTAAAAATTTTTTTTTTATTATACTTTAAGTTTTAAGGTACATGTGCACAATGTGCAGGTTTGTTACATATGTGACATGTTGGTGTGCTGCACCCATTAACTCGTCATTTAACATTAGGTATATTTCCTAATGCTATCCCTCCCCACTCCCCCCACCCCACCACAGGCCCTGGTGTGTGATGTTCCCCTTCCTGTGTCCATGTGTTCTCATTGCTCAGTTCCCACCTATGGGTGAGAACATGCTGTTCTCACTCATAGGTCACATGTTCTAACACACACTAAATTTATAAGAGTGATATCCCTTTCCTATTCAGATATTGACCTGCAGAAAAATAAATCTTTTATAATTTAAAACAAAATAAAAAATGCTATTGAAATTACTCCTTAATCAGCTTAACAGGTTTTACTAGAAACATCCTACCTATGCCTGACTCACTGTAGAGAGTATAAACCAGACAGGAAGCAATGTGTCTTGCAGTGAATTAAAGATAAGCGAATAAAATCATCTTTTAAAAAGAACTAACTCACTGTTAAGGTCTTTTCTGATTATGGGCTATGTTCCATGGGTTTAGTAGTAATCATTACTTTATTTCAATTGTAGATTTACTTAGGAAATAAATAGTATTTTCTTATTGATTGAATGACTTAATTTATTCTGATGTTCAGCCAGGTTTCTTATCAAAAGTGGCAGAAACTAATTGGCTAACTGAAGTGAAGGGAATTTCTAGAGAAGGCTTCAGGGTCACAGAACTTAGAGGAGACTGGGGCATGGGAGGCTTGTAAATAGGCAGGAACCAAAAGGTCACCAGAGCCAAAAAGCATGAAGCAGCTGGGAGTTATTGCATCCACGCTGGATGGTCTGATCAGGGTGCCACCACCACTGCTGCCACCGTCCTCCAGTCCTGGCATCACTCATACCTACGAAGTGCCATGAGCAACCATCTGACTCACCTCACTCATGTGCTGGGCTGCCCAAGTCTTAGTTCTCACTTTAAGACTACACAGTTAATTCCCCAAGAAGAAACTGGCTAAGTGTCTTTTACATAGCAAGAAGCAGAAACATATGTTTTCGTCTTTTAAAAATAATTTTGAATTTTGTTAATGGCATAGGTTTTACTCAAGCATACATATCACAACATTAGAAGGGACTTTACTCTTCCTTTAGCCAAAACTCTTATGTTGAATTAGGCATTAAACAAGAAATAAAAGTGAGTATTGGCATTGAAGAGTGAAATATTAATATATGATGAACCTTTGTGAATAAGTCATGTGTGAAACAGCCTTGTCGGAATCAAAAGGTAAGAGTGCATTCCACATTCTTTGCAGAACTAGAGAAGAGTGTTGCATTCAGGTCATGACCCCGCCGTATTTTCAATTACCTAACTAGCCTCTTCACATGGTTTCCTACATCAATGCATTCAGTTTGGGGCGTTCTGAGGTTGAGCTCAAGCTCAATATGTATAAAACTGAACTCATCTCTTCCACACCTGCTACTTCTCCTGTTTTCCCAATATTGATAAATGCACCACTATCCAATCTAGTCACATAATCCAGAAACTCAGGATTCATAGATGATCATTCCATATCTTACCCTACACATGCTGTCATACCACTACATTCTGTCAATTCTTCCTCCATCTTGCTTTTTGAATGTGTGCCTTCCTCCCTTCCCTTTTGCTAATATCTTGGTTCAAATTCATGGTATCTGTATTTCTCACCACCCAACTTATCTTGCAGTTTAGTTTAATTTTAGTAGGTCCCATTGTTGCCAGTAAGCCAGTTCAGGTTCTTGTTTTTGCTTCACAAAATAATTTGAGAATGAGTCCAAAGTAAGAGTAAGCAAAGAAGTTTATTGCAAAGCAAAAGTGCACTTTGAGAGGCAGAATGGGTTACTCCAAGGGAGAGACAGCAGTTAGTGCCTTAGGAGGAATTTCTTTTATGGGAGTGGTACATACATATTCATAAAATACTGGTGAGGTCAAGTATGTAAAGGTAGACCTGCAGCTGGCACATGTACTCAGTATCTACATGCTTTAACAGGTATCACATGTAACATTAGCAAATAAAATCTCCACCTAGGGCTGTCTTTTTTACTATTAAAATGAGGAAAATGTTACTATTAATATAAGCTAAAACTTGACACTTGTTGCATATGTGGGATCCTGGAGAAGTCCCTGTCCCCCAACCTCCAGGCAGGAATTTGTAGCTAATAGCTTCTTGGGCTTTTGGTGCTGATTGGCTGGAGATGGGGGAAGCTACATCAGGAATATGGGGCTTCTGTTCTCTTTCCCGGGCCATCCTGGGTATCAGAAACTTGTAACCATCTGGTGGTCTGCTCATATAATGTAGGATCACCTATCTTGCAAAAGAGTTAGGTGCTGATGCACAAAGGTGCAGGTGAAAAGGACCCACTGGTGAAAGATGCCTGCTAGGCTTCACAAAAGGGGACAAATCTGTATGGCCTTCTACCCTCACCCTGCCTCACCATAGGATATCAAGTGTAGGCCATTAATTGCAGTGTCAGCCATATATCTCACGACTTATTCCCATTTTATCTGGGCTACCTAAATTCTGAATATATCCTCCATTTTCATGTAACTTAGCTTTTAATATGTTGCTGTTTAGTTAATCTTTCTACCTGCTTCAATCACTGCTGTCCTTCTTGTTTGCTTGGTAAACTTCTACTCCAAACTTCCAGTTTCAGTTTTACTGAATTTTCCCTGAAGACCTTCCCATATCAACCACCACCTTCCCAAGTAGACTCAAGCAAAGATTTCCTCTGAGCTCCCATAGCACCTGTACATACTTCCCTAGATCGCTTCCATACTCATTATTTGTTTATATGTCTGTTTTTCCTTTTGGACTGGAAGCTTCTTGAGTGCTGGGACTGTTGCTCGTTTACAGTTGTGTTTTCTCCCCTTAACACATGCATTTAGTGCCTGGTTCACCATAGGCAATGAAACATGATTGTTTAATAAATGAATGAAGCATGCATCATTGAATAGAGCATGTAGACAAAGATGAGACTGTAGAAAACTCCAGAAGTCAAGCTGAGGGAGTGCCTTTGTACCCTGACTGTGTCCTGCCTTTTACCCAAGCTGCACTCAAAATGGAGGAACTTCAGGAAAGTAGCCCTTATCAATCCCAGATTCTAAAACCTCTTCTCCCTTGTTTTCCCCAATTATTATTTCCTCATTGCATACCTAGACTACAAACTCTGCCTTCTGCTCCCATTTCTAGCCTAGAACTTGCCTCGGAAACACCTCACCGTGGATTTGGTCCATTCACCTGTGAGCCTCAGTGTTCCTCCTTACACACAGTTTATTCCGTCTTCTTCTTGCCATTTTATCTCAAGTGACTACATTCTGAGCCAGCCTTTGACCCCCCAGACTATGCTTCAGTGTTGGTTCTTATGTCCCACACTGCTTTGAGGGGTCAGGCCTAAAGGTAGGGAGAGATGTATAAGGCAGTGCCATGATAAATATCAGCCTAATTTCACGAGAGAAATAAAAGAGTCACGGGAGAGAGTCCAGAGTACCACCCTGACAATTTTATCTGAAAACATCTCTTTGTTTTAATGCCGCTTTTCATAGCCTAGTATACACATACCACATGAGTCCACACATGCATGCCTTCTTCCTTTCATTTATTTCTTTTGGCCTTTATTGAGCTCTTTCTGATCACCAATCACTATGCTAGGCTCTAGAATAAAATATTTCAGAATAAAGAAGTTTCCCCTGCTCTTCCAATTGCTTATAATCTGGGAAGGAAAGATAGTTCCATGAGTGATAATTACAGGATAATAAAATAAATATGTCAATTGAACACTGGCCCAATAGTAACAAAGCAAAGGGAAATGCAGTCATAAAGGTAACACCGAGTGCCTGACAAACCAAGAATATTAAATACTTCATCCGAGGCTCTCCGTAACCCGCCCTATCCTATCTTTTCCAACCTTATTTCTTTATACTGTTACATACTCTAAACTCCAACCAAAGGTAAGACTACCATAGAAGATGCCCATTATGAAATTTAGACAGTTTATTTTGGGGATACATTTTCTTATAGTTCCATGAATACCAAAAGGGCTATGGCAACAGCTTGTAATTTCTATAGTCTTGTAATTCAACATGGCAAAGTAAGGTTGATCTATTTTGGGAAGGTATTTTGATAGGGTAACTTTGTGTTAAATATAGTCAGCCTTCTGCTAGCATTATGTATAATGACAAATAATCTAAATGTAGTTTCACAGATAATCTAAAGTCACGTGCAGGTTTACAATGTATTTTCTGCCTTCCTGCTCTGCCATCTCTCCTAGGAAGGATATCCCATAGTTTTGCCCTTTTTAGGCTAATGTTAACAATCACAATTTAATGTTAACAAACATTTTCTAACCACATGCCACTGTTGATATGTTTCTGATGGATAATGAGGAAGGAAACTGTTTAACAACTAAACATTGTCTTGCATTATCCCTAAATGCATAATCAGATATATGTTAAAATGACACATTTTTCTCTTGTGTGTGTGTGTGCAAACAACTTGCATAAAAATAGTCTAACTTCTGTACCAAAGAGGTGTACAATACATGTAACTATAGTGTTCACTTGTAGTATGTTAGAACCCACCTTTGGGTGGAGTTACACTACTGCCAACGGATTTAGTTGTTGTGGTTTATTCTAACACTTTCGGTCACTTTGAACAATCAAGGGTGTTTGATCCAACGTTAGAAGACTGCATTTCATGAGAACCAAGACAACATCTACTACAGCTGTCTGGGCCAGCAGCGTGCGTCACACCACAGACAGCCTGCCCAGCCACTTCTTTCCGGTTCCTGTTTTTGTCTGAAAATGGCAAAGTTGGGAATTAAAAATTAGTTGTAAGAGCCCCCAAATGTAATTCTTTGTAATCAAATGTAACTGTTGGCAAAAGCACATTTGTTTTTGAAATCAAATATAAATGTGCATACAGTATTGATTCCTTTTTAAAATAAATTTAAATATATCTGATGAAGCAGCACAGTTACACCCTTTTCCTTCTGCATTTTTAATCTTTATCAGAACACTAGCTCTCCAGACTTAGATTACAAGTGTGCTCTGTTTCCCTTTGCCTCAAACTCTTTCCTTGGTAACTAACTGCACTGCTGCTTCTGTGGCCTCATTTTAATTTCATGCTTCAGCAAATGCAATCTGGCCCTGCTCTCAACAAACTGCTTAATCAAAGCTTGCCCATCTCCCAACCTCATTGGCCACTTTCAGGTAATCATTTTATCAGTCTTTTTTAAAGTCTTCAACACCAACTATCTATGCACTCTTCTCTTTACTGTTGTTAACTCGCAAATATCTTTCAGTCCTCTTTTCCACTCTAACTCTTAGATTTGTGCTGAATGTCTTTGGACCTTTTCTTTCCTCTCTCACTTATTTTCTTCCACAGCTTTTTTTTTTAAATGCTAAAATGAACTTAAAAACACAAAAGTAATGAATGTCTGTTGTAACAATACAAAGAGTACAGTGAACTATCCAGTAACAAATTAGCTGTCTTTCCTTCTTCCCATATGTATACACACATACATTTATATATTTGTATTTACATATATGTATATCATATATTCATACATATATGTATTTACCAATGACTTTCTTCACAGAATTGGAAAAAAACTACTTTAAAGTTCATATGGAACCAAAAAAGAGCTCACATTGCCAAGACAATCCTAAGCAAAAAGAACAAAGCTGGAGGCTTCATGCTACCTGACTTCAAACTATACTAAAAGGCTAGAGTAACCAAAACAGCATGGTACTGGTACCAAAGCAGAGCTATAGACCAATGGAACAGAACAGAGGCCTCAGAAATAACACCACACATCTACAACTATCTGATCTTTGACAAACCTGACAAAAACAAGAAATGGGGAAAGGATTCCCTATTTAATAAACGGTGCTGGGAAAACTGGTTAGCTATATGTAGAAAGCTGAAATTGCATCCCTTCCTTACACCTTATACAAAAATTAATTTGAGATGGATTAAAGACTTCAATGTCAGACCTAAAACCATAAAAACCCTAGAAGAAAACCTTGGCAATACCATTCAGGACATAGGCATGGGCAAGGACTTCATGACTAAAACACCAAAAGCAATGGCAACAAAAGCCAAAATTGACAAATGGGATCTAATTAAACTAAAGACCTTCTGCACAGCAAAAGAAACTACCATCAGAGTGAACAGCCAACCTACAGAATGGGAGAAAATTTTTGCAACCTACCCATCTGACAAAGGGCTAATATCCAGAATCTACAAAGAACTTAAACAAATTTACAAGAAAAAAAAATCAAATAACCCCATCAAAAAGTGGGCGAAGGATATGAACAGACACTTCTCAAAAGAAGACATTTATGCAGCCACCAGACACATGAACAAATGCTCATCATCACTGGTCATCAGAGAAATGCAAATCACAACCACAATGAGATATCATCTCACACAAGTTAGAATGGCAATCATAAAAAGTCAGGAAACAACAGGTGCTGGAGAGGATGTAGAGAAATAGGAACACTTTTGCACTGTTGGTGGGAGTGTAAACTAGTTCAACCATTGTGGAAGACAGTGTAGCGATTCCTCAAGGATCTAGAACTAGAAATACCATTTGACCTAGGGATACCATTACTGGGTATATACCCAAAGAATTATAAATCATGCTACTATAAAGACACATGCACACGTATGTTTATTGTGGCACTATTCACAATAGCAAAGACTTGGAACCAACCCAAATGTCCATCAGTGATGGACTGGATTAAGAAAATGTGGCACATATACACCATGGAATACTATGCAGCCCTAAAAAGGATGAGTTCATGTCCTTTGTAGGGACATGGATGAAGCTGGAAACCATCATTTTGAGCAAACTATTGCAAGAACAGAAAACCAAACACCGCATGTTCTCACTCATAGGTGGGAATTGAACAATGAGAACACTTGGACACAGGGCAGGGAACATCACACACCAGGGCCTGTTGTGGGGTGGGGGGTGGGGAGGGATAGCATTAAGAGAAATAACTAATGTAAATGACAAGTTAATGGGTGTAGCACACCAACATGGCACATGTATACATATGTAACCAACCAACACATTGTGCACATGTGCCCTGGAACTTAAAGTATAATTTAAAAAAATAAAATAAATAAAAATAAAAATAAATACCATTGTTATCAAGAAAAAAACACACAAAAGTAATGAATGTCTGTTGTAACAATATAAAGAGTACAGTAAACTATCCAGTACAAAATTAGCTATCTTTCCTTCTTCCTATATGTATACACACATACATTTATATATTTGTATTTACATATATGTATATACATGTATATTTTGTTACAAAAGTTGGGTCATACTAAACATTGTTTTACAACTTATTTTTTCCTTTAAAGAAAATCATGAATATCTTTCCTAATCAACGCATATGAAGACACCTAATTCTTTAAAAGGCTGCATAGTACTATACTTCTAAATTCTTTATGCACATCTCTGCGTGGTTATTCCACTAGCTAATCACACTCAACAAACAAAACCCCAAGTTATAATTTTCATTCTAAACTGTTGCATATCTCTAAACTGTATTATATATTTAGTTAATAGTATCACTATCCTTTGATGTATGTAACTTGAAAATGAGCATTAAAATTTTCCCTAAGTCATGAGCATGAATTTCTCTATTAGAAATGTTCCCTTGGGTGTGCCACAGACGCTTCAGGCTCTGCATTTCCCAAATTGGGTCTTCATTTGGTGGCACCACTCTCAGCCTAGTAGTTCAAGCCAAAAATCTGGAAATCAGCTGTTTCACATTCCATGTCCCTGAGTGTATCCAGTTTTGCCACCTATCTCTTGGTTTTGTTCTATCCACTCTGTGACACCCCTAGCTGTTTGATAGGGTCAGATATTAATTCATCTTTTGATATTTAGCACCTACCAAACTTCTGGCACAAAGTAAGTGCTCCATAAATTTTTTTTTTCTTTTTTTTTTTTTATTATACTTTAAGTTCTAGGGTACATGTGCACATTGTGCAGGTTAGTTACATATGTATACATGTGCCATGCTGGTGCGCTGCACCCACTAACTCGTCATCTAGCATTAGGTATATCTCCCAATGCTATCCCTCCCCCCTCCCCCCACCCCACCACAGTCCCCAGAGTGTGATATTCCCCTTCCTGTGTCCATGTGATCTCATTGTTCAATTCCCACCTATGAGTGAGAATATGCGGTGTTTGGTTTTATTGTGATAAATTGCACAGCATTTTTATTCCTTTGTCTTCCTCAGCAGCTATATCCAACCAGCTAACATCTCTTTACAATGCTACCTCCTCAATAGTAGTATTTCTCTTTTATTTCTTTTCCTCTCCACCACTGTTAGCATAATACAAGAGCTTATTCTCTTTTATTTATGCATCCAGTGGTATTTGTGAAATATGTGTGATTTGGGGGATATAAAGTTGTGGGAAACATGTCACCTGGCCTGGAGAAGCCCATGATGATTCACTGAGGGGACAGATAGACAAACAATCATTCAAGTAACTTCACTGATTTTCCATCCCATGGTTTTCCCCTAATCTTAGGACTCCTTCACAGCACGCTTAGACAAGGGTCTTAACATGTTGCCCAAGCTGGTCTTAAACTCCTGGGCTTGCATGATCCTCCCGCCTCAGCCTTTTGAATAGCTGGGATTACAGGCATGTGCCTCTATGCCTAGCTTCCCTCAGAGAGTAATCTTCATGTGATCACATTTTTTTTTTTTTTTTTGCTCAAAATCCTATAGCTTCCTATTTATTGCAGAAAAAAACTCACCATTTAGACTGGCAGTCAGGACTCTATGCCTTTTATATCCTATTTCTCCGCTTTCCCTTCCTCCTCTACTTCCTGATTTCTTGCCCATTTGTCAAAGATTAATTAAGATAATACCTTTTTCATGAAGTCTTCCAGGATCCTTCTAGGAATAATAAGCCTGTCACTTCTTTTGTGACAACATTAATGTGCATCCTGCTTTTGTTATAATTATTTATGTATGTATCTATCTTCATTATAAATTGGGACAAGAAAAGGATTTGAGAGGGTTTTTTTTTGACATCACAAAATGAGTACTAACAGAGATATAGGGGGCTTTGAATTTGAAGCTCATGTGTTATTCCATGTAAAGGTTATTCTATTTTTATATTATATAGTTCTCAATGACATTTCTGTCTATGAGCTTTATACAATCAAACACCATGATGGTAAAATTTATTTTATTTATAAAGAATATGATTATTTTACAAAATAACTTCTCACCAAATATAACTTAATTCTTTAGAAAGGATTTTATTGCCTAGAGCCACAGTGGAATTACATAGCAACGAGCCTTCATTAATGAAGAGTAATTATTTTACTGTGGTAATCTCAAATGCAAAGTAGTGCTACAATTGGTATATATATTATACTTGCCAAATGAATTAATACTGCTTACCCTTTTGATTAAAAGATCAAAGACTTTTTAATCAGGTCTTTGCACATTTTGCATATAATCTCCTGAATCCAGTAATAAGTGATAACAAACCTATCATTTATGTAAATGTTCAGAAGCTTGACAATAAAGTAATGAAACTTGAATTTGCTCTTATGGAAGAATGAGGAGTCCAAATATGTAATCTTTGCATACACATGCAAGGTAGGATAATTTATTTTTCTCCCCAGTTGAGAGCCCTTTACTGATGTAAAAGTGATTTTATGTTGCTTTTAGATCTTTATTTGATACATTGGGCTGGAGGGCAGATTACTGGAAAGAGCTGTGGTGAAATGCAAGCAGAAACATGGGCAGCCACGGAAGAACTGCATAATAGAGATTAGTTTTCCATGTATATTACAGTTAAAATTAAATAGTATTTATCTGAATATACTATATTTCTTAGTGTTAGAATTAAATTTTCTTATAAGATACATATTTTATTAAAATATTTTATTTCTACATTTTATTGAGACGCAATTTGGCTGTTGTAGGAAAAGGAGCATGGATTTTAGAGTCAGATAATCAAATGTGGCTTTGGGCAAGGTACTTATATTCACTTTACTTCAGCTTCTTCATTTATAAATCTTTAAAGGATTGTTGTGAGGATTAAATCAGATAAAATATGTAAAGCATCTAGCACAACTCTTGGCAGCATTCCTTTTCTCTTTCTATATGTTATATATATATATAAATTTTATTTGAAGGTAAGTAGCCTCTAGCCCTTATATTCTTGAATGCATATATTCTTAGAAATTGGGATGTTCTCTTACACGAACATGGCAGTTATATGCTTCTGTAAATTTGATCTTCATGTAATACTTTAATCTACCATTTGTATTCCAATTTTTTTATTTTGTAAAGACTAGGTCTCACTACGTTGCCTAGTTAGTCTTGAACTCCTGGACTCAAGAGATCCTCCTGCCTTGGCCTCTCAAAGGGCTGGGATTACAGGCATGAGCCACTGCACTCGGTCTGTATTCCAGTTTTGTCAATTGATCCAATAATGTTCTTTATAGCACTTTTTCCTCTCCAGCACAGATTCCAGCCTAAGGTCATAAAATTGTATTTAATTGTCATGTTTCTTTAGTCTCTTGTAATCTATAGCTTTTCTACCATTTTGTCTTTCAAAACATTAATATTTTTGAAGAATATAACTTCCCTCCACCCTTTCATAGAATGTGCCTCATTTACATGTTTTATTTCACAGATGTAAATTTCATGCCTCAAAGATCTTATCTACTCCGATTATAAAAAATATTCAATTTTTTTTCTAGTTCTTGTAATAGTGCATTTTGAAAGATCTTTGATTCATTAACTGATGATCAATAAACAAAATGCGGTATCTTTGTATAAAAGAATATTATTCAGCCACAAAAAGGAATGAGGTACTGATACGTACTGTAACATGGGTGAACACTGAAAACGTTATGCTAAGTGAAAAAAGGCAAACAAAACACACAAGTGATGAGTCTCTGTTATAACAATACAAAGAATACAGTGACTATTCCGTAAAACATTAGCTAGCTTTCCCTCTTCCCACATGTATACACACATACATTTATACATTTGTATAATATGTATACAAAAATATATAAGGCACATATTATGTGATTCCATTTATATGACATATACAGAGTAGGTAAATCCATACAGACAGAAAGCAGATAAGTCATTGCCAGGGGCTGTTGGGAGGGGAGTGACTGCTTATTCGGTATGGAGTTTCTCTTTGGGATGATGAAAAGTTTCTGGTTGTGATGATTATACAACACAGTAAACTGTATACCTTAAAATGCTAAGTATTATGTTATGTCTATTTAATCACACTGTATAAAGAATCCTTGGTCCATTTACAATTAGTTGAAGAAATCAGGTAGGAATGAGCTTTCAGTTGTTTTTTTTTACCAGCTGACTATTCTATCACCCCACTGTCTAAATGATTAACCTGTTTTGACCTACTTATTTGAAATGTCTCTTTTAATAATATTATATGTTCTTATATTCACTTGAATCTTTCTCTAGACATTCTTTTCTAGCCCAGAGTTCCATCTGCCTCTCCCTATTCCAACACCATATTCCAACACCATACCATTTTATGCAAGGTAGGTTTATATCATACTTTGACATTTTGTAGGGCCAGTTTCCCTGATCAATTCTTCACTCCCAGAACTCTTCCTCTTCAGAATTTTCCTGGAAATTCTTCTATGTTTATTATACAAGATAAATATTATAATCTCTTATTCAAGTTCCTTGTTAAGGCTTTTTATTTTTTTTACACAGACTTTATTTTTTAGAGTAGCTTTAGGTTCATAGCAAAACTGAGCAGAAGGTACAGAGATTTCCTATATATCCCCTGCCCTGCACATGTACGGTTTCCTCCATTATCAAGAGCCAGCACCACAGTGACACATTTCTTACAATCAATGAACCTACACTGACACATCATTATCACCAGGTATTTATTGTTTATGTTATGTTAGGGCTCACTTTTGGTGCTGTACATTCTGTGGATTTGGACAAATGTAAAATGACATGTATCCGGCATTGTCTTATCACACGAAACAGTTTAACAGCCCTAAAATTATCTGTGCTCTGCCTATTCATTTCTCCCTGACCTCGAATCCCTGGCAGCTACTGATCTTTTTACTGTCTCCACAGTTTTGCCTTTTCTAGAATATCACATAGTTGGAATCAGACACTGAGGAATCTTTTCAGACTGACTTCTTTCACTTGGTAATATGCATTTAAGTTTCCTCTATTTCCTTTCCTTGATCACTCATTTCTTTTTAATACTGAAATATTCCATGGTCTGGATGTACCACAATTTATTTATCTATTAACCTAATGAAGGACATCTTGGTTGCTTGCAAGCCTTGGCAATTATTAATAAAGCTGTTGTAAATATTTGTGTGTGGGTTTTTGTGTGGACATAAGTTTTCAATTCATTCATTTGAGGACCACGATTGCTGGATTGTATGGTTAGGAGTATGTTTAATTTTGTAAGAAATTGCCAAACTGTCTTCCAAAGTGGCTGTGCCATTTTGTATGAATGAGAGTTCCTGTTACTCCACATTCTTGCCAGCATTGGTGGTGTCAGTGTTTGGGTTCTGGCTATTCTAATAAGATGTGTAATGGGCCATTGAAACCTTGATTTCAAAATTTATCATCTAATTTGAGGTTAGCTCTCCATTATCCAAATCTTCTTTTATGTCTTTTAGTGGAGATTTGTAGTTTTTTCCAGTAAGTCCTGAATATGTTTCTGAAATTTTTTATATATGTATGCTATTATCAATGACACATTTTATTTCACATTTTCAAACTAATTTTGTGTCTGAGAATCACTGATTTTTATATATTTCTTTTGTACTAATTGCCTTATTGAACTCTACTTACAGATGATGTGATATATCCTTCTTCCAAGTTCGTATCTCTTATCTATATGCATTCTTGAGTACTTCTCATTCTACACACTCTTCTTCCATTTGTCAAGAATCCTTCTTTTTAGCTGTGATCCTCAAACCTATTTTGCATTCCAGACTTCTCTCCAGAACTTGAGACTCATGTATTCTTTTATTATTCCTCCAGCAAATATTTGCTGGGCCCTGGCTGTGTACTAGACCCTGTTCTAGATATATCTCTTGGGAGAGAAAAACAACTAACTCCTAACAAATAAAGTTCTACTTAGAATAGCACTGCTCCTTTGTTATTATGATGGTAAGTTTTGAAAGATAAAACATTAGATAACAGAGAACTTACAGTTTTTCAAATAGTTTGTATTTATAAAAATATGCCAAAATGACATTGAACCATTATCTTGCAATGCGTTTTGATGTCCCTATCACTCTTTTGATCTTAGAAACGTATTTTTACATGTTTCAATTTTACATCATGGTAAGGAACTTCAAAATGTAAGGTTGTCTTACCAAAAGAATATATGGTGTTAACTGTCATGAAGATTTAAACCAGTGATCCCAAATAAATGTGTTAAATCCTTTACTTGCATGGTTAACCAAGCAGATTTTAAGTTGAAGATTAAAATTTATTTTTTACATTTTTCCATTGGCTTGCTTTGATGAGTCATCTAAAGTCAGATTAGCTCATCTTCATACCTCTGTCAGAATATTATAGAACTAGTATAATTACTGAGAAAAAAAAGTGTGCAGGAAGCTGATTATAAGCTACTATGGTTATTCTGTAAGAAAAGAAAGTCAGAAAACTAAGATTTAGGATCCAGATCTATAGGGAATAGTTAGGTGATTTGGAAGAAGTTATAGCTCTTTTCTTTAGCTATAAGATGAGATTAAGTATATAGTAAGTACTTGCTCCTCTACTGCAGAGGAAGGTTAAAAGAATAAATAAAATAATACATGAAGACCTTATGATCTCCTTGTTATTGATGAATCCTAGGAAAGGTCACCTAGTTAAGCCTTCTTTTCAGTGCAAAGAATCCCATCTGTTGTCTCCCTAACAAGTAGATAGATAGCAGGGCTCTCCTTGTGTATTACAGAAATCAAAGGTTATAAAGTCTTCTATCTAAAAAAAGGATGGTTATTAATATAAATCACTTTAACATATCCTCTAGAGGCTAGGGCTAAAATGAGGAAAATCATCTTGAGTATCAGTATTTCTTTATAAAAAATATTCTAAGGGCGCATGGAATTATCTCATGTAAGACTGTCTGGAGACAATGCCAAGTGATATGGAAAATGTAAGTAACATAATAGATGTAAACCTGGTTCTATCCACTGTACACTTAGAAGGGTTTCATTTCCACAAAAAGAAAGAGCTTTGATGTATTAATATTTAAAATTTGGGATAATTATGGGTTATGTTTAACAAATGTAACATTTTCTACTCCAGTGTAACTCATTAAATATAAAATGTAGTAAGATTCTGAAAGCAAAATATTTGCTATCAGTGTAAGTAAAATGTGCTGAAGTTTTTGCTTTGTATTCCCAAAGTGAAAAAACAAAACAAAGCCACATTTAAAGTAGTCACAAAAAAAGTGCTTAAAGTAACAAAAACATTAATAATGGCCCAGCTAATCTATTATCTATCAACCACTTCTATCAGTTAAATGAGAGCACGGAACATATACTATTTTCATTATAAAAACAATTGAATAAAAACTGGAAAGCATGACATACATAGGTAAAGCTGTAGAAAAACTTCCTTTTTCTGTTTTCAACATCACTATCATCATTCCTCCTACGATAAATAAGCAGCACATTTAACTGTAATGAATTTTCATTGTCTGTCTCCCACAACTAAATTGGCAAACAAAAGACTCACATACAATTCTCTTATTTTCCTTCCTCTACAAAAAATTTCAAATACAATCAGTTATTACCAAATACATCCTAAAATACTGTTTTCTTAAAATTATGCACATTTTCTTTATAGTATTTACTAAAAACAATTCTGTGTTTTTAGGAAAAAAGTAATGAAGCTTTATTGCTTCTTAAAATGGTTTCAGAGAAACTCTTGAATGTTCCTTTACTATCTTTTTCTTTTCAAATGAAGTACATCCTGTCTGAAGCAGAATTACTAACAAACTAAAAGCAAGCACTTCAGGGTAACTGGATTAAAAAATATATTACATTTTAAAAAGTAGCTCTGAACATACCAGAGGAAAGTCTTTGGTGTAATAATAGAAAAAAAACCCTTTGAGGGCTGTGGTAAGCCACAGTCGTTTTTAAATACCTGTTAAACAGAAAGAGTGGCTCATACTAGTGGTCAGCGTGTGAGAAATTCAAAATGCTCAGGGTTTCAAGAATCAAATCTCAGAATTGGCGATCACAGGTATTTTTCTCTACATGGTAACTCAATTTATAGAATATTACAGTTTGTGCTAAAAGGAATGTACTTTCTGATAACTTTAACAAAATTATGAATCTATGCTTTATACTTTGGCAGAAGCAATAGGGAACTTACATTGAACAAGGTTTGCGTCTCTTGGTGTTATTTCCCTAAAAGTGAGACGACACAGGGACCATTATTATCAAGGAGGGGACAGAGTAGAACCCTGACACCATATGTCGCCCACACCCGAAAACATGGATAACAGTGATGCTTTACCTTTCTCTTCTCCTTCATTCCCCACATCCAGATATTCACCGCTCTGCAAATGATGCCTATTCAGTATCTCTTGAGTGTATCCACTTTTCTTTCTCCCTGTCTCTCTAACATAAATTAGGCCACCATTGCATCTCACCTGAAATTTTGTAATAGCCTCCTGACCGCAGCCACTCTGGCCTCATCCAGTTCATTCTCCTTGTGGCAAAGTGATTTTTCTAAACTGCAAATCTCCCTCATGTAAAACTCTTCAATAATTTGCAGCTGCTGTCATGAAGTCCATTCTTCCTTATGTGGCTTATAAGGCCCTCCAAGATCTCAACCTCCCTCAACAAATACCACACACCAGACTCACTCGTTTACCCTCTTATTTACTGAAACTTCAATTCCTTGAATAAGTGATGTTCTTACCTCTGAGTTTTTGCACATTTCCCTCTTGCCTCCCCAGCGTCATCTCAGCATCTCCTCACTGGAGCATCACTCCACATAGGTCCTGAATGCATTAGATGTGTTCCGTCTTGGGGCTAATTGTATCTTCTCTAACTCAAATGCGCCCCCCCAACCCCAGTTATGAAGTATAGCTATACTTCATTACTTTGACTCCAACATGTTACTCTCAACAGCTGTATGGAAAAACCTAAATGAGGAAGAACATACACTTTAATCCTATCCTGAAAACAGATTAAAAATTTTGAACTTTTTTTTATTATACTTTAAGTTTTAGGGTACATGTGCACAACGTGCAGGTTTGTTACATATGTATACATGTGCCATGCTGGTGTGCTGCACCCATTAACTCGTCATTTACTTTAAGTATATCTCCTAATGCTATCCCTCCCCCCTCCCCCCACCCCACAACAGGCCCCGGTGTGTGATGTTTCCCTTCTTGTGTCCATGTGTTCTCTTTGTTCAATTCCCACCTATGAGTGAGAACATGCGGAGTTTGGTATTTGGTTTTTTGTCCTTGCAATAGTTTGCTCAGAATGATGGTTTCCAGCTTCATCCATGTCCCAACAAAGGGCATGAACTCATCCTTTTTTACGGCTGCATAGTATTCCATGGTGTATATGTGCCACATTTTCTTAATCCAGTCTATCATTGATGGACATTTGGGTTGGTTCCAAGTCTTTACTATTGTGAATAGTGCCACAATAAACATACGTGTGCATGTGTCTTTATAGTAGCATGTTTTATAATCCTTTGGATATATACCCAGTAATGGGATTGCTGGGTCAAATGGTACTTCTAGTTCTAGATCCCTGAGGAATCGCCACACTGACTTCCACAATGGTTGAACTAGTTTACAGTCCCACCAACAGTGTAAAAGTGTTCCTATTTCTCCACATCCTCTCCAGCACCTGTTGTTTCCTGACTTTTTAATGATCACCATTCTAACTGGTGTGAGATGGTATCTCATTGTGGTTGTGATTTGCAAAAAATTTGAACTTCTAAGAAACTGTAGTGGAGAACTAATAAACAGACTACTAGAAACGAGACAATAGAGAGACTCTTTTTTCAGTAGCATTGAGAAAACTAAGGGGCTGAGCCAGAACGCAGACAGGTTTTTCAGGTAGTGCTAATAGTTGCAAAACAATTCCAAATAATGAATTGCTTATACTACACTATAATAACTTGCTCATGTTCACTGAGCTGGGGATGTTCCCAGACCAGTGGAAGGAGCAGAGGTGTTCTTAACCAACTGGGAAGTCTGCACAGTAATAGCCCCCAATGCTTAGCTTCTACTCTGTCATGTTCCCCTGAGTTATCTCCAGACCTGTATTTCTAGTCATGGGTTGCATGTTGCATAGTACTTCTTGGGTGGGGGGGTCCCACAAGCACCTCAAAAACAACCTGTGTAGAACAGAATTTGTCATCTTTGCCACAAGACCTTTTCCTATTTTCCCTCTCCTAGTTATGGCACCACCATCCACAAACAACCAAGCAAGAAACCGAGATATTCATTATACCTTCCATCTTACCATCCGCATCCAACCTTTTACCCTCTCCTCTTGACGTGACTTTTAAAATTTCTCAAATCCATTTACTTCTCTTCATCCTCACTGCCTCTACTTTTACGTGAAAGCTACACTTGTCTCTGAGCAATAACAGGTCCTAACTGTAACAGGTCCTAACAATAACAGGTCCTAACTGGTTTCCCTTCAATCTTACCTCACCCTCATTCATTCGCCATACTGCAGCCAGGGTGATATTTCCAAAGTTCAATTACGTTACTACTCCTGTTTAAGACCTACAGTGATTGCCTATTACCCTCAGGATAAAGCAGTTGGTGAATATTTGCAGAGTGAATGAACAACATTTATCTTTTCAAATCATCAGAATAACTTTAAGGTTGGACATTATTCCATTTTTCAGGTAAGGGCACTAAGGCTAAAAGAGCTTTAAGAACTTACCCCACAGTTAAATGGCCAGGTTTGTCTGACTTCTGAAGCTGTACCCTTTCTATGTCACACTGCCTGTCTTTTCTATTCAAAGATGGCCTTTTCATGCAGACGGTGAAGAAAGACTGCTGATTGCATAGTGGATTTCTGTCAGTCATGCAGAAGTAAATAATCTCTGATTCCAATAATGTTGTAGCAATTGCTTTACAAAATTATCTTGCACTGCAGCAAAACTGTAATTAACCAGAATCTTCAATTAAACAGAGTTTGTTTTAAGAGCATTCGGAGGAAAGACATTGCAAAGTTTAAGGCAAAATAGCCATATTACCACCAAACACAAGCTGATGGGATTTTTTTTTTTTTGAGACAAGGTCTCACTCTGTTGCCCAGGCTGGAGCACAATGGTACAAACACAGCTCACTGCAGCCTTGACTTCCCAGGCTCAAGCAAACCTCCTGTCTCAGTCTCCTGAGTAGCTGGAACTACAGGCATGTACCACCACACCTGGCTACTTTTTAAATTTTTTGTAGAGATGGGGTCTCACCATGTTGCCCAGGCTGGTCTCAAACTCCTGGCCTCAAGCCATCTTCCTGACTCAGCCTCGCAAAAATGCTGGGATTACAGGCATGACCCACCATACCCAGCCCACAAAGGATTTTTAAGAGATGTTTCCAAGGTATAACTTTGAATTTTTACACATTGAGCTCCATGGTTTATATTGTCTTCTATGGCATGTATAATAATATTAAATAGAGCTTGTATCAGAATAGTGCCTGGCACATAGTAGGTGCTCAGTAAATATGTGAATAAATGAATAAATTAAGGAATGAGAAAAGCAAAAGCCTCAGCAATTTAAGATCCAGGATAATTTTCTTATTTATGGTTGTCATATTCTTCCTATGAAGGGAAGATAGTAAATGAATATATTTTAGCTAGGTTTTTCACTATGTAGGTCAAAACAACAAAAGAAGAGTGTTCTTATCCTTGCTAAACTAGACAATTCATTCAATCAAAACAACTTATTTCCCAAATATACTGGTAAAATATGCATATTAGCCTAGTTTTTAAAGTTTCTATTGAAGTTTAACATATACTTGTATTTATATTTAACTATAGATTTGGCCACATTGAGAAAGAAGATCGACAAAGTTGGTTGAAATGGAAGTTTTGAGCTTATTTGTAAATTATAAATATTAGAATTATCCCAGTCTACATTAAGATTTCAGATTCCCGGCCCAGCGCGGTGGCTCACGTCTGTAATCCCAGTACTTTGGGAGGCCGAGGCGGGCAGATCACGAGGTCAGGAGATCGAGACCATCCTGGCCAACCAACATGGTGAAACCCCGTCTCTACTAAAAATACAAAAATTTAGCTGGGTGTAGTGGCACACACCTGTAGTCCCAGCTACTCGGGAGGCTGAGGCAAGAGAATCGCTTGAACCCAGGAGGCAGAGGTTGCAGTGAGCTGAGATTGTACCACTGCACTCCAGCCCAGGTAACAGAGCGAGACTCTGTCTCAACAACAACAACAAAAAGATTTCAGATTCCCTCTGGGTCATCTTTTTCTTAACCCTCTTCACAGTAATATACTGTGGAGTTACCTAACGTATCATAATTTTAATCAAGTTTAATTTATTATCATATTTGTTATATCAAAACAAAAGTAGAATACTCATTTTTGGAGTGAAATGTACATTTTTACTCAGGGAAAAGGTACCACTGGAATTGTATAGATCGCATCCTATACTTCTAGGTCTTTATTTTCATAATAAAAATTACATTTCTAATATTGTTTTCAATATTTTAATAAATAAAGCTCTAATATGAAGAATTTAAAGATGCACAACTGAAGGAAATTAAATCTTACCTCTCCTTCAAAAAAATCAAATCATTATTTGTATTACTGTTTATAATGTCTGATCTGCTTTTGGGCCATGCTGTAAACAGGGCCAGAAAATGGGGGGGGGCGGGGATGGAAATCAAGCTTGAGTTTCCATTGCAATGAAATTATGATTTGGTTATGATACACTGACAATTTGTGTCATCTGTTTTTTTTTCCTCTTTCACCCAGGCTGGAGTGCAATGGCATGGTCTTAGCTCACTGCAACCACCGCCTCCCAGGTTCAAGCGATTCTCCTGCCTCAGCCTCCAGAGTAGCTGGGACTACAGGCGCGTGCCACCACACCTGGCTAATTTTTGTATTTTTAGTAGAGATGAGGTTTCACTATGCTGGCCAGGCTTGTCTCGAACTCCTGACCTCGTGATCCGCATGCCTCAGCCTCACAAAGTGCTGGGATTACAGGTGTGAGCCACTGTGCCCAGTCCAGTTTGTATCATGTTTAGTTACATCCTCACTGTTTATGAATGTAGGTCTAATATCCCACTGCTTCTAAAGGAATCCGTATGGGAAATTTATATTTATTAGCAATCTCAAGGGTTTCTGATGGAAATGAATCGCATCCTGAGACATGGATGAGATTATTTTAGTACTAGAAGTTTTGATACATTTAATACAAAGTTGTTTTCTACCATGGCATAATATTGAAAAATTTGAAAAATCCTGGGGTGGGTTAACAATTATGTTAATATTAAAGATTATAGATTTTTCAGAACCCCTTTTTGACAAGACTTGGGCTTCTGGAGACTGCGATTACAACTGTTTGCATATCTATCTGGCTGGGGAAGCACAAAGTCACACTATTTTTTGTTTGGGGAACCTTCTCTGATTCTTGAATCACATAAAGAATAGCCACAGTAAGCCTGGTGTAGAAACACATCTTCACAACAGGTTTTAGAAGAGGAGGAAGTGCTGCATGCATTGTGCATCTATGCAAATTCACATGACTCTGTGTGGGGGCACTTTATGCAGGAGAATCCATCTAGCGTTGCTTTCCTCCCTGAGTCTCTGAGGGTTGGGCTTCCTTCCTGCTGTAAAGTGGGGTGGGAATCTCTCTGAAACCACTCTATTTCCCTGCCTTGTTTTTTAACTCCCTGTGAGCTATGCACTAGATCAAGCTCATTCTCTTTGTTGACACGCTCAGCTTTGCCTTCTCATGCATCTGACTTCAATGTTTTTCATAGTCTTCAAATGAACTTTGTATGAAACAGAGCAGCTGTCTGTAACAGATAACAGCAAAGCACCCAGGTCATAGACCAGTGTGGTCAGCCGCCCCTTCCTAAGCTGCAGTCTGCTTCTTTGAGGATTACCTGAATTCTCAACTGCCAGAGTTCAAGAAAATCTGATCATGGTTTGATTCCAGGAGAGAGAGAAAAAAATCAGTTTAAAATTCAGAGTATTAATGTAATCATTTATGAAAAAAAGAAACCTTTAAAAGTCTGTTTCAGAGAGTTTAAAGAGGGAAAGAAGCAGGAAGGAAATCCCCTCAACAGTTTTATTTAGAAAAAATAAAATTATGTCTATGCCACCTCCATGCTGACAAAAATAATGCAGAAGAAGGACTTGGTGAACACATTTTTAATTAGATCACTGATGTTCACAGGATCAGGTACAAGAGCACTGGACATAGTCTACTTGATTTATACTCATTACTGCATACTTAAAAGAATTTCACACACTGTGCTGCTCCTTCTCAGGCAGCTTAGTGGTTATTGTGGATCATGAACCACACCTTTTTCATCAGATAAAACTAAAATGTGATGATGAGGGGAGAAAAAGCCCTATGTTCATTAGCCAGTGCTTATAAAAATATACAAGACATCAGATATCTGAGATGAAAATCTATTTATTAGACTTTTCATTAAGTTTGTGGCAACACTTTAAACAGTAATATTGCTTATCAAGTCACCTTTTATTGGGCTAAAACCTCCTGCAGCATCTAAGCTGAAAGAAGTCTTCACTGATTCATGCTTACATTTGAGTTTTTAAAACAGCACCTCTTCAGGTAAATTACTTTGACAGTTATTTTGCATACACCAATAAAACTTCACTTGTGCAGTGGACAATCTACATTAACATATTTGATGGTCCTCCAAATTCCCAAAGTCCTTTTTCTTTTCTTTAAAAAAACTTTTTTTATTTCCATAGTTTTTGGGGAACGGGTGGTGTTTGGTTGCATGGAAAAGTTCTTTAGTGGTGATTTCTGAGATTTTAGTACACCTATCACTTGAGCAGTGTACACTGTACCCAATGTGTATTCTTTTATCCCTCATCCCCTCCCACCCTTCCCCCTCAGTCCCCAAAGTCCATTATATCATTCTTACATCTTTGTATCCTCATAGCTTAGCTCCCACTTATAATTGAGAACATATGATGTTTGGTGTTTGGTTTTCCAATCGTGAGTTACTTCACTTAGAATGATGATCTCCAATTCCATCCAGGTTGCTGCAAATGCCATTATTTCATTCCTTTTTATGGCTGAGTAGCATTCCATGGTGTGTGTGTGTGTGTGTGTGTGTGTGTGTGTGTGTGTTTGTGTGTGTGTGTCACATTTTCTTTATCCACTCATTTGATGGGCTTTTAGACTGATTTCATGTATTTGCAATTGTGAATTTTGCTGCTATAAACCAAAGTCCTTTTTCTAACCCAACTGAAGCCCTTAAATTCCTAGTATATAGAAATTTGGAAGCTACCACTGTCATCAGATCTTTTGATTCTAGCCTTAAAAAGCTCTAGAATACCCTCTTTTTTATCCTCACCACTAATGACACATGACAAGCCTTTGAAGTCACTTCTAGGAAAGCTTCTAACTCATCTGATTGCCTCCTGTCTACTCTTTACATTGATGATGGAATCGTCCTTTTAAAAGTGGCACTGATAGTTTCACTCTTCTTCTTAAGAACCTTCAGAAGAGTGAAAACAAAATAGGTTACAAGAGTGACATGATATTTAATCACTTTAGCCTCTGAGGCACCTGGGTGGGAGAAAGCAGCTAGAACCCCAGTTAATTGCCTCCGACCTGAAGCAGCTTCTGTCGGTAACCCAGCATATTATACAAATATTACTATTTTTATTTAGGTCACTACATAAAAGCTCCAAAAGCACTGCTGTAAAGCAACGGTTCTTAGCTGAGACCTGAGAACTCCCAGGAGAGCAATGTATGGGCGTTAAGATATTTGAGATACTCCATAGGTTTCTGGGGAGTGGATCCATAGGAATTATCTATTCTTGAGGGGACTATACCTGTTAAAAAGTTAAAAACAGATCCACAGTACACGTTGGTTTTAAGCGGTTCTATACTATCTGCATAACCTCAGCAATAACCATTTTTTTCCCCATGCATCTTGCATTCCAGTCACTGCAGGCTACTTGGCATTCTTTTCAACTTACAGAGGTTCTTCAGCCCTTATCCTTCTGCAGCGTTATCTCCGTAGCGTCCTATTTCTTACCTTAAGCTTCAGCAGTGATGAATCGTTGCCAGTTCTCTGAAATCATTTTCAAGGGTCAATGCCCTGTCATATGCTATCATCAGCTTGGAATGCTCTTACAATCTGCCTGGTGAACTCCTCCATATCGGTCAGCACCCACCTTAAACTCCGCTTCTCTATAAAACCTCCTCTTACTCCTCCCAGAAGAATTCATTGCTCTTGTTTTCATGTTGCCACTTCATTCAACATTAATTTCATTAATTTCTACTCATTCTAATGAGCTTAATATGTTTCTCCCCACTAGACTTTATGCTGCTTGAAAGTAAGATCTCTAATTTATTCATCTTTATATGCCTAGCATATTGTTTTTAGTTGACACTTAATATACATTTGTTAGATGGTTGCTCGTCTATCCCCACTTCCATATGTGAAACTTGGACTTTCTTTGAAGATCTGGGTAAAATGCCACTTCTGAAAAACCTCTTGACTCCCCCAGGTCAGGGGCTACTCTCTCCTCTATAACACAGTAGTTCACACACAAGTCTACTGCATCAGTTATACCCAGTTTCTTACCTTGCTCAGGCGTAGAACTGAGGGACTTCAGTTTGCAGGCTCAGCCCTGCTCAGTGCCTTGGCTTAATCCTGACAAAGGAAGCAATTGCAGCAGTGATTTCAGACCCACCAGTGAGTGTCTTACCATACCCCCCTCAACACCACCACCACCACCAATAACAACTCCTTCATTTTTTCAGAGCTCTCCTATCTTTACCTGCCAGCCTTCTCTCTCTAGAAACTGAAACTGTATAGCCCTTATCTGGGAGGCCTATTCCATATGAGAGGATTTTGCAGGAATCATTACATTCTATCTTTCTGCTCTTAGTATTTCTACCCCACCTTAGAAATCAGTGCTCAACCAGATATTGCCTAATATTGCAGACTGAACTGCTTACCACTATGTTAAGGAAGAATGACCTTACAGCCAGGGTAGTTTTTCTGACCAAGGTCAGCTATGTCTGTTTTCTGCTCTGTTCTTCCCCCAAAGTGCCTGGAGCTAATTGTACAGTCACAGTGTTTAACAATCCATAATGCTTAACACAATGATTTATCATAGTAGATACTTAACATGAGCGAATGGACAAATGAAAATCCAGTTATGTATATATAGAACTGGATGTTTAAAATTATATATTCATATATATACACATATGTGTATATATATGAAGTATATATGTATTTTTATATAAGCGTATATATGTATTTATATATATAAGCATATATATGAACTATATATATGAAATACACACACACACACACACACACACACACACACACATATATATATATATATGAAGTAATGAGAACTGTGGTGAAAACCTTGTTTACAGGAGACAGCTATTCCTTGGCCCTAGTCATTTCTCGACACATGAGAACATGGGCCCAGGAATACCAGATTTTCTACCTTTTCAAGAAAAACTGAACACTCAGATTTTTCTGTGAATTTTTTGATATTTTGGCTGGAAGAAGCATGGTTCATGTCCAGTGCACCTGTACAGGATAAAGCAGATTAACATGCGGTTAAGTCAGATATTAACAAGGGTATAACATATAGGCCAGTTCTCCCTCTGTGATTTTTAGTGCTAGCTGAGTGTCAGTATTTCTGGAAAGAAGGGACAGCAGCAAAAATTCCATGCACAGGAGTTATCATGATAGAAACCGGCTTGATTCTTTTGATACTCTGCCACTGTTCTCTTCAGCCGATGATATGCCAATGTAAGAAGATCCAGGAAGTGAGCCACTGGTGGCATTAGTAATCTGAGACAGATAATTTGAGTTATGTTGATTGAAGAATAACTGTGATCTAGTAAGGAGATTAGTATGATTCCTTTATTATCTCCTGCCAATGGCTTATTAGAAGAAGAGCCTGGCACAATATGGGCTCAATAAATACTTGTTGAATGCATGAATGAATGAATGAACAAATATATTGTTCTGTATTTTTGGAAATTTTTGGAAAAGAATTCAGTATTTTTTTCTGTGCAAATTTTCCCTAATCAAAAGAGCCTTACCAGGTATAGTGAAGACAGTATGCTAAGTGAAATAAATCAAACACAGAAGGACAAATATTGTATGATTTCACTTACATAAAGTACCTAGAATAACCACATTTATAGAAACAAAAAATAGAATGGCAATTACCAGGGGGTGGGAGTGTCGGTAACGGGGAGTTGTTTAATGGGTAGAGTTTCAGTTTGGGAAGACGAGAACTGTCTAGTGATGGATAGTGGTGATGCATGAACACAAATGTGACATACTTAATCCTACTGAATTTTACACTTAAAAGTGGTTAAAATGATGGTCTTGGGAAAGGCTCCTGTGTTGTTGAACCTGCTCAGTTGTGGGTGCAGCCTTGTACCAGGCAGCCCAACCCTGACCTAAAGTAAATTCCCAGGAAAAGTCTTTCCTAGGTTGTGAATTTGCAGTAATAGGTGTGTGCATCCTAGCAGCAGTTTGATGATCATGTATGAAACTGCAAACAGGACAAAAACAAACAAACAAACAATAAATAAAATGGTTAAAATGGTAAATTGTATGTAATGTATATTTTGCCATAATAAAGAAGTGAATTATTCATAATTGTGATCTGCATTTCTGGTTTATATGGGGTTTTTGGTCAGGCTCCTTTTGCCTTTACCCTACTTCCACCCAAATTAATTTGTATATCCCCTGTATATTTGTACACACATAAAAATGGCGTGTGTGTGTGTGTGTATGTATGTGTGTGTGTGTGTGTGTGTAGGCACTTAGATAATCCAGAGACTGAAATAGGTAGGAAAAGTATACATTAATCTCTTTGCAATTTCACAACTTGGTCTTTAGAGAGTCTTATTTCTCCAAATATGCTTCGTTCTAGTTCATTATTTTTTTTTTATTTTTATTTTTTGCTTTTTTTTGTTTGTTTTTTGAGACAGAGTCTTGCTCTGTTGCCCAGGCTGGAGTGCAGTGGCTCTATCTCTGCTCACTGCAGCCTCTGCCTACTGGGTTCAAGCGATTCTCATGCTTCAGCCTCCCAAGTAGCTGCGATTACAGGCATGTACCATCACATCTGGCTACTTTTTGTGTTTTTAGTAGAGACAGGGTTTCACCATGTTGCCCAGGCTGGTCTCGAACTCCTGGCCTCAGGTGATTTGCCTGTTTGGGCCTCCCTAAGTGCTGGGATTACAGGCGTGAGCCACTGCGGCTGGCCTAATTTTAGACAGCTTTAAATACTGATGTCATGTGGCAATTCCCATTGCATGGATATTGTCTATTGGGATTTGTTTATCGGAAGTACTGCTTCTGACTTTCAGAAGAATATGAGAAAAAAGCATGATGTCCACCTCTCTTTCTCCAACCTCATTTCTAATCACTCCATTAAGTCTCATATAACTTCATGCCTGGACAATTATATTAGTGTTCTACTTTTAACAGTTAGCTCATTCAATGTATACTGCACTATTCAACCATATTGATTTTCTGAAACATAACCTTTTCCTAATAGATGACTTTATTTCCGATTTCACAAAGGTTATATCAAGCATGGGTGCTCTTAACTTCCTGCCCTTCCCCTACTTCTAGATACTTCTATAAACATCTCTGCATGCTGTGACCTTGCCTGCTTTCCCTGTTCCAGAAGGAGAGTTTCACACTCCTACTTCCTAGCTAAGGCTAATCCAGCCACCTGTGCTCCGGCTTTCATTCCCTCCCACCTTCTCCAAGACCTACAGCTATCAGCTGCCTCTTTTCTTTCCTGTGTCTTTAGCTTCTTCCTCTCTTTCAGCTCCTTCCCTCTAGCCTATAAACAAGCTCCAGTCTTTTGCAGTTTGCAAAACAAACAGTGCTTTTCTCACCATCCTGAATTTCTCCTTCTATTCATTCTTAAACCTCTTGAAAGACTGAGGTCTGTTCACTTTCTCCACTTTCTTCCCACTCCTACAGGCTCCTGCCACCCCTCAACTGAAAGTGCTCTATGAATGTTACCCATGGCTGCTTAGGTGCCACATCCAGTAGGCAGTTTTCATTATTTATTTATCCAATCTGTCTGCAGTTTTGACAAGTTGGTTTTTAAAATCTTTCTTTCCCTGGATTCCAGGGAACCACTTCTCTTAATTCTATAATTGTTCCTTGTCCCTTTTCCTCTGTCTACCCTCAACTATTGTGCATCCTATTTTGCCCTTTGGAGTCCCTTCTCAGCCTGCACAGAGTTGACAATTCCAGGCCAATGGCATCACCATAGGCTAATGACTCCAAAATGTCTCCCTCAGCCTCAGCATTCTCCCGTTTTCTAAACTCAGTTGCAAACTGAACATGGCCACCTGGATGTGCAGTATAATTCCCTTTCCCCTGAGCTACCCCCCAACCCCTGTTTCCCATAGCTTGGTACCTGGCTATCAAGTGCCCATGTAGAAACATGGAAAAGATTCTATTGTCTTCGTTTTCTAAATACCTAATCCAATTAGGATTGTGTGTTGTGTGCATTTCAATAAAGTATGTCTTTAAGACTATTTCCCTTATTTGTGTATCCTGCATGGCTCTTTAGCTATTTAGCTAATAGTTGTTTAACTATTCACTTCCTCAAATAAGATGGCACCACATTAAGAATCTTATAAAATATTCTTTATTTACTATAAAACTGTCTGTAGTAACTTCCAAATCTTTTTTAAGAACATCTGGAAATTTAGGCCAGAAATTTGATTTATTAATAATTAAAATATAGCAATGAAATAGCATTTCACATCTATTAGGAAGGCTACTAAAAAACAAAGAAAATAACAAGTGTTGACAAGGATGTGGAGACATAGGAACTCTTGTGCACTGCCATTGGAAATGTAAAATGGTGCTGCCATTGTGGAATGCAAAATGGCGATTCATCAAAAAATTTAACATGGAATTCTCATACTATTCAGCGATTCCACTTGTATGTCTATACACAAAAAAATTAAAAGTAAAGACTGAACAGATATTTGTACACCAATGTTTATAAGAGTATCATTCACAATAGCCAAAAATGGAAATGACCCAAAGAACAATCAATGGATAAATGAATCAGCAAAATGTGGTATATACATACATACAATGCAATATTTTTGGCTTTCAAAAAATTAAAATTCTGATACCTACTACAACATGGATGAACCTTGAGGACATTATGCTAAGTGAAATAAGCCAGACACAAAGGACAAATGTGATTCCTCTTATCTGAGGTACCTGGAATAGTCAAATTCATAGAAACAGAAAGTAGAATAGTGGCTTCCAGGAGGTGTGGGGAAGGGATAACAAGGAGCTATTTTTTACTGAATACAAAGTTTCTATTTGGGATGATAACAAAGGTTTTGGAGATGAATACTGGTGATATTTGCACAACGACATGAATGTATGTAACGCTGTTGAATTGTACACATAAAAATGGTTAAAATGGTAAATTTTATGTACCTTTTCCTACAATTAAAAACATTAAAAAAAAATCGAATTTTTCAAAACTTTCATTTCTTTAGTGTTCTGGAAGAATTTACTCTGTCCTAAATGATACAAGGGAATGGGAACTAACTGAAGCACGTGATCTCTTGGCAAAATCAGAGATGTCAACGGGCAATTTGAAGCCTCTGGGTGAAAAGAAATAGAGAGCATCTGTAGATGTGAGGGTGATCTGCTGCAAAACCTGTCCCTCTAGTGATTGCAGAAATTCCTTCCTTCCTTGTCTGTTTGCATCTCCCCAGATGTATGGCAGTGGAGTGTGAGTTTCTCAGCTTGAACTGGACTCTTCATACTTCTGTTAATGGAAACATAAATACAGTGCACCCAATAACAAAATAGAACTATTCCTAGAAAAAAAAAATGTTTAAAATACATACATTCATAGAGTAATTATAAAGCAATCCAAACGCTGAATAACAGACAAAAGCAACTCAAGATCAGAACAAAGCTTTTGGGACCTCTAACAGGGAAATATGTGTATGATTGTTAAGCTCCAAAGTAAATAAAGCATGAAAACCCAAAACTGCTTATCTGTGTGGTTTTCATAGTGTCAATATATATGCAGAGTTGGTCTGACTGCACTGAAAGCCATTAAAGGTCATGGAAGTAAAAACAAAAGTCAGACTGTCTGTGTGAAACTTTGGCAAGCAAATGCCAACTTTCTTCAACATTTTCTCAGTTCTGAAGAAGTGAGCGAGAGGTGGCAGTAATGGTCTTTCTCTCTCTCTCTCTGTCTCCCCCTCCCTCCCTCTCTCTCTCAATTGTAAATTAAACCATTATTTTCTTTGTGCCCCCACAAATAGAATTCAATATTACAGTGAAATTTGCCAATGAAAGAGATGACCTGTTCCTTTTAATATCTGTTTATTTTCATGCATATTGCACCAAAGTTAAAATGAGAACTTTGTCCTTTTAAATTGACCTGCTTTGGGGAAAAAATAGGCACTCTCTTAGAAATGGCCTCCTCCTCGTCAAATTAAAATTGCTTCAGATCAGCGAAGACCACAAGAATACTCACTGTAGCCACATAGAATCAGGATGCCAGAAATAGCAAATCACACATTTTTCTTTAGTTGTGCAAGACAGCTTTTTAGTACAGATCAGGAAGCTGCTGAAATGTTAGGTTGATATGGGTGACAAATTATATTGGTTGAAAAAGTAGCTACACTCAGTGGGATGAATTTGCCTAGGTATTTACATTTACTCAGCAACTGGGTACTGAGGATAGCGTTTTGTTTTGTTTTGCAGAGGGGTGGAAAAGTATGGAAATGAAGCAGTATGTTAATTCTACAAGCATTTAAGGAATGATTACTGTATGTGGGACACTATGCTAGGTACAGTTGTGAGTTACTTAAAGCTCACAAGTGTTGAGTAATTTCCCCCAAGGTCTCATTGCTAATAAATAACAGAACATAGGCGTTTGTAATTCTAAAGTCCATGTTTTTAACCTCTATTCTATGTTAGTGCTCAATTACATTTGTTAAAAGGGCAAGGTTCTGCATTATATGTTCCTCTATCTGGACTCCCCCCATAACACCTGGATCAGTCTTCCCCAATACAGTTTCCCTTTCCTCAGTCCTCTTCTACGAACCAAGACATTCAACAGGTCTTACTCATTGACCCTAAGTTCCATATACCTGTGTTGCTGCTACTACAACTACTATTGCTACAGTTAATAGCACTAGTTCTATTACAATGTTACTGTTACTAACAATGAGAATTGATAAAATTCATTGAGTACTTACTGTATGGATGGAACTCTGAAAAGAATTTTGCACTTGATCTTAGCCAAAAGCCCAAGAAGTGATTGCTAAGGATTTTGTAAGCCTTATTTCATGTAACACTTTCAGTAGTAGTTGGAGATGCATGCGCTGGAAATAGACTTTTCTGGGGTTAGGTGCTAGCCTCTTTATTCATTAGCTGTGTGGCCATGGGCAAGTTGTTTAACTTTCTGGACTTTTGATTTCCTCACTTGTAAAAATGAAAATAATAAAAATATCTAAGAGAAGTTTGGAGAAAAATACATAATGTAATTTAAAGAAATGGCTAGCATACCTGATAAATATTAGCTATAAGTTGTCATCACTATTAATAAAAATACTATTAATAGTTTCATCCATTGGTAAAATCCCTGCCGTGTTCGTACTGTCCAGCTATGAAGAATTTTACCTTGGCTTATTTTTTATAACTATTTTTTTTTTAATTTCAGTTCCCTGTGTGAAACCCTATTTTGATCCCCAGTCCAATTTTCCGGATTGTTAGCCGTCTGTTTTATTCCAGGGGACTGGATCTTGTCCCTAACCGCTGCTCAGCCTCTGGCTGGGTTGCTGCACATCACCCACTTCTGCCTAACATCTCACCTAAGGTAGGGCATGCATCATTATAGCTACAGAGGAATCAAAGGTGAAAAGAAATAGTCCTGTCCTAAAACAACTTATAATCTTTAAAAAATAGAAAATATCATATCAGACATAACTTATACATCTCCTTGGATCCCAGTGGCCTTGCCCTGCCTGCCTCTCAGGCCATTAGCTTCTCCTTGGAGGCCTCTGCGGTACACTTTCTCTATTACTCATGTAGTTCTGCTGAATGGAGCCAACTAATTACTTCTCCAAGAATATCAGCCCTCCACGGTGGTTGCCACTGTGCAACCAGGTAGCCAGCCATATGCCCAGAGTCTCTGGCTGCTTCTGCCATTTATGGGTTCAGATGAAACATTTCACCACAGGGCATGGTTTTTGGCTTCCTGATCAGCCAGATATTACATCTGGAAGTACAGGAAAATTAACTCCCTGTGGGATCAATTTGAGCCAAAGAAGGGAAACAAATAATAGTTCTCTCTCCTCTCTTCCTTCCAACCACAGTTTTCCAGAGTGGCTGAGCAATATGCATAGCAAGCGATTCAGTCTCTCTGTGGCTTATTTTGAAGCAGTAGCTAGCATGATAACCTTCTATTCCTTCTCATCCTTCCCAAACTCACTTCCTTTTCCCTCACTCTCACTGCCCTGGGATTGCACCTTCCATACAAAGTTTAATCATTTAATCCATGCCTCAGGGTCTGTTTCCTAGGGAACTCAGGCTAAGAAAAACAAGAGTAGAACTATTAGGCACATTCTGATAACCTCCCTAATAGGGTTTCTAGAAGCACTTTGGGAACCTGGAGGAGGAAGAGAAGATTAATTTAGCTGGAGTTTAATACAAAGAATGGTTAATATTTACCACTTGCTAAATGCCAGTCGCTATCTAATGAGCTTCGCATGTATTATGATTTTCCTCATTTTACATATGAGTAAACCAAAGCATAGCAAAGTTAAATAACTTACTCCAGGTCATACAGCTTACTAGTAGAAGTTAGGATTCAAATTTTACCATAAAGCCAATGCTCTTAATTGCTAATCTTTGAAAATGTTATGCAAAATGCAGTGAGGGGCCGGGCTTGGTGGCTCACGCCTATAATCCCAGCACTTCAGGAGGCTGAAGTGGACTGATCCTTTGGGTCTAGGAGTTTAAGACCAGCCTAGGAAACATGGTGAAACCCAGTCTCTATTTAAAAAGTTAAAAAAAAAAATGCAGTGAGGGAAGAGGATCAAGTCAAATGGACTCTGGAGCTCCAAAATTTGAGACTGTTGAGCCAAAGAATGATAGGAGAGACATTAGGCTTAAGATAAGAGAAGATATGGAATAAGAAGAGATCCTTATGTAGCCTGGTGTTCTTTATGATCATTCCTCTTCACACAGACATCTCTCACCACAACTTTCCCCTTCTCCAACACACAGCACACTAATATAACTGAACAGTTTTGTCTTCAGGGTTAGCATGTAACCCCACATTTCCCTCCCACTAACTCTGTTTGCCTAAAAGGAAAAAAACCTTACTTTGTAGATAAATCCTCTCATTCCACAATTAGAGATAAGGACCTTCTGAAAGCAAATACCAGACTTCATTTTAGCTAAAAATGATGTTATCAAACTCTTTCCTGTTTTGATGGAGGAGGACAGTTAGAAGCCCTGGGTCCCTGGAAGGGGACAGAGCAATCTGGAGGCAGGAAAGATGGCCTTACTAATTATACAATTTATTCATGGTTCTTCATGGTTCATCTTCATCTGAGAACAAGCAAGAAAGAGCTAGGCATAGCTGTCTTGTGGGGCCATGCTTTGACAAATCATCATGGAAACGATGATCAGATAATAAACATAAGCAGAGATCTAATCCATGGTAGGATATTTATAAAAAATGGACAGAATTCTCTTTGGAATGTCAACTGTTTTAAACATGGGAATTGTAATCAGATGCTGGATATTATGAAACTTAAGGACTGTTATAGTTCAAATTTAGTTTCAACAAATGTTATTACAAGAAACTCCTCTATAGAAAGACATCATTTCTAAGCTTAATCTCGGAATGATAGTCAATTTTTTTAAAATCATATTTGTTATATTTTATCAGTCAATAATGGAAATGATTATAGAGTTCATTTTATAAGGCATACCCCATATGTGTGTGAGATGCTAGTGAGGAAGATAATAGGAAATGGCAATACTTAAAGTAAAAAATTACAGTCCTCTGAAATGCCCAAGCATGGCTTTTAAAATAACATTTCCCATGTGTCTTAGTCTATTTAGACTACTATAACAAAATGCCTTAAACAGGGTAATTTATAAACAAAAGAAATTTATTGCTCATGGTTCTGAAAACTGTGAAGTTCAAAATCAAGGCACCAGCAGATTCAGTGTCTGGTGAGGGCTTTACGGATGACAACTTGTTGTTGTGTCCTCACATGGCAGAGGAGACAGAGGGAGTAAACAGGCTGCCTCAAGCCCTTTATAGGGGTACTAATCCCATTCATAAGGGTGAGTCTCCTCTAAGGCCCCGCCTCTTAATACCATCCCCTAGATGGTTAGGTTTCAACATATGAATTTTGAAGGGATACAGACATTCAGACCATAGCATCATATATATTATTTTTTTAAAAAATTTTCCTCAACTTTGCTTCGTGTCCCCGTGTGTTTGATGTTCCTAGTCATATCACCATTTTGAACAAGAACAGCAACTTATTAGTGTTGTTACCTAAGCTTGTGCATTTTGTAGTTGTTCAATACCGTAAGGATCCCCATGCTAATGAATCCTTTTAATTACATCCTATTTTGCAAACATTTGGATATTTGTTTGGCTAAATTTAGTTAACTTTAGTTAATCAAACAGTCTGGGGAAGAGCACATGCCTGCACTGTATGACTATCTTCCATGAGACAAGAGAAATCTATTTCATGATGGTTAAAAGCTCCCCATGGTCCCACAAGCTAATTAAAGTAAATTAGAGTCATGCTTAATAGCAACAGAAAATTAATATTTAATTTAAAATAACTAGTTTTAAATTACATTTTTGTGTGTTTTCCACAGTTCGTTAGAATCATTTTTTATATCAAATTTGAGTAACATAAAATGTTAGCTTTTCTATTTCTGCTGTAAAATAATTATCATGAACTGGGTCAGGTGCAGGGTCTCATGCCTGTAATCCCAGCACTTTGGGAGGCTGAGGTGGGTCAATCACTTGAGGTCCGGAGTTCACAACATGGCAAAACCCTTTCTCTACTAAAAGTACAAAAATTAGCCGGGCGTGGTGGTACACACCTGTAATCCCAGCTACACGGGAAGCTGAGGCTTGAGAATTGCTTGAACCTGGGAAGTAGAGGTTGCAGTGAGCCAAGATTGCACCACTGCACTCCATCCTGGGTGATGGAGTGAGCCTCTATCTCAAAAGGAAAAAAAAAAAAAATTCACAGGCCGGATTCAGTGGCTCACACCTGTAATCTAGGATCACTTGAGGCCAGGAATTCGAGTTGCAGCCTGAGTAACAATAGCAAGACCCTGTTTCTACAAAAAAATTAAAAAATTAGCCAGATGTGGAGGTGTACACCTGTAGTCCTAGCTTCTCAGGAGGCTGAGACAGAAACTTCACTTGAGCCCAGGAGTTTGAAGCTGCAGTAAGCTATCATTGTGCTACTGCACTCCAGCCTGGGTGACACAGCCAGACCCTGTCTCTAAAATAAATAAATAAATAAAAATTATCACAAATTTAGTGGCTTAAAATAATGCGGATGTCTTATCTCACAGTTCTACAGGCCAGAAGTCTGGTATGGGTTCCTTCCTGTTGGCTCTAGAAGAAAATCACTTCCTTGCTCATTCAGTTGTTAACAGAATCCAGTTCCATGTGGCTGAAGGACTGAGGTCCTCATTTTCCTTCTGATAGTGAACTGAGGGCCATTACAGTGGCCATTTAGAGGCCACTGTAGTCCCTGTTTCATGGCCCCCTTCCTCTGTCTTAAAAGCCAGCCATATTGGGTTGAGTCTTTGTTGCATCTGTTTCTGACCACAGCAAGAAAAAGTTCTCTGCTTTTAAAAATGCATGTAGTTTGATTGGACTCACCTGGGTTGTCCAGGATATTCAGGACAGATAACCTGAAGGTCCATAACCTTAATTGCATCTGTAAATTCCCTTTTGCCATGTAAGATGACATATTCACAAGTTTCAGAGATTTGGACATGGACATCTTTGGGGGCCATTATTCTATCTACCACACATGAAGAAGCACATGGGTGGTGGAGGGAAGAAAAATTATCTAAGAAAGAACTATGTTTTACCATTTTTTTTTCTGCAATGCGTCTCCCAAACATTGTCCCTGTAAGTGGTTTCTAACTCTTGAAATGACATGCTTACTGGTTTACAGTGCATAACTTAATGGTTTACAGTGCAGTTGAAGAAGACACCCATTAGGAAGCATGACACACTGGCATTGTTTTCTTTTGTTAGAAGGTCTGTTGGCCTCTCCTATTTAGGGTATTATGCCAACAAGCATCAAGAGTCTCCTGGGTTTCTGACCTCATGGTCTGATATCTGGATCTTACAAACTGCTCTAAATGTTCAAGGTGAACTATGGCAGTTCTCCAGAAGTATATAGCCTTTCAGGAGACCCTACTCCAAACAATAGGACATGCTAATTGTGGGTCTCTCTAGGGGATCAAAGTTACTTTTAGGTGGACTCCAATGAGGGTCAGATTTAATCCAGTTATTTCTAATAGTCTGACCAGCAGACTTTTCTGGTGGTCATTTTTTTATGTGGGTCTGGACCATCGATTTAAGTTACTAGACTATTGCAGTAGCCTTCTAATTCATCTCCCTCCTTCCAGTCTCTCTCCATGATATCTTATCCTTTATGTTATCAGAACAATGGGAATTCTCAACTTTTTAGTGTTTAACATCCCTGAGGAATCCACTATACTTCCATTAGTAACAGTGCTTCATAATGGCGGTACTTCTCAACGCAAAGTCTGTTAGGTTTACAAAAGAATCCTAGATGATTCTGAGCCTCCATTACTCATCCCCAAATAGTTCTGCAATCTCCTTTTTATATACTTTAAGGGGGCATGGGATCATCATCATAATAAAACTTTTTGCCTGTAATCCCAGTGACTTGGGAGGCAGAGGTGGGAGGATCACTTGAGCCCAGGAGTCTGAGGCTGCAGTGAGTCATAATCATGCAACAGAGTAAGACCCTGTCTCTTAAAAAGTAACAAAAATAACCTTTTTATTGTCATTACAATAACACTTACGTGCTTCTTACCATGTGCCAGATATTGTTCTAGGTGCTTTATATATGTTAATTACTTTAATCTGTGTAAGCGCTCTTATTAAACCAATGTTACAGATGAGGGAAATGAAGTTAAGTGACTTGCCCACAGTCATATAATTAAATTAGTAAGTGAGGGACCTGTGATATAAACTCAGATTCTATACTCTCAACCACTAAGCCAAACTGTAACCCAGCACCTTCTGTTAAGAAGCCAGGATTATTTATTTGCTAAAACATAAATATTATCATACTCCTACTTTTCCAAACTTTCTGTTAAAGATTTTATTTACTTATTTTTATCTTATTTTATTTATTTTGAGACTTAGTCTCACTCTGTCGCCCAGGCTGGAGTGCATTGGTGCAATCTTGACTCACTGCAACCTCCGCCTTCTGGGTTCAAGTGATTCTCTTGACTCAGCCTCCCGAGTAGCTGGGATTACAGGCACGCACCACCATGCCTGGCTAATTTTTGTATTTTTAGTAGAGATGGGGTTTCACCATGTTGGTCAAGCTGACCACAGGTGATCTGCCTGCCTCGGCCTCCCAGAGTGCTGGGATTACAGCCTCCCAGAGTGCTGGGATTATGAGCCACCGTGCCTGGCCTAAAGATTTTAGCATAGCATTCAAGACTCTTTATTATCCATATCTAACCTCAAAACTGACCTTCGTGATTTCATTCTAGTATCCCATCACATTTGCTTCCATTTAGTAAACATGGATTGGGTATTTTGATCTAGGTAGAAAGGGTATAAAGACCCTACAAAGTACAGTAGAGAAACAAAGAAATAATGATCATAAACAGAGAAGGGGATTCATTTATTGAGGCTTTATGTGTCAGGCACTGTGCTGTTGCATGTATTTACCCCTTACAGCTGGGATGGCAGTGGTACAACTGGGATTCAGACTCTGGCCTGTCTCCAAAGCTCATGGTTTTTCCATAACACCAGAGGTTTTTAAAATTTTTCTTTCCTGTCAAGAAACTTATTATTGAAGTGGAAATAAGCCGAACAGATAACAGCAGAACTCTGATTAATCAGATGTGAAACCCAGCCCAGAACCCCTACCTACCTCCATCCCCAGGTCTCTGACAGGACACCACAGAGCTCAATTTGGAAACCATGCACTTCGCAATGCTGCTTTTCTTTGGTTTGGCCTTTTAATAACGTACAAAGTGCAATAGTATAAATAGTGTAGCGTGTGCAATGCATTTTGGGAACTAAAAGAAAAGGAGGAACCAGAACTAAATTTTATAAAAGAAAAGTAATTTCCACAGAGAAGGTTACATTTGACCTGCATCTTAAGAACGGGTAGGGGTTTTCCAACAGGAGAATGAAGTATGAACTCTGAAGGCAGCCACAGCAACATAAATACCCTGACCACATTTGGCATTCTCACATTTCATTGCCTTTAAAAACAAAAATGGAAACTTGGTGCCTGGACAGTGTAGTGTGGTGATAAGAGACTAAGCTGGAAGACAGGGGACTGGAACTAGACATACTGGATTAGCTACTTCAGTGCCTTGTTCTTCTTTCATGTATGAATTCAGAGGATTTCACTAGGGACCAATAAAAGCTCCTTCAAGCCATAGAAACATCATTTTGTAGATCATGTGCAATTTCTTTTCTGCTATCTTATCTGCAAATGTAGAAGAAAAACTATTACAAGTGTCATGAGTAAGAGCTTGGGTTCTGCTCCTCACATGCTTTATGATTCAGAGCAAGGTTCTTAACTACACTATGCTTGAATTACCCTAGTTGACTATATAAGGTTGTTGGGAAAAGTATGTTAATGCATGTAAAGTACATTGCCTGGTATATACCAAGGGCTTAATAAGTGTTAACTATAATTATGTGTGTGTGCACATAATACATATGTATATCTACATGGGTAGAAATTTTAAAAGATTCACAGGGTATACAGAATATGTAGACTTCGAAAATGCAATAAAACAAGAAAAGTATCTTTGTAATCTTAACTAGAAGGAATTGCTTCCAACATGAAAAACTGGACTTTTTAAAAAAATGTTTAATTTATTTTTTTAATGGACAAATAATGATTGTACGTATTCAGAGAATACATAGCAATGTTTGGATTCATATAATGTATAGTGATCAGATGAGGGTAATTAGCACATCCATCATCTCAAACATTTATCATTTCTTTGTGTTGGGAACATTCAATATCCTCCTTCTAGCTATTCGAAACTACATTTTTGTTAATTATAGTCATCCCATAGTGATACAGAATACTAAGACTTATTCCTCCTATCTAGCTGTAATTTTGTATCCTTTAACTAATCTCTCCTTGTTCTTCCCTGTCTCTTACCTTCCTAGACTCTAGTATCCCCTGCTCTACTATTTACTCAAAAAAGTGGACTTTTACTTATTGCTTTGGCCTTAGGTCAAAAAAGTGAAGGAATTGCATCTTCTTATCTGTCCTTTTGGTCTCTTATAACTTAGAAAGACTTATTTTCTTTATTATAGTTTATTTTCTAGATAGAAATAATCTATCCAGCTTCTAAAACTCCACATTTAAATGTCTGTTTTGGTTTAATTCAACAAGAAAAATAAGGATAATAGCTCTCATGTTTACAATACATGTGTGTCAGGCAATTTTAGACACTTTACTCAGATAATCTCATGTATCTTCACAAGAATTTTATGAAATAAAGATTCGTATTCCCATTTTACAAATGAGCAAATAGAGGCGAAGAGGATTAAAGATTCTGCCCAGGTCATGTGACTAAGAATTGCACAGCCAGAATTCTGTCCCAAGTCCCGCCTTGCCAGTCACGTTTGGCTTTCCCACCTGCAGTGCGGGACCCAAGCTGCTTTCTGAGGAGAGCCGGGAGCTGCCCTGAGATCAACACTTGGTCCTGTTCTATCAGTAGTTACCAAAAATGGCTAATGATCTAAATTCTCTGGGTGCCCAAATGTCCTTCAACAGATGAAAGAATAAACAGAATGTAGCATATCCACACAATGGGATATTTTTTGGCCATAAAAAGGAATAAAGTACTATGCTAATACATGCTACAACTTGAATGGACCTTGAAAACATTATGCCAAGTGAAAGAAGCCAATCAAAAAATACCATGTAATGTATGGTTCCATTCATATAGAGGTCCAGAACAGGGAAATCTATAGAGACTAAGATGGTTGTTTAGAGATGAAGGTGGCGGGGGTGGGGCGGGGGACAATGCATTAATTGCTAAAGAGGATGGGATTTCTTTCTGAGGTGATAAAAATATTCTAAAATTAACAGTGCTGATGGTGACACATATCTGGGGATATACTAAAAACCATTGAATGGTATGCTTTAAATGGATGAGTTACATGGGATATGAATTATATCTCAACACAATTGTTTTTAAGAAATTATCTGGAGATTTTTAAAAAATGCTGATTCCTGACTTTGCCTCACCCCACCCACACCTCCATCTCAACTCCTACCTCTGAGTTTCCAATTCAATAAATCTGGGCTGATTCTCTGGAAATTTGTATTTTATCAAAGGTGCCCCCAGTCATTCTTGTGATAATGCATGTTTGGCTGTTACTGCTCCAGAAATGGGTTGGGCTGGCCAAGAACTAACCCAGAACTAGGTCAAACATGTTGAAACCCAGAATTCCTGGGCGGACATGGCTCTTTATAACTGGCATGATTTTCAGGGTGGCTGGTGGAATACCAAAGTCACTGAATACCAAACATCACAAAGTTGGCTTGGGCACTTTTTTCCCAGGAGTAAAGCAGTGTCCAGTAAAATCTGGAAGAATATTGTTTTACCGGAACATCTTGAGATTCCTGTTGAGCGAGCTTTTTCCTTTTTGCATAATTTTGGTGATCCTTTTTGCTCCATTGTAAATGAGTTCCCAAAGCTCTTCTTCAGTTGATTTTTTATATGGCAAGTTAATAGAGTATCTTATTTCTGAGATGTGGAGATAAGGAGTCAAAAAAGTAACTTAATAGAGAGAAAGCATATCAACTCCAGGAGAAGGAATTATACTGAGAAAGAAGTAATGGCAAAAGTTTAGTGTCTGAAATTTTATATCTTAATGACAGATTGGCTAAATGATCAGAAAATAGATTTAAGGAAATGACACTAAATTGGAAGGAGATGAAATAAATGAGCTTCTAACTAACGTTTAACCATATTTCATGATTATAAATATTAAGCCAGGTGCATTTCTGGGGTTTTTACTATTCAAATATAAACAGTTGGGCCTCTGAAGAGAACAACACTACATTTTATTATTCTAACATTACAAATACTTTTGAGTATTTCTAGAATGTGATATACTTTTTCTGACTAAACAGCATTATCTCTTAGTTAAGATCCAATGCTACAATTTGACCCCTTCTGGCAAATTAAATATAATTATGCAAACTACTAGGATTTGGGCCTAATCTAATTAATACGGTACATATAAAGCAGATAATAATTTCCCTGGTGGAAAACTAGATTGTCTAATTTCATGTTTGAAATGTGGTTTAGAAAAACATTGTATTATGTAAGAAAGATTTCATTATCTTATGTATTCTGTTTACTCAGCCCCATAATGGACATGTTTAGAAAAATAAAGCCCAAACTGGAATCTTCAAATGATGACATCTTGTTTCGGAAATTTAAAATTAAAAAATAAGATATTCCATGAAACTAGAAAAAGAATAATTTCATTTAGAGAAGATTGCTTTTTCTCTAATAAAGTACAAACATAGCACTACTATAATTTTTCTCTTTATATAGCCACAAGCAGTACTGAATATGATTTAATGGAGATAATTCTGTTCATTTAAACATAAAAGTTTAAGGGCTTAAAATTGATCTAGATTAGATGCATGCCAATAAATTCCAATCACAAACTTTCTGGATGATATTTATAATCCTGAGATTGAGTGCACGCTTTTTAAAATGTCTGAATCCCATTAGCATTAATCAGTGCTGTATGTGTGCACTGAGCAGAAATCAAGAAAGAATTTTGTTTAGTGCCCCTTACCAAGAAAACAAAAGAAACTATCTGTTTCATATGGAAAAAAAACAGGTCTTTTTTTTGTTGCTTTTCTCATACAAAAGTGAATTCTATATGTAACTGAAGTCCTGGTTTAATAACACTGAATATTCGTTTTTCATCTAAAGGAAGTGCACATGGTGTAGTGAGACAAGGAGCTTTCTCAGGCCTGTGTCATTTCCAAGTGTGTGAACACAGTCTTTGCTCATTTGTTCCTTAGCTCCTCGGGGAGACTGCCAACAAGCAGGCCAGCTCTCAAGCTGTATTGTGCAAAGATTTCTAGCTCACAGGAGTTGGATTTTTTTTCCACAGGTAAAAATGTCAACGTCATAAAGCTGTCTAAACACATGTTGGAGAGCAACAACTTTTAGAAAGTAGTAGCCTGTGTTACTTATTTTTAGCAGAGAAACATCAGTCTGGTGGATAAAGAGAAAAAGTTCTGTTGAGAATTCTAATGCTATATTTTCTACTCTGCTTGTAAACCTGTAATGACAAATATATTCCTGAGAAATAAAGCAGTAGAAGCAGTGTTTGTGTTGTGAGTTTATGTTTATGTGCTATTAAACAAGCACAAATGTGAGTGATGCTAGCAGCTACTTTCATTGTGCCAGGGATTCCCCACTCATGGGCTACATACCTTTGAGATGGGGAAGGCGGCACAGAGTTGTAGTAAAGAAAGGAGGAGGGAGCAATAATCCTCATGTTCATGTGGAGTTTTAACTGAGTGGTATTAAAAATGCAACCATCGTAATGTGATATGGAAGGGCCCTCAAATATTTTCTATTAAGAACAAAAATAAATCATCTCATATCTTAGATTTGCTTCAGAATAATCTGAAGTGGGATGAGTAAGTAAAGCACAGATAAAATAAGGTGGGTCATGAGATGATAATTGTTAAAGCTGGGTGATGGATACATGGAGGTTTGTTAAACAGTCTCTAACTTAGGATTTTTTTTTTTATTTTCCAAAATAATAAGCTTAAAAATATTATGCTTAGAAAGGTTGGAGACCACTGCTTTTATACTAAACTATCAAGTAATTTTGCTTAAAAATTCTTGCACTGGGTACCCAATTGATGACAAATATGAGAGTAGTCAAGTTGTTAAAGCAAATATTAAAGTGGGTTACGGAATGCTACATAAGAGATACAATTCAATATTCTTACTATAGGGGTGCCCAGATCTAGTTTTTACACTTAATCTAATTTTTATCTCACATCAAATATTGGAAAGAAAAAACATAGCATTTGTGTACCCACAATGGATTATAAGATCTATTGACTGAGAAAAGCCTAAAAATTAATATGCATTTATCACAATTACCTGTTATGCCCTTTTTCCTTTTTCCCTCTCTTCCTGTCTCTATTTTTCTCTAATCCAGTGCTATTTACCTTAAGTTTGAAGATAATGACCTATTTCATAATTTAAGTGGCAAACACAAATTAGAATACATCCTTTTGGGCTATTACTCACAACCACTTCGTCTGCGACAACTGTTCTACTTTTCTTTAGCCTTGGCAAGCTATTCAGAACAACATTTCCTTCTTTTCATTCTTATGCAGGGTGATTGTTTGGTGCTGATACAACATTGACTTTTCCCATAATTTAGCTTAGAGTGTTTTACACTGGGGAGTTCCAATGTGTTTAAATTGTAAAACTTTTTCCGAGCATTTTTGTAGCAGAACTCCATGTTCTAATAGCCCCGGCAAAGTTGTTTTTAATACTTTTTCTCTACGAATTTTCATTAAAATTTAATTCCATTTTAACTTTGTCAATTTTCCCCAAAGATAAATTAAGACACACAGAGAGATTGTCATTTCCTGTTTGAAGTCTCATTCCTGTGTACAATGTCAGTCTTTTTTATTTAGGCCTATGCCATTCCATCAGGGTAAATAACTTTCTAACTAGTCATTTAAGAGCAACTCCCGGGAAACTGTGATGCAATCCCACATATCAGCCAGGTGAGTTACGTTGGGATCAAAGATTATGTGATCGCATGTATGTGTGTTTCTTTGTCATATAAGTTATACTCTGGCTTATCACTGCGTGATAACTTTACATCAACTTCCCACATTCTTATCTTTTGAATGATATGTATGGTGAGCTGACCAGTGGGTTTTAAGATGTAGTAGCAGAAGAATCCAACAGAAAACTGTGGAGATTTTAGCTGAGATAGGAATTTTTAGGTTGGTCATATTCGCTTTGGGGATGAATTGCCATGATTTTGTGCTCTCAAGGTATTGTCTTCTGCTTTCTTCAGTAGGTTTTGGAGATACTTTCAGAAATGTCTGCATTTCTTGTGAAAATACTAGAGCTAGTGATGTGTTCCTGTAGCATAGCGGGCTTTAATTTTTCCTGCTCACATACAGCCTAATAGAATTTTGAAAAATATGGTGTGTCCCCCTTGCACATTGTTAACAGCTGAAAACTTTTCTTATACGTTCAAATAGTCACAGAGGATGTGATTTCCCTGGTGTTGTAAATATTCTCCTTAAAAATATAACTGTTACATCACTTTTTAAGTAATAACTAATGTAATCTAAATGTTATGGCAATTCAATACCCCTACTATCCATTTAAAAACACATTATACATATTATTAAGCTTTCTTTAATAGATATTTACATCATTTTTTTCCTTAAACTCATGTTTCCATTCCACTTTGCCAAGGAATTTTGTTCCAATATATGTTTATGCTTGAACAAATTGATGACCCTATGTTTCACTTCAACAAAAATATTTATATAAATAAAAATTTGTGTAAATTTACTTCCCTGTAATCATAACACCCAAACTTCTAGAGGGCTCACATTACAATTATTAGCAGTATATAATTGATCCAAATGATTTTAAACATTGACAAAAAGAGTTAATGTAAGTAAATGTTTACTAAGAAGTAAATGTAATTTTACTAGAAATACATCTGTTAATGAGATAAATGTGCAGGGAATTGGGCTTTTTAATTTTTTAAAATTCTGCTTCTTTTATTTTCTGTTGTTTTAGGGCTTGTTTTGCCTGACAATCGGTTTGTGTGTATTTATTGCTGAATAGTTATTGCTTATTGCTGGAACGAGATAATTTCAGCATTGATATAGTCCGTATTTTATATTGTTATACATGCATGTCCTGAGAAGTCTTACCATATACATAAGTAGATGGCACTGAAGAAAGGCTTTTTTTGTGTGTTTATTTTGGAGATGAAATTTTACTTAAACTCTTTGAATTGCTTCTGAGCTATATATCCAAAGTCACTCAGCAATCTTTTATTAAAAAATAATCTGGAGGCCAGGCGTGGTGGCTCACGCCTGTAATCCCCGCACTTTGGGAGGCCGAGGCGGGTGGATCACGAGGTCAGGAGATCAAGACCATCCTGGCTAACAGGATGAAACCCCGACTCTACTAAAAATACAAAAAATTAGCTGAGTGTGGTGGCGGGCGCCTGTAGTCCCAGCTACTCGGGAGGCTGCGGCAGGAGAATCTCTTGAACCTGGGAGGCAGAGGTTGCAGTGAGCCGAGATCGTGCCACTGCACTCCAGCCTGGATGACAGAGTGAGACTCTGTCTTAAAATAATAACAATTTGGAGATCTATCAGTGCACAACTTCATGAAGTCTCACACTTGGCTACTACTTCCTACTGCCTTTCTTCTAGAACCTCTTAAGTGAGAAACAGATCTTAAAACTTTCACCAAGACCTCCCAGGCCCCATGCTCCTCTCAGCCTGAATGCAGTTCGTTTCACTGCTTCTTCTCTGAGTAGTGCCAGTCGGCAGGTCGTCAGCAAGCAACACATTCACAGACTGGCTCCTCTAACTGGAGAGGGGATCCTGCCCTGAGACAGAGCCATGGGTGCTTCTCAGTAACTAGATGAGTGGAAGCCAAGCCCCAGATGCTGTCCTACAATGGCATCACATTCCTCTGCCCTATTCTCATCTGTTAAATATGGATTACTATTAATAGCAACCTCTTAGGGTTAACTCAATGTTCCATTGAGTTGCTATACGTAAAACTTTAAAATATTACACAAATGTTAGTAGCCCCATGTTGAGGATGTTTGAACATGATCTGTCCCAATCTTGATCTCCTCATTACATAAACCGGATCTGCTCATAGAACATGATGCTAAGACACATGCAAAAATGTGGCCCAGCCATTTGGACCTGCATTTTATTCTCTAGCCACTTGGTTTCCCAGTTAATGAGCAAGGATCTCATTGACCACCTAGGTCCGCCTTGTTTAGATGAGCATTTGGACCCTGAGATGTTCTTACCTCAGCAGTGTTTTCTTCAGGTAACCTTTGATGCTTTCCCTCTTGTTCCACACATTATATAGTATGGGGCAAGAGACACTCCTGTCTTCTTTCTTGGCCTCTTTCAGGCTGAACTAAACCCAGACAAGCCTTCACTGGAGATGGGGAATTGGATAAATATGGACACAACTGGAGATACAATGATGAAGAGAATTTAAATAACTCAGTCTGTTCACTAAATAAATCTAGATAAAAATAAATACTTACAATAAGAAAGCTTAAGGGAAAGTGACAAAACAGATTTTAACAAGGTATGCAGCTTTCTTTGGGGTATTAATGGTTTATTTTTATTTTTATAAAAATATCTATTAGCAGTATTTATATAGTGAAAAATTAGACAAAGAGCAAAATATTTAACAAAAACTTTATTGTATTTTTTCTATTTTTCTTTCTTAAGATTTCATTTTGAAAGGTTTCAATTTATTAATCAGAAGTTTGCCTCAAATCAATGCTACACAGCAACTGCTGAAGTAATTTTAGTTACGTGTTAAGTTAAAAATTCCCCTCTAAACTGCATGTTCAATCAACTTTCACTGTGAAATAGGATTTGATGACATTTAATACTGACTCTCTTGATACAAAGGGTTGGGAAAAGGTCATTGAGTCAGTTGACATTTGCTGTGTGCCCACTGAGAGTGTGACTCTGTAGTAAGTATTATTATGTAGTAAGTATTAAGTATGAGGCACTTCATGGATCTGAAGGACTCCTCGAAAGTGAGACTTATTCAATGAAAAAGAAACTTTTATATGCTTACTACTCAAACTCTGGTGAATTTTTTCACCTTTATTTGTACTTGGGTCAGAGGGAGCTGTGACATCAAGGCAGTGATAAAGAAATAAGCCAGGGACATAAGGAATGGTATGGTAGGAGAACAGATGTAATTAAATATAGGTAGCTCCAAATTAACTAGTACAGTGCTAAGACTCTTCTGAATGCTCAGTTAATATTTATTGATGAGGCCATTCATACGCATACATCCTTTCTTTCCCCAAATCCCTTTGCAGGCAGCACATTGGAGGTTGTCTGGGCTCTGAAGTTCATCTTATAATATTCTCTGCATAAAATGAAATACATTCTGAGGTCTGAGACTGTTCGAGAACTTTCAAATTCTTTTTTCACTTTTATAGTCCCCATATAATTTAACTTTTCTAAAAGTTTATAGACATGTTCATTTGGTTTAAAATTTTTTTCTTTCTTTCTTTATGGCGGTAAATATACATCATATAAAATTTACCATTTTAACCATTTTTAAGTATATAATTCAGTGGGATTAAGCACATTCACAATATTGCATTGCTTTTTGTCTAGCTGAATGGGATTCTCAATGTGCCTGTGACAGAGATGAATGAAGTATTAGCTAAGAAACAATTGTAGTCAGCTTAAAGGACATTCCATAATCACAGAATACTCAGTAGGGGACACAAATACACATCACATAGGAATTGAGTAGATCCCAAATACCATCCAAAGAGGCAGGAAAGCCCCATAACTGCTGTGTCATGTGCAGCATCAGATCTTTGTTGGAACAGATTGTCTTATAGCAGGCCAATACGAATTTGTCATTGATGCATAATTAATGAACTGAAAAATGGATGAATGAGATTTCTCTCTAATTAATGTGTCCCTAATATCTGGCACAAAAGCAAGCTGTATTAATTAGTAGAGTGGTTGTTGTGTGTGTGTGATTGTGTGTGGATGTGGCGTGTCTGTCTGTAAGCATAGTTTGACATGTTTTATTTTTCAGCCTGTTTCTTTGTCTGCTCTTATCCTTCTTCCTAATTCCTACCCTCTCATCACTCCTTTTGTTCTTCTCAGAATTGCATTTTGTTTTTATATGTGGATGAGGGAGAAGGATGACAGATTGAATGATTCCATTTTTAGATGGATGTCTGAGCATACATGAATTAATCAATATTTCATAATCTAGGTGATGAAAGCCCCTCCTTTTTTAAAGCATGAGGACATTATGCTTTGTGTGTGCAGCTTAACTACTATTAAGGTTAACGGAAATCAGGCGACAAAGCCCCTTTCTTGAGTTGATAACATGCACTAGTGTGCATCATTGTCAATTATACATACACTCTTAATCACTTTGGGAGGGAGGAGAGGTAAATCCCGCTGCTGAGCCAAAGCACCTCATGTAAGGATTATTGGCCAGCATTAGGATCTGAACTTAAAATCTGAATTCTCTATTTTCTTTCTAACTTATTCTACAATTGTTAATTAAGTCAAATATTCCCCTAGGAAATGAGTGAATGTGTGGGTGCTTGCACATGGCGGGGGGAAGGGGGTGAAAATAAAAAACACTGAAGGCAAAGAGGAAGAATATTTTTGCATTCGTATTTTAGGACTACTAAAATGTGTAGCTTGTTTTTATAAAATCTTGAATCTGAATACTTGTCTGCAGATATAATATCTTCCATTAGGTGTATAGTTCTGGTATTTTTAGTTCCAGGTGTGAAATAACCTCTATTGAAAGATTTACTCCTCATTTGGCTAGACATTTCTTCATTCAACAGATATTTATGAAGTCTATTCTATGCCAGGTAGTAAGTGCTGTGAAGATAATTAGGCTTTTACCATCAAGTAGCTCCTTGACTAATGAGAAAAACTGACATATAAACAGGCATTTAAAAATGTATGAGCATTCAGTTTGCTAGAGTTTAAATTCAAGCTCAAGACTGATGAAAGGAGAGGCTGGAGATGTAGGGAGAGGGCACATTGTGGAAAGTCAGTCCAGCAAAGATGCTGTAATGAACAATGATTTGAAATAACAGAAATGGAGTTCACACTCCCTGACAGTTTAGCACAAGCCTTCCAGACTGTGGCCCTACCTAGAGTATTGAGTCTTCTGCTAGACCTCCTGCATCTGCCTACATCCTGGAGAAGAGAGGGAGGAGTTAGGCCTGAGTCCACCCTGGAGTGGCACACATCAGTTCTTCCCATGGTGATCATATGACCCAGTTTATGCCTGAATTCTCAGCACAACAATTAATAGTGCCCTCTTTCACTCTTAACAGTGTCTCGGTTTGGACAATAAATTACATGATCACATTAATTTCTCCCATATTCTATGAGTGAGAATTCAATCACATGGTCACACCTAACTTCAAGGGATGCTGGAAATCCTATGTGATCAAGAGGAAAAGGCAATGGATATTGTCGAATGCAAGGCAGTTTCTGTTGCACATGTCAAGAGGTTTAAAACTTTATTCTCCATATCCATTGACTTTTGAACATGCTCACCTAAATACGAATATTTCTTTGAAGTCTTCCAGTATATTTTGCAAATTCATAGGGATCATGCATCCTGCTCCATATACGTGTGTTTTTCTTAAAATAAAATAATGTACTTTATTTCTTCAAAAATCTATACAAATAAGTAATGCTCCAGGAATATGTTCCATTCTTTGTGGGAGAAATTCTTTGCAGGTATGTGCAAATTATGTATCTGCATATATAGAGATATCCAGCAGACTTTCAATAAAATATTAAAACATGTTTATTTCTGATGGTAGAATTGGAGATGACGTTTCCTTTTTCTCTGCATTTTTCCACATCATTTTGGAATTTAAGAACGGTTTTTATTAGTTTTATTAGTGAAGTTAGTTTTTATTTTAGTTTTATTTCATTTTTATGAAGAGCCACCTCATATAGCATTGGCTGTATGAATATCCAACTTGGAACACACAGCACTGAACAAACAGTCAGGTAGAAGAATGACCTGGCCAGATTTTCATTTTAAATAGGACATTCTGACAGCTGCATGGAGTGCAGATTCCAAAAGACAGAGACTGGGAGCAGGGAGACCAATCCAGACTGTTATAGGTATCTGGATAAAAGACGATAGAGGATCTGATCTAGGTTGGTGATAGTAGGAATGTTTGGAGATTAAATCAGTAGAGCTAAATAAACCAAAAAAGAATTATTGATAAATTTGACTATGTAAACAGTAAAGGTTTTGCTTCTTCAAAACATCATAAAATTAAGTTTAAAAAGTAAGGGACAAACTGTAAAAAACACTTGTGAGATATGAATGATAAGAAAGATGGGAAAGGTTGGCATCCTGGATATATTAAGAGCTCTTAACAATAAGAGAAAAGTATTCTAATATAAAAATGAACTCAGCAATTTATCAAAGAATAAACATGACCTCCAAAATGTTAAAACCTGACCAAAGATAAAAAAATACTGGAAATAAAAATACAATCTTCATTATCATATTAGTGAAGATAGTCACAGAATACAGTACAGATATATGTACAAAGTATTCATCTTGGAACTGTTAATAACAATGAAAATTGAGAAAATAATTCTTTCAACGAAAGGTTTGTTAATAAATTATTATAGATCCCCCTATTGGAATATTAGGTAATGATTAAAAATTATTGCATAGATATATAATATTGAAATAGAAAGTTGTTTGTGCATCACAATGCCTGTGACCTATTATTAAGTAAAAACTGGTTATCAAACTTCAAGTATAACATGCCAACTTTATGTAAAATTCTTTTTGTGTGTGTGTGTGTGTGTGTGCAAAACATATATCTGCATATGTAGGGATACCTAGAAGACTTTCAATAAAATATTAAAACATGCTTATTTCTGGATGGTAGAATTGCAGATAGCTTTTCCTTTTTCTCTGTATTTTTCCACATCATTTTGGAATTTTAAAATAGACACCATGCACTATTCATATAATTTTTAAGTAAACAAAGCCTTATTATTTGGGGGAAAAACAAAAGCTAGTAGGTATTTTTTACTCCAAGGGTGTAAAAAATAATGAGGACTTGGTGATTGATTGATTATAGAGAGCAAATGAGAAGGACTGGGCAAAGATGACTTTCAATTCTCTCATTCCTTGTAATAATTCACTGGCACTGAATGAAAGACAGTTATCCTCTCTCCTATCCCTTTACCCTGTTGTCATTCTTTTTGCTTTGCAACTTCTCATCCAGATTCGTCTCCTCCTAAGACTGTCCCTAGACTCTCTGAAATGCTTGTTCCAATGCTAACAGCCCCTCTGCATCCGTTACCTTATTTCAGAATGCTTTCTCCATGTTTTCCCTAACTGAATGGCAGAGGATTAGAGATGAGACATGGTGCTGGAAATGACTGACACAATATTCTTATACCAGTACAGGTTGTTTTGATGGCAGCATCCTATAATGAGGCTTCCAACCTAGCATCAGAGAAGATGGGAGATGAACAAATTTATGAGGGACACAGTACCAAGTGGACCTGTCTCAGGGTGTTCAAAATAGCTGGGAGGTCCAGGGATGGGGTAAAGATTGCCAACAGATTGCAAAGTCTGGTAAGGAGCAAGGCAACCCTCATACTTGTCTGAACTGATTGTTCAGGGCAGGAGAGGAGGCGCAATAGTGAAAGTAATGGCCAATCCTAGTTAACAATCTAAGAGGAACTGCCAACTCGTTATTTTTCTTTATCACAGTTTGCTTTGCAAACCAACAAGCAAAAATACCAACCTATTCATATACAAGCATAAATGCCATCTGTGTAAATGTAAATACTAAACACAAGAGCTTTTCAATGATCAAGAGACATTAAAGATTGATGTCAGAGATATGTCCACTTCTTGAATCTTACTCTTTAGGGCCACCAGTCCCCAGACACTATCTTTGTATTTTTGTCATCATTGAGATCTTTGCCATTCGAGGCTAACTCATCCCAGTGATCAAGAGCCATGCATTTCTTCTTCGTCTCCTTCTTCTTCTTCCTCTTCCTCTTCCTCTTCTTCTTCTTACCATACTTTAAGTTCTGGGATACATGTACAGAATGTGCAGGTTTGTTACATAGATATACACGTGCCATGGTGGTTTGCTGCACCCATCAACCTGTCATCTACATTAGGTATTTCTCCTAATGCTATCCCTCCCTTATCCCCCAACCCCCAACAGACCCTGGTGTGTGATGTATTCTCATTGTTCAACTCTCACTTATGAGTGAGACTATGCAGTGTTTGGTTTTCTGTTCTCGTGTTAGTTTGCTGAGAATGATGGCTTCCAGCTTCATCCATGTCCCTGCAAAGGACATGAACTCATGTCTTTATGACTGCATAGTATTAGATGGTGTATATGTGCCACATTTTCTTTATCCAGTCTATCATTGATGGGCATTTGGGTTGGTTCCAAGTCTTTGCTATATGTGCATAGTGGTGCAATAAACATACGTGTGCATGTGTCTTTATAGTAGAATGGTTTATAATCCTTTTTGTATAGACCAAGTAATGGAATTGCTGGGCCAAATGGTATTTCTGGTTCTAGGTCCTTGAGGAATTGCCACACTGTCTTTCACAATAGTTTAACTAATTTACACTCCCACTAGCAGTGTAAAATCATCCCTATTTCTCCACATACTTTCCTGACTTTGTAATGATCGCCATTCTAACTGGCATGAGATCGTATTTCATTGTGGTTTTGATTTGTATTTCTCTAATGACCAGTGATAATGAGCTTTTTTTCTTATGTTTGCTAACATAAATGTCTGCTTTTGAGAAATGTCTGTTCATATCCTTTGCCCTCTTTTTGATACGGTTGTTTGGTTTTTTTCTCGTAAATGTGTTTAAGTTCCTTGTAGATTCTGGATAATAGCGATTGTCAGATAGATAGATTGCCAAAATTTTCTCCCATTCTATAGGTTGCTTGTTCACTCTGATGATAGTTTCTTTTGCTACGCAGAAGCTCTTTAGTTTAATTAGATCCCATTTGTCAATTTTGGCTTTTGTTGCCATTGCTTTTGGTGTTTTAGTCATGAAGCCTTTGTCCATGCCTTTGTCCTGAATGGTATTGCCTAGGTTTCCTTCAAGGGTTTTTTATGATTTTAGGTCTTACACTTAAGTCTTTAATCCATCTTGAGTTAATTTTTGTATAAGTTGTAAGGAAGGGGTCCAGTTTCCAATAAGAAGTCAAATCCCTGAATAGACCAACAACAAGTTCTGAAATTGAGGCAGTAATTAATAGCCTACCAACCAAAAAAAAAAGTCCAGGACCAGAAGGATTCACGGCCAAATTCTACCAGAGGTATGAAGAGCAGCTGGTACAATTTCTTATGAAATTATTCCAAACAATAGAGAAAGAGGGACACCTCCCTAACTCATTTAATGAGGCCAGCATGATCCTTATACCAAAACCTGCCAGCGACACAACAACAACAAAAAAGAAAACTTCAAGCCAATATCCCTGATGAACATCTATGTGAAAATCCTCAATAAAATACTGGCAAACCGAATCCAGCAGCACATCCAAAAGCTTATCCACCATAATTAACTCGGCTTCATCTCTGGGATGCAAGGCTGGTTCAACATGTGCAAATCAATAAACGTAATCCATTACATAAACAGAATGAATGAAAAAAAGACACATGATTATCTCAATACATGCAGAAAAGGCCTTCAACAAAATTCAACACCACTTCATGTTGAAAACTCTCAATAAACTAGGTTTTGATGGAATGTATCTCAAACTAATAAGAGCTATTTATGACAAACCCACAGCCAATATCATACTAAATGGGCAAAAGCTGGAAGCATTCCCTTTGAAAACTGGCACAAGACAAGGATGCCATCTCTCACCACTCCTATTCAACATAGTATTGGAAGCTCTGGCCAGGGCAATCAGACAAGAGAAAGAAATAAAGGGTATTCAAATAGGAAGAGAGGAATTTAAATTGTCTCTGTTTGCAGATGACATGTATATATAGAAAACCCCATCGTCTCAGCCCAAAATCTCCTTAAGCTGATAAGCAACTTCAGCAAAGTCTCAGGATACAAAATCAACGTGCAAACATCACAAACATTTCTATACACCATAACAGACAAACAGAGAGACAAATCATGAATGAACTCCCATTCACAATTGCTATAAAGAGAATAAAATATCTAGGAATACAACTTACAAGGGATGTGAAGAACCTCTTTAAGGAGAACTGCAAACCACTGCTCAAAGAAATAAGAAAGGACACAAATAAATGGAAAAACATTCCATGCTCATGGATAGGAAGAATCAATCTAGTGAAAATGGCCAGAGTGCCCAAAGTAATTTATAGATCAATGCTATCCCCAACAAGCTACCATTGACTTTCTTCACAGAATTAGAAAAAACTACTTTAAATTTCATATGGGACCAGACCAAAAAAGAGCCTATATAGCCAAGACAATCCTAAGCAAAAAGACCAAATCTGGAGGCATCACACTACCTGACTTCAAACTATACTACAAGTCTACAGTAATCAAAACTGCATGGTAATGGTACCAAAACAGACAGACAGACCAATGGAACAGAACAGAGGCCTCAGAAATAACGCCACACGTCTACAACCATCTGATCTTTGACTAATCTGACAAAAACAAGCAATGGGGAAAGGATTCCCTATTTAATACATGGTGTTGGGAAAACTGGCTAGCCATATGCAGAGCCAGGCATTTCTTAGTATGCATTGAACTCATGCCAAACTATTGTTTCTCACTATTATTGTCTAAAAGACAACGTGTACTACAAATGTGAGACAGGAAATGTCCATCTGACCTTATTACGGTAGAAGAAATTTTCCAGAGTTCATATGCTGATGTAATTATTTTAAGAATTATTTTTATTTTTTAAAGTGGTAGATCCTTAGAACAATTGTCTTTGCTGTCACAGGCATAGCATATGGCTTATCATCTCCCGTTTAGAGGAATAGAGCACTGTAATTGCTGCAATCAGGTTTTATATTATTTTCTAATTAGGTTTTAGGAGTTCTTTTTATTTGCTTGGTTTATTTGTGTGTGTGAAATGTAACATATATATTTCTATGTCTTAACCTTTACTTCTTTTGGAAGGTCCTTATTTATTTTACATAGAAAAATTTTCCTTTTTCCACAAAGCTATGACCACATAACTTACTTCCTTCTGTTCCAGTATTGTGTTTTATGTAATTTCCTATAAACAGCAGCAAACAACTTCAGTATACACTGGCTGTTTGTTCAGTGTTCTTGCAGTACTTACAATGGACATTTCTCAGCATAATTAATCTCTTTTTAAAATTTGGCCCTATTCTTATCAGCACCAATATTATACTTTGAAATGAATGGAAATGCTGTACTCATTGAAGGGATAAGGATTAAATCTTAAATGGGGTCTAGGGATGAAGTGAGGAGGGAAAAAACCCTTACAAACCTGGTGCTTTTTTTCTCCTTTGGAAATGAAAAGCAACAGGCTATACTCTGTGAAAGAAAGGAAATGGTGCTGACGAGCTTTTCCCCAACCACTGTACACCTCTGGTTCAGAACTAGCAGAAGCCAATTAGTTATTTAGTTCACTCGCACATTTAAGCGTGATATTTGATTTATATGAGCATCAGGAACTAGATATTCAGGCATAATTCAGGTCCTTTTTCTCTTTCATTATAATGAGTAACTTTAATTCTTGTTTTATATTTGTTTGAATCCATGATCTGTTTTTAATCCTATATCTTCTGTATCTGACAGACTCCATTTCATCCATTTTTTTAGTTGTCCTTTTTTACTATATAGTTTTACAGAATCCAGGAAATCCTTTTCTTCTGTTAAAATGCTATCACTAGTAGTAATATTTCTAATGCCAATTTAAACCTTTTTATCCTAGCATACTTTGTGCAGAATGAATTGTTAAGTGCATCTATAGAAAACGAATGATTGGTATTCAGCCAAGCTTTGCCTATGTCTTTCCATGACCAAAAACAAGTCAGGTGAGAAGGAAAAAAAAAATTAATTAGTCTGTTGTTTATCTTTGTGGCTTTGAACAACCTATTTCTATATTTTGGGAAAATTTTTTCTCATTGAATTACCGGGTATATTTATCATGTACATTAATACTTGAATTTTCATTATATAGCTCCATGGTGAAAAGTTTTGAATGAGAAACTATTTTTAATAGCCATTTCAGAAACAAGTGAGGTCAATGAGCATCTTGTTTTAGGAAGAGGGGGATGGTGTGGACATTGGAGTGAAAGGAAGTCCTATGTCAGAGGGCTCTGTGCACATTTTCCTGAAGTACCTCAGCGATGCTTAAATGTAATCTGTTATTTTAACCAATCATAATGGTTGCATTTTGCCTTTTCTCATATTAAATTATAAAATTGATAACTTATAAATAGGGCAAAAGTTTATTTTTCAGGATGCCTTTCCCTTCTGTAACACTAACAGATTGAATTTTGTTTCCAAAGACTTCAAAAGCTGCCAGATTATTGTGAAAGGAGAAACACTGTTTTCGAAGGCTGCTGATAATGCCTATTAGCCAGAAGAAAGAGCCTGAATCATTCAAAGGTTTTCCATCTAGTAAAGAAGTGTGGTAAAAATCTTGCCCAGATCTGCATGTGCTAAGCATCTACGTAAGTTGGAGCATCATATTAATGACACCCAGTGAAGAAACGAAAGGTAAAACTATAATGCAATGTATTTCTGTGCCTCGTGTTGAAACTTCATATTCAAAGGCTAAAGGGACTTCATTTTTCTTCTCCTTCCCCAGTTGTGTATTTCAGTTTTGTATTGAAATGTTCTCTGGATTCATAAAATATTTAGGGACTACATAAAGAATAAAGACTTTGGAATCGAAGGCAAGATTCACCCAACACAACTTCTGTTAGATGAAACTAGGAAATCAGGATCTATCAAAGGCCCAGTGTTAATCGGTATCAGTTTCTCACCATGTTTTGATTAGAAGAACATTGAACAGCAAACATTTAAGGATTTGTCTGACTGAATACTGACTTAAAGTTCTGATCTCTAGTAATGTCAGATATATTGCCTTGGTAGATTGTACAGGTCAATTGTTAAAGATGAAAACATAACTTACTTCTACATTTATTGTTTGAATAACTTTAGAGAAAAAAATTAATGTTATTTATTTTTCAGAATGAAGTGTAATTACTATATCAAAAATCCACAGAATGTGAAAGTATAAAGGAAAACTCTCAGGTGAGACTCGATTATTTTTATTTCAAAGATCTAGGTAAAAATGTGAACAGATTGGGAGGCTGAGGCAGGAGAATCACTTGAACCCAGGAGGCAGAAGTTGCAGTGAGCCAAGATTGCACCATTGGACTCCAGCCTGGGCAACAGACAAGACTCTATCTCAAAAAAAAAATGTGAACAGATATATTGACATAAAATTCATAAAACATATGGATATACTAAAAACTAGGAAGTCTGGTTGCTTCTGAGGATAAGAGTTGAGGACCTGTTTCAAGAATACTTTGCACAGCTTGTACTATTGCAGTATTTGAATTTTTTCTTGTACATGTATAACTTTTTTAAAAAGAATGAGAAATGCTGTACAAGTGCAACTATTTTTACTGTAAGTTTTTATTTCCATAAAACTATAATTAAGTGTGTGGTCAATAGATCCTGTTATATAGCTATGATATCCCTTGAATTTGTTTACCTGGTAACACTAGCTCACGTTTGTAAATCCTTTGGAACTCCCAAAGCGATTTTACATACATTACCTAATTTGTAAGATTACAAAACTATTACATTAGCTTTTCTGGTTTTCTTGTCTTAATACGTGATTATCATATTAAACTGCAGTGTTTTTTTTTTTCCATCAAGTCACACACACAAAACAGGAAACCAGCAGTTGTAATTTCTTCAGCAATTCTTAATGTAAGTTTTTAATAGTTTAGTACTTTTCTTTCATAAGTATTGGACCAAGCTGTAATGGAATTATACGACTCATGCTTTCAGAACAGAGCCTTCTGTTACTCGTGTTTTTATCCTGATGGCCATATGACCATGTGAAGTTCCATCATGATTCTGTTGGATGTTACCTTTGTCTTATCCACTGAACTCAAGCCAGGGTGTTGGAGAATTCAATAGCTGAGTCTGAGGGTAAATTAAAATACCAGTCAAAATTAAATGGACTGTGTGAAACAGGAGTGAGCTTACAGGTTATTATGAGATTTGTCCTGCCCAGTTTAATACAACCCCTTCTCTGCTGAAGGGTAAGTAGGAAGGCTTTTCATACAAATAGAAGACCAGGTCAAAAAAAAATCCACTCCTTTTCCTTCTGCTTGGCTTACTGGACTTGTAGGCAGACCTAGTTTTCCTACTGTATTAATGGCTATGGAGCTGAATTTCTTTGCAATAGAAGTTGTTATTTGAGTTTAGCAACATTGATAAAATTGGCTCATCAAACCGTTTTATATTGAAAAGGGCTTCATGGACAGTGACCTGCTGTGAGTTGGCTGACAGCTGAAATGATGAACAATACTGTTTAGTTCTGCCCATCGTGCCTGCCAGAGACTAAGAATAACTTGACCAGTAAGGAGGGTGGATCTTTGTTAGCTGTTCTGCATTATTTCTTCCAATTTAGTATTTAACCCCAAGAAAGAATCAATCGCATGTGGGTGGCTATTCATTGTAATATTTAAAGGTAAAGTAGCACAGTGGTCAAGGGTGAAGGCTAGGAGTCAGACTTGAATTCAAATGCCAGCTCCACCCTTTACCACACATGGGAACATGGGCAAGTTACTTCACTTCTTTAACCATCAGTTTCCTCATTTCTAAGACAAATCTTGTTGGAATGACTTTTTTTCAAAATGAATTAAGTGTATAGTAGAGGGCCTATAGTTTTATATGGTTTATATAATTACTAAAACTTTTTGTATATGATTATAATAACTACATACAAAATGTCATGGCAAATGCATAAAAACTGACTATTGACTATGCTATCCCCCACTCCACTCCCCACCATTCATTCCTAAGCCCACTCCAGTCAGGCAATCTGCCATTCCACTGATACTACACTTGACAAGGTCACCAATGACATTTACACTGCTAAATGCAGTGGCCAGTTCTCAGTCTTCATCAGAGTTGAGCACTCAGCAGCCTTTGGAAAAGTTAATCTTGCATTCCACTGCCTGCCCTTTTTTGTTTTCCTAATCTCTAAACATTGGAGGGCTCCAGGGCTCCATCCTCTGGCCTCTTCTCTATCCATAACCCCTCCCCTGGTGACCTCATCTAATCTTGGAGATTTACTATCATGTAGATGCTACTGACTTCTCAAATATATATTTCCAGTTCACATCTCTCCTGTGAGTTCCAGACTTGTTTATCCAGATGCCTGTTCAATTTCTGCTTGAATGTCTTAGGTAGTTTCTCAAACTTGGCATGTGAAAAACTGAACACCTTGATTTTCCTAAAAATCTGTTTCTCTATCATTTAGCTGCTCAGCTAAAAACTTTGGAGTTAGACATATGGACAGCCCACCCCAAGGGAAGAATCAGAGGAGAAGGGACACAAGACCCCAGAAACACACAAAGCACCTTAATATGCATGCTGCATCTCTCTAAAATTGTGGAACCTGTTTACCTGCTCTGGAGAATGGCTGCCTGTGGCAGACATAGGAGTTGTCCTCATGCTGTGCTTCCTATCTTCCACAGTAATTGACTTGTAGCTGCAATACAGTTACCAACCAGGAATACAATTTCTCAGCCCCATGTCTTGCACCTACAGCTAAGTGTGGCCATGTGACCAGTTTTCACCAATTAAGTGTGAATAGCAACAAAGTGCACCACCTTCAATTGGAGGCTTTGAAGAAGCAGGGCAGCCTTCCCTTGCTCTCTTTCCCCTTGTTCTGGTGGGATACAGATGACAATAAGGCCCTGGGTTTTGAGGTAGCCACAAGATGCAAAATACCTCAGACCTGAGTCACCACAAGGAAGAGAGAAGCCCACTGACATGGAATACCCAGCCTAGTCTACAGATGAATAAGAAATAAACTTCTATTATGTTCGAACATTACAGATTTTGTTCTGTTATAGCAGTTTATCTCACCCTGACTAAACTGTTGCCTATCTTCCAAGATAGGCCCTCCTTCCCTGAAAGTGACTTTTTCATACATGTAATCTGTATTTTAATTCATATTCTCCAAAGCATATCCACATCTATTCAACTATTTTCATGTCTTCCATCAATAAAAACCTCATATAAATATATACGAGGTTTTTTTTTTTTTTTTTAAGACACTTTGGAGTTATCCTTGACCCTGTCCTCTTTTCTCATACCCATATACGAACCATTAAGAAATCTTGTTGCCTCAACCTTCAAAATCTATCCAGGATTTAACCACTAATCAACCCCTTCTCCTCTGTCAGTCTGTCCTCCTAGATTTCATCTTGACCATCCTTAGAAACTCCTAACCAGTCTTATTGCTTTCGCCATTGTACATCCAGACTATTCTCAAATGGCAACCAATGAGATCGTGCTGCACTTCTGCTCAAAACCTGCAAATGGCTTCCTACCTCACTTAGGGTAAAACCAAATGGGGCCTGCACAATCTGGCTTCACCTCCTAGTGCTTTCCTCCTTGCTCATTCAGCCCAGCCACACTGCTCTTCTTGCTTTTCCATGAACATGCTAGACACACTCTCACGTTTGGGCTTTTGCACTTGTTTCCCTTCCCAGAATGCTCTCCTCGTGGATACGCACATATCCAGCCCCTTATCTCCTTCAAATTTTAGTTCAAATGCCACTTTCTCAATGAGGGTTTTCTAACCAGCCTATTTAAACTTACAGTCTCCCATTGTCTAAAGCCTTGTCTCCCTTCCTGCTTTACTTTTCTTCATAGTAATTACCACCATCTGACTTATATTTGCTTGCCTTTCTTGTTGATTTTCTGTTTTACCCACTCAAATGTAGTCCATAAGGGAAGGGATTGTTGTTTCATTTGTTCACTTCTCTATCCCCTGGGCCTGAGCCTGGCTTTGGGTAGGCACTCAGTTAATGTTTGTGTAAATTAATAAATGAATGAATGACATTTACTACCTTATATGGTACTATAATATAAAAGCATATGATGCAGAGAATTAGGAATCTAGAAACTAGTTTTGACTCAGCATCCTATGTACAAGGTTATGTAGACAAGTCATTTCACCTCTCTGAGCCTCATTTTTCTAATATTTAAAATCTACCCTCCAGAGCTGTAAAGTGTTCAAATATAGATTATCTTATGGAGTGCAGTCTCATGCTTGCACAATGAAAGAAGTTAATTTCTACATACCTTCCATGTACCCACAATCAATGGTTTATGTAAACCTCACCTCAGGAAAATTAAGTTCTGTATGAGCAGATTTTTTTTTAAATTGCCACTGAAATAAATACCAAATTAAGCCAAATAAATACCAAAACAGACTTTGCATTTTTCATCTTTAGCCAAGCTCCTCTGGTTTGCATACTCATAATATAATTCAAATGACCATTTTTGGAGTTTTGATTTTTAGTGCTCTTTTTCTCTGCTAGGAGAAATGAATATCTGATGCTTTGTTTTTCCAAATTGTTGTATGAAAACTGAGTAATGCTATAAAGCTTTTTAAATATTTTAGAGGTATAGCAAGTGAACTATTTTATAAGTTTCTGGGATTTTTGAAAATATTTTTTATTTTTAATTTTTACTGAGACAGGGTCTTGCTCTGTTGCCCAGGCTGGAGTGCAGTGGTGTGATCTCAGCTCACTGCAGCCTCTGCTGCCCAGGTTCAAGCGATTCTCATGCCTCAGCCTCCCAAGTAGCTGGGACTACAGTCCTGTGCCACCATGCCTGACTAATTTTTTTTGTATTTTTAGTAGAGATACGGTTTCGCCATGTTGGCCAGTCTGGTCTCGAACTCCTGACCTCAAGTGACCTGCCCACCTCAGCCTCCCAAAGGGCTGGGATTACAGGCATGAGCCACTGCACCCAGCCTGAACATATTTTTTATGTTCAATATAATGTTGACTACCTAGTAAAGTCATATTTGTTCAAATTCCCCTGATTTATTTTCTAATGAATACCTCGATATTTCTCTTATATGCTGGTCACTTATCAAATGATTCCCAGTGAACACTTTTGATTGATTAATGTATAACTTGATCAGGTACTGAATTTGCATTTGCTTAGTAAGGCCCACCTTGAAAAATAGTGCAAATAATTTATTCAGGTCAGATAGGGAGAAAGAAATCATAAAAATACTAAACCAAACAAACTTTAGAAGTGGCTGTTAATAGATAAGATTTTCAAGGCCCATGATAAAGGGATTCTAGTTCTAGATCTGCTTTCCATATTCTTCAATTCCAAGGGACATCTTCAGCGTAGCTCCTGACTGGCCTGGCTAACGCTTCGTGCATCCTTTCTTGAGCTTTGAAGTTTGTCCTGTTTGCCCCTCAATCCTCATAAGGTCTCCTTGTGCATGTGCCCCTCCCTGAGTTTGTGTGTGAGTTGCTGTCTCATTCCTGGTCTATGTTCCCTATGTTTTTATTTCCTATCTTTTAGTATGTAAGTAGGTAGATAGACAGATTGACTGATGATTGATTGATAGAAATAGATATATAATTTATTTTCCCATGGGTAGATCTTTAAGGTTTTCAGGCATGGGAGTAAGATAACCACCCTATCCCTCTGTGTGGTGGAATAGGGTAGAGTATGGCTGTGGCCAGAGAGACAACAGAACAGTGTAAGAAAGTGTAAAAGTCTTGAACTATAGCATAGATACGCAAGAAATAAATGAAAATGCTGCTGTTTAATGTGCTGTTTGCAATTTTTAAAAGTCTATCAGTGGGAGAATTGAATAGGTAAATAAAGTTTTCATTGTTAACTTTGTAACAATAAGTTTCTGATAATCTGTAACACAACAATAAAGTAAGAAAGCTCAAAAGTATTCTCAAATTTCCCCATCAGGGAATAATTTCTTCCTGAATATCACTCACAGCTCCCTGGAATAATAATACAGTATAACCTTTTTATTCAATTGACACCTATGAGCCAATTTCTATTGTTTCTCAACCAACCCTCCTACTCTTCACCAGTCTGTGTTGGGGCCATATCTATGTATTCACATACATAGTATTCTTTTCTTACATCTATCCTAGAATATGTATGTATAACACCATAATACAAGTCAACTGTCTCTTATCTGCAACCACAAATCCATAAAGCTCTGAAAACCAGAAGTTTGTTTTATGATTGGTACCAAAATTTATTTTGTGCAAAACCTGGCTTGAACAGACATGAGGCTTGCTAGCTGATATGCCCCACTAGATGGTGAGCTTTATGGAGGCAGTCTTGATTCCTCCTGTCTGCCTGGTATCTAGTGAATCTCAACAAATATCAAATATTTGGAATAAGCAAATGAATATTTTCTATCAATTTAATATATTTGAATTTATTAGTCTTCCTCTGTTGTTCTTATTTGTTTTTTGAGACGGAATCTCACTCTGTCACCCAGGCTGAAGTGCAATGGCATGACCACAGCTCACCGCAGCCTCAAACTCCCAGGCTCCAACAATCCTCCTGCCTCAGCCTCTTGAGTAGCTGAGACTACAGGCACACACCACTGCACTCAGCTAATTTTTGTGTTTTTTTGTAGAGATGGGGTTTCGCCATGTTGGCCAGGCTGGTCTTGAACTTGGCTCAAGGGAACCACCCACCTCAGCCTCCCTAAGTGTTGGGATTACAGACATGAGCCACTGCGCCTGGCCTCTGTTCTTATTTTTTAAATGTTAAAACTTTGAGAAAACAAGAGTTAGGGCTAATAAGTGCTTTTCAAAAATTTATTTTTAAACTGAAAATATAAACATTTGGTCAGATTGAAAAATCAATGATGGAACCAAGAATAATATAGTGTTTCCTGAGTTTTAGATTAGTATTTTCTTACCTAGATAAGACTAGTATTATGAATGCCAGATAATTCCAAGGCCAAGAAAAACAACTTTCTTTAAAATCTATTAAAATGTTATGAGTGAAAATGATGAAAATAACGTTATTTTACTCCTGTGCCTGAAAACACTTAAGGGGTCCCCACTGGGGAAAAATATGAATCAATATCTACATATGTATATATTTACTTATACATATATTATACCACTAAAAAATCAGAAATAAGAAGGTAGGGCAGATAGATCAAGAATGACATAGCAACTTACATACGAACTTAGGTAGGAGAACTTGTAAATGTATTTTGAATATTTGATGCTTCTCCAGATTCTTTCACCTTTTCTTTATACATGCTTTTATGTGGGTTCACATATATAAAAATTATGTATATTGTATACAAGTTTGTATTTTTTTCTACATTTTGAGGAAATTTTGAGGAAGCAAACTTCTGCTTTATGAAACATCCACTCATGACATCAATAATTGCCAAGTAGAATCTTTTTCATAAAACACTCATGACCTAAATTGAAAAACATAAAAGTTTTATTGAAGTTACAAATGTCAGGACACAAGTACTGTTATCAAATATTAGAATTATGATATACCATAACATCTATTATTCTGCCTTGCATTATCATTCTAAATTTTGTAAATATTTGTTGGGTCATAAAGAAATAAATTTCTCTTTGAGCCATCTAACTTACTTCCTTCTAATATCCAATTTATTGAATAGGATGCCATTCTATTTCCTCCGATGAATTTTCATCTGATGTCCATTTGCAGTTCACCCTTAAACAACATGGATTTGAACCGCATGGGTCTATTTATACGTGAATTTTTTTTAGTAAATATATTGAAAAATTTTTTGGAGATTTGCAACAACTTGAAAAAACTTGCAGACAAACTGCATAGCATAGAAATACTTTCGAAAATTTTTTTTTGGCCGAGCGCGGTGGCTCAGGCCTGTAATCCCAGCACTTTGGGAGGTCGAGGCGGGCAGATCACCTGAGCTCGGGAGTTTGAGACAAGCCTGGCCAACATGGTGAAACCCCGTCTCTACTAAAAATACAAAAATTTACCGGGCATGGTGGTGGGCGCCTGTAGTTCCACCTACTCGGGAGGCTGAGGCACGAGAATCACTTGAACCCGGGAGGCGGAGGTTGCAGTGAGCCGAAATAGCACCACTGCACTCCAGCCTGGGTGACACAGCCAGATTCCGTCTCAATAAATAAATAAATAAATAAATAAATAAATAAATAAATAAATTTTAAAGTTAGGGCCAGGCACGGTGCTTCACACTTACAATCCCAGCACTTTGGGAGGCTGAAGCGGAAGGATCATTTGAGCCCAGGAGTTTGAGACCAGGAGTTTGAGACCAGGAGTTTGAGACCAACCTGAGCAACATAGTGGTACCCCATTGCTACAAAAAAATAAAAAGTAAAAAGTTAGCAAGCTGTGGTGGCACTCCTGAAGTCCCAGCTCCTCAGGAGTGGGAGGATCACTTGAGCCTGGAAGGTTGAGGCTGCAGTGATCCTTGATCGCAAACACTGTGCTCTAGCCTGGGTGACAGAATGAGACCCTGTCTCAAAAAAAAAAAAAAAAGAAAAAAGAAAAAAAGAAAAGAAAAGAAAAAAATAGGAATAGAAAAAGTTGGGTATGTCATGAGTGCATAAATACATAAATATGTGTAGCCACTAATCTATTTTATCATTTACTGCCATGAAATACTTGAGTCGGCCAAACCAACCCCTTCTCTTCCTCTTCCTCTTCAGCCTACTCAACATGAAGACAATGAGAATTAAGACTTTATTATTATCCACTTCCACTTAATGAATAGTAAATATATTTTTTCTTATGATTTTCATAATATTTTACTTTCTCTAGCTTACTTTATTGTAAGAATACAGTATATAATACATGCAATATACAAAATATGTGTTAATTAACTGTTTATGTCATTGGTAAGGCTTCTGGTCAACAGTAGCCTACTAGTAGTTAATTTTGGGCGGATCTAAAAGTTATACATGGGTAATTGACCATGTAGAAGTCGGCACACCTAACACCCATGTTATTCAAAGGATTCATGGGTCAACTGTATTTCACTATTTTTATCTATTTGTAAATTATTAATAATTGCTTTATGTATAAAAACAACAGCTGTCTCATCATCATTATAATGTCAATTGTTCCATCCTTATACTATTAATATGATAAATATACATTTATACTTCAAATGACAGAAAAGTAGGCATTAATCAGCAAAGCAGTTCAGGAAAATTAATCTGGCAGGACTGAATAAAATGGGCTTGAAGAAAGTAGGCTTAAAGCAGAAATATATTGGCTAGGACTCCATTGCCATTATCTAAACAAGAATTAATGAGTTTCCTAACTGGGAATGAAATAGAAGAAATGGAAAGAAGGGACAGTTTTAAAATGTAATGAAGGGAAAATTGATGCAATTGGATAACTGGTTGAATATAAGAAGCAAGACAGACTATCATAATTGTTAGATATTTCAGATAATGTGGGCATGAAAGAAAGAGATGCCAAGATGGTAGTAGGTAGTAGAGAGAAGGCCAAGGAAATACTTGTATTTCCTGAAGTTGGGAAATACTTATACTTGAAGAGTGTAGAAAGGAAGGAATCAGCAGAGAGAGCTAAGGAGAAGCAAAAGAACAATTTCACAAAAACATGGATTTAAAGAAGTAGTGGGCAGCAATATTCAGTGCCGCAGAAAAGGCTCTAGATTTTATGAGTAGGAAGTCTCGTGACCTTTAAGAGCACAGGGTTCCATAGAAGGGTGAGGACAGAAACGAAATTTGAAAGGATTAAGGAATGAGTGAAGTATAAGAAAATGTGACAGTATTTTTTCAAAATGAATAATCAAGCAATGAAACATGGAGGAACCTCAAATGCATGCCACTAAGTAAAAGAAGCCAGTGTGAAAAGGCTGCATGACTGTATGATTCGAGCTACATGGCATTCTGGAAAGGGCAAGCCATGGAGACAATGAAAAGATCAACGGCTGCCAGGGATTGCAGGGAGGAAAGGATAAACAGGCAGAGCACATCAAATTTTTAGGGCAGGGAAACTAGTCTGTATTATACTATAATGGTGGGTACATGTCATTATGCATTTGTCAAAACCTGTAAAATGTACACCAAAAGTCAACTCTAATGTACATTATGGACTGAGTGATTATGATGTGTCAGTGTAGTTCATTGGTTGGAACAAATGTACTCTGGTGGGAGACGTTAATAGTAGATGTTGGCCGGGCATGGTGGCTCACGCCTGTAATCCCAGAATTTTGGGAGGCCGAGGAGGGTGGATCACGAGGTCAGGAGTTCAAGAGCAGCCTGGCCAAGATGGTGAAACCCTGTCTCTACTAAAAATACAAAAATTAGCCCAGCATGGTAGCAGGCGCCTGTAATCCCAGCTACTTGGGAGGCTGAGGCAGAGAATCACTTGAACCCGGGAGGCAGAGGTTGAGTGAGCCGAGATCACGCCATTGCACTCCAGCCTGGCAATAGAGTGAGACTCCATCTCTAAATAAATAAATAAATAAATAAATAAATAAATAAATAAATAAATAAAATGAAGTCAATTTTAAAAGAATGTATAACCATTTTTATTAATATAAACTTCTGTGTTACATACATGTATTACTTTTATTGTATCATTTTATAGCCCTTAAAAATTTCAACAAAATGTAAAAATGTATTTTTGTGACCAATGAAATAAGTGGAGTAAAGTGATATTGTTCAGCTAAATATATGATAGATATAAGAATTTAGTTACATTTCTGGAATGACAGAGTGGTGATGAATTTTATAGCATTATGACGTAAGTAAGAAATGTTAGGTCTGTCTTCGGATGTCTATTGTATGTTCCAGTTATTTATTGCTGTGTGTAACACACCACACCAAAACTTAGTAGCTTAAAACAGTCATTTATTGTTATGTTCCATTTTTCTGGGGGTTGACGAAGCTGAGCGTTACTCACTTTTGTGTCCTTCAAATGGTTGCAGAAATATGACAGATGAGGCTGGAATTCTGAAAGCTTCTTTACTCACATGCCTGGCTCCTAGACTAGAATAGCTAGAATACCTGTGGGCTGGTCAGGATTTCTCCCTCTTTTGTCTCTCCACATAGCCATAGTGTGGCTTGGGTTTCAAACAGCGTGGCATTTCAAGACCAGGAATTCCAGGAGACCCAGGTAGAAGCTTCAAAGTGTGGGAAGTGTTGGAAGTCATACAGCGTCACTTCCACTATATTCTATTTGGCAAATCTGTCACAAATGAGCCCAGATTCAAGGGAGTAGAGCAATAGATAGATACAGGGAGGAGAGAAATTGATGGTAGCCAACTGAAAACAAGAAACAAGCTACCACAATCTATTTAGGGGATATTTATAAAAACATAGAGACACACATGCACAAACAACACACACGTACACACATACATGCAGATAAATACATTTTTATGAAAAAATTAAGAATTATTATGAATGTTCAAGTATACAATAATATGCAAAGGGAAAACCTTAATAATTAAAGTAGGAAATGAGACTAACTCTGAGAAGAGTAATCAAAGACATTGTATTTTTTTTTCAGTAAGATCAAGTAAGTCATTCCAAACTGTCTGGCGTCCTGTCCCAAAACATCTCTGAACTTCTCAGTTCAAGAAGTAAGTTCCAGAATTTATTTGGCAAAGGTAGCTTATGTTCACAGTACTGTCTCTGGTTTTCCAGTCTGTCTCCTAGTCATAGGCCCCTAAAGTCCACCAGCCCTTACACTTCCGGCTGCATGCTTGCAAAATCTACTATGTAGTTCTGATTTTGTAATTTTCATTTCAATGAGCATGAAAACTTTTAATACTGAACGTCCAGAAAAGATCTTGTTTTCTTTTATTCCCTTTCCTTTAGGTCATTTTCTTGTAGTTTTCTTCTTTCATTCAATTTTGATAAGACTTCTTTCTTTGAAAATGACATTTAAAAATAAGGTTAACACACAAGTTATTACTTTAATAAAGCACATAACGTATACCTTATAAAATATTTTGAATGCTTTAGAAACTTGTCTTTGCTGCACACAGGCAGAATGGAGTAATATTTTAAGATTTCCTGCAACTAGAAAGGTATGGAAAGTCTTACTGATTTATATTGTGTTCTGACTTCCTGAGGCAGTTTTCCTAATGCTATTCCATTTTAGTCATACCATGAAACAGAGCTTGCTCATTTATTGTGTTTTTTTTTTTTTAATCAGAATTCAGTGTAGAACTTTGTATTTCAGTTTTGTTTGTTGTTTCTTTAGCTTAATTTCTATGGAATTTTATAGTAATAGCAGTTTTATTTTATAAAAGTTCTCTTGCTGGGAGGATAATTCTGTAAGCATTTGAGAAAAGGAATTCCCAGTTCAATTTTCAAAATTATTTTCAAAAATAAATAACCTGACTATTTAACATATATAGTGTTCCAGACTTGCATTTATTGCCTGTACTATGTAATTAAAGATTTTATTATCTATAGTTACTTGGGAAGACACATCTTTTACATCAGTGTTTGTTTCTCAGGACAGGAAACATTTATTACGGTTCTTTTGTATTCCTAAAGTACCATAGTTCTTTTTTTTTTTTTTTTTTGGGGGGGAGAGAGTCTTGCTCTGTCACCCAGGCTGGAGTGCAGTGGCACGTTCTTGGCTTACTGCAGCCTCCACCTCCTGGGTTCAAGTGATTCTCCTGCCTCTGCCTCCTGAGTAGCAGGGACGACAGGCATGTGACACCACACCCGGCTAATTTTTGTATTTTGGTAGAGATGGGTTTTCACCATGTTGGCCAGGCTGGTCCTGAACTCCTGACCTCAGGTGATCTGCCTGCCTTGGCCTCCCAAAGTGCTGGGATTACAGGCGTGAGCCACCACGTCCAGCCTTAAAGCTCATACCATAGTTCTAGACAAATAATATGTAGATGCTCACTTGATAAAAGGGTGTTTATGTTGTATTCTTTCCATTTAATTCTTGTAATTTGAGTCTTACTTGCCTTCCTTAACCATACACCATAGAAACATTATAGAATTTCTTTTATTTTTTTTTCCATCAACTTTTATTTTATGTCCCAGGGTACATATGCAGGATATGCAGGTTTGTTACATAGGTAAATGTGTGTCATGTTTGTTGGCTGCACAGATCAACCCATCCCCTAGGTATTAAGTCTGTCACCCATTAGCTATTCTTCCCTGATGCTCTCCCCCAACCTTTACCCCAACACAGGCCCCTGCGTGTATTGTTCCCCCGCACCATATATCCATGTGTTCCCATCCTTCAGCTCCCACTTATAAGTGAGAACATGCGATGTTTGGTTTTCTGTTCCTGCATTAGTTTGCTGAGAATAACAGCTTCCAGCTCCATCCATGTCCCTGCAAACAACATGATCTTGTTGCTTTTTATGGCTGCATAGTATTATGGACTTTTTTATGATGTAGCTTAGTCTTAATAACATTACTGGTTATTTGTGCATAAGATCTTTCTGATTTAAATCTTTCCCCTAAATATTAAAACAGAAATGGGAAAATTTAATCTTTCTGAAAAGATCTCCTCTTTTTGTCATGTGGTTTTTAATGGCTTTTTATTAATACAGTCTCGAGCAGGGGTCTCCAACCCCCAGGCCACAGATGGGTACCAGTCAGTGCCTGTTAGGAACCATGCAGCACAGTGGGAGGTGAGTGGTGGGAGAGACAGCATTATTGCCTGAGCTCTGCCTCCTGTCAGATCAGGGGCGACATTAGATTTTCATAGCAGCAGGAACTCTATTGTGAACTGCGCATGCGAGAGATCTAGTTTGTGCTCTCCTTATGAGAATCTAATGCCTGATCATCTGAGGTGGAACGGTTTCATCCTGAAACCATTCCCCCAACCCACTCTGTGGAAAAATTGTCTTCTACAAAACCAGTCCCTGGTGCCAAAAAGGTTGGGCATTGCCATTATATATAATAGCTGAAGCGTATATACCAGGACATTTTTTTAAGTTCAAAATATAATTAGAGGCATCTCATTAAGATTTGTTTGTTTGTTTGTGACGGAGTCTCCCTCTGTCGCCAGGCTGGAATGCAGTGGTGCGATCTCAGCTCACTGCAACCTCCGCTTCTCGGGTTCAAGTGATTCTCCTGCTTCAGCCTCCCGAGTGGCTGGGACTACAGGCATGTGCCACCATGCCCAGCTAATTTTTTGTAGTTTTAGTACAGATGGGGTTTCACCACGTTGGCCAGGATGGCCTCGATCTCCTGACCTCGTGATCCTCCTGCCTCGGCCTCCCAAAGTGCTGGGATTACAGGCGTGAGCCACCACTCCTGGCCTAAGGTTTTTTTTTTTGGATTTTTTTTTTTTTAGATGGCCTCACTCTGTTCCCCTAGGCTGGAGTGCCATGGAAAGATCCTAATCTTTTCAAGGCTCACTGCAGCCTTGACCTCTTGGGGTCAAGTGATCCTCCCTGAGTAGCTAGGACCACAGGTGCATCACCTGTCTCAGCCTCCTGAGTAGCTCCTCAGCCTCCTGAGTAGCTAGGACCACAGGTGCATCACCACACCCAGCTAATGTTTTTTATTATTTTGGTACAGACAGGCTCTCCCTATGTTGCCCAGGCCGGCCTCAAACTCCTGGACTCTAGTGATCCTCCTGCCAAGTGCTTTGGGAGCACTTGGCCTCCAAAGTGCTGGTATTATATGTATGAATCACTGTGCCCAGCCCTCATTAAGATTTAAGAGAAGACTTTTACTCCCTGCATGCAATGGCTTATACTCACAAATCTCAGCAAATATCAGTTCTTCAAATGACATGACACTGACAAGAAATGGAAAGAACCGTTAAGAATAATAAAAAAGAGAAAGCTAACTTACAGTGACATAGAAAGAAATGAGACATTTCCAGAGAAGTAGTCAGTTCTTGTGATTATTAATTTTCTTCCTTCTAAACTGACTAATAAATAGCATTTTCAGTTACTTGCACCTTTGAAGCTTTCTGTAGCAGCATTGTTTCCATCACTGTGACATAAGTCTCCTGAGTACAACTCTTAAAATTAACCCTTTTGAGGTTGCCAGTGGTTTCAGTTTCTTTATATTCTTCTGCCTGTCACGCAGAAAAGTAAATCATTTTCTCTAAATTTGTCATCTTTTCTACTCTGTTATAGACCCGTCTTCATATTTTAATTTCCCTTAACTTTTGCAGTCTGAACAAATGAAGAAATCACATTTGTATCTTATTTTAAGTCCTCATCAAAAATTCAATTCCTTTTGGAGTTTTTCAAAAGCTTTCAATAGTGGAGGAGTTATAAGGAGAAGCGAGGTCAGATGGTTGACAGGAAGTGGGTAAAGTGTTTCATTGAGGAAGAGTGTGGGGTTAAAGAACACACAATAAAAGGAGACAAAGGAAGAAGTAGGGCCCCGTGGAAACAAGAGTCATAAAGACATAGAAGTGGAGTGCCAAATGTCTATATTTCTTCACAAAGATGACAAGATTTGAAAATACACGTCAGTGACAGTGGCTGGCAATCAACTACCACGATAGACCATAATGAAAGCCGGGTGGACAAGTATTCATTTCTTTGAAATGAATACTTTGAAATGAATAACTTTGAAAGGCTCAGATAAGGTCTCTGGTGTAAAGGAAAATACTCTACAAAAATTGATGCTTAAATGTACATGGGAGGAGCTTCTGACAATGTTCTATTTCTTGACTTTGTTAATGATCAATTATGCATTTTGGGATGATTCATTGAGTAATACACTAATTTGGGGCACTTTTCTGTGTGAGTGTTATATTTCAATTAAAAATGAAAGAGTAGCAAATAATAAATATTTGGCTTCCAACTTATTCAATTTTGTACTGTGTTCTTTGAGACCATTAGATTACCTAAACCAGTCATTATTTGTGTCTTTCTGAAGAGATCTGGTGATTTTCTTCTAATTCAAATCAACTCAACAAACATTTATCGAGTGGCCAAATGTGCAAGATACAAAAGGTGAAAAACTGCTCAAGAAGCTTACAGTCTAATGGGGAAATATAATGCAACGGGGTTAGAACAACAGCCTGGGCATGTAAATGGTGTCATAGTAAAAATGGGAATTCAGGAGTAGCATGGAAGAAGTAAGAGAAGGTTTTGTTCAGGAGGTGACTTTTGAGCCAATTAGCCAGTTCATACTGAAGTAGAAATTTCCTAATGTAGGAAAAGGCATTTCATACATAGGCGAAAGCATCACCCCACTATTTGTAAGTTACACGTAGATCAGTATTGCCAAGTTGTACACTTCTAGGTGGTATGAGTGGAGAGTTCAGAAGCAGACCTTATTTAAAACATTAGAAAGCCAAGTGCAGTGGCTCACACCTGTAATCCCAGCACTTTGGGAGGATCACTTGAGCCCAGGAGTTTGAAACTAGCCTGGGCAACAAAGTGAGACCCTGCCTCTACAAAAAAATTAAAAAACTAGCCAGGCGTAGTGGTTCACACCTGTTGTCCTGCTACTTGGGAGGCTAGGGCAGGAGGATTGCTTGAACCCAGAAGGTCGAGACTGCAGTGAGCCATGATCACATCACTGCCCTCCAGCCTCAGTGACAGAGCGAGACCCTGTCTCAAAAAAATATATAACAAATAAAATAAATAAGTATATAAAGAAATCATTAGAAGATCAGGCTGGGTGCGGTGGCTCACGCCTGTAATCCCAACACTTTGGGAGGCCAAGGTGGGTGAATCTCTTGAGGCAAGGAGTTCGAAACCAGCCTGGCCAATATGGTGATGCCCTGTCTCTACTAAAACTACAAAAAATTAGCCAGGCCTTGTGGTATGTGCCTGTAATCCTGCCACTCAGGAGACTGAGGTGCAAGAATCACTTAAGCCTTGTAGGTGGAGGTTGCAGTGAGCCGAGATCCCACCACTGCTCTCCAGCCTGGGTGACAGGGCACGACTCTGTCTCAAAATAAATAAATAAATACACACATACATACATACATATCTACACAAACAAATAAATAAAAAATTTAGAAGATCATAAGTAAAGAGAAGATAACACTGTCTTCCATCTCCCATATATAATGCAAAATAAAAATAAATTCTAAACTGTAAAGTAAGTGTAGGGAAATCCAACAAGTTTCTAATTTTTTCTAAGATTACTATTTTGATGCATTTTTAAGAGCAAATATAAAAAAGTCTTTTTCTAACATTCTTCTCTTTTTAAAGGTATTTTAAGAACTTAAATACCTTAAATTTTAGTACTTAAATTTACCTTAAATTTAAAGAACTTAAATACCAGCAAAAGGTCAAATATTAATAGGATCTATATCTAGTAACTTACTGATGCCTCACTATATTCCAGGCTCTATGATAAATCCTTTATATAGACTATTTCATTGAACCCTCCGGACAGCCTATAGGAAAGATACTCTTACTACTACTAACATTGCCATTGTCATTATTGACTTTAAATATTAGAACTTAGAGAGTTTAATTAATGTATCCATGCTCACACAGCTGAAATGTGATTGAGCTGGGATTGACTAACTGGGCACTGACTGATGATGGGGCCTGAAGTCCTTTCCTCAACATCATACTGCCACAAAATCTTAGAATATGCCAAATTAGATGTGTTGGGAAGGGTCTTTGCTCTTTGCAGTGCTCCTTAATCCTCAGATTTGTTCATTTATTCAGTTAGTATTAATAGAGTACCTATATCTGTCCGCACTGTGGTAGGCATTGAAGATACAGAGTGAATATTACAGAAGTGATCCATACCTCATGGAGTTATTGTTACAAGGAAGTGCCAACGGAGTTTGGGAATTTGGGAAGCCCTCTCTGAAGAAATGAGGATTGTATTGAGATCTGAAGGATGAGTTAAAATGACCTAAGTGAACTGGAGAGTTTCATGCATGGTAAATACCAAGCTGAGGTGATATACAAATGCCAAGCTCAGATCCCCTTTTAAGGAAGGACTTGATGCCCCTGGAGCTAGCAGTGCCAGCCCTTTCAGGCATTGCCTCAGCTACAGGGAGACACCTCACCCAAGATCACACCCTTCCACCCATTTGTGTGCCACTTCTGATGAGCCACTTCAGTTACAGAGCACTGTGTGCTGTTGGCTAAGGCTGTCAGACTTGCGTCTCAGCTTGATTTCTCCCTCTTCCCAATTCTGCTTCCGCCTCCTCCCTTCCCTGGGTGTTGACTCAAGAGCACTCTCTAATAAACATCCTGAACTCTAAACTCTGCCTTAGAGTGTGCTTCCTGGAGAACTCAATGTGCATTACGGCATGAAAAGCCTTGATGAGTAAGATGCTAAGAAGCATTCAGAATGGCTGTAGACTGTGTGGGAAATAGTGAGATGAACCCAGGCCAAAAACGAAGACGTGGGTCAAGTCATGAAGTATCTGGTAAACCATGTTGAGGATTTCCCTAAAAACAGTGGCTAGTAGGAAGCCATTGTTGAATTTTAAGCAGGAATGACATAATCAGATTTGCAGTTTTGAAATATCACTTTGGGGCCAGTGCGGTGGCTCACACTTGTAGTCTCAGCAGTTTGGGAGGTTGAGGCAAGCAGATCTCTTAAGCCCAGGAGTTCGAGACCAGCCTGGGCAACATGGCAAAACCCCTCTACAAAAAAATCTAAAAATTAGCTGGGTGGTGGCACATGCCTGTATTCCCAAGTACTTGGGAAGTTGAGGTGGGAGAATCACCTGAACCCTGTCCAAATGAACTGTGCTAATATAACTACTATATATCACACATATCTGTGAATTAAGGTGAAGAATAAAAATAAGAAAGCAAAACCAGAGATGTATGATTGGCAGGAGGACAGGTCTTTCTTTTGATGTTGTATCTGGAGGTCAACCCTGGAAGGTTGAGGCTGCAGTAAGCCATGTTTGTGCAACTGCACTTTAGCCTGGGCAACAGAGTGTTCCAGAGGTGTCCCCAGCCACATGCAACTGCAAGTCAATTACACCTCTTTTCTTTATAAACTTCTCAGTATCAAGCAGTTCTTTATAGAAATGTGAGAATGAACTAATTCTTTCTTTCTTTCTTTCTTTCTTTCTTGTGGAAGACCTTGTGAAAGAAAGAAAGAAAGAAGGGAGGGAGGGAGGGAGAGGGAGGGATGGAAGGAGGGGAGGGAGGGAGAAAGAAAGAGAAAGAAAGGAAGGAAGGAAGGAGGGAGGGAGGAAGGGAAAGAGAAAAAGAAAGAAAAAAAGAAAGAAAGAAAGGAGGGAGGGAGGGAAAAGAAAAGAAAAGAAGAGAAAGAAGAAAGAAAGAAAGAGGATGGGAAGGGGAAAGAAGGGAGGGAAGGGAGAGGGAAGGAAAGAAAAGAAGAAAGAAGAAATATCACTTTGGCTGTAGTGATGGGGTTCTTTCAGAAATCATTTTCCTTCTTCTAGATATTAATGGTAAAATAAAAATAACAAACTGTCTTTCCTGTCCATGAATCATTGCTTTTCATTCCCTTTCACTTTATCAGTAAAAGCTACTAAATCTGCTCCATGGTTTATGCAGTACATTCGTGTAGGGTATCATCCAGCATTAGCTTCTTGAGAGACCATAGGAAATAGTGTTACGTGTGGACTTGGCAAGCTATCTCTTCTATGGTGATGAAAGCAGACTGTTCGGTGTTGCTGGAAAAGCTTAAGGTGATAAGTCACTAGAGACATGACCTCCAGATACAACATCAAAAGAAAGACCTGTCCTCCTGCCTCTGGTTTTGCTTTCTTATTTTTATTCTTCACCTTAATTCACAGATATGTGTGATATATAGTAGTTATATTAGCACAGTTCATTTGGACAGGAATAACTTGGCAGTCAAGATTAGATTTTTTTAAAGCTTTGTTGCAATACAATTGGCATACTATAACTACATATACATAAAGTGTACAATATATAACATACGCACACACATTTGTGAACCCATCATTAACAATCAGGATAACAAATATTTCCAGCACCCCAAAGGTTTCATTGTATCTTTTTTTCATCTCTCTCTTTTCTTTTCTCTCTCTCTTTCTCTCTTCCTTTCCTTCTCCCCCTGGCAACCACTGATGTACTTTCTCTCACTATAATTACTTTCATTGTCTTTAATTTTATGTAAGTGTAATCATGCAACATCTATTCTTTTTTGCCTGGCTTCTTCCATTCAGCAAAATTACTCTGAAAATTAGATGTAAAATGTTTAACTAAATTATATTCTATGTAAGTCATCAGACTTGTTACACATAAGAAACTTTGGATTTATTTACACAACATTGTATGCATTATACATACCAACAATGGAAGTGATGCTCAACTTTTTAAGTATAATTATTCATTGTGCCTCAGATAGAAAATTTTGATCTAGTAATCAAAGCAATTTTTCTTCGAACTTATAAACCAAAACACATGATCTGTGATGTTCCCTGAGAAGTCTATATTTGAGGGAACACTAATAAGACATTGATAAAAGACTCTCCTCTCACAGAAAAATGTGGCCAAATAACCTAGAAAATTGGAAGCTAAAGAGCAGCTGTTATGAGATATGGAAATTAGAGGACACAGGGTGATCTTCTGTATTTCTTTAAGATAGTTAAACTGGAGGCTGCTCCCTCAACACAAATACACATATGCACACACACAAATACTCACACATATGCATATATAAACAATACTACACTTTTTTCTTCCATAAATTGCTTTTAGCTCAGCTTAGTTCAGCAATTGTTTTACATTACCATTTTAATTTTGTTATATCTCTAAAAAGGATAAAAATTAAAGATAGTTTTAAAAGTATCATTATATCCAAACCTTGACACTATTTGATTCTACCTGTAAAATGCAAAACTTAGAATAGGTCATGAAATAACCTCTTTTAACTTTTTAAAAATATTTTTTCAGCCAGGCACAGTGGCTCACGCCTGTAATCCCAGCACCTTGGGAGGCCGAGGTGGGCAGATCACAAGGTCAGGAGTTTGAGACCAGCCTGACCAACATGGTGAAACCTCATCTCTACTAAAAATACAAAAATTAGCTGGGCATGGTGGCACGCACCTGTAATCCCAGCTACTCAGGAGGCTGAGGCAGGAGAATCGCTTGAACCCTGGAGGCGGAGGTTGCAGTGAGCCAAGATCGCGCCACTGCATTCCAGCCTGGGCAACAGAGCGAGACTCCATCTCAAATATATGTATATTTCAGATATATACATAAGATATATACAGAAGAGGCACTCAGTGTATATTTGTCAAATGAATGAAACAAAACTTTCTGCTCTTTGACTGCTTTTTCTCTGATACCATGTCTCCTTACTTTGGTATACCTGAGAAGCCAATGTTAAAACTTCCTTCAAGAGAGCGTGTTCTTTATCTGATTGAAATTTTTGTAAAGTTCATTAATATGTTTTTGTTTTTCAATGTGTGTGCCTTTATATTTTAATCTTTTTATTCTATTTCACATAGCTTAGGCCTTTTTATACTGTTTTGGAGAAAGCATGGGTGACTATTTTCTATTTCTTAGTTTCTGACTCACTATTTTGCACATCAACTAACACAGCCTAAGAAAGGTTGCCTTTTACGGTCCCATAGGGCCAGTACCATATTCTTTGTAAGTTCACAGTGGATTAAACCTGATGTATATTATTTGCCAGTTCGGAATGATATGATCTGTAAATTTTTACATTGCACCTTCACTAACCAGAAACCATTGTTTTCTTTGATATGTATTAACTCCGATACATCACAAGAATGGAATCCTGTTATCTTGTGCTAGCTGGGAATATTATGGCAGCAGGGAGGTTTGTATGGGTTATAGCTCAAGTTTTCTTTTACTTGCCAAATGTTTTGTCTAGTTTTCTTACTTCTGACAGTGTTTTTAAAGATCCTTTTTGTATATTTTAACTTGGATCTGTTAATTTTTCAAATAATTTTTTAAAAATGTAGTTCTTCAGTTCAGTAACCAGACAACCTCATTGATGTTTTACCCCTGAGTGTATGCACCTACCTAAATTTGCAACTATTTGAAAAATATTCTAAGATCCTTTGAAACTCTAGTATGGAAAATAGTAAAATGAACTTTTGGTTTCTAGATAAATATGTATATCATTTGACTTACCTAAACAGTATATGACCAGTACTGATTTTCTTCTAGAGGCTTTAACGCTGATTTTATTTGCGAGCAAAGAAATTAAAAGAAAATTGAAAGCTTAATTCTTCCTGGGATTTCCTCGTATGTTTTCCTCATAGTTTGTAGCTAAGAAACAATAGAGCTTAGCTGCAAGAAATAGAAATAGTAATAGCATAGTATAATTTTTAAATGCCAGTTAAACCAAGGTAATGACATAGGTCATGTCAGTTTTAAAAAAATATATCTCAGAAAGGAATTCTGTCTGATTCTTTCTTTCTCTCCTTTCTCTCTCTCTTCTTTCTAATATGATTTGGCTTGGTGTCCTCACACAAATCTCATCTTGAATTTTAATCCCCAGGTGTTGAGGGGGAGACGTGGTGGGAAGTGATTGGATTATGGGGGTGGTTTCTCCCCCATATGGGGTCTGTTCTCGTGATAGTGAGTAAATTCTCACAAGATCTGATGGTTTCATATATGGTAGTTTTTCCTGTGCTTACACACCATCTCTCTCACCTGCCACCATGTAAGATGTGCCTGCTTCTCCTTCCTTCATGACTGTAAGTTTCCCGAGGTGTCCCCCAGCCACATGGAACTGCAAGTCAATTACACCTCTTTTCTTAATAAACTTCTCAGTATCAAGCAGTTCTTTACAGCAATGTGAGAATGAACTAATACTTTCTTTCTTTCTTTCTTCTTTTCTTTTATCTTTTCTTTCCTTCTTCTTTCTCTTTCTCCCCATCCCTCCCTCCCTCCTCTTTTTCTCCTTACTTCCTTCCTTCCTCCCTTCTTTCCTTCCTTCCTCTCTCTCTCTCTCTCTTTCTTTTTGGAAAAGGTCTTGCTCTGTACCCAGGCTGGAAATGCAGTGGTACAATCATAGCTCACTGCAACCTCAAACTCCTGGGCTCAAGAGATCCTCCCATCTCAGCCCCCCGAGTAGCTGGGACTACAGGCACATGCCACTGCATGCAGCATTTTTTTTTTTTTTTTGTAGAGATAGGCTCTTACTATATTGCCAAGGCTGATCTCCAACTCCTGGCCTCAAGTGATCCTCCTGCCTTGGCCTCACAAAGTGCTGGGATTACATGTATGAGCCACCACACCCAGCTCTATCTGACTCTTTTCTTCATACCACCCCCTGCAAAAGTCCTAAGACAAATTGTTGGCTCTTTTCATTCCACCACACCGTACAGATGGGCTACAGAAGAGCACCAGCACCCTTTCAGGGTTGTCCCCTAAGTCTACATGCCTAGCTCTTTAGTTCTCCCATTGAATTCTTTTTCATTGTATCATATGACATATTATTAATTTGAATAATAAATTAAATTTTTATATTCCTACTGCTAAGTCAGTACTGTGTATATAAACTGAATTTCCCAGCTTTTCTTGGAACATGGTGCTCACTAGAGGAATGGAAATTCAATTTAAAACAATAAATAGGGAAAGCAGAAAGAGTAAACAAAATGTGGAAGGGTGAGGCTTACTCTGAGGAGTGACTAAGCAGGCAGCTTCCTGTGGGCCCTTTAAAAAATGATTTTTTAAAAAATGTTCTTCCCTATTAGTTCTTAGAAAAGCAGATCAACTTGAAAAGATGCTGGTAGTTAGGTAAAACACAGATATATGGGTTTTTTTTTTTTTTAAAAAAAATGCAATAGAGACTATGTTATTCTAATAGTCATAATCTCTAAAACGGTTCATCTATTTTTTTTTTTTTGAGCTGGAGTCTCACTCTGTCCCCCAGGCTGGAGTGCAGTGGCGCAATCTTGGCTCACTGCAACCTCCACCTCCTGGGTTCTAGCAATTCTCTTGTCTCAGCCTCCTGAGTAGCAGGGACTACAGGTGCCCACCACCACTCCTGGCTAATTTTTGTGTTTTTATTAGAGATGAGGTTTCACCATATTGGTCAGGCTGGTAAAATGGGTCATCTTCTGCTACGTTTTAATAAGAAACTGATACTCATTCATATTCATATAGATTCCTAATCTAGAAACTCAATCCATAAACTGGATCCTTTATGAATTGCATAAAATATAAATTAATTTCTTTCATTAAGTGTTATGTAAATTTATAATACAACAACACCTGTTACAATTTTTAAATTTCTAATGGGCTTTAAATACTCAGCACCACTGAGAAGCTTGCTATTGCCTTGTGTCTATCAGTGTTTTCGCTCTAAGTTAAATGTACATTCCACAACAACAAACCACGTTTTGTTTTTTTTTTGGAGATAGGCTGGAGTTCAGTGACACTGAGCATAGTTCACTGCAGCCTCGACTTCAGGGCTCAAGTGATCCTCCTACCTCAGCCTTCCAAGTAGCTGGGACCACAGGTGTGCACCACCACACCCAGCTAATTTATTTTTATTTTTGCTAGAGATGAGGTCTCACTCTGTTGCCCAGACTGGTCTTGAACTCCTGGCCCCAAGTGATCCTTCTGACTCAGCCTCCAAAATTGCTAGGATTACAGGCATGAGCCACCACAGCCAGCCACAAACCACATTTGTACTCTTCTCTTTTTATTTACATTCCCCAAGTCAGTGCTAAGTACAGAACTGATGCTTAATAAATACTTGATTGATTGAGTTATGTGAATCTGTGAGAAGTCAATAGAAGTAGCCATGAACTGTCAAACCTCAGACTATATGATTAGAAATTCATGCTCCAAGGAAAGAGCATGAGGAGCTTGAAGTGAATCCTTGCTCAGGAATATACGAGCGATGTGACCATGAGGAAGTTACTTAACTTCCCTGAGCTTCAATCTTCTTAATAAAATGAGATACCATCTCACACCAGTTGGAATGGTGATCATCAAAAAGCCAGGAAACAAGAGATGCTGGAGAGGATGTGGAGAAATAGGAATGCTTTTACACTGTTGGTGGGAGTGTAAATTAGTTCAACCATTGTGGAAGACAGTGTGGTGATTCCTCAAGGATCTAGAATGAGAAATACCATTTGACCCAGCCATCCCATTACTGGGTCCATACCCAAAGGATTATAAATCATTATACTATAAAGACACATGCACATGTATGTTTTTTGCAGCACTGTTCACAATAGCAAAGACTTGGAACCAACCCAAATGTCCATCAATGATAGACTGGATAAAGTAAATGTGGCACCTATACACCATGGAATACTATGCAGCCATAAAAAAGGATGAGTTCATGTCCTTTGCAGGGACATGGATGAAGCTAGAAACCAACATTCTCAGCAAAGTAACACAGGAACAGAAAACCAAACACTGCATGTTCTCACTCATAAGTGAGAGTTGAACAATGAGAATACATGGACAAAGGGAGGGGAACATCACACACCAGAGCCTGTCAGGGGATGGGGGGCTAGGTGAGGGATAGCATGGGAGAAATACATAATGTAGATGACGGGTTGGTGGGTGCAGCAAACCACCATGGCACGTGTATACCTATGTAACAAACCTGCACTTTCTGCACATGTATCCCAGAACTTAAAGTATAATAAAAAATAAAATTTAATTTAAAAATGAGGATAATAATAATTGCCTTAGCATTATTGCAAAGATTAGACATAAATGATTTGAAGTGGCTGGCAAGGGGCTGGCTGACAGCCCTGAATTCATGATGCTATTTCCACTTGACAGATGAAGAGAAACGGATCATTATTGAAGTAATTCGTACCTGATCACACAGCCATTAAATGCCAGAGGCAGGGTTCAATGCCAGCTTTATCAGACTCTGAATCCAGTGTCTAACATTTCTTATATTGCGATCACTTTTTGGAAAGGTCATGTCCAGGGTAGATAATGAATAAGAGGGGCACAAAAAGAAGGCAGGTAACAAATGAGGATAGTGCCTTTCACACTTTTTGATCATGACCCACAACATTACATTGTAAACCCTGAATACATACAACTATACAAAACAGTTGAAGCTTACTGCACATGTTGTAGTCAGGTATCTATTTTCTATTCTATTTCATGTTTTAAAAATTCTGATTATAGCAAGCTGGATGGTGGGGGCCTGGGGAGGTGTTGAGATGCATGGGTCATTTAACAACCTCAGTCACAGGTCACCAGGCAGAGCTCTTTGCTGTCTCTGCAGCCTCGGTCTCCTCATCTGGTAGCGGTCTTTGCCCTGTGAATAAACTGTAAACCCATTTTCAGGGAGCTGAGGACTGGCCCTTGCATGGCCACAGGTATAGGTCAGCCTAGAGCACCAGGATTCACAGGCCCGGTAGGTCAGGAGACAGGAAAACAGGGCCCTGGCTGCCAGGAGTAGGTGCCTTTCATGTCAGTACCTGTTTGCCTGGCCCTTCATGAAACTGAGAAAAATCGAAGAGCAGAGCCTCCTCAGGCCACAAAGCAGGTAACTCAAGCAAATGGTCAGAATGCAAACAGTACCCAGGAGTGTACAGCAGTGAACAAAACAGTTCCTGCCCTCATGGAGCTAACCTGAAACAACCAAGAAAACAATTAAATAGTATAGTAGAGGCACAAGAGTCATATTAATGGGCCAGACAGATGAGGAAGATGAAGTTTGGCTATCTCTTTTTCCTGCAGCCTACTCTGGTTTTGTCTTAAGCCAAGTTAAGATTTTACAGGCTCCTTCACTAGTGAGTCACGGAAACTGTCATGAGAATGCTGTACACATGGCTGCTCACAAGCCCTAGGAAGATGGAATCTGGGGAGAGCTGCTGGTGGAAAGGCTGGGAACAGCTCCAGTTCAAAATCAGAAGTGGTTTTGGGAAGCTGAAAGATTTGAGGCAGGGAGCAATTACTGGGCTCGTTGGCATTGGGGAAATTTCAACGTCCAGAGAACTTAACCCCTGATAAAATCGTGGAACTGAGGAATAAAACTGTAGGACCAACACTAAACAAGAATACCTTATTGCTATTTCAAATCCAAGGTAGATATATTGCTAGAGCCAGTATGTTGAAAAGAAGAAAAAATATAGTCCAAGTAGACATCCCAGGGGAGCTAATCTCTTTGGGGCAGGAGACTTGAGGAGTATGGATGACCTAGAGCGGCATTACAGAGAAACAAACTCTGTAAATGTCTCTCACAATCATGATGTGTGTATAGCAAATAGTACTAAAATTAAATTACCACTGCATTTGATAATGCTATTCACTAAGAGATACTCACATAAAACATTTCTTTGCTTAGGTTAAAAGTGTATGGGGGCAGGGGCAGGCTTTTTAGTTAAATAGATCTTTATATTCATTAGAAGTATCTTGAGGGTTTTGACCTTTACAAAAAAGGGGAAGCTGCCAGTAACTTCTCATTTTGATCCTGCTAATTTCTGGATTATGTATGTAAGTTTAAAAAATTCTTAAAATTTTGTTTTGTGACATCTGTTCAGTGGCAAGAAAGACAAAAACAAAGCTTGTCATGATTTACTAAATTGATTTAATACCACACTAATGGGTCATAACCCATTTTGAGAAACTCTTAGATTAGGAGATTGCTATAGTAATCCATGTGAAAGATGTTGGTAGCAGAACTAATGTAGTAGCAGTGGAAATGGGAGAAATAGATGTGATACTTATTTGAGAAGTAGAATCAACATGTCCTTAGGATTGTTTGAAGGGAACAGACACAGTGAAAAGGTTTCAAGCTTGGATAACTGGTTACCATTCTTCAGATAGGGAGCACTGGAGGAACAATTTGGATGGAAAATGGACTCTATTTGTGATGCTTAGGGCCATCCAGATGAAGATTTCTAGTAAGCAGTTAAAAGTGTGAGTTGGAGAAAAGGAGAGGCATCTGGGCTGGAGATACAGATTCATCAGTATGCAGATGATGTTTGAAGCCATGGCAATGGATGAGACTCCCTGGGGAATCAGTGGGGAAGGTGAGGCAAAAGTGGCTGAGGATTCACTGCAGGAAAGGCAGAGGGAGAAGAGGAAGAGAGGAGACGGACAGACTCCAGGAAAGTAGAAGGTAGAAGAGAAGAGCCTTTGAAAAATGCTTTTAGTTATGTGTTCTCATGATATCATGCACTGATGATAGCATTGAATCATGATGGAAGAAGGTGAGTGGCAATGCAGTGTATCAAAGAGTGCTGGAACTGGAGAAGGAGGTAGTCCCATGCCAACCTTCACCTCTGCAAGTGGCTTTCTTCCCTGTGGAACGAAAGCTTTGCGTTAAATGATCTCTGCGGTGTTTAATTTGAAGCAGAGGGTGGGTGGGTGGAGAATATGGGAAGATATGAAAATTAACCCATTCACTCATTTATTCAACAAATACTTATGAGTTCCTATGATGTTTAGGTACTGTTTTAGTCATGAGGACATAATGATGAACCAGACAGACCATAAAACCTGACACTGTAGTGAGGGAAACAGACCATAAACAACTAAACAATTTAAATAGGGTGTATTTTCAGGTACCGATAAGAACTCTGAAGAGGAATAAAGTGGGTAATAGGGTAATCTGGGCAGACTTCTTTCTGTGTCTGTGTGAGGGCCGAATGAAGTAAGGGCGCATTAATACCAGGGGCTTACTGAAGAAACTCCTTGGAGAGGGAAACAAGTGTCAAGGTCTGCAGCAGGAATGACTTGGCATATACAAGAAACAGTAGGAAGGGCAAAAGTAAAAGCAGGGAAACATGATTGCGATCAATGATTTTAGTATTCCTGGTAAGAGAAAATGAGGGTGGGATTAAAATGGCAGGTTGAGAGCTAGTACCAACTAACCTTAATTGAGCACCTACTATATCCAGGCTTAATTCTAAGTACTTTATATGCATTAACATTATTTCTACAAACAACCCTATGAAGTAGGTGCTATCGTTATTTCCATTTTACATATGAAGAAAATGAAGCAGAGAGGTGAAGTCACTTGGCCAGGATTACACAGCTAGTAAGTTTAGAGCCAGAGTTCAAACCTAGTCAATCTGCCTCCAGAGTTTGCCTACTTAATCTCTGTGCTAGAAAGAAATCAGAAAAGATTTTAAAGATACAGCTGACAGATCTTGATGGATTTAATGTTGAGTATGAAGGAGATGAAAAGAATCAAGGAAGACTCCCAGGACTTTGTCATGAGCAACTGTGTGATATTTATTAAAATGAAGAAGACTAAGCAGGAGAGCAGGAATCAAAAATTCTGCTTTGGCTTGACACAGAGTCTTACAACTGTGATCCCAACACTTTGGGAGGCTGAGGCAGGAGGACTGGTTCAGGAGTTCAAGAACAGCCTGGCTAACATAGTGAGACCTTGTCTGTACTAAAATTTTGAAAAATTATCCATGAGTGGTGGCGCATGCCTGTAGTCTCAGCTACTTGGAAGAATGAAGTGGGAGGATTGTTTGTTCCCAGGAGATGGAGGCTGCAATGGGCTATGATCATGCCACTGCACTTCAGCCTGAGCGATACAGCAAGACCTTGTCTCAAAAAAAAAAAAAAAATTCTGCTTAGAACATATTAAGTTCAAGATGTCACATTGACATAGATAGCTAGAGACATTTGGTGGGCACTCCAAGCTCTTTCATATTTGACAACAGGCAGCTCTGTTTAAATATAAAGTAGAAACAATATAGCATTATGTTAACAAAATATTCTGCTGAAATCAACCTTTATCAGCCTTTCCCCAAATTCTTAGTAAAATGCAGTTCCCATTTGGGGAATTGAGTGGAATAATTTGCTAATATAACTACAGGAAAATAACCAAGCCAGCCAAGATCTCACTTTTATCAGCAGTCAGTCAGTGAGCAAAGGTTTTTAATAAGAAGCTCCCAGAAATCTCATTGCCTCAGACCTCAGACAGGAGCACCACATACCTGCAACTCTTAACTTTCATAGACGGCAAGTTCTCCCAGGTAGAGAATGAAAGTTGACATTGATATTGCCACCCTGGTGCCCTGGCCTCCACCGCTGCTTGGATCACTGCTGAGGTCACTGGACCTTGCCTGCATGACACACAAGATTGCACAATCCCAAACCTGCTCTGACTTACAAAATACTGCCCCCTTGTCCCCACCACCCCCGACTTCAGTATTTGACTTTTTATTTCATCTGACCTCAGGTGATTCAACCCCTTTAGGCAGGCTCAAACTTAAGATTCACTCACCTACTCCTGCCTGACCAAACTTGCCTCCTACTACCCGTGCTGAACCTGACATCTTGGAGCACTTTGTGTGAGACACTGTGCTGGGAATGCTCTCTACATGGACTACATGGTGGTCACACAGGTGTAGACGCTTTTAGCACTCATCAAACTAGATATGTAGATAGCTCAATTTAAAAATACCTCAGTTTTTAAAAAATGATGTTATTCTAGGTACTTTTCAAGTTTTCTCCCCCTCTCCAGAAGCTTACAATCTGAAGAAGGCATGATATGGAACAATAGCAGGCAATATTTAAGTGCCAAGAAAATAACCCCAAAACAAAGGCTATGGTAATTGGATTGTAAAGGAAAACTTCACAGAGAACATGGTACTGATTTAAACATTAGAATTTAGTGGACTGAAGAAGCAAAAAGAGAGAGAAGCAATTATTTTGCTACATTAAATATGGTTGTGCTCTCCTTTATTGCAATATTTTTTTCCTTGGATCCATACATGACATGACCCTCGTTATCCTCTTGCTTCTGTAGGTGATCTCTCTCACTAGGCAAGGGAAATGGTATGAGGCAAGGTGTAAGTATGGGAATTAAAAGAAATTTTAGGTGACAGTGAGTAGACCAGCCTGGATTTGTTTTCAGAAACTGGAAATTAATATTGGGAGACACCCAGCTTATTCAGGATCTTCACTGCCAGGATAAGAAGTTTAGAAACTATTGTTTGGGTAATACAATATTGTAAGGAGGTATCAAAGTGGTTGAGCAGGAGAATGTTCTCTGCATTTTAAAGGAAATTGATCCCCTCCTATATTCCACTGAAGAATCACTGCCTTATGCGACTCAGCTGGAGACAGGCCTTCTGTATATACTCTAACAAAGCCTTTGAGGAGAGGAGCCAAAGAAAAATGTTCCATCTCTGGATATTCAGCTTTTCATGCAGACTTGGCCTTGTTTTCATTTCACTCCAGATCCTTTTTTGTCTTTACTCTGAGCTCTATTTCAGCTGTATTTTTACATTTTCTTTTCTTTTTTCTTTTTCTTTCTTTCTTATTTTATTTTATTTTATTTTTGACAGAGTCTTGCTCTGTCACCCAGGCTGGAGTGCAGTGGTGCAATCATGGCTCACGGCAGTCTTGACATACGAGGCTCAAGTGATCCTCTCACCTCAGCCTCCTGAGGAGCTGGGACTACAGACTTGCACCACCACGCCTGGCTAGGTTTTTGTATTTTTTGTAGAGATGGGGTTTCACTATGCTGCCTAGGCTAGTCTCGAACTCCTGAACTCAAGGCATCCACCCACCTCAGCGTCCTAGAGTGCTGAAACTACCTTCTTCCTCTTCTTCTTCTTCTTCCTCTTCTTGTGAGATGGAGTCTCCCTCTGTCACCAAGGCTGGAGTGCAATGGTGTGATCTCGGCCCACTGCAACTTCTGCCTCCCTGGTTCAAGGGATTCTCCTGTCTCAGCCTCCCGAGTAGCTGGGATTACAGGTGCCTGCCACCATGCCCAGCTAATTTTTGTATTTTTAGTAGAGACTGGGTTTCACCATATTGGCCCGGGCTGGTCTCAAACTCCTGACCTCGTGATCCTTCCCGCCTTGACCTCCCAAAGTGCTGGGATTACAGGCATGAGCCACTGCACCTGACCCTACATTTTCTTCTTGACTTGACTTTACCATCAATCTTTAAAATGTGTGGAGACCTGTGTTAAGTGCCCTCAGGGGCACTTAATAGTAGGCTCACCTACTATTCTAATAGCTTTTTCTAAAGAATTCTGGTGACAGAGAAGGAATCAACCCCTTTAGTCCTTATTTTCTTTAATTATTTTACTACATTAAATATTGTTGAGCTTTCATTTTTTGCAATATTCTTTGCCTTGGATCCATCCATGATGTGACTCTCATTATCCTCTTTCTTCTCTGGGTGATCTCTGTTTCTTACTAGTTTTTCCAATCTTCCAGCATACTCAAAGTAAAGAATTCCTCAAGACTCTGTCATCACCCTTCTCTTCTACATTTTCTACCAGGCAATCTTATCCACAACTACATTTTCAACTATCTTCTCCGTGCAGATGATTCTAAAGATGGATCATCAAATGACTGGTATTTGTTTTTGCCAAGATGCCTGTGCAGCAACTTAATCTCAACATGTCCTAAAAGAAGCCATTTTCTTTTCTAAGGTAGCCCTTCCTGGTGGTTTCTCTGTTTGCAGAAGACGACATCATTACAGTCTAAAAAATTTACTCCTGAAAACCTTAACATACATAGACTAAATCCTTTTTCTCTTCATTTCTTTTCAACCTTTTGACTTTTTTTAGCCAATTAACATTTTATCCTATTTCTTACATGCTAATTCTCATCTATACTTTTTTTTTCCCCCATTTTCCTTACTATTAGGTCAAGCCTTCATCCCCTCTTACATTGACCATTTAAAATTCTCTAAGGAAGTTCACTTGAATCTGTCCTATATATTGCTGGCAAAATGTTCTCCTTAAGACACTGTGGCTGGGCACAGTGGCTCACACCTAATAATATCAGCACTTTGGGAGGCCGAGGCTGGTGGATCACCTGAGATTAGGAGTTCCAGACCAGCCTGGCCAACATGGTGAAACCCCGTCTCTACTAAAAATACAAAAAAATTAGCCAAATATGGTGGCGTGTGCCTGTAGTCCCAACTACTCAGGAGGTTGAGGCAGGAGAATAACTTGAACCCAAGAAGAGGAGGTTGCAGTAAGCCAAGATGGCACCACTGCACTCTAGCGTGGGCAACAGAGAGAGACTCCATCTAAAAAAAAAAAAAAGAAAGAAAAAAAAAGAAAAAAATACACTGTGTCACTCATCTACTCAGAATCCTTCAGTGACTCCCATTCTCTTAAAGTGATAAAGACAAACAACTACCCCAGCATCCAAAGTTCTTGGTACACTAAATCCAATCTACCTTTCTGAATTTATATGGTACTATTCTCTTCAGCATCATGTGATCCACACAAACAACTACTCACTGTTTCCTGAACATTTCCCACACTCTGTTACCCCCGCATTTCTGCTTACACTGTCTGTCATGATTAGCCACTCCAATAGAAACCCCGCCATCCTCCAAGGTCCAGCTCAAATTCAAATTGTATCAGTCAGGAATGAGGGAAAAAGGCCTTTGCAAGAGATTGGGTAACTCTACACGTACTTTTCATACTCTGTAATATCTAGTGCAGTGACCAATGCAAACTAGGTTTTCAATCAGTGAATGTGGAAATGTTATCTGAATGTAAAGATACCCTCCTTAATGTATCCAATGCAGTGCTAACATTTCTTTTTATATAATCTTTTCACCTTTTAAAAATTATGTTTTGGCCAGGCGTGGTGACTCATGCCTGTAATCCCAGCACTTTTGGAGGGAGGTTGAGGTGGGAGGATCCCTTGAGGCCAGGAGTTCAAGATCAGCCTGGCCAACATAGTGAGACCTTGTCTTAAATAATTTTTTTCTAACTAAAAAAAAAGAATTACATGTAATTGACTAACACATTTTCATCATGAAAAAGAAATCAAATATTTAATGAAAAGCTGAAGGCTGTTGACCATCTCCAATCTAGTTCTCCACAAAGAGGGTCACAGTCAGTTGTGCCATGTATGTCTTTCCAGATCCATCCCTGTGCTTTTGCATATCTATACAAATAAGTAGTTGCATTCATGAAGGATAAATCAAAACATATTTAAAGAATGCTGAATTCTAAGTTTAAAATCAGTGTACACATGGATATGAAATATTCATAAGCAGTATCATTATAATAATCATTTTGAGTATGTAGATATTCTTAATAATAATGTTGTATTTTTTGAACATTTATTCTACCAGGCACTCTTCTAAGTGCTTCAGGTAAGTTATTTAATTCTTACAACTCTGAAGTAACTGCTATTATTATCCTCTTCATAGAGGTGAGGAACTGTACCCCTATCAAAGTTTGGTAATATACCTAGGGTCACACTTCCAGCTAATAAGTAGAAGAGCTGGGATGCTGACCCAGGGAATTTGGCTCTGGAGCTTGTATCATTCATGCTTCATGTTGCTGTTCACTGAGACGGGATACCGTTGACTGTGACTTTTTCTTTCTCTTTTTCTTTTTCCTTTTTTTTTTTTGAGACGGTGTCTTGTTCTGTCACCAGGCTGGAGTGCAGTGGCAATCTTGGCTCACTGCCACCTCCGACTCCCAGGTTCAAGCGATTCTCCTGCCTCAGCCTCCCAGGTAGCTGGGATTTACAGGCACATGATACCACACCTGGCTAATTTTTGTATTTTTAGTAGAGACGGGGTTTCACCGTGTTGGCCAGGATTGTCTTGATCTCCTGACCTCGTGATCTGCCCGCCTCAGCCTCCCAAAGTGCTGGGATTACAGGCGTGAGCCACCACCCCAAGCAGACTGTGACTTTTTCTGCTATGTCCTCACAGTTTCTCCTCCATCATGGTGGTAGCTGCTCCATCCCTGGGCTCATTCCTCCCCATGTGTTCACACATTTCTGATGACTGCCTGGTAGTAGCTCTGATCTGACTATTCAGCTAAGTTGAGAGGGAGAGGAGACTTAAATTAAACAGCTACTTGATTATATTCATTCTTCCCAGTAGTATAAGCTCTGAATAGCCTTTAAAAAGTAATAGTAATGTAAGCTCCATAGTGCCAAAAACCATATTCCTCATGCCTGGCACATAGTAAGCAGGCAGCAAATATGTGTTGAAATGAACTGAATTGCAAAAATTGACCAGGGAACTCCTAAGTCGGTCTGTTCCCTCTTCCAACAACTGAGGGATAGTTGTGGAAGCCATGAGGGGAAGAAAGGAATGAAGAGAAAGAGCTACACGGGCTTTTTATTTTGCTTATTGTACCAAATGCATGTATATGGTAGAAAGATGAAATAGAAGAGTTTATAGTGAAAAGCAGCAATTCCCTGTCCCTCCTCTCCCGACTGCCAGTTCCTAACCCAGGGACTGGGGCTATCACTTGAAAGGTTTTCTGTTTTTAGCACTTCTTGTGGTTAGTGTCATACCTTTAAATAGCATGTCTATATCATTGCTTCTTTAATCAACTTTAGAAATAACATTGTAATTCTACTAAGAAATGTGAGGATTTATGAACCTGTTCTTTAAAATATGGATCTGTGGTAGGCCTGGGGTGACAAGAGGTAACCCTGTTTCTTCTCTAAGGATTGCCAGAGCTCCCCGTGCATAGTTCCATTAAGGCAATCAACAGGTTTCCTCGCGCAGGCTGAGCAACTTGAGGACATTAGTCATCTCCTTAAATTTGTGTTTCCAAGACTTATTGGTGACTTCCAGGTAGCAGGCAGGCTCATTTACATCTATTTCTTGAAAGGATCAATGAATGACTTCTGTTGATAAAGGTACTGAAAAGCTGATGAATCATGAAAAAGGGAAGTTCTTGATAACTGATCATCCAAGAAGCAAGTAAACAACCGGTTACACTATTCACTGACCAAATCTTCCGGCCACCCCAAACAGTCAAAACTTGACATTACCAAATCTTTTCTGTACTGAGCATGGGTGGCGTGCATCCCCAGCAAGGGGAAATGTTCTCAGTTTCTAAATTAGTAATAATATAAGCTATTTAAATGTAAGAATTGTCATTACTATCTAGAAGAATTTTGGGAAATATAAAATTATGGTTGATGCATTATTTTACTATTTAAATTAAGTAATCTTTTCAAACAGGAGTTGGAAATGTATTCAACTTTTTTTCTTATTTCTTTTTTTAACCCAAATCAAAAATGGTCAATATATTCCACTTGTAACAAATATTTTTAAATACTAATTTTAATCAAATTTAACTTTATTATATTCTAGTCTAGAATCGGAACCTAAGCATTAAATATCCAGGGCCACCATTAGCTATTTTCAAAAATAAATGTAAGTTCCTCCCCAAATCTAATTTTTCTCCTGATTTCTCATTTCAGTAAATGACATCACCATAGACTAAGTAACCCAAGGCAAAACTTGTTTTCTTGGCTTGTCTTTTGCCTCCTACATATGGTCTGTGATCAAGTCCTGGTAGTTCTATTTTCCTAATATCCCTCGCATCTGTCTTCTCCACCACTCCCATTGCATCTCCCTTCATTCGGGAAGGCTTTCATTAGTTTTTTCCAAAGTCTTTTCAAGAGACCTTCAGTCTTCAATCTTCGTCCCCCTACTCAGCCATCCCTCTGCCGTGTACCACCAGAGTGGTCTTTTAAAAACACAAATCTTATATTTGTTCAATGTACCCAAGTTGCACAATAAATTGTGTAAAGTTATCCTACTTAAAAAAGGTTTTCTTCATTGGTCTCCATACTTGCCAGTGAAAAACTTCATAATTAAAATTTTAAAAGAGGTCTTCTTCAGACCTCTGTCAAAGCATTTGTAGCTAGATAGGGAATAAGAAGGAAGATGGTTTCTAAAAGTAAGGAAAAGCGGTAGTATCACATCTCTCTGTCAATTTTGGATGCAGCCCATAGTCAAGGAATATAGAGAACAGGAGTAAAGGAGAAGATTGATAAGACATAGGCAACTGTAAAGTTCATGTTCAGGATCAAGCTCCACCTCAGTGATGAACGGAGAGTTGGGCAAGGCACGGAAAGTGAGGCATAACTGCAGGAATGCAGGGAATGCAGAAATCCAGAGGCTCCTCAGCACCCAGGCCTAGGCCTGACCACACAGATTCTCAGGCTGCTCTCAGCAAGACTCAGTTCTAGGCCTCACCCCCACATTGAGCTTAGTGCTCCTAATATACTGCCTGCCCCCTGGCAATGGAGTCTGGAAGAGGAGTGAGCCTTAACTCTGGGGAGCAAGAAACAGCATACCCAGGGGTTGCCCCCAATTCCAGGAAATTCAGGTCTGTAGAATCACATGGAAATATAAACTGTTAACTTCACTATCATTGAATGGAATAATTTACATTACATTAAAATATACCAATGTATAGTAATTCCATGAAAGTTAAACCACTGCTTCCAAGATTCACTAAAAGCCAAAATGCTATTTGAGTGAAGTCTTGCTCAGAGAAATGAGCATAATGGTTTTATTCTTGTAGACTATGATTTTTATCAATGATGTGATTAGGCATTTTTTTTAAATGTTGCAATTTGGAGAGAAAAACAAACACTATAGTTTGACTCTCAAAAGCTGCTGTGTAACTCTATGAATTTTATGTCATTTTAGTCAATCAAATGTAACTTTTTTTTTGCTTTGAATTAGGTATTCATTTTTTTCTGAAAAAAGAGGATAAGAAATTGTTAAACTCAATGAACTGCAACGAAAAGTTGATCTGTCTTCCCTAGCCATTATAGGAAAGATAGCACAAAACTGAGATTGGTATTTACACAAAAACAGATTCATTATCGTAAAATAAAGAGCATTTCTAATCAATTTGCTCTCTTTCTTTTAAAAATGCTAAACATTATTTTCATGTTATATATACATTTCTATCACTGATTTCCCTTTTTGCCTTTATCTCTATCTAACAGAATGTTGCATCTGATATTTAGTTTTCAAATTACTTTTAAGGAACTGAACCCTCTATTGTCACTTAACTTCAATAAGAGGATTATTTTAAGTATTAAAGTGTTTAGTCTTAACTCAGCTACCGTAGGAGGAAAAGACTACTGCATTTGGAAGTCCTTACACATAACCATAGCACATAGACAAATGAGAGGAAAGGACAGGCATGCAGAGATATGTTTTACCTTCACTGACTTAATTGATTTTGATACAATGCTTCCACATAACAATGGATTTTAAAAATCAGTATCACATGTTCTCTTAGAGAAAGGATCTGGATAGGAGTAGAGAGGCCAGATCTCTTAAAATGACTAGGAATGACAATTGACCCTTGAACAACACAGGTTTGAACTGTACTGCTCGACTTAAACTCTGATTTTTTTTTTCAATAAGTGCAGCTGGACCTCTATATGCAGGTTCCACCTTCACGACCAAAGGTGAGTGGAAAATACGGTATTCGGGGGATGAAAAACCCATGTATACGGAGGGTGGACTAGTGGACTAGGGGACTAGTAATTGTGGAATTGAGTATAGGGGAAGGTAGGCCCAGGAACCAATCCTTTTCGGATACAAAAGGACAGCTGCATTCTAGATAGAAATGGTTTTTAACGGTTGCCAAGGAGGACAAAAAGAAAGACATTTTATTATAAAATGAGGAGCCTTCCTTTTAAATAGCTTATTAAATAGAACTTTTTAAAAAATTCTGTGCAAATATTGAAAAACATACTTTAAAAAATAAGGTTGCATCTCTTTAAATGATCAGTTTCAATGTTAACTTCTCTGGCTTATTGAATTATTTAAAAATGGGTAAGGTTTAAGTATTTGTCCTTACTTTGTTTCTCCTACATACTTGAGCCAGTACATTGTCAAGTCTCAATCACTGTAAAAGAGGTTTATGATATTAGAAGAATCACCAAAGCCAGGTTAAAAATTAAGCATAACAGATAGTATTTTGTTCTAATTTTTGCCTTCACATTATATTTGATAATAGATATACCATCTTATATGTTTGGCAGTCATTCTGCTAGGTTATGGGAACATATGGGCTTATGAAGTTGTATCCAAAATACCACCATGCTGATCCCATCATCAAAGAATTTGGCTTATAAAGACCCTTGTGATTACATTGGGCCCACCCAGATAATCCAGGTTAATCTCCCTATTTTAAGATCCTTAACTTAACCACATGGGCAACGTCCCTTTGCCATTAAAGCATTATATTGAGAGGTTTTGAGGATTTTTGAATGTAGACATCTTTAGGGGAGGGAGACAGTATTCAACCTATCATGGCCTTGTTACCTGTCTACTTTTATTCTACTGTATTATATTTTTACACATTTATTTTTTGCCATTAGGTGTTATAACAAACAATATATTTGACTTGTTTTAAAATTATTCACTCTATGTAATGGACATTGCATATTTTTGACTCCGCAGTGGATAAGGCTTACAGAAGGTGGGCCCAAATTCTTGCTACAGTAGATAAGGGGCCAAATCCTCTCTTTCCTCATATCTGGCACTTAGGCTGTGATCCTATGGCTGTGGCTTAGCCCATGTGGGCTCCAACTCCATGTCATAGAGACTGTTAGGCATTGCTCACAGGAGGGTAGTGGCAAGGAGGGTCCAATGGCAGGATATCCATCCAGCTCCTTGGCTGTGTTTCCTGCAGCCTAACCTCCCTTGGTTCCTGCCATTTATTTCTGAACCTGGGCTTCCAGCCTTCCCTTCTGAGAGCTACCTGTTATCTTTCAAATGAATTTCTTTTATGCTTGAGTTAATTAGAGTTCGTTTCTGTTGCTTTTACAAAAAAACTCTTCATTGATATCAGGTTCTTCTTGTTATTATTATTAGTTTAAATGATTGACTGTAGCCTAGGGGCCTCATCATAATTATGTATCACTAATTGGGTATAAAAAATAAATTGCAGTAAGAGGGAAAGCATTTATTAATCCAGACTCTTAACCCCATTATAGCTAGAGCCTATACAACAAGGAATGGCTCCTTGAAGATGACCTTGAGACACATATTACCTTTTGATCATCAAGGAATGATTTATGTTTTGTTTGGGTATTGAGGTTTTTTTATGAATTGACAGTGCCAAATATGAACTTCACTCTCAACCATAATATTTGATCGACTAGAATTCTCTAAGTCTTTAACCACGAGATAAATAGAAATGTGTTTAATAGTTCTGTCATATTTGCCAGAACTTGATTTTTTGTAATTTAAAAATTTGGGTATTATAGCAAATTTTGAGAAAACAACACATTAAAATATGTTCATTGTTCAAATGAACATAATGTTTGTGTTTAGACTCCTTGGTGGGTAATATTTTGTCCATAACGTTTACTGAATGCATGCCATGTGCTAGCCTCTGTGTGAGATGCTGGGTACAAAGATGAATAAGACTACTGGCTCCTTGTACAATGCCTGGCAGTGGCAAGAGGCACTCAGTGAATGCTTTCTGAATTAATGACATAATCCCTGCCTCTAAGGAGCTCTATCCTGTGGGAAAGAAAGACACCTAATTGGGGCATACCATGTGCCCAAAATAGTGAATTTGAGTGAGAGTGAGTATGGAGAGGAACTGTCGGCATGTTTCAGATGCTTTCGTGAGTCCTTAACATGGTGTCGAGGTCACACTGTCCTGTCCAGTGACACCTCCTGGCTCTGTCAGAATTGTTATTCAGGCCTCTCTTTCCAGGCCCTCATAGTTAAGCCTGTGACACTGTGTTTGAACTTCTATTAATAGGCCTAGTCAGCATCTCAGCAGATTGCATCTTAACATCAAACAGCCAGAATCCCCAACAATGACTTCTTGGCGCAAAGCCAATCCTCAAGCATCAAAACCATATTCCTTGCAAATCAGCTCCACGTGATGATAAATAATGGCATCAGGATTCCAAACCAATTATCTCATAGGGAAAGGCATATTCTTCAAGGGCACACTGGGCTTTATTTAAAAAAAAAAAACAGTAACATTGCTGATGCTAGCCCTGAAATGTCAACAATGGACACAGCCAGCTAATGAGAGGAATAACCAGAAAAAGGTGTATAATTCATGTCCCCCACATTACACTAACATGGAAAAGTTCAAGAAAATACGTGTTTAGGCACAATTTTAAAGTGCCTGACCTGAGCCCCCACTGGAAAAATTACTGGAACCCCATCTTTGTCTGGAACGGTGCAGTGGAGTAGAAGCATGTGCTTTTCAATTCAGATCTCAACACTTGAATTAGCTATGTGATTTTACACAAATCATTCTCTAAGCCCCAATCTCTGCACCTGTAAAATGAGAGATATTAAGCTCTACCTCATGTATGTTTTATGGATAGCAATAGCATGTCAACACTCCAATAAATAGGAGCTTTATGGTTAATTAGAACTAGTATGCCAAACACTATACTAAGCTCTTTATAAACATTATTTTAGTTCTCATGCCAACCCTGTGAGGTAGGTATTTTACCCCCAATAATAGATGCATAAAGTGAAACTCGAATTAATTACCCAATACCCTGGGTAGTGAGAGCGAGTGAATTCAAACTCAGGCTGCTGACTTCTATGACCAGACTCTTAGCCACATTACGATGTTTCTCTCTGACAGCATCGGAGCCTCCTCTTTGCTGGCTTGTTCCTCTCTATTGCTCCCATGATTTCTACTGTCTCCTTGTTGATCTCACCAGGACAAGACAGTCATCATCACTGTGTTCACCTGGTTCACTGGACAATCTGTCTGTTGGGTCAAACTCCCATGGCAGATATGCAAGAAAGAACCTCTGTAGGAACCCTCATTTAGTTGATTCAGTTTAAAATAAAATATTATATTTGACTCAGCAACACAATACCCCTCAATCATCTGTAACTAAGCCATTAACTAAAGCATATTGGGAAAAACACTGGCTTTGTGGGGTCTGGCAACTTGTATTTAAGTCCCAGATCAGGGATCATGAGCTGTGTAAATTTAATCAGGCATTTAATCTCTCTGAGCCTGTTGTATTCTGAGTTAATGTATGTGTCTGGTTATTCTATGGTTTTCCCCCAGATTCATTCTCTCTCCCCACAACTCCCAGTTCTCTACTCATTTCTATACTCTAAGGATTTGCTGCCTCCTACTAACCACATTGCCAGGACTCCCTTGCCATCTGGCTTCTAGTTGATTTTAGCAGCAGATCAGAAGGTGGGAAGAGAGAGGGAACAAAATGATTCTGCCCTTGCTCACTGCTTCTGTACCATATACTGGGAAGCAAACTGGGAGGCCCAACTTCCTTGGCTTCAGCTTTTCATAGAGCTCTGGGTAATACCGTTTTCACTCCATATCCCTTAGGTTCTAGGGCAAGTAATGGCTTTTTACTCTTGCTACTCTCTGGGTGCCTCAACATCCATTGTTTGCTCTTTAATCTCACAACTTCTGTAAGTAGCTCCTTCATTAAAGTCTCTTCATTGCACCCTCTGCGTAAATTCTATTTTTTGCTTGGAACCTGACTGGTATAGTCTGTGAAAGGGTTTCAAAACTATAGAGCACTATTGATAAAAATACAGGTCATTGGCCAGGCACAGTGGCTCACAACTGTAATCCTAGCACTTCGGGAGGCCAAGGCCAGAGGATCACTTGAGGTCAGGAGTTCAAGACCAGCCTGCCAACATAGTGAAACCTTGTCTCTACTAAAAATACAAAAATTAGCCAGCGTGGTGGTATGCGCCTGTAGTCCCAGCTACTTGAAAGGCTGAGGAGAGAGGATCACTTCAGTCTGGGAGGAAGAGGTTGCAATGAGCCAAGATTGCATCACTGCACTCCAGCCTGGGTGACAGAGAGAGACTCCATCTCAAAACACGAAAAAGAAAAAGGTAAGGGGGAAACCCAGGTCATCAAGTTATTATTTATTATTATTATGCCATATTTTCACCATCAATACTATATTCTGAAGTTTGCAAAACTTTTCTGGTTGTATCTAAATATTGTACCAGCCCATAAATTTTTTAAAAAGTCAGAAACTGGTGATCAAGTTTACATAGAATAAAGGGCATCTGAGTCTAATGTGCTTCCTCTTTATAAATTAAGAAATGATCAGAAAGTTAAACAGTTATCAGAATGGAAAAATTTCCTATCTGATAATGAAACTCTCTATCCTCAAGAAACAGGTGCCTACATGTGGAATAAGTAGATATTGTTTTTGTACAAATCTAAATAGGACTGTATCTGTGTTTGTGTGTATCTATCTATATACACATACACACATACGGTATTTTTTTAGCAAAAAGACAGTGGCAATTACTGCCACACACAGCCATTGTAGTGACTCATTTTATTTCTGGTGTAAATATCTCATTTTGGAGGTAAGAATTTATATTCATTGTAATTTTTATTTTTATTTATTTATTTATTTATTTTTTTGAGACGGAGTCTCGTTCTGTCGCCCAGGCTGGGGTGCAGCGGTGCAATCTCCACTCACTGCAACTTCCACCTCCCAGGTTCAAGTGATTCTCCTGTCTCAGCTTCCTGAGTAACTGGGATTACAGGCGCATGCCACCATGCCCGACTAATTTTTGTTTTTTTAGTAAAGGCGGGGTTTCATCATGTTGGCCAGGCTGGTCTCAAACTCCTGACCTCAAGGAATCTGCCTGCCTGGGCCTCCCCAAATGCTGGGACTACAGGCCTGCACCATCATGCCCGGCCTATTCATTGTAAAATGTATTTGAACATTAGCAGTTTTTCATAAAAAGATCTCATGCTACTTACAATTACTTTTTAAAAATAATGGTTTTTAAAATAAGAATAACCTTTTTCTCAATACATTCAGAAAAACCATGGTTATTACATGCACGTTAAAACTACTTTTGTGTCTGAGGAGTGAACTTCTGGATGACTCCTAAGGAAAAATGAATTCTCATTTTTGCTGTTTCAGCATATATACTGTAATTTTTTTTTCTTTTTTTTTTTTTAAATCGAGTTTTGCTCTTGTTGCCCAGGCTGGAGTGCAATGGCGCAATCTCGGCTCACTGCAACCTCTGCCTCCTGGGTTCAAGCGATTCTCCTGCTTCAGCCTCCCGAGTAGCTGGGATTACAGGCACGCGCTGCCACGCCTGGCTAATTTTTTGTATTTTCAGTGTAGACGAGGTTTCACCATGGTGGCCATGCTGGTCTCAAACTCCTGACTTCATGATCTACCTGCCTGGGCCTCCCCCAAATGCTGGGATTACAGGTGGGAGCCACTGTACCCGAACTATATACTGTATTTTTAAAAGTATAGTAATTATTTTAATGACATACTTCAATCTACTTATATGGGAAGATATATTAGGATTCCTTGATTGTAAGCAACAGAAACAATGCAAGGCAATTTTACAGGAAGGATATATGGGGTAGCTCAGTTAAGTTTGGGGATCTAGATGGCAAGAACCAATGGATGATTTCTTCAGGATTCTGCCATCAGAAAGTCTTGGCTGCAAATGTTTTCTGACTCTGAGTCACCCTGCTCAATTCAAATCCTAGGAAAATCAGTCTGGACTGGCTCAGGTCCCAGGCACACAGGTTGGCCAAGGGAGTTGGGTCGCTTGATTGGCAGTCCTGGCATGTCATGGAGAAGGATGCTTTGCCAAAAAAAAGTAGGGTGCTAGGACCAGGAAAAGCGGCAAGAGATTCTAGGCTGGTAAAAAGAACAGATTCTCCCACAAATGTCTTTGGAGCATTTTATGACATATTAAGATATTGGATATGTTTTAAAGATATTTTCATCTTTAAAACAATTTCTACAATTTGAACATTGGGACACTAAGCATATTTCATGAACCTAGGATTGAAAGGTGGCCCCAGATTTGGTTCTGAAAAATTCTTGTAGAAACTGAAGTTTCTTCACCTGGACTGCCCTGGGGGGTCGGCAGTCAGGAAACATTTTCCCTGATGCCATCCTTCATGGCTCAGTTAACATGCCCTGGATAAGGAGAAGTAAGAGGTGCACAGCTACTGGCAAGTTTTCCTTGTCACAACAAAAATATAATATTATAGTACCGGCAGCAACAAAGACTTATCCTATCTCCACCCCTCCAGTTAAAAACAGTGGTTTGGATTTCAGGAGCTTCTCAGTTGACAAAACAAACATGAAGAGCCTTTGAAAAGTAGCTATTAACTTTAGGGTAAATGTGCTATGCAGATGATGCATGCTTTTTCAGATCTGCTTCTCCACAATGAAATTCTTGGATTAAAATAAAATATTTACTCATGAGGGCAGAAATTGTGTTAATATTGCTTGCTGCCATATCTTCTGCACATAGTAGGCACTTAATACATATTTTAGAGTAAATGGATCAACAACTTATGAATACACCTACTATTTAAAAAGAGCCTGGATTCAGTGGCTCACGCCTGTATTCCCAACACTTTAGGAGACTGAGGTGAGAGCATCCCTTGAGGCCAGGAATTCAAAGACAGCCTGGGCAGCACAGAAAGACCGTGTCTTTACAAAAAAGAGAACAGAAAAATTAACTGGGCATGGTGTGCACACTTGTATTCCCAACTACTTGGGAGGCTAAGGCAGGTGGATTGCTTGAGCCCGGGGGTTTCAGGTTCCAGTGAGCTATTATCGCACCACCGCACTCCAGCCTGGGCAAGAGAGCAAGACCCTGTTTCTAAAAATAAATAAATACATAAGGAACTTTATATGAATAGAACTTTCTTCCAGAAAATTTTATTAAAAAGTGAGCAGTTTTTGCTTTTAGAGTGTATAGAATCTTTGAAACTTTTGGAAAGAAAATACATTTCAACAATTTCATCCTGTTTTGGATTTAGGGTTATTTGTTTCAACTATTTTTAACATACTGTCAAATTTACTTGCTTATAATGTTGTCTATTTCTACGTGCTAGAAAGTGTTTTTCTTTTTTACTGCTCAAGTTGTAGCATAATATTTCCCTATTAAAGATAGCTCTTAAAAAGAATATATATGATAGGACCATATTCTTAGTTATTTGCAGAGTTCCCAGAAGGTTTGAGCCCCAGTGAAATCTATTCCATTCCAAGAATAATTTCAGAGTGGGTTCTGGCTGAGCCTCTATCTTCTCGAATTCATGGTTCAAGAAGTTATTTATAGTATTTAATAAAACATTAAAGGTTTTCTTTTCTTTTCTTTTCTTTTGAGACAGAATCTCACTTTGTCACCCAGGCTGGAGTGCAGTGGTGCCATCTCGACTCACTGCAACTCCGCCTCCCAGGTTCAAGCAATTCTCCTGCCTCGGTATCCCGAGTAGCTGGGATTACAGGCGTGCACAAGCACGCCTGGCTAACTTTTGTATTTTTAGTAGAGACAGGTTTCGCTATGTTGGCCAGGCTGGTTTTGAACTCCTGGCCTCAAGTAATCCACCCACCTCGGCCTCCCAAAGTGCTGGGATTACAGACGTGAACCATGGTGCCTGGCCTAAAGGTTTTCTTTAAAACTACATTTTTGTATAATACCTACTTAAGTTTAATCCTTATTAAAAATGAACCAGTGGTGCTCGTGTTCCAAAAATCAGTTAGCTTGATGAAGATTATCTACAGAAAATACAAAAAATATTAAAGAGTAAAGTAGAACTGAGCAAAGAAAATCATTCTCCACAATTAGTTTCCTTTTCTGCTTTCATAGGTAAAAGATAGCACCTATGTAGCAGCTGGAGTCCTGCTTCTTATATAATTAATAAAGGCGTGGGTTCTTCACGAATTTTTTTCCAGGGGCCCTACAAGTTTTAGTAATAGCATTATAACTGGGTATAATTTTCTTCTCTGCAGAATACCATTTTCAGAGAAAAGTAATGGGACATTATCTGTCTTGTTGTAACAGCTGTAGTTATTTTACAAGCAAAAAAAAAAAAAAAAAAAAAAAGAGTAAAATGTCTATTTTACCTAATTACTAGTCAAATATAATGACTCTTTATGCATGAATTCTGTTCTTGTGAATTTATTCTAGTATTGAAAAGACTGCCAGTAGTAATTTTGGAACATACTTATATTGTTCAAATGTACATGTGATTGTAACTATGGACCTTATAGGCTTCAATCACTTGTTCCTTCAGCTAGTACTTATTGATGCCATGTCATGTGCCAGGCATTGTGCTAAGAAGACCACAGTGATCAGGAAGACAATGTCCCTGGCCTCACATAGCTTGTAATCTAGTAGGGATACCCATTTGCAAAATAACTAGACAAATAAACTAAGTGTGAGTTAGTATGTGCTACAAAAGAGAATAGAGAAGAAATGTAGCATGCGACATTGGACTTGACACGCTTACGAGGATCAGGGACAACTTCCCTGACCAGTGATGTTTAAGGTAACACCCAAAGGATAAAAAAGGAATTGGCCTAGTATGGGGAGACTGCTGGGCTGGGAGAGAGGGCTGGTAAGAATATTCTTGCAACAAGACAAGGTACATGCGAGTGTGCATATTTAGAAAAGAAAAGAAGTCTGCTATGACTGGAGAATGAAAAATGAGGAGGTAGGAGGAGCAACAGACAGAAGTAGAAAGGTTGGCAGAGGGTCTTAGAGGCCTTGTTAAATGTTTTGGACTTTTAAAAATTTTATTTTTATTTATTTTGAGACAGGATCTCAGCTTTGTTGCCCAGGCTGGAGTGCAGTGGTACGATCTCAGCTCACTGCAACATCTGCCTCCCCGGATCAAGCCATCCTCTCATCTCAGCTTCCCAGTGGGACTACAGGTGTGTGCCACCATGCCCAGGTAATTTTTGTGTATATATATATTTGAGTGAGGACGGCAGGTAAAGACGGGGTTTCGCCATGTTGCCCAGGCTGGTCTCAAACTCCTGGGCTCAAGCAATCCACCCACCTTGGCCTCCCAAAATGCTAGGATTACAGGCATGAGCCACCACACCCAGCCCAGTATTTTGGACTTTATACTAAAGATAAGAAGCAGGCTGTAAAGGATTCGTGGTTTTTTTCTCCTTCTCAGAAAGGAACATTTAATAGGGACCTACAGACAGAAGTCATGATGTCTGGGTGGCCACAAAATGAGATGGCAGATCCCCACACCATTACCCATCCCACCTCCCCCAGACAGAGCGCTTATATACCATAGGAGAAGAATATGTAGCACAACTGAAGTACACTCTTTAGGGAAAGGCAAGAATGTTATGTGAATCTGCCTAAGGGGAAGATTTACAGTAAGTACATGCTCTTACACAAGGAACAGTAGATAAAATAGAAATCTCAGAGGCCTTCCCAGAACAGGGGTTAATATGGAAGATCAGCATCTACGATCGAGTTGCTTTAGCCTCCACGCTCCATCCCACTAACGCAGCTCTTAGTTTCACATGCCCTCGTCTTCCGCAATGGCCCCTGGGCCGTTAGAGAGGGTGCTTGATATTGTATAGTTTTAGCAGCAGTGCATTGGCAGTGGAAAACAGATCTGGCCCAGTGGGATTTCAAATGAGGGAGATTCACAGGTTTGGTTGAATCATCTCTAGTCTTTGAAACTTTGGTTTTGTTGGAAGTAAAACAATGAAAGACACACAGCATTAATAATTTGATATAATACACACAAAGATTATAATCAAAAAAGAATTTGTATGCAAGAACAACAACAAAAAAACCCCTTTTCCATTAGAAAGCCAACTAAAAGCATTGTTAAATGAAAACCAAAAATTAAAACCTGGTTCTTCTTAATTCAGGAAATAATTCAGGATTTAGCCCAAAGTATAGTCAAAAAATAAAAACTGAAAAACAATGGTCAGGGCTAGAATCTAAATTTTTCTCTCTCCAGTTTCTCCATTTATACCAAAGATAAATCATATAAGGACCAATTTATTTGCAAAATAAATTTTAGTCTATTGTACTTGGCCTGATTATTTGTATAAAATATAGCAAGAGTAGTTATAGGTCATATAGACTTTTAAGTTGGCTTTGCTGGAACTTTTATAAACAATTTTAAATTCAACTTTTTAAAAGCCCCAAGGCTAGAAGCCAAACCAAGAATTCACCATCAGACTGTGCTTATAATACCTGTATGAATTCCTGTCTTCTTGTGGTCCCAAAATATCTTGAGCTTCCTGGGCTGGAAAGTGACATTCTTGGCTTATCACAGGTCAGGAACTTTGTAAGGGAACTATTTAGACAAGGTACCAGGCCAGTCTTTCTATGGGGATTCTTATTGACTCTTTGAAGACAATTGGAGCTTCTGGATAGATGAATACACGGAGGTTCCTGGAGGGTGGCATACCCAAGGAGGGAATGGAAGCTCCACATTCCTTCCCCCATACCTTGCCCTGCACGTCTCTTCATCTGTATCCTTTGCAATGTCCTTTATTATAAGCCAGTAAATGTAAATGAGGTGTGTATAACTGTTTTAAGTTAAGAAACTTGTCCAAAGCCCTACAGCTACTAAGCAGCTGGGCTGGAACTCAGGATTAACTCTGCCTGACTCCAAAGCCCATGCACCTCCATAGACCACACTACTCATGCAGCTTCACAAGGCTTTCAAAGTTCTGGAGTATGACACTTCTGCATTTGAAGCAGGATTCCTTTGAGATTCTCATCCATCAGAGACGGGTTCTTGCTATGTTGCCCTGACTGGTCTTGAACTCTTGAGTGCAAGTGATCCTCCCACCTTGACCTCTCAAAGGGAAGGTGACTCTTTTTCAAATGCCTAAATCTCAAAAAGAATCACAAGGCATGCAATGAATCAGGGAGCTAAAGCCCAAATGAAGGAATAAAATAAGTCCCTGGAAATGAATTATAAATGTATCAAGTTAATCTCAGTTCCTCAAAGCAGTCTGATCATATATGAAAATATGCCATTCTAGTCAAAGCCTTAGGAATAATCAGTGTTGCCAATTGTGTCAAACAAAAGCCATTATGGTCCATGGGAGGAGATGGCAGATCCCACCAAATTTTGCTTTTATTTTATTTTTTAAAAATATTAATTTTGAGATGGAGTCTCACTCTGTCGCCCAGGCTAGAGTGCAGTGGCACCATCTTGGCTTACTGCAATCTCCACCTCCTGGGTTCAAGTGATTCTTGTGCCTCTGCCTTCTGAGTAGCTGGGATTACAGGCACACACCACCACACCTGGCTAATTTTTATATTTTTAGTAGAGATGAGGTTTCACCATGTTGGCCAGGCTGGTCTCGATCTCCTGACCTCAAGTGATCTGCCCGCCTTGGCCTCCCAAAGTGCTGGGATTACAGGTGTGCGCCACTACACCCAGCCCAAATTTTTCTTTTAAAAGTTCCTTCTGTTAGAGGATTGACACTACCAAACTTCAAGACTTACTATAAAGTAACAGTAATTGGGATAGTAATATTGGTGAAAGAATAGAAAAATAAATCAATGGAACTGGACAGAGAGCCCAGAAATAGACCCACATAAACATAGTCAACTGATCTTTGACAAAGGAGCAAAGGAAATACAATGGGGCAAAGATATTCCTTTCACCAAATGGTGCTGTAACATCTGCACATCCACATGCAAAAGTATGAATCTAGACACAAAACTTATATCATTCAGAAAAGTTAATTCAAAGTGAATTATAGGCTGAAATATAAAACATAGAACTCTAAAATTCCTAGAAGATAACAGAGGACAAAATCTAGGTGACCTTGGTTATGACAATGACTTTTCAGATGCAACATCAAAGGTACAATTTATGAAAGAAATACTTGATAAACTGGACTTTTAAAAATTAAAAGCCTCTACTATGGAAAAGACAATGTCAATAGAATGAGAAGACAGGACATAGACTGGGAGAAAGTATTTTTGGAAGACACGTCCGATAAAGAACTATTCTCTGAAATACACATAGACCTCTTAAAACTCAACATTAAGAAAACAAACAAGGTAATTTTAAAATGGGTTAAAGGAGCTTCACAGACGCCTCACCAAAGCAGATATACAGAATGCAAGTGAGCATATGGAAAGGTATCCAACATCATCTGTCATTAGAAAGTTGTAAATTAAAACAACAATGAAATACCACTCCACACCTATTAAAATGGCCAAAATCCAGAAGACTCACAATGTCAAATGTTGGCAAAGATATGAAGCAACAGGGACCCTCATTCATTGCTGGTGGGGATGCAAAATGATACAGCTACTTTGGAGGATAATTTGGCAGTTTCTTACAAAACTAAATACACTCTTATCATGTAATCCAGCAATCACGCTGTTTGGTATTTACCCAAATGAACTGAAAACTTACATCCATACAAAAACCAGTACGTGGATATTGATAGCAGCTTTATTTATAATTGCCAAAGCTTGGAAGCAACCAAGATGTCCTTCAGTGGGCGAATGAATAAATAAACTGGGTGATCTCCAGACAATGGAATATTATTCAATGATAAAAAGAAAAGAGCTATCAGGCCATGAAAAGACATAGAGGAAACTTAAATGCATATTACCAAGTGAAAGAAGCCAATCTGAAAAGTTAACATACTGTCTGATTCCTACTATATGACATTCTGGCAAAAGCAAAATTATGGAGATAGTAAAAAGACAAGTGGTTGAAAGGGGTTAGAGGACAGAGAGGATGAATAGGCAGAGCATAGAGGATTTTTAAGGCAGTGAAACTATTCTGTACAAAAGTAATTTTTTTTTTGAGACGGAGTTTTGCTCTGTCGCCCAGGCTGGAGTGCAGTGGCATGATCTTGGCTCACTGCAAGCTCCGCCTCCTGGGTTCACGCCATTCTCTTGCCTCAGCCTCCTGAGTAGCTGGGACCACAGGCGCCCGTCACCACAACCAGCTAATTTTTTGTATTTTTAGTAGAGACGTGGTTTCACTGTGTTAGCCAGGATGGTCTTGATCTCCTGACCTCGTGATCCGCCTGCCTCGGCCTCCCAAAGTACTGGGATTACAGGTGTGAAACACTAATTGTTAGATATAAGTCATTATACATTCATCCAAACCCATAGAATGCACAACACCAAGAATGAACCCTAAAGCAAGCTATGGACTTTGGGTGACATGTCAGCATAGGTCCGTCATTTGTAACAAGTGTGCCACTCTGGTGTGGGATGTCAGTAATGAGAAAGGCTATGCATGGTTGGGGGTAATGGGGTATATAGGGATTCTGTGTACTTTTCACTCAATCTTGCTATGACTGTAAAACTGCTCTAAAAAAATGAGGTTTATTAATTTTTTTAAAAATGGGATTACTAAGTTAAAGAATTTTTTGAAAGCTCTTTTCTGACTAAAGTGGAGAATGAACCACTCAGTGGAGATGAGCAGGAGTGGAAGGTGAGGAGGCCACTGTAGTAATTCAGTGAGAGGTGATGATGGCCTGGACCCAGGGTGGCAGTAGAAAAAGAGACAAGTGGACAGATGTGAGATGTGTTTTGGTGACAGAATTGACGAAAATTGCCGAAGGATCAGATCTGCCAGAACAGGCAAAAGACAATCAATAATGACTAGAAGTACCTTTGATTGAGAACCAGAAGATGGGAGTGAGTGGTGGGTGACTGTGAAGTACAGGGTTTTTTGGAAGGGGAAATCATAAGTTCTGTTGTTGAGTTTGAGTTGTCTGAGATGTCAAGGGGAGATATCAAGTAGATTATTTTTGTTTGTCTGTTTTAACTTTGTAGCAATAGCAATTTAACTCCCTAAAGCTACCAACTTCTCAAAAGTGACCTTTCTTGATTTGGATTTAAAATTTTTCATTTGTATAACTGAAGGGCCCATTTAGATAGTTTTTCAAAAATAAAAGAATAATCTGACTCTAAGAGTATCCAAGTGTCAAATTCTCCAGAAAACTGCTTGCAGTTTTGAAATGAATTTTTCCAGCTCCATTGCTATTCCCACTGAGGTTTCAATAATTTCGAAGTCAACTTTCGGACAGCTCAGCCTCAGGTAAGAAAGTCTCCCTCTAGTAGCCTCTGTAAGAACACCCTCAGAGCCTGCGTGCCTAAGACTGCACGCTCAGCTGGGAGTGCGGAACTTTATGCTGGATGGTGCATATATATTTCTTTCTCAAGCATCTCTACTACACTGTAAACATGTTAGGAATGGGAATTTTATATCTTTAGTAGTAGCATATATGCAGTGCTAGATATTTGTGAATTGGATTATTATAAAGGTATATGTTTTTTGATGTCATAAAACTCATTAGTGAAGTGCAAAAATTTAAATGTGACAGGGAACTGGGAAGTCCAAGAAGAAAGCCAACTTTGAGCCACTGGGTTTTCAGTTAGAGGTCCAATGCTGTCTTACCTGAAGCCAAGTCATTGTTGAAAAAACGTAACCAAGCAACGAGTTGATTTCTCTATGCAATGGCAAACAACCAGTTTGACTGCTTTCTTGCACTGAATTAACTGAATTTAAGAACCTGGTAGTAATTTAACTAAGGCTCATACAGTATCAGTATTAGGTGTACATTAAGTATATCCATAAATACTTTTATGAAAGCTCTAGATTTTACATTGGTGATTTAGAGGTTTTGATGCTTTCTTTCTGGCTTTTACTGAGAGGTTTTTTTTCAAAGCAGAGAATTTTCACTTTCTAAATTAAAAAGAATGCCAATTAAGGAGAAAGAAATATCACTGATTTTTGTGATTTTAAATCATTCAGTCAACAAATATTTGAGTTACTGGACTCCTCTGGTCACCAACAAAGCAATTATCTGCTAGAATTTGCACTCTGGTGGGAAATTGTCGACAAATAAATTTCAAACAAATCATTTGTTGGGTGATAATTTAAGTGTGCTAAAGAAAAATAAAGTATGCCTGAGGAGATGGAGTGTAGAGGGGATGTGTGCATTTTTAGCTAGGAGTCAGGGCTGGCCTCTCTCAGATGACATTTGATCTGAGACCTGCGTGAAGTGAGGGTGTGAGCTATTTGAGAATAAGAACATTCCAGGCAGAGAGAATAGCAAGTGCAAAGGCCTCATCCAAGACTGGCACACAATTATTTTTTAGTGTATTTAAATCCACGAGCTTCAATTATTTTCCCTTTTATTATTTAAGGCAGACACTTGCATTTTGAATAAGCAGGACATCAAGAGAGTGATTACCATACAACCTTCTGAAATTCCTCAGTGTTTAGCACTTCACATTTAGTGGCAGAGATAAAACTCCAGCAATTGCATATCCTTGTCTGAATTGTGGGAACGTACACAAAGTACTTCACCTGTTTATCTCTGGTTTTTCTCTTCAATTGTCAGTGCCCCTCCTGCCACAGAGGACAGATTTAAAAATTGCAGACAATGGAATATGTAAGAGTTAGGATGAACATGGGGGCAGAATAACATGTGAAGACAAAATTTAGTAAGCCAATTGAGTCTAAACAATACTTAAATGATACTTAAAAGACTTAAAGGGCTCTGAGTAAACATGTTAAGATCCCTTAAGCACTTGAGAAGCATTGGTTTATTTCAAGTTTATGAGAGCTGGTTTTGACCCATTTCTTTCATTTGGTAAAGGCTATCTCCTCAACAATCCTTGATTACACTCATTCTTGTAATCCGGGGGATTGTAAAGAAATTAGGTCAATTTTACTTTTTAAATTCTTTCTAATTGAGATGTCTCACTTATTTAATTTGGTCTTTTCCAGGTAATAAGGTTTAATGTGATTTTGCGATGTTGATTTTAACAATTAAATTTTCAGGGACCATAATATTTATAATTTATGTAAATAAAATTTTTTATTACTTCATCATGCGGAATTTGCTGGCCAATTTTTTTCAAACTGGGAGGATAAAATTAAGATGGTCTGACTTAAAATAAATAGAAGGACCTGAAGGGCCCCAGAAAGACTGGATAAGCATCTTTCAGTACAACTGAAACAATGGGACAAGGAGGGATAAAACTTCTGGCTACAAGAGAAAAAACTATAGACTTGAGGCAACAAATGGTGCCTCTGTTATTTGAAATTCAATAAAAAAGCAGGACACTGTGATTTATTCTAGCTGCTTTCAAATGGTCCACTCCATTTGACATACTTCAGGATGAGTATGAAAGACATTTATTTATTTATTAATTAATATCTATGTACCAGGGACTGCACTAAGTGCTAATATATGTATAGCATACAGTAGTAAGAGATAGACAAAATGTCAGCCTTTATGGAACTTACATTCTAGTGGGAGGGTCAGACAATAAACAAATAGATAACGATTACAGAAGAATGAATACTGTTGGGTATTCCTCCATCCCTCTTTTACTTCCTTCATGCCTTTCTTATTTTCCTCCACTCCTTCCTCCCTCCCTCCCTCTCTCTCTTCCTCCCTTCTTCCCTTCCTCCTTCCCTTCCTTCCACATTTTTAATTTGAACTGCTTTTTGAGTGTGGTGAGAAGCCAGGAGCCTACAATTTGTTATCTTGCCCAGCTATAGATTCACTAAGTGACCTCTAGCAACTCACTTACCATCTTAGGGGTATTTCTGGTAAAACACAGGGAACAAATAAATTCAAAGCTGTGAACTTGCTTAAAAGCAGAGTAATCCCTTCTATTTGCCAACCAGAGTTGTGATATTAAAATGCCTTTATATTTCTTACCAATTAAAAGTACTTCTTTTTTATGTAGGCACAATTCAGTTTATTTATTTATTTATTTGTGAGACAAAGTGTCGCCCTGTCACCCAGGCTGGAGTGCAGTGGCGCAATCTCGACTCACTGCAACCTTTGCCACCTGGATTCAAGCAATTCTCCTGGCTCAGTCTCCCAAGTAGCTGGGATTACAGGCATGTGCCACTACGCCCAGCTAATTTTTGTATCTTTAGTAGAGACAAGGTTTCACCATGTTAGCCAGACTGGTCTTGAACTCCTGACCTCAAGTGATCCGCCCGCCTCAGCCTCCAAAATGCTGGGATTACAGGCATAAGCCATGACACCCGGCCTCAGTCAATCTCTTTAAACATGTAAATGTGAGAGCAATCACTGTTCTTTCTTCCACATGGCCTGGATTGCTGGATGATGCAGAATGAGAGGCTCTCTTTATGCTGATAGTCCCAAAGGGCCCTTAATTACATTAGCAATTAGCATGAAGAATTGGATCGTTTTAGAGACTTGTGAGAATGACATAACGAGAGAGAATACAAATGTAAAAGACACAAAATTTCAGGCCCGTAAGACTAGTTTGGAAACTTTAGAAAGAGGGAGTCTATAGAACATAAAACCTGTTGGAGAATCTGTCTCCAAACTGTTTCCAAAATAGCTAGAGAAGTGATTCCTTAGAAAAGTCATCTATTGAGCAGATTTTCAAAGCTGACAAATTTGATTTACTTTGTATATATACCAAAGTTTCTTCTGGTATTTGTATTCACTGAATTTGTGTGTGTGTGTGTGTGTGTGTGTGTGTGTGTGTGTAGACGGAGTAATTTTTGTTGTTTTCCCTCATCCTCTATTTTTAAAAGTTCGATCATGAATACTTAGGTTTCGCCAACATGTTAGTTTACAGACATGTAAACGTAATTCCACAATTGGGCAGAGATTACTTCCAAAATTTGCCTGACGAGAAGGTGAAATTGAATGTTAGGGCTGCCCCCGGGGTTCCACTGCCTGGCAGGTGTGGCTGGCAGGTGAGGGAGCCACAGCCACGTGTTTGCCTGGAGCAGCTCCTGGCATCTGCCACCCCATGCTCTGGCTGCCTGGAGCTCCCGCCGCACTGGCCAAGCAACGCTCCATGATTGACAGAATAGAGGCCCAGCCAGGCCTTTTTATTTCAGGCTCTGCAGTTGAAAGAATCATAAATTGGGGAGAATTGAGGGAAGCAGGGCCCAGGAAGGCAAGTAACAGTGTGCTAGGGGCGGAAAGGACTTCAGTGGCCCAGAGAGGGGGAGACTTGCCCTAGGCCACTAAATGAGTCCCCAGATAGGCCTCAGGGTGCTTGCCTCAAAATTCCCCTCACTAGGCCTGCTGCCTCTCAGGACAGGGCAGAGTTTTTCTCAGGCCTCCCTGATGCTCAGGAGGCCTGAGCCTGTCATGGCACATCAGTATTCAATGCCACCCACTCAGAGAGGCCAACCCTGGCCACCCAGAAGAACGACTTAAGGCAGTCATCCTGTCCTAGCTCTCAGCATTGTACTCCTTGTCATCCGATATTTTCTTACATATTTATTTGCTTATTCATTTGTCTTCTTTACAGGAATATAAACTGCATGGTATCAGGAACCTTATCTGTCTTTTTCATGGCAGCAGTCCCAGTTCCTAGAAGAATGCCTGCTGGTTCACAGTAGGTGCTCAATAAATAATTGTTAATAAATAAATGAATGTCCAGCTCATCAGTATAAGTTCAGAATTGCTTTATCTTAGTTTCTCATTGGTCCTTAATCACCGATGCTTTGGAACATTACAGCTTTTATTTTTTCCTGGTATATGTGTATTAATCTGTAAACGTATACATGAGATGTTTTTTAAGGTACCTTGCTATTTTTTTGTATGTGAGGAGCCCCTTCTTTCCCAAGACTTGGTTGTTTAGAGTCAATCACCTGTCAACCCTAAATAAGTAGAATGAACAGATCTTAAAAAAGTATTTAGAAAGATAGCTCTGATGGTGATGTGGCAGATTAGAGCTGAGACTAGTTAGGAGGAAGCTGTTATCAAGAGCACGTAAGGGCCTGACAAGGATAGTGGGAGGATGATGAGGAAATGCAATGAAATCAGAAGGCCCTTCAGAGAACAACAGTCTTAGCAGCAAATTTCACACAGAAGGTGAGAGAGTGAGCAGTCGGAACAAACGTTGAGTGTTCTAACTTTCCCGTGGAGGTAAATGCTGATGCCATTAACTGATATATATAAAAACCAAACAAGTTGAGTTCTTTTGAGAAGAAAGAGTTGTGAAAATGACATGTTTGGACCTCAGATATTTTGATTTTGAGGTGTTTGTGGGACATGCAGATGGAAGTTTCCAATAAATATTTGGACATTGAGTTTTGGAGCTTAGAAGAAAGGTAGGACTGAAAACGGACAGTTCAGAGTTGTCTGAATATAGGTATATGTGAGAGATTAAGTTCTGGAAGTAGATGAGAAAGTCCAGCAAACTGCAAACAAATAAGAGGGAAAACTAAAAAATGTAGCATTTGTAGAGGTAATAGGTACAGTGGTAAAAAGCTGCGAGACTTTGGACAAATTACTTAAGTTTCTTGTGCCCTTGATCTCTTCACCTGTGAAATGGGTTACTTAATAATACCTACCTGAGTTGTTGAGAAGATAAATGTATTACACACAAAGTGCCTATTTAGTACAGTGCCTGGCACATAATCCAGATTATATCATTATTTTCCCAGGAGTAAGGATATTTAAGGTAATATAGAAAAAGAAGCCAAGTAAGAATACTGGGAAAGAGTGATCTGAGTCAGAAGAGAATGAGACAGAGCAGTGTCACAGAAAACAGAGGGAAGAGTTTGAACGAGGAGGTGGTCAACAGTGTCAAACGGCACAGGGGGATCCTTTAGAATGAGAAGTCAGTAGGGGTCCTTGGCTGTGATGATTAGGGAGTCATTTGTGTCCTCAGAAAGAGTAAGGTCAAGAGAGCTGTATGGATGGGTTGAAGAGAAAATGAAAATGACCTCTGTTCAGAGATGGTGAATTGAACACTTTCACTTCCCTCCAGTCTTAAAACTTCACTGATACAATAGTAAAGGGATTTTTTTTTCATAAACAAAGAAAAGGAAAAGACAGATGACAACAACCAAATTTTGGAAACTGAAAAGCAGGTAGATGAGTGTTAATTTGCTGAGTGCAACTGAGAAAATAGAAAACTAGAGCTGTAATGAAGGAAGCACAGAAGGAAGCTGAGTTGCTCAATAGAACCCAAGGAAGGCCTCCAAATTAGGGGTTGTAGGTACCTCCAAATTAGGGGTTGTAGGTACCTCTGAAAGTAGGGGTGAGACTTAAGATGAAAACTGAAAGTCTGCTTAAGAAGTAGTTAGACCGTCCTCTCTCCTTCATCCTGTCCCACCAAGATTCATCCCCAACCCAGCAGAGCCAGGACTGTTTTTTCCATATTGGGGCAGAAGACGGGATAGAGAGAGTGAACGGAATGACTCTGTGGAAGGCCACAGTAGAAACGGGAGGGTTAAGCTGAAGTCTATATGCTGAGTGATGAGATAGCCCAGCTACATTCACCCACTCTTCCAGGAATGCTGGAATCGGTTTATATCTTCTAGAAAGAAGAGTGAAAGATTTTTCTTTAAATAAATGAATATCCCAGAATCAGGAGTCTCCCAGTAAAATGGCTCAGCCAGATAATCTTGCAGCAATGTCTACCTGTTAACAACATATAGTGCTCCCATAGTTGTGTGTGCGTCTAAAATATTAACAAATGACATCCAAGAATCATCAGTGATGTTAGCTAAGCTGCTAACATGAAAGTTAGAGACTAAAAAAAAAACAAAAAATGCGATAATGAGGATGAAGAAAACCTAGAACAAAAAAGGAGAAAACAACATGTAACACTCAGAAAACAAAAATAAGTTCTTAAAATTAAATATTTGATAGTAGAAATTAAAATCTCAGTTAACTTATTTTGTATTGCTGCATCTTAGCACAGAGTAGGGTCTTAGTAAATATTTGTTGAGTGAGAGATAAAGGCTTGCGAAGTGCAGTCAAGAAACTCCCACATGAAGTTAGAAAAGTGACCTATGTGATTGATTCAGGAGTTTTATCATCAAAATAATATAAATTTTTTAGTAAAAGAATAAAGAAAATAGGGAAAGTGAAATTAACAAAAAATAATTTGAAGATTTAATTAATTTAAATAACTCATCTTAACTGAAGGCAGTTTCTAAGTTGAATTTTTCAATGGGTGCCTAAGAAAATGTATGGAAAAAGAGTCAAAGAGCCATGCTCGGACAGATCACTGTGAACTTTCAGAAAACTCAAGACAAAGAGAGAATCTTAAAAGCGTAGATGGAAGTGGGAAGTGGAGTGATAAATTGTCCTATTTACTGTGGCTGTGTAACAACAAATTGCTCTAAAATTTAGTGGCTTAAAACCATAACATACTTACTATCTCTCACGATTCCTGAGAGACAAGAATGCAGAGTGGCTCAGCTGGGTTGTTCTGGCTCAGTGTCTCAAGAGGTTTTAGTCTGTGGCTTGGGCTTGAACATTTCAAAGCCTTCCCTCATATATCTGGGAAGACTTGACCAGCTAGGGCTGAGATAGCTGAGGTACCATTCACATTTCTCTCTCTCTCTCTCTCTCTCTCTCTCTCTCTCTCTCTCTCTCTCTCTCTCCCTCTCCCTCTCTCTCTCTCTCTCTCTCTCTCTCTCTCTCTCTCCTCTCCTCCTCCTCCTCCTCCTCCTCCTCTCATGTGGTATCTATATCATTGTTATGGTTTGAATGTATGTGTTCATTTAAAGTTCATATGTTGTATATTGGAATTTAAACCCCAAGCTGATGGTATTAAGAGGTGAGGTCTTTGGGAAGTGATTGAGGATGGAGTCCTCAAGAAGGGATTAGCATCCTTATAAAAGAGGCCCCAGAGAACTGCCTGGCCTTTCCATCTCTCCTGCCATGTGAGGACACAGTGTTCTCCCCTTCCACCATGTGAAGACATAGCAAAAAGATACCATCTTGTAAATACACTTAGATTGAGATACCCATCTTGGAAGCAGAGAGCAGCCTTCGCCAGACACTAAATCTGCCAACACCTTGATCTTGGATTTCTCAGTCTCCAGAACTGTAAGCAATACATTTCTGTTGTTTATAAATAACCAGTCTGAGATATTTTATTGTAGCAGCAGGAATGGACTAAGACAATCATGATGTGAGCTCACAAGGTGCTCACACATGCACAGGCATGAGAGAGAGAGAGAGAGAGACCACATTAGCCATTTATTATTATTATTATTATTATCTAGCCTTGGAAGTCAGGTAGCATCATTAATATCTCATTCTGGTTACAAAGGTCCACCAGGTTCAAGTAGAGGCAACATACATTCCAGCTTTGATGGAGGAGTATAAATGTTATATTGTAAGAAGAGCATGTAGAAAGGGAAAAAAGCAATTAAAACAGCCTACATGAAAGAACAGGGAATCAGAATGGCATCAAAGTTCTTAATAGCAACACTGGATACCAGAAGACAATGGAAAAATGCCTTTTAAATCCTCAAGGGAAATAACTTCTAACCTAAAATTCTGTATTCAGTCAAACTATGAGTAAAGAATGAAGGCAGAATAAATACATTTTTATACATTCAACTTCTCAGGGAATTTATTTTCCATATTATATCAACCAGGAAATTTCTGGAAGCTGAGCTCCATCAATAGAAAGGCTTAACCAAAGAATGAAGGAGATTCAGGAAATGAAACTCCAACCAGGAGACTGGTGAAAGCAACCCCCAGGATGAAAATTATGCAGCACCTAGGACTGGAGAGGAAGACAGAAAACTCAGGAGTGATGTATCCATGAATTTGATATATTTTCTCATGTGTTTTAATGCTCCAAGAATGTGTGGATAAATTGCAGTAAGTACATAGAAAACTGAGTAAAGAAAAAAAAAAACCAAAAAGTATACATGAATATTTGTAATATATGTAATATACATGTATATACATGAATATTATGTATAATATATGTAATATACATGTATATACATGTAATATATGTAATATACATGTATATACATGTAATATATGTAATATACATGTACATACATGTAATATATACATGTGATATACATGTACATACATTATATATACACAAATATATCATAGTACATGCATGGCCAAACTGTAAGTAAAATCTGCATAGTCATAAGAATATATGTTAATATTTAACCTATAAAGAGTGGAAAATTATGTATGTGGGGGGGAAGGGGCAGAAGTGTGTTTTTTTTTGTTTTTTGTTTGTTTGGTTGGTTTTTTCTTTATCTCCTACAGGAAAGAAGCAGTGTGTTTAAGAGAGCTAAATCCTAATATTCACAGGACAAAGTCAACACATAATATCTAAAACTGAAAAAATAAAAAAAGTGTCAGCTGGGCGCAGTGGCTCACGCCCGTAATCCCAACACTTTGGGAGGCCGAGGTGGGCGGATCACGAGGTCAGGAGATGGAGACCATCCTGGCTAACACGGTGAAACCCCATCTCTACTAAAAAGACAAAAAATTAGCCGAGTGTGGTGGCGGGCGCCTGCAGTCCCAGCTACTCGGGAGGCTGAGGCAGGAGAATGGCGTGAACCCTGGAGGTGGAGCTTGCAGTGAGCTGAGATCTTGCCAATGCACTCTAGCCTGGGCGACAGAGCGAGACTCCATCTCAAAAAAAAAAAAAAGTGTCAACATAATTAGGAAATAAGAGGAAAATACACAAAGGAAAAGTGAAAGAGGTAAAAGTAGTTACCATTGGGGAGCAAAAACCGTGGGGCAGGAATCATTCTTTAATAAGTTTTACAAAAATATCTCATTTAAAATCGTGTATACATTTGATTAAAATAAAAATTATTACTATTTTAGGAAATTATGAATGGATATTTCTGCTAAAATATGGAGGTTTGCACCCATGTCTTTTCCCCTTCTCGGTCCTACTGGTTACAGCAAATAAACTTAAAAGGACAAAGAGAATGAAAGAAGAAACAAGAGCTAGGGAGAAGTTTATACTGTTAGTGATAGAGAACCTTTGTTTAGAAAAAGACTACAAAATTAGGTATGAAAGTAAATATAGTTAGAATAAGAAAAGATATCACAACAAATTACTAATTTAAAAAAGTGGCCGGGTGCGGTGGCTCATGCCTGTAATCCCAACACTTTGGGAGGCTGAGGCGGGCGAATCACGAGGTCAGGAGTTCAAGACCAGCCTGGCCAATATGGTGAAACCCCGTCTCCACTAAAAATACAAAGATTAGCTGGGCATGGTGGTGTGCGCCTGTAGTCCCAGCTACTCGGGAGGCTGAGGCAGACGAATCGCTTGAACCTGGGTAGGCGGAGGTTGCAGTGAGCTGAGATCGTGCCACTGCATTCCAGCCTGGGTGACAGAGTGAGACTCCATCTCAAAAAAAAAAAAAAAAAAAAAAAAAGTGAACAAACATCATGAATCATACAAATAACAATATTTTAATTAACTAACTGCCTTAAACATTTTATGACTTTTTTTCCTTACATCCTTGGCTACATATCCTTCAGTCTTCCGTTCAGAAAATAAAATGTTAAAATATAATTTTCTTTAGAGAGAAATGAAAGGTAATTTAGTCTTCTTTCTGTCAGGTTTGATTAAAAATTTTTTTTAAATTGATGGCTTAGAAAAGTTTCTTTCAGCTTCAAAATTCATTATTGATAGCATCATGGTAAGTTTTTAGGACTGTTGCTGAATTTTGGAAAATGCCTATAACTTGTTTTTCATGGATAAATAGTGAAATTTCAAAGCATTTCAAGTTTTCTTGTGCTCTAATCATAAATACACTTAGATTGAGATAATTATTAACCTATCTGTTATTGATGTCTTTATGTCATACTGACATATTTTGACCTTTACAGTGTCTTTGTTCATGTCAGGGATTTTTTTTGTGTGTCAAATCAGCAGGAAATTTACCTTTTTCTAGTTCTCATGATTAATTGTTCTTCATTATATAGGTTATGAACAATCAAATAACATATGTTTGCTGTTTCTGTTCAAAACATGCATCTTCCTTTTAATAATGTAACATGCTCTCAATATGATCTAAAGTCAGAATGATTTTTATTTATTCAATTGCTCATTTTTATTGTTTTTGTTTCATATTTTATGCATTTTTAATATAAATTTTCTCTCAATCCTTTAATAAATTTATAGATAACAAAATATTCTTTATATAAGGCCAGTCTGTAATTTCTCATATATTTCATTGAAATAATCCTAAATTTATAACCAAATTATAATAGCTATAGCATACGAATATATGAAAATTTTGATTAATCTTTTTTTATGTGATTCTTATTAAAAATGGAAAAAAAGGCCAAGTGTGGTGGCTCACGCCTGTAATTCCAACACTTTGGGAGGCTGAGGTGGGCAAATCACTTGACGTCAGGAGTTTGAGACCAGCCTGACCAACATAGTAAAACCTTGTCTCTACTGAAAATACAAAAATTCCAGCTGGTAGTGAGTGCCTGTAATCCCAGCACTTTGGGAGGCTGAGGCGGGTGAATCACTTGAGGTCAGGATTTTGAGACCAGCCTGGGCAACATGATGAAACCCCGTCTCTACTAAAAATATAAAAATTAACCAGGTGTGATGATGTGCACCTGTAGTCCCAGCTACTTGGGAGGCTGAGGCAGGAGAATTGCTTAAACCTGGGAGGCGGAGGTTGCAGTGAGCCGAGATCATGCCACTGCACTCCAGCCTGGGCAACAGAGTGAGACTCTGTGTCAAAAAAAAAAAAAAGAAGAAGATGGAAAAACAAGTGTGATGTGTTTATAATTATATATACTGAGTTAGTAAATATATTCTGAGAAGAATAGAACTTTTGTTTTAATTAGGTGTCAATGAGAATCAAATCCTCAAATTATAATTTGCATATGGTATTTTGGATGAATTTCCCCCAGACTAGCTCCTGGCTCAGTCACGTGACACCAGCCCTGTACTTTTGTATCATGGCAGCCATAGAGGGTAGTTGAAATAGTCCTATAAACCAAAAATACCTTCAACAACTCCAAAATCACTCCTACACAAGAGAAAATGAGACAGAGGGAACGTCCTAATGGAAGAAGACAGTGATCTGTGTCAGTCATAGCCAATTTTGGTTAAAATACCATGCTTTTAATATTTTACAAAAACATATAATCTTGGGGACATATTGCTGGGTTCCTTCCAGGATTTGGAAGTGTAGGACTCAAGTTTAAGCTACATTGGTTTCAAAGTTAATTTTGCCTCTAACAATAGCAATAAAGTTTTAGAAAACAAACTGTGTGTAAGTGGCTTGACAAACCAGAGAAAGTTGAGACCTAAGCCCATAGCAGGAGGATTGTAGAAGCAAACCAAATTCCCACTACAGATCCTCAAATAAGAGGACTTAGAAGCTCCAGGTATTTATGAAAATGGCAATAAATGCTTATCTGAAAACAAGAAGCCTGATTATAGGGTATCCACTATAGCAGTGAGAAAATATTTCACACTCACCCAACCACTTCTCTCTAGCCCTGTTGTAGTCATTGCCTTCATTATTTTACTTTCTGTTTATTTTCCTGTTTGATTTTTTTTCTTTATGTCAGATGGGTAATGTGCTGACATCATAACAAGGTTCAAGGATGGCATATCTCACACGTGCGTAAACACCCAGTGATCACGCTTATGAACTACAAAAGGATTCCTTTTTGATTTTTAAATAAAATTGTTTTAATTAAAATAAGCTGCCAAATATCCAGCCCTTCATCTCCAACCTGTACAATAGGATAAGTGTCGGTACGCTCATTCCAGGAGAAGACTGGAGGTTTCTTCTCTGAATGGGTTAAATCAGAGGGTCACTGGAGTCAGAGACACCTGATGGAGCTGAGTGTGTAGAGGGGGTTCCCATCATGGTGATTCAGTTCAAATCTAAATATCAAATGGTGAGGTGTTCCCTCCTTCACTCTCCCACTTTTCTTTCTTGGTTCACTCCGGAAAATGCTAGAAGTCAGACAAGAGATTTTAGAATTTCTGTCTGGCAAAACTGACCTGCCCAAAACTTGAGAACTCCAGATATTGACATTTGGCATACTCAACGAAAGTGTTTATCCTGATCATTTACCACCCCTCCATTGACAAGCCCCCACACAAAGTTTTAAATTAGCTTTCTGATTTGCCTCTATTTTAGCCTCTGTTTGAAATATAAATGGACGGCCAGAGATCATCTGACAATTGGGAAAGCCAATGGCACAAAGAACTGAGAGCAAAACAAATAGGAAAGTGTGACAACAAAGAAAATAGGAGAAAATGTCAACAACAAAAACAACAACAACACTCTGATATCCTCAGAGATAAGTAAAGATGTGGTATCCCTAACATAAGAACAGAGTTCTGTAAAAATGTAACATTCAGAAAAGAAAAAGAGAGCCCTTGGAAATTAAAGTATGAGAGTGAAAAGAGAGCTATTAACTGAAGGATTGAAAGTACAAAAAGGAAAATAAAATAGGAGGAAATTTAAAAATCAGGCTAGATAGATGGTCCACAATCTGAATAGTGGGATTTGCAAAAAGGGAAAATAGAAAAACTGGAGAGAAGATGAAGTCATTAAAGAAATAATTTCAGATAATTTTCAGAACTGCAAAGGACTTAGAAAATCAAGGTATATCATCATGTCACTCTGGAATACTGAAGAGACAGAGAAGTTTCTAAAAACATCCAGAGACAAAAAATAGTCAGCTGTGAAGTTTTGAAATCAGAATAGCTTTATGCTCTTTATCAGTAGCCCTAGAAATTAAAAGACAAAAGAGTAATGCTTTCAAAATTCTCAGGGGAAATGACTTACAACTTTTAACTTGATACCTAGTCAAAATATTATTCAAGTAAATAATAGAATATTTAAAATGTCAGACATGCAAGAATTCAGAAAGTTTATAATATAAGCATCCTTCTTCAAGTTAATTAATACTCCTTCAACATGGCAGAAAACCTATAGATATTGTTATAAGATTGATAATGAAGAAATGGAGGTATAAAACATGGGATTTCAAGATTTGCAAATGGCTACCAGAAGAAAATCAACAAGACTTCACAGTGACTGGAAAAATTGGTGAACCAGGGAACCTCGGAGGACTAATGCTCTTCTTTTCAAGTTTTGTACCATTTGATCTCTTTAAAATGATATGCACATATTATTTTGACTTTAAAATTTTATTGGAAAATTAAAAAGCAAAGTGAATAAAAAAATGGAAAGTGGGATGGTGAAAGCAATGATTGCACTTAAAGACAGTTAAAGACAAATGTGGTGCGGTCAAGTCAGCTTCATACCTGGGATGCAAGGCTGGTTCAGCATATGCAAATAGATAAACGTAATCCATCACATAGACAGAACCAATGACAAAAACCACATGATTATCTCAATTGATGCAGAGAAGGCCTTCAACAAAATTCAACACCTCTTCATGCTGAAAACTCTCAATAAACTAGGTTTTGATGGAATGTATCTCAAACTAATAAGAGATATTTGTGACAAACCCACAGCCAATATCATACTAAATGGGCAAAAGCTGGAAGCATTCCCTTTGAAAACCAGCACAAGACAAGGATGCCCTCTCTCACCACTCCTATTCAACATAGTATTAGAAGTTCTGGCCAGGGCAGTCAGGCAAGAGAAAGAAATAAAGGGTATTCAAACAGGAAAAGAGGAAATCAAATTGTCTCTGTTTGCAGATAACATGATTGTATATTTAGAAAATCCCACCATCTCAGCCCAAAATCTCCTTAAGCTGATAAGCAACTTCAGCAAAGTCTCAGGATACAAAATCAATGTGCAAAAATCACAAGCATTCCTATACACCAATAACAGACAGAGAGACAAATCATGAGTGAACTCCCATTCACAATTGCTACAAAGAGAATAAAATATATAGGAATACAGCTTACAAGGGATGTGAAGGACCTCTTCAAGGAGAACTACAAACCACTGCTCAAGGAAATAAAAGAAGACACAAACAAATGGAAAAGCATTCCATGCTCATGGATAGGAAGAATCAATATCATGAAAATAGCCATACTGCCCAAAGTAATTTGTAGATTCAATGCTATCCCCATCAAGCTATCATTGACTTTCTTCACAGAATTGCGAAAAACTACTTTAAATTTCATATGGAATCAAAAAAGAGCCCACATAGCCAAGACAATCCTAAGCAAAAAGAACAAAGCTGGAGGCATCATGCTACCTGACTTCAAACTATACTACAAGGCTACAGTAACCAAAACAGTATAGTACTGGTACCAAAACAGATATATAGACCAACGCAACAGAACAGAGGCCTCAGAAATAACACCACACATCTACAGCCATCTGATCTTTGACAAACCTGATAAAAACAAGAAAGGGAGAAAGGATTCCCTATTTAATAAATGGTGCTGGGAAAACTGGCTAGCCATATGCAGAACACTGAAACTGGACCCCTTCCTTACACCTTATACAAAAATTAACTCAAGATGGATTAAAGACCTAAACGTAAGACCTAAAACAAGAAAAATCCTAGAAGAAAACCTAGGCAATACCATTCAGGACATAGTCATGGGCAAATGCTTCATGTCTAAAACACCAAAAGCAATGGCAACAAAAGCCAAAATTGACAAATGGGATCTAATTAAACTAAAGAGCTTCTGCATAGCAAAAGAAACTATCATCAGAGTGAACAGGCAACCTATATAAGGGGAGAAAAATTTTGCAATCTATGCATCTGACAAAGGGTTAATATCCAGAATCTATAAAGAACTTAAACAAATTTACAAGAAAAAACCAAACAACCCTATCAAAAAGTGGGCAAAGGATATGAACAGACACTTCTCAAAAGACAACATTCATGCAGCCAACAAACATATGAAAAAACCTCATAATCACTGGTCATTAGAGAAATGCAAATCAAAACCGCAATGAGATACCATCTCATGCCAGTTAGAATGGTGATCATTAAAAAGTCAGGAAACAACAGATGCTGAAGAGGATGTGGAGAAATAGGAACGCTTTTACACTGTTGGTGGGAGTATAAATTAGTTCAACATTGTGGAAGACAGTGTGGCGATTCCTCAAGGATCTAGAACTAGAAATACCATTTGACCCAGCAATTCCCTTACTGGGTATATACCCAAAGGATTATAAATCATTCTACTATAAAGACACATGCACACATATGTTTATTGTGGCACTATTCACAATAGCAAAGACTTGGAACCAACCCAAATGTCCACCAATGATGGACTGGAAAAGGAAACTGTGGCACATATACACCATGGAATACTATGCAGGCATAATAAAGGATGAGTTCATGTCCTTTGCAGGGACATGGATGAAGCTGGAAATCATCATTCTCAGCAAACTAACACAACAACAGAAAACCAAACACTGCATGTTCTCACTCATAAGTGGGTATTGAACAATGAGAACACATGGACACAGGGAGGGGAACATCACACACTGGAGCCTGTTGGGGGTGGGGGGCTAGGGGAGAGATAGCATTAGGAGAAATACCTAATGTAGGTGACGGATTGACGGGTGCAGCAAACCACCATGGCACGTGTATACCTATGTAACAAACCTGCACATTCTGCACATGTGCCCCAGAACTTAAAGTAAAATAATAATAATAATAATAATAATAATAATAAAAGATGGAGGTGGTGGATGGGTGAAGCATTTTCTCTGTAGTGTAGGGAATTCTCACAGGTATGTAGCTCCTTAATCCTCACAATGAAAGAGGCAAATATCATTATTTCATTTTACAGATGAGGACACTGAGGTTCAAGGAAGTTAAAAGAACTTGCCTAAAGTCACATAGCTTAGAACTGGCAATATCAAGGCTGAACCTAAGTGTCTGTTCCAAGGCTCAGTCATGTTCCACTAATTTTGAATGTTGGCAAACGAGGAGAGAGAGATATTGGGACCTAGGATGAAGGGAAGAAAGAGTTTTTGGTAGAGAAAACACATAAACATTTATGTAAGTTGAAAGTAAAGAGTCCTCAGAAGCTAAGAACTGAAAGTACAAGGGAGAATAAGAATAATTGAGCCAAGTCTCAGAAAGTTTGGAGGAAGCAGCATGCTGACCTGGGCAAGAGTTTGCCTTGGAAAGGAGTAAAGTTGCTTTTATTTCTGAAACAGGTGGGAAGGAGGTAAGGGTGGGTAAAGTTGCTATTAAGCTGGAGCTTGGAGAGGAGGGAAATTGAGATGGTCATACTATTTCCTCCTTGAAATAAGAGGCTAGTTATTCTCCTGTGAATAGACAAGTAAGGGAAAGCCTGGATTTTTACCAGTGACTGGGTCAGGGGAGGGAAGAGGGGAGAAAAGGGAGTTGGAAAGTGACTGGAGCAATTAGGAAAGAGAGTAAGGCTCAGGCTTGTAATCCCAGCACTTTGAGAGTCCAAGGTGGGAGGACTGCTTGAGCGCAGGAGTTCAAGATCACCCTGGGCAACAAAGTGAGACTCCTGTCTATACAAAAAATAAAAATAATAATTATCAGGACATGGTGACTGGTGCCTGTAGTCCCAGCTGCTTGGGAGGCTGAAGTAGGCGGATCCTTTGAGGGCGGGAGATCAAGGCTGCAGTGAGCTATGATTTCGCCACTGCACTCCAGCCTGGATGACAGAGCAGAGCCAGACCCTGTCTCAGTTGAAAAAAAGAAAAAAAAAAAGGAAAGGGAAAAGAGTAGAGTTGCAATATTTAGCAGATAAAAAATATAGCTCATGGCTGGGCTCGGTGGCTCATGCTTGTAATCCCAGCACCTTGGGAGGCCAAGGCAGGTGGATCGCCTGAAGTCAGGAGTTCGAGACCAGCCTGGACAACATGGTGAAACCCCATCTCTACTAAAAATACAAAACTAGCTGGGTGTGGTGGTGCATGCCTGTAATCCCAGCTATTCAGGAGGCTGAGGTAGGAGAATTGCTTGAACCTGGGAGGCGGAGGTTGCGGTGAGCTGAGATCACGCCACTGGACTCCAGCCTGGGCAATAGAGTGAGATTCTGTCTCAAAAAAAAAAAAAAAAAAAAAAGATAGCTCACACAGTTACATTTGAATGGCACATTTATGACAAATTTTTGTTTAGTGTATGCTCCAAAGATTGTGTGGTATTTTATCTGTAAACTTTTAAAGAGAAACACTAAAGCATGTGTAAAGAACAACAAAGCCACTTTGAAATCAAAAATTGGAAATGGAGCAAACTTAAGGTAGGAATGTTGGGCTTGACTTCTAGGCAGCAGCAGACAGGGAGTTGTACTGGCAGTCAGGAGATAGCTTGAGAATGCAATTTTTAGGGCCTCCTTGGAGAGCAATGGGAAGAGACTTATATGGGAACTAGAGACTTGGAATTGGCCAGGACGCCATTGCTGGAAACATTTGCCTACTATCTAATTTTACCTAAGTTGATCATCTACAATTACATCTCATAGGTGTGTACTAAAGATGAATATTATTAAATAACAATCTGAAAGGTTTTTGGACTCTGTAAAACACTTTATCAATATTGAATGTTAAAAACCAGTGGTATTCACAAGAAAACAACTGATATCCCCAAGGAAATTCTTGAACCTGTTTGAGGTTTATCATGGTGGTCTGGAGTAGTGGTTAAGAGTCTGCAGCCTGTCCCACATTAAGCAAGCTGCTTAATATGTCTGGGAGTCAATTTCCTTGTTTGTAAAATTAGAATAATTATAGTGCCTAACTTGTCAGATTAAATGGATTAATATGTGTAACACTATGTGCAAATACTAAAAGTACAATGTTACATGAGATATCATAGGCAGACAATGAGAAGTTTCAGAAAACATTCATTAATATGCATATGTATACACTTTGTATGCTTACGTAGAAAATGAGTGGTTTTAAAAGGACATTCATTAGCATACTTTTATATGCATTTTGTAGACTTGTACAGTCAGAAATGCAGCAAATGTAAAACTTTAAATCTAGAAGTCTGTTTCCCTCTAGGAACATATATTTCAATTCCTTAACTATTTATTGACTGATAGCGTTTGAGCCACAAGGCAAGGCATTTGCAATATTTAGGTTTTGGAACCCAGCTCTGCCACTCACTAGCTGGGAAATCTACAAGTCACCTTAGTTGTCTGAATGACACTTCTCTCAACAATAAAATGGCCAGCAATGCTTACTTACTTCACAGAGCAGTAAGGTTAAATTAACCTAGCACATGCTTGATACAGACTAGGTGTGAAATTTCACTTTGATTCCTTTGGCTTTAAAGAATGCATAAATTAGTGTGGGTGGAGGCGGGAGAAGGGGGGGAATGCCAAGTCCCCCGTTTTGTTGTGCTGGGTAGACACAATATACCTCTTCCCCTTTAAGTGAAATAAGTCTTCAAATCCAATTAGGATCTACTCTGGAGTCTTAGAGGACCGTTATCTTGGTTTCCACATTATATGCACTGTACTGTTGTTGAAGCTGTGGGTATGTATTGGGTGCGTCGCTGTCGATGAATGCTTTAAAACAGCTGTGAATTAACTGTCACTTCTTTTTTTTTTTTTTTTGGCAAACTCACAAAATCCCAGAAGTCAGGGGTCTGTTGTTTGTTCATTCTGCCTCCTTCTGAGTCATTCAGGTACAGGGTGTGTCTGCCAATTGAAACTGCACAGCGGAGGAAGTTTTTGAGTTCACATCTGCCGGGATGGGAACGCAGTGCGACCAGGGACTGGGTGGAAACTTTTACAACAGTAATGCAAGGGCAGAAGCGTCCTGTCCTGAGCTTGTCACGCAGGCAGATCTGACCAAGTCCGCCTCTCAGCCTCACGTTCTTAAGTAGCATCTAAGCAAAAGAAAAGGGTGGGCAAAGTGCTAGTAATGAGATTTGAGGCCTCTGAGTCGACTCCCAAGCAGAATGTGAGAGAAGGGTGCCGGCTCCTGCTGGGCAGCTGCAGTTGCTCCGCAGCTCCTGGCCGAGAATCTCCCCCTTTGGAAATTCCTGAGCTGCCCAGGCGTTTTGAATCTCTCAGGACTCAGCAGCAGCCCACCCCCTCAACGACCTCTCCATTGGCCAGAATCTGGGACACACAGCCTGACTTTGTGCTCAGCTGAGGGAAACCCCTCGCCCAACACCAAAACCGGCGCTGGTTCATTTCTCTGTGCACTCTGGGAAAGCCACTGCCCCTCAGACCGCAGTTGCGAGTAGCACGAGGATCTGGGGTGGCGGGGGGAGTACAGGAACCTCCCGGTTCATTCTCCCTCCCGGGCTGCTTGTCTCCTCCGTACCTCTCGCAGCCCCTTCCCAGCCTCTCCTCCCCAGAGCGCCGCCGACACTCGCCGGGCCGCGGCTCAGGTTTTCTGCTGCTCGCGCGAAAGTGGCTCGGGGAGCTCCTGGCCACAAGCTCAGCACACCGATCCTCCTAGGGCTGCGGGGGGTGTGGGACCAGGGCGGTGCGCTACGAGACTCCGGGCCGTCCTCTGCCTCCTCAGACTTTTCGAGAGAAAAGTTTTCAAAGTCTCTCCACCTTTTTTTTTTTTCAGGGGCTCGGGAGAATCCTCTCCACAGCCAGGGATCAGCGTCTATCTGGGCGAGGGCAGTGATTTATACAGTAGAATCCAGGGGTTACCGGGCTCCGCCCCTTCTCTCTCTCTCTTTTTTTCTTTCATTTGTTGTTTGGGGAGGAGGGGTTCTTTTTTTTTTTTTTTTTTTTTTTTTTGCTTCTGCCCCAGATCTTTCCTGGACAGTGCGTCTCAGCAGTTCAGATCCGGGGGCCCCCAGCTGACAGAGGGCGTGGGGGGTTAAGGCATTAACCCCTCCCAGCCTCTTCCTGAAGAAACCACCCAGCCTTGGCGCGGCGCTGGGTGACTTCGCGTAGCAGGCAGGGAACTGGCCGCGGCGAGCGGGACTGGCCATTGGAGTGCTCCGCTGCGGAGGGAGGGGACCCCGACTCGAGTAAGTTTGCGAGAGCACTACGCAGTCAGTCGGGGGCAGCAGCAAGATGCGAAGCGAGCCGTACAGATCCCGGGCTCTCCGAACGCAACTTCGCCCTGCTTGAGCGAGGTAGGGGGCGGCGAATGGCGGGGGTCGCGGGCGCGGGGAGCCCGGTTGTGGTAGGGCTTAGGTGTCAGAAACGAATTTTTAAGTCGAACGAGGCAAACAAAAACTTAGAAAACATGCATCTCCGGGCGCTGAAAATTTGCATCTCTGGGCTACTAAGGAGCCCATCTCGATCAGATTGTTCTTGGGCACTTGTGATTTATGGAGTTCAGAAAAAAGGTTAATTCCCAACTGTGGAACCTACGGGTGTAGGGGCAGTGAAAATTGCAGTTGGTCGGAGGAATAGGAGGGAAGGCGTTAAATTTTGGAAATCCTATAGACAAAGAATATGGTGGGTGGTGTGGAGCGTGGGTAATGGCTTAAATTAGTACTGCCCAGGAGCAGGGTATAAAATTAGTTGGGGGAAAATGCGGAGCTTCTTGGCTTGAGCAGCCTCTGCTGTTCGCGGAGTTGCTGGGATTGTTCTCATCTCTATTACCTCATTTTATTGCATTGCTGCATTACCTTGAAATATTTAAGCAACTTAGAAGTAGACTTCTGCTGACCAGTGCCGTCTTAGAAAGTTTCTTTGTAACTTTCTAGTCCTAGGAGAGGAGTCAACGTGTTGGGGGACTGCAGTAAATAAAACTGCCCACGCAAATTTAGCAATGCACCAGGGAGCAGTTTAATGTGAGTTTCTGAAGAGTAGTTTTGCAATCGAAATTAGAAATGTGGTAGCATGTATTATGGCTGTCATGAGTAGTTTGATTTCTCTCTTTTGTGTATGTTTTGGCTAAACTAAACAAAGCAAAAAATATTTATGCAATCAACTAATGTACGAAACTTCTGGGATTTGCTGCAATCTGTTATGAATGGTTTTAACTGAATACCTTTAAATTTACTTGCCCTGGCTTGGGGTGGGGGGTGGGGTGGGGGGGCGCGGGGGGAGGCGGGGAGAATAAGAAGAAGAAAGAAAAGGCAGTCGCTTCACGGAGGCGCTAAGCTTTCCTGTTTACAGCAAGGCGGGGCGGGCCTGGCTGCCCACACCTCACTGCGCCCTCGGACCCTAAGCACACCTGCTCCTAGAGAGTTATTAATAGAGCCCCCAAATGGCTTACGCTTTCAAATGATTTTCCTGCAAATCTGATTTCTTGCATGGCACATGGCAATTAGGAGGTGGTGCTAGTATCTTTGAACTGGGGGGCTGGGGGTGGGCATGGGGGACAGAGGTGTGTGTCTTCGCCCTCAGACTGGCAGTTGAGTCTTTTCCGAGGAGAGACGTGGGCTGGTATTGAGCGTGCAGCTAAGCTGGTGACTGCTTCAGAGAATCTCATGGCTGGAAATCCGGGGGTGAGGGGGTGTGGGGTGGTGAGAGGGCAGGAGTGGAGTTAAAATGGGGTGTAGTTCTCTAGGTTTCCCATTCCTCCCACTCCTTGTTTTCCTTTTCATCATCTTTTTTTTTTTGTCAACCCACAGCCAACATCGTAATTCCCATTTCCCTTTGAGTGAATGTGGCCATAGAGTTTCTCCCTCTCTTTTTCTTCCCCCTCTTCCTTTTTTGAAAAAAGAAAAAAAAGGAAGAAAAAAGATAATTTGATTTTTAAAAAAAATCTCTCTCCCTGAGCTCTCCCCAAGTTTCTTTAAAACAAATCAACAACAACACAATTGGAGCAGTGCCTTAGCTAGAATGAATTATGCCAGTATGCTGTGGCTCTTTCCCTGACTCTCTCCTCTGACTTGTTTAAGGCTGCGGTTTCCGAGGCCCTCTCCAGCCAAGGAAAAGCTACACAAAAAGCCTGGATCACTCATCGAACCACCCCTGAAGCCAGTGAAGGCTCTCTCGCCTCGCCCTCTAGCGTTCGTCTGGAGTAGCGCCACCCCGGCTTCCTGGGGACACAGGGTTGGCACCATGGGGCCCACCAGCGTCCCGCTGGTCAAGGCCCACCGCAGCTCGGTCTCTGACTACGTCAACTATGATATCATCGTCCGGCATTACAACTACACGGGAAAGCTGAATATCAGCGCGGACAAGGAGAACAGCATTAAACTGACCTCGGTGGTGTTCATTCTCATCTGCTGCTTTATCATCCTGGAGAACATCTTTGTCTTGCTGACCATTTGGAAAACCAAGAAATTCCACCGACCCATGTACTATTTTATTGGCAATCTGGCCCTCTCAGACCTGTTGGCAGGAGTAGCCTACACAGCTAACCTGCTCTTGTCTGGGGCCACCACCTACAAGCTCACTCCCGCCCAGTGGTTTCTGCGGGAAGGGAGTATGTTTGTGGCCCTGTCAGCCTCCGTGTTCAGTCTCCTCGCCATCGCCATTGAGCGCTATATCACAATGCTGAAAATGAAACTCCACAACGGGAGCAATAACTTCCGCCTCTTCCTGCTAATCAGCGCCTGCTGGGTCATCTCCCTCATCCTGGGTGGCCTGCCTATCATGGGCTGGAACTGCATCAGTGCGCTGTCCAGCTGCTCCACCGTGCTGCCGCTCTACCACAAGCACTATATCCTCTTCTGCACCACGGTCTTCACTCTGCTTCTGCTCTCCATCGTCATTCTGTACTGCAGAATCTACTCCTTGGTCAGGACTCGGAGCCGCCGCCTGACGTTCCGCAAGAACATTTCCAAGGCCAGCCGCAGCTCTGAGAAGTCGCTGGCGCTGCTCAAGACCGTAATTATCGTCCTGAGCGTCTTCATCGCCTGCTGGGCACCGCTCTTCATCCTGCTCCTGCTGGATGTGGGCTGCAAGGTGAAGACCTGTGACATCCTCTTCAGAGCGGAGTACTTCCTGGTGTTAGCTGTGCTCAACTCCGGCACCAACCCCATCATTTACACTCTGACCAACAAGGAGATGCGTCGGGCCTTCATCCGGATCATGTCCTGCTGCAAGTGCCCGAGCGGAGACTCTGCTGGCAAATTCAAGCGACCCATCATCGCCGGCATGGAATTCAGCCGCAGCAAATCGGACAATTCCTCCCACCCCCAGAAAGACGAAGGGGACAACCCAGAGACCATTATGTCTTCTGGAAACGTCAACTCTTCTTCCTAGAACTGGAAGCTGTCCACCCACCGGAAGCGCTCTTTACTTGGTCGCTGGCCACCCCAGTGTTTGGAAAAAAATCTCTGGGCTTCGACTGCTGCCAGGGAGGAGCTGCTGCAAGCCAGAGGGAGGAAGGGGGAGAATACGAACAGCCTGGTGGTGTCGGGTGTTGGTGGGTAGAGTTAGTTCCTGTGAACAATGCACTGGGAAGGGTGGAGATCAGGTCCCGGCCTGGAATATATTTTCTACCCCCCTGGAGCTTTGATTTTGCACTGAGCCAAAGGTCTAGCATTGTCAAGCTCCTAAAGGGTTCATTTGGCCCCTCCTCAAAGACTAATGTCCCCATGTGAAAGCGTCTCTTTGTCTGGAGCTTTGAGGAGATGTTTTCCTTCACTTTAGTTTCAAACCCAAGTGAGTGTGTGCACTTCTGCTTCTTTAGGGATGCCCTGTACATCCCACACCCCACCCTCCCTTCCCTTCATACCCCTCCTCAACGTTCTTTTACTTTATACTTTAACTACCTGAGAGTTATCAGAGCTGGGGTTGTGGAATGATCGATCATCTATAGCAAATAGGCTATGTTGAGTACGTAGGCTGTGGGAAGATGAAGATGGTTTGGAGGTGTAAAACAATGTCCTTCGCTGAGGCCAAAGTTTCCATGTAAGCGGGATCCGTTTTTTGGAATTTGGTTGAAGTCACTTTGATTTCTTTAAAAAACATCTTTTCAATGAAATGTGTTACCATTTCATATCCATTGAAGCCGAAATCTGCATAAGGAAGCCCACTTTATCTAAATGATATTAGCCAGGATCCTTGGTGTCCTAGGAGAAACAGACAAGCAAAACAAAGTGAAAACCGAATGGATTAACTTTTGCAAACCAAGGGAGATTTCTTAGCAAATGAGTCTAACAAATATGACATCTGTCTTTGGCACTTTTGTTGATGTTTATTTCAGAATGTTGTGTGATTCATTTCAAGCAACAACATGGTTGTATTTTGTTGTGTTAAAAGTACTTTTCTTGATTTTTGAATGTATTTGTTTCAGCAGAAGTCATTTTATTGGATTTTTCTAACCCGTGTTAACACCATTGAATGTGTATTTCTTAAGAAAATACCACCCTCTTGTGCCCTTAAAAGCATTACTTTAACTGGTAGGGAACGCCAGAAACTTTTCAGTCCAGCTATTCATTAGATAGTAATTGAAGATATGTATAAATATTACAAAGAATAAAAATATATTACTGTCTCTTTAGTATGGTTTTCAGTGCAATTAAACCGAGAGATGTCTTGTTTTTTTAAAAAGAATAGTATTTAATAGGTTTCTGACTTTTGTGGATCATTTTGCACATAGCTTTATCAACTTTTAAACATTAATAAACTGATTTTTTTAAAGATCCCTTTGTGAAGAGCATTCTTAAAAATAATTATTGAGTCATCTACTGGATTGTGTAGCTCTTTGGAATCAAAGTGAAGGACAAATTTCTATTATTCTTTAAAGGATTTTTACCTTAACTAGGGTGTGAAAAAAGTGTGGTTTGTTTAGAAACCACTCTATCTTTTTCAGGAAGAGAAACTTCAATAAGTTAACACTGAAGAGTAGTAAAGAATGAGATAAAAACCACCAACCTTCTGAATACCACATTGGCTAGTAAGTAGAATTGTTTGAGTTTTAAACTGCATTTAAGCCAAATAAATTAAATGCAATAATTCTGTCATCAAATATGGGCTTTTAAAGAAATTATACACAAAAATGTGGTTGTAAATCTAGTTTAAATGATGAGACTCAATCATCATTCAAAACCCATCAAAAAAGCATACATTCTTGGCCTTTCACCAACATGTTGGGGAAGTGGGGATATGGATATGGGTATTAAATCATGTGTTTTTTTTTTTTTTTTTTCAGGACACTGTCTTGGCTTCTCCCAGCCTATCTTCTGAACCACATAGAAGTATACAGTATCAGTGAAGCAGCTAGCTGTAAAATGTGGGCTGAGTAGCATAACACTTTTATCTGAAAACCTTCAATTCATAGTATCTGAAAGCATTAATATTCTCAGTCATTAATTTTTCCAACTACAAAATGAAGGCACTTTGCAAGCATCACAGACTTATTGTAATAGTTAATTCTTGTTTTTGATTATTGTCATCTTTTGGGGGATTAAAGTGTTTTGGCATGTTGGGCTCTCTAATCTTTTCGCTACTTTCAGAATTTGTGCTTTCAAGTGTCATTGTATATGCACAGGACACAGTTGGGACATGAAGATAAACCTCACCTAATAGAGTAGATGTCATTTCTGGGTAAGGTTAACTGTGGGAAACAGAAATGTGTTCACTAAGGAAACCTTAGGTCACAACCTCCAGTTTCCTGAAGGAAATGCCAAAAATGCTCCAAAGACAAAAGGCTGGAAACAAACTGGAATGTCTCTCTCCATCTGTCTGCTAAGGCGGAAGGAATGATTTCATGTTACATTCACTTCCTAGACTTTCATTACAGAGTCAAGCATAATGGAAAAGTATGTCCATTTTGTGTTTCTGTGGAAGATAAAATGTTCATATTCTCCGACTTATCTTCATAAGCACAGTAGTGATTCATGATATGGGGAAAGATGGGATAAGGTGGCTGGCTTTGGGAGATGGGGAGCTCTTTGGTGACACTTTTCCCCCTGTGACCACATTATCCAGTGATTAGATGTACTTTCTTCCTGGAAACTCCAGACTGTGCATTTCATTCCAAGAAAGCTGGGTAGTCATGGACTGTGGTTTTCCTGGGCACATGTGTGGTAGAGCCCCAGATCAGACCAAGAAGCAAAGACATAAGAAGAAGGAATCCTTGGTTGTCTCCCAACATGAATATCTGGTTTTAATTCAGTGTATTCTCAGAAGTAAGAATGAGAAAAAAATCTTAGTAATTATATGTTTGTACTAAAAAATACACATATAAGGCTTTGATTTTAAAATTGTAGTGTTTTTCAAGAGGAGTGAAACAGATCCTGGACAATACTTGACATATTCTTGTAAAAAGTTCAATTGACTCAAAATAGTCAGGAAAGTTATGAAGTAACATCATATAATACTTTATCCCCAACAATATTAAATGTGATTACAATTTTACAGAATATTCAAATCAAAATGTTATATAAGACAAATTATTATTCTTGCTTTTACATCTCCTTAGAAGGAGAAACATTCAATTGTTTTAAAAATGTTCTATTTATTTTTCAGAAATGAGGTGTTGCCTTCTTGCCCAGGCTAGTATGCAGTGGCACAATCATAGCTCACTGCAGCCTTGAATTCTTGGGCTCAAGTGATCTTCCTGCCCCAAGCCTCCCAAGTAGCTGGGACCACAGGCACGTGCCACCATGCCTGGCTGATTTTTTTTTTTTTTTAATGTTTTGTAGAGACAGGATCTCAGTATGTTGCGCAGGCTGGTCTTTAATTCCTGGGCTCAAGTGATCCTCCCATAGATTTGTCTGTGTTTTCTCTAAATAGGTTATAAATACCTTGAGGGAGGAATCACAAATAACTAAAAGAAACTTTTGTAGAGACTATCAGAGTATTATTTCCTTGTGGACACAGTAAATGTATGATGATGAGAAATCATAATAAACTACAACATTTTCTCCAACCTTCCTTCCTGCTCTTTTGATGTGTACTTCACGTGGTCCAAGAAAAGGGACTCAAAATACTTTTTAACATACACCATTGCCTTCACTGCAATACTAAGTGGAACTAGAGTTGTCTCTCAGAACATTCAAGCAAGCAAGGTTTACTTGAATAACTAAAGGCCTTATATGGATTATCTATAAAGAGGATTTTAAACCGGTGGTTTAAAAAGCTGGGAGAGATAGGAGGAAGAGCATAGTGAGGGGTTAGACCTGCATTTATTTCAGTCTTTCACAATCTTTGACAAGAACCAGGACCCAGAGTAGTTTGGGTTCATGTTGAATATATCTCTCCTAATACATCCGATCTCTTGTTCCCTACACTTTCTTCTTGGATTCAGACTCTCAAGTAATTTCTGTTTTTCCCGTGCTCTCTTTTTTATCCCTTTGAGGACTAAAGGATTAAAAAATTAGACTTAGCTCTGGTTATAGTCATTAGCAAGAGCCAAGTGTGGACTGTGGACTTGAGTGAACAGGAATTGCTACATTTTATGTAATCCAACCTTGATATATGAAGTATCTTCATATATCCAACCAGAAGCTTCCATATCAGTAATGGATAAATACACCATGGTAAATTAATACAATGGAATATTATTCAGCAACAAAAAAGGACCTACTACTAATCTTGCAACCGTTTTCATGAATTTTAAACCTCTTATGCAACCACAAAAGAGAACATACGTCATGATTTCCTTTATGTAAAAGTTCCAGAATAGGCAAAACTAATATATGGAGGTATAAATCTGCACAGTGGTTGCCTGGGGTAAGAGGATAAACTGGAAAGGAACACGAGGGAACTTTCTAGGTTGTTAGCAAAGCTCTTTATCTTAATTTTTAGGACCTTGTTCACTCAGATGTGTATATTTGTCTAAACTTATGTAATCATATTCTTAAGACCAGTGAAATTTAAAAATATCAATATGCTAGACTTTCACTTCTGAGTATAAGGACTATATGAGACTTTCTCTGTGAAATTGTGGGAAGGTTCCATGAAGTTCAGTAGAAAGTGGCAGCCGTGCACAGTGGCTCACGCCTGTAGTCCCAGCACTTTGGGAGGCCGAAGCAGGAGGATAGCTTTGAGCTCAGGAGTTCAAGATCAGCCTGGGCAACATGGCAACACCCGTTTCTACAAAAAATACAAAAAAAATTAGCTGAGCATGATGGCTCACACCTGTAGCCCCAGCTATTTGGATGGCTAAGTCTGGAGAATCACTTGAGTCCAGGAAGTGGAGGTTGCAGTGAGCCGAGATCCGGCCACTGCATTCCAACTCCAGCCTGGGTGACAGAGTGAGATCCTGTCTCAAAAAAAAAAAAAAAAAAAAAAAAAAGAATGTGGAAAAGGTTCCAAAGTGTTTCATAAAAGGGAAATACGCTTTTTAAGTATTATCCCATGACCCAGAAATAAAACTTTAGAATGCTAAATAATTGTGACATGATGATACTCTTTGCTTCCATAGGATGAGAATTTGGCTTAGTATTGGTATTTGTAATCCCTGAAGAATTTCTGTGTCTTGAAAGAGTCTAGAGATGTAATGAAACTGTCACAATAAAAGTTTATTGACATTTGGATTTCAGTTTTAGGAATATATGATGGGTTGTAAATAGCCTTATGAAGAATGGACCTTGTATACATTGCAAGGATATGTAAACATATTAGTACTGGAGACATACAAATTGGAGTGTGCCAATTTCTTATCATGGCCACCTGACCAAACCTATAAAAGGCATTCATTCAGATAATAACACTCGCCCTGGGTGTAAGCACTGCATTGTTAGAAGAGATAGCAGAGCACAAAGGATATGGAAGACAAGCTTATGTTCCTGTGGATCTATTTTTTAATAATTTCAGCTTTTATATTAGATTCAAGGGGAACATGTGCAGGTTTGTTACATAGGCATATTGCTGTGATGTTGAGGTTTGGGGTGTGAATGATCCCATCACTGTGGTAGTGAGCATAGTACCCAACAACTAGTTTATTAGCCATTGTCCCCCTCCCTCTCTCTCCCTTCTAGTAGACACCGGTGTCTATTGTTCCCTTATTTATTTATTTTGGAGGGTCTCACTCTGTTGCCCATGCTGGAGGGGAGTGGTGTGACCATAGCTCACTGCAACCTGGAACTTCTAGGCTCAAGCAATCCTCCCGTCTCAGCTTCCAGAGTAGCTGGGACTATAGGTGTGTGCCACCACACCTGGCTAATTATTTATTTTTGTAGAGACAGGGTCTCACTTTATTGCCTAGGCTGTTGCCACACTCCTTACCTCAAGCAATCTTTCCACCTTGGTTTTCCAAAGTGCTAGAATTACAGGCGTGAGCCATCATGACCAGCCTGTTTCCATCTCTATGTCCACGTGTACCCATCCTGTGAGTTTTATAAGCTTGCAGCCAGACACATTGTTACCTGCATTCCCCTGTCTGAGGGGTCTTTCTTTCAGCCATCTCTGGGAGTAACTGGACAGAGAAGAAATGCCTCAGGTGCTGCACTGCTCCTTGGACAGACTGATTAGATACAAAGCAGAAATAGAAACAGGGAAGAGGGGGCATGGTTACCTCAGCTAACAAGGAGCAGGGAGACGTAGGAAATTGTTTATCCATTTCCCCAGAGCTCTACTACTATTATTACTCCACTTTTCTGCTGCTTTGTTGATACCAGGGCAGAAAGAAAAACCTTGGAAAAAGTTACTGGTGTGGGTCATGCTTCCTACTCCCATTCCTCTTGATAGGTCGGCAAACTTACCCACTCATCCACTCAACAAGAATGCTTGCCCTGTGCTCTGTGCTGTGGATCTAGGGGCAAATATAAACAGAGGTTCTGCCTTCCTAGAGCTCACAGGATTCATTCCTTCAGCTCTGGCACTCCTGTGGCTCCCTCTCTTTGGGGTCCAGGGACCTTGATATGGCAAGACAAAATTCTTTCTTTTTTTTCCTTTTTTGAGACGGAGTCTCACTCTGTCGCTCAGGCTGGAGTGCAGTGATGCGATCTCGGCTCACTGCAACTTCTGCCTCTCAGGTTCAAGCGATTTTCCTGCCTCAGCCTCATGAGTAGCTGAGATTACAGGCGTGTGCCACTACGCCAGGCTAATTTTTCTGTTTTTAGTAGAGACGGGGTTTCACCACGTTGGCCAGGCTGGTCTCGAACTCCTGGGCTCAAGCGACCCACCTGCCTCGGCCTCTCAAAGTGCTGGGATTATAGACGTGCATCACGGCACCCAGCCAAGAAACAGTTCTTTTTTTCCCATGAGTTTGTTCATTGTTGTACACTTCCTCTAATATATTGAGTTCTTTAGCAGTCTAAAATAATTTCATTTAACAAATACAATTAATATTGGCAGCTTTTCATCATTGGCTTTTATTTAATTTATATCTCTAAATTACTTAAAATTAAATAATGAAGAATAAACTCATATTTGGAATGGAGAGAAGTTCCTTGTGTTATTGGGTGGTGTTGTAAATATCAGTATTTGTATTCTATTTTTCAGCATCTAGTCCCCATGTGATCAAGAAGCAACTCCGTAAAATAAAAGCATTCAACATTGTCTTCAGTTTCTATCTCTCCTTAGTTTGTGTTTTTCTTCCTAGATCCCTATTGTGAACTGTGCTAGGTGGAGCTGCTTGGTTTATAATGTGCAGATGAAGTGTACGTTTGAATAAGTCATAGGTGGTGTCCTTATTCAACTTGGATGAAAAGGAAAGGAGAGAAAAATTCACAACTCAAGAGGATAAGCAGACTTATCTACTAGTGAGCCATTGAAAGTCATGTAGAGGACTTGAGAGAGCAGCCTAGGTAGGTCGTTTGTGTGCTGTATGTTCAGTGATTGCTTGAGGCCAGGGAGCTGGGGATAACTCCTTGTGCAGCCCAAGAACTCTGCACTCATCTTATACACCAGCTCTACTGAATCCAAGTTGACCTGCTCACATTTGTGTGCCATTTCTATCAGGAAGTCTCTTGAGAATGCCAATAGCTCAGATACCTGCTCGCCATTACCAGATCTACCCCTCAAAGCATAATGTCTGCTGGTGGGAGGATGAGTAGCTTCAGTGTTTTGTACAAAGGAGAGTATATTTATTTCTAATTTCAGAGTTTCTCTTGCTCCTGTCTAGACACTTCAGAGAAAAACAAATTCAGGTCACCAGTAAAGTTATGTTCTATAATAAGAGAAGACTTGTGCTAAATCACTTGTAAAGACATTAACTATCATCTGCCTGAAAAGTCTTCTCTCACCAAGCTTCTGCAGATCTTTTGAGGTACCAGAAATAGTGGTTAGTTCTCACATGCTGTTCTGCTTCAGCGAGCTTCATGTGGCCACCTGCAGAAATAGTTCTTGGTTTCTCTTCCTTGTCTAGATGCTGGTCAAGGCAGCGTTTAGAAAAACACAGATTTTCATATTCCCATTCACACGTGCAAAGTGAATTAGGGTACCAAAGAATTACCTAGATTATTCAATCTGTAAAATGCTTTGCCTCAATTGACTGAATATTTTATATCAACACTTTTTCCAGCTACATATTTATACTATAATAGGAACCTATTTTTACTATATATACTATTTATACTATAAAAGTAGGAGTTGCAGAATCATAAGAAATTTAGGGCCGGGTGCAGTGGCTCACACCTGTAATCCCAGCACTTTGGGAGGCCGAGATGAGCAGATCACGAGGTCAGCGGTTCGAGACTAGCCTGACCAACTTGGTGAAAACTCATCTTTACTAAAAATACAAAAATTAGCCAGGGGTGGTGGTATGTGCCTGAAATCCCAGCTACTTGGGAGGCTGAGGCAAGAGAATCACTTGAACCCGGGAGGTGGAGGTTGCAGTGAGCCGAGATTGTGCCACTGCACGCCAGCCTGGGCGACAGAGCAAGACTCCATCTCAAAAAAAAAAAAAAAAAAAAGAAATTTAGAAGACACAACCACAAGAGCTTTCTTTCATGTATTTATTAAGGAGACAGGGTCTTGCTCTGTCACCCAGTCTGGAGTACAGTGTCGTGATCCTAGCTCACTGCAGCCTCAAACTAAGCGATCCTCTGGCCTCAGTCTCCTGTGTAGCTGGGACTATAAGGTGCATGCCATGTTGGCTACTTTTTTTTTTTTTTTCCAGTAGAGATGGTTTTGGGGACAGGGGTCTCACCTTGTTGTCCAGACTGGTCTTGAACTGCTGGCTTCAAGCGATCCTCCTGCCTCGCCGCCTAAAATGCTGGGATTACAGGCATGAGCCACCGTGCCCAGCCTTGGACCTTCTAATTGTAAAGAAGCAAAAAGGCCCATATAATATACATAATATACACCATAATATATACATAATATACATCATCTCACTTTATATATCCACTGTATTAATTTTTCTGTTAAAAAAACTATGCTCGTTTAGTGTTTTATGTTGTTTTTTCAAAAAATAGTGATTTTGAATTGTGGGCCTAATTAGCGAAAATTGAAATGTATTAAAATAATATAAACATCTGTAAGGGATTTTGTATCAAATGGAGTCTGCTCTCAGTTCTTTTTTTTTAACTTTTATTATTTTATTTTTAATACAGACAGGGTCTCACTATGTTTTTCAGGCTGGTCTCGAACTCCTGAGCTCAAGCAATACTCCTGCCTAGGCATCCCAAGTGCTAGGATTACAGGCATGAGCCACCATGACCAGCCTCTACTCTCAGTTCATTTTCTAAGAAATTTGATGCAAGCCAGTATTGTTGCTGAACTTCATACCAGCGTGAAGAATATCTGGATTGCAGTGTTCTTTCCTTAAAGGGGTACTGTAGGCACAAGAGTTGTGCCGAGATTTATGTGGTCTTCAGAGATGGAGAAGCGTTTGATTCCTAGAATTATTTGGCATCTTTCTACACTCATCTGGGTTTTCTCTTAGATTTATAAAAAGGCCAGTGTTGGGCATTCTGACAAAGTCTAGGTTAAACGCTAATCAAGGCACTAGAGTATATATTTGAAGTTTGTGTGTTAACACCTATGTGTTCGGGGCAACAAACTACTAGTGTCACTAGTTAGCTGCCAGTAGTTAGCTGCTCTGAACACTTAGGATACCTAAATATACATCGGATTTTTCATCAATCTTTTGTTTGTCTTCTCCAAAAAGGAATCAATTAATGAACTAGTTCTGCCCCCAAAGTAACAGTTTAGAATAAATGTATTAATTCAATGCAATGTTCAACATTGTTTGAAAAATCTAAAGTATTTTTATAATTTTATTTTTTTCTTTTCCTTTTTTACCTTTCACACACTTGAATCTAAACATTTTTACTTGAAGAATGGACAGTTATTTTTCTTTGTGTTTTAAAATACAACATGTACCAGGAAAGGGAGATGGAAGTAAAAATAAATAAATAAAATACAACACGCTCTTCAGATAGGTGGCTTTTGGAAAGCAATCTATGATTTTCTAATTCTCTAGGGCTCAGAGTCTCTTGTAAAACACAGTTCTTTCTATATAATTTTTGCTAATGGATAGAAAAACTTGTGGGGTATTTGGAGGAATTAAATAAACATTGAAGATATAAAAGCACACAAGGGATGACTTTTATTGTAAAGTCATGCTGTCATCAAATGGTGTGATTTCTTCCCTGGTGAGGGCAGTTTTCAGTCTACCACACCTGCCTCTGGTCATGTCACGGTTGAGTTCTGGCACTGCCAGCTGATGTTACCGGTGGTTTGCTGAATTTTGACTTATATGGAATTAAATGTCTGTGTTACCATAGTAAGTTCACATTAGTCTTTGCATTTCATTATCAAGAATGCACTGGTAACTGGCAGGAAACTTCTATTTGAAGCATAGTAATCGGAACATTTTCTTATTGTTAAAGTACTTTTGCTTCTTCCCTACTTTCATTTAAATCTATCTAAAGGAAAAAAGAGGATTTTGTCTTCCATACAAAAGAAGTTTTAGACATTGGGGCTTACTATAGTTTCTCTGTGTTATAAACGATCTCCATTCTTTATGTCACTCCATGAACTTTTATTTAATTTGGAGGAAATCCATAGTATTCACTCTATATCAGAGGCTGTGACATCCTGGCTAAAGCTATTGAAGTTGGCAGCATCATTTCCTCTTCCCGAATTCCTTTTTTGGTTAAGTTTAAGAAGGAGCACAAATTGAGGGTGCAACTTTGTTTCCCGTAGTTTTGAACTGGCAGGGTGTCCCTGGGATTTGTGGCTGCCTACTTGAACAATCCCTTAGGACAGACACCATTCACATTTCATGGCTCTCACTAGGAATCATTAACAGCTCAGTGCAGAGTTTTGCTTTTCACTTAACTTGTAAGATAATGAAGAGACCCTGCCAAGGTTCAGAAAAGGATAACAAAGCATAAGCCCCTTAATGGGATGAACTAACGTAAAAGTCTAAGTATCTGGAGCTCTTTCCCACAAGTAGGACCTGACTCAGGGACTGGCATTCAGGCTGACAACCACCATATACAAGAAACTGTAATAGAAACGAAAGTAATTTCCCTAAAATGAGCCAAGTTATGGGCTTTGGGAAAATAAGGATCTGTTAGCTTTGCTAAGATCAGGATCTTTGATTTACAGTGCTTTCCATGAAACGGTATATTTTTATTGAAGAGAATCATAGGATCTAGAAAGCATTGACTTTAAGTGAAGCACTATTTGAATTCAGCTTTAAGTAGACTGAAATAGCTCTTTATATGATTGAAATGTCTCCATATAATTGTTTGTTAATTAACATATCTCATAAAATGGCATTTTATATACCATGCATGGCAAAGCAGTTGACAAGCAATTGTAATATTAAAACAGAACTTCTGGCCTGGCCCTGATCTCTTTGTTAGAGTGTTGTAATGATCTTCAGCCTGTTTGCCACAGCACTGAGCTAGCCAGTGTACCTCTATCATTTGGTTTTCAGGAGTCCCTAGGATAGATCTCAGCTTCAAGACTAGGTGAGGGTAGCCACTTAAATCCTGAGGCCATTGCATCATCTAGGCAGTTGAGGAGACTTGAGAAGCTTTCCTGGTATACTCAGATGTAGTTTTTCTTGTCTGCTTAGATATTCAGATATTCTGAATCAGTGATTGCTCTCAAATACCTGCAGGAACCAGGCAGAGGACTTACTGGAGTCAAGTGGCCTGGGGAGAAACTGATGAGCTTGAGAGTGAATGTCCATCTCAGTGGAGAAGTCTTTATCCCACTCCAGCTCTTTGTTGCTAGCTGAGATGTTGGCCCAGTGTTGTCAGTGTTCCAAAGCGTGCGGAACATATGGGCTTTGATGTATAATCTCCCAATTTTTAAATGATGCTAATTTGATTAAAAACAATTCCTATACAGGCAAAATATGACACAATGGTATCCACACCTGACCCCAGGGCTCCTCTTTGGCATCTAATATAAATTGAAACAACTGAGCTCTCAGAGCTGAGCTTATTCACCTGAAGGTCCACTATGGGTACTAAGTCAATTCCCCACTGGAGCAGTTTCTGTCTGGTGGCCTGGAGTGTGACAAGCATGGGTGGAGATGGGGAACAGGCTAGCTCAGGTTTTAGGACTATGGGGAGATGTCTTAGTTGGCATATCTGATCATCTGCGGCTACTTCATATCTGGCTGAAACATCTTCAGCTCCTGATTTCCATTGTATGGTGAATGGAATGTATGGTGATGGGCACAGAAACAGTGGCATCTCAACCTTCCTTTTTTTGTTTTTGAGACGGAGTCTGGCTCTGTCGCCCAGGCTGGAGTGCAGTGGCGCTATCTCGGCTCACTGCAAGCTCCGCCTCCCGGGTTCACGCCGTTCTCCTGCCTCAGCCTCCCGAGTAGCTGGGACTACAGGTGCCCGCCACCATGCCTGGCTAATTTTTTCGTATTTTTAGTAGAGACGGGGTTTCACCGTGTTAGCCAGAATAGTCTCCATCTCCTGACCTCGTGATCCACCCGCCTTGGCCTCCCAACATTTCAACCTTTCTAAAAGGTGACATCTTGTACACTGTAGTAGCATAATGGGAAATTCAGACAGGCACATCATATGCTACATACCAGACCCTTTCCAAATGCTGGTTCCATCTTCATCTTCCCATTCTAAAATTTCTTCAAAAATTAAAAGCTTCAGGTGGGTGCAGTGGCATGTGCTTGTAATCCTGGTTACTCTAGAGGATCACTTGAGGCCAGGAGTTTGAGAGTTTGGTAGAGACCTTGTCTCTACCAAAAAAAAAAAAAAAAAAAAAAAAAATTAGCCAGGCGTGGTAGTTCCAGCTACTCAGGAGGTCAAAGCGGGAAGATTCATTTGAGCCCAGAAGTTTGAGGCTTCAGTGAGCTATGATTGAGCCACTGCACTCTAGCCTGAGCAACAGAGCAAGATCCTGTCTTGAAAAAAAAAAAAAAAAAGCTTAGATGACATAGTGAGACCCCCCCCACCCAGCGGGGTATCTATTTAATGTATATATATATGTGTATATATATATATATATATATATATATATATATATATAAGCTTATATATATATATAAGCTTATATATATATATATAAGCTTATATATATATAGAAAGCTTATATATATATAGAAAGCTTATATATATAAGAAGCTTATATATAAAAGCTTATGTATAAATATATATAAATATATTTATTTATGCTTATAGATACATATATAAATATATTTATTTATATTTATATATAAACATATATTTATATATATTTATATAATATTTATTTATTATATAAATAAATATATAATAAATAATAAATATATATAATATATTTATTGTATTATTTATATAAATTTATTAATATAATATATAATAAAATAATAATTATATAAATATATAAATATCTATAAATATATATAAATATATATAATATCTATAAATATATATAAATATAAATATATATAATATCTATAAATATAGATAAATATAAATATATATAATATCTATAAATATAGATAAATATAAATATATATAACTATATATAAATATATATAACTATATATAAATATATATATAAATATATATAACTATATATATAACTATATATATAAATATATATAACTATATATATAAATATATATATAAATATATATAACTATATATATAAATATATATAACTATATATAAATATATATATAAATATATATAACTATATATATAAATATATATATAAATATATTTTAAAAAAGCTTATATATATAAAAGATTATATGTATATATAAAAGCTTATAAATGTATTGGCAAGTCTGACTTTCGTCCTTTTCAATTAGCTATACACAACAATACTGTGAAGTGTGTATTACTATCAGTGCCCAGAGGATGCAGCGCATCTGAGGCAAATGGGAGGTTAACGAATTCCCCACATAACGAGTCACCAGTGAAGTTGGCTTTGCTTTTCCATTACACAGTAAAGCCTGGAAAACTTCCTCAGGCTTCCCCAGATTTATGATCATAGACTCACTGAGTTGGAAGGAACCTTAGAGATTAACCTGCCCAACTGTCTCATTTCAGAGATAAGTGACTCGCTCTTGACTCCTACTCGTTTCTCTTGTCCTTGTCTAGTTTGAAATCATAGTTGTGCTAGTAAGGCAATGTTGAAAAGTGAAAGGTTTGTGTTGCTGGTTTTATTGTATTCTTACGTCTCCAGATTTATTTCTCCTAGATCCAGCCAGATTGTCTTTAGACCCTTAGGCTACTGGCCCTTGCTAACTTTTATAAACTGAGATAAATGGAATGCAAGTCTTTGAAATTACAATGATTTTGCTTCTGCAGCAGTGTGAATGTCTGTTGAATTTAGGGGGAGTGGCAGATCCAAGCAGAAGGGCGTAGCAAATGTTAATGAAAATGGTGGTGTTTGACCAAATACAACCCACCAGAGGATAAAATCACAGGCTATAATTTCAGTAGACGGTGGAGTTTTGTGTGGTCGGTAACGTCACTGGAAACCCAAGAAAGAACTTATTTTGCGCAATTTGGCCCATGTTGTTGTTTATTTTGATTACACCAAGCTCAAGGGCTCTTTTGACATTAAAAATGCTTATTTCAGCTAAAGTCCAGATTAGGGTTACAATTTCCCTTTTAAAAATTTCTTTTCCTTTTTCTGGGATTGCACTGTGGTCTCCTACACACTTCTTTCTACTTTCCTGTGATTTCTTTCTAGCCAGAAAATTATTAGCATTTCCACATAGATATATAACAAATGCTGTAATATCAGTGCTGCCTTCGTGGTGTGATGCACAAGAAGAATCATGGAGTTTTTTGTTGTTGTTGTTGTTGTTGTTGTTGTTGTTGTTGTTTTTGAGACCGGGTCTGGCTCTGTCACCCAGGCTGGAGTGCAGTAGTGTGATCTTGGCTCACTGCAACTCTGCCTCCTGGGCTGAAGCGATCTTCCCATCTCAGTCTCCCAGGTAGCTGGGGCTTAGTGGGCACCACCATGCCCCGCTAATTTTTTTTTTTTTTTTGTAGCGATGTGGTCTTGCCATGTTGTCCATGCTGGTCTTGAAATTTTGAGCTCAAATGATCTGCCTGTCTCCCAAAGTGCTAGGATTACAAGTGTGAGCCACAGCACCCAGCCAGGAAGAATCGTTTTTGCAGTGGGACTCTGGTCACCCAACGAACATCAGGATCTTTCTTGTAATATAAAGCAGAATGGAGAAATATCAATGGAATTTCTAGTATATGAAGATTTTTCCCTGCATACGAGGAAATATATTAAGTCAGAGTAGTCAGTTTGGCCTGTGTTTGAATTCTGTCTCTACCGCACACTAGGTATGTGGCCCTGGAGAAGTTATTCAACCTAGCTGAAATGCAGTTCATTTCTTTGTAAAATAGTGATAGGCTGGCTTGGTGGCTCACACCTGTAATCCTAGCACTTTGGGAGGCCGAGGCGGGCAGATCCCTTAAGGTCAGGAGTTCGAGACCAGCCTGGCCAACATGGTGAAACTCTGTCTCTACTAAAAATACAAAAAATTAGTCGGGTGTGGTGGCATATGCCTGTAATCCCAGCTATTTGGGAGGCTGAGGCAGGAGAATAGCTTGAACCTGGGAGGCAGAGGTTGCAGTGAGCCGTGATCACGCCACTGCACTCCAGCCTGGGTGATAGAGTGAGACTCAGTCTCAAAAAAAAAAAAAAAAAAAGAATCGCTGATCTGCCAGCTCCTGCTCCTGACTCACCACTGTTCGCTCTTGTGAGGAACAGTTGGTCAGGAAGCCGCGCAGCAGCCATGGCTTTTAAGAATACCGGGCACTTTGGGAGGCCGAGGTGGACGGATCACAAGGTCAGGAGATCGAGACCATCCTGGCTAACACGGTGAAACCCCGTCTCTACTAAAAAAAAAAAAAAAAAAAAAAAAAAAAAAAAAAAAAAAATTAGCCGGGCATGGTGTGGCAGGTTCTTGTAGTCCCAGCTACGCAGGAGGCTGAGGCAGGAGAATGGCGTGAACCCGGGGGGCGGAGCTCGCAGTGAGCCGAGATCACGCCACTGCATTCCAGCCTGGGGGACAGAGCGAGACTCCATCTCAAAAAAAAAAAAAAAAAAAAAAAAAGAATTCCGGAAACACACTCGTGGAGCCAGAGGTGGCAATTCACCGAATTCGAATCACTGTAACAAGCCGCAAAGTAAAATCCCTGGAGAAGGTGTGTGCTGACTTGATCAGAGGAGCAAAGGAAAAGAATCTCAAAGTGAAAGGACCAGTTCGAATGCCTACCAAGACTTTGAGAATCACTACAAGAAAAACCCCTTGTGAATGTTCTAAGACATGGGATTGTTTCGGGATGAGAATCCACAAGCGACTTATTGACTGGCACAGTCCTTCTGAGATTGTTAAGCAGGTTACTTCCATCAGTATTGAGCCAGGAGTTGAGGTGGAAGGCACCATTGCAGATGCTTAAGTAAGCCATTTTAATAAATTGATTACAAGTTGTTAAAAAAATAAAATAATGATAATAACTAACTTCAAAGACTGTTGTGTGATTTAAATAGGATTATATTTGGCCAGGTGCAGTGGCTCATGCCTGTAATCCCAGCACTTTGGGAGGCCTAGGCAGGCGACTCATGAGGTCAGGAGATCGAGACCATCCTGGCTAACACGGTGAAACCCCATCTCTACTAAAAAAAAACCAAAAAATTAGCCGGGTATGGTGGCATGCGCCTGTAGTCCCAGCTACTTGGGAGGCTGAGGCAGGAGAATTGCTTGAACCTGGGAGGTGGAGGTTGCAGTTTGCTGAGATCGCACCACTGCACTCCAGCCTGGGTGACAGAGTGAGACTCTGTCTCAATAAATAAATAAATAAATAGAATTATATTTTTTAATGTCTGGCCCAAGATAGATGATAGTCAACAAATGTTCATTTACTCATTCATTTAACGCATATTTATGAAGCATCTACTATGCTCCATGTACTGCCATTAGAGCAGTGAGCAAAATAGACAAAACCCTTGCCACGATCAGTTCCCTCTCTTCTTTTTCCTACTTTACACTGACCCTCCCCACTAAAGCCAGGCCGCATTAGATGAATATTCCTGCTTTTTCAAAGAATTCATTCCGTTGGAAGTTCTGCTAGTCAACAACTATGTTTTGTGCTCAGATTCTCTTTTTGCATGAGATCAAAAAAAGAATGTATGATGAAATTGCAAAATTTGACCTACATTGCAACTTGGATGTGCAGAAAAATGAATTTATTTAGTCTATCCTATTCCGTCTTCCCTCACAGACATTTACGTTCTAGTTAGAAGGGGGAATAACGTTAACTAAATGACTGGTTTAAAATGTAGTCCCAGTCAGTAATTTAATCCATTTGAATGCTTGTTCTGCCTCCTTTGGATAAAAATGGTGAGGCTAAAACCAAACAATACAAAAACAAAAAAAAGCTGAGGCTAGGCCAGGCATGGTGGCTCATGCCTGAAATCCCAGCACTCTGGGAGGCCAAGATGGGCAGATGGCTTGAGCTCAGGAATTGGAGACCAGCCTGGGCAGCATGGCAAAACTCCATCACTACAAAAAACACAAAAATGAGCTGGGAGTGGTGGTGTGAACTTGTAGTCCCAGCTACTTGTGGGGACTGAGGCAGGAGGATAGCTTGAATCCGGGAGGTCGAGGTTGCAGTGAACCTAGATTGTACCACTGCACTCCAACCTGGGTGGCAAAGTGAAACTCTGTCTGAAAAAAAAAAAAAAAATTACTGAGGCTCTCAGGCTCTTCCTCTTCTGCTTGCCTAGAGTCCTGGGGAAGGGCTGAGGTCTATGCAACCTCATGTTGGTGGGGAGGAGGTGGTGTCCTCAGCCACAGTTCCCTGCTTGCCTTGGCTCTCCTCCAGCCAATTATCTCCTTCTCATTTGGTACTGCTTGCCCTGGGGTGATTGCTTGAGTGGGTGTGACCTGTGGTTGGTCTCACTGGGTCTGGTTAAAGTCCTGTTGTGTGCTCTGGCTGACCTGCCCTCATTTCAGTTTCCCCTGGTGCTAGAGATCCCTTTGAAGTTTGGTTGGCCTTTCATCCAGCCCTGGCTTTACCTGCCTCTGATAAGCAGAGAGGCTTGCTCTTTCTGAGTCCTCTCTACCTCGCTCTGACTGACCATGTCTGACCTACCTAGGGGTGGGCTTGGTCCCTAGGTTTGTATGGGAGCATGCCACACACAGAGCCCCCTCTTTTGAGTTCATGAGGAGTCTTTTTAATAGTGGCCCCCACTCTGCCTTTGGAGTTAACTTTGCTTCCCTTGTGCCCCTTTCCCTACCTGGGCCAAACTCAGAAGAGCTGGGGGAGGGGAGATTAGGACAACCTTCACCAGTTCATTTCCCTCTCTCTCTGCTTTCCACAGTTCTCCACACTAACAAAGGGCTAGTCTGTCTGTCTTTCTTTCTTTCTTTCTTTCTTTCTTTCTTTCTTTCTTTCTTTCTTTCTTTCTTTCTTTCTTTTTCTTTCTTTCTTTCTTTCTTTCTATTCTATCTTCTTCCTGACTCTTCCTAGCTTAATCTTAATGACAAGCAGGTTACCTTCTTTTTATTTTTGTTTTTAAACCACATTGATCTGAAATCTCCATGCTTGGTTGTTAAAATACTAATGCCTCACAAGGGAGTTCAGCAAATCCCTTTTCAAGAGGCTTGTATAAACCTACTTTCTGAAAGACAGAAGCAGAATGTTACTCATTCTCTTGTTCTTCTTCTATAATAAATTCAGACTCTCCATCTGGGCAAGTCATTGGCTAGGGCAGACTAATGTGAAGGTTTCTACTCAAGGAGGCAAAAAAAATGCATTTTAATATTCAAAATTTTACTTGTTACAGAAGCATGGCTGGTGCCTTAAGGAACTCATTGTTTATTAGCTTTATGGTTCTCTGACTATCCAGGTGACTGGACTGCACCCAGGTGTTGGCGGCCCTGGAACTTGTCTGTCTGTCTGTTGATTTGGAATTGACAGTGGTTGCAGACCTTTAAGTCAAACCTTTCCTCTTGATCCCAATGTGCCCTTCGCTTTCTCTAAAAGGTTCTCCCTTCCTCTTATTTTTCCTTATCCTCTTCTCCATCTTTGCTGTCAGATCTCTCTCTCTCTTTCTTTATCCTGCACTTGCAGTTTGCTCCCACACTGGACACACATACAGGCATACGCATACACACGAAAACATACATCATCACCTCCTCTTTGTTCGTATATGTACATTTACAGTCCCCTGTGGCTTTAGCTCTTTTTCCAGGATTTTCTCTTTCATCCATTTATTATATATGTGAATATTGATTCTTTACTATGATGATAATCATTGCTGTAATTTATTGAACACCTGTTATATACTAGTGATGAGAAAGGTCCTTTTATATTGCCTCTTTCATTTAATCCTTAGAATCACCATTGTGTGTAGCAAGAAACCGAGGCTCAAGGAAGTTTTTAAAAACTGTGTTCAAGGATACAGAACTAGTAATTGGCAGAACAGGGACTTGAATCTAGGTTTCATTGGCCCTAAAGACCATTCCACAAAAGAAAATCATTATGAACAGAAATGTAGGTTTTTGAGTAAAGATTTTATGTAAATTGAATTATCCTATAATAACCTTGAACATGAAATTCAAAACTTAGTTTATGATGACTGGTCTAAAAGCTATCACTTTGAAGGGAAGAATGGGGAACTCCTTTTCAGAGATGATTAATGCTTGATGCAATTCTATTAGAAGTGCTGACTAATGGTCTGATGACTACTTATTTTGATCTTGGTGTTGGTAAAGAGAACTTTACATGCCAGGAAATGGAAAAAAAAATACAGATTTTAACCACTTAAAATTGCTAACAGTGAAGGTCTCCATATTATTTTGGTTCCAGCTTCTTTTTTTTCCCCCTAGGCTAATTTCACCACTTCCTCCTCCATTCTTGAGTTTTAAAAATGTCTTTTGAGAGACAGAGTCTTGCTGTGTTGGCTAGGCAGGTCTCAAACTCCTGGCTCCAGTGATCCTCCAGCATCAGCCTCCCAAAGCACTGGGATTACAGGCATGAGCTATGCCTGGCCTCTGTTTTGTTCTTGCAGGCTAAATTATTTTCCCCTGTTCTGTTTAGATTATTCTTAATTTAAAATATCATATTTAATTTTCCATTTTAAAGCATCTGCTACCATCTATCCTTATTTTCTCCCTTTTCTTGTTCATATTTTTTCTCTGTCTCTGGCTTTGTTTTGTGCATTCTTGCTCATAGTGCTCTGCCCCATTAGGTTACCGAAAATAAAATGTACTGGAATTCTAATCTCTAAAATCCTGGCCATCACAACTAGGATTCTTTGGAGTTTGCTTTCAACTTCTGTGCAAGGATGGACAATTCATTCATCAGTCACAGTTGTGCCATTGTGGCATTTGGAGGTGGTGTACAGAGCCCTGCTGTTTTTTTTTTATTCTCTGAGGTTTTGCTAAATGATAATGGGTGGGTCAAGGAAAAACCTGATTAAGCACTCACTAAAGAAAAAAAAATGTGAGTGACTGAGTGTGTGGGCATGAACATGTATGTGTGTTTTCCTGTGTGTGTATGGTGGGGGGTATCTTCGAGAATGTAGAGAGATGAATTCTCCCTAAAGAATGTATAGGTATTTGATATGAAGTACTCCTCAGCATCCTCTGGAATCAAAGTGAACTTTCTCTCAGATTAAAATGATGATTCAGAGTGGTTATGGGGCTGGCATTTTAAGAATTAGAGAGGAGAAAGGAATAAAAGAAGGAGTGTCTTCAAAGAATTATATAAACTAAACTAAAGCTTATTTAATCTCTTTCATCTCACACTGACATATCCTTCTTCCTTGTGATTTCCTTGATTGGTTTGTCTCTAAGGGAAAATGAAGAGGATTCTTTTAGAGCTTCCTATCTCATAATAAAGAAAGATTTCACAGGTTCCTGTTTCAGAGGATGGGGATACATCCTTTTATCTTAAAAGAGAACAATGTTAGTTCCTAGAGTTTCTATCATTTTGAAATAGAGTTTTTTTTTTTTTTTTTTTTTTTTTTTTTGCCCTTGTGCTGCTGTGACTTTCAGGAAACTTTTCACTGGTGATATCAGAGGCACTTTGAAGAAATGATCCTTGCTAATCCATTTGATTAGTGTGCAATACTGCAGCTATTGATGGGCATAAGGTATTAATAATAATCAATTTCTATATGTCATATTTATTAACTGTTAAATTTTAAGAAATTGTTTGTATAAACATAGGGATATCCTTGACTCACATAGCCTCTGTATCTCTGTACATGTCATTTGACTCATGGGTCCCATGAAGAACAACGTGTGCAGGTGATCCTTAAGCGTTTAAAGCAATCACGATATCAGCCTGAGGTGACAGGCGGTGGTGCACAGATCTCAGATGGTGGCTGAGACTATTCACTCTCAAGATCCACCAAGCAGAAAAGTGAGATGTCCAGGCAAATCTGCTTCTGGTCCTTTCCCCAAGTATTCTGCTTTATACTCTTTGGAAGAAATACCATTTCCCCCTGCCACAGTTGCCTAGAAAAAGAAAAAAAAAGAGAAAAGGAAAAAGAATGCAGTGAATATGCCGACCTTTGTAGACAAAGAAGCGGTCACCAACCCACTTGGAAAAGGACGTGCATTCTGAGTCATTTTTCTAGTTGTGATCAAGGCCTAGCTTTAACCATTGTGCCTCCCATTCCTGAGGTCCAGCCCTGCCCTTGGTCAATAATGGCCCTTTGGATTAAAATAGAGGAAAATCAACTAACTGGTGGAGGTAATTGGATCCAAATAACTGCAGGGAAAATCAGTAATCAGGAACAGGGATGCGGAGCAGATAAAAAAGCTAGGAAATAAAAGACAACAATTTAGTTTCTGATTGAGTCTTCTTGTACTTTTACTTTTTTTTCTTTTTAATTCAAATTAGGGTCTTATTTTAAGAGTTTAAGTAGCTTTCAGAAAGAAAAGTTTAGAATTATTAAAAAAAAGTTTAGAATTAAAAAGAGTATTCTTTTCCTGTTACGTAAAACAAGCGTAACTAGTTGTTCAGGAAAATACTCCCTAGGAAACTATGGCGAAATAGCACAATATCCAAAAGATCAGCCAATAGGGTAGTCAGAAAGCCTCCTTGACGAATCAGGAAACATGATAATAGTGGGTTTCTGTCCCTTTTTTGTTCACCTGGATTACTCTTTTTAAAACATCACCTTTAGGGATGTGTTGCCAGCCCTCTTCCTTCAGCTGTGATCTCCAAAGGAAACAGGGAGGTTTAATAGGAACTGTGGGATGCCAACATTCAGATCATTTTCAACTTCAAGAGAGGGAAATCAGGACAAAGATTTCCAACAATTTTAACAATATGCCTGTTATTGTCAGCAGGCTTAAAAACGAATCATATGGTTTTCAGAGTTTAGCAGGCAGGCTAACTCCCTAAGAAGAAACTCAGTTTATAGAAGACAAAGGGTAGGGTTAAAAAAAAAAAGCAGTTATTCGGTTGTCGGGTAACTTCCTGATTGGAATAAGATAGACAAGTTGTGAAAACATACTTGGTTCCTCTGAGCACACTTTTACAATCTCTCTTGGGCTCAGACTTGATAAGAGAGAAAAGGTGAAGTTTTATTTCTTGTACACAGAGACGTTGTAGAGTGGAAAACGAGACCATTAAGAGTGTGGAGGAGGCATTTATTGCCTTCTTTCTGACAGCAAGCAGTCACAGGATGGAACTGCTTCTGGCATTCAAGCAGTTAAGAGACTTCTGAGGTCAAAGCCACAAACCCTGAAGTAATGGGAAGCCATGCATATGCTCTCTGAAGCCCGGGAGCTTCTTTTAGAAGAGAACAGGAATTAGATTAAGCTAATGTTGCTGAACACATGAAATTTGTTGTTAGCAAATTACGGAGCTCAGGAAATTATCAGCTTCTACAGGGCATTCCAAACTTAGCCCCAAAACCATGGCAAGTGTTAAAGAGCAGAGAAAAGCTTCAGTCAGGCTAGAGCAAAGAACTCCCAAACCTCATGTCTGATACAATTATAGGCTGCAAATGGGGAGGAGGAACCATGGAATCTGCATGTAAATGGCAAAGTCTACCAGCAACCTGATATTGGCTCTAAAATTAACTTTTATTTACATAAGCAATGCATATAGAAAAATGAATAACTACTGCTAAAATCTAAAAAATGTAACCTTCATTTTCAATATCCAGAGTTAACATTATAACTGGCACATAATAATCACTTAAGAGATGTTAGCCATTTAAAAGTGTATATTTGTATATATATGTATATCTGTTTTTGTTTGTTTGTTTGTTTGTTTTGAGACAGAATCTCGATCTGTTGCCAGGCTGGAGTGCAGTGGTGTGATCTCAGCTCACTGAAACCTCCGCCTCCCAGGTTCAAGCGATTCTCCTGCCTCAGCCTCCCAAGTAGCTGGGACTACAGGTGTGCGCCACCACACCCAGCTAATTTTTGTATTTTTAGTAGAGAGAGGTTTCACCATGTTGGCCAGGATGTTCTTGATCTCCTGACCTCAAGTGATCCACTCACCTTGGCCTCCCAAAGTGCTGGGATTACAGGTGTGGGCCACCGTGCCAGGCCCTCTTTTGTTTTTTTTTTTTTGAGAGGCAGGGTCTCTCTCTGTTGCCCAGGCTGGAGTGTGGTGGCACAATCATAGCTCATAGCAATCTTGAACTCCTGGGTTCAAATGATCTTCCTGCCTCAGTCTCCTGAGTAGCTGGGGCTACAGGTGCATGCCACCAAGACTGAATACTTTTTAAATTTTTTGTAGAGAAGGGATCTTGCTATGTTACCCAGGCTGGTCACAAACTCCTAGCCTCAAGCTATCCTCCCCCCTCAGCCTCCTAAAGTGTTGGGATTACAGGTGTAAACCACCACACCCAGCCTATATCCACTTAAAAAATCTACTTTCCTTGCTGAGCAATATATTGGGAATATTTTTTCATGTCAAGAAATGTATCTTGTGTCTGGGTACTGTGGTTCACACCTATAATCCCAGCACTTTAGGAGGCCAATGCAAGAGAATTACTTGAGGCCAGGGGTTCAATACCAGCCTGGGCAACACAGTAAGATCGTGTCTCTAATTAAAAAAAAAAAGATAAAAAAGAAAAAAATTAGCCTGAATGGTAGTCCCAGGTACATAGGAGGCTGAGGCAGGAGGCTGTCTTGAGCGTAGGAAGCCTAGGCTGCAGTAAGCCATGTTCACACCATTGTACTCCAGCCTGGGTGACAGAGCAAGACCCTTTCTCAAGAAACAAACAGAAAACAAAAAAGAAATATATTTTGCTTTATTTTCTTTGTTTTACCACTAATATCTGTATGCTTTTATGACATAAGACAGAATATTGACTATCTTTGCTCTATCTGTAAATCAACAGACCTCATCTATAAATTCAGTGAAATCTCCTCTAGTGGGGAAGGAGATCATAAAAACAACAGAGCCTTAAAGGGCAAACAAAATATTGCAGAGATTGAATGTGCATGTATTTATAGGAATATATGCACAGATATGAATGAAAGAAATGACCATCCATTTTGAGCCTAGAAAAGGGAGATGAGCCCCTCCCTTCCTTACCATACACCCTGCCCCCTCTCTCCAGATGCGCTCTTGCTGGATGGGTCATTCCAGGATTTCCTGATTATAATGAGGAAGCACAGCTGATCACGCCAGTAAGTTCAGATTGAGATCTCATCACCTTTTGACCTTCAGCCCCACCCTTTGTTTACCAGTCTGAAAGCTGGCACACATGACTGTAAATGGAAGTAAAAAGAAAGAAGGCAAAAAACTGAAGTGACATGTGCCAAGTGGCTGTCAGCTCTTCAGAGCCACACCTTGTTTCTCTCTTCCTGTGTAATGATGAGAACCAGAGCCTTGAGCCATCATAGTTTAGGATGGAGACAGATCTGCAATGCATAAAACAGAGCCTACCCAAGACTACTATATTTCTTTGAGAAAATAAAAGGCATCAGTTGGGAATTTCTTCATTCTCCACCATCAAATCAACAATCTTGCCTGCATCTCTCCCCATCTTCTTTTGTCATAGTTTTGTGCTTACCAAAGGCTATCCTCTCCAATTCTGTCCTGGGACTGAGTTGTTCTATCAACCAAATATTGTCCCTATTTCTTCTCTTATTTTTTCTCCACCATCATTCGTCTCTTTCCCCAACTACAAACACACTCTAATAGATACCAAATTAAGAAGCAAGCATAAATAAACAAAAAGACCTAGAATCCTCTGTAAACCCTTATTTCCCTTCAGCTACCACCTCCCCCCATTTTTATGTTCCCTTGTACAGTAAAACTAAAAAAGTTGTATAAATATGTATGCTGTCTTCACTGCCTGAACTCCATTTCATCCTTCAACACACTGTAATCTGGCTTCTGTGTATTGCATTTGCTAAAATAATTTTTGCTCAAAATTACCAGTGGACTTCATATTGACAAAACAATGGACATGTTTTTTGTCTTTTATTTGTTAGCCCTTCAGTATTATTCCACTTGGTAGATAATTCTATCTTTTCTGACTTCAGTTACACTTTGTTCTCCTGGATTTTCTCCTAGCATGCTGATTGCTCTTTCTCCATCTCTTTTTGCCAGCTGTCCTCTAACTGACTTCTACTGGTTTGGTTTGATTTAGGGCTAGGTTCTGGATGCTCTTCTCTTTACTCTCCATATTTTCTCCCTAATGATCTCATCCGTATTCATGGCATGAGTTAGTGTCTATATGCTGCTGATTCCTGTTATGGAGATTGTGGTACACCACCCAGAGACTCCCTCTAAGACTAAGGCATTCATTTTCCCAACTGTTGAGAGTATTGACTGTTGGCAGCTCACAAGGATTCCCTCCTTGAGCATTGTCCTCGGTTTAAGATTATATATCCCTTTTTCTTTTTCTACTTCTCTCTTTCTTTCCTTTTTTTTTTTTTTTTAAACAGGGTCTCACTCTTTTTTAGACAGGGTCACCCAGGCTGGAGTGCAGCGGTGCCATCTCAGCTCTGTGCAAACTCTGCCTCCAGGGTTCGACTGATTCTGGTGCCTCAGCCTTTTGAGTAGCTGGGACTACAGGCATGTGTCACCATGCCCAGATTATTTTTGTATTTTTAGTAGAGATGGGGTTTCACCATGTTGGCCAGGCTGGTCTCGAACTCCTGGCCTTAAATGATCTCTGCTCTCTTCAGCCTCCTGATGTTCTGGGATTACAGGCATGAGCCACGGCAACCGGCTTTATATCCCTTTTTGATGGGCAGCCTGCATTCAATGCTGGTTGAAGCAAGAGTACAAACTCTGGTACAAAGAGTACAAGAGTTCAGGACAACTCTGAAGGGTCATGCCAGTTCCAGAGCTCCCTGGATTTGCTGAGGACTCTGTTACAACTGCATCACACTTCAACTTCTCCCTCCGCCCAATCATGCTTTTTTACTCTCTTACAGACATTGTTTCTAAGGACATTCCTGTAGTAGATACTGTGATCCATTGCCCAAATGTCCCTTCAGGAACAAGGAGTTAATAGCTATGGTGCTGGGAATCTTGGGCAAACATATTCAGAGATAAGGCCTCTTCAGGGCAGCTAACACCTAATGACTGATCCAGTAGGGGTACAAAGGCACCACTCTCTCACCTCAACTTGGGATAGCACTGAAGGATCATCTTAATTCAGAAGTCCCTGCCCCAAAAAAAGGACACATTGTCTAATTTGATTCATCTCCAGAGACACAGTGTCATCATGGTCCTCCTTCTGCCCCCGTGAGATTGGAGTTTGATGAGGCCAGGTAACAAATAAATGCCTGTGTAAATTCTAGCTACGGTGGGTCCATAGACACCCCCAGTGATCCTTTCTCAAATCTCTAAGTGCATAACTAGGATTGACATACTGGCAGTCAGAGGAACCCCACTTTGTATCATTGACCTGTGGGGAAGGCCATATCATAGTGGAGAAGGCCAAGTGGAAACCTCTTGAAACCGTCCATACACCCCTTCCCCCAGCCAAGGCAGCAAATGGAGAAAAATTGCACCCTGGAGTAGAGGAATAGCAGAGATTAATGCTACTATTAAAGATCTAAAAATGCAGGGATGGTGGTCACTACTCACTCTCATATCCTCATTTAGCAGCACCAGTCTGGATCCTGCAGAAACTGGGTGATTCTGGAGAATAACAGCAGAAAACCACAGCTCAAACAAGTGATAGCCCCAGTTGTAGCTACTGTGCTGGATGTGGTTTTATTGCTAGATAAATGAGATAAAATAGGTTAATGAGATTTCAGGTACGTGGTGTGTGGTCATTGATTTGGGAAATGGATTCTTTTCTATTCCAATTAGAAAGAAGATTAGAGATAATTTGCATTCATGTGATGTGAGTAATATTCAACTGCAGCTTTGATCCAGGGCTATGCTGACCCTCTTCCTTTTACCACAATATAATCTGAAGATATTTGGATCTTCTTGAAATTTCGCTACAAGTCATATTGATTCATTCCATCAATGACATTATGCCGACTGGATAATACTCTAGAAGACTTCATAAGACACTTGCAAGATAAACACTATGAAGATTTATTGACCTCTCACTTTGATGTAGTTTGTATGGATCTAGTAGTCTGGGGAACATTGGACTATCCCCTTCAAATTAAGAGGCACATCTTGCATCCCTTATCACAAAGAAGGAAGCTCAGTGTGTGACAGGCATCTTTCATTTGTGGGTGTATAAGATAACACACTATACACCTAGAAGTACCACTAGCTTTGAGTGAGGCCCAGAGCAGGAAAAAGCTGTCCACTAAAGCAAGGCTGTGGTGCAAGCAGTTCTGTCATTCGGGCCCATGACTGACCCCAAATTTGCTGGAAATGTCAGAGGTGGGACTTACCAAATCACAAATTAGAGCAGGCCCAGCTGCTGTTCATCATAATAGTTTTTCCGAGGTTAAGCCCAAGTATGACCAGAGGGCATGAGTATACAGTACATCACTCTCCGTAGTTGCACAAGTGTTTATTTCCCAGCTTACACCTATGGCCACATAAGGGGTCTCATACGACCAGCTGATAGAGGAGGAAAAAGCATGATCTTGGTTTGTCAATGATTGGTCTCAGTATGTGTGTGCAAGCTGACTATAAACAGTGACTGTATTATAGGTACAATCCGAGTTGGCCTTGAAAGTGGAGAGTGAAATTTCCAATGGGCAGACCTGTTGTAAGTATACTGAGTCATCCACTTTTTGTGAAAGAAGTCGCCTGAAACAAAAATATATGAAAAATCCTAGATAGTGGAAAATGGCCTAACTGTCTGTTAAGGGGGCTGGAAGGAAAAGGACTAGAAGACTGAAGACAAGGAAGTCTCAGGTAGATATATGGAGGCAGAGGAAATATGAAAGTGGGCATAAAGTGTAAAGATTTTTGTATCACACGTTAACCCTCACTTGCACACATCCACCAGCAAAGAGGCACTGAGCAACCAATTATTTAACATTATTTGGACAGTTGATGTTAGCTAGTCTTTGTCATTGGCCACCCTGCAACCAGCACAAGAAATGCTATAGTGGCAGATATGGAAGCTACGTATAGGTCAACAGCATGGACTTTTTACCAGGTTCGATATAGCTATTGCCTCTTTTGAATATTCAAACTTTCAGTGGCGTAGACCAATGTGCCTACCACTAATATGGCAATATATGGCACTGATCCTCCAGGAAGACAACCCGTAACTTGGTGGCAAGTCAGCTACTTTGGGCCCCTTCTATCCAAGTAGTTGATTTGCCACCAAATCAACTATTAAATTCTGGAACGGTCAGAATTTCATTCTCACAGAGATAAATACTGGTTCCAGGAATGCAAAATCTCAGCTAGTACCACTCTCTAGGGGGCTTACAGAATTACTGACATCTAGGCCTGGACTCTCACAAACACAGCATTTGAGCAGGGAACCCACTTCAAAGAAGGAGGCACAGGAGTGAGCCCATGAATATGTTTTTTTCTCTCATACCGCATCATCCAGAAGTAGCTGATCTCATAGACCCAGATAGTTTCAATGATGAATTCTATCAAATATTTAAGGTAGAAATAGTATAAATTTTTTTTTTTTTTTTTTTTTTTTTTAGTGGAGATGACTTCTCACTCTGTTGCCCAGGCTGGAGTGCAGTGGCACTGATCATAGCTCACTGCAGCCTCAAACTCCTGAGCTTAAGGGATCCCCCGTCTCAGCCTCCTAAGTACCTGGTACTATAGACGTGTGCTACCACACCATGCTAACTTTTTAAAAATTATTATTATTATTATTTTGGAGACAGAGTCTTGCTCTGTTGCCCAGGTTGGGATGCAGTGGTGAGATCTCGGCTCACTTCAACCCCGCCTACCGGGTTCAAGCAATTCTCATGCCTCAGCCTCCCAAGTAGTTGAGATTACACATGTGCACCACCATGCCTCACTAATTTTTTTGTGTGTATTTTTGTATTTGTAGATATGGGGTTTTGCCATGTTGGCCAGGCTGGTCTTGAACTCCTGGCCTCAAGTGATCACCTGCCTTGGCCTCCCAAAGTGCTGGGATTACAGGTGTAAGCCACCACACCCAGCCTTAAAAAATATTTTGTATAGACAGGGTCTCACTATGTTCCTCAGGCTGGTCTCAAACTCATGATCTCAAGTGATCCTCCCACCTCAGCCTCCCAAAGTGCTGGTATTATAGGTGTGAGCCACCATGCCCAGCTGAAATAATACAAATCTAACACAAACTTTTTTCTTTCTTTTGAGACAGGTTATTGCTTTGTTGCCCAGGCTGGAGTGCAGTGGCACAATCATAGCTCGCTGCACCCTCAAACTCCTGGGCTCAAGGAATCCTTCCACCTCAGCCTCTTGAGTAGCTGGGACTACAGGTGCATGCCACCATGTCTGGCTAATTTTCAAATTTTTTTGTAGGGACAGTCTGCCTGTGTTGACCAGGCTGGTCTCAAGCTCCCGGACTCAAGTGATCCTCCTGCCTCAGACTCCCTCAGACTGGGATTACAGGCATGAGCCACCATGCCCAGCCTGCAAACTTCTTAAAAAATATATGAGAAGGGAACTGCCCCAAATTTCCTTCACAAGGCCAGAATTATATTGACATCAAAGCCTGTCAAATAAATTTTAAAAACAGATAATAAAACAAAGAAATAAAAAATTACAGATGAGTATTCCTCATGAACACAGATGCAAAAATTCTGTACAAAACATTAGTACATCAAATTGAGCAATGCCTAAAACGGATAATATATTATTACCAAGTAGAGCTTATCTTAGGAATGCAAGCTTAGTTCAAGGTCTTCTTCAAACCAATCAATGAAACTCACACATCAAGGAGAAAAAGAGAAAACTATGATAGTTATATTCAATATATGCAGAAAAAGCATTTGACAAAATAAAACATCAATTCATGATTAGAAACCTTCACTAAAGGAAGAATAGAATAGAAAGAAAATGCTTTAATTTCATAAAGGGCATCTATGAGAAACTTACAGATAATGTTATGCTCTTTATTGTTATGTAGTTTTTATTTCATAGTTATAAACTTAACTCTGCAATCCAGCTAGGCATAGAAAGGGAATAAGGAAAAGAGAGAACACAAAGGGAACTGCAATGAGAGTACAAAGATTATAGGATACTGAAGCATATGGGGTGGAGGGGTGCTCTCCTGAGCTACAGAAGGATTGGTCTGGTGGTTAAGTTAAAACACAAGTCAAGCTTATTAGAGTTGCCCACAGTCAGCAATGATAATCTTCTTGTTGGTCTTGCCATTCCTGGACCCAGAGCGGTCCATGGCCTCCACAATATTCATGCCTTCTTTCACCTTGCCAAAGACCACATGCTTGCCATCCAACCACTCAGTCTTGGCAGTGCAGATGAAAAACTGAGAACCGTTTGAGTTGGGTCTAGCATTTGCTATGGACAAGATGCCAGGACCTGTATGCTTCAGAATGAAGTTCTCATCATCAAATTTCTCCCCGTAGATGAACTTGCCATCAGTGCCATTATGGCATGGGAAGTCACCACCCTGACACATAAACTCTGAAATAATTCTGTGAAAGCAGGAACCCTTATAACCAAATCCTTTCTCTACAGTGCTCAGAGCATGAAAGTTTTCGTTGTTTTTGGAAATTTGTCTGCAAACAGCTTGAAAAAGATGAGGCCCAAGGACTGGCTGTTGATGGCGATGTCAAAGAACACAGTGGAATTGACCATGGTGGGTAGTACTGGGCTCCCGGTGGTGGTGGTGTCTGCAAAGCTAACATTATACTTATTGATGAAATATTGAATGTAAACTGGGCACAGTGGCTAATACTTGTAAACTCAACACTTTGGGAGGCCAACACAGGAGGATCCCTTAAGGCCAGGGATTCAAGACCAGCCTGGGCAACATGCGGAGACTCCTATCTCTACAAAAAAATGCAAAAATTAGCTAAGTGTGGTGACATATGCCTGTAGTCCAAGCTACTCAGGAGGCTGAGGCAGGAGGATCACTTGAGCCTAGGAGTTTGATGTTACAATGAGATATGACTGTGCCACTACACTCCAGCCTGGGCAACAGAGCAAGATCCTGTCTTAAGAAATAATGATAATAAAGAAATATTAAATTCTTTCACTGTAAGTCTTGAAACAATGCAAGAAAGTTTGTGTTTATTACTTATTATTTTACACTGCACTGGAGACACTAGCCAATAACATATGGCAAGAAAAAGAAATAAAATACATGTGATTGCAAAGGGAGAAATGAAACTGTATTTACTTGGAGACAACATGATTTGTTACCTTAAAAAAACTTGTTTATAAAAACCTACAAAGTCTATGTGAATAGTTAGATTGTAGGATACAAGGTCAAAATACACAAATTAACCCTATTTCTTTTTTTGAAATTTTATATATATATATATATTTTTATTATACTTTAAGTTCTAGGGTACATGTGCACAACGTGCAGGTTTGTTACATGTGTATACATGTGCCATGTTGGTGTCCTGCACCCATTAATTCGTCATTTACATTAGGTATATCTCCTAATGTTATCCCTCCCCCCTCCCCCCTACCCCACAAAAGGCCCCAGTGTGTGATGTTTCCCTTCATGTGTCCAAGTGTTCTCATTGTTCAATTCCCACCTGTGAGTGAGAACATGTGGTGTTTGGTTTTTTGTCCTTGCGATAGTTTGCTGAGAATGATGGTTTCCAGCTTCATCCATGTCCCTACAAAGGACATGAACTCATCATTTTTTATGGCTGCATAGTATTCCATGGTGTATATGTGCCACGTTTTCTTAATCCAGTCTATCATTGCTGAACATTTAGGTTGGTTCCAAGCCTTTGCTATTGTGAATAGTGCTGCAATAAACATATGTGTGCATGTGTCTTTACAGCAGCATGATTTATAATCCTTTGGGTATATACCCAGTAATGGGATGGCTGGGTCAAATGGTATTTCTAGTTCTAGATCGCTGAGGAATCGCCACACTGTCTTCCACAATGGTTGAACTAGTTTACAGTCCCACCAACAGTGTAAAGTGTTCCTATTTCTCCACATCCTCTCCAGCACCTGTTGTTTCCTGACTTTTTAATGATCGCCATTCTAACTGGTGTGAGATGGTATCTCATTGTGGTTTTGATTTGCATTTCTCTGATGGCGAGTGATGATGAGCATTTTTTCATGTGTCTGTTGGCTGCATAAATGTCTTCTTTTGAGGAGTGTCTGTTCATATCTTTCACCCACTTGTTGATGGGGTTGTTTGTTTTTTTCTTGTAAATTTGTTTGAGTTCTTTGTAGATTCTAGATATTAGCCCTTTGTCAGATGAATAGATTGCAAAAATTTTCTCCCATTCTGTAGGTTGCCTGTTCACTCTGATAGTAGTTTCTTTTGCTGTGCAGAAGCTCTTTAGTTTAATTAGATCCCATTTGTCAATTTTGGCTTTTGTTGCCATTGCTTTTGGTGTTTTAGACATGAAGTCCTTGCTCATGCCTATGTCCTGAATGGTATTGCCTAGGTTTTCTTCTAGGGGGTTTATGGTTTTAGGTCTAACATTTAAGTCTTTAATCCATCTTGAATTAATTTTTATATAAGGTGTAAGGAAAGGATCCAGTTTCAGCTTTCTACATATAGCTAGCCAGTTTTCCCAGCACCATTTATTAAATAGGGAACCCTTTCCCCATTTCTTGTTTTTGTCAGGTTTGTCAAAGATCAGATGGTTGTAGATGTGTGGTATTATTTCTGAGGGCTCTGTTCTGTTCTGTTGGTCTATATCTCTGTTTTGGCACCAGTACCATGCTGTTTTGGTTACTGTAGCCTTGTAGTATATCAGGTAGCGTGATGCCTCCAGCTTTGTTCTTTTGGCTTAGGATTGACTTGGCGATGCGGGCTCTTTTTTGGTTCCATATGAACTTTAAAGTGGTTTTTTCCAATTCTGTGAAGAAAGTCATTGGTAGCTTGGTGGGGATGGCATTGAATCTATAAATTACCTTGGGCAGTATGGCCATTTTCACGAAATTGATTCTTCCTACCCATAAGCATGGAATATTCTTCCATTTGTTTGTGTCCTCTTTTATTTCATTGAGCAGTGGTTTGTAGTTCTCCTTCAAGAGGTCCTTCACGTCCCTTGTAAGTTGGATTCCTAGGTATTTTATTCTCTTTGAAGCAATTGTGAATGAGAGTTCACTCATGATTTGGCTCTCTGTTTGTCTGTTATTGATGTATAAGAATGCTTGTGATTTTTGCACATTGATTTTGTATCCTGAGACTTTGCTGAAGTTGCTTGTCAGCTTAAGGAGATTTTGGGCTGAGACGATGGGGTTTTCTAGATATACAATCATGTCATCTGCAAACAGGGACAATTTGAATGTTGTCTTTATTTCTATATACTTGCGGCAAACAATTGGAAAGCATACAGAAGAGAACAACTCAAATTCATTTTTCTTTCTTTTTTAATTTTCTACCCTGCTAAATGAAAGATTTTCAATAGTACCAAAAAGCATAAAATACTAGAGAATAAATTTAACAAAAGATATGCCAAACCTCTGCAGTAAAACTACATATTTCTGAGAGCTATTAAAGGTGACTTAAATAACTGGGTCAGAATACTAAATATTGTCAAGATGTCAAGTCTACCTAGATTGATTAATAGATTCAATGTCATTCCAGTCAAAATGAAAACAGATTTTATTTGTAGAAATTGACATGTTTACTTTAAAATTTACATGGAAATGCATAATGCATATTGGATAACCAAAACAAATCTTCATTAGAATAAAAAAAACAAATACACTATCTGATTTTAAGACCGACTACACAGCTACAGTAATAAATGTGGCATTGTGCTGGCATAAGGATAGGCAAACAGGATCAATACACTAGAGAATCCAGCAATATTTGCATACATATATGTTCAATTCAATTTTAATAAAAGACACTGCAGCAGTTTTAACTGGGAAAGAAAAGTTTTCACCAAATCATTTTGTAAAAACTCTATAAATGTGGAGAAAATTACCTTTGATTCCTACCTTATACCATACACAAACATTAATTCAGGATGAATAAAATCCTAAATGTAGAACTAAAAGTAGAACACTTCTATAAGTAAACATAGCAAGCATAGAAATAAGCATATCTTTGTGAACTTGGGGCAGACAAATATTTAGGAAAAAAGCACTGCATAAAAGGAAAAACCTCTCTTCGTTAAAAGACGTGAATAAGAAAATGGAAGAGCAAGCCCTGACCAGGAGAAAATACTCATAATTCTCTCTCTTTCTCTTTCTCTATATGTACATGTATATTAATATGAATATATATATGAATATGAGGACTTATTTCTAGAATATATAAAAAGATCCTATAACTCACCAGATGTTGAGGAAGATGTGGAGCAACTAAAACTCATACATTTGTGGTAGGAGTGCAAAATGTTACATTTGGAAATCTGCTTGTCATTTTCTTACAAATTTATACATCCGGCTGTAATCTAACAATTATAATCCCAGGTATTTATACAAAAGAAATAAAAATACATGTCAACAAAAAGACTTGCACAAGAAAGTTTATGGCAGTCTTATACAGAAAATCTAAAAAATGAGAATCAACACCAATGTCCAGCAACAGGAAAATGGAGAAACAAATTGTGCTATATGAAATACTAATCAGTAATAAAAAGGAATGAACTACCATTAACTGAAACAACACAAATGAATTTTAAAAAGTATTATGTTTAGTGACAGAAACCAGATATAGAGAGTACATACTCTATGATTCCATTTGCATAAAGCTCTAGAACAGACTGTGGATGGAGTAAGGTGGCATGGAAATTAACCATGAAGGGCCAAGAGAACCTGAGATTATGGAAATGTTTGGCATGGTGGTTAAATGGGTGTATACAATTGTCAAAACTCAATGGAACATATGGAATAGTACATTTTGTTCTATTTAAATTTTGACCTCGAACTCCTGGGCTCAAGTGATCCTCTCGAGTAGCTGGGATTATAGGTGCAAGCCACCATGCCCAGCCCTGATTATCTACTGTTTACTTATTGATATGTGCAACAACATGGATGTATCTCAAAAATATTACGTTGAGCAAAAGAAGCCAGACACCAAAAAGAACATTACATGACTTTATTTATAGGAGGTTTAATTACACACAAAACTGATCTACGTTGATAGAAATCAAAACAGTGGTTGCCTACAGAGGGTGGGGTTTGGCTGCAAGGGAGATTATCTGGGGTGCTGGAAATATCTATATCTTGATCGTGGTATTGGTGACATGGTATAACGTGGTATAAACACGTGTGAAAACTCCTCAAACTGTATACTTATAATCTGTGTATTTTTACTACATGTACATTTTCACTGAATACAAACATTTTTATAAAAAAAGTAACATAAGTTTGCACCCATCCAAAAATGACCTGCTGTGGCAAGGATGTAGGCAAATGAGCATTCACATATCTTCCTGCAGGAAATGAAAACAGTATTAGTCTTTTAAACAAGCGATCTTTCATCTATATCTATTTAAAAAATAATAATTATGTCATCTAGTCTAGCAATCTCCTAAAAATCTACTCACTCCTAGAAATCTACTTCATAGAGGTGAAACCACTAGACTGCAAGGTCATTTAAACAATAATGTTTACTGAGACAGTGTTAGTAACAGCAAAAGAAGTGGGGACCAATGAATGTCCATCGGTTGAGGACAGCTGAATAAATTATGGTACATCTGCCTCCATGGACCGGAATACACTCATTTAAATGATGAAATGGAGTTATACTGGTTTGAGTGAGAAAAAGATATACAGTTGACACTAGAGCAACACAGGTTTGAACTGTGTGGGTCCACTTACATGTTTTATTTTTTTCAATAGAAGTTACACCAAGGAAGTGCCTTCCTCTCCTGCCTCCCCTTCCACCTCCTCCACCTTCTCCACCTCTGCTACCTCTGAGACAGCAAGGCCAACCCCTCATCTTCGTCTCCTCCTCAGCCTACTTATGAAGACAATGAGGGATGAAGACCTTTATGATGGTTGACTTCTACTTAATGAATAGAATAGTAAATATATTTATCTTCATTATGACTTTCTTAATAACATTTTCTTTTCTTTATTTCTTTATTGTAAGAATACATATATAATCCATATAACATACAAAATATCTTTTTCTTTTTTCTAGTGGTGGTGATATACATGGATTTTTGACTGTGCAGAGGGTCGGCGTCCCTAGATCCTGAGTTGTTCAAGGGTCAATTGTACATAATAATTTAACTTTTGCAAAACAAAGATAAAAGAATGCCACATATGTGTATGCACATAAATCTTATGTCTGCCTATTTAGAATTCTGTGGTCGGAAACATATGGCGTTCCTGACATAAATTACCTTAAGGAGGAGCAGTTGCTGATGTAGTGGAGCGGGAGAAAGAGGAAGAAAGAGAAAGAACAATGCAGAAAGGCTTCACTGAAAGAAAAGCATGCTTTTGATATTACATTTCTGTACGTCTGCAAAACAAATTTATGTTGTTATGTTTGTAAAGACATCTATTAATTATGTTTATTAATGTATTTTGTAAGCATGTTTATTACTAGATACCAAGCAGTATTCTACGTGGTTTCAAATAGCAATTAATTTAATCATTCCAACAGCCCTCTGAGGCAGGTTTGGTTAGTGTCTGTATTTCCAAGATAAGGAAACTGAGGCACAGAAGAGGTTGTCACAGTTACAGAGTTGGTAAGCAGCAAGTCAGGGATTTGAGTGCAGGCATTATCGGTCCAGAGTCTATCTTCTTAACTACTGCATTATGCCCCTTCTCTTTTTAATAAAAAGTAAACCAGCCATCTCCACTCTCCACTGCTTTACTCTATCCCGTAGCTTGCCATTGCACTTGGAAGCCAGTTCTAACTCCTCTGGTGGACTTTAAGGCCCCGTGACATCCAGCCTCTGCCAAGCTCTCTAGACACCCAGCCTCACTGACCTCTGTCTCTTCTTTGATTTGCCTGTTCTGCATCTTGTTCCCTTGCCTTTTTCTCAGGTCACCTTATAACTGGCTCTGTCACATCCTTCAGATCTCAGTGTAATGTCCCTTCCTTGAGGGGGCTTCCCTAACCACCTATCTAAGTAAGTCTCCTTACACCTCTCCTTTCTTTCTCTTTTTTTCTTTTTCTTTTGAGACGGAGTCTTGCTCTGTCACCCAGGCTGGAGTGCAGTGGCACGATCTCGGCTCACTGCAACCTCCACCTCCTGGGCTTAAGTGATCCTTGAGCCTTAGCCGCCTGAGTAGCAGGGATGACAGGCATGCAACGCCACGCCCAGCTATTTTTTTATTTTTTGTAGAGACAGGGTTTCGCTATGTTGCTTAGGCTGGTCTCAAACTCTTGAACTCAAGTGACCTGCCCACCTCAGCCTCCCAAAGTGTTGGGATTACAGGCATGAGCCACCACACCCGGCCTCCCCTATACCTATCATAACAAACTCTTCGTCTTCTTCATACTACTGAATGCAGCCTGTACTTATTTGTGTTATTTGCTTACTGTGTATCTATCTCCTCTGTGCAGTATAAGCCCCAGGGGGCAGGGTCTTTTTAAGTCTTGGCCTCCATTGTATCCCCAGCACTTGCCACAGGGCTTGGTTAATAGCGGGTACAGAAGAAATTTTTTTAAAATAAATAAATACATGAATGAAAGGCAATACTGAAAGGTGAGGAAGGGTTTGGTTCTGAAATCAGACAGACCAGAGTTTGACTCAATCCTCTAAGATTGGCAGACTTGTGAAACCTCTTGAAACATGTATTGTCATCTGTGAAAGGGAGATAATAATAGTATGTACCCCATAGAGTTGTTGCGAGGATTAAATGAGATAAATTATCTACCATGCACATCGTAACCCCTAATGCATCATAGCTGCTATTATTACAGCCATCAGTATCATCATGCTGAGGCTGCTTCACAGGCCATTGTCCAGCCCGTGGGGTGACAGAGCTTGGATCAGATCCTATCACTTTTCCAATCAGCTTAGGCTTGGCAGGTAGGATTTGGGGAATAACTTCTAGCTAAGCCTGTGTGTGGAGCAGGCACATGATTGTCATGCCCGTAATAGTGTTGAAAACCAGGAACATTTTCTAGAGAGCCACTTTCTCCTCCTCCCTTGTTTTTCCTAGCCTTCTTTCAGTTCCCTTCCCTTTCTTGGTATTGCTTTTAATACAGCCTGAATTAAGCCAGTCCTCTGCTTAGCTCCCTTTCTGCCATTGGAAAGCATCTTTGGGAGTGTAAGGGATTCTGTTCCTTCAGTTGATAGAGCATGCTTCACAGAGACAGGTATTTGAGGTTGTGTTAAGTTAGGTTAACCAGACTTTGAAGGAAACACACAGTAGCTTAATCATAGCACAGAGATGATAACCTCATGGTTTTCTCTTCTTCCTGGGTCTCAGGAAGCGACGGCTACTCCACCCTTCCCAGTGGTTGCTGGCAGAAAACATTGATGTCGATTAGTATATAGGGTATATACAGAGAGTGATGGAAAAGAAAATGCAAATAGGAGCTAAGATATTTTCACAGTGGAAAACAATTGGAAACTGGAAAATAAGAGAGGATGGCCTCAGGAGGTCTTGAATGCCTTATGTTTATTCAAGGTGAGGGGCAGAAGCTATTGGTTCTCTCGAGATTAGCCAGAGAAGACTTCCTGGAAAAGTACCGAATTATCCAGTTGGCCATGGGTGCCAACTCCTAAAGACTTCCTGCCTCCTGCTTTTTTGAACTTATTTTGTAGTTGTCTGAGCATATTGTCTTGTATATGTGATGCTGTCCTCTTTTCCAGGAATGACTTTTCTATTCTGTATTCCCTTAACTGCCTTAGGAACTCCTGTAACTTTTCTGCGACTAGCCTCAGTACCTAGCACAGTGCCTGACACATTATAGTCATTTCCTAAATGTTTGCTGAATGAATGATGGATATCCAGAAAGAAAAAAAAGTTAAATGTTGGGTGCATACAAATCTCTGGAATTAACTATCCCGAAAGATGTGGGTGTGTTGGCTCACACCTGTAATCCCAGTGCTTTAGGAAGCTGTGGTGGGAGGATTGCTTGAGGCCAGGACTTCCAGACCAGCTTGGGCAACAGCTAGACCTTGTCTTTACAAACTATAAAACAATTAGCTGGGCTTGGTGGCATGCACCTGTAATCCCAGATACTCGGGGGGCTGAAAGAGGAAGGATTATTTGAGCCCAAGAGTTTGAGGCTGCAATGAACTATGATTGTGCTACTGCACTCTAGCCTGTGCAACAGAGAAGACTCTATCTCTTAAAAAAATTATCCCAGAAGATTATATAAGTTAACTAAGGAAATATGTCAAAAGAAAGGCTAGACATAGTCTTGGGGGATAGTGGCATCCTGGGTGACAGAGGAGAGCTTGAGTTGGCAGGGGTTTGAGGGGATAGGAAACTGGAGGTTGTGTCCTGCACAGAGAGTCTGGTAGAGGGAAAGTAAACAAGCTCTGATATCCAGAACTCCTTTTACTAGCTTAAGCTAAGTAAAGGTTAAGCTTAGGTTAAGCTGTACTCATCATTCAGTGGTGGCTGAAAGTGGCACCTGAAGAAGCTCTTGGGCTTGCCTCAGAGGGACATCTTTAAAAGGAGCACCAATTGTTATCTTTTCTGAGATGGTTTCAGTGAAGTCAAGGTTGAATGGAAGGACGTATACTGACCACTAAATCTCTTACAACTCTTTGTTTTTATCTGATGGTAGGATTTAAAATTTACATGTACTGAATATTCATATATGCAGTCAGTCTTAGATTATCCCAGGGCAGAGTGCATATATTGATTGGGTTAGTGGCCCATCACAATCATTTTTGATTTCAAGCTCTTGCTAAGATAATTACAGACTCTGTAATTAATCCCTTTGTTGAAATTATTACTGTCAGTGATTATTCTGACATGGAGTTAATGCAAGGATGCTTTTCTCTTGCAAAGCAGTGTTTCCCTTCTCCTTTCCACTGATTGGCATTTCAAGAAGAAAGAAGGCAAGCAACACCTTTATGTATTAGTCTGAAGAGACTGCTGTTTAGGAGAAGCACATGGCACAGTGGAAAGGAGACAGACTAGGTGTCTGTCATTCATTTAACAGTTATTGAGCTCAATAACTCAATAACTGTTAAATAATATTAGCAATAATAACTATTGAGTTCAATAACTCAATAAGTGTAATAAGTACAGGCTAGGTGCCTTAGGTTCAAATCCTAGCTCAGTCATTTACTAGCTATGTGACCTAGGGTGACTGACCATCCCAGTTTGCCCAGGACTGTCCTGGTTTTAGCACTGAAAGTCCTGCAGTCTGGGAACTCCCTCAATCCTGGACAAACTGGGACAGTTGATCGCCCCAGTTAGTCACTTGCACTTATCTATAAAATACGGAAATTTCTTATTTTTTGTATCGTGAGTTTGGTGTGAGGGTCAAATGAGATAATGTGAAAGAATTTTGTAAATTATAAACTGCTATATAGACATAAAATACATTCCGCTTGTCTTGTTTTCTTGTCTCAGGTACATGTAGCAAAAAGCTTGGCTATAGAACTGAATTTGACACTAGGGCTAAGGCAGGCACTGAGGGATGGGGGACCCCTGGACTCCTCAGGCTCTGGGAAAGTTTCCATCTGACTGCAAAGTTTGGGGCCTGAGGGGACAGCATATTGCATCAGAATCCAGCAGGCAAATTGTAAAGAGATCCATACAAGCTGGCAGTGGGCTTCTGGTATGTTCTCAAAGCACAGTTGTCTGCAAGTAGGCACCAGGGCAATAGCCATAGGCCTGACAGCTTAGGAATCTCTTTGGGAGGGGATTGGCAAGAGCAGCCCAGGTGTTCTAGCAGAGGGACCTGGAGTATTGGGACAATACCTATAACAGCATGAACAGGACCAAAACAGGCACCAAGGCAGAGCCCTGTTACCAGACCAAGACCCAAGGCTGAGGATGGATCCTTAGTCAAGATGACTCAAAGCTGGGCCCCAGAATGTGAGGCTGAGGATGGAGGTAGGAAGAAGTGTCTGTGAGAGGAAGATGGGGTAAGAAAAGTAGATTTTACAACTCGGCTGCAGACAGACCTTAGCTGCACGGTTTTACTATCTTTTTACAGTTTGATATTCCAGAAGAGCTGATTACACACTCCCAACTCTGTGTTTGTATCACTTTTTAAAAACTGTCTTCTCATTACTTTTCTGTTTATTTTAAAAATGATATTCAGCACATTTTTTTTCAAAGAATTCACACCATGTGCCACATCTGGGGAACAGTGAACAAACACCTCCCATGTGCTAGGTCATGAGCTCACATCGCTGTGAGGCAGGTATTATTTCTCCCATTTTATACGCAGGGAAATAAGGTTCAGAGAAGTCAGCTAACTAACATAAGTTTACCCAGTAAGTCATGAAGTTAGGATTTGAACTCAGTTCTGACTTATGCAAAAACCTACGGTCATTCCATTCAGGGATCCAGCTTCTCAGTTGGAGTCCTCAAAGAATGAGTGAGATAATGCATCACTCATTCAGGTTATCACCCTGTCCACAGTTGGGTTACTTGTTTTTCTTATAAGCATGTATTGTCTCCCTCATTTACCGAACCCACCATGATTATAAACTTCTCATTTGGATCCAAATCATCATCAATCCAGAAAGTCCTTGGAGTCAGTGCCACTTACAGTGCTGGTCTGCAGACTGTTACCGTTTCACAAAGATAAGGGACTTGGGCCAGAATGTAAATCAAATACTTCACTAAGCACACTGTGTAGTATGACTGACTTATTTTCCCCCCTAAAGCAAGACTTTTTATGATGAAGCAATAAGTGCCTGCCTTGACTTTACATTCTGGCACAAGTTCTTTATCTCATAACAGATCAGGAAAAACAGTTGGAGGACAGACATTGGTCCAGAAGTTGGCATTTGCCCAAGGACAACACTTTTGAGTAACGCTGCTGAAGTTAACATCCCCTCTCCTTCTTACCCCTTGCTGTCATCAACTGTGGATAATTGTACCAGCCTCTCAGATGGTCTCTCTGCTTCCAGTATTTCTCCTCTAATGTATTCTCCGCTCTGTTGCCAGAGAAATCTTTCTTAAATGCAAACTTGTTTGTGACACTTGTGTACTTAAAACCCTTCAATGGCCCCCACTTTCTCCTAGATAAAGTCCAAACTCCTTCACAGGGGGCCTGGCTTTGCTGATCCTCGCCAGCTTTATTTCCTTCTAGGTTCCAGTTTTGCTGAGTCCCGAGTAGTTGCATACGTGAGCCACGTTCTCACATCACGACTTTGTATGTGCTGTTCTGCAGTCCCTGTTGCTCTCTGGCCCTCTTCTCTCCCTCCTCGCCCCGTCTCACACACAGGCATTCTCTTGGCCTGGCTAATCTCTACTGATCCTTTAAACAAGAACTTCCAAGGGATATGAGAATAGAGGTGGGATTTGTAAGATTTTATTGTTTCAGATTTAGAAGTTGGATAGGTGGAGAGGAGCAGGGAAGACCATGCAGTAGGGATTAGGGAGCAGAATTATGGAGATCATTTAGAAGGCTGTTGCCAGACCTGTGGTGAAAATTGCCTGGGAGTGAGGCAAGGAAAATAAGGGATGTGGTGTGGAGAAAAGCTTCCCCCTAAAGCAGTATTGGTGGCCCCTGGCAATCAATCACAGGTGGAGTGATTGATTCTGAGCAAAGAGGTAATGCAACATGGTAAACAGAGACAGTTCCTACAGACAGACTTTTCTGGGGTGCTTTGGCAGTGGCCAAAGGCCTTGGAAGACTTGGAAGAAGGACTTCCCACTTTGGCTGCTGAAGTACTCCTGTCTCTGAAGGGCTTGAAAGCACTACTATTAAGCAAGGAATGGCTACTGCTAGCCTGGGAAAATGGTGGTGGGCTTGGCAAGTTGCAGGAGGCAATTAAATTGTATCCATCCCCTCCTCCCACACGCTCTGAGTTTGGAGGCTGTGGACCGCAAGGATGTCAGCTCTAAAAACATTTGACAGCCCTGGGGAGAGTCTCTGGTTCTTCCTTATCCATGACAGGCAAGGCAGACCACAGGTCACAGTTTCTCCCTGGCCTCTGTTAGCCTCTGATAAGCAAAACCTTCGGTGGGGAGAAATTGTTCTACTTTTTTACTTACTCAGATATAGTGAAATGTGTGCTTTTTCCCACTTCTGGGAAGCTAAGATTTATTAGAATCTGCAGATTGCTTCCTTCAAGTAAACATTATATAAAAGGGTCCTAGTTTCCTAGTGGGAGTTTAGTTTGTAGGCTAGTTCTACAAAGAGATAAATAGGGGTTTGTCCATTGTGTGCTCTCCAAATGCTCTATAAAGATTAACTCATTAATCCTCAGCCTCCTTGTGAGGATTGTTATCCTTCTTTTTCAGCCGTGGAATTGGGACGAAGTGCTGCACGGAGGGGCCTTGCCCAAGGCTACGCAGCTGGTAGACGGGGAAATGAGGCGGTTGCCGGCCGCCTCGCAGGCAGCTTTCCCTGTGAGGAAGGAGGTGCCTCGGGCCTCTGAAGAGGTAGCTGGGATAGCCTGAAATGAGCTGCTGAAAGCCCACGCTTCAGAAAGACAAAAAGCAAGCAAAACACACTGATGTGGTTGACACTCGCTGAGGATGTGCGATAACACAGACAGTGCCCGGGTTGAAGTGGGCCTTCCAGAGTTCCGTGGCAGCCGTGAAAGGAAAGTTAAATGAATAATGGCAATAACATTGTAAAGGAATGCTTCAGTACCTGAAATGTAAAGTGCATGAATGCTTACCAAAATTTGTCGTATTGTTATACTATTGCCTTATGTTTGTACGGTGCTTTCCAGTTCTGAAAGTGCTTTCACATGTTAAATGATTTGCTCACAATAGTTTTTCAAAGCAAATAGGTAGATATGGGTGGAATGACGTCTCCCCCTTCCCAAATTCATGTGTTGAAACTCTAAGCCCCAGTACTTCAGAATGTGACTGTATTGGGACACAGGGCCTTTAAAGACTTGAACAAGCTAAAATAAGGCCCTTAGCGTGGCCCTAATTCAATCTGACCAGTCCTTAGCAGAAGAGGAAATGAGAACACACAGATAGACAGCAGAGGTGCCAACATAACAGAGGAAAGGCCACGTGAAGACACAGCAAGGAGGTGGCCGTCTCCAAGCCAAGGAGAGAGGAGAAACCAAACCCGCTGACACCTTGATCTTGGACTTCCAGCTTCCAGAGCTGCAAGAAATAAATTTCTGTTGTTTAAACCACTCAATCTGTCATCTTTTGTTATGGCAGCCCTAGCAAACTAATATAGTAGACCATTTTGGAACACCTTTAAACATGTTAGAAATACTCATTTCTAACTAGAAAATATTAGTCACATAACAATTAGTTACATAACTTCCATACTGTCTCAGTAATAATAATATTAAAGATGACTCACACCTACTGAGCCTTCACCGTGTGCCAGACACCATGTAAATGTCCTACTTCATTTAATCCTCATAAAATGCCTCCAAATAAACAAATAGGGAAGAAGAAATAGCTCTTCCTTACAGTAGAATTTCAGTTGATACATGTAGAAGGAATCAGAAAAATAGAAGATTAATATTTGGCAAATGCCATAGTAGTAATTGCTGTAGGCAAGCCCCATGGATGGATACTATAATTAGTTGGTGAAAGTATGAGAAATAGAATATTTGTATAGTCTCAAAGTATCTCCCTAAAAGATATTTACTAATTACAAAGGGAAAAAATAGTAAGCTTAACAGTGGAGAAACCCAACATACATCACTTTAACCAAGTGGTCAAGAATAACCTCATCAATAATAGGACATACCAAGATCATGTACCTCCAGATATGATGCACTGAGAAGGGCACAATATCCTATTTGTGCCATTCTTGCCAAAAATGCATAACTTCAATCTATTCATGAGAAAACCTGGGGGACATTTTGAAAATAACTGTCCTGGATTTTCCAAAACTATCACTGATTGAAGAAGATGAAGAAGATATAATAGCTAAATGCAATATGAGATCCTGGATTGGATCAAAAAAAAGAAATCTGTGGGAAAACTGGTGAAATTCAAACAAGGTCTGTAGATTTGGTTAATATTGTTGTATCAATGTCTATTTCCTGGTTTTGATAATTGCATTACATTTATGTAAGATACTAATATTTCAATAAACTGGGTGAAGTGTATATAGAAACTACAATTTTTGCAACTTTACTGTAAGTCTAAAGTTATTTCAAAGTAGAATTTCTTAAAAAAACCTTCATGTTCTAATGAGTGTACAGTTTCCGTTATGCAAGATGAATAAGTTTTAGAGATCTGCTGTGCAACATTAATGTATTGTGCACTTATGAATTTGTCAAGAGGGCAGATCTCATGGTAAGTACTCTTACCACAGTAAAAAACAAACAAATAAAAATCCCTTTTAACTAGGTGCTATTAATATTTTCTCAAGTAAGTTGGCTTACTCAGGGTGAGACAACTTGTTAAGGGTGGAGCAAAGCTATGTACTCAGGCTGTCTGACTCTAGAGCTTATCCTGTACCCTATGATATATCCTCTTAGTACTTTTAGGAGACAGTGGAATTGTTAGCTTAGTTTTAATTTTTCATAGACTTGTATTCCTTTAGTCCTATGTTATAAAAAGCTTTTTCTAAATCATCCTGCCTCCCTTTAGTCCATGTGGAGGAGATTCTGGCAGAGTTGTTGAGTCAGAAGAAATACAAGCATGAGTAGGACACTGTACTGGAAACCATTGCCCACACAAAGAAGTAGCCGACTTCTCTGCTCTCCTCAGGAACTTACAAAGAGCTGAGACAGACAAAAGACAACTAACAATACAGAGCAGAAAACAAGCACCAACAAAGTAGTAGAGGCTCTGTGTGCCATGGGATGTTAGAGGAGAGAGGCCTGGTATAAGCTTCCTGATGGAAGGAGGAGGTGACATTTGACCTGAGCCTTCAGGAATGAGAAAGATTGCCAAAAAAAAAAAAAAAAAAAAAACAAGAAAAAGAAAAAGAAAAAAGGAAAACCATGGGGAAGAACATTGTAGATAGATAGAGAAATTGCAGCCATCGGAGGTCTGTTGCCTTGCCACCTGTTGCCCCTCATGTGCAGCAAGTCAATAGATCGAGACATGGGGTTGCAGCAGAGAATGAGGTTTAATAACAGGACCACCAAATGAGGACATTGGAAGGAACCTCAAATCCACCTCCTAAAGGAATTTGTGGCTAGGGGTTATAGAGGTTTGGGAGTAGGCTGAAATTTGGAGATCATTGATTGATCAAAGAGTGGAGGGTGAAGTCAGGGCAAGGAGATGAAGAAGCTGTATTTTCATGCCAATTCCATTCCTCCTCAGTGGGGGTCTTCAAACTGGTTAGCATCAGCTATTTTGCTGGAATTTGGGATCTGAAAAACATCTTAAACGGTTCCTAAACAAAAGCCTTATGATTCTAATGTCAGAGATCCTGTCTACAGGAGCAGTGGAGATGCAAATCAATTCTTAAAGTCTTATGATCCTAATGCCAGAAATACTATCTAGGCTGGGCTGAGAGACTGAGGCAGGAGGATCGCCGGAACCCAGAAGTTTGAGACCAGCCTGGGCAACGTGGCAAGACCTTAATTCTACAATTAAAAAAAAAAAATTAGATGAGCATGGTGGCATGCACCTGTAGTCCCAGTTACCCTGGAGGCTAAGGTGGGAGGGATCACTTGAGCCCAGGAGGTCAAGGCTGCAGCAAGCTGCGATTGTGTCACTGCATTCCAGCCTGGGTGACAGAGTAAGACCCTGTCTCAAAAAAATAAATTAATAAATTAATAATAATAATAAAAAAAGAAATCCTATCTATAGGAACGATGGGGATGCCAATGATCAATATCTAGTGCTACGTTATTTTCAGCAACAAGAAAGTGGATCAAATTACAGCTTGATTAATATTTCATTACATCTATATTTCTGTTCAGAACCCAGCATGCAATTCTTGTCGACTCTGTGAGGACAGTTCCAAAATGACTTAGGGAAAAATAAATGGAGGGCCGAGCATGGTGGCTCATGCCTGTAATCCCAGCACTTTGGGAGGCCGAGGTAGGTGGATGATCTGAGGTCAGGAGTTTGAGACCAGCCTGGCCAAGATGGCGAAACCCTGTCTCTACTAAAAGTACAAAAATTAGCTGGGGGTGGTGGCGGGCTCCTATAATCCCAGCTACTCAGGAGGCTGAGGCAGGAGAATTGCTTGAACCCAGGAGGCGAAGGTTGCAGTGAGCCGAGGTTGCGCTACTGCTCTCCAGCCTGGGGGACAGGAGATTCCATCTGAAAAAAAAAAAAAAAAGCATGCACATGCACCTGTAGTCGCAGCTACACAGGAGGCTGAGGGAGGAGAATCTCTAGAAACCTGGGGGCAGAGGTTGCAGTGAGCCGAGATCATGCCACTGCACTCCAGCCTGGGTGACAGAGTGAGACTCTGTCTCCAAAATAAATAAATAAATAAATGGAGGTGGAAAAGCCCAAGAGAGTTGACCAGACCAGCTAGACTGCAATGCACAGTCACTGTGTATTTCAGACAAAGATATTCTAGCAGGGATCCCAATCTCAAATGCCTTCCAGGGCCATACACATGTGTGGGGCATGGAATAAGATATTGAAGAATGATGGGAGTTCTGGCAAATTAGAGAGGGCTTGCCAAAAAGCATTACAGATTAAAACAAAACAACAAAACCAAATACTACCCTAGACAAACACATTGCTGACCAGATTCTGCCCAAAGGCTGTTGATTTGAGCCTACTTGTGACATAAACTAAAACATTCTTAGCTGTTACAATGGTAGCACAACTTATCAAACGAATGAATTATTTGGAGCTTTGTACTAAGGCTGTGTATTCAGATGTGTAGTCAGTTGTGTGATATTAATTCATTGTTACACTTTCTAAGGGTTCTAGGTCAGCAGCAGTATTGTTGTTAGGACATTACTGCCACCTAGTGGTCATTAGGGCTGTGCCAGCACCAAAGAAATCTGTGTATGGAGCTTTCATCTTCCAAATGTTTGTCTTGTGACGCATGCCACAAAACACTCAGATAAGCTACATAAACCTTTTTATACTGCAGTGGTAAACAGCTCACAAGTGGTGAGGACTGTTGCTGTTGTATAATTAATGTTGTGACTGGGCGGCTTGTGTTTACTTAGTTGGTGTCTGGTCCGTACATTTTTTTCTGCCGCTGTTGTTGTGTTTGTACTAATGCTATCTCTTTGGCATAGGTATAGAAGTTCATCAAGTATCTGAGAGGCTGTGTTGAAAGGATTAAATGTTTGAGGGGGCAAAGAAAAAAAAACACTGGAGAAATAATCAGATTTTGATGTATATGTTAGCTGTGTGACTTTGAACAAGTCACTGGGTCTCTCTCTCTATCAGTTCTGGCTGCTCAAAAATGTGCGGTTGGACCAGATGTGGTGGCTTACCCCTATAATCCCAGCACTTTGGGAGGCCAAGGAGGGAGGATTGCTTGAGGCCAGGAGTTCGAGACCAGGCTTGGCAACATAGTGAGACCTGTCATTACAAAAAATAAGAAAACAAAAATGTGGGAGTGAAATGGTTTAGCAGTTCTCCACCAAACCCCATGTGGGGGAGGCGTCGTCTGAGGAACATCATGGGTTTAGAAATCTTCATGGATCTTTGTCTGGGTGTGAGGGCTTGGGATGAGGGGAAGAGGTTGAAAAGGAAGGTCCAGACTGTTTTAACCAGAACAGGCCCCACTATAAAAAGTTAATTCAAAAAATTTTATTTTTGAATAGGTAATCCATGTAAGTGATTCAAAATTCAAGAGGTAGAAAAGAGCACATAGCAAAAAGTCTCCTCACTAATCTGCCCCACATTAGAGTAAACCAATGTCACAATCTATTATCTATATTTTTGGAGATATTCCCCCATATTGCCCCACCTCTTTCTTTTATTAACACAAATAATAACATCATACACAGTTCTATAATGCTTCTTTTTATCTATTTATATATTGCAGTTTCATATAACATTTCACTTATTCTTCAGTATGCTCAGACATAGATATATAAAATTTGACTAGATGCTCTAGAAATCTCTTTTGTAAGGGCATTGACCCTTTTTTACTTTTACTCTTTTAAATGTTTTTAGAGACAGGGTCTCACTTTGTCACCCAGGCTGTAGTGCAGTGGTGTGATCATAGCTCACTGCAGCCTTGACCTCCTGGGCTCAAGAGATCCTTCTGCTTCCAGAGTTGCTGGGATTACAGGCATGAGGCACCATGCTTGGCAGCATTGACTCTTAAGCTCACATTTTTAATCTAATATAAAATAAATGATCCATAGATTTGTAGCTATGCAGAGACAAAAACCATTTGTCTTGGTGTCAGACCTCCGAGAGACAGGAAGAGAGTGAGCCCTAGGAGAAGGCCTCTTTCAATATTTTCAGCTACAAGGCTTGTTTGACTGCTGTTAACCATAATCCGTAATCATGATCCACAGTAAGCAAAGCATGGGGGAGCACAACAGCACAGAAGCTGCTCCATAGGCTGAGAACAATGGCTCACACCTGTAATTCCAGTACTTGGAAGACTGAGGCAAGAGGTTCGCTTGGCCTAGGAGTTTGAGGCCAGCCTGGGCAACATAGCAAGACCTCATCTTTATTTTAAAATAAATAAATAAATAAATAAATAAATAAATAAATAAATAAATAAGAAAGAAACTGCTCAGGCACAGTGCTGGATGTATCCACAGCTGTAAACGAATTTGAAGGTTTGGGAAGGATAGAGTAAGAAGGTGAGGAGCAATCACTTTAGAAATCTTGTTACATTTTAAGTTAAGTAGAGATAGACTGCTTCTTCCACAGATTTCTCTATTGGATTTTTTCTTTCTTTCTTTCTTTAAACAGGATCAAATTTCCCTTAGAACAGCGACTCTCAACCCTAATTGCACGTTTGAATCATCTGGGAGCTTTCAGAAACTCCCACAGTCAGAGCCCCATCTGTAGGATTCTGATTTAATTTGTTTGGGGGGGTGAGGCTTAGCACCTGGCATTTTTGGAAAGCTCCGTAGATGATTCTAGATGCAGCCAGGTGACAACAGAGCTGTAGCTTCCGAGTGACTGGCTAGTGATGCAGCTCCTTTCTGCTCTACTGGGTGGTTGTCTCCAGGCAAATGGCCCAGATTCCTTCTCTGCTTCCTTCCTTTAACCTTCCCTTTCTGCCTTCTTTTTATTGCATGATCACTATCTGTCTTGGATTGTTGCTTGTTTTGATGTTTATCAGTCTCTGGAGCATACAGATCCCCCTCAGGTAGTCTGAGCTGGAAACTGTCAACTCCTACCCTTTGCAGTTTCTCTCAGATTCAGCTACTAAACATGTCACCTGAGGGCTGTGGTTCATAAGTTCTAGGTCGGAGGTTCTTAGACTAGCAGCATCAGCACCACCTCAGAAGTTCTTAGAAAATCAAATTCTCAGCCCATCTCAGGTCTAATTTAGCTCACTAAATTAGAAACTTTGTGGGTGGGACTAAGGGTATTTTATTGGTAGCCTTGAACCACAAGCTTGTAGCATTTGGAATTAGTTGTGCTGTCATGGGTGCTCTATCTTGAGGCTTTGGTATGCATGTTGGGCACCCAGAGGCTGAACAAGTTGCAATCTTCCTTCAGTGCCCCCACCATTTCCATCTTACCTTGGTGCTAGAGATAAACTGGGCTTCTTTCCTGATTTCTCTCCTTTGCACCTGAGCACTCCACGATGCTAGGTCCTTCCCAAACTCAGTCCATGCACCCCTACCCCCACCATCCTCATCCCCTGTAACTCCTGATCCTAGGAGAGACCTCTCCAGTTCCCCCAAGCGAGAAACAGATTTTCCCAAGGGGAGTGCCTGGAAGACTTTATGTTTATACTTAGTAACTTCATTTGCCAGACTGCCCAGCAGGACTAAGCCTCTTCCTCCTTTGTGGCTTTGCTGATGACTCTGCTCTGAAGCCTGATGATTTAACTAATTGGTGCTAAATTTTCCTGTACAGAGACATGATTTTATCAGCTGTAATTATCAAGCAATGGGACCTGATTTGGTTTTAAGCAGTCCTAGAACTTAAGCACCTCAGTGAATGTTGTCCTTCAAAGTAGTTATCAGGGGAAGCCACCCACTTATTCTAACAAGGCTGTCATTGTTGAAAATCTGACTGAAAACACTCTCCTGGGTCTGATGCAATCCAGAGTCTGATGTTTGTGCTCCTGCCTGATCGGGTTGCATCTTCCACCACCATCTCCCACGTGCCCATTGCTTTAACCACACAGCAGTTTCCTATTTCCTGAACTTACCCTGCACTTTCACATCTCCATGACTTTGTTATTCTTATTCAGCTTGGATTGCTCTTTTTATGCCTTTCTTTCCTTATTAAAATTCTGTTTTTCCTCCAACGGCCAACTAAGATGCTACTTTTCCTATGATGCTTTTCCTTATTCTTCAAATCAAAAAGATGGCTTGCTTTCTTCTCACATGTCATAGTATTTCACTTTTGCTGGTAATGAAGCATGTTTGCTTGAGTAAGTATTCCCTTCTAATGTACGCTTCTTGACAGCAGGGACCATGGAAACCATCCATTCCTCTTTCAGTGTCCAACACAGTAAGAGGTTGACAGCTGTCTATGAAGAGCCTCCATAAGGAACCAAGTGAGGAAATCAATTTATTTAGTTTATGTGTTTATTGAGTTTACCTATTTAGTTTATTTATCACTCTGTCACCCAGGCTGGATGGCACAATTATAGCTCACTGTAGCCTCAACCTCCTGGGCTCTAGGGATCTGCCTGCCTCAGCCTCCTAAGTAGTTGGGACCACAGGCACATGTCACCATACTGGGCTATGGTTTTTTGTTTGTTTGTTTTTGTTTGTTTTGTTGTTTGTTTTTTGTTTGTTTGTTTGTTTTCAATGGAGTCTTGTTCTGTTGCCTAGGATGGAGTGCAGTGGCACCATCTCTGTTCACCACAACCTCCACCTCCTGGATTCAAGCAATTCTCCTGCCTCAGCAGGACAATTGTAATCCCAAGTAGCTGGGATTACAGCCGCCCATCACCACACTCAGCTAATTTTTGTATTTTTAGTAGAGAGGGGGTTTCACTATGTTGGCCAGGCTGGTCTCGAACTCCTGGCCTCAGGTGATCTGCCCACCTCAGCCTCTCAGAGTGCTGGGATTACAGCAGTGAGCCACCGCACCCGGCCTACTGGGCTAATTTTTAAAGTTTGTTTCTAGATACAAGGTCTTGCTGTGTTGCCCAGGCTGGTCTTGAGCTCCTGGCCTCAAGCGATACTCCCACCTTGACCTCCCAAAGTGTTGGGATTATAGGCATAAGCCACCATGTCCAGTTTATTTAGTTTATTATTTAAAAATGGTATTATACCGTGTCTGATCACTACTTTAATCACTGTAATTAGGAACAAAGGACTTTAAGCTATTTCACACAATCATTCATCTTAAAGGATAAAGATTCAATGAATTTTAGGAATAAAGAAAAAATGTGTCAGGCGTGATGGCTCACACCTGTAATCCCAGCACTTCGGCAAGCTGAGGTGGGAGGTTTGCTTGAGCCATGGGGGGGTGGAGGTTGCAGTGAGCTGAGATCATACCACTTCACTCCAGCCTGGAAGACACTGTCTCAAAAAAAAAAAAAAAAAAAAAAAAAAGTTAAAGAAACGATATATCCCTAAGCACTAGCAGCTGGGACTAAGTATATAACCTCCCAGTAAAATACTTTGAAGGGGGACAGTGTGCCTTTTCTTTGTTAAAGGCCCTTCCTGTTGCTAGAAGCATATCCTCTGTGATATTAATGTATTTTCAAAAGGGCTTTGAGCTCCTGCAGCAGAAAAAAGTGCTACAAAGTCTAGCAGCATCTCAGAAAATTGGGACAGATGGCCTCAGGTTTCTCTACGTCAGTGCATCTCTGTGGTTTCAATTTTTTGACCACCAAAAGGAGGAATTGGATTTGATGAACCCAGTGGTTGCAGTGGCTCTGGGAAAGCAATGTGGTTGAAATTTTATGCTTCAGTTGGAAGGGAGCACCCAATGCCATGCTCAGGACTTTTCATTGTGGTATTTGGTCTTCTTTTCTTTTTTTGCTGTGGGTCTTATTTTACTAATGCTGCATGAGAACATTTCATTGCCCTATTTATCTTCCCAGAATCTAACCTGGTCTTGAGTCATATTTGGTGTGCTCTGATTTCCAGGCGAGTCCACGCACCACAGACTTGCCTTTCTGCGGTGGTGAAGAATCCCCCTGATGACTGTGGTACCCCACATTGTAACCTTCTAACTCCTCCCCCATCTATGACTCACTATTTCCTGCCTTAGTGCCCTCCCCCTATTTTCCCTATAATGTAACAATTTTCCCTAAATTGTCCCCTCTTTATTGGAAAGTTTCTTTCTCTTTCCATTGGTTCCAGGATTGTTTCAAAATCAGCTTCTTCCAGGAATACTTCTCTGATAAATTCTCGCCTATTTTAGCTGGGCATGGTGCATCATTCCTGTAATCCTAGCACTTTGGGAGGCCGAGGCAAGTGGATCCCTGGAGGTCAGGAGTTTGAGACCAGCCTGGCTAACATGGTGAAACCCCGTCTCTACTAAAAATACAAAAAATAGCTGGATGTGGTGGTGGGCACCTGTAATCCCAGCTACTTGGGAGGCTGAGGCAGGAGAATCTCTTGAACCCGGGAGACGAAGGTAGCAGTGAGATGAGATTATGCCACTGCACTGGAGCCCGGGTGACAGAGTGAGACCCCGTCTCAAGAAAAAAAAAATTCTAGCATATTTAATTTTTATTGTCTGAGAATTTATACATTAAGCCTAGAAGTTTCATTATAGAATTTCTTTTGTTGTAACAGTTGTGAAGCTATTTTGTCTTATCAGACATATTATCAGGTAAAGAGATGAATTAAGATCTAATTCCTTGTGTCACATGAGCACCTCCCTTGCCCAACACCTTTTAGGCTGACGTAACAAATCTTTGGGAGTTCAGGATTATTATTTTTTTCTTTTTTTGAGACAGAGTCTCACTCTGTTGCCCAGGCTAGAGTGCAGTGGCGGGATCTCAGCTCACGGCAAGCTCCGCCTCCCGGGTTCAAGTGATTCTCCTGCCTCAGCCTCCCAAGTAGCTGGGATTACAGGCGCGCACTACCATGCCCAGCTAATTTTTGTATTTTTTTAAATAGAGATGGGGTTTCACCACGTTGGTCAGGCTGGTCTCAAACTCCTGACCTCATGATTCGCCTGCCTTGGCCTCCCAAAATGCTGGAATTACAGGCGTGAGTCTCCTCGGCCAGCCTGGAGTTCAGGATTATTGAGAGGGAGGGACGAGAAGTTGCCTTTGTTGAAAAAAAGAGTTTACCTTGTGGAGGATTAGCTTCCCTGATGTAGGAAGGGTGTCTGGTAATAGAACATTCTGAGGGTGTCATGGACCTGTGTCACATCCCTCACAGCACCTCAGGAGTTAAGAGGACCACTAAGGAGGACATATAGAAGCTAGAGTGGTACACGCTAAGAGTAGTGGCCTTGGGACCCACAGCAGAGAATCTCAGCCTAAGCTTGGTTCAGAGGGAATGGAGCAGATTTAATTTTATTTAGAGACAGAAAAAATCACAAGAAACCACCACAACAAACCAGTAAGATATTTCTTATACCTTATATTTATACCTTAGTGCAATAAATCACGCATGCTACACGTAAATTCCTCGAGGATGGCAACCATGCCTTTTCATCTCACCTGGCCGACAGCCATCTGTTTATTACCTGAAGGACTGACTCACTGGCTTGTGAATTTATGGGAAACAACACATCAGTATCTGTGTGTCAATCAGCATCAGAGCAGACTGGTGATTAGAAGATAAATAGAAAAAAAGGAGAGTGCACTTTGCTAATTGTGGTTTTTTTCAACCCATCACATCAAACTTCAAACTGCAGTGGAAGTTTTACAATAGTTGATAACTTCTAAATTAATAAGCTCTTCTAAATTAATAAACTGCTTCAGCTGTCCTGTAAATCAGGCATTCACCAACAAACATTTATTGAGCATTAAGTTTCAGAGATTCGTCTAGGTTTTCTCACGGAGCTTTCATTCTACCAGGGGAAGAGATACCAAAAGCAAAAAGAAAACAAAACATGCAAACAAAAAATTTAAAAAAAAACCCTTTTCCTAAAGATAGCAAATAAGTTAATTACATGGTATGTGATAAAATACCACACAGGGCAGGTGTGGCGATTGGGAATACTGCAGAGGCGAAGTGGGGTGGTTTGTTAAACATCATTGATAGATGTGCAGGAACTGTGGGGGTTAGCCCTGTGGAGTTCCAAGGGAAGAACATCCCAGAATGAAGAAAAATCCAGTGCAAAGACTGGTGATTAGAGCATGTTTGGTATGTTCCAGAAACATCCAGGAGGCCAGTGTGGTTGGTACAGAGTGAGTGAGAGTGCAAAGATGAGACAGGTGGTAGGAAGGACCAGGTCATGGCAGGTCTTGTAGGCTGTGGTAAGAACTTTGAATTTTTTTTTTTGGCAGAGTCTCATTCTGTCACCCAGGCTGGAGTGCAGTGACGTGATCACAGCTCATTGCAGCCTCAACCTCCTGGGTTCAAGTGATCCTTCCACCTCAGCCTCCTGAGTAGGTGGGACTACAAACACACATCACCTCGCCTAGCAAATTTCTGTATTTTTTGGAGAGATGGGGTTTTGCCATGTTGCCCAGGCTGGTCTTGAATTCCTGGGCTCCAGCCACCCTCCCTTCTCAGCCTCCCAAAGTGCTGGGATTACAGACACGAACCACTGTGCCTGGCCAGAACTTTGGTTTTATTTTGAGATCCATGTGGACATACTGGAGAGTTTTGAACAGACAGAAGACACAATCCAACCAATGTTTAAAAGGACAATTTTGGCTGCTCTGTTGAGAATAGACACTGGTGGTGGGGTGCGTGGGGGAAGCAAGAGTGGATGCCTGGAGACCAGTGAGTGGCCTCTTGCAGTAAGTTCAGGCTGGAGGAAGCAGTGGTTAGACTGTGATGATCCTGGTGGAGACTGTGAAAGTTGCACATTACTGGACATATATATATATATATATATATTTTTTTTTTTTGAGACAGAGTCTTACTCTGTCGCCCAGGCTGGAGTGCAGTGGCACGATCTTGGCTTACTGCAGCCTGTGCCTCCCGGGTTCAAGTGATTCTCCTAGCTCAGCCTCCCAAGTAGCTGGGATTACAGGTGTGCATCACCACACCTAGCTAATTTTTGTATTTTTAGTAGAGACAGGGTTTTGCCATGTAGGCCAAGCTGGTCTCGAACTCCTGACCTCATGATCCGCCCGCCTCGACCTCCCAAAGTGCTGGGATTAGAGGCATGAGCCATTGTGCCTGGCCTGTTTCTGGATATATTTTAATGGCAGAGTTTATAGGATTTCCTGTCAGATCAGGTGTGGGATGTGTGAGAGAGGAATCAGAATGAATCCAGTTTTACAGTCTGAGTACTGGAAGGATGGAATTGTTTCTCCCTGATCTGGGGAAGACTGTGGAGAGAGCCGGTTTGCTGCAAGTTGGTAGGCGGGTGGTGGTTGTTGGAATTTCAGGGGTTCAGACATGGACATACAATGTTATTAATGTTTTGTTCACAGATCTAGCTAATAGTTCTGTGAATACTTGTCCTATATTCATGTAAACAGTGAAAATCCATGCAGTCTTAAGTACTCACCACATTCTGAGCCCTTTAGGCAGCCCCTGAGACTCCCCTTCACCTATGTTGCTATAGACAGACTAGACTGGGGTTGGTCGCTGGGTACCCAGGCATCAGGGGCCTGTGATGACCATCTGTGAGGTCCCAGTTTCAAAGATGCTGTCCAGTTGGAGCAGCCCTCATTGGGTACTTCTTAACCCATTCATGTTGTCTCCTGGGAGGAAATTTGATGCTAGGAAGAAGGTAGAGGCAGATGGATCAGGAGCCGCAGAGGAAATGCAGCAGAGGGGGAGAGAAAAACCTTGTTCCTGAAAATGGTGGAGTAACCAGAGCTGCCTGCTTCTGAGGTAAAGATGCTATGAGGTTGCCAGGACTGCTTTTGAATTCCTAACCAGTGAGGAACCTTCTTTATTTTTTTTCTGGGCTCCTCATGGGGTCTTGTTCTGCTGTGTTGAGATACCTTCTTGCCTTCCATTGTATGTCTACCACGTTCACATCCATCACTGCAAGTAACATAAGACATAGGTTATTTACAACAGGAAACTACCTAAATGATACATCATGATACATTAACCTAGTATATGTTAAGATGACATGGGAAATTAAACAGAGATGACAGAGTTCAAGCTTTGCTTTCCAAAGAGAACAAGTATGAATCATAAATATAAGGATTATAAAAAGATACATTTAATTGTTTGTTAGGACATTCAGTCCCAAATATTTATCCAATACCATATGTGAGGCCCCAACTCATGCATCTTGATGTGTCTTGGTATTTCCATGACTCTAAATTAGATTCTTTTTTCTGTTTCCTAGATTTCACATTTCTATATCTTTCCACATCTCTTCCCTGACCCCTATTTCCCCTGTTTCTTCCTGGCTTCCTCACCTGGTTAACTTTTTTTTTTTTTCCTGGCCTTGACTACTTTTCTCACCATCAGCTCTAGCTCTGCCATGGTGTTAGTTCTCATTAGGATTTAACTAGAAGTCGGTGCCTACATAACTCCTCAAAATGGATTGAACAATAGATATCTGTGAAATGAACAAAATAACTTATCTTTTCCCATGTACTTTCTTGGTAGGGATGAATTTAGTCATGACAGAGATAAAGCAAAACACATCTACAAAGGCTAAGCCTGAATGATCATACTTACTGTTCAGAAACCTCTAGTGACTCTATGTCAGAACTTGGATGGTCTGTGATAGAAAAGTCAGTTGTGTGTCTTTCTACACACAGAAATTATAGTTTTCTTCAGGGCAGAGACAATCTTATTTATCTTTGTATCTGTATTCCCACTGTGCCTTGCATGCAGTAGGCACATAATAAATGATCCTAGGGAATAATCTGAAAGGAGTGGGATGAGTTGCTCATATCAAGTATTACATAGTTTAAAGTTGTAGGTTTGAAAGTCAGTTTCAGCCCATGAGTAGTAGCTTCCAAAAAAGAAAACATCCTCTTATGAAGTTTAGGCAGCGGATGATACTCACTGAGGAAACCATGATTAAGTCTCAGGAAACAGAAATGCAAGATAAGACACAATCTGCTTAATGAATCCGGATGGGTGGGCCTGATATTAAAGGCTTCTGATGTCACGACCAACCTTAATCATAAACTACACTTTTGAATAACATCCTTCTACTTCTCCATCTTTATCCACTTAAAAAATTTTACCTTGATGTCCTCTTTCTCACACAAACTCTTGGACCTTGTGATATTTTATCAGTCTGTAGAAGAATCCATTCCTCAGATTTCCCAAAACTGGGTGAAAGATGTCCTCGTGGAGTCAAAAGAGACTTACATGATTCCGAATGGGATTCTAGTCTCAAATGGCAAATTTCTACCAACCATATTTTAAAAGGGCATGGATGAAAATAATTCAGTAAGCCTATAAATAGAAAATAAAATTAAGAAAATAAGTCAAATTGTTGCATACTTCCAAAACCAGCCTCCCTTCCCAGCGAGAAACCAGATTTGCTTGGTGTCATAAACTGCTTCCTGCTCTTCAGGGAGCTGCCATTTCCTTGGCTGTATCTACCCGCAAGTGTCAATTCCTGATAACTTTGCTAGAGTGTGATAATACAAAGCAGGGCTCTTTGAGAATTATTTTTAGGGTTTTTTTTTTTTTTTTTTGAGACAAGGTCTTGCTCAGGCTGGAATGCAGTGGCTCAATCATGGCTCAATGCAGCCTCGACTTCTTGGACTCAAGCAGTCTTCCCACCTCAGCCTCCCAAGTAGCTGGAACCACAGGTGTGTACCACCATGCCCAGCTAATTAAAAAGAATTGTTTTTGGTAGAGATGGGGTCTCCCTATGTTGCCTAGTCTTGTCTTGAACTCCTGGCCTCATGCCATCTTCCCACCTTGGCCCCCAAAGTGCTGGGATAACAGGCACGAGCCACCGTGTCCAGCCTCTAGGTATTTTTTGAACAAGGATGAAAAAGAATTAACAGGGTAGATGATTGGGGTGGGAGGGGAATCTTGAGTTAGCTGTGAGTGACCACTCTTCCTTATTTCTTCATATGCCTAGAGAAGGAGATCATTCATTCATTCAACAAACATTTACTGAGCTCTCCCTATTGCCAGAGACTGTCCAAGGTACTGAGGTTACATCAGTGAACAAAAGAGAAAGAAAATATAAATCCTTGCTTTTATGGAACTTATATTGTAGTGGGGGAAACTCCTCTTGTCATCTATTTCTTTCTCCCTCGTGATCAAAAGATAAGCTTGTCAGACAAACTGAAGAAAAGAAGAGAAGATTTATTTCTGTCTTTGCCTCTGCTTTTGCCGTCTTTCCTCTTGCCTCAGAAGTCCCAAGACTCCATGATTTTCATAGGGACTCCTGTAAATAAAGAAAGCTGAGAAAATAAATTCCCACTATTTGCAGTTTCATAGAAGGATGCCTAGAAGAGGCAGTACTAGCTCTTTCAGAGGGATAAACCTAAGTCATTATTTCTTGCCAGAACCAGACTCCTGTTTCCCACTTCTGCAGAAGACATTGTTTCATTGTTCCATCAGGCAGCTAGGTGTAAAATCCGGGGCTCATTGTTGATTTCTTTCTCTTTTCAACTTCAAATTAAATCACTGGTCAAGATCTGTGGATACTGTATCCAATGTCATTCTCTTCTCCCATTCCTTCCACCAAACAGTCTAATTTCTCACTTACACTATTGTGATAGTCACCTAACTCCTTTCTCTCTTTTCTCAAATTCAGCCTCCATAACATTGGATTTACCATCAAGGACCAGCTTTGATCATGTCACCTCCTTGCCTTTCAATAAGCTTCATTGGCTCCCCACTTTAAATATATTCTGATGTTCTTTCAGCTCTGCCCTAAAACATCCTTAACATTTTATCTACAACGTTTAGGTTTTTAAATTTATTATTTATTTACTTTTGAGATGGAGTCTCACTCTGTTGCCTAGGCTGGAGCGCAGTGGCACAATCTCGGCTCACTGTAACTTCCGCCCCCTGGTTTTGAGGGATTCTCCTGTCTCAGCCTCCTGAGTAGCTGGGACTACAGGTGTGCGCCAGCATGCCCAGCTAAATTTTGTATTTTTAGTAGAGACAGAGTTTCACCATGTTGGGTACGCTGGTCTCGAACTCCTGGCCTCAGGTGATCCGCCTGCTTCAGCCTCTCAAAATGCTGGGATTACAGGTGTGAGCCAACACGCCCGGGGCCAACTTTTTATTTATCCCAAGTTCCTGCCTGATATGACATATAGTGAGACGACATACTTTTCCTGGTATTTTCCCCAAGCTTTCCAACAGCTAAACCTTTACTCCCACTTTCCTTCCTTTTGGAATTCCCCATTCACATCACTCCCATTTGAAATTCCACACATGAGCTAAGATGAAGTCCAAACTTCACTTCCTTCCTGAAGTCTTTTCTGACCCCTTACTGAACTGCGTTTCTCCTTTAGCACTCAGTTTATCTTGCAAGGTGGTTAATGCTTGCAGTCTTTTGTTTCTCCTCTCCCCTACTAACAATCAGGTCATTGAGGCAGGTCGCTGACTTCTTCTTTGTGTTCCTCTTATGGCTTTACATATGGCAGGTGCTTTGCAAGTATTTGTTGAATTATGGAATCATGGGGATTGGAAGCACATGTGTGGGTCAGTGAGTGGGGGATGTGTGTTTTTTGTTTGGAGCCAGGTGGGCTATAGGGATGTGTATTTTTTGTCAGGAGTGCTTTAGAGGTCATTTTTTTTGGGCTTGGGGTCAGCCACATTTGATATGTTTCCATTGTAAAATGAGACAGAGAAGCCTAGGCCCATGAAGATGAGAGTGCTGTCTTTGGCTGTAACCCTGATTTATGAGAGGAGCTGACAAATAACTAGTGCTGAATAACGTTGCTTAACATTTCCCCCTGGAGTTGGCCAAAAGAGTAGTGGAGAGAGAGACAATTCCTGTTTATTGAGTGTCTAGAATGTGCAGTGCAGGCGTTGATTTTGCTTGGTTCTTTTGTTTTGCTTTTGTGTGTGTGTTGGGGGAGGACAGGGTCTCGCTCTGTCAACCAGGCTGGAGTGCAGTGGTGTGTTCATGGCTCATTGCAGCCTTGACCTCCCAAACTCAAGTCCTCTTCCCGCCTCAGACCCGCTGAGTAGCTGGGACTACAGGCATGCACCATCATACCCAGCTAATTTTTGTGTTTTTTTGTAGAGACAGGATTTCACCATATTACCCAGGCTGGTCTTTAACTCTTGGGCTCCAGTGACCCGCCTACCTCAGCCTTCCAGAGTGCTGGGATTACAGGTGTGAGCCACCGCACCCAGCCTTGTTTTTTTTTTGAGATGAAGTCTTGCTCTGTCACCCAGGCTGGAGTGCAGTAGCACAATCATAGCTCACTACAGCCTCAAACTCCTAGGCTCAAGTGATCCTCCCTTCTCAGCCTCCCAAGTAGCTGGGACTACAGGTGATGTCACCATGCCCAGCTAATTGACAAAAAATTTTTGTAGAGAAGTTATGTTCCTTAGGCTGGTCTCCAACTCCTGGCCTCAAGCAATCCTCCCACCTCAGCCTCCCAAAGCCCTGGGATTATAGGCATGAACCACTGCACCCAGCCCTGCTTGGTTCTTAATGTACAGTAAAAATGATAGCGAACACTTTGGGAGTGCTTAATATGTGTCAGGCACTGCTCTCAGCACTTTCCCTTTGTTAACTCATGTCATTCTTATAACAGCACCATAAGCAGATGTTATTATTATGAGGAATTGAGATGAAGAGAGGGCAAGTAACTTGACCAAACTGACAGAGCTGGTAAGAAGACATTCTGAACACAGGGAATCTGGTGCCAAAGAGCAGCTCTTAAACCTACTGCTATGCTAAATGTCATTCAATCTTTGCAGCCCCCCATAAGGTACAGGATATAACCTTTACTACAAAGATTAAAAAAACTGAGTCTCCCAAAGGTTAAACAGCTTCCCCATAGATATACATGCAATAAATGAGCCACCTGGAATGTCAGCTGAGTTTCTATCCAGTGCTACAGGAGCACACATGAGATTCTATTTTTTTCCCCAGTGCAGTCTGTAACAAATCATTATCTTCTTTTAAGAAGAGTCATGAAGACTGGAAGAATTATCCCAGGCTGAGGCCTTGCAAACAACTCTCTAGTGCTAGGTCAAAAGCTTCATCCAAGTGAAACCTTTGTGCCCTCTTCTTTTATGCTGATTATAGTGATGATGATTCAGGCTCAAAAGATTTCCTGGAAATGAGTGTCCAGTTTTGAGTTAATGGCATGACATGCCCAATTGGGTCAGTGAGTGGACTTGCCGGCTGTGAATTCCCGGGAAATACACTGAGAGTTGATCACAGTTGGTGAGATAAGGATGTTCCTTTTCTCAGGTTTTTATGCACATTCTCAGAGGACTTTAGAAAGTCAATTCAATTCATTTATGAAACTGGGAAATGCTCTATAACTTCTGCCCCATTATGTGGTTATCTTTTGATAATGCATCCCAGATGAGATTACATGCCTAAGTGTAGTACTTCTGTGCAGTCTGAATCTCTACAGGCAGTACAGCCAATGGCTGTATCATCTATGTGCACAACTGTCCATTACTCACCATATAATTCATGAAATGACCTCTTTCATTCATTTAGTATCTTGAGAATTATTTTAAAACATAGATTCTCCTCTGTCTGTAAGGTTTAAGCGTGGCCCTGCTTAAACATGGTAGACGAACCAGGTGCCCTGTTAGCCACCTTCTGATTCCCAGAGTTCTATAAAAGCCTGGAGGCAAAGAAAATGAACCTAATTCTAAACTGTCTTTGACAGTAAGAGCTAAAATAGAATAACTATCCAGTTCAGTATCTGTTCCTAGGTCTACTTTGACCAAGAAATGTGTTTTATTTTTTTGCTTTTAATATTGTTTTTAATTGACACATAATAATTGTACATATGTATGGAGTATAGTGTTATTTTAATACATGTATATAATGTATAATGATAAAATTAGGGTATTTGGCATATCCATCACCTCATCTATCAAGCAATGTGTCTTTGAGAGCCAGATGGGACAACAAATAATGATTGCGGTGGAACACAGCATTTTAAAGGTATACTTATGTTGCTGTTTTGGAGATGCTATTGAGGGAGGAGGTGAGACTGAACTCCAGAGGTGGGAACTCAGACTCTGGACCAGATTGAAGACTAGCTAAAATAAGGCCAGGGCAGAAGCAGCTTTCCATAAGATATGCCCACCAGCCTGTCATGTCAGCTTACTATTGCCATGGCAACACCCGAAAGTTATGACCCCTTTCCATGGCAATGACCCAATGACCTGGAAGTTACCCTTTTTCTAGAAATTTCTGCATAATCCACCCCTTCATTTGCATGTAATTAAAAGTGGGTATAAATGTGACTGCAGAACTGCCCTGAGTTGCTGCTCTGGGCACATTGCCTTTGGGGTAGCCCTGCTCCACAAGGAGCAGTGCCTCGGCTGCTGCTGTGTACACTGCTGCTTCAATAAAAGTTGCTAACACCTCTGTCTTGCCCTTGAATTCTTTCCTGGGCAAAGCCAAGAATCCGCCTGGGCTGAGCCCTAGTTTTTGGAGCTCGCCTATCCTGCATCACTATGAATGGAGCAAGTGCCAGTAGGGACACATTTAAAGATAGGCACACATCTGAAATTTCAGCTGGCTAAAGATTAAAAATCTGGATTAAAAATTAATTTATGATAAAATGGAGGGCTAAGAAAAATCTATCAAGTATGAAGTATGTGGCTGGTTTCTGTGGTTGATTTTTTAGTTAACTCCCAAAGGGCAATCCTCTCCCTGAAATGAACTACTCTAGCCCACCCTTACTCCCAACTGGAGGCGAATTGCTCTTCTCTCTTTGGAACCTTGAAAGGATTTAGCCCTATAAGGCTGGAGTTGCTGGGAAGATACTCATAGATATATTTGAAATCTCTCGTGTCACAGGCTTTGAAGATGGCTTGCTGGTGGACAAAGGTAAACAGATATTTGAGTGAGTTTTCCCAAGGTAAGCCTGCTCACTGTATTGCCTTTTTACCCATCTCAGCTCCAGCTTTTTAACCAATATGTTCTAGGATGTCAGAAAATTTGAAAATTTGCCAGTAGATTTGAGAACATTTGAAGTTATAAGAGAAGATAATTCTTTAATTCTTTTAGTTTTCTTTTTTTTTTCTTTTTCTGAGATGGGGTCTTGCTCTGTTGCCCAGGCTAGAGTGAAGTGGTGCGATCATAGTTCACGGCAGTCTCAAATTCCTGGGATCAAGCAATCCCCCTGCCTCAACCTACTGAGTAGCTGGGATTATAGATGTGCATCACCACACCTGGCCTCTTAGCACTTTTTGAGAACATGTCACCTAAATGGAAAGAACTCTGAAACTGGCAATAGGTTAAAAAAGGGTACATGGGTGAAAGGCTATGCTGTGAGATGGAGCGCCTGGTGTTTTTTACTTTATGCACTGGTAATGTTCACTGGGATTAAGGAGATGATTTTGTGTGCCTGGTTGTGGTATGACGTTTGGAGAGAATCCCTTAGCTCCATTGTTAAATGTGAGCTTGCCTTTAAAAATGAAATTTTGGGGATCTTTCTTTTGGAACCCCTGATTTCTCTTTCTTTATCCAAATTCCGCTCACACAAAAAGAAAGAGTCATGGAAATTCTTCCATGGTAGGAAAGCAAGGTCACATGATATATAGTTCTGGAGATTTAGGTTAAAAAAATGAGAACTGACCCTTAATGGCATGGAAGATGCCCTTAACAGGTTGTGCTGTCTCCAGGGAAATCGGCTGTGTGGTCTTGTGAGAGATCACCACTGGGAGCTTGGGCTTGGGTGCTCGCCGTCAGCAGCAAAGACCCCCTTTCTCCTGTGGTTCTCACCGTTTCCTCTGGAGGCCCCTGTAGCTTTGGTCACTGTGTCTGTTAGGTCCTCCATAAAACAGATGGTAAGATGGAGTTAGGAGTACAAAAGGTTTAATGAGAGGAAAGGCCTGTGAAAGATAGGGAGAAGCAACAGGATAGTGCAGGGAAAGCCTCAGACTGCTATACAGATCTGACTGTCTTGGCCAACCCAATTGGGAGTTCTCAAAGGTTGCCCATTAGCATGGTCCCATAGTCCACCTGCTGTGCTGAGACTGGGAGCCTCTGAGGATGAGCATAGCCAAGACTTAAAAGCCTAGGTGAAGCCTGAAGTTTCTAACAGCTGTAAGCTGTCAGTTAGCTACACTCCTGGCAGCTGCCAGCAAGTGATTTGTTGGAGGGAGGTATGGACAGCACACCCCATGGCTGCCACAACTGGCACTGTTATTGGGAGCCTCCTGCTATTCTCAGTCTCACTTTTTCATCCTTGGGCTTATCCAATATCTTTTTTTTTTTTTTTTTCTGGAGATAGGGTCTTGCTCTGTCTCCCAAGCTGGAGTGTAGTGGCACAATCTCAGCTCACAGCAGCCTCTACCTCCCAGAATCAAGCAGTTCTCCTGCCTCAGCTTCCTGAGTAGCTGGGATTATAGGCATGCACCACCATGCCTGGCTAATTTTTGTATTTTTTAGTAGAGATGGTGTTTCGCCATGTTGGGCAGGTTGGTCTTGAACTTCTGACCTCAAGTGATCCATCTGCCTTGGCCTCTTAAAGTGCTGGGATTACAGGCATGAGCCACCATGCCCTGCCTATATCCAGTATCTTTATCGTAAGGTGTGGTGAAAATATAATGGATTACGAATCTGACGACCTGAGTACCATTTCCTATTGCTTTGCTAAAAATTTTGGACCTTGTGGACAATTCATGCCACCTTTCTGTGTCTCTGTGAAATCTCCAAGGTCCTTCCCAACCACGACATTTCAAAGTTTATGATTTGTTCCAGGATTTCCAGGATTCGGCATAACGTACCTGTCGTCATCCCTTCCAGGAACCGTGGCTTTTCTTGCCTGGCCCAGGGGTTGAGAATGGTGGTGGTTCATGGCCTTCAGTGCTCTTTGGTCTCACCGACTCTTGTTCCTTTTCAGTTTATGTGGATCCGTGAAATGGAAATTCTCCATTCCATGTCCCTGCCTTCATTCCTTCTAGCCTTTGCATTGTTGTAGGCGCTGTACTAAATTTGAAGGAAACAAAGATGAAAATGATATGGTCTCTGCCCTCAGGGAAGTCTAGTGGAGGGACCACCATGAACATGCAATTGCTATAGAGTGCTGAGGTTCATGGTCTGCTTGGGTGCTGTGGGAGCTTATGAGGTTCAGGCCATCCTACCCCAAAATATGGCACCTTGGCACTTGAGGAAACAGAATCAGGCCATAGACTCTAGAAAGAATTCTCCTCATCCCTTATCCTCTGAAAAGGGCCATAAAACCTAGCTGAATTTCCCTTAAAATAGGTCATAAGACCCTCGTTCCATAGAAGTCCTCCCTCTACCCAGAGAAAAGGGATATCCTCATGTCTGATGACATAGAGGTGCCAGGAAGAATCTGGACAAACAAGCCTTGCCAATTTCCCCCAGTTTATCACCATTAGATCACACCCTTTTTTTGTCCTCCACTCACACTTCTGCACGACTGTCCATAAAAACATGCAGGTCTCCATGTTTCTTTGGGTTTCTATTTCTGAAGACTCCTGTGTCACATAAAACTTAAATAAATGTGTATGGTTTTCTCTCGTTAATCTGTCTTTGGCTGTGGGGTCTCAGTCATGAAACTTGCCATGCCTGAAGGAATCAATCTTTTCTTCCTTGCAGAGCACTTTAGTATGGGAGTCGGGGGCAGGGGTGAAGGGAGGCTGTCCAAAGATAAAGTTGAAGCTGTGATGGATGACTAGGAGTTCCTCAGACAAGTGTGGTGATAGGAAGGGGTGTCACTGAGCAGGTGCAGAGAGGGCATTCCAAGTGGAAAACACACAAGTGCAAAGCTTCAATAGGGAGAGAGAAGAAACTAGAAATTACTTAGAGTGGTAAGGCACAAAGTGGGACAAAAAGGGAAATCAGAGGGTGTTACTTTAGGGCCCCCAAGAAAGCCTGTCCTCAGGGCAATGGGAAGCCAGCAGTGGCTGGAACAGCAGCCAAAGATTGGCTTTCTCACACCTGCTCCTGACGACCTGACTATGTCCCTATGGCTGTGACTCTTGTGAGCTGTGCTCTCAGGCTGTAGATTTTCAGGAGAGAGGTGGATGCTGCTAGGGGAATGTGATTAGCAAGCAGTGGAGATGGTAAGTTTGACTGTCTCAGCAACATTCTGAGGCCTGTTTTTCCTCCTAGGTGGCAGTCACAGGAATTATTTAAATCAATGTCATTTCAGGGTTGAGGCCCCCAGCACATCGTAATGGAAAGTGCACTGGCTGGGGTTAAGAGGCCTGATTGCTCATTGAGGTGGCACCATTTACGACCTTGAATGACACTGCTGGGGGTTCAGAACACAATACCCCAAAATATGACACTGTGGCATTTGAGGAAACAGCAGAAGCAGGAAGGTCTCTCTCACCTTCCCTTGTCCTTCTCCCCTGAAGCAGGTCATAAAATCCAAGAAGTTGTTGGCCTTCCCCTGAAGCAGGTCGTAGACTCCTCATTTGAGAGATACCCTCCCTATACCTCGAGGAAAGGAGCAGAAGACACAGAAATGCCGTGAAGAATCTGAACAAACAAGCCTTGCTAAGTTCCCTCCGGCTTATTGCCATTAGATCACAGCCCCTTGTCCAATCATACTTTCACAGCACTGTACTCTCTTCATCAAACCTAAGAATGAAAACACACAGGTTTCCCTGTTCCTCTGGGACATTGCCAAAGGCTCCTATGTCAGGTAAAACTTTTTTAAAAAATTTGTTTGGAGACAGGTCTTGCTCTGCCACCCAGGCTTGGAGTGCAGTGGCACAAACACAGTTCACTGCAGCCTTGACCTCCCGACTCCTGGGCTCAAACCATCCTCCTGCCTCAGCCTCGCATATAGCTTGGACCACAGGCACGCACCACCAGGGCTGGCTATATTTTATTTTTTGTAGAGGTGGAGTCTCCCTGTGATGCCCAAGTTGGTCTTGAACTCCTGGGCTCAAGCGACCCTCCCACCTTGGCCTCTCAAAGTGCTGGGATTATAGGTGTCAGCTACTGCGCCTGGCCTAAATTTTAACTTAAATGAATTCATATGCTTTTCTCTTTTTAGTCTGTCTTTTGTTTTTGGGGCCTCAGCCACAAACCCCTGAGCAGCGACTGAGAAAACATATTTCATCCCTTACGACTCTGGCAAGTAGCAACCTTTTTCAGTTTACTTACTCTCAGTGCCCTTCCCGCTTTAGAATAAGGTCCATTGATTGAGTAAGATGCCTTCCCACCTTGTCCAGTGACTTGTGTACCTGGCGGTGGTTCTGGGCGTGTGCTCTACCAGCATCACCTGGGAACTTGCTAGAAATGCAAATGTATTGTGCTCCACTCCAGACCTAGTGAATCAGAAATCCGGGGGGGGGGGGGAGGTGGGGGTGGGGACTTAGACATCTTGTTTTAAGGAGGCCTGCAGGCGATTCTGGCGAACACTAAAGTTTAATAATCATAAATATAGGGTACACTTTAATAAAAATTTGCCGCAGCAAACGGGAAAATACCAATTTAGCTCTGTTTGCTGCAGCTTCGCAGCTTTACCAGGAGAGGGCGCCGACGGACCTGACTTTTGCCTTGCCTCGCAGTAGAGCCCAACTAGAGGGTAAACAGCAGCCACAGTAAGTTCTAGCTGTTGCAGAAATAAATTACAAATACATGTAGGAAAAAGGACTTCAAAAGGCTGCGGTATCAAAGTGGCAGTTAAAGAGAAGGCAACGCTCAGAGTTGCAGGTGGAGCAGCGGCGGCTGCATCAGCGTCTCAAATTGCGAAAACATTTTGGGCTGAAGTATTTCTTTGTAGCATTTCGTGGAGCCCCTTTCCTTTGATATACACTAGCCTTCCGACTTCCCTTTGTTCTTTTTTCACACGTCAGGTTTTATCGCTGACAAGCTCCAACGCGTCAAAGGCGTTAGATCTGAGGGCTGCAGCAGCCTTCGCGGTTCCGCATTGAGCTCCTTCCTGCAGCCCTCTGCGGAGGTCACGGCCACGTGTGGGCAGGGAAGGCCCCCTACCCACTTCCTCATTCGGACCCGTCACCTTTAGCCGGCGACCACCTTTTGATCTCTTGTGTTGCACTTGTGTCCCCCGTTTCTCCTCCAGCTTCCCTGGAGTCCCTCATTGTGGAGCTGTTCACGGCCCCAGTCCCTGCACAGCGGGGTTTTGCACGAAAGAGGCCGTGAGGGCCAGAACTTAGTACAGCCTTGAATACTGGGGCGGGGAATGGGGGTAAGAAAAACAAAACCTCCCCACTGGTCCTCTTCTCTCTCTCTAGCACTGCATATTCATCTTGACACCAAGTCACACCCCCATCAGGAAGTCTGGTTTTGGGGGTAGTGGGCACAGGACGATTTGGGGGATTTTTGCATTTGTTTGAGCTACAGGGAAAGAGAAATATTTAACTCCTGAAAAGAATCAGCATACCAGGTGCCTTATTATACTGTGTGTATGTGCTATTGAGCAGTCTAGAAACCTTTCTGCAGTCGTGTTCTGCAGATTTCATCCCAACAGAAAATTGCATCTTCCAAAAAATGTAGTTCAAAATAATAAGGCTTCATTCATTTTTAAATGACCAGAGCATTTCCTTCTCTCAGGGGAGGGGGGCAGGGAAGGGGATTGTGTGGAGATCTGTACTAGGAAACAAATGCCTATAGGTGTAGGAGAGACATGTTTTATAATTTTAAGAATATACAAGGGACATCTGTTCTCAGTTTACACTGGGATGCTCATATATTTATTCTAAACAAGAAATTCAAATGGAAAAGGCTTCACTGTGCAGGAGAGACAGGAAAAGGAAGAGTGAAATCGTTGAGAGCACGGGTTTTGGTTTTGTGGTGACAGATTCAAGGCAATGAACACACATGATGTTTTGCTCCTCAGGGCCAGGTTGTCTCCAGTGTGTAGTGTATACACATTTAAATGATGGTTTGTAACTGCAGAGTTGTTATCTTGACTTTAGAATAATAAGAAAGAAAATAGAGAAAATGCAAGGGATACTCCACAGCTGTTCTTGATTTGTCACTGTGATACAATCTAGTTTTTTTGTTGTTGTATAGTTTATTTGTTTTATGGTTTTTGCCCTCCCTCACAATGGTCTAAAATTCTGAAGCTTCTCTGTCAGTTTCTGGATAACAGGGAACCATGTCTTCCTACCCTCATTTTGTTTTCATTTCCACAAATTGAAGGTAAAGGTATTTCCCTTCCACTTCATGCCAAGAAGTCAATGCTTGCTGCTGCATCCCCAGAAGAGTGTGACACGTATTAGGAGCTCAAGAAATATTTCCTAAATAAATAAACAATCCCAAGGCTTGTGCTCTTTCCACTGTGCCAACTTCCTTTTGCATCTTGATCCTTCTCACATGGCAACACCTTTTCAACACCTTTTCTGGGTAGGGACCTTCCCCCTCACTAACCACCCAGAGGTTAGACTCCTCTTGGGAGTCAGAAGATTGTGCTGCTTGCTCAAGATCCAGATGGCTTGCACTGTGCAGCTCACAGTAGATCTCTGTCATGCCTTCCAGCTGTCAAAATCCCAGTGGGATACTCTGGCTGGTCCACTTCCAGCTTCTTTCCCTGTCTGACCCCCTTTATAGGCTATATGCCTGGGATCTCCTTGCTCATGTCAAAGTGGGGAAGACGTGGCTTCTGTGGACTTGATGGTCCTACTGAGAAAAGCCAGATGAAACTTCGCTTGAAAGACTAGGGATAAGAAAGCCTACTTGGCATGACAGCATCCAAAATCCATTTGTTGGTCACAAGTTCTGAGATGGTTAATTGTATGTGTCAACTTGACTGGGCTGAGGGATGGCTGGGTAAAGCTGATAAACATAGTTTCCGCTGCTCCACCTGCAACTCTGAGTATTGCCTTCTCTTTAACTGCCACTTTGATACCGCAGCCTTTTGAAGTCCTTTTTCCTATATGTATTTGTAATTTATTTCTGCAACAGTCAATGAGGGTGCAATTACCATTTGAATCAGAAGACCAAGTAAAGAAGGTCCATACTTACCAATGTAGGTGGGAATCATCCAATAATCTGTTCAGTACCTGAGTAGAACAAAGGTAGGGGAAGGAGTTTGCCACCTTTTGCTTCCTGCCTGGTTGCTTGAGCAAGGACGTTGGTCTTTCCCTGCCCTTGTATATATCCTATTGGTTCTATTCCTCTGGAGAACCCTGATTAAATACAAGATTCTTGGGCTCGGTCATTTGAATGTTTCCAGTGGTTTCACCCAGATTCCTTTTAGCATCTATTTAAGTCATTGTGTTTCTAGTGTCCCATGCCCTGTGGTGAAAACTTCTGGGTTCGGGGGGTTGGGTTGGCTTAGGGCTAGGACTGGGCCAGAAATTCAGGGACACGCTACTTGGCTGCTTCCTCCAGCAGCCTGGGCAAGGCCCCTGAGCCTCCTCCTGAACCAATTTTTCAGCCTGACCTGAAATTCTTGTCCAGAACATTAGGACAGTGGGATCTTTAAGCTGGGAGCTTTGATGTTACTTCATGGAGTTCGCCTGTGATGGTTTCCCTTTCACTTTGTAGTAACTCTAAGAGTAGGTTCTAGGAACTAGGTTCTTGCCCGATTCTTTGTGTCTAAGCTCTGCTTATACTGCTGTTCTGGTAACTGAGTCCTAGTCTTGTTACCTACAGGGCCTGAGCTCCTGAACCCTTTCCCTGTACAGGGATCATGGCTCACTGTAGCTTCAAACTCCTGGGCTCAAGGGATCCTCCTGCCTTAGCCTCCCAAAATGCTGGGATTACAGGCATGAGCCACAGCACCTGCCCTCACCTTCTGGCATTTTTTGATCACCTTCTCTCGCCTTCCTTGTGCCCAGTTATCCTGGGACCAGAGTCTTGCTCCTAAATGCTGGACGCTGTGCTGGGTGTCTATTTCTGGGTTCTTCTGATACAATTACTTGGCTCTCTGAGGCAGTGCTCCAGCTGCCCGTCTACCCTGTTGGATGCAACTGGACTTCATGATGTCAGTACTCCCAGGGACTTCTTCCTAGTACTGACTTCACCCAAACAGGTCTGCGTGCCTTCAGGTCCCAGCTGTCCTAGTTTGGCTCATCACTTCAGTCTCACCCCTTCTGACTTTCACACACCTTCAGAGAGACTTCCTTGAGACAGGGTCTTGCTCTGTTGCTCAGGCTGGAGTGCAGTGGTGAGATCATAGCTCGCTGCAACCTCAAACTCCTGGGCTCAAGAGATCTTCCCACCTCAATCGCCCAATTAGCTAGGACTACAGGTATGTGCCAACATGCCCAGCTAATTTTTTATTTTTTTGGAGAGACAGGGTTTCTCTATTTTGCCCAGACTGGTCTTGAACTTCAAGGGCTCAAGTGATCCTCTTACCTTGGCCTTCCAAAATGTTGGGATTACAGGTGTGAGCCACTGCACCTTGCTTAGAGACACTTTCTTTAGAAAAGATTCAGAACACCAATTTGTCCCTAGCACCATTCAGTTTAAAACCCTTCAAAGGTTCCTCATTCCCTTTCAAAGAAAGTTCAAATTCCAAGTTATAATCATCCTTTACCAGATTGTAGTATGATACAGTTTTGTGTAGTGGCTAAGAGCACAGATCCTAGGTTCAGACTGCCTACATTCAAATTCAGGGGCTCCCTTTTAAGCCAGTTGATGTTTCTCAATCTGGGTCCTTGGACAATAGCCAAACAGCAGCAGCAAGCCTCTCCTATCTGCTTGCACACAGGTGGCACAAATTGCTATTGTTTCTATGACAACTGATGGCTTTTTTCCCCCATTTCATAAAAGCCGCCTGTATGGTGGACAGCAGCATGTGGAAGAAATGTGCTAGGCAGGGACTAGCCTGGTAGAACGCCCAAGCAACGTATACCGCGATTTTATTGTCTTCACCAGTCGTGGCTCTTTGTCTCCGAGTTCTGTCATATACTAGCTGTGTGAACTTGCTCTTGGGACTCAGTTTCCTTACCTATAAAATGGTGCTATTTACTCTTAAGGTAGTCAAGAGAATTAAATGAGTTGATATACCTAAAACACTTAGAACAGAATTTGACACATCATAGGCTGTTAGCTGTTATCATTTTTCAAGATTGAATCTCTAGCTGTCCACTTTTACCACATGTTCCACCTAGAGTGAACCACCAGTATTCCCCTTGAACATATCATGGTTTATGTTTATACCTGTTTATGTGTTATTTCAACAACTTGTCTTTCAAAACCCAGCAGGATTTCGGCTTAAGAGAAGTCTTCTTTTGCTTCCTATATGATTTAGATGATTCTACCATACTACACAAGCAACATCTACTATCACGCCATCTTTTAACCTGTAATTGACCTATTCTTTCACCTGCAATACAGGAGTCATCTTCAGAGGAAGGGATGCTTCTCAGTGTTTGAGTCTACAGCACCTAGAACAGTGTTTGCGGAGAGTGAATACTCATTCAGCGAAAGGATTCCATTGCTTGTAAAGTTATGATTATGACCTTGGTTTCCTCAGCTATTAAAGGAGCCAAGCTTGACCCTCCTTTAGCATGACCCAGAGTGGTTCAAGCCAGGAGCTGCTCTGACACTGACTCAGTCCCTGGGTGGTGATGACTCACTGCTGGGGCTTTACCTTCCAGAGCCTCTTCTGATAGATGGGATTTTCTGAAACTTCTTTCCTCCCATTGGATCCATGATTCCAGCACTGTCCTCCACAGCTCAGGGAGAGGGTGCTTTGTTCTGTGGACTGTGCAAAGACCTTCTTGCTGTAGAATGTGTGACTATGACTGAGCTATTCTCAGAGGCTCATCAGAAGTGCTAGAAGAAATACCTTGATTGTCAGAGACGTTTAGTTACCTATAAATATCTCTTTCCTCTTTTACTTAGCAGCAGTAATTTATTCAAAGTAGCAATGAATCCAGCCTAAAGACTGTGTTTTCCATACACCTTGCAGCTAGGTATGGCCATATAATTAGATTCCAGCCAGTGAGTTTTACACGGAAGTGTTGGCTGGTACTTCTGGCAAACCTTTGTAGAAAGGGAAGAGTGTGCCTTTTTCCCTCTTTCCTGCTGTTTGGAATGTGGTTGTGACTGCTGTGGAAATAACAGCCACTGTGGACCCTGAGGCTGAGGCCCTCAGCCTAAAAGTGGAAAGGAAAGCTGAAAGGAGCCTGGGTCCCCAACTATGGCAAAACTCCCATAGCAGCCCAGGTCTGCCAATTTCTGGCTTTTGTCAGGGCTCTTTTTAACTTATTTTAATATTTTATTTCTTACCAAACACCTAGAATTCAAGAAGATAGGGCTCTTTTTGACTCTCTGTCTCATGCGGCTAAGCCAAATCCGACTGATCTGGTGTGCAATTTGTTCTCGTCCCAGCAGGAGCATGCGAAAAGCTTCTGAATGAATTTGGACCATGGCTCAGAATCGAGCCTCAAACCAACCCACTTGCCTGGTGTGAGGTTGTGTTGTTTTGTAGCCTCTGGAAACTTTGCCCTGCGAATGGCTGCCCCCCTGCCTCCTACTGTTTCCATGTGATTCCCAACCTCACTCCCTCAGGTCTCTAGTTTCTTCTACCCTTCATTTGGATTTGACTTTCTGCCTGGTGACAGACCGGCCGCCCAGCTCGTGTCACCCATGGCTTTAACACCAAACCGCTAAGTCTCCACTCCCGGCTCACTGATCTGTATGTACAAACCTTGGATACTCTCAGCTTCCTTCAGTACTGACAAAGCATAAAGAGCAGGAGAGAGACTCCCAGAAGGTCTGCTAACATATCTCTTCTCCATGAGTCAAACAGACCTGAATTTTTACATGAGGTTAATATAGTTAAGGCCACTCTGTCCCATCTCTCAGGCAGATGCGTTCAGTATTGGGTGAGCCACCAGGGATTGCCAGCCATTTAGAGCCTACTGTGGAAGGATGGGGTTACTGATTTATGGGGAAACCATTCTGCAACAGACGCAAAGAGGCCATCAGTTAAGAGAAAGCCATGGCCACCCGGCCTTGGGCTCTATCAGCGTGATCCTTGGCCGTTCAGCCTCACCCTTGGGAACTGTTCCTTTCCCAATGCTAGCCTTCATCACCAATTTAATTATGATTTCTTAGAGATGATTATAGCTTCTCCTGATGAGAACAGATCCCATCAGGCTGAGGTCCACACCTCTGTTGTTGTTACACCTGCTATATATTCTAACAATTCTAACAGCAGAGTCACCCCTGCTGTTCCCCGTAGGATGACGCTGGTGTAAAAAGGTTACCGTTGCTTCAGTGGCCCTTGGAGAGGGGAATTGGGGGTTGAGTCTTTCTCAAAGCATTCCCACATCGAGGCTTGTATTTTAATTAACCCTCAATCCTAAGCAAATATGTGATAGCCCACTTGAAGGGTGCAGATTTGCTTGCTTGGCAGAAATTCAGGGGCTCCCTTTTAAGCCGGTTGATGTTTCTCAATCTGGGTCCTTGGACAATAGCCAAACAGCAGCAGCAAGCCTCTCCTATCTGCTTGCACAAAGGTGGCACAAATTGCTACTGTTTCTATGACAACTGATGGCTTTTTTCCCCCACTTCTTAAAAGCCACCTGTATGATGGACAGCAGCATGTGGAAGAAATGTGCGAGGCAGTGACTAGCCTGGTAGACTGCCCGAGCAATGTATACCGCGATTTTATTGTCTTCACCAGTCGTGGCTCTTTGTCTCCGAGTTCTTTCCATTGTTTGCCATGCAAGTCACATAGAAGGAGGAATAATAGCTGTTAGGCTGAAGGAAGAGAGACCCCAGCAATTTGTATGCAATCTCATTTGAACTCTTGGATTTGGGAAGGCAGTTTTGCTTCCCCCCCTTTTTTTTTTTTTTTCTAAACTGCTGCTCAGCTTCTTGTGCTTAATGAGGCTTTTCAGAAGGGAAAACTAGCAAACAACAAAACATGAGTTCTGCCCTTTAAGCAATTGCTTTCTAAATTCTTTATCAGAATATAGTTGTACTATCAAGGTGAGTAAAGAATTTCTATATTTGTAATTTACAGTGCCTTACGTCAAACAAGTCAGATTGCGTGGCTCCTGTAACAGCAGTGGCATTTAACATCCCATTTCAATGAATGAGGGATCTATAGGAAAAATTAACTTTCTGAAGATAATAATTACCTAATTAAGTTAAATATTTCTGGTTGGTGGTTCCCAGTGAGAGGGCTGAATATCTTTGGAAGGGCATAAACGTCAGTGCAAGGTGTGGCAAATCTATTAGAGAATCACTATGTCGACAGTCTGAATAAATACAATGACTCCCACAGATTGGTCATTTTATTTTTGAACTGTGACTAGATACTGTTTCAAATAGCAAAGTGCAAATGTATTTACTTTTTTTCCTTTTTTTTTTTTTTTTTTTTTTTTTTGAGATAAGGTCTCACTCTGTAGTCCAGACTGGAGTGTAGTGGCAGGATCTCGGCTCACTCCACCTCCACCTCCTGGGTTCAAGCAATCCTCCTGCCTCAGCCTCCCAAGTAACTGGGGTTACAGGCATGGAGCTGGGATTACAAGCGTGCATCACCACACCTGGCTAATTTTGTATTTTTAGTAGAGACAAAGCTTCCCATATTGCTCAGGTTGGCCTCGAACTCCTGACCTCAAGTGATCCGCCCACCCCGGCCTCCCAATGTGCTGGGATTACAGGCGTGAGCCACCACGCCTGGCTGCAAATGTATTTTCAAAAGTAGCTAAATTACTAGAAGCTTCTGGCCATTATTTTTTCAGTCAATAGATACAAAACAAACATCTGCTATAATGGGGGAGGGGTATCAACAATTTTTAATGTTAGGTAAGGGTTCTTGTAGGCAAAATATCTTGGAAATTGTACTCTGTAGTTTCCCCAGATGGGTAAAGAAGTTTCAAGAACATTTTGGGAGCTAGGGTATCAGAAGTCTAAGGAGGTGTTTAGAGATTGCGTAAGCTGTCTGCGCAGCAAGTATAGAGATCACACTATAGACAGAGAGATTTAGGTAAAAAACAAGTCCTGGGTTCAAGATCAGATGGCCAGAAGGGGGCAGTGTGGGGAACAGTCTTGCATCTAGTTATTGACCCTAGCAGGTGATGTAGAGGTTTGCGTGAGACAGAGAGAACCCAGAAATAAGGGGGCTTGACTTAGAGAATCTCTCTGAGTCCTTCTAGCTTTGATATTCTGAGGCTTTGTATCATATAGCAAGCAGCTTTAAACTACCTAGGCTGATTGCTTTTGGGGGCTTCGAGAGCAGTGATGGGGTGCAGAGCATGCTACCCCCAAATATGGCACCTTGGTATATTATTTTAAGCTGCTGGAAACTGCAGAAGCAGGATGGTCACTCTCTAACCTTCTTCTGCCTTTCTCCCCCGAAGCAGACCATAAGAGAATTATCTATTTATCTTCTCTAAAAGGAGGTCTTAAGACCCTTGTTCTGGAGGGTTCCTTCCTTATACCCAGAGGGCAAGACGAATCTGAACAAACAGGACTTGCTATGTTTTCTCAGCTTATTACCATCAGATCATATCCTTTTGTCTTCCAAACTTCTACACACCTGTCCACAAAAATACAGTTTTCCCTTGTTTCTTTGGGTCTTCATTTCTAAAGCTCCCATATCATGTAAAAATTTTATTAAATTCGTTATGCTTTTCTCATGTTACTCTGTCTTTTGTTATAGGGTTCTCAGCTGTGAACTTTGGGATGGGTTAGGAAAAGATACTATTTTTTTCTCCTCTGCAGCAGAAATAATAGCAAAGTTACACAAGTTACATGGCACCTGCACTTGGTTGGAAAACTTGTGGCTTGGGAACTTTCTTGGGAACTTCATTCCGTAATAGTGTGTTATGGGTCTTCTCAGAAAAAGACTTCATCTCCTCAATTCACCCCTTTTTATTTTTAAGTATATTAGCAGTAGCAAACATTGCGTGAGGGCTCAGAACTGGAGAAACTTCTTAGTTCCAAGATTTCAGAGCAGACTCTGCAAAGGATGGGGCAAAGATGCTCTGAAGGATCCCAAATTATTAAGTGACCTTTGTATGCCTATCTGTAAAATGGGACTCAAGCCAGTGACCCCGTTTTTAAGTTAGTGGTGGTAATATTGTATAACTTAAAAAGCATTTTGCCCAATAAATGATAGTGTTCAAGCCTAAGAGTCTTAAGCTTGTTTTGTGAAACCAGCTCAGTCTAAATGATATGGCGAATAAGATAGTGGAAAAAATAAATTATAGCTTTTGAAGGCTTCTTTTTTATTGAAAAATAGTCATATTAATATTAAACTTATGTTCTCCATGACGTTCATAAAATTTGATATAAAATATTGCCAGCTCATCTGATGAATGGCTAAACCCTTCAATTTACCCAATCTTCCCCTATAATTAACATCCTATTTTGCCATTTTCTTTATCTGGGAAACATTTGCAATGAGTGCTATATAACCACTGCCTCCAAGTTAAGTTTAATTTAGTTTTATCAATGTTTATGCATAGATAATTATTCTTAAGTGTGTAAATGCAAAAATATAGATTTCTTGTTGGTGCAACCTTTTTTTCTTTTTGTCTTGGTTTCTCGCTTCCCCACAATCACTCCCATGTCAACACCTTTGCATGTATTCTTTCTTGTATATTTATCACACACAAATATTCAATTCTATCTATGTCAACACTTGTACACTGACTAGGGTTTTGGAGTATCTCACTCCTTTACCTGTCGTTTATAGACAGGTTCCTTCCTTACCACCTTTTTGCTATGTACGTTCTTTAGTGACATACAGTTACCAAATCCAATGACTATTTTGTAGTGACCCCTTTTCTAGGCTAGTGTTGATAACATCATATAACTTTTTTTTTTTTTTTTTTTTTTTTTTTTTTTTTTTTTGCCATGGGGTCTCACTCTGTCGCCCAGGCTGGAGTACAGTGGAGCAATCTTGGCTCACTGCAACTCCTACCTCCCAGGTTCAAGCAACTCTCCTGCCTCAGCCTCCCGAATAGCTGGGATTACAGGCACACGCCACCATGCCCAGCTAATTTTTGTATTTTTAGTAGAGACGGGGTTTCACCATGTTGGCCAGGCTGCTCTCAAACTCCTGACTTCAGGTGATCTGCCCGCCTCGGCCTCCCAAAAGGTTGGGATTACAGGCATGAGCCACTGTGCCTGGCATAACTTTAAAGCATTTTGCCTAATAAATGATAACATTCAAATCTAAGAGTCTTAAGTCTGTTTTGTGAAACCAGCCCAATCTAATGATATGGCAAATAAGATAGAAGAAAAAAATAAAATAAACTTTCAATGGCCTCAATTTTATTTAAAAAAAAAAAATTAAAAAAAGTCATAGTGATATTAAACTTATGTCTTCATGTGATTCATTAAATTTAATATAAAATATTGCTAGTTCATCTGTGACCTCTTGTGATAAGGAAAGCAACTCCTGTTATTAACAGAACTGTGCATCATATATTCTAAAAGGCAAAAACTTCTTTTTGTTTTTTTTGAGACAGAGTCTCACTCTGTCACCCAGGCTGGAGTACAGTGGCACAATCTCGGCTCACTGCAACCTACACCCCTTGGGTTCAAGCGATTCTCCTGCCTCCGCCTCCTGAGTAGCTGGGATACAGGTGAATACCAACGCTGCCAGCTAATTTTCATATTTTTAGTAGAGACAGGGTTTCACCATGTTCGCCAGGCTGGTCTCGAACTCCTGACCTCAGGTAATCTGCCCTCCTCAGCTGCCCAAAGTGCTGGGATTACAGGCATGAGCCACCACGCTTGGCCATAAAAGGCAAAAACTTAATAAAGAGATATTTAATGTTTCTCTCCCATGATTAAATATTGTAATCCCATTAGAGATCCTATGTTGAACAAATACCATGATCCCTCTCAAATGGTACTGGATCCCTGTCAAGTAGTCCCTCCTGAGGTTCCACTGGCTTGTGACTACGAGTTCCATCTTCATCTCTACCACCTGTCATGAGGTTTCATACTTTCTCCCCGACTTCTGATCCAAAGGCAGCTCCTGGAGGGGGTCTTACGTTGTATTCATGTGTTTAAAAATAACCCTCTGCTTTCGTTGTGTGAATGACTGGGGTGTGGTGACCCCAGAAACTTATTGGTGAGCCCTAGCCTTCTTCCTTCCTGCATGCAATTCAGTCCTTGTAGAAAGCAAAGTCTTGTTTTTATTTTTTATTATCATTATTATTTTTTGAGATGGAGTCTTGCACTGTCGCCCAGGCTGGAGTGCAGTGGTGCGATCTGGGGTCACTGCAAGCTCTGCCTCCTAGGTTCACGCCGTTCTCCCAACTCAGCCTCCCGAGCAGCTGGGACTACAGGTGCCCCCCACCACACCCGGCTAATTTTTTTTTTGTATTTTTAGTAGAGATAGGGTTTCACCATGTTAGCCAGGATGGTCTTGATCTCCTGACCTCATGATCTGCCCGCCTCGGCCTCCCAAAGTGCTGGGTTTACAGGCGTGAGCCACAGAACCCGGCAAGTCTTGTTTTTATTATGTAAGATCTGTGTATGCCTCTCATCCCACCCCAGCACTTAACCACTGATATGGTTTGGCTGTGTCCCCACCCAAATCTCACCTTGTAATAATTCCCACATGTCAGGAGCGGGGCCAGGTGGAGATAATTGAATCATGGAGGCAGTTTCCCCCATACTGTTCTCATGGTAGTGAATAAGTCTCACAAGATCTGATGGTTTTTATAAATGGGAGTTCCCCTGCACAAGCTCTCTTGCCTGCTGCCATGTGAGATATGATTTTGTTCCTTTGCTTTCCACCATGACTGTGAGGCCTCCCCAGCCATGTGGAACTGTGAGTCCATTAAACTTTCCTTTATAAACTATCCAGTCTTGGGTATGTCTTTATTAGCAGCATGAGAACAGACTAACACAACTACCTTCTTAAACCTCTCCTCACTTGCCTCTCAGGAACTTTTACTTGATTGGCACCCTCCCTACCTCTGCCCCAGGGATGCTATCGTTCATTTATCCTCTTCTCTACACACATTTGGGAGCCCAACAGCTCCTAGGACATTAACCATTATCTTTTGCAGCAACTCCCAAATATCTCTGTCTAGCCTTGCTCTATCTTACCTATAACATGAACAATCAGGTGGATATTTCAATTTAGCTGCTCCGCTGTTGCCTTCTCTTTGACATGAAACTGTCAATTAATTAATTAATGCTCCCACTTCTTTATTTACCTTTTATCAATTCTGTGTTTAAAATGATCATTCCTGGCACTAGGTGCAAATTATTAGAATTATCTTTCTCACTTAATCTCATATCTATATCTGATCTATTGCAGTTTTAGTTAAGATAATGCTAATTGATATAGAAAATAAGTAAAAACTATTATCATGGATAATAGCTCATGATAGCAGCACATTTCTCAATCATATTACATCCCTAATAAGAGTCCCTAGTCACTGGGTAGCTCTCCTTTAAACAGGCAGAAGGGACCTGAGCTCCTTCCATCCTTTCACTCTATCATGTCCTAGGCTCTGTGGCTGCTTGATAGAAGGGGAAAAGAACAAGGAGGGTAAGGTGTGGGAGGTTTTCGGCTCAGACCTGGAAGTGTTGCCTTGCCCCTCACTTATGTTATGCTCCTTTGGCTGGAACTTAGGCACCTCACCAATGTAACTGTAAAGGTGATTGGAATGTATAGTTTAGCTGTGTGTCCTGGAAAAGGAACAAATGCAAGGAAGCTGGCCAGTCTCTGCCAGTTGCCAAATCACGCAGATTGTTCTTCTGTAGTCTTTCCCATCCATGTCCTTTGCCCATTTCCATGGCTACTGTGCTAGTGCAAGCCCTTATTGTGTTGTATGTGGAATACCACAATGTTTGCTGAATGATTTGTCTTCTAAGTTGTTTTCCTATGTCTAGTCTTTTCTCCTGTAATGAATTTTGATCCAACAACCAAAGTGAGCTTTTCAACCTACTCAGTGACTCCATGTTGCATAGTGTTCAGAGCTCTCCAAAGTCTGCCTCTGTATTCTTATTTCTCTTGATTCAACTTCCTGGGCCCTTTTGTATCGTCAAACTGATCTATTTAAAGTATCTGGTCTTCAGGTTCTTCCTCACTCAGTTTCTTCCACCTAACTTTAAACGGTGACATATTATAGCTGAGTGAATAAACTGACTTAGGAGTCAGAGTGCCTAAATTATGGTGCTGCCACTAATTAGCTGTATGATTTTTCTATGCCTGTTCTCTTTTGAAAAAAAAAAATCAAGGTATAAAACCTACCTGTCCATGTTTAGAAGTATAAATAAGTTTGTATAAATAATGCCCTGAGTTGATTGGTATTCACATAATAGTTATTAAATGAGCAATTTGCAGTTACTAAGAATGTCCTTCTCCATTGGTAACCACTCAACTCCCACACTTTAGTCAATATTTTGCCTAAGCATCTTCAAAATTTTGAAACCTTCCCAGTCCGTTCTATCCCAAATGATCTCTTACTATTGTGAATCATTGAATCTACTTATTTGGCAATTAATCTTGTAACGGTTTATGATATTTTTATGTGCACAGGACTTTTAATGTTATCTTCTGTTGGAAATACCCTTCCTGTGAAGTTCCCCTGCTTGCCAGTGAGATTTGGAGAACTGACTGTGGCTTATGTGTGCTTTAATCTTCAGTGCCTTGCATAGTGATGTTTTTTGGTAAGCATATCAATAAGAGCTCTTTAATTTAGTAATAATAAATACATTTCTAGTGTTCATTGTTGCAGTCCTGGCCATGGAGTGAATCGGCATGTAAATGTTTATTTGGTAGATTTTAAGGTACCAGTTAGAAGGTTTTTGCTACTCCAAATTATGAGAATCCAAGCTCATAATTATGAAGAAATTGATGGAACTGTGAATACTGAGCTTGCTGGCATCCTGGCCCCCCACTGGGGCCATTTGAACACTTCACATTAGTAATCACTTCCTTGCAGGGTAGTGTGGGCCCCCCATGAGCAGTTAATTAGGGGAAGCAGGTTTATTACTGCAAAGTGGTTGAGTTTAGAACAAGCTAAATAAGAAGATTGAAATCATATTGGAAGAAACATGGGATATTAATACATTGGCTGTAAGTAATGAAAGATAAGGATAGCATTAAATTCTAGCAACAATATATTAACTGCAAGGGAACTAATTTGTAAATGAGTGCTTTGCCTCTCTCTGAGATGGATTTTCATCTGATGAAAGGACCACGAGAACGGCCACCACGGTGACACCTTTGGTAAGATTTGAGTGTAGTTCTTAGTAGCTGCGTTTTCTGGGGCTCATTGCAATGTTTGGACTTGGATTCTTTAGCAGCAAAAGATAATACCCTTGAGGCAGGGGAATAGGGTCTGGAGGCAGGGAAACTAAGGACTTCCTAGAACTAAATCCCAACCTTCTTCACCCACGTAAGTAATTTTGTAACTTTACCTTAACTATGGCAGAAAACATCCTCTTCATTTGCATAGGGTGTACACTGAGTAAATAACTTTGTAACTTCATTTCCTCTTCATTTATATAGGGTGTGCACTAAGTGACCAATGGGAAACCTCTAGAGGCTATTTAAGCCCTGGAAAATTCTGTAACCAGCACTCTTGATCCGCTTGCTTGGGCTGCTCCTACACTGTGAAGTGTGCTTTTGTTTTCAATAAATCTCTGCTTTTGTTGTTTCATTCTTTCCTTGCTTTGTTTGTGCATTTTGTCCAATTCTTTGTTCAAAATGCCAAGAACCTTGACACCCTCCACCAGTAACACCCTGGAGAGGGGCAAAGAGAAGTTTTTTTTTGTTTTGTTTTAAAAAAACTTCATATTCCTTTAATAGACATGAAAAAAAGTCACTGATGCCTTCTGATAGTGTGTTTTTATGACATGCCTAGGAGTGGATGCCAAACACAATGGGGTTTCCTGGCCTCCTTAGGTGGATGGGTATGGGGCAGAGGGAGTAATAGTGGTGGGAGTTTTCCAGGGTTTTGCTTGCCCTTTCTGTAACAAGGTGGTATTCAGAGTGGGACAGATACTTAGGAGAGGAGCTTGGAGGGAGGTAGATGAGGAACCAAAATCTTTTCCCTTGGCCCTAATTTGCTCCTGAAATCATCCCACTGTCAAGGCAGGAAGAAGGAAATACGGAGCCAAAAGGGCTAGTGGAGAGAGGGGAAAAAAAATCACCATTGTTCCATGTGGCTGGGCTTTGACAATACTTTATAATAAAGATTTGAAGGCTGCTCTCTGGAGACTATCCAAAGAACAAGCAGTGTTTTGTGGAACCATGTCGAATGTTAAGGGGACATTTGAGCTTTCTTTAACATTTACCTTTCTTTCTTTTCTGATTGACCTCAAATTTGAGTTACATTAATATTATTTAACGTAGTCCAGATCTTTGCTCTCCTTGCTAAATATCCTACAACATTTCCTTTAATTTTATGGAAAGAGACCTAGAGACATGAAGGTAGATTAGTGATTTACTAGATCTACAAATTAGTAGCAAAACCAAGACTAGAATACAAAACTGGGGATGAGCAATTATTTGCTTTAACTATTATATGTTCTTTGTTACCAGTGAAGAGCTTATTGTGTTGCTAAGATACAGTCTGGTCACCATTGAAGGGCATTGTTCTATGTACAATGAAGACACTGGGCTTGATTCATTGCCTTGGGGTCTTAATCATATTATTTATTTCTTCAGTTCACAAAATTTTATAATTCACCATGGGTGTTTTAGTTAATTAGTACAAATTGGAAAGGTCTTATAGAGTACATAATTATTTCCTACAGGACCCTCTTTGGTGATTATAAATCCAGTTTCAGTGAATCTTGACAAGGATAAAAGCAATTACTTCAAGTTCGTAGAAAACCTCACAGTTCTCATGTTTTTCAGTATTGTCCAGTAAATTCTGCATTATAATTTTAATGTCAAATTATATCTTTTGAATTATACACACCTCAACATGTATGGATAAACTTAGAAACTTTAGTAGAGTCCTTCTCCAAAGACTTATTCACTAAATCTCTAGACCTCTTCTTTGCATCTTAAATACCCAGGCAACAAGAATTGGTAGAGACACTTACGAAACTGTAGAAAAAGCCAGGTTCTTGTCACACGACCAGGAAAAGTTAGGCACGAAGACACTTTGAAGTGTGAGGGGGAACGGAATGTATTGGACAAAAAGGAAAGGGAAAAATAACTCTCTGCAAAGCTAGAGAAAGTCCTGCTAGCAGGTTTCCCATCTCACAGATTGAATCCCAGGTTACTACGTGGGAACCGGAGAGACCAGGCTCCTCCCCGTCCTCCCAGTGCGCAGGTGGGCATTATTCAGAAAGAATCAGCTGGGAAAGGGCAGGCTTCATCCGGACCAGCAGTCTGGTTTTTCAGCTTCAAGCTGCTTTAGGCTTTAAGGAGGGGTTTCGCCCGGGGACCTTTGGCTAACTCCTGTCGCTGTCGAAACCAATATTGCATTTTTTTTCTTGCATAGAAATTCTAATGCGCAGTGGCTCACGCCTGTAATCTTAGCACTTTGGGAGGTTGAGGTGGGCAAATCACTTGAGGTCGGGAGTTCGAGACCTGCCTGGACAACACGGTGAAACACCCCCGTCTCTACTAACAAAATACAAAAAATTAGCTGGGCGTGGTGGCGTGCACCTGTAGTCCCAGCTACTCGGGAGGCTGAGGCAGGAGAATCGCTTGAACCTGGGAGGCGAAGGTTGCAGTGAGTCAAGATTGTGCCACTGCACTCCAGCCTGGGTGACAGAGCAAGATTCTGTCTCAAAAAAAATAAAAATTAATGCTAATTTATTCTCTAATCAGATTTTATTGAAATGGAATGCAGCTTGGTTTACGATCTTTTTTTAGTGGTATTAACTATTTTCTATCTACCCATTTGTTAGATAATGAACAGTAGGTAGTTTTTCTTTCTCACTGTGAAGCATAAGGATAGAATGTTCCAAGTCTGTAAAAGCATTAGTGCCATTTAGAATCCAAAATGTGAAAAGTTCAACATAATTAACACAGAGTAACAGTTTGCTTCACAGCATTTTAAAATTGACATATCATAGACAGTTGTACTGCTTCTGAGTTTGGTAACATTAATAAACAAGTACTTGTAATTTAAGAGTAATTATGAATCCATCCATGAGTGATTTTCTAATGAAGTCAAATAAAGAAATCAGCAGTTGGGAAGCATTCTTTAGTTCTTAATTAGGAAACTAGCAGCAAGTTAACAGTCATAATTTTCATCCAGTCCTTCCCATCGTATTGCTCTTATGTAATGGTATGATAAAGTCATTGTGTTTGGAGAATGACCAGTTTGACAGCACAGTACTTGGAGCTATGAAATCCTTTTCTCTGCCACTCTCAGAAGCAGTGCTATTCATGTAACATACTTAATACTTGGCAGAAAGAAAAGGCTTTGAGATCCTTGGATCTCAACGTGCTGTAGAAAATTATAGCATATTTAATTCTTCCAAAGAAGACCATGAGGAAGACATGTGACAAATACTACTGGACTCATTTTACAGGTAGAGACATTTGACAATGTAGCTGACTTAGTCAAAGCACTACAAGGAAAGAATGTAGATGCTTATTTCCATATTTCCAAAAGACAAGTGAATAAACTACTGATCAAACAAAGCTGAATTCATTACTTGCTGATTTAGGGAGAACACCCCCTTGACAATGTCTAAGGTTTCAGAAGATAGAGCTTAGGGGCATAAATTTATAGGGTTTGGAGGTCTGGTTGAAAGTAGGTTCACTTTCAATGTAGTGGTCTGATTGGATCAGACAAAGTTCAGATTATAACACTTTAGGATTTGTAGACCAATAATTCACACTTTTACTTTCCTGGGCAAGAATTTTCTGAAATAAATAGTAGAGGCATATTGACATAAGAACCTTCATTTTTAGGCCTGATAATTCAGTTGTAGAAGAGCAGTCCCATAGGACCCTGATCAGATTAGTTCAGAATTTATCCATCTATCCACTCACCTATCTGTCTGTTCATCCATTTATCCATCTGTCCATTCAACCAATATTCATTAAGCAGTTCTTATATTTCAGGCACTGTGACAGATACTAGGGAGGCAGACATAAATGACATAGTTTTTGGCCTTATTGGGCTCATAGTCTAATGAAGACCACTGATACCTTAATGATGGCTATTATTACTAGTAGTATTATTACTTATTTTTATTTTTATAGAGACAGGGTCTCCCTACGTTGCCCAGGCTGGTCTCCAAGTCCTAGACTCAAGGGATCCTTCTGCCTTGGCCTCCCAAAGTGCTAAGATTACAGGCATGAACCACCACGCCTGGCTGACCTGAAGAAATGGTTATGATAGCAAATGCTGTTGTGGTAGGAATAAAATAGGGGGAGATAAGATGAGAAAAGTAGGTTGTTGCTTAATTGTAAAGGGCCTCAAATGCAATGTTCAGAAAGTCTAGCTCTGTTTGGTAGGCCAGGAATTTTTACTCTTGGCTGCACTTTAACATCACCAGGAGATTAAAAAAAAAAAAAAGATAACGGCCCCACCCAGACCAATTAATGTCAGAATCTCTGGGATAGGGTCTGGACAGTTAATGCCCTGGTAATTCTACTGTATAGGTAGGACTGGAAGACCCTGACAAAGTGACTGAGGTGCCATCAAGGTTTTTAATGAAGTCAATGACAACTTTTGAAGTGTGTACAAATGATGGAGGATTGAAGCAACTAGAGATGGAGACCACTTAGGAGATTCTTGCAATATTTGAGGTGTGATCTCAATGGAGGCAGGGGCAGTGACTCTGAAGAAGCAGGCAGATTCAAGAGGCACTTTGGAGTTATTTTTGATTCTCCTTTGATTAGCTACCTCAGTCCTTCACTTTCATCACAATGTCTTGCAAGAACAGAAAAAGTGCTCAAAAATGCACGAACCGAATTAACAGAAATGTTGACATTTACTGTGCGAACAGAAGCATAGTAGAGGGTAAAATCAATCTCACACGATGTGACTTTTTTCGGAGGAAGAGTGTGGGACTTGGGAGTCAAAGCACTAAGGGTTGGGACTTGGCTTTGCCTTTGATGACTTGCTTGAGCTAAGTAAGTCCTAAACTGCTGAGGACTTGGTACAAGGAAGACCATGTTTTCTGCTCTGAAATCCTGCCAGGAAAGGATGTTGAACATTAAGAAGAAAATAGATAACAAATTGGGCCTAGGGGAACTCTCTAAGCCCAACACTAAAAGATTTCTCTATGATTGGGATCTTAATGCTGTCACTACTCTAGAAATTAGGCAAAGGGCTCCTCTAAAGGCTTGGTTCTTAGGCCCCCAGCCCTTGTCCTTCATATAGCTCTTGTCCTTCACATCTTCTGTGTTGCCCCTTTCCTGAAGGGTCTTCTCAGTGCAAAGGGTGGCAGGCATTCTTTAGGAATGGCACAGTGTTGCCAAAGTAAATAGCCCCTACTCTCTGTCAGGTACTTGCTAATAGTTTTTTGCATTATTCAATCCTCACAGCAAAAGGAATAATAGCTGGTGCATGAATACTGTAGCTTTCTGCTACTGACCATAGCAAGGCATTAGTGCAACAGTCCCTTAAAATAAGCTAGTAAATTTCCTACAAATTAGTGGGAGAGAGCCACAAAGTTAGGGTTTATTCTATCCTCACAACAATCCTGTAAGTGAGAATTAGTCAATCCTCACAACAATCTCGTAAGTCACATGCTATTATGATATCCATTATACAGATGAGTAAACTGAGGAATTTTTTTTGAAGCTCTGGTTTAGATAGAGTCTCAGTTTCTTGCCCAGGGTGAGTGCAGTGGCGTGATCTCGTTCAACGGTAGCCTCTGCCTCCTGGGCTCAGTTGATCCTCCCACCTCACCCTCCCAAGTAGGTGTAATTACAGGCATGTGCCACCAAGTCCAGCTAATTTTTGTGTTTTTAGTAGAGGCAGGGTTTTGCCATGCTGGCCAGGCAGGTCTCGAACTCCTAGCCTCAGGTGATCTGTCTGCCTCAGCCTCCCAAAGTGCTGGGATTACAGGCATGAGCCACCATGCCCAGCCACATGTTCCCTTTAATTAATATACTTTATCATATGTCATCTGAGAACACAGCCTGATATTAGGTGCATGGAAGGATACAAATGTAGTGGTGCCATTGGTTCTTCCATTATAGGAACTTGGACAGGTTGTTTTATCTTTCTGGAAGTCATCTACTTTGTAAGTTGAGAGGATGAGACTCAAAAATATGACCATCTTTTGTTTACTCTACACATTGTAGTCACAACACATTCTCATTAGCAACTTCTCTCATTGAGCACAGTGACTATTGTTGAGGAATTATTTAATGGATTCTCCACCTTTTTACCTTAAAATTCCTGGACTCAGTTATTTTCCAGTTTCTAGAACATTTATTCTACATTTGTGGTATTTGCCTTCATGCAAAGTAGTTGTGTGAGGCATCTAACAGCTATTCTGAGATATTTTATCACAATTTTCATGACAGGAAGATAAAGTATAGTGAAATACTTTAAAAACACTTCTTATTAAACATATGCTTGTCAAGCTATCTTTATGTGCTGGCTATTCTGCGAGGCTCCTTGGAAAGTGTGGAGAGCAGGAGCAAATCTGGATCTTACTCCTGCTTTCAGTCAGGTCAGTGAGGCAGACACTTAATCGATGATGGCACTAATTGATATACAGTTATAAACACAGGTAAATTCTCTGAAGGAAGGGATGAGTTTCTGTGAAAAACTGTAACAACGAAGCTGACTTAGACTGGAGTGGCAAGAAATCTTCTGGAAGGTGATGGTTTAGCTAAGACACAAATGATGAGTAGATTATTAACTAAGCTAGAGGTAGGAGTGGAGAGAGGGAGCCGTGGGAGTGGCATGTGTTAAAACCTTGTGGTGGAAGAAAATTGCTGAGCCCAAGGAACTGAAGGAAGGTCAGTGGGGCTACAGAATAGAGAACAAGGTAAAGGATGGTATTACTTGATGCTCGAAAGTGAAGAAGGGCCAGAAATGCAGGACTTTTTAGTCTACACGAAAAATTTTGATCCTTAATTTGCAATTTGTGGGGAGTCAATAATGGTGTTATAAGGGGCAACATCATCAGATTTTGGTTTTGAAAACATCACACAGGCTGATATGTGGTGAATGTGCTGGAGGAGGTTAAGATACAGGCAGACCATCTAGTAGTAGGCTTTGCAAGAGGTGATGGCAGCTTGGGTGAGGGTAGAAGCAGTGGACATAATAAGGAGCGAACATATTTGAAAAATACTGAAGCCAAGATTCTGGTGTATTAATCTGTTCTCACACTGTTACAAAGAAATACCTGAGACTGGGTAATCTATAAAGAAAGGAGGTTTAATTGGCTCAGGGTTCAGCAGGCTATAAGGAAGCATGGCTGGAGAGGCCTCAGGAAACTCAATCATGGTGGATGGCAAAGGGGAAGGAGGCACGTCTTACATGGCTGCAGCAGGAGGAAGAGAGCAAAGGAGGAAGTGCCACACATGTTTAAACAACCAGATCTAATGAGACCTCACTCACTATCACAAAAACAACAAGGAGGAAATCCACCCTTAGGACCCAGTCATCTCCCACCAGGCCCCACCTCCAACACTGGAGATTATTTGACATGAGATTTGGGTGGGGACACAAATCCAAACCATATTATCTGGCTTGGTGCCATTCACTGAAATTGAGAACTCTGGGGTAAGATTAGGTTTTAGGGACAGAGCATGAGTTTTGCCATGTACCTATTGAGATTGGGTTGCCTTCAAGACTTTCGATTAGCGATTTCATGGTTGGAGTTAGGCATCTTGTTTGAGAGCTCAGAGGAGAGGTCTGGGTGGCAGTATGTGTTTGAGAGTCTTAGAGACTAGAGATGCTGGGAAAAAGCATGGGTCTAGATGAAATTGCCTAAGGAGAGAACAAAGAGTAAAAAAAGGCGGTAGAGGGCACAGTCTTGAGGAACTCTACCATGGGGACTGGCAAAGGAAAAAGAGACAGCAAAGCAGGCAAAAATAAATAAATAAATAAAAATGAGAGATGAGAGAGGAAAATCAGGCCAGTGGGGTGTCCTGGAATCTGAAGGAAGGAGTGTTTTAAGTTGAGGGAGCATCACATGTCCTAAATGCTAAAAGGTGCCCTTTGGATTTGTTGACTTGGCAATTAAATGCCGTGGCATGTTGGTCACAGAGACCATTTAGGAGTGAGTTTTAGTGAGTGGAAGGTGAGAAAATGGAAACAGTGGTTTAGACAACTCTTTTAAGAGAATGGCTGTGAAGAGCAGCAGCTAAATTGAACTGTAGTGATGAGAGTTGCGTTTTTTTTTTTTTTTTCTTAAGATGGTTTAATCATGGGCATGTATAATTGTTGATGAGAGGGATCCAGTTGAAAGGGAGAGATTGATTTCTGCAGAAGACAGAAGGTCCCAGGGATGAGGGAAAGTGAGTTTTCCAAAGCATGGGTACATGAATGGGCCTGGGAGGAGGGTCACTTCCTCTAACATAAGAGGAAGAATGAGGCAGAATATGGGTACACATGTTTGGAAGGTCACTGGTTCTCTCTTTCTTATAATTATTTACTCATTATAATTCTTTCAATCCTAGGCTTTCAGGGAGGGAAGAAACGTTTTTCCCCAATTATTTTGCTTTTAAAATTATTCCTTCTTATTTTAAAGAGCACTTACATTCTCCTTAAACCTTCTGTTTTCTTCATTTTTCTTTCCAACAGATTCATTAACATTTTCCTTTATTCAAATTCTCACTCATGATCTCCTGTATAGGACTGAGGCAAATTGCTTAACACCTCAAAATTAAACCCTCTCACAAAATATTTTTGCTGTTTTCAAAAAGATTCAATATAAGAAAGATGTTTATAATTTTTTCAGAAATTGAATATACATGACAAGTGATTCAAATACTGTATTTATAATCATTACCTTCAGTTCTTAGATTGAAATAACCAGTCTTATTAGTTTCAGCAAAACCAATTAAGCATGCAACTTTATTGAAAGCAATTGTGACTTTGGGAAGCCACAAAGGAAATAGAAAAATGAGTAATTTCAAATATATAACACCTCAGTCCTTTGTGTTGGTGAAGTCTCCTTAACCTTCTGTGAGAGGAAAACCTGCCTAGAATTCTAATTACTGTGCCTGAAAACTAACAAGTATACATTCTAGTCAGAGCATTATTTGCAATTTGATTGCTGAGAAATTGATCCGTTCCATTCAGGAGTAAGGCATCCTGTTTCCAAGACAACAAAGAGTTGGACTTTAAAATTATTGATCCAGTTGCTTTGGCTACCATAATGGTGAAACGAGATTGATGGACCATAATCTGACAGTTGCTGGGAGATCCCTTATTAGTCTTGAGCTTCCTACTTCAGGAGTAACTGTACATAATTCCTAAACCTTTACAGCCAAAATGAATCCTTTTTGCTGATCATCGTACAGAAAGCAGTTTCATTGGAATGTAATTCTGTTTTTCCAACTTTAGTCGGACATAGGCTGCAAAATAAATCTGGGGAGTAGAAATGTTCTCTCTCAGCTATTCCTCATCACGAATTCCCACACTGTTTCCTTTAAAAAAATGACCTGCTGCAAAAAACAATTACTCAGGAAGACAGCTGATTGCATCTCCTTTCTACTCTTGACCAACCATGCGATATATTTCCAAATAGTTCATCACTCCATAGTTCTTTCTTGAATGTTCTCTCCAGCATCCAACATTTTGCACCAACTAAAGTGCCAGGTCCTTGTCTGCCTGTCCTATATTTTTACAGTTACACTGACTTGGGGGATTGTTCTTGATTGTTTACTGCATTAGATGGTCATCATGTTTCCTCCATTCCTCACAGGTGACAGTATATACATCCAACAACAACCAGTGAGTCTATTGTCTGGGAAAAAGAAGAGCAGATCAGGTCATGCTCCTAAGGAATCGTTCATCCTGCAGCAAATGCAATTATGTGGTATTCAGTGACGACAATACATCCACCAAGATGAGGGCATGGAATTTGGCAAAAGACCTTTTCCCTAATCTGTGAACTTATTTATGACAAAAGTCTGACAGAATTATATAAATGAAACCACAGTTTTCTATCAACAAATTCTGTTCCATAAAAAATCCCCGGTTGGGCGCAGTGGCTCACGCCTGTAATCCCAGCACTTTGGGAGGCTGAGGCGGGGGGATCACGAGGTCAGGAGATCCAGAGCACGGTGAAACCCCGTCTCTACTAAAAATACAAAAAATTAGCTAGCCGCGGTGGCGGGCGCCTGTAGTCCCAGCTACTCAGGAGGCTGAGGCAGGAGAATGGCGTGAACCCGGGAGGCGGAGCTTGCAGTGAGCTGAGATCGCGCCACTGCACTCCAGCCTGGGTGACAGAGCGAGACTCTGTCTTAAAAAACAAAACAAAACAAAACAAAACAAAACAAAACCCCACAAGTTTCCTGAGAAAGCTGAACTAGTTCTATAGGTTGAAGTAAATCTAATTTATTTCATTTCATTTTAATTCAGCAAATATTTCTTGACTACTAACCCTGTACCTGGTACTGTGATAGGTGTCGTGAATGCAAATCCCAGCACTCAAAGGACTTACTGTCTTCTGGGGAAGAAAGATAATTAAACAGCTACAGGACAATGTGATGCTTGCTATAACAGAGGAAAACACAGGATGGTTGGGGAGCTGAGTAAAGGGAATACCTAACTTTTTTTAAGAAATAATTTTTTATTTCAATAGCTTTTGGGGTACAGTGGTTTTTGGTTATACAGATGAACTGTATAGAGATGAAATCTGAGATTTTAGTGCACTGGTCACCCGAGTAGTGTACATTGTACCCAATACATAGATTTTTATCCCTTGCCCTCCCTCCCTCTCCCCCTTCTGAGTCTCCACAGTCCATTATACCACTCTGTATGTCTTTGCTTACCCATAGCTTAGCTCCCACTTAATAAGTGAGAACATACGGTATTTGGTTTTCCATACCTGATTTACTTCACTTAGAATAATGACCTCCAGCTCCATCCACATTGCTGCAAAAGACATCATTTTGTTCTTTTTTATGGCTGAGTAGTAATGAATACCTAACTTTTGAAGGAGGCATTTATCAGACTTCAAGGAGCAGATGACGTGGCACCTGAACTTAATCTTGAAGGGTGAGGTTGGCCAGGCTGACATAGGAGAGGAAGAGAGTCTAAGTTTCAAGAAAATATATGCAAAAGCACAGAAGCACCAAAGAGCATTTTTATGTAAAGAATGGCCAGTCACTGGGGTTGTCTTCAGGCTGATGTGCCTCTAGAGTTTACAAATAGGACAGGTGACCAGGATGTAAAATTTTCCAAGAATCTTTCACAGAGGAGACTGGAGTTGAGTTTATGCTTGGAAATGGCCAACTGAAGGGTAGACAAAAATGAGAGAAGGGGGCATCCTAGATGGGGAAGGGATATCATCAGAGGCATGTTTCTCAAAGCTTTTTTGTCCTGCCACATGTTGAAAATATGAGTGTTCCTATTGAAAGTGAATGCCAACTCCCCAAATACAACCTGTTGAGAAGACAAAGTTTAGTTTATAGTTTACCACCTATACAGAATTTTGACGGTATCTTCGAAGGTGAAAGGCATGGTGAGAATTTACTGAGGATGGTAATTTTGGTTTAAGCCAAGTACTTCAATGCGGGGATTTTATTAGGATTGGGTAAGGATCATGACACAACAGTCCAGGATTGATGGAAACAGCAAGGCAAGGATTTTGAGGCAAGAGATTCAAAGAATCTTAGAGCACAGACTGTTTGTTAGTACTTTCCATTGAAGAGTCAGTGGGCCCGTTTGGAAGTTTTGACATGAACAATCAAAGCAGTGGCCTGGACAACAGACATCTGGGAAGGTAAAGTAATGCTCGTGTAGTAGAATAGTAAAGTCATATGAATGTAGACAGTCACATCTGGTTTCCATTCTTGGTGTCCCTACTGAGGTTATTTAGGTTCTCATTTCATAGTGCACACTGGCATAAACAGGGGAAGCAGCCCGGGTAGAATGGACCACTGATGGGCTTCGGTCAACCTAAGCCCTGACCTAGCCAATGTGGGGGCAGGAGAATACATTCCTTGGCACATCTATAACCCCTCTGTGCCCCAAGTGATCAGCATACTGACTTAGTGTCTCTGCCTTACGGAAAGAGATAAAGACAGAGTCTTTGTGGAAGAATTGTTTGTAAGAACATAAAATTGGAAATAACCTCAACATCCATCAACAAGAGAATGGATGGGTAAATTGTGGTATATTCAAATAAAATGAAATATTGTACAGTAATGAAGAAGAATGAGTAACAACTACAAATACCCATATATGACCTATAAACATACGCTTGAGGGAAAAAAGGATGTTGCCAAATATATATGCACTGTTTTAACCTTTATATACTTAAAAGACTTCTATAGAATGTATGCGTGGACAATTATGAAAAGTATAATGAGATGCATGTAAAAAATAACAATCTGAATAGTGGTTACCCAGGGGACTTCAACTGCAATGGTAATGCTATTTTTAAAGCTAGGTGATAATTTCATGTGTCCATTATATTCTAAAGTTGGGGGCATTAAGACCTTAAATTCTGATGGGTTTTTTTTACTTGTGGAAGTGGCCCCCCGACTCCCAGCAAAAGTAGCATCCCACCCAGTGAAAAGTGGCCTTTTCCCTTCACTCTGAGAAGATTACTTTACATTGCCTGAGGAAACAGTAATAGTCTCTGCTGAGGCAGACACCATACAAGACAATGCTGATTCTCTTCAGATCCAGCATTGGATCACCCCTCTTTGTTCTAGTCCTATAATGAGACTCAAGTCCCGGTAGACCCCTAAAGATGAGGTACAAAGCGCCATGCATGAGGTAATGTGCTACATTTCAAAATAACTAGTTGAGTTTTCTAAGGTATATAAGTAGAAATCCAGGCATACATGTGGGAACGGATATTAATGGTGTTGGATAACAGTGGAAGGAACATAAAGTTAGATCAGGCTGAATTTATTGATAGAGGCTAACTAGGCAGAGATTCTGCATTTAATACTGCAGCTTGGAGAGTTAGAAAGGGCTCTCACATTTTGTTTGGTTTATTGGCTAAGACATGGATCAAAAGGTGTTCCACTGTGAGAAAATTGGAAATGGCTGTTCTGCCTTGGTTTAATGTAGAGAAGAGAATTCAAAGGCTTTTGGAGATTGGAATGTTAGAGTGGATTTGTAATTTAAGACCTATTCACCAACACTGGGATGGTCTGAAAAACATATCCTTACCAATACTTTGAGAAATAAATATGGGAGGAGAAATAAATATGTCTTCTTTGTACACCAGACCTTACAGTGAGAACCATAGCCATTCAGTTAAATTACCCAAATCAATGGGAGTAACTGGGATTCTGGTGTAGCAGGAGCTAAATGGTGGCACTCAACTACCGAAGGCAAAGTAGTTCTGGGTACTGTAATAGCAGAGTCAAAGCAGTAGTCAGAACAGTCTGATTTGCACACACCTATGACACTGGCGAGTAATCATGGCATTCCTAGAAGTGAAACAGATAGGAAGCCTACTAAATTCTTTGTTGATTTGTGTAAGCAGAAAACTTCTAGGTCTTGTAAACAAAAGTCTAACTCAAATTGCAGAAACAAAGAATCATGGCCCTTCGGTCGGTTGCCAAACTTGAGCAAGTTTACAGACCCAGAAGCCATTGAATAAAGGGGAGATTGAGTCCCCTCCAGAAAGGCCCTTGGTACACTACTACAAATTTAGACTGTTAATCTTTCTCCCAGCCTCTCCCAAAGGCACCTATGGCCTTTTATTAGGGTAACTGTGTGTTGGGAAAAGGAAATAATCAGAATTTTGGGGACTACTGGACACTGGCTCTGAACTGACATTGATTTCAGGAGACCCAAAACATCACTGTGTCCCTCCAGTCACAGGAGAGGTTTATGGGGCTCAGGTGATCAATGGAGTTTTAGCTCAGGTCAGTCTCACAGTGGGTCCAGTGGGTCCCTGAGCCCATCCGGTGGTTATTTCCCCAGTGCCAGATGCACAATTAGAATAAACATACCTAGTAGTTGGCAAAATCCCCACATTGGGTCTCACCTGTTATGATGGGAAAGGCCAAATGGAAGCCATTATAACTATTTCTATCTGGGAAAATAGTAAATTAAAAACAATACCACATTCTTGGAGGCACTGCTGACATTAGTGCCACCAACAAGAACTTAAATGATGTAGCAGTGCTAATCCCCACAACATTCCCATTCAATTATGCTATTTGGCCTGTGCAGAAGACAGATGAATCTTGGAGAATGACAGTGGATTACTGTAAACTATACCAAGTTATGACTCCAATTGAAGCTGTTATACCAGATGTGGTTTCATTGACTGAACAAATTAACACATCGTGGTACTTGTTATATAGCTGTTAATCTGACAATTGCTTTTTCCTCCATGTCTGTCCATAGGCCCACCAGAAACAGTTTGCTTTCAGCTAGCAAGGCCAGCAATACACCTTCTACCTCATGGGTATGTAAACAGGTAAACAGTTCAGTCCTAAGTTGTAACTTAGTTTGCAGGGATCTTGATTGCCCATTGCCCTTCCCTTCAGTAAGATACCACACTGCTCCATTACATTGATGACATTAAGCTGACTGGACCTAGTGAGCAAGAAGTAGCAGCTACTTTACACTTATTGATGAGAAATTTGCATGTCAGAAGTGGGAAATAAATATGACTAAAATTCAGGGACCCTCCTGAAATTGCCTTTGCAAAAATTATAACAGTGAGAAAAATCTGACATAAGAAATTATGACACTGGAAAAAATAGGACCTACCCAACTCCATCTTGCTTCTAACTTCCAAGCTATCCTTGTTCATCTGGGGCATAGGCCAGATGAACTATTAGAATAGTTTAGTTTGTAGTTTAACTTTGAAACAAAGATGATGACAGCCCCTTCCTAAAACAAACCCCCTCCTTGCCTGGGGACCAGACTGCCTTTGTAAAACTCACAAATTAGCCACAAGATTAGAAAATGTGGCTCCGCAGTTATGCAGCCGGAGGCCACAAGATTTCTAACCTTCTCAAATTTTCCTATAGATAACATCACTATCATAAAACCCAAGATGGGTGTTTGAAGTATTTTTCAGACCCTGAATTCTGATAGACGAGCTAGCACCACCCAGACTAGTAAACTGGCTCATCTGGTCCTGTGGCTTCTACCCAGGATCTGACTCAGTGCAAGAAGACAAGCTCTGACTCCCTGTGATTTCCTCCCTAACCCGACCAGTTAGCATTCCCCATTCTTCAGCCCCCTGCCTGCCAAAGTATCTCTAAAAAACTTTAGCCTCCAAATTTTCAGGGCTTCTGAAACTCCTGTCCTTCTGCTTACCTGGCTCTGTGTGTGTTAAACTCTTTCTTTACTGCAATGCCACTGTCTTGGCAAGTTGGCTGTATCTGTGCAGTGGTCAGTAAGAACTCATCGGGTGATTATATTCTACCTCAGTGAAATTTAGGGGTCCAATGGTGTAGGGCATGTCAAGATATTTTTTCTGAGGTGAAGAATAAATTGCATCTGGCCTCCCAGTGCTAGATTTTTTTGCATCTGCAATTGTTGGCTGCAGAGATTAATGGTTGGTGTCATTCTCTGAGAACAACTGTCCTGAAAAAAGTTGGGGATAGACAAGGGTGGAAGGGAGATTGAACCTCTTATTATTTTGTGAAACATAACCATAAATTGTTCCTTGTAATTGGAGAGAGTGTTCTAATTTGGGGGCCTGGGGCTATAGGTTGTCTGAGTGACAAGGTCTCACACCAGAAATCAACTTAGGGTAACATTAGTCAGGCTATAAATGTAACATTCAAATAATTAACATGAATAAAACAAGAAGAACACTTGGCTCACATTTAAATTTTCGCTTAAATGTCCAGTAGAAATGCCTACTTGGTTCTTATTGATTTTTAAAATGAGTTTGGTAGTGTTTATCAAGGCTATTTAGTTCAATGAATCTACCACTTAACTTTCTACAGCATAACAAAGGGGGTATAATTAAGTGTTCATGCAGAGACTGGCTTACCCAATTTGACATGGAATCAGTACAGTTGGAGCTCCAGCAAACTCTGGGTGACTGACAACACATGAATTAAGTAATTACTTTCAGTATCTCTACTTTGCAATTACCTTGAAATTTGAAAGTGGATAATTAATTCCTAATTCCTTAGTCAATATAAAAAAAAAAAACCTCAGAATTTGAGCTAGGCTAAGCCCGGCAGTCTTATTCTGAACCTTTCCAAATGTTTCAGTTAACCCGTCATATGCCAAGTGACTTGGCTCAAATAAAGTGTAAAGTATTTTTAAGATTATTACTAAGATCCTGCATTTAAACTTAGGTTTTTATTTTTAATTAATTTCAGTCCACCAAAATTTTGAAAACAGTGGAATAAATGTTTATTTGAATTCCACTGGTTTATCTCAGATGGATTTGTCTCTGGGCATAGACAGATGGGTCTATGTGCATTCAATGTATATGAAAGAACGATCTTTGTTTTGACCTCATAACCTAGTTAAGCCCCAATTCTTATGCACCATGAGTAGTTTATGACCCAAAATATCCACAGATATGGCTTTGTGGAGGGACAAAGCCAGATTCCAGGAAATCACAGCAGTGCATCGTACAGAATGTTTGAGCTCAAGGAAAGATGGTGCATGCGAAGTCATGCTTCCTGCTCAGATGCTGCTACCCACAGTGATCTGTAGATTTTAACTGAGGGCGAGGGGACAAAAATGCAAATGTTCTTTGTAATATGGGCTATATCAAATTTAAGATGAGTCTGTGAGAAGTTGATTGTTAAATAAAAGCTATCAAATAAAAATCAGCCGTAATGTGAAAGCATTTTCTATGATGCTCTTCACTTAGAAATTTAGTAATAGAGGGGGATCTGGTATATTGTATAATACATTTTAGATATATTTAGCTGGAATTAACAAGGACTGTCAGTAACATTGCATACAGAATGCTTGAAATATCTAGGCAAAAAATGGTACAATTCATTTGGAAGAAAATGCATCACTACTCTGACATTAATTACTAATTTCCAGGTTCCAATTTTTAGTCTATGTGCTGCCTGTCAGTGCAAGCCCCTAATTTCCCAGTTGCTTAATGTAGCACTAATAATTTTTAACTTGCAATATACTCAGGTAATTTTATGTTAAAGTAAATAATCTCTTGAGTGTAAACTACTTCGCATGCACTGATTCTTTATTAAAATCCTCAATTTTACCTCTCTGTCTGTCCTTTTTTTCCTTTTTCCTTCCTTTCTTCTTTCTTGCCTTCCCTTTCTATCCATTCTTTGTGTCCCTCATCCATTTTTTTCCCTGCGGGTTTCATAAATAAATAAAATCTCAACTAGATAATAAATTCATATTTCCAACAGGTACTTACTCTTCAATAAACAAAGTTGAGAGGGTGGGTGTGGTAAAAGATAGCAATCAGGAACCTGTTTCTACCTGGTTCCCAGGTTTATGGAACCCCTGCGGAGGGAGAAAGCTCCAATAATGGCTAATATTGTACTTGCCCATCTTGGTGAAATAGAGCTGGATTTCATTTGACTTTTTAAAAAATTTCGTTTTTTGTAAGTCCTTTATTAGGAGACAATTTTATGTTTTGTATACATACACAAAACAAAACCCCGCAGAGCCTTGGAATATCTAAAAACTTCTAATTTGTCCCTTCTCATTAATAAGACTTACTTTATAATTTGAGACTGACAACACTCCGTACTACCAGATGATATAAGACATGACTTCTGTTGACAGTGTGATTTCTCCTTGATGTTGGCTGGGACTCCCTTAGTGAATACTAACGTTATGCTTAGCTCAGAAAACGTAAATCGTTTAAGTATAACAGTCTTTTGCCTTTTTTTTTTTTTTAGTAGGAAAAGGATTATCAGTTTTATTTAATTGGTTTCACTGTCTTCAAATCATTGTTGGCTCTTAGCATATATTTAACTATGATTTTGAAGAAGGAAGTTGTAAGACAGAGGAGGGGAGTTAGGTGGCTTCTTATTATTCCAGAAAGATCAGTTTCTATCAGAAATGGACTTGCTTTGGCTTTCAGATATTTTGTAATCATTTATCCTCTTGAAATTTAAATAGATTATGTTAGAGACAGAGGACCTGAGTATTAAATTTAGATTGGAAAGGAACTAGCACAATTAAGAGAGCTATGCCTGGAATATGCAAAAGAAACAGGTATAATAGAAGAAGATCAACACCCAAATGGAAATTCTACAGTGAGTTATCCGGAACCTACAGTGATCCTTCAAAAATGATTTTATTTGTTCAAGCAACTTCTTAGACAATTTGATGACAGGCATGTGTCAAAGTTCAATTTCAAACTTTGGTAAGAGAAGATGCTTTTGAAAAAGCCAACTCAAAGACTCCTGCTTAATAGAGATATTTTACATGAATGTTTAAGTAAGGACCTTAAGACTGTCAGGCCGTCACGAGACCCACAGTCAGGTAGGTGGGTGATGAATTTCTTTTTCAGAAAGAATTTCTAATTTCAATAAAGTGTACCAGAAAGTTGTTTAAGTAAGCATTTTATCAGGGATTCTCTGTAATTCTCAAAAGAGGTTGTGAATTTTATCTCATTAAATCCAGGTTTGGTACAATTTTCTTCCTCATATCAGTTCTTTGCTTGTAACCCTCAAATTGCTTCCCATAACACTGAGAATAAAATTCAATTTTTTTTTTTTGAGACGGAGTTTTGTTCTTGTTGTCCAGGCTGGAGTGCAATGGGGCTGTCTCCGCTCACTGCAACCTCTGCCTCCCGGGTTCAAGTGATTCTCCTGCCTCAGCCTCCTGAATACCTGGGATTACAGGTGCCCACCACCACACCTGGCTAGTTTTTTTGTGTTTTTAGTAGAGATAGGCTTTCACCATATTGGCCAGGCTGGTCTCAAACTCCTGACCTCAGGTAATCTGCCCACCTCGGCATCCCAAAGTGCTGGGATTACAGGCATGAGCCACTGCACCCAGCCAAAATTCAAATTCTTACAGGACCCAATACATGGATGATGTCATTTCCTGCCTGATATAGTTTCGCTGTGTCCCCACCCAAATCTTGTCTTGAATTCCCACATGTTGTGGGAGGGACCCAGTGGGAGATGATTGAACCATGGGGGTGGGTCTTTCCCATGCTGTTCTCGTGATACTGAATGAATCTCAAGAGATCTGATGGTTTAAAAAAAGTGGGAGTTTCCCTGCACAAACTCTTTTTTTTTTTTGCCTGCCGCCATCCACGTAAGGTGCGACTTGCTCCTCCTTGCCTTCCGCCATGATTGTGAGACCTCCCCAGCTATGTGGAACTGTATGTCCAATTAAACTTCTTTCTTTTGTAAACTGCCCAGTCCCGGGTATGTCTTTATCAGCAGCGTGAAAATGGACTAATACTCTGCCATTCCTTTTCCTGACTCAGGGTCCTTCCTTTCTGTTTGTTGAATATGCCTACCATAACCCTGCCTCAGATCTTTGCATGTGCTGTTCCCTTTGCCTAGAATGCAGGTCTCTTGCACAACTAGGTGGTTTGTCCCTCTCTTTATTCATGTCTCTCTCTGTTCCATTCTGACCTCATTTAGAATTACAGCCCTCCCAGCTCCATCCCCTCTCTGGTACTCTCTATTTCTTTGCCCTGTTTGGATTCTAAATACTGTTTGCTGGCATTACAGCATATACTTACTGTTCATTGTTTATCTTCCCCTGTTTCCACTGGAGTGTAAATAAAGTCCATGAAGGGAGGGACTTTGTTTCATTCACTTCTATATTCCCAGGGCTTAGAACAGTGACTGGCTTAGAGTATATGTACATAAGACCGCCCTGAGGCTGAATGGTATCCCCACAAAAATACATATGTTGAAGTTCTAACCCCTAGTACCTTAGAATGTACCATATTTGGAGACAGGATCTTTACAGAGGCAATTAAATTAAAATGAAGCTATTAGAGTTATTAAGGGGGGCCCTAGTGCAATCTCACTTGTGGTCTTTTAAGAAGGGTAAATTTGGACACAGGCATGTACAGAGGGAAGATGATGTGAAGACACGGAGAGAAGATGGCCATCTACATGCTAAGGAGAGAGGCCTGGCCTGGAACAGATCCTCCCTCATGATCATCAGAAAGAACCAATCTTGATGACACCTTGATCTCAGATTTTGAGCCTCAAGAACCGTGAGAAAATGAATTTTTGTTGTTCAAGCTACCCAGTCTGTGGTACTCTGTTATGGCAGCCCTCACAAGCTAATATAGCACTATACATATTCTTAATATGGATTTGTTAAATTAATAATTAAATGGTATGGAACATTTTTCTAAGGACAAAAGGTAGTGGGCATTGTTGAACACTTATGCAGGAAAGAAACACAGATGATGATTTCTTAATGGAAACTTCAAGGTCAGCATGGAAGCAAGGTGATATGATGGGAGGGTGAAGGTACTGGTGCTTTGTATTTTTTGGATTACAGCTCCAAGCATCACTATGGGAGCATCTCAAGATGCTCTAATCCATCTTGCTGGGAGCTCTAATCCGACAAATACGGAGCACTAGAATCCTCTTGTCTTGGAGATAATTCAGTCTCTCAGAAGTTTGAGAATACAATGCACTGCTACTTGGAGCTTAACTATGACCAACAAAGAAGAGAGCATATGAGTAAAGTAATGGTGATCTGAATTTTAAAAGAAATTGATCTTGGTATTCATGATTGTCAAGGATGCTGGTTATTATCAGACTTATAAACTGAACTTCAGGAAATCAGACTGAAAACTGTGAAGAGGAAAGATAGGTATTAACTCCATTATTACAAATAGTAACTGGCAAAAAAACACAGTGTAAAAAGCATTTCTCTGACATTGCAATTACAACTGACTTCAATAAGGATATAAAGAGGAGTTTATATAAAGGACCCATAGGCAGCATATTCACAAAACACAGAAGGAGGGACCCACGGCTAAGAGGGAATTCAAAAGATTGGCAGAAATCAATAAGACCAGTGTTAGGAAACCTGCAGGCACGCAGACTCCCCCAAATGCCAAGGACAGCAACATTTCAACTTTGATTTAACATGTGGGAGACACAAAAACAAGGCATGTTTCTGACCTGAATGAAACAGATGGTGTAATGCTGACTGTCTATTACAAAGAGAAAGCAAAACTATTTAAGTCCTATTTTGTTTTCATATTCTTTGCCCACAAAAATAATTTCAGATTGGAAAGCCCAAACAAGTAATATTAAAAGGGAACGGCAATCCTCACTAGGTCAGCATAGTAAGAGAATTAGTTGTTTTTAATAAGATCGAATCTCCACCCCAGATGGATGATATCCCTGGGCTGTGAGAAGACATGCAGGGAAGCCAGACTGTCATCATTTATCTTCGAGGAATAATGGTCAATAACAAAATGAAGACATTTAGAGATGTGCAATGTTGTATTAATCTTCCAAAAAGGGCAAAAGATAATTTCTAAAAATGATGCAAAATTAGGCTAACCATTGGTTTTTATTATTAAACAGATTGTTAAGCAGATGGCTTGCAAACTGCAAAAAAAAAAGTGGTGGTCCTTCATTGTCATCTATTGTCACTACCCATTGTTGCATCCATTTTCATGACATCCATGCCACTTAAAGTAATTTATACCAAATCAAGCTCATTTTCTTTTTGGAAAAGACACCAACTGGAGGATGAGAGGAGCATTTGAGATGCACTTGATTTTGAATTTATTACGGTATTTGTATCTAATGATATCCCCTTTTAACTGTCTAATGAATACATCATCCTCTCAAACACATCATGACCCAAGCTGAATTTAGTCTTCCCTCAGAGAAGAGTTTTCTCTTTTCAAGTTCTGTCCAAATTTTCAGCCTTCTTTATTTAAAATTTAATTTTATAGTAACTTTTTTAAATAACTTTTTTATAGTAACTTTTTTTCCAACTTTTATTTTAGATCCAGGAGGTACATGTACAGCTTTGTTACCTGGGTACATTGTGTGATGCTGAAGTTTGAGTATGAATGATCCTGTCACTCAGGTACTGAGCATATTACTCAATAGTTAGTTTTTCAACCCTCACCCCTCTCCCTCCAGTAGTCCTCAGTTTCTATTGTTGCCATATTTACGTCCGTGACTACCCAATGTTGAGCTCCCACTAAGTGAGAACATGTGGTATATAGTTTTCTTTTCCTACATTAATTCGCTTAAGATAAACAACTAATTCTCTTACTTATGCTGACCTAGTAAGGCGGTTTTGATTTGCATTTCTCTGATTAGTGATGTTAAACATTTTTTCATATGTTTGTTAGTAGCTTGTATGTCTTCTTTTGAGAAGCCAAAAGCATATGAAAAAAACCATAGTGAGATAGCATCACATGCCAGTCAAAATGGCTATTACTTTAAAAATTACTAAAACAACAACAAAAAAAATAACAGATGTTGGTGAGATTGCAGGAAAAATGGAATGGGCAATATGGCCATTTTAATGATATTGATTCTTCCCATCTATGAGCATAGAATGTTTTTCCAGTTTGTGTCATCTGTTTCTTTCAACAGTGTTTTATAGTTCTCCTTGTTGAGATCTTTCACCTCCTTCATTAGATATATTCCTAAGCATTTTTTTGTTTGTGTGTGTGGCTATCGTAAATAAGATTGTGTTCCTGATTTGGCTCTCAGCTTAAATGTTAGTGGTGTCTAGAAATACTGCTGATTTTCTTACATTGATTTTGTGTCCTGAAACTTTACCAAAGGTGTTTATCATTTCCAGGAGCCTTTTGGTGGAGGCCTTAGAGTTTTCTAGGTATATCACTCTATCACAAAGAGAGATAGTTTCACTTTTGCTTTTCCTATTTGGATGCCTTTTATTACCCTTTTTTTTTCTTTTGCCTGATTACTGTGGCTAGTACTTCCATTACTATGTGGACTAGGAGTGGTGGGAATGGGCATCCTTGTCTTGTTTCAGTTCTCAAGGGGAATGCTTCTAGTTTTTGCCCATTCGGTACAATGTTGGCTGTGGGTTTGTCATAGATGACTCTTACTATTTTATGGTATGTTCCTCTGATTCCTAGATTCTTGAGGATTTTTATCATGAAGAATGTTGGATTTTATCAAAAGCTTTTTCTGCATCTATTGAGATGACAATATGGTTTTGTTTTTAATTCTGTTTATGTGGTGAATCACATTTATTGATTTGTATATGTTGAACCAACCTTATATCACAGGAATGAAGCCTACTTGATCATGCTGAATTAACTTTCTGATGTGCTGCTGGATTTGGTTTGCTCATATTTGTTGAGGATTTTTGCATCTGTGTTCATTAGGGATATTGGTCTGTAGTTTCCTTTTTTTGTTTTGTCTTTGCCAGTTTAATATCAGAGTGATGCCGGCTTCACAGAATGAGTTAGGTAGGAGTCCTCCCTTCTTGATTTTTTGGAATGGTTTCCGTAGAATTGGTACCAGTTCTTCTTTGTACATCCAGTAGAATTTGGCTGTGAATCCATCTGGTCCAAAGCATTTTTTGGTTGGTAGGTTTTTTATTACTTATTCAATTCTGGAACTCAATATTGGGCTGTTCAGGGTTTCAATTTCTTCCTGATTCAATTCTGAGAGACTGTGTGTTTCCTGGAATTTACACATTTCCTCTAGATTTTCTAGTTTGTATAAGTAGAGGTGTTTATAATAGTCTCTGAGGATCCTTTTTATTTCTGTGGGATCAGTTATAATGTCACCTTTGTAATTTCTGATTGTGTTTTGTTGGATTTTCTCTCTTATATTTGTTTGTTAATATAGCTAGTGTTCTATCAATCCTGTTTATCCTTTTAAGGAACCAAATTTTAGTTTTGTTGTTTTTTTGTATGGATTTTTGTGTGCCAATTTCATTCAGTTTTGCTCTGATTTTAGTTATTTATTTTCTTCTTCTAGCTTTGGGGTTAGTTTGCTCTTGCTTTTGTAGTTCTTGTAGGTGTGATGTTAGATTGTTGATTTGAGATCTTTCTAGCTTTTTGAGGTGGGTGTTTAGCACTATAAACTTTCCTCTGAACACTGCTTTTGCTGCATCCCATAGATTTTAGTATGTTGTGTCTATGTTTTCATTTATTTCAAATAATTTTTTTCTGCCTTGATTTAATTGTTTACCCAAAAGTCTTTCAGGGGAAAGCTGTTTAATTCCCACGTAATTGTGTGGTTTTGAGAGATCATTTTGGTATCATTTTCTGTCTTTATTTCACTGTGATTTGAGAGTATGGCTGGTGTGCTTTCAATTTTTTTGAATTTATTGGGACTTGTTTTATGGCTAAGCATGTGGTCTATCTTAGAGTATGTTCTGTGTGCCAATGAGAAGAATGTATAATTTGTGATTGATGGGTGGAGTATTCAGTAGACGTGTATTAGGTCCAGTTGGTCAAGAGTTGAGTTTAAGTGAAGATTTTCTTTGTTAGTTTTCTTGCTCAGTGAGCTCTCTAATGTCAGTGGGGTATTGAAGTATCCCACTATTATTGTGTGACTAAGTCTTTTTGTAGATCTACAAGCATTTTTTGAAATGAATTTGGGTTCTTCAGTGTTTAGTACATATACGTTTAGGATAGTTAAATCTTGTTGAATTGAATCTTTATCAATATGTAATGTTCTTCTTTGTGCTTTTTCTGTTGGTGGTTTAAAGTCTGTTTTATCTGATATAAGAACAGTGACCTCCACCCTAAATGGAAAACAAAAAAGAGCAGAGGTCACTATTCTTATATCAGATAAAACAGACTTTAAACCAACAACAGTGAATCCTTTACTTTCAGCCTGTGGTTATCAGTAAGTGTGAGATGGATCTCTTGAAGACAGTAGACCGATGGGTCTTGTTTTTTTTTTTTTTTCTTTTTTCTCTAATCTGCTAGTGTGTGCTTTTTAAGTCAAACTTCCAGTCTTCTAAGATGCTATCCTCCTAGTTACCCTTGGTGCTTTGCTCCTCACTTCTCCTATACTGCTGTGATAATGTCTCACCTTTCTCTCAACACTCTGAATCACACTCCATGTTGCTACCAGATTTATCTAAAAATAGAGCTGATTATACTTAGAACTTTGTTGGCTCTTTGATGTCCATTCACGAATTTATCCCAGCATCCTAGTTTAACCTGCAAATCTTTCATAGTCTGTTTCTGGCTTTCCTAGCAAAACAATTGCCTTACGGAGCATTGCATAAACCTCTGATTTTGCTTCCCTAATCATTTTGCTAGTCTTGTTTTGACACACTAAACTTTCAATTATTTGCCCTTATTAACATTCTTTTTTCTGTTTACTATGTTCTGAACTCCTTTTCTACCTAGCAAATTCCTCCTCATACTTCAATGCAAAGCCAGTGTCACCTCTGTGTAAAGCCTTTTCTGACACCTTCAGGGAGAGCTAGGTATTCCCTTTCTTATGTTCATATAACAGCTTATATATATATCTTTATTATTGCACTTATTAGATAGCATAGAAGTTATTTCTTTACTCTTCCCCCCTTTTCTAGCCATTGAGATCTTCAGGAGCCAGACTTTGCCAAATGTATTTTTTCTCTTTCCACCTTACTAGCGTGTTACATATAAATGCTCAATTAGGCCAAGTGTAGTGGCTCATTTCTGTAGTCCCAGCTCTTTGGGAGGCCAAGGCGGGAGACTCACTTGAAGCCAAGAGTTCAAGACCAGCCTGGGCAACATAGTATGACTCCGTCTCTAGGTAGGTGTGCTGATGTGTGCCTATAGTCCCAGCTTGAAGCCTGTAGTCTTCAGCCTCAGGGGGCTGAAGCAGGAGGATCACTTGAGCCCAGGAGCTCAACACTGCAGTGAACTGAGATCAAGCCACTGTACTCCAGCCTGAGTGACAGAGGGAGACCTTGACTGTAAAACAAAACAAAACAAAACAAACTCCATATAAATGCTTAATTAATGTTAATAAAGGACAAATGATTCTTTTTGCTGGCAAGATGGAAAAATTTGGATTCATAGTTTGCTGAACAGTGATATCCAGAGTGTCTGGCTTAACAGATGATTGAGACCATGCTACCTGATCTTGTTGACTTCTTTTCCACATTGAGATTTCTATTTATCTTCAGCCAATCTTTCTACCACCATCTCAACTCACCGTAAAAAGTATCTCATTTCTTCTCCATTATTAACCCATGTATTTTTACTTTCATCTTGTATCCTTTTATTTTATTTTGGAAGCATATATATAACGTTTGCCCTTCCCATTCTTTCCGCCATCTCACTCCCCAGCTCCCACGTGAATCATTCAAGAGTTAAACAAGAGAAATGGTTCCTGTCAGTGCAGGTGATGAAAGAGATCATTACAACATAACTGAAGGTCAAGACAAGGATAAATACCAGCAAAATCATGTAAGAATGATGCTATCAGGTAAGCCATGATTGTGTAAGAAAAACCAATGAAAGTTCATTTTTCCAGGACAGTTAATTTTTTGCAGTATGGGAAAGGCTATGTGTTATAATAATTTTTAAGCTATTTAGGGAGAAACTGTAATCACTACTCTACCTTGGGACACCTTCATCCTACTATGAAGCACTGGAAATGGTGGTAGGTGAGATTGATTGTATTTTCATAAGCCATGCCAGAGGCTAAATGCCTTTGCAAGAGTGGGCTTAGAAGTTATGTCAAGGAAAAACATAGCAGCTTTGGAACTGAAGGACACTAGAGAATTCTGAGAAGAAACAGAAAGTTTAAAAGGCCATGGAACCAGATGAAAGGAGAAAGGGTAGTGTATATAGAGAAAGAAGTTCTCTGAGCTGGCCTACCCAATGCCTATCAGGGACTTCCTGGAAGTCTGGCTATTGATACATTTGCTCTTTCATGCTGCAGTGAGATAAACTAGTTAATTAGAGGCTCAACATCCAGTGTTCAACTTAAAAATATATATATATTTATGTATAATATATATAAGTATAACATATATAAATTATATATATTATATATTATATAAATATATACAAATTATATACATTATATGAAATATTATATATAATATATTATATATTATATATTCTATATATAGAATATATTATATATTATAGATATAATATGCATATATATACTTTTTTTGAGACAGAGTCTTGCTCTGTCGCCCAGGCTGGAGTGCAATGGTGCAATCTCGGCTCACTGCAACTTCTGCCTTCTGGGTTCAAGTGATTCTTTTGCTTCAGCCTCCTGAGTAGCTGGGATTACAGGTGCCCGCCACCACGCCTGCATAATTTTTGTATTTTTAGTAGAGTCGAGGTTTCACCATGTTGCCAGGTTGGCTTTGAACTCCTGACCTCGTGATCTGCCCACCCAGGCCTCCCAAAGTGCTGGGATTACATGCATGAGCACTTTGCCTTGCCTAAAATAATTTTTATCATGTTAAACATATATAAAATAATATTTTTCATTCTAATCATTTTTAAGTGTACAGTTCAGTGGGACTAATTACCTTTACAATGTTATGCAATCATCAGCACTATGTCCAAAACTTTTTCATCAACTGAAACAGAAACTCTATAACCATTAAGCAGTAATTCCCCTATTTTCCATCTAGCCCCTGGTAATGTCCAATTTTATTTCTGTCTCTTTTAATTTGCCTATTCTAGCTACCTCATGTAAATGGAACCATACAATATTTGTCCTTTTGTGTTTGGCATATTTCACTCAGCATGTCTTCAAAGTTCCTCCACGTTGTAAAATGTATCAAAAAACTTACTTCCTTTTTAAGGCAGAATAATATTTCATTGTATGTATATAATACATTTTGTTTATTCATTTATCTAGTGACCATTGCCCAACTTTATAATTCCCCCACATGTAGTATCTTATTACTGGTATCTCTGAGGACAAAGCTCTCTGAGCCTTCTGGGTAATTCTGTATGTGTGTGTTCTTTCTAGTAGGAAGGTGGGAACACAAGATGCCATCTCTCTGCCTCTCACTTTATTTCAGTGTGGGTGTTGGATGGCAGTGTGAGCATCCACTCATGAAGATCACTTGACAAGAGACACAGATGGTTTTCTGTCTTTCCTCCCTTCTTTCCTAACAGGCACTTCCTGTGGCCCCAAGTGGAGGAGTCTATTGCCTGGTTTGCCTCTCTTTCAACTCTCCCTCTGTCCCCACTTATCCCTTGCTCCTGGCATCCTGTCTCTGCTCTGTGCTAAGTGATTTATCAGAAGTCACCTCATTTGCTTTTCTTTCTTTTTCTTTCTTTCTTTCTTTCTTTCTTTCTTTCTTTCTTTCTTTCTTTCTTTCTTTCTTTCTTTCTTTCTTCTTTCTTATCTTTCTATCTTTCTTTCTTTCCTTTTTCTGAGATGGAGTTTCACTCTTGTTGCCCAGGCTGGAGTGCAATGGCACAATCTCAGCTCACTGAAACCTCTGCCTTCTATGTTCAAGCGATTCTCTTGCCTCAGCCTCCCAACTAGCTGGGATTACAGGGATGTGCCACTATGGCTGGCTAATTTTGTATTTTTAGTAGAGACAGGGTTTTACCATGTTGGTCAGGCTGGTCTTGAACTCCTGACCCCAGATGATCCACCTGCCTTGGCCTCCGAAAGTGTTGGGATTACAGGTGTGAGCCACTGCGTCGGGCCTCATTTACTTCTTAAAGCACCCTCTCTGACGTGTAAGTATCAAGTCCAGGTCAAGACATTTGCTTTCTGCCCCATCGTTTTACTTCGAAAACTCTTTTGAAGGTCACTAATAAAAGAGGTCATTCTGTCCAATGGCATTTTCTTGATCTTCATCCTTGTCTTTCTGTCTAGAGTATGAGACCTCACTTACACCAACCCTTGGAAACATTTTCCTTGTTATCTGTATATCCTAACCCTTACCAAGCTATAATCGCAACAATAACCTTTTATATTTGAATTATTATGCTTACCTGTAGGAATTCTAGTGTTTCACTGAATTTTCTTTCCCAACATCTTTGGAAATTTCCAGGGAATTATTTTATGTTTCATAGATTTTTATTCTGTCATATAAATTCTGTTTTATTCTGTCGTGTAATACGACATTTATATGACTAAATAAAATCATTTGTTTTTATAAGCATTTTATGCTTATGTTTAAAACATTTTTAATGTTTTAAAAACATATAAATGTTTAAAATCATTTATATGTTTTTATAAGCCTGCCACCTCAAATAACACAGTTGTATCAATTTCTGTACGTGTCTTCTTGCCATCTCGAGTTGGTTTACCCCAGGCTACTGCCTTTTTCCATATCCTGTTTTCTTGCCTCATTACCAGACTGCTGCCTCCACTGCCAGTGACCTTGGTGACATTCCATTTTCCTGAGCACCTATGTATCCTGCTGGTAACTCCTATTTACTCATTTAATCAGCTTCAGGGAGGAGATCCTTCTTCTCTTAACTGTGTCCCCTCTAAAACATGGGGCAGATCCTTCAATTACTACTAAAAATGACTTCTTGTGTCGTCCAAATGTAGGTCTAAGCTTGACCTCAGGAAACGTTACTGGGCTGGCACTTGGGGAATACCTTGCCCCATAAGGAGGGCTCCTGCAGAAATGTACACCCTTCACCGATGTCAAACAGTGCCTTCACTCAGGACTCTAACTCCACTTTTGTCTGTACCTCTCTGCTTTGCTATTTGGTTTTATTGGCTCAGGCTTATACATGGGCAGGGGATGTGTCCATGTGTCCACTGGCTCTTTCAGGGCCACATTCTTACAACACAGAGCACGAGGAGAAAAGCTTCTCTATTCTAGTTCCAGTTTTATAAAAGACCTCAGGGAAAGACTGATACTGGCTTGGCTTGGGTCATGAGCCCACCTGAGCTTCAGTCATTGTGGTAAAGCCTTGAGGCACTGTAATTAATTTAACTGGGTAGGAACCAGCCTGTGATTTGGAGGATGGGGAATTTCATCAAAACAAAGGGATGTGGAATCCTTCTGAGCTAGGTGCTCCTTCCAGTTTTTATCCATAACATCATGCAGAACAAAGGCCACCCCAAAATGATGCCTTAGAAAGCAGACCCAGCTGCCAAGTTTTAGAATGACTATTACAGTTTAGTTTCCATGGACTTCATATGAGAGCCACTTGTTTTTCTTCCTTCTTCTCTCTATCTCTCCTTCCTTTCTTCTGTTTATTTATTTTAAAAACTGTTCTTCATCTTTCTTCTTTTGTAATATTTCTACTTTCCATTTTCTAAAAGCAAGATTATTTCCCAGCTTCTCCTACTTCTGTATCTTTTTGCTCTTTGAACTCTATCTCAAGCCTAACCTTTGCACAGCTAATTAAATATATCCAGTTTTGACATTATCCCTGAGCCCCAAATAGACGTTTCTAGGTGTTTACTTGAAATCTCCACCCAAATGTCTCTTTGAATTCAGTATTATCAGAGCTACTTTTTTTTTTTTTTTTTTTTTTTTGAGACGGAGTCTTGCTCTATAGCCAAGGCTGGAGTGCAGTGGCGCGATCTCGGCTCACTGCAACCTCCGCCCCCGGGTTCATGCCATTATCCTGCCTCAGCCTCCCGAGTAGCTGGGACTACAGGCGCCCGCCACAATGCCTGGCTAATTTTTTTGTATTTTTAGTAGAGACGGGGTTTTACCCTGTTAGCCAGGATGATCTTGATCTCCTGACCTCGTGATCCGCCTGCCTTGGCCTCCCAAAGTGCTGGGATTACAGGCGTGAGCCACCACGCCCAGCCTATCAGAGCTACTTTTTTAGTTATAGACACCTGTGGCAAAATTGTATATTCTGGGGCTTCCAAAACTATGTTGCAGGAAAGATATGACCTTTTTGCAAACTTACCTCTAGACCTGAACCAATGAAAATCCCTTGCCCCCTCTGTGTTTTGTACTTTTGCCTGATCCTGGGATTGGGGCTTTCACACCTTGCTTTGCCCATGGCTTTGCGCCCCGAGTGCAGGCTCTTAACCTTGTCTCCTGTTGGTTCCCTCTTTCTGCCTTTGCCCACAACTCCCAGCAACGGCGACCTTCAAGTCATCACCCGAAAATGTTTGGTGATAGCTTTAGTCAAGATTACTGTAGAGGGAATTCTTGCACAGAGCAGAAGTTTGTACTAAATCTCTTTTAAGATTCCCACCAGTTTTAGGGATTGGTGATTTTATAGGATAAAATGTTTAGTGTTTTCTTATATGGCCATATTCCCTTGATTGAGCTGAAAGTCTTTGTCATTTATATATGTTTGGAGCTGATGTTAAATTTTCTTTATGGATTTGCTTGAAACAAATGGGTCATTACTTGCAGCTTGGATAGTTTTTGGCTTCCATGGATTATTCTGGCTTTGCTATTTGTTTTGGTGGAGAAAAACTCCTAATTAGCTCTGTAGCGGAAACTGCCAGTTTTCTCCCATTCCTCCGTAGTAATAGGCTTTTCAGCTGACACATAGCAGCCTCCTTGACCTCTCAGCCTCCTTGGAGCTGAGTGACTGAATTCTAAATATGAAGGAAGTGAGAGCTGTACAACTCTTGTGTGTCCTAAGCGGGAGGTGGCTTACCCTTCTTCTGTGCTTTTCCCTTTCTCCGATGGCTGCAATGCAGATATGGGAGCAGGCCCCTTGGACTTTAGAGACTAGTGCAATACTCTAGGATAGACAAGTGACAACATAAAAGGGGCCTGGGTCCCTGCATGCAGAGCTACTACCACCTGACTCCAGTTTGTGAGAGAAAAACTTTAACCTTGTTGAAGCCACTATTATTTTGGATAATAATAGGTCTTATCATTTAAAACTGTATCCTAAAAAAAATACAAGTTTGCATTTTCTCATAATCCTGTAGTCAAACCTTTATCTTCTGTGTATCATATTGGTTATTGCTATTTAGATAAGTAAACCAATAGAGCTATATATGGAAAGTGGATTAGACTGAGGGGCCCTGGAGCCTGGACAAACACAGATTTTAGAATGCAGGAGCCAGGCTTGAATAAAGGAGACAAGAAAAGGGAGCTAGCATTTACTGAGCATCTACTATATACCAAGTACTATGTCAGCGGCTTTACATATGACACCTCATTTAATTCTAAAGTTTACTACTGTTATCCTCATTTTGTAGCTAAGGAAACTGAGTTAGCAAGGAGAATTTGGCCAGTGGCCAGTAAGGGTGGAACCGGAATTTAGCTGCAGTTCTGATCCCCAAACCTAGCTCTTCTCCCTGTATGCTCGAAGAGAGGGTGGAGGGAGATCTTGAGGGTGGTGAAGAGCTGGAGGGAGGACATCCCAGCGGTCACCAGTGGGGAGCCTCCTGGGGAAAATGGCACAAATGACTTTGTTAAAAATTGTAAATTGACACTTTATAATTGTATACATTTATGGGGTAAAACATATTATGATTTTTGAATTCAATGTGGAATAATTAAATCAAGCCAATTAATGTATCTATTGATGCAAATTTTTTGTGTGTGTGTGCAGTAAAAGCCTTTGAAATTTACTCTGTCAGCAATTTTGAAATGTATAATACACTCTTATTAACTATATTCACCACACTATGCATTAGATTAAAAAAAAAAAAACAAACTTATTACTCCTGTCTGAGATTTTGCACCCTTTGGCTATAATCTCCCCATTCCCACACCCTCTTCAGCCGCCACACTCCGCGCCTTTGTAATCACCATTCTACTCTCTGCTTCTTTGAGTTTCATTGTTTTAGATTCCCCATATGAATGAGAACATGAAATATTTGTGTTGTTTTTCTCTGCCTGACTTATTTCACTCTCTAATTACATCCATATTTTTGAAAATGACAGAATTTCCTTATTTTACAAGGCTAAATAGTATTTCATTGTGTATTTACCACATCTGCTTTATCTATTCATCTGTTTTTGGACACCTAGGTTAATTCTATAACTTGGCTATTGTGAATAGTGTTGCAATGAACATGAGTGTGCAGAGACCTCTTCAAAAAACCGACTTCAATTTTGGGTAAATACTCGGAAGTGGGATTGTTGGATCACCTGGTAATTCTAATTTTAGTTTTTTGAGGAACCTCCATACGTTTTTCCATAAGGGCTGTTTACATTCCCACTAACAGTATACAATGGTTCCCTTTTTTCCACATTCTCAGCAGCACTTGTTATCTTTTGCCTGTTTTGATAATAGCAATTCTGACAGGTATGAGGTGATTTCTCATTGTGGTTTTAGTTTGCACTTTCCTAATGATTAGTGATGTTGAGCATTTTTAAATATATCTTTTGGCCATTTGTATGTCTTCTTTTGAGAAATGTCTATTGCAGTCCCTTGCCTATTTTTTAATTTTTTTTTTTTTTTTGCTATTGAGCTGTTCGAGTTTCCGATATATTTTGAATACTAACCCCTTATCAGATGTATGGCTTGCAAATATTTCCCCCCAACCAGTAGATTGTATCTTCACACTGTTGTTTCTTTGCTGTGCAGAAGCCTTTTAGTTGGATGTAGTTTTAGTTTGACTTGTGACTAAAGGATGCACCTGAGGATGTCAGAATGTACATCTTCCAGCAGGAGTCAGGGAACTGAATTTAAGTTAGGAGAGTCAAGGAGCCTGGATCCTGTCTTTAGGTCCTGGTTCACATTCAGTAGGAGAGGAGTCTCTTTTAAGTTCAATGAAGGCAGATGAGGCTCAAACATTCCTTTATGCAGATCCTTAAAAGAGGGGGGCATAAAAACAGAGAGAGAAAAGCCTGCATTTGGAAGTCTGATACAGAGCAATATTCATTCCCACACTAGACTGAGGGAGAAACTCTCACAAATCTGATATCATCATCTTTTAAACCAGGAGTAGGGGAGAAGCTGTCAGAGAACAGTGCCACCATGTGGCAGAGTAAAGAATAGCAATAGTTGGGACAATAGACCAGCCAATAGGAGTCTGCAGTAGCTTGCAGGAGACTGGGGTTTTGGGGACAGGAGGCAAGCTGGAGGTGAAAGCATGATGGATAAAGCCTTTTTTTTTTTTTCAGTACAATACTAATGAAGGGTCACTGTGGCCTGGGAAAATAGCATTATATTGGGATAGTTACCCGAGCCTTTAGTTATTTCCAAGCCTGGGAAAGGGAAGGTTACTTGCAGAAACTGGAGATTGTAGAAGCACATTCTTTTTTTTTTTTTTTTTTTTTTTTTTTTTAAGACTGAGTCTCATTCTGTCCCACAGGCTGGAGTGCAGTGGCGTGATCTCGGCCCACTGCAACTTCTGCCTCCCGGGTTCAAGCAATTCTCCTGTCTCAGCCTCCCAAGTAGCTGGGATTACAGGTGCCTGCCACTACGCCTGGCTAATTTTTTTTGTAGTTTTACTAGAGGCAGGGTTCCTTCATGTTGGCCGGGCTGGTTTAGAACTCCTGACCTTAAGGGATCCTCCCGCCTCGGCCTCGCAAAGAGCTAGGATTACAGGTATGAGCCACCACGGGAAGAGCATTCTTTAGACAACCAGGAAAACTTGAATTTAGTGTTTATCCTTAACTGAGCTTTGTGGATCATGACTAACAATCGCCAATAGCTTGGGAAGTTTAAGAAGGACTTTTTGCGTTTAGGAAGTAGAGAGGGCAGAGATAAACAAAGGAACCAGAAACGGAGCATTGGGTTCCAGGAGGCACAAGAGGCAGCAGAAGTGACTGAACATTGATATCTTGAGCTCAAGAGCTCTAAATAAGCCCAGGCAGTTCAAAGCCGGGCTCTAACTGTGGCTGAAATTGCTGACCTGCGTATAGTTTATAATCTTTTATAACCTCACACTCTAGGAAAGTAATCTTGTGATTTTATCACAGCCAAAATGAACATTTTGTCTCATTGCTTTATACCTGAGGACAAAAGAACTAAGGCATTACATTAGAGATGTCAATCATGGAGGCTGCCGGCCCTCTGTCCTTCCTCAGTGAAACAGACCTGTGCGTAGCCACTGCTGAGCAGACTTTCCTGTGCTGCCAGGGCCATTCTGTTCTCCTCCCTTCCTTGCCTACTTTGTAACTATTATTTGGACAGAGACGAGCACTTGATCCACAATTAGCTAGTGACATATTAGATTATTGACTTGACATTAGACAGAGGTTGCCATCCAGTTGTATTTCTTCTTTCAGGTGTTTGAAATGGAAAATACTGAGAATATTAGATAGTCGGTGACTGTAGCTGAAGCTGAAAGTATGCATAGAGGCTCCATGTGGGGTTATGAAGAGAGGACAAGCAGGAGCTGGCAAAGATATCCTGCCAGAGACTATATCGCCGAGAGGAAAGTGCTAGAGAAAATTGACGATCACTAGAATTGCCTTAGTTTCTGATGGCTTCCTGGTTCCAGGTCCAGTTCTAGTTCTGCTCTGCTCCACATCTGTGCTTACAAACAAACTCATCTTTTGAGGTCAATTGAATGTCTTTTCCTTGCAATGGATGTATTAGTCAGGATTTTCTAGAGGGACAGAACTAGTAGGATATATATATACACAAAGAGGAGTTTATTAAGTATTAACTCACAGGATCACAAGGTCCCACAATAGGTTATCTGCAAGCTGAGAGGCAAGGAGGGCCAGTCCATGTCCCAAAACTGAAGAACTTGGAGTCTGATGTTTGAGGGCAGGAAGCATCCAGCACAGGAGAAGATGTAGGCTGAGAGGCTAGGTCCGTCTCTCCTTTTCATGTTTTTCTGCCTGCTTTATATTCACTGGCAGCTGATTAGATTGTGCTCACCAGATTAAGGGTGGATCTGCCTTTCCCAACTCACTGACTCAAATGTTAATCTCCTTTGGCAACACCCTTACGGACACACCCAGGAGCAATACTTTGTATCCTTCAATCTAATCAAGTTGACACTCAGTACTAACCATCACAAGTCCACCCTTTGTCGACTTGAACCTATATGCATCTCCTGAGGTCATGCATAATCTTCAAATAAAGACAATAATAAGGTCATAATTATGCCTAACATAATACAACTATCCTTTGTACAACCAGAAACACACCAATCCCCAACCCAAATACTATTACATAAAGTTAACAATACTTAAATGCTGATATGAAGTTAATAAATCTTATGTCACATGATAAAAGAAAAGGAAATAAAATAAAGATTTTTTTCTTAGTACAAGTGTATATATACATGCACAAACATGTTTTTAGCAAAAGAAGGGGTAAATAGTCATGACAATTACAGTCCTCATTTCTGCAGCTGGTCACATGGTCGTAGCTGGTATTGATAACTACCTTCTTCTACTACTTCTGTATTCCCTTTGCCTTCAATTAGCACCTCAGCAGGTTGTGGTTTTTGTACTGGTGGAGTGACCCAAACCTTCATTCCTGAGGGGTCTGGGCCTTTTATAGTCCTGCCTGGATCGCGCTGTTGTAGTTTCCCATTGACCTTAATCTCAGGGCATGGTAATACTAACGGATGCCCTAATGGGATCTCCTGTACTCCATGCATCCTCTTCCTTACCTCCATTGTGGAGTAGTAGACTGATTTCATCTTGATAGTCTGGGTCAATCACCCCAGCCAACACTGTAACTCCTTTCTTAGCCTGTTGACTTAAAGGTAGGAGGGTCCCAAAGTGTCCAGGTGGTAATCTTAACTTCTAGTTAAATGGAATTGTTGTTGTGTCTCCTGGTGGCAGCGTTCCTCCCTCTAGAACTAAGACCTCTAGGCCAGCAGAACGTAAGATCACGGGAGCAGGAAGCAAAAATGTTGCTAGTTGATCACTAGGGGTGATGGTGAGTGGTGCCACTTCCACCACTTGATTTCTGGACCTGTGAATCTTGGCAATGGGAGAAACAGTACCATATGTTGGATGCTGATTCAGAGCATGCACAGCCTTCTGGAGAACTTTGCCCCAGCCCTGCAAAGTATTGTCATCTAGTAAGCATTGTAATTGTGACTTCAAAAGGCCATTCTACCGTTCTGTGAATCCAGCTGCTTCAGAATCATGAGGAACATGGTAAGACCAGTGAATTCCATGAGCATGATTCCACTGCCATGCTTCTTTAGCCACTTAAGTGAGTGCCTTGGTCAGAGACAATGCTGTGTGGAATACCATGACAGTGAACAAGGCATTCCATGAGTCCACGGATTGTAGCCTTGGCAGAAGCATTGCATGGAGGATGGGCAAACCCATATCTGAAGTAAGTGTCTATTCCAGCGAGGACAAACCTCTGCCCTTTCCATGATGAGAGAGGTCTAGCATAATCAACCTGCCACCAGGTAGCTGCCTGATCACCCCAAGGAATGGTGCCATGTTGAGGGCTCAGTGTTGGTCTCTGCTGCTGGCAAATTGGGCACTCAGCAGTGGCTGTAGCCAGGTCAGCCTTCATGAGTGGAAGTTCATGTTGCTGAGTCCATGTGTAATCTCCATCCCTGCTACCATGGCTACTTTGCTCATGGGTCCATTGAGTGATGACAGGGGAAAGAGGCTGAGTGGTGTCCACAGAGTGGGGCATCCCATGCACTTGATTATTAAACTCCTCCTCTGCTGAGGCCACCCGTTGGTGCATGTGGCATGCACTCACATGGCATACAAGTATCTTCACAGTTTTTGCCCACTCAGAGGGGTCCAGCCACATACCTCTTCCCCAGATTTCTTTGTCACCAATTTTCCAATCATGCTTCTTCCAAGTCCCTGACCATCCAGTCAAATCATTGGCTATTGACCATGAATCAGTATATAATCACACATCTGGCCATTTATCCTTCCATGAAAATTGCCCAACCAAGTTCTGCCCACTGGGAAGATTTCCCTTCACCGTTGTCCTTCAGGGATGTCCTAGAAAGGGGCTGTAGTGCTGCAGCTGTCCACTTTCAGGTGGTGCCTGCATATTGTGCAGAACCATCTGTGAACCAGACCCTAGTCTTCTCTTCCTCTGTCAACTGATCATAGGGAACTTCCCATGATTCCATCTGTGCAGGCTGGGGGAGAGAAGGCAGGGTGGCAGGAGTGGAGAACATGGGCATTTGAGCCACTTCCTTATGTAACTTACTTGTGCCTTCAGGACCTGCCCAAAACTGATCACATATATACCACTTCCATTTGGTGATGGAATGCTGCTGTGCATGACCCACTTTATGGCTAGATGGATCAGAAAGCTCCCAGTTCATGATAGGCAGTTCAGGTCGCATGGTGACTTGATGACCCGTAGTCAAAAGTTCAGTTTCCACCGAAGCCCAGTAACAGGCCAAGAGCTGTGTCTCAAAAGGAGAGTAGTTATCTGCAGAAGATGGCAGGGCCTTGCTCCAAAATCCTAGATGCTTCTGTTGAGATTCACCTATGGGAGCCTGCTAAAGGCTCCAAACAGCAACCCTATCTGCCACTGACACCTCAAGCACCATTGGATTTGCTGGGTCTTATGGCCCAAGTGGCAGAGCAGCTTGCACAGCAGCCCGGACCTGTTGCAGAGCCTTCTTCTGTTCTGGATCCCACTCAAAACTGGTAGCCTTTCAGGTCACTTGATAAATAGGCCTGAGTAACACACCCAAATGAGGAATGTGTTGCCTCCAAAATCCAAATAGGCTCACTCAGCATTGTGCCTCTTTCTTGGTTGTAGGAGGAGCCAAATGCACAACTTATCCTTCACCTTAGAAGGAGTATCTAGACAGGCCCCACACCACTGGGCCCCTAGAACTTTTACTGAGGTAGAAGGTCCCTGGATTTTAGTCAGATTTATTTCCCATCTTCTGGCAAGCAAATGTTTCACCAATAAGTCTAGTGTGTTTGCTGCTTCTTGCTCACTGGATCCAATCAGCATAATGTCATCAATGTAACGGACCACTGTAATATCTGGCGGAAGTGAAAAGCGATCAAAGCCTCGCCGAATAAGGTTATGACATAAAGCTGGAACTTCCACATGGTGTTGAGCCTGCAGGTGCACAGAAGTCAAGAATTGAGTTTTGAGAACCTCCGCCTAGACTTCAGAAGATGTATGGAAACGCCTGTATACCCAGGCAAAAGTTTGCTGCAGGGGCAGGGCCCTCATGGAGAACCTCCACTAGGGCAGTGCAGAAGGGAAATGTGGCGTGAGTGCCCCCCACACAGAGTCCCCACTGGGGCACTGCCTAGTGGAGCTGTGAGAAGAGGGCTACCGTCCTGAGCCCAGAATGGTAGATCCACCAACAGCTTTCACCATGCTCCTGGAAAAGCCACAGACACTCAATGCCAGCCCGTGAAAGCAGCTGGGAGGGAGGCTGTACCCTGCAAAGTCACAAAGGTGGAGATGCCCAAGACCAGAGGAAAGTTTTTGCATCAGCGTGACCTGGATATTAGAGCTGGAGTCAAAGGAGATCGTTTTGGAGCTTTAAAATTTGCCCCAATCGATTTCAGACTTGCATGGGCCCTGTAACCCCTTTGTTTTGGCTAATTTCTCCCATTTGGAACTTCTGTATTTACCCAATACCTATACCCTCATTGTGTCCAGGAAGTAACTAGCTTGCTTTTGATTTTACAGGCTCATAGGTGAAAGGGACTTGACTTGTCTCAGGTAAGCCTTTGGACTGTGGACTTTTGGATTAATGCTGAAATGAGTTAAGACTTTGGGGGACTGCTGGGAAGGCATGATTGGTTTTGAAAGGTGAGGACATGAGATTTGGAGGGGCCAGGGGCAGAGTGATATGGTTTGGCCATGTTCCCACCCAAATCTCAACTTGAATTGTATCTCCTAGGATTCTCACATGTTGTGGGAGGGACCCAGGGGTAGGTAGTTGAATCATGGGGGTCAGTCTTTCCCATGCTAATTTCGTGATAGTGAATAAGTCTCACGAGATCTGATGGGTTTATCAGGGGTTTCTGCTTTTGCTTCTTTCTCATTTTCTCTTGCTGCCACCATGTAAGAAGTGCATTTCACTTCCTGCCATGATTCTGAGGCCTTCCCAGTCATGTGGAACTGTAAGTCCAATTAAACCTCTTTTTGTTCCCAGTTTTGGGTAAGTCTTTATCAGCAGCATGTAAATGAACTAATACAATGGAAATAGCTGAGATCCAGCAGAGATAAGGGAAACACATGCCTTCCTGAGATCATAGACAAGGAAGGCCTCCAAGTCCTTGGATGGCGAGAGTGCAGGTCCCTCAAGTGGTCAACTGGACAGAGCTGAGAGTTTAAGGGCTGCAGACATGTCACAACTGTCATTTCATTTGCTCTTTATAATGACCTTAGAGGAGAGCAGAGCAGGCACTATTATTGTCTTCATTTTACTCATGAGAAAAGTGCCCAGGGTTTAATGAGTTATTCTGAGCCATGTGAATAACACTTGGCAGAGGTGTGACTTGAACCTAGGTATCCCCACTCAAATTGCCTGATTTTTCTCATTAGGCCAGGCCTCTTGTCCAGGGCTATGCATCAGAATCACCTGGGGTGCTTGTGATACTTGTGCTTGAGCCTCAGCCTTTGAGAGTCTGATTCAGTAAATCTGGGAGCTGGGCCTGAGCCCCTGTGTTTTTTCACTTTCTGTGGGTGAATGTGAGGAGCTTCCCTTGCTAAGCATCTGCCTCAGACAATGCAGGCTCAGCAGCACCTCCATTGTGGTGTTACCCCAAGCTGGCTTATAGCCTTCAGCCCTGAGGAAATGCCATATGATGGGGGAGAAGTGAAGAAACTACTTTTCACTCAGTATATTCAGTGTCTAAGGAAAGACTGGAACCATGGTAGTAGTCAAGGGACGATTTAGGGCCTTTTACCTTCACAATCTTCATGAATCGCCCATCCTTTGACAAAGACAATTAAAACAATGTTATGTATTATGTGTATTATATCCGTACAAAAATATAGTATCTTAAAAACTCATTTGGAACATATAATCCACCCCTAAACCATGGACCTGCTATGCAAATGTAGTTTCACAGCCAGTCCCACAGCTCCCTTTTCAGGTTGACTGTCACCACTAAACCCTTTCTCTAGATAAATCCTGGAGCTGTCAGGATGACTTATATGTGTTGCTGAAAGGGGAGTTATTTTAGTAGTGAGTGAAAAGACAGACAGCCTTAGAGAACTTCAGGGGTCTTCTGGTTGCAAGCCCTTGTTGATCTGGCACTAGGCTGGAGCTCCAGAGGCCAGGGGAACTGCTGGGTCAGGGGCTATAGAAGGACAGTATCTCCCTAGTTTCTCCTAAAAAGGAAAAGAGATGAGCTGTCTGATGCTGAAATGCAGTGTAATTGTAATAGGAAACTGCCCAAGCAGTGACAAAAAAGATCACAGGACATATAAGGAGATGGAAGGATTAAGGAAATTGTCCATTGGCTCTTTCTCCAAGTGCTCTGCTGATTTTTCCACTCTGTTGTCACCTGACCTCTCCTGTTGTGCAGCTCAGCATCTTAAATTGCAAAGCTGGCTTAGTCCCATGAAGGGTTTCCAACAAGATAAGTTTTTAGGAGGAAAAGGTAGACGTTAGGTGAGCAGGAAAAGGCCTCTAAGTCCCTCAACATTTGGGAAGTCCGTTTGTTTGGGTCCAGAGGGGGATAAGGAAGCTGAAAGGATGTCTACTCCATGGGAGACAGGAGACAGGACACAAGGTGACATTAGAAAAGGGAGGATGTCCTGCAGACGGAGCTTGGAGGGGATGCCAGGATGGAAGAGCCATAACAAGAATGTTAGTGTCAGAAAATAGGAATTTACTAAGACAAACATAACTCTTAGTTCTGAGTGTGAGCTCATGGAGGACCTAGAAGGAGATGCCAGCGTTTCAAAACCACAGTGGAAAAGCTGGATACCATAAGCCTGGGCTCGGAACCACATAGCTTTGGAAAGACAGCTTTGTGCTGTGTTTCTTGAGTTTGAGGGCTGGCCTCTGGGTTTTGCCCCATTCTCCTTGGAACTACACTTACCTCCTACTGTGCTGGGAATAAAAAACAAATGGTTAAAGAAAGAAACAATTTAGTCTCCACTACTGATTTTAAAAAAATAAATATCAAGTGACTGAGTGCTTTCTGAAGTTTAAAACTCTACCTTTACGTGGGTTAATAAGAACATTAGGACATAGCAAATGCTGCTTCCTGTGGGTCCTGCCTGATTGGAATTGAGTTTTTAAGTGGCCAAATCTGCTTGGGTTATTCTGCTTATGTAAGACATGACCCTGAAAGTGGATACATTGATATTTTAGTCTCAAGATGTATTTTTAATTCTCTAGTGATTGACTTATGCTTTGTCATTTACCAAGTACCCGGTATTAATAAATGGAATAAGTTGGACTAATGGTGCATCACTGAGGAATGGGGAGATCTGACTTCTTGGTAGGTAAAGACTTTTAATCCTTTTTTTTTTTTTTTTTTTTTTTTAAGATAGAGTTTCACTCTGTGGCTCAGGCTGGAGTGCAGTGGCGTGATCATGGGTCACTGTAGCCTTAAATTCCTGGGCCTTCTACATAGTTTGAAATATGCTTAGTAATTTCCCAAGGGGCATGTCATGTAGGTCAGATGGGAGGGTTCTCTTTCTGTGATTTTTTTTGAAGATTAATGTTTGTTTAACATGTTTGAGTTAGTATGCGATGACCAGGAACACAGAGAATCATTTGACCTTTAAAAGGTCAGGATGGAATAATGGCCTATTAAAGCAGTGGTATTTATCACTTTGAACAAAAAAGCATCAATGGAAAGATCCTATCGTCTCATAACTAGGGTAGATATTTCAAATTGTGTATGTTCAAAAACTGAAGCTACCTATTGAAGTGAAATTATACAAAGTCTGGAATTTTCTTTAGCATTTTCAAGCGAAATAGAAAAGGTGGAGGTAGACTAGATCAGCAAGATGATAATAACTGTGAAAGCTGTGTGACGGATAAACAGGGACTCATTATACTTTGTTCTCTATTTTTGTGTAATTAGATTTTTTTTCTATAATACATTTTTTTATAAAAAAGTCAGAAACTAGGGACCAGAGAACTAGATAGAATCTTTGGCAAACTCTAGAGTCCTAACCCAGGAGAGCACCCTGATTTCATAAAGGTGCTGGTGAATCATATGTAGCAGAAACATGTAATGACCAGGAGTCTAGGCTGTCCTAGACAGGAGAGTCAGAGATGGTGGCCTGGGCAGGAAGGCAGGCCTCAGAGAGAGAAGCCAAATATGCCAGGCTACAAGTGCTTATTGCAGTCTGACTGTCTTCAAACTGGTCCATTTTCAGTTAGAGTGGAGAAATTGAGGCTCATGGCCTGCATTTCTGTATTTTGCATGAGGGTGATTGTAATAATTATAATATAGTTCAAAATTAACTGTTTACATTTTTCTGTAGGAAAGCCTTCCTGGTATTTATTAGAGGACAAGTTAATCATCTGTAATTTTCCAGGCCAAAAAGGAAAATGATTCAAGGCAGATGGAATTTTGCCAGTGAGACAGCTTGGTTCTGCCCAACCAGACACCATCTCTTTTGAATAAGAGTTTATGATTTTTCTCACAGGGGAGCTTTGAAAGTTAGGGAGGTACTTAGAGGTGCTACTTTCCTTCTGTTGGGCTTCTAAAATAATAAAGAAACATCCTGGGAAACAGAAAGTTTATTAAAATGTCAGGGGCTTAAAGCAAAGTTACTGATGAAATTATGGTTCTCTGGTTATCATTCCAGACTCTGGAAGTATTAGAGTCTGGGTTTTGGAGTTTGATTTTAAAAAGTATTGATGATACAGAACTAGGTGCATGCAGTCCAAAGCTTTGTAGAGGAAGGATTGTTCTCCCACTAGTTATATGTCTTAGAGGCCAATACTACCCAGTACACTTCGGGTACAAGTTCATATAACAGCTAATAGTTACTGCGTGTTTACCATGTGTTAAGAACTGTCAATGCAAAGTCAGTTACATAAAGGCTCTGGGATGAAGCTCATTAAGAAACATGCAGCTAGCAAATGGGAGAGCTGAGACTAGTGCACGGTGTGACATTAAAACCTATCATGATGCTCAGCTAGCAATCAACAGAAGTTTCTCATGTTTCTTTTGCAGTCTCCTAACCATTTCAGTCTCTGTTCCCTCCTCACCAAGAAGCACCAATGCTAGAAGTGAGAGAGAAAAGTGCTATTTTGCTCCCAGAGAAGCCCAAACAGAGAGCAAAATGAACAACAATGGAGCACAGCTCAGATAACGAAATGCAGGACAGAGGACATACACTGGGGACACGTGCTAGCCCATTAAGAACTTTGAAAAGCAATTCTGTGGGCCTTTTCTTGCCGCCCTGCCCTGTGAGCTTTCTGCTTTCTGTGATTTGACTGTGGTGTCTGATGAAGCCCAGTGTTCAAAATGGAAATTAAGTACAAGGGCTCAGTGACAGATGTTCCTTTTTGCCTTGAAGGAAGATAAACACGTAGTTTAATAGACCAAAATGTATGCGTTGGATTCTTCAGAGGGTAAGCATATAGATGCTCCCGCCCCCTCCAAATAGATCTTGTTTATCTAAAGCTTTGCTCCCAGTTGTCATTAATTGCAGATGACAGTCTCTGCCTTTGCCAGCCTGCTAGATGGTGAGTGTTGTGGCTTTTTAACCTGAAGTTTCATCTGGTCAGGGCCTGAAGTCAGACTTGATCATGGCAGCTGGAACATCATGAAGTAGTCTTGCTCTAGGCAGCTTGTTATCTTTGGAGTAACTGGGGTACGAGTGAGTCTCCCAGGCCTTGGGGTTCTTTTATCCTCCTATGCATGTGGCCTGTCTCTGGATTGCACCATAGTTCCCCCGCAGAGGCCAACATTCTGCCTAGCTCCCGAGGGTCTGGACCTGTCTACTGTACTCTCATATCTTGGCTGAGTCTTGCGCTAAAATCTAACAAATCAGCTGGGTACAGTATTCTTCTACCCTGCTCCATCCCACCCATCAGCAAACCCCTTTGAGCACTGACCTTGATTTTTGGAATGACTGGGGCCTGGGATATGGACTACTAGCCACCTTTGAAGCAAATTCCTGTGCTGACCACTCAAGCCACTCTCATTTATAATTTTTCTTGACTCTTTCTTCTTTCCACTTACTACCGTACTCTGGTCTTTCCCCAATTCATCTCTTATTTCAAATTTGTACGGTTCATTCATTCATGAGTTATTTTGGGGAGCTCCACCTTCCATGTGTCGGACACTGTGCTAGGTCCTGATAGATCAAAGATAAGTAAGTCGTACCTCCTCACAAGCAACTTACAGTGTAAGGGAGCATCTAGGCTTCTAAATAGATGATCACAATGTAACTTGATGAGCACAAGGATCCATATATGTGTGGACAGAAGATCATGAGTGGGGAGGGGCATATAGCTCGACAACCCATTTAATGCAAGAAAGACTTGGATATTAAAGAATGGGATGGACGTAATGTAAAGGAAACTCCAGACAGAGAGCAAATGTGAGCAAAGACTTGGAAGTAAAAACAACACGTTGAATGTAAGGAACCATAAGCATTTTTGTTATGCTAGTGGATAAAATTGAATCAGGGAATAATGAAGAGTGAGGCTGGAAAGGTAGGCAGGTGCCTTATCATGAAGAGTGTTAAAGGTAGGGTGACTGTACCATTTTTCTAAACCCAGATGCTTTTTATTTTGAGACAGAGTCTTACTCTGTCACTCAGGCTACAGTGCAGTGGCGTGACCTTGGCTCACTGCAACCTCCGCCTCCCGGGTTCAAGCAATTCTCCTGCCTCAGCCTCCTGAGTAGCTGGGACTATAGGCCTGTGCCACCACGCCTGGCTATTTTTTTTTTTTTTTGTATTTTTAATATAGAGATGCGGTTTTGCCATGTTGGCCAGGCTGGTCCTGAACTCCTGGCCTCAAGTGATCCTCCCGCCTTGGCCTTGGCCTCCCAAAGTGCTGGGATTACAGGCGTGAGCCACCGCACCCAGCCAAGACACTTTTGAGAGTGAAAGCAGTCTCACTAATAATTATCCTAGGGCAAAAATGGAAAACTAGGACCCTCTCAGGAAAACTGGGAGGCATCCTCACCCTACAATTATGACAAGTTAAAAGGCTTGGACTTTATGCTGCAGGCAATGAAAATGTATTGAAGAGTTTTGAGTTTGTGGCTGCTTGGCATCTGCATATGCTTCCTGTTCATGGAATTGGATATTCTTTGCTATAGGGATTCTTTCCTATAGGAATAGATATCCCCTCCTACAGCTATCAGGCAGGTCGGGGGCAGGCATGTGACCTGTCTCTGCCAGATAGATGCTGTGGCCCGGGACCTTAAGTTCTGAGGGAGAGAAGGGAGGAGTGTGAGCATGGTGGTGAGCTGTAGCACTGCCAGAGGTGGTGGTGTCTAGAACAAAGTTCTAAGCAGACCATTCCTGTGGCCCAGTCTTGGCTGTACCTTGTCTCCCCTGATACATGTTTGTTTCTGAGCCTGGTTCTCTAGGCTATGCATTGATTTACCTCTCTGTAATCCTTTCAGTAGAACTTTTGTTTGTAAGGTGAAGTCACAGTTGAGGCTTGTTTCAGTTGGATCACCCGGGTGGCATGGTCCTTCTGCTGTGTTCTGAGAGGAGTTGTGAAGACCATTTGCAATCATCCTCCTCTCTAAGCAAAGCATAAAGAGAACAAGACCTGCCCATGATTGTCCCTCTTAAGGCCTTGTGTAATCACAGAGAATGACAATATGCTGGAGGTGACCCCAGCTGGCCCTCCACTGCTGCTGTTGGACACATTGATAGCACAGGGCAGAGAGTGTGATGGAGGCCTGTGGGGACATTTGGCTTGAACTTTTCAAAGCCCAAATGATGCTGGCCATAAAGGAAAGGCCCTGAAGTCTCCAGGGCTATTCCTTATGTGAATAGTAAATTCTCCTCAAGAAGAGGGGATAGAAAGCTGCATTAGGTAAGTATAAATAAAGATGCCATTTTGCTCTGATCTTTAAAGGATTAGCTTAATAAGAAAAAACAGTGTATATTTTCTGAACTTGCGTTAATTAAGAAAATCACTGAAGTTGTGCTTCCCATAGTTTTCCTTGTGTTTTGTCTGTTCCCTTTGTAATCCATTAAATTTTATGGCATTAGCAGGGATTTGAAGCCCAGGATTTAATCAGTAGTCATTTCTCCTGTATCAGCACTTTTGCACAGTGCTTTGTGTATTAAGCAGTATTTTAGTGCATTGTCTGACCTTTATCTCTTGAATTGCACCACTTAATTGTAACTTCTATTTTGCCACGAGATATATATATATATATATATGATCAAAGGCTATGAATAGCACTTGTGAGTTTTTCCCAAAGGATCACAACAAAAGTCTAACGTGCAGAAATCAGAATTGTCCATGCATTTGGATCTGGGCAGATGCAGACTGGTAGTCTGTGCCCTCTGATGCTACGTAACTCTCCCCACGTCCTTTTTTTTTCCAACGTTAAATCATTTTAAATATGGTATTCAGGATTCTGGCTCACCCCTGGGTGCAATCCAAGTTTTGGACATGCTAGGCCATCAGATCTGAGGAAAATCATTCGATTGAATGGCATGCCCTGTTTTCCTACTGAAAGCTATGCTGATAATCCATTCTCCCTGTCTGACTGCCACACTGTCTTCTAGTGGCAGAAGTCTAAATCTTTAGGGACCCACTCTCTGTTTTCTCTCATGAGAACAGGGTTCCTCTCTTTGCACACAATGCTTTTCAGCATTGGAAGTGTTCAAACCCTTGTTCTCTTGGCCAGTACATCTGTGTTTGAGAGGATAGTAAGAAGCTCATTCATGTGGCCTCTGTCACCTCTCTGAGTCATATGGGAAAGCAAATCTAGGTTCACAGATTTGGCAACTGATAGGCTTAGTTTATTTCCAGAGCAGTTTCTCAGTATGAGTCATATCTGGGAGCATTTGATAGGACACCTTACTCTGAGCTCTGATGGGCAAATTTTGTTTTTGGGTGAGCCTGAAAGGTGAAGCTAATGGGTGAGCTGCAATCATAGCCTCCCTGATTCTATCTCTGCCTCTATCTCTCCTTCCTCTGACTTTGGTTCCCTTCCTTTCTTTCAAGACTGGTCTGTTCCTTTCCCTATTACATCTCTTTCAATAGAATCAATTTCCAAAATATGACTCTCTCCGACCTTCCTCTGCCTCAGTACTTTAGTCCAGTCTGTCCTGTCGAGTGCAAAGCTGGGTTTGGCCTCCAGAGCCAAAACGACTCATTTCACTGGGAAAAGTCCCATTGCTTCCCTTCCAGGCCTACTGGCTTCTGCACCTTAGTCAATGTATTATCTCAGAGGTATTTCTTTTCCTATTTGTATTTTTATTTCAATAGTGTTGGGGTAACAGATGGTGTTTGGTTGCATGAAAAAGAATAATGGTCTCCAACTCCATCCAGGTTGCTGTGAACGCCATAGTTTCATTCATTTTTTATGGCTGAGTAGTATTGCATGGTGTGTGTGTGTGGATATATATGTGTGTGTATATATATATATATATACATATATATATATCACATTTTCTTTATCCACTTGTTGGTTGATAGGCACTTAGGCTGGTTCCATATTTTTGCAATTGCAAATTGTGTTGCTATAAACATGCACGTGCAAGTGTCTTTTTTATATAATGACTTCTTTTCTTCTGGGTAGTTACCCAGTGATGGAATTGCTGGATCAAATGGTAGTTCTACTTTTAGTTCTTTAAGGAGTCTGCATACTGTTTTCCATAGTGGTTGTACTAGTTTACATTCCCACCAGCAGTGTAAAAGTGTTCCCTTTTCACCACAACCACTCCAACATCTGCTTTTTTTTTTTTATTTTTAAATTATGGCCATTCTTGCAGGAGTAAAGTGGTATCTCATTGTGGTTTTGATATGCATTTCCCTGATCATTAGTGATGTTGAGCATTTTTTCATATGTTTGTTGGCCATTTGTATATCTTCTTTTGAGAATTGTCTATTCATGTTCTTTGTCCACTTGTTGGTGGGATTACTTGCTCTTTTCTTGCTGCTTTGAGTTTCTTGTAGCTTCTGAATATTAGTGCTTTGTAAGATGCATAGTTTGTGAATATTTTCTCCCACTCTGCTGATTATTTCTTTTGCTGTGCAGAAGCTTTTTAATTTAATTAGGTCCCATCTATTTATCTTTGTTTTTGTTGCATTGCTTTTGGGTTCTTAGTCATGAACTCGTTGCCTAAGCCAATATCTAGGAGAGTTTTTTGGATGTTATCTTCTAGAATTTTTACAGTTTTGGATCTTAGACTTAAGTTTCTGATCTATGTTGTGTTTATTTTTGTATAAGGTGAGAGATGAAGATCCAGCTTCATTCTTCTACATGTAGCTTACCAATTATCCCAGCACCATTTGTTGGATAGGGTGTCCTTTCCCCACTTTATGTTTTTGTTTGCTTTGTTGAAGATCAGTTAGCTGTTAAGTATTTGGCTTTATTTCTGGATTCTCTATCCTGTTCCATTAGTCTACATGCCTATTTTTATACCAGTACCATACTGTTTTGGTAACTATAGCCTTGTAGTATAGTTTGAAGTCAGGTAATGTGATGCTTCCAGATTTGTTTTTTTATTTGCTTAGTCTTTTTTTGGCTATTAGGGTTGGTTTTTTTTTTTTTTTTTTTTTTTTTTTTTTTTTTTTTTGCTTCCACATGAATTTTAGGATTAGTTTTTCTAGTTCTGTGGAGAATGATGATGGTATTTTGATGGAAATTGCATTGAATGTGTAGATTGCTTTTGGCAGTATGGTCATTTTCATAATACTGATTCTACCCATCCATGAGCATGGGACATGTTTTCATTTGTTTCCAAATACTTCTGAGGAATCTCAGAGGGATTTCTCACCCTCATACCCTTAGACTCTTTCGACCCGGGCTGGAATCAGGACATTCACTATGAACAAAAAATGTTGGGAAATGAGAGGGAGAAGACAGCTAAGTGACCTTGAGCAGGTTCTTTAACATCTCTAAGCTTGAGAATCTTTATTATAAAATAGAAATAATATGAACAGGTTGCTGAGAAAATTCAGGGAAATCACATATGTAAAATTCCTAGCAGTGTCAAGAACTAAGAAGGATCTGAGGTTTTACCCTACTTGTAAGCTAACAAGTTAGCCTGCTACATGTCCATGGGTGCTGCCAAAAGACACAAGACTCCTGGGTCAGAGACAAATGACTTTATTATTCACAACCACAGTGGTAGCCAGAGGATCAGAAATTATGCTGGTCACTTGAGCTCCACTTCCCACAAGGCAAAGCTAGGAGGGCCAGATGATGCCTGCACATGCAATGGGGTTGTGTTACAGAGAGAAAGTCTGACTTTAGGGAGCCCCATTTTTATTTATTTTTACTTTTTTATGCCTGATGTATCTTTTTTCTTTATTTTTTTTTTGTAAGTTTGTCTTTTATTTCAATAGGTTTTTGGGGAACAAGTGGTGTTTGGTTACATGAATAAGTTCTTTAGTGGTGATTTCTGAGATTTTGGTGCACCTATCACCCAAGTAATGTACACTGTACTCAGTGTGTAGTATTTTATCCCTTACCACTATCCCACCATTTACACTGAGTCCCCAAAGTCCATTGTATCATTCTTATGCATTTGCATCCTCATAGCTTAGCTCCCAATTATGAGTGAGAACGTATGATGTTTGGTTTTCCATTTCTGAGTTACTTCACTTAGAATAGTAGTTTCCAATTCCATCTAGGTTGCTTATGAATGCCATTATTTCATTCCTTTTTATGGCTGAGTAGTATTTCATGGTACATATATACCAGATTTTCTTTATCCACCACTTGGTTGATGGGAACCTCATTTTAAAATAATAGGCAGTAAGTAAACCTTTTTATTTTATTGGGAAGAAGATATCTCTATTTTTCAATGCTTGTAGTTTTACAAACATCAGAAAAAAAGCCCAGAACAAAAACAGCGAGGGGGCATTCATTTACAAGATTTGTAAGAATGCAAAAGAACATTTGAGAATTGTCTCTTAACACAATACCTGGCATCTGATGAGCTCAATGAATTTTGGCTGTCTTTATTGTTAATAAAGTACCTAATATTGTACTAGCATATAATAAGTACCTAGTAAAATGGTAGCTATGAATAATGGTAGCTTTTCTTTTTTTTTGTTTTTTTTTTTGAGGTACAGTCTCGCTCTGTCACCTAGGCTAGTGTGCAGTGGTGCGATCTCAGCTCACTGCAACCTCTGCCTCCCGGGTTCAAGCGATTCTTCTGCCTCAGCCTCCCGAGTAGCTGGGACTACAGGAGCACGCCCCTACGCCCGGCTAATTTTTTTGTATTTTTAGTAGAGATGGGGTTTCACCATGTTAGCCAGGATGGTCTTGATCTCCTAACCTCATGATCTGCCCACCTCGGCCTCCCAAAGTCCTGGGATTACAGGCGTGAATCACTGTGCCCTGTGGTGGTGGACCTTTTCTTGAAAATAATGAGACTCAAATTTCTGCTAGTGAGCAATTTAAGGTATATACAGAACCTATCTCAGAGTCTGATACGTAGTAGGCATTCAATATATATTACTGAAGGAATAAATAATATAATAATAAATAATATATAAATATATAAATCATATCTCATTCAATATATATGAAAGAATAAATAGTAACACTTTGGAAATTCTATAAAACAAATATAAGGTGTGATTATCAACCTGCAAACCGTGTATGTTTTTCTGTTTTCCCTTCTATCATGTAATTTTTTTCCATAATATTTTACATATTGTAGGCTCCTCACAAATAATGTTTGAAAGGTTAATAGCAAAATAAATAAAATACAAAATTTTCCAATTTTAATTGTAACTGTGATTTATACTTCTTTCTCACCATATATAGTATCAAACTGATGAAGTAATTAGGATTTAAAATTTCTTTCCATACTATAAAATGGCAAAATATGTTCCTTGCCATGGTCTTGTAAAAGTTTTGAAGACATTGAAATGGCTAAAAATGTAAACGGCAAGAGAGAGGAGAATTAAAATATAAATAACACACAAACTGGATAAGCTACTATAGAGTAAATTGAAAGTTAATTAGCTCAGGAATAGAACTCCTATATTTCCCATGGCAATTTGCCAAGATTCTTGCCCACTTTGCTATAAAAAATGTTTACCCTGGCCAGGCGCTGTGGTTCACACCTATAATCCCAGCACTTAGGGAGGCTGAGGTGGGTGGATTGCCTGAGCTCAGGAATTCGAGACCAGCCTGGGCAACATGGTGAAACCCTGTCTCTACTAAAAATACAAAAAATTAGCCAGGCATAGTGGCAGGTGCCTGTAGTCCCAGCTACTTGGGAGGCTGAGGTAGGAGGATGACTTGAACCCAGGAGGCGGAGGTTGCAGTGAGCCGGGATTGTGCCACTGCACTCCAGCTCAGGCGACACAGTGAGACACTTGTCTCCCCCCCCAAAAAAAAAAAAAAAAAAAAAGTTTACCAAATCGCCCTTAGGTATAAATCTTAAGTCCAGAAATTAAAATCTCCAAGGAAAACTCAGGAGTCACATTAAACCAATGGTTCAAACCTGGTCACCGTTTCCCATTGTCTGGATTTACTGAAGGATCCATTTGGTGGGGGTCAGAGAGGAATTAAGCTAGTGATGGAGGATTGAGGGTGGGGGATGAAGAGGTCAGGAGTAGGATGAGAGTGAAAGCGGGGAGGGCTTTAGGTATTTTTCTCCTCACAGGGCTTTCCTGTGTTCCTGGGAAGGTTTTCGTTTTCTGAAGCTCCAGATTGCCTTATCTGCAAATCAGGGAGGGTGCTGCTGTGTGCTTTGAAGACCAGTACTGGATGTGGTGGGCAAAGCACAGAAGCGCAGACTGAGATTATTAGTGCAGATTTGGTATTTATCAGGTCAGATCGGGGCTGCTGTCTGTCAGTTTGGTTAGATTTTTAGGGGGTGTCTCTGAGGCAAATAATGAATAAAAAAGTAATACTGTGCTGTTTATCACCTGCTGGTCTTTAAACTATAGTTAAATTTCCCCTGATAATTTCTTTTCCATTAATCTTTCTTCCTGTTAGGAAATCTTTGGAAAATTGCTGACTTGGCAGCTGAAAATATTTTCTTGGCAAGCCCTTTGAAATTGTAATTGTATTAAAGGGCCTTTTTCTTATCTTTGCCTTTAAATAACTTTTTTTCTCCCTGGTTCTCTGTTGGAGAAAGAAGAATAAAATGCATTGTTCATCCTTATCCTCAACACATCATTATTTTTGAACCTTTGAAGAGCAGTGAAATTCTCTATTGTGAGGGATTTTAGTCTTAAATCAACAGCATGTCAGGAAGCATTAGTGAGGCACAACATCACATGCATATATGGACGGGTCTGGTCATCAAGCATAAACGAGCTGCCAGCAAACCAAGCTACAGAAACAAGAGTTCTTAATTCCCCTACCGCCATTCCCACACATTTAGACTCTAGGGATGCAAATACAATATACCAATTATGGTAACACTTTCTGACCTCAACTCATCAAGAAATATAAAACTGCGTGTTCAATATTTTGTGGAGCCACTGTTTCAAAATTGATTTTTAAGCAATGGCTACTCGTGTGTTTTTTTGTCTCCTCTGGGAATCTGGGGTTCGGAAGGGCAGTGCATTTCTCTTGATGTCTCTCTGAGATAAATAAAAAGAAAATAGGAGGCCATTTTCAGGTTGGCCTCAAGGTCTCTCCCAGGCATCCAGACTCATTTTGTCATTCCTCTCCAGGGCTTATGCTTGGCCTACTGATCCCAGAGGAGAGAATCATAGAGAATTGTGGAATTGGAGAGCTGCAAATAGCCTGCCCTCATTTGTAAGTCACCCCTGATTCAGGCTACAGAGCTGCAGCTATTGATGGCATCCATGGAAATGACTCTGGCCTTGAGGCTCAGCTTCTCACAGAGAAGCGGTTTTTCCCTTCTGCATCCAGTGCTTGATGGGAGACTTGACAAAGTGGTGGCAGAGCTGGAGCCTGAGGAAAACCCAACAGAGCTTGCATTTATTACAAAATACTGAATTGCTAAGTGCTAAATGAGATTGCCTCCATGTCCTGCTCATTGACTTACAGGAAAAAAATGCACCCTCAAATAGCAGGTGGGGTTGGAATTAGGAGGAAGTGGTTGGAGACTGCACCAAAGAGCAGGGGGCCAACCATGGTCCACACAAGGAGATGTGGAAGTGTTTCATTCTACCCAATGTTCTTGTGGAGTTAGTTGTTACTTAGCTAAAAAGAATGTTGGGGAGGACCCGAGTTTGGGTCTTAGTGCTGCCATTTTATTAGTTGGGTAACCTTGGGCAAGTTAACAGTTCTGTGCTTCAGTGTCTTCATCTATAAAGAGAAAATAACAATTTGCAGGGGCACTTAAAGATAAAATGAATGTTTATGTAATCTTTCTGGTGCACAGTAATGCTGAATTAATGTCTCTATTCTTTTTCTTTTTTTTTTTTTTTTAAACAACAAAAAAACCCCTCCTGTCTTTTCTGTTTTTCCTCAATCAACTTAGAGGTTTATTTTGCCAAGGTTAAGGACCATGGCCCATGACACAGCCTCAGGAGGTTCTGAGAACATGTGCCCAGGTTGGCTGAGTTATAGCTTGGCTTTATACACTTTAGACAGACAGAAGTTACAGGCAAAAATATAAATCAATATACATAAAGCAAATATTGGTTTGGCCTGGAAAAAAGGGACATGATGGGGGCAGAGGGGGTAGGGGATTCCAGGTCATAGGTGGATTCAAAGATTTCCTAATTAGCAATTGGTTGAAAGACTTACATGCTGCCTGAAGAGTTGAAGTCAGTTCGAGTTCAGATAAAGGGGGTTTTGAAAGCCAAGGTTCTTGTCAAGTATATGAAACCTCCAAGCAGCAGGCCTCAGAGAGAATATATGGTGAATGTCTCTGTTCACACCTCAAAAGGCAACAGACTCTCCAGAAAATATCTAGTCATGGAAGGAGATTCTTTACAGAATGCAAATTTCCCCCACAAGAAACAGCTTTGCAGGGCCATTTCAAAATATGTCAAAGAAATAAAATACTTTGGTTTCCTTCAGAGCCTACTGTTTGTCCTGTGATGTTATACCAGAGGCAGGTTGGAATTTTGTATGTCATTGCTACAAAGAGGCTGTTTTAAGATCTCCGTTTTCATGTTAATATTGGTCAGTTGTGTCTAAACTCTAAAAGCAGGAGAGTATAATGAGGCATGCCTGATTCTCATTTCCTGTCGTGACCTGAACTAGTTTTTCAGGTTAATTTGGAATCCCGTTGGCCAAGGAGGGGAGGGTCATTCAGTCAGATGGGGAGCTTAGAACTTTATTTTCGGTTAACATTCTCCCTCTTCTGGCCAAGATTTGCCAGAGGCAACATCAGTGATCAAACTTTTATTTTTGTCCCATAGCTGAACTCATGTCTTAATGATTACTTATATTAATCGCATGAGACTGGCCCTCTAGAAGCCCATTCTCTATCCCACTTAGAATGGGGCACCAACACTGCTTCTCTAGATTTCATAAGCAATGCTAGCTAGCTTCTGTGCCAAATTGCCAGTTGTTTCAAGTAATGGAAATAGTTAGTAGGTACGTTCTTGGGAATGGGGAGTCCCCTACGGGTTGGGGGTAGGGAGTGAGGCTGTCAGTTACATGAAGACAGGGCAGAGGACACAAGGATACAGGACATAACAGACACACAGGAAGTGAATGAATGCATTTAAGTGTTTGGTGGCCAAAGTAGGGCAAGGAGAGAACTAATGAGGGCAAATAGAAAAGAAATGGCTTCTGTTTCTGTATCTTGACTTGCTTCTCATCAGTTTGTAAATGGAGGTAGGTTGTAGAAAACACACACACACACACACACACACACACACACGAACACCAAGAGCAATGACTAAGAAGAAGGAGGGACAGAGTTTTGAGTTTGGAAGAGCATGCTGGGCACAGAATTTGAAGTAGTCAATCAATTAGCATTTCACATTTTGTAATTTAGAATCATACATACATATCTCCTGGTCTAACCCTCATAGAATATAGGATTTCTCCTGTATTAGTTTCCTATTGCTGCTAGAACAAATTACCACAACTTTTGTGGCTTGAAACAAGACAAATGTATCGTCTTACAGTTCTGGAAGTCAGAAGCTGAACATGGATCTTATAGACTAAAATCAAGGCATTAACAGAACTGCATTTCTTCTGGAAGCTCTTTGGGAGAATCTGTCTCTTTGCCTTTTTCAGCTTCCAGAGGCTGCTCTCAGGGCTTAGCTTGTGGCCCCCTTCCTCCATCTTCAAAGCAAATTACTCAATTTCTGCTTCTATCAGCCAATCTCCTACTCTGACTGGTTCTCTACTTCCTTCCCTTATACAGACCTCTTATATGGGCCCGCTCAAATAATCCAGGATAATCTCCCATCTCAAGATTCCTACCCTAATCATATCTGCAAAGTCCATTTTTTACATTTAAAGCAATGCATTTACATTTCTTGGTGTTTAAGACACAGACATATTTGGGGAGCCATAACTCATTCTGTCACACTTCCCTAAATCACCCTTTCCTGATGGTTAGGTGCACACCTCTTCCTGAGTACATTCTGAGGCAGCCCATTTCAATGTAAATGTTATCTGACTTTCTTTTGCTAGTTAAATGAATGACTGAGTGAGTAGAGGAAGCCACACGCTCTTTCTCTTTCTCTTTCTCTTCACTCATGGGTTGAAAGCGACCAGTAAGAAGTCAGACAAGAATAATTAGGAAAGTTTGCTAGGGTTTTTGTCATTACCTTGAGTCTTGACAGGCAGATCTCCAAGAGAACAGTAGCTTGGCTACCTACCCCCTAGTCAAAAGGGCCATGCAGGAATACAAATATACTCTTTTAGCTTCTGATGAAAGAACTGGGCATCATTATCCCTAAGGACAACATTGATTAATTGTAATGTATGCATAACTGCTTAGCCTATGTACAAATTCTTCCACTGTCATTGCAGGGTACAATACCAACATTGCCTTGAGCCAGTTCAGATAAACACCAATAAGAAGTAATGTATTTCTTCATTTACTTACTGCGGAATCAGTGGGTAGCCTCTTTCAACCCAAGGCTATCCATTTTCAAAGGGGAAATGGTACAATAAATGGAGGATCCCCATGGCTCAGACAAAGACTGTGTTCTTCTTCTTGATTATTTTTGTTATAGAGTTATGACTATTCAAACAATTCTAGAAAGCTCTTTCCTGTTGGCAATATCTCCAGGTAGCTCTCTCATTAAGCCCATTCAGTTCAGTGCTCTGATGTGTAAGACATCATACAGTATAAAATTGTCCCATGCAAAATCTACTTTCCCCTAAATATGTATTGTTGACTTGGCTAAAAACTTCTCATCAGACAGTGAACAGTGAAAAATACTTTACTCTTGCCATCTGCCCAATAAACAGAATCACACAGTGTGCTCAACTCCTCTAAGTGATCATTTAAGGTGACTCCTGCTATTAACACATATAGCCGCTGGGCATACTGACTCCACCCCCTGTTCTTGCTGCTCTGGCTGTGGCACCCCCCTATACCCGCTTTAGTTTGATGGTCCTTTTATGCCCATTCTTCCCAGTTCCCAACATTTTATTAATCATTATGTTTTAAAAGAAATCAGTTTCATTGGGTTATTATTTACATACAAATGCATATATCAGTGTAAACATCACTGCAATTAAGATGCGGAATATTTCCATTCCTATAAAAAGTTCCCTCCTCCGCTTTTGCAATTAATTATTTGCTACCCTCCTGCCCCAAGAAGTCTTCTGTTACTATAGATTAGTTTCCCTTTTCTAGAATTTCATATAGATGGAATCATACAGTATATATTATTTTGTGTAGGCTTTTGTTTTAAAATTTAGCATCATGTTTTTGAAATTCATTCATATGGTATATATCAATCGTTTCTTCTCTTTTATTGCTTAGAAGTGTTCCATGGTATGCATTTAACACATTTTGTGTGTCTGTTCACTGGTTATTGCCTATTTAGGTTGTTTCTTGTTTTGGGCTGCAATGAATGAAGTTACTGTGAATATTTGTATACACAACCCTATGGATATATCGTTTCATTTTTAATTTTTTTGAGTAAATTCTGAGGAGTGGAATTGCTAGGCCATAGATAACTATGCAAGTAACTTTATAAGAAATGGACAAAGTGTTTTCCAAAGTAGCTATACCATTCTATATTCCTACAAATTTTGTCTGAGAGTTCCAGTTATACCACATGCTGGGCAGCAGTTGGTATTATAATCTTTTAAATTTTAACCATTCAAATGGGTGTGCAGTAAGATTTCATTGTGGCTTTAATTTCTCATTTTCCATAACTAATCATTTTGAGCACCTTTTCATGTGTTTATTGCTATCCACGTTTCTTCTTTTGTGAAGCATCTCTTAGCATTTTTTGCCCATTTTTAAATGGAGTTGTCTTATTGAATTGTAAGATTTCTTTATATATTCTGTGTACAAGCCTGTTATTAGATATATGCATTGTATTTGTTTTATACCAGTCTGTAGATTGACTTTTTATTTTCTTAACATTGATTTTTAATTTTGCTGATGTCTAATGTATTAGTTTCCTTCTTATTGCTACTGTAACAAATTACCACAAATTTAGTGGCTTAAAACAACACAATTTGTCTTAAAGGTCTAGTGGTCAGAAGACCAATCTAAGTTGGCAGGGCTGCATTCGTTCTGGAGACTCCAGGGGAGAATCCATTGCCTTGCCTTTTCCCACCGCTAATGGTTGCCTGCATTCCTTCCCTCAAGGTGCCACAGCACTCTGACCTTGGTTTCTTTTGTCAAAGGTGCCTCCTCTGACTCTGACTTCCTGCCGCCCTCTTTCAAGGACTCTTGTGATTACATTAGGCCTTCCCAGATAACCCATAGTAATCTCCCTATTTCAACATCCTTAACACAATTACATCTGCCAAGTCCCTTTTGCCATGTAAGGTAACCCATTCACAGGTTCTGGAGACAGGATGTGGACACTTTTGGGGGATCATTATTCAGTCTACTGCATGGAATTTACAATTCTTTTTCTTTTAGGGTTCATGATTTTTGCATCTTACCTAGAAAATTTTGCCCTATCCCAAGATCATAAAAATTTTCTTCTATATTATGAAAGTTTTATACCTTTAGCTATTATATGTAGGTATGCAATCTACTTCAAATTAATTTTTTGTATGGTTTTGAGGTAAGAGTCAGCTTTCATTTTTTTTTTTTTAAGTTTCCAGTTTCTCCAGCATCAATGTTGAAAAGACTATCCTGTTGAATTACCTTGACATGTTTTTTGAAAATCAATTGATACTTAACACGTGTATTGATTTCTATTCTCTCTGTTCTGATTTTTTCTGAAAGCAAAACTGATTCAATCCTTGGCTTAGAATCATTGAATAGTTTCTAATATCCTATTTTTTTAAACATGATTTACAAGACCCTTCATTATATGACCCTTTCTTCTCTTTCCAACGATATCTTTCACCCTCAATTGTACTGACCACCTTCTAGTTTCTTGAATACACCATACTCTTTTAACTCCTCTGCACACACTTCTCCCTCTGCCTTGAACACCCTTTCCTTCCTCTTTGCCTCACTTTTCTCTTCTCATTCATTAAGCGACCATCACTTTCCCCAGAAAACTTTTTCTGACTTCTTTCTTTATGCTATCAGAGCAGCTAACACACTGAATTCCAGCTGCCACTAGAGATACCTGTATCCCCTCTACATATGGTTTTCTGGGGCAGGTGGGTTGGGGTGAAGACCATGTGTTACCCATTTATATCTCCTAGCACCCAGCACATTGATTTGTTAAATGAATAATGATGAACCTTCTGTCACACATATGGGGCTCGCCTCACAATGGAATTGCTGATTGATATTCACAGCAACTACACTCAACTATGAAGAATGGACTGGATGAAGAAAATGGAAAAGAGCCAATTTCTTATTTAGGCAAAGAGGGAATGAAGTATTGAGACACAAAGGAATATTCTAATAGATATACCAGAGTTTTGGTAAATAAATTTTACTATTTTATATGATAACCCTTAACTGGGGAATAGGTAATCTGATTAATAAAATATTCCGGTTAATAAAGATCCTTGTATACATTTTCAATTTAATAAGGGTAAAGGAGGAAAAAGAACAAATGTTTACGTAGTACATTCAACAAACTTTGTACTGAACTATGCACTTTATAAATGTAATCTCATGAAACTCCCAAAACAACTCTGGGATGTTAGGATGATTATGTTAATGCCCAGAGAGGTAATATAAATAACCATACAGTTAGTGGAGAAGACTTAGGTTTGAAACCTAGAGATATCTTCTTCTAGAGTCTGCACCTATTCTATTCCCTAGGAAAATGACTACATTTTCTTACCACTAAAGCTAATCCCCAGTTCCTCTGATAATTCATAAGGAATCAATGATGTTGTAATGACTTAGGGAATTATTGAACACAAGTTGCTATTTTACTTGAAAGGGGTAGATATATTTAAAAAGGTTTCCCAACTTTCCAATATATTTTTTGATTATGTGGTATCCCGTTAACATAGACTTTGTCTTGGCAGTTGTTGGAATTTTAGGTTGGCTCTAAGATGCCATTATCCACAGGGATTCCAGAAAAGTGCCAAATTAGCCCCAAACTGTGGTCATCCCTTCAACAAAATTCTCCCAAATGGTACATAAAACAGGAAGTATAACTCAGTGGAAACAGGAGGTAACTTTATTGTTAGCTACGGCCATAACTCTCAGGCAGAACTCAGGGAAGGATGGCCTAGTGGGGCCTTAACAGGGTTGGGAAATTCCTCTACCTTATATTCTTTGTTTTTAGTCCTTAACATTTGTTTTTAAATCCACTGGGATATAGCCCAGTGAGGCTTGTTGCAGTGTTTTTTAGGGGAAGAAATCATCAGAGCATCAGGGAAGTCTATGCCACAGCCCCATCTGATAGGTTCCTTTTCCTTGCTGCTCTGAACATGGGTGACCATTTCAACTGAAGAAACAATGCCTCTAGTGTTACTCCCCAAAGTTTCTAAAATTGATCAAAAGAAGACATTAATTATTTCCAAGGCCACATTGGTTGAAATTTATTTTAGTATTTCCCGTCTCAAATTATGCTCTGCTTCAGTGTCCTGCCTAGGTTAGCAAAGAGGTTTATATATTAGGGACACATGATAGGATTCCCAAAATAAGAGGATGCCAAACAGAAAACTTCCCCAAATTGGAACAAAACATAATTCTCTACCTTTTGTTGCTAAAAGCAATTAAAACTGCCAAATAAAAATATTCTTTTTTATTGGAGAAATTACTAAGGAAATAACCTCTCGACCTCTCATTCATCTTCCTTTTTGTTTTTTATTTTTTGAGACCGGGTCTATGTCATGCAGACTGGAGTGCGGTGGCACGATCTGGGCTTCTTGTAACCTCCACATCCTGGGCTTAAGCAATCCTCCTACCTCAGCCTGCTGAATAGCTGGGACTACAGGTGTGAGCCAACATGCCTGGCTAATTTTTGTAGAGACTGGGTTTCACCATGTTGCCCAGGCTAGTCTCAAACTCCTGGGCTCAAGCAATCCAACCACCTTGGCCTCCCAAAGTGCTGGGATTACAGGTGTGAGCCACCATGCCCTGCCATTAATTTTCAATAAAAGACATGTGAGTATCTATGGGGGGCTTGGAGTCCCAGGTAGAGTTTGGTTCATCTTCCAATGAAGCTGGTGTTGTCTTACAGCATTTCTATATTTGGATCAACCCAACAATTAGTGTCTCAGATGTTTTACTTTCCCAAATCATGAAGTGTCAAATAAAACTGTGACCATGATTTCTATGTTGATGATACTGACTGGTCTTCTAAGAAATGTAGGAATAATTTACAACATATAAAGGAACTTTGAGAGAAAGGCAGGAGTTTAAGAAATATAAGAAACTTGAGAAGAGATAGATTTGTATTACACAAGTTTTAGGGGATTGAGGAAGCCAAAAGAGCACAATAACTTATCTGGCAAATCAGAGAAAAGGCAGCTGCTAGAAGGGATTTTGTCTAGGCAGATGTGGAGTCTGAATGCAGTGAACAAAGTGATGCTGGGCAGAATTCAGAAGAGAATAAACCAAAATTTAGGTGCCTTGAAGAACAATTTTTTTTTAAATGGGGAAGTATTGTTTTTGGCTATAAATGCCAGACTACCCTGATTTGAACTGTTTTAAATATGAAGAGAATTTATTGTCTCAAGAATTGGAAGTACAGAGGTAGAAGATGGGGTGGGCCCAAGAACAGTACAATCTTGAGCTCATTGCCATTGTCAAGGACCTGGGATCTTATCTGCCTCCACTCTGCTGCCTCGGTGTGGGTACCATCCTAAGGGTGGATCCCCTGTGGTAGCAAGATGGATGCAGGTGGCAACAGGAGCTGTTTTCTTCCTTGTTTATGTCCAGTAGAAGAGAAAGAGGGAAGCCTTTTCCCTAAGCAGGGAATATAATTCATTCCTTTTCATCTGATTGGACAGATTATATGCTCATCTATTAGTCAAAAATCATCCCTGGGTCATGTGATAATTGGCACATTGACTGATGTGTAATAGTCTCTGAAGGTAAAAATGGGGTAGATATCTGAACAGGAATTGAATTCTGTTGAGGATGGGGGAGGAGAGTCTATATGTTGGATATACAACTGTATTAGTTCATTTTCATGGTGCTGATAAAGGCATACCAAAGACCGGGCAACTTACAAAGGAAAGAGGCTTAATGGAGAACTCACAGTTTCACATGGCTAGGGAAGCCTCACAATCATGGTGGAAGGCAAGAAGGAGCAAGTCACATCTTACATGGATGGTGGCAGGTAAAGAGAGAGCTTGTGCAGAGAAACTCCTGTTTTTAAAACCTTCAGATCGTGTGAGACCCTTGCATTTTCACAAGAACAGCATGTTAAAGACCTGCCTGCATGATTTGATCATCTCTCCTTGGGTACCTCCCACAACATGTAGGAATTATGGGAGCTACAAGATGAGATTTGGATGGGGACACAGAGCCAAATCATATCATTCCACCCCGACCTCTCCCAAATCTCATATCTTCACATTTCAAAACCAATCATGCCTTCCCAATAGTCTCCCAAGGTCTCAGCTCATTTCAGTGTTAACTCAAACGTCCACAGTCAAAAGTCTCATCTGAGACAAGGCAAGTCCCTTCTGCCTATGAGCCTGTAAAATCAAAGCAGGTTAGTTACTTACTAGATAGAATGGAGGGTACAGGCATTAGGTAAATACAGCCATTCCAAATGGGAGAAATTGGCCAAAACAAAGGGGCTACAGGCCCCATGCAAGTCTGAAATCCAGCAGGGCTGTCAAATCTTAAAGCTCCAAAATGTTCTCCTTTGACTCTGTCTCACATCCAGGTCATGTGAGATGTAAGAGGTAGGTTCCAATAGTCTTGGGCAGCTCTGTCCCTGTGGCTTTGCAGGGTATAGCCCCTCTTCTGGCTGCTTTCATGGGCCGGCATTGAGTGTCTGGCTTTTCCAGGCACACAATGTAAGCAGTCAGTGGATCTACTGTTCTGGGGTCTGGAAGATGGTGGCTCTCTTCTCACAGCTCCACTAGATGGTGCCCCAGTAGGGACTCTGTGTGGGGGCTCTGACCCCACATTTCCCTTTTGCACTGACCTAGCAGAGGTTCTCCACGAGGGCCCTGCCCCTGCAGCAAACTTCTGCCTGGGTATCCAGATGTTTCCATACATCCTCTGAAATCTAGGCAGAGGTTCTCAAACCCCAGTTCTTGACTTGTGTGCACTTGCAGGCCCAACACCATGTGGAAGCTGCCAAGGCTTGGGGCTTCCACCCTCTGAGGCCATGGCCTGAGCTCTGCAATGAACCCTTTCAGCTACAGCTGTAGCAGCTGGAACACAGGGCACCAAGTCCCTAGGCTGCAAACAGCACAAGGACCAAGGGCTCAGCCCATGAAGCCACTTTTTCCTCCTAGGCCTCCAGGCCTGTGATGAGAGGGGCTGCTGTGAAGACTTCTGACATGCTCTGGAGACATTTCCCCATTGTCCTAGGGATTAACATTCAGCTCCTTGTTACATATGCAAATTTCTGCAGCTGGCTTGAATTTCTCCTCAGAAAATGGGATTTTCTTTTCTATCACATTGTCAGGATGCAAATTTTCCAAACATTTATGTTGTTTCCCTTATAAAACTCAATGTCTTTAATAGCACCCAAGTCACCTCTTGAATGCTTTGCTGCTTAACAATTTATTCTGCCAGATACCCTAAATCATCCCTCTCAAGTTCAAAGTTCCACAAATCTGTAGGACGGGGCAAAATGCTGCCAGTCTTTTTGCTAAAACATAACAAGAGTCACCTTTACTCCAGTTCCCAACAAGTTTCTCATCTCCATCTGAGACCACCTCAGGCTGGATTTCATTGTCCATATCATTATCAGCATTTTGGTCAAAGCCATTCAACAACTCTCTAGGGAGTTCCAAACTTTCCCACATTTTCCTGTCTTCTTCTGACCCCTCCAACCTGTTCCAACCCCTGCCTGTTACCCAGTTCCAAAGCCACTTCCACATTTTTGGATATCTTTTCAGCAGTGCCCCACTCTACTGGTACCAATTTACTGTATTAGTTCATTTTCATGCTGCTGATAAAGACATACCTGAGACTAGACAATTTACAAAGGAAACAGGTTTAATGGAAAACTCACAGTTCCACATGGCTGGAGAAGCCTCACAATCATGGTGGAAGGCAAGGAGGAGCAAGACACATCTTACATAGATGGCGGCAGGCAAAGACAGAAAGGAGGGAGCTTGTGTAGAGAAATTCCTGTTTATAAAACCATCAGATCTTGTGAGACCCATTTCCTATCATGAGAACAGCATGGGAAAGACCTGCCTCCATGATTCAATTACCTCCCACTGGGTCCCTCCCACAATACATGGGAATTCAAGATGAGATTTGGGTGGGGACACAGCCAAACCATATCAACAACAAACAACATTACTACAGAGTCCAACAATGATAGACTGAGTCTGCAGATGTCAAGTTCAAGAGTTCTCAAAAGAAGCTGGGGTGAAACAGAATAATTGGATACCCCATTTAGGGCCAAGGGCACTCACCAGAGCGAATGTCTCTGGGGCCTGCTCTGAGAAACATGAGAACTAGGTAAGTTTTTACCCACCCACATTATGATTAGAGAGGGATGGATCCAAATGTATAAATCTGAATGTCAGGTGAAGGGTGGTAGAGAATAAATGACAAGGTTAGAATCCAGGAGGGTGGGAACAGGTTAGAGTCTGTGGTGAGAGATGAGTTAGTGGGATTGGTCGAGCACCCTGGATAAAATTCATGAAGGTTTTGGAGGCCTGTTTCCCATGGTGTTGGCAATGTGGGTCAGGCCTGAAAATGTCAAGATCACATTAGGTTAGAGCATTGGTTCTCATACTTTCATATGCATTAGAATCACCTCAGGGCTTGTTAAACTAAATTGTTGGGCCCCAGTCCCAGGGTTTCTGCTTCAGTAGATCTGGGGTAGGGTTTGAAAATTTGCATTTCTAACAAAGTTTCCAGGTGCTGCTAGTCTGGGGACCTCACTTTGAGAACCACTGGATTAGAGAAACAGCTTGCCAAGGGCTGTTAAACTGGTGTTTTTCAATGTATGGTGTGAGGGCCACCTGCTAAGAATCACTGGTGGAGGCTGTTCAAGATGCTAATCTTCTAAGCTCTATCCCCAGAGGTTTGTGTTAGGGGCCTTGGAGAAGAACCTGCAAATCTACTTTTTTTTTAAAACAAGTTCTCAAGATGATTCTTATGTTGCTATGGTTTGTGAACCACTCTAAGTCATGTGAAGCTCATTTAAACCATCACTTATCTCTGTGTGCTTTGTGTAGTAAGCAGGCTACTGCAGTGACTCATCACCTTTTGTGGCTGCCACAGTGGCATAGAATCAAGCACTGGGGTTTTGGGAGATTGACAGAGAGGGGTTCAGATCCTGTGTGTGCCACATTCTATTTGGGGGATCTTGGACAAAGAGATTTAATCATTCTGGGCTTCAAGTTCATAATCTGAAAGATGGAATAATGAGACAAGTGTTATGTAATAGTCACCTAACATCATGTCTGATTTTTCTTTTTTAATTTACAAAGGGAAGAGGTTTAATTGACTCACAGTTCCACGTGGCTGAGGAGGCCTCACAATCATGGCAGAAGGCAAAGGAGGAGCAAAGTCACGTCTTACCTGGCAGCAGGCAAGAGGATGTCTGATTCTTAGTAAGCCCTCAATAAGCAGTAGCTCCTCTATGATTTCTTCATATTCTTATTTCCAGCAGTATGATATGTATGATATGCCAGTTGACCCACTGAACAGGCATCTTGCCAGAGGCAGTTTCATATGCTGCTTGACTTGAATCAAGAGAAGGCATCAGAGGAACACTATCACAGAAAAAGATTAAAAAGAACTTTGGGACTTAAAAGGCAGAAGGAGAAAAACTATTCTCTGGATAGTGCTGGTGAAAAGTGAGCAGACAGTGAGATATCATTGGAGCTTGTCTTCTGCATGTTTGGTTGTAACTCCTGTCTTCATTCATAATGCCTCACATCTCCTCCTGACACATGGCCGGGACTCTGTTTGTGATGAATGTTTGTACACATGGAGGAGGGAGGTACATATGCTGTACATGCTTAGAGGTAGATACTTACAGGGAGCAGAAGAAGTGTGGGTGGTCAGCCAAAATGAGGAAAATACTTCTGAAACTTAAAACAGACCATGAAATCAAATAAAGCCTGGAAATATTGTAAGTGTGGTCCCCAAATTTAGCACCACTGTGTTGACTTATTTTACTGCTCTGCGTCTATCTGGTCACACACATAAACAGGATAACTTTTTTTTTCTGAGTCTCTGCAGCACAAGGCCAAGTAGATGGACTGTGGTAAAGAGAGTAAGTGAATGTTTTGGAATTATCTATTCAATTGAACTTTCTCAAATGATCCAAATAGCTTCTCAAGAGCCATTATTTTATCTTGTCCTTTACATTTTCTATGAGTGTTTTCATGTCAAAATGCACTTGGAAGCTAAAGGACAAGGTATTCTGCTACTTTTGGCCTTAAGAACCCTTTCTAACTTTTGTCTGCAACTGTTCATGCTGAGGTTATTACGTGTTCAATATATTCTCTTTATGAATCCTGAATATTCATATTTCCAAATAAACGTGAGACAATGGGCCTAAAATTCAAAAGGAAGACAAAACAAAAGAATTTCAAGCTTCTACTTTGTATTTTTATACTATGGCATTTCTCATGGGTAGCAAGTTCCAAATCATAGTATTTTCAAACTCGAAGGGAATTAAAACGAGCAAACTATGGCTCAGAACATTTAAGTCACATCCTAGTGTTGCATATTTAGTTGGAGTAAGAAACCAGATCTCATGGTTTCTATTTCAGTGCTCTTTCTATTCCACCAAGCTCACACTCCCACCCCTTGGATCCATTGCTACTAAAATCCTGAAAGGATTCAGAAAGGCATACTTGAGATTATAACACTATGTCTGTAAAACCTAATTCAAATCGATTAAACTTCCATGGATTTCTAAGCTATTCTATAAGCTGGGGGATTCGTTTATTGGAATAACATCTTCATTTAGGACCACCCTTATTCTCCGCCGTGTGACAGGATAACTAAGATCCCTCAGGGAAGTCTTTCTTTCCTGAACTTATTGATGCCTAATGATGATCTGTTGGAGACCCTGCCTTTCCCGGGTCAAAGGCAGACATTAGGGCTCATTTTCCCCAGTGTCTTTGATACTTTTCAAACTCTTGAGCTAAAGGATAAAACTAAACCAGCCGTTTCCAAGGACACATTTTTAAAAATTACTTAAAATTTTGGTTTTTCTTGGTTCATAAACTTAGTTTTACTCTTAAATAAATGTTGTCAATACAATACATGCACAGTTACAAATATCACCCAAGGATTCTAATGAAAAGTGGCCGTTTCTGCCCTACTTCTCCCACATCAGAGTAGACCGCTTTTAACTCTTTTTACCCTCTGTTCTAATATTAATTTCAACATATTGTAATTACTTGAATCCAAAGTATTAGACATTTTCTATTGACTTCCTTTTATCACAGCTGATGATTTAACTCTCTACCACTTCCTCCAATTTTTTCTTTTTCTTTTCTTTTGAAACAGGGTCTCACTCTATTGCCCAGGCTGGAGTGCAGTGTCATGATCATAGCTCACTGCAGCCTCAAACTCCTGGGTTCAAGGTATCCCCCTGCCTCAGCCTCCCAAAGTGCTGAGATTACAGATGCATTGGCCGAAATTTATTCCCTTCCTTTGTCTACTATAATTAATTAGGCCACAATCTTACTGCAACAGCAACAAAATATCAGTCCTTACATGATTATGTAGAAAATATATTTTACTGAATAGCTTGCTAATATACTATGATTCCCTTTATTATGCTCGATAGTCTCTTTTTTACTACTTAAAAACTTTTTTTGGAATCAAAAACTGCTTTATGTGTTTTAGCTCCTTAGTCTCCTATAGACCTATTCTTATCTTTTCCAAATGCTCCATTAGGTCTGCTCTACACAGTTAAGAAGCTTTCCCCAAATGGTTTAATCATGTCTGATGATCTGTCAATTATTCCTGCCCTCACTGCCGCGTCGCTTTACTGTGGCGCATTGATCCTTCCGCTCCAGTCTGCTTTCCTCCAGGGCTGTTGCACACGGTCATCTTTGGACCACACCATTTTTATGTTCAGGACCTCTCCTCTGCTTGGTCATGTGCTTTCTTCTTCCTTATTTTAGTCCTTTATTTTTCTGGATCAATGCTTCATAAATTAAAACTTAAATTTAAAAAGATTTGAAAAATTTAAAAACCCTAAAGTGTCTGGGAGAAGAATATAATGAATCCCTACATATTCATACTTATCACCCAGATTCAACAGTTATCATGTTTCCACATTTATTGCATTTGTCTTTTTCTTTTTCTTCTACCCTTCTTTCTTTTCTCCCCTCCCTCTCCACTTCCGTTTCCCTCCCTCCTTCCTCTTGCCCTCCCCGACCCTTCTGTTCCACTCTCATCACCTCTCCCCGTCCCTAGTCCCTCTTCTTTCCTCTTCTTTTTACCTGCTTGCTAAAGTGTTATAAAGCAAACCCCAGTGTTTCAAGCCAGGACACTGGAAGGGCTCTCCCTGAGAGAGAGACTACATTCAATACAGGCAGTGAAAGAGAGGCTATGATGACATTATGTGAGTCGCTGACTCTGACTGCACTGAAAGATTTATCCTAGACCTTTTAGTTATATGAACAAACACTTGTGCTTTGAAGGGACATTAAGACAAGTCTGCCAGGAGTGAAATTTTCCAGCTGACTGGCAGTTTGGAAAATGATTTTTATAACTTTTTTGAGCAAAATCACAGTATCTTAGATTAATTACCAAATAAACTTTTATTTATCCTATTGTTATCCAATAGATGAAATGCCCATAATATTCGGGTATCAATACTTAAAAATAGAAAATAATGTGATGTTTAGCTCTTTTAAAAATATGCCTCCTATACAATACCAATATAAAGTTAGGATTTTACATTCCTAGTAAATCTCTTTTGTTTCATTAGGATTTGAACAAACGTGACAATATTGGCAAAGTGGTTTCTGTCTATTAATGACTCATTATATTGCTCAGTTAACTTTAATCCAATAGAGTGGATGTAGCAATTTTTGTACAACAAATCAGTAGCTGATGGAACAGTTCATAACTAGAAATTTTGTCCATGAATTTACATGTCGGCCTTCATGCAATTATAAATTCTTTATTAGTATTTTGATTTAGGTATTCTTATCTTCATTATTGAAAACATGACTATTTTTATAACTGAATATTCTGAATTGCATTAAAAGAATAACTGAGATCAATTTGTTGTAAATAATTCAGAAACGCTGACAGAAATCTCTGCCTGATTACTTTCTTATGTATGGCTGTATTCTCTATGGTGTCTTTTGCTTTTGTACAGTACACGAATCCCAGAAACTTGTAGCTTTCTGAATAAATAACTTGGTTTACAGCCCTGTTTTCTCCTGTTAAATGTTTGCTCTGTTCCCAGAAGATAAGGAAATTAAGTTTATTATGAACAATTTATCAATGTATTTCTAATAAAGTCTTCCCATTAATCTTATTTATACTGAACTTTACATGTTTTTAGTAATCAACTTCTGAAAAGATAAGGAAAAAAGTTTTGAGTAGTAGAGATCAGTGAACTTATTCATGTAAATCTTTATTAATATACATATTAAAGTGATATGAAGATGAGTAAAATGCTTCCCCTTAATGAAAAAGAAATACGTGATTATAGCTTAATTTTAGACTCATTTCCACTTTTACTAGTAGTTTGGGTGAAAATATTTAAGTTGTAATTTTAACGATGGCAATAATAATTTTTAATTCACAGGCATTTTGACAATATCCTTATTGCCCATTTTACTAGTCTCCTAAATCTGGTTGTGGCAGATTATATTTTCCAAAGAGATGCTAGGGATATATCCCATCCCCCACGTGCTTCTTAAAATAAGATACTCCTCCCACAAAGAGATGGGGATCTGTGTTCTTTCCCCTTGAATTTTTGTTAAGGGGCCTGTGACTGCTGCTTGTACTAACAGGGTACAGGAGAAGTGATGCTATAGGATTTCTGAGGCCATAAAGAGGATGCAGCTCATGGATGAGTCACTCTCTTGGCATAGGAACCTTGGAAGTCCTAAACTGTCATGGAAGACACACAGCTGAAGTGATCTTGCTGGAGAGACCATGCGGAGAGACAACATGGAGACAGAGAAACATGTGGGAGGATCCTCAGCTGCTCTGGCCACCAGATGCCTCAGTCTCTCTGGGCCCAGGTACCAGACATGTGAATGAGCCACCTTCTGCCTAAAACCGTGTAAGAAAGTCTCAGGGAGAAGTGCCCCGCTGGAGCCTGTCAAATCCCAGCCCATGAGAGAACACGACACATTGTAGTTGTTATTTTAAGGCACTAAGTTTTGGGGTATTGTGATTTATAATAAGAAATATATATTTGGTTTCTGCTTCCAGTTCCTGAGACAGCTTCTAATATCCTTGGAGATGGGGTGCTAGGAGAACCTTTTCTTTTAATATTTGAGTTAGAGCTCAAATATTCTGAGACAGGTTTCCCAAATTTTTTGTAATTTCCTGAGTGATAGGAGCATCTGACACTGAGCTCTAAATCTCTTGGTGTTTCCTGAGTGAAAGGTACATCTTTTTTTCTAATGAGGTGACTCTTCATGGGATCCTGGAGAGCCTTGGTTGGGGACTGGTTGCCACGGGAACCAACCATGTGATTAGAGGGTTGGAACTTCCAGCCCCACCACCGGACCTCCAGGGAGGGGAGAGGAGCTGAAGGCTGAATTGATCACCAATGGCCAATGGTGTAATCATTTATGACTACGTAATACAGCTTCCATAAAAGTTCAAAAAACAGGGTTTGGGGAGCTTCCAGATAGCTGAACACATGAAGGTGCCTGGAGGATGGTGTCCAGAGAGGGCATAGAAGCGCCACAACCCTTCCCACATACATTGACCTATGCTTCTCTTCCATCTGGATGCTCATCTGTATCATTTATCATATTTTTAATTAATATAATAAACCAGAAAGTGTGTTTTGCTGAATTCTGTGAGCCATTCTAGCAAATTGAAGAAGGGGGTTTTGGGAACGTTGATGTATATCTAGTTTGTCGGAAGTGTAGGTGACAACCTACTACTTGCAATTGGCATCTGAAGTTGGGGAAATCTTGTGGGACTGAGCCCTTAACCTGTGGGATCTGACTCTAACTCCAAGGAGATAGTGTCAGAATTGAGTTAAATTATAGGACACCCAATTGGTGTCTGATGGAGAATTGCTTGGTGTGTGGGGAACCCCCGACACATCTGGTGTCAGAAGTGAAGTGGGATGTGTTTAGTGTTAACGTAGAAGGAAAAGCACTTTTTATTTATACATAGTCACAGTAACTGGTATGGTGGCCCATCTCCATGGTTCCCTGATTTAGAGAACAGCACCATCATTCATATGACAACCCCCAAATTTTTACATCACTTTATTTCAGACTTCTCTGAGATCCAGATGGGAAGTTCAAATTGCCTATGTAAATTTCCACTCTCTCAGATGTACATATTGGGAGGAACTGCAAATCATATTGCAATAGACAAGGATGTGTGCTATCCTTTTAAGAAGGGACCCAATAGTAGGCAACAACCATGTAATCTACCATAATCACCAAAGCTGTATTTCTCCATTAATACAATAAGAAGATCAAGGTTTTCTCTATATTTATATCCAAGTGGTGACATAAAAAAAGGACTAGCCACCACCACACTGGTGGCTCACTCCTGTAATCCCAGCACTTTGGGAGGCTGAAGCAGGAGGATCTCTGGAGCCCAGGAGTTTGAGACCAGTCTGGGCAATAAGTGAGACCTCGACTCTAAAAAATTAAAAAATTAGCTAGGCATGGTGATATGTGCCTGTGGTCCTAGCTACTTGACTTGTGAGGGGGAGGTGGGAGGATCCCTTGAGCCTGGGAGATAGAGGTTGCAGTGAGCTGAGATCTTGCTATCGCACTCTAGCCTGGGCAACAAAGCAAGACCCTGTCAAATTAAAAAAAAGAAGAAGAAGAAAAGGTCTTCACAGAAACCCAACAAATTATTAACAGTTCAATCCTCGTTCGGTGTGGGGGTAAAAATGTAAGAGGTGAAGGAAGAGTCTAGCACTTCTGAAGCCTCTGTAGTGTTTGAATCTTTTACAGTAAGGCTTCAAATATCTGAGGGAGACTGAGGCTGAGAGCTGCTACATGTCAGATTCAAGTGAGTTAGCCACCAAAGTCACAAACCTGTACCTAATTCAGAATCTTATGTAATCTATTTTGCTTGGCACCTGATTTGCCCATCGACCTGTATGTGTCCCACATATGAGCACGTACAAAGAAAGATGACAATATGGAGTGTATTTCTGACTCTTTTCTTATAATTCTAGGCTCCACATATGAGGTCATAGTTACTTATTGTTGCTTTACTGCATCTTCTTGTCCTTCAGATTACGACAAAGCGCTGATGCCAGGAAGATTAAAATAGTCTTTGTTGTTGTCAAAGAGAAGGAAGCTGCATGCCAGGTAGAACTGACCAGTAGTCTTCTCAGAGAAATTAGCATCAGCAGTGGATTCCTGTTTCTCTTCATAGGACGATCTATTTTCAGAATTAAAAAAAAAATTATATGTATTAATCCTAAAAATACCTTGGTTGTAACTGAGAATTAGGACTCCTGATTCAACTGCAATTAATTTGCATTGTCTGAAGATATTTCCTTCTCTTTCCTTGCTTGTTTTTTATAGTTATATAACAAGAAACATAAAAATTTAGATGTATCCACTTCAAAAAGAACTCACATTCTAAATGAGAAATGTGTAAGATAGATGAGTTACAATATTGGCCTGTATAATTCCTTAATTTCCAAGGGGCTTTTCTGCAAGAATTATTTTAAATAGAACAGATCTAATATACTTAGGATTTTATTTGTAGATTACAAAGAAATAGGAAATAGTGATGGTAGAGAAGAGAAGCTAAAGAAAGAGAAAATGTTTTAGGAAATAGTAGTGGTTAAAGATTAAAAAACTGAAAAAAATCCACTTGGAAAATGGTTAAGCCAAGGGAAAAATATGAAATTCACAATACATTTTAAAAATGTGACACAAAATGAAATTTTTTATGGTTTGTAAGATTTAACGTGCCTTTTCCCTTGTAATGGAAGCTATGTTTTTGCACAGAGGAGAAGTATGGTATTTTATGAGAAGACATGCTATGAATGACGAAAGGCTCTATTTCAGCAAGTCACAGGCAGAAAAGTCCAAAACAATTGAATAGAACTGCAGCATTGTTGAAAGTAGGTACTTTTTTTTATTATTCAACATACACTTTAAAATCTAAATATTATTGCTATGTATAAAAATGTGGTCTGTACATTTCTATGCTAAATAGCATGACTTCTTAATAATGTCTTTTGATTGTTTGGTTGTAAGAGCATAGGTAGTCCTTGCTTTCATTTTTACTATCCAAAAAATTAAACCATCTATAAGGCCCTCTACGACCAAAGCTCTCCTTTTTCCTGTGTCTATCACAAGCACAAGGTGGGCTCTTGGGGAAGGACTTACCTTGCTTGTCTACTGCAGCAGCTCTGTTTTGCCCAGATGGCTGCAGATACACAGGCTGCACAGGAAATAACAGGCTATGAATCAATGGGAAAACAGATTTAGAAATCTGGTTATTTGAATTTTTAGTTGGTTGGAAATTTGGCCATAGCCTCAGGTCAGAAATGGAGAGATATAAACTGAGTCTGCTCTACCATAGGTATTTGCAAAAGCTTCCTTTCTTCCTTCATTTCTAAATAGAAACATCCTTACTGTTATTTCCTCACAAGTATAGACATAATATATGCTTTTTTTGGAAAAAAATAATTATGTATAGAATAGAAAGTAAAATTCTCTCCCTATCCCCAATGTCATCCCCTTCAGTCATAACCCACTGTTAATATTTTGTTATTAATCATTCCAAATATTTTCTATAAATGTTAACACAATTTTATTTTTTTGAAACAAAAACATATGGCAAGGTTATCTTTTGCCTTAACACTGTGAATATATTAGACATCTTTCTGGATCATTACCTACAGCACTATAGCTCATCCTTCAAATAGAAGTATTATTATTTATTCAACAAATAAATACTATCGTTGATGAGATTGCTCCTGTTACACATGGTGCTGCAAGGAGTGTCTTTTCACTTACATCTTTCCACACTTACCCTTTTATTTCCTATGATAAATTCCAACAACATGGAATTGCTGGATCAAATATTGAGTATAATTTATGTTGAACATATTGCCAATGGCCCTCCAGCAGTGTACTAAATACACTGCCACCAGATATGTACACTAATGTCAAGTCTCCCACATCTTGCCCACACTGGCTATTACCAATTTTTTTAACTTTTGCGAAATTGATAGACAAAGACCAATATCTCATTTTGCTATAAATTATGTAAATTTTTTTTTTTTAAATCAAGCCTAGTTGTGTTTTCTGCGGTAAAACATTGTATCATTTGGCTTTAGGACTCCTGCTTTGCTCACACTCATCAGTACATTGCTGGGTGTTGTTGAATCTTTAGCTGCAGTCTATTCCCCTACCTAAGCACAGGGGTAATTGATTTCTCTCTCTGATATAGATCCTCAATATATTTACACACACATAATCACAAGCCTTAATCACACATATACCACATTATATACATACAATCACACACACATGCACACCATATCACACACAAAATCACACATGCAATCGTTCACACACACCACATCACATTACAGAGTGTCACTGTAAAGCAATGAAAATGAAATCAGTGTTCTGCCCCCTAGTTCAGACACCCATCAAATTCCTGGGGCACTTCAAAAACTCTGTGATGATTGTAGCCTTTCTCACATGCCAGCCTCATCATTTCAGTTCTCTGGAACCTCCCTCTAGAAGCTTTTTTTGCAAGCTGAGAGCTATTTCCTTCTTGCTGGACATATTTGCACTCTCACAGCACAAATCACAAAGGCTGCAGGTAAGGATGTGGGAACTAAAGTTCTTGGGTACAAACTCAAATTTACAAGACACGGTTTACATCTGTTCTCTCTCTCATTCAAACCAGTGCATATTATTTCCCCTTGAAAAAATTCAAGGATTTTGAAGAATTAAATGGTGGAAAGGCATAAGTAGAATCCAGTTTTGTCTGGCTTTTGCTCAAAACATTTTGATTTACCATTAGCCCAGTGTTTCTTTCCTAATGCACAGTTTTCTCTATTGATTTTTTTCCTTTGTCACCAACATTGCTCAAAACGGAACTGTTAAAATACGCTGACCTGTTTTCTTTGTTCAGAGTTCCTTAGCAATGAGACTTACACAGAACCTATCCATCAAATTCAGTATTTAATTAAAGTACAAAGTTAGATTGGGGAAATATGAATAATAGAGCTTGAAAGGAATTTGTATATGAATGCTAGTTTTCCCTTTAGTTTTCTGTGTGTAAGCCTGGATCTAGCTCTTTAGAGAGGCGTTCATGTAATAAGAGTAAATTCTGAGCCAGACAGACCTGGGTTTACATCCTATGTGTGTTTGACCACAGAATAATTTCTCTTTCTGAGCCTTGACTTTTTTCCTTTTCTTTTTGTGACAGGGTTTTACTCACGTCGCCCAGGTGGAGAGCAGTGGCGCATTCATGTGAACCTTGATTTTTTTGGCATGTAAAATGGGATTAATAAAAGTACCACTAGCTATGAGAATTAGATGAGTATTTTGTACAATATAAGACTCTACAAAATAATAGCACAGTAAGTTTTCCCTTAATGTCATTGATAGGTTCTTGGAAATGATTACTTTAAGTGAAATGATGTATTACAAAGCCATTTTTCTCATCAGTTTTAATGAAACAACACTGAACAAAAGAAAGTTATTTAAGGACCTGTGTAGGACATTAAGTGAGGACTTACTGTAATATTATTATTTTTATGTACTTAAACATAATTATTGAACATCTACTATGTAGTAATATCATGCAAGGAACTAGGGGAAAAGTGGTGATTACATTTCATGATAAATGACATGGTTGCTGCTCTCAAGAAGCTTTCTCTTGTGAAAAAAAAGAATCAAACAAGGGTTTTCAACAAATGGTCATAAGGGAGAAGTGCAGGGTGCAGAGGGGGTTCCCATCAGGGCCCATAGCTTTGGCTAGGACCCCATCAGAGAAGACTTTCCAGAGGGAGTGGCCCTGGGCTTTCCTTAGGTTGTGTTTGGATGCACATTTTAGTTTTCTCCCACACAGAACCTAACTTCTTTAACGCCTTGATTCAATCGGCATTTATGGATTGCTTTGTGTGAACTAGGCTCAAAGATGACTGGTCATGGGTCCTGCTCTCAAGGATTCTCATTTCTCTTGGAAGATTGAAACTGTGTACTGTGTATATGTTGTGATAATAATTATTGATGACATTTATTGTCTCTGTCCTATATGGTAGGCACTATTCAAAGTACTTTGTATGGATGAGCTCTGGGGCAAATGAACTCAAGGACTTATCCAAGTTTACACTGCTAGCAAGAGGTAGAACCAGGCATATGAACTGTGGCCATCTGGCTCCTGGACTTGAACTCTGAAGCACCACCTACATTGTTTTAACAGAGGTGTGTCCATATAGGAGGGAGAGAGCAGTCCCAGAGGGCTCCCTGTGTCACCCCAAATACTTTCTTCTCCAAATTTTTCCTTTATTCTTTTTGCGACCTTCCTCACAATGGTCTTTGTAACAATTGTAACAATCCTCTTGTTACATCACATTGGATGGTTAACCCAAAGCAGTCACATCTCAGTCTGAATAAGGTCACAGGACTTTTTTTTTTTTTTTTTTTTTTTTGAGAAGGAGTCTCACTCTGTCCCCCAGGCTGGAGTGCAGTGGCACAATCTCGGCTCACTGCAAGCTCCGCCTCCCAGGTTCAAACGATTCTCTTGCCTCAGCCTCCCGCGTAGCTGGGACTACAGGTGTGCGCCACCACACCAGCTAATTTTTGTATTTTTAGTAGTTGGGGTTTCACCATATTGGCCAGGATGGTCTTGATCTCTTGACCACATGATCCCCTCACCTCGGCCTCCCAAAGTGCTGGGATTACAGGCGTGAGCCACTGTGCCCAGCCAAGTTCATAGGACTTTTAAGATGGTGAGTTAGGAGAGAATCCAAGGACGCTGGATGGGAGGGAGGACTCCTGGCTTAGAGGGTGGGGAGTGACAGCAGAGTATGAGCAGGCACATCTGGCTTGAAGACATCCCCTGCTTCTTCCCGCTGTGTCTGGGCTTCCACTCCTCTCTGCCCCTTCTCAGGTTGGCCAAGACCCCCTCTGCTTTCCTGTGTTTCATCTGCACTTACTCTGGGCACAGGATTAAGGCTTGGGAGATTCCCTCTTTTTCCCTACATAAGTACAAGACACCTGTTTGCAGTTGTTTTTTCTGTTTATGGTCTTTCCTCAGCAGGATACTTGAGGCATTCCTGAGATCTGATCTTATTTTTAAGAAAAAAAATGAAGAGGAGGATTTTTATTAATGTCAATATTTTAATCTGAAAGTTATATTACTCACTAAAGAACTTGTAGAAATATAGAAATATATAGTGATAAAAGTCACCCCTAGCTACTTTTATAGTTTGGGATAATCCCTGTATACCATTATAAAACAAGGTGTAGGATTTTAATAAACTTATTTTAATCCTTATATATATATGTGTGTATATATACAACTATGTATGTGTGTGTGTGTGTGTGTATATATATATATATATATATATTTCCATCACTCATCACTTGTCAATGCTGATTGAATCAAAGCATTAATGAAGTTAGGTTCTGTATAGGAGAAAACTAAAATGTGCATCCAAACACATCTCCCTGGACTCCCTGCAATCTAAGGAAAGCCTATATATATATATGTATATGTGTATATATATATATATATATATATATATATATATATACACACACACACACACAAACACGTACATATATACACATATATATACACACACACACACACACGCATGTACACAGATTTTTGTATGGGTAGAAAAGATTTAAGATTCAGTCCCTATGCGCTTGTCACTTCAATCGGTCCAACTCTATTGACTTCTATATTGAATGTCTGTCATTGCAGTTGTGTTTTAATCTAAATTGACTGCTTGGGCACTGTTACCCTTTCAACATGTCTTTGTGATATAGGTAGAATCTCAAATCCTTCCCAATTCAGTCTTACAAGTTTGCACTTTCTCTGACATCATTCTAATGTGCTAGAACATAAGGAGATTTCTCTTCTCCTGTGCATTTGCAAGTGTCTCAGTCCCTTAAGTGCATGTATTTCACAGAGCTTTTCCATGTCCTTTCATTCTTCTCCCTGTTCAATACCATATTAAGGAACTGAAATGCTAAGAAGGCACATGAGGACATAATAGAGAAGCCAGTGGAAAAGTTATTATTGTCTGGGGATGAGATAAATACCCCTCCCAGAAAATGTATTATAAATGATGCTACCTTCTCACTGAATGATTTATTTGCTCAGCAGGGTGGATGGAAAGTGACAGGGAAACACCTGGAAACAGAGTAGTGGTAGGGAGCAAGATGAGTCACTATTCCACCCAATTTTGGACTCTACAGTGACCTCAGCGCTTTAGAAGAGTGACTGAAATTAAAATGAGAATCTGCATTGTTCTCCTGAACTCTTCATGTGATTTATTTTGAGTACAGCAGCAACAAAAAATATCGGAAGGAATTATTTATCAATAACTTATTTATAGCAGAGAGTTTTTTCCCTTATTTTAAAAAATCTTTTGCCATCACACTGGATATGCTGTCCCCTCTGAATTATAAAATAAGAGAAGGGGAAGCCTTCATTTCTGTGGAGATAATTGGAGTTGAAACATTTCATATGCTCTAGAGTGAAAAATGCTGAAACTAAATTATATACAAAGAACAAAGGAAGATATGCAGCGTATGTCAACTTTCTCCCTATGTTGACTATGAGCCCAATCTGTGAGCTGAAATTAAGCTTTGTCATAGCAACACTAAGAATAAAGAATTATTGAGACTTAAAGTGTTCTTGTCAGAGTAAATCTGAGATGATCTGGAGTGGGAAGGAGTATGGAGAATAAAAGTCCCTGGGAGAAATGCATTTTAACAGATACAATTCTGGAACAAATTCAGATTCCCTCTAATCCTTGGCTAGGCCTGGCAATAAATGCGTCTTTGATTTTATATACCAAACCTCTCATACTGATCTTTTAAACTCTTCTGATATATTGATGTCAAGTCCCCATGGTTCATTTTTTGCTTAGGCAAAGTCTCCATCCATGAACTCCAACACTTCCCATACATCAAACTCTTGTTTTTTAACTTTTATTTTAAGTTACGGTGTACATGTTCAGGTTTGTTACATAGGTAAACTTTTGTCATGGGGGTTTGTTGTATGGATTATTTAATCACCCAGGTATTAAGTCTAGTACCCATTAATTATTTTTCCTGATCCTCTCCCTCCTCCCACCATACACCCTCTGATAGGGCCCCAGAGTCTGTTGTTCCCCTCTATGTGTCTATGTGTTGTAATCATTTAGCTCCCACTTACATCTGAGAACATGAGGTATTTGGTTTTCTGTTCCTGCATTAGTTTGCTAAGGATAATGGCTCCCAGCTCCACCCCTATCCCTGCAAAGGACATGATCTTATTATTTTTTATGTCTACATAGTATTCCATGGTGTATATGTACTGAATTTTCTTTATCCAGTCTATCATTGATAGGCATTTAGGTTGATTCCATGTCTTTGCTACTGTGAATAGTGCTGCAATTAACATACATATGCATGTATCTTTTCTTTGAGACAGAGTCTCTATTACTGAGGCTGGAGTGCAGTGACATGATCTCGGCTCACTGCAAGCATTGCCTCCCAGATGCAAGTGATTCTTGTGCCTCAGCCTCCTAAGTAGCTGGGATGATAGGCATGCGGCTAATTTTTGTATTTTTAGTAAAGACTGGGTTTCAACATGTTGGCCAGGCTGGTCTTGAACTCCTGACGTAAAGTCATCTGCCCACCTTGGCCTTCCAAAGCCCTAGGATTACAGGTGTGAGACACTGCACCCAGCTGCAGTGTCTTCTTTATAACAGAACAATTTATATTCCTTTGGGTATATACCCAGTAATGGGATTGCTGGATCTAAGGGTAGTTCTATCTTTAGGTCTTTGAGGAATCACAACACTGTCTTCCACAATGGCTGAACTAATTTACACTCCCACCAACAGTGTATAAGTGTTCCTTTTTCTAATGGAGCATTTTTTAACCTTGTCTGTTACTACTGGTTGATTTCAATACCTTAGTTCAGGGGTCAGACTGTAAGCCAAAGCTGACCCACCACTCTTTTCAAAAATACAGTTTTACTGGAACAAAGCTTGTCAGCCCATTCATTTTAAGATTTTCTTTGGCTTCTTTTGCACTATAGCAGCAGAATTTAGGAGCAACAGGGACCATATGACCCAGAAAAACCAAAATATTCACTGTCTGGTCTTCTACAGAATGTTTTCTGGACATTGCTAGAAGTCTAAAATGGGTTAGCAGAGCTGTGTCCCCTTAGGAGACCTCAGGGGAGAATGTTTCCTTGCTTTTTCCAGCTTCTAGAGGCTGGCTGCATTCTTCAGGTCATGGCCTCTCCTTCACCTCATTCTGACCTTGCTTTTCATGGTCACATTTCCTTCTCTGACTTTGACCCTCCTGCCTCTCTAAGAACCCTTGTGATTACATTGGGCGCACTTGGATAATACAGGATCATCTTCCCAGCTCGAGATCCTTAACTTTATCGTATCTGCAAAGTCACCTTTGCCATATCAGATGATATATTCAAAAGTTTAGGGGATTAGGATGTTGACATCTTGGGGGCCCATGATTCTGTCTACTACTGATGGTAAATGCTTACTGTCACCTCTGTCCAGATATCTTTACCACAACAATTTTATTGATTGCCAAGCACAGAGTACTAAGATGATTTTTAGTACTTTGTAATTTCTGTTAAAAAACAGTGGTTTTAAATTTTTTATAGGTATTTTATTTACATTTTGAATGGAAAGCATGAAATACATTTAGCACTTCAAAAAGTAGGATATTTGGGAGATGATTGGCTCTTGATTGCATTGGAAGCCAAATGAATTATTTACTGCATAAGTACAGCACATATTTTCATAAAGCAGTTTCTAAATGAACAAAGTGATTTTCTATGCCATTTTCTAAACAAAAGAGATTGATTTCACATTTTCTGAATACATGACCACTCCCACCACATGCTAGCTATATGGCATTCTCTGAAAGTTATAATATATAAGTGCAATCTGATTCATTCAACATGAAATGCACGGTTTTATAGATAATCATTTTGTCATAGGAGATGTTTCTAATTAATCGTATCACTCATACCAGATGCATCGTTCTCCAGTTTCTAAAATGGAACCTGATTTTTGGCCAGAATAGTATAAGTTTGGTGAGTATAAGTGACAAAAATGTTGTCTTAGCGTGTACAACATACCTTCAACAAATTGTCGTTTGCTTGTTGAAAATCTGGTGGCAACTTCACATCCTGGAAAAGCCTCTGGGGCCCAAATGGTTTTAGTGTTTGTGGGTGAATATGTTATGCCTCACAGAATGTTATGCTTTGTTTGGGTTTGCTTATAGTACTTTAACATAATCTCAAGTTACTCCTTCTTTACTTGCACTACAGAGTGTTCCATATCCCTGCCTCTCTCTCTTGAGCCTCAGTTATGGCATCCTCTGTTTACCTTAACTCCTGTCTTCCTTGCCTCTTGGCCCCAAAGCACTTATTTTGATATAACTCCCATTTAGCATCTGTATGGACATCTTCTGACATTTTTTCTGCCTCCCTAACTAACCTAAATGTTCTTTGAAGGCAAAGGCTGCCTTACTTCACACTAATCATAACATCCTATGCATAGTAAACACTTAGAAAACTGATGCTGATGATATCATCACGTTACTCAAGTTTTCTATTCTGGTCCTTCTCATTGTTTCATTTCATCCCCCTTTATCTCTGGATCAAATTGAAGCTGCTGATTAAATTATTTAAACAAAGCTTTGGCCATGTTGTTTTTTGTTTGTCTTCCCTCCTTTTTTCTTTCCCGTTGGCTGTCCGATATGCATGCTCTTCTTTACTATTGGGCACCAAACCGTATTGCTCCTTAATGTATCTCTGGCCACTTTCTCCAGGTAATCTTGATGAAGTTCCTTTAGCCATTTTCACCTCACCAGGACCATCTAGAGGCCAATTTTATGTTCAGCTTAGTCCTGTAATCATACCTTATTCTTTATTTTGGAAGACAGTGCTCCTGTCTGTGATTGTGGCTGAAAGGCTAATGTTCAACATCCAATTCTTGACATTTTCCTGGGTCATCATGCTCCTTCCTTGGGGTTCCAAATGCTGCTCGCTTGTAGCTCTATTTGGAAATCTTTTGATTCTGCATTGAATTGTAATGCAGAATAAAACATAAAAGTTGGTTATTTCTCTACCCTTATTAGATTTTCAAAATTTTGCAAAAAGAAGGGATGGGCACATCTGTGGCATATCAGCACAGTACTGGGGACTAGCAGTAGGTACTTAATAGATATTTGGAATTAAAACAAAACAATCTTTTCCACCATGGAGCCAAGTTTGTCCTGTGATTAAGGACTATTTCTACAATTCAAAGAGCTGTTCTTAAATAGTAAAGCTGTCATCTTGATTCACTGCCAACCCAAGGCCTTGCTCAAAATGAATGATTTTGCTCCGTATTTCTTAAAGTATATTCTCCTACATTGTTAGAATGATAATCACTAAATACTAAATGCTTCAATAAAGTGTATAATGTGCTTCACATATTGAGAATATATTTATAGGAATCTTTATAATTTAGTTGTATAAGTTGGGCAAGTTAACCTCTTTGTGTCTAGGTTTTTTATTGTGTAAAATGGGGATAAGTATTGTGGACAAGCCTCACAAGTCCTTTTTTTTTTTTAAGTAATTTCTGATAGTTCTACCTTTAATTCCACCACTTTCCTCCATTCACCAAAGATTTGTTATAATATTTCTGCTATTTACAGGATTCTCCAGGTTTTTCCTACAGATGGAGACAGTTCCTACAGTAGAAAGTGGTAATTTATGTGTGACGTGACCACTAGCTGGCCTTACCAATGTGTCTTTTTCATGCTTTAACTGTAGTTGGGTCAAAAGTTGGAAAACTGAGGTGATGAAATCTGTCAGAGAAGCATAGAACTATTATTTTGTGGCAATGTTAAGTGATTTTTAAAAACAGATGTTAATTGAGGTCCAAGCAGTAAATTAGTAGTTAAACCTCCCTTAGGTTTTACAAAGAGAGTTCAAGACTGACTTAAGATCCCTGTCCTGGATTAACATGAAGTGAGACTTAAAATTAGATTGCCAAGAAGGTAATGTATCACCAAAGGGTCAGGTGATATATGACCAAAGGGTCAAGGTGAAAAGAGAAGGTGATATATCACCAAAGAGTCAGGGTGCACCTTGTTTGCAGTGATATTTGTTGGGGCAGCTCTTAAAAACGAGCAAAGGTCAAAGTTGTTAATGAAGCTGACCCCACAGGTGTGAAGCTTGTAGGTTTCAGTTCAGTTTTACCCTTCAGAGATCAGTGACAGCCAGCCCTAGAGGCACCATCTGCAGCCCTATGGGAAAGAGGTCTGATTTAGAACATGTGGGAAAGGAAGAAGTACATTTGAATTTGAAAGTTGACTTAATTATATTCTCTGCTTTCAGAGAGCTTCCCCTTTGCACATCTCACCCTTTTTCTTACCCACGCTGCAGAACTATTTTGGCATATGTTTTACCCCAAATGACTGGTTCCTATTTTCAATTCTGTATCTAGTTGAGAGATACAGATGAGGGGTCAGGAAAGTTATTCTATGGTTTGGAGTCTTGCCAGGCTCAGTTGATATCTTTGACAAGAGCAAGGCTACTGCTCATTTCTGATGTCCCTGTCTGGGGAGCTCAAAGTGCTGTGTAGATGTTGTCTCATTCATTTTACCTGAGGCAAGTTGGAGGCATGCATCAGTGTAAAATTTTCTTTAAAGCTTCATTCATATGAGTAAGAAATAGATAAAAGGAAAATACTGCCTATGAGTCAGAAACAGATATATTTAAGAGATGACACTGAAAAAAGCTAAGGTTTTAATAATATTTTTGCCTTATTCTCTTGGGACAGATGAGGAGGATATAATCACAGGGCAGGTTTCACTGAGGAAGTTGTTATAAAGGGCAAGAATATAGTGCAGTGTTTAGTTTAAAGAGGGCAGCTTATAGCTGTATATCCATTCAATATATCCCAGAAGATTGGCGATAAATTTAAGACAATGTCTCCAAGTTGATTGGGCATATATTTCCAGCTTTGCTGCCTCCATTCTTTTGTTATTGGCCAACAAACCTCCTATTTTAATTTTTTATTTTTGGATAGAATTAACTGGAGACACTGTAGAATCTTAAACTTTTATGATGCTGTTTTTTCTGCCACATTATAAAAGTATTAAATTAAGAATCAACAAATGTAAATTACTTTTTGTTCTGCTGCTGTGAACCTTGAGTGGGAGCAATACTAAGCATCTTAGACCTGAGTTCCTTCATGTATAAAATGAGAAGGAGGAACCATATCACCTCTAAGATCCCTTCCAGCTTTGCAGTTTCCAGAAGTAAGAACATGTTCTATTACCTGCCATGAAGAAGAAAACATGGGAGAATATGGGAATCTTCTTTTCTGAAATCTCCTTTGTATGATTTTTCTTTCTCTCTTTTAAAATCATAGCTATAATTTTAAAAATCTCATTTAAAACTCTCTGTGTTTATTGTAGAAAAAAGTTAGAAAATATAAATAAGCAAAAATAATGTAAGAACTATGCATAATATCACTACTCTTGGATAATTACTGTTAACACTTTGGTAGACATTATTTCTGACTTTCTTTCTGAAAACACACCCATAAGCACACATATCCTTTAGTTATGCTAGTGACATCTTGAAGGATATTAAGGCTAAGTACATTGAGAAAACTTTACTACTAGATGTTCAAGATGTACCAAGCTTGGAAGATGATACAGAACAGTCCTTTACTTTCTCCTCTGAGTTATGTGTCAGTTCATCCAGGTTTGCCTCAGATGGGCTCCCTCTGGGCTCCCTTTTTACCATTTTTTCTCTCTGCTAGTTTATTGGTTTCCACTCTTGAAAAGGTGGTGTCAGGGCCTTTCATTCTGTGCTTTATTTAGAAGGGATGTTTTGTAAAAATCAGAATTAAACATTTACAGGCAAAAAACCCTTTGATTATATTGATGCCTTTTATAGCAAAAATGTAATACTTTACTAGTCTAACAGATTCTCTCTCTCTTTTTTCCTACCTTAAAAAGGCACAAACAAAACAAAACAGAATGAAATAATAACTGTAACAACAACAATAACAATATAAGAAAAAACAAAACACAAAATTCCTAGGAAGCAGTAGAAAAGAAAATAAAGAGATGAGGAAGAGCTCTGAGCTCTGACCTGCTTTATATTTACATATGTAAATAGTGTCTCAACATACATCCTATCTCAACAATCCATTTGAAAAATGTGATCATATTTTATACAACTTGAAACTCATTTTTTCACATAATAATCATAAACATCTTTTCAATCATCTGATAAATGTATAGATTATATTTTAATAGTCAAATATTGCTACATTACATATAACTTATCTAACCTACCCCCAATTATTGGACAGTTATTACCTTGTTTTTGCTGATACAAACAATAACAGGCTAAAGTAATTATATAATTATTAATGTCTGGGTTTACAGCCCTTTACACTTATGATAGGTATGTGGAAAATATATAATCAAAGTCATGGCAGACATTACTCACAGATCATGACATTAAAGCTGAGCCTGTCAGCACAGTGCTCAATGTATCCACAAATAATTGATTGGAGATGACAAGCTGGTTGAAGTCTAGGCTGCTGTATCTCTGTGAGTCTTCCTATTGCTAAAAACAGGAATGGAGACAGGTTGGGGAAAATGGCAGATATGAGGCAGGACTAAACTGCAGCTCCCATTCAGACAGAGAGCAGCATGTGGAGACTCACATCGTGAACTTTTGCTCCCACATCTATCACAGGAACATACCAGGAAATCTGAGAGAATTCACAGACCCTCTGAAGGAAGTGAATCACTCTTGCAGGCCCCGAGAGACAGCCAAAGTGTGAAAGTGTGAAAGGGGGATCATCCACCCCCAAACACACACTCTCACTGGGGAACCTGAAGGTTCAGATCACAAGAGAAGGATTTGACTTTACCCGGGGTTGAGACAATTCTAGAAAGCTGAGCAAAATACAAGGGTAGAAGAAGCAGCTAGAAGAGCCCTGTGGCTCTCTTGGTCCCCAGGGAAACCATTTCTGACTTTGTCTCACAGAGGTCCTTGGGGAGTGCTGCCAGAGGAACTGGGAAAAGACCACAGGGAGGAAACTTTTAGCTGAACTGTGTAACAACTTCAACTGAACACAAAGTTTCCTGGATGGAACTTGAGGGAGGGGTGAATCTGGAGTGCAGACACAGCACAGAAGCTGTGGCAGGTGGGGAGCCATGAAACCTGAAAGCCCTGCTTGCTTTTACAGCTGGAGATTGGTAGCCTGGAGCAAGTTATCAGCCCTGTTCACCCACTGCCTGGAAACAAACTTGGTGCTGTAGAGGGGGCCACAGCAAGAGTGAGACTGGCCTTTGGGATATGTGGGAGCTGGGTGAGGCCTGTAACTGCTGGATTTCCCCCACTTCCCTGGTGGCCTACAAGACAAGGCAGAGGCAGTCATAATCCCCCTAGGAACATAACTCCATTGGTCTGAGAACCACACACTCCATTCCCAACAGTGTCTACAGCAAGCCCCACCCAAGGATAGTCTGAGCTCAGACCTGCCTAACCCTGCCCCCACCTGATGGTCTTTTTCTACCCGCCCTGATATCCGAAGACAAAGGACATATTGTCTTGGGAGTTCCAAGGCCCTGCCCACCACCTGATCCTCCCTATACTACCACAGCTGATGCTCTCTTGGAAGTTCACCTTCTGGAAGGAGACCAACCAGCAAAAAACTAGTACAATAAACAAAACTACAACTAAGAACCTTCACAGAGTCAATTTCACTCCGCTGCCACCTCCACCAAAGCAGGTGCTGCTATCCATGGCTGAGAGACCTGAAGAAGGATCACATCACAGGACTCTGTGCAGAAATCCCCTGGTACCAGCCCAGTAGCTCTGCTGGGTGGCTAGATCCAGAAGAGAAATAACAATCACTACAGTTCTGCTCTCAGGAAATCACATCCCTAGGAAAAAGGGGATGGCACTACATCAAAGAAGCACCCTGTGGGACAAAAGAATCTGAACAGCAGCCCTTGAGCCCCAGATCTTCTCTCTGACATAGTCTACCCAAATAAGAAGGAACCAGAAAAACAATTCTGGTAATATGACAAAAGAAGTTTCTTTAGCACATCCAAAAGATCACACTAGCTCATCAGCAGTGGATCCAAACCAAGAAGAAATCCCTGATTTACCTGAAAAAGAATTCAGAAGGTTGATTATTAAGCTAATCAAAGAGGCATCAGAGAAAGGTGAAGTCCAACTTAATGAAATAAAAAAAGATACAAGATATGAAAGGAAAAATCTTCAGTAAAATAGATGGCATAAATAAAAACCAATCAAAACCTCTGGAAATAAAGGACACACTTAGAAAAATGCAAAATGCACTGGAAAGTCTCAGCAATAGACTTGAGCAAGCAGAAGAAAGAACTTTAGATCTTGAAGACAAGGTTTTCAAATTAACACAATCCAATAAAGACAAAGAAAAAAGAAAAAAAAAATGAAAAAAGCCTCCAAGAAATTTGGGATTATGTTAAATGACCAAACCTAAGAATGATTGGTGTTTCTGAGGAAGAAGAGAAATCTAAAAGTTTGGAAAACATATTTGAAGAAATAATTGAGGAAAACATCCCCAGCCTTGCTAGAGACTTAGACATCCAAATACAAGAAACTCAAACAACACCTGGGAAATTTATCACAAAAAGATCATCACTTAGGCACATAGACATCAGGTTATCTAAAGTCAAGATGAAGGAATGAATCTTAAAAGCTGTTAGGCAAAAGCACCAGGTAACCTATAAAGAAAAACCTATCATCAGATTAACAGCAGATTTCTCAGCAGAAACTTTATAAGCTAGAAAGGATTGGGGCCCTATCTTCAGCCTCCTTAAACAAAACAATTATCAGGAAAGAGCTGTGTATCTAATGAAACTAAGCTTCAGAAATGAAGGAAAGATACAGTCTTTTTCAGACAAACAAATGCTGATAGAATTTGCCACTATCAAGGCAGCACTAGAAGAACTGCTAAAAGGAGCACTAAATATTGAAACAAATCCCATAAATACACCAAAATAGACCCTCTTTAGAGCATAAATCTCACAGACCTATAAAACACAATAAATTTGTTTTAAAAGGTGGAAAAATAGCATAATGAATAGAACAGTCCCTCACATCTCAATACTAACATTGAATGTTAATGGCCTAAATGCTCCACTGAAAAGATACAGAATGGCAGGATGGATAGGAATTCACCAACCAAGTATCTGCTGTCTTCAAAAGACTCACCTAACACATAAGGACTCACATAAAATTAAGGCAAAGGGGTGGAAAAAGATATTTCATGCAAATGGACATAAAAAGTGAGTGGGAGTAGATATTCTTATATCAGGCAAAACAAGCTTTAAAGCAGTTAAAAAAGATGAAGAGGGACATATAATGATAAAGAGGCTTGTCCAACAGGAAAATATCACAATCCTAAATATATATGCACATAACACTGGATCTCCCAAATTTATAAAACAATTACTACTAGACCTAAGAAATGAGGTAGACAGCAATAGATTAATAGTGGAGAACTTCAGTACTCCACTGACAGCACTAGATGGATCATCAAGACAGAAAGTCAACAAAGAAACAATGGATTTAAACTATACCCTGGAACAAATGGACTTAACAGATATTTACAGAGCATTCTACCCAAAAACTACAAAATACACATTATATTCATCAGCACATGGAACATTCTCCAAGATAGACCATATGATAGGCCACAAAACAAGTCTCAATAAATTTAAGAAAATTGAAATTATATCGAGAGCTCTCTCAGATCACAGCGAAATAAAATTGGAACTCAACTCCAAAAGGAACCCTCAAAACCATGCAAATACATGGAAATTAAATAAACTGCTCCCGAATGATTGTTGAGTGAACAATGAAATCAAGATAGAAATAAAAGCATTCTTTGAGCTGAATGATAATAATGACACAACCCATCAAAACCTCTGGGATACAGCAAAGGTGGTGCTAAGTCTGAAAGTGCACAAATAGACAATCTAAGGTCACACTTTAAGGAATGAGAGAAACAAGAACAAACCAAACTTAAACCCAGCAAAAGAAAACAAATAACCAAGAACAGAGCAGAACTAAATGAAAATGAAACAAAAAAAACAAAAGATAAATAAACAAAAACCTGGTTATTTTAAAAGATAAATAAAATTGATAGAACATTAGTGAGATTAACCAAGAAAAGAAGAGAGAATATCCAAATAAGCTCAATTAAAAATGAAACAGGAGATATTACAACTGATACCACAGAAATACAAAAGATCATTCAAGGCTATTATGAACACCTTTACATGCATAAACTAGAAAACCTAGAGCAGATGGATATATTCCATGAACTATACAACCCTCCTAGCTCAAATCAGGAAGAAATAGAAACCCTGAAAAGACCAATAACAAGCAGTGAGATTGAAATGGTAATAAAAAAATTACCAACAAAAAAAATATCTAGGACCAGATGGATTCACAGCTGAATTCTATCAGACACTCAAGGAAGAATTGTTACCAATCCTGTTGAAATTATTCCACAATCTAGAAAGAAGGAATCCCCCCTAAATCACTCTATGAAGCCAATATCACCCTAATACCAAAACAAGGAAAGGACATAACAAAAAAAGAAAACTACAGACCAATATCCCTGGTGAATGTAGATACAAAAATTATTAACAAAATACTAGCTAACCAGATCCAACAGTATATCAAAAAGATAATCCACCATGATCAAGTGGGTTTCATACCAGGGATGCAGGGATGGTTTAACATATGCAAGTCAATAAATGTGATAAATCACATAAACAGAACTAAAAACAAAAACTACGTGACCCTTCATCTCAATAAATGCAGAAAAAGCATTTGACAAATTCTAGCATCACTTTATGATTCAAACCCTCAGCAAAATTGTCATACAAGGGACATAACTTAGTGTAATAAAAGCTATCTATGACAAACCTACAGCCAACCTAATACTAAATGGGGAAAAGTTGAAAGCATTCCCCCTGAGAACTGGAACAAGACAAGGATGCCCACTCTCACCACTTCTATTAACATAGACCTGGAAGTCCTAGCCAGAGAAGTCAGATAAGAGAAAGAAATAAAAGGCATCCAAATCTGTAAAGAGGAAGTCAAACTGTCACTGTTTGCTGATAATATAACTGTATATCTAGAAAACCCTAAAGACTCCCCCAAAAAGCTCCTATAACTGATAAATGAATTCAGCAATGTTTCAGTATACAAAATTAATGTACACAAATCAGTAGCTCTGCTATACACCAACAGCAACCAAGCTGAGAATCAAATCAAGAGCTCAACCCCTTGTACAATAGCTGCAATCAATCAATCAATCTATCAATCAATAAACTTAGGAATGTACCTAACCAAGGAGATAAAAGACCTCTACAAGGAAAACTACAAAACACTGCTGCAAAAAAATCATAGACAAAACAAACAAATGGAAACACATCCTACACTCATGGATGGGCAGAATCGATATCATAAAAATGACCGTACTGCCAGAAGAAATCTATACATTCAATGCAATTTCCATCAAAATACCATCATTCTTCACAGAACCAGAAAAAAAATTCTAAAATTCATATGGAACCAAAAAAGGGCTCACGTAGCCATAGCAAGGCTAATCAAAAGGAACAAATCTGGAGGCATTACATTGCCTGATTTCAAAGTATACTATAAGGCCATAGTCACCAAAACAGCATGGTATTGGTATAAAAATAGGCACATAGACCAATGGAACATAATAGAGAACCCAGAAACAAAACCAGATACTTACAGACAATTGATCTTCGACAAAGCAAACCAAAACTTAAAGTGGGGAAAGAACACTGTCTTCAACAAATGGTGCTGGGATAGTTGGCAACCCACATGTAGAAGAAGGAAACTGGATCCTTATCTCTTACCTTATACAAGAATCAACGCAAGATGGATCAAGGACTTAAATCTAAGACCTGAAACCATTAAAATTCTAGAAGATAACATTGGAAAAACCCTTCTAGACATTGGCTTAGGCAAAGACTTCATGAGCAAGAACCCAAAAGCAAATGCAGCAAGACAAAGATAAATAGATGGTACTTAATTAAACTAAAAGGTCTGCACATCACAAGAAACAACCAGCAGAGTAAACAGACAACCCATAGAGTGGGAGAAAATATTCCCAATCTATACATCTGACAAAGGACTAATATCCAGAATTTACAAGAAACTGAAACAAATTCTCAAGAAAAAAAACAATCCCATCAAAAAGTGGACTGAGAACATGAATAAACAATTCTCAAGAGAAGATATACAAAGATATGATATACAAAGATATGGCCAAAAAACATATGAAAAAATCCTGAACATCACTAATTATCAGGGAAATGCAAATCAAAACTGCAATGTGATACCATCTTTTTCCTGCAAGAATGGCCATAATAAAAAAAAAAATGAAAAAAGCAACAGATGTTGACGTGGATGTGGTGAAAAGGGAACACTTTTACACTGCTGGTGGGAATATAAACTAGTACAACCACTATGGAAAACAATATGGAGATTCCTTTAAAAACTAAAAGTAGAACAACCATTTGATCCAGCAATTCCACTACTAGGTGTCTACTCAGAGGAAAAGAAGCCATTATACAAAAAAGATACTTGTGCATGCATGTTTATAGCAGCACAATTCGCAATTGCAAAAATATAGAACCAGCCCAAATGCCCACCACTCCACTAGTGGATTAAGAAATTGTATATATATATATGCACACACACACACACACAATGGAATACTACTCGGCCATAAAAAGGAATGAATTAATGGCATTTGCAACTTGGATGGGATTGGAGACTATTAATCTAAGTGAAGTGACTCAGGAATGGAAAACCAAACATTGTATGTTCTCACTCATAATTGGGAGGTAACTGTGAGAATGCAAAGGCATAAGACTGAAACAATGGACTTTGAGGACTTGGGGAAAGGGTGGTACGGGGGTGAGGGATAGAAGACTAGAAATTGGGTACAGTGTATACTGCTTGAGTGATGGGTGCACCAAAATCTCAGAAATCACCACTAAAGAACTTATTCATGTAACCAAATGCCACCTGTATTAGTCAGCGTTCTCTAAAGGGACATAACTAATTGGATAAATGAATATATGAAGGGGAGTTTATAGAATTGATTCACATGATCACAAGGTGAAGTCCCACAATAGGACACCTGCAAACTGAGGAGCCAGGAAGCCAGTCCAAGTCCCCAACCTCAAAAGTAGAGAAGCTCATAGTGCAGCCTTCAGTCTGTGGCCAAAGGCCTTAGAGCCCTCGGCAAACCACTGGTATAAGTCAAAGAGTCCAAAAGCTGAAGAACTTGGAATCTGATGTTTGAGGGCTGGATGCATACAGCAAGGGAGAAAGAGGGAAGCCCAAAGATTCAGCAAGTCTGCTCTTTCCATGCCTGCTTTTATGCTGGCAGCTGATTAGATGGTGCCCACCCAGATTGAGGGTGGGTCTGCCTCTTCCAGTCCACTGACTCAAATGTTAATCTCCTTTGGCAACATACTCACAGAGACAACCCAGAATAATACTTTGCATCCTTCAACCCAGTCAAGTTGACACTAAATATTAACCATCACACCACCTCTTCCCCAAAATCCTACAGAAATGAAACACAACAACCGAAAAACAAACAAACAAACAAACCAACCAGGAATGGAGAGGTATTAGCATCCATTTCACATTGATGATCATAGTAAATTGTTTGGTACAATATTTATATAAGTTCTACTGAGTTGGCAATTTGCAAAAATAGAGATAGAATATTGATAGGGACTGAATGTTTGTTTCCCCCAAAGTATACATGTTGGAGTCCCAACCCGCAGTATGATTATATTTGGAGTTAGGGCCTTTATGGAGGTAATTAAAGCCAAATGAGGTGGGACCCTGATTTAATAGGACTGGTGGTGTCATTAGAAGAGACATGAGTTTAGACTCTCTCTATCATGAGGACACAGCAAGAAGGCAGTTACCTTTAAGCTGAGAACGAGCTCTTACCAGAAACCAAATTGGCTGGGACCTTAATCTGGGACTTCTAGCCTCCAGAACTCTTAGAAAATAAATTTCTGTTGTTTAAAACAACTAAGTTTATAATATTTGTGACAGCAGCCTGAACTGACTAATACAAATCTTAGTACTGAGAAGTGGAATGTTGCTGTAACAAATCTGTAAAAACGTGAAGTAGTTTTAGAACTGGGTGTTGGGTACAGACTGGAAGAGTTTGAGATGCACACTAGAAAAAGCTGAGATTGCCATGAAGAGGTTATTAGTGGGAAAACAGACATTTAATGGTGATTCTGGTGAGGGCTCAGGAAGAAATAAGGAGAGCTAGAGAGAAAGCTTCCATCTTCTTAGAGAATATATAAATAATCATAAACAGAATGTTGACAGAATATGGACATTAAAGGCCATTCTGGTGAGGGCTCAGAAAGAAAACAGAAACAGCATATTAGAAACTTGAGAAAAGCAGTCTTTGTTTTAAAGTGGCAAAGAACTTGGCTGACTTGTGTTCTAATGTATTGCGGAAGGTAGAATTTATGTGTGATGACATTGGATATTTAGCAAAGAAGATTCCTAAGCTGTGTATTGAAGGTGCTGATTTGGCCCTCCTTAGTGCTTACAGTAAAATGCAAGAAGGGAGAGATGAATTGAAGAAGAAATTTTCAAGCAAAAATAAACTAGAATTTGGAGATTTGGAAATTCTTAGCACTAAGGGTGTGGCTGAACAACAATTTGATAAAGAGATTGTGATGATTAATTTTATGTATCAACTTGACTGGGCCAGGGGTTGTCTGGATATTTGGTTAAACATAATTCTTGGTATGTCTGTGAGGGTGGCTGTGGGTGAGATTAATATTTGAACTGGTAGACTGAGTAAAGCACACTGCTCTCACCAGGGTTGTCATCTACTCCACTGAAGACCTAAATACAACAAAAGGCTAAGTAAGGGTAAATTTGCTTTCTCTCTGCCTGACCGTCTTCTCCTGCTTTTGAATTTGAACTCAGACTTGGACTGGAATTTACACTATTAGCAACTCTCCTGGTTCTCAAGCCTTCAAATTTAGACTGTATCTATACTTTCCTGGGTCTCCAGCTTGCTGACTGCAAATATTGGGACTTCTCAGCCACTGTAATCATGTAAGTCAATTTCTTAAAATAAATCTCTCTCTCTCGCCATATATATATCCTATTTTTTTCTGTTTCTCTGGAGAACCGAGATTAACATAGAGATTATGGGTGTGACTCATGGCCTTAATCAGCCATCTCAGTAGAAGCCAGGGATAGAGATTGGATTATAATAGCAGAGACCCTGCCAATTTGAACTAATGGTGAGAGTGAAAGTAGGACGGAATGAAGGAAAGCCATTAAATTTCTAGAATTCTATAGAATAGGAAAATAGAGCTATTTGGTTGTGAATTTATGCTATTTTTCAAGGAAAGGGAAGAATGGCCCCAAAGGCATTTCAGAGATCATCGCAGCTACCGCTTCCACCACGGGCCCAGTCAGCAAGGTCATTTCCTTCTCAGTTTAAGAGGGCAGGGTGGCCAGGCATAGTGGCTTACGCCTGTAATCCTAGCACTTTCAAAGGCCAAAGCAGGTGGATCACTTGAGCCCAGGAGTTCAAGAGCAGCCTGGGCAACATGGTGAAATCCCATCTCCACAAAATTCAAAAATTAGCTGGCCATGGTAGTGCATCCCTGTAGTTTCAGCTACCTGAGCAGCTGAGGTGGGAGACTCACTTGAGCCTGGGAAGTTGAAGCTGCAGTAAGCTGTGATAGTGCCATTATACTCCAGCTAGAGCGACAGGAGTGAGACTCTGCCTTAAAAAAAAAGGGAGGCAGGGCCACCATGGTGGCATGTCCAGCCAAAGGAACGAAGCAGTTCCACCGAGCCAAGGAGGTGACACTGCCACCCCTGCAGGTCTGGAAGGGTGGACATTGAACCAATAAGGATCATTCTTGAGCTTTAAGAGCAAATGGAATTTGCCTTGCTGGGTTTTAGACTTGCTTGAGGCTCATAATCTCTTCCTCATTTCCTATTTCTCCCTTTTGGAATGAGAATATCTATCCTATGCTTGCCACTACATCATATTTTGTAAGCACATAAGTTTCCTGGTTTCACAGATTCACAGCTGCCGAGGAATTTTGCCTCAGGATGAATTGTACCTGAAGTCTTACCCCATATCTGACTTAGATGATATTTAAAGTCTGAACATTAAATTTCGGAGTTGATGATGGAATGAATTAAGACTTTTGAGGCTTTTGGGATAGAAGGAACGTATTTTGCATACATGGAGGACATTAATTTTGAGGAGCCAAGAGCGGAATATTATGGGCTAAGTGCTTGTCAACTGAGCTAAGGCAGTTGGTATGTTATTGCTATAGTTAAGAATCAAGGTTCAGAATTTACTCTGAAAGATATTCATTTGGCTAAACCTGAAAAAAACGTTTTCATTTGAGAGTAAGAAATTTTGAAAAGTTGTGACTAACTTTGGTTGTAGGTACATTACCTCAACAAATCACAGAATCATGAGATTGACAAGTAATAAAGGAATCTGTTCACTTAGTTCAGCCCCCTAACAATGGAGTAATATTTTCCAAATGTCACACAGGCTTTTCCATAAATTATTTATGAAAGATTTTTTAATATATGAACTTAGATCTACCCAACTATAACTTCCCTCCATAAGAGCCAATTCTGCTGTCTTTACCAGACAGAACAATTCTGTTCTTTCCTCCCTTCATTCATCTTTTTAGATGCTGTAATGATTAATTTCATGTGCTAACTTGTCTGGGGCATGGTGCCCAGATATTTAGCTAAACATTTTGGATGTTTCTTTTGGTTTGTTTTTGGATGAAATGTAAGTTTAAATCGGGGAGTTTGTGGTAAAGCAGAGTGCTCACTATAATGTGGGTGGGACTTATCTGATCAGTGAAAGGCCTAAATAGAACAAAAGGCTGACCTCCTCTGAGCAAGAGAAAATTCTCCAGCAGACTGCCTCAGACTTCATCTGCAACATTGCCTTGTACTAGTTCTACAGTAGATTGCCTTTCAACTTGAATAGCAACGTTTTCCTGAGTCCCCAGCCTGCTGGCCTCTCCTATCAGATTTTGGACTTGCCAAACCTCTACAGTCGTGTGAGCCAGTTCCTTAAAATAAATATCTTTCCATATATACACACATTCTATTGATTCTGTTTCTCTGGTGAACCCTGAAGAATATAGATGTATTATATTTCTTCTCTTTTGAAAGCTATCCATTAACTTCCCACCTCAGCCTTGAAAACACAGAATTCTTACAAATACCTCAAAGTTCTACATGATTTTTCTCTCGTTTATGCCACCTCAAAGCCCCCCATCAATAGCTCTCTGGCTTTATGTACTCTTGCTTTCCCCCTCAATCAATCTAATTTAGTTATGCTGGCCTCTTAGCATATCTATCACAATATTGTTGCATTTGTAATTCTCTCTGATTGAATGTTGGTCTCTCAGATATCCTTAAGGCTGGGTCTTTGATTTTCTTTATGTCTTTACTCAATTACCATTTTCTCAGTGAAGCTCTTCTTAGTTATTCTTTAAAAAGTTTAATGCCCTCTTCCAATATTTCCTATTCTCTTTTCTATTGTATTTTTTTCTTAGCACCAACAATAGTTCATTATACTGTATATTTTGCTTTTCATCTTGCTTATCATTTGATTTCTCCTCTATAATGAAAATTGCATGACAGCTGAAATTCTTTTCTATTTTAGTGCTATATTCCCAACACCTAGGATAGTGATATAATAGGGGATCTATTAATATTTGTCAAATAAAAGAATGAATGAGAATGTCAGATTATTTTTGAGGATTTTAGGTTAACTAAATATTCACATTGAACACAACGTTTTTGCTTGACTTTGGCATTTTTATAAACTGTTATTTAATTTGAAATTATAATATATTTCATATCAAATGTGTACCTTAAGTAGTAGTCTTCTCCCCTTCTTAATCCACTGCCACATGCTGTTATGAAATCAATGAGATCTCTTATAATCAAAAGCATCTTAGAACTAAGAAAATAATGAGTTTTTATATGACAATTCTGATGATGATGGTAGTTATGTGTGTCAAGAATTGTGAAGGGCCTGAGATTTGTGTGGAGAAATGGAATAAAATACCTTTAACGGGAACTATTGATTATTACATCATAAAATTCAAAAATATTGTTTGTTATAATCAACCATAAAAAAAAAACTGTGGCAAGACGCCTCTATTCTTATTTATGTATTTATTTTTGTCCTGGCCTTCTCATATTGACTCTGATTCAGCTGAAGGATAGTATAAATATAGCAGTAGATAATATAAGACTTCAGACAGATCACTATTGTGGTGAGGGTATGAAATGTACTATGGGTAAAAACTCTGCTGAAATTATTAGGAATATTTCAGGAGTTCAAGATTTTATGATCACTTTTATATGATCTTGTCATATAATAACTGACATATACATTTATTCCAAATTCTTCTCATTTCTTAATATTACTTCTGCTGAAAGAGTGTTTTTCAATTCGATGTACTAATTTAATCTTTCTCTTCTAAAATTAAGTAATTGGGGATGTTTTTCTAATTCTGTCATAAAATTTCCTTTGCTGTAAAATTTTTACACAGAAACTATAAATATTGTGCTTCAAATTTAATGCATTAAAATTATTAAAATGAGGTAGGTTAATTCTTGTGGAAGGCTGGAATGACCATAGAGAAATATGACTGAATTCAGTAATTTGATATTACAAAAATTCTATGCCTTACCCAAATTTACCATTGCTTTTGTCAAGGACTCCTTCTACTCAAGATCTGTGTGTAGAAATTTAAACCATGACTAAATTGAGTCTTTCTCTTTTAAGGTAGTCCCACTGAACACTTTTGTCTAGACTACTATCCTCTAGGCTAGATTAGAATGGAATTGAGGTTAGTACAGAGAATGGTTATGGGACTCCCTGCTGATGTTCTCACTGAATTTTATCTCATGTGGAATGCTCAGTTGAATAGAGAGCTATAGATTCCACAGATATAGATGTGAAGGATGTGGAATTTCCTCAACTGAATTGTGATTTGGTAGGTCTCTGCTGCATACCTTGCTACTACACCAAGTGTTGTGATGAGTAGGACTCATTATAGGAATATTTTCAAAGAGTGTTACTCAGACTACCTTTATTAGCCAGGGTTCTCTTAAAGGGACAGAAAGAATAGGGTATATATCTCATATATGTGTGTGTGTGTGTGTATATATATATATATATATGTAAACAGAGTAAACAGACAACCTACAGAATGGGAGAAATTTTTTGCAAAGTATACATATATATATATATATACACACACGGGACTATATATATGACAGTATATATATGGGAGTATATGTATATACTTAATATATACACATATATGTATATATACATATGTGTATATATACTTAATATATATACATATGTGTGTATATATACTTAATATATATACATATATATATATGAGTTTATTAAGTATTAACTTACACAAACATGGGGTCCCACAGTAGGCTGTCTGCAAGCTGAGGAGCAAGAAGAGTCAATTTGAGTCCCAAAACTGAAGAACTTGGAGTCCAACCTTCAAGGGCAGAAAGCATCCAGCACAGAAGAAAGATGTAGGCTGGGAGGCTAGGCCAGTCTCTCCTTTTCATATTTTTCTGCCTGCTTTATATTCACTCACAGCTGATTAGATTGTGCCCACTAGATTAAGAGTGGATCTGTCTTCCCTTCACCACTGACTCAAATGTTAATCTCTTTTGGCAACACCCTCACAGACACACCCAGGATCAATACTTTGTATCCTTCAATCCAATCAAGTTGACACTTAGTATTAACCATCATGCTACCTGTGTCCGAATCTCATGGGTTTCATATGGAGTCACAAAAGACCTCAGATAGTCAAGGCAATCGTGAGCAAAGAACAAAGATGGAGGCATCACACTTCCTGACTTCAAATGATATTACAAAGCTACAGTAGTTGAAACAGTATGGTACTGGCATAAAAAAAGACAGATAAACCAATGAAATAGAATCAACAGCCCAGAAATATACCCATGCATAAACAATCAGCTAATCTTTGACAAGGGCAACAAGGATACACAATGTGGAAAGGATAGTTCCTTTAATAAATGGTGTTGGGAAAACTGCATATCATATGCAAAAGAATGAATTTGGACCTTTATTTTACACTATACACAAAAATAACTCAAAATAGATTAAAGATTTAAACATAAGACCTTAATCTGTAAAATTGCTACATGAAAACATAGGGAAAAAGTTCCTTGATATTGGTCTTGGTATGGATCTTTTTAAAAAAACTTTTATTTTAAGTTCAGAGGTACATGTGCAGGATGTGCAGGTTTGTTACATAGGTAAAGGTGCATCCTGGGGGCTTGTTATACAGATTATTTCATTAGCCATGTATTAAGCCTAGTGCCCATAGTTGTTTTTCCTGATTCTCTTCCTCCTCCTACTTCCACCATTCTATAGGCCCCAGTGTGTGTTGCTTCCCTCTGTGTGTCCATGTTTTCTCATCATTGAGCTCCCATTTATAATTGAGAACATGCGGTATTTGGTTTTCTTTTCCTGTGTTAGTTTGCTAGGGATAATGGCCTCCAGCTTTATTTATGTCCCCGCAAAGGACATAATCTCATTTTTTATGGCTGCATAGTATTCCTGGTGTATATGTACCACATTTTTTTTATCCATTCTATAATTGGTGGGCATTTGGGTTGATTCCATGTCTTTGCTATTGTGAATAGTGTTGTCATAAACATACATGTGCATGTGTCTTTATAATAGAATGATTTATATTCCTTTGGGTATATACCCAGTAATGGGCTTACTAGGTTAAATGGTATTTCTGTCTTTAGGTCCTTGAGGACTTGCCACACTGTCTTCCACAATGATTGAACTAATTTACACTCCCACCAACAGTGTATAAGCATTCCTTTTTATTCACAACCTCACCAGCATCTGTTAGTCTTTTGACTTTTTAATAATAACCATTCTGACTGGTGTGAGATGGTATCTCATTGTGGTTTTGATTTGCATTTCTCTAATAATAGGTGATGTTGAGCTTTTGTTTGTATGATTTTTGGCCACATGTATGTCTTCTTTTGAGAAGTGTCTGTTCATGTCTTTTGTCCACTTTTTGATCATGTTTTTTTCTTGTAAATTTGTTTATATTCCTTATTGGTGCTGGATATTAGACTTTAGTCAGATGCATAGTTTGCAAAAAATTTCTCCCATTGTGTAGGTTGTATGTTTATTTTGTTGATAGTTTCTTTTGCTGTGCAGAAACTTTTTAGTTTAATTAAATCCCATTTGTCAATTTTTATTTTTGTTACAATTGCTTATGGCATCTTTGTCGTGAAATCTTTGCCAGTGCCTATGTCCTGACTGGTATTGCCTAGGTTGTCATCTAGGGTTCTTATAGTTTTCAGTTTTACATTTAAGTCTTTAATCCATCTTGAGTTAATTTTTGTATATGGTATAAGGAAGGGGTCCAGTTTCAGTTTTCAGCATTTGGCTAGCCAGTTCTCCCAGCACCATTTACTGAGTAGTTAATCCTTTCTCCATTGCTTGTTTTTGTCAGGTTTGTCAAAGATCAGATGGTTGTAGCTGTGCAGTCTAATTTCTGGGTTCTCTATTCTCTTCCATTGGTCTATGTGTTTGTCCTTGTATCAGTACTATGCTGTTTTGGTTGCTGTAGCCTAGTTGTTGCATAGTTTGAAGTCAGGTAGCATGATGCCTCCAGCTTTGTTCTTTTTATTATTATTATACTTTAAGTTTTAGGGTACATGTGCACAATGTGCAGGTTTGTTACATATGTATACATATGACATGTTGGTGTGCTGCACCCATCAACTTGTCATTTAGCATTAGGTATATCTCCCAATGCTATCCCTCCCCCCTCCTCCACCCCACAACAGTCCCCGGTGTGTGATGTTCCCCTTCCTGTGTCCATGTGTTCTCACTGTTCAACTCCCACCTATAAGTGAGAACATGCTGTGTTTGGTTTTTTGTCCTGTTCTTTTTACTTAGGATTGCCTTGGCTTTTCGGGCTCTTTTTTGGTGTCATATGAATTTTAAAATAGTTTTCTCTAGTTCTATGAAGAATGTCAATGGTAGTTTAATGGAAATAGTTTAATGGTAGCTTAATGGGAATAACAGTTTAATAGGAATAGTTTAATGGTAGTTTAATGGGAATAGCATTGAATCTATAAATTGCTGTGGGCAGTATGACTATTTTTGTGATATTAATTCTTCCTATCCATGAGCATAAAACATTTTTATTTGTTTGTGTCATCCTTGATTTCTTTGAGCAATGGTTTGTAGTTCTCCTTGTAGAGATCTTTCACCTCTTTTGTTACTTGTATTCCTAGGTATTTTATTCTTTTTGTGGCAATTGTGAATGGGAGTTTAATCATTCAAGCTCTCAGCTTGACTGTTGTTGGTGTATAAGAATGCCAGCAATTTTTGCACATTGATTTTGTATCCTGAGACTTGGCTGAAGTTTCTTGTCAGCTTAAAAAGCTTTTGTGGGGAGACACTGGGGTTTTCTAGATATAGGATCATATCATAAGGAAACAAGGATAGTTTGACTTCCTCTCTTTTTATTTGAATGCCCTTTATTTCTATCTCTTTCCTGATTGGCCTGGCCAGAACTCCCAACACTATGTTAAATAGGAGTGGTGAGAGAGGGCATCCTTGTCTTGTGCTAGTATTCAAGGCAAATGCTTTCAGCTTTTGCCCATTCAGTATGATGTTGGCTGTGGGTTTGTCATATATGGCTCTTATTATTTTGAGGTATACTCCTTCAATACCTAGTTTATCAGGAGTTTTTACATGAAGGGATGTTGAATTTTATTGAAAGCTGTTTTGGCGTCTATTGAGATAATCATGTGGTTTTTGTCTTTAGTTATGTTTATGTGATGAATCACATTTATTGATTTGTGTATGTTAAACCAATCTTGTATCCCGGGGATGAAGCCTACTTGATCGTGGTGGATAAGCTTTTTGATGTGCTGCTGGTTTTGGTTTTCCAGTATTTTGTTGAGGATTTTTGCATTGATGTTCATCAAGGATATTGCCCTGGAGTTTTCTTTTTTTGTTGTGTATCTGACAGGTTTTGGTATCAGGATGATGCTTGCCTGATAGAATGGGTTAGGGAGGAGTCCTTCATTTTTAAATTTTTGGAATAGTTTCAGTAGGAATTGTACCAGCTCTTTGTACATCTGGTAGAATTCATCTGTGAATATGTCTGGTGCTGTGCTTTTCTTTTTCTTCTTTGGTTGGTAGGCTATTTATTACTGCCTCAATTTCAGAACTTGTTATTGATCTGTTCATGGATTCAATTTCTTCCTGGCTCAGGCTTGGGAGGGTGTTTGTGTCCAGGAATTTATCTGTCTCTTCTAGGTTTTCTAGTTTGTTTACATAGGGATGTTCATAGCAGTTTCTGATGGTTCCTTTTATTTCTGTGGGGGTCAGTAGTAAGATTCCTTTTGTTATTTCTAAGTGTGTTTATTTGCATAGTCCCCTTTCTTCTTTATTAGCCTACCTAATGGCCTATTTTATTAATTTTTTCAAAAAAACAACTGCTGGGTTTTTTTATCTTTTAAATAATTTTTCATGTCTCAATCTCCTTTACTTCAGCTCTGATTTTTGTTATTTCTCATCTTCTAGCTTTGGGTTTGATTTGTTCTTCCATCTCTAATTCTTTCCATTGTGAAGTTAGGTTAATTTGACATCTTTCTAATTTTTTGATGTGGGCATTTAGTGCTATTAATTGCCATCTTCACACTACCTTAGCTGTGTCCCAGAGATTCTGGTATGTTGTACCTTTGTTCTCATTAGTTTCAAAGAACTTCTTGATTTCTGCCTTAATTTCATTCAAAGGACCTTCAGGAGCAGGTTACTCAATTTCCAAGTAATTTGTATGGTTTTGAGTGAAGTTTTTAGTCCTAAGTTCTAATTTGATTGGATTGCACCATGGTCCAAGAGACTGTTATGATTTCAGTTCTTTTGCATTTGCTGAGGAGTGTTTTACCTATGATTATGTGATCAATTTTAGAATAAGTGACATGGCAATGGGAAGAAGTATATTCTGTTGTTTTGGGGTACAGAGTTCTGTAGATACCTATCAGGTTCCTTTGATTCAGAGCTGAATTGAGGTCCTGAATATCTTTGTTAATTTTCTGTCTCATTGATCTGTCTAATATTTTCAGTGGGATAGTAAAGTCTCTCACTATTATTATGTGGGTGTTTAAGTCTCTTTGAAGGTCTCTAAGAACCTGCTTTATGAATCTGGGTGCTCTTGTATTGGGTGCATATGTATTTAGGATAGTTAGCTCTTCTTGTTGAATGAAACTCTTTACCATTATGTAATGCCCTTCTTTGTCTCTTTTGATCTCTGTTGGTATAAAGTCTGTTTTGTCAGAAACTAGGATTGCAGCCCTTGCTTTTTTCTGTTTTCCATTTGCTTGGTAAATTTTCCTCCATTCCTTTATTTTGAGCCTATATGTCTTTACATGTGAGATGGGTCTCTCGAAGACAGCATACCAATGGGTCCTGGTTCTTTATCCAGCTTTCTACTCTGTGTCTTTTAATTGGGGCATTTAACCTATTTACATTTAAGGTTAGTATTATTATGTATGGATTTGATCCTGTCATTTTGGTGCTAGCTGGTTATTTTGCAAACTTGTTTATGTGGATGCTTCATAATGTCACTGGTCTGTGTACTTCAGTTTGTTTCTGTAGTGGCTGGTAATGATTTTTCCTTTCCATATTTGGTGCTCCCTTGAGGAGCTCTTTTAAGGCAGGTCTGGTGGTAATGAATTCCCTCAGCATTTGCTTCTCTGAAAAGGATCTTATCTCTTTTTTGCTTATAAAGCTTGATTTGGCCAGATATGAAGATTTCCTGAGGTCATTGTAGATTTGAGGATGGTCTTTGTATATGTTTGTGTGCATGATTGTGTGAGTGTGTTTGTGGAGATGTAGGTGGTGCTTCTTGATTACTGTATGTTGTCATGGTTACCACTAAGGCCCTTTTCACATATTCTGTTTAATCAATCTCTGAGAGATTTATTAGTGCTAAGCAAACTATCAAGAGATTGTTTTGAAATTTGGAAAGTTAATATTGCTTTACAATAGGGGATATTTTTGGCTCACTACATTTGAGGTTTCTCTGTGGCTGTATCTACTTAGGAAACTAAATGGCATAAGCAAATATAGCGTGAAAATCAGACTTAGAGCAAAAAGAATAAATGTTCTTTGGAAATGACTTTGACCAATGAATATTAGCCTGTTAAAGTCTCATTCTGTTTTCTAGATTTTTTTTTGATTACATAATTTGGATTTTTAAAAAAGAAAACTAGACTATGTTATTCACTGGACATGGCTTAGGAAACTGATAAAATAATGTCCTCTAACTTTCCTTTTTGTAGTGCCTGCATTGGCCCAAAATTCAACTCTTATTTTAGTTTTCTACCTCACTGCAATACCTTCTGAACATCTTTACAATGTCAGCATCCAATTTCACAGTGAGTACCTTTTCAATGGACTGTCTCTTAATTGCTTCTAGAATGTTTTCTAGGTGCCAAATGATCTTATTTATTTTGTGTGAATTACTTTTAGTCTCAGAGAATGTGTCCTTTTTATGTTCTTGATCTTTCTGTTTTCTAATTTTTAGGATCCAGAGTTAAGAATATAATAGAAGAGTATTTTACTCTTGGACCTTAAATGGTCACTGTCTACTCTCTAGATGAGGTATAATGCACATCTTTCTTAAAGCTGGCAGTGTATTTATATGCACATTTTACATAACCATTGCAATTATCTTATAACCCATAATCTAGACTCAAAAATGAAAGTTCATTCTGTAACCATATAAAACATTTTGTTTTAGCATATGCACTAAAAACCACAGACTTTTAAATTCTGTTCTTTTCTTTTCTAAGTGCTCTCATCTACAATAAAATCTGATTTAGGTGGTGATTTAGGAGAATGGAAACTATTAAAGTAAAACCAACCAGCAACTAAAAATATTTTATAGAGGAAAGGTAAGAATTCCTTAATGGTTTCTGATTATAAGCACCTTTAGAATAGTTCATAATGCTACATATAAAATTAAAGAATCATAGTAGTTTTCCTAAATGATTCAACAGATAGATGTTTTCTTTTAGCTTGGCAGACGGAATTTTCTTCCAGAATTCACATTTAAAACTACTTTTTTCTTTGAACAGAGTCTTGCTCTGTTGCCCAGGCTTGAGTGTAGTAGTAGCATGATCTCAGTTCACTCCAGCTGTGACCTCCTGAGTTCAAGTAATCCTCTTGCCTCAGCCTCCCAAGTAGCTGGGACCACAAGTGTGCAAGACCATGCCCGAATAATTTTACATTTTTTATAGAGATCAGGTCTCACCATGTTGCTCATCTCAAACTCCTGGGCTGAAGGGATCCTTTTGCCTTGGCCTCCCAAAGTGCTGAGATTATAGGTGTGAACCCCTGCACCCAGCCTAAAACTAAAACATTTTCTTTAACACTCAACCTGAGTTCGATCAACCATTTTGAAATCCTAAAAACAAACAACAATAACAACAAAAAAAGAAGGGCCATCAAAGTCTTATTGGGCTGACATAGCTCTAATATTGTTATAAACATGTACTATACACACACTACACATACCGTGGACACTTATACATCTTTTTTCAGATGCCCATATTTTTTTTATTTGGTTTTACTGTATAATAAAAACACTCAGGACACACAACCCCTCCCCACAATAAAACACCATTTCTCATTTTAAATGATTATATTTACAGGTGCTTTGGCCCCTAAAAAGTCATGAGTTGTTATGAACTTTATAAGAAGTAATATGTGAAAAATCCTCCAGAATATTAGTCGTTACGGTATATTCTCAAGCTCAGTGCTTCCAAATCTGGCTATCAGATTCCCTTTAAATGTTTACTTTTAAAAATGCTCTCCAGGTGATTCTGATGATCAGCTAGAAAGGGGAACAACTTCTTTTAAAATTTAATTTAATTTTAAGTTCCAGGATGCACGTGCAGGACATGCAGTTTTGTTACATAGGTAAACGTGTGCCATGGTGGTTTGCTGCATCTATTAACCCATCACCTAGGTATTAAGCTCCACATGCATTAGCTATTTATCCTGATGCTCTCCCTCTCCCCACACCTCCAACATGTCCCAGTGTGTGGGGAAAAACTTCTTAAGTCCCACTCCCAAGGAATAAACTGACTGGAGATGTCAGGACACTGTGGGATGTGTATTTGATCTAAACACGTTCCCTACTGCCTTCCTTCAGTTATAAAGTCTTATTCTTGTAAAGACAGCATCGTAACATTAATTATCTTTTCTGGTTACTCTTTATCTGTAAGTGATATATCAGATGCTGTTGAGCATTATCCAAATGTAAGGGAAGTATTATTATCACCACCTTAAGGCTAGGTTGTTGAGGTTCAGGGAGAATAACTTTCTCAAAGGAACTGTCATTGAGTAAGTCAATTCGGTTAACTTAAGGGTGATTATTAACTCACTAATGAGAGTGATCAGGAGTAACTGAAGCATCTTCAAGTCCTGTCATCAAGAGTCACCTTCCAAAATGAAAGATGCACAGGCCCTTTTATTTAAAAAGTCTTTAGAAAATTTCCACACACACACACACACACACACACACACACACACACACACACACACAGAATCATTTGTAAAAACCTGAGAACTAATGGTTTTAAAACTTTTATTCAGTAGAATAATTTATTTATGCGATTGAACAACAACTTTAAAGGATTTTCCAGACCTTATTTTCTCCAAACCTTAAATATTTTAGTTCATCCTATGAAGAAGCATTTGCTTTTTAAAAAGGCTGAAGGTTTGAGTAACACTTTGCTTTGATCCCATTTTCTGCCTGGGGAAGAGCATTTCTTATCTATCATTTGATGCATAAAATTTTATTGTTACTCCAGAGTTAGAGGAGGAGAAAAATAACCGAGGACAACTTCAATTTGCAGAGTACCCAAGGGCTGGGAAGAAGAAGATATAAGATGATTCTAGACTTGAACATTATATTTTATGTTCAAAGTATCCTCAAGATACTATGAATTTGTTTACACACTTAGCTTAACTTTGAAAGGACAACCTTAAATCAAGAAAACAGTTTTAATTTTACTGTGCCTAGTTCAAAGCAATGTCTCAGAGTCAGCTATAATTTGAGCAAAACAGTAATAGTTACAGCAGGTGCAGGTTTTCCTTCAGCCTGACCAGGGTCTTGTTGTCTGCAAGTTACTGAATCACTCTTGTCAATAAGACCAGTCATCCCTGTCTTACAATAGAAATTCCAAAAATCAATGCATCACACATTACTTCCTTTGAAAGCAGCACTGAAGATCTGTCAGTCAATAGCAACTACAACAGAAACCGTTCACGTCACCTGTTTCTCCCCACCCTCTCCATCTCTCATAGCCTGAAGAGAAGAAGCCTTGGTTAGTGGCTCCTCAGTGAGCTCTGCTTATCTGCCAACTGGCTGTAACAATAGTCAGTAAATACTTACTGAATATTAATAATGAGCCTGGCATTGTGCCAGCTGTTGGCTTCCATCTCATGTCCTTTTCATTTGTCATTGTCTATCACTACACTGTAAGTACCACAACAGATGGAAACTTCTCTGTTTTGTTATTAGTGTATCCTCACAATATTTGTTAAATGAGTGAGAGACTCAGGATACAAAGGTGGAATAAAAGCAGACGTGGTTCCTGCTCTCATAGGATGCTCGTAGTTTAGTGACGGAAATAGACGTTAATCAAAGAGTCTTACAAATGAATGAAAATTTACAACTATGATAAATGTGGAGATGAGAGACTTAAGAAAGAGATAATTGACCACAAAATGAAGGTCACACTAGGATTCCTGATAAGGGGCAACACGGTGAGATAAACTCTGAAAGAAGAGGTAAAAGAGGAATGATATGGGTAGGGAGATTGTTTGAGTCCAAGGAAGTTGACTCAAGGCCACATTGCTGAAGGGAACATGCTTATTCAAGTAAAAAAGCCAGTGTGGTGGTGTAGCAGAGGGAAAGTGAAAGGATGGTCTTCAGATGAGGCTGGGTAGGCAGGTGGGATCCAGACAAAGGCGGGAACCTATAGACAATGTCAAGCATTTGGATCTTTAGCTTGAGATTGACTGGAAGCCCCTAGATGAGTTTTAATCAGTAATAAAATGAGCAGATTTGCACTTTGTAAAAGATCACTCTGCATTGTAGAGAATGGACAAGTCATGGTTTAAATGGAAAAATTATTGCCACAATTCATTCAAGAGATGTGGTCAGCTTGGATTAGGATACAACAGAGGAGATATAATGCAGTGAAAAGATTTGGAAGATATTTTGGAAGTCAAATTGACAAGGTATGGTTTTAGAGTCAATATGAGGAGTGAGAAAGAGGGAGGAGTCAGGGATGACTCCTAGATTTCTGGCTTGCTTACCAGAATGGAAGCTCATATTGTTCACTGATAATGGTCACACCAGAAGAAAACCAGGTATGGAGCTGTAGTGTGGGGCTGGATGCAATGAGTTCAGTTTTTCGTTATGCTGTGCCTAAGTGCCTTTGAGATAGCAAAGCAGGGACATTTAGTAGAAAATTGGTATAAGTGGTTATATGAATCTAGAAGTCCCAGGAAAGGTCTGTGCCAGAGAAATATTAACAAGTGTGACTCTTGTGTAAATAGATGAAAATTGAAACCATTGGTATGGATATAATTGCCTGAATATAGAAATTGAAAAGAGAGACAGGTTAAGACAGAAATTTGAGAAAGTTTCATCATTTAATGCAATGTAATTATTGAATAACGAAGAATGATTGTGTAAATTAGAGAAAGAAGAAACTGCAGAGACTAGAAGTAAACCAGGAGATGGTTGTGTGATGAAAACCAAGGGAAGTTTCACCCATATCAAAAGCTGTGGAGAGATGGAAAACAATCATATATCTGTTTTCCCAACATGTAACTTATGTTCACTATTGTACCCAGAGTAACTAACAAAGTTGGACTAATAGTTGGATTTTAACAAATAATTTTGGAATTAATGAATAAATGTTCAACACAAGATATGAAATCTTAGAGGAAGACATAGGCCATCAAGGGAAAATGGGAGAAGTCATCATAAAATGTGGGAGTTGGGAGAAAAGTGATGATTTCCACAAACATATCCATCATGTTATTTGTGGTCAATTATTAGGGTTAGACTTAAAACCCTGACTAGATCACCTTTCCTCTACAGTATGTGGATATGATGGTAAATTTCTGAAAAGACAAGCTGGTCAAGAATATGAGTGGAATCCTACATCATTGCGGAAGACTTACAGAAAAAACAAGGCACAGGTGTGCAAGGCTGACCTTTATGGAGCACTTTTTGACTTTGATCCTTAGGGATTTCATCGCTTCTGCTCTGTAGCCATTTTGAGTTATAGGTTTCAGAATGAAATAAAATGTTGCTGCTTTGGCTAAATATGCATTTATTTTAATTACTCTACCAAAGACTTAAATTCCACATGGTATACACTGTCTATAATAATGCCCAAATGTCACCAGCTTAGCCCAGTGGAACTTAAGTCTCATTCATGCAGCATTTCTGTGCAAGTGTTTGGTGGGTGGCTCTCCCTGGGGTGATTTATGAACTCTATCTGGTGGCTGCACTGTCTTTTGGAGCTGTGGAGGCCTATGCTGAATTCTCTGCTTCCAGCCAGCCAGAGAGTGGAAAGGGAGCATTATGAAATATTTTTCGGGTGCTGGGCTAGAAGTAGCATCCATCTCTTCTACTCATATTCCATCAATTAGAACACAGTCATGTGGCTACACTTTATTGCCAGGGAGGCTGGAGAATTTGTCTGGCCATGTACCTGAGTGGAAAGGAAAATAGATTTGTTAAACCTGTCTACCTCTCTCCACAGGGCCTTTTCCTCTATGTCCTGCTAGTTTAAGGGACTAATTAAGCCCTGTTACCTTCCTTGTCAGAGAATTATCTTTCTTTGTTTAACATATTTGCTTTAAACTGTTTCTGCCTGTCTTAACTTTTACTTGAATGCCTTCTCTCCTCAAGGAAGAGAAAAACATGACTTAGGGCTGATTTCCCAGGATTGTCTCATGATTATCTTGTAGCCAAGAGGACCCAACATCTGGCAATCAAGTAGCCAAAACTACTTTTCTCTGGCTTTACCTTTGGAGTTACTTTAAAAAAAGTGTTTTTATAAGTTCTACTTCAACAACGTTTTGGGGAAAATGCTTACAGTTTAACAGTTTAGCTTTTGTTAGAAACAGTTGTTTTCCAACCTTAGGAGGCATGTAAATCACCTGGTGAGCTGGCCCCATCCCCAGACCTTCTGATTCTCTAGGTCCGAATGAGAATTTGCATTTCTAATAAATTCCCAAGTGATCCTCATATTGCTGGTTCAGGGATTACACTTTGAAAATCGTTGCTCCAAAATAAACTCTAAAATAAATTTTTTTATTTTATTTTTAAAGAGTACATCCTATTTTCCTAAACCTGAAATTTAATTCATATGGGAAGATAACACAGTAGACAATACATTTTAAGATCAGGAAAAAACTTAGAGATAGAAAATTGTAATCTTTGCTTTGAGCCAGCCAATTTTCAGCCAGCAATATGAAACTAGGCAAGCCATTTTACCTTTCAGATTTTCCATTTCTTTATAAACTAATGATAATAACATCTACTTTGCCTGGGACATGAGATTTTTGTGCCAGGCTAATCAGGAACAGAACAGCCAGGAGATCTGCTTGTTTCTATGGAAAACGAGATTTATACCCCATCAGAGAACTCCCTGAGGGCTGCCCACCTACAAGGAAAACTATTATGTAGCCTCACAAATGAGGCTGCTTTAGTTTTCTGGAAGGTAGTGTATTCTCTGCCCTTGAACCAAATTTCAAAACACCACCAGCAATCATGCTGAAAGGTCAAATGTTGAATCCTTATGATTCTCAACAAAGCTCTATGATAGAATCACCTGCTTTGAGAAAAAAAATGTCCATGCTCTGGCTTCATACATTCTGAGGTGGGGTCTGGGCATTCACAAATGAGTCTTATGTGGGAGCTGGGTTGAGAACCAACCTGTCAGTGACAGACTGTGGCCCCTTGCAGCATCCTGCCCTGGTGAGTGAAGTGAGTTGTATTGTGACTTCTAGCTTATAGATGATGGACAAATTCTGTGCACCACAAAGTTTGATTGCATTGGGGATATTAAATTCCCATGCAGTGAGCAGTCTATCACAGGACAAATGAGAGTGTCAGAGCAGGCTTTTTAGGGCCTGTGTTATTATGTTGAATGATAAACTGCTTGCAAGTGATTAAACTGCCTCCATAGACCTAGGCCCTCACTTTTTTCTTTTCAGATGATGCCATCTATCTTTGTATTTCTTGTTTCCTACCAACACACGTGTCGAATTGCCGCAAAGCATCTCAGTGCTTGAGAAGTCTGTTGAAAGAGATGTTTCATGCTTAATTTTCTTAGTCATGCAGAACTGGATCAAATCTGTGTCATAAGAAATTGGGCAACTATAAATAATCGTGGGTTTACATATTTTATTTTCAGGTTTTATTTTAACTTTTATCACTAGGAAAAGTCAAGCAGAACCATAATTTTGAGAAGGAAGTGAAACAGGATGGGCATGAGATGCAGATGGTGCTATGATCTGTAGAGCTTTCTCTGTATATTTCACTTGTGTTTCAGTTGTTTCAGTGGAACAATGAGCAAAAACTGAAGGTCATTTGTTCCATAAAGGATTTCTTGAAAAGCTATTATTATTAACATAGTTGACATTAAAGTAATTTGACCTGAGTAATAGTTGTCTCAGAACAACTTTCATTTGGTTCATATATCAGCACTAAATTACTTTTGATGATTCTAGAAAGAGATAGTTAGAAAACATAAATTGTAGAGATTCTGATGAACTGAATTCCACAGTTGAATGAACATCTTGGGACCAAGGTCTGTTAGTTTTTCCAAATGTACTGATAAGGAAAGACAATAATTTTGTGATGGAGCTGTTATTTTTAAAATTTTGACTGGAGATGACAAGAAATTCTCATCAGATGCTATGAACACTGCTCTTGGATACTTCCCTTCTTCTAGATACTTATTTTCTGATTATCTCTTTGCTTTGCTTTTTTTTTTTTTTTAGAAAATGGGTTATTTATCTTTTTATTATTGGGGTTGTAAGAATTTGTTTTTTTTCTGAGACAGGGGCTTGCTCTGCTGCCCAGGTTCAGTGCGGTAGCATGATCATAGCTCACTGCAGCCTCGAACTCCTGGGTTCAAGCAATCCTCCCACCTCAGCCTCACCAAGAAGCTGGTGCCCAAGCATGCACCACCACACCTGGCTAATTTTTGTATTTTTTTCTAGAGACAGGGTCTTGCTATGTTGTCCAGGTTGGTGTTGAACTCCTGGGCTCAAGAAATCCTCCCACCTTTGGCTTCCAAACTGCTGGGATTACAGGTGAGAGCCACTGCACCCAGCCTTTGCTCTGCTTTTTTGGTGACATAGGTTTGGTTTAGATGATTGCTTCTAGGAAAACTGTGTTAGCAACTCTGCAGTGTGTAGAGGTTCCTAAAGATGGAGAGGAGGCACAGGATTCTAGTTCTTGTCTTTCCAGCTAGCAGCGAACTGGGGTTTAGAACCAAATAAAATCAGAATTCCCACGGTGTGAGGAGAGGTACTCAGGATAAAACTGGCTTCAGACTCTGGGCAAGGCAGGGACTGGTCTATGTCAGCTGGAGGCATCTTTCCCAGACACTGGAGAGTGCATGTGTGGAGTTTCCACACTAGGCACAGTGTCTAGCTACCAGGAACAGAGGCTGGCACTGTTCTGCACCTATACCAGAAACTCAACAGAGGAGGCTTACTTTTATTCATATTGTTTTACTAACCATCCCCCACCCCATAGGAGGAAGGGGAAAAAATAACTTGTGAATAAAGTGGAAGAAAATTAAGATATAAAAAAGATTTGCTTGCCTTTTTTGTTTTTAAGGGTTTGTGAAGAGGCAAAAAAGGCTGAATCCCATTCTGTTCTTCAGGAATTATTCCTGAAGTATTTTGTTCTTTGTCTTAGATCAAGTCTGAAGATGTGAGATGTACTGCTACACATTGTTGTTATCTATTCTGTAGTGGAAATACACATTCCAGAACTGGATGTGGCATGGTGTAATTTTCCTGTCTAATTAGCCCTAGCACTCTTAAGTTAAAGGCTCACACTGCATGTCCGTTGGCATGACATCAGTCCACCACTGACTCTGACTGTCAGCAGGAATCTAAATATTTGGGCCAATGCATTTTGTCTAGAGCTTATATTTGTAGTTCAAAGAGAACTTCTTTGTAATGAAAAAAAAAGCATTTTTGTTATTATGTTTCCTCTTCTTTGGAATTAGCAACTATCCCAATTAAGCCTCTCTAACTTCTCCTACTTCCCCAATAGGCATACCTCTTGAACTGCTTTAGTTACCAACAAAAATGGGAATGATAGGTCTTTGTAATTAGCTTTTTAGAGATAGAAAAATCACAGCTATTAACCCCAGACTGTGTCTAATGTGGAGTCTCAACTTAATAAATTAGCTAGAAGTATGCTGCCTTTCTCTGTAGTGAAGCCTTATGGCAGCCCTGGCTTATGGCTGCTGGTTACTGATGAACCAAAAAGATTGTTGTGAGGCTATTTCTATTGTCCTACGCTCATCATCTTAGGTGTGGAAGAGTCATTAAAAAATTAAAGTTATCAAAGAATTATTAAAGATCACTGTTTCGTCCCTTCCCTGCCCCAGTGCTGGTACTCTCTTTACAACATCTCCCCCACGTGGTAGCCTTGATCCTGATAGAACTCACCTCATGAGCCTGAGGCAAAAATAGTCTCCAGCTTCCAGCAGACAGTTACAATTTGGAGTTATCCATCAAAATAGTCTACTTAAAACTGTAGAGAGCTATAGCTTAGAAGGAGACATAAATGTATAAATAGATAAATTGATATAAAATGTTGTGAGTGCTTTGATATAGGCACAAATAACTTGTTAAGAAACAACTAACTGCCTGGGAAAGTCTTGGAAAGATACCCTGAGGAGACATTGGAATCTGTCTTGAAGAATAAGTAGAAGTGAGTGTGTGTATGGGTGGGGGTGAGGGGGACTGGGAGTGAGTAAGAATATTTCCACAGAAAGAATAGCCGGTACAAAGATATGAAATCTGGAAAAGGCTGCGTTAAGCCAGGGCAAGAAGTTGAGAATGGCTGGATGGAAGGGCTTATGAAGTGGATTCTCTTTTCAGAAAGAGATGGCTTGAGCCTGGCTATTTGGGGGTTTGCTTGTTCAACCAAGAAGTTTAGATTTTATCTTACAGAAAAAGAGAAGACATCAAGAGGTTTGAAGCATGGGAGTGACTTGATTTGATTTCCAGTTTAGAAAGATAACACTAGTGGCAGTTTTGAATACTTATTTGATGGAGAAGGGAGTGAATCAGGGATACAGGCTGGGTGTAAAGCACTCTGCCCTCCCAGCAGCCCAGGTGGCCTGTTTTTGGTTCAGAAAATAAAGTTACTGTTTATAGAGACAGACTTAACTGGTTGTGATAGATCATTGCAAAATGTTATGCCTGATGTATGAATATTTGCAAAGTAAAATGGAAAATTGTGGCAATTGCTTGGATTATGCAGGGAAACAAAAATTGACTTGAAATACTAACATAAGGAATTTTAAGATGGAAAAAGCATAGATCAACGAGCAAAAGCTTTCTTTTTTTTTCCCCCATGAAATGATCAACTGTAATTTGGCTGGACGTAGTCTTAAGCATATACTCTTATAATCTCATGATTTCAATAGTATGTTTTTCTGTGACATCCTTATGGATCACAAAGTCACAATGGCATAGTATAAAATGGAATCACATTAAAAAATTATATTCTAGGCTGGACGTGGTGGCTCACACCTGTAATCCCAGCAATTTGGGAGGTCGAGGTGGGTGGATCACTTGAGGTCAGGAGTTTAAGACCAGTCTGGCCAACATAGTGAAACCCCATCTCTACTAAAAATACAAAAACATTAGCTGGGTGTGGTGGCATCCGCCTGTAATCTCGGCTACTCAGGAGGCTGAGGCAGGAGAATTGCTTGAACCCTAGAGGTGGAGGTTGCAGTGAGCAGAGATCCCACTGCTGCATTCCAGCCTGGGTGACAGAGCAAGACCCTGTCTGAAAAAAAACCAAAAAGTATTCTTAAAAAAGAAGGCAAAATAAGATTAGTAGAGGAACCAGTGCACATTTGCATATACTTAAAAACTTGTGTACTTTTTAGCTGGCTTGTCGGGATTACAACTCTCAAGCTAGCATAGCTGATGAGCTTTTGATCCCTTTCCTCCTATGGGGTGGGGGATGGTTAGTAAAACAATATGAATAAAAGGAAATGCAGTGGTGCTCAGAAGGAGAAGAGTTTGAGCCGTCTAATTGTTCCCCACATTCCATTTTGCCTTATAGACTTTGCATCGTCTGCCCTTTTTGGCTTGCTGGCTATTCAGTTCCCATTTTCTGCATGTCACAAACAAATGCTCCCAGGATAAAGTCAGAAACAGAACTTGAGTCTATTTCAAAAAAAGATGAGGGAGGAATATGCCTGGATTAAAGCCATGAAACAAATCCCCAAATATCCTTGCTAATTTAACATGAAAATAAGCTTTTAATAGTTTATCTTTATTCATGTTACATGTTTATTTAGTAGCATCTCAGTATTGAGAAAAGTAGATTTTGCAGCCAACTGACAGAAGAGTTTGGTCTGGATACTGGTTGTCCTCCCTGCAGGGATGGTTGGCTCTTGCGCTTGGAATGTCCCGGGGCTTCCCAGTATAGAAATGTGTGCTGGTCAGAACTGATCTCTGGCATGATTGTCAATGGCATCCATGAATTGGCCCACACCAGCACATTTTCCTGCGACTTCTCAGCTTCTGGTCTGTAGCTGCTTTCCGTCATTTTGTATTTGCTGCATACTCCATCAACCTAATAAAGCAGCTGTTTATTATGCGTGACCTGCTCTATAGTGTGACTGATGGATAACTGCAGCATTTAAAGTCTTGTGTTAGATTCTCAGCCTGCTGCCAGCTCTCCATTATATTCCATAAAAATGTTTCTTGTTATGGACTATCAGAAGCAAAAGTAAGTTATTTTAGGGTCAGAGCCAATTTGAACCCTCTAAAGTACTGCCAGATTAGAAGGTGGGAGAAAATAAGAAGCAGTCTGGAAGAAGCTGCAATTAAGGGCATCAAACATATGCACAAAGCATACCTTTTTCATAGTCCTGCATATACAGACACAGAGTATTTTATGTGGAGCATGTGATCCAATATGAGCTGGTATAGTCATATCTGTGAGGTTGGAAGGCTGGTTAAAAGAAAGGCAAGGACAGACAACTCTATTTATTATTTATTATTCACTCTGGTCCAGTGCTTTGCTGTGTTCTACTGCACATTATATGTCATTGATTTTCTAATAATCCCAAGGAGTTTTTTTTTTCTCCCATTTTATTGGTAACGTCTGAGGAAACAAGCTCTGAAAAATTGTGTCAATTTCTTGGCTTCTCACAGATAGTACAGGGTGTGCGGGATGAAAGCCCAGGTTGGTTTGGTGACAATGCCTGAGTCGTTTCCACTACCCTCTCCATGCTCTCAGTTAAATGACTTCTCAGGGTGAAAGCTCCTTAAGCCAGTCCTGGGGATTCACATAGAGGACTTGACTGGCCTCCAAAAATTTGCTTCTTAAGGTTTCAGGGATTCAATAGCTAGAGATTCATCCTAACAACACAAAAGTTGATTTCCTTGTAGTTTATTTTCATAAATATATTATGTATACTAAGTTTATATTAGCAAATAATGTGATAATTTTAAAAACATGTTTATACAAACATAGCCCTTTCTTTTTCTTTTTCTTTCTTTCTTTCTTTCTTTTCTTTCTTTCTTTCTTTCTTTCTTTCTTTCTTTCTTTCTTTCTTTCTTTCTTTTCTTTCTTTTTCTTTCTTTTTCTTTTTCTTTCTTTCCTTCCTTCCTTCCTTCCTTCCTTTCTCTTTCTTTCTTTCTTCCTTTCTTTCTTTCTTTCTCTTTCTCTCTCTCTTCCTTTCTTCTTTTCTTCTTTCTTTCTTTTTTTTTTTGAGTCGGAGTCTCGCACTGTCCCCTGGGCTGGAGTGCAATGGCACAATCCCAGCTCACTGCAACCTCCGCCTCCCAGGTTCAAGTGATTCTCCTGCCTCAGCCTCCTGGGTAGGTGGGATTACAGGCACCCACCGTCACGCCTGGCTAATTTTTGTATTTTTAGTAGAGACGGGGTTTCACTATGTTAGCCAGGCTGGTCTCGAGCTCCTGACCGCGTGATCTACCCGCCTTGGTCTCCCAAAATGCTGGGATTACAGGCATGAGCCACCACGCCCGGCCTCTTTCTTTTTTTTTCTTTTTTACATGTACTGGTTTATTATAAAGGATATTGCGAAGGATACAGAAGAAGGAGTGACATGTAGCGTGAGGTATGGGGGAAGGGGCAGGGAGTTTTCACGTCCTCCCTGGATGTGCCGCCCTTCAGGGACCTCCACACGTTCAGAGTTCAGCTTGGTAGCTCGCTGACTCTGCCCTCTTGGGTTTTTATGGAAGCTCCATGATGTCAGCATTCCTCCCCCTAGGGTACAGGGTGGGATTCTCTCCTGGGAGGGTCTTAAGACCCACAATCAGAAAGATGGGGGAACATTAGAGTCCTGCCTTGGAGCAGGTGAAAGGAGAGCAGAAGAAAGATTCTATTTCCTGAGGCCTGCGCCTGAGGCCTAACACCCCCAACATTGTGACAGAAGACTGTGACAAGGGCTCTGGGAGTTATGAACAAGGAACCATGGATGAAAACCAATATATATCATAACACCACAGGCCAGACCCTGGTTTTCAACCATGGATCCTTTACATCAAAAATATATATATACACAATCATTAATAATTAGTCCAGTTAATCAGATTGTGTGAGTATCTCCCAGGATGAGATCAACCAGGTTTGCAGGTTTCCTGTCAGTCTTGTCAGGTCCCAAAAGCAGGAGTGGCCTCAGTAAATATTCAACCTCACCCTTTCAGGCATCTGGGATGACTGACCTAAGAGACAATATCATCTCTTACTCTGAGACTCCTTTGAGTTGTTAACTGTAAGCCAAAAAGTACCTGAGACAGGTCTCGATCAATTTAGAAGTTTATTTTGCCAAGCTTAAGGACACATGCCCAGTAGACAAGTCTGTGCCTTTCTCCAAAGATGATTTTGAGGGCTTCAATATTTAAAGGGGAAAGTGTGGCTATTGGGGAAAGAGAAAGAAATTTTTGAAAGATGTGAGTAGACACAAGTGGGAGTTGAACAATGAGAACACATGGACACAGGGAGGGCAACAACACAGAGGGTAGGGGGCAGGGGGATGGAGAGCATTAGAACAAATACCCAATGCATGCGGGGCTTAAAACCTAGATAATGGGTTGATAGGTACAGCAGACCACCATGGCACATGTATACCTATGTAACAAACCTGCACATTCTGCACAGGTATCCTGGAACTTAAAGTGAAAAAATTAAAAAAAAAAGAGATGTGAGTAGATAAGAGGCAAATGGTTGCATTCTTTTGAGTCTTTGAGTAGCTGTTCACATGTGAAAGAAGAGTAGAAGAATAGTTGCTTATGCATTCATCTAGCTCAGTGAATCTGAATTTTTACATAAGATACAATAAGCATAGGGCAGAGGAAGCAATCAGATATGCACTTGGCTCAGGTGAGCAGAGGGATGACTTTGAATTGTGTTCTTTGTCCTGTACCTGTAAGGATAAGCTATCAAGTTACATCGTTAGGGTGAAATTCAACAGAACTGTTTTAGGGTAAAGATCTTGAGGCCCACAAGGAGTTTTCTAGTGGGCAAATTGTGAGGGAGCTATGTTTTTTTTTTTTTTTTTTAATCTTTGTAGCTGTCTTATTTAGGAATAAAATGGAAGGCAGGTTTGCCTGATACAGTGTCTGGATTGACTTTTCCCTTTGGCTTAGTGACTTTGAGGTCCTGAATTATTTTCCTTTCACAAAACGTAACATTGAATTTTTTCGATTAATAACCTATATATTCATTTTCCTACTCTCAGCTACTGTTTCCCCTTCTCTCCATTAATACCCAAACCTTTTCACCTTTGGGAAAGACATTAGAAATGCCACTGTGCTGGTCTAGATTGCAGGTAGCAATACAAGTCTAGCAAGTAGTTCCTCCTCAGTCTATTCCCATTCTGATAGGGTAAGGTTACATAACAGCAGAACTAGTGAGCTATTTTTACCACCAGGCAATACCGATGCATTCACTGTTAGCCCCAGTTTTGCTACATGGGGTGAAGGCACAACCCACTCCCATCATGGCCTTAAGGATTTTGACATAAGATTTAAAATCACAGTTACAGTTTTTTTGTTTAGAAATAATCTCTGCTGTTTCAGCATGTGTAATTATAGCCGTAGTCTTCGGACTAGTGTATCAGGTAGAGGAGCAAAAATGAATAATTTTTAAAAAGTTATTATTATTAATATTATTATTTTATAGAGATGAGGTCTCACTATATTACCCAGGCTGGTCTTAAACTCTGGTGCTCAAGTGCTCCTCCTGCCTCAGCTCTCCAAAGTGCTGAGATTACAGGCGTGAACCACCCATGCCCAGCCTAAATTTTTTTTTTGAGGTGATCTGGGGAAGAAAGAAAAAATTATAGTAATTATACTAGTGCGATTCTCTCTCAGCAAGAATTGCATAGTCATACCAGCATCTTCTCCACCCCTTCTTCTCCAGTCAACCAGAAAAAATGAGAAAAAATCTAGCAGAGACAGTCTAGTCCCACTCATGTTGAGTGTGAGCACACATTCCTGAAGGCATGTAAGCTTGCCCTTCATGCTTTTATCTTCCCCCTGTTTTAGAATACCAATGTTTCAGTTGCCCATTCTACTTCTCTATCAAACTATTATTCGAAGGAAGATATCTCTCTGCCTATTGTTGGACATTATGGGCTGTACAGTGTGTTCCTTGGTCTGAAGAAATAGTGGTTGACCATCCACATCCAGGCAACATCTTCTGTTTTTTTGTTTTGTTTTTATGGCACTCTGAGCATTTTCATTTCCACTGGATAAGCAAAACCCACTCTGCAATCGTGTCTATTCTTGTCAAGACACATTTGTAGCTCCCCAGGGCTACCAGCATCAGTTTTACTTGTCAGCTATGTTCTGGGTCTTCCCACCAGAGCATTTTCCCCATAGCCGTCAGCAGTCCCTGTCTCCCTTGATGAGAAACAGAACAGTTCTTCTGTCACAGTAGATAGTCAGATGTGAGCAGGGCAGGAGAGCCCTCCCCCCTACCTCCCACCCACACAAGAAATGCCAAGCAACCATCAGGTGATGGTCAGGCAGTTGTTAAACTGTCTCTCTAAAATAAGAATTGGTCACAGCCAGTGCCAGGGAAAGGCAATCTCCCAATAGAAAACACCAGAAGCTGGTGATAAGCAGCTTCTTGATAAGCTCTCAGGAGTTGGGCAAGCAGGTCCAAGTGTCCTCACTAAGAGGTAAAATAATGGAGTTTAACTGGTATATGACCTTCCTCTAGGAACAGTCAACCAGTAAGGGAAAAGAGCCTGAAATGAGCATGTGCACAACTTAAGTAAACACATTGCACATGTAGTCTCTCCCAAGTGCTGGCAGGCCTCTGTGCATGTGGACAACCACCCCAAGGGAAAAATCAAGGGAGGAGAGGTGGAAACCCCAGAACCATGCCAATGTATAAAACCCCACATCAAGAGCCAAACAGGGCACTTTGATCTCTCATATTGCCCACTTGGCCCTTTTCCAAGTGTACTTTCTTTTCTTTTTTTACAGAGTCTCATACTGTCACCCAGGCTGGAGTGCAATGGCATGATCTAGGCTCACTGCAACCTCCACCTCCCAGGTCCAAACGATTCTCCTGCCTCAGCCTTCATAGTAGCTGGGATTGCAGGTGCCCGCCACTGTGCCCAGCTAATTTTTGTATTTTTAGTAGAGACGGGGTTTTGCCATGTTGGCCAGGCTGGTTTTGAACTCCTGACCTCAGGAGTCTGCCTCAGCCTTCCAAGGTGCTGGGATTACAGGTGTGAGCCACCACACCTGGACACTTTACTTTCTTTCAATCTTGCTGTCAAATTTTGTAAAAAAAATTATGTTCAATAGTTTTTGGTGAACAGGTGGTGTTGGTTACATGGATAAGTTCTTTAGGTGTGATTTCTGAGATTTTGGTGCACCCATTACCTGAGCAGTGTACCCAGCACTCAGTGTGTAGTTTTTTATTTCTCACCCCACTCCCATCCTTCCCCTGCCCCCTGCCAAGTCCCCAAAGTCCACTGTGTCATTCTTATGCCTTTGCATCCTCATAGCTTACCTCCCACTTATAAGTGAGAACATACAATGTTTGGTTTTCCATTCCTGAGTTACTTCACTTGGAATAATGGTCTCCAGCTCCATCCAAGTTGCTGCAAATGCCATTATTTTGTTCATTTTTATGGCTGAGTAGTATTCCATGGCATATATATACCATGTTTTATTCTTTCTTTTCTTTTCTTTTTTTGACAGGGTCTCACTCTGTCACCCAGGCTGGAGTGCAGTGGCGTGATCTTGGTTCGCTGCAGCCTCCACCTCCAAGGTTCAAGCTATTCCCATGCCTCAGCCTCCTGAGTAGCTGACATTACAAGAATGTGATATACCATATTTTCTTTATCTATTTGTTGATTGATGGGCATTTTGGTTGGTTCCATGTTTTTGTGATTGAGAATTGTGCTGCTTCAAACATGCTTGTGCATGTGTCTTTTTCATATAATGACCTCTTTTTCCCTTTGGGTAGATACTCAGTGGTGGAATTGCTGGATCAAATACTTTTAGTTCTTTAAGGAATCTCCATAGAGTTTTCCATGGTGGTTATAGTAGTTTACATTCCCACCAACAATGTAAACATATCCCCTTTTCACCACATCCATGCCAACATGTGTTATTTTTTGATTTTTTGATTATGGCCATTCTTGCAGGAGTAAGGCAGTATCACATTGTGGTTTTGATTTGCATTTCCCTGATCATTAGTGATGTCGAGCATTTTTTCATATTTTTGTTGGCCATTTGTATATCTTATTTTGAGAATTATCTATTATTTCCTTAGCCTACTTTTTAATGGAATTTTTTTTTCTTGCTGATTTGTTTGAGTTTCTTTGTAGATTCTGGATATTAGTCCTTTGTCAGATGCATGGTTTGCAAGGATTTTCTCTCACTCTGTGGGATATCTGTTTACTCTGCTCATGATTTCTTTCTGCTTCTGCTCTAAAACTTTTTGATAAACTCTCGCTCCTGCTCTAAAACTTGCCTCCGCTTCTCACTCTGCTTTATACCCCTCAGCTGAATTCTTTCCTCTGAGGAGGCAAGAATCAATTTGCTGCTGCTAAAACTTCCCGGCATGTTGTGCCTGAGAGGATGCAAAAGGAGCACGTCTGGATTCAGCCCATCTCTGCCCTGCTGCAATATCCCCATATCCACTCATTTTGTGGGCCCAGGTGGCCACCTTCAGGGAGCACATGGAGAATTCTGCTTGTTGATTCTAGTCACTATCTAAACCGGGAAAGGATTTCTTCTGATGGGTACAGACTTACTCTAATACACTCCTCAAATTCCCATTGGGCCATGCTCCATTATGGGCATCCCCTTAATAGACCAAGTTTTGCACTCTTGTGTGAGTGTATGACCAGGCTATTGGTCACTGCCCGTGAGACAGTAAAAACCCAAATATAGAGGGTCCTGCCATTTTTCAATGCTTCCATCACTGTTAGAAAAACGGCATGCAATTCAGCCCATCGAGCACGTCTATTTTTACCTTATTTGATCAAAATAACAGCATTCCAAACAGGCTGGTATTCATTTACCTTGGAATTGCTATCCATGAACCAAGCAGCTCTTGGTTGATCAGTAGAGAGCTGTTTATCCAGTACTGAGTTTATCAGGCACTAGCAGTTTCTTACACAGTTCCAGAGTCAGTCCTAGGAAAAAAGAAACTTCCTGCTCAAGAGTAGCTCCTGTTTGCATTCTCCATGTAGCATGATCTTCTATAAATCATTTCCATTTTATTATGGAACCCTTCTGGGCACTGTCATTCACATTAGAATGTTCCTCTGACATCATCTGGGACAGCATGGGTATTTTAGATGGCATAGAGGTAGCTTTAGCTAATGTTTCATAGGAAGGCAGTAAATGCCCCTCAAGAGGAAATCCTCTAGTCCAAATCCCAGTAGTTGTTGCTATGAGGTGTTCACAGGCTTTTGCCATAAGCCTCAGGAAATACTTGAGGGTTATCAAATTATGTATTTGTCCCTATCAGCACTCTAGCTTCTACTCTGCACTGTGTTGGCTTGGGTAATCTGGTTCTCATTTAGCATATCCAATTAGTATTGCTGGAAGGGTGAATTTACATGCCTTCTGTTTTATAGTACCAGGTAAGGGAAACATTCCCCAATCAGATACAATGTTCATTCCCATGATAAAATCAGGTAAAAGAGATGCAACCACTTCACATGAGGATGCTCAAATATACCAACTTTCACAATTCTATCAAGCCATGGATTTTATATTCTAGCCTCAGAAACTTCTCTTCCCCATCCCCAGATCATTTTACCCTTTCTTGTGCAAAAGGCTTTGGGTCCCCAGCTGCACTCATTCATTCTCATACTACTATAAAGAAATACCCAAGACTGGATAATTTATAAAGAAAGGAGGTTTAATTGACTCACAGTTCCACATGGCCACACAGGAAATTTTCAATCATGGTGGAAGGCGAAGGAGAAGCAGGCACCTTCTTCATAAGGCGGCAGGAGAAAGAGAGCTTGTGAAGGAGGACCTGTCAAACACTTAAAAAACCATCAGATCTCATGAGAACTCACTCACTATCATGAGAACAGCATGGGGAAAACTGCCCCCATGATCCAATCACCTCTCTCTCTCAACAATGGGGATTACAGTTCCCTCCCTCAATATGATGAGATTTGAGTGGTGACACAGAGCCAAACCATATCACCATATCACCAGCCAAGAGTTGAGCCAAAGAACCCTGGGCCTTTTGAGGTCAGATTTTTTCATTGCAATTTTTTCATTGCAATCTGTGCATTCCAGCTTTTAAAACTTCTCTAAACTGGGAGAAACAGCAAACTCATTTGGGGCCCTTTAATGTTGAGGGACCAGAAACACCTCCCTTTGGTCTATTCAGCCTTCTATAGTGTTGTATTAAGACCTTTGTTCTAACACCAACAATTTTCATTTTATTCATTTCATTTCTTAATAGTCATCTAAAGATTTCCACCCTGCTGGGACAAGTCCCATGACTCCCCCTTTCTTTTTCTTCTTAGTTTCACCCCATCAATGTTTTCTCTTTTTTTGAGATGGAGTCTTGCTCTGTCACCCAGGCTGGAGTGCAATGGTGCAATCTCAGCTCACTGCAACCTCTGCCTCCTGGGTTCAAGTGATTCTCCTGCCTCAGCCTCCTGAGGTAGCTGGGACTACAGGCGTGTGCCACCACACCCAGCTAATTTTTGTATTTTTAGTAGATATGGGGTTTTACCATGTTGGTCAGGCTTGTCCCAAACTCCTGACCTTGTGATCCACCCACCTCTGCCTCCCAAAATGCTGGGATTACAGGTGTGAGCCACCACACCCAGCCTCATCTTATTTTTTAATAATCATTTAAACATGTTCACCTTCCTGCAATGAGGTCTTTGACTCTCTCTTTTGCCTTTTTCTATTCTTTTGTTAATTAACCTAACGTTTTTCTTAGCATCTGTAAGACCTATGAGGGGAAGCTGAGGCAGCAAATGTGATAAGGCTTCTTGAACTGTTCCAGTATGAAAGTGTAAAGTCACATGGCACCTCATGTAGAAGAGGCCCCCTTAACCACAGCATTTACCATGACCTCGGTAATGGGCATATTTAATGGGTGAATCTCCCTGTCATCATAAAGCCAGTCTCATGTGGCTTGCATATGAAGGATATCAGTTGCTTCATCTTGGGTGCTCCACTTGGCATTTACAGGTGGAGTTGGACAGTTCCCCTTTTCAGGGTAAACAGACTTCACACTGGCTTGTATCCCGTCCATGAGGCTGACTGTTCCCTCAGGAATAACCTCCTGTATGTCTGGATCACAGATACCCACCTGCGATTGTTCAATAGTGAGCTGTGGGTCCTGCATCAACCCAAATATGCTCTACCTGTCTGCAGCACTTAAAACCAAAGATACTTCCTCAAAATTAATTGCTCTCATAATCCACTTTAGTAAAGGTTCCTCAGGAAGGCAATGATGCTGATCTACATAATGGAACAATTCCCTCACACTGTAACCTCTTTTTTCAGTAGTTACTTGATCTTGCCCTTTCTTCACATTCACTACTTTCTTGGGAACTACAGTTCTCAGAGGTGCTTTCTGTTGTCCCTGCGTAATTCTGCTCTTAAGGGGCAGCTTTGAGGCTCAGGCTGACTGAAATCTCACCTTGGTGTAGCATTAAGACCTGACCCAGTAGTCTCTTTTAATTTCATTTTAGCTCTCACAGATAATAATAACCAAGGGATTATTTTGATTTTTTCTTATTAGTTTGCATTTCTTTATGCATCCAATGAACCAACTCCTGGGGAATTGAATCCATCTCTAAATTCCACTGGTAAATTTTACTTCTAGTAACTGATCTTAACACAGCTGTGGCTTCATACCATAGGTGACCAGGTTGCCACCCAGGAATCAAAAATTCCTCACCGGATGTGGAGAAATAGGAATGCTTTTACACTGTTGATGGGAGTGTAAATTAGTTCAACCATTGTGGAAGACAGTGTGGCGATTCCTCAAGGATCTAGAACTAGAAATACCATTTGACCCAGTGATCCCATTACTGGGTATATACCCAAAGGATTATAAATCATACTGCTATAAAGACACACGCACACGTTTGTTTATTGCGGCACTATTCACAATAGCAAAGACTTGGAACCAACCCATATGTCCATCAATGATAGAATGGATTAAGAAAATGTGGCAAATATACACCATGGAATACTATGCAGCCATGAAAAGGATGAGTTCATGTCCTTTGTAGGGACATGGATGAAGCTGGAAACCATCATTCTCAGCAAACTATCACAAGGACAGGAAACCAAACACCGCATTTTCTGACTCATAGGTGGGAATTGAACAATAAAACTTGGACAGGGCAGGGAACATCACACACCGGGGCCTGTTGTGGGGTTGGGAGTAGGGGAGGCATAGCAATAGGAGAAATATCGAATGTAAATGCGAGTTGATGGGTGCAGCAAACCAACATGGCACATGTATACCTACATATCAAACCTGCACTTTGTGCACATGTATCCTGGAACTTAAAGTATATTAAAAAAAAATTCCTCACCTTCCACCCTTTTGTCCTTTCTTTTCTCAAGCCACATGTTTCCGTGAACAAGGGCCTTTCCAGCAAATCCCACTTCTCTGACACCAATTGTTTAGGGAAAAACTATCTCCAACCATGTTTTTCTCTACTTTTGTAACTGCCCAATGAGTTCCCCTTACTTGCTGCCTAGACAGAGCTGATTTATCAAGACAGGGGAATTGCAATAGAGAAAGAGTTTAATTCATGCAGACCTGGCTGTACGGGAGACCAGAGTTTTATTATTACTGAAATCAGCCTCCCAGAGACTTGGGGATAATTTGGTGGGTAGGAGATCAGCGAGTTGGAAGTGCTGATTGGTTGGGTCAGAGATGAAATCATAAGGAGCTGAAGCTGTCATCTTGTGCTGAGTCAGTTCCTGGGTGGGGGCCACAAGGCCAGATGAGACAGTTTATTGATCTGGGTGGTGTCAGCTGATCCATTGAGTGCAGTGTCGGCAAAATATCTCAAGCACTGGTGATGTTAGGTTTTACAATAGTGATGTTATCTCCAGGAATAATTTGGGGAGGTTGAGAATTTTGCAGCTTCCGGCTGTGTGACCCCTAACCATAACTTCTAATTGTGTGGCTAATTTGTAAGTCCCGTAAAGGCAGTCTAGTTCCCAGGCAGGAAGGGGTTTTGTTTTGGGAAATGATTGTTATTATCTTTGTTTCAAAATTAAACTATAAACTAATTCCCTCCCGGAGTTAGTTTGGCCTACGGCCAGGGATGAACAAGGACAGCTTGGAGGTTAGAAGCAAGATGGAGTCGGTTAGGTCAGATCTCTTTCACTGTAATAATTCACTGAGTTATAATTTTTGCAAAGGTGGTTTCACTCTCATGCCACAACAATCATCAACACAGAAGAAGACTTCTGTGACTAAATGTGTGTGGGTATTTCCCCCACACGCCAAGCAGTGAATATCAGTTGATACCAGTATTCTAATTCAGTTCTGATACTATCTTTCAGTTCTGTTGCTATCTACCCTGAGATAGTGTCGGATCCCACAGGTTAAGGGTTCCCCAAGACAGCACGCCCCCAACACACACACTAGTCACAAATCTGGGCTTCTGGAATTTCTGACTGACTGTCTTCAAATTGGGGTCCTCATGACCCCCCTTTTTGATTCAATTAATTTGTTGAAGCAGCTCACAGAACTCAGGGAGACACTTACTTATGTTACTTGGTTTATTATAAAGGATATTGCAAAGGATACATATGAAGAGACACGTAAGGTGAGGTATGGGGTAAGAGGCTGTTACAGTAGGCAGCTACTCAGACATAAGCTGGGCAAGAGAGGTCCCCTTCCGCTCCAGTAGGACTGTCAGGCGACCACCATGTGATGGTCAGGCAGTTGCTAAACTGTCTCTCTAAAATCATAATTGGCCACAGCCAGTGCCAGGAAAAGGCAGTCTCCCAATAGATAGAAACATCTGAAATTGGTGATTAGCAGCTTCTCGGTAAGATATCAGGAGTTGGGTGAGTGAGCTCAAGCCTGTGTACTAAGAGGCAAAATGGTGGGGTTTAACTGGTAAATGACCTTCTAGGACATTTGACTGGTAAGGGAACATGTGCTCAACTCTAAACAGTAAACACAGAGCACGCGGCCCCTCCCAAGTGCTGGCAGGCTATGAATGCGGACAGCCCACCTCAAGAGAAGAATCCCGGGAGAAGAGATGCAGACCTCGGAAGCATGCCAATGTATAAAACCCCAGGTCAGAGGTCAAACCGCGCGCTTATCTCTCAACTAGACTGCTTGGCCCTCTTCCAAATGTACTTTACTTCCTTTCATTCCTGTGCTAAAGCTTTTTAATAAACTTTCACTTCTGTTGTAAAACTTGCCTGGGTCTCTCACTCTGCCTTCCGCTCCTCCGTCAAATTCTTTCTTCTGAGGAGGCAAGAATTGAGGTCGCTGCTGACCCATAAGGATTCACTGCTGGTAACATACTTTGGTGCCGTGTGACTCAGATACATTCCCTAGTGCTAACAGGGCAAAGAGCTTTTGTGCCCTCCCTGGGCGTGCCACCCCCCAGGAACCTCCACGTGTTCAGCTCCCAGGAAGCTCCCGTAACTATTTCTTGAGATCCTGCAGAACACAGTATCTAACTATAAGCTTAATATAGTCCAATAAATATATTGACTGATTTGTCATGTGTGCCTCTATCTCCCTTTACATTACCTTGAACTCTTGACTTCCTTTCATTTACTCAAGGTCATTCATCAGCTCCAGAGAGGATCTTTAGAGCACAGCTCTGAGAATAAGAGTGAAGTTCTTGGTTTGTGAATTGTGAAAATTTGGACTTGGGTGCTAGAGACCTTAGCCCTGCAGTGGGCAGAATTTAGGCCCTAAGTGATAGATTTGGAAGAATATGCTGTGCATCAGAGGCAGTTTTCTGATATTCAGATAGGTAAAGATTCTATGGGATGAGAGAGAGAAAACAAATCAGGAGAGAATCACAGGACATTGCCGATGTGTCTCTGAGACAGGTCCGACACTCCTCCCAGCCTCTTGGGGCTGAATCTTGATGAAGGAATAATGACGTATCCCCATATGGGTTTGGGGATCACAGCAGAGAAAGCTTGTGCCTTACTTCCTGGGTGAGATGGAAAGTTAATCATGTTTACAGTCTTGTACTGCAGGCTTAGTGTAGAAGTAGGAGAGATGGTGGCTTGTTGAGTTCTTTTGCACCATGTAGGAAGCAGCCAAAGGTTTTCTATGTCCTCAGGAGACACACAAAATGAGAGAAGAAGGTGGGAGGGAAGAGAAACAGAGAATATGTAGGGGTGTTCTTCCTGAAGTCACAGGAAAGAAGGCATCTCAGCAGATGCTAGTGTGGAGAGATGAGAACAACTTTCTACCCACTTCCTGCCCCAGCCCACAGCCTTGACATCCTGTAGGCTTCCCCTTCCCTATATTAAACCAATCTTGGAAAAAGGAGGAGAAAACTGTAATTGAATCGTATATGCCACCTGGTGGGATGGGGGCTAAAAATAGAAATTCCGTCTTGGTGATAGTGATGTTATATTTCTTGCATACCCAAGCTTTATTCCTCTGACATTTGTGAATATTCTTTCCCTCAAGCTCACCTCAAAGTCCTCATCTTTCAAGAAGCATTCTATTGCCTTTCCTCGGTATCACATAATTTCTGATTTATTTCCTCCCTTGCACAGTGCCGCTGGACTAAGAGAAAGAACATGCAGATTCTAGTTTCAGCTCTCATTTGCTGAATGTCTGATGGAGAACAACTCACTATCTCTGGGTCTCCATTTGCTTTTATGTAAAACAGTATGTCAGAGGAGGTTGTGAGTTAAAGCTGAATAATGGATGAGGAAGTGTTTTTATTATTTTTATTTTTTGAGACAATGTCTCTGTTGACCAGGCTGGAGTGAAGTGGCGTGATCTCAGCTCACTGCAACTTCCTCCTCTGGGGTTCAAGCTATTCTCCTGCCTCAGCCTCCCGAGTGGCTGGGATTACAGGCCTACCCCACCATGCCCAGTTAATTTTGTATTTTTAGTAGAGATGGGGTTTCACCATGTTGGCCAGGCTGGTCTTGGACTCTTAACCTCAAGTGATCCGCCCCCCTCAGCCTCCCAAAGTGCTGGGATTAGAGGCATGAGCCACCACACCTGGCCGAGGAAGTGTTTTGAGGACAAGAAAGTTTCAAATGCATGTAAAGTGGGATTATGGCTGCAACTCTTTTACCCTGGCTGCAATATTCCTAGCTGGGAATGTGATTTTGGTATCATTTATATATTTAAATTAGGCATGAACTACATTTCAGGATCTCTATTCCCACTCATTGAGAGGTTGAGGAAAATCCAAGAATCGAATCCCTTCTCAGTTAAGAAGTAAGTTAGCACAGACCACTTTATCCCTCAAAGAGGGAGAGAAAATAATTCCAAGAAGCTTCTTTGTTCTAAAACTTCATCTGCTCCTCCTAAAGACGATTCCTATAAGGAGAACCTCCCAACAGCTGATCTCCAGCAGGATATTTTATGTCATCTATAGTTCTTGACCCATTAACCCTTCAGATGCCTTCTGTGTCAGGAATTCGGACAGCTTCATGCTCCCAGCTGCACACCTGCCAGGGCAGAACAAAACAAAACAGGTGTACAGCTGAGTCCCCTGGTGGCAGATACAGTTTCTTCTCTTTTTCAAAAGTTTTTAAGGTTGGCCTAAGGTAGCAGGACTGTAACATAATAACACACGCACTCATTTACTTGTCCTTTCAATTTCCATTTTGCCCCCGGAGATTGCCCTGCAGGACTTAGCTAATGCCCAATTCATTACTTTAGCAAACATGAATTGAAAACCTATTATGTGCCAGCTGTGGGGGACAAAGGGATCTATGAGATGTGGATCCAGCCCATGTGACCTTAGAACCTAAAGGGAGAGGTGACTAGCTAAGCTGTAAAATAAGTCCTGCTCAGTCTAGGTGGCTCACACCTGTAATCCCAGCACTTTGGGAGGCTGAGGCAGGAAGATTGCTTGAGCCCAGGAGTTCGAGGCCAGCCTGGGCAACATAGTGAGACCCCATCTCTACAAAATATACAAAAATTAACTGGGTGTGGTAGGGCGCACCTGTAGTCCTAGCTACTTGGGAGGCAGGAGGATTGCTTGAGTCCAGGAGGTTGATGATGCAGTGAACCATAATCATGCCACTGCACTCCAGCCTGGGCGACAGAGTGTGACCCTTTCTCAAAAAAATAAAATAAAATTGTATAAAATTACCTTCAGGATAGATGTATAAGGTATGTGAGAAACACAAATAAATCCCCAACATATTTCATTATGTATATGCAAATATTTTAACATACAACAAGTAAAAAATTGAAAACACTTTCTATCCCAAGCATTTAAGATAAGGTATACTCTACCTGTACTGGAAATATCAGACACAGACTATGAGACAACTATGATTACTACTCAGGAAGTAAGCATCAAGTATAAAAATGGTGATAGATAACTGTACATTCTAAAGACTAATAGCACATATACAGTATGAATTCTAGACCTAATTTCAATAATTAAAGAACACAGTGAATGAGTGTAATAGTAGATTAGATAGAACTGATGAGAAAATTAGTGCACTGGATGGTGTGGCAGAAGAAATTTGTTATGATGAAGTACAGAGAGGGCAATTTGTGAAAAATATTGAGGAATAGGTCATTGATATAGAGGACACAGTGAAAAGTTTAGCTGGATTTCAAGCAGGAAAGGAGAGAGAGAAAATGTGGCAGATAGAATATCTGAAGAACCAATGACAGAATTTTCTGCAACTGATGAAATACAAAGATTCAAAACCCCAACATGCTTATATTAAGCATGCGAAATAAAAAGAAACCCATACCTAGACATATCAGAGTGAAACTTCCAAAAATCAAGAGAAAAGAGAAACAAGTTTAACTTGTATTAGCAGGGAAAAAAAGACAACTTTCCTTTAAAACAACTGAGAACTGACCTCTCAACAGCATTGATAGAAGCTTGAAGATCCTAAAATAATGCCTTTAACGCATTGAGATAGTAGCCAACTTAAAATTCTGTACCTAGTGAAAATGTCTTCGAATAATCATCTTGAAATAAAGAAAAACCGAGATAGTTTGCCATGAGTAGACCAACAGTAAAGGAAATACTAAAGAGTGTTCATTAAATAGAAGAAAAAAATCATAGAAAGCCAGAGATAAAGAGAAGAATAAAAATAATAAAAGAGCAAATATTTGGTAAATCTGAATTAATATTGGCTAAATAAAACAACAATAAAATATCTCATAGGTTTAAAGTTTCATACTTATAATATGGTCAGGTGCAGTGGCTCATGCCTGTAATCTCAATGCTTTGGCAGGCTTAGGTAGGAGGATTGCTTGAGCCCAGGAGGCTGCAGTGGGCTATGATCTCACCCCTACACTCCAGCCTGGGCAACAGAGTGAGACGCTGTCTCATAAAAAAAAAGCCTGAAATCAAAATGAATAAAATTAATTTAGAACAGGCATTCACTTTAAATGAAAAGATATGCCCCACAGTCTTGTGTAGATGCACTTTCTGCAGCTGCACATGTTGAATCAATAGTTTCTAAGTCTTCTTAGTTACTTTTGAAATTGATGCTGATAATTCTTCAGCAGATTTGTGCCTTTTTATGTGTTCAGCAATATCACCACAGCCTTCACAGTGCATGGTAAATGTTGAAAACTTTTTTTTTTGCAAGTTACACAATCATCATTAACTTTCTCAGAGATAGATATGGAGTAATTACTTTTTCATTAAACATGCAGTTCCATTCTTCTGAATGAATTGCTGCCAATAGTGTTTATTCTAAATTAAAGTGATGAAAAATAATAAAACAAATGGTTATACACTTACCAATTACACAAACAATAGTGAAAAAACCCCTGTGGAAAGTGTGTTCCGATTACTTCGTCTGTGCTCAACGGCAGGACTTATCATCATCTGTTTCCACACATACTTCACGTAGTCCTAACGTATAATTTCCCAGCTTTCCACTGACTTTGCTGATTGACATCCTGTGGCTTTATGCATATCACAGGCATAGGATATGGGTCAATTAGCTGGTGGACCAAATAGTCATCAAGGGCTTCAGCCTTCTTGTTTGAGTGAAGTTGTTTTATCTGTGAGCCCTTACAAGCTTTCCTGGAAAAGAAAGTGTTAGTTCTATTTTGTATGAGAAGGAATTGAAAAGAGATAATTAGAAAAAGAGAAAGGGATTAATGCTAGCTGTCTTTCAGCTTTAACTATGTGTTAAAGATTATAGCGGTTATTTCTCTAACACATAAGCTGAGACCATGACGGAAGCTGGGAGCACACAGTATACATTGGAGGTCTTCCAAATCCATTATGCACCACGTGCTGTAGGTGTTTATTAGATATAGTTAAAAACATCAAATTAAAGAAGTTCCATTCCAATCTTTGTTTGTCTTCCTTCCCCCCCCACCAAAGACTAATCATAGAAAATAAAGTGTGAATAACAATGATCAGGAATCAAAAATAGGATATTACTGCATACCTTGCAGTCTCAAAAAAGAGAATAATAAGATATTATATTATGAATACCTTTGTGACAAAAATGTGAAAATTTGAATGAAAGGAACATGTTCCTAGAAAATGACAGTTTATTAAAATGGACATAAGAAATAGAAAATGTGAAGTCATATAACTACTAAAAAAATTGAAAAGATAATTTAAAAACTTTCCATAGAGAAAATGTCATGTCTGGATGGATTAATTATTGTGTTCTCTTGCTTTTGGGATACAAATAATGCTAATCTTGCACAAAAGTCCAGAGAATCCAAAGATTAGTCTCCCCAATTCATTTTATGAGGCTATCATAAAATATTTGTTTAATAACGAATCTCAGGAAGGATATAAGAAAATTAAAGTATAGGTAAATGTCTCCTATAAACATGGATGAAAATATCCTAAACAAAATATTAGTAAATCTAATACAGCGGTACATAAAAGGGCTAATGTATTATGACAAAGTTGAATTTATACAAGGAACATGAGGTTGATTTAGAAAATTAATGAAGTTTGGCCGTGTGTGGTGGCTCACAGCTGTAATCCTTGCACTTTGGGAGGCTGAGGTGGGTGGATCACTTGAGTCCAGGAGTTTGAGACCAGTCTGGGTGATATGGTGAAACCCCATCTCTACAAAAAATAACAAAATTAGCCGGATGTGGTGGTGCATGCCTGTAACCCAGCTACTTGGGAGGCTGAGGTGGGAGGATTTTGTGAGCCTGCAGAGGTTGAGGCTGCAGTGAGCCAAGATGCAACCATTGCACTCCAGCCTGGGTGGCAGAGCAAGACTGCCTCAAAAATAAAATAAATAATAAATAAATAAATAAAATTCATTGCATTACAGGGTAAGAGTGAGGGAAACATCCTATCTTATCTATTTATTTATTTATTTTGAGACGGGATCTTTCTCTATTGCCCAGACTGGAATGGAGTGATGCTATCATGGCTCACAGCAGCCTCAACATCCAGGGACTCAAGCGATCCTCCCACCTCAGCCTCCCGAGTAACTGGGATGACAGGCATGTACCACCATGCCTGCCTAATTTTTGTATTTTTGTAGAGATGGAGTTGATTCACCCTGTTGCCCAGGCTGGTCTTAAACTCTGGGACTCAAGCAATCTGCGTGCCACGGCCTCTCAAAGTGCTGATATTATAGGTGTGAGTCACCATGTTTAGCCCTATTTTAATTTTAGTGGATGAACAGAGATATTTGTTCAAATTCAGTATCTTTACTAAATTACGTAAAACTCAGCAAAATAAGAGTGAAGTGGAACTTCATTTATTTGATAAAAAGTAGTTAGCAAATATGTACGGCACATCATGGTTTTTTTTTTTTTTTCTTTTTTTAACTGAGTCTCGCTCTCTTGCCCAGGCTGGAGTGCAGTGGCGAGATCTTGGCTCACGGCAACCTCCGCCTGCTGGGTTCAAGCGAATCTCATGCCTCAGCCTCCTGAGTAGCTGGGATTACAGGCCTCTGCCACCATGCCTGGCTAATTTTTGTGTTTTTAATAGAGACAGGGTTTCACCATGTTGGCCAGGCTGGTCTCAAACTCCTGATCTCAAATGATCTGCCTGCCTCAGCCTCCCAAAGTGCTGGGATTACAGGTATGAGCCACCACACCAGGCTAGCACATCATGTTTAATGCTTAATTATTTTTAGTGCTGAAGCTTTGTTGAATTTTACTATGTACTTGAGGTCAAGATAGGTTACTCACTATGACTACCTCTGTACGACATTCTTTTCTGGAGGTCTTATTCAATACAGTAAGGAAAAGAAAACAAACAACAACAAAACAACAACAACAAAACAAAGCCTATATAAATTTGAAACTTAAAAAATGACATTTTTATTATGCTTGAATGACATAATATTGTATATAGAAAATTTAAGATGATCAACAGATCAATAATAAGAATAAAATAATTTAGCAATGTAGCTCTAAAAACCAACATGCAAAGGTAATTGTTTGCAAACCCTAGAAACAAACAGAAACTAAAGTTTAAATAAGACATTCGGTGCAACTGAATGAAAAAACAAATACCTAGAAACAACTCTCTAGAGAAACTGTGCAACTTCATTAAAATAAATTTAAAGAGACAGAATAAATGGAGAAATACAAAATAGTCACGATTCTACAACTTAAATTGGCCAAAATTTCACTATTTCTTAAATTGAACTATAGATTTCATTTAATTTCAATAAAATTTTAGTAAAAAATAAAAAAATTCTTGCAAATCCAATAGAAATACAGGCAGAAGGTTTCACAAATGAAGAAATAAAAATGAATCAAAATGATGGATGTACATTTAAAATGGTGTTCAAACTCACTGGGAATCATGAAAACCTCAATATCAAAACCTCAATGAGAAAACACTAGATACGTAATGGATTGGAGAAAATTTAAGTTTGAGAACACCAGTGAAAGAATGTGGAGTGATAAAAGCTTTCGAAAACTGGTGGAATTGTACATTAGCACAAACATTGGAAACTGTTTTGGCTTTATTTAGTAAAGTGCAGAAATGCACAATCAGAAATTCTTCTCTCAGAGATACACCTATTATTGAAATGCATACTTATGTGCACTTTGATACACTTGACAAGAATATGCAGTATTGCTCATAATGGCCTTATATGGAAACCTGCCAAAACACCCATTGATGGTAAAATGAATAGACAAACTGCTTATTCATGTAATAGGATACATTCAGCAATGAAAATGAACACACTACAGCTCTATGCAGCATATGTAAATTCTAGAAACATAATGTTCCACAAAGAAACAAGATGAAACAAAAGTAAAACACATTGATTAGGGATTCCTGCTCATATGGCAAAACATAGAGCAAAGCAAGGACAAATCATCATTAATAGTCAGGATGAGGTTACCCCAAGGGGAGGAAGGAGTTTGAGATCAGGAAGAGACAGAGAGGGGGCATACTCTGATGCTGATGAAGCTCAATATTTTAACCTCAGTGGGTTTACACATGGATCCACTTAACTATAATTTGTTAAACTGTGCAATTTGTTATACTTTGTTAAGCTGTGCATTGCTGTAATTTGTGAAGCTGTACAGAAATATTTTATATACTTTTCTGCATGTTATATTTTACAGTTAAAAATGTTTATGTATATGCAGAATAGAGGGAAAATATGAAGAAGGGAGGAATGAGTTTTATGGGATGGAGAGGATAGGAAAGGCTCCTTAGAAAAGATTTCTCTTCAACATTCATTAGTGTTTCATCTTCAGTTTTGATTGACACTTGATGCTTGTAAATTTTTTAACAAACTTTTAAATCATGCTGACTATTCTGAAGAGATTTCAACACCAGCACTAAGATTTGTACATTCACTTTGTTTGCGATTGACTTGTTTGCCATTTACATAGTGGATAGTACAGATTTGTCACAGGTCAGATCACAGTGTTGAGGAAAGCAGTACCTTCCTGTAATTAGAAAGGATCCCCTAAACTGTACTTAGCTTAAGACATCCGATGTACAAGAGCACAAAAACCATCATAATAATGTGGCTCCAAGGAACATAGTTTTGATAAGGTAAATAACTTAAGCTTCTGTTTCCCATTTTAATTACTGAAATCTCTAATAATGACACAACTGTTATGTATGTGACAGCAAATGTATATAATAATTTAACTTCGTTTGTGTGATTGAAATAAAATTGCAGTATATAAAAAAAAATAAAAGATTTCTTTTGACTGATATTTGGAAGTGGCTCAAGGGGCAGGAGGGTCACCTCAGTGTTTAATCCCACTGCCAAATGCTCATTTGTTTATTAGAATATTCAGACTGGGGAGATTGTTTCAACTCATGTTAGGAACATATGTAGGTGTGCAGGTGGAGGTATAAAGATGTGGGTGATGAACACACTGACTAAATAAATCAATAAATCAACTAACTTGAGGGTCCATAAACAACAGATATAGTTAAGTATTGTCTGGGCAATAAGATTTACTTGCCTGACATTTCTGGTTCATTCATTCAATTAATCCATTCATTTAACAAATAATTTCTGAGCATCCACCATGTGCCATGCACTTTTCAAGCTTCTGAGGACACAGTGGTGTACAAGACTAATGCAGTTTCATCAACTGTGATCTACCTAGGATTATTTCCTTTCTAGACTAGGTTGAGTGATTTTGGATCCTAGCATCACTGTAGATAATTGCTTCTTGATCTCCTCTAAAATAGGCCAAATCACCATATTGCCCAAGGCAATCTGCAGATTTGATGCTATTCCTACCACTACCAACATTATTTTTTACAAAATTAGAAAATGCTATTCTAAAATCCGTATGCAACCAAGAAAAAGCCCAAATAGCCAAAGCAATCCTGAGCAAAAAGAACAAAGTGAGAGGTATCACATTACCCAACTTCAAACTATACTATAAGGCTACAGTACTTAAAACAGCATGGTACTGGTAAAAAAAAAAAAAAGACAGAAATAAAGAATAGAGAACCCAGAAATAAAGCTACACACCTACAAACATCCAATCTTGGACAAAGTTGACAAAAATATGCAATGAGGAAAGGACTCCCTATTTAGTAAATGCTGTTCCAGGATAGCAGGCTAGCCATATGTAGAAGAATGAAACCAGAACCCTATCTTTCATCGTATACAATAGTTAACTCAAGATGGATTAAAGATTTAAATGTAAGACCTCAAACTGTGAAAGAACTAAAAGAAAACGTAGGAAACACCATTCTGGACATCAGCCTTGGGGAAGAATTTATGACCGAGTCCTCAAAAGCAATTGTAAAAAAAACAAAAATTGACAAGTCAGACCTAATTAAACTAAAGAGCTTCTGCATAGCAGAAGAAACTATCAACAGAGTAAACAGACAAGCTACAGAATGGGGGAAAATATGCACAAACTATACAACTGACAAAGGTCTAATGTCCAGAATCTATAAGGAACTTCAAAAATCAAACAAGCAAAAAATCAAATAATCCCATTAAAAATGGACAAAAGACATAAACAGACACTTCTCAAAAGAAGACATACAAGCAGCCTACGAACATGAAAAAATGCTCAACATCACTAATCATCAGAGGAATGAAATCAAAACCACAATGAGATGCCATCTCTCATCAGTCAGGATGGCTGTTATTAAAAAGTCAAAAGACAACAGATGTTGGCAAGCTGTGGAGAAAGGGGAACACATGATACTGTTGGTGGGAATGTAAGTTAGTTCAGCCACTGTGGAAAGCAGTTTGGAGATTTCTCAAATAACTTAAAACAGGACTACCATTTGACCCAATAATCCCATTGCTGGTATACATGCAAAATAATAATAAAAAAATTCAGCCGGGCATGGTGGCTCACATCTATAATCCCAGCACTTTGGGAGGCCAAGGTGGGCGGATCACTTGAGGTCAGGAGTTTGAGACCAGCCTGGCCAACATGCTGAAACCTCGTCTCTACTAAAAATACAAAAATTAGCTGGGTGTGGTGGTGCACACCTATAATCCCAGCTACTCTGGAGGCTAAGGCATGAGAATCGCTTGAGCCCTGGAGGTGGAGGTTGCAGAGCTGAGATCGTGCCACTGAACTCCAGCCTGAGTGACAGGGCAAGACCCTGTCTCAAAAAAAAAAAAAAAAAAAAGAAAAGAAAAAATAATTCTACCAAAAAGACACACATGTATTTGGATGTTTATTCCAGCACTATTCACAATAACAAAGACGTGGAATCAACCTAGGTGGCCATCAACTGTGGATTGGATTTTTTTAAAAAAGAAGTGGTATATGTAGAATACTACAGAACCATATAAAAGAATGAAATCATGTTCTTTTCAGGAACATGTATGCAGCTGGAGGCCTTTGTCCTAAGCAAATTAATGCAGGAACAGAAAACCAAATACCACATGTTCTCACTTATATGTGGGAGCGAATTATTGAGAACCTGTAGACATTAAGACGGCAGTAATAGACATGGGGAACTACTAGATGGGGGAAGGACAGTGGGAGGCAAGGTTTGAAAAACAAAACTGTTGGGTACTATGCTCAGGACTTGGGTAACAAGATCATTAGTATCCCAAACCTCAGGATCATAAAATACACCCAGGTAACAAACCTGCACATGTAACCCCCAAATCTAAAATAAAAGCTGAAAATAAATAAATTAGCTAAATCAAATGTGTTCACTGATGTGATATCTGTTAGATTATATGAGTTTTCCTCAGTCCAGGACATACCATCTGGGATTTCACCTTTTTCCATGTTTGCACCTGCAGATGCAACATGGAAATTCTATTTGATTTAGGAAGGGAATAAGACAGTATTTACCTAGCTAAATATTTAGATGTCTCTGTCACTTCAGATTCCTTCAGATTTTAACTTTACCTTCAGTGAGTTCATTTGAACCACAGTGCAGAGAAAAGAGATGTCTTTAATGAGTTTCTTTAATAGGAGACAATTTCAAAACATAGTGAAATGTAAAATGAAACTGAATTCCAAGAATATCTCTGAAAACTGTTTCAAACTGTTGAGTAGAGGTCGCTTTTTACTCTAAACATTGAAAAGTGTTGGAATTGGTTTGTTACCCTAGGAAACAAATGATGAGTTCTGCTTGTTTCCCCTACTTGAGAACCATTAACAAAAAATGCCATGGCGGTACCTCAGGTTGAAAGACCTAAAAACATGTTTGTTTTGAATGAGTATCCTAATATGATATTTCTCATTATAAGCAGAAAATATCAGCATTATTTGTGAAGGTCTAGACACCAAGAATCTATCTACGTATAGGCCTTGTTGTTTAGCGTATCTAGTTAAATCTGGAAAGAACCAAATATGTGATGTCTTATTTTGAATGAACACTTGACATTGCTATCAGATAAAATTACAAGCTAAAACTCTGCAGAAAGTCACATTGTAATTAAGCTATTCTAATTGAACACTTTATCTTTTTTAATAGTCACTGTTGCCTTCAGTTTATTAGTAAACATTATCTAATAAAGTACTCTGTTGTATAGGAAAGTTTGAGCAAAAGGGAAATCGTTTGGGGAAATCAGTAACCAATGAATAGAAGCTGAAACATTTTATGTTATCTTGTAGCAGCCTGGCAATTATGTTTCTCCACAGAATAAATGCTTAGTATTAATTTTGTGCATGTAGAGAGCATCTCTGATGATTCAGAAGCAATGGAGAGGCACTTCTTGTTACTTTCCAGTTCCCATATAAATCATTGCATTGAAAGTAATTCAAAAACACATAGTTAGGTGTTTAAAGAATAAAATACTTTTTTTTTTCACTACTGGTCATAAGGTGATGAGTGAATGGGCTTTTCTGGCCTTGGGGAGACTGTCCGAGGGTCAGTTTTGCCGCATTCTCTTTGATTGGCCTTGTGGGAAAGGAGACAGCCTAGATCTTGATTATAATGATTTGCTTTCTGAGTTTGCACATCCAAAACAGTACTTAGCTCCTAAAACAGTGGTCTCTACCCTTATCCAAGGTGTCTGGCAGCCTTCTGACACAAAGAAAAATCAGAATATGTGTTTTGAAAAGTAAGACCATCCTTAATATTAGAAATGGGATTTAAGCTGTATATATGAGTTACTATTGCTGTGTAACAAGTTACCCCAAGACTTAATAGTTTAAATAAACAAACATTTATTATCTCAGAGTCTGTGGGTCAGGAGTCTTTGTGTGGCTTACCTGGGAGCCTCTGGATCAGGGTCTGTCATAAGGCTGAAATCAAAATGGTGGCCAGGGCTGCTGTCATCTCAAGGTTTAATCAGGAGAGGATACTCTTCCAAGCTCACTCACCTGGTTGTTGGCTGCATTCATTTCCTTGTGGACTGTTGGACTGAGGGCCTGGATTCCCAGCCACATGGGACACTCTGCAGGACAGTGCACAATGTGACCACTGGATGTCTCTGGATTGAGTGAGCAAGAGAGCGAGGGAAGGCAGCTAAGGATGGACATAACGGAATCTCAGAAGTGACATGCAGTCACTATTGCTGTATTTTATTTGTTACAAAAGAGCCACTAGGTCCAGTTCACACTCAAGGGAAGACAACTACACAAGAGCTTGGGTCCTAGGAGTCAAGGCTCATTGGGACCATTTTAGGGGCTGCCTACAGCAAACTGGAAAGCCAGGGAAGTCTTTATTTTAAACCCTATCCCTTTCAGTCAAACTCCTGAAGCCAAAATTGTTGATATGTTTCACTGGGGCTCCTGTCCTGACTTTCCCAATTTCTTCACTTTTCTGGGTTCCCCTCCCCCACCAAAATTGTTTTGCTCCCTAAAGCCATTAGCCTAAAACTAGACTGGTGATATGTGCTCAGAGATGAGCATACCAGCTAGAGTCTGTGTTCCCTTGAGATAGCAAATTCTATTTAGAAAAACTCTAGAATTACCTTAGAATGTTTACATATTCATTATGAATATTAAATGTAGAGGGTATGGAATGTGGTTATGACTCTAGGCCAGGGAATTTGGAAAATTTAACCTCTGGCTTGTGTGACTTTTAGGCAAAACTCATTCTCTTTCAGACACATTACCACTGTTCTTGAAAACTGCTTTATGGTAGGATGGCACGTGAAGAGGAAAAATGTCTTGGACTTGCTACCACCAAGCTGTTATATCTTTCTGATGAATATCAGGCTGCAGGAACTTGTGAACATTTCCCTCATTAAGTCTGGGTTATTAATTGCCTAGTCTTGCTGCTTTCTTTTGAGAAAAAGAAATATACTGTGCATAAAATATACTTTGTAAATAAAAATGTCTGCTGCATCTGCTTCGAGGATAAATGCTCAATTTCAGGGCTGCAATTTTGCAATATGTTTTAAATGTTTCTATTCTGTTATGAATAGAGCAAGGTTAACAAGTTTAATTAGTTCAGCATTTATCAAGCACCAAGCACTGCCAAGCGTGGTGCCAGGGCCTGGGAGTGTGAAGATGACTTATATACACTCCCACCCTTGCGGAGTTCTCAGTCTATTGGGAGGACAATCAGGTAAACCAATAACAACAGTATAATGTGGTAAGTGATGTAGTAGAGGTGCATGTGGAGTACACAGTACTGGAGGCACTGGGAAGGGCGTGATTAACTCTGCCTGGAGATTTGTGTTCTATAGCATCCCTTAGAACATAATCCTCAGAATGCCTGACATTTTCAAGAGGAGAAGCGAGCATGCTCATAGGTTGTAAAATGTTTTTCTTCCCCCCAACTTTTCTATTGCTCAAGGGAAAGAAGAATTATGTCTTCACTAAATTTTCAGGTTTTAAAAATAATTACTAAAGTTTTATCTTTAGAATGTAGAAAATGGCTTAATTTTTACCATGATAATTTTGTCTTTGAAACCAGCTTCTAAATGTTAAATGTTAAATTGACTTTCCTAATAAACTACAAACCAGTAAGTCCTTTCAGCAGGAGACACTTTATTTATATCCTTAAGGGTGGTCTTAAAAAAAGAAGAGGGTATGTATGATGACTATTTCATGTTTAGCCACATGTACAATGATGTCAAATTCTTTACAACTTAATACAATTATTTATGTCTATAATGCTTACGTTGACTATCATCAAAAGTAACAGCTATGGTAGTATACTAGTTTTCTAGGGCTGCCATAAAAAAGTATCACAAACTCGGTGGCTTAAACAACAGACATTTGTTGTCTCACAGTTTCTAAAGGATTCAAGTAAAAAATCAAGGTGTTTGCAGAGCCATACTTCCCCTGAAAGTTCTAAGGGGGACTCCTTCCTCACCTCTCCAGTTTTTAGTGGCCCCAGGGACTGGCTTATGGCACTCTTACTCCAATCTCTGCCTTGGTCTTCACATGACCTTCTCTTCTGTGTCTCTCTGTATCTTCTCCTCTTCTTATAAAGACGCCTGTCATGAGACAGAGGGCCTACCCCAAATCCAGGATGATTTCATCTTGAGGTCATTAACTATATCTGCAAAGACCCTATTTCCAAACAAGCTCATATTCTAGTTTCCAAGTAGATATGAATTTGGGGAGGGGGTCGCTATTCAACCCACTGCAGTTAGATTTTCAGAAATAGGAAAAGATGTATTTGTAGCTTAAGGATAAAAGCTTTATCTTTCTTCACATTTTAAAAGTATATTTTTTTCATATTATTTTATACCTGATGGTAGAAAGAAAAAAAGGGGGAAAGGTAGACTTTTAAGGGCAGTTACGCAAGATTAAATAGAGGCAAGGAGATTAAACGTGGAAGAATACAAAATGCTCAGGAACAAAAAGTGGAGGAGGAAGTGCTGTGATGGCTTAGTTGACCTGAAGTTGCCCGTCCAAAAATGGTGATAAATACTTAGAATGGAAGTCATCAACTTGATTCAAAATAGGTAAATTAGTTTACTGAGGAATGGGAAGGGGAAGGGTCATTGAAAAAATCCTAAACCATTAAAATTCTAAATATTGACTTGCAAGTTTGAAATTTTGCCCAACTTTTTCTAAGATGTCAGTCTAGTATGCCTTCATCTCAATCTTATTTATACCTATATTTAATCATATAAAATCATTAATTATTTATTGAAAAACTGCTTGCAAGAGAAGATTCTGTACTGCACATAAAGAACTATAAAACACAGTCCTTTCTTTAGGAAGTTCAGTTGTGGAGATAACCTAAATGCACCAAGCACTTAGTTATGGAAACATAACTAACATAAGCTGTAAACAACTCTGTTTATCTGATAACTCTGCATCACAATTCCAAGGAGTGAAAGCTACTTTAGATATTTTAAGTAGAAAGGAGCTTAATGGGATTACAGAAACGTTGGATGAGATGTGGAGTGAATGTAAGTATTGCTGCTACTGGCTTTTAAGAAACCTAGAAGTGCAGGGAACAAAGAAAAACTACTGCTGGTAATCTCAATGTAGAAGCGGCCCACTTAAGCAATCAGACAAGAGAAAGTAAAAGCATCCAAATAGGAAAAGAAGAAGTCAAACTATCTCTCTTCACTGACAATATGATTCTGTATGTAGAAAATCCTAAAGACTCCACCAAAAGTCTCCTGGAACTGATAAACAATTTAGTAAAGTTTCAGGATAAAAAAATCGATGTACAAAACTCAGTAGCACTTCTATACATCAATAACGTTCAAGCTAAGAGCCAAATCAAGAACATAATCCATTTATAATAGCCGTACACACAAAAAATACCCAGGAATACATCTAATCAAGGTGTAAAAGATCTCTACAAGGAGGACTATAAAACACTGTTGAAAGAAATTACAGATTACACAAACGAATGGGAAAACATTCCGTACTCATCCATTAGAAGAATCAATATCGTTAAAATGGCCATACTGTCCACAACAATCTATAGATGAAATGCTATTCCTATTAAACTACCAAGATCGTTTTTCACGGAATTTGAAAAAAACATTCTAAAATTCATATGGAACAAAAAAGAGCCTAAATAGCCAAAGCAATTCTAAGCAAAAAGAATAAAACCAGAAGCATCACATTACCCAACTTCAAACTATACAATAAGGCTACAATAACCTAAATAGCATGGTACCCATAGTTAAACAGACACGTAGACAAACGGAAAAGAATAGAGAACCCAGAAATAAAGCTGCACACCTATGGACATCTAATCAACAAAGTTGACAAATATATGCAATAGAGAAAGGACTCTCTATTCAATAAGTGGTGCTTAGATAACTGGATAAAATGAGACTGGATCCCCACCTTTCACCATATAAAATAATTAACTTAAGAGGGTTGCAAAACCAACTATTGCGTGGCATGCTCACTAACTGGGTGATGAGATCATTCATATCTCAAACCTCAGCATCATACAATATACCCATCAATATAGTCAGGTAACAAACTGGCACATGTACCTTCTGAATCTAAAATAAAAGTTGAAATTTAAAAATAGTGGCTGAATTTTTCTTAACATTTTAAAAAAATTTGTTGTGATTTTATTGTGGTAAAATACAAATAACAGCTGGGCACGGTGGCTCACATCTGTAATCCCAGCACTTTGGGATGCTGAGGTGGGCAGATCACGAGGTCAGGAGATCGAGACCAACCTGGCTAACATGGTGAAACCCTGTCTCTACTAAAATACAAAAAATTAGCCGGGCATGGTGGTGCATGCATGTAGTCCCAGCTACTCGGGAGGCTGAGGCAGGGGAATCGATTGAACCCGGGAGGTGGAGGTTGCAGTGAGCCAAGATCGCGCCACTGCACTCCAGCCTGGCAACAGAGCAAGACTCCATCAAAAAAAACAAAAACAAAAACAAAAACAAAAAACAAAACACAAAAACACACACACACACACAAATAGCAAAGTTTACCAATGTAGCCACTTTCACATGTTCAGGTCAATAATACTAAATATGTTCATAATATGCAACATCACCACCATACATCTTCCTAACCCTTTCATCTTGTAAAATTGAAACTCTCACCTATGGAACAGTAACTCTTCATTCCCTGCTTCCCTCAACCCCTTGTAACCATCATTCTACTGTGTGATCCCGTGATTTTGATTGTTCTTACTTGGTATAATTGGGATCATACAATGTTTATCTTTTTGTGACTAACTTGATTCACTTAACATAACGTCCTCATCCATGTGGCTCATCCATGTGGTAGCTTATGCCAGAATTTCCTTCTGGAATAATAATTCCTTCCCGTATAATATTTCACTGTATCTATATACCACATTTTACTTATTCACCTGTTCACAGATGCTTGGCTTGCTTCCATATTTTAGTTATTTTGAATAATGTTGCTAGGAACATGAGTGTACATATATCTCTACCAGAACCTGCTTTCAATTCTTTTGGGTATATACCTAGAAGTGGAATTGTTGAATCATACAGTAATTATATTTTAACTTTTCAAGGAACTAACATATTGTTTTCCACAGCAGCAGCACTATTTTGCATTTCTATCAACCATGCACACTTGCACAATTTTACAAATTTGAAATGTTGCAGAATTTTTTCACTTCCTCACCAATATTTGTTATGTTGTTTCTTTTTGATAGTAGCCATTCAGGAGGATCATATTTACTCTTGTTGAGTTCTCAGTCTGGTAAGGAGAATAACCAGATAAACTAATAATTAAAATACAATGTGATAAGTGATGTGATAGAGTTATGTGCAAAGTGCAAATGGTGCACAGAGAAGGGAATGCTGCAGGCCAAACCCCATATTTACCAGCTGAAAGTGCCCATTTATCTACCTACAGGTCTGCAGGGGGAAAATGTCTTGCTTGCCTCTGATTTCAGTTCTTGAATAAGTGTGCATAAGGCAATATGAATAAATGATAGATTACAATAATGCTCTGCTGAGGAAGGCCTGGAAAGTATCATTTTCAGGATTTCAACCTCTTCCACACAGGAGATAACTTAGATGTTCAGTGAGAGTCTGAGAATCAGACACATCTGGTACAGTGGCCAAGAAAAATCACCTGGAAGAGGGGTATAACGTGGGCTTTGAAGAAAGGTAAGAATTGGATAGATAAAGAGGAAGGATGAAGGAGTATATTTTAGGCTTAGGGTAGCCCTACATGTGGTCAGGGCAGTGATTATAGTAATTTAACTGGAGTAATGTGAGAAGTCAGTGAATGATATGGTTAGAAAAGTAGATTGGACCAGAGTGTGAAAAACTCAATACTGAGCTGAGAGGTTTGGAATTGATTTTAGTTCAGTGACTTCCCAACTTGTGGGCCTCAGATCTCTGGGTACCCTGGAGTTAATATTGTAAGGAACTCTGATCCATGGGAATACCAAGCATGGCCCAGAGATTAAATAGATATGTTCTACACATATGTGAGCTACTGTCTATTGTTACGTGTTGATAATGTGACTTAGCAGAATACAGATTAATTACATATTTCAAAATTTATTATAGCACTTTTAAGATTTATTTTTTTAATTAAAGTGTTCTAATAGTAAATATGCTATTATGTGGTGGACTATACAAAATTGTTGATATTGTGAAGGAGTTCTTATACTCAAGAAGTTTGGGATCACTACTCCAGGCAGTATGAATCTATTGAAGGCTTTTGAGCAGCGTAAGGACAAGGTGAAATGGTGGTTTAGGGAAATTAATCTGGTGGTGGCCTACAGATTGAAAAGTGGAGACTAAGCTAAACATTGAAAAACCTCTTGTGAAAATTAAGTTTGAGGAAACCAGTTAGCAGAGAATAAGCAATTTTTAAAGCATGATGTGTGACACTGGGCACACATAAAGAATGGTGTGCTAGGTACCAATTTATTGCCTCTTAGCTCCAAGTCTACCCTTCAATGCCTGCTCTGTGATAGTGAAGCTGGGCCCTGTTTGCCAGTAGGCACAATGTTAAGATTTGCCAGTGAAGGGTGCTGGAGGGACACTAGAGGAGAAAGGAGTTTCTCTTGCTGCCTCCCATGTGCTCCTCTTTCCAGATCTTTGTGGCACAAGTAGATTTTCCAAGGTTTGGCTCTTGCCACATGTGCAACTTCTCTAGTACTAGGCTCCTATAGTATGAATGGCTTCTCTGACACCCAGTGGCCAGCAGCTTCTCCTGGCACTCCTTCAGGTGGCTTCATAGTAGAGCCACCAGCAAGGTTTCACTCTGTGGATGGTTTCCTCAGCAACCCAGAGGGCAGCTTTCTAGCAAGTTCTCCTGGTACAGCACCTCAGCAACTTCTCTGCCTTCCAATGAGCCACAACTTCACCCTCTCCAGTGGGGTCTGGATCTCAGCTCTTCTAGAGGGAGATTCTTCCTTAGGGGTACTAGCTCTGTCGTAAGAGTCACAGCTGCTTCTTTTATATAGTCTTTCTATATTCCTTAGAGTTTCATTTGCTTCTTCCTAGCCAATCTCCTGTTGAAGTTAGTAACACTTATATTAAACATTTTCTGTTCAAATTCCTGTTCCTTGATCACATCCTGACTGACATAAATGGCATCTAATTCTGCACATCTATAATGAAGAAGCATCTTCCACATCTCTATGTGAGGATATGAAAGGATATATGTTCTAGTCCCAGAAGGTAGTATTATTTACCATATTTTTCTTGCTTCTGGTAAGCAGTGACAGTGAAAGCAACATCATACAAGCTTTTTGAAGGCTCCAAGCACAATGAATTTTTTGAAGCAGCCCTTTATAAGCAGAAAGCAACAAGTTAATCTCATTTTTGGAATCTTTTCTGTGGCTGATAACAGGTGGATAGAAATTTTATTTATTAATTCTTCTAGTCATTCATTCATTCATTCGTGTCTTGTCTATTATAAAGTGACACTTTTTATGTTGTTATTGAACTCTATTGGGGATTATGACTCTTGGAATTTCATCATTAAAACCCTCCTGCTCTAGAAATTTTAGCAGTAAAGTATCAGGTTCTACATTTCATATGCTTGATGACATTTATTTAGACCTTAAGGTTTTGGAAGGTCAAGAGATTTCTGAGTTCAACTCATTTTGTTCAGACTTGTATTTAAATACATACTTTTGCTTGGAAATTATTGTGTAGTTGAGATTTGGCTAGCTTGACAAACAATATATATGAGTATGTATTAAAAATATTAAAGTGTGTGTGTGTATGTATGTGTGTGTGTGTGTGTGTGCTGTATGGGAAGCTGGCAAAGGAAAATATTTCTTTTCTTCGTTACTTTAATTACTAAAAATAGCTTAGATTACAAATTAGCAAATTTAGCATAATTATGTCTTTATCAAGAAGGAATGATACCACCACTTTTACGAAGGCGAAGACATTTATGTATTATCAGATTTATAGTTAGCTGGCGTTTATTTGCTAAGACACATTTCTTTACCAACCAGGCCTGATGCAGTTGTAAACTGTTTTCTCCTTTGCCTTTTAAAGAACTATATAGCAAGTTCAGAATTCTGGAAAGGCTAAGGAATGCTTACATGTGATTTCCAAGGCCAACTATCAACATAGAACTGAAGGACACTTAACCTCACTGTTAGGTCTTAGTAGAGAAAGTTGGTGATGTTCCCCAGCATGTTTGCTAGATGGCGCTAGAGTTCCTATCTCTTATCTGGACTTCACACACCTCTGTCTAAATGTGCTTGAAGAGTAGTCCCTTATTTTTAAAAAGTTGTTGCTGTTGAATTTAAAACCTACTATCTTAAGTATGTTATTATTTAGTGTCTACAGGGTTTTGCTCTGTCTGAGATAATTTAAGACCAGTCATTTTCCATAAAAAGATGTGACAACACAAAATAAAAGTGTTTTCTTTGAATATTCATGTTTAGAGAGCAGAAGACTAAACATGTCCAGAAAGAGCTTCAATAGAAAAAAAATTCTTGGTGAAAATTGAGCTTCCAATATGTGTCTATACTTGAAAATTGAGTAGTGGAATTGAATAATTACATGCTTATTTTAAGCTTAGAAAACATCTTTTCCTCCATTACTTCAATGTTTTAGTTGAAGAGCCACTGTGACCTGCATACACATTAAACAGTCTCTATTGACTATAATGGGAATAGGAAATGAAGAAAAAACAAGTCACCTATAAGGTATAGTTTTACTTAGTCATGAATAAGGAAATGTCACATTTTAAAGAGGTAATATCTTACACTTATTGGTTTCTGAATTTGTTTCAGCTAAAATATCATATCATAAATGATGCAGATTTGTGCATATTAGAAAAGTTTTCTTGACTGTACTGTTTTCTCTCATCTGGTCTGACTTCGTAGAGGTAATTGCTGTTAACAGTCCCTATGTCCATTATACCTACAAATGCAGGTTCTTTTCCCCAAAGAGACTACAACTGGGGCCCTTCACAGAAGCTAGACTTTGCCATAGAACTTTCCTAGAGTTATAGGTTGGAAAAGAGCTAGAGAGCAGATGGTATATGTTCAGAGGCTGTTTCGCATTTTCAGATCTTATAAGAAAAGCATGCCACTTATACAACCCTAAGTTTTCTGCTTTAGATCTACCTGATGTTTGCTGTATGACAAATTTCATCACCTGGCGCAGGACCATTCTGGATGAGTGGTATTAAGACACTGCCATTCTGTATGGCAACGCCTTAGGGTATAGCAGCCAAAAATAAATCATTAGTAGGTTATTACAAATCATTGGTAGGTATTGGGCTTGTAACACAAAAGCTTATTGACTATATCTGTTAATTTTTTAGAGATAGCTTATCTTGGCAGTTTAATGGCTGCCTTTGGAATAGTCCCTGATATCACACAAGGTCCATTTTGGTCCTTTGATTTTTATTCTCAGAAGAAAACACATATTTAGATTAATTTAACTTAAGAATGAGAAAAACTGGTCTCAATTTTAAAAACTTCTTTCAAACTGTTAACCATTGAAAGAGAATTTTGGACAGCTTTCCTCTGCCACCAAGCTTCTTCAATTTATACTTTACAAAAGCCCCAAAACTAGAAAATCCTACAATAAATGGTTCAAAGTATAGAAGGACAGCTAGACAATGCCATTGAGCCTGTGAGACTTGCAGGAGAGCATCCTGAAATTAGACAGGTGGTGGTACCAAATGCTTAGGATACTGGCATATGAGATCAATTGCATGCTGTCCTAGAAGACTGTTGTACTTACATCCCTACAGACCTCTCTAGGATCTCTCATACAACTAAAATATCCAGGAAACAACAACAAGAAAAAGAAATGATACAATTAGGTTACTTGTCTCATTGGTTTAGTTTGGGAATGAGCTCTTTTCTCTTGGTTAAATTTGGATAGCCTTGACTCCCTTATCGTGAATGGACTACAAGTTTTGATGACTATCCTTCAGTTAGCATTTCCATTTTTCAGTGATCAAATATACGGTATTTAGAGGCTTAAATGCTGTGTGTGTGTGTGGGGGGGTCACTGTCCCATCAAATGATCCAATAAATGCATTTTCCACCAAAAGAATAAGCAAACCTGACCCTTAACTGGTGTTGGAATGATTACCATCAGAAGGTCCACACACAACTAAAACAAGTCATCCAGCAGTATGGAACTGAATGCACAGATAATGCCCTATCTTTCATCTTAGGAAGAAGCATGATCTAATGGGTTACTGTGTTAGTTTTCTGCTGCTGTGTTCAAGTATTACCACAAATTTGGAGGCTTAAAATGACACACATTTGTTACCTCATGCTTTCTGTGGGATCTAGGAAATCTAGGAGTGGCTTAGCTGGGTCCCCTGCTCTACGGTCTCCCAGCATTAAATTCTCAATTTTGGTTGAGGCTACAGTCTCACTTGATGTCCAGTTGCGGAACAATCTGCTTCTAAGTGCACAGGATTACTGGCAGCATTCATTCCTAGTGGGTAGCTGGACCGAGGACTTCAGTTTCTTGCTGGCTATCAGCTGGAGACTAGTGTCTTGCCACTCAACCAAAGGTGTTTTCTTCCTTAAAGTTAACAAGGGACAAAATTTAGCAAGAGGAATATTATACTCTTATCCCATCACCTTTGCATTATTCAACCAGTTAAGAGCAAGTCATGGGTCACAAGGCATGAATATCAGGAAGTGGGGGTCATGAGGCCCACCTTATAGTTTGTTCACTCCAGGGGCTGAGAATTGAAACCCCCCAATAATATCCTGTTCCTGTGTTAAGTTATATTGTGGTTAAGAATACTTCCTGCCCATGTGTTCAGTCTTAACGGGACTAGGAATATTTTTCTGTACCTATTAATTCAAAGAAATTAGAAATAGGTAAAATCCTAAAATAAGAGTTCATTTTTAAACTATTTGATTTTGTGAGAATAAAGGTATTTTAAATGTGATGGGAAATTTATTAAACCTGAAATATTTTGCCCAAATCTAGGAGCAGCTGATGACTCATATAATTGTATTAGTTATCTATTGCCATGCAATAAATTATCCTCAAAATTAGTATCTTAGAACAATAAACATTTATTATCTCACACAGTTCTGAAGGTCAGGAATCAGAGTGTCATAGGTAGTAACTTCTGACTTATTGTCTCCCATGTGGTTGCAGTCAAGATGTTAGCTGGAGTTGTAGCCACTTGAAGGGATTGAAGAATCCACCTCCAGGCTCACTCACATGGTTGTTGTCAGGAGACTTCAGTTCTTCACTACGTGCATCTCTTTCTCTGGGGTAGTTCAAGCAACATGGCAGCTGGCTTCCACCCATAGTGAGTGATATATGAGAGACAGAAAGAGAGAGAGAGAGAGACTGATTCAAATTATAAAAAGCTTCAGTCTTTTTAAAACTAATTTTAGCAGTGATACACCATTATTTCAGCTGTATTCTATTCATTAGACACGTTACTAAGTCTACCCACATTCAATGGGAAGAAAATTAGGCTCTCCTTCTTGAAGGGAAGAATATCAAAGAATGTGTAAACATATTTTTAAAATTACCACAGGTATTGTTAGTGTCCTGAGATTTCCTCGTGTTTTGTTCATAATTTTCTTGGCCTTGAATGTACCAAATTTCAGTGCCTCAAATATTCCCAATATTTCCTGGGAAATAGGCTAAGTACAAGTTAGCTGAGAGTACCAAGTATTTTAGTTTTAGGTGTCTTCTTCATCCCCTACAACTCAGGTGTTGTTTATATGTCATAAACTATGATGGAGGTTTGATAATTCTTCAGCTAATTGATTAGTGTAGTCACAATAATTTGAATGAGTTTTTATGTAAAATATTTATCAACTTATATGATATTAGAAAAGCTATCTAGTCTTAATTTTTAGCTACTATTTTCTTCATTAGAAAAGTTTTTTTTAATTCCTCATTAGAATTTTTAAAAGAAATCCCTATTAAGGATACATAAAAAATAATGGTGTTGACAAAGGATATAGTTTACTACGCATTTTCATATAAATGATCTCAAGACAAACATCCTGAATGTCTGAGATCCAATGAACAAAAAGACAAAGCTTCCTTTTTTAAAGCCCCTAGTACAAGTTTAGCTGAAAAATCCAGAGTGCAATTGTAAATAACCTCAGTGTATTTGTTGGGATACTCCAGAGAAGCAGAACCAATAAGATGTGTATGTATCTGTTTATATTATATAAAATAATACAATGTTAAATATATAATGTATATAATATAAAATATATTTTATAAGTATTATTTATATGAAACATTTATATAAAATCTAAAATAATATAAAATTTGATATTACATATTATATTATGTGCTATATTGATAATTATTAATAACACATTATTAATGAATGTATACCTCTGTACTATAATTTATATATATTATAAGGAATTGGTTCACATTCCTTATAATTGGAGGCTGAGAAGTCCAGAGCAAGGGGAGATGATGGTGTAAGTTCCAGTGTGCATCTGAGTCTAAAGGCAGGAGAAGCCCAATGTCCCAGCTTGAAGATGGTCAAGCACAGAAAAAGAATCCTTTCTTACTCTGCCTTTTAATCTATTTAGGTTTGCAATAGATTGCTCTCCCCACTTACACTGGGGAGAGCAACACGCTTTATTCAGTCTACTGATTAAAATGTTAATCTCATCCAGAAACACCCTTACAGATACAAGCAGAATAATGTTGATCAAATGTCTGGGCACCTTGTGGCCCAGTCAAGTTGTCACATAAAATTAAGCATCACACCCAGCCACCAGATTTTTCATTCTAGTTTGTTCCCCAGGGCATGCTTAGCCTCATATCTCAAGAGGTCTAGGACATAATCACTGACAAGATGAAGCATGATAATTTATAAAGAAGACAAACTCACAAGCAGTCAGCAAGAGAAATACTCCATATCAGATTATGAAAAACAATAGCAACTTCACCTTTCAAAGTCTTGCTTTGGTGTACCCCAGGACTTGTTCATTGTGGGTAGAGAATATATCAACCATCAACTGACATTTGATTGAAATTACTTAGTGTTATAGACAGTATTTCCCAACCCAATTGCCTCCCAATGAATTGTGGTGTTAGGTACTGTCCAAATAATCTGTGGAATATCTGAGATCTAGGGCGGTAATTATGTACAAGCTGCTCTCCATAATCATTTGCCATACAATGAAGCCAGATTTTTGTTCTCTCCTATTGTATATTATTGCTTAATACTATCTTATATAAATATTTTCCTATATAACATGAGTTTGTGGTATGATAGGTTAATATCAGATAGGTCCTACATTTCTTGTAGTTTCAATATCTCCCCACAAAAATCACATTGTCCTCTGTTAATGGGGATAGCATGACTCCAGTATGCCCCGAAACACCCTAGGGTGTCATGCCTCTGTCTTCACTAATTTTCACCTGGTGGATGGGGGCATAGGTTACTGGTTGGTTTTAGCTGAAGTCTGTTCTAACAGGTTGGTGCCAATATTACTATGCTAAATGATTTGACTACCACCCCTTTCTAAATATACTTAGAATAAAATAATTTCCATCAAAATGATTCTATTGAGATTATATATTTTTACAGGATTTCAATAGTATTCCTCAGAACTTTCAGGGTTCATGGAAAAGAGTAAGATATATTGGAAAAGCCAATATTTTTTCCTACTCTCTACTGTCACACCAACTTGATGAAAGAAAAAAACAAGGTGTTTTTTCCTCTGTCTTACATAGTCACTCAATACACTTCTAACACCAGATGGGTGGAAGTATTTCCTCACAGACCAAGTAATTCTCTAGCAGACTAGGGGACACCCCACTGGGTGTCCTCTAATTCAATCCAATTCTGACACTACCTGCTTGGAAATAGAGTTGGATTCCACAGGTTGAGGGCTCAGTCCCACAAAATTGTCCCCCACTTCAGATGTCAATCACAAGACCCAGAATGTGGCCTGTGCTTGTGATCAGCTGCAAATCAGGGTTCCCATGATCCCCTCCTCAGGTTTGATTAATTTGCTAAAGTAGCTCACAGAACTCAGGGAAACACTTGATGATGGAAAAAACCAACTTCTGCCAAAAGATATTTAAAGAGGTTTATTCTGAGCCAATATAAGTGACTGAGGCATGGGTTACACAATCTCAAGTGGTCTTGAACAAGTTGCCTGAGGAAGTTGGGTTACAGTTTATTTCAGGGAGACAGAAATTGCAGATAAAATCATAAGTCAATATGTGGGAGGTATGCATTGGTTTGGTCTGAAAAGGTGGGACATCTCCAAGAGGGGGCTTACAAGTCCAAGGTGGGTTTTAGAGGTTCTTTAGTCAACAATTGGTGGAGAAAGTTAAGCTATTGTCTCAAGACTTGAAGTCAGTAGAAAGGAAATCCTGAGTTAAGATAAGGAGGTTGTGGAGGCAATGGATCTTGTTGTAGAGATGAAGCCTCAAAAGCAGCAGTCCTTAGAGAGAATAAATAGTGTCTCTTTTCAGATCTTAAAAGATGTCAGGCTCTCATTTAATCTCTCCTAGATCTAGGAAAGGCCTAGAACAAGCTTGTCCAACCTGCAGCCTGTGGGCTGCATGCAGCCCAGGATGGCTTTGAATGAAGCCCAACACAAATTTGTAAAGTTTCTTAAAACATGAGATTTTTTTGCAATTTTTTATTTTTACTTTTTTAGTTCATCAGCTGTCATTAGTGTTAGTGTATTTTATATGTGACCCAAGACAATTCTTCTTCTTCCATTGTTGCCCAGGGAAGCTGTTATAAGTAGTCAGAGAGGTGTGAGCAGGGCAGGAGAGGGCTCTCCTTCACCCACCAGGAATGTTGGGTGATGGTTTGGCAGTTATCACACTGCCTCTCTAAAAGTGATAAGTTGACAGTCAGTGCCAGGGTGAGGCCATGTCCTGATGGTCCATACCTGTTGCACTAAAGTGTTAATTAAATGCAGATGCCAGGGAGGAGAAGCAACTTCCCAGGCAAGCACATTAAGAGACAAAATGGTGAAGTATGACCTTCTAGGGGCACTCCACTGCTAAAGGAAAGGAAGTCTCAGACAAACATGCTTACAGCTTCCTAAACACATGGCATGTGCTCATGTTAAGCATAAGAAAGGCACTGTGCATGCAGGCAGCCCACCCTAAGGGAAGTATCATGGGAAAGGGGCCAGCCTACAAAGTCTTAGGATCAAGGTCAAACATTACACTTGACCTTCATATGCCTACTTGGGTCTCTTCCAAGCATACTTTCTCTTTCTTTCCTGCTCTAAAGCCTTCTTAAATAAACTTCCACTCCTGCTCTGAAACTTGTCCTGGTCTCTTTTTCTGCCTTATGCCTCCCCAGTTGAATTCCTTCTTCTGAAGAGGCAAGAATTGAGGTTGCTGCAAACCCATACAGATTTTCCGCTAGTGACTCAGATACCTTCCACTGGTAACAAAGCCAAAACATTAGACATCCCTGGCCTAGAAAGAAACAACCTGGCTGCTTTAATGGAGATTCTCTAGAGATGCAAATTTTGCCTACAAAAGACAACTTTGTGGGGCCATTTCAGTCTGTTGGCCCAGTGGCAGCCAATTCAAAATATGTCAAAGAAATATATTTTGGAGTAAAATAATTTGATTTCTTTCAGAGACTGCTATCTGTCACATGATGCTGTACTAGAGTCAGATTGGAAAGGAAGTCCTATTATTCTGGGTTAATAAAAACCTCTCTAATGAGATTTTATGGTTTATAGGATGTGACTCCCTAGGCCCCTTAGATAGAAATTTGGGCAAGACAAAATCAAAATGTCAGAGTTTAGTCTTTACCCTTTATATACTTTTGCCAGTTTATTATGAAGATTATTACAGAGGATACAAAGGAGCAGCCAGATTGAAGAGATGCATGGGGAAAGTGTGTGGGAAGGGGCGCAGAGCTTCCATGCCCTTTCCTGGTGCTCCACTGTCTCAGGACAGTATTTGGTGATCCACAAGCTCCCTTAACCCAATTCTTTTGGGTTCTTATAGAAGCTTCATTACACAGGCATGATTGATTACATCACTGGTCATTGGTGATCAACTTAACCTTCAATCCTTCTTCCCTCCCTGTAATCTTGCCTTAGTTTTTCTGATGCCCAATCCCCATCCTGAAGCTATCTTGGAGCCCCCCAGCCACTAGTCATCTCATTAGCCTAGCAAAGACACTCATCACTCCAGAGATTCCATGGGTTTCAGTAACCGTATGTTAGGAAACAGGGAGGGAACACCAAATATATATTTCACAATTTTGTAATCAAATACCCCATTTTTAAAAGGGAAAAAAAAGTATTATTTTGAATATTTTTTATTTTCCCCCACCTTCTACTTAGCTCTTTAGGAATGCAATTATATCATTTACCTTTTCTCCACCAGACACTCCCTACACAGCAAGCTTATCTAACTATGTGTTACTTAGAAGTTCCAGAGACTGAACCGTGAAGCAAACCAGGCGCCGCTGAAACTCTCTCCCACTAAGAGACTGCCTCAATTTACAACCCAGCTCTGCACACAATCATGCCAGTCACACCACTTGATAGATAAGACATCTGAAGCAAGTCACATAGACCCCACACCTCCTTACCCTTTACACCAAACCCCTCCAGCCCCCTTTAAAAGACCCTGCTTTCTGCTCCAGAAGCTGAAGCGGTACCCTCAAGACAGGAGCCTGTACAGCTTCCTCTCAGCAAGCTCTGGAATAAAGTCACTTTCTTTCTACGGACCTCGCTGTTGTTAATTGGACTGTGCAAGCAGCAAGTGGTGGGACCTGCATTTGGTTATAGTATCACAAAGGGGTACTGGAGGAGGTGATGGTAAAGATGAAGGTGAAATGGGAGATAAAAGAGAAAGTGGTAGAGAAGGAGCATTGTGTTCCATTCAGCTTCAACATAAGCCACCTTGGTTTTGATTCTTTTGAATATTGGTTCTAGGCAAACTTTTACATGAAATAAAGGGTTCTATTGCTAAACAATAGAAAGCTCCTTATCTATTGCAACTGTCCATTCTTGCAAACTAAATAATTGAAGCACAAGAAGATTTTGGAGTATGGGTAACAATTACTATATTATTATTAGCTAATAATATATATTATTAGCTAGAAAGTCAACCTTAAATAACAAAATTTAAAAATTATGATTAAGTGTAGCATTTATTTGAGCTTCAAGAAGCTTCAGGATGGCCACCTGGGAGCATAGATTCAAGTTGTCCTGAGTGTACATTTTGAGAAGCATCAGTTACAGGTGAGTTTTTAAAGAAAAAAAAGGGGGCAACTCCTAAGTTGTTTACCAAGAATTTACATTAAAATAGCATAGGCTATTGATTGGCTATATACGTTGTGCTTTGTATCACAAATTCCAAGAACATGAAGATAATGGGTAATGCAGCTACCCAAGAACAAAATGTCTATAAACAATTGCCCCAGGGCATGGTGGCCACCCCCTTCCTCTCACATGACTGAAGTCGCACACTCTTGTCTGTCTGGGATTGATAAATTTTCCTTACCTCAGGTACTCTAACTGCTCTGGGCTGTTTTTCTTTTCTCATAAGGAAAATTTGGATATGAATTCAGATTTCTGACTCCCAGGCTCTTTCTCATTCTGGTGCTCCATCCTTGATGCCCACAGAACATAGGATAAAGAATAACTTTAGTCTAATGTGAACATGGACTTTAACATTATCTTAATATGTTTTCTCCATAAACTTAAATCATACTGGAAATTTATTTATTTATTTATTTGAGATGGAGTCTTGCTCTGCTGCCTAGGCTGAAGTGCTGTGGAGCAATCTGCAACCTCTGCCTCCTGGGTTCAAGTGATTCTCCTGCCTCAGCCTCCCAAGTAGCTGGGATTACAGGTGTACACCACCACACCCAGCTAATTTTTGTATTTTTAGTAGAAATGGGGTTTCACTATGTTGGCCAGGCTGGTCTCAATCTCCTGACCTCAAGTGATCTGCCCACCTTGGCCTCCCAAAGTGCTGAATTACAGGCGTGAGCCATGGTGCCTGGATGAAATTTATTTATTTATAGCCAATCTTACTTCATAAAAAATGTGAGGTGGCTTACAACAATAAATATAATGAAATTATAGTAAACAAATTAGGAATTTAGGGGAGGGAAGATTAAGATAAAGCTGTAGGCACAGAATATCTATAGTAGGATCTGAATGGTTGCAGAAGTGAATTATAAATGGATTCTGAGCTTGGTAGGGTCAGTGCAGGGAAGACCAATTAAACACAACTTACTTGAGTTTCTGGCATCCTGAAAATGTATGAAATTAAAAGCTGGGAAAAAGACAAGGAAAAAACTTCTGGACAAACAAAAGTAACCGCTTTGGCCTGCTTGTCAGTTCTTACATAAGGCATCCTTATTTTCCTTTGCTGAGATGTACTCAGGCTCCAAGTGCCTGAACATAATGTGGAGAGTTAAAATAGAGAGCTGCCTCAATTCCCAAAGCGCCTTGCATCTTGTCATTTTAAAAGTAAACTGTAGTGTTGCTTTAATGTTTTGTGTGTGTGTGTGTTTGTGGGTGTGCTCACACTCATTTTTATTAAACATATGCTCCCAGCCACATTCCATTTGGCAAGATCACAAGCGCATAATAGCTACAAGCTGTTAACAAAACAAAACAAAACGAAACAAAAGGACTTAACTAGTTGTTTATTTTAAAGATAAATAAGACCTTCTAAGCCACTTTAAACATTCATTTACACATTTTTCGATGTGCATGCTATCTTTTCTGCTGTCTTTGAGTCTCTATTTACTCACTCCTGTGTAAAGATGAATATTGTAATTGTACTTGATGCAAACATTGAAAAATCTGTGTTTACATTTGTGTTTCCAACTGAATATGCTAATAGTGTTTAATCAGCAGTGATGTTGCTTTATATCAATGTTTTGTGCAGCATACAGTCTTAGTGATAATGTTGTGATAACCAAATTTTCCCACATCAAAACTTGGAAACTATCCCGGTTTTGGAACAACCCTTTGATTCCAAAATATGAGGAAATCCTTTAATCTTCCTCAGGATTATTTCTGTGTTTTCAAGAAAACATTAAATAGCTCCTTTGTTTTATTAAGGGAGGGGGATGGGAGACTGAACAGATTTATTCTTACAGCAATCCAGGGATTTTGATATTCCAAACAAACTCACAAACTGGACAGAAGAATGTGCAGAAGGAGGTTCCAATGTGATGCCATTAGAAGAACAGCTGCAGGCTGCTGGGAGTTTGATTTGGGGATATTCTGTGGAGAAACTCAGCAGCATACTGTCCAGAAAAAACAAAAATAAAAGTAGCAGTTAAGTGTAAATGAGATGGACAATGACTGGCTTTTAGTGATGAATCTACACACACACAAAAATCCAAACTTCTAGTAAACTAAAGGCGGTATAGAGCTGGCCTGAGACTTGATGAGTTTCTGAATTTAGGCAAAAGAGTTACTACACATAAAGTAGTATACAAATACACTTAAAACATAAACACTCCTCTCTCCTCTCACAAAAAAAGCAAGATAACAATCACAGGCTCTAAACTTCCTTTTTGGAAATAGAGGTATTTCTTGTCTTTTGTGTATGTTCAAACTTGGAAATTCTTTTTTTCCAGTGGGTGTATGAGAGCTCTGCTCTTTTTTGATGGAAAATTGACACACTTTTTAAGAAACACTGTCATTTGGAATACAATTCACACTTTGCATTTTAACTGTGTTGAATTGTACAGATTCTCTGTAATGCTGCTTTTCTCACAGGGCATAAAACATTTTGGTTCTTAGGCACTTAGTGAGGTACACTGCTTGAGATGTACAGATAGCTTTCATTAGCGCTAATGGGAGTTATGCTTCTGCACCAGGAGAGAATAGAGCCTGCAGATTTTAAATTATGCTTGATGCAAATCTTCCAGATGGAATAAATTATGAGAGATGCTTAGGGGTAAAAGGTCTAAATATCCCCTAAAGCTATAGTTTAATAGCAAAGCAATACTTTTGAGTAATGAAAGTAGAGTCAACAGTAATGGCTTTGCTGCTATCACTGTTAAGTAGCTGATGTTGACTCTTAAAAAAATTCTTATTGGATTAGTGCTGCACTTGAATTCCATTATTTTCTGAAGGACCTGTGATATAGTTCTCTATCTTGAATAGTCCACTAAGATGGATTCCATCTGGTTCAATTTTCAAGGCCATTTATCTTAAATTTAGTAAATTGCCAATAGGCCAGCACAATACCAAGGAGGTCTTTATATCTGTTTCATAATAACTCTTGTGAAAAATACTGTTTCCTATATAATTCACTTCGGGCCATATCTTTTACTTTCTTATTTTTAAAATGTTTATACCTAATTTTGCTTTGAGGATTATTGCCTGGAGCTCTGAGATAATTGGAATCTTCTCCTATATTGTTCATTTTATGACATATCTCTTATCTTCTTGGCTTTAAAATATATTACATTTTAATTTATTTGAGACATTTGGCTTTGAGAATTATTGCCCCTCTCCCCATGCCAAGATAACTGAAAAATAGGAGAGCATTGTTTTCAGTTGAGAATTTTTAATCTTCAAATGGAAATTAAACGCTATATTTAATCAACACTTAACAACTATTATAAATAGAAAAGCGGTAAGGCATAGGGGCAGTAACAGAAGGATAGGATGTTACCAAGAGAAGACAAGATGACTATCAAAAGACCTAATCTACTGGTGAATTTACTGTGGTTCAGGCCACTTCTGAATCATTCAGTATTCAATGTTCGCTGGGCTTGGGAAAGCTAATATCAATTAAACTCAAGAGACTGAAGTAGACAACCTAGACTGACAATTTGTGAATATACGATGAGATGTTATCCTCTAGACTAGGATGGTGGTGCTTGCAATTCAGAAAACTTTTCTCACACCTGGAATCAATATACCCAGAAGTCAAATGAATAATTAGAAAGTTGTTCAGTAATGTTAAATAAAATTTTGGGGAGGTTATTGTTTTGGACTGAGCTCCTGCACTAGACTCCAATAGACCAGGTTAAACCTGAATGGAATCACTCAAGCTAGGTGCCATGTAGCAAACTGTACTTTAAAATGAGACAATTATCCCTTCCGCCAGCACCCTCCCCCCCAAAAAAAGAAAGAAAATTCATAGCAACCCATCAGAAGGGGCTCAGTCAACGTAAGCTGGCATGATAACAATGTCTCCTCTGCTTTAACCATATAAGGAAAGTAACTTTGAAATGATTAGTTCACCTTTTGTTCCTTGTTTCTGCTTTCTTCAGCCATTTCCTATTTTTTATTTTTATATTTTGAGACAGACTCTTGCTCTGCCACTCAGGCTGGAGTGCAGTGGTGAATCTTAGTTCGCTGCAACCTCCACCTCCTGGGTACAAGCTATTCTTGTGCCTCAGCCTCCTCAGTAGCTGGGATTACAGACACATGCCACCATGCCTGGCTAAGTTTTTTTTCTTTTTGTATTTGTAGTAGAGACGCGGTTTTGCTATGTTGCCCAGGCTGGTTGTGAACTCCTGGCCTGTCTCAGCCTCCCAAAATGCTGCGATTACAGGCGTAAGCCACTGAACCCAGCCAGACATTTCCTATCTATAAGTACTCACTGCCCATGTTCCAGAGGGTAGCTCTCTGAACCTCCTCTGGGTCTGAGGGCGGCCCAATTTGTAAATCATTCTTTGCTCAAATAAACTCTATTAAATTTATCCTGTCTAAATTTTTCTTTTCTCAGAGTGGGGTCTGAAAGAGACCCCCCACCCTCTCACCCCATGATGACCTTTGGAAGCAAGGAGCAAACAGGTGTAAGTATCCCACTGAGCCCCCTGTACTCAGTGGGATACTGAGTTTTTTGTTGTTGTTGTACGTTTGGAGGTCATCACTGTTAAGTCCTTCTTATATATGAACTCCACAATTTGTGTCAAGTTCTGTGAATTTATTTGAGCATTTTTGATCCAGACTGGGATTGGAAGTCATGACAGAAACTAGCCTGGGTCCTGTAAGGAGATTTTTTTTGCTGTACATTTGGCAGTAATCACTGTTAAGTCCTTCCCATACATGAACTCCACAATTTGTGTCAAGTTCTGTGAATTTTATTTGAGCATTTTTGATCCAGACTGGGATTGGAAGACATGACAGAAACTAGACTGGGTCCTGTAAGGAGGCTTCAGATACCTGACTGAGTTAGACGGAACCTGAACTAGCTTTAGTTAAGGATCGTAAGTAGGAAAGGTTTCAGGAAGACAGAGAATAATGGATTCACATAAATCCAAAGAGTCTGGGACTCCATCTCAGAATTTGTGCTTTTCTAGAGAAATGGGGAATCATAGGATCTTGGTAGCTACAATGGGGAAGTTTTAACCTAAACAAAATTCTCATAAATGGGGTGCATTGAAAAAAAAGGATCCCAAATACCTCAGAAACAATGGTATATATTTTTGATTAGCATGCAAAGGTTTCTCAGATATTTTTCTTTTGTATCCTCTGCCTTCTCTGTATCTGCTCTTTCACTTGGTTACCACCTAAACTTGAAGACCATAAAAAAATAATAATAGATAAGTGTTTGTTTATAAAATTGGGCTCTCCCTCAAGTCAAACAGATCTCCTTTTAATTTTATTACTGAAAATTATTTTTGATTTATACAGACTGTCCTTTATCCAATTCTGTATTAATAAGCTTTTAAGTTTGGATTTTTTTTTATATTTTCTCTCTTTTTTTTTTTTTCTGAAATAGGGTCTTGCTCTGTCACCCAGGCTGCAGTGCAGTGGTATGATCAGGGCTCACTGCAAACTCCACCCTAGACCCAAGTGATCCTCCCACTTCAGCCTCTTGGGTAACTGGAACTACAGGCACATCCCACCACACCTGGCTAATTTTAATTTTTTTTTTTTTACTTTCAACATTTATTTTAGATTCAGGGAGTATATGTGCATGATGCTGAGGTTTGGCATACAAATGATCCCATTGCCCAGGTAGTGAGCATGGTACCCAACAGTTAGTTTTTCAGTCCTTACCTCCTACTCTTCCTCCTGCTTCTAGTGGTCCCCAGTGTCTCTTGCTGCCATTTTTATGTCCAAGAGTATCCAATATTTAGCTCCCACTTATAAGTGACAACATGTGTTGTTTGATTTTCTGTTCTGAAATTAATTTGCTTAGGATAATGGCCTCCAGCTGCATCCATGTTGCTGCAAAAGACATGATTTTGTTCTTTTTTGTGGCTGCATAATATTCCATGGTATATACATACCACATTTTATTTATCCAGTTCACCACTGGTAGGCACCTAGGTTGATTCCTTGTCTTTGCAATTGTGAATAGTGCTGTGATAAACATAGGAATGCATCTATGTTTTTGGTAGGATAATTTATTTTCTTTTGGAAATATACCTAGTAATGGGATTGCTATGTCAAATGGTAGTTCTGTTTTAAGTTCTTTGACAAATTTCCAAACTGCTTTCTATAGTGGCTGAGCTAATTTACATTTGCACCAACAGTTCATGTTTCCCTTTTCTTCATAGCCTCACCAGCATCTGTTGTTTTTTGACTTTTTCATAATAGCCATTTTAACTGGTGTAAGATGGCATCTCATGGTTTTGATTTGCATTTCTCTGATGATTAGTGATGTTGAGCATTTTTTCATGTTTTTTGGCTGCTTGTGCATCTTCTTTTGAGAAGTGTCTGTTCATGTCTTTTGCTCATTTTTAATGGGGTTGTTTTTTGCTTGTTCAACTGTTTAAGTTCCTTATACATTCTAGATATTAGACTTTTATCAGATGCATAGTTTTCAAATATTTTCTCCCATTTTGTAAGTTGTCTGTTTACTCTGTTGATAGTTTCTTCTGCTGTTCAGAAGCTCTTTAGTTCACTTAGGTCCTACTTGTCAATTTTTGTTTTTGTTGCAATTGATTTTGAGGATGTGGGCATACTTTTTTTCCAAGGCTGATGTCCAAAATGGTGTTTTCTAGGTTTTCTTCTAGGAATCTTATAATTTAAGGCCTTACATTGAGTCTTTAATCCATCTTGAATTAATTATTGTATATAGTGAAAGATAGGGGTCAAGTTTCACTCTTCTGTGTATCACTAGCCAGCTATACCACAGCATTTATTGAACAGGGAGTCTTTTCCCTATTGCTTATTTCTTTGATTTTGTCAAAGATCAAATGTCTGTACATGTGCAGCTTTAATTCCGGGTTCTTTCTTTTATTCATTGGTCTATATGTCTGTTTTTGTACCTGTGCCATGCTGTTTTGGTTACTGTAGACTTATAGTATAGTTTGGTAATGAGATGTCTCCGGCTTTGCTCTTTTTGCTTAGCATTTCCTGGACTACTGGGGTTCTTTTTTGATTTCATATGAATTTTAGAATAGGTTTTTCTATTTCTATGAGAAATGATGTTGGTAGATTGATAGTGTTAAATCTATAGATTGCTTTTGGCAGCACTGCCATTTTAAAGATGTTCATTCTTTCAATCCATGAGCATGGAATGTTTTTCCATTTGTTTGTGTCATCTATTATTTCTTTCAGCCATGTTCTGTAGTTGTCCTTGTAGTGATCGTTCACCTCCTTGGTTAGATGTATTCCTAGGTATTTGTGTGTGGGTGGGGGTGGGGTGGGGGTGGGGAGGGGCATTGTAAATGGGATTGTATTCTTGATGTTATGCTCAGCTTGAATGTTCTTGGTTAGAAATACTACTGATTTTTGTACAATGATTTTGTATCATGAAACTTTATTGAAGTTGTTTATCAGTTCCAGAAGCCTTTTGGCAGTGTCTTTAGGGTTTTCTTGGTGTAAGATCATATTGTCTGCGAAGAGAAATAGTTTGACTTCTTCTTTTCGTATTTGAATCCCGTTTATTTCTTTCTCTTGCTCGAATGCACTGGCTAGGACTTCAGGACTATTTTGAATAGGAGTGGTGAGAGTGGGTATTCTTGTCTCATCCAGTTCTCAAGGGGAATGCTTCCAGTTTTTGCCCATTAAGTATGATGCTGGCTGTGGATTTGTCATAGATGGCTCTTATTATTTTGAGATATGATCTTTTGAAGCTTAGTTTTTTGAGGGTTTTTATCATGAAGGGATGTTGAATTTTATTGGGTGTTTTTCTCACACCTATTGAGATGATCATATGGTTATTGTTTTTTATTCCATGAAAGTGGTAAATCACATTTATTTATTTGCACATGTTGAGCCAATGTTGACTAACAGGAATGAAGCTTATTTGATCGTGATGAATTAATTTTTTTCTAATTTTGTGAATTTATTTTTTTATGTAGTTCTGGATTTGGTTTGCTAGTATTTTGTTAAGGATTTTTTTGTGTCTATGTTCATCCAGGTTATTGGCCTGTAGTTTTTTGTTGTTGTTGTTGTATTTTGCCAGCTTTTGGTATCAGGGTTATGCTGGTTTTGTAGACTGAGTTAGGAAGGAGTCCCTTTTAGATTTTTTGGAATCATTTTAGTAGAATTTGTGTCAGCTCTTTGTATGTCTGGTGGAATTCAGGTGTTAATCCGTCTGATCTGAGACTTTTTTGATTGGTAAATTTTTTATTAGTGGTTTAATTTTGGAACTCGATATTGGTCTGTTCAGGGTTTTAATTTATTTCCAATCCAATCTTGGGAGGTTGTGTGTTTCCAGGAATGTATCAATGTCTGTAGATTTTCTGGTTTGTGTGTATAGAGATGTTCATAGTCATCTCTGAGAATCTTTTATGTTTCTATGGGATCAGTTGTAATGTCACCTTTGTTGCTTTTGATTGTGCTTATTTGGATATTCTCTTCTCTTTTTTAAAATCTAGCTAGTGGTCTATTGATCTTGTTTATCATTTCATGAAACCAACTTTTGGTTTTTGGTACTTTGTATCAATTTTTATGTGTCAGTTTTATTTAGTTCTACTCTGATTTTAGTTATTTCTTTTCTTCTGCTGGCTTTGGGGTTAGTTTGTTTTGTTTTTCTAGTTCCTCTAGGTGTGATGTTAGATTGCTTATTTGAGATCTTTCTAACTGTTGAGGTAGGCTTTTAGCACTATAAACTTTCCTCTTAACACTACTTTTGCTATCTCCAAAAGATTTTGGTATGCTGTGTATCTGTTTTCATTTATTTCAAGGAATGTTTTATTTTTGCCTTAATTTTATTGTGTACCTAAAAGTCATTCAGAAGCAAGTTGTTTAGTTTCCATGTAATTGTGTAGTTTTTGAAGATCTTTTGGTATTGATTTCTATTCTTATTCCACTGTGGTCTGAGAGTAAGGTTGATATGTGATATGGTTTGGCTGTGCCCCACCCAAATATCTTCTTGAATTGTAACTCCCACAGTTCCCACATTTCATGGGAGGAACCCAGTGAGAGGTAATTGAATCATGGGGGCGGGTCTTTCCTGTGCTGTTCTCATGATAGTGAATAAGTCTCATGAGATCTGATGATTTTTAAATGGAAGTTTCCCTGCATGAGGGAAACTCTCTCTCTTTGCCTGCTGCCATCCATGTAAGACAAGACTTGCTCCTCCTTACTTTCCACCATGAGTGTGAGGCCTCCCCAGCCATGTGGAACTGTAAGCCCATTAAACCTTTTCTTCTTCCCAATATTGAGTATGACTTTATCAGTAGCATGAAAATGAACTAATACAATATGATTTAAATTTTTTTGAATTTACTGAGATTTACTTTCTAGCCCAGCATGTGGTGGATCATGTTTGGTGTGCAAATGAGAAGAATGTATATTCTGTGGCTGATGGGTGAAGTGTTCTGTAGATGTCTCACAGGTCCAGTTGGTTAAGTGTTGAGTTTAAGTCTAGAATTTCTTTGTTAGTTTTCTGCTTCTGTAACGTGCCTAATGCTGTCAGTGGGATGTTGAAGTCTTTTACTATTATTGGGTGGTTGTCTAAGTCTTTTTCAAATTTTAGTTTTTTATACTTTAATTTTATTTTTTAAATAAAATTTTTGTAGAGATGGCGGGTGGGGGTCTTACTTTGTTGCCCAGGCTTGTCTTGAACTCCTGGCCTCAAGTGATCCTCCCACTTCAGCTTCCCAAATTGCCCAGAATTACAGGCATTAGCCTGTAATTATAACTAAATTATAAAATCCCTTAAAGAAGTTCTATTCAAATTGTCTTAGAGATAAATGAATATTTATATCAATTACGTATTCCCAAACCTCTCAGAAAAATAGAAGATGACCCAAATGTTTTTAAGTTCACAAGGTCTGGGGAAATCTCTGGTAATAATTTTAAAATTGTTGACAAAATAAAAATAGAAATGTTTTTAAAATTGTCAGCATTAAGTATAATGCAGACATACTTTTAATTTTAACCTGAATTTATTAGTCAAACAACCTTATGTTATCTCCTAGATGTTAAGACCATAAAACTACAAATCTAACTTAAGAGAAGGAATGCAGAGTAAAACTAAATTACTTTTTGCATGTCAGTCATGGAAGTAAAAACAAAAAACAGAGGAAATAATATGTTTAACTTTTTGATTTTAATTTTAATTTCTTTGCTTCTGTATGTTTTTGATACTTGTTTGATATATCAACAAAAATAAAACAGCTTAAAATGATAGTATAGGCAAAGGAAAACTTTCTCTCTACCCTTTAAGGATTTGATAACTAAATCTATGAAATAAATAAAAGACAGATTTACAGGAGAAAAGGTATACAAATTTGTTATGTGCATGGGACATCATAGGAATGAAAAGTAAATACCTCCCCCTACCCAACCACCACCACCACCACCAACAGTGATATTTAAAAGCTTATATACCCTCTTCATAGGGGAGAAGGAAGAGAAAATGTAGACAACCTAGGGGAGAGTAAATAATTCCTGGGAAAGATGAATGGGTCCTTATTAGAATAGATGATAGTTTGTAATGACACTTATCTGAGATCGACTTCTAGTCTCTTCTCCTGGAATAGGAGTTGGTCTTTCCTGGTTAATAAAACTCTTGGGGGAGGGGATTGATGACCAAGTTCCTTGGAGTATTATCTCTAGGCTAAGGAGGGTCAGAAAAAGCCTAACCCTGCATTTGCTGCTTTTCAACTGTCTTCAGCTTAAACTAATGTACCAAAGTAGCATATTTTGGGGTGACACTTCCCAGACTCGTCAATAGCTAGCTAGCTTTATTTATTTATTTATTTATTTATTTATTTATTTATTTATTTATTTATTACAGAGTCTTGCTCTGTTGCCCAGGATGGAGTGCAGTGGTACGATCTTGGCTCACTGCAGCCTCCACATCCCAGGTTCAAGTGATTCTTGTGCCTCAGCTTCCCAGGTAGCTGGGATTACAGGCACACACCACCACGTCTGGCTAATTTTTGTATTTTTAGTAGAGATGAGGTTTCTGCATGCTGACCAGGCTGGTCTCAAACTCCTGACCTCAAGTGATCCACCCTTCTTGACCTCCCAAAGTGCTGGGATTATAGGTGTGAATCACTGTGCCCAGACTGTTTAATGTTTTAGGAAATTTTTCATGAGGAGTTCAAGAATAATTGTTAAAAAATGAGTGAATGAGGTAAATGTATGTGAAATAAAAGTTTACAAAATTTCAAAAATAATTACGTTTTATGCAACATGTCTATTTAAAAGTAGTTTCAAAAGTTCTTTTTAGTAACTTGAAACATTAAAGTTATGTTATATTAGATAATATATATTCATTAAATGTCTAAGTTATTTCTAAGTAAGTTAAAATATTGAAGCAGTAATTACTGAATATATGTTTAGTTTATATACTTTTGGCATCTTGTCATTTCACAGCTATAGAGAAGCTGGAAATATTTGGGTTTGTTAATAAACATAAAAATTATACTATAAAAACATGCATGCTTTTAGAAATGAAAGATACTGAAAGTAATTGTAATTGGTATATTTAATTAAAACTATTAGCTATAATAAAGAAAACAACTATATGTGAGGAAAGTAAGATGTATTTTTAGTAAAGAAAGTAGTAAAGTATGAGGATGTGTTTTGTTTAAGGAAAAAAAAATTTGAAAGACAAATTTTAATGTGTGGTCAAATTAGCTAAAATTAAATGAATTATTGTGTTTTAAAAATGAGCCTTAATATCAAAATTGTATTGGCAAAAAACTAGAAACTGATTTTCCTCCTGTTAAAGGAACAAAGTTTTTTTTAATGAAAGGTTTTTATTTCTTGAGTGATATGCCTAGAAAACAAAAATTCTGCATTGTATTAAGATAATTTCTTATGTTTCATGTTAAGATAATTTCTTGTGCTTCATCCCTTTTTTTTGAGATAGTGTCTTGCTCTGTCACACAGGTAGGAGTGCAGTGGCGCAATCATGGCTCACTGCAGCCTTTATCATGTCTTTGATTACTTAAGAAAACTGACTTCTCTCTACTAAAATAACTAAGGTTTTTTCCTACAACTATTTAACATTTTGAATTTGCCTTTGAAGTCTTTAATTATCATTCTGGTTAAATAAGTATGTAAGTATCTTTTCACAGTTACCTGTGGTCTATTTAGTCAAGTGTTTTAAGCCTTTTGACATTTTTGTTGTCCTTAAATCAAATTCTGAATTAAGTTATTTTGACCTCCACTAACTTTGGGATGTTTCAGAGATTCCCTAGAATATCTCAAAATAATTTGTTCACTCTCCTTACAAAAAAAGATATGTTAAATTAATTAGGCTTATTTGGTATTTTAAATTAAATGAAAAACATTGTGTCACTCAGATAATAAGTGACCCTAAACCATTTTTTTTTTTGAGAAAAGGTCTCACTCTGTTGCCCTGGCTGCAGTGCAGTGGCACAATCATGGCTCACTGAAGCATTAATCTCCTAGACTCAAGCTATCTTCTTCCATCAGCCTTCTGAGTAGCTGGGACTACAGGCATGTGCTACTATGCCTTGCTAATTAAAAAACATTTTTTTTTTTTAAAGACAGGGTTCTACTATGTTGACCAGTCCTGGGCTCAAGTGATCCTCTAGCTTCAGCTTCCCAAAGTGCTAGGATTACAGACATAAGCCATCATGCCTGGCCTGATACTTAGTGTTTTTAAAGTTATATTTATTGGTGTGTTATTGATATGAGCATGCCAGAAATTACATGGAATTCCTAGAAATATGATTTATTCTGGTATAATATTATTAGTCATGATCTTGGTTGTTATATTAAAGTATTATATGACACAAAAAGTATGAAATTCTCTTGTCAATTGCATTATAATGAACTCTCATCACTTTTTTTTTTAAATTGAAACAGTGTCTTGCTCTGACACACAGGTTGGAGTGCAGTGGCACAATCATGACTCACTGTAGCCTTGATCTCCCCAGCTCAAGCGATCCACCTCAGCCTCCTGGGTAACTGGGACTACAAGCATGAGCCATCACACCTGGCTAATTAAAAAAAAAATTTTCTTGTAGAGTCAAATCTGACTATGTTGCTCATGCTGGTTGAACTCCTGGGCTCAAGTGGTATTCTCACCTAGGCCTCTTAAAGTGCTGAGATTACAGGCCTGAGCCACGACACCTGACCTCTCATCACAATTTCAACCATGGCTATCCTAAGTCATGTCATCCACAGACAGTTATTTTACTGTGACTTTTTTTTTTTTTGGATACTGAGTTTTGCTCTTATTGCCCAGGCTAGAGTGCAGTGGTGCAATCTCGGCTCACTGCAACCTCTGCATTTTGGTTTCAAGCAATTCTCCTGACTCAGCCTCCCAAGTCGCTGGGATTACAGGTGCCTGCCACCATGCCCAGCTAATTTTTTTTTTTGTATTTTTAGTAGAGACGGGGTTTCACCATGTTGGTCAGGCTGGTTTTGAACTGCTGACCTCGTGATCCACCTGCCTCAGCCTCCCAAAGTGCTGGGATTACAGGTGTGAGCCACTGCCCCCGGCCTTACTCTGATATTTTTATAAAACTATAACTTGAATGTGTTTTGTCTTAAAGGAGATTCATGGAAAGGACTTTAAGAAGTATAGTTTTCTGATAACTTTAAGATTACACCACTGGACTGAGTAAGAATTTCCAGAAATCTAATGAAGAAACTGATGAGTTGATGAAACTGCTAACCAGGATCAAACAGAAAAAGAATTAATTACATGTGATTGAATGCACTGATGAGGATAAATTTTTATGATTTTTCATTTGAAATTTTGCAGTTTTTTATTTTAATATTTTATTTTCCAGAATTAAGAAAGTGTTTTCTTTTAAGCTGTCCATAGCTTATAGCAATTTGGTAAAGTATATCTTTGTAAACAGAGACAAAACAAGTACTTTTGCCCCTGCCTGATCTCTCCAGAATTTGTGAATATTCTTATTTTTATGGAAACATAGTTATTTGCTATGTTTAACAAAAATCTGTTCTTTTTAAATAAGTTAGTTGGAAATATTGATTATAATAACAACATTTTGACTGGAATGTCATATTTGAGAATGTGCATAGAAAACATGCCTTCGAGGGATTCCTTGGTCTTACAAAAAGAAGGCCCAGGAAACTTAAAAGTATTTGGGGAAACTTGAGAAAAGAGAAAATCCATCGAAGTTTATAGGTATTACAGCTAAGTCTGATGGTGAGGCTTGGCTTCCTAGTTTCAAGAGCCTTTTAACAGTCTAATCTGAGATTCCTTATTAAAAGTTTCAGCAAAGTAGACTTAAAAAGAGACTGTTTAGTTAATCACGAGTCTTGCTATACTGGGTAGGTGATTAGGCTGTGTTTAATGAGACCTGTTTTGCAGGTTGATTGACCTTGCAATGATTGTCTTTGAGATGGGGGTGACTATGGAGAGAAAAAATTATATTTCTTAAGGAAACTATACCCATTATCATATTCTAGCCTTGTTCATTGTTTCTGAGTATTTATTACCTGCCTGTACACTTGACTGAATCCTGAATCCTTCTAGCCAATATCTGGCTGTGATTCTTCAAACTAACATTTCCAGTTTTCTCCCACCTTTTTAACTTGGAATGACTGAGAACAAAAACTGCCCCTTTCCTGAAGCTCTGAAAGCTGAAACTGGGTGACTTGACATAGACTTCAGAGAAATGATAACAACAGTTTATGTATAGACAATCTTGTGGTATGATTGAGTGGAAAGCGTGCCAAATAAGTATGGTATTCATGATGAGGGACTGTTGAAAGGATAATGGCTGTGCACATGTGTAGAAGGGAGTTGTCAACATTTTCACTTATGGAAAAAACCCAGTCTCAGACATTTTTGAAACATGGCTTTTCTCAGAATCTGCATGCAGAAAGAAAAGAGCGAATTATCAACCAGTCAGAAACCAAGTGACTATTCATCTCAGTTTTGAATGTATTAGTTTTACAAATTCTCTTTACATGTTAATACACCTTCCCCTATCTCCTTACTTTCTAGAATTGTTGTGGAATTCATAGAAGGAGGTCCTAGGGCCAGGAGTGGTGACTCATGCTTGTAATCTAAGCACTTTGGGAGGCCAAGGAGGGTGGATCATGTGAGGTCAGGAGTTTGAGACCAGCCTGACCAACATGGTGAAACCCTGTTTCTACTAAAAATACAGAATTATCCTGGCTTGGTGGCATGTGCCTGTAATCCCAAATACTCAGGAGGCTGTGGCAGGAGAATCACTTGAACCTGGGAGGCAGAGATTTCAGTGAGTGGAGATTGTGCTACTGCACTCCAGCCTGGGCAACAAGAGCAAAACTTCATCTCAAAAAAAAAAAAAAATGGAAGGAGGTCTTGTATTCACAAATAAATTCACAACATACATTGAGAAGTGATTCAAGTGCATCTTTAAAAAATAGGAAAAATAACAGTAAACATGGATAAATTATAAATCTAATCAGAGATGCAGATACATATTTTGAAGACAAGAGGAATCACAGTAAACAAGGTAAGGTATTCTTAAGTAGATATACATTTGACAAGAAAAAGAGTCACAGTATTTGTTCAGAAGTACAAAGACAGTATGACATTGAAGTTGTAAAACATTAAGAATAGTTTTTATTAGTTGAGTTTTTAACTTTCAGAATATATAAAGGGGTACATGTGTATGTGAGAGGTGATGCCAGCTGGACTTCCTGGGTTGAGTGGGGACTTAGAGAACTTTTCTGTCTTACAAGAGGTTTGTAAAATGCACCAATCAGTGCTCTGTAAAAATGCATCAATTAGCACTCTGTAGCTAGCTAGAGGTTTGTAAAATGGACTGATCAGCACTCTGTAAAATAGACTATGCAGCACTCTGTAAAATGGATCAATCAGAAGGACATGGGCAGGGACAAATAAGGGAATAAAAGCTGGCTACCCCAGCCAGCAGCAGCAACCTGTTCAGGTCCTCTTCCATGCTGTGGAAGCTTTCTTCTTTTGCTCTTCACAATAAATCTTGCTACCACCCACTCTATGGGTCCATGTCATCTTTAAGAGCTGTAACACTCACTGAGAAGGTCTGCAGCTCCATTCTTGAAGTCAGTGAGACCACGAACCCACTGGAAGGAATAAACTCCAGACACATCTTGGGGGCTCATCCGGAATATCACCACGTGGTGAGTACCACTGGACCCCTTTGACTTGCAATTCTGTCCTGTGTTTCCTTAGAATTTAGGGACTAAACATTGGGCACCTGTCGGCCAGTTAAAAGCGAATAGTATGGCTGCCGGACTAAAGACACAGGGGTCAGGCTTTCTGGGAAAGGGCTCTCTAACAACCCCTAACTCTTCAGAGTTGGGAGCGTTGGTTTGCCTGGAACTAGCTTCCTCTTTTTCTGCATTTCCGGGCTCAGCCGAGGGTCGACAGAGAGGAAAACTGTTCAGCTCTAGGGTCCTGATAAAAAGTTCACTGACCCTGCAGTCATGAGTGGAACTCTCAAAGTCACATTGCCCAAGTGAGACTCACCCATCTATCCTATCTATCTTGACCCTTGCCTCCTGGGTCCTAACGCCTGTCAGACAAACCTCCTCCTACCTCTCTTCTCTGAGGCTAGTCCTTCTTCTGAAAACCATTCCCTGTTTCTGGTGTTTTTCTAGTTTCTCCTATAAGAATGATTTCTTGTATAAATTTCAGGACTCTGTCTCTTTCTTTAGGCACTAAGGCTCACCAATCAGACGGACATAATTTTTGCCCAAAGCCCCATTGGAGGGGCACCATCGGGAATTTCAGGATCCCTCCTCAGACTAGCAGGCCTGAGAAAAGCTATTCCTGAAGCTAGGATATGGGGGCCTCAGAAATTATATTCTTCCTATTCATATGATAAGTAAGAACAAAAGGCATCACTCTTCCAACCCTGGAGATCCCTTCCCTCCTTCAGGGTATGGCCCTCCACTCCATTTTGAGGCATATCATCTTTATAGGACAGGGGTAAGGTCCCAATACTAACAAGAGAAAATGCTTAGGATTCTAACAGGTTTTCGAGATGCGTTGGTAAGGGCCGCTAAATCTGATTTTTCTTGGTCCTTTTAGTGGTCTAAGAGGAAACGTAAGGGTGCAGGTTTTTTAGAATGCATTGGTAACGGCCACTAAATGTGACCTTCCTTGGTCCTCTTTGTGGTCTAGGAGGAAAATTAGTGTTTCTTCTGCTGTTTTGGTGAGTGCAACTATTCGGATCAGCAGGGTCCAGGGACCATTGTGGGTTCTTGGACGGGGGTGGGGGGTGGGAACAAACAAACCAAAACCATGGGCATTTTTCTTTCAGATGGGAAACTCTCAGGCAACAACAGGCTCACCCTTGAAATGCATCCTAAGCCATTGGGACTAATTTGACCCCCAAACCCTGAAAAAGAAGTGGCTTATTTTTTTCTGCACTATGACCTGGCCCCAATATTTTCTCTCTGATGGGGAAAAATGGCCATCTGAGGGAAGTATAAATTACAATACTATGCTGCAGCTTGATGTTTTCTGTAAAAGGGAAGGCAAATGGAGTGAAATACCTTATGTCCAAGTTTTCTTTTCATTAAAGGAGAATCCACAACTATGCAAAGCTTCCAATTTACATTCCACAGAAGGACCTCTCAGCTTACCTCCATATCCTAGCCTTCCTACAGCTCCCCTTCCTATTAATGATAAGCCTCCTCTAATCTCCCCCACCCAGAAGGAAACAAGCAAAGAAATCTCCAAAGGACCACAAAAAGCCCCAGGGATATCGGTTGTGTCCCCTTCAACTGTAGGGGGAGGGGAATTTGGCCCAACCTCTGTACATGTCCCCTCCTCCCTCTCTGATTTAAAGCAGATCAAGATAGACCCAGGGAAGTTTTCAGAAGATGCTGATAGGTATATACATATCCTACAGGGTCTAGGGCAAACCTTTGACCTCACTTGGAGAGATGTTATGCTATTGTTAGATCAAACCCTGGCCTTTAATGAAAAAAATGCAGCTTTAGCTGCAGCCCGAGAGTTTGGAGATACCTGGTGTCTTAGTCAAGTAAATGATAGGATGACAGCTGAAGAAAGGGAAAAATTCCCTACTGGTCAGCAAACCATCCCCAGTATCCCCACTGGGATCTCAACTCGGATCATAGGGACTGGAGTCACAAACATCTGTTGATGTGTGTTCTAGAAGGACTAAGGAGAATTAGGAAAAAGCCCATGAATTATTCAATGATGTCCACCATAACTCAGGGAAAGGAAGAAAATTCTTCTGCCTTCCTCAAAAGGCTATGGGAGGCCTTAAGAAAATATGCTCCCCTGTCACCCAACTCCATCAAGTGTCAATTGATCCTCAAAGATAAGTTTATTACCCAATCAGCCACAGATACAGGAGAAAGCTCCAAAAGTGAGCCCTGGGCCCTGAACAAAATCTGGAGGCATTATTAAACCTGGCAACCTCAGTGTTCTATAATAGAGACCAAGAGGAACAGGCCGAAAAAGAAAAGCAAGATCAGAGAAAGGCCACAGCCTTAGTCATGGCTCTTAGACAAACAAACCTTGGTGGTTCAGAGAGGACAGAAAATGGAGCAGGTCAATCACCCAGTAGGGCTTGTTACCAGTGTGGTTTGCAAGGACACCTCAAAAAAGATTGTCCAATGAGAAACAAGCTGCCCCCTCGCCCATGTCCTCTATGCCAAGGCAATCACTGGAAGGCACACTGCCCTAGAAGGCAGTGGTTCTCTGGGCCAGAAGCCCTCAACCAGATGATCCAACAACAGGACTGAATGTGCCTGGGGCAAGCACCAGCTCATGTCCTCACCCTTACTGAGCCTTGGGGAGGTTTAACCATTGACGGCCAGAAAATTGACTTCCTCCTGGACACTGGCATGACTTTCTCAGTGTTAATCTCCTGTCCCAGATGGCTGTCCTCAAGGTTCATTACCATCTGAGGAATCCTGGGACAACCATAACCAGGTATTTCTCCCAGGTATTTCTCCCACTGCCTCAGCTGTAATTGGGAGACTTTGCTTTTTTCACGTGCCTTTCTTATTATGCCTGAAAGTCCCACACCCTTATTAGGGAGGGATGTGTTAGCCAAAACTGGAGCTATTATCTATATGGATACAGGGAACAAGTTACTCATTTGTTTTCCCCTACTTGAGGAGGGAATCCACCCTGACGTCTGGGCATTGGAAGATTGGAAAGACTATTCAGAAGGGCAAAAAATGCCTGCCCAGTCCAAATCAGGCTAAAAGACCCCACAACTTTTCTGTATCAAAGGCAATATCACTTAAGGCCTGAAGCTCATGAAGGATTATAAGATATTATTAGACATTTAAAAGCTCAAGTCTTAGTAAGAAAATGCAGCAGTCCCTGCAACACCCCAATTCTATGAGTAGAAAAACTGACTGGTCAGAGGAGACTAGTGCAAGATCTTAGACTCATAATTGAGGCAGTAATTCCTCTATATTAAGTTGTACCCAACCCCTATACCCTGCTCTCTCAAATACCAGAGGAAGCAGAACGGTTCACTGTTCTGGACCTCAAAGATGCCTTCTTCTGCATTCCCCTGTGCTCTGACTTCCAGTTTCTCTTTGCCTTGAGGATCCCACAGACCACACATCCCAAATTAAGTGGACGATCTTGCCCCAAGGGTTTAGGGATAGCCCTCATCTGTTTGGTCAGGCACTGGCCCAAGATCTAGGCCACTTCTCAAGTCCAGACACTCTGGTCTTTCAGTATGTGGATGATTTACTTTTAGCTACCAGTTCAGAAGCCTCATGCCAGTAGGCTACTCTAGATCTCTTGAGCTTTCTAGCTAATCAAGGGTACAAAGTATCTAAATCAAAGGCCCAGCTCTGGCTACAACAAGTTAAATATCTAGACCTAATATTAGCCAGAGGAACCAGGACCCTCAGCAAGGAATGAATACAGCCTGTACTGGTTTATCCTAGCTCTAAGACATTAAAACAGTTGCAGGGGTTCCTTGAAATCACTGGCTTTTGCTGACTATGGATCCCTGGATACAGCGAGATAGCCAGGCCCCTCTATACTCTAATCAAGGAGACCCAGAGGGCAAATACTCATCTAGTAGAATGGGAACCAGAGGCAGGAACAGCCTTCAAAACCTTAAGGCAGGCCCTAGTACAAGCTCCAGGCTTAAGCCTTCCCACAGGAAAAAACTTCTCTTTATATGTGACAGAGAGAACAGGAATAGCTCTTGGAGCCCTTACTCAGACTTGTGGGACAACCTCACAACCAGTGGCATACCTAAGTAAGGAAATAGATATGGTAGCAAAAGGTTGGCCTCACTGTTTACAGGTAGTTGTGGTGGTGGCCATCTTAGTATCAGAGGCTATCAAAATAATACAAAGAAAGGATGTCACTGTCTGGACTACTCATGATATAAATGGCATACTAGGTGCCAAAGAAGTTTATGGCTATCAGGCAACTGCCTGCTTAGATACCAGGCACTACTCCTTGAGAGACTAGTGCTTCGAATATGCACGTGTATGGCCCTCAACCCTGTCAATTTTATCCCAGAGGATGGAGAGCCAATTCAGCATGACTGCCAACAAATTATAGTCCAGACTTACGCTGCCCAAGAGGATCTCGTAGAAGTCTCCTTAGCTAATCCTGACCTCAAGCTGTATACCGATGGAAGTTCATTTGTAGAGAATGGGGTATGAAGGGCAGGTTATGCCACAGTTAGTGATGTAACAATACTTTAAGCCTCTTCCCTCAGGGATCAGTGCCCAGTTAGCAGAACTAGTGGCACATACCCAGGCCTTAGAACTGGGAAAGGGAAAAAGAATAAATGTATATACAGATAGCAAGTATGCTTATCTAATCCTACATGCCCATGCTGCAATATGGAAAAAAAGGGAGTTCCTAACCTCTGGGGGAACCCCTATTAAATACCACAAGGAAATCATGGAGTTATTGCACACAGTGCAAAAACTCAAGGAAGTGGCAGTCTTACACTGCCGAAGCCATCAAAAAGGGGAAGGAGAGGGGAGAACAACAGCATAAGCGGCTGGCAGAGGCAGGGAAAGACCAAGAGGGAGTCAAAGAGAGAGAGAGAGAGACAGGAAGAGACAGAGAGACAAAGAAGGAGTCAAAGAGAGAAAGAGAGAGGAAGAGACAGAGAGACAAAGAAGGAGTCAAAGAGAAAGAGAGAAAGAGAGAGATAGAAGTAGTAAAGAAAAAACAGTGTACCCTATTCCTTTAAAAGCCAGGGTAAATTTAAAACCTATAATTGATAGTTGAGGGTCTTCTCCATGACCCTATAACACTCCAATGCCACCTCGTTGTCAGTGTGAACAAGGGCATGGCCCAAAAGCACTGAGGCCACTGACAACCCATAGCTTTTCTATCAAGGATACTTAACCCAGCAGGTTTCCTAACAGGAGATCTAAATCTTAATTAATTACCATACAAGGTCTAGATCTAGGAGGAACACCCTTCAGGAGAGGACATAGACGGTTCCTCCTGGGCTGTTAAGGGAAAAAGGCACAATAGGTATTCAGTAAGTGATAAGGAAACTCTTGTAGAAGCAGAGTTAGGAAAATTGCCTAATAATTGGTCTGCTCAAACATGCGAGCTGTTTGCACTCAGCCAAACCTTAAAGTACTTACAGAACCAGGAAGGGGCCATCTATACAAATTCTAAGTTAATATGGACTGAACGAGGTCTTATTGATAGGAAAGAATAATTGAAATCCTAAACTTACAAGGTTTTCAATGGAAGTGAAGTGAAGTTTGCTAAAAGTTAACAATGTAACATGTATTATCCTAACTTCTAATCTTGTAGATATCGGACCCTATCAGGTCCCCTCAAAACTCAAGTCTGTCAGCGCAAGGCCGTACAACTAATATCCCTACTTATAGGGTTAAGAATGGCCACTGCTACAGGAACTGGAAAAGCAGATTTGTCCACTTCACTATCTTACTACCACACACTCTCAAAGGATTTCTCAGACAGTTTGCAAGAAATAAAATCTATCCTTACTCTACAATCCCAAATAGACTCTTTGGCAGCAGTGACTCTCCAAAACTGCTGAGACCTAGACCTCCTTACTGCTGAGAAAGGAGGACTTTGCACCTTCTTAGGTGAAGAGTGTTGTTTTTACACTAACCAGTCAGGGATAGCATGAGACGCTGTCCAGCATTTACAGGAAAAGGCTTCTGAAATCAGACAATGCCTTTCAAACTCTTATACTGACCACTGGAGTTGGGCGACATGGCTTCTCCCCTTTCTAGGTCCCGTGACAGCCATCTTGCCATTACTTGCCTTCAGGTCGTGTGTTTTTAACCTCCTTGTCAAATTTGTTTCCTCCAGGATCGAGGCCATCAAGCTACAGATGGTCTTACAAATGGAACCCCAAATGAGCTCAACTCACAACTTCTACTGAGGACACCTGAATTGACCCGCTGGCCCTTTGACTGGCCTAGAGAGTTCCCCTCTGGAGGACACTACAACTGCAGGTCCCCTTCTTCACCCTTATCCAACAGGAAGTAGCTAGAGTGGTCATTGCCCAATTCCCTACAGCAGTTGGGGTGTCCTGTTTAGAGAGGAAATTGAGAGGTGAAACCAGCTGGCCTTCCTGTGTCGAGTGGGGACTTGGAGAACTTTTCTGTCTTCCAAGAGGTTTGTAAAGTGCACCAATCAGCGCTCTGTAGCTAGCTAGAGGTTTGTAAAATGCACCAATTGGCACTCTGTAAAATAGACCAGTCAGCGTTCTGTAAAATGGACCAATCAGCAGGACATGGGCAGGGACAAATAAGGGAATAAAAGCTGTCCACCCCAGCCAGCAGCGGCAATCTGCTCAGGTCCCCTTCCACTCTGTGGAAGCTTTGTCCTTTTGCTCTTCACAATAAATCTTGCTACTGCTTACTCTTTGGGTCTGTGCCATCTTTAAGAGCTGTAACACTCACCGCGAAGGTCCACTGCTCCATTCTTAAAGTCAGTGAGACCATGAAACCACCAGAAGGAACAAACTCTGGACACATCTCTGTGTGTGTATTTCCCTTAAACCACTAAAATGAATATTTTTATGCTGGGATAATTTAACTTTGTTTCTGAAAATAATTTGTTTTATTTTTCTCTCCATTTTGTGTCAGTAGATTAAGCCTAGTACAATTATTTTAAATAGTGGTTTCAGGAGCTCAGACGATTTGTTCCAAACCAATGTTAGCTGGTTCCAGAAAGAGTTATATTTTGAATGAAGCTGTGAACAGAAACTCCATTTTTTTGCTTCAATTATTAGCTAAGACATATTATAATCTCATGTTTTATTATATGTGGGGCTAAGTGCTCATTGCTTAAATAAAATAAAACAACTAAAATGTGAACATGATTGTGTTGTAATAACAGATTTTCCTCAAAGTCTTTAGACAAGAACTGGCAGATACTTTGAAACAGTCATACCTCATGTTTGCAAAGTGTTAGATGTCCAGGAGGTGGCAGTAGTGAGCAATGATTAAAAGTATGGGCACATCCCTGGCTGAGAAGATAGATTACCTTTTCCCAAACAATATCTAACAAAGTGGCTCAGATGTGGCAGATATATAAAGACATCTAAGCAAATGAGAGACATTTTTTACAGACTGATAACTTTAAAGTCAGCTGGAGGAAGCTACTTCTTCCCAAACTTTATATTGTCTCCTTGATTCATTGGACCAACGTGACTATTTTAAAAAGTGACATTATGGAGATATTTTCTGGATCTATGAGAGGGGAGAAAGGCATGACAATGTCTTTCCAGTCAGGACAGATTAGTCTCATACTAGCATTGCTGGAGTGCCCAATCCAATTTAATTCACTATTGTCAAATGATCAGTCTGATTACACTTGAGTGTGTGTGTGTGTGTGTGTGTGTGTGTGTGTGCATGTATTTTAAAGGAGTATTTGAAGGGACATGCTGGTTGATGTATTTCCCTGTGGAAATTAGCCAGTGGTTGAAACTATGAAGTTATGTGAGTATATGTGTGATTCTGTGTGTGTTAGTTATCTATCACCGTATGTAGAGGCTTAAAAACAACATAAACATATCACTGTTCCTGAGGCTAGGAATTTGGGAGCAGCTTGGCTTGATTGTTCTGGCTTCAAGGCTCTCATGAGAAAGCAAGCAGATATCATTTGGCGCTACAGCAATCTGAAGACTTGACTGAGGCTTGAGGGTACCCTTTCATGGTAGTTAACTCCTACGGCTGGCAAGTTGAAGCTGATTGTTAGAGGGAGATCTCAGTTCTTCTTCTCCCTGTGTAGGCCTCCCTACAGGGCTGGTTGAGCATCCTTATGGTATGATGACAGGTTACACCAATGTGAGCAATCCAAAAAAAACAAGGCTGTAATACCATACAGCCTAGCCTTGAAAGTCACATACTATCACTTCTGTTGTACTTTAGTGATTTCATAGGCCAGCTCTGATTCAGTATGAAAGGAGACTAACATGGGAAATGAATGCAAGGAGGTGGGAATCACTGGGGGCCATCTTGGGGACTGCCTACCACAGTCTATAAAGAGAAGATGACTTTTGCAAATAGTTGGAGAAGAACATGTTTTCACTAGAAAGCCCTTGTGAATACTTGTCATCAGGTTGTGATGCTGAGTCACGGTATTATATATAGAAGTGCTGATATAAAACAGAAGACCATTGTGATTATCCTGTGGGGTAATTATGCTGGAATTACTATCAAAGACTGGTAGTGAAGAACCCCCTTCCCCCAGTTGTATCGTCATGTTAAAAAAGCAAAACCAAATACAAGCAACCAAAAAAAACAGGTCACTGTGGAATGGCTAAAAACATTCCTTTTTGTATTAGAGACTAATATGAAAAACCTGTCCTCTTTTGAAAGATATTTGTCTTCTACCTTAAAGGAAGAAGCTTGTAGTTTGTGAACATTCAAACACATGACACAAATAATTGCTAAGTTGTTTTATTCTGCTTTCTGCCAAGTACTTAGTGATTAAACTGTATTTCTCATTTCATCTTACTGTAGTATTGAAACTGTCATGTTCTGCTGAATAGAGCCATTTGTTTCTCCACACTGGTTGATTAGTGTTTTTGGTTGTCATTTTACTTGGCTGGCTTATATTCTGGTATATAATGACTAATTGGCCTGAACTTGGATGATGGAGAGTTGGGATGGGGAAGTGAGTGGGGGGCAAGGTGTCAGCCCACTATTGTCAGCCCATATTTCTAAATTTCTTCTTCCAGGACTCCACTGATCACTCATCTCAACATTTGTTTCCTTGGCATCTGCTTGACAAAAAAATCTCAATGTGGGTGACCAAAGGGATTCTGATATATAAACATTTATTTGACCAAGTAGAAGAATATCTGAGCAAACTACATCCCACAAAGGATTCTGGCCACTTGATATTGATTGGAGATTGTTTTAGGGCTATGAAACTTGGGGCATTGAAAACAATTTCTAATGAGTGAGGACCTCAGAAATACTATCAGAGAACTCTGCAAATTCAGGTTGTATTGATTCATGGACAGTAGCAAATCCATGCAGCACAGGATTTTCTTTCTAGATCTGTGTTCTAATGACCTCTAAGTTTCAGAATATTCTTTGTCTGGAATCTACTCAGATTATAGGCATTTTAGCTGCTATGGCATAGGTGAATGTTGCCAACCTAGTATCTGTCTTCTCTTTTTAGAACTCCCAATTTTTGTCGAGGCACATGGTTAACTGGAATAAAGACTATATTTACAATTAGTTATGGTTATAGGCCTAAAGTCTGGCCAAAGGGATATAAGTGGAAGTGTATGGCAGCTTCTGGGAAGTTTTCTTAAGATAGGTAGTAGGTGTACTTTGACCCTGCTTCACCCTACTTGCCTCCTGATGTTTACAGCTTAGGTATGTTTGTTGGAGGACCATGCTGAGTGAAGTATAAGAAATCATGAGATGGATGCCGAAAGCATTCTAAATCCTAGATAATAATGAAGCCAACATATCAGCACTTATTTGCTTATGTGGAAAAAAAAAAAACAAAACTTCTCTTTATTGAAGCTACTGCTGTTTTGGTGGAGAACCTCATTGTTGGGTGTTTGTAAGGCTTGTGTGAAAAAAGGTTATGCAGTCTTTCAAAGTGCTGTTAATCACAAGTTATTGCTATTCACTTTGTAGTCTATGTAGACATAAACTATGGCACTTTTCATGTGATAGATAGGCAGGGATAAGTTACTTTAGTAGCATCACAGGGGAGAATCTCAGCACTTCGGTGCAGCCTGCCTACCCTGATGCTCCAGCTGCTGTCACTTTTGCTGCCAAGAAAGCAGCTGCCTCCCCTGCTTCCCTGCTGGCTCTGGTGCACATTTGTGGGTGGTTCATCATGGGACACACTCATTGTTTGTGTGCTCAAATGAGGAACACTGATTTCAATTTTTGAAATTCATTAATGTTTTCACATATGTAAAGTCATTGAAAGTAATTGTGACAGCTGTTTTATAGCATTATGACATCAGTAATAAAATGATAATTTTTTGGTGTTAGAGAGAGCTGGGCAAGTATAAGAAATTCAAGGGTTTTTATGTGGTCAAATGAGTTAGACATTTCTGTAGCCAAAAATGAAGTGAAAATAGACTTGTAAAAATGTATCCAAAACATGGAACCTATGATGTTTGACTAACAAGCTATACTCCTCTTCAAATCAAAGCTCGTGTTTAATATGGATGTTTCAATAGTATCATACCCTTTAAATTGAAATCATCTGTTGTTGGATTAAAGAATTACATTTGTGTTCACTGTTGCCATTTTTTGCAAAGTAATTATGGAATACTTATTATGCATAAAACACTGAGTTATAAACTATGATAGACTGAACACAAGTGTCTAAACTAGAGAAAACAGCATTAATGTGTTTTCTCTAATGTGCTAGGATGCTATTATCAGTATAAATATGTCTTAATTCACTGAAGACTTGAAGGAAATGTGCTGGACTTTTAGCAGTAGGTTTTATTGGTGTGTAAGGTATTTGGTGAATCTGGAGGATCACTTAGTAGCATCAATAGTTACTTGGAAAAAGGCTATATTTTGTAAAATCATGGATGTCATTTTATTATTCATGGTTACATCACAAGACATCACATATATAATGTATCTTGTAATCTCTTCTAATTAAAGAATGATGCAACTATAAACATAGCTGCAACAATATTTATGTCCATATTTTGCAAGCGTGAAGAATGGCTTTTATTTGCAGTTGTAATCAGTTCACTGAAAACACTTATTTTCTATAGCTGATGCTCCCGAAGGCTGCTAAAATGGAGTCAACTCATTCCTTAATGGAGGCACATGAGACGATTTTCTGTTCTTTCCCATTGTCTTTAAAAATGTGTTTTCTACTTGGCTTATAAGTTCTTTACAGGTTCACAATAGAGCAGTTGCTTCAGAATCCTGATACTGAGAGCGATAGTAATGCCTAATACATGCCAGGTATTTTATGTATGTTTAAAATAAACCTCTTAATGATTTCATGGGCAATTGTTATAGCTCCCATTTTGTTAGTGATAAAACAAGACCCAATGATTTAAGTGAACTTCTCAAAATCAAAATGCCAGTTAATGAAAAAATCTGGTTTTGAACCCCAGTCTGTTAACAATAAAATTATGCTGTTTCTACTACATAACCCTACATTTCATATAATGTTAGACTTTTACTATTACAGCCTTTTTGAAGCAGTAGGGAAATTGTAATGAACATTGCTTCATTTTTGATGGGTTGGAATAAATCCAGATTTTGTTGTTGAGCCCAGTTGATTTACTATTTAATATTGGATCTGGTGCACTGATAATGCAAGTGAAGTTACCTAAGAAGGCAGAAGCATAGAGCAGCGTTATGATCATACTCTAAAGCCATATTCATAATCTTTTCCCCAAAGATGCTTCTTATTGTTAAAGAGGACATGCTGAAATACAATAATCTAAAATTATTCTCACTGGGGATGTATATAATTTTTGGTAATTTATTTCAGGAATATCTGGTGAGAATATTTAGGGATTCTCAATGAAGAGGATGAATGTTTTAGTCAATTAATGCAGACACTACTGTAGAAATGGGTGAAAATGACCGCACTATAATAGACTATCATTAGGATGATTTGTAATGCATGAATTGGTCTGTGGAACAGGCTGTTCAACTGGTAATGAGGCAGCAGACATTGCCTTTGGCTTATATGTGTAAGAGAGAGCTGGGCAAGTATAAGAAATCTTTCTGCCTAATTGGTGGAATATCAAAGAGAAAACCTAACCTAATAGAAGTTTAGAATAGAATTCCTTTAAAGTAGTATTGAAGAAGTCAGATCAATGTTATGTGTTCATAAATGTATGATTCAGCTCTGTTTAGAGACACTCCCTTCTCTCTTACCGGAATTCACTGGGTTGAGTTACAAAGGTAAAGTGTATTTCCTTACCATAGTATCTATGAAGATTAAGCCTTTCAATACCTGTCTGATGCTTTTAATTGCAGCTGAGCAAGCCATTACACTGGGAATGAGTTGACCAGTAAGTGTGGACTTAGAGACAGTAGTATTCTGGAATCCTAACATTTCCTTGAGTTCAAATGAAGCATTTGAATGTTCTCAAGATTAGTTTTACAAATGCAGACTTAAAAATCTCACATTTTGTAAGAGACAAGCCATTTAGCTCTTGTTTTATTGCCAGCAATTTAAAGCTATTATTGAGACAGAAAATATGACCTGTGAGGTTTCATGGCATATGTAAAACCTTACCCATTTTTCACATTATCCTAATCTGTTTGGTCATTTAGTGAAACAGGATTTCTTGGGAGATAAAACACCACAGCCAACACATGTACAAATAAATAAATCAATAACTAACTCTTCCCTCAAATACCTTATCATGAGAAGTGCATTTTTCCCTTTCTAAATTGATTATATTTTTGCAACTTGAGTTCTTTGCGGGTTAATAACCAGTGGTATAAATCAGTACTAACTGCTATTTGGACAAAAATGTTTCTCATATTTGACTCATTCTCTTGAACTTGAAACTCTAAGCAGTGAGGAGCTGATTGTTCTTCTGTTTGTATTTTGGTATTAATAATTAATATTATTAATTTTTCATCCCCCACTTCCAAATCAAGTTGATAAGGCATTTGCTGAATCATATATTCTTAGATTCCCCTATGGCTTTGAGCTTAATAAAAGTGGAAGATTATTTTTGTTGTTGTTGTTGTGTAAGGTAATAATAGTACGCTAATAAAAGGATAAAATGAGTTAATATAGATAAAGTTCTCTGAAAAATTCCTGATACATAATAGATGATCTATATAAATTGGTGATAATTATTACTTTATTGCTTCAGTCCTGATTATTATATTTCACTTGAATAAGAGCACTAACCTAATTTTTCTGCTATCAATCTAGTCTCCTTCCAGCCTTTTCTCCACAGAACAAGCCAGAGTGAGCAGTTTTAAGATGCAGATGTGCTGCTTCCTTAGTGCTCCTCCTTGCTTTACTTTGATACCTTCCTGTTGCTCACAAGACAAAATCTAAACTCAATCTTACCGTGATCTGGTTTCTCCTTAGCTCTCTCCTGTCTCATGTCTTAATTTCTCTAGGTCAAAATCAAAATATTTAAATTTATTTGTAAATCTGGTATTAAAAACTAAGAATTATTATCTTCAACTTGCTTTTTTGATTATATTTTTGATTAATTAATATTAATAATTCATAAATTAGTAGATTAAATTTTTCTCAGCAATTAACTCCATTTGCAAATTTAGTTACTTGAAATTCCCTTAAATTTTTTATACTATATTGAAACATTTTAAATGTCTTGTTGTGCCAGACACTTTAAAAAACAAGTAAATGTGCTTTCTCTATTATCATAAAATATACATAACATAAAGTGTACCATTTTAAACATTTTTCAGTGTATAATTCATTAAGAACATTTACATTACTATGTAAAAGTGCTTTTAATTAAAGCTTTAAGAAATAATCTTTCTAAACATTTAAGCAAATTTTGTAAATCTGACAAATCAAACTTATAAATATAAATAGGGTTTTCCTAAAATTTATGTTATGCTCACAAACTTAATTTCTTTCATACCTTTTAGATTAAAATATCAGTTAGATATTTCAATGTAAAATTAAAAGCTGTCATGTTAGATTTTCTTAAACAGTTTGAAATTTAACAAATCTGTAAAAGAAAATGTTTCAGACAATTTATGAGAATATGACAAAGTTTTATTACCATCTTGATACAAAAGAAGAGGGCCTAGTAGGCCAATTAAAACATTCATTTTCTATAGATCCATTATACAGGAAAAGGAATGATTACATAATTCACGTTAGATTTGTGAAGAAAATATTCAAAGATTTAGAAATTGGCAAAAGAGATGATTGTCCTTTTAGAGGAGTGTTTAAATGAGATTCCCTTTAGGGATAATGGGACTTTATAGGGTGTGTACCTTTGCGTTTCTCTGTCCAGACTAGTTTACAACCCTGTAGGAGAGGAAATTAAATTGTAGAAACTGATAGTATTCAAATGAGTCTCACTCATGACAATGCAAAAGAAACTTGTCCTGTAGAGATACAATTTATTTTTACCCTGTAGAAGAGATCATCTGAAACACTAAATTTTAAGTTGTTAACCAGGTTGTATCTCTTAGCAGATTCATTTAGCAGCCCCAATTGCCTGTATAATAGACAGATTAGTTAGTTAGATAGGTAGGTAGATAGGTAGATAGATGGATAGATAGATAGATAGATAGATAGATAGATAGATAGATAGTGCTTCACATTATAATTTTTTTTTTTTAATTTAAGAGATGTGGTCTCACTCTGTCTCCCAGGCTATAGTGCAGTGGCACAATCATAGTTCATTGCATCCTAGAATGCCTGAGCTCAAACCATCCTCCTGCCTCAGCCCACTGAGTAGACGACAGGTGTGGTCACCATGCCTGGAGAATTTGCTTCATACTTTTAGAGATGGTCTTGTTGTGTTGCCTATGCTGATCTCGAACTCTTGGCCTTAAGCAGTCTTCCTGCCTCAGACTCTAAATTCTCCTTCTTAAAAAAAAATTAAAATTGATATATATGTACATATTTATGGGGTACATGTGAAAATTTAATACATTCATATAATGTGTACAGATCAAATCAGTGTAATTATGATATCTACCATCTTAAATATTTATCTTTTCTTTATGTTAGAAACATTCAAATCATTCTTTTCTAGTTTTTGAAATATATAATAGATTATTGTAAACTGTAGTCCAGTTGGTATCTATCAAACACTAGGTCTTATTTCTTCTATCAAACTGTATATTTATACCCATTATTTAAACTCTCTTCATCCTCCCTCTCTCCTACCCTTCCTGGCTTCTGGTAACCACCAATCTACTCTCTATCTTCATGAGATCCACTTTTTTAGCTCCCATATTTGAACAAGAACATGCGATATTTATCTTTCTGTGATTGTCTCATTTCACATAATGACCTCCACTTCCATCTATGTGGTTGCAAGTGACAGGATTTCATTCCTTTTTATGGGTCAGTAATATTTCATTGTGTATCTATACCACATTTTCTTTATTCATCCATCTATGGGCACACTGGTTGATTCCATATTTTGGCTATTGTGAATAGTGCTGCAATGAACATGGGAATGCAGATATGTCTTCAATATATTTATTTTCTTTCTTTTGGATATATATGCAGTAGTGAAATTGCTGGACCATATACTAGTTCTATTTTAAGTTTTTTGAGAAGCCTCCATACAGGCTGTACTCCATACAGCTGCCTTACTAATTTATACACACAGCAACAGTGTATGAGGGTTGCCCTTTCTACACACCCTCACCAGCATTCATTACTCCCTGTGTTTTTGATAAATCTTTGCCCAGAACAATGTCCTGGAGCATTTCCCCAGTGTTTTCTTCTAGTATTTTTGTAGTTTCAGGTTTTGCATTTAAGTCTTTAATCCATTTTGATTTGATTTTCATATGTGGTGAGAGATAGGGGTCTAATTTCATTTTTGTGCATATAGTTATCTAGTTTTCCCAATACCATTTATTGAAGAGAATGTCTTTTCTCCATTGTATGTTCTTGGCACCTTTGTCAAAGATGAGTTGGCTATAAATACATGCATTTACGTCTGGGTTCTCTATTTTGTTCTGTTGGTCTATATGTCCTTTTATGTCAGTACCATACTTATTTGGTTACTTTGTAGTACATGTTGTAGTGTATTTTGAAGTCAAATCGTATGATGCCTCCAGCTTTGTTCTTTTGATTCAGGATTGCATTCGCTATTTGGGGTATTTTGTGGTTCTTTATGAATTTTAGGATTGTTTTTTCTATTTCTGTGAAGAATAACGTTGGTATTTTGGTAAAGATTGCTTTAAATTTGTAGAGTGCTTTGGGTAGAATTGTCATTTCACAATATTAATTCTTCCAATCTGTGAGCATGTAATGTATTTCTATTTTTTCATGTCCTCTTCAATTTCTTTTATCAGTGTTTTAAAGTTTTCCTTGTACAGATGTTTCACTTTGGTTAAATTGATTCCTAGGTATTTTATATTATTTGTAGTTGTGTTAAATGGAATTGCTTTCTTGGTTTATTTTTCAGATTGTTTTCTGTTGGCATATATAAATGCTGCTAATTTTTGTATGTTAATTTTGTATTCTGCAAGTTTAACAAATTTATCAGTTAAATTTAACAGTTTTTTTGATGGAATCTTTAGGTTTTTCTAAGTATAACATTATGTCATCTGCAAATAGAGACAATTTGATTTCCTCTTTTCCAATTTGTATAAGTTTTATTTATTTTCCTTGCTTAATTGCTTTGGTCAGTACTTCCAGTATTATGTTGAATAAAAGTAAGAAAGGGCTAGGCACAATGGCTCATGATTGTAATCCCAGCATTTTGCGGGGGGGGGGGCAAGGTGGGAGGATTGTTTGAGTCCAGGGTTCAAGACCAGCCTGGCAACATTGTGGGACCCTGTCTCCACAGAAAGTTAAAAAAAAAATTTAGCTGGGTGTGGTGGCATGCACCTGTGGTCCCAGCTACTAGGGAGGCTGAGGTGAAAACATTGCTTTAGGCCAGAAGTTTGAGGCTGCAGTGAGCCATGATCACACCACTGCACTCCAGCCTGGGTGACAGAGTGAGACCCCATCTCTATTTAAAAAAAAAATTAATGAAGGTGGATGTCCTTGTCTTCTTCTAGATTTTAGAGAAAAGTCTTTTAATTTTACCTGTTTAATATGATGTTAGCTGTGGGTTTGTCATAGATAGTCTTTATTATTTTGAGATATGTTCCGTTTATACCCACTTTGTTGAGAGTTTTTATCAGAAAGAATGTTGAATTTTACTGAATGCTTTTTTGGCACCTATTGAAATGATCATAGTTTTTGTCCTTGATTGTATTAATGTAATGTATTAGTCGGTTCTCACACTGCTATGAAGAACTACCTGAGACTGGGTAATTTATGAAGAAAAGAGGTTTAATTGACTCACAGTTCCGCACGCTGTACAGGAAACATGGCTGGCAGGCCTCAGGAAACTTACAATCATGATGGAAGGGTGAAGGGGAAGCAAGCACATCTTCACATGGCAGCAGGGGAGAGAGAGAGTGAAGGGGGAAGTGCTACACACTTTTAAGCAACCAGATCTCATGATAACTCAGCCACTATCATGAGAACAGCAAGGGGGACCTATGCCCCCATGCTCCAGTCACCTCCCACCAGGTCCTTCCCCCAACATTGGGAATTACAATTCAGTATGAAATTTGGGTAGTGACACAAAGCCAAACCATATAATGTGATGTATCATGTTTATTGATTTATGTATGTTGAACAATCCTTGCATCTCTGGGATGAATCCCATTTGATCACAGTGTGTGCTTTTTTAAGTGTGTTGTTGAATTTGGTTTGTTAGTATTTTATTGAGGATTTTTGTGTTTATGTTCGTCAGGGATATTGGCCTGTAGTTTTCTTTCTTTTGTTATGTTTTTGCCTGATTTTAGTATCAATGCTGGCCTCATAGAATGAGTTTAGAATATTCTCTCCTCTTTGATTTGTTTAAAGATTTTGAGTAGAGTTGGCATTAGATTTCAAAAATGTATTTGGTAGAATTCTGTGGTAAAGCCATCAAGTCCTAGGCTTTTCTTTTATGGGAGACTTTTTATTATGGCTTCAATCTTGTTATTTGTTGCTGGTTTGTTAAGGTTTTCTATTTATTCATGGTTCAATCATAGTAGGTTGCATGCGTTCAGGAATTTATCCATTTCTTCTAGGTTTTCTAATTTGTTGACATATAGTTGTTCATAATAGTTGTTAATGATTCTTTTTATTTTTGTGATCTCTGTTGTTGTGTCTCCTTTTTTGGCTTCTGAATACATTTATTTGATCTTCTCTCTTTTTTTTTTCTTAATCTAGCTAAAGGTTTGCCAATTTTGTGTGTCTTTTAAAAAATCAAGTTTTCACTTTGTTGATTATCTGCCTTTAGTTTCAATTTTGTTTATTTCTGCTCTGATTTTTATTATTTCTTTCCTTCTACTAATTTTGGGTTTGATTTGTTTTTGCTTTTCTAGTTCCTTAAGGTGCATCATTAGGTTGTTTATTTGAAGTCTTTCTACCTTTTTGATATAGGTATTTATTGATACAAACTTCCCTCTCAGTACTACTTCTGCTGTATCCCATAGATTTTGCTATGTTGTATTTCCATTTTTAATTGTTTAAAAAATGTAAATTTATTTCTTAATTTCTTCATTGACCTATTGCTCATTCAGGAGTAAGTTGCTGAATTTCAAAATGTTTCTGTATTTTATGAGGTTTCCCTTGTTAACAATTTTTAGTTCAATTCAATTGTAGTCAGAAAGATACTTGATATAATTTCTACTTTTTTGGAATTTGCTGAGACTTGTTTTGTGGCCTAATATATGGTCTATTCTGGAGAATGTTTTAAGTACTCATGAAAAGAATGTGAATTCTATATCAGTTGCGTATATTGTTCTGTAAATGTCAATTAGGCTAATTTGGTCTATTGTGTAGCTTAACTCCAATGTTTATTTGTTGATTTTCTGTTGGGATGATCTGTCCATTACTGAGACTGGGGTATTGAAGTCCCCTACTGTTATTGTATTGCCATCTGTCTCTCTCTTCCTTTAGATCTATTAATGTTTACTTATATACTTGGTGCTCCAGTGTCAGATAAAGAGATATTTATAACTGTTATACCCTTTTACTGAATTGACCCTTTTATCATTATATATAGTGACCTTCTTTGTCTTTTTTTTACAGTCTTTGATTTGTAGTCTACTGTATCTCATATAAATGTAGCTACTCTTGCTTGTTTTTTATTTCCAGTTGCATGGATTATCTTTTTTAACTCCTTCAGCTTTAGTCTATGTGTATCTTTAGAGATGAAGTGGGTTTCTTGTAGGAAGAATATAGTTGGGGCTTCTTTATTCATTCAGCCATTCTATGCCTTTTAATTGGAGAATTCAGTCCATTTACACTGTGTTGTTATTGACAAGTAAAGACTTACTACTATCATTTTGTTGTCTATTTTCTGGTTGTTTTGTAATTCTTTTCTTTCTTTCTTCTTTTTTTAACTGTCTTCCTTTGTGGTTAAGTGATTTTCTTTGATAGTGTGTTTTAATTCATTCTTATTTTTAGTGAATCTATTATAGGTTTTTGCATTTGTGGTTATCATGAGACTTAGAAAATCCATCTTATAGATAAAATAAATTATTTTAAAGAGATAAAAACTTAGATCACAAAGAATGTTAAAAAAAGCAAAAATGCAAAAATTCTACATTTTAACTTCTGTCCCCCATTTGACTTTAAGTTGTCTTGATTTACATATTTTTATATTGCCAATCTCTTAACAGGTTACTGTTGGTATTATGGTTTTTTGTAGATTTGCCTTTGGGGCTTCACACTAGAGTTATGAATAGATTGTACACCTGTTGCAGTAGTAGAGTATTCTGTGATTTTCTATGTACTTAATTATACCGGTGGGTTTTATACTTTGAAAAATTATCTGTTTGCATGTTAATGTTTTTTTTTTTCCCTTCCAGATTGAAGGACTGTCTGTAGCATTTTTTGTAAGACGGGTCTGGTGGTGGTAAATTCTCTCAGCTTTTGATTGTTGAGGAAAAACCTTTCATATTTGAAGATAGATTTGATGAATACAGTATTCTTGGAGGGTAGTTTTTTCTTTCATTACTTTGAAAATATTGTCCCACTACTTCCTGGCCTGTATGGTTTCCACTGAGAATTGTGTCACCAGATGAATTGGAGCTTTGTTTATATATTATTTGCTTTTCTTCCTCTTTCTGCTTTTAGGATGCTTTCTATCACTTTAGCTTTAGAAAGTTGAATTGTTATAGGTCTTGTGGTAGTCTAATTTGGGTTGAATCTGTTTGGTGTTTTCTGACCTTCCTGTTCCTGGATATTTATCTCTTTCTCACATTTAGAAAGTTTTCTGTTATTGTTTTTTTCTCTTTGAATAAGCTTTCTACCCCTTGTTCTTGCTCAACTGCCTCTTGAAAATTAATAATTCTTAGATTTGGTCTTTTGAAGTAATTTTCTAAATTTTATGAAATATTTTCATGCTTTTCATTCTTTTTTCTTTTTTTACTCTCTGACTGTTTTTTTCAAATAGCCTATCTTCGAGCTCACTGATTCTTTTCTCTGCTTGATTTATTCTGTTCTTCAAACCCTCTAATAAATTTTTGAGTTTAGCAAATACATTTCTCAGTTCCAAGATATCTGTTTGATTTTAAAAAATTATTTCAATCTCTGTTAGAGATCCCTGATAATTTTTAAATATGCCTTTCTGTGTAATCTTGAAAATCACAGAGTTTTCTCAAAACTGCTATTTTGAATTCTTGATCAGAGAGTTAACATATTGCCATTTTGTTAGGGTCAGTACCTGATTCCTTGGTTTGTCCACTTGGAGAGGTTATGGTTTCTTGTCTGCTGTTTCTTGTGGATGTACATCCATGTTTTTGCATTAAACGATTATTTATTCCAGGCTTCTGTGTATGACCTGTTTTGATTTACACTGGACATGTTTGCTTAGAGATTCTTCATAATTTAGCTGTTAATTGTCATTATTTTTATCACCCCAGCTAGGTCACTGCCTCCTTTTGGTCACTAGATGGCAGCTTAAGACCAAGATTTCCTTGGTTCTAGGCAATCAGAGTGCCTCCCTTCTCGAATGGGAGGATATCCCAAAACGGATATCTTGAGTGCGGGAAGGCTGGCTAGGGGTTTGTGCCAGGGAAGCTGTTACACAAACCTCCTATAACATGGTGCTGTTGAACAGCCACTCTGATTTGATGTCTCTTTTGGCTGAGTTACAGAGACGTTTCCAGTTTTATAGATAGTATTCCCATCTCTGCTCTTTGTCTCTGTCCTCAGAGATATTTCTTTAGGCACTCCTGATGATTCCTGTGGCTTGAGGCAGAGACAGGTTTACTGCCAAGAAACCCAAGGTGGTTAAGAAGCTGGTTGTCCACATCATCTCATTTTTTTTTATTGTAGAAACCCTAAGTTGGGGAGAAATTTTCCATGTTCTTGCTGTTGAACAGATTTGGGGGAGCGGTGTCACGGATATGGAAGTCCAACTTTCTTACTGTGTGTTGAAAGGTTTTTTCCCTTCTCTGTGGTCCCAGGAATGATCTGACCCTTCTATTTGAGCTCTAGAATATTGCTAGTGATGATGTTAGAGCTGTATATATGTTTCTGGTTTTCTATGTGTATGTGGTGGCAGTGGTGGGGAGGGTGAAGCCAGCTTGCTTCTATGCCACCATTTTGAAACTGGAAGTCCTCTCAGATTCTCCTTTTAACCAATTTTAATACCTTATTGATTTCCTCATTAATTAATGTTAAAATCTTTGATGTTATTTCTTGTTTAAGAGAGTTATGGTCTAAATTTTTTGAAGAACCATACTTGAGTAGATTAGATTTTTAAAAAGAATGCTTGGTTAGGAGTCTTTGACTGACAAGTGATAGTCAACACGGTGAGAGTGAGCTTGGAGAACAAGCCTTAATCCCTTTAAATATTTTCAAAAAATTGCTTATGTATTTTTTAAAAAGTTTGGCTTTATTACCAGAAGGAAGTTTTGAATGACAGCATAGAATGTATTTTTTTCCCTGAATCAGTTTTGGAAAAAAGACTACAAACATTTATAATTTAAAACCTTACTCCTAATATTTCTGAGGTTGCCAAACCACATGCCCATCTTTGGCTTAGTGTAGAAACTTAAAACAATTCTGCCCAAGCCACAGGTAAATATGCTGACACCTCCCCCTCACTATCTGCTTATCCACTGCCCTGCTTTGAAGGAAATTTTTAAGCCGTGTGTGTGTGTGTGTGTGTGTGTGTGTGTGTGTGTGAGATATGTGCATTATGTATTTTGCTTTCTTGGCCTTTCTACTTTTCATTCATTTCATTCCCTGGATTTTGTTAGGTGAAATTATTCCTTAAAATGGTTGCAGCTCTTATCTTTGCAGCAGGGTTACAGTCAACAAATTATTTTATTGCCTTATTGCCTTCTTTATATTTATCATTTCATTCTTGTTATATCTTTATTATCTTGCTTATTAGACACTTTTTAAAAAAAATCGGCACTAGTCTTCACTCTGCTGCAGTTCATACAGAACAAAGTACATTTTTCTAGCATACCAGGTGCCTCTTGCTCTCAGATCTTTGTACTTAAACTGGGAATAATTCTGCAAATATTTCTGAAATGAACTTCCTGTGGAAAGCTTTTCCCTCTGTGCTCCCACTAGCTTTATATATTTTTCCTGTAGTGCTTATAACACTGTACTGTAAATACATATTTCCTTGTATATTATATCCAATAGACTTTAATTTGAAGATAGTGACAATGCCTTGTCCCCTCCTGGAGCTTCCACACTAGTCTAAGGAAATTCATGTAGAAGTGCTTAATTACATACTATGAGAAAAAAAATAGATGAAGTTCAAGGGACAGATGAGATTTCTTTTTTTGAGGCAGGGTCTTGCTGTCCCCAGGTTGGAGTACAGTGGCATGATCATGGCTTATTCGCCGCAGCCTCTACCTCCCAGGCCCAAGCGATCCTCCTACCTCAGCCTCCTGAGTAGCTGGGACTATAGGCACATGCCACCATGCTTGGCTTAATTTTTGTATTTGTATTTTTTTTTTTTTAGAGACAGGATCTCACTATGTTGCTCAGGCTGAGGACAGCTGAGATTTTAACACTATATTCTGATCTACAAAAAAGATTGGACATAATGGGGTTCAGGATATGCTACCACAGAATATGGCCCCTGGGCACATTGGATATTTTAAGCAGAAAGAAGGTGAGAAAACCACAGAAGCAGGAAGTTCTCTCTGCCATTCTCCTGCCCTTCTTCGCTGAAGCAGGTCACAAGATTCTCATGTGACATGTTCTCTTCCTATATGCAAAGGAAAGGTGGAGTGTTGAATCTCTGAAGACAAGGGGCCCCAGAGAAAGATCTGAACAAACAGGCCTTCCTAACTTTTCTCATAGTTTATTACCGTTAGATTGTATGCTTCTTGCTCCATCACATTTCTCCTTGACTGTCACCTCTTCATCAAAGCTGACATAAAAATACACAGGTTTAACTATTTCTGTGTGTCTTCATTTCCTTGTGAAGGCTCCCATGTTATGTAAAACATAGTATATAAATTTGTATGCTTTTCTCTTGTTACTTTGTCTTTTAATATGGGGCCCAATCCAGTGATCATAAGATTGGTAGAGGAAAAAGAGTTTTCCTCTCCTACAAATTCTATAAGAAAAAATCCATATTGTTGAAGCTACTAAAAAACCTAAGCCAACTTTAGTAGGACTTTTGCTAGTCTTGACAATTTGTTTACCTTATTTAATTCATTCTTCATCACAAGCGCCATTGAATCACTGCCTCAACTATGCTGTGGGTACATATGGAGAAAAGCATTTTGGCCTTATTAGAAATGTACATAGTTGGCCAGGCATGGTGGCTCACGCCTGTAATCCCAGCACTTTGGGAGGCTGAGGGGGATGGATCATGAGGTCAGGAGATCGAGACCATCCTGGCTAACGTGGTGAAACCCCATCTCTACTAAAAAAGTACAAAAAAATTAGCCGGGCGTGCTGGCGGGCGTCTGTAGTCCCAGCTACTCGGGAGGCTGAGGCAAGAGAATGGCGTGAACCCAGGAGGTGGAGTTTGCAGTGAGCCGAGATCATGCCACTGCACTCCAGCCTGGGTGACAGAGCGAGACTCCACCTCAAAAAAAAAAGAAAAAAAAGAAAAAAAGAAATATGTATAGTTGACATGCTGGATGAATACTCTAACAAAAAATGAAATTTTCTGTTGTCATAAAAACTATACCATTTTCTCGCCACCCACACAGACAAAAGATTTATGTGACAATAATGATGAAATCACTTTAAGATGTCACAGTTCCATAGTTAATATTTTGGTGTTTTCTGCTGGAGAAAGGCATGCTTTCATAGAGTCTTTGCTAGTGTTTTGGAGGCCCTGACTATAGACTGTTTAGATAGGTGGGGACGAGTTCCTGCTTTGTTTTTTTTTTTAATTTTTCTTTGGACCACCTAAGATTTCCAGTATTTCTACAGCAATCCATTTGGCGATGGCCTGGAGACCTATAATGAAAATAATTAGTGTTTTATGTTTAGCAATAATTTTTGAGGCATCAACCACATGTAATTGTGTCATATTTCAGCTGAGTGACTCCCTGATTAGTGACAGTCATAGATGCTGTTGTTGCATTCTTGGGATCATTGCTTGAAAAAAATAAAGTTACTGTGCTCTTTGTTATAATAAATTTCCAGGTATCACACGAATTGTGAAAATAGTCAATGATAACACATGTTACCAATTATTTTGTAGTCCCACATTTGGGAAAAAAAAAGTGAGGAGTGGCTCAATATGCATACCAAGTGAAATTTATTATTTCTTTTGTATTTAATTATGTGAGAAAATGAATGCTGAAAGAAGTGAAACCATGTGAGATGATGGTGCTTTGTGTGAAGTTGTTGTGCAGAATGCCTTTATAGTTTTAGTTGTGCGTAACTTCACACATATGTGCACATACACACTAGTACATTCATAAAGATAAAAACATCCTTATCTGCTTACATTTTTAAGCCTTGGAACTCCCAACTCTCCCTTTCTGATAGTATATAGGAGGGGAAATGAAGAATCCAGTTCATTACAAGCACTGTGGGCTAGCAGTTCAGAAACTGGAAGCCATGAAGTGTCAACGTTATACCGACAGATTTTTTGGGTGCAGGGGCGAGACTACCTATCAGTATATCTCCTGCCTTAAGGGATAGAATGATTTATTAAGTGACTCTGAGCCATACAACTGGGGTATTTAGATAGGATGTAGAGGCTATTTTCTCAACTGAGGACGGAGAGCTCAAATCTAGGGACCATTCTGTTGGTCTCTGCTTATATAGACTTTGGCAATATTCAAATAAAGTGCATTAGTTTCTAAGGTCACCATAACAATAACCACAAATTGGGTGACTTGAAACAATAGAAATGTATTCTCTCATAGTTCTGGAGGCCAGAAGTCCAAAATCAAAGTGTCCATAGGACATGGTCCCTCTAGGGGAGAATTCTTCCTTGTCCTTCAAGCTTCTGGAGACTCCAGGCATTCTTTGGTGGCAGCATGGATTCTATCTCTTTCTCTGTCTTCCCATTGTCTTCTCCCATGTTTCTCTGTGTCATCTCCTCTCTTTATAAGGACACCTGTCATTGGATTTAGAACTCACCCTAGATTCAAAGTAATCTCAACTCAAGATCTTTGACTTACCTTCATCTACAAATACCCTTTTCCAAATAAGGTCAACATAGGTTCCAAGGGTGAAGACAACTGAGACATATCTCTCTGGGAGCCACTAATTCTGCATAAAGCAAGTATGAGATTTCTTCCTAGGTTGTGGTAGCTGATTCTTCAGGGGCTCGAAGGCTCCTCTTTCCTGGGTGATCAAAGAACTTAGAGCAGTGGAGTTGTTAGATGAGTAGCAGCAGTAAGAGCAGTGATGGAGAACCAGGTCTCAAATTTGGGGAGAACTTTACATATTCCATAGGCTTAATGAAGAAGCTGAAAATGATAATTATCTCATTAAAATAAAGGTAAGTGATGAACTGGGGAGAGAAACTGTGGAGGCAAACTGAAATAGATATAGAATGAAATAGATATATAGCAATACTTTTAGTAAATAACCTTCTGAATCTCTAACTATAATGTAGAGAAAGGTGTTTGGTTTCCTACTTTCAAATAAGAATCTACAGATGAATGCAAAGACAAAATCATGAAAAAACCTACATGTAATTGGATATATTTAAGCCAACTCACCAACCCACCCCGCATACCTTAGGAGGAAATTCTAGGTAAGAAGAATGGTGAGGATAGTAAGGCATGTGTTTAGAGTCACATTTAAACCATCTGCATGCAGATTCAAACTCTCATCTATATTTTCTTTTAGAAATGAATGTACATCTAATTGAACACAGTTTACAAAATGCTTTCATTATGTTTCCTCAGATCCTTATGGCCACACTGCGAAATGGGTATGATTATCACCATTCGTGAAAAGTTCTTTGCAAAAATAGCCCCAATAACGTTTTCTTTGCAAAAATAGCCCCAATACCCTTTTCCATCTCTGCATTTTGCCCTCCTGCTCATCAAAAGATGAGTTTATTTCTTTACTCTTGAATCTGGGATGGCCTTGTGTTTTGCCTTGAACAAAGCATGCATTGGAAATGATGCTCTGTTACTTCTGAGTCTAGGCTTCAAGAGGTTTTGCAGCTTCCGCTCTCACCCTCCTGGAATTCTGTGCTACCTCATTGAAGAGGGTTATATATCCTGAAATTGCTCTGTTGTGCGGCACACAAGAATTTCTTGCACCTGGTCAAGTTAAGAGGTAAAGGTAGGTGGTGAGTCAATATGTAGGCTTCGTTGCTTGGGGAAAATAAAAAGCCTAAGAGTAACTTGGCATAAGGAAAAGAAAAAGACTCACTATTTTTGAAGAAAGATTAACAAATTTTGTTGAAATGGCCTTGATTTTTCTGCCATGGTCATGAAAAGAATAAACAATTTATAAGTTGATATATTTTCCTTATGTATTTAATATGAATGCAAAATGTGAAATTGCCAGTCAGGTTAAGCAGAAAAGATACTCATGGGGGATGGCATGTATTAAATATGTCACTGAAGTGTGTGTTGTAAGTATTAACTTTCAGCATTACAAACCAACTCTACCTATTAATAGTTGTGAATTGGGGGAGTGTATAATAGTGTCTAAGGTGATAAAAGTAGTAAGGGTTTTCTTTTGTTTTTAAAATACCTTGGTCAATTTTATTCCTACCTTGAATTTTTTCGAAAGACACTATTGACCTTGGGGTAATTGTGAGCTGCTGCAGCAATGATGTAGGCAGCTTGTTGAAAAAGAGTTAGAGAAGTGGATGCACTTGTGTAGTAGATAAATTGCATTAAGGGTCCCAATTACTCACCCCTTCTTTTATCAGGGACTTTTGCCTTGTGACTTCGCAGTTCTCACCAAAGAAGCAGAATCGCTTTCCCTTTCCCCATATTCTGAGTTTGGCCATACAATTTGCAGGTGCGATTTATGCAGAGGCTTGAAAAAGTGCTTGTACAATGCTGCTTCTGCTCTTGAACCTCAGCCTTTCCCATAGAAACATGTCAGGGCTTGCCTGATGGAGGAACATGAGAGACACGTGGAGCAGTCAGGTGTTCTCACTGACAGACAGCTGACCTCGGATGTTTAAGAGCCTAAATGAGCTTGGGAGGCCCACCTAGCCTAATTGCTCGTGCACATACTTGTGAACTAAATAAAAGCTGATTTGGGGGGTAGTTTATTAACAGCATTATTTCAGTAACAGGTAACTGATACAGATGTCATTCAAGATTTGCTTCTTTTTAGGGGGAAGTGAGGATTCCAGACTGATAGCTTTAAGGACACTTTCTTTTTCTTGGGTTCAGATGGTTCAACTGCTAAATTCCAGAGGCCTAATAATTTGGCTAATGATAGGATAATAATTGCCAGCTTAATGGTGATGATCAATAGGGCATGTGTTTCAGGGCCACTAGTGCATGCTTCAGGTGCAGTAAAAACTATTAGGCCAAATACAAAGAGTATTAATTACCAGAGAACACATACTTAGCCATATATTTTTGTTAATGGAATGCAGTAAAACCTGATTACAATAAATCCTAGTTGACTTGGGAGAAAACTGTAAGTGACATTTTATAATGTCCCATTTGCACTGAGTCCTAAGTTAGGTCAACAAGATTTAAAAGCCTTTCACCATGCAAATACATTCTCAGTACATAAATTGTTCATAAGGAATTTTCCAGTATTTTCTATTCACTATATAATCACATTTTTTTTGGCTTCTCTAGAAATTTTTAGGAGGCAAAATTTATTTTATTTCTATTTTTCTTATTAGTTTTTCAGACCTACCACTTAAAACTTTGATATTTCTTTCCATTAAAAAAATACCAAACTGCTACACTCAAATTTTACCCTCTACTTTCAAAATTTAAAATATCTTTAAAAATGTATCATAAGCATAATATTTGATGGTTGTGTAATATCTAGTTGGATGAATATTGTAACCATGTCCTTTTTTTTCTGCTTTTTTTGTGACTGTTCAAAATACCACTGCAGCAGTATGTTCTTGTTTGTATTTCTGGTTATTTCCTTATTGGGGGTATCTAGAAGTGGCATTATGGGTTCAAATGTTATAAATATTTTGAAGGTTTAAAAGTTCTGAGTATATATCTAGCTAACCTTTTAAAGAAAGATTGTGCTGCTTTCTGCACTGTATAAAATATCTTTCTCACAAAAATCTGTCAATATTGAGTATATTCTGTAAAAATTACTCTTCACTAGTGGACATATAGTCTGAAATTTACAAAGATTAATAGAACTAAAAAATAAAAAGAATGTAATTATTTTCAAATCCAAAAATAGTGACTTCTCAGATTAAAGATTACTGAAGTGCTTGTGAGTCTGTGATGGAAATAGAAATCTAGCAACTAGGGTTTTCTTCCCCTGTGCTTCTCAAGTAGCCTAGAATGATGATTTATGATAGGATTAAAATTTCTACCTAATTGAGGGCATGTTTTGGGGCTTTTATTTTTGGTACTCCAGTTATGTTCTAGGTATATAAAGAAATAGGAATTGGTGACAGGTGCCACAGGGAAAGTAGCAATTGGCCCCAAGGGTATGTCTCTGAGCCTTTTCAATGCAGGTGGGCATATGCTTATGGATAATAAGATTATGTTATAATGCTTGAAAAGAGAGGACCTTAAGATCTACTGGGAATAGCAGACGAGTCAGGATTTTACAGACCTGGTTAGAATCCTGTCTTTGTCACTTATAAGTTCTGTCATCTTGGGCAAGGCACTTAACCATTCTTAGCCTTAGTTTCCTCATTTTCTAAAACAGCTAAAATCACAACATGGTAGAATTGTTATGAGAAATAAGCAGTATAATGTAAGTAAGTGACTATATAGTATAAATGCACCTAATATTAGTGGCAATTATTAAAAAATGGGTTGGGTGTTATAGCAGAGGCTTAATGATGGGAGTCTGTATATTTTGAAGCATCAGCAAGTAGAATAATAATAGAAATTTGGGAGGACCAGCAAGATGTTGTGGACTAAGTGATAAAACTTTAGGGCTATAATGGGCACTAGCACTAGGGCATTTTACCATTGACCTGCAGGATAACTCACTGTTTTAGTCAGGGTTCTCCAGAGGGCCAGAACTGATAGAATGTGTATAAACACACACACAGACACACACACACACGTACACACACACACGGGAAAGAGAGAGAGACAGAGTGAGAGAGAGAGAAAGAGAGAAGAAGAGATTTATTTGGAGAACTGATTCAAGCCACTATAAAAGCTGAGAAGTCCTACAATAGGCTGTCTACAAGTTGGAGAACCAGGGAGGCCAGTAGTGTAGCTCAGTCCCAGTCTGAAGGCTGTAGAACCAAGGAAGCCAATGGTATACTTTCAGTCTGTCTGAATTCAAAGACTCAAGAACCCAGGGGGACTACTGGTGTAAGTCCTGGAGTCCAAACTCCAGAGATTCTGGAGAGCTGATGTTCAAAGCTGGGAAAGAAAGAGTTCTCCAGCTCCAGAAAATAGCAAGAATTTGCCCTTCGTCTATCTTTTGTTCCATTCAGGCCCTAAGCTGATTGGACGATGCCTACCCACATTGAAGGGACATCTTTTCCACTCAGTTCACACACCCAAATGCCAGTCTTCTCTGGAAACACCCTTGCACACACATCTGGGGAAGCTCAATCATTCTAATAAAATGCCAAGCCACCTGAGATTCCCTTTCAGCAGAAGGGGGATGAGATTAGTGCTTATTGAAGCAATGAGAATAACTAATGCTTTACCAGCTATCTAGATATCCTTTAATCTGGTAAAGTTGATACCCCAAATGAACCGTCACACTCACTTTGCTAATGGTAGTGCCTGAGGATGCAGTGACCAGGTGTGAATACTTATGCTGCCTCAATTTGCTGCATCTTGAACTTGATCTTCTAGTGAAATGACTAATTGTCAGAAGCCACGTAGCTGGGTCTATACCTACAGAATTTTAGGAATTTATTGGAATTGCCCTGAGAGCATCTGGGAAAAAGGATATATCTTGGTCTGTCAAGTTGATATAGAATTTGGGGTTGGAGTATGGGTATAGGCAAGCCTTGACTTCAGAGAGAATCTGCCTCCATATTTAGGAGATTATACAATAGTACATGTGATCTTTACCTCAAACCAATTGTGATTAAAAGACTATAATGAAAATCTTTGTGCTTAACAATTATCTATATATTGATAGAGAGGTGGGTTTTATGGGGACTGAAATGGTTTAAATTTCCTAATGCCAATATGCAATTCTAGACTCACCATCTTATATTCTTGAGAAAGGTAATGTAAGCACATTTATTGACATACAATGTCACACTTGACTAATTTGGACCATTATTGGGATTGTCAGTAATTCCTGTAGCTAAATTTGTTGTGTAGTAATATACTTTGATTATAGAGATAGGAGCATTGATTGTGTCAGTTATGCCACAGGCAAATCATTTCAGCTCAGTATAGAAAGGCAGAGTTTGAGATTGTGTAAAATTCTTTTAATAAGACCCCCTACTAAAACTAGCTCAGCTTAAATGGACCATCATGATTAGGAAAGGGACTTCGGTGTCCTCAAAGAGGAATCTTTTACTAATGAGCATTAATATGAGAATTACCAAAATTATTCAGAGTCAGAAAGAGCTGAGAGGAAAAGGTTTTAAATATTTGAATTTGATTGGATGACTGGATCAAAAATTTAAGTTGTTCTTTGTGATAAATGTCATTATCCCAAACTGAAGAATTTGCAAAGGATTACAAAGAAGTAAATGAGGCAGTTCTCATTAGAGTTTCTTTGGACTGAGGAAAGGAAAGAAAATGCACTGTTTATTATTATTTACTGGTAAAATATTAGCTGAACAGAAGAAGCCACATGAACTTAATTTGTTTTGTTTTTCTTTTTTTTCTCTTCTATGTCATATAGAGTTTTCATTTCACAAGGAAATGTTCATAGAGCTTTATTAACAATGATATAGGAACAAATAGAACTATACACTTCTATAGCTGAAGGGATTTTCACTTGACTTTCTACTCTGTAACATTCCCCCAGATAGTAAATTGGCTTCTGTGCTGGAATAACTCCAGTCATGGGGGAATTCAGGATCTCAAGAATCAGCCCATATTTGCTGATAGCATCAAATTTTAGAGATATGTTCCTTATATAACAATAAAAATTATTGCTGCATCCACCTGGGGTTTGCTCTGGGTAGGAGGAAAAACAATCTGCCTTTTTTTTTTTTTGATGGAGTCTTACTCTGCCACCCAGGCTGGAGTGCAGTAGCATGATCTAGTTTCACTGCAACCTCCATCTCCCAGGTTCAAGCAATTCTCCTGCCTCAGCCTCCCAAGTAGAGTATCTGGCATTACAGGTGCATGCCACCACACCCGGCTAATATTTGTATTTTTAGTAGGGATGGGGTTTTGCCATGTCTGCCAGGCTGGTCTTGAACTTCTGATCTCAGGTGATCCACCCACCTCGGCCTCCTAAACTGCTGGGATTACAGGCATGAGTCACCATGTCTGGCCGATAATTAATCTGCTATTGCATACTTTTCTTGCTTTCCAAGCAGTGATGGAAGTTGAACACAGTGATCTTGACCTTGAGCCCTGTCTTAGTCTGTTTGGTGTTGCTAATAACAGAATACCTGAAACTGGGTAATTTATAAAGAAAAGAGGTTTATTTAGGTCACGGTTCTGCAGGCTGGGCAGTTCAAGGATGTGGCCTTGGTTTCTGGTGAGGGCTTTCATGCTGCATCAAAACATGGTGGTTGTCAGAGGGGAAGTAGACACATGTGAAGAGGCAAAACCCATGGGTCCTGGCTTTACTACAACCCGCTCTCACAGGAATTAATCCATTCTCATGGGAACTAATTCAATCTCACCAGAGTGACAACTCACTATTGTGAGAATGGTACGAAGCCATTTATGAGGGATCCACTCCCATAATTCAAACACCTTCCACTAGGTCCCACCTCCCAACATCACCATTCTGGGGACCAAATTTCAATATGAGTTTTGGTGAAAAAAAGAAAAAAACATATTCAAACTATAGCAAGCCCCTTTTAAAATTTGATTGGAGATTTGTGAAGTCTTTAGATGGTTATTTGAATAAAGATGGAACCCTGAAGAGAAGGCTTTCTTCTTTAGGAAAATAAATTTCGAAAAGTTATAAAAAGTGGATCCAGGATATTATATGAAATAAGGAGCAAATGAATAAAAGAAATAAAGTTGGACAAAGGAGTAGAAAGTTGGCTTTGATTTGATGGTAGTCCAAAAGCTAGAAATTGGGGTTGTGGAACTCAGGAAAGAAACAAGAAAACCATGTCCAAAAACATGATGATGGGCAGATTGACTCCAAGAATATTGCTTTTTTGATGTTTGATTATATCTTTCGGTTTTGTGCTGTAAGGCTGCTCTATGAACCAAAGTTTTTAGCTAAAGTCTGTTACAAAGTAACATTGCAGAATGGTACTTTGTGAAATAAAAAAAAAGAGGTGACTTGGGGTGGAAAATCTAGGACAGTTATAGGAAGAGGGTGAGGCAACCAGACATACTAAAAATGCATGACAAAAAGCCTGGAGCAGAACCAACAGATGAGAGTCGAGGAAATGCATTGTGGAATGTCAGCAACTTTCTCCTACCTCTAGGGAGTTGTGGAGATATGGGGAAGGAAGTAAGGTTATTTTGTTTGGATAGTGAAGAAAAAGATGATCATAAAAAGCTAAGGGACTTGGGGTCATTTGGGTAACAGTAGCTTATGATTGTTAACACTAATTGTTTTTTAATTTCTGGAAGCCTCCTAGAAGGATTTCAATCCTGTGTATACAAGGACATTTCTTAAATATTTAAGAGGAGCTCTGTCTTCTCCAGGTCAGACAGACTATTTAAGGATTCCACAAATACTTGAGTCTAAATTCTCTGTCACCATTTGATCTTAGTTCTCTGGGTATATATCAGTTTCTCAATATCTTGCTTAAAATGCTGTACCTGGAATGGAACTTAGTATTTCAGGCAGAATATGACAGGACTTTAGAATTCTGACATCTATTTAATCAATGAAACGAAGACATGTAACCTCCCTTTTTCTGAACCCTATTCTTCTAGCCATGCTTAACTGAAATAAAATCAATTATTTTTGAATTCCTTATCATACTCATATTTCCTTATCATACTCATAAGTTTATGAAACACCTCATTTTTTGATGAAAGTTTTTTTAAATTTATATCTCTCTTACTCTATAGTTGTAGAATTTGTATCTCTCTTACTTTATAGTTGTAGAATTCGTTTTTAAAACTAAATTTTATTATGCATACTACATAGTCTTTGATCTTTCTTAAATTCACTTTGGATCCTAATTTATGTCTTGTAAAGATGTAATAAAGTTGCAAGTTATATCTACTTTCTTGTCAGTGTTGAAGGTACTGAAAAGAACAAGGCAGATGGCAAAACATTATGGTATACTATTCTTTGGACACAGTTGTTGAACCAACTACACACCCATATAACCATACAACAGCTAGCCCTTATGTCTTTCTCATACAGAGATTTGAAAGAAGAAATCAGTCTCCATAATTAACAGAACCTCATGTCACATATTTAAAAATTTTAAATTTCAACTAACAAAGAGATTGCATGTTTCACTGTAACATTGTAAAGGAAACATTGTAACCAATATAAAGATTTTCAATATTTTACAAATACTGTGACCACTTTCAGATTTATGTTATTGGTATTCTTTTTAAATAGCTTTTTTGACATTAGCTGACATAGGACTTAGGGTTTATTTTCTTCTGTCCTCTGAGGAAGAAGGGCTCTCACTTTCCTACCTGAGTATGATGGAGTTTTTTTCTCTCTTATCTAAGTGTCATGAGATCCTTTCTAACCATCTGTCCCTAAGGCAATTTTTGAACTATGTCTTATATTGTTCCCTTATATTAAAGAGAGTCTGTGGTTTTGACGTGTTAAGAACTAAGATATGGTATTTGTTCACCTTCTGTCTGGTGGTTCTGTCTTTATCTCTTCTTTCATGTAAGCCTTCAGTAAATGACAAAGTCTTACTTTTTAAAAAATATTGTCCTTAATGCCTTCCCCCAACAATTCTAGACAAAGGGGCCATTTTGACCTCCTTAATGTAAACTTAATTTACACATTATAATGATATATATTATATAAATAATGTATAAACATGGTCTTGTTCTGTCAGGTTAATATAAATGTTATTTAAACAGTTTTATTCTTTCAGGGCATCGGCTCTATTTACAAAACTATTTTCCTGTACTAGTCAGTGTTCTTAGTTAATAGTCAAATTCCCTCTGGATAATTTAAATGGAAGGGGATTTATTACAGAGTGTTAGTTGACTGATAGAATTTCTGTGTGTGCATTGAACCAAGGTTGTGTTACACAGAGAGGAGTGATGCAAGTTGAAGAAATGCCCAAACACATCATGACGCTGTTTCCAAAAAAATGAAGAAATGTTGCTGCTGCCTTTAGCTGTTTGACAGCTGTTCACCAAATCCTCCTCCAGAGGTGCTTTTGAAACACTTAAGGCCTCCCTGGCTGTGTTTGTCAGATCTGTGTAGTCCTTGCTTCACAATATTGTCTGTACCATCAAAGTTTCATGAGGTGAGTCTTTTGGTGGAATGTAGTCAAATGTACAATCTAGCTGCAGGAAACCTGGGAAATGGAGAGTTAACTTTCCAACCTCTAATGAACAGAAAGGCATATTGTAAGGCTGCCGGAAGGGTGCTGAGTGAACAATCTGTCATGTCAGCTGTAGTTACCCCTTGGGCCACCTAACATGCATAGGTACTCTTCTTCCCAGAATGATGGGAACCAACAGCATGGGACACACACACACACACAAACCTATTTTTTCAGATAGAAGAAAGACTGACGTTCTCCTAAAAGGAGAGGCTCAAAATCTCATCGGTCATTACTCCCATTTCTGCTTGGTGTTGCTCAAAACTTCTCTACTTCAGTTACTGCTCTGTATTGATATACTTAATGTATGCTAAATTTACAAAGTTTACCATCACTAGCTCATCCAACTTAAAATAGTAAGGGAAATGGAAAGGAGGAAACCAAAAAAAAAAAAAAAAGAAATTGTTTAATGAATAAAGGAGGTGGAACTCCTTTCCTACCCTAACTTTATCCATTTTAAAATTTCTTTGTCCTCAGCTGAGGAAGGAGAATTACTTGAACCTGGGAGGCGGAGGTTGCAGTGAGCCGAGATCGCGCCACTGCACTCTAGTCTGGGTGACAGAGTGAGACTCCATCTCAGAAAAAAAAAAAAAAAAAAAAAAAAAAAAAAATTTGTTTGTCCTTAGCCAGTCCTTCTTGGGATGAAAGTGTCTCCTGATATTGGGTTTCTGTCGTTTTCCTAACTTTTGTTACTGGAAAAAGTGGTACTAGGAGGAACCATAGAGGAGCCCGTTGGTTCCAGATTTACTCCTCCCTGCCCCCATTGCACAGTAGCACCCTTATTTCCTCTTGACAATCAGCATTAATTAATTGAAGCCAGTATAGTAAATTCCAGCCTATCGGTTCAAGGGCATAAAGAAAGAAGATTGGTCAAATTGCAGTCTCAATGTAGAGTTCTAAAGACCTAATACATCCCATATACGTGGATAGCTGAAATTTTCAACAAGTGAAATAAAACATTTGACAAATTCTCTGAATTTACCTGAATAAATTTCTGGCAGGTAACCAAGAGTGAATTTATATCACCGAATAACACCTGACCATATTCATGTGTGTAAAATCTCTGCTAATTGTGTTCTAATTTACTCTGCTTCTGGCTAGAAAGTTTATGGTAAAGTTTGTTTGTTTTTCCTTTACATTTCCAAAGTGTTCTCCATCATGCTTCTTTCCTCAAGTCAGTGAAACTCCACATACATTTTGCTCTAGCAAGTCATAGTGTTTGGCAAATGATATGTGATTCATACATATAGAACACTGGTTTTTCACAGTGACTTCAAATTAGATTCACCTGGAGAGGCGTAAACACCACCCCCCCGCCCCCCCAAAATAAAACCAAATAAAACTCACACCTGGGCTCTACTCAAGAGCAATTAAATCAGAAGATCTTTGGATGGTGTCCAGGCATTAATACTTTTTAAAAGCAACTTAGGTCATTCTAATATGCAGACAGATTTGAGATATGCTATATATTATGATAAGGCCTAGAGAGAGCCCTAAAAGTCTCCTATTCTCTACCTTTATCTTTTATTACTTTTATTGACTTTTTTTTTTTTTTTACTATTTTATCTCTTGTGGGTAGAAAGCCCTGCCAATTAATAATAAAACATTTTAAATGCACACACACTTTAACCGTTATATTTACAATTCTCTATTTAGTGGAGATAATTTTTAAAACAGAGGTACAAAGAAATACAGTTGCCACTCACAAATCCCTCATTCATAAATCTCCCACTGCAGGCATTTGGACTTATCTCCTTGTATGTCAACACATAGGCAAATAATAGGGATCATAATACATACTTAATTTTTATCCTGCCTTTTGCCCTTAAAGTTTATTCTAAGAAGTTTTTCAAGTTAGTAAATGCTCTTTAAAAAGAATTTTAAATGCCGCATAATATTCTATTGAATGGCTGAACCAAAATATATTTATATTGAAACAGTTCTTGTTATGGAAAGTGATAGTTTGGATACTTGACCCCACCTAAATCTCACGTTGAAATGTAATCTCCAATGTTGGAGGTGGGCTGGGTGGGAAGTGATTGGATATGGGGGTGGATCCCTCATGAATGATTTAGCACTATCCCTTTGGGGCTGCCTTTGTGATAGCTAGTGAATTCTTGCGAGATCTGTTTGTTTAAAAGTGTGTGGAAAGGGTGGGAAGACGGTGAGTGATGAAACACTACAAATTGGGTTCAGTGTATACTGCCTAGGTGATGGGTTCACCAAAAATCTCCCAAATCACAACTAAAGAACTTACTTGTGTAACCAAATACCACCTGTTCCTCAAAAACCTATGGAAATAAAAATTTTTAAAAATGTTCCAAGATTAAAAAAAAATTATGTGGCACCTAGCTTGCTTTCTCTCTCTCTGGCTCCTGCTTTCACTTTGCGATGTGCCTGCTCCCCCTTTGCCTTCCACCATGATTGGAAGCTTCCTGAGGCCTCTCCAGAAGCAGATGCCAGTATGCTTTTTAAATAGTGTGCAGCACAGTGAGCCAATTAAACTTCTTTTCTTTATAAATTACCCAGTCTCAGGTATTTCTTTATAGCAATGCAAGAATGGCCTAAACACAGAAAATTTCGAAGTAGAGAAAATAGTGGAATTGAACCACCATGTACCCATTACAGGGGTCAATCTTTACCATCCTGATTTAATACCTTAATTATGGTTTAGGTCCTCCCTATATGTACTGGGGAGGGGTTACAAGGCTGCTAGTCTTGAATGATCTCTTTGATTTGTGCTTACAACCCTTTCCTGTCAAGTGTCACCCAGAAAGTTCATGTGTTTTATCACAGGCCAGATTTATTCCATTATATGGATATACCACAGTTTGTTTATCCATTCACCTGTTGATGGACTGGTGGTTTCTGGTTTTTAGATATTATGAATAAAGCTCTTGCAACACTCATGTACAAATCTTTGCCTGGTCATATGCTTTAATTTCTCTTGGGTAAGAAATTAAAAGTAAAAGTAAAATGAAAATGAAATGCTTGGTTCAAATGCTAAGTGTATGTTTAACTTTTTAAAGAACTACCAAACTGCTTTCCAAAATGGTTGTACCATTTTCTATTGCCCCGAGTAGTGTATGAGAGTTTCAGTCACTTCATATCCTTACCAACACTGGGTGTGGTCAATCTTTTTAATTTTAACCACTAAAAAGTGAGAGAGTAGTGGTATATTATAGTGGAGAGAGTAGTGGTATATTATGGTGGTTTCGACTTGCATTTCCCTAATAACTAATGAGGTTGAGCTTCATTTTATGTGCTTATTTGCTGTCTATCTATAACAATCAGTTTGGGCTGCTATAACAAAGCATTATAGGCTGGGCAGTTTATGCGCAACAGAATTGATTTGTCACACTTTGGAGGCTGGAAGTTCAAGAACGGAGTGCCAGCATGGTTGGGCTCTTGGTGAGGGCACCCTTCCTGGTTTACAGACAACCATCTTTTTGTTGTATCCTAACATGGAAGAAAAAGGAGTGTTAGTGTTTCCTGGGGTCTCTTTTATAAGGGTACAAATTCCATTCATGAAGATTCCATGCTTGTGACATAATTGTCTTCCAAAAGTTCTACCTCCCAATACCATCCTATTGGTGGTTAGGATTTCAAAATATAAATTTGGGAGAAACAGAAACATTCGTTCCATGATGCCAGCTATATATTAGCTTTGTTGAAGTGCTTGTTCAAATTTTTTGCTCATTTTTTCTATTTTTTCCTCATTGTTAAATTTTGAAAGGTAAAAGAGTATATATTTTAGATTCAAATTTTTTATCATATATATATTTTGCAAATATTGTCACATAGTCTGTGGCTTGTTTTATTTTAATAGTGTATTTTGAAGAGCAGAAGATTCAAATTTTGATGAAGTCCTGATGGATTTTGATAATACTGAATAATTTCTATAAGACTTGATTTAGAGTTTGTTATGAATCAGCTCTAAAAGCTATTGTAATTAATTGATAATGTTACATTTTTCTTTGTGAGAAAACTGTAATTTTAGTAGTGTTGAATTTTTTCCTTGGAAAAATGTCTTAACCAAAATAAATTAAAATCACACTTTCTTATTTGATTAGATGTCAAAAAGGAGGTAATACTCGAGAGATAGTTTCCTGGAACTCTTCTTCCATCCTAAAATGAGAAAGCACAATCCCATTCACTGGATTTTTCCTTTTTCTTGAGTATGAACTAATGGTGTGTCCTTGCTTTGTTTCTAATAGGATACTTGCCCCATGGTCTTGACAGCCTATGGAGTCATGAATAAGAATATTTTGAATCTGTTCTTTCAATGTTTTTGTAAGTGGGGAAATTGATGCTTCTCCATGATTTCCTGTTCTGTTCATTAGCATAGCTTGGCCAATGTTCCCCTGTTATAGTCAGGATTATGTTCAGGATGATATTCTCTATTATGCCCTCTGGCCCCTACGTGTAATGGTACTAAAGATGGTGATGCTAATAATGAAGAGAGATGGACTTGTAGCATAAAGACCTATTTCTTTAATTTAAACATTTTTGGAGGTGCACATTTATGAATAATTCCCAAGGACATTTTTTTAGAGGAAGAAGGGATTTTTCCTTATTCCTAATTCACCAGCCAGATTAATTGATTCCCTTGTTTCTAATAGATATCTGATATTTTTACCTTCAAAGCAGTCTTGTTTCTCCTAACAGTAGTTTTATTTCTCTTTTGGGAACCTACTGCCTCTTTTTAATTCTTAGTTCATATGTTTTAGATGGCTATGACTTCTGGTTCTAGGTGAGAACATATCGCCCAAAGTGTGGCTTGTCATAGTATTGCATTCCCTTGGCCACGATGCTTGGCTCAAGCGTGGGCATCTTATTACTGTGACCATTGGAAGCTGTTTCAATGGAATTTACTAAAAGCATCTGAAAGAGGTCCCTAGAGCATGCTAAATGGGTAGAATAAGGTCTGGGGTTACTGGGGGCCATTTTGCTACTGCATGGGAAGGGTGTTCCTGAGAATGAAACCAACACGGTAGAGATAAGAGGTGATAAGAGACAGTGTATTCTGATAACACATTTTGAGACTGGACATTGCCATTCTATTAAACAAGTTTAAATTTTTAAATTCAATAAATTCTCTTTTTTACTTAAACTGGTTTTAGTGGATTTTTTGTCACTTTAAAATAAATAATTCCAACAGAAACAATGTTCAAGTAAAATTAAACCCATTGTATTTTTGTTCTTAAAATCTGTGATTTACTTCCACAGAAAATATTTGTAAGTTCTATTTATAGAATTTATAAATCAGGGGGTGGTTATTATTTAGAATCTAAACATAACTCTAAATGAATTCAGCTATTTATGTTTTTTCCTTTGACTAGTTTTTTTTTTTTTTTTTTTGCACAGGAAATATGTATGGGGGAATTAATGCTTTTGATCAGGATAAATTACAGGACATGTTGAAGCATAGTCTGGATTCTCCCTTGGTAGAATTCAGCTGGGAACTACCTGTGGTTCTCTGCACTGATTATCTTGTTCCTTGCCTTTGTGCTACACTCATGTTGTCTCTTTCTTTCAGTTCTCTTTACTTGCTTTACTCCTAAACACATTTTAATATACATTTCAAACATTGTCTCTTTCAAGAAGCTTCCCTTGACCTCTGCAGACTGTCAAGTGTCCTTCTTCAGTTCGCCTTTGATACCTTCTGCTCTGTGTTAGTTTCACATCTTATGTCTGTATACTTTAAATGATTAGCTCGCTGAGTAAAATGTGTCTTATTCATCTGCATCCCTTGTGTCTGGAGCCATTCCTAGTTAAGAGCAGATGCTTAGTAATGGTACTCTCAGAAAGCAAATTAAAACAAAACAAAATAACAAGAACGAATAAAAATAACTGGATCCAACTTCTGGATAGTGGGATTCATCTAGATCTGGCTAATTATCACAGTCACCTGGGGATATTTTTAAAGAGAAACATTATACGGTGGATACCTAGAGATTCTGACTTAGTGGATGTATTAGCCTGCTAGGGCTGCCATAACAAAGTACCAGGGTCTGGATGGCTTAAACAACAGGAATATATTTTCTCAATTCTGGAGCTTTTTAAGTTATAGAACAGAAGAGTCTGCATATGCAATTCCTGTATGTGCTTTTTGAGATTATCAAATGCTCACCATGTGACATGTATTTGAAGAGCTTATTTTTTAAATCGCCATTTATTTGCTTTGTCATTTCAGAGTGATGCATGAGGTTGAGTAGTTTTAAGTACCACCTATGAAGCAAGCCCAGCTATTCATGGAAAAGGGGACCTTGTGTCCTTCACCAACATAGCTGGAACCATTATCCTCTCACATATGCTTTATTTGAGAGGTTGTTTTTTATTCATGAAGTCCAAAAAATGTTTGCCTCCTCCATTGCTTATTCAAAGCCATTGAATATTATAATTTCTGTCCATTAATCAGCATTACACCTACATGCAAGCTGTATGAACAATGGAAAAGAGTAATGAGGCATGATGTTTACCCTGATGCTTTTGGTGGGAATATTTGCTCATCTTTAGAAGAAATGAGCTGAAACCTACAGCAGTCTCCCAAGGAGCACCTATTATGCATTCCACTGAATTTCCTTTTTACTTTTCTTCTCCCCCAGGAGAGACAGTTTCCCCCACCCCTTTGGTCAATCAAGTATGGCACAAGGGTAATGACAACTCTAATAGATGCTGTAAACCAGTACTTTTAATGCACAATATAATTGAGTAAGAATATAGTGTCTATACTGATGGAGTCCCTGGTGCTTTAACAGCTGAAATTATGATTAGAAAGATTCAGATAATGCTGACTTCTATTACATTAAACCACAGTATTATACAATTTCCCTTGCCGCAGCATATCCATTCTTTTCTTTTGAATTATGCAGTGTTGTCTTAAATGGTTTAATATTACTTTGGAATAGAATTCAAAAAACTCCTGAGAGAATTTAACATTTTTGGTAAAACGGATGCAAGCTCAATTTTCAGTGATAGTTTTCAGCAGACAATTTCTTTCTGTAGCTTTCATAGGAAAGAGCTTTTTTAAAGAGCACCCTACAGCAAACATTTCTAGCTAGCTGAATGGGATGGTGTGGGGAGCAGTCCATGTTTTGTACATGGGAAGATCATTACCCTAATTGCTGTGAGGTATTTAGAAACTGTATTTGCACCTTTCACATTGTCAAGGGTGCAAGGTGAAAAAGAAAACAGTTTATGGATGGTAGTGAGGGGTAGGAGGTACTCTTATAATAATGAATGCTTCATAACTCAGACCTAGTGAGGTGTGAGTGAAATATGTTGTTTTCTTCCTTTGTGAATAAAGATCATCAATTACTGCTGTGGACTAAGACACCTTTATTTGTGATCTAAAGCCATGCAATGTAATACTCTTAAACTGTTGGTTTCACCTTCCCTTTACTGGGTTATTTATCATTTTCTTTAAAGGATATGCCCTATAATTCTATGTATAATAAATAATAAAAATGATTTTGTGTTGATGCTAGTAATATTATTACTAATAGTATTGAGTTATCATTTACTGAGTAGCTCTTTGTGAAGCATTTTACACAAATTAAATTCAACTATCACACAATGAAGTTGAAGAAGTTTAAGAAACTTGCTAAATGAACAGTGGCCAGCAAGTGACAGAAGCAGGATTTGAACTCTGATATTTTCCAAAGCCGCTGCACATTATAATATCTTTACTGAATCTCTAGGAGAGAACCATCTATTTTAGTGAAAAACAAAGATAATAACCAATGAATTCTGGAATAATTGAGTTGTTTACTCTGATTTCTTAAATGAAAGCATCAAGTATATTGGAAATACAAGGACTTCCTGGTGCTCCAGGTCTCCTACCATGTAAACAGAGTAATCTCTATCTGGACACTGAAAAAATATTACTGTTTAATTAGAAAACAGTTTATGTTAAATTAAACATGATGGACAGAATCTCTGAAGTCAGCTAACACAAGGTGCCACACAGAGTCATATATGTAAGCTGTTATGAAATTTTAAAAGACAAAAAAATGTAAAGAAAAATATAACAATAAAAACAGATGATATTGACCCCCTGACTTTGTGCCAGGCATTGTTCTAAATGCCTAGTATATTTTAACGAATGAATTGAAACTATAAGTAAGAAAGGTGAAGGGAAAATTGGTTACAGACTTTTGTGACCCAAGCCTTGCTGTACAGAGCAAGGAAACCAGTTCTTTGCTTCTGGGATTGTTAGGGATGTGAGCTTTACTTGCTATGTCCAGTTTCATTGATTAGTTGCACATAATTATCCCTCTGGATGGTTGTTATTGGTTTATGTGTCTACGTTGTCCACTATTCTGTGAGAAGATCTTGTCATATTCACTTATATTTTTGTAGAATCTCATCCACTCATTTCCATCTCAGCACAATTTCATTAAATAAATGAATGAAGAATGAGTCTGAATAGAGTGAGGAGAAGGAATAAGGAAGCAAGTAAGGTTTGAATGCAAGTCCAAAAGGACTAATTTCAGCGAAGGAACTGGTGGAAAAGAGTGCAATTTTGTTAATTTCATGTAGTTAATTTGGGGTTGTATAACCAATGTATTGGTCAGAGTTCAGTTAGGAGATAGAAATCATACCAGATATTTTTGCAAAGAATTGAATATTAAAAAATTGTTGACTAGATATTGGAAAACTGAAAAGACCAAAAGTGTCTTGCTAAAGCAACATGGCAGGAAGCAAGTGCAGAAGATAGCTATCTCTCAGACCATGTTCATTGTTTTAAAAGAGAGAATTTTATATAAAGAGTAGTTAATTAGGTTTTGAAGAATCAAAAAGTCAAACATGGAACACTAAAGTACCACAGAGATAGTAGATACAGGTAACAGTTAGAAGAGCAGAGGAAGCAGTTGGAATTATGAAAACTTAGATGGTTGGAAGAGAGGCCTCCTGGAGCTGAAACTCAGTCCTTTGATGAGGGCCTGCCTGTGATGATGGATATGTGAGTGCTGAAAGAACTCCCAAATAGAATTGACTGCTGAAGCTGGAATGCGCTGTAGTGCACTGCTGCTGCTGGGTAAAAACGGAGGCTGAACAAGAACTGGAGGGAAAAACAGGAAGCATGAAGCAAGCAGGAAGGAGCAAATCCTTTCCTATCTTTCCAACCTTGCAGCCTCCATCTACTGGGAGTATCTAACAGGTAGTCAGCTGGCAAAGCAGAAATTATTTGCAGAATCACAAACCAGCATTCCAAAGTTCAGAATCAAAATTCAGGATCTTTTATACAATATTATTTGGGTATTTGTGATGGAATTCTATTTTTCCATGTGTCATCAATTAGAGAAGTCATCTCTCCTTCATTTTCCATCTTAGAGTTCACTTGGAGTTTATCTTAGCACCCACTTCCTGGAGTGGACCTGTGCCCGGGGCTGACCAACCAGAATACTCCATGTGTCTGCTACAGGGGGCCAGGCTATCATCATTTCTGGGATATTTTCTAAGCATCATGTGAAAGAGGCACTCTTTTGCCTGGAATCATTACTTGCAGAGATAAACAAAACCTAGAACTGCCAATGGTCATCTTTGCCACTTCATGCGGAAAAGAAGCTGACATCTAGGAAAGCAGTACTGTGACAAGGAGAGAAAATGACAGAATTATTATGCATTTTCCAAGCTTCTCTATCAAGGCATTTCTGAAAGGAATCCCGTTTCTGAATCTTCCACTTGGAAAATCCATAAACAATTCTTCCCACTCACACAGTGACTCAGTCACCACCATTTTTTTTTTTTTGTTTGAGTTTCTGTCACTTGCCACCCAAGGTCCTGCCAATATAGTACTTAGGTATCTAAGGGGACAGTGGTTTAAACTATTTGCTAGAAATGTATACCTTGGTTGAATCTTTATTTGAATACACAGATTGTAAAAAATATATATTTTTTACAATAAAATTTTACTTTTTATTGTATTTATTGTATTTATTTATTGTAAACAATTATTATTTTTTTACAGTAGAAAAGACTGGGCATGGTGGCTCATGCCTGTAATCCCAGCACTTTGGGAGGCCAACCAAGCTGGGCGTATCACCTGAGGTCGGGAGTTTGAGACCAGCCTGACCAACATGGAAAAACCTCGTCCTTACTAAAAATACAAAATTAGCTGGGCATGGTGGGGCATGCCTGTAACCGCAGCTACTCAGGAGGCTGAGGCAGAAGAATCACTTGAACCCAGGAGGCGGAGGTTGTTGTGAGCCGAGATTGCGCCACTGCACTCCAGCCTGGTCAACAAGAGTGAAACTCTGTCTCAAAATATATATATATATATATATATATATATATTTAGGAAAATTTGGACACTACCTTGATATTTGATGCTGTAAAAAATGATTTATTGTTAATTATTTAAGCATAATAATGGTGGTATGGTTATTTTTTTAAAAAAGAAGATACATTCTAAGTATTTAAGGATGAAAAGACATGATGTCTGGGACTTGCTTCAAAATAATCCAATAAACAAGGTAGATAAGTGGGTAATTTAGATAAAAAGAATTGGTCATGAATTGCTTGCTATTTTCTCAAACTGGTTGATGGATTTATGGGGGTTGATTATATGATTATTTTGCATATGCTGAACTTTTCCAAAATAAGACAGTAAATTAAAAATGAATAATTGTTATAAGCACTCTCTTAGAAAACTTGTGATCCGTGATCATTACAAGAATATAGATAATTCCAAGGTGCCCTCTTTATCAACCCTATGCAGATTCTTTAAGGAAAGGAACAATGTTTTACTTGTCTTTGTTTCTCTAGTGATTTGTAGATCTGTGCATAGCTCATAGTAAGTATTCAAAACTTTTTATGAAGATAATAAACTTGCTATGTTGGAAATAAAATAATTAAAATTACACAAGTAGGTAGCAGAGGAGGAGGGTACAGAAGCTAAATATACAAATTCATGGTTTTCCCACCATATCATTTGATAATACAAAATATGATAATGGATTAGAGTGTAGTAAAGAAGTAACCTTACCCAAATAGAGGTCTGGCCTTTGCCCTCAGCTCCTGGGAGGTAACCTTTAAGCCTTTGGAATATTCTGCCTTATAAGGTTGTCTTTGTTTACCTAGAAACCTTGGGCCATGCCGAATAGTCTATGCTAACAATATAATATATGATGGGAACTTTGGGTGACACACATTATCTTGACCTCTAGAGGACTTAGAAACTTAGGTCAGCCAAGTGGACAGGCAACAATGTCTACACAGCCAAACCTCACTAAAAAGGCTGGACCCCAAGGCTAGGTGAGCTTCCCTTGTGGACAATACTCCATGTGTATTGTCAGACATCACTGGTGGGAGAATTTAGTACTGTCCATAACTGCACTGGAAGAGGAAAACTGGAAGCTTCATGCTTGGAGATGCCCTGGACTCTACTTCATAGGCCTCTTCCTGCAGCTGATTTTAATCCATATCCTTTCACTATAATAAACAATAACTGTGGGTATAATAGCTGTAAGTGAATTCTGTAAGTTCTTCTAGTGAATTCTTAAATCTGAGATTTAGAGAATTTAAATTTCTAAATTTAAATGTAGGTGGTTTAGGAGACTCTTAAACTGGCAAGAGTCTTTGCAAGGAGATAATTTCTCACCTTTTACAACTCATCTATTCATGTAGAAATAAGAATTTCCTCAGTCTCTCTTGCAACTAAAGTAGAGGCGTGTGGCCAAAGGCTGATTTACCCTGAAATTAATGAATTTCACAATTTCACAGGCCCTGGAAAAGGCCTTGGTTGTGGTGGAGGGTGTACACTGGAAAACTGCTTAATGTGGGGAGGAAAAAAACCCATGTATCTAGTGTGAGAAATGTTCTGTGTTGAGTGTGAGTCTAGGAAACACAGTTTGATTTTTCCTGTCTCTTATAGTCATAATTGGAATAATGTAATCTGTAGGCAAAGTTGGAGGTGGCTACTTGATTATAGGATCATTAAGATTGAAATAGATAACCAATTAAAGTCTTATCTAGAAAACCAAAACCAACCAAAAAAAAAAAAAAAAAAGAAAGAAAGAAAGATTCTAGGTCTGGTAAAAAAAGAAAAAAAAAAAAGGCTTGGGCCACCAAGGTAGAGAGTCATGGGATTCTTAATTCCAAGAACAAAGTCAGTTAACAGAACCAGCCACTTGGGAAAAAAAATGAAAAAATGGGAAGTGTAGTATACTTGAGGAAAGATCCTTTCATAACATCATAAGACTTGATTTAAATCTTTCACATAACCCTCCCCAAACTTGCTTTCATTTTAAAGGGTAACATGTTCAGGACATTGAACACTGCTAATCAATGGGAACCTCATTTAACTGACTTGTTTGGCTATTCAGAAGTCATATTGGTCTTGAAAAATGGGACATGATTTCATCAGCATATTCAGATAGTGACTAATTTTAAGTTGCTGTTCCAGATGTCATCTCTTTATTGAAACAAATTAACACAGTCTCTGGCATCTACTATACACCTCTTACTTTTTATCTATTCCAATATGCGGAGAACAAGGAAAGCAGTTTGCTTTTATCTTACAGGGAAAGTAATACATTTTTCTCATTTTATCTCAGAGCCATGTTAACTCTTTAGATTCATGAAAAAAAATGCATGTCTTCAGGCACCCTGGCATTCTTACGATTCCACAGGACATCGTGTATTCTACAACATTGATGCTGCCATGCTGAAAGGACTAGAGGGTCAGGGAACAGCAAGTGTTCTAGTGCCTTTGTGTGCAATGCTAGAGGGAGGCAGACGAAGTGCATGAAAATAGGCTGGTCTGTTTACTTTATAAGGAATTTACTGTTAAGGGACTTTCCAGGATATTCTCTTCAAAGCGAAATACAAGTTTTGCACTTTATACACCATAACTACTATTAAAGAGGCACTTTCTTGGTAGACATATGCATATTGAATAAATGCATGTTATATGTGGGAGTGAGGTGCTGAATAATTTACCCTATTACCGAAAAGACTGTCAAATTTGAGAAGGCCCCAGATCAAGGGAAGGATCTCCATCTGAGTCAGGGTACAGTGTAATTTATTCTCTCACTTGGTTCTTATGACTTAGAGCATACAGTGGTATTCAAAGTATGTGTAGTACCTTGGGTTACTTGTGGAAATCACTGTTAGGAGAATCACAGCAGAGATCCCTAGAGTTCTGGAGAAAAGTCATGTCTTTTTTGATAGGTAACTATTCTCTTCTTGCTAATAGGTCCTGGTAGAGTTTAAACAGTTGATCACTGGCCATGCTTAAGCTACACATTATCATAAATTTGGATAACTTGGTGAACAAATTTACCGAGAAAAGTTAGGCACGCTTTGTAGCACTTTGTAATCAAGTGGAAGTAGTATATATGTAAAGTGAATATATAACTTATCATCCAAAGCAGGACACTTTTGAAAGTAAAAGAGGCACTACTAGTAGTGGCTCTAATACCAGGACATCTAGAACTAATGAGTACTTTCCCTGGCAAACTAAGAATATGCCTCCAGTGACATAAAGTAAATTCCATGAGCAGGTAGCTCGCATTCTTAGCAGGCATTTCCCCAATTGGCCGACATTTCTCTATCACCCTATGCCACCTTTGTTTCTGGTGACCTTTGACTGAAGAGGGCAACAGTTAAAAGTAGATTCATTAATACTATGCAGGTACCAGCTGCTATTAACAATTACAATGATTCCTGGGGAGGTACTAATTATTTGGCTCTATAATAGAGGGGCTTTGAGTGGACAGACTGAAGAGTTTGTGAAAAGAAGGTCTGGAATGCACATGATTCTTTCAGGATAGACAGTGTGAGAATATTTGAATATTCAGCAAATACCATCCATTATAGAGGAGGCTATTGATAACTAGGTATGCATGGTGACCATTTTCTCCCCAGTCATCTCCCAGCCCCACTGCCTGCTCAATGAGCTATTCAAAAAGTAGTCATGGTAGCAGATCATGGTGGCATCCCCTCAGGCCTATTTGACTAACATCATTGTTGAATGCTCAACTTGTTAGTAGCAGAGACCAATCTTTGTTCAGGGGGGCTAATTATTCTGAAAATATTAAAAAATTTTGTGTTAACTGATTTACCTCTGTTTATCCCCATGTTACCCTTGCTATTTACCTGTTTAATTTCATTATCACTAATGATGATGGCTGGCTCCTCTACTTTATCCTTTTGTTGCAGACTATTAAGATGGAGTCAGTTGGCCCTGGACTTGGAGCTGGGTGCAGCAACCAATTGTCCCTGAAAAAGGGACAATAGCAAGTGCATTTTCATTTGTGAAAAAAGTAGTTGTGTTATGTTAGATATAAGCATTTGTTGTGTGGTTGTTACTGGTTGGAAGTTTAGACATGGGAAAATGAAGTTTATTTATACTATGCTGGGCATCTAGTGAACGTTTGTCTTGTTTACTGCCTTCCAAGCCCCTTATAAATACCCCTGATAGAATCCCTCATGGTATATCATTTTAAGGTGGAAGACAGAAATACTTTCCCACTTTTCATTAAAGCTGGAATGCAGGTTGGAGGAAATCCAGTTGGGACTTAGTTCAGAAGAGAGTGACATGAAGCAGTAACACCAAAGGGAATTAAATCTTGTGAAGGTAATAGAAAATGAGCTTTCAGAAGTCACAGAAGCAAGTCATCCTGGGGTTACAGCCCCATGCTGTGGGTAGGTAGTGCAAACTCGGGCTGTGTTGGTGGAGTGAGAACTTTACTGGAGCATTTTATCAGTGTAATTCAACTATTCTTCCTGGCTGCATAGTATGCATGCTAGATATCTTCAGCCTTCCCTCTCATAAACTTTAACACATACTTTTATTCTGTATATTGGATGGAATGAGCTCTGTCGTTTACAGTTAAAAACCATTCCTGATGCATAGATATTTGAGATAACCAAACAGGGAAATAGAGGCATTAATCTGGTCAGCCATTACAGAAGTGATATTTTTAAAAAGCCACCTACCTACCCAGTGTTAAAAAGATCGAGCAATCTCGCCTAAGCCCCAACTCATGCAATTAGAATGCTTTCTTCCTCAGCAAGGAGATACGGAAATCTGCCTGAGTTTCGGAAAATCTCATACACGAAAATCTAAATTTACAAAACCGATTTATTAAATGATCTTACTCTTTTCAATTTACTGAAGGAGTCGCCATGTAAAAGAATTTACTATTATATATGTTTTACTTAATTAACCAATTCCCCAGTTATTTATTATGTTGTAATTTATTTTAAAATTCTTACTTTACAGACCTTTCCAAGATCATATCTGCTACATAAATAGAGATTTAAATATTAGAATTTAAGTATGAGAATTGAAATACTTCATTGGGAAGTTGTGAAATTACTAGCCTCCAAGGGCTAACAAAGGATTTCAGCTAGCACTTTCAAGATTGGAATGCCTTTAAAAAAAGCAACATTATGAAGAATTCATGCTATTGAGGAATAAGTTTATTGTGTAGAATTCTTAAATGAAGGTAATAAAATGCATATCTAACTGAAAAATTCAACTGTACAAAACAACATACCATTCAGTTCCTAAACATTTTTATGTTAAGGTGGATAGCTATTGATTTTATAGAGTCACTGAAATCCATTTTGTAGGTATTTTTACACTGTAAATTTAAAAATAATTTTTTATTTTAGCACATAAAGATACCAGACAGTGGGTTTTACGGCAATGATAGTACAATGGCTATGGTTGCTTTTAATGTATATGTGTGTGTGTTCTATACTGCACTGAACTTATGAAAACCTCTAAATCTCTTCTGGGTTCACAAGTTCGCAGCTGATGTGGAATACCTATTAGACATTTAAGAGCAACATAAAAAGACTATCTCTGGAAGGCTGTGTTTATGCTTGGAATAGATCTCCTCCCGAGCAAGTTGAAAGCCCATTAAAAGGATTTGATTTCAGCCTTGGTGAATTGTTTCCTTTCCCATTAGAGAGCTGGTCTTATAGCTGTAACTGGGTAGTTGTCTCTTTAATTACTGTAAATTTGGCTTTATAATAACTACAGGAGCAGAACTTGGGCATATAACATGGCAACACAGATGCAGAGATTTCACAATTAGGAAAAGAGATTTAGCTTATCCTGCTACCAAGGACAGCTAAAAAATATGTCTGAGCTACATCTTTTAAAGCCTTCCAGAGAGAACTAGATTTCAGATTATGTAATAAGCCCTGGTATTTAAGTTCTATCTTCTAAGCAAAGAATTAGGTAGTTTTACAACACAGGAAGATCTTTTTCATAAATAGGATCTTATGAAATATTGGCTTAAATATTTTTAGGCTACACTTTATAAAGATTTACCGTATTTGAACAGCAACAGTTAATGGATTATTCAATATAGTTTAACAATAAGTAGTTCTAATACCATTCAAACTATTAAAATCCTGACCCAAAACTTCATTTTTCAGATAAAAAATTCCTCAATGGCTTTAACTACCTAGTTGATTCATAGTAACCAAAGGTTATTGGAAAAGCTTTAAGGAAGGGTTGAACACAAACACTGGATTTCACTGGTGAGAAGAAATTGAAAGTAAGGTTGTCAAATTTTGTCTAGTTTAGTTTGATTTTGATGATAGCAAAAGCTGAATGTGAAGATTAGTGGTTTTCCCTGTATGCTATTTGACCAGCCACAGAACAAACTACTTCAGTCTGTAAGATTACGCATCTTTATCTAAAGTCTGCAGATATGGATGTGACATGGTAAGTAGTAACTCAACCCTAGTAGCCTTATGTCATTTAATCTTTCAGATGCCCCAAGATCTGGTTCATTGTATATACTCCCTTATGTTTCTTTTACTTCTTTTATTTTTTTAAATTTTTTTATTTCTGTAGATGCCCTAGGTGTTTTCTTATGGTACAAATCACCTTTATACTGGCATACCTTAGAGAGGTATGTACCTCAGGAAGTACACAACCCCATTTCTGTTCCATACCAATATAATAAAGAGAATATGGAAATAAAGTAAGTCATATAATTTTTAATTTTCCTGGTTCATATAAAAGTTATATTTGCACTATACTATAGTCTATTAAGTATACGATAGAATTATGTCTAAAAAAGTAATGTACACATTTTAATTAAAAAATGTTATTGCTAAAAATGATAATAATCATCTGAGCCCTTAGCAAGTCATAATCTTTTGCTGGTGGAGCATCTTGCCTTGATGTTCATGGCTGCTGACTGATCAGGGTGGTGGTTGCTGAAGGCTAGTTTCACTGTGGCAATTCCTTAAAATAATACAATTAAGTTTGCCACATCTTCCTTTTGAGAAAGACTTCTCTATAGCATGTAATGCTGTTTAATACTATTTTACCCACAGTAGAAATTCTTTCATAACTGGAGTTAATCCTCTCAAACCTTTTTGCTGTTGTATTAACTAAGGTTCAGCAACCGACCATGGCACGTGTATACCTATGTAACAAACCCGCACGTTCTGCACATTCTGCACCTGTATCTCAGAACTTAAAGTATAATTATATATGTATAATTATACATGTATATGTATACATATATAAAGTATAATTTTATATATAATTATACATGTATATGTATACATATATAAAGTATAATTATATAAAGTATAATTATATATATAATATAGACATGTATATGTTTATACATATATATGTATCATGTATATGTATACATATATATACACGTATATACATATATTCTATATGCATATATAATATATGTATTATATGCATTATTGCATTAATAATATGCATTATATATGCATTAATGCATATAATATATGTATTATATATGCATATATACATGCATATGTAATACATATATTATATATGCATATATACATGCATATGTATATACATATATTATATATGCATATATACATGCATATGTATATACATATATAAAGTATGATTATATATAATATATACATGTATATGTATATACATGTATATATTATATTATATATTATTTATACATATTATTATGTCTATATATAATATAATATATACATATTAATAATATAATACATAATATAATATAATATATTATATAATACATAATATAATATAATATATTATATAATACATAATATAATATAATATATTATATGATACATAATATAATATAATATATTATATGATACATAATATAATATAATACATATTAATAATATATTATTATTATTAATATAATATATACATATTAATATACATACATATATATTATATTATATATAATATACATATAATATAATATGTAATATTATATATAATATAATACATAATATAATACATATTAATAATATATTATTAATAAGATAATATATATGTATCTATAATATATACATATATGTATATGTATGTATATATTATAGATATACATGTTTATACATGTATATATTATAGATATATACATGTATATACATGTATATATTATAGATATATACATGTATATACGTATATATTATAGATATACATGTATATATGTATATATATTATAGATATAATATATACAAGAATATAAGAATATATATAATATAATATATAATACACATAATACGTATATATTATATATACATGTATATTATATATGTACATATATACATGTATATTATATATACATGTATATTATATATACATGCATATTATATATATTTTTATATATAATATCCATGTATATTATGTATATTTGTGTATATTATATATACATGTATATTATATATACATGCATATTATATATATTTTTATATATAATATCCATATATATTATGTATATTTGTGTATATTATATATACACATATATTATATATACATGGATATTATATATACACATATATTATATATACATATATATTATATATACACATATATTATATATACATGTATATTATATATACACGTATATTATATATACACACGTATATTATATATACACGTATATTATATATACACACGTATATTATATATACACGTATATTATATATACACACGTATATTATATATACACGTATATTATATATACACACGTATATTATATATACACGTATATTATATATACACACGTATATTATATATACACGTATATTATATATACACACGTATATTATATATACACGTATATTATATATACACACGTATATTATATATACACGTATATTATATATACACACGTATATTATATATACATGTATATTATATATACATGTATATTATATATACACATGTATATTATATATACATGTATATTATATATACACATGTATATTATATATGCATGTATATTATATATACACATGTATATTATATATACACATGTATATTATATATACATATATATTATATATACATGTATATTATGTATACATATATATTATATATACATGTATATTATAGATACATATATATTAAATATACATGTATATTATGTATACATATATATTAAATATACATGTATATTGTATATACATATATATTATATACATGTATATTACATGTATACATATAAAATATATATACATGTATATTATATATATACATATATATTACATATATAAAAAATATTCTAAATTCTTTGTTGTCCTTTCAACGATATTCACAGTATCTTCACCAGGAGTAGATTCCGTCTCAAGAAACCACTTCCTTTGGTCATCCATAAGAAGCCACTCCTCATTCATTGAAGTTTCATCATGAGATTGTCAACACTCCAGTACCGTCTTCAGACTCCACTTATAATTCTAGCCCTCTTGCTATTTCTACCACATCTTCAGTTACTTTCTCCACTGATGCTTTGGACCTCCCAAAGTCACGCAGGAGGGTTAGAATCATCATCTTCTAAACACCTGTTAATGTTGATATTTTAACTTCCCCCATGGATCATGGATTTCTTAATGGCATCTAGAATGGAGAATCATTTCCAGAAGGTTTTCAATTTATATTGCCCAGATTCATAAGAAGAATCTATCTATATTGGCTATAGCCTTATGAAATGTATATTTAAAATAACCAGACTTGAGAGTAATTACTCCTTGATCTAATTGCAAAATGGATGTTGTGTTAGTGCATGAAACAACATGAATTTCCTTGGACATCTCCATCAGAGCTCTTGGGTGACCACATGCATTATCAGTGATCGGTAATATTTTGAAACGGAGCCTTTATTTCTGAGTGGTGAGTCTCAGTGGCTTGAAATATTCAGTAAGCCATGTTGTAAATAGATGTACTGTCATCCAGACTTCAATGATCCATTTGTAGAGCACAGGCAGAGTAGATTTAGCATAACTCTTAATGTTCCTAGGGTTTTTGGAATGGTAACTGAGTATTGGCTTTAATTTAAAGTCACCAGCTGCATGAGTCTCTAACAAGGGAGTTAGCCTGTCCTTTGAAGCTTTGAAGTCAGGCATTAATATCTCCTCTCTAGCTATAAAGGTCTTAGATGCATCTTCTTCAAATATAAGGCTGTTTTGCCTGTATTGAAAATCTGTTGTTTAGTGTAGCCATATTCATCAATTATCTTACCTAGGTCTTCTTGGAGAACCATGTTGCAGCCTATACATCACATCAAAGATTGCTCCTTCACCTTGTACTTCAATATTAGAGAGATAGTTTCTTTCCTTAAACCTCATGTGCCAACCTCTGCTAGTTTCAAACTTTTCTTCTGCAGTTTCCCCACCTCTCTCAGACTTCATAAAATTGAAGGGTTAGGGCCTTGCTCTGGATTAGGCCTGACTCAAGATAATGTTATGGCTGGTTTGATCTATCCAGATTACTAAAACTTTTTTTATATCAGCAATAAGCCTGTTTCACTTTCTTATCATTTCTTATCATTTGTTACTAGAGTAGTGTAGGGAGACCCCCTGAAACTATTGCTATGGAATAAAAGATGAAATGCTCCTGATTATTGTAAATACAAAGTTGCATGCAGGATTGTGTAAAGACAATGCCAGGTTGGACTGCCAGAATGAGCCAACAGCATGTGATGTGCTTCCTCCTGCAGAGAGCCTGTGAATGGACGTGCACATTCACATCACCAAGATTCCTATCCCAGGAAAGCAGATGTTCATAGCTCTGGGAATGGAATGCCACCCTTGTGGAGAGCCTATAAACAGATGCGTGAGGGGCACCTATTCAAATGGATAAGATAGGGCTATAAAAACCCTCATCTTGCCATGGCTCTTCTAGCCCTCTTTAGGGTTAAAGCATACTCCCTTCTGAGAATTTCTGGTCTAACTGGTTGTCTAGCTTCACATGCTGTTTCTATGGATTGTTTGTAACCAGCTTTTGCTGCAACTGTTACTGCTGATTAATATCTTGCTAATCATAGGTTATGGAATGACTGTATTTCTGTTTTAAGGCTCTGTTAGAAATTACTGATACACAAGCTATATTGTAAATTTTTATCTCTGTATACTGTACTTCTGCATACAGATGTTATGTTAAAGAATTACTTCATCCCCTTGTGACCATCTCACCTCATAATCAAATGACCCTAAATCCCTCACTAACCTATCCCCGCCCTCACTAAACTTAATAATAAATGCTGGTATACCCAGTGCTTTGGTGGCATCACAGGACCAGAAGGTGGTGACCCCCTGAACCCAGCTTTCACTATCTTGTGTGTGTCTATTATTTCTCGACCTGCCAATCTGCCTGGGAAAAAAGAAAGAGCCCCATTGCATTGCGGGCTGCTGGCCAGATCCCACAATAGAGTAGCACTTTAACTTTTCTTCAATAACTTTTTCTTTGCATTCACAATTTGGCTGTTTGGTGCAAGAGGCCTAGTTTTCAGCCCATCTTTGCTTTTGACATGCCTGCTTCACTAAGCTTAATCGTTTCTAGCTTTTGATTTAAAGTGAGAGATGTGCAACTGTTTCTTTCACTTGAACACTTAGAGGCCATTGTAGGGTTATTAATTGGCCTAATTTCAGTATTGGTTTGTCTCGGGGATAAGGAGGTCTGTGGAGACGAAGATGAGGGAAGGGCCAGTTGGTGGAGCAATTAGAACACACAAATTTATTGAGTAAATTCTCCATCTTATATGGGCACAGTTTGTGATGCCCTAAAACAATTACAATAGTACCATCAAAGATCACTGATCACAGATCACCATAACAGATATAATAATGATGAAAAATTTTGAAATATTGTAGGAATTACTAAAATGTGACATAGAGACATGAAAATAGCCATGCCATTGAAACAATGGTGCCAATAGACTTGCTCAATACAGGGTTGTCACAAACCTCCAATTTATAAAAAAAAAAAACATGGTATCTGCAAAGCATAACAAAGTGAAGCACAATAAAACAAGGTATCCCTGGATCTGCTTTAGACTGTATTTTCAGACTTCTGGGATCACCTCCACATGGACTTCTCTTATGGAAGAAGGACTTCACAATTTTCAGGGATGAGGTTAAGGTTGAAAGCTGCTTTCCCTGTCTAGCTTCTTGATCATGACACGTCTAGCAGTATCAAGTCCCTGTTCTACCCCACCCCCCTTTTTTTTTAAAATAAAATTGCTTGCATTTCCATATATCTGCCAAATCCCACCAACTTTATCATTTATTTTTTCTATATGGCCCCTTCCTTTTTATATATACATTCTGGACTCTTCCCTGATTAGTATTTTTTTTTGTTTTGAGACAGGGTCTTGCTCTGTCTTCCAGGCTGGAGTGCAGTGGCACAATCATGGCTCACTGCAGCCTTGACCTCCAGGCCCAGGCAATTTTCCCAACTCAGCCTACAGACTAGCTGGGACCACAGGTGTGCATCTCTAGTCCAGGCTAATATTTAATTTATTTATTTATTTATTTATTTATTCATTCATTCATTCATTTTTGTAGAGACTGGGTTTCCCAGGCTGGTATAAAACTCCTGGGTTTATGCAGTCTCCTATCTCAGCCTCCTAAAGGGCTGGGATTACAGGTGTGAGCCACCGTGTCCAGCATTTCACTGATTTCTTGGTCTCCAGTCTCAACACCTTCAAATTATGTCACTCCTGTACTCAAAAATCTTAAAAAAAAGGAGATCATTAACTACTGAATAAAGTTCAGATTTAGCAAGCAATGTTCTCCATGACCTAGTCTGTTAACCACTCTAGACTCACTGCTTGTACTTTTCTGGTAGACATTATGATGTTTCATGCCCTTAGAACTTTGTTTTGCCTTGCCTCAAGATTTTCTATTTTAGCTCACTAATTCCTATCCATACCCTTAAGATACAGCTCAGGCAGCATATCTCCCAGCATATCCACTCTGGTGTCCCAGACTTGGTCATGTATCCCTCTTCTGGGCACCCTTGAAATCCTGTCTATGGCCTTACCGTTGTGTTACATTAATATTTCATGGTTATATGTCTTCCTTGCTATGTACCCCTTTCCCATCTCTATTTCTGAACCATGTCTGTTTCATGTAGGTGCTCAATAAATGTTAACACTAGTAAATTAAACTCGCCTTGTTTCTTACCTGCCTCTGGTCTGTTCAGCTGGCTCTTTCTTTTCTTGCACTATGTGTTCCTGTTGGTCAATTGGTCTATTTGTGGTGATTCTTCCTCACTGTATCTCCTACTATCTGCTCATCCCTCTCTCTGTGTGATGGCTGTGGTATAGTTAGACATTCCTAGAGCCAGATGAAGAGTATTGAAACAATTTTGATTTTGGAATGTTTTCTTTAACAGCAAATAGAAATCAGGAACTCCTTAAAGAACCCCACTTGTGTTTAGTTGCTCCTAAACCCTGTTAAGATCTCCATGGACAGCTTGAGGCAATTGACCTAGGAGGAAGTCATAAGTAGGGAAGATTTTACAGGGAAGCTTTTGAAATTAGGGTGCTTCTATTCTTGACCTAGAAGTTATCTTGTATTGGCTTCAACTCATGTGAAAAGAAAGGCTTAACAATGACTTAAAAAATTCAGTTTTAGATACTTAGTCAGTTTGAATTCTCAGTGAAATTATAACCTGATTTTGAATGAAAGCCTCTGATTTTGAAACAGTCACTATTCATGTCAAATTCATTGCAGCCATACAAAGCTCCTTCTCAATCTGCAATTTAATGTCTAAAATTTTGTAAAAACTGCTTAATGAACTCAGGCTTTAAAGGTTTAATTTTGTAAAGTTTTTCTCCCCCAACCACCTCCATTTGTACTAATTTGCCTAGATGGTATTAGGCACTCAAAGATATTTGACCCAAGTCATGCACAATTTGTTCAACAGCTCTCTATAGTGAGTTGATGAATTTCTTATATATGTAGTGGTTTGTAAATTTAAGTAATCTCCAACTGAATGGCATTTCAATTCCTCAAGTGATTAATGAAATAAAAGATGTTCAATATTGCATACTCAAAATTTAGCATTCTAGGAGTATGGTAATAATGCAAATTTGTACAATGGATTCAAATCAGCATTTAACATTGATGAGTGACTTCTTTAAAAACACAATTTACCTCACTGGATTCCTATCCACAGATTTTCAAGTCATTGTGAAATATTTTGATTTCTAGAATCAAGACACTGATCCCAGGCGATTCTTCTGAACTAATTTTTGTCTTTGTCTCTTAACAGCTTTAATTCATAGCAGAAGTAAACTCCCATGGTATGAACAACACTCCTCTGTAATTTTGATTTGTAAGCGGTGCTCTTTTTTTTTTTTTTAAACAAGACTTCCCTGAGCTGGTAGGGTTTTCTTAATCCTTAAGAATTCTGAATTTAACATCTAATTCAACATGAAGGAGACCAAGTTAGCACATGTTTTACTCTTTTTCTCCCCCTCTGATACTCTTAAAGCCATGTCCTGCTCTATGTAAGGACAACCCCTCTCATTTTAGCCTATCTACTCATTGACTTTGTTCCCGTGGGTATCCTTTTATCTCTTGAATTCTTTCTCCTGAATCATTTCAATCAGGCTGTGAACATACTGTTTCATATCTTATCTTAAAAACAAAAATCTAGTAGACAAACAGAATAGAACCCTTGACTCCACTGCATCTCTCACTTTTGGAGCCATCTATCTGTTATCTTTTACAGAAAAAGTCTTCAAAATATTTGTGACCCTCTCTATGCACCCCTCCTAGTCTCTTCTCAGTTGTCTGGCCAACTTATGGCAACTTAATTGCATTGTGGGCTCTAATTAATAACCTCCCTGTATTCATGAACTTTGGTCTTTAACTTTGTAGTCTCCACCCACTCTGATTCTGGAATGGACTTTGATATGGTTTGGATATGTGTTCCCTCAAAATCTCAGGTGGATATATGATCCCCAGTGGTGGAGGTATGACCTAGTGGGAGGTATTTCGTTCATGGGGGTGGATTCCACATAAATGGCTTGCAGGTAATGAGTGAGTTCTTGCTTTGAGATCTCGTTGTTTAAAAGAGTGTGGTACATTTTCTGCCTTGCTCCCTCTCTTACCATGTGATACACTGGTTCTCCCTTCACCTTCCACCATGATTACAAGCTTCCCGAGGCCCTCACCAGAAGCAGATGGTGGAAGCTTTCTTCCTGCACAGCCTGCAGAACTGTGGGCGAAAATAAACCTCTTTTCTTTATAAATTACCCAATTTCAGGTATTCCTTTATAGCAATGCAAAACCAGGCTAATACAGACTTGGACTTACTTTTGCCAGTAGGATGTGGGGAGTGATGGTATGCCAATTTTCAGCCAAGAATTTAGGAGACCTTGTGCTCTTCTGCCTTCTTTCTTGGAAATCTGACACCATTCTGAAAACTAACCAGGGCTGTCCTTTGGGAGGTTGAGAGACCTTGCAAAACAGACATTTTTACAGCCAAGACCATTCTAAAGCAGCTGACCCCTAGACTACCTCGCTCATTGATTGTAGGTATATGAGGTAGCCCAGATGAGACCAGGTGAGCTTGGCTCAGATTAGCAGAGCCACTTAATTAACCCATAGAAATTATAGTCATTATTTTAATTTACTCACTTTTGTGGTGGCTTGTTACATGGCAATAGCTAGCTAACACATTCTGCTAATAGGGCTTTCACTGCTACTGAGCATCTGAAATATCCTTGGTAGGGTCACCAGGGCCGTCTAATTTACCACATCCAAGAGTCAATGATTTATCCTTATTTTTCTTGACCTCACAGCAATCACTGACAAATGGATCCTTTTTGAAATTATTCTCTAGGCCTTTAAGATGTCACATTTGCTTGATTTCCTCCTATCTCACCGATGTTCTTTCTCAATCTCTTGTTCCTTTGCCAGATTCTAAAGTGTTGGAGTCCACCACAGTCTGAGTTTCCCATTTTCCTTTCTGTGTCCTTTTTTTTTTCCTTTGAGACACAGTTTTGTTCCTGTTGCCCAGGCTGGAGTGCAGTGGCACAATCTCTGCTCAGTGCAACCTCCACCTCCCTGGTTCAAGCAATTCTCCTGCCTCAGCCACCCGAGTAGCTGGGATTACAGGCACCCACCACCACGTCTGGCTAATTTTTTATTTTTAGTAGAGACAAGGTTTCACCATGTTGGCCGGGTTGATCTCAAACTCCTGACCTCAGGTGATCCTCCCACCTTGGCCTCCCAAAGTGCAGGGATTACAGGTGTGAGCCACCTTGCCCAGCTCTTTCTGTGTACTTTTAATTTTATATTATTCAATTCCATGGATTTAAATATTCTGTATATGATGTTAACTCCCAAATATAAATCCCATTTTTTATATCCTTCCTCTGAATTCCAGAATTATACTTATAGAAGTTTATTTGGCACACTCACTCAGATATCAACATTGTGCTATTGTCATCACAAACTTATCATGGCAAAGGTAACTATTTTTCTACCTTCCAATTCTTTTTCAGTTTTTTTCTGGTCCTAATCTTTATCATCCCCTCATCCCCTGACAAACCAAAACCCCAATGCACAAGTGTGTTGCTAGTATTAATTCCAAAGTGCATGACAAATGTGACTGCATCTTACTGTCTTCTACAACTTTAGTCTGACCCATCATCTCATGTTTGCACAACTGCACTTGCCTCTTAATTGATTTTCCAACTTTCATTCCTTTTTTTTTTCCCCTGTGGTCAATTTGCTACACAGTAGCAAGAACAATTTTTTTCAAAGTATAAATCTAATCACATTATTATGTTGCTTTTCCTCTTCCAATGACTTTCCATGGCAATTGGAAATAAATCCAAACTTCTTACCTTGCTTTCTAAAACCCTATATGATCTGTCTACAGTCTTTTTCCGGGGCCTCACCTCTGGTCATCTTCATTTCTTTTGATTATTCTCCAGCCACTCTGGTTTTCCTTCTGTCCCTCAAGCATCCCTAGATTGTTTCTTTCTTAGACCCTTTGCACTTGTTGTTCTTACTTCCTGGAATTCTCTTTACTAGATCGTTTATGGCTGGTACTTTTTGATCATTCTAGTCTTAGATTAAAATGTCATATCATCAGAGAGGGATTTTTAGGTCATCCTAGCTAAAGTAGCTTTTTTCTACAGCCTCAATTCATTCTCTAACCTACTACCCTTTAAATTTACTTTCTTCATAGCACTTATTATTAATATCATCTAAAATTAGCTTATTTATTCAATTCCTACATATTTATTGTCGTTTTTTTCTCTATTAGAGTGTAGTTTTCCTCAAAATTAGAATCTTGCTTTCCTTGTTAACATCTGTATCCTTCAATCCCTGAACAGAGTTTGGCACTGAGTGGGTTCTCAATATGGATGTATTCAAAGAATGAACGTACCTGAAGTAGTAAACTAATGGTGAATATGTCAAAATGTTGGATTTTGACCTTATTTAAAAATTATAATGACAATAACCCATAATATATATCCAAATCCTTAGATTCCTGAAATGTGTGAAAAATAAGGCATTGTAATGGATAAAATGGAAGAATTATGTATTTATCTAGTCACTGATTAGCTTTTGAATTAGCCAGCATAGGGGTACTGATTTGAAGTTCATTTATTCATTGCCCTGGCAATGCACTTTCACTAAATTAATTTTCCAAATGTCATGCCCCAAGTTAGACTGATTTGCAACATATGAAGTTAATTGTGTCCACAAATGGACAATACTCTCAGGCTTGCAGAGCTACAATGTATCAAGGAAATGTCAAATACAATTCAGTTTTATTTAGGAATGAAAATTTATATTTTCAAGTGAGAAATATTCAATTCATGGGATTACTATAGACTTATTCCTTAAGATTTAGCTTAAGAATTACCTTTCTTGGCAAGCATTCTTTAGTCTTCTAGGAAATGTGAGTCACGTCTTCCTCTTGGGTACCTAGTTCCTGAGTGCATTGACTACATTGAAATTTTGATTGGTAGTTGACAGGTTATTTCCCCATAAACCTTGATTTCTTTCAAACAGATCTCATGCTTTTCTCATTTTTCTTCTTGAAAAAAGACCTTGATTTTGGCATCTTTAGTTAATTTGTAAAATAGAGTAATCTCTCAGCAAATGTCTATGGTATTGAATAGAATAAATTGGTGCTGGATTGAATTACTAATTAATTGCTTTATGTGAATATCTAAGCTTATCCTTAGAGTATAAAACTTTGGAGGACAGGAACCAGGTATTATACCTGTCCTTTTTCCTTAGATTCCAGTATACTACACTTCACATGGTAGTAGTGTTCTCTCCTCTGCTGGATTTGGGCTTCCTTCAGACTCTTTACCACCACCAGAATTTAGGGGAATTAGTGTAATAGTTAACTTCTACCTAGGGTTATACATTAAATCTCTATCTAGTTTCCTGTTCTGGTGAGCAGGTTGGATAACATAAAATGCGAAGAACTTTTTAACGAGGGATTATAGGTTATGGCTTTGGGCATTTTACTTAATCTCTGTATGCCTCAACTGTTTTTTCATAGGTGACTAACTCACAGAGTTTTTATGAGGACCACATAAATTAGGATATGTAAAGTACATCAAATGTTCAAAAGTCTGGTTTATAGTAGATTTTCAACTGATGTTAGATATTATTACCCTTTCCTAAGACTTACATCAGAGCTCAGACTAAACTGTAAAACTTTTGTCTCCTATTTTTCAATTTATTTAGAGCACCAGATCTTGGGCTGCAAAGGCAGATTAAAGCAATAAATCCTAGGAGGATGTTTGAATTGGGAGAGTGTTTTCTTTAATTTTTGTCAGGTTTATTGAAACATCTTTTCACTCCTCCCACTGAAAGCTCTACATTTAATCCTGAGAAATGGGTAGGTGGTACATTTCAAGGTGAAATCTTTATATGTCCTTTCCTCTATTTTTATTTTATGTATCAGGGATGCAAGTCCATATGAGGGAAGGATAGCTGTAGCGAGAAGGTTAAAGCAGCACATGATCAATCCATAAAATTACTTGCTGAGGAAAATAAATTTTATTTGTATTGATGTTTTCCTTTGTAGAAAAAAGTCCAGTGGAATGAGCTGTCTCTTCAGGAATAAATCAGAAGAGAAAAGGTACAATTTATGAGGAAAGCAAGTCCTGGATTGAAAACCATGGCAAGCAGACTTCTCCACCTGGTGCAAGAAATATTATTGCTTACCTTGTGTGTATGTCTCCAAAATGAGTATGAACAAAACTGTTATGAAAGCCAAAGAAGGCAATTTTTGTGGCACAAAACTAGACTAGAAAAGACAGCAAAGATTTCAAGGAATCTGAAACTGTTTTCAAAAAAATCTATCCAAATGTGAGGGAGCACAGAAAAATCTTTTAAAGAGATTATTAGAGCTCATGAATTTATAGCTTTATAATTATTTTAGTCCTCACTGAGGAATTAGGCTATACAAGAGCACCTTTAAAGTTTTTTTATTGCTTTCTCCAATAAATTTTACAGAATTGAGTTTACGATCCATTGATTGGTCAGTTCTTGCTGGACTGAATCAATTGATTAAATGGAGAAAATAATATATAATTTTTCCCTCAGGAGAATGATAAGAATTATGATGTCAACTTGCACAAAAATGGTCTATAGCTTTTATCTGCCTACTTTTGTTAAACTATATTTAAAATTAATTTAAGCACTCTGTTAGATAAATAATCAGTTGTAAATACTAAAAGTTATTACACTATAAACCATTAAATAAAGAGTGCATTTTGATGAAACATCCCCAAATTTCACCAACCATGGTATCGATTGACAGTTGAGACTCCCTAGTCTTCATGATATCATATTGCTGTTAGCAGTGATGGCTATTTATATATTTACAAAGTCACTCTGATATTTGAGTAATGGGTAAGTCAGGCTTTACCTTGTAAATTAAGTCCTGCAAACTGACAGTTTTAAGAACTCTTATTGTGCTCACTACTCATTGCAGGTACCTGGAATGTCTGTTTTCTCTCCTCCTAAAATATTATGCTATTTTGCTATAATTTTTAATCTTCCTATTCTAACAATTTTGATACCTCAGTCCTTTCCAGAGATGGAAGAGATACCAGTCAATCACAAATAAAGAATGTATGTGAACCTGATGCTTATGGCAGTGATCGTTTTTATAGGCATGACAATTAGGTGGCTACCATTTAAGGTAGTGCGCCTAGAATATTTTACAGTATACTTTCCAGTCTTAATTATAAACTTTAGAAAATAATTTGAATAAAATGGAAAATGTCTAGAGTATTATGGAATTTCCTTCTCATCATATTTGAGAATCTGTTGGAAAAGCATGTAATTAGAACGAAACAAAAATACTTGCTGACACATTTTGCTAGGACTTCTGGCCAAAGCAATAAGGCAAGAAAAACAAATGAAACTGATTAGAAAGTGTATTAGTAATACAAAATTAGTAGCTAAAAACAAAATTTTATTAGCTTATAGTTCTGGAGGTTTGAAGTTCAAAATTAATCTCATTAGAGTAAAGCTAAGATGTCAGCAGAGCTGGTTTTTTTGGAGGTTTTGAGGGAAGAATCTTTGGCTTCTTCAGATTCTAAACATTCTCAGTATTCCTTAGCTCATGCCCTCTTTCTTGAATCACTACAGTCTCTTGCTTTTTTCATCTCATCTCCTACTATTGTAATCAAATCTCTTTCTGCTTCCCTCTTATAAAGATACTTGTGATTACTTTGGGTCCATCTGGATAATTCAGGATGCTCTTTTCTTCTCAAGATTTTTAACTAAACCATATCTGCAAAATCCCTTTCATTATGTAAGGTAACAAATTAACAGGTTCTAGGAATGTGCATTTTGGTATCTTTGAGAGGCTGTTATTCAGCCTACCAGAGAAAAGAATACACAAAATTAATTACAGAGATGATAGGCTTATCTACATAGAAACCCCCAAAATATCCACAGATAATATATTAGGATTAACAAGAGAGTTTAGGTGGCTATACATAAAATCCACTTCAATAATGCAATTGCATTTTTACATATCAAGATGAAATAGTTAAAATTGTAACAAAAAAGTAGAGAGAAGGGCAATGTAGATCATTAGAAATGATGCTGGGACAACTGGTTAACATATGAGAAAACTTTAATCCCTACCTTACTTTCTACCTGAAAATGAATTCTAAATTGATAAAAGGCATTAATGTGAAAGGCAAACTTAGAAAAATATTAGAATAAAAATAGGAGACTATTTTAAATATGATACAAATAGCAATAATCTTACAAGAAATGGTTGATAGCATTATTATATTAAAAGATCCTCTAACATAAAAAGAAACCAAAACAAAGGCGAAAAGGACAAACCAAAATCTCAGAGAAGATATTTTCAACACCTAAGACAAACTAAAGATTAGAATCTAAAAGAAATCTGCAAAGAAAATAAAGAACAATTCAATTGAAAACTGAACAAAGGATGTGCACAGTTATTTCATGGAAGAAATAAACATGATTAACGTTTGAAAAGAAGTTCAACCTCTTTATGCAAATTATGACTTCAACAGGGAACTATTTACAACCATTTAACTGACAAAACAAAATAAAGGAGTCTGACAATGCTGATCCTGGTAAAGGATGTGGAGTAAGGAGAACTCTCATACTTTACGAGTAATGGCATAAAGTGGAACCACAACTTTGGGAAACAATTTAGTATTTTCTTAAAAGTTGAAGATGAATACGACCTATGATCCAGCAATTCTACTGGGTATATGCCCTTGGGACACTCTTGCTTCTGCATTCTAAGGGATATAAGCAAGAATGCTTGTAGCAATAATATTAATCAATTATAACAGCAGAAATGGAAATAATAATTAAATACACTGTGGTATAATCCACCATGAAATACTATTTAACAGTGAGAAAGAATACATGACACTTATCTGGAAAATGGATGAAGCTTAGAAACATATTGTTGAAAGAAAAAACAAACCTTAAAAATATATACAGAATGATGTAATTTTAATAAACTCCTGAGCAAAAAATCTAAAATATATATTGTTAAGCATACATATGTGTGATGAAAGCTATCTTATAAAAAGCAATAAAATGATAAACACAGTGTACACAGTAGTGACTCAATATGGGTGGAAACAGGTAATTGGGTTTGGGAAGGAGCCAACAGACAGTTTAAAGCATACAGTGTATTCTAGTTCTCAAGGTGGTACTGTGTATATATAGACACACACACAAAAGACTACATGACACACACACACATATACATGATACATACATATGATACATACATAGACACACATATATACATGATACATGACAGACACACATACACATATATTTATTCATAAAGAAAGAAAAGCAAGCAGTATAGCAGTGTCAGTTTGTCTATTACATATGCTGTAATTGGTCTGGCCCTACTACTAGACATAAGGGCACGGGCATATTCAGTTCTCTGGCCCACCTCTGACACACAGGGCAATAAATAGTTACAGCATATCAAATTTAAAAATAAATAAATGTGTCAATTATCTGAAGATAGCACATTGGGGTGCTCTCTCTGGCAATTTTAATCCATTGATTTGCAAATGGAAGTTTAAAGGCAGTTATGCACAAAATATCAAATTTTTAATTCTCGAGTTTGTATTTTGTTTCATCTTTCTTTCCAAGGAATAAAACTGCTATGCTTGTTCTTCTGTATCCCAGAGAAATAATTTGATGGCAGGAGTTCCTATGGCTCCAGAAAATCAAAATAATTCTTTCCCTTCAATAAGTACCTCTTTGGCTTTGATACAAGACTCTTGATTTTTTTTTTTTAAAACAGAGTAGGGCTTGCCACCTCCCCCTAGTGGCCAGGACGTGCCAGTGGCACCACTGGGTTCACTAATGTTCGATATGGCACAATTAACCTAAGTGGTACCAGGTTGGAGGAACAATTTTAGAGGCAGCTTTACATCCCAGCTTGATTTTTGACATTTTTTTTTCAGATTGATTTGAATATATTTGAATATTTTCTTTTTGGTCTAGTGTACAATTTTCTTTCCTTCAGGGTGGGTCCAGTCCATACATTCTTTATCTAGGCTCTCTCGCAGAGGAGAGGCTATAGTAGACAACATCAGGGAAAATGTGATGCCAGTTAGTTACACCATATTATTTCTTACTAGTTAATGACTTAAAAGTTTATAGCTAATTATACATGCAAGGCTTCTTTATTTTCATAATATCAAACTTTAAGCACGTGGGGAAGAGGTTGGGATGGTAGAGGGCCTATCCCAACATACTGTCAAAGTTATAGTTTATTCTGTTTATACCACACATATATTTATATAGCCATGTGAGATTGATATTAGTGGTATTTTTATTTCAGATGAGTAAACTGAGGCCCAGAGAAGTGAATAATTTGGCTTAGGTCAACTGGCCAATTTGTTGCAGAGTTAGAATTAAAATCCAGCTCTTCTGACTCTTAATCCAATGCCCTTATTACTACCACGCATCACTTATGTATAAGATAAGTTCTAGGGCTGATGATGGGTCTCTTGTGCTTAGCAGGATCATGATGTGGGGGAAGATCCAGGATGCCTAACTTTGTTTAATGACCAATTGGCTCCTTTTTTAGTATTTTATTTCCGATCTAATAAAATATTTTTCACAATGGAAACTGTCTTTTGAGTGTGAGCTTTATATTTATATTTTATATTTATATTTATAGAATAGAAAGTGTGAGCTTTATATTTATATTTATAGAATCCCCTTTCTTCCATTCTCAGTGAGAGCTCTATCAAGCCAGAGCATCGTTTCTATTTTTTCTTAGGTCAAAATACATGAGGCCTTTCTAGACCCCAGAGTAGAGATCCTGGACTGTTTTAATTATGGTAGGCACAGCATGATAGATTATTAGAATATACCTCAACATTTATTTTGCTCTTAGATTTTTTGGACAGTTGTATATCCTGGGAGAAGATTTAAATGGAAAAATAGCAGCATTTTTTAAGGTCTTTGTTCCCCATTTCGGAGGTTTTTATATCCATTTAATCTTACCAATATGCCACACTCAATCTGCTTTTCTTAGTTAGCTTGGCCACCCACACACCTCTGTCTGGTGTCTGGGTCAGAGTTTTCAATTCCTATATGTGTTCATACTTCAGGGGGAAAAATGCCCTTTTTAATCCAGGATAAACTACAACCTTATTTCCCTTGGCTTATCTTATTAATATTTGATGACATTTACTTTCAAAGCAACTTTGCACAGTTACCCTGGAGTGTTTGCACAAAGGAGGCTTTCTAATGCAAATCTGACTGAATTTAAAATTTTAAAAAATTTGGCTCAGATGAGATTGCCCTCAATGTAATAGCCAGCAAAGCAGTTATTAATTTATTTACTCATTGATTTCTTAATATATACTGTAATGTATTTAAAAAATTTGTTACAGACATTATGATGAGTATTAGTTTATGGTTTAGTGGATAAGATATTGCATAAAAAAGAAGCACAGCTTCAAAATCTAAAAAAAAGATTTTGCTCTTGATAGAAGTTCATTGTAAGAAGGAAGGAGAGTACACACCAGCCAGGCACTGGGGAAACTACCTGCTCTTTCTTAAACACATGAAAATTAAAGATTTTCTTTTACACTTGAGTACGAAAGACCCTCTTCAAGATTTGTTTTGTGATTTGCAGTAAAGGAGGTGCCTATGCACTTAAGTCAAGGAGATGAGATCTGGTGAGTGGTCAATTGCAAGGGGAAAGTGGATACTATTATTTTTTGGTGAGTTTTAGTTTATTTGAAAGGAATACCATTGAAATTTTGAATTTGAAATACAGTATTTGAAACAGCATACTGGCCACAATTATCATCTAGTAAAACATTAAGGATCTTTTAAAGAGTTTATTGAATTTGTTCAGGAGAATGAAGAATTCAAGATCTAAAAAGGGATTTCAGTATTTGTCCAGAGGAGTAAATTATTAAGTTTCCTTTTGTTAGGTGAAATTTTAAGTTTTGGAATATGAGACATAAAGTTCTATTAATGATGGAGGGACTGATTTCCCTGTCGATATGGCCCAGCAAATGCAATGTTAACAGGAGAGTAAAGAGCAGTTCAGTGAAAGAGGTGACAATGAAATACTCTGGAAAGAATGAGGAGGCATCAGAGGCTTTCAGAGGAGATGTAGCTGAATTGTACCGGTAGAATGAGTAAACTATGAAAAGGGGAAGATGATGGAACTATTTCTCCAAGAGGAATTGATTTGCACACTGAAAATGTTTGTTGAGCCATTATTGTGAGAAAGAAAAATGTGTTAAATGATGGGGAAGATATAAAAAGCATAAGTAAGTTTACTATTTAATAAGATATAAAGACATACACAAAAATGAGAGGTAATAACTAAAGATAGTAATAGTGATAGAGAAGTTCTAAAGGCAGTTGTAAGGTGGTTTATGTATAAGGTTGTATAAGATTGTCAACTTTAAGAATGAAAACTCTCAAACGCCTGTCATCATCTTCTCCCTAATAATATACCTCTTTTAAAGTCATTATTTCCCCTGCAATGGAAAGTAGATCATGTCATAAATTATAGTCTTAATCATATTAATTGGCTTAGTCATTTCTTCTTTATGACACTACATGTCCTGAAAATGAGAGTAAATTTAACAAATTAGTTTAACTTGGAGATTTGATAAGAACACCATGTTAGCTAGAGTCAATAAAACCATCCTGGCAAATTCTTAAAGTTCATTATCAGCAGCAGTTACGGGATTTGTTGATTTCCTCTTCTTCCTTTGCCTGCCTCATAGAAATCCTACAGCCTCTACTTCCAAATATAGTTTCTGAAGTATTCCACTGCTCTCCATTTTAACCTCTTAGTCCAAGCTACCTTTGTCTCTCCCCTGGGGTTTTACAATAGCTTCCTACTGATGTCCCAAATTCTAACCTTCAGCCCTACAGACTAGTCTCCCACCAGAGCCAGAGGGACCTTTGTGAATGGAAAAATCAGATCATGTCATTCCCTGCCTGAAACTCCTCAATACTTTCCAAACTTACCAGCATCACAGAGCTTCTCTGATCTCATGGTCTACCACACTTCTTGTTGCCCACATTCCAGCCACATTAGGTATCCATCTGCTTTTCATGCATTTCAAACACACTGCATCTTTAGAGCATTTGCAGATCCAGCTGCCTCTGCTTAGAGTATGTAAAATAAAATAACATTTCAAGACCTTCTAAATTTATCATGCCAAGGAAAAAGTTAAATCCTGGAGACTGAGTCATGTAACAGGTTTGCAATTCTGCATCTTTTTTTTTTTTTTTTTAGACGGAGTTTCGCTCTTGCTGCCCAGGCTGGAGTGCAACAACGCGATCTCAGCTCACCGCAACCTCCGCCTCCCGGGTTCAAGAGATTCTCCTGCCTCAGCCTCCCAAGTAGCTGGGATTACAGGCACGAGCCACCATGCCAGGCTAATTTTGTATTTTTAGTAGAGATGGGGTTTCTCCATGTTGGTCAGGCTGGTCTCAAACTCCTGACCTCAGGTGATCTGCCCTCCTTGGCCTCCCAATTGCTGGGATTACAGGCGTGAACCACCGCGCCTGGCTGCAATTTTGCATCTTAGATTATAGATGAGCTTTCTCCCTCATTGTTCCTGTTCTGGAAATGAGAAGGAGAGACCAGTGACTAGACCGCTCTAGCTTTAGTCATTGACCTTTGTTGTAGATTAACTGCCTCCTGTCTCCTGTATTGTCCTATACTTAACTCAGATCAGATGGCAACCAAGACCCTGTTACTGTTACATCTTCAGTGTGGAATGTTAAATATACCTTTCCAAAAAGAAAAATACCACCTAGACTAATCATATCACTGTAAGTACGCATTTGGCCTTACATAAATGTTGAAATTCTCTTCACCTCTCCTAAACTTTGTTTATATACATGATCCCAAACTTCTACACTTCAAGACACTGACTTTTACTTTTTGGAATCCATGATTCCCAGGTAGCTTGTCCTCAGACTTTGTGTTTGAATCAACTCTCTTTAAGCTAGATTCTGATCCTTTTGATTATTTTAGGTTGACAAATGCTTGTCTCCCAGGTTTTCATATACCTGGTGATTTTCATTCAAGTCTCAATTAAAACATCATCTCCCCAGAGTGGCTTTCTTTAACCTGGTCATTCTTTAATATAGTACCTTTTAAATTTTATGCATATTTTTTATTTCTATTTGAAATTATCTCACTTATTTACTTTATAATCTCTGTCTCTCTCTAGAATATCAGGGTCATAATGTCAGGATCCATTCTACTTCTTCAAGGTTTTATCTCTAGTACCTAGAACAATACTTCTATAATGGTAAGTACACCACATATATTTATTGAATGGATGTCGAATTGTAATTGAGATGCTCTCTTCTCATTCATCTTCCACATTTTGAGGCAGAGATGATGGTTGTGGCTTGGGTAGGGGCCAAGGGAAGACTTCCTCTTTGCCCTCTCAATGGTCACTAAAAAAATCAACTGACAAAAGGCAGATTAATAAGAGAAAAGGCATACAAATTTACTAATGTGTACATGAGGGAGAACAACAGAGTGATTACCCCAACACCCCAATGAGGTTCAGAATCTTGGATACCATCTTTAGGTTACAGAAAGAATGAGGACTCCAAGCATGGTCAAATGGGTTATGCTGCTAAATTGGGTTGCGGTGGCAAAGCAGGTTATAGGCGAGAAGAGGAGGCTTGTAAGCAAAAGTGGGTAGCAGTCCCCCAGAAAGAATAGATAAATGTTTCTTTCAGACATTTAAAAGTGTCAGACTCTCAGTTAATCTTTCCTAGATCCAGACAGATGAGGTAGAACCTCAGAGAAAACCTGGTTGCATCAGTACAGATTCTCTGCAGATAAAAATCTCCCCTACAAAAGACAGCTTTGCAGGGCTACTTCTGTTTGCAGGCCCTCTGAAGGGCCATCTCAAAATATATCAAAGAAGTGTATTTTGGAATGAAATATCTTGATTTCCTTCAGTTGGTTCCCACAGGCTGAAAGGGGAATTAATTTCACCAGAATTACTGCTTAAGACAGTTTTTAGCTCAGTATAAAGTAAAATATCTTTTGTGGCTTTGTAGAAATCTAAGTTTATGATTCCAAAACTTCATATCCACAAGATGAAACTCATTAGCTGATGATAAATTTAAAGTAGGCATCCAAAGCGATAAGAAAAAAGGAAATGCAAGAGCAAGTTACAAATAAATTTTAAATTTCTAACACTGTATGAAAGTCTTAAATCATGAAAATGAAATAGTAAACATCCAGCTATTTAGAGTCTTCTATACTATTCAGGATATGCAGCATATATGAACTTACTACTATCTCCTTGTTCCTAAAGTAATGTTCTTAGGCTTAACGTGGAAGCAACTATGAATTGAAAGTGCACTCTGAACAAGATTTTCTGCTTATTCCAACAGCAGTGTTGAATTTTATTCATATCTATAATGATGTACTTTCATGTAAACATATAATAATTGACGATTAATCACCCCTTGTTTCCACTAGGTATTCTGGGGTGTGTTAAAGCACTACTAATGATTATTTTATTTGTCATGACCTTCCTTGAACAAGTGGTGGAAACTCAAGTTAACTTCAGGAAAACAGAAATTTATTAGTTCCCCAAACCAGAAATTCCAGGAAAATTTCATGAAGTTATATCTCTATTTCTTCATCTCTTACTTATGCTTGTCTCTCTCTCTCTTTTAAGCATTTTGGCATTGTTATCATCTGCAGATGATGAGCTTCTTTTAGTAAGTTAATGAAAACTGGAGCCAGGGTTATATCTACCTCAAGGAAAGAAGTAGTCCTAACTTATTCCCACTAGCTTGTTCATTCATTCATTAAATATTGATTTAACCAATATGGATTGAGTGTCTTTTGTATCAGAGTAATTCTTTAAAAAATTCTGCTTTTATAGACCTAGATTAGGCTATGCATCTCTTCCTGGACAGAGGAATAGGCTATGTTGATAGGCCAGTGCAATGTCAGGCACCTCCACATTGGCCGGGTGAGTAGAAAGCACTGTTATGTATATGGATTTGAAACAGTTCCTAAAAAAACAAAAAGAAGGTAGGTTTATCTCAGTTATAGGAAGGCAGGTTTATCTTCGTTATGATGGGCAGACAAAAACTCATAGCTATAGTATTTTACTGAACTAATGAGGGCCCTACATAATTAATTATCTGGGTATAAGGTTCAAGGTAAGCTGACAAAAACATAAAAGATGAGAATCACTATAACTTATTTCATTTCTTTATTTAAAAAATTCTGTTTTGGAAAAAAAAAGCTTGATGAAAGTTGCTTACATACCTTTTTATTTCTGGCTGGGTTCCTTACACAATTCCCTGTGCAATTTAATTGACATGTGGCTAAAGCTTTGTGAGTCTTGTTGAACTTAACAGTTATATAATTTTCTTTGTATAATTTAAAAAAGGAAGTTCTCAAATGAAAGTCATAAAATAATTCAGCCCCCCACTCTCACCGTGCCCTACAAACGTACAGCTTAATTTTGTCCATCTGAATGCTTATATAATTCTAAATTTGTGTAAATACTCCTGTTTCCAACCCTTCCCCATTCCAATTTCACTTTGGTTTTATGTTTCAATAGAACAATTCTTTCTTATTCTTAAATTCATTATAGTCTTCCCTTGATTATCTCATTAATTCCTATTCTGTGTCTGGAAAGCAAATTTTTTTCTATTCTTTCTTACTTTTACAACAAATATATACTAACTACCAGTTAGAAACCAAGCACTTGGCTGAATTAAAAGAATAAAAATTCTTTTCAATAAGATACTTTGTTACTTATTACTAGACTTCCTTCCCCACACCCCCATCTCCACTAGGTTACTATATATGGGATGATTCTGTGTGGTACAAATGTCAAACACATTTGGATGCACTCTACTAGATTTATATTATCTTTTAAAATTCCCACCACACTTACCTGGAAATATTTATCCTTTAGGAAAGCATGCTGGGTAGTTTTAATCTGCTCATAGTTTTCTGAGAATTTTGAGACTTGTTTGTCCTCTGTTCATCTCTATCACACATCTCTGTCACATCTCTGCAGGCCACTGTAACCCATGTGGGTACTGTATGGGCTTTGCCACTGAACATTTCTTAATGAAGGAAGATCTGTTTGGTTTCTGTCGGTCATTCTGAAGAGACAAATATTCTTCTTAATAGGTGAATAATTTACAGGAGTCTTTTCTGAAGATATTCAGTGAGGTAACATGCGTGACTCTGAAGTGCGTTTATGTGCTTGAGGATGTTAACTGCCACATAATTAACAATATGTGACAGAAAATGCAATTTTCATTTACTTAACTAGAATATTACTTTGTTTTTTATATTATTTCTTCTGGTTTTCCCTACGCACGTGAAGCAAAATGGCTTTCTTTTTTTTTTTCTTTTTTTTTTTTTTGAGACGGAGTCTCGCTCTTTCACCCAGGCCGGACTGCAGCGGCACTATCTTGGCTCACTGCAAACTCTGCCTCCCGGATTCATGCCATTCTCCTGCCTCAGCCTCCCGAGTAGCTGGGACTACAGGCGCCTGCCACCACGCCCAGCTAATTTTTTGTATTTTTAGTAGAGACGGGGGTTTCACCGTGTTAGCCAGGATGGTCTTGATCTCCTGACCTCGTGATCCGCCCGCCTCGGCCTCCCAAAGTGCTGGGATTACAGGCGTGAGCCATCGCACCCGGCCGACTTTCTTAATATTTTGGTGGCATTCTTACAACACAGCTTTACCGTTATTTTTATCTTTCCAAAACTGGCTGTTTCCATCTATGGTATTCACTTTAAACAATAGCATAGTATTTCTCAAAATCAAGATTGACCATTTGAAAACTGAATAAAATAGCCACTTAATTCTTTTCAGCTTTTATTTATAAATACTGATATGTGAGAATTTCCCCAATAAATTCACCTAATAAATGAAGAGTAAACAGCCGGAGGCAGGCAGTTCATTTTAGAGGCTTGTTACATGATGGCTGGATGTTCTGACCAGCAAAATGGGGCATGGCTGGTTTAAAACAGGTTTGTGTTTTCTTGCTGATCATTGTTATGAAACCAGAGAGCTCATTTTGAAGCTCTATTGAAGATTGTTTTGACAGCATGAATACAGATCCACCTACCGCCATTGATTTTGGACATTATAACATAAAATGGTCAATGTATTGAAAGAGAAATAGTGACATCTCTTCCCGACTTGGCTTTATATTGACCAAGGTACTTTCTTTAATTACTTCAAGAACTTATTGTCAATATCAGAGGTTTTTGTGCCAGTTTTAAGTTCTGCAACATTAGGCAACCCACTTCACCTCTCTGTGACTCAATCATGGGACTGTGCTGCAGAATCTCTATGATTTATTGTTGCTAAAATTTCTACCCATGCTGGTAATGTATGGACTTTGCCACCGAACATTTCTTAATGAAGAAAGATCTGCTGTTTGGTTTCTGTCAGTCCTTCTGAGGCAAGAAATAACATTCTTATTAATAGCATTATAAATTAATAGTACCCAGGCTGTGTTATATATATAACACATATTACACACACACACACACACACACGCACGCACGCACAATCTCGTACTGCTCTTTACTTATTTATTTTCTGTGATTATTTTTTCCCTTATTTGACTAGTAAGTTCCTAGGTGGCCCATACTAATTCTCTATTTTTGAAGTGTTCTTCTAGCCAGGGATGTGCACAGAGGGCTCAGTAAATATTTTTGGATGAAGATGATGATAATTCGTTGGAATAATATTGATGAATCATTAGGTTAACTTATGGTTTATTTCTACTTTCGAAGACTTGGATATGGGAGAGGATAATGGTGGGATTTTTCAAATTATTGCCACTTGTCCTTTTGGTAGCAGATGCTCTAAACTCTACCCACTGAAGGCTAATCACTGTTAAACACGTAAGACTGTAATCTGGGGCTTTTGTCTGGTTGCAGGAACACACTTGACCATGAGGCGCATACATGGTTCCAAAAGCTGCCTTTGACCAATGACAGAAGTGGTGGGACATAACTCACATAGTAGGGTTTCATTGTGCTGGAGTACACGTCCACTCAAATTCTTACTGCCTGCCCATGTTTGCTATCATTTTGTTGGCAAGCCCACCAAATTACAAAGTGCTTGGTTTAAACCTTTCTGGCTTTTAAATAGAAAACACACGGAATGATTGGAGTCCAACAGATTATTTATTCATGTCTTAGCATATTAACTTTAGTAGATTGTTTGCCTACTTTTCCTGAACTGGAATCATTGAAGGCAAACATAGTTCTTAGATGAAAAGATGGGGGCAAAGTAGAAGAAAATAACAATTTGAAAGCAAGGAGTGCTTCAGGGAAAAGCAAGATGTTTGGGGCTATAAAATAAGGCATTTGGACAGTTTCTGTGTAGTGTGAGGAAGATCAGTAATATGGCAGGCATAAGAAACAAATTCTAAGATGAGGAACAAATTAGATTCTTAATAAATGCGTAACTGTAAAAAGTATAGAAAGGAAGTTGTAATACCAGAAGTAAATTTGTTTACTTGTTTGCTTTGAGAAAATATATGACAAAAAAGATGCTGTTTTAATTTTATAAGAAAGAGTTTTAAAAAATCTTGGACAATTACTGTCCTAAAACTGAAATTGACTTGGTAATGAAAGATCAAATTGAGTTGCATATGCTTATTATTTCCTATTGGTTGACTTAAAGACTCAAAAGTTTGGAATAGGAAAAATAAGCAAAGGTGGATATTATTTTTCCCATGCTGCTTATAGAGGAGTTCGTTTACTCTAACCTTTTCCTGAAGATGATTATTTACTCTATTTTTATATAATTAAATCTTAATATCGTGGCTTATTTGAATTTAATATGTTAGCAAGAAAACAAATCTATTATTTCATATTATCTTTCTTAATTTGTAAATATAAGGTTATATTAAGTGCACATGCATTTAGGCATGTCATAAAATATATGTAAATTGCCAGATTATAGATAAATGCATCATTTTCTAGCCACACCTAAGTATGCATTATGGTTTCCTAAATTTGAAGGCCAGATTTGAAGTGCTATTTTCTTCTGATTACATGGGAGGTGAATATTCATACTTAGCTTAGCTGATAAAGTCGATGTGTTCCATTCACTATGTATCTATTTATAGTATCTCTTAGATATTCCCAGAAAATGAAATGCATAACCTACTCTCTAAAAAAGTGCAATTAGAAGACCTATGCTCTATAAAGTTCTAATAACCAAATTGAATGAAATACTATTATTATGGGATGGAAACATGCCAAATATTGACTTAATTACATTGTATTCACTATTCTTTTATGGGTTGAAAACTCAAAACAAAACACATTTCAACTTAATATTTTAAATGGTCCTTGATCCAGAGAGATAATGAGTAAGATAAAAATTTACAGAGTACCAATAATGGAAAACATAAAAGAAGACTGCTAATGTGGGCATATGAGCTGCGTATGTGAATTTGATAAAACTGTGAGTCAAACGACCTAAGACAAATGTGAATGTGGCATAAAAAGAAATATTGAGAGCATCTGTCATATCATTTCTATCTGTGAACAATATAGTGGCAATGAATTAAAAGCTGCCACTTTCAGTACATTCATCTACTAAAGCACTAGACTTAACAGTGTTTATGAATAAACAGCAGTTTACCCTAATGGCTTCAAAAATCAATCAAACAATTTGATATACTATGAGCTACTTGAAAATCTGATTGTGTAGCTGATTTTGTTGCTCTCTGTTTACATAAATTACTTTTTATTTTTAGTTGTCTGTGAACCATTCCCTTAGTCATCTATCAGAAAAAAATGAAATATTTTGACACAAAAAGCACTCAGGAAGCTTCAGTGGTATCCTCTCCTGTAGTTTAGGACTACCCTGATGTAAGGCTCTGATTAATATCATATGGGAAGAACTATTACAACCCAGAAGTATTGATATTGATCCCTGTTCCCATCTTTATCAGAGTGAATTCATGAGATATTAATATTTGCATCAAGTGGATATCACCTTCTTCATATCTCTTGCTCTTAAGATATTGATCATGCACTAACTCCTTTCTTTTCAATAACCGAAATGGGCAATTTCTCTGTGACATGTGATTTTTCCTGATCCCTGCCTGTACTGATGCTAGCTCTGTTCTGTGATCCTTTCTTGTCTTGTTACTGAAATTTCTGGCCTCTAATTTGTTTAAACAATATTTAAAGATCTGGGCATGGTGGCTTATGCTTGTAAGCTCAGCACGTTGGGAGGCTGAGGCTGGAGGACTGCTTGAATCCCAGGAGTTTGAGACCAGCCTGGGCAACATAAAGAGACCTTGTCTTTACAAAAATTTAAAAAAATTAGCTGGGTGCAGTGGCACATGCCCGTTTTCCCAGCTATTCGGGAGGCTGAGGCAGGCGGATTGCCTAAGCCAGGAGGATGAGGCTGAAGTGAGCTATGATTGTGCCACAGCACTCCAGCTTGGGTGACAGAATGAGACTCTGTCTTAAAAATCCCACAAAACCCCAAAATCAAACATTTAAAGAGTGGCATTGTTCTATATTCCACAGAAACAGCAATTAAAAAACAATGAAGTCTTTGCTCCTGGAGTTTATTGTCTAGTAGAGGAGGACAGATATTAAGTAAATAAATGAGTTGCAGTGATATGGCAGATATAGACAACTGTCATGACAAAAATAAAGTAGGTTTGAAAGCAACTTTATATAGAATGGTAATTTAAATCTTCTCTGATAAACTCATTTTTGAACAAAGTCTGAAGAAGGTGAAGCTCCGAGGCATTCCAAAATCTGGAGGGAAGAAATTTCCAAGCCTATCAGCAGCAGGAGAAAATACCTTGAAGTAGAAGCATGCTTGGGAGGTTCAAGGAATTTAGCGTAGTGAGGGAGGGGACTAGTAGTGAGGACAGAGTGATACTGGGAGAGCTCAGGGAACAAATCATATGAGGTCTTATAGTTCAATGAGTTTTAAATGAGATGGAAACACATTGAAGGATTTTGAGCGAAACCCTACAAACTCCCTAATCTTCCCTTCCAGTCACTACCGAGAGTAGCCTCTATGCTGACTTTCCATACCATAGCTTACTTCATCTTGCACTTGAACTTTAACATAAATGAAATTGAGCAGAGTGCCCTCTTGTGTGTCTAACTTATTTCACTCAAATTATACTTGAGAGATTTATTAATATTGTAGGACACAGTCATTATTTACTCATCTTCATTGCTGGACTTTCACTCTACAAATATGCTACAGCATGCTTATTCATTTCATTGATGATTGACATTTAGGTTGGCTTGAGCCAACTTATATGTCTATATTGGACATATATTTGGATGAACATTTCTTTGGATGAACAGACGTATATATTTTGTTTGGGCATATACAAAGGAATAGAATTGCTGGGTAAGAGGTTACATGTATATTCAGTATTTAATAAATACTGTCCAAACAATTTCCAGCACGGTTGTAATAATTCATACTCCCATCAACAGTGTTTGAGAATTCTTGTTGTCCTGATAGTCATGTCTTTGTGTAATATGCTCCCCTCCTTTGTGTGTGTATAGGACCTTCTGACTTGCTTTAAACCAATAGAGAATGGTGAAAGTGATGAGATGTTACTTCTAAAATCAGATTGTAAAGACTGTGACTTCTGTCTTGCTGGCACTCTTGCTGTTTTGTTTACTTTCTCTGTTGAAGCCAGTTGCCATGTTATGATATGCTAGACTGAGAGGCCTATGTGACAAAGAACTGAAGAAATGAGGCCTTCAGTCCAACAGCCGATGAGAAAGTGAATCCTGCCAACAATCACTAAAGTGAATTTAGAAACAGATCCATCTTCATTTGAGCCTTGTGAGAGACTCAGAGTCAGAGGACCCAGTTAAGTACCTGGACTCCTGACCCATAGGAATAATAAGAGTATGTGAGACAAATAAATGTGCTATTATAAATGCTTGCTATTTTAAGCTACTATATTGGGGTAATTTTTTAAACAGTAATAATTATTTCGCCATTTGGATATACTCTTTTGTGACACGCCTATACACATCGTTTGCCCATTTTTCTGTTGAGTTATATGTTTTCTTGCTTATTTTTTTGCTTGATTATTTGTTTGTAGGAGTCATTTAAACACTCTAAACATGAGTCCCTAACATATTTATTGCATATATCTCCTCCCATTGTTGCTTGCCTTTTCACTCTTCTAATGGCTTATCAATTTTATATAGTCCAATTGATCACATTTTTTGCCCTTTATCATTAATGCTTTTTGTGCCTTAAGAAATTTCTGCCTACTTTGAGGTTATGAAGCTTTATTGTTTTACCTTTCACAGTTATATCTATAATCCATCTGGAATTGATTATATTTGTGATGTAGGCTAGGTATTAAGATTTATTGTTTCTCACATGAATATCCAACTGATCTAGGAGAATTTATTGAAAATATTATCTTTTCTGCATTGCATCAGAATATTACATTTGTTATAAATCAAGTGACTATATGTGGTAAACTGAGATGTGTTAAATTCGGTTAAACTGAAAACTGCATTTCCAAAATTTTTATTTGAAGAGTTTTCCATTAGAGCTGGCTATGTAAAAGAACTTGAACAGATTTGGAAGGAGAATATGAGAAAATGGCTATTAGTATTGAAGGTCTTCTCTGGTAGATATGGTAATAGATGAACACAGAGATGTAGGTGAGCTCTAGTTTATTCTCACTCTTCTCCATGTCTAGCTTTTCCTTCTGACTGCTGTCTCAGCTGACCAACAGTAGCTCTAGGCCCCCACCAGTGGTTGGCAGTGCACCCACAGGAGTGGTATTGCATGCAGGCAACATTTTGCCATAGATCTTCTGTTTTCTCTTCATGTCTGCAGCTGGACATGCTTGGTTTTTCAGAAAGTCCTGCAATCTTTGACTTTTTCATCCATGCAAGTGCATCAAGAGGACTCATTAGTGACTTCCTCCCTGACCCCTCCAACCAACTCCCCTTTTGACAAAAAGGCATAGATAGTTGGTGCAGGCAATATGAACAATCCTGTCCTGAGTCCAGGCTGATACAATATGTATGTGTAGGTCTGATTCTGGGCTCTTGTGTCCATACCATGTTTAGTTTTTTCTATTCTTGCATCAATACTACAATGTCTTTTTTTTTTTTTTTTGACAGGGTCTTGCTTTGTCACCCAGGCTGGAGTGCAATGGCATGATCTTGGCTCACTGCAGCCTCTGCCTCCTGGGTTCAAGCGACTCTCTGCCTCAGCCTCCCAAGTGGCTGGGACTACAGAGGTGCACCACCACACCTGGCTAATTTTTGTATTTTTAGTAGAGATGGGGTTTCACCATGTTGGCCAGGCTGGTCTCGAACTCCTGATCTCAAGTGATCTGCCCGCCTTGGCCTCCCAAAGTGCTGGGATTACAGGTGTGAGCCACCATGCCAGGTCCCACAATGTCTTATTCATTATTGTTTTATAATAAGTCTTGATATCTGGCAGTAAATTCTTCTAGCTTTGTTCTTCTGTGAGTTGGCCTTGGGTATTTTTGGCCTTTTTTATTTCTATATAAATTTTAGAATCAGCTTGTTAATATTAACCAAAAACATGCTGGATTTTTATTGGGATTGCACTGTATCTATAGAATTATTGAGGCAGAAGAATTGGTACTTTTACAATAATATGTCTTCTGAACAATATATAACTTAGAAAGAACTAAAATCAATTTTCTTCAAATTTGTCCGAAAAAACAGAAAAATACCCACTTTGAAATTGTTTTATGAGACCAGTATAACATTGATACAAGAATCAGTTAAAAGTTGCAGATTCTAATATTGGACAAAAAATGATATTTAACAATATGCTGTCTGGACGCAGACAAACTTTCAGCTCTCTGGCAGCCTAACTAGGGCACTTTCCCTTGCTCCCATAAGGAGATGACATTTATTTGGCTTAGAAATGTAAAGTCCTGCCATGACTCCAGGTTATTATAATTCCTCAGGATCACAAGTTTCTACACATCTTTCTGAACAGGCTCTAGGCATCACCATTCCCTCTGAGATAAATCCTCGGACACAAAAGTGGAACTGAAGCTTCTAGACCTGTAAGAGATGACCCGACCTCTTTAGGTGTCTCTTTTGGAAAAGGAAAGAGTTCAGAGAAGGTAGAGCCAAGGTTTCCATCTTAACCATAATAATTCATTAATGCTGAGTGAACTCACCAAGAATCCCTGGGACATGCCCAGAGGATCTTGAGCCAGAATCATCTCCCACCTCATGCTCTAAGGATCCACTGCAGATACTCTCATATGGGGACTTAACTCTTCAGTTTTTCTTCTTTTACTGTGCTATACTAGATAGATAAAAAACAAATATCCTTTCGGGCTCAGAGTTTAATATGCTATAAAAGAATGTTGTGGAAAAAAGTGAATAGGTTTTGGGAAAACAGGGGCATCTCCTTTTGAGGAACACTGGAAAAAGTTGTAGACAGAAGGATTACCCTGATTAAAAAATGAAGAGACAGGGAGAAAGTGAGAAAGTTACCACAGGGGTGCCAAAAAGCCAGTGGGCTCATCTTGGTAAAGTTGCCCAGAAGGAGAGAGGACCCATGTGAGTGTCCTGGCTAAGATCCTTGGGGTTCTTAGAAAGTTGTACCAAGCAGTCTCTTATATTTTCTGCACCCAATACCTACATCTTCTGCTCTGTCCTTGTTGAGCAACTCTCACAGATCCCCTGTGTGCTCACTGCTCACTGTCTCCTCCCTACTCCATTAGACCAGGACTTTTAAAACTGTAAATAAGTGTTCAATGGGATTGTTGTAGGGAAGTATCCTTGGGCTTGTTCTTAAGGAGTGATGAAATAAAACAGATACTCTCCGATCTGGAAAAGTAGTTGCAGAAAGTCTTATTATCTTCTCATTTTTTTGGTACGCTTACTAAGTAGTTATAATCACTGCATTCATAATGACCTTTACCACTGGAGAATTCCTTTTCATTCTTGAGGACTCAGCTGAAATGTTATCTCCTCTGAGAAGCTTTTCTTAATTCTCTCAGGCAGGATTTTTAACTTACCTCTTAGTGTTCCTGTAGTCCTTTTTGTTTGGCTCCATTACAGATTTTGTCATGTTATTTTGTAATTATTTGTAAATTTTGTTTGGCTATCTGTATCCAACTTGAGAACATCTCTTATTTGTATTTTGTATCCCCATAAATGGTACTTGACATATAATAGAATCTTAAAAACTGTTGTAGAATAAATTCATCCATGAAGAGCAGGGCTGGCTTCACAATTTGAAAATTCCAGTGCAAAATGAAAATGTGGGGCCCTTGTTCAGTAATTGTTAAGGATTTCAAGTTAGCAACCATAGAGCATTAAATTGAGCTTGAGGTCCCCCTAATGCAGGGCTTTGTATGTTCATGAAGCTGGCTCTGATCACAGGTCAGTCTTGGATTCCACAAAATGTGCAGTGTGATGTAAATTCTACCATATTTTACTGGCTGAGCTGTAGAATTGATACTACTCAATAACATTTAATTTGCTATGTAAGTGGTCATTATAGCAGAACATTATAAAGAATGGGTCTGTGAAATTTATTGTATACACATACACACATACATGTTGAATATTTCTTATCTGAAATGCTTGGGACCAGAAGTGTTTTGGATTTCGGATTTTTTTTTTTCAGATTTTGGAATGTTTGAAAATACATGATGAGATATCTTGTGACCAGAACCCAAGTATAAACACAAAATGTATTTGTTTTGTGTATACCTTATACACATAACCTGAAGGTAATTTTATACAATATTATAAATAGTTTCACGTATGAGACGAAGTTTGTGTACATTTAACCATCAATAAGTAAAGATGTCACTATTTCAGCCACCCATGAGGACAATCTGTGGTTGTCTGACATCAACATTATTCCTGACTCTGAATTTATATGGTACAAGTCCTTCAAAATCATCACCTTGTTCATCATTATCACCGAACACAGTCTCAGGCCAGAGGTTGTATCAGACATGCACAAGAGTGTCTTTCGTCACTGTGTTCCAATAATTGGCAATAGCATATAAGACATCCTTCATGACTGGGCATCATGGCCTATGCTTGTAATCCTAGCACTTCGGGAGGCCGAGGTGGGTAGATGGCTTTAGCCCAGGAGTTCTAGACCAGACTGGGAAACATGGTGAAACCCTGTCTCTACAAAAAGAATACAAAAATTAGCCTGGCATGTTGACAATTGCCTTTAGCTCCAACTGCTTGGGAGACTGAGGTTGGAGGATCACCTTAACCCCAGATAAGTTGAGGCTGCAGTGACCCATGATCACACTATTGCACTCCAGCCTGTGCGACAGAGTGAGACCCTGTCTAAAAAGAAAAAAAAAAAAAAAGAAACCTTCCACATCTACGCCTCTGTTCACTGCTGCTAGCATGAACAAGAAAGTGTTCAAGAAAGTGTTTTTATGATTATACTTCACTGATTTAAGGAAACCATGATACATAGATGAATTAATAAAGTCATATTTGAGATAAAATACATGACATAAACATTATATTATTTTCTATTAGAATTTCAGCTGGAGGATGAGCAGAACAGTTGCCAAGCAATAGCAAAATCTTGCAATCATCATGCAGTCCAGCTTCCCTGCAGTAAGCATGAGCCACTGGTACAAAATACTTGTGAATCCAATCAGATAAGATGTTCCTGGTGATCCATACCTTTGTGTTAGAATAATAATGGAATGAAAAGAAATTCACTCCTTGAAAACAGTGGGGACCCAAGCTTTTGTCTATCACAGCAAGTTTACACCTATACATGTCTGCTGCATTAGGACATCCCAGTACAGCCATTCTGTCCTTTTCACCTTTAGTTCCTCTAGGGGCTGTTCCATATGCTGTAGTCAGTGCCCTTCTAGGGCAACAATGACAAAACAGTGATGTTTAATCAGCTTTGTAACTTGTTCTGGTGTCAGATTTTCATCAGCAATGATCTTGGCAAACTCATCAATGAATCTCTCTGCCGCTTCATAATCTGCAGATGCTTTGTTACCACAAATCTTTAAAAACTTAAACCATGCCTTTTCTTAAATTTCTGCAATCAGCCTGTTTAATATTTGTGGTTCCCTTTAATTTTCAGTTTACCATGCTAGATCTTTGCTTGTTTCATGATCAGTGTCACCATTAAGTGGCATGGCATGTATTCACCATGATGCTGATGGATCCACCTTTTAGTACACAATCAAGATCTTCATTTTAGCTTTATGTGGTGTTTTTCTATTTTTAAAAATTAACTTTTGTTTATCACTTTCAGCATAGTGAAACTTTCTCTTTAGTTTAACCTTCTCTTTACTTCAGGTAATATATGGAGGTCATTTCAACACCATGCTCTTCTGTAAGATGTTTCACACTTACACTGCTGTCCGGTTTGTCCAACCGCTTGACTTTCTGTGCTACAGATAAACATAAACATAAATGCTGCTTCTTTTTCTTATCACTATTACTGATAGCTGTATCTGTAGAATGTTTTGACATTTTCCACAATATATTTATACCAGATGGCATACGAATAAGACCTATATACAGTTAGTAATGTTCATAGGTCTTGGTCCATTTGGGAAATCATGGAGAACTTGCAGCATGTCCAGCCTCCATGCATATCATTTTATTACTCTTTGTGTTCCTGCTTGTGTGAGGGATTCTGGGCATGTATGGAAAATATATATAACAGCTGAAGGGGCTGGAAGAGTATATTTTTCCTTGGAGACACAGAATAAACTATGCTGTGTGCTTGTGTTTTGACTATGATCCATCACATGAGGTCAACTATAAAATTTTCCCTTTGTGGCATTATGTTAGTGCTCAGAAAATGTCAGATTTTGGAGTAGCTTGGATTTTTGGATTAGTAATGCTTAACTTTTACAAACACATGCGTACAAATGTTGACTATGTTTTGAATGCAATATATTCCATATATTGTACCAAGGTTGTTGATTATATTAAATGTATATATGTCCTTTATTATTATTAGGAAAATTTTACTTTTAGTATAGGGATAAAGAAGAGTTGCACTTTCTTCTGAGTTACAGGAACTATCAATGAGGCTATATATTTATTCATTCTTTTGTTCAACAACTATTTATTGACTACATACTAGGTGAGAGACACTTGGCTCGATGTTAGGGATACAGTTGTAAACAAGACATGAACCATCCTCTAACAGGGATTGTGTCTAATGGGAAAGACAGACCTTAAAAAGTATTCAGTAAATTGCAACTGCTGCAAAAACTATACAAGATTGTATAACATGTGGTTCTGAGCTTGTCTAGGGTATAAGGAAGTCTTCCCTGAGGAAATAACATTTAAGCTGAGACCTGAGATGAACAAGAGATGAACAAGAGTAGATCAGAGGTGGATAAGAAGCATTGAAGTGGATAAAAGAAGCACAGAAGGAATCAGTGCAGTAGAAATGAAAGGTAAAAAGACCTGAGGTTCACATTAAAGTATGTAGAAAGCAGAAACAACATGGGGACTAGAATCCTTCAGAAGAAAATAGGAGGTGATGTGAAGGAGTAATGATATTAAATGTGATCCTGGAGTCATAATAGAATTTTGGGAAGTAGAGCAGACATAGACATTGAAAGGGTCTATGAGAGGCCTTAGAAGCAGATGCTATGCTTCTTGAATACCAAAATGTCCTAAGAAGAAACTGGAGATGTGGGAAGAACATAAAAACAATATTGGAAAAAGCATTGAGGCTCACCATTGCTGTATTATTTTCCTGTTTTGCTGTAATAAATTACTACCAATGTAATGGCTTAAAAACAAGGTGAATTTATTATCTTACAGTTCTGGAGGTCAGACATCTGAAATGGGTCTTGCAGGGCTAAAGTAAAAATGTTGGCAGGGCTGATTCCTTCTGGAGGCTTTAGAGAAAAATCTGCTTCTTTGTTTTTTTCCAGCTTCTAGAGCTTCCTGCATTTTTTGGCTCCTGGCCCTTGGCCAGCAACTACTGGACTCTGACCTCTGCTTCCGTCGTCATGTCTCTTCTGACTCTCCTGCTTCTTTCACTTACAAGCATCATTATGTGACTACATCAGGTCCGCCTGGCTAATCCAGGTTGATCTCGCATCTCAAGATCCTTAACTTAATCATATTTTCAACGTTCCTTTTGCCATGAAAGGTAACATATTCATGGGTTCTAGGGATTAGGACATTTCTGAGGATAGGGGGAGTGTATTATTCTGCCTTCCAGAATTTCTCAGCAGGATTCAGATGTTTATCTTTTTTTTAAAGTAAAGCCAGTGTAATTGGATTTATATATAGAGTATTCTGCCATATCTCAGAAAGAAGATAGAGCAAGCTTGAAATTATATCACAAAATATTTACTTAAGACAAGAAATAAATACTTCTTCACCTTTAGAGACCAAGAATCTTGGGCTAAAATCCTAGCTGTATCCTTTGTCACCTATATTGCCCCAGCATATTATTAAATCTCCCTGAATTTCAGTTTCTGGATATGATAATGAGAATAATACTATGATGTAATGCCTAAAATTAAGATTTAACATTATGCGATGCCTTGACATCTGGTGAAATTAGAAGGGCCTCAAATATATTAATTCCAAGTTCCCCTCCCCACTCTGCTCCATGGATAAGGCCCTCTAGCCAAACAACTTTCCTTATCAAATAGATATTTGAGATCTCATTTCTGCTACCTTTGTGGGTTGCAGTTCCTTGCCAGCTTGCATAATTATTCAAAGAAGTCAATCGCATCCTTCATAGGAACCAGGGGTACCTCATCCTCTTGTTACTCCAAAGCTTGCCTGCCATAGCACTTGGCTGTTCACTCTGTTCCTGAGTGCAACCCCCATGTAATCCTGTACAGCATGTGACTCCCTTCTCCACTGGGCTGAGGGTATGTGTGACTAATAACCTGCTGTCTCTCTGTCTCATCTTTTCAGTTTCTGGTTTTGTGTGTTCAGCCATCCTCATAACCCTAGGGTGGGAATCTCTTCCTCACCAAAAGAGTAAATAAGATGCTTAAAATAAATATCAATTTCATAGCATTTTTATGGGATTAATTTTTTTTAAATGTTATGCTCTCAGAAAACTTGCAAAGTCCTGCTATGTAGGAAACTCTCAACAATTGGGAGCCATTGTTGGGGTTCAGAAAATGATACTCCCAAAGTCAAGGGCTCGGAAGCAGCCTCAGAAGCAAAGTTTTTCTCTGATCTTCTCCTGACCTCCTGTTTCTCACTCCTCATTCTCCCCAGTGGCAAAATAGAAACTAGAATCCCTCTTCCCCAAAGTGGGTCAAAGAAACAGAAATCTCTTTCCTCAAAGCCAGCCATAAAACCTAAAATTACCACTCTAACTTTCCCTTGCCTTTCTGAGTAGAACTGGCCATAAAGAAATTCTCTAACCTACCTTGTTTGATTGTAGGTCATAAGACCCTCATTCCAGAAAGGATCCTGCACTATACCCAGAAGGAAGGAATGCTGCACAGAGAGGCCAAGAAGAATCTTAACAGACAGCCTTTGCTAAGGGAAATACAGGCTGGTTCTGAATCTAAGTGCTGCTCATGGACTAAAACTCAGAAAGTGAATTTCAAAGCATTCATTAAACCCAAAAGGACATGGCAAACATTGAAGGAAAATCTGTTACTAGGATGTTTATGAAAACATTTTCTTAAGCACCTGACGCAACTGGCAAAGAAATTGTTCATGGTTATAGAGTACCTGGCAGAGCCTTCCAGAGTGAAAAATGAATAAGGATAGCTCTAGTTTCTGCTTGCAATTGTGTGCTGATCAGCACACTCTCTTTTACGTTCTGTTTCATTTATGCAGGAGCTCTCGGCAGAATATTTCCATCAAGTTTTCTGTGCTGCAAACCTGCTTTCCTTTTAGAGTACAGAGAGAATCCAGCTTGTTCTTTAAGTTTCTCAGCATAGATAGTCTCCAGTTTTCATTTTTTTCTCCTCAGACCACATTTGACAAAAGCCAAATGTGAGCTGAGGTAATCTGTGGTGGCGGCCTTTTCAGATTTATTTAGATGGAGAAATGCGACCAAATGGCAGATGTACAGAGCGTATATTGAACAAAATCTGCTTTTTCTACAACAAATGTAGTTGGCTATCTTTGCATATTGAGATAAGGAAAACCGTTCCTCAGAAAAATTTTAGGGGTCCTGGGACCAGAGTCAGCAAACACTTAGATGCTTTTCTCATTACCCTTTATAGCAGTATTTTGCCATTTTTTGAACTCCAATAACCGAAGAAGGTATGACGTGAACTGCTAGGCTCAGAAGATCACCTTAAACAAAGACCCAGCATGAGTTAATGAATGAAACAGATTAAAATAACAATAATATTGACACTGTCCCAAAGTTTCTACTAAACTCTGCTCCCATATATCCAACTGCCAACCAACTGCCAGTGGGTTATCTCCTCATGGAGTATTCATCTGCCTCCTGAGAGGCATTTTAATGATTCTGGGAACTTCAAGAATATATAAAACTGAACTCCTCCAGACTGCTTTTCCGTTGAAGCCTGACTCCTGGACTTCTCAATTTACATCATGTTTCTGCCCCCTCTCTACCCCTTTCTACCCCGACACATTTAAAAAAATCATAATTATCTATTTTGTTCTACCCTCAATCATTTTTACACATCCATCTCCATCTATTTACACTTGTTCTACCCCAGACCATGTCTCCATTCATCCATTCACTCTTTTCTGGAATAACATAAGTGTCTTCCAGCTGAAATCCCTCCCTTCAGGCTTGCTCGTTTATGATCTATATTTGAAACTAAAGCAAGAGTGATTGTTCTAGAATTTGATTCATGCTCCTCTTTGATTTAAAATCTTCTTTTTTTTGTTTCCCACTTGTAATAGTCTGCTTTTGCATTGCTATAAAGGAATACCTGAGACTGGGTAATTTATGAAGAAAAGCGGTTTAAGTACCTCACAGTTCCACAGGCTATACAGAAGGCATGGTGTCAGCATCTGGTTGGCTTTTGTTGAGACCTCAGGAAGCTTTCAGTGATGGTGGAAGGCAAAAGAGGAGCCAATATGTCATACGGTGAGAGTGGGAGCAAGAGAGAAGAGGGGAAGGTGCCACACTCTTTTAAACAATCAGATCTTGCATGAACTTAGAGCGAGAACTCACGTATTATCATCAGGATGGCACCAAGCCATTCAAGAGGGATCTACCTCTGGGATCCAAACACCTCCCACCAGGACCCACTTTCAACATTGGAGATTACAATTCAACATTAGATATGGAGGGGACAAATATCCAAACCATATTATCATTGCTTTACAACAAAGTCTGAATTCTTTAAGAAATTCGTATTTTCTATTTTAGCCTGTTTTTTTCACATATTGTGTTGAAGCTGCCAATCCCTTATAAACACAACTTCTTTCACATTCTGAAATAAGCATTACCTTCATTCAACTGTTTTCTCTGCCTGGAACAATTTTTCCTGCCCTAGCAGGCCAGGCCAACTTTACTTGTATTTTAGGTAACTTATCTTGCCTCTTGCTAGACCAATGCAGGGACCTCACAAAGCTCACTGTAATCTTGTTATTAGAGCATGAACGTGATTTATTAGAATTGTTTGTTTACTTGTCCCACATTAGACCCTAAGGTCTAAAAAGGTCTAACAGGGTATCCACAAGGGTAGGTGCCAAATATGTTTGGTTCCCTATTTCATCTTTAGCTCACCTACATTCTAACCCAGTTTGAGTGTCGAAGAATAGGCTCTTAAAAAATACTTGATGGATGAGTTTCAGTCTATGTGTTGGCATGGTGCTAATTATTCACATACATTATCTTACTTAATGTTTATAACAAATTTGTGAAGTAGGTATTATGCAGATCAGAAATATGAGCCTCAGAGAAGGAAGAACTTGCCTAAATTCACAGAATAAGATCAGTGGTGAGGCTGGAATAAAAAATCAGATTTCAAGCTTTCCTCTTAAGCCTACACAATAAGAGAAGGAGATTGGTTTCATGAGTGAAGAATACTGGTTGGAGATAACAGAGAGGCTGGTAAATAAAGAGTAAAGTTCAGTACCATGGGCTACTGAACTAGTGAGGAGACAACAGTGGAGAGTAAGAGGGAGAAGAGTCTTTCATGTTCTCTCCTTAGTTCCTTGAATGCTCAGTCAGGCCATTAGCTGGGAAGGCAGGCATCCTCTTAGTATCCAAATGTTAGCACTATCCCTGCTGCCTCTTCACTTCCCCAGTTATTTAAGAAGAAAGGTGGATAGGGAGACCAAGATCTTAATCCTTGTCCACTAGAGCTGATTCAAGTGAACTTTAAAAGATGAGTTACCTGTTATTTCCTTAATACCATATTTCTATCTCCTTGTTGGGCCAGTAGAGTAAAAACTAGTTTAATTAATTACTGTCTTTGCCCTCATGTGCTTTAAAAGTGTAATTGAGGAAATTATTTATATTAAAAGAGTTTATTTACTAGTGTGCTATGTAGGCCTGTAAGATGTTTTATTCACACAATGTTTCTTTTGTGTTGCAATATTGATAATTACCAGGGTAGTACTATGTGTTTGGCCAATGTGGCCCAGAATTTACTGCTTCAATTCTGTGCCACATATAAGGTTCCAGGGGGGCTTTATACAGCAAATTTTCTTACTTTTCATTTTTCTAACATCGGCTTCTATTTCATGATATTTTTAAATTTCTGCAAATTTCACAGACAGAAAATGATTAAAAGAGAGAACATTGTCAAAATTAAAGCTGTCTTTTAGTGATTTGACTCATTGAAAATGGAGAACAAAGCAGTTTAAATGAAGAATTTTAGAATAAATCACCGTTAACCATACATGACATGTTGTACACCAACTAAGTTCTGATGCACAGTTAGTTACCTAATTAGGTTTAAAATTCATTTAAATAGATGGCTTCTATCCCTGGCCCACCCACTTATGTTTATTATTCCCATTTAAACACTGAGTACAAGTTAAGGCTCATATTACAGAGCTCTGTGGCCTGAAAAAATGCATGCTGAATGGAGAGACAAGTGCTCCATTTGGATAATCAATGAGTCAGTGTCTGTTGAGACCCATATTTTCTGGTAAATTGTATTTACTTTGGCTAGTGTTGAATGGGAAAATATCTTTCACTAGAAAATCTCAGACTATGGTTCTTGAAGACATATCAACCCTACTTTCTTTACATGGTAATTTGGTGAAACAGGAATGAATAGACAATACAGTCAAGAAAACCATTTCCTGTTGACGTATGTTTACTCCTTATGCCTATCAGGGTGCCATACACTATGTAACGTATTTCATTAACAGTAAGACACACTTTTTCACATTTTTATTATCCTTGAAAGTGGAGTGTATCTTACAATCAACAGTGGTGTCATATTTACTTTCCTGAGTTTTTCTTTATAGTAGTACATAGAATAATGGTGTGTTTTACAATCAGTGGCAAGTTAGATTCAATGAAATGTAATGTATTGCTCTTCTGGCAACTTTAAATGGAGTTTCTCAAGTTAACTCTTATATCTCAATAAGTTTACTTACTAGACAAATATTTATTCTTTCATTTCAGTATATATAATTGACACTATTTTTTGATACTAAGAAAATAATGGAAGACACTGTTACTTCTCCCTAATAGCTAATAGTCAAGGAGGGAAAATAAATATATCAAATATATGATGAGGCAAAACATTGTGGTGAGTGCTGCACTCAAGAGTAAATACAAGGTGCAGCATGGAGTAATAGGAACTCAGCATATTTTGTCCAGTTGGCCTCTTTTGTACATTTATAATTCTATGAAATGTAATTGTCTATAATTTCCTTATTTGTGGTGACACTTCATAGAGTGTTTCTCTTCTTCTTTTTTTTTTTTTTTAAGGGGTGTAAGCATTCATTTACTAGACTGAAACTCAAATTTTCGTGCATAAAGATCATTGGGACTGTTTATTAACAATGGAGGTTACTATTGTCCTTGCCAAGAGATTCTGATTCAGTAGGTAGGGAACCAGGAATCTGCATTTCTAATAAGCTTCTCCTTACTCCAAACAATTCTGATGTTTAATATGGTCTTAGGTCTACACTTTGGGATACACTGTGCTGAACAGAGAAAGTTAACATGAGAACCAGTTATAATAATGAGAATTAATATAAAATTTTACTTGTTATTATTTGTTTAAATATTCAAAATCTGATACATTTAAATGAGATGTTCCAATGACAATAAAAATTGTTCAGGAAAGGAAGCCTGTACTAAACAGATAAAAGATTTATCCTATTTGCTTACAGCAGTTTCTATCTGGCAACTAGGACATTGATCAATTACAGGCATGCCTTGGAGGTATTTTGAGTTCAGTTCTAGACCACTGCAAGAAAGTTAATATTACAATAAAATGAGTCACACGATTCTTTTGGCTTCCTAGTGCATATAAAAGTTATATTTATATTATGTTGTAGTCTACCATGTGTGCAATAGCATTATGTCTAAAGAAAACAATGTACGTACCTTAATTAAAAAATTCTTTGTTGCTAAAATATGCTAAACATCATTGGAGCCTTCAGAGAGTCATAATCTTTTTGTTGGTGGAGGGTCTTACCTTGATGTTGATGGCTACTGACTGATCATGGTGGTGATTGCTAAAGGTTGGGGTGGCTGTGGCAATTTCTTAAAGTAAGACAACAATGAAATTTGCCACATCAATTGACTTCTCCTTTCATAAAATATTTCTCTGTCATGTACAATATTGTTTAGTATCATTTTACCCACAGTAGAACTTCTTTCAAAATTGAAGTTAGTGCTAGTGCTCTCAAACTCTGACACTGTTGCATCGACTAAGTTTATATAATATTCTAAATCCTTTGTTGTCATTTTAACAATGTTTTACTGGAGTTCTTCTTTACCGGGAGTAGATTTCATCTCAAGAAACAACTTTCTCTGCTCATCTGTAAGAAGCAAATTCTCATCTTGTTCAAGTTTTATCAGGAGATTGCAGCAATCCAGTCACATCTTGAGACTCCACTTATAATTTTATTTCTCGATATTTCTACCACATCTGCAGTTACTTCCTCCACTAAAGTCTTAATCCTCTTAAAGTCATCCATGAGGGTTGGAATCTACTACCAAACTCCTGTTAATGTTGATAATTTGACCTCCTCCCATGAATCATGAATGTTCTTAATGGCACCTAGAATGGGGAAGCCTTTCCAGAAGATTTTCAATTTACTGGGCCCAGATTCATCAGAGAAATCATAATCTATGGCAGGTATAGCTCCATAAAATATATTTCTTAAATAATAAGATTTGCAAGTCAAAATTACTCCTTGATTCATGGGCTGCAGACTTGATATATTAGCAGGCATGAAAACAACATTAATTTCCTTGTACATCTCCATTCGAGCTCTTGGATAACGGTGCATTGTCAGTGACCAGTAATATTTTGAAAGGGACTTTTTTTCTGAGCAGTAGTTCTTAACAGTGGGCTTAAAATATTCAGTAAATCATAATGTAAACAGATGTGCTGTCATCCAGGCTTTGCTATTCCATGTATACAGCACAGGTAGAGTAGATTTAGCAGGATTATTGAGGGTCCTCGATTTTGGAATGGTAGCTGAAAATTGGCTTTCACTTAGAGTCACCAGGTGCACTAGCTTCTACACTGAGAGTCAGCCTCTCCTTTAAAGATTGGAAGTCAGGCATTGACTTCTCTGTAGCTATGAAAGACCTCGATGGCATCTTCCACCAATATAAGGTTGTTTTGTCTACATTAAATTTTTTTTTTGTTTAGTGTAGCCACCATCATAAAATTATCCTTGCTAGATCTTCTGGATAAATTGATGCAGCTTCTACATCAGCACTTGCAGCTTCACTTTGCACATGTAATAGAGACAGTTTCTTCCCTTAAACCTCATGAACAAAACCTCAAATAGCTTCAAACTTTTCTTCTGCAGTTTGCTTACTGCTTCATAGAATTGAGGAAAATTAGAGCGTTGTTCTGGATTAGTGTTTGGTTTAAAGGAATATTGTGGCTGGTTTGATATTCTATCCAGACCACTAAACCTTTCTCCATATCAGCAATAAGGCTGTTTCACTTTCTTATCATTTGTGTGTTCCCTGGAGTAGAACTTTTGATTTCTTTCAAGACGTTTCCTTTTTATTCACAACTTGGCTAAGTATTTGATGCAAGAGGCCAAGTCCTTGATCTATCTTGGCTTTCAACATGCCTTCTGTACTAAGCTTAATCATTTTAAAAGTTCAACTTAAGCTTTTGATTTAAAGTGAAAGACATGAGACTTTTCCTTTTATTTGAACACTTAGAGGTCTTGCACAGTTGTTAATTGGCCTAATTTCAATGCTGTTGTGTTTCAGGGAAAAGGGAGACCTGAGTAGAGGAAGAGAAATAGGGGAACGGATGGTTGCTGGAACCACAGAACACACACAACATTTACTGATTAAATTTGCCACCTTATATGGGAGTGGTTTATAGCACCCTCAAAAAATAACAATATTAACATTAAAGACCACTGATTACAGTTCACCATAACAGCTATAATAATAATGAAAAAGCTTAAAATGTTGCAAGAATTACTAAAATGTGACACAGAGACATGAAGTGAGCACATACTGCTGAAAAAATGCCACCAATAGACTTGCTCAACACGGGGTTGGCACAAACCTTCAATTTGTGCAAAAAAGCACAATAAAGTGAAGTGCAGTAAAATCAGGCATGCCTGTATTTTAAAAAGTCTCTGTAAGTGTTTATGGTGAAGCCAATGTTTTGTCAGCTTCTTTCTGGTTTTGGATGTGAGGAGGTGGCATGAAGGGAAATACCAGCAGATGGATCTAATATTTAGGAGTAAAGACGGAAGAGAACAAAGGGTAGATATTATAGGTAGTATGTACAGGAGGCATATAATTTCATGGTTTTCTCATCTCCCTCATGTGACTCCAGTTCTGCAGCAGTTATAGAAATTGCCATTGCAATGCCAGCCAGACTGCAATGGGAGGCCATTTGGATAATGAGGGGGAAGTTCACTATCCAGTCCAGGCACTCTAGATGAGCACCTGCCTTTTAATTTTAGTGGCTGGGTCACTCAGTGAATTTCATTAACTTTAAATGGGAATATTTTGCTTTCTTTTTCTGTCCAGATTTGATAATTACATCTCATGTAGATATGAAATAGCCAGGGTATGCTTTTGACTTCAGTATGTTTATTATTTTTTACCTGGCTGGTTGCAAAAAACCTTTTATGCTAACTTTCACTCACGTCCCGGTGAAGAGACCACCAAACAGGCTTTGTGTGAGCAATAAAGCTTTTTAATCACCTGGGTGCAGGTGGGCTGAGTCCGAAAAGAGAGTCAGCGAAGGGAGATAGGGGTGGGGCTGTTTTATAAGATTTGGGTAGGTAAAGGAAAAAGGGGGGTTCTCTGGTGGACAGGGGTGGGGGTCACAAGGTGCTCAGCAGAGGAGCTTTTGAGACAGGATGAGCCAGGAGAAGGAATTTCACAAGGTAATGTTATTGGTTAAGGCAGGAACAGGCCATTTTCACTTCTTTTGTGGTAGAATGTCATCAGTTAAGGCAGGAACCAGCCATCTGGTTGTGTATGTGCAGGTCACAGGGGATATGATGGCTTAGCTTGGGCTCAGAGGCCTGATATTCCTGTCTTCTTATATTAATAAGAAAAATAAAACAAAATAGTGGTAAAGTGTTGGGGCGGCAAACATTTTTGGGGGTGGTATGGAGAGATAATGGGCGATGTTTCTCAGGGCTGCTTCCAGCGGGACTAGGGGCAGCGTGGGAACCTAGAGTGGGAGAGATTAAGCTGAAGGAAGATTTTGTGGTAAGGGGTGATATTGTGGGGTTGTTAGAGGAAACATTTATCATGTAGAATTATAGGTGATGGCCTGGATAGGGTTTTGTATGAATTGAAATACTAAATTGAATAAGAGAAGAGAAAAACAAGTATTAAAGGACTAAGAATTGGGAGGACCAAGGACATCTAATTAGAGAGTGCCTAAGGGGGTTCAGCGTAGTTACTTGCTTGGTTGGCAAGTTTTTGGGCTCTATCCTTGAGTTTTTTTATGTTGTCATACACCAGACCAGATTGATTTAGGTAAAAACTATACTCTTCATTTAAGAATATACAGAGTCCTCCTTTTTCAGCAGTAAGTAAGTCAAGGCCTCAGCGGTTTTGGAGGACAACTGCAGCTAAAGAGTCAACTTGGGCCTGGAGGACTGATAAAGTTTGTGATATGTCTGTGATGCTAGCAGAGAAGTCATTAGACAGGCTACGGAAGGTCGTGACAGAGGTTAAAATGCCTCCTATTCCAGTACCGAGAGCAATAATGGAGGCAGAAAGTCCTAAACCGACAAGCAAGGGAATTAGTGGAATAACTCTTTTTTGTCATGTCAGTGTCATGAGGGGAACAGGGAGCTCTTCGGTCCCACTTGCAAATTGAATTTTAGGAGTAATGAAAACTAGTGTGCATGTGCCTGTCCAATTAGCAGATAGATACATGTAGGTAGAGGATCCACAGAGGAAGAAGAGACCTTGTGCGAGGCAAAACTTGAGATGCAAAGTAAAAAGATGAGAAGGAGTGCTGAAAGGGGTGTCTTGTACCCAGACTCCTAGGGATCCAGCTAGGGCGGCAGCCATCAGAGGTTGTAATGGGGACTGATGAGGTAACTGCATAGAGGGGGAGGCTCGATTTTCATGGTATATGAGAAAATGTCGAGTGTCTATGAGCAACCTTTCACTGTTATTTTTAGGGCTGGGTATAAGTAAACAAGAAGAGGTCTGGGAGGAGAGTCTGATGAGCAAGGGGAAGGTAGCCAAGGATGGCATGGAATACAGGGTAAGTGTCTTCCTAAGCAATAATTACTGCTAATGTTTTTATGTTTGCCAGTATTGATAGAGGGCTTGTCTGTAATACGGAGCTGGAAGGCTCCAATTGTTTCAGTGATGTGTGTAGTTGGGCTTTGGAGATGAGGAGTAAAGGAACATTGAGAAGGTGAAAGATTACCTAGGGGAATTCCAGTGGGTCTTTGCTGAGAGATACATAAAGCAGCAGCCACAGGAATAGCAGTTTGTGTTGTGAGAGGTCCAAATATGGGGGGTAGTAGAGTTGATATAAGGAGAAAGGTTTTTTCAGTAAGTGTGGAGGAGGGTGGCAGCGTGCTGATGTGACATGTCTGGGGAGGTCTTGCTGGACCTGTCTAGAAAGTAAATGAGTTCTTCAGGAGGGTAAAGGTGAGGGCTGTTAAAGGAAGTTTGGAGGTGTAGGGAGACAGGAGATGTTGCCCAGTCTGCATGTAAGGTGGGGACAGCTGTGTAGGCACTGGAAGAAAGGGAAATGCAAAGCCAGTGGTTGTTCGCTAAGGAGGGATTAGAAATGTCTAGCAGAGAATGAGTAAGGTTGATAGTGTGGTGGAGATAGCTGGGGAGAGGTAGAGGGTGGCATAAGAATGGGAATGAGAATAAGACTGAGTGTAAAAGTAAAGAATAGAACTTCATCAGGGCGAAAGTATTGAAAGGTCCCCTGCCAGCAAAGATCATCTATCCACTCTAAGAGGCAGTTAAGAGTTGCCAGTCCTGGGAAGGGGCAATCCCCGAGCTTGATGTGTAGGGAAGGGAGGGGGCCTGAATAATCCCTGAGGAGTAGTAGAATAGCAGATGGAACACTGAGAAGTGATTTCCTTGAGGATAGATTTCCACGATGGAAAGGAAATGAGAGGTTCTAAGAGGTGGGCTGGTGGCTTGTACTGCAGCATAGCCTGCCTTTGCTGGTGTGTGGTGATTAGGCCTGGTGGAACTGCCATCAATAAACTAAATGTGATCAAGGTGAGGAACAGGGAAGAAGGAAATATGGGGAAATGGGGTGAATGTCAGGTGGAACAGAGAGATACAGTCATGAGGGTCAGGTGTGGTATCCGGAATAATGTGGGAGGCCAGATTGAAGTCCGGGCCAGGAACAATGGTAATTGTGGGAGACTCAACAAACAGTGAGTATAGCTGGAGAAGCTGAGAGGCAGAAAGTATATGCATCAGGTATGAGGAAGAAAATTGATTTTGCAAGTTATGAGAACTGTAAAGAGTGAGTTGAGCATAGTCTGTGATTTTGAGGGCCTCTAAAAGTATTAAGGCAGCGGCAGCCACCGCACACAGACAAGAGGGCTAGGCTGAAACAGTAAGGTCAAGTTGTTTGGACAGAAAGGCTACAGGGCATCATCCTGGCTCTTATGTAAGAATTCTGACCGCACTAACCATGCCTAGGAAGGAAAGGAGTTGTTGTTTTGTAGAAGGGATTGGGGTTTGGGAGATTAGTCAGACACGATCAGCAGGGAGAGCACGTGTGAGAATTATGCTGAGATAGGTAACAGATGAGGAAGAAATCTGGGCTTGACTGAAGTAATGGGAGCTGTCTGTGAAGCCTTGCAGCAGTACTGCTCAGGTAATTTGCTGAGCCTCATGGTGTCAGGGTCAGTCCAAGTGAAAGTGAAGAGAGGCTGGGATGAAGGGTGCAAAGGAATAGTAAAGAAAGCATGTTTGAGATCCAGAACACAATAATGGGTTGTAGAGGGAGGTATTGAGGATGGGAAAGAATATGGGTTTGGAACCACAGGGTGGATAGGCAAAACAATTTGGTTGATAAGGCGCAGATCCTGAACCAACCTGTAAGGCTTGTCTGGTTTTAGGACAGGTAAAACGGGGGAATTGTAAGGAGCGTTTATAGGCTTTAAAAGGCCTTGCTGTAGCAGGCGAGTGATAACAGGCCTTAATCCTTTTAAAGTGTGCTGTGGGATGGGATATTGGCATTGAGCTGGGTGAGGGTGATTAGGTTTTAATGAGATGATAAGAGGTGCATGATCGGTTGCCAAGGAGGGAGTAGAGGTGTCCTATACTTGTGGGCTAAGGTGGGGAGATACAAGGGGTGGTTGTGAAGGAGGCTTTGAACTGGGGGAAAAGGTGGCAATGAGGTGTGGCTGTAGCCCAGGAATAGTCAGGGAAGTAGATAATTTAGTTAAAATATCTCAGCCTGATAAGAGAACTGGGTAGGTGGGGATAGCTAAAAGGAATGCTTAAAAGAGTATTGCCTAAGTTGGCACCAGAGTTGGGGAGTTTTAAGGGGTTTAGAAGCCTGGTCGTCAATACCCACAACAGTTACGGAGGCAAGGGAAACAGGCCCTTGAAAAGAAGGTAATGTGGAATGGGTAGCCTCCATATTGATTAAGAAGGGGATGGATTTACCCTCCACTGTGAGAGTTACCCAAAGATCGGCATCCGTGATAGGCTAGGGGGCTTCCAAAGCGATCGGGCAGCATCAGTCTTCAAGTGCTAAGCCGAGAAGATGTGGGAAGGAGTCAGAGAGCCATGGGCCAGGGTTCCAGGGGCTCTGGGAGTGGCTGCCAGGTGAGTTGAACAGTCCGATTTTCAGTGGGGTCCCGCACAGATGGGACATGGCTTAGGAGGAATCCGGGGCTGTGGGCATTCCTTGGTCCAGTGTCCAGATTTCCGGCACTTGTAGCAAGCTCCTGGGGGAGGTGGGCCTGGAGGAACCCCTGGCAGCTGCGGTTCAGTGTTTGGAGTTCTTGTGTGCTGGAGATATGGCTAGGGTTTGTCTCACAGTGGAGGCAAGGAATTGCAACTCAGAAATAAATTGCTACTTGGCTGCCTCCACTTTATTATTGTACACCTTGAAGGTGAGGTTAATTAAATCCTGTTGTGGGGTTTGAGGGCTGGAATTTAATTTTTGGAGTTTTATTTAATGTCGGGAGTGGATTGGGTAATAAAATGTATATTGAGAATAAGACGGCCTTTTGACCTTTTAGGGTCTAGGGCTGTAAAGCTTCTCAGGGTTGCTGCCAAATGAGCCATGAACTGGGCTGGGTTTTTATATTTGATGAAAGAGGCTAAACGCTAACTGATTTAAGAGAGGTTGGATAAAGAAAAAAGAGCATTAACCTTGACTATGCCTTTATCTCCAGCCACATTTTTAAGAGGAAATTGCTGGGCAGGTGGGGGAAGGCTAGTCTTGGAACGAAACTGTAAGCTGGACCGGGTGTGAGGAGGGGAGGTGATAAAAGGATTATAGGGTAGAGGAGCGGAGGCTGAGGAAGAATTGGGACTTAGCTCGGCCTGGCGAGGAGCAGCCTGGGTAGGAGGGGAGAGGTCAGATGGGTCTGTAGAAAAGGAAGATTGGAAAGAGGAAAGACTCAGCGATGCTTGGGGTTGGGACTGAGGGGACAGGCAGGAGGGAAAGAAGGAAGATTTGGGACAAGTTGCTTTGGGAACAGAGACTAGGGTGGGACCAATGTGTAAAAGAATGCCTGGATGTCAGGCACCTCAGACCGTTTGCCTATTTTATGACAAGAATTATTTAGATCTTGTAGGATGGAACAATCAAAAGTGCTGTTTTCTGGCTATTTGGAACTACTGTCAAGTTTGTATTGGGGTCAGGTGGCATTGCACAAGAAAATAAGGCATTTAGGTTTTAGGTCAGGTGTGAGTTGAAGAGGTTTTAAGTCTTTGAGAACACAAGCTAAGGGAGAAGGAGAAATGGAGGGTGGAAGGTTGCCTATAGTGAAGGAGGCAAGTCCAGAGAAAAGAGAGGGTAGAGACATGGAGAGAAGGGGTGGGGGGTGCTTGCCCCCCAGGAAAGTGGTACTGGCTGCTAAGGGTGAAGGATCAAGGCAGGCATTCCTGTGTGGTCAGATACCTCTGAAATGTGGGTGAATAATCAGGCAGGCATCCCTGCGCAACTAAACACCAAGGGAAGACTATCTTCCCAAGTCTGTGACTGGCGCCGGAGTTTTGGGTTCATGGATAAAACGCATCTCCTTTGTCTCTACCAGAAAAGGAAAGGAACTGAAATTAAGAGAAGGGAGAGATTGAAGTGTGGCACCAAGACTGAAAGGAGAAAGAGGTTGAGGGATAGTGAAAGAGGTTGGAGAAGAGAATAAAGAGGGGCCGCTTACCGGATTTAAAATTGGTGAGACGTTCCTTGGGCTGGTCGGTCTGAGGACCAGAGGTCATAGGTGGATCTTTCTCATGGAGCAAAGAGCAGAATGACAGGGGATTGATCTCCCAAGGAGGTCCCCTGATCTGAGTCACCGCACCAAAATTTCACTCGCGTCCTTGTGAAGAGACCACCAAACAGGCTTTGTGTGAGCAATAGAGCTTTTTAATCACCTGGGTGCAGGCCGGCTGAGTCCGAAAAGAGAGTCAGCGAAGGGAGATAGGGGTGGGGCCATTTTATAAGATTTGGGTAGATAAAGGAAAAAGGGGGGTTGTTCTCTGGTGGGCAGGGGCGGGGGTCACAAGGTGCTCAGCAGGGGAGCTTTTGAGCCAGGATGAGCCAGGAGAAGGAATTTCACAAGGTAATGTCATCAGTTAAGGCAGGAACCGGCCATCTAGATGTGTACGTGCAGGTCACAGGGGATATGATGGCTTAGCTTGGGCTCAGAGGCCTGAAACTAACTTCAAGGTTAGTCATGAGATGTGGAGGATTCGATTTAATTAATGCGTTTGTTGAATATTTTACTTGAATATATAAAATTACTGTCACTGATCATTCACTTTTATGTCCTGGTTTAAGCACCATAAAACAAACAAACAAAAATATACTATTTATAACAGCCAACTCTAGTTAAAAATGATGCTTATGTTCATTGACCACTTACACCCTTAAATGAACACAATTCAAAGGTACCTCTTTCACCTGCAACCATTGACCATCTACTTAATTAAATCCAGAATTTTTTAAGTTAAGGACTTTTAACTGTTTAATAATATGTAAGAACCAAGAAAGGTGATTCTGTATTGAGAAAGACTGTACATATGCATATCCCAAGAACAAATTTGCCTCTGTGTTGCCCTGTTCAGTCAATGAATATATGAGTAAGTGCTTTTGAATCTTCCACATATATCAACACCAGAAACGTGCTGTGAAGTATAGAAGGAAATGCCATGGAGTTTTCTCATCATCCATTGACTACTTGTATCCATTGAAAGGACCCCACAACTCCTACACACATCTGACACTAATCTTTAGATTATTCAGACTCTACTGACTGTGGATGCATTTTGCAAATGAAAGCTTTGAGTCTTTTGTCATTTTCTTGTTTTTAATACTTTGTTTTCTACTGTTGTTCATTACTGAGCTATTTATGTTTAAACAGATGTTTGGTCTTTTCCCACTAGGATCTCTCGTTTGGCTAATTTCACTCACTGAGGTGATTTAAATGGATTGTAATCTCCTGGGTTACCCTACATGTCTTCTATCCAGATCACTTAAGAAGGCTCTATGATGGCCCATTATTACTATGTTGATTTGTGGGAGTTTGCAAGTTTCCTGTGACAGATTGCTTTGGGGGAACTTGGGCTATTACCAAAAATAAGTAAAGGGATCTGGATATTCAATAACTTCAAAATTACTTGTATTTTTCTACATTTCTGAGCTTTCTTTCTAAATCTCCAAACTTCACACTGCTTCTTATACAGATTTAGCTCAATGATGTACTTCTCAATTCTAAGGTAATAGCTGTAGATAATACTCTACACAACAAGGGAGCTCCCAGCTAAGACTTTCAATGATAGTGGACATTTTTTATTGAGGGGTAACTTGTTACTGTGATGCTTTCCTTAATTTGTTGACAAGTCAACAGGATGATTTTCTGAATAAATGAACAAAGTTCACTTATAGAAAATAATCATTATCTTTGAATTAAACTTTCAGAGTTTGCAAGTCTTATTTTCTGCTAAGAGATTTACATCGCTTAAATTCTTCTACACTGATAAATATAATCAATCAACAGAGAACATGCTCTGAGGAATTAATTGTTGTCAGTTGATGTATTTAATGGGACATCACACTTCATTAACCTAGCTAACTCATTAAGCCTAATCAGACATGTAAAAGAAAAAGTTAATGATTGAAGTTAAAAAATAAAGCCTGAATTCTAGGAGAGTCTTCATTTGCAACACAGATCATTCAGTTTCACAGAAATGCCTTGTTTATTCCAGAAGTTTTTTTTGTCAGGTCGCATTCTGTGCCAAGGAATTATATAGAGTTTTTCTTTATTTGGGGTATGTAATGCATGAACTAGTAGAGAAGATAAAAAATAAACCACTATGTTTTATACCAATGATTTATGTTCTATATAATTCATATATTGTGCAGGTGTTTACGATTTAGCAAAGGCAATTTTAAATGTGGAAGTCCATAGAAGGTTGTACATTTCTGTGAATGCAGATATGTGGAATTACTGTGCACCTCCAAGTCAAAAGGTTTATGGAATTCCTTTTGCTTTTTCATGTTCCTTTCAGTTAATACCATTTTGGTTTCATTGCCTATTTTCCTTGACCTTTTCAGTATATTTTAACTTCAGAGAAACTGGCTGTAGCACCCCCTGTAATGACAGGGAATTGCTACCCTGCCTTAGCAGAGCCAATTGTTTCAAACCATAGGTTTCCACTGAGGCTATGCTTTCTGTAAAACAGGGCAGGCTGGAGGTGGGACAGGAAACCAGGAGCAGAGGTTATTGATTGTTCACTTCCAATATGCCTTGCTTTCACTGCCTGTCTGCAATGCCTGTTTGTGAGAGAACAGTCTGATAGGTATTCCATATGTCTGAACTCCATTATTTCCTAATGGGTCTTTTTATGCAGACAATTTGGGAGAAAACAATTTTGCCTCCACCAAGTTCATATGGCTCTGCTGGTGTTTTCAGTACATCATTACCTAGTTAGGAAAGCCCTGCTGTGCTGTTCTGGGAAATTGTATTTCCTGTTTTGTTTTTGTTTTTGAATCACCTGGAGAAGAAAAGCTAACTTAAAGTTCAGTCTAAGGATATCATTGGCTATGCTCTGCTTTTTCAGGGATTCACATCAGAGACTATATGAAATATCTTGAAGGAACCTTAGGGATTATCTACTCCAACAGCCTCATTATCTAAATGGGAAAACCAAAGGCCAGGGAGGTAAAGTGGTTTGTTGAAGATCTCACAACTAAGTGGTCTAAGGTAGTAGTCTGTTATCTGATTCTTTTAGTGAGCAGCTTCTTTTATTATTCCATACTGACTCACTGATAACAAAGCTTTCATTTACTGGGCACGACAAATATTTGCAATACCACATTAGAGAAAGCCATGTCAAGACAGATTTCTCAAAATATAGTGGTGTGGTTAATCCGGTGTTTCCTATTACCTCACTGTCAAAAAATAATTTATTTTGGAGCTTACTTGATTATTAAGATTATTAAGCAAAAAAGACCTCTTCTCTAGTAGGACTGTTTTTTATTTTTTATCATAAATTTATCAAGGACCTATTATGAACAATGTACTATAATAAGTGCTGGGGAGATAAAAATGATAAATCAGACACCCACCCTGCCATCCTGGGGCTTATAGCTCTGTTAATCTTTGAGTGCCAGTGTGCTTCAGGGCTGATGAAATAGTCTCTCAATCTCGATTAGATAGACTCCAAATACTCAAGCATAGAAGAAGGAATAGCAATACATTTAAATGGCATTCTATAAACTTCATGTGTATTTACAAATCCCAATTTTCTGCTGATATGGAGCAGCCTTTCCTTAGAGAAAGAGCATGTACTTTCCTATGGCCATCTTGAAGTATTTGACATTTTCAATGAATCTTTCTGTAATTTTTACACAGAATTTTCTTATCTTCTCATGCATTCTTCCTTTCATTGGATTTGATAGTTTCCATATTTCACTCTCCAACTTCTTTGACATATCAATTTCATTTCTCTTCCTGAATTATACAAGACTCTTGTTTAGTTGAAGATTTTATCTTTCCACTGTGCAAATTCCCTTCCTTAGCTTTCAAAAACACACTTTCTGACTGCTATGCCTTTGAGAATTCAAATGACATCTTTTAGAATTTTGTAGGTTTCAATTGTACTTCAAGTTATTTTGTCTGTTTGTATTGTGGATGTAGCCCTTAAAATGTTTTTATAGTCACTGAATGCTTATAGTTGATATAGTGTCACTGATTTCTAGAAAATAGCTTAGTACTCACATTTCTTCTTTTTACATAGAACATATTTTGCTGCCCACTTTCTGTTAACTTTGTTGTCAGAAAGAGATCCCATGGTATTTAGGTAGTATTGAAGTAATACACAATATAAAGATGTGTTATAGGCTGAAAGTGTTTGTCTGTCTATCACCTCACTCAGCCAAGAGCTAAGTGCTGTTTGTGCTGCATCATGTTACTGCTCACAGTGTATCTCAGAGGATGGAACAGCATATCTAATTGTTACTCTTCACAGTCTTGTTCTATAATCTGTCTGCCTAGAAGTCTGTCTATATCTATGGCATTACGATCCCAGCACAAAGCAGATGGGAATAAAATACTTTATTTTAAAAAGAGTTCAAATAGGGAAAATTACAAGAATAATGTAGCAAAAATCTGTATTTTCCACACCTACAATCAGAATGAATACCTGTGAATATTTTACTTGTTTTGTTATATTTTCTTCCACTTTTGTTAAAGAAATAAATTATTAGGATGAAAGTCCTTTTAAAACATTATTTGCAGTTCTATTTCCCTCCTGCTCCCGTTAAAAGCAGCTACCATCATGATTTTTGTATGCATATTTCTTATCTTTTATTTTCTTCTAAAAATTATAAAATATTTATTAGGAATAAAATTTTTTATTTAAATCAAAAAAGTAAAACTAATATTTACATCTTCTCCACCCATCTGAAGAAAGGGAACATTACCAATACCCTTGATTCTACCTGTGTACCTCTTAATCTCATCTCTCTGTCTACCCCTCAATCAAAGTAACTGGTACACAGAATGTTGTGTTTATCATTTCCTTTTTGTTTTCCTTGTTTAGCCACATACACATGCATGTTAAAACAATATATTGGGCCAGGCATAGTGACTCACACCTGTAATCTCAGTGCTTCAAAAGGCCGAGACAGGAGAATGGCTTGAGCACAGGAGTTCGAGACTAGCCTGAGCCACATAGTGAGACTCCATCTTTATGAAACAAAAACAAAAACAAAAACAATATATTGTTTAGTTTCGCTTTAATTGGTTTTATAAACTGAAATCATCTTATAGGTTGTTTTTTATAACAACTTTAGATTTCAAAATTATGTTATTCCTTCTTGTGACATCAGCAAAATGGTGAAATAGGAGGTATCTGCTTTTGTTGCCCAAGGAAAAGCAAGAAATAGACAGCTACCCATGAATGAAAGTAGCCTAGTGATATGGTTTGGCTCTGTGTCCTCACCCAAACCTCATTTCAAATTGTAATCCCCACGAGTCGAGGGAGAGATCTGGTGGGAGGCAATTGGATCATGGGGGCAGATTTCCCCCTTGCTGGTCTTGTCATAGTGAGTTCTCATGAGATATGGTTGTTTGATAAGCGTCTGGTGCTTCCCCACCCATCCCTCATCTGCTGCCATGTAAGATGTGCCTTGCTTCCCCTTTGCCTTCTGCCATGATTTTAAGTTTTCTGAGGCCTTCCCAGCCATTCAGAACTGAGTCAATTATGCCTCTTTTGTGTATAAATTATCTAGTCTCAAGTGGTATCTTTATAACCGTACGAGAATGGACTAATACACTTAGGGAGGGCTCAAGAGTCCACTTATGAAGGTGCAGCAACACATTGGTGAAAAAAACTCGCAAATAATTGTGCAGAAAGTATCACTGGGTTGTCTGACATAGCTGAGATGTTTGGAAATGGCTAAGAACAAAAAATAAGGATGGAAGGATGGGGGCTATCAGTATCAGCTAAGCAGTGGGTGTCACAGCAGTCCCCAGTGATCTGCTCTGCAGATGACATAAGCACCCTTTGCCACTGAGACACCCTTTGTCAATAGCCATTTCTTCTGCTCATGTCCAGAGAGGGAGATGCTGCTGTGCTCCACCCCCACTCCCAAGTAAGAGCTTCTGTTGTGTTACCACTGGACGACGACTGCTACATTTCTCAACCCTGTGTACCTCCCAGACCCTGGATCTGTGGCCATGTCATATATGCCTACACTCCAGATGCTGCTCCATGGTTGCTTCATGTGTGCCCACATTCCAAAACCCAGTTCTGTGGTGTTCCATGCATGCCCACACTGCAAACACCAGAGCCACTCCCTTGGCCACTGATGACCCCTGCAATCTTTGCCATGCTAATGTTAGATAACAAAGTTGCATGATGACTATGCTGCTGTACCCTCTCCAGAGCCTGGACTGCCATGCCCCACCCAGACAGCACCCTCACACTAGCCCATAAGAAAAGGGCTTTCCCTATTGAGAGTAGTTAGTAACATCTGGAAGAGTACATTTGGAGTAACTCTTCCAGATGTTACTGACTGCTCTCAGTCAGGCAACAAGAAACATGAAAAAACAAAGAAACATAACACCATCAAAGGAACAGGAAAATATTTTTAGTAACTGGCTTCAAACAAATGGAAAGCTATGAATTGGCCAGAAAAGAATTCAAAATGATTGCTTTAAGTACAGTCGTTGAACTACAAGAGAACACAGAGAGACAACTCAGGGAAATCAGGAAAACAGTACATGAAGAAAATGAGAAGTCTAACAGGGAGATTAAAAACATTAAATAGGACTAAATAGGAATTCTAGATCTGAAGTATACAATGAAAGAATAAAAAATGCAATAGAGAAAAAGCCAATAGCAGAATTGATAGAAAAAAAAAACTTTGCACTTAAAGACAATTTATTTAAAAATATCCAGAGAAAACAAAAGAAAAGTGAATGAAAAGGAATAAAGGAAGCCTAACGGATTTATGAGACAGCATCAAGAGAGTTAACATTCACATTATAAGGCAAAGAGATAAAGAGATAGAAAGCTTATTTAAATTAATAATGCCTGAACACTTCCAAAATCTGGAAAATAATCTAAACATGCAAGTACAGGAAAACCAAAAATCTCTAATCATATTCAACTTAAAGAAGACTATACCAAGATATATAATAATCAAACTGTAAAAAATGAAAGATTAAGAGAGAATCTTGAGAGCAGCAAGAGAAAAAATGATCATCAGATCATCACATACAAGGAACATCTCATAAGGTTATCTGTGGATTTCTCAGCAGAAACTGCAGGCCAGGAGAGAGTGAGATGAAAGATCTGAGACTGTAACACATTGATGAAAGAAATTGAAGACACAAATAAATGAAAAGATATTCCATGTTCATGGGTTAGAATAATTAATATTTAAATGTCCAAAGAGATCTACAGATTTAATGCACTCTTAATCAAAAGTCCAATGACGTTTTAATGGAAATAATCTTTAACAAAAAGAATAAAGCTAGAAGAATCACAATACCTCACCTCAGAACATACTGTAAAGCTACAGTAATTAAAACAGCATGGCACTAGCATAAAAACAGACATAGTGACAGATAGAATGGAATAGAGAGCCTGGAAATAAATTTGTGAATTTATAGTTAATTGATATTTGACAAAGTTGCTGAGAAGACACAATGCAGAAAATCCAGTCTTTTCAATAAATGGTATTGGGAAAAGAGGATATCCACATACAGAAGAAAGAAACTGGACCTTTATCTCATACACTATATAAAAACTTAATCAGAAAGGATTGTACTTAATATATGAACCTGTAAAACCACTAGAAGAAAACATGGGGAAAAGCTGTATGATACTGATCTAGACAATAGTTTTTTGGATATGAGCCAAAAAGCATAGACAAAGTACAATGGTAGTTGCTGGGGGCTGGGGGCTGGGTAGGGAAAATGGAATGGTATTGGTCAAAGGATAACAAAGTTATGATTAGTGAATGAATAAGCTCTGAGAGTTATTTTACAGCATGATGGCTATAGTTATAATAATGTTTTATATACTTGAAAATTGCTAAGAGAGTAGATTTTAAGTGTTTTCATCACCAAAAATTAATATGTGAGGTGATGGATATTTTAATTGCTTGATTTAATCATTTTACATTTTTAAAACTTATTTTAGGTTTAGGGGTACATGTGCAGGTTTGTTATACAGGTAAATAGGATGCATGTTGTGGAAGTTTGGTGCACAGATTATTTTGTCACTCAGGTAATAAGCAAAGTACCTGATAGGTAGTTTTTTGATCCTCCTCCTCCTCCCACTCTCCACCCTCAAGTAGGCCCTAGTGTCTGTGGTTTCCCTTTTGTGTCCTATATACACTTGACATTTAGGTTCCATTTATGAGCAAGAACATGGGTATTTGATTTTTGTTCCTGTGTTAGCTCACTTAGGATAATGGCCTCCAGTTCCATCCAGGTTGCTGCAAAGGACACGATCTTGTTATTTTTATGGCTGCATAGTATCCCATGGTGCATATGTACCACATTTTCTTTATCCAGTCTACTGTTGGTGGGCATTTAGATTGATTCCATGCCTTTGCTATTGTAAATAATCCTGTGAGGAACATACATGTGCATGTGTCTTTATGGTAGAATTATTTATATTCCTCTGGGTATAAACTCAATAATAGTATGCCAGTCAGAATGGCTATTATTAAAAGGTCAAAAAATAACAGATGCTGGTGAGGTTGCAGAGAAAGGGAACACTTATACATTGCTGGTAGGAATGTAAATTAGTTCAGCCGTTGTGGAAAAACATTTGGCAATTTCTAAAATAATTTAAAACACATTTTTTACACAGATCAAGACATCACATTGTGAACTATAAATATATATAATTTTTATTTGCCAATTATACCTCACTAATCCTAAAAATAAAATAAAGCAGAAAAAGTTTTGTTTCAAACGTTTGTTCCCATTCTTTTATGTAGCTATAGGTCATCTTTTTCTGTAATGTATAATATTCCATTGGGCAAATACACATAATTTATTTAATATTAACAATGTTATAACATATGATTATTATTTCCAGTGTTTTGCTGTTATAAAGTTTCTTGTATATGTTTCCAGGAACACAGATGCAAAGTTTTTTTTAGAGTATATATTTAGAATTGGAATCCCCAGTTTTCAAGAAATGCGTATGTTCAATCAATTTTGAAATTTGATGTTACATATCTTCACAAAGTGTTCTTGTACTTTAGGAGTATCTTGGCTATTCTTATTCTTTGATCTTCCACATAAATATTAAAGTCAATTTGCTGGCATCACTGTTATTCAATGTAATACTGGAATTTCTAGCTCTAGCCACTGCAAAAAAAGTCAGGAAAGAAGGCCAGGGGTGGGGAAAGACAGGCAGATTCAAAAGGAAGAAATAGAACTGCCCATATTTTCAGATGGTGTTATTGTTTATGTAGAAAATTCCAAGGAATTTATAAACTAAAACTGAAACAAAACTCCTAGAACTAATGAATGCCTTCAGTAAGGTTAGAAGCTAAGAGATCAACACACAAAAAGCAATTGCATTTATATATACTAATAACAAACATGTGAAAATAGAAATAAAAGATAATAACATTAACTTCCACTCCAAAGAAAGTAAAATACCTAGGTATGAATTTAACAAAACATATAAAGAATCTAAATGCTGAAAATTACAAAATGCTGATAAAATAAGTTGAAGATGTAGAGATATAGAAGACTCAACATTGTAAGACATTGTAAAGTCCATAGAAGACACAAAAGACTGGATGTCATAAAGCTGTCAATTCTTCCAAAACTGAATTGCAGTTTTAATGGCATTCCTACCACAATCCCAGCAAGGCATTTTTATAGAGATAGACAGGCTTATTTTAGAATTTATATGAAATAATGCAGGTCTTGGAATACCTAGAGTAATCTTGAAATGAAAGAATAAAATAGGAGAAATCATTCTACCTGATTTTATTTTTTTTAAATGTGGAGACTTAGTCACGTGGATCAGTGGAATGCTGTAGAGAACCCAGAAATAAACTCATACAAATATAACCAACTAATTTTAGACAAAGAAGCAAAAGCAATTCAATGGAAGAAGGATAGCCTTTACAACAAGTCATTCTGGAACAACTGGACATCCATAGGAAAAAAAATGAACATTGACCTAAACCTTTATAAAAAGTGTATACAAAAACCAACTCAAAATAGATCATAGACTTAAATGTAAAAAATAAAACTATAAAGCTTTTAGAAAAAATACAAAAAAAGTCTTTGGCTAGGCAGAGTTCTTAGAATTGATAACAAAGAAATGATCCAAAAAAGGGAAAATTGATAAACTGTATCTCATCAAATTTAACAAGTTTGCCTGCAAAAGACACTCCTAAGTAGATAAAATGATAAACTATATATAGAGAAAAATTGGTAGTATATCATGTATCTAAAACAGTACTAGTATCTTGTAAAACTCAACAGTAAAAATCCCAAATAATCCAAGCAGAAAAATGGGCAAAAGACATGAACAGACATTTCAACAAAGAGGATATACACATGAAAAATAAGCATATGGAACATTTTCAACATCATTAGTCATTAGAGAAATATAAATTAAAATTACAATAACATATCACTACAGACCTATACATATGACTAAAATAAAAATGTAAAATGTGAAATGGCATAGGCACTTGGCAGGATAATTTGGCAGTTTTTTTCAAAACAAAACATACAACTACTATATGATTCCACAAAAGTACCATTACAGATTTATCCCAGAGAAATAAAAACTTTTGTTCATTCAAAACCTCTACAGGAATGTTCATAGAAGCTTTATTTGGAATAGCCCCAAACTGGAAACAACTAGATATCCTTCAGCAGGTGAATGGTTAAACAAGCTGTAGAATATTCATACCATGGGATATGACTCAGCAGTAAGAAGGAAAGGACAACTGATATGTGCAACAATCAGTTGGATCTTGATACAATTATGCTGAGTGAAAAAAAGCCAATCCCAGAAGGTTACATACACTATGATTCTCTTTATATAACATTCTCAAATGACATAAAGAAATTGAGGACAGATTAGTGATTGCCAAATGGTAAGAATAGGGGAGTGAGTGGTGTGGCCATAAAGAGTAAAGCAAGGGATTCTTGTGGCGATTGAATTGTTTTGTGTTTTTACTGTGTTACTGTTAATATCCTGGTTTTGATATTGTGCTAGAGTTTTGTGAGATGTTACTACTAGGGGAAACTAAGTAAAAGGTACATGTGATCACTTCCTACTATTTTTTACAACTGCACAAGATTCTATAACTCTCTCAAAATAAAAAGTTTAAGAAATGAATTTAAGTTCCTTGAATGAAATATATATGTAACATATACACACAAGTATACCTATATACACATAAATAATAAAATCTGTTAGAATATTGTGTGAAATTTTACCAAATATATACATCAATTTAAGGAAAATTGACAACTTTCTGACAGTATTTTTTGTAAAGGCATGCCTATCCTTTTATTAAGTATTCAATAGTATTTTTTCAATATATTTCTAAAATATTTCTATAGAAAACTGTACATTTTTCATTAGATTAATTCCTTGGCACCTCATTATTATTACCACTATTATTTTCCTATTATAATACTAATATAAATACAATTGAAAAGCTTACGTTTTATTTTACTGGATATTAGCCCACTGTAGAAAGTCAATTATATTTTTATATCCATAAACTTGCTAAACTCTTAAAATTCTAAAATCTTATTTGTAAATTATTTTATTTTTCAATGTACATATTTATCTCATTAACAAATAATAACAGCTTTATTTTATTTTTTCCTTATGCACTTTTTCTTTTTCTTTTCTGATGAGACTGGCTAGAACTTCCAGTAAAATGTTGAATAGAAGTGGTGACAGTGGGCATCCATATCTTTACTAGATTTATGCTTATATTTCTATTGTCTTTTTCTCTTTAATTTCTGATGCATCTTTGTTATTTTAGCTTTCAGATTTCCCTTATTGAGCTTTATTTTCCTTTCCCAACTTCTGTTTTAAGGTTGTTATCGTTCTCATTATAATTTGGGCTTATTTAGTAGTATGTTTTAATTAATGAGTTATTTAACAGTATGTTTTAAAATCCGTATATATTTTTAAAAATGTCTTTGAATTTTGATTTCTAATTTATGATAAAATGTAATCTACATGAGCCAGTTCTTTAAAGTTTGTATTATAACCTAGTATGTGGTCAGTTTTTATAAACGATCCACAGGTGATTGAAAAGAATTTATGATATCTAGTTACTGGGTATGGACCAATTGCTCTCTAGGCTTGCTACTCATCTGTCATCCTGGGACTTGTGCTGTGAATTAGCTTTGCCTCTCTCCAGTTTTGTCTCTCTTGCCTCCTGGATATGATTTCTTCTGCTTTTCGGCTTGATTTCCCTGTTATCATAGAGCATAAAGAGCTTTAAGGGAAAGAGTGTGAATCCAAATATACCTTTATTCTATGTCCATATTTGACTGGAAGCAGAATTATATGTTACTAACAGTGGCCTCTCATGTTCTAAAGGCACTGCTCTAGTAGCATTTAGCTTCCGTTGTAGTAGTTAACAAGTCTAAAATAAATGTTAATGCCTGTTTCTCAGTATATGACATTTATTTTCTCTCTGAAAACTTTTAGGATTTTTCTCTTTATTTTTATGGTTCTGAAATTGTGTGATGTTGTGCTTAAAGATATTCTTTTTTTTTCCTTTTAGTCATTGTTCTAGCTCCTTCATGACCCTTTTATTTTGGAAACATGTGTTCCTTAGGCTTGGAGGAAGATTTTTCTTTTATTATTTCTTTGATACTTTCCCTCCTCCATTTCCCTTCTTATCATTTTCTACAGCACTAATTATTTGGATTTTGAATCACTTGGACTGATCCTTTTTTTAGTTAATTTTCTATTTGTTTTTCCTTTTTTTCCTGCATTCTTTGAAATTTTTTCAGCTTAGCAAGAGTGAATAATTTTTTTACTTGAGCTAAAATATTTTTATATTTATTATATATGTGTATACATGTATACATGAGTGTATATGTTACATATATATTTAATTTCTAAGAATTCCTCATTTTTTCTTTTTGTCTTCTAAATAGTATTCTGCTGTTGTTTCCTTTTTAAACAATTTCTTTTTTTCTCTACAGTTATCAATTGTAGATTTAATTTTTTAAAAGTTTTTCTGCTGCTGCATGCATTGCTCCTAAGTACTTTAGAAAATATTTGTTTGTTTTTTTCTCTGTCTTTTATGATAGAGGCTCTCCTCAACTGCTTGGTGATCTTTGGTCAGCCACTCATACTGAAGAGTGAGGCACAACAAATCTGACCGGAGCATGAGAGGGTAGCCTTTATTATCAAGTTATAGGGTGAGGACCTTGCCATTTTATTGCAGGATCATTAAGGTATGTCTATAGACCTCCTCATGCTCACTCCCTATACCTTGGACTGTTCAGTTCCCCTAAAGAATCCTTTAATCACTTACCAGGAATGGGGAAACGGATGGGTATAATAAGCCTGGCTGCTATGATTCTGAGGACTAATCAAGAATGGAAAGGGGCTGAGTATCTCACTGTTTGGTTTGCAGAATTTTGTATATATCCCTTGGTCTTTAATACAATAATTCATTTATTCCTTCAGCAGTGCCTAGTATCCACTGTATCCAGGCTTTCTGTGGTGAAATCTTTCCAGAGAGTATATCATCTAATATCTGCTTGACAGTAGGTGCGGGGTGAGGTTGGGGCTGTTGTTTGACTCATGACAAGAGAGGAACATATGGGGTTGTTGCTCTTTACATAGACTTTCAATCGATTCTCCTATTTTCGGTTCCAAGGCAAAACCTGCCTTACGAGGTACTAGGTGTTTCCATTTCCTGGAATCCTCTAAGATTCTGTGAGGTAATTGATTTGCCTCTTGCTGGTATCTGCACCTCCCTCTATTTACATAGAAGTACTAAGTTTTGGTGAAGTCAAATTCTATTTATCTCTCTTTATTTAGAGTGTGTACTTTTTGTATCTCATTTAAGACAGGTTTCCTATTCTAAGTGATTAAAGTAATTTCCTTCATTTTCTTCTAATAGTTTTATATTTTTTATTCACTTTTATTATTAATGTAGGTCTTTAGCTGGAAATCTTTTTGTTTATGGTATGAATAGAAATCTCATTTTTTCATTATGTAGATCCAATTGTCCTAACTTGAATTGTTTGATAGTCCTTTTCCCCTGCTGATTTGCAATTTGCCGTTTTATTATTCCATGATTCCATAGATAGATAGGTCTGTTTTTTTGTTCTTTATTCACTTTCATTGAGACAAGATACCCTGTGAAATTTTGAAGAACTTGTTTTGAATTTACAGATTACTTTGAAAAAAGGTAATATTGTCTTGATTGAATTTATTAATTAACATGGTCCATTTTTCCATTTATTCAGTTATTCTTTCTTTAGTAATATTTTATTATAACTATAAAGAATAACTGTAATTATAATTATTATAATTTTAGATTATATTTTGCCATTTTATGATTTAACCTTAATATCTTAAACACTTTGTTATATTGATTTTGAAATTTTTTATTATACTTGATGCATGGTGAGTGGTATTTTCCTTCTATTATGTGTTTGATTTTTCCTGTTTTCTTCACTGATGTGTCCCTGGCCTATAATAATGCTTGACACATTGTAGGTTATCAACAAATATTTGTTGACTTAATAAATAAATACGTAGTTACTCCCAATTTAAAGCAATAATAGTGGTTCAGTCTGGCCTCTCTAAATTCCAATTTTTAGATATTGATGTTTTAATCTTTGTTATTTCCTTTTGTCTTTTTATTTTTACCTTCTAAATAGTTTATCTCTTGGGAAGAATATATAGCTGAGTTTTCTAACTAGTGATTTTAGCCAATTATATTTTCTGATAATGAACATATTTGGAATTGTATTTGCCAACTTATTTTGTGTTTTGTACTTTTTATTCTCCCTTATTGTTTTTTCTCCTTTCCAATATTCTGTTGAATTGATTGATTTTTTGAAACTCTTTCTTTTTCTCTTTTGATTTGTATGTTACAATTTTAATTTATATAGCTTTTAACATACATACTTATATTTATGTTTGATTTGGTATCAGATTTTAAAGTTATTTGTGTCTAGTGTCTTTAGTTCTCACTGTACAAAACATAGGTTTCAGTATGCTTTCACTTTCTTTTACTTTTTCCCAGCCTTATCTAATGTCATAGTTATTTTTATGTGTTTAAAGAATGAACTGAAGTTATCAGGGTAACCTGGATGATGATATATACTTGACTTTGTGTCTAAACTACTCTTTCTTTGAGGGGTAGCCTTTTTTCTTTTTTTCTTTTTTCTTGACTGTGTATTCAAGGTTTATTTTTGTGATGCTTTGCTAATGTACTGATTGGTACATATATTCATTTAATATAATGTGGTTAACAGTGCCTAGAACAGAGTACATTGATCAATAAGTCCAGCTCCCTGCCTTTAAAAAATGTTGTCTAACACATTCTTTTAAGTGTGTAAAAAAAATGAACTCAAACATATAAGGATATAATTAAATTTTCAGGAATATATTTCTGAAAGGTTTTACATTTTCTTATCAAAATAAAAATATTTTGATGTTGTTTAGGAATAGCTCGAATAAAATTTAAAACAATAAAAACATAAAGTTGAGTAGTTGTCCTTCCTCAATTGTCTTTGTAAAAGTTTTAAAAATGGCAGATCAATTTGCACATTTGAGAACTTGCTTCATAGCTATTCACTTTTCAGTAGGCATGGCTCCTAATACACAATTTTAGGTCTCAGTGGTTCTGAGACTGTAACTGATTAATTCATGGGTAGGCATCCTGGGTGGGCCAATCTGGGTTTTTCTCCTAAAGAAATGCAGTTTTAGTCAGGAGACAAACAGACTGAGGGTCTTGGGAACAATATTGTTATAGATTCCGGGAGGAAAGATGATGGGAATCCAACTGGTGAGGATGTTTGAGCCCCTCTGACTCTTCCTTTCTGTAGTCTTGGCAGTCTGACTCATTCTTTCAAAACTTTATGCCCCCTCCCCGAAATCAGTGGTTCCCAACCTTTTTGGCACCATGGACCGGTTTCGTGGAAGAAAGATAATTTTTCCACGGATGAGCGTGCAGTGAGGTGGTGGGGGATGGTTTCAGCATGAAACTGTTCCACCTCAGATCACTAGGCATTAGAGTCTTATTAAGGAGAGTGCAACCTAGATGCCTCGCATGCCTGTTCACAATAGGGTTTGTGTTCCTATGAGAATCTAATGCAACTATTGACTAGCAGGAAGCAGAGCTCAGGTGGTAATGCTCTCTCCCCTGCTGCTCACCTCCTGCTGTGCCACCAGGTTCCTGACAGGCCAGGGACCAGTACCTGTCCACAAGCCTGGGGTCTGGGGACCCTGGGGGAACCCTGCCCTAAATCCAATTCTGTTCATACTAACAACACCACCACCACCACAACAATAACAAAAAATACCCCACAAATAAATGGAAAGCAATAAAAAATATAAACTAATCATATGTTAAATCTACTTTTTCCACCTCTGTTTTTTAAGAAAAATAAATATTGGTAGCTGTTACTCTTAATTACATGATTTACTACTATAACAAAAATATTCTATTTATTTATTTAAAAAATTATTTGGGTGCATAGCTCTTGGAATGTATTAGTAATGTAAACAGAAAACATTTTAACTCACAAAATTCACATTCAGGGGTATGTGTGCACATACATACATACAGGGTTAGTTGCAGATACAGATGTCATATGATAACATAATTAAGTTAATGATATTGTATGTGAAGAGGTGATCTTACATGCTATGGAAAAAGATTATATAAAGCAGGGCTAGGAGTATTGGAAATGGAGGGGAATGTGTTGAAATTTACATAGGGTGATCAAGAGTAGGTCTTATTGAGAAGGTGGCATTTGTGACTTAAAGGAAATGAGAGAGCCATGGAGATATGTGAAGGAAAAGCAGCATTTCCAATAGAGGCAACAGCCAGAGCGAAAGACCTCAGGCAGTAATCTTATATATTTGAGGATGGGAAAGAAAGCTGCTGTGCTTGAAACAGATAAAGTGAAGGGAGAGAAGTAAGAGATAATGTCAGAGAGAGAAGAGGAAAGAGGACAAATGATATAGTGGCTGGTGGTCATTGTAGGGACTTTTCCTTTTATTCTGATTGAAACAGGAAGCCAGGGCAGGGTTTTGCACAGAGGAGAGACATGAACTAACTTATGATGTGTGTGTGGGAGAGTTGGGGTAATGGTGTAAGCCGAAGTAGAAACAAGGAGATATTGTGGAGCTCTTGTAATCCAGACATGAAATGATGGTAGCTTTGACCTGGGGGAAGGAGTGAAGATGGTGAGAGGTGACCTGGATAGAGTTTGGATATAGATTCTGAGTATGGAAGTTTGAAAGTAGAGCTAACATGATTAGCTGTAAAGAATCAGAGAAATGAGTCAAGGATAACACCAAAGTTTTGGCCTGAGCAACAGAAAAGATAGAGTCACCTATAATTGACTTGGGAAAGACTGGTGGGGGACGCAGTTTGGGTTTTATAAAGGAGTTTGATTTTAGACATGTTGAGTATGAGATGTGTATTAGACATCTATTAAAATTTGCAATTCCAGAGAGAAGTTTGTATTCAAGATAGAAGTCTAGTATTAGAGATAGATTCTTTGGTATTGACACAGATTTTAAAGCCATGACTGGATTATCCCCAAAAGAGTGAATGCAGATAAGGAAGAGGAGCAGGAGGAGTGGATTCCATTTCCAGGATCTGATTTATAAACAATGTGGGGGACTCTCTGAAATAATTATGAATATAAAATTAGGGCAACAGTAAATAATGGAAAAAAGAAAAAAGCAGGTTGTATATTTTAAAAAGCTGAGAAATATAAAAATATTACCAAGTTTGGAAAAATGACAGTATTTTAATTAATTTACTGACAAAGCACTCTAACATTTTTCCTTACTGTTTTAGGCTGTCTTCTCAACCACTCTCTTTTTTCTTTTTCTGAGACGGAGTCTCATTCTGTAGCCAGACTGGAGTTCAATGGCGTGATCTCAACTCACTTCATCCTCCGCCTCCTGGGTTCAAGCGATTCTCCTCCCTCAGACTCCCTAGTAGCTGGGACTACAGGCACGCACCACCACACCCAGCTAATTTTTGTATTTTTAGTAGAGACGGGGTTTCACCATGTTGGCTAGGATGGTCTCGATCTCTTGACCTTGTGATCCAGCCGCCTCGGCCTCCCAGAGTGCTGGGATTACAGGTGTGAGCCACAATACCGGGCCTACTTATACCACTATGACAATAATTTACAAATGTTTTCATAGAAAATAGAAATAATTTCTCAAAAAACATTTTTTATCACTGATTAGTGGGATGCACAAGATGCAAGATTTTATCCACAGACAAACTCACTGTTAATACTGATACAGGTTTATACCCTACAAACAGAAGTTCTACTACATTTGATTACATTTTATTACCATCAAAAATGAAAGAAATTTTACATTTACAATTGACATACTGCATTACCAAGTGTGTTACTGACAGAAAAAAAATTTCCTTTTTTTTTTTTAGATGGAGTCTCACTCTGTCGGCCAAGCTGGAATGCAGTGGAGTGATCTCGGTTCACTGCAGCCTCTGCCTCCTGGGTCCAAGCAATTCTCGTGCCTCAGCCTCCCAAGTAGCTGGGACTACAGGCATGTACCACCACGCCCAGCTAATTTTTGTATTTTTAGTAGAGACAGGGTTTCACCATGTTCTCCAGGCTGGTCTTGAACTCCTGACCTCAGGTGATCCACCTGCCTCAGCCTCCCAAATTGCTGGGTTACAGGTGTGAGCCACCATGCCCAGCCAAAAATTTTCACTTTGATTAGGTATTAATTTCACATGTTTGAAGATTGGAAGAATTTTTTTTAGATTAGTTTATGGATCCATATATTTTAAATCATTTTTTCCTTCTACTACATATATAGTCTCAGGTGCCTCACAACACATTCACAATGCAACTCAACCTCTGGCACGTGAGTAGTTGGAGTACTGTTTAAAGCCAGCTCTTTTATGAGGTAGCTAGCATTACCTTAATACATGGAAATGACAAAACCACATAAAAATACCCTATAAAACCTTGGTTGCATTTGGCCGCATCCCCAACATGACTGCTGCTACTCTAGTAGCACCTGGATGTAAGGAAATGTGATAGAAAGAAGTGAAAAGGAGGAAAAAGTAGTCTTAACCAATTACAATTTGAAAGCATGAACAGATTTTGGGGGCTTTCCTAGACCCTTGAAATGGGCCCATGCAGTGGAGGATTGCTGAAACTAAAATTAAACATCATTAGCTTCACTGTAAATCCTCCTCTGGGAGGCAATTAAAGACTAAGTCCTGAAGCACTTCAATATAAAGAGTTTGAGAATGAAAAGTGACCACAACAGAGATTGAGAAGGAATGGGAGTGATTTGTGCAGTAGGAGGAAACTCAAGAAAAATACAGGCTTTCAGAAACTGTGAAAAATAATGTATCAAGGAGAATGCTATCAACTATAGGAAAAAGGATGAGGACTGAAAATTGATCATTGGATTTAGCAACATGGAGGTCATTTGTGACAATAGCCAGAGAAGATTTAGTGAATCGATGAAGTCAAAGCCTTAAGGGATGAGTTTAAAGAGAATTAGGGTGAGAACAGAGGTAAGCAAAAAATACAGATAACTATTTCAAAAAATTTTTCTACAAAGGGGATCCAAGATATGGAAATATAAGTAGCAAGGGTAGTGGGGTCAAGAAGAATATATATATGTATGTGTATATATATCCAGGTGGGCATGAATCAGCAGAGGATGAAATGCTGATGATATAGGAGAGAGGCAAGGGAATCTAGTGCAAAAATGGAAGATTTGGCTTTAGGTAGTTTCATCTATAATTCATCTATGGCAACAGAAGAAAGGGCCTAGTATGTGAGTGCAAGTGTTAGCAGACAGTGGAATCCATGGAAGTTCTTTTCTGATTGCTCTAATTTTCTCAGTATGGAGGAAGCAGAGTCATCAGCTTCCTACTGGGAATAGAGATAAAATAGAAGCTGTTTGAGGTGTGAGGAGAAAGGTGTGGATTATCATGTAGGGGAGTGAAAAAGTGGATAGATTAGGGAAGTTCAGTAGAATTTCTGGTAGCATTAGCAGCTCACCCTTATCTGTGTTTATTAATTCAACATATCTTCCCACATGATTGTGAGATTTTCTATAGTCATGGTTACCTGTACAGGTACAGGAGTGAAAAGAGTTGGATTTGTCTGTGCTATCAAGTGCAAAAATAAGCATGCAGATAGTGTGTTCTATAGAAATTCACAGATCCTGGTGGGATGGCCTTTACCGTGTGAGTGAATGCAGTGGTTTGAATGTGCCCTCCAAAGTTTATGGGTTGGAAACTTAACCCACACTACAGCAGTGTTGAAAGGTGGATCTTCAGGAAGTAATTAAGTCATGAGGACTCTGCCCTCATGAATGGACTAATGTTATTGCAGGAATGGGTTCCTGATAGAAGGCGGGGTTCAGTCTACTCCCCCCAGTAACTCCCCACATGCTCTATTGTCCTTCTGCCTTCTGCCGTGAGTGATGCAGCAAGAAGGCCCTTGTCAGATGTGGGCCCCTCAACCTTGGACTTCCCAGACTCCAGAACTGTAAGATAGAAATTTTTGTTCTTTATAAATTGCCCATTCTTTGGTATTATGTTATAGCAGCACAAAGCAGACTAAGTGAATTTTGAATGAACGTTTGAAAGAGAAGAATTGCTGAATCCAGGAGAGACAGATAATCTATCTTTGAAGTGAATTAAGTAATTTAAGTAATTTTCTAGGCAATGACAGACTTATAGTTTTGATGACTCAAACATTTATAAATACCATGAATATGAAATTGTCTGTTCCCAAGAGATCTGGTGAGTTTGTCTTTTGTTACTTACTTACTGGGAAGTATTTTAGTACCTCTTTTCATCTAAATTTCATGTTAACTCTCCTCTGAAGCAAAAACAGTGCTTCCAGAGCTCTCTCTGCCACCATTTATTGTGTATATTTTGTTTCTTGGCTTTTATCCTGTCTTTACAATTTTTTACCCTGAGGGTTGAGAAAATACAGAATCAAGTCCAAAGCAATGTACTGTGCTGAACTACTTTCTACTCTCAACAGCATATAGCCCTTGAAAACACGGTGTAATTTCCGCCCTTATAATGGTCCTCTGAAAAGTAGTGAGGTAACCAGGGTAAAGGGCTCCGTAGACTCTTTGGTCCTTGTTAGCACTTGGGGTTCTCTTGGTTGGAGACTCCTCTACACAGTGAATATAAATCCTCTGTGCTAAATCTTGAGGCTAAAAATGTTGTCTCAAAGGAAGGGTCTTGGTTACCAATCTTGTTAAATGAATGAAGTTTGATGAATTTAGATGAGGAAAATAATTTGGATCTTCTTAAGGTTGTTCCAGGCTCTTTTCTACAATCTTGTGATACATTTGTAAAATCACTTATTTATTTTTATATCCTAGGCATAGAAAAGGAAAACATAGGTAAACTATTAGTTAGAAATCCATATCCTTAATCCAGTATAATTTACAAATTCAGAAAGTAACATATTCTAGAAAAAGACTATAATTTGTTTCCTTGTCAGTATTTAAATACATCTCCTTCTCAACTTCAAGCATCACTTAACCCTCCTTTGACAAATAATATATGTTCCACAGTCAATACTACCTCATTTAGACTGAGGAAACAAGCTCTACCAGTGTCATTTGCTTTAGGATAGAGTCTTACACAAAGCTTTCCAGTATTTGATAAATTGATCCTTTGGATCCAAGGGACAGGAAATCCATGTGGTCATACACTCTCCTGATAGTTGTTAGGCTTGTGAAAACAGCCAGATTCTGAGAGACGGTGTTCTGTTCCTAGTATGAATTTTTGAGCTATATATTCTCTGTGGTGTGTGTGTGTGTGTGTGTGTGTGTGTGTGTGTGTGTAAGGAGCAAGGAGAAGATAGGTTTATCAAAGAACAGTAAACTGACAATAACATTGATTATTTTCAAATTGAAACATAACTTATTAGTTGGTTTATTTGAAAAAATAAAAGCCTAAAATAAACAAAATCAGTGTATCATACATTGGAAAGGTGAGAGTATTTGATATGGCTTGGATCTGTGTCTCCACCAAATTTCATGTTGAATTGTAATGCCCAATGTTAGAAGTAGAGCTTGTTGGGAGGTGTTTGGGTCATGGGAACTGTGATAGTTAATACTGAGTGTCAAGTTGATTGGATTGAAGGATGGAAAGTATTGATCCTGGGTGTGTCTGTAAGGGTGTTGCCAAAGGAGATTAACATTTGAGTCAGTGGGCTGGGAAAGGCATACCCACCCTTAATCTAGGTGGGCACAATCTAATCAGCTGCCAGCATGACCAGAATAAAAGTAGGCAGAAAAATGTGGAGATATTAGACTGTTGTAGCCTCCCAGACTACATCTTTCTCCTGTGCTGGATATTTCCTGCCCTTGAACACTGAACTCCTAATTCTTCAGCTTTGGGACTCAGACTGGCTCCTTTGCTCCTCAGCTTGCAGATGGCTTATTGTGAGATCTTGTGATCCTGTGAGTTAATATTCCTTAATAAACTCCCCTTTAATATACATCTATCCTATTAGTTCTGTCCCTCTAGAGAACCCTGACTAATCTAGGCGCAGATCCCTCATGGCTTGGTGCTGTCTCCATGGTGGTGAGTTCTCAAGAGATCTGCTTGTTGTAAAGTGTAGCACCTCCCCTACCCTCTCTTGCTCGTGCTTTCACCAAGTGAAGTGCCTGCTCCATGAGCAAAAACCCCCTGAGGCCTCTCTAGAGGAGATGCCACTGTGTTTCCTATGCAGCCTGCAGAACCATGAGCCAATGAAACCTCTTTTCTTATAAATTACCCAATCTCAGGTATGTCTTTATAGCAATACAGGAATGGCCAAAAACAGAAAATTGGTACTGAGGAGCGGAGCATTGCTATAAAGGTATCTGAAAATGTAGAAGCAGCTTTTGAACTGGTAACAGGTAGAGGTTGGAAGCATATGGAGGGCTCAGAAGAAGATAGGAAGATGAGGGAAAGTTTGGAACTGCTTAGAGACTGGTTAAATGGTTGTAACCAAAATACTGATAGTGATATGGACACTGAAGTCCAGGCCTCGGAGGCCTCGGATGGAAATGAGGAACTTACTAGGAACTGGAGCGAAGGTCACACATGTTATGCCTTAGTAAAGAGTTAGGCTGCATTCTGTTCATGCCCTAGGGATCTGTTGAAGTTTGAACTAAAGAGTAATGACTTAGGATATCTGGTGGAGGAAGTTTCTACGCAGCAAAGTGTTCAAGATGTGATCTTGCTGTGTCTAATCACCTATGATCAGATATGGGAGTAAAGGAATGGCTTAAAGTTTGAATTTATATTTATTAGAAAGCATAGCATAAAAGTCTGGAAAATTTGCAGCCTGGCCATGTGGCAGAGAAAGAAAATGCTTTTTTTTCCAGAGGCAAATTTAAGCAGGCTGTGGAGCAATCATTTTCTAGAGATATTGTGTAACTAAAAGGGATCCAAGTGCTAATATCCAAGACAATGGGGAAATGAACTTAAAGGCATATGGGAGACCATCACATCAGCCCCTCCCATCACAGGCCCAGAGGTCTAGGAGGGAAGAATGGTTTTATGGGACAAGCCTAGGGCCCCACTGCCCTACACAGCCCAGAGACACTGCTTCCTGCATCCCAGCCACTTCATCTCCAGCCTTGACTCAAAGAGCTTCAGATACTTCTTGTGCTGCCACTCTGGAGAGTACAAGGTGCCCTAAGCCTTGGTGGCTTCCATGTGATGTTAAGCCTGTGTGCACAGAAAGTGCAAGAGTGAATGAGGCCTGGCAACCTCTGCCTAGATTATAGAGGAGGTATGAAAAAGCCTGGGTGCTCAGGAAGAAGCCTGATGCAGGGGTGGAGCCCCCACAGAGAACAGAACCTCTATTAGAGCAGTGACAAGGGGAAATGTGGGGTTGGAATCCCCACACAGAGTCCCCAGTGGAACTCTCAGTGTAGCAAAGACACAGGGTCAGAGATTCCAAAGCCTTGGGAGCCCAAGCCTTGCACTAGTATGTCCTGGATGAAGGCTATGGAGTCAAAGGAGATTATTTTGGAGTTTATGATTTAATGAATGCCCTGCCAGGTTTTGAAATTGTTTGGGGGCTACAGCCCCTTTCTTTGGACTGATTTCTCACCGTTGGAATGACAATATTTTTCCAATGTCTGTACCCCCATTGTATCTCTGAAGTAAATAACCTTTTTTTTTATTTTACAGGCCCATAGGTAGAAGGGACTTGCCTTGTTTAGATGAGACTTTGGACTTTGGGATTTTGAGTTAATGCTGGAATGAGTTAAGTCTTTAGGGGACTGTTGGGAAGGCATGATTGTATTTTGCAGTGTGAGAAGAGCATGAGATTTGGACGGGCTGGGGTGGAGTGATATGGTTTGGATCTTTCTTCTCACCAACTCTCTTGTGGAACTGTAATCCCCAATGTTAAAGATGGGGCCAGGTGGGAGGTGTTTGGGAGATGGTGGTGGATCCCTCATGGCTTAATGTTGTCCTTCTGATAGTGAGTGAGTTCTCATGAGATCTTCCTGTAAAGTATGGCACCTCCTCCCACCCCCTTGCTTCTGCTTTCACCATGTGAAGTACCTGCTCCTGCCTCACTTTCTGTCATGAGTAAAAGCTCCCTGAGGCCTACCCAGAAGCAGACGCTGCTATGCTTCCTGTATACCCGACAAACTCACCAGCCAATTAAAGCTCTTTTCTTATAAAGTACCCAGTCTCAGGTGTTTATTCATAGCAATGCAAGAATGGCCTAATACAGTATTGTTGGAGGAATTTTTGTCTTAGCGCACATGCATTGGGTTGCACCATTATTTGTTTTTCTTACTATAGACTACAGTAAAAAATATTTGAAAATCATTGGCCTAAAGCAACTAAAGTCTCTTACAGAGTTTACCTCAAGGAGTTGTTAGAAGGTTCACATGTAAATGTTTACAATATGACAATAACTTTTTAATATAAAAAATACTTGGTAAGAAACTCAAAGATCAGATAGTTGTAGATATGCGGCAATATTTCTGAGGGCTCTGTTCTGTTCCATTGATCTATATCTCTGTTTTGGTACCATTACCATGTTGTTTTGGGTACTGTAACCTTGTAGTATAGTTTGAAGTCAGGTAGTGTGATGCCTCCAGCTTTGTTCTTTTGGCTTAGGATTGACTTGGTGATACGGGCTCTTTTTTGGTGCCATATGAACTTTAAAGTAGTTTTTTCCAATTCTGTGAAGAAAGTCATTGGTAGCTTGATGGGGATGGCATTGAATCTATAAATTACCTTGGGCAGTACGGCCATTTTCACAATATTGCTTCTTCCTACCCATGAGCATGGAATGTTCTTCCATTTGTTTGTATCCTCTTTTATTTCATTGAGCAGTGGTTTGTAGTTCTCCTTGAAGAGGTCCTTCACATCCCTTGTAAGTTGGATTCCTAGGTATTTTATTCTCTTTGAAGCAATTGTGAATGGGAGTTCACTCATGATTTGGCTCTCTGTTTGTCTGTTATTGGTGTATAAGAATGCTTGTGATTTTTGTACATTGATATTGTATCCTGAGAATTTGCTGAAGTTGTTTATCAGCTTAAGGAGATTTTGGGCTGAGACAATGGGGTTTTCTAGATATACAATCATGTCATCTGCAAACAGGGACAATTTCACTTCCTCTTTCTTTGACAAACCTGAGAAAAACAAGCAATGGGGAAAGGATTCCCTATTTAATAAATGGTGCTGGGAAAACTGGCTAGCCATATGTAGAAAGCTGAAACTGGATCCCTTCCTTACACCTTATACAAAAATTAATTCAAGATGGATTAAAGACTTAAACATTAGACCTAAAACCATAAAAACCCTAGAAGAAAACCTAGGCATTACCATTCAGGACATAGGCATGGGCAAGGACTCCATGTCTAAAACACCAAAAGCAATGGCAACAAAAGCCAAAATTGACAAATGGGATCTAATTAAACTAAAGAGCTTCTGCACAGCAAAAGAAACTACCATCAGAGTGAACAGGCAACCTACAAAATGGGAGAAATTTTTCACAACCTACTCATCTGACAAAGGGCTAATATCCAGAATCTACAATGAACTCAAACAAATTTACAAGAAAAAAACAAACAACCCCATCAACAAGTGGGCGAAGGACATGAACAGACACTTCTCAAAAGAAGACATTTATGCAGCCAAAAAACACGTGAAAAAATGCTCACCATCACTGGCTATCAGAGAAATGCAAATCACAACCACAATGAGATACCATCTCACACCAGTTAGAATGGCAATCATTAAAAAGTCAGGAAACAACAGGTGCTGGAGAGGATGTGGAGAAATAGGAACACTTTTACACTGTTGGTGGGACTGTAAACTAGTTCAACCATTGTGGAAGTCAGTGTGGCGATTCCTCAGGGATCTAGAACTAGAAATACCATTTGACCCAGCCATCCCATTACTGGGTATATACCCAAAGGACTATAAATCATGCTGCTATAAAGACACATGCACATGTATGTTTCTTGCGGCACTATTCACAATAGCAAAGACTTGGAACCAACCCAAATGTCCAACAATGATAGACTGGATTAAGAAAATGTGGCACATATACACCATGGAATACTATGCAGCCATAAAAAAGGATGAGTTCATGTCCTTTGTAGGGACATGGATGAAATTGGAAATCATCATTCTCAGTAAACTATCACAAGAACAAAAAAACCAAACACCGTATATTCTAACTCATAGGTTGGAACTGAACAATGAGAACACATGGACACAGGAAGAGGAACATCACACTCTGAGGACTGTTGTGGGGTGGGGGGAGCGGGGAGGGATAAATTTAGGAGATATACCTAATGCTAAATGATGAGTTAATGGGTGTAGCACACCACCATGGCACATGTATACATATGTAACTAACCTGCACATTGTGCACATGTACCCTAAAACTTAAAGTATAATAAAAAAAAAATGAAAAAAAAATACTTGGTAAGAAACTCAGTGCTTTATTTTCTAATTTACTATAAAAAATCATATTATTTTATAATAAAAGTTAGAAAAATTGAGACATTCCAAGTATTAAGTGTCTAAAATATACAAATGTGAACTTTATTTTGAGAAAAAATGATGTCTTATTTCTAAAAAGCTTTTGAGATCCCTGAGTTCAGGGAATACAGGATGTATTACATTTTCCTGGAGTTCTACCTGGCACCAATCCCTCCTCAAGGGAATCTGGAGCAAGTTCAGCAAGGACAATGGCCAGGAGGCCTCATATGATAGTTAGATATCAGGCATTAGAATTTGGCCAGAAGGATTACCCAGAGAGCTCAAAATGGAAAAAGGATGGAAAGAGGGACTTCTGAGGATGGAAGTTCAAAGAGTGGGTTCTGAGGCTGGAAGTCAGAAAAGCCAAATCTGTCTTAAGGTCTGATCATCAACATTCTTATGCCTTCATTACATCAGTGAAAATGTAAGAACAGGGCAGGGAGCAAAGGGCAAATGTTGGAACAATGTAAGAGGATCTGAACCCATAACGTCTAGATTTTGGAACATAAACTTGGGCCCAGTGTGTTGTAGTTCAAGTAGAGGGAGCTGCAGTGGCTCAGGGCAAGAGGGCAAAAGGAGAAGAGAGCAGCTATGGAACATAATAGAATAATACTCAGCAGATTCATCTCCTCCCATAAGGTGTACATGGCAATAGGCAAAAGGAGAGTCTAAGGAGCCTGATGACCTCACTTTGAATTTAGACGCTGTCACTGATTGACTGTGTGAACTGGAATTAATTTCTGTGCCTTAGTTTCTTCAATGTAAAATGAGGTTAATAAAGAGTTGTTAGGAGGATTAAGTACATTAATATTTTAAAAGTGCTTAGAACAGTGGCCGGTTCATGCTAAGTGCTACATAAGGGCTTGATACATAAATAAGTTGTCACCATAGCTTTTTACTTGCAGCAGGATAATTTTTTGATACATTGTCTTAACCTGTTTTGTGCTGCTATAACAGGATACCTGAGATGGAGTAATTTATGAAGAACAGAAATTTATTTCTCACAGTTCTGGAGGCTGAGAAGTCCAAGATCAAGTTACTAGTATCTGGTGTCTGGTGTGGTCCTTCTTGATGCAGACTCACATGGTGGAAGACAGAAAGGCAAGAGAGAATAAACATTGTATCCTCACATGGCATAAGAGCAAAAGAGTGAATCCACTTCCATAAGCTCTTTGTACTGTGATATTAATCTATTCAGGAAGGTGCAGTCCTCATGACCTAAATACCTCTAGTTAGGCCCCACCTCCCAATACTGTTGCATTGGAAGTTAAGTTTCAAAAGGAGTTTTTTGGGGGAAAGCACTCAAACTACAGCACACATTAATGCATGATTTTCTCTCTCTATATTTTCCACCTTTCCCTTCCTTCCTTTATTCAAGCAGAAGGTCAGGCTCATGGGTTTTTGGATTCTGGATGTTTTTGGCTTGCAGAAAGCAGATATTGCATTAAAATTCACTTTCTGAGTTATTTATTCTAAAGACTTCTGAGGGCACCAAGGGAAAAGAGATATGTTCTCTCTATGGGAAACAGTAGAACGTCTTGTGTGCTTTGATAGTGGAGACCCTTGTCCTGCTCTGTAACGCCACACTGGGGAGGAGTCAAGCTCTCAGGGAAAGTCTGAGTGGGGTCCCCAGGGAGTCTGAGTTCCCAATCTGGAGGCTCCAACTATCTTCAAAGTTTTTCTGACTCAAGACTCAAGGATGGCATGGCAGCAGCAAAGCTGCAGGATCTGAAGAGACTGGATGTGTCTCCAAGGGAAATAATAGGTACTAATGAGTCATGACCAGAAGACACTCCCCAGTGTATCAATTCTTTTGTAAGATTCTCAGCCTTTTCTCAATCCAGGTGGGGAGGAGATGGGATAAGGAGCAGAAGTATGAGAAATTTCCTGAAGGATAAAGTCTGAATTTTTTTTTTCCCCAGCCAGCCTGGTGGGATGGGGGCTCAGAGTGTGAAAACTTTCTTGTTTTAGTTTGAGAAAATTTTAAGAATGGTATTTTTTGTACACTGTAGTTTGGCAACTAAAAATCATACATGATATAGTCATATTTTTGATAACCTCCCTTATTCACCTGCTATTTAAGTTGTTATTCATTTTAAATACATTTCACTTGAGGAATAATGTTAAGAATGGGAAATGAAATTCACTGAGTATGCTCTCTGTGTCCCTGCCCAATCATCTCCTATGTCAAATAGGAGCAAACAAACTTGTTTTCAGCTCAGCTGTCACATCTGAACCTACAAAACCATGATGATCTGGCTTCTGGGAGTTGGAGGAGAGAAGAACCTCTCCTAAATCTGAGCTATTATGCTTCAGTTATCACCAGAAACATCTGTTTACCAACTTGTCAAGCCAAACTCTTTACTCTGAATTTAGACAGCTGCCACAAAAATAATACACTTTGCTGAGAAAGACAATAAACACAACATAACAGAAGCCAGTTGTCTCAGGATTAGCCAGCCAGAGATGAGGAAGGCCTATCAGCATTTATGCTCAATTTATAAGGTCCTCTGGCATAGTTCACTCTACTGAGTTTGGCTGGGCTCACTTCGGAATTATTTTAAACATAGCTTTAAGTCTGCACGTCAAGGTGGATTTCTGTTGCTCTGCGCTGTGTTGCCACCTTGATCACTTCATTTAGGCTCCTTCCATCACCTCAGTGCTTCACCCTGAAGATCTGCTGACCTTGCTGTTTGCAGATCCTGGATTCTGCAGCTGCTATCTTTGACAGCTGAACAGTGCGGCTCTGCCCTCAGCTGTCTTGACCTGCTGAGGATGAGATCTGCTGATTCACCTCACACACTGGTGTCACCCTCCGCCTTATGCTCAGGTCAGGGGCAGGGCACATCCTCAGTATTATTGCTTGGATTCTGAAATACTACAGAGGTTAATAGTGTAACTTTTAATTTTTTTCATTCAGTAATCTTATGCCCTTTGTCTGCTCTCAGCCCACTGGCTGGATCCTTCTTTTTTCAAGTGATTCCATCTCAGGGCTCTTTGTTCTGTATGCAAATTTGAAAGAACCATCCTCTTGTCACCACTACCTATACCCCCTACCCAGGTCCTCACACATTCTTATGCAAGTCTGAACCTTAATTGTGGATGCAGTTCAAATGTTTATCTTAGGATGGTCCTCAGCCTCCAGGAAAATCACATAGGATGCACATAGAAGTTTAGGGAAGGGGCACCACCCAACACACATTGGATATGTGTAAGACTTGTGTCTACTGTCAACTCCCTATTATATAGGCTATGTGGATGTAAGGTCCAGGAATAATAATAATAATAATGGTCAACTTTTCTTGAGTTCTTATCATGTGCCAGGTGTTGTACTGGTTTTGTATTTTCATGATTTTATTTAATCTTTGCAATAATCCCATGAAGTAGCTATTACATCCATCCATGCAGACTTTAGATAAGAACACTGGTGGCACAAAGAGGTTGGGTAATTTACTTGAGGCTCTGCAGTTAGAAAATGGCTGGATCGTGATTCAGTTTGAACTTGAATGGGATACTGAAAAACTATCACTTGTAAGCAGATCCTGGGGCTTGTACTTCTAATCATTGGCTACATGGGAGGACTAGCCTGGGAATGCTTTCTCTGGCTGTTTTTCCCACATGGCTAATGGTATTTTTTACTAATGAACTATATTTTTTTACTGTTATAAACACTGCCTAATCTTTCATTAACAAAAGACTGGAATACGCTACTCAACCCAGGTGATTCATAGGATGGTAGTTTGACTTCAAATACAGAAAGACAATTCTTAACTGTCTTTATGATTAATAATGATAATAAGAAAAACTAGAAAATAGGCCACTGCTACTTGTGTTCAATGTGCATTCAAATTTATGACATGTCTGTCCTTCACAACCCTCATTCATTGTTACTTACATGTCATACTCTTAGTTATTTTTACTTAAAAATATATCAATTGTTTTTTGACATGCTCACTTTTTGGATTTTTACTTTTTTGATAAATGTAGCTCTTGTTCTAAATATTGTGTTCTGCTTGGTTACTTGTGACTACTTGTTATTTATTACAAAATAAATGCATCTCAGACACACACTTTTTCAGATGGCACTTGCATAATATTTAACATTTGGTTAATAGCTCTGAAAACAATAAGGTGCAAGTATTGCCAGTATGTATCACCAGGAAAAGCTGAGGCTGACAACATTTCAAAATGAATGTATCGAAGCATTTGAAGACTTTTCTCCATTTGTATATAGTCAGGGCAAGACAATTGTTTCTCAAATGTTATTTATTTGTTGCTAGTGTTTTTGTGAGCAAATCTTTTTGTGGAGCTGACTTCAGTGTGACCTTCTCTTTCCAAATGCATTCAACCTTTTGAAAAATCTCTGTTTTGGAATGAAACTTTTCAAAGAACATATTTCTCATGTCTTCCCGAGTGTTGTTACTCTTGTCAGAATTTTCCTCTAGTAGGGATATTGTCATTTTTGCTATATCTGCTGGTTAAATTTTTGCACGATGGATAGACTTAGACTAGGCTAAGAGTTTCTCACAGACTAGGGCATTCCTCTATGACATATGATTCCAATTAAAAGGGGTATCGGCCAGGCATGGTGGCTCATGCCTGTAATCCCAGCACATTGGGAGGTCAAGGTGGGTGGATCACCTGAGGTTAGGAGTTCAAGACCAGCCTGGCCAACATGGTGAAACCCAGTCTCAACTAAAAATACAAAAAAATTAGCTGGGTGTGATGGTGGGCGCCTGTAATCCCTGCTACTTTGGAAAGCTGAGCAGGAGAATCGCTTGAACCTGGGAGGCGGAGGTTGCAGTGAGCTGAGATCGCGCCACTGCACTCCAGCCTGGGCAACAAGAGTGAAACTCTGTCTCAAAACAAATAAATAAATAAAAAATAAAAATAAAAATAAAAGGAGTATCATTTCACCCCCAACATGACAGTATTAAATTTACTACAATAATTGCAATGCCAATGATGTCATCCTCTCTTTCTCTTTATGTCTGGCTCAGGGGCTCTTAATCAATGATAATTTGAGAGACATATGCAGGAATATACCTTGAGCTTCTTTAAAGTTTCACTTGTCCTCTCATGAATTGTGTCATGATTAGTGAGCTCCATATGGTTGACTGGGTGACTTTCCGCTGACATTTATTATTGAGCATTTATTTATTAAAAGAAACTTGAGTAGTAACATGCAATATGATGTAAAGTATGATCTAGAGAAACAGAAACAGCTTGAATTAAAGCTGTAGATGGGGCTGCGATTCAATCATAAGATAAGGAATAACATTATAAGGCTACCAGAGGTGCGAGGAATTTACTCAGCAAACACATATTTGGGATGTTCCCTCTGCCAGAAATGATGCTAGTAATAGGAGATGAAGCAAATATGACATAGTCCTCATCCTAGAAATACTTATTCTAGTCTTGGAATGTAAATAAATATATATAGTATATGACATGCAAAAATATCACTGAATTTGGACAATAGGCGTTAAATCAAAAAATTTTTGGTGAGTGAAAAAATACAATTTTGTACAGTGGAATGAGTGGGTCTGAAGGGCTGGTTCTTAGACAAGGAGTAAATTCTCTTCTCACTTTCTGAGATTTCCCTTGGAAAAATAGTTTAAACTTATGTTTTTAGCCACTATCTACGTACCAAGCCAAATATAGACCCTCGGCCCAGACTTCCTGCTGAGCTTCAGAACCATAAAGCCACTACCCACTGAACATTAGCACTTGACATTCCGGTATTTCTAGGATAAGGTCTATGTCATATTTAGTTTATCTCCTATTACTAGCATCATTTCTGGCATATTGCCCAAACTCATGTATCCTAACTTGATTTTCCTTTATCCGCAATTCCTATTTCAGTTAATCACTACTATTCACCCAGTTTCCAAAGCCACCCTAAATTGTTCCCTCTAATTCACATGTCACATTAAATCAGTCCATGTCCCTATTCTCTACCTTCTTAATTGTAAACTTCTCTCCTTGACTTTCCTATTGATGTGATTCATGTATTTGTCACTTATCTCACAGATTATTATGATATACTTATAAATCCTCTCCTGTATCTTAATCATTTACAACTTTTCTCTTCCCTAGTGTCCTAGGTTCTTTTTTGTTTGTTTGTTTGTTTGTTTTAAATAGAGTCTCCCTCTGTTGCCCAGGCTGGGGTGCAGTGGTGAAATCTTGGCACACTGCAACCTTGGCCTCCTGGCTTCAAGTGATTCTCCGGCCTCAGCCTTCTGAGTAGCCTGGGACTACAGGCATGTGCCACCACACCCAGCTAATTTTTTTTTTTTTATTATACTTTAAGTTTTAGGGTACATGTGCACAATGTGCAGGTTTGTTACATATGTATACATGTGCCATGCTGGTGCACTGCACCCATCAACTGGTCATTTAGCATTAGGTATATCTCCTAAATCTATCCCTCCCCCCTCCCCCCACCCCACAACAGTCCCCAGAGTGTGATGTTCCCCTTCCTGTGTCCATGTGTTCTCATTGTTCAATTCCCACCCATGAGTGAGAATATGCGGTGTTTGGTTTTTTGTTCTTGCAATAGTTTACTGAGAATGATGATTTCCAATTTCATCCATGTCCCTACAAAGGATATGAACTCATCCTTTTTTATGGCTGCATAGTATTCCATGGTGTATATGTGCCACATTTTCTTAATCCAGTCTATCATTGTTGGACATTTGGGTTGGTTCCAAGTCTTTGCTATTGTGAATAGTGCCGCAAGAAACATATGTGTGTATGTGTCTTTATAGCAGCATGATTTATAGTCCTTTGGGTATATACCCAGTAATGGGATGGCTGGGTCAAATGGTATTTCTAGTTCTAGATCCCTGAGGAATCGCCACACTGACTTCCACAATGGTTGAACTAGTTTACAGTCCCACCAACAGTGTAGAAGTGTTCCTATTTCTCCACATCCTCTCCAGCACCTGTTGTTTCCTGACTTTTTAATGATTGCCATTCTAACTGGTGTGAGATGGTATCTCATTGTGGTTTTGATTTGCATTTCTCTGATAGCCAGTGATGGTGAGCATTTTTTCATACCCAGCTAATTTTTGTATTATTAGTAGAGATGGGGGTTTTGCCATGTTGGCCAGGCTGGTCTCAACCTGTCCTCAATTGGTCTCCCTGCCTTAGCCTCCCAAAGTGCTGGGATTACAGGCCAGGATTACACTGTGCCTGGCCCCAGTTTGTTTCTATTGTTGTTGACAGGATTGTCTTTCTAAAATTTTTCAGTGGCTGTCTCTAGAGTTGAGCAAATCCAAACTTCTTGTCTAAGACATAAAATATATCATGTTACTTTATATATATATGCTGTTTGCCTATGCTGTTCCCTCTACTTGCAATTTCCTTTCCTTATCTGAAGCTTATTATCTGTCACAATGCAGTTCATATGTCCACGAGTAAATGAAGCCTCCTCTGCCTCCCTCTTCCCATCATATGGCAAACTTCTTGAGGGCAGTCTTGGGAAAATTATTAAACATAATACACTCCCCAAATGTTTATTAAATAAATGAATATTAATAGTGTTAAATGATATCATTATTTTCATTTTTTGAGCGTTTACTTTTATGAAGACACTGGCTAAGCATTTTAAATATGTTTTCTCCAACAATCACAGCACTTCTGAAAGTAGTTATGATTTTTCTTACCTTATAAATAAGAAAATAGAGACTCAAAGAAGTTAAGTGAATTTTTATATCTCACATAGCCAGATTATGACAGAAGAGAGATTTGAGATCTAATCTGTCTGATTCTGAGTTTGTGAAAATATGACCTGAATTTTAACAACCTTTTATTAAAGATCAGTGAAAATAAGGTTAGCTCATAAGGATAATAGCAGGTTAATTTTCCAGCTGGACTACATAACTATGAACATAAATATATAAAATGTGGATATTATATATAGTAAAATATATAATATAAAGTATATATAATTATATTTAATATAAAACATATTGTTAATAATATAGCATATACTATCATGTATGCTATCTATAATTTTATTATATGTAATATAAATTAACATGTAAACATAATATGCTATATTCATATGCTAATGTAACACAAAACTATAAAATTATATATAATCATATATAATCTAAATTTTTATCTATCCAAAGTATAAGGTAATTAAACAGAAAAACTTCAAATAAAATGCAGCAGCTCCTTATTTCATCTTTCACCATTCTAAGTGCCATTTTTAAGATAGTATAATCAAATTTTTTTTATTACAATTTCTTGGGTAATTACTCTAAAGAAAATGAAATGCTTATAATACTGTTTCCTAACTTATGAACTTGATTTCCTATTATAAAAGATGAATATTAAGCTGATTTATAATACCTCATATCACCTCTCCATATTTTCCAATTTTGACAGCTCTAGTATTTCTCCTAATTTTGTATTGGTTAATTGTGTGCCTTTTTTGTTCTTAAACCCCCATTTCTCTCTACCAGTTTTCTATGCATCTTTTGATTTCCCTTAATGTAAAAATGATATTAATGTCCTTCCCTTCCTTACATGTCTCCCTCCCATTCAAATAATCAGCTCTGGCTATGTTTTCCTTTCTTGTTATTTAGGGCGATAACTTTTACTTTCCATTCAGTTAGAATTGTTCATCATCTGTGTGTTTGTGTGTGTGTATACATGTGCGTGTGTGTGCTTGCCTTGGAAATTACAACATGCACTTTTTACTTTCCCTGGACATTGCAAGGACATTACAACATTTCAATTCATTTATACTGACTCGTATGCTATGATTTTCTTACACATACACACATGCTAATATGGGTAAGTCTACATAAACCATGACTGTACAAAACAACAAATGGTAATATGTAAAATGTGTGTTTATACAGTATGTTTTTGAAAAGCATTATTATTGTTGTTTATACAATCACTTCTCATGTAGAGTTTCCCATATATTTATCACTTTCATTGCTCTTCTTTTTTATTTATTTATTTTTTTTTGAGATGGAGCCTCACACTGTCACCCTGGCTGGCGTGCAATAGTGCAATCTTGGCTCACGGAAACCTCCACCTCCTGGGTTCCAGTGATTCTCCTGCCTCAGCCTCCCAAGAAGCTGGGATTACAGGTGCCCACCACCATGCCAGGCTAATTTTTTTGTATTTTATTAGAGACAGGGTTTCACTATGTTGGCCAGACGGGCCTTGAATTCCTGATCTTGTAATCCGCCCACCGTGGCCTCTCAAAGTGCTGGGATTACAGGCGTGAGCCACCACACCTGGCCTTGCTCTTCATTTCTTACCACATCTCTTCTTTATACTTTCTTCTCTCTTTATTTGTATCCATTAAATTCTTAAATTCTATTGTAATATCTTCTATGGTTTAAATGTTTTTTTCCACCCTCCAAAATTCATGCTAAAACTTAATCCCCATAGCAACAGCATTGGGAGGTGTGGCCTTTGGGAAGAGATTGAGTCATGAGGGCTCTGTCCTCATGAATAGGACTAGGTGAGCTAATAAAGGGGCTTGCAGGATGAAGTTTACTTTTTTTTCCCTTTCACCGTCATCCATGAGAAGACACAGTGTTCCATCCAGAGGATGTAGCATCAAGGCGTCATCTTAAAAGCAGAGAAAAGACTCTTACTTGACACCAGATGCCAGTGCATTGATCTTGGACTTCCCAGCCTCTAGAACTGTGAGAACATATATTTCTGTTGTTTATAAATTACCCAGTCTGTGGTATTTTGTTATAACAGCACAAATGGCCTAAGACAATATCCTAAGATTTTGACTCTTTCAAACAGCTATCTATATCATGTTTCATAGTTTCGAGCTCCTTAACAAGATTTTCAAATCAACTTTCAGTTAGTTGTCTGTTATTTGTGCTGGTTCTTTCTTGAAGTTTTTGTCCACACATGTCTCTAGTTATTTTAGCTTGTATGCTGAAAATTGTATTTTGAAAAGCTAATTGCTGAAATAATTCAAGATTGAGCATTATGTTGCTTTCCTCCAAAGATTTTCATTTTTTTGTCAGGTGCATAAGGGCACTAGCAATTAGTGCTTAATTAAGTTCAGGCCTGAAAGTTTCTATGTAACCCAAATGACTTCAAGCCCAGGAAGGCTTTCCCCGGGACAATATCTGACAAAGATACCTTTCTCCATTTGGACAGAATCTGACAGAGATTACAGGTTTCCACATCTCTATAGTCCAGGCAAGTTCAATGTGGATAATTAGAGAGTTGAAAAATATTTCTCCTTGAGGGAGGTTAAAGAAAAAAATGATTCAAAAAACTTATTAAAAACAGTAAGTTCAGACTATGTTTAGGACTGCCACAATAGTATAGGGACTTTTGCAACGGGGTTTTGCAGTAGGGGAGAGAGATTGGGACCAACTCTTGAGTGCAACAAGTAAAAGCTGTTATTTATAGCCAAGGAGAAGGGTAGGGTTGGAGAGGTTAATGGATGGAAAATTACTGTGAGAATGTCAAGGGTAATGGGGGATTAGGGCTAAACTGACCTAACCAGGATTCTTTCTGAAGGCAGATCAGGGTCATCATATTCTAAAAGACGAGTAGAGGATGAGAAACTCTGTCAGATATGGAGGGTGAATACGTATCAAGGGTAAGGAACTCTGGCTAATCAAACTTGACAGGATTCTTGCTAACACCAGGTTCTTGGAGAACATACCTGAGGATGGAGCCTCATTGGGCTCAGAGGAGTCTGACTAAAATTTGGTCAAAGAGACAATCTTTGTCAGGGAGAATGAAAAACATTGGAGTTATTAATGGAGTTATTTTTCCTCAAGATGAAAAATCTAGGTGTTGATTATGGAAAATATGTGAGGAATTACTATTCTATTCTTCATATATACTCAACAAGGAATAAGAGAAAATAAGCTTGAAGCATCCCAAGCAGGGAGGAAATAGTAGATTTAATGAATGAATAATTAAACCAACTAGTGGCATACAAGGGAAATATTCCAATGTTTCTTCCTTTGTTTACCATTCTCAATGGATCTTTTTGGTCCATTCTCATTATACTGCTTTCACTGTCAGTTACTGAGGCACAGACCCTAGTAGTATACTAGACATTTCTTACATTGTCCAGTGCCCCTCTTGAAGGATTGTGGTATCTAGCTATCAATTTGGAGCTGATTGCATTTGGACACAAAATGAGAATAATAACTTTTACATTTGTATAGTGCTTTCTGTTATGTCAAAGAGCTTTCTTTTCCATTGCCTCAAGCAATATGGTGTAGTTTAAAAGCTGTGTGTTGTTGGCAGAGCGGTTTGATTAATTTCCACTGCACAATTGGTAAAACTGAATCCCAGAAAGGTTTTCACTTAAGTTTCAACTGGTGATAAAGTGTATGATAAAAGCAGGGGTTTCTAGTCTTACTTTCATCACACTTTAACATGGATGAAACATACCATGCAAAGGAATTCCAGAATTTAAATACTAAGCTTTTTAGTGAATGCAAATCCATAGTTAAGCTCTCCAAACTGCCTACCTAGTTTGCTTTAATCTTCATGTTTGACGTGAATGTGGTAGATACCCTTCTTTACCCACCTATTAAAGTATTCTCTTTATCTGTCTTCTCTCCAATTAGTAATAGTATAGCTTGATATTGTTATATTTCCTGAAGATTTAGTCTTGTAATATATTTTCATTTTTTATCCCTCTTTCCTTGGATTTCCATTCACTTCTCTTTGCCCAGTTGCAGGTAATCAGGACTTATTCCCCCAAACACACTTCTTTTCTATTTTCCTTCTAGAATGCTGGTAGCTGTGTAATTAGGCAAGTTCTTCTCTGCTATTTTAAGAAAAAGACTTCATAGAAAAGTAGGTCTCCTTTTGAATATTCACTGTATGGGATTCCTAATGTTAAAATTAATGTTTTCCCAAATATTAATTATTAAGCACATAAACAATGTGGAGATATTTAACATGGAGTCTGGTACATGGTAAATACTTAGTAAATGACAACTATTTTTATTACCAACAATAATAATAAATATTAGGCTTCCAACAACAAAGTCTGGATATGTGTTTCCTGGTCTACCAGGTTTGTATAGCATTATGAAAAAATGAAGCAATATGGTGCTGACTTAGAGTGCTCCTCTGGCTCTGGTTTGGTTGTGTACTCAGGGTCAGAGAACCCCTCTCTTAGAACATTGTTTGTGACTATGTATGCATCAGGACTAATAATGTCTTCAGTGTCTAAAAGTTAATTTAGCCACAGCTGTGTCAATATAAGAAGCATTACTTTCTGGTGGGATTAATTTCTGAAATGACATTTTAAGCTAAGGATTTCACCATCTCTATCCCTGAATTATTTTGAGAATGCCTGGAAAATGCCGTGTGGAAAAAGTTTTCTAGATGTGGCTTTTTCAAATGTGAAATTAGGTTTGAAGACAGTTTTTAAATAGATTGTGAAGGAGGTTCCGAAGGAGTGAAGTTGAAACTCACTGAGTTTGGGCATTAGAATTTTTTAAAGCCATAACCAAGATTTAATTTGTTCTGGGGGTAAATTAGCTTTAATTGGGTTGGCTAGGTTGGGAGAATAACCCTCTTCCAAGTAAGAACCCTTGTGTTTTAGCTCTTAAACATTTGATAAATGGTTCCATAACGTGAATTAATTGATGCCAATTGTGACAAAAGTGTGGAAGTTACTGAACCCTATTCAGAGACTACTAAAGCTGCCATTTTAACGTAATGTTTCTACATCAGCCCCAGGCCATCTATAAGTCAGACAAGAAGAAGGCTATACTTTGACACTGTTGATTGTAGAAGGAATTAAGTGATGCATTAATTTGTACGTGATAGAAATTTGAAAAAAGTCATCCCATTACTCATGAGAAAAACTTGTAAATAAAAATGAAGGACCCAGATATTAGCCAATGGGAGACAAGTTAGCCCCGTATTATTGACCAGTTCTATAAATATTTCCAACTCTTGAGTCTATGACAGACTGAAAGTGAAGAGTAATGCATTTTTGCTGACAGAGATACAAGAACTCCACTTAAGTCAAGGAAGGCTTTGAATGAGATCGTGATGCAAATGGTTGACGACATCAGATGAGTTAATTGTTCTGACTGGCTCTGAAGGAGAAGTAGGTGAATTTTTTCTTCTTGATGAAATCTCAGAGCTATTTACCACAAATGGCACAGGACTCAGATTTATGTTATAACAATAAAACCTAGCATCAAATTTGGTATTCTTCCTTAGAAAAATGAGCCACATGTATTTTCTGATTGTCTATGATTTCCTCATACTTGGTGCTCTACCTCAGAAAAATGAGCCATCTGTAATATTTTCCATGATTGCCCAAGATTTCCTCAGATGGCCACATTAGGCAGAAGCTGTCATGGGAGATCTGACAAAAATCACAAATGAAGGTAATGTAGTTGCAGGAGATACTTTAGAACATCCTCAATGTTGTTAGTCTCACAAGATCTGAATCATCTTTTGTTTAGATGAATCAGTTTTACTAAGTTTCTACAACAAAGCTCAATGTATTTGAAGTGTAATTACCAATATTGAGGATTATAGCCACCTAACTTGGCAGACTATTACTCTTTCTTTGGCTGACTCCTTTAATCAAGGGCATTTTCGGGGCCAGATTTGACAGCTGCAGTGCTGGAGACAGATTGCGAAAAAGGTTCTGGGATAAGTTACATTTTCTCTAGCTTTTGTGTCAAAGCAATCGACAATCTATTAGAAAGTTTCATTGTCTACATCAAAGCCAGGAAGGTGTAATGCACCATCTTTCTGGCAGGAGTAACAATGATAAAGTGATTTTGATAAAATCTCATCATAGTCACATCTATGGGATTGTGATAGTGAATATTGAGTGTCAACTTGATTGGACTGAAGGATGCAAAGTATTGTTCCTGGGCATGTCTGTGAGGGTGTTGCCAAAGGAGATTAATGTTTGAGTCAGTGGACTGGGAGAGGCAGACCCACTCTCAATCTGGGTGGGCACTATCTAATCAGCTGCAAGTGCAGCTAGCATAAAGCAGGCAGTAGAAGATGGAAGAACAGACTTGCTGAGTCTTTTGGCCTTCATCTTCCTCCCATGCTGGATGCTTCCTGTCCTGAAATACCAGACTCCAAGTTTTTCAGCTTTTGGACTCTTGGACTTACACCAGTGGTTTGCCAGGGACTCTCAGGTCTTCTGCCGCATACTAAAGGCTGCCCTGTCAGCTTTCCTGCTTTTGAGGTTTTGGAACTCAGACTGGCTTCCCTGCTCCTCAGCTTGCAGATGGCCTATTGTGGGGCTTCACTTTGTGATCGTGCGAGTCAATACTCCTTAATAAACTCCTCTACATATATGCACATCTATGCTATTAGTTCTGCCCCTTTAGAGAACCCTGACTAATACAGGGATCAAAAGGGGAGAAAAACAGCCTGTTTTTATAGGAAATAAAGGTTAGTAGTACATGGTCTTATTCCTCTGGATACTGGAAGTCCCTGAGCAACTCTGCTACATGATAGATTTGGGTTCCAAAGACTATAGGCTCCAAAAACAAACAAACAAACAAACCCAAAGACTACAGGCTCTAAAATGTCCTTCGTCAGAAATATCAGAACCTTTTGAGGAAAAGCAGCTGCAGCAGCAGCAGCAGCAGCCATGCAATAACAGTAACAACAACAACAACATGTTCTGGGTTATTCTGACTAGGTACTGCTACTGTACCAAGTTATTTTGATTTGTAACCAAATTTAAGAATTGCCAGTGAGACTATAACCGTACTGATTTCTCCTCAACTCCTTTTTTACTTCTTTTTCTCTCTATCCACCTCTTTTTCTTTCTCCCCTGAAGGTACCAAATGCAACTCCACACAATTACTTCTTTGTTTTTTATACTCCTTGGGATATATGTGATATAATTGTTATTTAGTTTAGTGCTCCAGTTGTTCATAAGGACCTCAAAGACTAATGTACATGTTTAGATATAGCTACACAAAAGCAAAGTATCCAAAGTTTAAGTCAATTCTCCATCTGAACTGCTAATTGGAATACTTCTCTGGAAAGGGAAAGATTCACATTCTCCTTTGGCTGGCAGTTGGCCAGAGATGAAGATGTGAGCTTTGGACAAAGTCAACATTCTTGGCTCCTATTGCCTAGGTTTTCACTGGACCATAGTTATAATCTCATATGTCAATGGTGTGTGGTCCTATCTCTTCTTTGAGTGTGTTTTTTATATTTTAAAAATATTTTGAGCAGGTGCATGTTGAAAGGACTTTGTGGTTAAAGATTGGAAGTTAAGTTGGTGTTGCTTATAATTAATTGAGCATGTAGTACCAGAAGGTAGATAACAATTGGGCTACAGCAGAGGTTAACTTGCACTTTTTTTTTTTTTTTACAGTTTACAATAGATATAGACATTAAAGCTAAAGGATTATCAGAATTTAACTTCTGTTCAGATAGTTGACAACAGTTCCCTATGATAACTATGCTAATTTATAATTTCTTAAATACATAGTCTTTAGCATTGGCTCACATATGCCTTCTATTTGTGAATGTACTGAAAGCACATCATCTCATAAAACTTTAAAAATAATTGTTTTGACTCTGGAGACTTAGTAAATATAATTCAAACCGAAGGATTTTTAAAAAACTTTTTTCCCTCCTTTCTGGGGATGTTTTCTTGAGTTTGAAGAAGGTTAATTGCTAATTCTTTAGCATCCAAAGTGGCAGCTTCCTTATTATAATGCTATATCATACACTGGAATGCCCCTTATCTGACATGACTGACTAATTATTAAAATACTTAATTTTTTTTCTCCAGCTGTTTGGTTTCTGAGTAAACAAATTGCTAAGTTCGATTGGCTTCCATTTGCACTTCATTGCTTCTTGACAGCAAATACTCCAAAAAATGAGTTGCCTCTGGGTGTTTATAATCTCTAAGGGCAGAAGAAACAAATGTGTGCATGATTTTGCTAATTTGAAAACTAAAAACCACCCTCATTAAAAATCTAACACACTTTAAAACTATTGCACAATATGATTTCTTAAACTTTGTAAAGACAGTGTGTGTTCCTAGAATCCCCAAATTCATTAATTTGATATTGTAAGATGTGATTTTATTAAATGAAAGCAAAGGCGTTATCTTCAAGGAATTGATGTATTGATGGCATACAAATATAGTTGTATGCAGACAATTCAGAATTGCCTTCATTCTGATTAGCCAGAGTTACATGATTAAAAAGTTAACTGGAGTACTGATTTACTTTCTAACAGATTTAGTTCAGCCTGGTGTGGATGCATTTCAGAATCTGTGAAAAATGGAATCACAATGCTGTGACAGCAGCATTTCTGCCTGTGGTATCTGTGAAGCAGGTATTGTAACACACATCAGAATTGTAATTTGGTCACAGATTTGGTGGTTTCTTCAGCTCCCATGACCAGATTTATTTGTAGAGTTTGGACTTTTTTTGTTTCTGTCATGCCTCAGGGAAAGGATGACACACAATGTAGAGTTCAATATATACCTGTCCCTTAGAATCTGTGGAGAATTAGTTCTAGGACCCCTGCAGATACAAAAATCCCCTGTGATTCTCAAGTCCTTTATATAAAATGGTATACTTGCATATAAGCCATGCACATCCTTCTGTATACTTTAAATCATCTCTAGATTATTTATAATACTAGGTAAATAGTTGTTACACTGTGTTTTTATTAGCGTTATTTTTAAATATTGTATTATTATTTTTTATTTTTCCAAATATTTTCCATCTGTGGTTGGTTGAATACACAGATGCAGAACTGGAATATGAAGGGTAGACTGCAGTTTTATGTAAGAACAAGATTGTGAAAAGAAAAAGAAATTGGAAATATACCTTAGACAGAAATGTACTTATTTCATTCTGTAGATGACAAAGTGGTCAGAAGGCTACTCTTTGAAGTTGTATAAACAACTTCAAAGATTGTTGAAACTTTGAAGATTCAAAGATTGGGTTAGAGACCCAGGGCTACCAGTTTTTAGCTCAATGATGTTGAGCAAGTTACTAGCGTGTAATAATAGTATCTACCTCCTTAGGTCACTGTGAAGATAATGTCAAATATTGCATATAAAGTGATTAACCCAGAACCTGACAGAGACTAAGGTTACAGGAATTATTTATTGTTATCATCATCATAATTATTGTTGTTGCTAATAGATGCCATACATTACATGTGAAAAGTCCACTACATGAATGCACATGAGGTTTTTCTTATTCTTTGTTAGGTCTTTAAGTATCTATGAAATGAGTGTCAGGGCTACAAACCACAGTGTCTCCATGAATTAAAGGTTAAGACAGCAGTACCAGAGTGGATTCAGGATAGGCTTTAAACTTTGGGAAGGCAAAGATTCACCTTGATAATAACAATGAAAATTCTTTTAAATTTATATAAATATGTTTTATTTCACCTTTTTTACAGCCATATGAGTTAAGGGTTATCTTGTCAATTTTTAAGTAAACTGAAGTTTTAAGATGCTAAATTACCTGCCTAAGATCATGCAATAGGCAAAGCTAAAATTTGAATTTGGATTTGGTTGACTTCAGTGAAAAGATCCTTTTTTGTTCCTTCCTTTTTTCTTTTCTCCCTATCTTCCTTCCTATCTTCTTTCCTTCTCTGTTTTCTTTTCTTTTTTCATTTTTTTTATTGATATGTAATAATTATATGTATTTATGAAGCACATGTGATATTTTGATCCATATATATAACATGTAATGATCAAATTAGGGTAATTGAGATATCCATCATCTTAAGTATTTATCATTTCCTAGTGTTGGGAATACTCAAAATCTTCTCTTGTAGCTATTTTGAAGTATACTATGCATTCTTGTTAACTACAGTCATCATACTGGGTTATAAAACACAAGAACTTATTCCTTTCATCTGACTATTTCTATACCCATTAGCCAGTCTTTCTTCATCCCTCTCTTCTCCTTCCCCTTCCAAAACTTTGGCAACTACCATTCTACTCACTACCTCCATGATATCAGCTTTTTTAGTTCACATGCATGAGGAAAAACATGCAATAATCTCTTTCTGTGCCTGGTTTATTTCACTTCACCTAATGTTCCCCAGACTCATTTGTGTTACTGCAAATGACAAAATTTCATTCTTTTCTTATGACTGAATAGTATTGCATTATGTATATATACCACATTTTCTTTATCCATTCATTTGTTGGTGGACGCAAGTTGATTCCATATTTTGACTATTGTGAATAGTGTGCTGCAATGAACATGGGAATGCAGGTAATCTTTTGACATACTGATTTTCTTTCCTTTGTATGTATAACTGGCACTGGGATTATTGGATCTTATGGTATTTCTATTATTAGTTTTTTGGGAAATCTTCATACTGTTTTCCATAATGATTATATGAATTCCCACCAACAGTGTGTGAGAGTTCCCTTTTCTCCCCATCCTTACTAACATTTTTTATTTTTTGTCTGTTTGATAATAGCTATTTTAACCTGGGTAAGATAATCTCATTATGGTTTTTATTTCATTTCCCTAATATTTAGTAATGTTGAGTATTTTTTCATATACTTGTTGCCTATTTGTAGGTCTTCTTTTGAAAAATGTCTATTCAGATCATTTGCCCATTTTTAATTGGATTATTTGTCTTTTATGTTGTTTAGTAGTTTGAATTCCTTATATATTCTGCTTATTGAACCTTTGTCAGAGGAACAGTTCAGTTTGTAAACATTTTCTCTCATTCTGTAGCTTGTCCCTTCGCTGTGTTGATTGTTTTGTTTCCTGTACAGAGCTTTTTAGCTTGAAATAATTGAATTTGTCTATTTTTGGTTTGGCTGTCTATGCTTTTGAGGTCTTAATAAAAAAAATCTGCCCAGACCAACATCCTGAAGCACTTACTCAATGTTTTCTTCTAGTAGTTTCATAGTTTCAGGTCTTACATTTAAGCCTTTCATCAATTTTGATGTGATTTCTATATGTGGTGAGATATATGGATCTAGTTTTATTCATCTACATATGAATATAGTTTTCCCAGACCATTTTTTGAAGAGACTGTCCTTTCCTCGGTGTGTGTTCTTGGTCCTTTGTCTAAAGTGAGTTGGATGTATTAATAAATAAATAAATTTATTTATGAGTTCTTTATTCTTTTCCACTGATCTCTGTGTCTGCTTTTATGTATGCCATTACTGTGTTTATTTGGTTACTATAGCTTTGCAGTATATTTTGAAGTCAGGCAGTGTTATGCCTTCAGTTTTATTCTTTTGGCTCAGAATTGCTTTGACTATTTGGGGTCTTTTGTGCTTTCTTACAAATCTTAGAATTGTTTTTTCCTATTTCTGTGAAAAATATCATTGGTATTTTGATAGGGATTACACTGATTCTCTAGACCACCTTAAATAATATGGACCTTTTAACAATATTAATTCTTCCAATCCATGGATATAGAAGGGATTTCCATTTATTTGTGTCCTTTAATTTCTTTCATTATGTTTTGTAGTTTTTATTGTAGAGATCTTTTACCTCCTGATTAAATTTATTACTAGGTATTTTTTTGTAGCTATTGTTAATGGGATTGCTTTCTTGATATTTTCTGATTATTCGCTAACACATATAAATGCTACTTATTTTATGTGTATTTTATATCTGGCAACTTTACTGAATTTGTCTATGTGTTCTAACAGTTTTTTGGCTAAGTCTTGAGGATTTTTTTAAATATAAGATTATGTTTTCTGCAAAAAAAGACAAATTGATGTCTTTCTTTCCAATTTGGATGCCCTTGATTTTTATTCTCTTGGCTAATTTCTCTGGGTAGGACTTCCAGTACTATATTGAGGGAAAGTAGTGAAAATAGAGATTCTTATTGTGTTCCAGACCTTGGAGTAAAGGCTTTCAATTTTTCCCCATTTAGTATGAAGTTAGCTGCGGGTTTGTCATATACGACCTTTATTGTTTCAATCTATGTTTCTCTTATATCCAATTTTTTGAGAGTTTTCCTCATGAAGAGATGTTGAATTTTATAAAATGATTATTCAGCATGGATTGAAATTATTATATTTTTGTTCTTTATTCTGTTAATGTGATATATCATGTTTATTGATTGATGTGTGTATGTTGAACCATGCTTGCATTCCTGGCTGAATCCTATTTGATTATGGGGAATGATCTTTTTGATGTGCTATTGAATTCAGTTTGCTAGTACTGAGAATTTTTACTTTTATGTTTGTTCATCAGGGATATTGGCCTGTAGTTTTCTTTCTCTCTTTTTTTTTTTTATGTTCTTACTTGGTTTTGCTATTAGGGTAATGATGGCTTCAAAGCACAAATGTGAAAGTATTTTCTCCTCTTCAAAGTTTTTGGAGTTTAAGTAGAATTGGTATTAGCTCTTTAAAAGTTTAGTGGAATTCACTAATAAATCCAGCAGGTCCTGGGCTTTTGTTTGGTGAGACAATTTTTATTACAGCTTTGATCTTATTATTTGCTATTAGTATGTTCAGATTTTCTATTTATTCATGGTTCAATCATGGTAGGTTGTATGTGTCCAGAAGTTTATTTGTTTATTCTAGGTTTTCCAATTTATTGGCATATTTATTGTTTCTTTATTGATTTTTTTTTTTTTTTTTTTGCCTGGATGGTATGCCCATTGCTAAAAGTGGGGTGTTGAAGTTCCCTACTGTTATTGTATTGCAGTCTGTCTCTCCCTTTAGATCTATTAATGTTTGATTTACATATTTGGATGATCCAGTGTTGGGTGTATATATACTTACAATTGTTATATTTTTATTATGAATTAACTTTTTTGTCATTATATAATAGTAATCTCTACTGATCATTTTTTATGTCTGTGCTATCAGTTGTAATGTCTCTTTTTCATCTCTGATTTTATTAATTTGGGTCTTCTCTCTTTTTTTCTTAGTGTATGTAAAGTTTTGTTGATTTTGTTTATCTTTTCAAAAAACTAACTTTTTAAAATTTATCTTTTGTATTGTTTTGTAGTCTCGATTTCATTTATTTCTTCTGTGATCTTTATTATTTATTTTCTCCTACTAATTTTGAGTTTGGTTTGTTCTTGATTTTCTGGTTCCTTAAGGTGAATCATTGTCTTGCTTATTTGAACTGTTTCTGCTTTTTTAATGTAGATGTTTATTGCTATAAACTCCTCTAGTACTACTTTTGCTGTATCTTGTAGTTTCTGGTATGTAGTGTTTCAATTTTTCATTTATTTCAAAAACTTTCAAAGTTTCCTTCTTAATTTCTTCTTTGACTCATTGGTAATTCAGGAACATGTTGTTTAATTTCTATGTATTTGTAAGATTCCTAAAGTTTTTCTTGTTATTGAATTCTGTTTTTACTCAATTGTGGTCAGAAAAGATACTTGATATGATTTAAACTTTTTTGAATTTATTGAAACTTGTTTTGTGGCCTAACATATGGTTATTCTGCAGAATGATCCATGTTCTAATGAGAAGAATATGTATTCTGTAAATGTTAGGTCCTTTTGGTTTAGAGAATAGTTGTAACTTAAATGTTTCTTTGTTGATTTTTTTTTTTTGTCTGGATGGTATGTTCATTGCTAAAAGTGGGGTGTTGAAGTTCCCTGCTATTATTGTATTGCAGTATATCTCTCCCTTTAGATCTATTAATATTTGATTTATATATTTGGATGCTCCAGTGTTGGGTGCATATATATTTATAATTTTTATATTTTTATTATGAATTGACTCTTTGTCATTATATAATGACCTTTTCTGCCTTTTTTCATAGTTTTTGAGGTAAAGTATATTTTATCTGATATATGTATAGCTTTTCCTTCTCTTCTTTGGTTTTAATTTATATTGAATATCATTTTCCATCCCCTTACATTCAGTTTATGTGTTTCTGTACAGATGAACTGAGCTTTTTGTGGGCAACATATTATCAAGTCCTTTTTTTTAAATCTATTAATCCACTCTGTGTCATTTAATTGAAGAATTTAGTCAATTTGCATTTAATTTTATTATTGATAGGTAAGTACTTACTACTGCCATTATGTTACTTGTTTTCTGGCTCTTTTGTTACTCCTGTATTCAATTCTTCTTTTCCTACTTTCTTCCTTTGTGGTTAAGTGATTTTCTCTGGTAATATATTTTAATTCACTACTTTTTATTTTTAGTGTATCTCTTAGAGGTTTTTGCTTTGTGGTTACCATGTGGATTACAGAAAAACATCTTTTAGTTATGAAAAGTAAAATAATAATGATGCGTTTGATCTAAAAAAATAAAAACAAATAATAAACTATAATACTACATATTTTATCTCAATTTCCACAACACTTTGACTTTTTGTTGTCTCAATTTATGCATTTTTAACATGGCTTATCTCTTATATTGTGGTAGTTATTATTTCTGATAGATTTGTCTTTTTATCTTAATACTAAATATATGAGTAGTTTACATATCACAATTACAGTATTAAACTATTTTAATGTGTCTATGTACTTACTTTTACCACTGAGTTTTATACCTTCAGATTTTTTCTTGTTGAACATTAGCATCTTTTTCTTTCTAATTGAAAAACTTTAACATTTCTTCTAAGACAGGTCTGATGTTGATTAATTCAGCTTAGTTTTTTCTGAAAGTCTTTATCTCTCCTTCATATGTAAACGATAGTTTTGCTGAATACAGTATTCTTGGTGGACAGTTTTACTGCTTTCACACTTTGAATGTGTCATCCCACTTCCTCCTGGCCTGTAAAGTTTCTGCTGAGAAGTCTATTGCCACATGAATCAGAGCTCCCGAATACGTTATTTGCATCTTTTTCCTTTAGAATCCTCTCTTTGTTCTTAACCTTTCTGAGTTCAATCATTATATGTCCTGAGGTATACTTATTTGGGTTGAATCTCTTTGGTGACCTTTGATTTTCCTATATCTAGATACTTATATCTTTCTGTAGGATTGGAAAGTTTTATTTTATTATTTCTTTGAATAAACTTCTGACTCCTTACAATTTTTCAGTTCCCTTTCAAAGGCCAGTCACTCTTAGATTTGCTCTTTTGAGATTATCCTCTAGCTCTTGTAAGTATTTTTCATTCTTTTTTCCTCTGACTGTGTATTTTCAAATCTCCTGTCTTTGGGCTCACTTATTCTTCTGCTTGATTAATTCTAATATTAAGATCCTTCAATAGATTTTCCAGTTTAACTTGTATTTCTTACCTCCAGTATATCTGTTTCGTTTTTAAAAATTATTTCAACCTCTTTATTAAATGTATTTGATAAATTTCTGAATTGCTTTTCTGTGTTACCTTGGAGTTCACTGAATTTCCTCAAACCTGTTATTTTGAATTATTGATCCAAGAGCTCACACATTGTCATTTCATTGGGATCAGTCACTGCCTTCTTGTTTTTTACATTTAGGGAGTTCATGGTTCCTCATTTGCTCTTATTTCTTATAAACCTCTGTTTATATCATTGCACTGAAGGATTAATCATTTACCTCCGTCTTTACTGTTTGGCTTGATTTATTTTTTCTAGTGCATGTCTCTGCATAGGTATTGTGTTGATTGAGTTCCCCTGGCCCGAGATTGCTGCCTCTTTTATGGCACTAGATGGCTCCCTAAGCCTAGGTTTGCCGTGGCTCTTGCAAAAGTTAGTCTGCCCTTCCTGAATATTGGGGGATCCCAAAGATTACCCCTGGCTTTTCGGGAAGGCTGGCTAGATGTTTGTGGCCAGAGGACCCATGGAGCATGTACCCTACAGTATTATGCTGCTAAACAGCCTCCCTGATTTTGCCAAGTCAGAGAATAGCCACCTTTTTTTTGGCCAAGTCAAACAATAGCCACCACATTTTATGAGCTGAATGTTACTAGCCCCACCCTACTCTTTTTCTCTAGCTGCCCTCAGGAATTTTTGCCCTACAGGCCATTTACAATGCTTCCCATGGGTTGTGGCAGGAATGGTTATCATGCAAAACACAAAAACAAAAACCCCAAGATGATGGGGAACTTGGCTGTCTGCCTTGATTTTACTTTTCCCAGTGTAGAAACTGGAGTGTAGGGTGACTTTTCTGTGTGGTACCTAGCAGCTTCAGGAAGGGGCATTGCAGTTAGAGTGGTCCATTTCTTTTATCATCTGCTGGCAGATTTTCGCTTCTTTGTGATCCCAGTGATTGTCACAGACTTAATTTTGAGTTCTGAGATATTTCTGGTGATCACCTTGGCACTAGGTGGTTGGTTTTGTTTTTGGAGGGGGAGAACAACCAAGAAAGCCAGATCGCTTCTACTCTTTTATTTTGGTGATCTCTCTCTCTCTTTCTCTCCTATGCATCACTGTCACTTTTGATATAGAGTTTTTGAAACTGTCTTCTGACATTGTAATTTTTCTGATTAATAGCATAATTGTTTATGTTTGATAAGTTAAAATATAGAAAAGCACAAAATGATAAAAAGATAATCTGCAATCTTAACATCATGAGTTAGTCACCCAACCATTTTAGCGTTTATCTGCCAATCTCATAATTAACTAGTTGCTCCTTTTTGATGCATTATACTTTTAGCACATAGAGAAACTAGTTTTTGGCCCCTCTGAGCTTTTCCAGACCCCCTTTATGAAACCCTTTGGTCCTCGGCCTTGGTTGTTGGTACTGGTACAAGAAGAGGCATTTTTCCTTTGTTTTCAGTTTGCAGAACATCATGCTGGCAAGTGTCAAAGATAAAGTGGTAAGGACAAATGTTTTTCATCAATAACCTTTGGTAAAGAAGAAAAAATACTGTTTTTCCTCTACCCCTCTTAGGTTCATTGGCTGGAGCCTTGAGAATTAGACTGACAAAAGACAGATAAATAAACAGATTTATCAACAAATGTATGTGCATACCCATGGGAGTACTCAAACATGAGTAATTGAAAGAGGTGGTGCTACGGTTTGAACACTTCTGTTCCCTCTAAAATTAATGTTGAAACTTAATCCCCAAGGAAACTATATTAACAGCGTGGGCCTTTAAAAGGTAATTAGATCATGAAGGCTCCACCTTTATGAATGAGTATAACCTCATAAAGGAGATAAAGATAACTAGCTTTACCATTTTTGCTCTTTGGCCCTTCTCCACATGGGGACATAACATTCACCCCTTCAGAGAATATAGCATTCAAGTTGTTATCAAAAAACATCTTAGACTTCCCAACCTCTGGAGCTGTGAGAAAATAAATTTCTTTTCTCTAGCCAGTCTGTGATATTTCATTATAGCAATATTAATAGACTAAGACAGGAGTTAGAACTTGGGCTTGTGTAGGATCCCAACAAAAGAACAATACACATTTAGGGAATTGAGAAAACAAAAATAAAAGGACATAGAGTTTCTAGAGTGGCAAATCATGAGAAGGTAAATACATGGGGGAAACTAATGGAAGATAGGGCTAGTTAGTAAAGTTTATTGTGGAGTGTCCTCTGTTGACTTCCAGCTGACAAGGGTCTAAAATAGTCTTTGGTGATTTACTTCTGTTCTTCCTGTTACAGAAAAAAGAGGGGACATCTTTATCTTTACAAATTTATATTTTGTCTTTAGGCAAATAGGAAGAAGGCAGAAAATTTTTCTTGTATCTGCTTTTTCTCAGTTGCCTTCAGTTCAAAATAATCCTCATGCTAAAGTAGCATATTTTGAAGTGGGATAGTCTTCTATCCTTCACGTTGCAATGGGGAAGAAGTTCCAGTATTAACTCAGCTTTGATTTGTACAGAGGTACTGGACATTTTTAAGGGAGAATGAGGGAGTGAGGAAGAGGAAAAAGTGGAGGCTTGAGCAGAAATCGTGTATTTAAATTGGTGCTTATCAGGAGGAGATGTGAACTTATATTTATGACAGAAGGTAGTGGTACATGTTGGAGCAAGATGCCCATCAGGCTGGGAGAGAGAGTCAGAGTTATTTCCCTGAAGTTTGCATTTCAAAGAGACAGATCTCAGGTTCTTGAGAAGAAAGTTCTAGATGGTGGGAAACATCAGTCTCAAAAGCAGAAAGAAAGTATTATATTTACAACTTCAAGCTTTCAAGAGTAACTGCCCTAAGAGAGTATTCAGAGACCTGTCTATTACCAGGTTTTGGCTGTAACAAACAATAAATTCCCCTGGAAGCACTGAGCTTTCTGAGGCAGACACCTTAAAGGGGGTTTGGGGATCAGGTCACCCCAGAAACTGTGGTGGTGTTTGTTCAAGCCTCTTAGTGTTGGGGCAGGAAAATAATGGAATCATTTGTGCTGAGAGGCTGCAGTTTTATAGCCGAATATTGAGGTCTGGCCTAGGAGGGGGTTCAGAGGATCTTGACTAGGTTTGAACAAGGAGAGAATCTTTGTCACAAGTAAGGGAATGGTTTGGCTTATAAGTACCTGTCTTTACAGAATATACGTCAATTGACCAAAGGGATGCCAATGAAAAGTTAAAAATTCTGTTAGTTAAAAAAAAAAAAACACATGTGTAGAACTGGGGAAAAGAAGAAAGAACCAGACCAGAAAATATTTCACTAAAGTCTAGATCCAATTAGCTATACTTAATTTGTCTATAGTTGGTATCTGATATAGATGATTAATTACATCATAAATATGAAAAGAGGGAATGCAGCCATGGTTGTATTGAGAATATATAATGGGAAGGGATGGGAAAGGTGAATGGTGCTGAAATGGGAAAATTTCCCTTATCCCCCTTGCAGGGTGTATGATGAAGGTGTGGCTCACTTATTTGATGCCCCGCAGCTCAAACTTCTAGGGGGAGCATGGAGATGGTCAGGTTGTGGGGCTCTGACCTCATAGCAGTGTCTAGGGGTGAATGTTTACGGCTCCTGAAGCCCCAGTGGGTGTGTGTTACAGTGTGCTCTTTTAGTTTTGCCGTGTGTAGGCAACTTGTATTAATCAGCTCAATTAGACCCTTATCACAAGGACAAAGGGCTTTCTGTATCCCAGAGTTCTTGCCTTGGTGTGCTGGAAAAAATCAGATCACACATGGGCTTGGAGAATGAATGCAAGAATTTATTGAATGGTGGAAGTAGCTCTCAGCAGATGGATGGGGAGCCAGAAAGGGGATGGAGTGGGAAGGTGGTTTTCCCCCGGAGTTCAGTCACTCAATGGCTGCACTCTCCTCTGACCACCCTGGGCAAATTCCCCTCAGCATCCACATTGTTCCACTGGTCGATGGCCTGCTGGTGTCTGCTGTTGCCTGTTGGTGTGCTCTTCTGTTCCTCTGCTCCTCTAGACGTCTAACTGCCTGTGTGCTCTTCTGCTGGTGTGTTCCTCTCGATGTCCAGCCACTTGTGTGCATGGCCACTAGAGTCTCAGGGTTTTTATAGGCACAGGATAGGGGGCATGGCAGGTTAGGGTGGTCTTAGAAAATGCAACATTTGGGCACAAAAACAGGAGTGCCTGTCCTCACCTAGGTCCGTGGGTACAAGCTCGAGGGTGGAGCCCTCGCCAGGGACCCTGCCCTTCTTCTCCCAGCATTTTTCTGCCCTTCTCCCATACCAGTGCCACTCTTCTGCAAACTTTGATGAGAGATAATTGTGGAGAATCTGTTTAATTTGGATCTTTATGGTCACCTATCTAAAGTAAGTCTGACCCTTGAAGTTAATCTCATCTCATAGGATTTGATCATTCAACAGAGAGCAAGGATCTCAGGTACGCACATGCATGTATGTGTGTATAGGCAAATGTATTCATAATGCCATTCAGTGTGTAAGTATCTATAGATAAATTATTATTTATATTTGTGTATATTTTTTGGCTCATTAAGGACCTTTTGGGGTTAGGGGACAAACCAGGCACTCTCTCTACTTATGTATATATTAAAAATTTTTTTTGTCACTTTTTTTAAAGTATCAAATATGTTGTTTCCTTTCTTTCTTTACAAAGAGTGTAAAATTCTTCTTCTTCTTCTTCTTCTTCTTCTTCTTCTTCTTCTTCTTCTTCTTCTTCTTCTTCTTCTTCTTCTTCTTCTTCTTCTTCTTCTTCTTCTTCTTCTTCTTCTTCTTCTTCTTCTTCTTCTTCTTCTTCTTCTTCTTCTTCTTCTTCTTCTTCTTCTTCTTCTTCTTCTTCTTCTTCTTTCTTTTTTGACAGAGTTTTGCTCTTGTTGCCCAGGCTGGAGTGCCATGGTGTGATCTTGGCTCACTGCAACCTCCACCTCCCGGGTTCAAGTGATTCTCCTGCCTCAGCCTCCCAAGTAGCTGGGCTTACAGGAATGTGCCACCACGCCTGGCTAATTTTGTATTTTTAGTAGAGATGGGGGCTAATTTTGTATTTTTAGTAGAGACAGGGTTTCTCCACATTGGTCGGCTGGTAGAACTCCTGGCTTCGGGTGATCCACCAGCCTTAGCCTCCCAAAGTGGTGGGATTACAGGCGTGAGCCACTGCGCCTGGCCAAATTATTCTTATTTTTTTTTCAATTTACACATTTCCTTAAAAAATGATCTTAAAGAACTTGTATATGCAGGACTTCATAACACACAGTGCTGACTGTGAGATCTGAGTGTGAAGCTAATTTTTCATCTCTTTACCTCAGCTTTTAGTCTTCTAAATCTATAAATGCTAAATGCTAGAATTTTAGTGTAGAATTGTCCTTGGGCATGGTTTGCAATTGGCTCCTACTTACACAGTGACACCTGAAATAGGGCCCAGGAAGATAGGAACATTGAATGATGGGTTTGGGTGATAAATTAAAAACTGGAGAAAAAAAAAAAAGGAAATGAGTAATGGTGAAAATTTTTTAAAAAGAAAAAATATATTTTATTTTCTTTCATCAGAAAGTATATTACCCTATATTAGGGCCAACATAGGAAGAGGAAATAATGATAACTATATAGATAAATCATGCACATTCCAGTGATATTTGATTAGTCTTAGTGTGTTTTATGGAGGATGCAGTGCTCTAGCCATCCTAGAATACTTACAGGTTCTTGAATGCTGTGTTTTCTGATCTTCAAGCCTCTATTTTCTCTCTTATAACTTCACTCATTCTTCAAAATGTAATTTAACTCCTTTAAAAGAAAAAAAACCTCTCTTCTTCTCTCTCTCTATATTCTCAAAGTTTAGCATCAGGCCAAGTACTTAGGGTCCAATAAATGTTAAAACTGTGGATAAATGATACAGAGATCAGTAGTGGTGGTGAGAAAATTCTCTTCCTTTACATTGAAGAAGGGCTTTGGGAAGAAGCATAGTTTCAGAGATGGGAAGGGGAACATGAATATTACATTCTTAAATATAAATTTATATTTAGAATCACATGAAACTAAAATTCTCATTAAAACAACTAGAATAAGGTGAATACTCAACTACATAACTATAACTATGTCTGCAAGACCAAAAAGTAAATTATTTGCATCAAGAAAAATGCAGATAACTCCTACTTTGTACCCGTTGATTAACTTCTCCCAATTTTTCCCAGTCCCAAGCCCCTGCCAACTGCTAATTCTACTCTGGACTTCTGTAAGTTCTACTTTTTAGATCTATAGATAAGCAAGATTATTTGGTGTTTGTCTTTCTGTGCCTGGCTTACTTCACTAAATGTAACATCCTTCATCTGTGTTATTGCAAATGATGAGATTTCCTTCATTGCTAATACTAAATAATATTTCATTATATATGTGTGTATATACATGTGTGCATGTGTGTGTGTGTGTGTGTGTGTGTGTGTGTGTAGTCCATTCTTCTGTTGACCGGCATTTAGGTTGATTCTATATCTTGACTTTTGTGAATAATATTGTGTTGAACATGGAGGTACTTTGAGATACTGATTTCATTTGCTTTGGATATATATCCAGAAGTGAGATTATTGAATCATATAGTAGTCTATTTTTAATATTTTGAGAAAAATACACGCTGTTTTCCATAATGGCTATAGCAATTTACATTTCTGTCAACAGTATACAAGATTTCCTTTTCTCCACATCCATGCCAATACTTGTGCTTTTGTCTTTATCTTAACCATTTTAATCATTGTGAGGTGATATCTCATGGTTTTGATTTGCATTTCCTGGATGATTAGGTATGTTGAGTATCTTTTCATATACTTATTGGCTATTTGTATGTCTTCCTCTGAGAAAAGTGTGTTCAGGTCATTTGCACACTTTTTAATAGAGTTATTTGTTATCTTGCTATTGAGTTATTTGAGTTTCTATATTTTTGGCTATTAACACATTATCAGATATATGGCTTGCAAAATTTTCTCCCATTTCTTAGGTTGTGTCTTTACTCCTTCAATCATTTTCTTTGTTGTACAGAAGCTTCTTAGTTTGATGCATTCCCATTTGTCTACTATTTTGCTTTTGCTGCCTGTGCCTTGGTGTCATATCAAAAAAGTTATTGCCTATCCTAATGTAAATAAGTTTTCCCCTATATTTTATTCTAGCAATTTTACAGTTAAGTCTTAAATTCATTTTGAGTTTATATTTGCATATGGTATAAGATTCCAATTTCATTCTTTTGACTGTGGATATCCAGTTTTCCCAGCACAGTATATTGAGGAGACTTTCCTTATTTTGTGTTCTTGGCATATTTATTGAAGGTAAATTGGCCATGAATGTGGATTTAATTCTGAGCTCTCCTATTCTGTTCCATTGATGTATATGTCTCTTTTTATGCCTGAACTATTCTGTTTTGGTTGGTATAGCTTCGTAGTACATTTTGAAATCAGATAGTTCGATGCCTCCAGCTTGGTTCCTTTTGTTCAAGATTGCTTTGGCTATTTGAATTCTCTTGTAGTTCCGTATGAATTTTAGGATTTTTTTCTATTTTTATTAAAAATGTCATTGTATTTTTATAGGGATTGCAAGACTCTGTAGCTTACTTTGAGTAGAATTGCCATTTTACAATGTTAATTATTCCAATCCATAAACATGAGAAATCTTTCCAGTTATTTGTGTCTTCAAAATTTATTTCATTAATATCTTGTAGTTTTCAGTGTACAGATCATTCAACTGCTTGGTTAAATTTATTCTTAAGCATTTTATTCTTCCATAATGCCATTGTAAAGGAGATTGTTTTGCTTTTTTATAGAGTCATTTTTAGTGTGTAGAAATGCAACATTGGTTTTTCTTTTTATTCTTCTGACTTGTTACTTTCAAATGACTTATCTTTTTGCTTGCTGATTCTTTCTTCTGCTTAAAGCTCTCTATGGAATTTTTCAGCCCAGTCATTGTGTTCTTCAGCTCCAGAACTATAATTTGGTACTTTTTTTCTAGTTTCTACCTCTTTGTTGAACTTCTCATATTATTCATTATTATTTTCCTTGTTTTGTCTGGTTGCCTCTCCAGGTTCTCTTACAGCTTACTGAGCTACTTTCAAATTATTATTTTTAATTATTTGTTGAGAAGTTTGTAAATCTTCATTTCTTTAGGATAAGTTACTGGTGCTTTATTTTGTTCCTTTAGTGATGTCATTGTTTTCTGATTATTTATGATCCTAGTGGCCTTGATGTCTGTGCATTTGAAGAACTAGGCACTTCTTAGAGTCCTTACTGACTGGCTTCAGTAGTTAGCCTATCCAGAGATTTTATGTGGGCCATTTAGTGGGTTCTACTGATTAGTCTGCTGCTGTTATCCTTAGATGGGGTGGCCTGGGTCCTGGGTCAGTGGGAAGGCAGGCCTAGCACCTGAGTCCACAGCAGCCAGCCTGGAGCCTGGGTCTGCAGAGGCTATACTGAAGCTTAAGTCTGCAGGTATGAACCTGAAGCTTCTGTCTGCATGGATAAACCTGGCGCTTGAGTCTGTGGTATGGGACTGAATTCTAGGTCCACAAGGGCCAGCCTGGTGATGGAGTGTGGCTGGAGCCTGGGTCTGAAGGGGATATCCAGGATTCTGGAGTTGTGGTTGCCTCCCCTTGCACTGGGGAGGCCACAACCCTGGGACCATGGGTGTTGGCCTGGTGCTGGGGTGGGCTTGGAGCCTGAGTCCACAGGGACCAGCCTGGCATTGGTTTACTGTCATGAACCTGGTGCTGGGGTCTGTGGGAAAGCTGACTTTTCACTTTATTCTTCTTTCCCTATGTGGATAGTATTTTTCTTTGCACTGTGCTGCCCATGCTGGGGGGAGTGGTGGTGTGTGTAATGTGAAACTGTCCTTTGTACACTTTTCAATGCATCTTTCCTTATTTCTGTGCTTCCCCTGGGTGCTGTAATCTCTCACCTAGATTTCCTAGCTGGTGTGAAGATAGTTTTATGCATAGGTACTTGTTCAAATTGATGCTTTTATAATGGGATAAGTGCCTCAAAATCTTATTCTGCCATGTTGCTGACATTTTCTATCTTTGCTTGAAAATTTTACTCTGCCACGTTGCTGACATTTTCCATCTCTACTAGTCTTAGGACTCTTAATGAGGACTAGGGACCTAAGAAGGAGGCAAAGTGGTTTAATAAAAAGAGAACAAGTTTGAATGTGTTCAAAATTGAAAACTCTTAAAATTAACTGAAAATGATAAAATGAGGCAATTTGTTGGGATAGAAAATTGTGAAATTAATTGGAACTTGGATCTATCTATAAATCTGAGATGGAAAATTATTAGTAAATATTTTCAGAACTAATTGCAAACATATTTAAAAACAAGAGACTGAAAACTAAGAATGACATATTGGGGAAGTATTTTTACACCTGAGACTGTAAAAGGAATAAATCATGGGACATATTAGTTCTGCCTCAACAATAAAGTTTATCACAGTGAAAAAATCTGTAGTTTAACTCACATAATAGTATTGGATAAGGCCATGAAGTAAGGTCTATTATTTCATGAGAAGTCAGGCATTGCTAAATAATTTAAGAGTTCAGAAGAATCAGAATTTCAGAGCTGAAATAAACCTTATGAATAATCTAATCTGGCTTCTTAATTTTATAGTTAAAGAAATTGAGGTTTAGAGAATAAAAAGAATTACCTAAGGTCACCTAGGGATTTATCAATAGAGTGGAAAGAAAGAGTCAGGACTTCAAGTTTTCAGCCTGGTGCCCATTTCTTGTGACAATATAACATGTTGAGCTATGTGTCAATAATTTCTTTACTAGAAATTATGTATGAAATTCAGCTGCTTCTTGGCTGAATAGATTTCCGTTTTTGGGAATGATGAGATACAATTACATTTAGCAAGTATTTATTCAGTACATCCCTGTGCTTGGCACTCCAAAAATTTGAAATATAGTGGAAGGTTCATTCCCTTCTCTAGTGGCATATGAAATTGCAAGTTCCTCACAAAAGTGTGAAATTTTTAGTATCTGGGTCATCTTACATTCACTGTGTTCTCAGTAATTATCATAGGTCCTGTTATATAATGGGTAGTCAAAAACTGCTCAATAACTCAACCTGGAGAAAGAAAACTGATATCTAGATCACCAAACCATGAGCATTAAATTGTTAACCAGAAAATTCTGAGCAACTGTAGTAAGAATAGGAGACATTAAAATGTGTTGTTCTTGTTTCTAAGCAATGAAAACCTTTTTTAAAAATACTGTACCTGGCTGGGCATGGTGGCTCACGCCTGTAATCTCAGCACTTTGGGAGGCTGAGGCAGGTGGATGGTGAGGTCAGGAGATTGAGACCATCCTGCCTAACACGGTGAAACCCCATTTCTACTAAAAATACAAAAAAATTAGCCGGGCATGGTGGCAGGCGCCTATAGTCCCAGCTACTCAGGAGGCTAAGGTGGGATGAATGGCGTGAACCTGGGAGGCAGAGCTTTCAGTAAGCTGAGATTGTGCCACTGCACTCCAGCCTGGGTGACAGAGCGAGACTCTGTCTCCAAAAAAAAAAAAAAACAAAAACAAAAAACCAACAACAAAGCAAAACAAAAAAACTGTACCCAATTTAGTATTTTCCTTCTCACAGTTTTTTTTTAAAGGAAAAAGATAGTGGCAATGGAAAAAAATTAACCTGGTGACCTCCACAGCATGGCAGGATACTGTGCTATGCTGAATGATAAGTAGAAGACTGAAAAATAAGCTATTTCCCAATAAAAAGTATCTGAAGTATAAAATTATCTATGAAGTATAAATTATCCCTCAGAATTTATTCCAACTTGAGGCAAGGGAGCTATATTCTCACATCATTTAGTTATTGGCTTCGGGTCATACCAGGATGACGGAAATATAAACTCCCAGGTATTTCCAGACCTCTGTGCAGTCAAAGTAGTTGTAATAGCTCAAGGGCAGCCTCTAAAGAGAACCACAATGAAATAATTTGTAGTACAAATAAAAGCCAAGGGAAGGATGCACAGAACTGGTAAAGCAATGGAATCTGAGCAGACCACAGGCAGTAGTATCTGCTATAGCAGGAGTCAGCAAACTTTTCCTGCAAAACCAAGCCATATTATATATTATCTCTGTTGCAATCATTGAACTCTGTTATTGCAGTGCAAAAGCTTCCAGAAACAATAAATGAGCAAATGAGCAGGTACGTATCCTAACAAAACTTTACTATAAATACTGAAATTTTAATTGTATGTAATTTTTACATGTCACAAGATATTATTTTTGCTCTGACTTTAAAAAGATGATTAAAAATACAAAAACCATTCTTAGCTCACAGGTTGTACAAAAACAGGCAATGATTCCAGGCTGTAGTTTGCTGACTGTTGAAACAGTACTATTCAAACTGCTTCATGTTTATTAGCTCATTTTTCTTCATAACAACTTATTGTATTATGACTATTATTTTCCCCATATTACAGACAAAGGGACTGATGCACAGATTGGTAAAATAACTGTAGGATATAATAAATTCCTCTTCAAAGGTTTTAGCCTGTAAATTCTTAAGTACAATGAGTTCTGAGATCCTCTCCAAAGACGCAATGTATCAGTATGTTCAGCTCCCCTCTTCTTTGTTCTTCATTTTAAAGTTTAACTTCCTCATTATCTTTGTCTCCTTGCCCCTAGTTTCAGTAAACAACCTCCTCCTAGCTTCTATCACCTGCTCCATCCTGAGTCACCCCTGGTCACCTGCTCTGACCTGAGTCATCCAGAGTCACCTGTTCTGTAACTGTCCTTCCGGCCAAACTACTCACCCTGCCACTCCAGCTTGTATCCTTGCTCTCTTTAAAATAGCCAATCATAATTAGCTTAGATTGTGCAGTCCAACCCAAACCCAAGCCAATAGGGGAATGACACAGCTGTAGGGGCTACCTGCATCAGGGATAAGAACGCCTTTCCCTCCCTTGTGCAGGTGTGCTCTTGCCATTGCTCCATCTGTGATGTGCACCCTTCTATAGAAGTAAAATTGCCTTGCTGAGAAAATTACATTTATGTTTGAGTGCTATTTCTTTCGTGGCACTGAAAGTTTATTTCTAACCAAGTCAACTTTTACTCAGCTAATAAGTAGCACAGCCAGGATTTGAGTACATGGTCTAGCTAGTCTATGCTCTTAATTGCTATACCACATTGTGCCTGACCTTAACAGAAATAAGCTAAAAAAAAGCAAAAATTCTATTATATAGATAACATAACCAACCTTCCTTTACTGATATTTCTAGAGCTGTATAGGAAGTGAACCTAAGAAAGAACAGAATCACACACCTTCTGGCTGCAATAACTGGCACATGGTATTGCATTAGGTCTTCACCTCAGTGTGCTGGAAGTCAATGATATGTCTTATTTTCAGAAAGCGGTTCATCTTTGGAGTAAAATAGCTTTATTGAAAGTTATGCAGTTCTCTTATTTGGAACAAAAAAAGGTATGTGGGCTATGTATCTGGAAAGGATGGAGTCTTGTCATATAAAGACAAGCTTTACTATACAACCAGCTTTACTTGAACGTATCCTAGCTTATATATTTTTTCCCGGTGCTATCATATATTGTATGGCTATTGCTTTAGGGACCTTGAGAACTGAAACATCTGCACCCATGCAGCTTTCTGTCGACATTAATGTGACTTTACTCTTCCACTGTTTCCAATTTCCAAGAAACTCTTGCCTAGGAAGACAAAAGTTGAAAGTAAATTTATTGTTTATTCCAGGAACATCCAGAAGAATTTATTTAAATGAATATCAAACTATTTAACTCTTCAATAGATAGGTTCTAATGATTGTTTAGTCTCCAAGACTATTTGAACTTGCCTGAAAAGCCTTGTCTTTGGACACATCAATACTAAACTAACACATTGTTACAAAATTTAACTAAGCTCATGAATTGAAAGGCCCACCTTAAACCAGAGTCTAAAACCCCACAAATATCCCAACTTTGTACTCCCTGCTCTGAGATACAACTATGACTTTGCTAAGGTAGTGCCTTCCTTTACCATGGTAAAATTAAACTCAGCCTTATCTTATCAAAAGTTGCTTTGATAATATTTCAGGGAGTCAGCACTTGACAATATCCTAGTTTTCTATATTTTTAATACTTTGAACTGTCTGTAGTTGAAGATAATACAGATGTTAACAGGTTCTCTGAGTTAGGAGCTCCTTCTAGGCAATGTTTTTATGAAGAGAATCTGGGAACTGAAATCTTCTTCCTGGCTGTAATGCAGATCTTCACCACTTCTGAGATTAAATGTACCTTCCATTAATGTGTAAATTACTTGGAAAGTTTTTATTAAGCAAATGGTGGTTTTTTTTTTTTTACAACTGCTGATGTTCTCTAATTGAGGAATTATGTTATTAGATTCAGTTGGTTTATGACAAAGGCCAGTGCATAGAAGAGACCATAAATGAATGTGCCCATCTTTATTTGGTTCCTGGGAAGCTAAAATTGAGGAGTTGAATCTTTCCCTCCCCATAACCTCTATTGAGAGAGATTCTGAGTGAATTCAAAATGCAGGAAGTTCACATTTTTATCAGGAAAAAAATCTGATAGTTTTGGTTAGACAAAAAGCCCTTAAAAATCTAATTAAGTCTTAGTTTTTGAAGAATAACTATGACATTTCTATTGAAGGCAACCCATGAAGCAATGTAATAGCCCAAACAGACAAAGGTTGGGAGCCTAATTTGGGTCAATTCTGGTCACAAATCAATTTTTATTTTAAAGATAGCCTGAAAATAACCTGAAATAAACTTATTTTATAAAGTAACTGTGAAAACTTATTGTTCCTTTTGCTGTATTTTTTATTGTGCTTTGGGACTTGGTTTACTCAGCTATAAAATTTTTAATAGAGTATTTCTTGCTTTTGCTTGGGAAACTAACAAGAATATGACACTTTAGGGGTTATTTGATGGAAAGGAGAAGAAAATCTTTAAAACTTGCTGAAGCAAGCTGTAGCTACTGTAGTCTAAATAAAGCTTCTCTTTGCTTTGGTTGTCTTCTACAAGGCAAGTAAGGCCCCTCTATTATTTATGTGCAAAGATTTGATGGAAGCCAACCTTTAAAATATTTCTACTCTACTAAGCTTAAATACTAACCATATTTGGGATTTGCCTAACACCTCTTCTCCAGAGGGTTTTAAATACATTTTACCGAGGATGTAAGTGATGATATACAAAACATTTTGCCTTTTTAGCCTGTCACACTCTGGGAGATCGGGAACAAACTTTTGAATACTGGAAAAAGCTATGTATGCCCTGAATTTCTAGTTCGTTTTACCTAATCAACCCAGTCAAGGTAGGCATGGGGAGTCAGTTCAAAACTCTCAATATAGTCTGTTGATTTTTTTTCATTCAAATAAGCCATGTTCCTGAAAGTCATAATTTATAATAAAATACACTTTTTGAGACAAAAGACAAACTTTATTAGTATGTCTAATTTTTTAGCATTCTTGAAAGAACTTACACTTTCTACTGCATAATGATGCAAATGTTGTTTTCTTAACGGTGGATAATTATTTGTGTTCTCTGGATAACACAGCACTGGAAAGTGGAGAGATAACTGAGTCAGGGAAGAATTCTGATGCTCCTGGGAACTCAGGGTCCAGATTTACATAAAAGGTTCTGTATTTATAAAAAAATTTATTGTATATCTTCCACATTTTCACAACTGTATGATAGGAAATAATGTTCAGTCAGCCAAGTTTTTATTGGCACGTTTCAGAGTGAAACTCAGACAATTTGCATTCATATTTTATTGACTATTCCGTAATACTCTGTATCTTTGAAATAAATAGGCCTTGGCATTCCATTTCCATCCTTATGCTAAACCTATTATTTTTCTGTTTTATTCCTTTTGGAAAATAGACTGTGACTTTCCAGAATTACTTTCTCAGTTTCTAAGGAAGCAATTTTTAAGGCTTCTTTTACTTTTTATATTTAAAGAAGTTTGTTGATGCCTTTAAACTTAAGTTCTTACAATGATTTACACTCTATACTCACCACATTTCTTGGTGGTATATAATTAACCATTTTGTTGGGCAGAGAAACACAAACTAGTAGAATGAAACTAGCTTGAGTTATAATTGCTGTGCTGTGCTAGTACCATTGGGTTAAGATTTTCTTTTTTTTTTATTTTTTTAAATTTTTAAATTTTATTATTATTATACTTTAAGTTTTAGGGTACATGTGCACAATGTGCAGGTTTGTTACATATGTATACATGTGCAATGCTGGTGTGCTCCACCCATTAACTCGTCATTTAGCATTAGGTATATCTCCTAAAGCTATCCCTCCCCGCTCCCCCCACCCCACAACAGTCCCCAGAGTGTGATGTTCCCCTTCCTGTGTCCATGTGTTCTCATTGTTCAATTCCCACCTATGAGTGAGATTATATGGTGTTTGGTTTTTTGTTCTTGGGATAGTTTACTGAGAATGATGATTTCCAATTTCATCCATGTCCCTACAAAGGACATGAACTCATCCTTTTTTATGGCTGCATAGTATTCCATGGTGCATATGTGCCACATTTTCTTAATCCAGTCTATCATTGTTGGACATTTGGGTTGGTTCCAAGTCTTTGCTATTGTGAATAGTGCCGCAAGAAACATACATGTGCATGTGTCTTTGTAGCAGCATGATTTATAGTCCTTTGGGTATCCAGTAATGGGATGGCTGGGTCAAATGGTATTTCTAGTTCTAGATCCCTGAGGAATCGCCACACTGACTTCCACAATGGTTGAACTAGTTTACAGTCCCACCAACAGTGTAAAAGTGTTCCTATTTCTCCACATCCTCTCCAGCACCTGTTGTTTCCTGACTTTTTAATGATTGCCATTCTAACTGGTGTGAGATGGTATCTCACTGTGGTTGTGATTTGCATTTCTCTGATAGCCAGTGATGGTGAGCATTTTTTCACGTGTTTTTTGGCTGCATAAATGTCTTCTTTTGAGAAGTGTCTGTTCATGTCCTTCGCCCACTTGTTGATGGGGTTGTTTGTTTTTTTCTTGTAAATTTGTTTGAGTTCATTGTAGATTCTGGATATTAGCCCTTTGTCAGATGAGTAGGTTGTGAAAAATTTCTCCCATTTTGTAGGTTGCCTGTTCACTCTGATGGTAGTTTCTTTTGCTGTGCAGAAGCTCTTTAGTTTAATTAGATCCCATTTGTCAATTTTGGCTTTTGTTGCCATTGCTTTTGGTGTTTTAGACATGGAGTCCTTGCCCATGCCTATGTCCTGAATGGTAATGCCTAGGTTTTCTTCTAGGGTTTTTATGGTTTTAGGTCTAATGGTTAAGATTTTCTGTTGCAACAAATATCAAAGCAAATCTCATCTCCTATAGAAAAATAGGCATGCAAGAGAAAAAGGGAAAAACATGGAAGAATTTCAACTTTGTTGAGTAATGTGAAGGGACTAGAGAAGTTTAGGACATGGTAACCACTTCTAAGGACCTTCATGTCTATTTGACTTCACCATGATTCCCCCCTCTATGAGTAAATTCATAATGTAAGAGTTGCATTTTGATTGGATTTGGCTTACACACTTGATTGCTCTTTGTTGACTGTTTCTTAACAGGTCACCTAGATTCAACAAATTTGGATCACATTTACTCTTGAATAAAAATATGTAAATTTCAATAGCGTTCCAGTCAAAGTTCTTTTGGTTGCAAATAGTCACTCTTTTCCACTAGTAAAATAGAGGATTTTATCATGCAATGCAGAGGATATTCATGATCCCAAGGCAAAGTTCACATTTTATATTGTAATGGAATTGGGGGCCAGGAAGTTAATTCATTCCTATTAGCTCTCTAGAGCCATGTGGTCTTTCTTATCTCTGCTTTGCCTAATGTTCTATTCATCTCTCTTTTTGCTTACTCAAAATGTACCTGGTTCAACATGGTCTCCAGACTCTGCCACTACATCATGAATACTTAGCTTCAACAACCAACATTAATTGACAACTGTCTCTGTGCATTTTGTTCAGATTCTCTTGAGGGGATGTGATTGCCTAAGCCCAGCTAACATTTGGAGAACCCTTTGTTCATTCCTAGTCCTCTTAGCTTTGGCTGGAAGACAGGTTCATATGATACAACATAGATGGTTAGTTCTGTCAGAGGCATTTGAACCAGAGCAACTCCATTTTGAGTGAGGGCTAGGAAAATGAGGCTGAGACTTGCCGGGCTGCATTCTCAGGAATTTAGGCATTCCTAGCCTCTAGATGTTTATGGTTAAGGGAATAAATTAATAATGTTTACTAAACAGACCCAGACTTAGGAATGTCCAGATATCCCAATATCTGGAAAGCAAAGGCATTCCTAATATTGCTTTAAAGATAATAATATTGATTCTTGAAAAATACAGTAATTAAGAAAGTTAATCCTTTATCACAAACCTTTGTAGCAGAGCACATCTCCCCATATAAACAAACATTGTACCTAGGGTAGATGCGTTCCTCCTGTTACTTTCAGGAACGTCCCACTCTGCCTATGGAGTAGCTGTCCTTTCACCACTTTACTTTTTAAATAAATTTGCTTTTACTTTGCACTGTGGACTTGCCCTGAATTCCTTCTTGCATGAGATCCAAGAACCCTCTCTTGGGGTCTGGATCCGAACCCCTATATTATAATAGTTCTACTACTTTAGCAGTGGCTGTGAGTGTAAACTATTTCTGTTGAAGGGGCGGCTGGTCTAGGAGGTATTGAATGGTTTGACATGAGTTAGTCTGGGTTAGCCTTTTCACCAGATCTGTCTTGATATATGTGACTTCCACAACATCTGGAAGAATATCCAAGAATAGACATTCAAGTTTGTCAAGACTCCTTCACTGTTAGAGGTGTGCCCCTTATGCTTCATTTAGTAAATATTTTTGCCAGGTGCTGACCCAGGTCCTGGTAATACAGTGGTGAAGAAGACAAGGAAAGGCCCTGTGTTCCTGAAACTTGTATTATATTGAAGGAGGGCAGCAATGCCAAATAAACAAACCAGCTATAAAATTTTATGAGAAAATGTTTAGTGCTATAAAGATGATAATACAGGATGATGTGATACAGAGTGAACGTGGGATTAGATTGGATTCCTAGGTAAGTTATCTCTGAGGCAGTAAACTTTGAGCTAATATCTAAATGATAAAGGTGCTTGCCACATTTCTAAACATTTCATATGTATTAACTCATTTTTTCTCACATTTAGCTTATGAAGTAATTATTCATATTCTCTACAGTTGATAAATGAGGAAACAAAAGCATGGAGACCCAGTCAGAATATGTAGGTTGCCTATGGTTGCATAACTAAGTAATAGAGCTAGAATTCAAACCCTAACAGTACCAATATCGTACAGAGTCTGTACCCACAATCACACCCTATATGGCCTTCTGAGTAATTATACATTACCCAGATTTAAAAGCTACTCAGACTCCCAGTTTCTTAGGTTCTCATTTGTTTTTTCTCTTAGCAATCTGCAACTTACTATTTGTTTTTCTCTCAGTGTTGAAATGTGTTTCTGTTTCTTTCCATTTCTGACCATTTAAACACATAAATAATACTACTTTTAAGCTCTTGTACACAACAAACTGTGATGTATAAAAATATGGTAATTTTATCGTGTGTAAAATAATATAAACATTTGCTACTTTTTATAATAAAATTTAATTTTTTCTACCTTTAGATGTATTAAAATATTTTATTTTGTCTGACATTATGAAATAATTCAAGCTTATTATAAAAGATGTACATATAGTGATGACCCAAATTCCCACCACCTAGCTTTCCTAATTTTTACCATTTTTACTTGGCTTTTAATTTAAAAAATCTAAAGAAAAATAGAAACCACCACAGATGAAGTCTATATATCTCTCCCTGATCTAATCTCTTCCCTTTCCTCCTAGCAGTTTATACTATCTTGAATTTATTATTTATCCTTTCCATGCATTTCTTTCATTGTTACTTTTACTATAAATATAAACATGCATAAAAAATATGTAGCATTCTTTGTGATTGCTATAGACTGAATGTTTAATGTCCCCCTCAAATCCATATGTTGAAGCCCTAATCCCCAGTGTGATGATTTGGAGGTGTGGCCTTTGGGAGGTTATTAGGTTTTGATGAGGTCATGAGATGGAGCCCATGATGGAACTTGTGTCCTTAGAAAGGAATGATAAGACCAGAGCTCTCTCTCAGGCCCATGTGAGGACACTGAGGACAGAACTCTCTCGGGGCCTTGTGAGGACATAGCCTTTGTAGCTGTCCTCAAGTGGGTGGGCCCACACTAGACACCAAATCTTCTGACACCTTTTCTTGGACTTCCCAGTCTAGAGAAATGTGAGAAATAAATGCTTATTGTTTAAGCCACCTAGTCTATGATATTTGTTATAGCAGCAGGAGCTAAGACAGTGATGTTTTATTTTTGTAATTAAAAATTATTGACTGGGTGTGGTGGCTCACGCCTGTAATCACAGCACTTTGGGAGGCCAAGGCAGGTGAATCACAAGTTCAAGAGATCCAGACCATCCTGGGCAACATGGTGAATCCCCGTCTGTACTAAAAATAAAAATAAAAAAAAGAAAATTAACTGGGCATGGTAGTGGGCACCTGTAATACCAGCTACTCAGGAGGCTGAGGCAGGAGAATCACTTGAACCTGGGAGTTGGAGGTTGCAGTGACCTGAGATCGTGCCAGTGCACTCCAGCCTGGTGACAGAGTGAGACTCTGTCTCAAAAAAAAAAAAAATTATTGCAGTAAAGAATTTTTAATTGTCAAGTCTTGTTAACTATAGGCACTACATTGTATAGCAGATCTCTAGAATTTATTCATCTTATATAACTGACCCTTTACAACTGAAGAAGAGTAGCTTCTCATATCTCTTCCCCCAGTCCCTGGCAACTACCATTCCATTCTGTTTCTATGAGTTTGACTATTTTAGACACTTCATATAATTATGCAATATTTGTTTTTCTGTGACTGGCTTACTTCATTTAGCATAATCCTCCAGTTCCGTCCATGCTGTTGCATATTGCAGGATTTCCTTCCTTTTAAGGCTGAATAATATCCCCTTGTATGTATAAATCACATTTTAAAAATCCATTCATCTGTTGATGAACATTCAGGTTGTTTACATATCTTGGGTGTTATGAACAATGCTGCAATAAACATGGGAGTGCAAATATCTCCTTGATATTTAGGTTTCAATTATCTTGTGTATATACTCAGTAGTGGGATTGCTAGATCATATGATAGTTCTATTTTTTAATTTTTCAATGATTGATCCCACATGCTGCTTTCCATAGTGACTGCACTATTTTACATTTCTAACAACAATACACAAGGGTTCCAATTTCTCCACATTCTCACCAACACTTGTTATCTTTGTTTTCTTGATACGAGCCATCCTAACAGGCATGAAGTGGTATCTTATTGTGGTTTTAATTTGCATTTCCCTAATGATTATTGATGCTGAGCATCTTTTCATATATGTTGACTTTTGTATCCCTTCTTTAGGGAAATGTGTATTCAAATCTTTTTCTCTTTTTTAAATTGGGTTATTTGGTTTTTTTGCTATGAAGTTGTACAAGGGATGTGGATATGGTTTGGCTGTGTCACCACCCGAATCTCATCTTGAATTCACATGTGTTTTGGGAAGGACCTGGTGGGAGGTAATTGAATCATGGGGGTAAGTCTTTCCTGTGCTGTTGTAATGATAGTGAATAAGTCTCATGAGATCTGATGGTTTTAAAAAGAGGTGTTCCCCTGCACAAGCTCTCTCTCATTTTTCGCTTGCTGCCAGCCATGTAAGATGTGACTTGCCCCTCCTTGCCTTCTGCCATGATTGTGAGGCTTCCTCAGCCATGTGGAACTGTAAGTCCAATTAAACCTCTTTCTGTTGTAAATTGCTCACTCTCAGTTATGTCTTTATCAGCAGTGTGGAAATGGATTAATACAGATATCTTAAACTTTATTAAAATGTCATACTATATGTACATACTCCAACTTGATCTTTTCTTTTTTGGTCAATGGTATGCTTCTGAGATTTAGCAATGTTGCTACATGCAGTTCCAGTTTATTGAATTTAATGTTGTTTTAAATAAACAAAGTTTGGCTGGGCACGGTGGCTTATGTTTGTAATCCCAGCACTCTGGGAGGCCAGGAGTTTGAGACCAGCCTGGCCAACATGGTGAAAACCCATCTCTACTAAAAATACAAAAATTAGCAGGCATGGTGGTGTGCGCCTGTAGTCCCAGTTATTTGGGAGGCTGAGGCAGGAGAATCACTTGAACCTGGGAGGTGGAGGTTGCAGTGAGCCAAGATTGTGCCACTGCACTCCAGCCTGGGTAACAGAGCGAGACTCTATCTCAAAAAACAAAAACAAAAAAACAAAGATTGTTCTCTGTTCTTTTGCAGTTAGTTAATGCTATAAGGAACCTGCTTGTACTTGTATGCTTGTGTACAGCTGTAAAGATTTCTTTTGGTTATATACCTAGGAATAAACTTACTAGGTATAGGACATGGACGTCTTCACCTTTAACAGATTTTGACAAACTGCTCTTCAAATATGGTTTTACCTGTAGTTTATACTTCTTATTATAAAAAATACTGATGAAAATATACCTGGAAACATTGAAACAAAGACTAAAAATATTAGCATTCCATATAAAACCTTTTCTCTATGCATTTTATCTATATAATATGACCCTATTGTATAAATAATGCTTGGTTTTACTTTTTACATATAAGTATGTCATTGTTGCATTATAAACTTTTATTTATGTCACTTTTAGCAACTATAAAACTCTCATGAGATGAATATACCACATAATTATCTTCTTGTTGGTTATGTTGATTAATTTTAATTTTCACCATTTAAAGTAATTTTTATAAACTTCGTATGGTTTCAAAAATATGTTTATATTATTTTGGCTTCTGTTTTCTTATCTTGATATTATACCATGTATATATTCTATATCTGCCATGGAATGCTTCAAGTCACTACACTATGTGGAATTACACAGGGTTTTTTTTAAACCTTCACAGGTAAAGAGGATTCCATACCAAAACTTAGAATTAACCTGAAAGTTTCAATAATTTGAGTCAAATGGTTAAACATTTTAATAGGCTATATTTTCTGTCAGAAGAGTTGCCATCCTTCCCTGCATTTTAACAGTTACATTTATTTTTGATATCGAAGAGCTACAGACTACTGAAATGGCTGAAAGTAGTCAAGAATGGTTGACTGCTTTGGTTTTCTTCTAGAACTGTAGCTTCCACCATTTCCAAGCTTAGCATATTGAGGGGACCATGTGCGTATGTAACAGACACAATTTCTAAACTTTTCCTGTCCTTTGTCTTTTGTAGTTTTGAAGAAGCTGTCATAATAAGGTCACAGTACAGGCTCAGCCTTATGTTAACAACTTTCTGAAGCTGAAAGAGAATTCCCCTGAGAAGGCTACACAGCAGTGTTTGGCATGTGAACAAAAAAAAAATCAAAAAAAAGAATGGCACAGTTTTCCTGTGATGGCTATACACTCTGCGAAAAAGACTCTAAAATATTAATTATAAGGTAGAGGGAGGCTGAGTTGGAAAGGATGCATAAAACACAAATGCGGATTTCTAATGCAACTGAAACAAATTAATTATCCCACTGGCTCTATTTATTTTATAATAGGCCCCAACTCTATACTTGCCTCAAGAAATACTTCTCTCCTAGGCAATTCTTTGGATAAAATGATGAATAGAGTTCAAGTGAGAGGGTGCAGGATGGATTGGCAAACTCAGTGAATTTTATGCCCTAATCTAAAATGAGATGGTTGAGAGAAAACTGATTGAAGCAGCTAAACCCTGCCAGGAAGAACAGTCTCTGAGTTGCCACCATTGCTGTGTAGCCCTAAGCTTGTTACCATACAAATGTATGACATTATCAGAGTTGGTGACAAATGTATAGTGGAGGAAGAGCAGGGGGTGGTGAATACGATACACAGGTGTAGGTTTTGCTAAGAAAGAAATTTTGCCTGTGAGGGACATAATGTGCATTAGCTCATTAAATCTTAAGTAGAATTGGAAATTTAAAAATTAGATTTTCAGTTCATGTAGTCTCATCAATTATCTCTGATTTGGGGCATAGTGTACAAGGTTCTCCATGACCTGACCGTTACCTGACACTCCAGCCTCATCTTCCCTTATAATCACCACTTCAAACTGTACCTTGGCTATATATCAGGTTGATTCTTGCTGAGATATCTTTGCTTTTTAAAATTATTATTGTTTTACCCTTTTAGCTTAAGATTTGGCTAAATTGTACTGTTTTTTGAGACTCCTTAGTCCTTCTTTCTGAGGATTTCTGAGCTTCTCTCTTGAGGATAGTGTCTATGGTAACAGTGATTTTTATCTGCCCAGTATCCTTTCCCCATATCTCACTTCTGCTACAGCCCTAGACATTCTCACTATAGTAGAAGGGACTTGGCAGAATCTTTACCAAAGTTATTCTAACAAGAACTGAAGACTAAAGATCCTATTGCCTACTGGGTCACTAAGATGAAAAAAGCCTTGCATTAGGAAAAATTAAAGACAATCATCAGAGACAAGAGATGGAGAGATGGAGTTCTAATAATTACCGAGTTCCCTTTTCAGTCCCTAATACACACAGAATGGCTTTGGTTCTTGCGTTTTTTTTCTTCTAATTGTTTGTTTTACTTCAGAATTCTAATACTCTTCCATAACATTTAATTTCCTAATGAATTGGAGATTTAATTTTTTTAATTTGTTACATGTAACCGATGGCCTAATACAATTTTTATTCTTGTGTTCTCCTTTACACCCTGGACTTACCGCTATCTTATTGCTTTCTTCATTTTGATGATGCAATATCACTATATATCTATGATTCCTAAAGACTCTGAGCTCCTCCAGAATAGGACAATATCTTCATCAGCATTTTAAAGTCAGTGTCTTGGACACATTATCATTTAAAAGTACTTAGCGGCCGGGCGCGGTGGCTCACGCCTATAATCCCAGCACTTTGGGAGGCCGAGGCGGGCGGATCACGAGGTCAGGAAATCGAGACCATCCTGGCTAAAACGGTGAAACCCTGTCTCTACTAAAAATACAAAAAATTAGCTGGGCGTGGTGGCGGGCGCCTGTAGTCCCAGCTACTCAGGAGGCTGAGGCAGGAGAATGGCGTGAACCCGGGAGGCGGAGCTTGCAGTGAGCTGAGATTGCGCCACTGCACTCCAGCCTGGGCGACAGAGCGAGACTCTGTCTCAAAAAAAAAAAAAAAAAAAGTACTTAGCAAATGCAAACTTAAATTGGACCAAACAATAATAACCTTGGAAAGTTAGTTCAGTGTTGAGCTCTTTATGGAATTGAATACCACCTTGGAATTTTATTGGCTAAAAACTGTTAAAGTGGTTTATGATTTTGATATGAGTCAACAATGAATTACAAAGAAATCTAATATGCTCACCTTGAATAAATCATAGTCAATCTTGCTGCAATATTGTTTTCTATCCACCAACATTTATCTGTGGTGATTAATATAAGAAAAAATTAATACGTTATGTATTGAAAATGAGATAATTATTTTTTCCTTTGAATGTTAAATTTTTCTTTTTAAATTTCCAGTAGCAGAAAAATTTTCTTGGTAATTCTCAGTGCCTTTGTGTTTTATATCTAAAACATATAAAAATGAAGAATTTCAACTTTGGAGTTTGTGTCTTGATTGGACCTCTTGATATTCCAACTATTGCTTGTGTTGCTGAATTGTGACATGGTGTCACATAACCTTATATAGTCTACCAAAGAGACATTAGATATTTATTCAGGGTCCCAAGGAGCAGCATAAAGAAAATGGATCTAACAATGTTGCTTAATTTCTTTTTTTCCTCATCTGTAAAATGGGTATAGCAATAGCACTGAATACAGTTAGAAGTATGATAAGTTAAAGGACTGAAGTTATTATGAAGATTAAAATAAAAAAAATCAGGCCGAGGCGGGTGGATCATGAGGTCAGGAGATCGAGACCATCCTGGCTAACACGGTGAAACCCCGTCTCTACTAAATAAACAAAAAATTAGCCAGGAGTAGTGGCGGACGCCTGTATTCCCAGCTACTCGGGAGGCTGAGGCAGGAGAATGGCGTGAACCCAGGGGGCGGAGCTTGCATTGAGCCGAGATCGCGCCATTGCACTCCAGCCTGGGCGACAGAGCGAGACTCCGTCTCAAAAAAAAAAAATCAATGGAGAAAATTTGCATTATGACTACCACATAGTAAATACTCAATACATGTTAGCCACTGTTAGAATTATTATGATTTGTTAGATGATGGATTAACAATTTACAAAAATAAGAAATAAATTAAAGCAAAATATACAGTAGTGGTGGGGATCTCAGAACTGATTAATCAAGTCCACACCCTCCCCCTACTCTAAGCGAATATTTCAGAGTATATATGTTTGTTGAATATCCCAGATGATGGGACTGAAAAATAAAACTCATATCTTAAAATAATGGACTTTTAGTTGAAAAGTTCACTGGAGGCCATTTCTTATGAGAGAAAACCCTACTGCTTTTGTTTTATAACCCCCAGTGAATTGAACTTTTTAAAGTGACAGACCATTCAATTTAATAATACATATAATTGTTAAGAAATTATTTTTATTAAATTGAAATGAAATCTAGCTCTCAGAAAAGTATACTAATTGTTATTTGTGCTATTCCTTAGGGCATATAGAAAAATGTCTAATTTCTTTTCAGCATAATATATGAGGTCAATTAAGATGTCTCACACAAGCCATCCCTCTCCTTAGGGATTCTGACTGCAGTTCATTTGCCATTGTATTGAATTCCCCCATCCTCTTACATACTCTTCTCAGCACTTAATCTAGTGTTCCAAAATCTCATTCATTCTGATACCCAAAACTATGTCTAAGTTTATTCTAATTAGCTCAGAATAGCTAAAATAGATTAATCTTCCTTGTTCTGGTACCTTATACTCAGTAATGCAGATTAGGTAGAATAATTTTGGGCCATCTCCATATTTTGAGTATGAATTAAAGTAGTACGTGTGCCTTAACAACATGTTTCTTTTTAGTGTGTATTAAAGTACGGATAGATTGTTGATTCTTATGAGTCTTGTAGAAAATTAAACCCTCAAAAGGCTATGTATGTGCTGCTATATTTTTGAACTTGTGCTCCAGATTTTTGATTTATCTATGTTAAATTCTAGTTTGATTCAGCCCATGATTAGAATTTGATGAAATTTTTTTGGGTTCCTAAATCTAGCATCAGCATGTTCTCTCTAGCTTCATTTTATCCTCCAGTTTAATTCCATGCTATAAGTGTTGGTTTGTATTTTTTTTAAATCCATATTTGTTTAAATATTGTATTTTTTAATTTTTCAAAGAATAGTTTTATTAATTACAAAAGTAATACATGCTTATTACAGAAATCAAAATATTACAGAAATTTATGATAGAGAAAAAGTTAAAGTGCCGCATTATTCCACTTCTGGAGATAATCACTATTAATATTTTGGATTATATTCTTCTCTCTCTTTTTATCTCTCCATATACTAGTAAAAATATATCTTTGTGTCTTTTTCCACACATGGAATAATACATTTAATCTTGAAACTTGATTTTTAAAAATTTCCTGCTAACTTAGCTGATCAAAACAAATTTATTGATGCATAATAATTATACATATTTATAGGATATGTGTGATATTTCTGCAGTGTTTAAAGGTTTGCAGAAAAGAATATTGGCAGAACAGAGCTTTGGACTGAAAACACAAGATATTTATGTTGACTATCCACGAATAAGAAGGTAATTAAGGGAGATGTACTTATGTTTCTGAATATATACATTTTATGTCAGAACTTGTGCTAAGTACCATACATACATTAGCTCATACAAACATTAGCCACACCATAGTCATATAAACTTAGTATTAAGTAATATAATTTTCACATTATAGATGAAGATAGTGAGAGGTGTCTAGTCCATCTTATGCTGGAACAAGAGGTCCTTTTTTTTTTTTTTTACTGAGTTTTGTTCTTGTGCCCAGGCTGAAGTGTAATGGCACGATCTCTGCTCACTGTAACCTCTGCCTCCCAGGTTCAAGTGATTCTACTGCCTCAACCTCCCAAGTAGCTGGGATTACAGGTGCCCGCCACCATGCCCAGCTAATTATTGTATTTTAGTAGAAACGGGGTTTCACCATGTTGGCTAGGCTTGTCTCCAACTCCTGACCTCAGGTGGTCCACCCACCTCAGCCTCCCAGTGTGCTGGGATTAGAGGTGTGAGCCACTGTGCCCAGCCAAGTTCCTATTTTTAAAATGTTTATCTAGGCATACCAGCATCATTTGTTGAAAAGACTCTCTTTTCCTAATTGAATTACCTTGGTGTCTTTGTGAAAAATCAATTAATTCTATTTGCAACAGCCTGTTTTCTGGACTCTGTATTCTATTTCATTGATCTAATCATCTATACTTATGTCAACTCCACAGTCTTAATTATTGTAGTTTTATAGTAAGCCTTGAAATCAGGTAGTGTGAGGCCTCCAACTTAATTTTTCTTTTTAAATATTGTTTTTATTGCTTTAGATTCTTTGAGTTCCATACATATTTTAGAATATATGTTAATTTCAGAAGAAAAGTATGATAGGATTATGATAGAGATGGTGTTAATTCTAGCTGAGGGAGAATACCATGAAGGTTAATTCTATCACCTCTGGATTTGGCCTGAGCTGTTTTGCTAAAGTACCTGCATGAAACTGACTTCTATCAAGGCATGAAACATATTATCATAATGTTTTTGCTTTGTAGTCGTGGGCCCAAGGAATTTTAGGATTGTGTGGACCAGCTTGTTAGCTTTGTTTATTGATAATAATTAGATAATTTACTATCCTCTCTCAGACAAACCCCTGGAGGGCTGTGCTTTTGGGGCTGCTTACATAGCAGAAATGCTTATGCAATCAGCAGAGTATAAGAAATCTCAGCCGAGATTCCTTTTTAGAGTTCTTGGTTCTTTGGTGTTCTCTGCACATTTTGGGGGCTCCTTATCCAAGGAGAAAGTGTGTCTCCCAGTGAACTTTAGAGACGGAGAAAAATTGGTTTGCACCTGGCTTCTCTAGGACATTTAAAGTAGACAAAAGTTCTTGAATGCCTGCTATATTATATTCTTTTTCTGCAATAAACTGTAGATTTTTAAACAGTGCCATTTTGGGTCCTGTGAACCTTGTTTAGCAGCTGCACCCTGCCTGACTGCCACTGGTAGTGCAGAGATAATCAGTATCTTAATAATACTGAGTCTTCCAATCTATGTAGTTTATCTCTTCATTTATTTGTCTTTCTTAATTTCTCTTTGTTCCTTTAAAATGTATTCAGTGTAGAGCTCTCGCACATTAATAACAATTCCAAAGTATGTTTTTTGTTGCTATTGTAAACTTTATTGTTTTGTAAAGTTATTTCTTAATTTTGATTGCCAGTTTATAGAAGGAAATGCAATTGAATTTTTTTATATTTACTAGGTGTTATATTTTTATTTTGATCTGATATCCCACAATCATTTAAATTTAAAAATTAATTACAATTGCTTTGTAGGTTCCTTATGATTTTCTACATAAACAATCATATTGTCTTGGAATGGAGGCAGTTTTACTTCTTTTCTCTCAATCATATGCCTATTTTTTTCTTTCACTTTCTTGCACGGCTAGAACCTCCACTACAATGTTAAAACAAAGAGATAAAAGCAGACATTCTTAACTTCTCTATGATTTTCGTGCAAACAAATTTATTAATTTGCCATTGCAGAAGTTAGTTAAAGCTGTTGTAGGAATACCTTTATCATATTGAGGCAATTCCTTTTGATTCATAGTTTACTGAGACTTTAATTGTTCATATTAAATTTTATCAGTTGCTTTTTCTGTAACTATTGAAAGAATCACAAAATTTTTCTCCTTAATTCTGTAATTTGGTGAGTTGGATTGATTAGTTTTCAAATTTTAACCTAACTGCACTCTTGGACTTAAGCCGTCTAGTTCTTAGAGATAATCTTCTTGTAGAAACTGAACAATTATACTGAGGAAAGAAAGTGAGGTGTGTGTGTGTGTGTGTGTGTGTGTGTGTGTGTGTATACATAGTTTTTAAAAATTAATTGGTTTTAGTTTTTCTTAGGAAAATTAACATTTAATTTGTTGAACTAGTTGTAAGACAAGAGCCTAAGTGTTCACACGGCAGAAAAGTTGAATTTAGCAAAGCATGGCTAAGTCTGCAAATGTCGCAGAATTCAGCCAAGCTGGAACGGTATTGACTTGAGAAACAATGACTAAGCACAGGCCTGTGATCTAAGAAAAATGTAACTTTCAAGCACAAAGTGTTAATAGGCAACTGGTCTACAAAGCGTTCTCCATGGAGTGGGCAAAAAATCTGCCCAGCTGTGCTGCATCAGTGTTGGGAATTGACAGAAAAACGCAAGGGCTGTCTGTAGTAACTTATTCAGATTCCACTTCAAATTTTCTTTGGTTTGAAGTAGAGCTGTCCTCCCTTGGACTCATACAATCTTCTACAATTCCTACAAGTTTTCAAGAGGGAGACTGTACTTTCTGCTAACAGAGAAGTGGTATAATATAGTGATCAGCAGCAGGACTCAGAACCTGACTGTCTAGATTCAAGCCCTTGGTCCACCACTCATTAACTGTCTCACCTTGATGTTTCCAAATTTCTATCTGACTTAGTCATTCGCGATGACGATGATGGTGATGATGATGATGGTGATGATGACAATAGAAAGCACACAATGGAGTTATTTTGAGGACACAATGAGATAATATATTTAAATAATATGATGACAACAATACCCTGGATATAGAAGTATTCAGTGAATATTTGCCATAATTAGAAAATTCTGTTATTAGTATGTAAATACCATGAGGAGAGGCATTTTTATGTTTTGTTCATTGCTGCATCTGCGGTGCCTAGAATAGTACCTGGAACAAAGAGACACTCCATAAAAAATATATTGAATGCATGAATGTAACATTTGCATCTAGAACTGATGAGTTGCATATATTGGTAACAATTAGTCCTATAATCTAGCAATTTAGTGGATTGGCCCTTGCTGAGGCGATAGCCTACTGAACTGGACAGATGGTTGGGGTAAATGCCAGTACTTGCCCTCCTGCAGGCATTTTCTGACCTAAAATTCTCATGCTTTGGTTCAATGTGACTCTGCACAGAGCAGCCATATAATTTGTATACAAACCAAACACTTTTGAGAATAAAAAGGGTTCTATTAATGACACCATGATAATAGATGTAAGCTGGGACAAACTAGGACAAACCAGGACATATGGCCACCTTACTTCAGCACCCTCACTGCCCCTGACTGGATTAAAGATTGGTGGCATTCCTAAAAGAGGTTGTCTATTGAGTAGACAGCAGCCCATGAAGTGGTCCCCAGTACATTAGGTAGGAACTGTCTAAAGCAGTAATATTCTCAATGGGGGCATTTTTAATGCAAAAATAGCCTGAGAGTCAAGTACTGATAAGAGCAGTTCAAAGAGGTAAAACAGAGGATAGCTGAGTCACCTAAGAGCACAGCACGGCTGCAGAGGGCATAAAGCGGACCAGATCTCTGCAGCTGTTGCTGTGCCTGGAGAGTCACCCGTGCTGTTCTATTCTCAGACTCATTCCAGATTTTTTCCATGATTTCAGTTCTCTGCTGACTGGGATTCTTTCTTTTCTGTTCTTGCTTACTTCCCTGATAATCCATAATATAAGCTTTGATTATTTGTGAAGAACTGGTTATATTTTTGTTAATTACAATCTGAAAAACTCTAACTCACATATGTGCAACTAATATCAGTTCTTTGTATTTTTTCCAGCATTATCTGCTGCTCTGCACTGCTTTAGTGTTAACACATTACTCGTGTTAGCCCATGATATTAAGATGCTCTGTAAGCTCTTGTCCACTATGAAATCAGTGTAGGTTTACAGATTAAATGATAAATAATTCACTTGTATTACCTGTATCATATTCAACTATGAGTTAAATGAGCTTTGGGTTTGCCTGGGAGTCTGACCAACGTTTGTAATAACATATCCATGAAAAAAAAATATCAAATTTCAACCAAGAGTGTCAAGACATTATTTGAGAAGCTAAAATCCAGGATACAAGGTTTGATAAGTATGAGTGCATTATGAAGACAATAGGGCAGAATATTTTAACTGCGATTCTTCTGGAAAGGCAGAGCTAAACGAAAACCATAAATATCAGAGACACAGGGTGGTGTTCAGCATCATCATAATAGGGATATTATGGTAGAAATATAATTTAAAAATAACTAAACTACAGTAATGTCAAATGTACCAGAAAAGAAAATATGCGTGTATGGGAGATAAGGGGTGACTGGAGGAGGGAAGGACTGTGAGAGCACAGCCTTTCTAGAATGAATCTTCTGTGAGAATTTTTAGTCTAACTCAGCAATATATGTACACACAGGAGTAAAGAGACTGCTGATGCATGTAATGCCTGTCAACATTGTTTCACATGATTAACTTTTCCTTTTTAAACTCATCTGATGTTATTGTTGTTAAATAAAATTTATAGGTGACTGTTGGTTTGAACTGAGCTCCTACACTAAGCCCAACAGATCAAACTAAAATGAAATCATTTTTGTTGAGTTCCAGCCACCAAGTCAAAACCAAGTTGTTTATCTGACCTTCTGAGAAATCAAGAGAGATAATAGCTAAATTCCCAAACAGGTCAGGTTTAGTCCGTATGATAAGGACATTCCCTCTGCTTTAACCTTTTCAAGGAAAATAACTTTGAAATGACCAATCTGCTTTTTGTTCTTGGTTTCTGCTTTCCTCAGCCCTTTTCTGTCCATAAAGCCAAACTCCTCCACTCAGCTCATTGGAATACTCATTCTATTTTACAGAATGGGGTTTTGCCTGATTCTAGAATTGCAAATAAAAGCCAACTAAGGTCTTTAAATTAAATTTGTTATAATTTTGTCTTTTGACAGCCCGTTAGAGGATCACTACAGAAGTCCCAATCATCCATTTTACGATAGTCTTTGTGTGTGCCTCCCATACAAATAAAATTTTTTTAAAAAAAGCAGAACTTCATCCTACTTTTAGCTCTTCTTTGGAGTTCTGACTAAACCCACATCCATTAGTCCTGAAGCTAATTGAGCTAATCTACCATTTTCATGTTCTTATTTAGGAAAAGAGGTCATTGACGCTTTGATATTTTGGTCAGAATCTATTTTAAAGATTTGTGTCTATTGCAGCCGAATCATTTAAATAGCTGCAAAACTGTAAAAATATTTTAAAGGTTTATTTTTATTTTTTCTGAACAGTCTTTTAAAATAGCAGTCCAACTGAGGTCAAATGAAGCAAGATCTGGAATTTTAAAATTAGAGGGCAGCCATTAGAAAAATTACACTCATTACAGTAAAGGTTAGCTGAGAGTATTTTAGAATCCTATGAGTTTACTTATGATTTAAATAGAGAGACTACCACGTATTATCCTTACACATTTCTCTGATTCTTTGTTTTCTAATTTTTCTTCAATTTGTTAAAAAGATTCAAGGCGAAAAAATGAATCAAACCCTACTTTAGTGTTCAGATTAAGATGGACTTTATAAAAGTCCTTGAGAACATTTATATTTCCCTTCCTTCCTTCCTTTCTTCCTTCCTTTTTCTCTCTTTTTCTTTTCTTTTTTTTCTTCTTTCTTTCTTTCTTTCTTTCTTTCTTTCTTTCTTTCTTTCTTTCCTTCTTTCATTCTTTCCTCTTTCTCTTTCTCTTTCTCTTTCTCTCTTTCTTTCATTCTTTCTTGTCTTGCTCTGTCTCCCAGGCTGCAATGTAGTGACACGACCTCTGCTCGCCCAGGCTGCAATGTAGTGACATGACCTCTGCTCACTGCAACCTCCACCTCCTGGGTTTAAGCAATTCTCCTGACTCAGTCTCCTGAGTATCTTACAGACATGCGCCACCATGCCTACCCCAGCAAATTTTTGGAATTTTAATAGAGATGGGGGTTTCACCATATTGCTCAGGCTGGTCTTGATCTGCTGGCTTCAAGTGATCCACCTGCCTCAGCCTCCCAAAGTTCTGGGATTACAGGTATGAGCCACCATGCCGGGCCGGAAAATTTATATTTTTTTCTGACAAGTTTTATTTGTTTCTTGATATATGTGTAATGTAATATAAAGTATATTTCTATGTTTGCAATATATATTACTGGAGATTTTTGAAACCTATAAGTTTAATTTAATATTAGACCCTAATATAAATATAAACATCCAATTAGTTAATCCAACACTGAGGAAAATATTTGTTCCTCCAAGTCCATAGTATTTAGACCATTTTATAAATATATGAAAATTTTTTCTTAAGCTAGTCATGACTCTGTTGCCCAAAAATAAATTCCTTAATGAAAGGCATCTTTCTTTGGCCTTTAAAGTTACTTTTTTTTTAAATTTCATCAGTAAGGTCTACAAAAAGTTGATTTAGACAAACACTAATTTTTTACGTTTCTGCCCTCAAAATGTTAACAGTCGATATAAATTCAACCATATTATACGTTTTTAAAAGCCAAGGCAATGCTGTCTTTTGTTATTTCTTTGCAGATAATGCAGATGAAAGGAGACATTAAGTACTGTTATTTATCACAAAATAAAAATGCCCATTCATCAAGCAAGGAGGTAAACCAGTATGATTTTTCACCAGTTTACTCATGATCAGAAATCCACAGTGATATGGCTTAGGCTATTTTTTAGAAAATGAAAAATAAAGTGTTGGATAACAAAAAATATGAAATGTGTGGCTAGAAGTAGACCAAATATGCCTTTTGGCCAAAGATGATTCAAAATTGAATCTGAAATGTTATTAAAATGTTTACTATGGTTACAATTTTTTATTAAAACTTTTGCTAGATCTATTTTTAAAGTTTGACATTAAAATGCAAGATTTATAACTTTTCAGCAAAAATACTAACTTTTAACAGAGAAAAGTCAATAATGGGACAAGATCTACTTTTTCTACCTTGTCCAGAGTAGGGTACTCCTGGATTGTGATGTTTCCACCAAGTACTTAGCTTTTCTTCTTCTCTAGCCAGAGCTGAATGTGGTGAAGGGTTAACTACTCTTCGACATTTGGGCTCTCAGATATGATCAGTGCCCTTGTGGCTGTCCTAACAACCCAATCTCACACTTAGAAGCTTCCCGCATTGATGGAAAACCACTTTGTGAATATTTTCAGATGCAGACATATTGTTGCTTTCATTTCAATATTTTTATTCTAATGTATTTGCAAGCATTCACTGCTTTATATTGTCTTATGGGGAAATTTGTTCTTAATCTTGGAGCTAGAAATGTAACAAGGGAGCAATGTGATTGACTTTCAAGTTACTAAACTCTTGTCCGAATTTCTATCTGCACCCAGCTTTTACTGTCTGCACTCCCAGCATCTTTTAATAGAATGATAGGAGGATATTTTTAGCAGAACTTATCAGTAAAGAAATGGTTGTAATCTCAAGGCACATAGTTTGCCTGATTTAGTATATAAATAACTTTCTCTACAAACAACTGTTGTTTGTAGAGAAATACTTTATTATTCAATAATTATTATTGGTTGTTAAGTAAGACTTGCTATGTTGGAGATTTTCCCCCTTGCAACATATGGTATGGTATTAAGGCTTTCTTTTATTTAAGCAGATTTTAATATGTGATGGTTACTTCTCCATCTAGTTTGGTTTGCAGTTCCAAAATCTCCTGTAACTTTTGATTTTTGCCTTTGGCTTAAAAAGAATGAAAATAGTGGCCCAACAATTCTCTGCATACTGCTAGTAATTTAGTTGTATTGTGTTCTATAATAATTTTTAACCATATAAAAATATAAGCTTTTATCACACTGTCAATAAAATTGCATGCAATTTTTGTTAATAATTTATTATTCAATAATTATTATTATTTAGTCAGATACTGTTGGCACATGTGATTGCTAGAAGTCTAAGATAGCCCCGAAGTCTCCTGCTTCCTGATGTACACACACTGTATAACCCCTAAAATTACAAATATGATGTTTATTACTCTCACGATTATGTTACATCTTATGGCCAAAAAGAATTTTGCAGGTGTAGTTGAGTTCCCAAATCAGTTGACCTGAAGATATCAGAGATTATCCATGTGGGCCTTGCCTAATCACATGAGTCCTTTAAATCTGGCTTTAGAAGTGGGAGACAAAGAGGATAAGCAATTTGAATCATGATAAGGATTCAACTTGCTATTGCTAGTTTGGAGATAAAGAGGAAATCATGTGGCAAAGATTATGAGTGGCCTCTAGGAGCTGACAGTAGCTCCCAGCTGACAGCCAGCAAGGAAACAGGGGCTTCTGTCCTATAACTAGAAGGAAATTAATTCTGCTAATGACAAGAATGAGCTTGGAGGAGAAATTTTTCCTAGAATTCAGTCTGGTAGAAAAATTGATTTCAGTCTGGGATACTCTGAACAGAGAACTTAGTTATGCCACACTAGACTGCTGATCTACAAAACTCTTAGCTAATACGTGGAACTTTTTTGAGTTGCTAAATTTGTGGTAATTTGATATGCAGCCATAGAAAATAATACAGCATCAGACCCAGAAATATTTTGCCAAACAGGTACATCAGAAGCACTGTTGAGTTCAGCATGAGTCCACCACATTAGCAAAGTTAAAAAACAATTATCCATATAGGTTTCTTGATTGGATGGTTCTGCCTGCCCATAAATCAGATGTACTAGACATATAAGTATCACATGGTACATTATCAGTAACCTTTCAGTGCTCAGCAGAGTATAAGGAATCTTTTTTTAAACATCATTTTCTATTAAAATTTATCTTATTTATTTATTTTTCAAACTATCCTATTTCAGAAAGTTTCCTGCCCATTTCTAGGTCTCAGTATCCCTATATATGAAATGAGAAAGCAAACTTGAAGAATATAAAGAACTCATTCAGGATTTCTGAGTCATCCTTTTCTCCTCTCTAGAGACTCTCCTGGAAAGAGATAGTTGGGCAGGTCCTTCAGCTAGGACCTCTTGGTCTTCTCCTTCATACCATCTTCTCACCCTTGGTTATTCCTAACCCTCCATGATGCACTCTCTTCATCTTTCTCCCCCAAGCGTTTTGCAACTAAAAGTCGCCAGGATGTAATGTGCATTCTGCAGGACGCATTATCAGAAGCCACCCTACTTTCTCTTCCAACTGAAAGCTTTTAGTTAAGTTCAATTGATATATAGACCTGGCTATTCTATGAACTCAGAGCCATGCCCAGTCTATCTCATATCTGACTACCCGGAAGTTACTTTGGATTGGGGTTCATAAATGCTGTCGTTTCAGATTTCCAGAAAATTATCTCTGATTAAGCAAAGACTAGAAGTTGGAAACCTGACATCTCTACAAAACATTCTGCAGATGAGTGAAAAACACACAGCCCATCACAGAGAACTTGCCATGGTTTACTCAAATTGATTAAGAAGATGTTGCCATAATAATTCACCTGCTGTTATTTAATGAATTCACTTATAAAAACAAAAGAACAACAACTCTTACTGAGGCCTTCTATGTCTGTGTGAATAACAGGAGTCTCATTTTTCAAATTCAGATCGGAATTGATACTGATTAAAACCGGAATGATGCTTGATAATAAATGAGAATGGCTATCATCTGCAAGTGTAAATGATTTAAATGAGTGCACATATTTTGTTGGAGTCAGTAAATGTTTAACATAGGAATCTAAATTTTACCTGATAAAGCTTATGTGATCTATGACTTAAGTCTTTTTATATTACCCCACCATTCTTTCTCTTGGAATAGTTCTCTCTTATTAGGTTGCATATGGAGATAATGTGGATTATTGAGAGCTGATGGTATTTTCCAGCAAAAATACAAAATAGAAAGTCCTGAGAATCGCCCATATTTTGTGAGATAAGGCATAGAAAAATGATCCCATAAGGAATACTAGAAAGGAACGGCCAGAGAGGTGGAGGAAAACTCAACAATATATGGCTTCACAAGACTGGGAGAGCAGAACAGAGAAGGCGGAATAATGCTTATCAGATTTGTCTAATATGTAGCAGTGAGGATAATTTCAGTGATATAGTTGAGGCCGAACCAAGTTGCAGTGTGTGATAGATGGAGTAGGAAGCAAGGAACTAAAGCCAGAGGGTTTCAATGCCTCTGTTGACAGGATTGCCATCTTCATTACACTGTGTGTCCCTCCTAGGCAGGGACCTCTTCCTGATTCTTCTTCATATTCTCAGTATCCACACTATAGGCTCTGGAACAAAGAAGGCCTAAGGATCACTTTGGGGGAATGCTTCTTCCCCATACTCTGTGTTTCCTTCCATGGAGGACATCAATTATTACAACATTCCTGGCTTCGCTCTATCTTTTAAAAAGCTTCATTCCTATGGGGAGAAGGTGGTTTGGAAGGAGAAACTAGACCTTCAGCTTACCCCCTTTTAAAAGCTTCTCTCTCTCTCATCTCCATGCTCTAAGTTTTAGGAGCTAATACTTTTGAGGGGGGCGGGGAGTGGGGGAGCTGCCCTGATACGGTTAACCTGGAAAGTAATATTTTCTAGAATAATTTATAGCTTTAGTATGTCACAAAAAGTATTGTGTTCATCTACTGAAAATAAACAACAATCTATAAATATCTTCCAAAAAGATTTTTGCAAACCGTGGATACAGATTTCCTATACTCACAACTTTCACAAATGTCTTTTTATAGCATTATGGTAATGTCTCTTATTTCAAAGTTTAATTAATGAGGATATTTGGAATGCTTCATTTTTCTCTCTTCATAGTACTTATATCCCTTTTTATGCATGATTTAAGGAATTTTTTATGGTTAATCTTATGGATAACTTTGAAGGTTTTGTCGAAATAAAATTTTGAGGGGGTGAGCAGGTATTGCAACCTGAATTTGTCCTCAGAAGTGAATTATTTTGTAATAAGACTTATTCTCAAAATACTTAGAGCATAAATTGAATTAAACAACTAAATATTAAATCTAGTTCTTATGTTTCATTTTGTCTAATATTAATGATAGCACAATAAACAATTCTACAATAAGAATTAGATATAATCTCTACTTTCTGCTTTGTATTAATATTTAAATTTTCATAATTTTTTTACTCAAATAATAAAATAAGTTTTAAAGTTATCTAGCTAATGACTCTTTGTATTAACTGTCATTCTATTTTACTATTTAGTTATTTGGAATTTTTAAATAATTTTTTTGTATGTAAACATAGCAGCTTTCACAATGAATTAATTATTGACGCAATTCGCTCATGCAAAAATACGCATGGCTGCATTTCAACTGATTTATAGAATTTCAAAAATTTGAGGAATATGAGGAAATTTTTTACTTCAAGTTACATCCAGAATGCTTTCTTATTCAAAAGTGAATATGAAGTGACAACTGGTAAATGTAAATAATGGGCACATTTTGTATTAGTAAAGTTGTTATTTTGATTAGCTATGATGGAAACCTATGGGATGTTTGTTATGTTTTTGTTTAAGTTATGTTTTTATTCTTTTGTCCTTGTTTTTTCTCTTAATTATCCAAAGGGGTTTATCAATTTTGTTGATCTTTTTGAAAAACAAAGTTTTTTTTTTTTTTTTAATACTTTAAGTTCAGGGGTACATGTGCAGAATGTGCAAGTTTGTTACATAGGTACACATGTGCCATGGTGGTTTGCTGCACCCATCAACCCGTCATCCACATTAGGTGTTTCTCCTAATGCTATCCCTCCCCCATCCCCCGACACCCTGACAGGCCCCATTGTGTGATGTTCCCTTCCCTGTGTCCATGTGTTCTCATTGTTCAACTCCCACTTATGAGTGAGAACATGTGGTGTTTGGTTTTCTGTTCTGTTTGCTGAGAATGATGGTTTCCAGCTTATCCATGTCCCTAAGCAAAAGGAACAAAGCTGGAGGTATCATGCTACCTGATTTCAAACTATACTGAAAGGCTACAGTAACCCATACAGCATAGTACTGGTATCAAAACAGACAAATAGACCAATGGAACAGAACAGAGGCCTCAGAAATAACACCACACATCTACAACCATCTGATTTTTGACAAACCTGACAAAAACAAGCAATGGGGAAAGGATTCCCTATTTAATAAATGGTGTTGGGAAAACTGGCTAGCCATATGCAGAAAACTGAAACTGGATCCCTTCCTTATACCTTATAAAAAAGTTAACTCAAGATGAATTAAAGACTTAAATGTAAGACCTAAAACCATAAAAACCCTAGAAGAAAACCTAGGCAATACCATTCAGGACATAGGCATGGGCAACGACTTCATGTCTAAAACACCAAAAGCAATGGCAACAAAAGCCAAAGTTGACAAGTGGGATCTAATTAAACTAAAGAGCTTCTGCACAGCAAAATAAACTATCATCAGAGTGAACAGGCAACCTGAATGGAAGAAAATTTTTGCAATCTATCCAACAGACAAAGGGCTAATATCCAGCATCTACAAAGAACTTAAACAAATTTACAAGAAGAAACAAAGCCCTATCAAAAAGTGGGCAAAGGATATGAACAGACACTTTTCAAAAGAAGACATTTATGCAGCCAACAAACATATGAAAAAAAGCTCATCATCACTGGTCATTAGAGAAATGCAAATCAAACCCACAATGAGATACCATCTCACGCCAGTTAGAATGGCGATCATTAAAAAGTCAGGAAACAACAGATGATGGAGAAGATGTGGACAAATAGGAAAGTTTTACACTGCTGGTGGGAGTGTAAATTAGTTCAACCATTGTGGAAGACAGTGTGGTGATTCCTCAAGGACCTAGAACTAGAAATACCATTTGATCCAGTAATTCCATTACTGGGTATACACCCAAAGGATTATAAATCTTTCTTCTATAAAGACACATGCACACGTATGTTTATTGCGGCACTATTCACAATAGCAAAGACTAGGAACCAATCCAAATGTCCATCAATGATAAAGTGGATAAAGAAAATGTGGCACATATACACCATGGAATATTATGCAGCCATAGAAAAACAAAGTTTCAACTTTGTGAATTCTCTTTATTGTTTTCCTATTTTCTGTTTCATTGTTTTCTCCCTACATTGGATTTTCTTTACATTTCTTTATCAAGCTTCTTAAGGTGGAACTTCAGGCTACTGATTTTACACCTTTGTTTTTTTCTTATATAAACATTAGAAACTATACACTTTTCTGTAAGTTCTACTTTAGTTTCCCCTTAAGTTTTAGTACTAATACTTTTATTATTATAGAACTTGAAATATTTTCTAATTTTTCTTGGATCATTTAAAGTTATGACTCTTGGGTCATCCTTCTTTTACTGGGGGAAAAGAAAAGGCTATCCCCAAAATAATCACCGGGTTATTTAAAATTATATAATTTTTTTTCCAAACTGTGGGATTTTTCTAGATATCTTATTGTTATTTATTTCTATTTAATCCTATTGTCAGAGAACACGTGCTATATGACTTCAGGCTTTTTTTCTTTCTTTGAGATAGATCTCACTTTGTCACTCAGGCTGAAATGCAGTGGTGTGATCTCGAGTCACTGCAGTCCCAACTTCCTGGGCTCAAGCAATCCTCCCATCTCTGCCCCCCACAGGTAGTTGGCACTACCAACTACTTGTTTTCTCCCTACATTGGGTTTTCTTTGCATTTCTTTATCAGGCTTCTTAAGGTGGAACTTTAGGCTATTGATTTAGGCTATTGATTAAAACAGCACGCACCACCATGCCCAGCTAATTTTTGTATTTTTAGTAGAGAGGGGATCTTGCTATGTTGCCTAGACTGGTCTTGAACTCCTGGACTCAAGAGATTTGCCCACCTCGGCTTCCCAAAGTGCTGGGATTACAAGCCTATACCACTGCGCCTAGCCAACTTCATTTTTTTTTTTTTTTTTAGTTTATTGACAATTATTTTTGACCTAGAGTATTTTCTGTCTTGTTGACCATACCATGTGTGCTTGAAAAGAGTGTTTTCTGCAGTTGTTGGGTGTAATGATTTATAAGTATCAATTATGTGGCCAGGTGTGGTGGCTCATGCCTGTAATCCCAGGACTTTGCAAGGCCAAGGCAGGCAGATCACTTGAGGTGAGGAGCTGGAGACCAGCCTGGCCAATGTCGGGAAACCCCATCTCTACTAAAAATATAAAAATTAGCTGGGTGTGGCGGCACACACCTGTAATCCCAGCTACTCAGGAGGCTGAGGCACAAGAATCCTTTGACCTTGGAGGTGGAGGCTCCAGTGAGCAGAGATTAAGCCACTGCACTCCAGCCTGAATGAGAGTGAGACTTTGTCTCAAAACAAATAAAGAAAAAGCAAACAAACAAACACATACACAACTACGTTAAGATGGAAGTGCTGTTCAAAACTTTTATGCCTTCGATGATTTTTAAAATTAATTTTATCATTTCCTGTGAAGGGGTGTTAAACAAATTTACAAGAAATTTCCAAGAAACTTCCAACCACGACTTTGTCTATTTATCTCTTTAATTCTGCTAATTTTTTCTTCATGTATTTTGAAATTATCTTACTAGATGTATATGTATTTCTGATTGTTATGGCTTTGGTATGAATTGACCCCTTTGCCATTGTTATTATCATTAGGAGCACATTATCTCTGTTAATGCTCTTTGTCTTAAAGTTGACTTTCTCAAATATTGGTATTTTATTTTATATGTAACATTAGTATATAATACATTCACTAATTTTTATTTAAAATAATTTTAAAAGTAATATTAAATTCATGTACCTTTAATCTATCTTTGTCTTTATACTTAAAATAAATATAATTGAGTCTTGCTTTAAAATCTAAGCCAACAACCTCTGCCTTTTAATTGGAGAGTTTAATCCATTTATAATATATTTATTATAGTTATTAATATGCTTAGGATTAAGTCTACCATTTCAGTTTTTGTTTTCTCTTTGTCTCATGTAGGTTTTTCCTCTGTCTCTCCTGCCTTTTTTCTTGTTTTAAATTGAATAAACATTTGTATGAATTAAATTTTAATCTATCTATTGACTTTTTAATTTTTTTTTTTTTTGCATTATTTTTAGGAGTTGCCTCCGGAGTTATACTACAAATATTTAGTTTTCACACTCTATCTAATTTGTATTGTGCCATTTGTAAAATGTAAGAGACTTGCAATCTTACAAATCTTTGGTTCTCTTTTTTTTTTTTTTTTCTGGGATTTCCCCCCTCATCAAGCTGCCATTTACTTTGAGCTCTTTCGTCTAGTTCTTCAAGTTGGCAAAACTATGTATTTCTATCCAATATTCAGCCACCTGTGTGGAGTTGAATGGGGTGTTCCGTCAGATAAAGAGCCACACAAATGGGAAACTCAATGCTGTTTCTCTTTTTCCATGTGTTGACTCCTGTTGGATTCCTGTCTTATACCTTTATGAGAGTTATATAGTTTTGTCTGGAAGAATTAGTACAATAGAAGAAATCCCACCATTTCAAAAATCTCTTCAAACCATCTCCTTCAAATTTAAATTAAATTTAAGCGTTCTTTTCCTTACATCCTCTTTATTTTCAGGCATCTAATTTTTTACTTGTATTTGGAAACTCACATTTTCTGTGAATAAATTAAAGATCTCGAATTGCTTACTGATAACTGAGTCAGACAAATCTTGACATTTTCTTGAACATTTAAACAAAATAGAATTCTGCATTCCTCAAGTGTACCGAATCATGGTATTTAGAGTTAGTTTTACGAATCTCTGTTAAAGAAATAAAACTTACCTGGTGATTCTGACTAACCTTTGAGACAGATGTTTGACTTCTAAATTAAACAGAAGTTGTTACTAATTTAAAATATAAATTCTGATATTTTAATTCTGTAGAAGGAAGGCAAAAAAAATTGGAGAAAAGAGGAATCATCAGAGTTACTTTGGGTGCAAAAACTATATTACATGGAATTTATAATAATTGTCTTGTATTTCCCAATTATCCTAAAATTAGAAAATAAGAGTAATATAATTTTGCAAGTAAACTTCTTTGGGGACATTTTGTATGCTCAATGAAAATTTATATTAAATTTTTCTTAGAATTGAGGGTTATTAACAATAATAATTTGCTCAGTTTGTAATCTTATTCTTTGTTAAGCACATACTTATTAATGATGTAAAATATCACTATTCTAAACCATAAAATATGCTATATGATGGAAACTCTTGTTTCAGATAAAGATAATTAAAAATGACCTTCCTAAATTTAGTTTACTTGAGCCTAGGTTTTTCATAGGTTTCCCCACTTAGATTTCTCATGTAGAAATAATTGATGAAAAATGATATTATCAATCTAATTTGAAATAAGAACAGTTCTGGAAGTCATAATTAATAAGCTGTCTTCCACACACACGTGCATGTACACCCACACTTACACACACACACAGTCAACTCACATTTGCAGGCCTTATGAACCTGATCTATTAAAAAATAAACATGTAGGCAATTTCCTTCCGTTAGTTTCTATGTGGGAATCTAACCAAAAGAGTGTCAATTAAAAGAAATTAGTGTAGAGTCAATGATTAGGCATCTGTGTTGTAGTTTTCCAGTTTGCTACTTGGCATTGCTTTTGCAGTGTTATTGCAATGAAAGAACTGAAAACATCAGACTTGAGTATGAGAAAATCAGCAAGAAAATATAGTAAATAAAGAATATGGAGCAAAAGCTGAAATTTTACATAAGTCTATTTTATTAATATCCCATGGGAAAGAACAGCTTTATCTTCACTTACTTAAAAGTGAATGCCTTACCTGGGAAGAAGCAGAAAGTAGGACAGAAACAGGCAAAGAAAAGAAGATTTGGCTTAATGGCAGAGTTCACAAGTTGTTTAGAAATCTCAAGGCATAAAATTTAATAGGTTCTCCTTACACAGGGTTCAGGGAAAAAGCCTAAAGGTGTGTGAAACAATAATTAGTCTTTAGAAAAGAGTAGGCAGTAGAAGACAGTCCTTGAGGCTGTTGCTTTCAGTTTCTCAGTTCCCACTCTGACTGCAGTATTATGGAAGACTCAAAAGCAGTCGTCCCTGACATTTTTCAGTCTGCAAATCACTTTAAAAACCCCAAGAGGGAGATATATGGTAGTGAAATATAGTTAGTACTTGGAGCCAACCATGATTTGAGCTTTTGGCATAGGCACAGCATAAAGTAGCTTTAAAAAATACTGCATTACTTTATAGCCCCTTGTTGATTTATAGATTGCTATGTCTTTCAAATTTTGTGTTCATTTTCATCTCCTATTTGTTTTTGTGTATGCTATGATAAAGCCAGTATCTGGTCTGAGAATAGTTTTATTTTGTGATTTTCTGAGTTCACAAAGTAGAGAATACACACAATTGCCAATAGTTTGCCCCCAAATAAAATATCCCCCTGAAATTTATAATTGATGCCAAAATATTTTCTCTCAATCTATGTATTTCAATTATAAACTGAACTACTTAGGTGTAGGTTGCAAAATGATGGAGAGCTACAGCTACCTAAAATAACCACATAAATTCTAAGGATTCAACAATGCTGCTGGAGAGTACATTTCCAATCAAGTGTGACTTTGCAACTTAACAAGATAGGCTAGGAATTAGATTTTCCATTTCCTGAAGGCAGATCTGGTTTTATATGTGGGCAGAGTAAGTAGCTGCTTCTGTATTGGGATTTGAGGCACACTAAAATTCTTTCCCTATCTCTGATGCTAAAGTATATATTTCATCCATACTCAGAATCTTGAAGGTTTTGTAATCCAACTCTCAAGTTTTAGAATGAGGAAACCGAGATCCAGAGAGGTCAAATAACTTGTTCAATCTTGTCTTTTTTTCCAGAAGTCTAAAATGATACAGAAAACCAACATAACAAGGAGACTATATAGATTGGGGTAAAAAAAAAAAAGCCAGAAATAATGTTAACATGCTTACTGTAATGATTTATTTGTTACCTGTTTAACTGAACACATTTTGGAATTTTTTAACAACTTAAGAAACAAGGAAAATTGAGTCATATCATTCACAATAGTCAGAAGAAAATTATTATTTATTTATTTTGGCAAAGTACAATTAGCAGTGAATTTTATATTTTATATTCTCACTAGAGATATATATTTCCTAAGGAGTACTTCATAAAAAGGACTGCTCGTGAGGCAATAAAGAAACTTCTTTACAAATCCTGAAAATGGGTGTAACTATACATTTCAGAGAACCCTTCCTCATAATCTCCTTCAATATAAATTGCTGGCCACATACCAAAGTGCAATTAAGTGAAAGGAATTCTGTTGGGGACCAGGACAGTGGTATTCTACTCTCAACTTGTCTGTCTGGATTTAGAAATCTAATAAGATATATGCTTAGCATATTTAAAAAATGGTTTTTACTAAAATCAATAAAATATTAACAGTAGTTAGCATGTTTGACAAGCTGTGAACTTCTTACATCTTGGTGTAAGTCAGATGCTTCACTGAAAATGGACAATTTTAAAATTCATTTTAAACAGTTGTATGCATTGTGCACAAAGAAGAATAGGAATTCAACTGCAAGAGCAAAAAGCTCAAGAGAAAATGAAGATCGAATATTTTAATTGGCAAGAATCTTGAGATTAGGTTTTTTGATGAAACCAGTGAAGAATTATGCATTGAGAATCCAATATGTTACCACATATGTTCTGAGAGGTTTGCATTTTCATTTAATGCTGTAGGAGTGAAGCAGATGAAAATGCAAAACTCCCAGAACCTTCCAGTAAATTTCATTTTAGAAGAGATTGAAAGCAAACTCTTAAAGAGGTTAACCTATACTCAGCTCATTTGGAGACCTCTAAGCATATTTTTTTCTTAACTCAGCAATACAAAGCAAAAATAAAGCTCACAACACTATAGTCCATGGTTGCGTAGTTTTTTTATCAATAAAATTTAAGGGTTTTTTTTTTTCACACAGAAATAGCTCAATGACCAATTCAGTGAGCACTTTATATCCTAGAACAGGTGCTAATGCTGTATGATGTAGTTCCTTTAACATCCCGAATATAATTCATCAAGAAGTCTTATTGGCGCTGTCTTGAATGACTACCCAAATCTGATTACTTCTCAACATCTTTACTGCACTCGTGAAGTCAGCATCATCTCTCACTTTTACGACAGCAGAAGTCTCCTAACTGATCTTTCAACTGCCACAACTTGTCCCTATCCTCCAAACCACAAAGCCATTTTCCAATCAGCAGCCAAGGAGATTTCCTTACAATGTATATCAAATCATATTTACTTCTTTTTGTAAAAACCCTCCCAAGATTTTCTATTTTCATTGGAATATAATCTCACAATTTTATCCTGTCCTTCAAAACTGCATGAAGAAAGAGGCATGGTTAATGGTTCTTTCCTTTTTTAAAATGCTGTGCCATTTTACTGCCCTCACTGCTCCTGACAGTCCAAGCATGTACATTTCTGTCTGTGAACTTGCGGTTTGCTATGCCTGGAACCCTCTTCTCTCCGATGTGTTATACTGTTTCACCATTTAGGTCTCAACCTGCCAGCTCTTCAGAAGGACCTCTTTTACAACTTATTCTTTATGAATAAGTTCCTAGGGGAAGGGAAAACGTCTACCAAAATAACTCCAAGGAGATCCTATGCCTAGAATAGCCCCTGATAAAACTGTGATGTCAATGAAGTGTTTACTTGGTACCCCTAGCTTCTTCTTACTGTGTTATTTTCTCCTTTTTATGGTATTTGCTCCTCCTTGTTTCAGCAATTAGTGTCTCCCCCTTCTTCAATAAAACCTCAGAAAAAACTCTCTGTCATTCTTTGCCTCTTATTTTGCATAGTAGTTAAAACGTTAAATTATGAAGAGCATTCAACAGTTTTTCATGACCATATTTTGTTTGCTTCTGAAGTTATATCATTTGCTTGTATATGATTGTTGTCTGCCTCCTCCTAGAATACAACACTGATGAATACAGGGACTTTGTCCTGCTTACTTCTGTATATACCATAGAACAGTGCCTTGCATCAGCTAGATAATGTTGAATGAATGCATGGGTAAAAAATAATGCTCTTGTCATATAACCATAACACTGCTGATTTAGAATTAGTAGGATATGTATAAGATGCAATCATAGGAAACAATCATAACAACTTTTGTCTGTGTTCCATTGTCACCAAACACCGCGTGTTCTCACTCATAGGTGGGAATTGAACAATGAGAACACTTGGACACAGGAAGGGGAACATCACACACCGGGGCCTGTTGTGGGGTGGGGGGAGGGGGGAGGGATAGCATTAGGAGATATACCTAATGTAAATGACGAGTTAATGGGTGCAGCACACCAACATGGCACATGTATACATATGTAACAAACCTGCACATTGTGCACATGTACCCTAGAACTTAAAGTATAATAAAGAAATAAAAAATAAAAAACATATTTCAAAATGATTTGATTAAGGTTTTAGCACAGTGTAAGTTTGGGAAGGCATATAGCTCGTGGCCTTGGCATCCATTTGCCATTCTCTCCTCAGTGGACCCATTACTAGTAAGTGAACCTAAAATTGTTAAGATAAGTAAAACAGTTAGGAGTATATTTTTATATTTCTGGATACCTCATCTGGTTATAGAAAATATTATCAGTGAAGAGTAATAACAAAACTGTCATTAATATTGGATCATATTAGGATTTGAGATCAACGTACTCCGTGTTGATCTTTACTAGGACTGAGCACTGGCCCAGGATGTAGTTAACTCCTGGTCTCCTTCCTGATATTCTTCCTCTCCATTTTCTAAAAAAGGAGGCTCTTGAGTCATGGGATATATAGCCTAGTGAGTTCCTGATGTTGATTTATGAAGCTCTAAGATTTGCAAACCACTTAGGAAAGCTCTTGTTGTTGAAGGGAAAATAGAGTATTCTTTATTTCCGTGAATAGCTTATTTCTAATAAAGCATTTTTAACAATTTGGCATTTACTTTAGAAAAAAAATGGACATTAGGTATCACTTAAAATTTACATGTGTTAGTATGACAGAGTGTAATAGATGTTCATTAGCCCTAACTGCAGTCTTTAACACAGATAACAGACAATTTATAAAAAATGGTTACACTATATTTATTTAGCACTTTCTAAGATGGATTACGTTATAGACCAATAAATTATCAGAAAAGGATGTTACTTAGACTAAAATGCAGTTTTAAGTAAAGTGCTAGCTCAGTGCTGAGGGGGAAGAAATCTTGTGACTAGATGCCAGGTGGTCTCTTTTATACACTCTGTTTTTATGAATAAGTTCCTGGGGGGTGGGGGTAGAAGTCTGACAAAATAACTTCAAGGAAATCCTGTGCCTAGGACAGCCCCTTGATAAAACTGTGAAGTCAATGAGGTGTTTATTTGGTATCTCTAGCCTCTCTTTCTTTTTTTTTTTTTCCCTTCCTCTCCTCTCCCCTCCCCCTCCCCCCCCTCCCCACTCCCCTCCCTCTCCCCCTCCCTTCCCCTCCTTTCCCCTCCCTTCCCTTCCCCTCCCTTCCCCTCCCCTCCCCTCCCTTCCCTTCCCTTTCTTTCTCCTTTTTTTTTCTCTCTCTGTCACCCAGGATGGAGTGCAGTGGTGTGATCTTGGCTCACTGCAACCTCTGTCACCCAGGTTCAAGCAATTCTCCTGCCTCAGCCTCCCAAGTAGCTGGGATTATCGGCGCCCATCACCATGACCTGCTAATTTTTTTTTGTATTTTTAGTAGAGATGGGGTTTCACCATGTTGGCCAGGCTGGTTTTGAACTCCTGACCTCAAGTGATCCACTGGCCTTGGCCTCCCACAGTGCTAGGATTACAGGCGTGAGCCACTGCGCCCGGCCTCTAGCCTCTTCTTATTGTTATTTTCTCCTTTTCATGGTATTTGATACCCCTTGTTTCAGCAATTTGTGTCTCTCACCTCCTTCAATAAAACCTCAGAAAAAACTCTCTTGTCAGTCTTCATCCCTTATTTTGCATAGTAGTTAAAAACAGAGATTTGAGGGCTAGACTATCTGGATTCAAATCCCAGATCTACCACTTATAGTGTTGTAATGTTGTGTTCGTAACTTACGTTTTCCATAACTCAGTTTTCTCTTGTGTAAAATGAAATTATAGTAGTTTTTCCATCAGAGGTTTGTGGTTTTGGTTTAATGAGTTAAAATATGAAATCCATGATAATCTTGCCACGTAGCAGGTACTCAGCAAATGTTAGCTCTTACAAGGTATCTGTTTCATTGCTAATTTTGGGAGAAATAATTTTGTCTTTTCTTGAAGGAATTTTAGGCAATTGTGCACAGAAGCAGTTGACTAGGTAATCTTTGGGGTTGGAACTCTTCTATGTTGGTCCTGAAATAATATAATGAGGTCAGTTCTTACTGTGAAGGTCAGCAGAGCTTCCCTCAAAATTTCAAGGATTAAATGGCCGCTACAGCCAAAACTGTCCAGGCTCCAGGATTTTATGTATGGCTGATGGAATTCTGGAGTTGGAAATAGTTTACAACTTATATATTTCTTATGTAACAAGTGAGATGCTAGTAGTATGCTACTAGATTTCAGAGATCTTTTCTATAAGATGTTTAAGAAAAAGGGATAGAGAGCTGGGAGTGAAGGCTGCTGTGATGTTTCTGTTTACTTTGAAGGTCTTTATAAATTAGCATATATTGTCAATCCACTCAACTGGTGTCATTAAATGATATTTTGTGCTCAATACCATGAGCATAATCTTTTTTCTGCATGAAATATGGAGAAGGAGTAGAGAAACAATATAAAAGATTTATGCCATAACAATATGTGTGAACATTATTTATGGAACACAATTCTATATGCCAGGCAGTGTTCTAGGCACTTCCATGCGTTTTCTCATTGTGTCCTCAAAGCTGGTCTACAAAACAGAGTTTGTTCTTCTCATTTCGCTGTAATAGATGGAAATGGCAGAGATTAAATGTCATGACTGTGGCCTACCTGCTGCCCAGAGGTAGAGCTAGGATTCATTCCAGGCCTGTCTGTGTCTAACTGGAGCTTGTCCTCTTCATCACTGCATTCCATCATGAACTACACATATATCTGCTGTATTTCATAGCAATGAAAGACTTTTGCTCTGAAAGCTAATAAGCAAGGTTTATCATCCTTGGGAATTTCCCAGAGGTCTGATATTGATCCTAAGACTGGTTGAGTCAGAATTGCTGTATTTGTTTGCTCAAAGCTTCAACAATGAAATGAATCTTGTGTTCATAATTGCCTATTATGTTTGGTCTATTTTGCACTGCAAAAACTTAAGAACAAGAGCTCACAAAGATGATTCCAGACCTTTTAGAATACTTTCAACTAAAGCAGTTTCAGTTTAGGTTATATCTCTGTTGAAACCAGCATAGAAAAAAGATTTTGGATCTTGTAGAGAGAGAGAAAAGATCATTCACTCATTTCTTGCTTTATTTGGATTAATGTCTTATATACAAATATAAATGATAAAAACTATTTGCTTCTGAGTCTGCTAAATGGATGGTAAATTCATGGATAATTGAGATTTGGGCATACATAATTCCCAACCCCATATTTATAAGTATTGTTTTAAAGTAAGAAAACTCAGGAAGTATTAAATGAAAATAAAAATAGAGTTCTTTAGATTTCTGAGGAGTGAGGGATGTTAGCAAAAGTCTGCTTCCTTAACAGGGAACTAAAAACCATATGTACATAAATGTTATATCATTTTCCAAAAGATGAAGTGAGTTAAGGCATATAAAACAGTTAGAACAGGGCTTTGCCTAAAGCAAGAATATTACTATTCTTATTCTATCATATGTCCAAGAGAACAAAGATGGGATTATATTCATATATCTATAATAAAAAAACACATCAATAAAAAACTACACGTTTCATATTGCTGAAGGATCATATACTTAATGAAAATACATCAGTTAACTTAGTCTGATATTGATTAAGGGAAATCCAACATCTATTTTAAAATACTAAACATTTTAAAATTCACTTTGAGGTTTTAAATCTCAATTATATACAAAGCAAGCATATGAGGACTTTTGATATGTTTATTATAAAACAACCCCAAGTGATAAATAATTATAAATGTTATATTTTTTACTAAACACTAATAACCTGGATTCTAAAACATTATAATGCTCAAAGTATATGTTTAAACATGCTATTTCGTCATCATTTAGCAAGACTAACCCTATTTTCTTTCCTTAAACTATAAATTTGTGGGTGGGTTCTGACAATAAGGATAAAAAATTCCTACACATGGTAAATCAATCCCTCTTTTGGCCCCATCATATTCAAATTTCATTTATCTGAAATCCAAAAGATTTAAAAGGTCAAAAACACCTAATTTCTACTCTAATGTCTACCACCCCAAATGAGGTAATTAATGTCCAGAGAAGGAAATTGACCGGTTTTTTTGTCTGAGGAATGGTGGAGGAGAGGAGTGACCAGAACTCAGGCTTTTAGCCTCCTTTTTATGAAAAAACATAACATTTAAGTAATGTTATGAAGTTAGTGTAGAGATAGCCTAACTTCTTCCAACTTTTTAATTTACTTTAAAAGAAAATAGATGTTCATAGTACATTCATCAAAATATTATAAACTGTTAAAATCTTTGGAATTATCAAAGATTACATTACATTCAGAATAACTTTAATGATAAGTATTTATTTTAATTTTAGTACACTCTATTTGTTTTCTAAAAGGATTTGCATTGTTGTACAATAATAGGACATACACCTTAAGGTTAATAAAATAAGAATAGGTGGAAGTCAGGGAAACTAGTAAAGGGTAAAATGAAGGCATTTCATATGCTAAATTCTATGCATTAGCATAAGTCTTGTGTTGGAGAGTAAAATTTGACTGTGAACCTCCATGTTGTCAATGCAAAACAGTTATACAACCCTTGTCAAAAGGAGGAAGTCTGTTAATTCTAAAAGGCATAGAAACTGTCACCTGACTCTAAATTAAAGGCATAGAAACTGTCACCTGACTCTAAATTCTTAAAGGAATTCCTAACCTGACCTTTTATATAAATGAGACTAAATGACATTATGGACATTGTGTTAAGTTTTTTTTCATTAAATACGTGAGGATATTTTATATGTAGTGCTAAGTACATTTTTTAGACTTGAATTTTCTAAGAATGTTTAATTGAGACTCAGGTAAATTCAGAACACTGCTACCTACCTATTCATTCAGAACAAATAAGAGTTTAACATATGATGCCCATATTGCCTTCAAAAAGTTTGAAAGGGTTCTTTGTACAGTGGGTATATGTATTTTTTTTACTTTGAAGAGTCTGTTTTAAATTATGAACTTAATGATTTAGATGCTGTTTATAATGGTTTAAAACGTTTCTACAAATTCTTTGACATTTTCTTATGGAGAAGCTGGGCTGGCCTTAGTGACTCATTTGTAGCTAATAGAAATTAATGGAAGTTATGCTGGGTGACTTATGAGGCCCGGTCATAAAAAAAAACGATGCACACATGGAAGAAGTCTGAGTACGCTGAAACTGCCACGTTGTTAGGAAGTCCAGGACAAAAGGAGAGGCTGTGTGTAGGTACTCCCATCAACAGCCCCAAACCAAGCGTCAGATAAGTAAGTGAAGTCACCTCTAGATAGCTCTGCCCAAGTTCTCTACCAAGAGATCTAGTCATTCAATTCTTCTCAGCTTATGTGCCAGATATTGTGATGCCAAGAAGAGCCAGTCACATTGTATACTTCTGAAAGTTTGGACTTACAGAATCCTTGTTAAGTTAAATAAAATGGTTGTTTAAGCTGCTAAATTTTGAAGGGATTTTTTTTTTTAACACAGTAACAGTAACTAATGGATTGTTAAAATAAATTCTGCATTTACCATGGAAAATATCTACTGTGAGAATTTCAAAAATGAGGAACATGAGGAGATCTGAGATTAGATAGTTTCATTTCTGTAAATCTGAATAGTGATTTAGGAAATTTATTCACATTTCTGAATTAAGAAGAAATACAAACAATTTACTTTTCCTGAATGAAAAAATTTATGTAGAGGTGCCAATTTATTTTTTCTGAATGAAATAAAATAAAACTAGCTGATGTTGAAGAGGTTGTTGAGGTTAGAACTACAGCACAATTCCCAGAGTGTGAAGACTCTTAGGCCCTGATATATTAATAAAGGTGGTTCAGAGATCCCTTTCCTTGAGTATTTTACCTCTAGATCTATAACACTAGAGTCCATCCACTGCATTCTTTATGAGCATAGTGTTCTCAGAGAGTTCCTTTTCATTTTATCACTTCAATAATGCATTATGGAAGGAGCACTGTAGACATTGTAGGCATAACAGATTGTTGCACAGACCACTTGCTGCCATCTGGTGTGCCACTGACTGCAAATGAGTCTCTTCTGGGGCAGCATAAATATTTTCCCTTTTGTAGCCAAACAAAATATTTTATTTTCAACTCATGACTCTACAGTGGGTCTTAATTATGATTTCCAAAGAAGAAATTGAAACAGTGAAAGAAGTTTTAGAGACTATATCTATCAATATCTCTATTTGTTTATTTGTATTAGTTATCTAGCATTTATTTTTATCTATCTATTGATATGTAATCCTGAAGTGTTAATTGGCTATATGCAACATAATGGTAGACTGTTTTTCTGCCTTTTCTTTGAATGTGTTCTACAATTGGACTAAAAACTATTTTATTTCATGATTGCAGTGAGTTCTCCTTTCCTATGACTTTTGCAGAATTAAAATTATAAAACGGTTTCTGAAAAACTATAAGAAACAAGAGAAATAATTTATTGTAACTTCTAGTTTTTTCTAGAATAATCTCCAAATTTCCTCCTTCTTACCCCATCACAGAACCAAATAAAACTTGTGCCATATCCTAAAACTGCCAACTCCTTTTATAATTCCATGATTTCTATATGCTGCATCTATAATTAGAAATCTTCCCATCCCGTCCCCTTAAAAAACATTCTCCTTCAAATCCTAAATAAAATGTCATGTCCTCTATGAAGCCTTGTCAAAGTTAGTTGTTCATATACAGCACCTTGGTTTACCACTCTTCTAAAGGATTCATCACATTGAACTGCAATTGTTTATTTATCCATTGTTTCCTGCATCAGAGCAACCTGAACATAAGGAACTGTGTCTAAGTTACTTTTGTACTTGTAGTGCTCAATAAATTTTGCTGCAGAAAATACTGTGTTGATTGGTGGCACTAAGGTTTTAGGGTTTTACTTTCATCTGGGCCCTCAGAACTACTCAGTAGTTCTTTATTCATTCCCAGTTGTACCAGGATGTTCCTGGGCCTTTCTCCTTTCCTCCTCCTCACACCTAGTTGACAATTTATCACCCTCTTCCTAGGAAAAATATACGTGGAATTTATTTAATTTACTCCTCTCTCTCCAAAAATGTATGCATTACAGTTATCATTTCAACTTATTTCATTTGTTCCTTTACATTGCTCCATTCCGAGGCCAAGTCTTTCACTTTGCACTATCCAATATTCTCACAACTGCTCTTATAATCAATCAACTCTTCCACCTGTTTTCTCTCCCTTTCCATTGACAATATACTTTCTACATCCATAAAGCCAAAGAAAGCAAATCTTCACAATGAAAATAAAGGTCTAATTAAAACCCAAACCATTCATTTAACTAAGCACCACCTTCAAAGTTCTTCCCTATCTCCCTCCTTCCTTCCTGCACTCTTTTCCTAAAAATACCACCTGCACCTCCTGTATTCACTTTGTCAGATTCCCCATTCTCTTCTGAATCTGTTGAACCTGGCTCCTGTTCCCATCATTTCCATGAAACTCTTTTGATCAGATCAATTATAGTCTATGCATATCCAGAGTGTATTCTACATGATCTTGCAACTTTTAGATGCTGGTGACCTTGGACTTCTTGCCATCTCTCCTTATCAGTATTCTTTTCTGGTTCTCATCTCTGACAACATCTTTTTTCTTCTATTCTTATCTCCTTCTCTTCTGCTTGCCCCTGAATGCTACAACACTGAGGGTTCTGTCCTCCTTCATCACTTTATCTCACCCACTCCTATGGCTTCAGTTTATCATCACTGTGTTGATAAATTCCAAACTGGATTCTCTGGCCCAGATTTTTCTTCTTAGTTCTAGATCTACATTTCCATTACTTACTGAACTTCTACAAGCAAAAATGTATCCTTTTTTCTATAACCAAACTTACTGTCTAGTAGCAGAAACTTTCAGATTAGTGTCAGTTGATTCATAGTTTATCCCTCAGCCACTTATCTCTGAGGTTGCCTTTAAGTTCCAGGGGCATAAATGGGTATGGTGAGAGGGAGAAAAATATGAGGTTCTCTGTAGTCTATGGCTATTCTTGCTGTTACCTGTCTCGCAGCCTCATAAATGTTGGTTCCTTTTCATCAGAGCATGTCCTAGTGATCTGAGATAGCTATATTTCTATCTAGTCTTCGGCATTCACTTAGACAATTTACTCTCCACTCATTTGTAACATGACACAGCTCTCCTGGCCCTCAGTCATTTGCTTCTGAGACTCCCAGTGTAGACATGAAAATATTCTGATTCTCTTTCATGCCACCCTGGGGACTGGGAGATTGATGCCTTTAATTCTGCTTGCCTTTAATTTAATTTAATTCTGATGCCTTTAGTATTCTGCTAATGCTAAACCAAACATGCAGTGATCTCTAGGTCTATACTGTTCTTGAGTTTCCAGTTGTGTAATTTGTTGTCTTTAATACCATTTCTCCTACCAAAAAATTTTACTTAGATTTGGGGGTCTACCACTCAGAGTCCCATATAGGTGTATAAAAGTTTCTTCTCTGACTTTTTGTCTTCACCAATTCAAGAGAATTTTATCTTTTTTTCTGGTAGGTAGGAAAAAATTAGCTCTGACCAAGCTCAGATATTTCTGTGCTTATTATTTAAGGCTTAAACTTTATGCCCCTTGTTATTTAGAGATCTGGCTTTTAATCATCAAAATTTAGAATTTCACAGTTTAACATTTTTTTCCATTAAAAACCTTTGTACCATACAATGCAAAGTTCTGTTTTGAAACAAAAACCAATTCTCTTTTATTCTCTTTGCATTTTTGCTCTAACAATGCAACTCTGAGTGAAGTAGTGTAGATGCCCTTACTGCATCCTGATTGCAAGAAGAAATGAGTGTGAGATTAAAAGAAGCATGACTACTGTTGCAAAATATCCTCCAACTCCAGTTTCATTCTTGAACATCCAGATTGTTTCATTCTACTGTGTCTTTCAATAATAGCATCATCATTTACCTTGTTTATTGTTTTATTGCCTCCTCTTTCTTGACCTTCCCTTTTGTCCCTTCTCACTCTTACTGGAAATGAATGTGACAATTATATCTAGAAATGTTGCTCCAGTTAGTCCTTTCTTCCACATCCCTTTCACCTCCAATTCAATACAGCTTTCATAAACTCTCCTTTGGACCACTATGGCAGAATCCTGATAAAGTATGTCTGTCACCAATTTCTGTTTACTGCAGCCCATCCTTTAACTTACTGTAAATGATGTTTCTATAAAAGAAAAATAACTATTTTACTCCTGTTTAAACACCTCTGTTACATCCATTTCATATAGAAAAATCCAAATTCAAATTTCTTAGTTTGCATGGAAATTCCTTCATAATATAACTTCACACAACACATGTGTTTATATGCACATTTCTTTGCTCTTGCTGTTACAGCTGTCCCCACATTGAATATCTCTCTGTTCCCCAGAGCACTGGGCTCTTTCACAACTGAGTGCTTTAAGGAGTAGTTGCTGCCTTTATTAGGTATGAATAGTCTCTGCTTCCACCCTCTACCCCTTCTTTTTGTAAAAAAAATAAAATAAAATAGCATTGCAATTCTTCAGAACCACTCACCTACCATAGAACTTATGCTCTGTTTTAACTGGCTCATCATTTGACTTTAAATCTGATTAGACTAATAAAGACCAATAGAGCATGTACTTATGTACTTTTTCTGCTTTTTAAACATTATGCTGCCAATATGAATTACAGTGTCACTCCACAAATATGTATTAAATGAATAAACATAGGCCTTTCATGCTCCTATATCACTCTGTTTTTATTTATTTTATAGCACTGCATTGTATTACTGTTTTCTTCTTTACATATCAATATCTCCTATTGGATTTATAATATTTGCCATCTGCATTGTATTTAGCATAGCTGGTCCCCATGCTTTTTTGAAAGACTCTCTTCTGTTCCTCTCGTGTTTTTGGCCACTGCTTCTTAGTCTTCTTTAAAGGTTCTTTTTCCATTTGTAAAATATCTACCCCCTTATCCCCTACCATCTCTTCTTCTCCCCCTCCCCTCCTTCTCATCTTTGAACACTCAGTGCTAACTTCTGTTACATTATCTCTATCTATCTATCTATCTATCTATCTATCTATCTATCTATCCATCCATCTAATCTATCTATCTATCTGTCTGTCTATCTATCTGGTAATATCATCCAAACTCTGACTTTCTTTACCAGTAAAACACAAATAACATTAATTTATAATTCTGTCCAAGATCTTTCCTTTGAACTCTAGATCTATATATCCTGTTTATATAATATGTTCATGCATTTTCTCACAGTCCTTCCCCAAAAAAGCATGATGTTACAGACTGAATTGATTCCCCCCAGTTTCATAAGTTGAAGTCCTAACACCTAAGATCTCAGAAAGTGCCTGTATTTGGAGACAGGTTCTTTAAAGAAGTAACTAAGTTAAAATGGGATCATCAGAGTTGGCCCTAATCCTATGTGACTGACATCCTATAGAAGAAGAGATAAGGAACATAGACACATAGACTGAGGGGTGTTCGTGTGAGGACACAGTGAAAAGGGGGCCATCTGGCAAGCCAAGGAGAGATACCTGAGAAGAAACTAAATCTGTTGGCACTTCGATCTTCACCCCCTAGTCTCCAGAACTGTGGGAAAATTAATTTCTGTTGTTTTAACCATTCATTCTGTGGTATTTTGTTATGGCAGTCCTAGAGAAATCACATACATGCCTAAATATTGAATTCATTTATTTTTCTTCAAATCTCCCCTTCTCATCTTTCTTATTTTAGTGGATAGCACCATCATCCACCCAGTTATAGAAATTTGAAACCTTAATTAGCACAGTAGTTAATGTAGATTGATACGTATTCAATCTTAAGCTGCACCTTCATTCTAAATATCTCTTCATCTCCACTGGTGCCTCCCAAGTTAAGCCACCATTGCCTTTTACTGATATGGCAGATATAGCCCCTTAAATTCCTTCTTCCATTTTTGCTTCTATTCTACATTATCTGCACTGGAAATTGTTTTACTTAAAGTAAAAATATAACCATGTAATTTTCACAATTAAAACTCTTAATAACATCCAATTGCATTAATGTCTAAAACCCTTCAGGGCTTGCAAGGCCTTTTTAGATGTGGGCACTGCCTACCTCTCCAGGCCAATCTTTCATTATTTTTCTTTTCAGTTTCCTCAAATGTACTGTTTCCTTTCTCAGGACCTTTGCACATGCTCTTCCCTCTTCTTACTTTTCTTATCTTTCTTTCTCCACATCTTTTAATAAATGCAATTACAGCTAGCATTTTTCTGAGCTTCATTTTGTGCCACTCACTGTCCTAAGCACTTTAAATATGTTAGCCTATTTAAATCTTACCATAAACCTACATAAAAAGTTTTATTATTTTTATTTTGCCAGTTAAAAAACTGAGGCACGGATAGTTTATTAAAATTAAGTGACTTATTCGAGATTCCAAAGCTGGAAGTGGAGCTTGGATTTGAAATTGTTTGAGGACAGGGTAGCTCTAAAGCTTAGATTATAATTAAGAGCAAAAGCTTTGATTCTCTAAATTAGGTCATGGCAGTCAGTATGCATGCTGTTAAGTCTCATCAGAGTTGTAATGAATAATTGTGTAATAAATTGCTTAGTGCCTATCTTCTGGATCAGAATGTAGTCTCCATGGGATCAGAGGCAATGTCTATCTTGTTGCCATTATGTCTCTAAGTACCTTGTTTATGCTGCCATGATGACATGATGACATGATGAGGGCATTCACAAATATTTGTTAAATAAATACACTGTAACTTTTCCTAGAACAGGGATGCTGACTGTACAGCTTTGGCTCCCAGAGAGTCCTCGCCTACAGAAAATGCTCAATAGATATATGTTTGATTAACTATCACCAGTTAGTTACAGATCTGCAGTAGAGTTTAATTCCATGTTTTGCTGTCTGCCTGTATTAGTCCATTTTCACACTGCTGATAAAGACATACCCAAGACTAAGCAATTTACAAAAGGAAGAAGTTTAATGCACTTACAGTTCCATGTGGCTAGGGAGGCCTCACCATCATGGTAGAAACCCAAAGGCACTTCTTCCATGGTCGTGTCAAGAGAGAGAATGAGAGTCAAGTGAAACGGGTTTCCCCTTATTCAAACCATCAGATCTTGTGCGACTTTTTCACTCCCAAGAGAACAGTATGGGAGAAACTGCCCCCATAATTCAATTATTGCCCACCCAGTCCCTCCCACAACATGTGGGAATTCAAGATGGGATTTGGGTGAGGACACAGCCAAACCATATCACTACCCTAAACAACTGGAAGCATTTTTATCCTAATAAAGGGATGATGATGCAGATGGTGGGATGTTGGTAAGTGTAGACAGGGGGATTATCTGAGCTATTTATCCCTATTTTTATCCTCCAGACCAATTTTCATTTTAATTTATGTTATAATTTACTGCATTTGAAAATCTTAGGCATATATTAAATACATCTCTCTTTGTCTCTTTGTCTTTCTCTCTGTTTCTGTCTTTCTCTCTGTCTCTGTCTCTCTCTGTTTCTCTCTCTTTGGGTAGGCTGTGATAGTTACTTGTTTTGTGTCTTTTTTTTCTAGCTCTCGTTTTCTTCAAGTTCAGTATTTTTCATTTTAATGCAATGTAAACATTATGGACACTATGCCTGTCTTGGAGTCATTTTTGTTATTGGAAGAGTTTCTGACTCCTCGGAGATGAGTACTAGATAAGCCATAATTGTACTAGTACAGAGTTTAAAGGCATGGCAGTACTATGATTGGGTTAATACTTTACTACCTTCCTCCTGCTTCTAATTCATTTCTCCCAAAACAATTAAGAAATGTCTCAGAAGTCCTATTCATACATCTTCACCATCCTAGTAGAGGGAGAGAGAAACAGTAAAAAATAACTAAAATGGTTCTACCACTCTGCACTTAATGAGCATCTGTAAGAAATATTTAATATTTGAAGAGCTTTTAAATAATTTTTTTGGTAGAAAAATATCCAGAATCTTCTTTTAATAAGCACATCTAGAGAAACAGCTCATTGAATGGTTTTCAACAGTTAAGGTTTTTCTTTCTTAAAAGAGATTTATCATAATTAGTATGTTCAAATTATCATTGCAGTAGAAATTGGCATCTTCACACTGAACAACATTCATATTTCATGTAGATTAGAATTTTTTTTTCTTAAGATCAACGTGAATTAGTGTTAAAATTTGCTGCTTGTATTTTGTAGGTATATAGTCCCAGGGGTAATTAGTAAGGCAATCACAATCTTAACCTCACAGACCATAAACTTGAACCTATTAAATGTGTGTGTGCATGCGTGTGTTGCACCCCTAGTTTCTCTTTCCCCATGGCAGAGGGTGGTGGTGGTGGTGTAAGAGGTTAACATGAAGGGAGGAAGGTGGGACCTCAAATGGATCAGATTGTGGAGGACTCAATCAATAAGTATTATGCACAATTAAAACACTCAGTGGTAACCATTGGGAAAATTTTTGTTTTGCTAATAAAGTTATTGTTAGGATTAGTGCTTAAATTTACAAAATAATTCCCTTAGACCTTGAGTAAAAGGAATAGTGCTGTTCTTTTAAAGTTGTATTATAAAACCACAAGTTGTTTTCTTTTTCCTTCCCAAACTATATTGGCAACTTACAGCAGTAGCATAAACAATATTATTAGCAGGTATAAAGAAAAAAAGGTAGTGATAGAAGACAGTCTGGCAGCATTTAAAAAAAAAAGAAACCAGACAGGAAGAATCCAGTTACGCTTAGCTAAAAGAGAGTGTCCCTGTGGTAAAAATATTTCACAAATTCTGTTCCCATTGCCAGGCTTATCCAGAAAGTGGCAAAGACTCCCAGACTATCTTATTTGGGTATTTTTAATAAGACTGTCTAAATACTTTTAGTACTAATTTAGACCATGTAAATTTAGGATTATCACAGCCTTTTTTAAAAGTTGGATTATAAGAGAAAGAATGCTTTAGATACATTCTCTAAAATTCAGGTCTTACAGCAATTATGTTTCTCATAATTAATAAATTACATTCCCGTGTCTACTTCAATTTTCAATGCATTTTAGTTGGCTTAATGTATGTAATAAAAAATCCCATGAGCCTTTAAAGCATAGACTTAGTTTTTAGAATCCAACAAGCTAACTAATGCGGTTCCTGGTTTGAATCAGCTTTCTCTTGGCTCAATCATTTGTATTGTTTTTGGGGTTAAGGTCTTCACTTTGCCACTCTGAGGAAGACTATGCAATCTCTCACTAAATACACACACACACACACACACACCTCCCATAATTCTATATATTCTTTCTTTGTATACAATTTCAAAGGAATCTTGGGACTCTGAAGCTCACTCATTTGCTTGAGAATTAGGAACTTTCTACCTCACTGTAGTTTGAGTTTAAGCTTCTCTCTTGCTCCATTTTGTGCTACTATACCAAATACCTGGGGTTGAGGAATTTATAAAGAAAAGAGGTTTATTTCTTACAGTTCTGGAGGCTGGAAAGTCTAAGGTTGAGAAACCCAGATCTGGTGAGGGCTTTCTCACGTGTCATCCCATGGTGGAAGACAGAAAACAAGAGAGCTCGCACAATGTTGTGGGGGGATTGGGTGAGGGAAGGGGGATGAATTCAGTCTTTTACTAGAAACCCAGGTAAACCCAGCCCTCATGAATGAATCACCTTTTAAAGAAACCTGTCTACACTGTTGGCTTTAGGGATTAAGCTTCCAATGCATGAATTTGGGGGACACATTCAAACTATAGAAGCTTCTAAATGATGCTCAAAGTTTGATTTTATGCCCAGCCACCCCAAAGAGGAGAAATGTTCATCCTCACTAGCCAATAGTCCCTGGTGATTGGATTTCCAAAATGATTGAAACGTTAAGCACATCCATCCATTGATTGGATTCTTTCTTTAGCCTCTTTGTTGCAAGTAGCTGAAATGGAAAGGGCATCTCTCTTTTTCTTGCCAGAATTCTTCTCTTTTTTCCATGAGGTGGAGAAGGTAAGCACTGCTCCATTCCTCCAGTCATCACATACTCAGTCATTGGGATATATACCTCCAGCTGTTTTTTTCTCTTTTCCTTTGTCTTTTTTTTTTTTAAATCTGTGTGTATTCTTCTCACTCGTCTTTTTATATTTTTATTACAGATATATGTAATCATAAATAATAGCCAACATTTATAGTACTTTTATTATACCAGTCAGTTGTCATTATTCTGATGGCACACACACACACACACACACACACACACCCCACACACAATTTAGTCTTCACAATGATCCTCTGAGGTAGATACTGTCATTATTCCCAAATTAGTTATGAGAAAACTGAAGCCCAAAATGTTTCTTGCCCAAAATCACAGTTAGGAAATGATGGAGTTGTCTCCAGATTTTATATTCTTAATCAATATGTTTTTGTTTTTTCATGAAATATGAAATCATGAATGATATTTATTTATTTATTTATTTATTTTGCCTGAAGTATCTCCTTTAACATGTCTTGTAGTGCAGGTTGCCTGGTGATGAGTTCTTTCATCTTTTGTATGTCTAAAAACACTTTACTTTGTCTTTATTTTCTGCTAGGCATATTCATTGGGTATAGAATTCTAGATTTACAGTGTCCCCTTTCCCAATACTTAAAATATACTGCTCCACTGTCTTCTTACTTGCATTATTTCCAATAAGAAATCTGATATGATTCCTAGGTTTGTTTCTTTCTGCATAACATGTCTTTTTCTCCGGTGCTTTTATGATTTTCTCTCTATCACTGCTTTTAAGCAATTTTGATTAAGCTATACATTGGTATTGTTTTATTCATGTTTCTTGATTTGAGTTTCATTGAGATTCTTGAATATGTGGATCAACATTTTCCATCAGGCCTGGCAGGGCGGCTCATGCCTGTAATCCCAGCACTTTGGGAGGCTAAGGTGGGTGGATCATTTGAGGTCAGGAGTTTGAGACCAGCTTGGCCAACATGGTGAGATCCCATCTCTACTAAAAATACAAAACTTAGCCAGGTGTGGTGGTGGACACCTGTAATTCCAGCTACTTGGGAGGCTGAGGTAGGAGAATCGCTTGAACCTGGGAGGTGGAGGTTGCAGTGAGCCAAGATTGTGCCACTGAACCCCAGCTTGAGAGACATACTGAGACTCTTGTCTCAAAAAAAAAAATTCCATCTCCATCAAGTTCGTAAATATTTTGGTCATTATTTATTCAAATATTATTTTGGTTCTCCAATCCCATCCTTTGAGGACTTCAAATGAAATTGTTCTATAGCTTTGTGATGCTCTTTGTATTTTTAAAAATGTATTTTTAAAAATGTATTTTTCTCTGTATGTTTCATTTTGGATGTCTATATTTATATACCTTCAAGTTCCCCAATCTTTTATTTCACAATGTCTAATCTACCACTAATCCTGGCTAATATACTTTAAATTTCCAGCATGGTCATTTGCATTTTTAGAAACTCAATTGAATTCTTTTTTTAGCATCTGCTACGTCTTCTTTTAACTTCTTTTAACTTTTTGGACATATGGAATGTCATTATCATGAGGGTTTCAATGTCTTTGTTTGCTAATTCTAATGTCTATGTCAATTCTGGGTCAATTTCACCTAATTCATTATTCTCCTTATTATGGCTTATGCTTTCCTAAATTTTTTACATGCCTGGTACTCTAATTAAAAGCTAGATATTGTGAATTTCACCTTGTTTGGTGCTGGATAATTTTGTACTTCTATAAATCTTTTACAATTTGTTTTTAACTACTTGGAAATGGTTTGATCTTTTTGGAACTGGTGCATTATAAAAATAATTTGTCAGTAGCTTAGGAGCACTGTTTAGTCTATAATTAATTTTCAGCTATTGAGGCACTACCTTCCTGGGCACTCTACCCAGTGTCCTGTGAAATCAGAGGTTTTGCAGTCTGGTTGGTCAGAACACAAACATTTCTTGGCCCTATGTGAATGTTGGACCCTACTTATTCTAATTATTTTGGACAGTGTTTTCTAGCCTTGGACAATTTTCTCACACACTTGCTTTGATCTAGTGATCTACTGATCTACTGCTGAATGCCAATAAGGGTGGGATGTGAAGGTGGAATGTGGCCCTCTACAGAGGAGTAGGGGCGTTTCTCTGTACAGCTGTATCTTCCTTGGTTAACTTTTTCTTTGAACACTAGCTGTCTTAATTCTCCAGGAATCTCAGCTCTGTCTCTTCACCTCATGGAGTCTGCCAGGTTTCACCCTCAGTTCCTTCCCTGTCATAGTTTAAAATCTCTTTCAAGGCCAATAAGATGGGGCTCACCTCATTTGTTTTTTTGTTTTTGTTTGCTTGTTTTTTCAATTGTTTAAGGAGGGAGGGTGAGGGGTAAATTTGATCTCTGTTATTCCATCTTGGCTGAAAATGTATGACAATTATATATTTTTTTAATTAAAATATTACCTATATGTTTTCACTTTGTACATACTCTTTTGAAACTTACTTTTTCTACTCAATCATATATGTCAAGATTTATACCTCCAGACTCATTAGTGTATTTCATTTTAACTGTTATTTAGTAGACATATTATGCTAATACTTGTTTTCTTATCAATAACTTTGCATATTTTCAACCAGTTGCCATTATTATAATGGAGCAGTTCACATTACGAATTTTCAGATTTTTTATCTGTAAAATGCTGATAGCAATAGCAGAGTTGTTATCAGAATTATAAAATGTGTCTTATGTTGTTCAAAAGGAGCAAAAGTGCACAACAGATACTCAGTAAGTTTTAAATTATTCTAAGATGGCTTTCTCTCCCTTTTTTTCCTATTAATCTAATTCCTCTTCTCTTTCTTTCTACTTTATCTTGCCTTTTTGGATTGATCAAACAAGGCTAACTAACTCATTAAACCCAGTAAGTAATTACAGGTCAACAGTCATTTTATGAGCTACAGGAATGAGCAAGAGAGGCAATCCAAGTGACACCATGTGAATTGTTTTGACTGAACTTTTTGGTTTTTAAAATCCTGGCCTTCTAGGACTCAACTTTTCTCCTAGTAGCAGGAAATATAAGGAAGACCTTAGGGAAAGGCCACAAATAGTACTTCAAAGCACTGTAGTTCCTTGGAGAGGTAGGAAGCAGGGCACTAAATCGTGTTGCCAAGGTGTACAGAGATTGCCTTTCTCTGTATCTGCCTAATTTGCTCCTGGAGGAGCTAATTCTTTTTACATTTTGGAAATCAAAGCTCCATGGATAAATACTGCTTTTTCTGACCTTATGTTTTTTTTTCTAGACTTCATTTAAAACATCTCAAATCAGATCAAAGGGAACACAAGGCTGTGCATTTAGATATCCAGTTGAAGTCATTTTCTTAGTAGTTTTCCTACCACCTATGTTTTCCTCCTCCCACTATCTGCATTTTGCTGCCAGGCTCATCTTCCATAAGTGAACTTCACAGACATGGATGATTCCCCATCGTCTCCTAAATGGAACACAATAGTCTCAACCAGCTTTCAATCCTCTGCACACTGTGATCTATAAGATATCTTTTCATATTTATGCTCTGGTGATACCCTTCCAGTACCCTGCATTTCAACTCCATAGGACTGTTGACTTATGGCTGCTGTAAGTGGCTGTGCAGTAGTGAACTGCACAAAGGCAGAAGGGTAAGGGGACTGAAACTCAGCGTGCGCTCTGGCCTAGCTACACACTTTCAGAGTTGTGTCCGCGCAAAGGAGGTGCTTTTTTTCTACTCTGAAGGAAAACGAGATAAGGCCGAGTTTGTCCTGTTAACTCATGGTCCTGTTAACTCAATGCTCACCAAACACAACTTAAACTATTTCCTGTATCTGTCTGTGTCTTTGCTCATGCTCATTATTTTCTGTAGATTCCCAACCTCTTTTTTCGTCAATAAATTCTTTTTTCATCCAATCCACTAAAGCTGTCAAAGCGTTACTGCTGATCTGATACTAGTGCTTATGGTTTTAATCTTCTCTTTGGTAATTTTTTGGTTGACTTCCCTCTTAAATCCCTCTTCTTTTGGTTTCTATGTCATGTCACTTTCCTTATTTTCTTTTAAATATCTGACTAGTCGTATTTGGGCTTTCTTGGATTCCTCTCACCCCACCTCATTTCTTGATTCTTAAGTGTTATTATTCTTCAGGTTTTTGGTCTTTATATTTATTGTACCTGGCCTATATGTTCTCCCTGTTTGATCACATTTTCTAGCATGTCTTCAACTCGCATCTATGACTTGACTCTCAAATCTTTCTTGAGCTCCAGACCTACGTCTCCAACTGCCTGCTCAGGCATCTCTTCTTGCATGTATCCCTAAATCAATGTCTAAAACAGTATTGAATGTCCACTTTCAAAGTATCTCATCAACTTGTATTTCTATCCCAGTTCCTGGCAGCACAATATACCAGTTTCCCAAATTATAGTTAGGTAATTCTTTCCCTCCTCTCTACTCCTGACAGTCAACCAATTTTCAAGGCAATTCTACCTTTGAATGTTTCTCATCATCCCTTCTTCTTGTCTATCCCAACTGCTATTGCTTTAGTTCAAACGTTCATCTTCTTAAGGCTAGACTATTACAAAACACTCCTCTTTTACATTTCTTGTGCTTCTTGATATTTCAGCCCATCCTGCACATTGCTGACCTAATTACATTTCTAAAACATTGATTTATCATGTCCTCATCCCATCCCCTGGTTTAGGATCAAAATACAAAGCACCAATTAATTGAAAGCCCATTCTCCTAAACACAGTGCTAAACACTTCACATACGTTTGTTGTCTCATATAAAGTGCACAGTAATCCTGATGCAAAGATAATATTATGTTAGAGATTAAGAAAGCTCACAAGTACAAATAATTTTCTCACACAGAAATGGCAAAGCAGTGTTTCAAAGATAAGTTACTCAGATTACAAAGCCTCAATCTGCCTTCTAACCCTTACTGCCCCTTCCGAGATTTGTACCTTAACGTGACTATTTCATGTTTGGATAGCCTTGTCAAGTTACTTAGTATAATAAGAATAATGACAATATAAAACTCATAGGAATTTTTTTCTTAAGAAAAATGAAATACATATGAAGTACTTGAAAATAATAAGTGCTATGCAGATATAAGTTATTATTACAGACACTTCAAGTTCCTGATGGTAATTTTCTAAAAGTTTCTTGATTTGCCAGGTTGAATTGATTCTTGTTTCTTTCAGTGCACTCATTGCTGTTGGTGCCTAGCTCAGTTTATTTTACTTACTTACAATTTTTTCTCTGCATAACTGAGTTTTTTTAGAACAAAGGCTGTGTCTCCATCATTGCTATATACCCAGGACCTATCAAATTACCTGACAGAGTAGATTGAACACCATCTGCCAGCCAAAATGAAAAACAAAAATCTTAGTTAAAATTCATGCAATAGCTTGAAAAATATTTAAACCCAGAAAGATATCCTGTTCACTTTCAAAGTCAGTAAAGGTTTATAGAGAGCAGAGACTGAATTTCAAAGAGAAGATTTGAGAAAAGAAATAAATAGACAGATTAGATTCTCAATTCAAATATAAAGCCTTTAAAATATTACTGTTGTAGATCTTTTTAAATAGCCCTTTCAAATTGTCAAACAACAACAATTTATTAAAAGTTAAGAAATAGACTCCCTGCTACTTCATCTGAACCTGCGGTAGAAATAATATGCTGTTGGTTCCTAGATTTTTAAGGGTCTATGAATGTGGATGTAAAATTCTAGGGTGTTTTTAATATTTTAATAATCTTCTTGAAATTGCTTAATTCCCTGAATTAGATGGTCTGGCTAACAAAATATGTTTTCTTTTCTGTGGGCTAGAAGTAAAGCAGCACATTTTGAAAGTAATAGGTAATGATTGGCTTCTGATGATATCACAGAAATTATTAGAACAAGTTAGGAGATTAAACACTGTGACTAGAACCCCATGAAATGGTCACTGTAATGAACTGAACATGTCCTATGTGTGATAAACCTTGGATACAAACGCTAAGTGACAGTAAAAATGAGCTACTGGTAGCACTGAAAAATGCTAAGTGTCTGTCAACTTATTTATTACTTCTTAGTATTACAACTAACTTGTTAAATCATAAAAATATTATGAAATCACAAATACAGAATGTAGGGTTAAAATCTGAATAAGTGTAAGAAAAGATAGGGCTAAACATTAATAAATATAGTTTTGTAAGCAGACAAATTCTTTCAGATTATGTTGTCCATAAAGCAATAATAAAAGGAAAATTTAGTGATGAAAACATTGATACATTTCCATGAAAATGCATAAATTTTAATGGTATAGTAAACTTATTCTTACTGAATGAATGTACCAGCATATGCACCTAAATGAAAATATAAAACATTACTTGCATCTCAGGAAACTTTCTCATAGGTGCTCCCAGTACTTACGCACTGAGCCCCTGTCCCAGCTCTGGCAAAAGGTAACCACTATTCTGACTTTAATACCACATATTAGATTTGCCTCTCTATGTACTTTATGAGATCAAATAATTCAGTTTGTATTTTTGTCTTTGACTTTTTACACTCTGTATTATGCCTGTGGTATTCATCTGTGTGATGGTATATTATAGTAGTGTGCTCCTCATCATTGTTATATGGTGCCCCATTGTTTGAAAACACACTGAAAAATGTTCTCCTGTTGATGGACAATTGGGCTTTTTCCAAGTTTTAGCTATTGATGATAATGCCGCTATGAGCATTCTAATATGTATTAATATCTGTATGTATCTGTTGCTGCATATCTGTACACATTTTGGTTGAGTATATAATTAGAGTGGACTTGTTAAACAATATGAATGCACGTGGTCAGAGTTTGTATAATAGATTCTGTAAGTTTTCCAAAGTGGTTTTTCTACTTTTATTTCAACTAGCAGGGAGTGAGAGTTCCTGTTGTTCCATATCTTAACAGTTAGCATTGTCAGATTGATGGATTGATGGATTGATGGATAAAATTTTATTCATTCTAGTGGGTAGGTGGTAATATCTCATTTCAAACTCAGCTATAATTCTTTTATTTATCTCCTCTTTTCACAGATTGTGGTTTAGTATTAATGATGTCTCGTAGTTCTCATAGTGTTATTGTTTGTTTTCTTATTTTTACCAGTTCTATTTTGTTTAGTCCAATTTCTGCTACCAAGTACCACCGAGTATTGTTGTTGTTCCTGAATTTTATGTTTATCATAATAAAGACATCAATTTTCAATTTCTTTGCAAATAATTTGTTCTTACTCATTTGGCATGTTATTGATCTAATGAAAATTTCAGAGTAAAGAATAGGGGGTTGTGGGGTATATGCTAATTTGGAATGAATGCCCTATGCATATTTTCCCAAGATAATTCAAAGATTTGAATTTATTTTCCTCTAGCACTTCTGATTGATGTTGAGTCAGAGAAGGCTAGCGGACACCAGTCAGTGGCTGCAGAACCAGCAATAACCAAGCCCTTTATACAAGCATTTTTATGCTCTCCATGAAATAGAATGGTTAGAATGAATTTTTAAGAAGTAGATGTGGCTTCTTGAATTTATCTTTCCCGTCCACTAACTTAATACAGATCAACATGGTGACCTTGGAAGATGGTGGTGGCATAGGTAGAAGCAACCTACTTTTCTGAGTTACTATTTGGAGGGGAGTCTTCCACAGATTAGGAGCATTAGGACTATGTAGGAGTGAGTAATAAACTTCTAATGTGTTTGGGCCACTTAAAATTTGGGGGTTTGTTTGTTACATCATCTAGCTTTTAATTAATATAAAAATTGGAACTTTGAAAAAGAGTTATTTCTCCAACAAATAATTAAAATATGTGGCATTGGCTTGATAATCACTAGAGGGCAAGAAAATGCATATTAGAGGCTGGAAAAATGACAATCTATATTTTGCAGTGACAAAACATTTGGTAAAACTGCAAATCACCTGGAAGCTAATCAATTGTTTATAGGTCTGTAACTCTAGGAGTACAGACACCTGATTGTGTACTAGTTGCTTCTTATAGCACATGGAAATGTATTATTAAAACAAAACAAAAAGTATAAGAACAACTGGCAGTTTGAAAGCAGAAATGAAACGGTGTAGAACGATTCTGAAAGCTTTAGGGCTTGTAGAGTTGGAAAAATTGTCAGCTTCTACATTCCAAACAGCAAGAAATGAAACTGAAAACAGCGTTGAACAATAAGAAGTTATTAATATTTTTCAGGTAAACAGCCCTGGGACAAAGAACAGACTACGGGTATTGCCTTCTTAATCAACAATAAAGTATTAGTTGGCTTCCAGGCAGACACCACTGACTTTCAAGAGAAAGGCACGGGAGTAAGGAAGTAAAGAATTCAGGTAGGCTTGAAAATTATACTCAAGAAAGAAAATTGGTCCTAGTTACTTGTACATGGAAACAACTGGAAATAAATAAATTAGAATCTACTAAGATTTTGAGGGATTCTAATTGTTAAAATCCTTATGAACTGGCCAAGAAAAAGCCTATGACTATAATACTCTTTTCCAGTCCTCAAACTTGCACCAGCAGGAAAGAGTTTCTGGAAGTTGTATAGGTCCCCAAAACTGGCTCACTCTTCAATATTCACAGAAGATAAGGTACAAGGACAAACTTCTCAGGGCTGGAACCAGAGACAAAAGACAACGACGGGCAAGAGAGTTTTTTTTTTACCAGGCAGCAGGTTTATAGTCTAATCTGTGAATATTCTCTACTGACAAATAGGAGAACGCCTACCCAGCAGGAGTTAGCTATTTCTGTAGAGTTTTACTGTTTTCCCTTTTCTTTTCCAGTTGGGAGTTTTTAATTATAGTCCTCCTATCCCTCCTCCTCTATCATATATTGAGAGAAAGACAGAGAGAAGCGGGGGAAGGGAGGAGGATGTGGAAGTAGAAACTGATTTGTCTGTTAATGTGTAGGAGCCATTAGGACCTGGTGAAGAAGGCTGTATTTCACCAGGACATTCTCAACTTCGATTTGGTAAAAGTTTCTTGATGGGATTTTGGAAGATCTCTCTTGGCCAGGGCTTGACTATGTCCTATGTGTGAGGGAAATAGATGGCCAGAGGGGTGGACTATTTAAAATAAGACTAGTAGAGCCCTTCAAAATTGTGTGTCTCCTTCTATAATGTCCATAATGTGGAGTTGTTGCTAAGATGTGGTTTCCAATCCAGCAAATACTTTCCCCTACTTTGTTTTTTTTTTTTTTTTTTGTTTTTTTTTTGAGACGGAGTCTCGCTTTGTCGCTCAGGCTGGAGTGCAGTGGCGCGATCTCGGCTCACTGCAAGCTCCGCCTCCCGGGTTCACGCCATTCTCCTGCCTCAGTCTCCTGAGTAGCTGGGACTACAGGCGCCCACCACAACGCCCCGCCAATTTTTTGTATTTTTAGTAGAGACGGGGTTTCACTTGTTTAGCCAGGATGGTCTCGATCTCCTGACCTCGTGATCCGCCCGCCTCGGCCTCCCAAAGTGCCTACTTTACGTTTTACTTTTCAGCTAGATTTTTAAAGAAGCAGGTGTGCCTTTTTCACTGGCTTTTTCACCTTCTCTCATCTTGGTTTCAGGGAGCATGACAACCCTGTAAGCCACATATTGAAGATGGCAGAACCATAAGACCGAAGGAGTTTGTGTCCTTGAATTATTACTTTAGGGAAAGCTTCCAGTCAATCAGGAACACCTTTGTTTTTTAGAGGAAGAAATAAAATTTAAATGTGTATGAGCTGTTTTTAGATTGATTTGTTACAATAAGCTAATGTTACTTAAATAATAAGGCATGATTTTGTGTTTATTTTTAATTTTACTATAAGGAAAATGTTACAGATAAGAAGTACTTTAGTGACATTTAGGTGGTTAGGTGCCAGGGTGAAGGGAGGTCTGTAGTGATGTATCCTGAGATCCTGTCCTGTCTGACTTGTATGACATGCTTTGCAATTATGTTGCAATTATTTGACTGGAAACCTATAAAGAAGTCATGTTTGCAAGAGCTATCAACAATGAAAATTAATTGATTACAAATTGATTATAATTTTATTTTTATGTGAGAAGTCAACATACTTAAGTTTCACATAGGAGAAAAGAAAGATAATTGCTGTTTTTATGTTTAACAAGATGAGTAAATACAGGATGAAGAACATGTGACTCAACAGCAGTTCATATAAAATATCCTGAGGTTTTTCATTGGCCACAAATTCAATACAAACAAAAAATACCATTCAGTTGTTAAGAAAAGAAAGTAAACATCCCTTTATATTTTTGATGAAATAGAAATCGAGGATTTAATAGACACATTTTAATAAGGGTCGATACAACCACATCTGCGTATTCAGTTCCAGACCCTGTATTTTAAAAATAAACATTTTGATGTAAGTGGGGTTGTGGCTACATTGTGGAAGTTTCCCTAGCCTTCTCATTTTACAAACATTTGAGAGAACTGAAGATGTATGTCCTGGAGAAGCAATAACTAAAAAAAGACTTAATATCTGCATTCCAAGGTTCAAAGCTATCACATAAAGTTGTATCTACTGTGGCTTCAAATGCCAGAAGTTTCATCAATTCAAAGAAACTGGAGGGGATCTTTTAAACTTTTTTCTCTGACAGATCTTTCAAAGAGAGTTGTTGTTTCATAAAGTACTGAGGAATCTGTCATGGAAAACATACAAATAGAAATCAACCAGCCCTGTGCCAGAATGATTGCAGCAAGCATTTCTTTTTGAGTAAGTTAGACTATGTATCTCCAAGGTAGTGGTTCCCAACATTTTCCAAATCATGGCACAAAAGAAAGAAATATTTGTGTCTCACAGTGTGATTAATTGTGATAGGCCATTTAAAGTGAGACACAATTGGCTGAAGCTCAGCCCATCCCACTCCCTGTTGGTGGCTGGAAAGCTCTCTCCACTCACCTCTAACCTTTTCAGAGTACACCATTGTGTTGTGGCACATGAGTTGGAAGAACTTTACTCAAGTCATATCCAACTCTAAGACTGCATGATTCTCCATTAGAGGATGGAAAGATCCTTTGTTTTCCCAGCAAGAAATGGCTTCCATTTTAGAAACTAAATGGCAGGAAATAGAACAAATGTAGATGAAATGTATTCTTGCTTCTGATTCTTATATCATTGCTACAGGGTTCTGATCCTCAAATCTGAAACTGGGCAAATAATTCTGGATTTTTATTATTCCGGGAACTTGTCTCCAAAACCAGGGTACTACTTCATAATAAGTCAATTACTTATTCTGTGCAAAGAAGTAAGGAGAAACAAATCAGAATATTTGATCTGTAGCAAAGAAATAACAGCTTCTGCAGAAGAAAGCATATTGAGCAGAATGCTAGAATAACAAATGATAATGTCCTTTTCAAAGGGAGCTAACAGAGCTGCAAGATCTTGGACTATGTCCATATTTAGTTTCCCATGTCAGTTCTGAATTTTTAGCTGCTTAGATCTAAGTTTTATTTCAGCTGGAAGGATTGTAACTATTTATGTCATATTGAAGATATCAAGTGGGCAACCAATTTATGACTACATATCAAGGGAAATTATATTATACATTTAGCCATGAGCTCAATTTTTTCCACTAAGAAAGTCTTCCTTGCTAGAGGACTACTTGTCTTTTTCAAAAACACGGCTTCTTGGATCTCAACTCTTTTGTAAAATCTTTAAGATGAGAGAAAGGGATGAAGGATCTTGTCAGAAAGAGAAAACAGATCTCCCATGTCCAATACATGTTTGTTCTGGATTTTCATCATTTAAAAATTTTTGTCATTTTATACAAATAATGCAAATTAGTAATAATTTGCTAACAATGTTATGGTTATTTCTTATTTTCCATTTTTTTGGTAACAACTGCTATAGTTTGGATTTCTGTTGAATTAATATTTATTTATTTCTTATTTCTCACAGATCACCCTCTTAGATTATTTCTAAATGTTAGGACAACTCTGATACCTGCCCTCTGAATCACTCGCCATCATTTCTCTGCCCTTTCAAACAAGAGTAATCAATTTATCCTTGCATTCTGCCAGATCCTGTTTTTCATTCGTATGCTCTTTCACACAAACACCTCCTTTGTTCTGTTTTTCACATTTTCTATGTTCCTACTAATTTATTTTTGTCTGTGTGATCTATGAGTTATTGGAAGATGTATATTAAATCTTTTGATAATGGATGTATTAGTTTATACTTGTGGGCGTTTGTGTTGGTTTTTGCTTTACATACAGTCCATTCTCATTGTTTTTAATAGTTCTGTTTTATAAAGTTGCTGTGAGTACTGAAATAGTGAATGTCGAACCATTATTCTGAGGGGAAATACAGGGTTAGGTTCCTGTGAGTCTCTGGTCAGAATATTTCCATCAACTGACCAACACATAAGTTTGTGTGTGTGTGTGTGGTTTTATTTAAAGGTACTTTATTTAGCATACATTGTTGATTCATTAACACAGAATTTATGGCCAACGGCATCATAAATCATGCTTGAACAAAGCTTATCTAATACAAGTATTTTCTTTATAAGGTACATTATAGCCTGCTTATGAAAACTAGACAGAATTTCAGCATTACACTTAGGGGCCGTTTTAAACTGTGAAATCACCAAGAAAAAGCACAAATGTGAAAGACGCAGAACTACATAGACCGTGAAAAGAACACCTGGTTACAGTGTGAGAGCTGAAACAAGAAAGCAGAACGTCACTTTCTTCAGCCTCAACTGGGAAGGTGCATTTAGGGCAACTCAAATGTTTTGCTACTCTGTACATGTCTGAAAATGACCACAAAAGTCCTATGACTATTGCTTTTGGGGTTAGAAATAAATTTCAGTGAGTGGGAGAATTTGCAAATATGGAAACCCCAAATAGCGAAGATTGCCTGTATTTGAAACTGCTATTAGGTGCATATAAGTTTAGAATTATTATACCTTCCCAGTGAATTCAACCTCTTATAAATAAGGAGTGAATTTCTTATTTCTAGTAATGTTATCTGCCTTAAAGTGTATTATATTTGGTATTAACTCTGTATCAGCTTTCTCTTGATTAACATATGCCAATCTTTTTTACATTCAACTTTCCTGTCCTTGTGTGTTTTTTTTAAAGATGTATCCTCTTAAACATCTTTAATTGTACAGTACATAGACAACACCACTAATTTGCATGTCATCTTTATGCAGGAATCATGCTAATAATTCTGGTTTTTGTATATGTGCTGTCCAAGTGAGCACTGTACTTATGTTTTAAGTCTTCCTTTTAAAAAGAGCTTTTGGATGTACTTAAAAAAAAACAGTCTTTAAAAGTAAAAAACCTTCTGTCTTTCATTGGAAATTTTAGTCCTTTTATAGTTACTGTGATTAACTATTTGGATTCATTTCTATCCTATTATTTTGTGCTTTCTGTTTTTCCCATTTGTACTATATTTTTTCTTTCTTTTTTTGTCTTTATTTGTATTGATGAAACTTTTTCTTGTCTTCTATTTTTTCTTCTAACTGCAGAAAGAATTTTTAGCTATTGACTCAATTTATCTAATATATGTAAGACCGATCTAATTTCTATTTTATCTTGAATCAGTTTAGAGACTATGTTCATTTCTTTTCTTGCAATGGTTATCACAGATATGTTAGCATGTATATTTTATTTAGGGAAAATCGAATGGAACCAGGCACCAACATTTGAACATTACTTATATTAGAATTATTAGCTCTAAGGAAATTTACTTCATTATTTGTGGAGAAGAGTCTAATGATTTTTTTTTTTTTAGGGCAAACGTCGAGCTTTCCTCTGGGCTCCAATGTAAAAGAAGTGGATAGCGGCTGACTAGTGTACATATTATGTATGCAGACTTTGAAGGAATCCCCCTTGTTTTTAGCTGTTCTTCCATTGCTCCTGGAGACTCTGAGCTCAGAGATTTTCTAGGCTCTGATGGGCAGAGTGGCTCGTTTCCTCCCTGAAGTTTCCTTCATGCCACATTCTGGATTACAACCTCCTCCAAAGAGTGTCATCTGTCAATATAATGTCATCTCTTGATTTCTCTGTTTTCTTTTCTTCACTATAATAGGTAATTCTATGTTTTAGCAGAGCTAAATACATCGCCTTCATCTTCAATCCTGGAGACTAATTCCTTATTGAAAACAAACTTTACTATTTTATTATTTATTACTATTATTATTACTAATAATAAATATTACTATTTATTATTAAAAAAGTAATAAGGTACATTTTAGTTACTTGGACTATAGAGAAATTATAGAAAAAATTAAAAATCCACCCACAATCTTGTAATCTAGAGATTACCATTGTCAATATTTCTGTATTTCTCTAGTATTCCTACAACATACATTTCAAGGTGTCTAGGGTGAGCCAGAGCTTAGATTTTAAGAATAGGTTGACATGTGTACTGGAAGGTTTAAAATGTTAGCTTCATCAATAACAAGGTGTATGGCTTAGGGTAAATCTCTTAGTCATTCTGGACTGTTTCCTCTCCTGTACAATGGAAATAATAATATCTAATTGGCTTATTGTAAGCAATACATGAATTAACACATGTAAAATGAGTAGAAGAGTGCCATGCACAAAATAAAGACTATATAAATGTTAGCCATTTTTATCCCTTCTACCCATGCAACTGCAAATGAGAGCTTTGTAAGTGAGGAAATTCATCCATCTTTATATGAATCTTGCCTACCTTGTTATAGCAGCTGGTTTTGGCATGGCCAGTTGAACCTAGTGGGAACCATCACATTAGTTGCTGACTTGGGAGAATAAACTGACTAGATGAAGAGAAGAGAGAGAGTTTTTGTGGTGCTAGCTCCAGTTACCCTGATACTTTTTGCACTCTTTGTGCTTCTGTATCTTATCTTCTTGTGGCTCTGTTAGGTGAGCAAAATCTTCCTTTTGCCTATCCAATTTACAGTATTTTCAGAGTCAAATCAAAGAGTCTTGAAGAATACATTTATTTTCCTGGATATCAATATTTTCCTGGATATCATTTATTAGACAAACATTTCTACTATAAATATTAAAGACTTTGCACACGTATACCCACCTAATGTTTACCACAGTCCTATGTAATATGTATTATAATCGCCACTTAATATTCAAGGTTACTGTGACACAGAGAAGTTAAGAAACATTCTAAAGCAGGGAGTCTAGGTCCAAAATCTATGTTTTTAACTGCTATGCCATGTTGACATGCCCCAGTCACTTGGACTACACTCCAATTTGCAATATGCAAAGAGAATGTAGATTCCTTTGATAGAATTTACACACCAAAGAATCTTATGAACCAACATCAGTCTGCTTACCAACTCTCTCTCACACACGCACTGAGTAGAGATGAATCACTAAATTAGTCTAATCCAGTAAAATTATTCCTTCCTAATATTTTAATTAGTGCCTTTATTTTTTTCCCTTGCCTACCATCTCCTCCAGGTGACATCTGATTGTATAAAGGATATTTATTTATTTGAGATTTTGTCTCAGAAGCGAGTCCAGAAAGAAAGGAGCTCTGCCTGGGGTTTCCTTTTCTGCCTGTGTGGGTGATGGTATGTTTGGGTGATGGTATGTTTGGGTGATGGTAGGGGCAGGACTCCTGCGTACCAGGGTTGTAGTATGGTTCTTAAAGCTGATCAGCGACTTTTTTTTTTTATTATATTATACCTTTCCTCTACTTACTTGAGAAAATAAGCTTCATATGCTAGGGGACATGCTTTATAGAAAAATAATATTTTATAAATTATTTTTATTCTAACTGTAATATGGCCATTCTAGTTTTCTGTGGGTATTCTTTTATCTAAAATGTGTATTTTTTTTTTTTTTAAGACGGAGTCTCTCTCTGTTGCTCAGGTTGGAATGCAGTGGCATGATCTCGGCACACTGCAACCTCCCCTCCTGGGTTTAAGCAATTCTCCTGCCTCAGTCTCCTAAGTAGCTGGGACTACAGGCGCATGCCATCATGCCTGGCTAATTTGTTGTAGTTTAGTAGAGACAGCATTTCACCATGTTGCCCAGGCTGGTCTCAAACTCCTGAGCTCACGCAATCCACCTGCCTCGGCCTCCCAAAGTGCTGGGATTACAGGTGTGAGCCACCGCACCTGGCCATTCTTTATTTATTTATTTTTTCCCATCAGTTTGATTTAGTAAGTTTCTTATAAGAAACCAGCTTTATTTTGTTTAAAACCCCAAGTCATGCTTTTGCTTTTTAATTGATATGTTTAATTGCCAGAGTGTGTACAAGTTCTCCATTAATTTTGCCTGTGATTTGGTGGGATATTTTGATTTTTAACCTTAAGCCAGATCCTTTTGTATCTCTGCTGTCATGGCAGGCCATTCCCTTTTGTCATATACAGATCATGCTCTCTTAAACATCCCCACAAATTTTCTTCTGTCTTTTGAAGAAGACGATTTTCAGTGATATGTTTTTCTTCTCAGACTTCAAAGCAAAGGCTACTTCTCCTTGATTTTAGGTATCTTTTCAGAAACCACATGACATTTTTCTGTTCCCTCCACTCACTCCTGAATAAAAATTTTTCATTATCCAACAAGTGGATGGGTAATGACTGCAGTGTTCCTAGCCTATTTTAATGTCCACTTGCGTGCTGGCATCTAGCTCTGAAAGACACTTTTGTGTTCTTGACCCTTAGCTCTATTTGTTGAGTACCATGGCCATTTGTATACAGAGGCCTGCTAGGGGGGCTTCTCTCTGCTTCAGTTGTGGGTATCTTTTCCTTGTTAAGTGGATCATATGCATTAGCTGTTCTGCTTTATAAGTGAGGAAAATGAAAGACTAAACACAGTAATGATATCAGTGCTTCTATCTCTCCTTTTAATATTCTTCTGTATATAACTCAACAGTCCTGCATGCAGTGTGCACAGCCATGCAGTTCCACTTCCTGTCACATTGTATACTGGGAGTTTCAATCTCTGTCTGACTTTGTAAATAAAGGCTCTGACAGGGGAGCGGCTGAGAGGAGGACAAGGTTCAGAGTTAAGTTGCTCGTAATTCCAGTGCAGTTGAGGTAGGTCTTTTTTAAATGGTTGGTGTATCACTTGCATTCTGGGATTAGTAGTACATGGCTGGAGTTAGTCAAAATGTTATATCTAACAGTCTTAGGGTCTTCTGTATTCTGATGAGGTTTGTGGAATATATCCAGACCTTTCACCCAAGTCCACTAAATATCACCATCAGTAAAATCGTAGTTTAAATAAGAGAATATGGCATTCCCAAAGCTTTGATTTATAATGCCATTAAAAATTTTCATCTTTTGGCCAGGCATGGTGGCTCACGCCTGTAATCCCAGCACTTTGGGAGGCCAAGGCAGGAGGATCACGAGGTCAGGAGATCGAGACCATCCTGGCTAACACGGTGAAACCCCGTCTCTACTAAAAACACAAAAAAATTAGCCAGGTGTGGTGGTGGGCGCCTGTAGTCCCAGCTACTTGGAAGGCTGGGGCAAGAGAATGGCATGAACCTGGGAGGCGGAGCTTGCAGTGAGCCGGGATTGCGCCACTGCACTCCAGCCTGGGCGACAGAGCGAGACTCCGTCTCAAAAAAAAAAAAGTTTTCATCTTTTTATGTCTCTTTGTGGATTGTTAGTGTAGTGCTTTATTGCTATTCTGATAACCTGTTAACATGAGGACTTACCATCTCATCTTTATTCTCAGTCTGATTATATATTTACACCACCTCCTCCTTGAAGGATATAGTACCCAAAGCATGAAAGAATGTATTTGGAGAACAATTGGATATATGGAGTTAACAAATCCTTGTTTGGTAAATTTATCTATCAGTTCATTTGTATATCAATTTATCTACCATCAGATATCAGAAGATTTAATGGTCTTTTAAGTTGAGAGAAAGAGCATGTGCAAAATTGGGAAACCAACCATCACATCACATTCCATCATGTAATAAGAATACCTAGATGTTTGGTGCTGCTTTAAATGTGAACAGAGTAATGGGAACTGAATTTACTAAGGCAGGATGAAACCAGACTTGCTAAGCTGGTGTTTGGACTTTACCCTGTTGGCAGTGTGGAAACAATGAAGGTAATTAAACACCAGAGTGACTTGGTTCAGATTTGTATCTCAGGGATTTAGCAACTGAGGCATCCACTGATCAGCTGGAAAGTGCAGGGACCACAGACAGGACTACCAGCTTGGAAACTGTTATAATAACTTAGGTGAGAGTTTCTAAGGGCCCACATTAAGACAGTGGTCTCATGAAGGTTGGAGAACAGCGGAGGTGAGAGATTTAAGAAATACTTAGCTGATAGACCAATTAGATTATGGATTTGATGCGATGGGGGAGAGAGAAAGAACAGTCAAGGATTATAGTTGAGTACATGTTATTTGGATTAATGGATGCACATTAATTTCTCACACATTAAGGCATGTGGAAGGGGCAGCAAATATCTGGGGTTTGACCTTGTGTTATTTTAAATTTGAGGTATCTGAAAGACAACCAGGTGGAAAGAAATTAATATTTATTAACCACCTACTAAGCACTTGTACAGTGTTGGAAATTACACATGTTGTTTCATTTTATTCTCCCAATAACAACATTAAATTTAATAATTTTATTTTACAGATAAGGTTCCTGCCTTCTGTACAACTTAATTAAGTTGCAAATTCTTGTTGATAGTAGCAAAACTTCCTGATTAATGTAGTGTAGCCCAGAGTTGAACCCAGTTCTAGCTGTGTCTTATTCACACACTTCCAGTGATGAAAGGCTAAAGGGTATGGGGTGGGGTTGGAGAGCAGTCAGTACAAAGACCCTGGAAACAGAGTGCCTGGTTCATATCCCACCTCTGCAAGTTTTAAGTTTTGTGGCCTAAAGTAAGATCTTTAAGCACCCTGTGTCTTATCTTCATCTTTGATTAAATAAAGGACAAAACAATAGTGGTATCTGTTGCATAAGGTTGGTTTTTGAAGTTTAAATGATATGAGTGCATATATGTGTATGTGTATTATGTATATATCATGTGTATATATATATATATATATATACATGAATAAGTGCATATTATATACACACATAGATATCACTCAAAAACAGTTTCTGGTATGTGTTTGCCCTAGGTAAGTGTCGATAATTATTATTACTATTATTAGTGTTATGACATTTGCATTTCATGTGAAATCATCTCTTAGAGAGTTGGAGATATAGGTACAGAGGCCAGGAAGAAAGGTTATGGATCAAATATTTTGATGTAGGTCATAATTAGAGTCAGTGAACTGAAATGATTTTTCTTTTAGTTTTAAAAGTTATTTTGAATATTTAAGAATCTGACTTTCTGGGAGAGAGCTTTCTTTTGTAAAAGGAGACTTATATTTATAATATAACAATAATAATTCAACCAAAGCACATACTTCAAAAATCTTCACCTGTGCTTTTCTTTTAATATGTTAAAATCCCTTTGGTGTGCTTGATAAATTAAATTTATCTAGGTTTTCTAGAAATGCTTTTGGGATTTTAGTAAGGAGGAAAAAAAGCAGTTTTCATATGTAAGTGCAAAGTACAAAGCAATTTTTTCAGAGTAATGTAATAAGAAATCCACAAAAGTCCTGATGGATTCAAACTCCAATTCTTGCACAGTATTTCAAAAGAAAATTATGATAAAGGGAAAGTGTTCCACAGATACATGAAGCTGAGATTTGTTTTCAAAGTAATCTTATTTTGGGTTTGAAACTGGTAACTTTCTCAATTGTTCCAAAAATTCTGAACCTCTGCCCAATCTGTTATTACAGCAGTTTGTAAATGCTTAATTTTGCTAATTTATTCATTGATATGTCAGATATCTTTTGATCTCATATAGGTTCTAAGGACTGTGTTAAGGATTCAGATATATAGGGCTGACTAAGGAACAGTTCTCTATGACAAGGAATTCACAGTCACATGGGAGAGACAGGGAATGGATTATTAAACGCAGGTTATTATGGAACACAAAATAGACAACTAACATTGTTTGGGGGAAGAAAGTTTTTCTGGAGGAAATGACACTGAGCAGAATCTTTAAGGATATGTAGGGTGAACCAGGTAGAAAGGAGGAGAAGGGGGAAAAATGTTCTAGGTAGGGGGAAACAGCAAGAGTAAAGTCGTCCAGGTGAGGTATAGCCTGGTGAAGAAAGAAAACTCCTACTTAGCCCTGCAGTGCTGCTGGAGCATAAAGGGCAAGGCCTGGCTGCATTCTAGGTAAGTGAGTGATGACTTTAATTAGATCAATGGTGAAAAAGATGGAGGCAACAAACATGGTCACATTTTATGACTATTTACTCTTTCAATGAAGAAAACTTTCTCAGCTAGATAGGAAATCCAGAAGACAATAAAAAAAGTTTGGGAAACTTGACCACATGCAAGTGACAGATAAAGATGTAAACTTCTTGATAGGTGAATTACTAAGAAATCAATAAGGCATATCCATATAGAAGACTGTGTTCTTCCTGCAACTGGTAGGATAGAGTCTAGTCCTTTTGAAGATTCAGACTCTGAGAGAAGCTTCTCTGCTTGAGCTGACTCTAACATGTCAACAGCTACCGTATGTCAGCTGGTTAAGATCATAACTTTCAAAACGATCCCCCAAGCCCATTACAGACAGCAGCAAAGAAATAATGGGAGGTATCTATCTCTTAGCTTGTCTGGTCCTCTAAGCTGGGTGATATATATAAGATGATGTGCAGAGTGACTACACATTTAAATATATCAACCGTATAATGTATTAAGTAAAAGACTTGTAAGGTTTTTGAAAAGACTAACTATACATTTAGTCATAGGAACTATTAACTATATCTGTAACCTACAAAGACCCCTTACACACCAATAATAACACTCCTCTCATGGGAGCAGAGTTTTTCTTGTTTAGCAAATATATCTATATTAAAATGACAGAGCAATGTCCTTTTGGGGGAAACTTCTCTTATAAACTGATATCAACTGACTTTTGAAATTTTCAAAATGAAATTTTAGTCTAGAAATTGCAGAGGTGTTTTAACTCTACCTCATCTGACACCTGGGCAAATTGACCCACTCATAGGCATAACTCAGAAGAGAGTAAGTAGGCCCTGTTCTTAAATCTCATACATGGTTTAGCTTGTCCTTTTCTCCAATAGAAGGAATGGGCATCTCCCTCATTCTTCTTCATTCTCTAAATCCTGAGATTAATCTGTTAATCTGAGCTGTCTGTGAAGACGGATCCACAGATAAGGCTACTGCCTTACTGGATTTTCATGGCAGGGAGAATTTGTTGGAACTATATTTACATATATTTACTTGTTTTCCTTTTTATAAGCTATTAGGTGCACTTTAATAAAGGAGATAAATTAGAAAAGGGTATAGAAGAAAACAAAACACCATGTCCTGTTGCACATATTGTATAAATTCTCAATATCTTCTTGTTCCCACAAGGGTATTGAGTCCCTAAATCCTATTAGAGAATACAGATCGAGTTTGTAAACTGAAAGATCTCTGGAAATAAGTTTGGTCATAGTTTATGAGTTTAACTCAGTTATGTATTTCCTAAACTAAAATCAATTTCATTTTTATTCTTAACCACAGAAACAAACATACATATTTGAAGTCTTATTTTAGACATACTTGATTGAAGTGGTCAAATTCTTAAATTTAAAAAAAAAAGGCTTGTATTTGAAAAAGGAAAATAAAACAACAACCACAACAAAAAGACAAGACAGAAATACTAAGCAACTTTATTTCATCCAGGTGCTGCTTGAAAATACAACAAACTGTCTTCAGAATACTTTTATGTGTTGTTGAAAGAAAGCACTGCAGCTAATATAGCTACAAAGGAGAAACAGTTATTCTTAAATGTCATCTATTTGCTGGACCTGAACAGGGTAAGGATTCAGACTTGATTCATTCAATTACTATTCCCAGCAGTGTTCTCACCAGCATATTGCTTTTTTGGCTGCTCAAGAAAGTTGAAATAAGATTGGGTTGTATGCAAGAAAGACCTTAAAGAAACAAAGAGCAGGTTATTGGCTTTAAAAACTAAAGAAAGTACATTTTATATTTTATGTTATTTAAATGAATTGAAATATAATGTATTTTATTTTTTTAACCTCAGAAAATGAAGCTTTTGGAGTGATAAAATAAATATGAAATCCAAAACATGAGTCAAAATGTTGTCTTTCGTGAATTTCAAAACTTAGCACTCTAGTTTTATGATAAATGTATTCTATTTATTGCAGTGTACAAAAATGCATAAGTTAAAAACTAGTAGAATTAGATAAACATATTTTTCATCACTATTATGTCCATTTTCTCTTTACAAATCAAATGTTTGAAAAAGATGCCTTATGCCTCAAAGCTATTTCACTGTATTCAAAATATTTGCTGTTACTAGAAAATGATTTTCTAAAGGAATCCTGTTTATTGATTTTTGTAATAAGCCTAGCCCAGTATAGTTCTTTTTAAGTACATTTTTAAAACTTAAAAATAAAAATTGTATATACTTATAGTTTACAACACAATATTTTGAAATATTCATACATTGTTCAATGGCTAAATCAAGCTCACTAACATATCCATTTCTTCACATACTTATTTTCTTTTGTGGTGAGAACACTAAACATCTTTGAGCAATTTTTATGTATGTAATAAATTGTTATTAACTGTAGTCATCATGCTGTACCACAGATTTTTAAATTTCTTCTATCTAAAATCCTGTATCCTTTGACTATGTCTCCCCACTGACTAGTGTAGTTCTACATATGTAATATGTTCTCATTTTGCACAAATCTGGACAAAATGTAATCTTTATGGCCTTAGACATCTAATCATATATTAAATTTAAAATTAGCACCATAGTAAAAATTTTTTGAACATTATTTGCAAATTTTAAAAAAATTACCTATTAGGAAATTATTGCCTATGGATTCACTAGATACTTTAATGAATAACATGAATAATATTTTTTCATTCATTTAATGAATAATTACTTGACATTTTTCCCTAATGAACTGAAATATTTATTTAAAACAGCTATTTACTTGTAACTTTAATAGTAATTAGAATACTCGTCTTTAAGTAGAGTTCACTGGTAGTACAGTGTTATAGTTGATGGATTTAATAATGTTGAAGTTATTGTACTGGCATCTTATTTTCAAGACTGTACCAACAGAACAGCACATTTTGAAGGAATCTGAGCCATTTTGTAATAGGAAAATACCTCATATGAGTCATTTCCTATTATATTTTGCTGTAGTGAGTTTTAGAATTTCATAATTTTAATGAAGCAGTTTATAGAAGCATGTTTCCTCAGAGGGTTTTTAGTAATACATGAGAATTCTACAGCCTTTGACAAATGAGTTTAAAACATAAATATGAGTAAAATGTGGTATTATTTATAAAGGATTCTTTTCTACCTGGTGATTTTTTTTTTTTGGAATGCCTCTTTTCTAACTCAGCAATACAGAATTTCTTAGTACCTAAAGCATATAGAGTTGAACCTTGTTTTTTTATTCATCTTCTGATGGATTGCAGATAGAATTACATCTATTAAAACAAAACGAGATTTAGTAAAAGCTGCTACAAGTCACAGGTAGACCATGAAATGAATATTAATCTTTCCTCCTCAACAGCCATCTTATCAAAGTATTCCTTAGGTGGGTGGCTAAGGTAGAAAAAGACTGATGTATGGCCTGTGATATTTTCCCCATCGTGCTCTCAGGAAGGACACCTGTTGACCTTCAGGTAGTGCTCATTACCAGCCCTAGTGCATCCCGTTGCTGTCTGATATGCTGCTGCCTTGCCCTGTGGCCCCAAATTAACCAGCCTAGCATAGATTACTTTGATGGGTAATTTCCCGACATTACATTAATTCAGTTCAACAGAGTAGAAGAAGACAGGCTCTATTTATCTGAAACAGTTAATGAGGCTTCATAGTTAGCCGCCATAGCCCTCAAAGTAAGCCAGCGTTAGCAGACTGGACAATTGCTCCAATTCCTTATGAGAACTGACCCAGCATTTGATGTAGTATGATGTCTTCATTCATTCTACAGCTTTCCAGGAACACCAACCGAGCTTACAGAATGACAAAAGTTTATCCATAACCACAGCATATCTATGTTTTTGATTTTATTTATCAATAACCACAGTGACTTTATGTCTGTGATTTTATGTCACAAATGATTGCAATTAATTGATCCTTATTAATATTTTCTAAATGTATTCCATAGAAATAACGTTAAAGCATGTTTCTGTAATCAAATAATTTTGTTTTTTGTGGTGGTTGTTTGAATATTTCATCAGGGATTTGAGAATTTTTATTATGCTCCTATACATTGTGATTCTCCAAGCTTTATTTGGCCATAAATGTTTTTATTTTATTTTAATATTTTAAATTAAGATCATCCTTTTAGTTGAGAATCTTTTCTATAAACAATACTCTTTTCTACTCTTGATGTGGGTAATAGTGTAGTTGTACACATAGCACAATTGCAGATTTCTGAGGCATTGAAAATAAAGAATTCATGATCCCACATATTGACTGAAGTAAAGTTTGTGCATCTGTGGTTTAAGCATTACAAACCACAATGTTAACAATAGATTTTGCATATTAAAGAGCATTCTCGTAATGAACTGTGTGTTACAAAATATTGCCACAAAGCTGTCTTTGTAATTCTCTGTTAGGGATTTGGCTTCATTCTTTCCTTAAGGCCAAACTTCATCTTGAGACTTGGAAAGTGTCCTCATTATGCTAGGATGCAACTGTTCTTATAGTTATACAAAGAGGCAATAAACATTGCCAAGGATCAAGGTAACAATTTTATAGTATTATGCCATCCCAGCAGAGGTCATCTGAAGTTGATAAAATAGCTCCTGTATGATCAGAGACCTTTGACTTAATGAAAATGGTTATAACAGCTCCAGAAAATTGACTCACTCAGTAAAGCTGTCTTTTACATAAAATGACATATTTTTTTTCTGTTTGGAATGATCTTTTCTGCTGAATACTGCCTTAAAGTTTTAAATGAGCTTAGGCCAAAAACCTTACAAAACAAATGAATTTGTAATACTTTTGACTCACTGGCCTATAGTTCACCTTTGCAGAAACTGCTAGTGAAGCACATTTGCTGCATCTTCAACAAGGACAGGGCTGACTCTGCCAAATTGCAAATGAACGTTCTTCTATGCCACTTCCTGGAGTCCTTGCCTTCTCTTGTCCTGTCTTACTTGGAGCGTCCTCTTAAAACCTCTGCTAATGACAGCATTTCAGGCAATGTAATAAAGCGGAGATGGAGATACTTGTGAGATGAAGGCCTGCCTAGAGTTCCAAATAGCACACTGCAGAAGCCAACACTGATTCAATCTGTCATCAGGGTTACCTGAACCGGGAGGCTGGCTAGCTCACTTTATTTTATTATTTTTTTAATTATAAATAAACTTTATTGGTATAGTAGTTTGGAACATGATCTGTGTAGATTATTGACCTCCATCTTGGTAAAATAGGGATAGTAATAGTACCTCATGAGTTTGCAAGAGTAAAACGAGTTTAAAAACAGATAATGCTGTCCGGGCATGGTGGCTCACGCCTGTAATCCCAACACTTTGGGAGGCCGAGGAAGGTGGATCATGAGGTCAGGAGTTCGAGACCAGCCCGATCCACACGCTGAAACCCCATCTCTACTAAAAATACAAAAATTAGCTGGGTGTGGTGGCACATGCCTGTAATCCCAGCTACTCAGGAGGCTGAGGCAGGAGAATCACTTGAACCTAGAAGGTGGAGGTTGCAGTGAGCCAAGATCACGCAACTACACTCCAGCCTGGGTGACAGAGCAAGACTCCATCTCAAAAAAAAAAAAAAAAAAAAAAGATAATGCTTAGAATAATATCTAGCACATAGAAAGTGCTCAATAAATATTCATTATTGGTGTTATCATTGTTTCTACTTCTCACATCCCAGAGCTTTTTACACTTACCTCCCAAGTCATCCACCATTTGGTTCTGTACAATACTGAAGCTCTTCCATTTACAAACTTCCAATTAACATAATTTCAGAGACAGACAAAGCAATCCTCCAGGAAAAAAGAATGCAGAAGCTGCATACACTATAGATGGTGACAGTGGCCAATGACAGACTGTCATTTTGAACTAGTGACAGATTAACTTAGCAACAGTCTTTCTGAGACTAACCTATCCCAGGAAAGATTAGCTTTCTCTGTTTTCTTTTTTCTTTTCTTTTTTTTTTTCACTAGCCAGCACTAGATTTATTTTTAGGAGGCTAGCTCACTTTAAATAGAAGGGCAGACTATTCTCTGCAAGCACCTTTTTAGCAGCAGCCTTAATATTCAAATTACTCTTGTGTTAATGATAGCTAATTCACCTTGGTAGAGTAAAGCACTAATGAAACTGTCTAAGGTGATGCAAATGTATTCTGTGAGTCATGTCAGTTGGTCGGCCAGGTGAAACAAAGGTGAACTGTGAAAGAAGATAAGGAGAACCACAAAATGCAAAGGTAATTTTTTGTCAGAAAACGGACCAACAGAAAAAGTGTTATACTTCCCAATAATGCCCCTTTCATCCCTGTGGTACTCATTTATTCCACTTGTACTTACAGAGGCTCTGGGTCTCCCTGCCCTGTGTATCTCTGCTCCGTATGAGTTTCAGTGGTGTGACCTTAGCACTTCAGAATGTTAAGGTGACCTATAGTACCAGTTTGCCCAGGTTGAGGGGTTTCCTGGGACACAGAAATTTTAGTTCTAAAACCAGGGCAGTCCGAGGCAAGCCAGGATGGCTTGTCACCTTCGTTAACAAGCAGATAAGTGCTTTTCAGGCCACCTTCTCTCTCCCTCCAACTTAGATCTGCAGTAGTTCACAGGAATGAAAAAAGCATGGTTTTAAAATGAAAAGGTCATCGCTTAACTTATTTGTGGCTAGGCAAGATAGTGAACATTTTTCACCCCATGTTTTTACATTTATAAAATGAAGATAATAAAGTTTATCTCACACGATTGCAGGAATATGGAAAAACTTCTTACAAAGAGCACTAAGTCAATGTCAGCCTCCTCTAATTTTCACAGGTGTTTTGGTCCTTGAAGACTGTAAGCCAATACTTTTTACAAAACACAGGTATTCTAAATTTTTGCTGTAAAACTGACCTCCTCAACACTTACATGGAGCCTTGTATTTAAGAACTTTATTTTACAGTCCTTGAATATATCTGAGTATTCCAGATGACTCACATGAATATTCAAGGCCATTGAGGTGTTATGTTACATTAGGTGAATATCTTCTCTAATAAAGTTGTCTACACAACGTCAGGTAACTTTGATTTGGTCAGCTCAGTAGGAAAAACTCAACTACTGCTTAAACTTATGTGTGGTTCCTGATTTAACTTGTAATTTTGGTCAAAGTGGTAGATCTGGTAACTTTAGGCTGACTCCTCATGAACTATAAAGCAGCTCTGAGTTGGATATGGCACATTTCAGCAGAGGCATGTCATTTTACCTCACTTCATCCTTCCCTGCTTTCTGGGACTGGTCTAGACTCACTAAGTCTCAAAATATAGCACTTTCTGGTATTGAAAAAAACAAAAATATATCTGCTTTGTGCTTTTAAATATTTGGTCATATATTTACAGCTCAGAAACTTAGGCATTTTTCTCCCATACTTTGTTGATCATGGACTTCAAGGCAACTTTTGCACATAATTGAAAATCTTAAGCTAAGGAGAGAAGGTAGAGTGTGAGCTTATTTCACTAAAAAGTAGTGGATTTGTCATTTTTTAAACATGTCTCTGTTTCTATTCTATTCAATATTTACTATTATTAACTCAACATAAATGTTACTATTCTCTAAGGTCAGAGATAGGAAAATCTGTGTATTAAGTTGATGCCATTACTCTTAATGGCATAAGCCACAATTACTTTTGCACTAACCTAGTAATATGGAGGGCCATTTGAGGACCACTCACAAACTCTATTGACTCAATAGACATATGTTCTGATCATAAAACTTTAAAAAACACTATGCTCATCACTGCTTCTATACCTTTGCACATGTTGTTCTCCCTTACTAATATGCCCACATTACACCCTCTTAATTATAGTGTGGGGTATAATGGGACACTTATACTCATTAGTTAATACCTAGTTCAAATGAACTTCAATGTATAGCTTTTTGGAAAAATTTATGCTGTAGCTTCCTGTTCACATACCTATCTCCTTAATAAACTGATCTCTATAGCTCACTTAATTCTTCTATCCCCAGCTCCTAGTGTAAGTTCTGGCAGTGCATATTAAAATAAAATAAAATTTTGTTGAAAGAATTAACAAATAGATGAAAGATGAGTTTTTAGGTTAAGTTTGGCCATTAACTTACTGTGTACACTGGAGTAAGTCATTAGCCTGTCTTTGGGACTCAGAAACTGATACCCCCAAATGAAGGCCTTCAAAGCAGCCTCAGAAGCAAGAGTTTTTCTGTGACCTTCTCCTGCCCTCCTGTCTCCCCATCCCATTCTCCCCTGACGTAAGCCTAGAAATGAGAATCCCTCTTCACCGAGGTGGGTCGTAGAAAGCAGAACCCCTTTTCCCCAACGTCAGCCACAAAAACCTAAAAATATTACTCTAACTTTCCCTCTGTCCTATCTGTGTAAAAGCTGGCTACAAAGAAATTATCTGACCTAACTTTCTTGATTATAGATCATAAGACCCTCACTCTGGAGAGGGTCCTGCCTCATACCCAGAAGGAAGGAATACCTGCTCTGAAAAGCCAAGAAGAATCTAGACAGACAGGCCTTACTGGGTTTCCTTACTCAGCCTATTAGCATTAGAACATGCTCTTTTTGTCCAATCATCTTTCTACATGGCAGACCGTACTTTGCTGAACCTAAGTATAAAAATGGACAATTTCCCCTGTATCTTTGGGTCTTCATTTGGTAGGTTCCCATGTATACACGTTAAATACATTTGTATGCCTTTTCTCTACTTAATCTGCCTTTTTTTGAGTCAATTTGTCAACTAACCTTGAGAGAGCAAATCCATTGGCCCCTTCACCATCAAAGTTTCTTTACCTATAAAATAAAAGTACTAGATTTTATGGTATATCACATCATTGTACCCAGTCAATAATGCCCCTTCCCTGTCCCTCAAAGTGGACTATACAGCTCAGCTCAGTGCCAGGCAACTCCCAGTTCTTCCTGTAGGTAAAGTATAATTCCCGCCCATGATCAGAATGCCAAGGGAAGTAACAGTGTTTCAGTTTTGAGGAGAAAGTGTTTCAGTTAAGAGCCTGAATTAGAGTTGTGGCTGATGTGTAGCCTACATATATTATGAATGAGACTTAAACAACTGTTGTAAACTATTTGAATAATTCACTCCTTAAGTTTTCTTTCCTGGTCTGTTTTTCCATAATATTACTAGCATTTAATAAAACTCTCTCTACTACTAATTATTATCACTTGGGATTTTTTTTTTGGAGATGGAGTCTCACTCTGTCGCCCAGGCTGGAGTGCAATGGCACAATCTCAGCTCACTGCAAGCTCCACTTCCCGGGTTCACACCATTCTCCTGCCTCAGCCTCCCGAGTAGCTGGGACTACAGACGCCTGCCACCATGCTCGGCTAATTTTTTGTATTTTTTAGTACAGACCGTGTTTTACCGTGTTAGCCAGGATGGTCTCGATCTCCTGACCTCGTGATCCACCTGCCTCGGCCTCCCAAAGTGCTGGGATTACAGGCGTGAGCCACCACGCCTGGCCTCACTTGGGTATTTTAAATATATTTAGAAAAGATGAGCTTAAGAAGTGTGTGAGGCAACCTTAAATTCATGAAATACATCTTCCGACTAGTTTGTCACTGATCTTTTAGGTTAGCTTGAGCCATCTTCTAACAAGCACTTGAAAACCAACAGAAGTTCATCATAGTTGTTCCAGCACAAGTTCTGGCACCCAACTGTTATGGGAGGCAAAGTCTAAGTTGGTCCCCCAATAATCCCTACATGCTAGTAATCAAGGCCTTTCATTGAGTAACTTACTTATAAGTAATACAGTACCTCAGTGTTGAGGGGATATTGCTTCTATCATTAGATCGCAAAAGATTCTGACTTTTGTGTTGGTAGCAGACTCTCTCCTTTGCTGGCTTTGATGAAGCAAGCTGAAATGTTGAGAGTTACATATGGCAAAGAACTGAGGTTGGTCTCTGTCCAGTAACCAAAAAAAGACTGAGGCTTTCAGTCCAAAAACCTGTGAAAAATGGAATCTTGCCAACAATCACACAATCTTAGAAACAGATCCTTACCATTCTGGCTTACAAATGAGATGACAGCCCTGGGTGACACCTTGATAAGAGGCATGTGAGAGAGAGACTCTGAAGAAGAGGACCCAATGAAGCTGTGCAGGGACTCTTTACCATAGAAGCTATGAGATAATAAATGTGTGTCACTCTGATCCTCTAAGTTTACAGTAATGTTTTACACAGGAATAGATAACTAATATAACTGTGATTTATTAATTCAACCATCTGTTCATTCTACAAATGTTGATGAAGTATTTATTATGTACTAGAACAATGTTGGCACTGGGGATATAACAATGAACAACAAGCAGACATGGCTGTTGTCTTTTTGGAGCTTATTGTTTAGATGGGAAGACATACGGTCAAATTTGCAATTTTAATGAAGTGTGGTACAAGTACAGAATAGGGATCATGAGACACTGGGAGTCTAAATGGCAGAAAAGCCTGACTAGTAACGTTGGTGTTGGGAGGGTTTATTTTAAAAAGTGTTATTTTTGAGTTCTGAAGAATAAGACATTTATTACATGAAAAATGAAGAGAATGCTCCAGGGAGAGAGAACTTATGTACGATGACCTAGAGATGAGAGAGAGTTTGAGAAAAGGGTAGAATTTCTCTATTTTGAATCTGAGACAGAGAAGCCTATTTAGATGTGTTGAGATAACATGAAGGCCTGGTAAATCATTTTCAGATTTAAGACTTCATGCTGAAGAAAATAAGCTACAATTACTGGTACGGAAACAGACACACAGACCAATGGAACAGAATAGAGGATCCAGAAATAAAGCAGCACACCTTCAATCATCTTATCTTTGTCAAAACCATTAGAAAAAAACAAAAAACAAACAAACAAAAAAACAAGTGATGGGGAAAGGACTCCCTACTCAATAAACGATGCTGAGACAACTGGCTAGTCATATAGTCATATGCGGAAGAATGAATTTGGACCCTACTTTTCACCACATACAAAAATTAACTCAAGATGGATTAAAGATTTAAATGAAAGACTTCAAACATTAAAAATCCTAGAAGAGAACCTAGAAAATGACCTCAACATCAGCTTTGGCAAACAATTTATGGCTAAGTCCTCAAAAGCAATTACAATAGAAACAAAAATTGAGAAGTGTAACCTAATTAAATGAAAGAACTTCAGCACAGCAAAAGAAAGTATCAACAGAGTGAACAGACAATCTACAGAATGGGAGAAAATATTCACAAACTATGCATCCAAAAAGTGTCTAATATCCACAATGTATAAGGAACGTAAACAACTCAAAAAGCCAAAAAAGAAAATACAAAAAAAAAAAAACCCTATTAAAAAGTGAGCAGAGGACATGAAGAGATACTTCTCAAAAGAAGACATGCAAGTGACCAATAAACATATGAAAAAAAATGATCCACCTTACTAATCACAGAAATGCAAATCAAAACCACAATAAGATAATGTCTGATACCAGTCAGAGTGGCTGTTATTAAAAAGTCAAAAAATAGCAGATGCTGATGAGGCTGCAGAGAAAAAAAGAATATTTATACACTGTTGGTGGGGATGTAAATTAGTTCAGCCACTGTGGAGAGAGGTATGGAGGTTTCTCAAACAACTTAAAACAGAGTCACCATTCAACCCAGCAATTCTATTATTGTATATATACCCAAAGAAAAATAAATTATTCTTCAAAAAAGACACATGCACTTGTATGTTCATTGCAGCACTATTCACAACAGCAAAGACAAGGAATCACCCTAGATGTCCATCAACAGTGGACTGGATAAAGAAAATGCTGTACATGTATACCACAGAATACTATGCAGCCATAAAAAAGAAAGAAATCATGTCCTTTACAGTAGTGTGAATGCAGCTGGAAGCCATTATCCTAAGCAAATTAATGCAGGAACAGAAAACCAAATACTGCATGTAGTCACTAATAAGTGAGAGCTGAACATTGGGTAGTCATGGACTTTAAGATGACAACAATGACACAGGGGTCTACTAGAGGTGGGAGGGAAGGAGGGACAAGCACCGAAGAACTACCTATTGAATACTATGCTCACTATCTGAGTGATGAGATCATTCATACCTCAAACCCCAGCATCACACAATTAACCCATGTAACAAACCTACACATGAATCTAAAATAGAATCTCAACCCACTGAATCTAAAATAGAAGTTGACATTAGAAAAAAAAATTAAAAAAATAAACTACCACTGATAACTTTTAACAGATGAAGAACATGGTCACATTTTTGTCTTTGGAAAGAACATTCTGCTTGCATTGTGGAGAATGGTTTTTCTATTGGTTACATTCAGCTGAAGCAGAGCTATGGTGACTTTAATATTAGTGATTTACTGTAGGAAATGAGCCTTATAAAATGTAGGAGAATGAGGGATGCAAATGTCTGGAAAAAGAGCATGAAGATCTAAAAGGCCAAGCACATCCAGCCTCTGGAGAAAACCTGAAGGAGTTGTTTGTGGAGAGGTCTCTGACAAGCGGTTGCCTCTGTGTGGCTACTTCCTCTGGAATCCACAGATATGAATCTGATGGTGAGCCAGGGGTTGCTGTTGGCAGACCAGAAGCTGGGAAGATAAGCTGCGCATGCTTCTACTATGCTCTACATTTTCTTTTTTCTGTAGTCTCATCACCTTCCAACTGACTGTAAAATTCTTTCCTTTGTTATATTTATTGTGTCTCCTAATTAGAAATATAAACTCCATGAGTGTGGGAATATCTGAACATTATTTTTATTCCTATCCATTAATATTTATTTCTATTACTAAGTAGCTTAGATCTATCCCGAAACAATGCCTGGTTCATCAGATACATATAAAAAATAGAAAATTTATGTAATTTTGGTTATAAAGGTATATATATTGGCAGGTGTTTTGTGATAATTCTTCAAAGTTATTAATTGGCTCTATTTTGCTTATGTTAAGATAATAAACAGTTTATCTCAAATATAATTACAAATGTTTTAATGTTTCTACACCAGGATTGAGGCGTTTTATTTAATTCTTACTTTACTCCTTACTACAGAGATGGAAATCAACTTAAATGAATTCTAATGATGATGATTGAATAAATTAACATTGGAGGAAATTGTGTTCATAAATGCATAGTCACATGGGGACATAGATCAGTTGTCTTTTTCTGTAATATTTATCTTCAGTTCATATCTGATCAATTTATTTTGATGATTCACTTTCCAAATTATGGAGCTTTCCCTGTGGTTCTGCATTTTTATATTATTGGACTGTTCTAAAAGTGGCAATTTTTCTAATTTCTAATCCTTGTAAAGTCCTTATGCTTGTTCTTCACATTGGGACTTAGATTAGGAAGCAGAAGATTTCTGTTTCCATTAGAGATGATGTCTTGTTAGATAGAATTGATTTCAGTAACTTGTTCTCCTGAGATAAAGTCACTTTCAAGTTTCTTGAATAACTTGCCATCAAATTTCTCATGATTAGTACTCAACAATTTCTCAGCTTAAAAGTCTTCTTGTATATTAATGTTGCAAAACTCTGCCTGGTTTTGATTCATAGATTCAGGTGTGACAGTTCATCCCTTGCCCCCTGGGAAACCCAGTGAAAAGGTCTTTTTGAATATGAGCTTGTTTTCATATATATACAGTGACTTCCTGGGGCTGTTTGTGAAAGTTTGCTGGAAATGAATGCAGGCATCTTGGGGTGAGGGTGGGGTATTGTACAGATTGTGGATTCTACTTCTACTTTGTATCTTTCTTTTTGTTTGCTGTATCTTCTTTACTTCTACCTCTATCCGACTTCATTTAATCCTGGACCACAAATTAGAACACTAGAGGGACATTATAGAAAGTGGCTTTAAAATGTGACAGGGTTTGGATTAAATTATAGCTGTGCTAGCCACGCCATTTACAAACTACATGGCCTTAGGCATTTAACTTAGTTTTGTCAACCCCTGATTTTCTCATCTGTAATATAGATAATTTCTTTATCTCAAAGTTGTATGAGAATTTAAATTGTGTGTGTGTGTGTGTGTGTGTGTGTGTGTGTGTGTCTGCAGTTTCTGGCACCCTATAGGTGCTCAAAAATGTTATTTACTGGTATTAAAATTGAATTAAAAACTTATATGTACATTCAACTAGGTTTTTTAGTAAATGTGGAAAACCAATCCACAAAGGATGGAAATTTAAAATGTAGGTTACATGATCTTAAATAATCAAGAATCACTTTTCTAAATTAATTCGCTTTAGTTTTTTCTTTTTCTTCTCTTCCTTTATGCTATTTTTTTCCAGCTTTTTTAAGTATAATTGACAAATAAAAGCAGTTTATATTCAAGTTGTACAGTGTGATGATTTGATATACCTACACATTGTGAAATTATTACCTCAATCAAATTAATGAACACATCCATCACCACACCAAGTTACCACTGCGTGTGTGTGTGTGCATGTGCATGTGTGTGTGTGGTGAAGACACTATAGCTCTTTCTAGGCACATTTCAAGTAAACATTACAGCATTACTAACTAGAGTCACCATGCTGTTCATTTGTCCCGTGACTGATTCATCGTATGTGTGCTTTTTGAACAGCATCTCCACATTCCTCGCCACTCCCCTCCCAAGCCCCCATCAAACACCATCCTACTTTCTGCTTCCATTAGTCCCACTTTTTTAGATTCCATGTATAAGTGAGATCATACAGTATCTGTCTTCCTGTGCCTGGCTTATTTCACTTAGCATGTGTTCTCTAGGTTTACCTATGTTGTCACAAACAGCAGAATTTTCTTTTTTAAGGCTGAATAGATTTCAATTATGTATCTGTACCACATTTTCTTTATCTATTCATTGACGATGGAAATTTAGGTTGATTCCATAGCTTGGCTATTGTGAACACTGCTGCAATGAAAATGAGAGTGCAGATAACTTTTGGACATAATGAGTTCATGTCCTTTGGATATATACCCTGAAGTAGAATTGCTGGTTCAGAAGGCAGTTCTATTTTTAATTTCTGAGGAACCTCCATACTGTTTTCCATAATGACTGTATCAGTTTACATTCCCATCAACAGTATAAAAAGTTTCCCTTTTCTCTACTCACTGACCTTTATCCTTACCAACATTAAAACCATAATATTTCATTATAGTTTTGATTTGCCTTTCTCTAATTAGTGATATTGGGCATTTTTTCATATACTTTTTGGCCTTTTGTATGTTTTATTTGAAAAATGTCTATTTAGGTTCTTTGCCCATTTCTTAAACTGGGTTATTCATTTTTCTGCTATTGAGTTGCATGAGTTTCTTATATATTCAGGATATTAATTTCTTATTAGATATATGTTTAACAAATACGTTATTTCATTCTGTGGGTTGCCTTTTCTTTTTCTTTTTTCTTTTTTTAATGAAGTCTTGCTCTGTTGCCCAGGCTGGAGTGCAGTGGTGCGATCTCGGCTCACTGCAACCTCCACATTTCAGATTCAAGTGATTCTCCTGTCTCAGCCTTCTAAGTAGCTGGGATTATAGGTGCATGCCGCCATGCCAGGCTAATTTTTTTTGTATTTTAGTTGAGACAGGGTTTCACCATGTTGCCCACGCTGGTCTCAAACTCCTGAGCTCAGGCAATCCACCTGCCTTGGCCTCCCAAAGTGCTAGGATTACACACGTGAGCCACTGCACCTGGCCTTCCTTTTCATTTTGATTGTTTCCATTGCTGTGTAGAAGCTTTTGTTTGATGTAGTTTCATTTGTTTATTTTTGCTTTTTTTGTCTATGTTTTTGGTATAAAAACCATTGCCAAAGCCAATGTTAGACAGTATTTTCCCTGTGTTCTTCTAGGAATTCTATGGTTTTAGGTCTTCAATGTGAGTCTAATCCACTTTGAGTTATTTTTTGAATATTTTGGATTAGCTCAAGTTTATTCTTTTGCATGTGGATATCCACTTTCCCAACCCCATTTATTGAAGAGATAATTTCTCCATGTGTACTGTGTGCTTTTGTCAAAGGTTAATTGACCATATATATGTGGTTTTATTTCTGGGCTCTCTATTCTGTTCCATTGGTCTATGTGTCTCTTTATATGCCAGTACTATACTGTTTTGATAACCATCAATTTGCAATACACTTTGAAATCAGGAAGTATGATACCTCCAGCTTTTTCCTTTTTATTCAAGATTGCTTTGGCTACTCAGGGTGTTTTGTGGTTCCATACCAATTTTGGGATGTGTCCTCTATGTCCATGAAAAATTTCATTGGAATTTTGATAGAGATTACATTGAATCTGTAGATCACTTTTGGCAGCATGGACATTTTAACAATATTAATTCTTCCAATCCATGAACATGGGATATATTTCCATTTATTGGTGTCTTCCTCAATTTCTTTCATCAATGCCTTATAGTTTTTGATGTATAAATATTCCACCTGCTTGGTTAAATTTATTCCTATGTATGTATGTATGCATGTATGTATGTATTTGTTTATTTATTTATTTATTTTGAGATGGAGTCTCACTCTGTCACTCAGGCTGGAGTGCAGTGGTGCAATCTTGGCTTACTTCATCCTCCACCTCCCAGGTTCAAGCGATTCTCCTGCTTCAGCCTCCTGAGTAGCTGGGACTACAGGCATGTGCCACCATGCCCAGCTAATTTTTGTATTTTTAGCAGAGATGGGGTTTCACCATATTGCTCAGGCTGGTCTTGAACTCCTGACCTCATGATCTGCTCACCTCGGCCTCCCAAAGTGCTGGGATTACAGGTGTGAGCCACCATGCCCAGCTGTATTTTATACCCTCTAATAATATTGGAAATGGGTTTGTTTTCTTAATTTATTTTTCAGATTTTTTTATTAGTGTATAGAATTTTTTGCATGCTGAATTCAATTTCTGCAACTTTGCTGAATTCACATATTACTTTTTATTTTTTAATAAAATTTTTAGTGTTTTCTATATATAATATTATGCCTCTTGCAGACAAAAACAATCTAATTTATTTCCTTTTGACTTAGATGCTTTTTAGTTTTTTTTTTCTTGCCTAATTGCTCTGGCTAGAACTTCCAGTTATATGTTGAATAAAAATGATAAGAGTAGGCATTTTTGTCTTGTTCCTAATCTTAGCGGAAAAGTTTTAAGCTTTTCATTTTTAAGTATGATGTTAGATGTGAGCTTGTCATATAGGGCCTTTACTACGTTAAGATATATTATTTCTATTTTAACTTTGTTGAGAGTTTTTATTGTAAAAGGATGTTGAGTTTTGTCAAATACCTTTTCTGCATCTATTGAGATCATTGTGTACTTTTTTTTCTTCATTCTGTTATTGTGGTGATAATATCTATCGATTTACATATGTGGAGCCATCCTTATACATCAGAAATAAATCCCATTTGATCACAGTGCTTATTCCTTTTACTGTATTAATATTTTAAAGGAAGTATCTCTTGTTGGAGTCTATATACTTAAGTTAGTCCAAACCTCAACTCGTTTTATTTTTAAAAATCTATTGTGGGGTGATCTAAACTATTCTCAATTTTTCTGTTAAAAAATATAGTTTCCCTCTTCTCACCTGGCAATCACTTAGTTACTAAGGATTTAATCATTATCTGAAATGTGCTTAGAATTAATTAGCCAGAAAATGCTGCCACTGACTTCCAATCAGATAAACAACTTTATATGTTGGTTAGCACTGAACTAAGGAAGGACTAGGAGGACAGATTAACTCAAAGGTCTAATGGAGCCTACAATACACATTTGTTGTTAATGCACATTCATTTTTAAAAACATACCTAGTATAATTCTCATATTCTCTAAATACTTGCTTGTTGGTTGCTTTCACAGCCAAAGTTTCCAGAAGTGCTTCCTCTGTAGTTCAGTTGAATTTTAAGTAAATTCAAAATTTGTAAATTTAAAATGGTATGGTGTAAGACACATTACGAACATACTTATGTGCACAAAATTTGAAGTCATTCAAATCACTGTAAATGAAATGTTAATCCAGACTCATACTAATACAAAGTTAGTGAGTAGAGTGAGATGTAAGTTCTTATGCTATCATCATGTGGCAGTACTACTTTTTCTATGTACATAAATATTCACCTTATTTTGTCAGAATCTAGAAAGTTTTATTCTCATAATGATCAACCACTCTTTCCTCATTGTCTTTGTGTGTTCACCATCTCTCATCACCTTCTCTCCATATCATGTCACTGAAACAGCTCTTTCTATGACTTCTATATCATTAAAGCTAATGAACATTTTGCATTGTTAAACTTCCTCTCCTTGGAACAGCGTCTTTCCTGGTCATTGTGTACTTTCTTTCTTTCTTTCTTTCTTTTTTAACTTTCCTTATTTTAAGTTCAGGGGTACATGTGCAGGTTTGTTACATAGGTAAACGTGTGTCATGGGGGTTTGTTGTGCAGATTATTTTATCACCCATGTACGAAGCCTAGGACCTATTAGTTATTTTCCATTTCCCTAGCTATATTAGTCTCCTTTACAAGCTCATTCTTCTATAGCCTCTTCTCTTTCCACATTAAATCTTGCCTTGGGCAATCTCATTCATGTGTAGACTTTAGTTATTATAGGTAGGAAGAATTACAAATATGTTCCTCTATTTCTCAGCTGATATGAAGTTTTGTCATCTTCACTCATGATTTTCTCACTTCTTTTCTATTCAGCCTCAGCATACTTGTCCAAGTTACCATGAAGTCTTAACGTGGATCATGTAGTAGTTTTCAGATTGGTTTTCCTATATTTATTCTTGCCTTTTTTCCAATTCAAAACACAGGAGCCACAGCGATGTTTTTGAAATGTAAATCTCATTTCTTCCCATCCATGCCCCATTAAGTAACTTTTTTGGCTTTTCATGATTGTCAGAATGAACAAAAATACTTATTTTCTCTACAACCTTGTATGGTATGTCATGTAAATACCTCTCCAGGCCACTTCGGTATCACACTTTCACCCATTACTTTTGGAACACCTACACTAGCCTTTTAAAATATATATTTTTTGTAGGTTTTCTTCTTCCATAGGCTATTCTTTCCGTCTTCTATACTTGTCCTGCCTTAACACAATGTAGCCTAGCTAACTTACTTTCTTCAACTTCCAACCCAATGTTCACTTATTCAAGAAGTAGTCCCCGTTATCTTAAACCAGATCAGTTGTCCTTACTGAAAATTCTTATAGAACCATGTACATCTCTCTTATAATGTTAATGGCCATTGTAAATTAACATGTATGCAATTTTTAAGTCCTCAACAAATGCTTTTGCTCTGTGAGTTGGCAAGGTTAACCTTGTTTGCTGTTCTTGCTGTTGTTCACCATTTAACTTTAGCACCTAGCACACAGTATCTCGAATAAAATAGCAAAAAATACTTTTTGCATGAGTGCCCGAATGCATTAAGCAAACACATTTAGATTCTACTTCTCAATTTCTAGAATAGTAAGTATAAACTCCAAATCTCCCTTTATGTTCAAAGCAAATGAAATAATAGAAGTGTTGGAAGAAAGTGTTAAAAAGAAAATGATGACTGGGCTAGATGTCAAGTGATAGAAGTTTAGATGTTGAATCTTCAATTTCATACTTGTGCCCCTTTAAGCAAGACTCTGCCTCAATGTCATTTTTAAGATAGAAATAATAATAATAGTAATAACTAGGCTAAACTTTATGATGAATTTGCTATATGCATTAGATAGCTGGCTAAAGCATGTAAAGACATGTCAGTTCATCCTTAGAATTCCTATGAAATACATACTAATATAAAAATTAAAACAATAACATCTAATAATTATATAGTACCATATGCCCAGCACACTTTCAAGCCTTTTACATTCATTATTTCATTTACTCTTATGTAACAATGTTGTCAGGAGGATTAGACAAAATATTCATGAGAAACATTGTGTATAGTGCACATCACAATATACAGGTGTTAATTATTATATCTATACAATCTAATGAAAAGTATACTTCTGTGTAAAATGGGGATTAGTTATGCTATTTTATGGCCAGTACTATGCTTCTTTACTTTCTGCCAGGACTATTTTTCTTTCATGACTCCTTTTGCAGTAATCCATTTTTAGTCAGTTTTCACCTGTGAGAATTTTGTCATATTTGACATTGCATATTTGGTATTTACAATTCTCTAACACTGCATGGCCAGAGGAAAATACTGTTTTGCATTCTTATAGTGTGAGATAACTGCAGAGAGTTGATAAATTATTTTTATATTCTTGAGGCCTATACAATCATATTTTAAATATGTTTACAGGCTTAAAAATCAGAACTATTACATATGATAAACAGGTTTTTCAATGTATTTTTGAGATATTTTCTTAAATTAAAATAATTATTTATTTCACAAAACTGAGATAAATGAGACAAAATATCTAAGGGCATTTCTAACAATTGCAAAAAATAATATAAATACTGGCATCTAATCTTCGAGTATATAGCATATTACATTTAAGTTGAATATACTTTCCTATTATGAACTAAATAAAATTCTGTATAAAATCTTATGGGGAATAAGAATAACGGATAAAAAGTATTCAAATAATGGATAAATTTACTTGAATTTACTTCATCCAAGTAAAATTATTTATTGCATGAAGCCTGCTTTTCTATTTTTTTAACGTTAGAGGTGTACAGATCTTTCTTCAAAACACAGGTTCTTTATTTACTGTACGTGTGTTGGTCAGTCATAGCCCTTGAGATGTTAACTTCAGGCATTTCTGAATCTTTTCTTGTTAAAATAGATTTTTCTAGCTCATTTTTCATACTCCCAAGTAGCCAATAGCAGTAATAATAGCATGTAAAGTTATACAAAGTTGACTTCCCAAATAAAGACAATCCGGATGTGAGAAACCAGATCCTAGTTCAACTTACAATGGGGCTTCTGTTTCATTGTGTGTAATGCAAGAAATTAGGACTAGAATTCCATTCATTCATCATTCAAACACATATTTAAGGTACCAGGCACTGCTCTAGATGCTAGAAGACAGACAAAATTTATTATGAAGCTTATATTCTACTGGAAAGACAGCAAAAAAACGACTTCATGATTAAATAGCATTTTGTTATTAACATTCTTTTGCAGAAATATTTTTAAGCTTCTCTATATAAATAGTACTTTGTTTATAGTTGTAATTTAACTTAATAAATTTTGTCATATTTACTGGCTTATATAGAGAGTTCCTTTGTGGGAATTCCTCAAAAATTGAAATAGCGTTTTAACTTTTTTTAATAGGTTGCAATACTTTCTACAACTCCTGGAACATAATGCCTGCTTAATGATGGTTTGCTAAGCAGATGAAGGAATACATAAATAAATTAATTAAAGGAAGAAGAAAGGAATGAGTAAAATTTTTGGAGCCTAGATTGAAGCTAAGGTGTTCAATAATCTCATTTGGGCCAGAATCTCTGTGTGTGGAAGCCAAAGTTACATTCCCTCACTATACTCTCTTAGGAAAGTGGAATGGTACACTTCAAAGAACTTCTCATCCAAATATGTAACTATCATTCACAGAGAGGTTACAGTATTTAATTATTAAATTAAATTTAAATTTATAGTATTATAATTACAGTATAAGGTTACAGTATTATATATAATAAATACAATTAAGGGACATTTGAAAGCATGTAAATTAGAAGTGGGTTTGAAGAATTTGCTTTGTGAACAATTAAAATCAATATTACAAATAACCATTCTCTTTACTTGGAGCAACAGAAATTGAAATCTGGTGGTATGCATCAACCAGGCAATGGGGCAAAGTCATGCTGATGTTCCCAGGCCAGAAGAAAGAGCTGTAATAAGGAAACATCAAATGACATGCTAGAGGGCCTGGAAATCCTCTGTAATGAACAGTGAAATATTTCAAAAGAACATTATTAGACATTTCCATTCCCTTACATAGAGAGAAACTATACCTCTCACTCTTCACGTAGTAGTCAATGCTGTCTAAGATAAAACGGATTAATGTCTCAGTAGTGTTAAAAGTTGTAAGAAAAGAAAAAACTTAGGTAGTAATTGCCACTAATTTTTTTAAAAAAATAACATTACTTATTTCTCATCTATTAAACGCAATTGGATTAGTAATTTTATGACTTTTATTTTGATATAAAAAATTTTACTCTATCTTTTATATATGTGGATAAGTGTGTGTGACTTTTCATATGTATATAAGACGTATATTTATAATGCCTATATTTACTTCAAAAATATTTAAAAAGATGTACTATAGATGATATGCAGAAATCTTTTTTTATCTGCGGTATAGCCTTCTCTGACTCAGTTACTTGAGATCAATCATGGTCCCAAAATATTAGATGAAAAATTCTAGAAATATACAATTCATAAGTTTTAAATTGTGCACTCGTCTGAGTAGCCTAATGAAATCTCACACCATCAGGAAGGCTCGGTCCTTCCTGAGTCGTGAATCATCCCTTTCTCCAGGTATTCTGCTGTAAACTCTACTCGTTCATTAGTCACTTAGTAGCAGGCTTGGTTGTAGGATTGACTGTTGAGGTATTGTAGTGCTTGTGCTCAAGTAACCTTTGTTTTACTTAATAATTACCCCAGAGTACAAAAATAGTGATGCTGGCAATTTATATATGACAGAGAGAAGCTGTAAAGTGCTTCCTTTAAGTGAAATGTGAAAGTTCTCAACTTAATAAGAAAAGGAGAGAAATCATATCCTGAGATTGCTAAAATCTGTGGTAAGAATGAATCTTTTATCTCTAAAATTCTGATGAAAGAAAAAGAAATCTGCACATACTATACATAAGGTTCGGTACTATCCGTAGTTTCAGACATCCACTTGGGGTCTTGGAATGTATCCCCTGAGGATAAGGGAGAACCACTATATTCCTAAATATTCTGAGTTAAAGATTTTCTTAAGCAGAGAAATTTAAAATATAGATTATTTTAGCCTTTTCGGACTCTTATCATAAACGTGATTAAAAGCAACTAGTAACATAATATTAAATTATTATTGAAAAATACAACTGTACACTTAAATATGAATTCCTCTTAGTAACATTTTAGCTTTTCCGTATTTACAAATCATCTTTTAAAAACAAATTTTCCTGTCTAGTATTTAAATTTTGGCTTGAATATATTTCCTGAAATCTAGACTTTGGTTATAATCTCAAAATGAAATCAGCAAATGATCTGGAATTGGCAGGATCATTTTTCCTAGAACTACGTTAAAATGTCAGATTTGAATGGTATTATTCATGAAGCACAATGGTACATTTGAGCTTTGCTGGTGCCCATGGAATGAGATTTTATCTGAGGGATATATTGTCATTGAACAATTCCAAATGCCAATCAGCAAAATCCAAAGTCCTTTTATAGTGACCTTGAGCTTGCTTCAAAACATGATGAACAACTTGAGAGATTAATCTAGTGAAGCAAAAGCTTCCAGGCAAAGACAATACTCACCTTATCCAATTTGTGGTTCTCATACTGTATAGATTAGGACTTTTATGGGCAGTTAGGGTGGTAGATAATAACTAATTATTTCAGAAATGAGAGCTGTCAACACATGATATCCAGAGCTTCAATCAAGTAATCTATCTTTTTAAAAAGTATTAATTTGTATTATCAATATTAACTTATATTTATTCACATACCCATTCTGCTACTCTTTATTTCTTATAATGTGTCTGGGTTTCCATCTTGGATTATGTTGTTACTGATAGTAAATTCTTAAATATATTCTGTGCTGGTTTACTGGTTCATTATTTGAATTCTTCTTGATTGGTTTATTTGTGAAAATATATTTATTTCGCCTACATTTTTGAAGGCTATTTTATATGAGTATAGGAATGTAAGTTGGCAGTTACTTCTCTTAGTACGTTAAAGATTTTGTTCCATTTTTGGTTGGATTCTGTTATTCTCTTGAGAAATCAGTTGTAAAATTAATTTTTGTTACTTTGAGTAATGTGCCTTTTAAAATTTTATTCCCTGTTTCCAGATTCTCTCCTTTTGTATGAGATTTTCTTCTGTAATGTGATTAGGTGTGTTTTTGTTGTTGTTGTTATTGTTTTTATTGCATTTAAATTTTCCAGTGCCTCTTGAATATGTGGATTGTTGTCTTTCCTGAGTTCTGGATTCTCCCCTGTCTTCTCTTCAGATTTTGCTTCTGCTTCATTTCCTTTCTGATTTGTGTTTGTGTTTGGGGCTATATCTACATTTATGTCAGATATTTGACTGTGTTACACACAGCTCCTTTTTTTTCAACTTTCCACTTTTTTAGATGTGCTTTTGTTTACATATTTTGACTATCTGCTATTAAATTGTTTAAATTCTCAACACTCCTTTTTTTTCATGATATTTTTCTTTTGGGATAATTTTTTCCCTGACAATAAAAATAAAAAGTTTCCTGAAACATTAAAAAATACATTTAGTGAGGGTTTTTTTAAATGATTAAACACTTACAGTTTGTATTTCTACATATTTAAAACTTATCATCATCCTCAAATGATTATTGTGAAAGTTTGTAATTACAGGTTAGTGATTATATTCTCTCAGCACTTTAAAAATATTATTTTACTGTTTTCTGGCTTCTATTCTTGCCATTGCTGAATATCCTTTTAAGTTAATCGTCATTCTTTTAAATACAATCTGTCTTTGTTTCTATCTTCAAGGCATTTTTTAAGATCTTCCTTTTTTTTTTTCTTCTTTGGTTTTCAAATGATGCTTTTAGTTAAATTTTTTTCTTTAACCTGTTTAAGATTTGTTGTACTTACTGGACATGAGGATTTGTGTCTTCAATAATTCTAGAAAATCATAAAAATTTTAAGAACATTTTGTTGAAGTATAATATGCACTCAGAAAAGTGTTCACAAGTGTACAGTTCAATGAATTTTTGCAAACCACACATATAGATCTAACCAGCCCACAAATCCAGAAATACAATATTTGTGGAACTCCAGATGCCTCCTTCATGTTCCCTTTCAGTCATCTTCTACTGCCAAGTGTTACAACTGTCTGGAATTCTGTAACCGAAGATGAGTTTTGCCAGTTGTTGAACTTTCCATAAATGGAATTCCATAGTACATATGATTTTTGTGTTGACTTATTTTGCCCAATGTTTATTTTAATCACTGAGTAGCATTTTATTTTTCAAATCCAGACATTATTTTTTTAATATCTCTTAAAAAATTGTCTTCTCAAAAACCAATTACCCATACGTTAGACTTTCTTATTTTCTTTCATATCTTCTATCTTCCAGCTCATTGTTTTACTGGCTTGTATTATCAGTAATTTCTTTCTTCTTTTTTGAGAAGAAGTCTTGCTCTATCTCCCAGGCTGGAGTGCAGTGGCGCGATCTCGGCTCACTGCAAGCTCTGCCTCCCGGGTTCCCACCATAATCCTGCCCCAGCCTCCCAAGTAGCTGGGACTACAGGTGCCCGCCACCACACCACGCTAATTTCTTTTGTATTTTTAGTAGAGACGGGGTTTCACCATGTTAGCCAGGATGGTCTCAATCTCCTGACGTCGTGATCCACCTGCCTCGGTCTCCCAAAGTGCTGGGATTACAGGCGTGAGCCACTGTGCCCAGCCAGTAATTTCTTAATACACATCTTTCAATTCATAAATTTTCTTTTGAGCTATTCATAACCTGCTGTTTAATCCGAACATTGATTTCAATCTGTGTTTTTAATTTTAGTAATAACTTTTATTTCTAGAAATACTATTCACTTACTTAAAAATATGCCTTATCTTTTAAAAAATATCTTATTGATCTTTTATATTTTTATTCCATTTTAAATGTATTTAAATATTTAAAGATACTTCTGTCATATTCTGAATCTTATGGTTATATTATCTGATGTCATCAGATGCCTAATTATACTATTGGCTGTTTCTGCTCACTCTCCCTAGTGGTATCTTATGTTCCTGAAGTGTTTTGTGATCTTAAGTAATTAGATCATTTGTAACATGAATTTTTTTAGAATCCCAGCAGTTATTGATTTTTTATGCTACTTTTTTGAGAATACAGTATTTGCCTTTGATTCTTCAGGAGGCTACTATTAAGTTAATTTTCTCTTGGACCTTGCAGATAGTATAGATTAGCATTCTCAGCTTTGTGTGACTTGAAATTTCCAGGAGATTTTTTTTCATCTGTATTTCACATAAAAGCTAAAATTTCCTTGTTCTCCCCTTATGCCAACATTATTTTTTCTCATCTGTAATTTTACTAAGGTTATAGACCTCTGAGGCATACACTTTTATGTAGAGAGCTCCTTTCTAACACTCTACCTTATGTGACACTCAAGGTCTTGCCACTTATTCCATAATTGGCATGAAAGACAAAGTCTATTTTACCGAGATTAATACATCATCTTAGATTAGCCATGCCTTTTGAGTAAGCTCACTATTTATGTTTTCAGTTCCTCCTCTATTTTGCCTCTGAGATTTTGTTTTTAGTTCTTATAAATTCAGCTATGTCTTTAAAATGATGTTTGCTATACAGTATAGATCATTTTCAAATGCTTTGTTTTGGGAGTTTTAAAGGCATCTATTCTGCCATATATCTGAGTTAGAGGATTTCCTCTTTTCTTTAAAAAACACTCACTTTATTTTATTGGGTGGCTCCCTCAGTAGTTAACAATGACTTTGGGGAAGTTACTTTAGTTTTTGTGCCTTGTTTTTGTTTGTAAAATAAAGATGATAAAATTATCTATTTCTTGTGATTTTTTTGGATCAAATAGTATAATACATGTAAAGTGCTTTCAATAGTGCCAAACACATACCAAGTTGTCAGTAATTGTTAGTTATTACCACTAGCACTATTGTAACTGTTGATGACCCCTTTGAAGATATCGATTTCTAAGCTTTCAATTATTATATTGACAATAATAATTGATAATTTAATATTTATAGATTTCCCATGCATGTCATATCTTTTATGCAAGCTTCAATGTATGCTGCCAACTTTTCCTTGAATAATAGTTTCTTCAGAGTTTAAAGTAATCCAAGATGTTATCTATTCCAAATTTCAATGTATTTGAATAATGTCAAACAGATTACCATCCAGGCTGTCTTGACTCATACAAGGATGTGGAACTCAAGGAATGTATTTGATTTGTAATTCCCTCTTTCTTATAACTCATCATCAGCTTTCCTTCTTCCTTCTCTGGCTTATATAAATGATATGTACACTGATGTAGGCCATACATAGAGAAAAAGAACATGATTTCTAATGCTAACCATTTGACCCTGACACATCATTTCCTGGGAGAAGGGAGAAGAGAGTTCAGTAAAGAAAAAATAGTGACCTAGTTCAAGATTATATGTTATTTCTTTCATTTATGTTTGGACTTTTTCAGGCAGCAGTTCAGAATGGTTTCTAGATCCAGAGAGACTATATGCCTGAGGCTCTTGTACTTATAAAAGATCAAAAAGAAAAAAAAAAGAATGGTCATGAGTGTTTCTGTTGATTCATTTAAGATTCTTTTTGATTTAATACTGTGGAGACCAGGATTAAATATCCTTTGGGACTATGTTCATATAGATATGGCATGTATTATTGAATTATGCTTCCCAGGCTAACCTAGTGAAAGTGGTGTAGTTTTAAGCCTGATAAGTTTAGGACAGTTATAAAATCTAATATTTTTATTTCTTGTTATGTTATCCTTACAGTGGCATTTTCACTGCTTTGCTTTAAAATATGAGAATGAAAATGATAGATTCTATTTTATTTCTATCCTTCTGGCATAATTTAAAAACCATCATAAAATAATCAGGGAAATTGTCTCGATGAACAATTATGAAAAAAGCTATTCAAACTGAATGCCTCTAAGTGAAGCTTCAAGAATGATGTTAATTTGTTGTAAGATACGTTTCTGATGAGAATTATTATAAAAGGAGGAAAAAAGGCATATCAGAATTCTAGAAGCCCTAAAAACTAGAAGCACACTCATACAACAACTTCTTTTTCCTCCTCTGCCTCCTTTACAAGTTTGAATGAAAAATACATAAAGTGCCTCATTTTCACTTATTATGTTTGCAATGGCATTCTCAGATGAAGGCTGGTTCTTTTAACATCAAATTCTCCCTTTAAATTACAGCAGAGATGAAGCATGTCACCTTTCTTTCAATTCTAGCACATAAAGAAAACCTAAGTTTTTTATCTTAGCACTTCAAAATTTCTATTTCCTGGCACAATATTATAAGATTTTTCAAGAACTAGCAACATTATTGATGGTATCAAAAAAGAGGGAAAGTAATTTTTTTCTTACATAGAGCATATCTCTAGTAGTAGTTATTTTCTTCTTCTTAGGAAATCACATTGATTAGCCCTTATTCACAAACGATTTAAAAATCTTTAATTTTGGAACTGCAGATCTATATGCACAATGAACTAATCAATCATCTGAAAGTTGCACAACCTTTCTAAATTTGAACTCCTTATTTTTCCCCAAACGCTATTCCTCTTATGCTAAATGAATATTCTAAATTAAACATACTTCCCCAAGCCTCACCTACTAAATGGTTCTCTCTGCTTCCTATCTCCAACATAGACTTAACCTTCTCTCTATAGTGACCTACTCAAAGTTTACTATATAGAACATGTGGCTCCAAATGTCACAACTTTCTCACACTCTGCTCCCTTTGCCTGGAGCACAAGTCTGTTGGGCTTCCTTCATGTCTCCACCTCATCCTAACTCTCCTAGGAAGTGATGATACCTTAAGAAGCTCTCAGTTTAGAAGGAGAGATGGGAAGCCAAAAGAATACTTTAATATAAAGAAATGTGATAATAGAAACTTCATTACAATAATTTGTTTATATGTCTTTATGTTGTTAAATTACAATCTTTTTGAGGTCATGGGTTATATCTAATTTATCTTTGTATTGTTAGTGTTTAGCATAATAACCAATAAATATTATTGTATGTTTATTAATGAATAGATGCTTAATAAATATTTACTAACTATATGTAGTTCTCATGACCTACAACTACAAAACCATTATTATACAAGTATCAGTAACTTTTTTCATTCTCAAATAAGCTCTAGTCAACAGCTCACTGACAAGATTCAGATTTACATGAAATCATAAATTCTGAGACAAAATCCCAGGTGTCTTCCAAACTTGGCATAATATAGTTTATACATCATATTGCAGATTGTGCTTTTGAAATGCAAAGGTGCAGCATTAAACCAAGGGAAATATAAGGCCGTTAGAAGAAATTTGTATGAGCAAATTATTTTCTCACCATGCAAGGTGACTTCTTTCTTCAGCAGGATCTATATAGAATTCTAGTCTGCTATTGGTCTAAGGATCAGAAGACCTGGTTTATGAGGCCAGTTCTGGTTCCTCTGTGAGCTAGCTATATAATTTATACATTTTTTGAGGCTTAGTTTTCTTATTTACAAATGTGGGTGATAATACTTGCCATGATTACCTCACATAGATAAAACAAGGCCCAAATGAGCCAATGCACATGAAACTATTTTGAAGCATACAGGTTACTGTGAAGGTGTAAAATATTATGATTAGATAAAATGTATTAGTTTGTTATGATTATATAAATAGAGAGGAATGTTGGAGTGTAAAAAATAAATTTCTGGTCATGAAGTGTTTGCCCATGCCTATATCCTGAATGGTTTTCTTCTAGGGTTTTATGGTTTTAGGTCTTACATTTAAGTCTTTAATCCATCTTGAATTAATTTTTGTATAAGGTGTAAGGAAGGGATCCAGTTTCAGTTTTCTGCATATATCTAGCCAGTTTTCCTAACATCATTTATTAAATAGGGAATCCTTTCCCTATTGCTTGTTTTTGTCAGATTTGTCAAAAATCAGATGGTTGTAGATGTGTGGTGTTATTTCTGAGGCCTCTGTTCTGTTCCATTGGTCTATATATCCGTTTTGGTACCAGTACCATGCTGTTTTGGTTACTGTAGCCTTGTAGTATATATAGTTTGAAGTCAGGTAGCGTGATGCCTCCAGCTTTGTTATTTTTACTTAAGGTTGTCTTGGCTATATGGGCTCTTTTTTGGTTCCATATGAAATTTAAAGTAGTTTTTTCTAATTCTGTGAAGAAAGTCAATGGTAGCTTGATGGGGATAGCATTGAATCTATAAATTACTTTGGGCAGTATGGCCATTTTCACAATATTGATTCTTTGTATCCATGGGCATGGAGTGTTTTTCCATTTGTTTGTGTCCTCTCTTATTTCCTTGAGCAGTGATTGGTAGTTCTCCTTGAAAAGGTCCTTCACATCCCTTGTAAGTTGTATTCCTGGGTATATTATTCTCTTTGTAGTAATTGTGAATGGGAGTTCACTCATGATTTGGCTCTCTGTTTGTCTGTTATGGGTGTATAGGGATGCATGTGATTTTTGCACATTGATTTTGTATCCTGAGACTTTGCTGAAGTTACTCATCAACTTAAGGAGATTTTGGGCTAAGATGATGGGGTTCTCTAAATATACAATCATGTCATCTTCAAATAGAGACAATTTGACTTCCTCTCTTCCTATCTGAATATCCTTCATTTTTTTTCTCTTGCCTGATTGCCCTGGCCAGAACTTCCAATACTATGTTTAATAGGAGTGGTGAGAGAGGGCATCCTTGTCTTGTGCTTGTTTTCAAAGGGAATGCTTCCAGCTTTTGCCCATTCAGTATGATATTGGACAGCAAAAGCAATGGCAACAAAAGCCAAAATTGACAAATGGGAACTAATTAAACTAAAGAGCTTCTGCACAGAAGAAGAAAAAAAAAACTATCATCAGAGTGAACAGGCAACCTACAGAATGGGAGAAAATTTTTGCAATCGATCACAAAGGGCTAATATCCAGAGTCTACAAAGAACTTAAACAAATTTACAAGAAATAAAACAAACAACCCCATCAAAGAGTGGGCAAAGGGTATGAACAGATGCTTCTCAAAAGGAGACATTTATCCGGCCAACAAATATATGAATAAAAGCTCATCATTACTGGTCATTAGAGAAATGCAAATCAAAACCACAGTGAGATACTATCTTATGCTAGTTAGAATGGCAATCATTAAAAAGTCAGGAAACAACAGATGCTGGAGAGGATGTGGAGAAATAGTAATGCTTTTACACTGTTGGTGGGAGTGTAAATTGGTTCAACCATTGTGGAAGACAGTGTGGTGATTCCTCAAGGATCTAGAACCAGAAATACCATTTGACTCAGCAATCCCATTACTGGGCATATGCCCAAAGGATCATAAATCAGTCTACCATACCTAGATACATACACATGCATACATATATTTATTGCAGCACTGTTCACAATAGCAAAGACTTGGAACCAACCCAAATGTCAATCAGTGATAGAGTGGATAAAGAAAATGCAGCACATATACACCATGGAATACTGTGCAGCCATAAAAAGGATGAGTTCATGTCCTTTGCAGGGACATGGATGAAGCTGGAAACCATCATTCTCATCAAACTAACACAAGAACAGAAAACCAAACACCGTATGTTCTCACTCATAAGTGGGAGTTGAACAATGAGAACACATGGATACAGGGTGGGGAACATCACACACTGGGGCCTGTCAGGGAATGGGGGACTAGAGGAAGGATAGCATTAGTAGAAATACCTAATGTAGAGGATGGGTTGTTGGGTGCAGCAAACTACCATAGCACGTGTATACCTAAGCAACAAACCTGCACGTTCTGCACATGTATCCCAGAACTTATAGTTAATAAATAAATAAATAAATAAAGTCCTGAATTTGAAAAAAAATAAATTTATCTTATCTGAATTTATTTGTTAAAAATTTTTCTTATCAATAATTGTATTACTGTAATAATTGCTAATTTGTTGAGTGTTTGCAATGCTCTAGAACCCATGCAGATTATCTCATTTACTTCTAACTACAAATCCATAAAGTAGGATTGATTATGATCATCCTTACAGATAAGGAAGATGAGACTTACAGATACTAAGTTACTAAGTGATAAGGGTATTCTATACTATTGCAGAATTTCAGCATCCAAATTAATTTTACTCCAATTCCTAAAGTGCTCCTTGTAAAGAAAGGGAAAAAAATGTTCTAAAACATGAGTATACTCTTGCTAGTCAGTGAGTTATTTACTTTTCCCATACTTTCCCAAGAATTATTCTAAGATGAACAGTACATGAAATTACTCTTAGCATGTTTACCTAGGTCTATTTTTTTTTAATTTTTATAATGACATTATAATAGCACATGGTATTATACCAGGAGGGTAAAAAGGAATCTGTATGAGATGCTAAGCTTTTTCTGTAAACATGCATTTTCCCCTGAGACATTTCTTTATCTAAGTTCCCTAAATCAGGAGATATCAGTTAATTATCTACCGTTTGCTCAAGCTAGAATCATTGGTATTATATATTTTTTAATTTTAACCTTTATCCTTCATCCCTACTTCCCTATCCTTATTTCATTTAATCAATTGTCATGTCCTGTCTCTTCTACCTTGACTGTATTTCTTGATTCAGTTTTCTTCTCTTCATCTCCTTTCTACCACATTAGTCCAAGCCAAAATGCTTCTTTGCTTAGAATACAGCAAACATCTTTCAACTGGTCTCAATGCATCTATTTTACATTCCTTTTAATTCATTCTCCAATGGCTAGACTGATCTTTTATAATGCCAATTCAATAATGCTATACCTTTGTCTGAAATAGTTTGTGAATTCCAGTTGTTCTTCAAATAAAGTTGAAAAGCCCTGACATGGATTTTGAGTCTCGGTATGATCTGTTTTACCTAATCTCATGTCATACTATTTTCCCCTCCTTTTACACCTAGTAGCCATATGGACCTTATTTCACTTCAGTCAATACCCATGCTTCTTCCAGCCTTGGAAGCCTGTACATATTAGTTCCTCTGCCTGCAAAGCTTGGTCACCCTCACCTGCCACCTGGATACAAATAAGTCATTCTTCAGGCAGCACTTTACATGTCACTTTCTAAAGGAGGCATTCCTCCATCTCCCATAGATTGGATCAGAGTCCCTGTTAATTGCTCTTATGCGTGCTGTTTTTCTTTTTTTAATAACCTGTATCACAGTAATTCTTCATTATGAAAGAAATTATCTTTGTAACTCAAACAAACACAGAGTTTTTGTTTTTCTTATACTTTTGTCCTTATAGCTGAGTAGTGTAAAAATATTTGAGATCCCTCAGAAAGTGAGATGGCAAAAGATCATAAATAGCTATGCTCTAAAATTTCCCCTGTCATACCTGTTTACTGCTTGAGGGCAGGATTTCTATTTTGTTTATTGCTGTACTGTGTGACTCTGGCACAGAGTGGGTGTGCAATGACTATTTGGTAAGTGAGTCAATATATGAAGTTTCTCTATGGATCATCTAGAATAAAATAAAATATAATTCAGTTCTTACTACTCAGATAAATGGAAACTGCCCCCTTATGAATCTCTTCATGGAATCAAGAAACTTTAGCCTAGCTAAATTTTTATATATTTTTTTACTTTGTTATCCTCGATGCCTAATATATTTCTTGATTTTTATTACTTAATCTTAGAGACACCAATCTGAGCTGAATGCCATTATTCTTATTTTTATAAATAAAGAAACTAACTGTGGTAGTCTTCTAGCCACCCTGCAAATCCTTTACCTCCTTCCATAGTAACAGGACTCTGGCTGGCACATAGTTTGACATTTCTCTGACTTTCTTGCATTAAGATATGTCCTTTTGGCGAATTCTCTCCCATCTTGTAAGAGAAACTATGTGTGCCTCTAAGCCTGAGCTTTTCAGAGGATGGATGTGCCTTCTCTTCTTCAAATACTTTCTCTCTTCCTCTAACTAACCCTGGGCATGGCAACTCAGCTGCATCTCTGACTCTCTGTGAGGAGGAGAACATCCTTTGCGCTTGGAACATACATGTAAGCAGCAAACAAATGTCTATTATGTCTGACCTGTTGCAATTTGGGGTCCAGTTTTTAAGCAGTTTGCCTATATAATCAAGGTACACTCAGAAACGTATTATAATATTCTCTATGGCCACCAGGTGGCTTCCAATCTCAGGACTGCTTGGCTCAAAGACCATCCATCGCCTTCAAGGACATCTCTGGGGAACAAAATACAGAAATGTCTCTTTAATTTGTGTACTTATATAACCCTGCTTCATCTATCCTAGTTCTTATGTGATTATTTCCTCCAATTTCTTTTTTAGGTATTAGTGTGTTTCAATCATTCATCCAGTAATTCTTTCAATTAACTTTTAATGAATGCCTACATTTTTGGAGTAGATTCAAAGAACAGTTAAATCTCTACTCCTGAGAAGTCTGTTGGTGGTCAAAAAGACAGGAAAGGAATACTTAATAAATAAAATAGAACACAATTTTAAAAGTGGTGCATGTCATAGAAATGCGAATACAAAATTTGAATGCTACAAGGAGAAAGTGCTTGTCGTGTTTCTGTTAATATGAGCTGACGACTAATTAGCCAATATCCTGCTTAATTTATTTTCTTCCTTACAACCCAGTAAGGTCAGAGCACTTCTGACATCTCTATTTGAACTAGAGTAGACGAGAATGAAAGAGGAGTCCTCTGATGAGATTCTAGCCCTTTATCTCCTTTTAACAGCCCTTATACATTGAGTTGCACAGTTTACTAATAAACTCTAAATTGTGTCATTAGGCAGGTAGTTTGGCTTCATTATCACCAATTCTTTCAAAGTGGCACTGCTAATCTTTCCTATTAGCCAAGGAAAATCACTGCCAACCAATCAGATAACTGGACTGGTGAAAATAGGTTACCTGGAAATGGCTGGCTTGAAACATAATAGTGTGTTCAGAAAATATTTTGGCAGAAATAGTAATTCCAAGGGGCAGGGAACATACCTGGACACAGACTGCTTGAAAATAGTTCTGAGTGTTGGGTTAATCTGTCTTTGAAAATTCACAAAATAGTCCCCGGTGTGTGATGTTCTCCTTCCTGTGTCCATGTGTTCTCATTGTTCAATTCCCACCTATGAGTAAGAACATGCGGTGTTTGGTTTTTTGTCCTTGCGATAATTTGCTGAGAATGATGGTTTCCAGCTTCATCCATGCCCCTACTGGGGGGAGTGGGGAGGGATAGCACTGGGAGATATACCTAATGCTAAATGACGAGTTGATGGGTGCAGCGCACCAACATGGCACGTGTATACATATGTTAACAAACCTGCACTTTGTGCACATGTACACTAAAACTAAAGTATAATAATAATAAAAAAATAAAATAAAATAAAGAAAATTCACAAAATAAAAAAATATTTTCAGAAGTTTCATAAGTTATCTTATTCTTCAAACATTTTAATCTTTTCTGATTACATAGGTATTCTGTACCATAGATTGTTACCCCCCCACATGTTCACTTCACATGCTTACATATACACTTTCATTTTATAATGTCATCTGTATTTTCAAGAGAGCATTGGTTCAGCAAGCCACATTTCAAACACATGTGTTTTCTTTTATCTACATATTTAAAATTAAACTAAATTTTATTTTAATAAAAAAGTAGAGGGAAGAGTTTCATACCAATTGCCTATGGTGCAACTCACAATTTATCCTTTGCTTTTCAAAAGAGAACATAGCAATTTTGAATCAATCAAAATCTTTATAGTGAATTCCAGTTAAAAATACATGTATGGCCCTTGATGTGTCTGGTTGTAATCAGGCTGTAGAACCTTCTAAGTATACTAGTTCTAGGGACAGCTCTTATTTAATGGTCCTAATGTCAATAAGACCAGTGGCTAATTGTTGCAAATAATAGAAGTACAGTTCTTATAATAGACTATGTTAGAGAATAAATTTCTCTTGCTATGAAAATAAATATGTTGAATTTCTTCAGCATTTATATATGGCAGGAGACCATTTGAATAGGTAAAATATTTTATAGCTTTGACATTAGTTTTTGATTTTACTGGATATTTTCCAAATACAAAATAGAATTTTAGATCTTGAGTTTATTGTACATGGAATTTGAAAGAAACAAGCTTTACTATCTGAAAATTAATCTTTTTTTTTTTTTGAGACAGAGTCTTGCTCTGTTGCCTAGGCTGGAGTGCAGTGGCATCACCTCACTATAAACTTTGCCTCCTTGGTTCAAGCGATCTTGTGCCTCAGCCTCCCAAGTAGCTGGGATTATAGGCGCACACCTCCATGACTGGTTCCTTCATATTTTGTTTGTTATAAATTATGAAAAGTTAAAATGATGACAGGTGCTATCACTCACCCCTTGTCATCCCTTTTCCACTTTATTTGGGTTGCTTCCCTTAAATCTTATTATTCTGTTACTATTTTTTAAGTTGTCCCTTACCTAATCCTTGCTTTGTACTATGTGCCCTTCTATTGCAATACAGGCTATCAGAGTTCATTCTAGTAATAGTAGTAAGCTAAATTTCATATGCCTTAATATTATTAAAATTATTTTATTTAGAAAGGGAATCTTTAGAGTATGGTCTTCAATATCACCTTAGACTCATCTTGGATTAACTTTTTGAGAGCCAACAAGTTACTTATTCTTTTGGAGCAGAACAAACTGGGGAGCACAGGTTACTTATCCCTGTAAATATAATCTTTTCTGGTCTTAACTATCTGTTTATGCAAATATCCTATCTGTTCGATATGTTTATTCAGAGAGTTAGAGATGATTGAGAGATAATAGGATTTGATGATATTAAGTGACAACTTTAATGAGAACCCTGAAATCAGACCAAGAGATCCGATGGGAATTTCTTCCAAGAGATATATTTAATTGGGGCTTGAACATGTTTTAAAAGCCTGGATGAATAATTCTATTAAGAAAAATGCATCTAACAAATAGAACTACTAATTGAACTGTAATGCTGACCTTTAAAAATAACAGACATGATTAAATGCATATCATCAGAGTGGTCTTTCTGTCTAGATATAAGGCTTTTAAGTGTTTCTTTCCTCTTTGCTTATTGACTTTGGTTAATATATTCTGTGGATTTACACTTGATGTATTCAAGAAAGTAGAAAATAATTAACCACCACTTAGGTTACTGTCAAGAATGATGAAGTAACAGAGATCCACTAGGCTTTCATGGACTGCTGGACTCACAATATTTTAAATCTTTGGGATCTCATTAGTAGTACTTCCAATACTGTATCTTTGAAAATGAGTTTTATTTCTAGTTTATGAAAGAGACACATGATTATCTGGTAAATTTAACTCAATAGGAACAATCCTATTTTTTTGTCAAAAATAGGATTTGATCAAGAGTTTTCAGCTAAACACTTGAGAGACACAAATGACTGAACTCCATGAAATGAATGATTGCTGTATTAGTCCTTTTTCATACTGCTATTAAGAAGTGCTAGAGACTGGGCAATTTATAAAGAAAAGAGATTTAATTGAATCACAGTTTAGGTGGCTTGGTAGGCCTCAGGAAACTTACAATCATGGCAGAAATCAAAGAGGAAGCAAGGCACCTTCTTCACAAAGTGGCAGGAAAGAGAAATGCTGAGTGAAGGGGGAAGAAACCCTTAAAAAACCATCAGATCTCATGAGAACTCACTCACTGTCACAAGAACAGCATGGGGAAAACTGCCCCCATGATTCAGTTACCTCCACCTGTTCTCTCCCTTGACAGGTGGTGGGTTTTATGGGGGTTATGGAGATTATAATTCAAGATGAGATTTGGGTGGGGACAGAAAGCCTAACCACATCAATTGGTAAGATACTACAATTTTGGAAAACCAATGGATATGGGAGGGGAGAAAGAAAGTCTCATGACTCTTCTTTGGAATATGAGTTGACTAATGATGTCTGTAAGAATAAGATAAACACTAGGGATAAACATTTAGCAAATAGACTTCTCAAAACACACTATGAAGTAGTAGCTATTATTATCTAAATTTAATGTGAAAACCTTGGCTCGAATAACTTTCTTAAAGTCACAATGCTGGAAATCAGCTACAGTCTGTGTGGCTCCAAATGGACTTTAAATTTCATGATTGTTTGGAAAAACAAGGTGATAAATTTTAAGGAGTGAAAAAGAACAGGGTTGTCACTTGGTGAGCAAAAAGATAGAAACTTAAAAAGAAGAATATCCACAAGAAGAACATAAAGCAGGAGAAACTTTGCTACTTGAGATTTTTTGAGGCTCAAATGAAGTGAGAGTATTTTCTAAATAACCAAAAAACATAAATTTCAGTTTTTCCAGCTATGCTCCATTTATAAAATGTAAAAATTCTGAATAGCTGCTTTTATTTTCTACTTAATGTTCTAAGGAGAGACACACTTATAGTCAAGTGTCAAGTCAGACATCAATCAGCCTATAATTATTTTATATGTATTGACTAGCTAATGTTCCTTAAGTCCCTTCTTATTCATTGCATGATTTAACATTGCTCTTTTTTATATAATTAAAATAGAATTCACTATGGAGCTCATACAACTACCACCTTCAGCTATTAATCAAGGAGTCATTCAACTGAGAAAGGGGAGATTGAGATGTTGAATCATTTCTCATTCTGTGAAGTCTACCAGAATAACCCATAAAGCAAATATCAACCTATTTCAAGTGAGTTGTGCAAGAAAATTATTTAGAATAAAATGATAGTTTGTTTTTTCAATTCACACATGTCTTGAAAACTGGCTTGGGTGTGACAACAGCATTTCACATGACACTTTCTATAGGTTAAAACATCAAAACAATTTGCCATAAATTTGTTATTTGTTGCTGTAATACTTATTGTTGAAGAGCAGAAGAAATAATTGTGCACACTGCCTCAGCCAAGACCTTACTCATGGCTTCTCAATTTACTCATATGTAAATTAGCATAAGAAATAAATGAGAAAATGAAAATTTCTGTTGACTTTTACTTAGATCAGGAAATAGTAAAGTTTTTCTCTTACAGAGCCATGTAGAAAATATTCTAGGCTATGATTGGTCTCTGTTACAGTCACTTGGCTCTGCCATGGAAGGGAGGCAGCAACAGATAAAATGTAACAAACGGGTGTGCCTGTTTCGGTGAAACATTATGCATAAAAACAGGTGGTGGGAGGATTTGGCCTCTAGGCTGTAATTTGCTAATCTTTTACTTAATTCAACAACCTACCTCTGGGAAAAGTATGGAAAATAAGAATCAGAGTTTTAGAAACATACGGAATTTTAGAGGTTCTGTGGCATTCCCCCATTCATTTTAAGTGAGAAAACTGAGGCCAAAAATAAATAAGTGAATTGCCTGGAGCATCACAGGTACGCAGTCACGGAAAAAGAATCCTGGTCTCCCAGGTCATTGTTCTGGCAGGATTGTTGCCTTGGTTGCCCAGAGAATTGCAGAGGAAAAATGACCTACCTGGGAGTGTGGAAGGACACTTTTTTGGTAGCCTGGTGGTGCATCTTTCTGTATGTCAATATATGCAAATATATGCTAATTCAAATGGGATATTTGGCAAGCCTTAGGGATCCCCATTTAGCTGCTACTAAGGAAGTTATCCCCAAAGAATACAAACTAGAATAAAATTGTTCCAAAGCCTGATTAACTTTTTGTGGTCTGTGTAGAGCTGCCTGCTCATTTCTCCACTTCCCTGAACTGGGTCTCCTCTGTGGTCATCTCTTCATTTTTTGCAAAGATCACCAGGCAAATATACTCAGACTCCTCCTTTTCATATAAGCAGGAGCCCTGGCTCACTCTGGCTTTGTCGACCATGGTGCCAGACAGATGCTGGAGATCCTTTTAAACTGAAATTTTTCGTGTTTGGTGATAGACTGGAGTTGAGTGATTTTAACTTGGAGTGAGTTCTGGAGATTAAAGCAGGTGGTTGACTTTGGAACCAGACTTCTTTCAGAGTAGGAGACTAAAACTGGGAGCAACTTTCCTGCAATTTGTTTTTGCAAAGAAAGTGCTTTGAAAATACCAAAAGCAAACTCACAGTTTTGTACATTAGAATATGAACATTAGGTAGAAATTCTTTTAAGAGGATTAATAAACATTGCTCTGATGAAGATGATGATAATAATAACAAGAAATTATAGAGGGCTTACTACATGACATAAACAATTCTAAGTCTTTTCACATGTATTAAATAATTTATATTATATTATGTTCTGTATAAAACCCCTCCAGAGCTCTCCATTATATAGAGAATAATTCCAGAATCCTTAGCATCTAGATCAATACTCTCCCACATACTTTTTAGTACTTTCAATATTCTCCTGCATGTATCATATGCCTTAGACATTTGGTGCTACTTGCTATTTTTTAAAAGCTTTTTGTTATCTTCTCTGGACTAGACACTGCTTAGGTGCTGGGAATACAGAAAACAGAATTCCCTTTTTACTTTTGGGAAGCTTACTCCCTAACTGGGGAAATGGCGTTCAGCTAGTTCTAGATTCTATAAACCTAACTGGAAGGAGGGGGCGTTAATAAAGCCTTTGTTGAACCCCCAACTAGTTAACTAGTTAATCACATAACTATGTTTATTGCATATTTTTATCCTCTCATTCAAATATTAGATTCCATTTATTACTTGAGTGCTTTCCAAGGTACTGTTGAATAGAAAAATATACAGTAGAAAAATATCAGTTTCTTTAGCTTATCTACATTTAGAAAAAGGAGAAATAAGTTTCTCTAGAGAAGCTATTATAAATGTAGGGGGAAAAAAAAGCCCAGGGTTGGTTATTTGCATAAAGGAAAAGAGAACAATCAGAATAAAAATACAGTAAAAAAAGAAAAAGGTCAATATCTTGAAGGTCAAGATGTTGAAAAGGGTCAAAGAGAATGAGGACTGAGAAAAGGCCCTTTAATTTGTCAAGAAGGAGATTACCAAGAATGCATATTTAGTAAAGTGGTAGTAATAGAAGCCAAATTTCTAGTGGCTAAAAAGAAAACAAGTAAGCAGGGTCTAAAAAGTAATCAGGTAAATGCTTTGCATTGAATGGAATTACCTCAATCGTAGCTTTAGAAGCAACAGAAGCTTGAGAAGTCTAGATTTTTAGAATATTTAGTTACCTGTGTTATCCATTGGAAGAGATCTATAGGCTTTATTTATATTAATGTTTCTATATGAAGGATTTTTATTTTTAAAATTTCTTACATTGATAATGTTGAAGATATGAGGGTCAACAGAAAGTGTATGTTTAAGAAAATGAATCCTGCTAGACTCTTTGAAATCACCTTGAAACTTTGGCTAGTGATCTAAAACCAGCTGTCTTTAGGGATATGCAAGAGCTGGAAGCAGTTTACAGAAAACATAGAAAAAACGATGGGATTATTTTGAAGGACCACTCTGCCTTCTTTTTTTTAGTGTTAATATACCAATAATTCTTTGGATGAAATTTTGGTTACAAATATAATTGTTTTTAAAAAATTATGTTCTTGCTCTATTTTTAGTTACCCTAACTAAAAAAGGGTTAACCCTAACCCTTTTTTAGTTACCAAACACAGAGAATAGCAAGTTTCAAACAGTACCACCTCTCGAATTAGAGCATTTTTGTCCTATGTAATCATAGTCTGACTTAGAAGGCAGTGCTGGAATTCTGGTTGAATATTTCTTTCTCTTCTATTCTCCCAATTTTGGTAGAAGTAAATTAAAATATAGCTCACAAGCAACAATCTATTTGGTAGCAGGGCTACCCTTGTATTTCAAAACATTGGGAAGGGGAGTTTACTTGACATGTTTGACTAATAGTGAAAAAAAGTTGGCCTTCAGATGTCTGAATAGTTGAGGAAAAAAGCAGCCATTTGGTATATTGTCTTTTTAGCTGCTTAGATGTCCAAAGAATCTTGTGTGACTAATGAATAGGTGCCCTGAAAGTTTACTCATTGTTAGACCCTGTAGTCTACCGCAGTGGTTTCTAGCCTTTCGGATCTGAAGAATTTATAACTTTTTTTAAAAAGTCGGCACAATTATACTGCATGGTCAATATACTGTATTAGCAAGACTTGGGCACAGCTGATGTTTTTGCTTAACTCAAAATTATTCACTTTTTATCTGGTAACAGCACTCTGATTTTTTTAGAGGATCCAGCTCTTCCTCCTTTTTACTCCATGTTGTTCGTAAGGATCTGATTCTATCTCTGGGCTTAGGTATGGACATTTAGACCATTAAACCCTCTGGCTACAATGGTTTGTTCAGGGTTGGTTATATTATCTACCCATATCCAGTAAGAGTTTTGTTGAACTATTAGGAAAAGTTTTCTTTCCACTACTAGGATTAGAAATAAGGATGATGTAAACCTGACTCCTATGAGATCATTATGTCAAATTTGAGGATAAAGCCCTTTAAAAAGCAAAGTAGAGCCAATAAATGGAGAGAGACCAAGTCCTGAAAACGTCAATTGAATCATAGATGTAGACATATTTGCAACTATGACAATGAATTTTTTTCATTACATGAGTCAATAAATTCTCTTTTAGTTTAAGCCAGTTTGGGTTAGGTTTTAAACATGTGCAACTGAGACTAATATACCAAGAAAGACCATTTAGAAATGCAAATAACGGCCATCGTTTATCATAAGCATTTGTTTATTTTTATTTTTAAAAATTGTTAAAATTTTCGTGGGTACAAACTAGCTGTATATATTTATGAGGTACATAAGATGTTTCAATACAAACATGCAATGTGAAATAAGTGCATCATGGGGATTGGGGTATCCCTTCACTCAAGCATTTATCCTTTGAGTTACAAACAATCCAATTACACACTTTAAGTTCTTTTTAAATCAAGTTATTGTTGACTATAGTCACCCTGTTGTGTTATCAAATAGTAGGTCTTATCCATTATTTCTAACCATTTTTTTTTGTACCCATTAACCATCTCCAGCTGTCTCCCAGGCCCCTACTACCCTTCCTGGCCTCTGGTTATGGTCTTTCTACTCTCTGTGTCCATGAGTTCAATTGTTTTGAATTTTAGATCCCACAAATAAGTGAGAACATGTGATGTTTGTCTTTCTATTCCTGGCTTATTTCACTCAGCATAATGATCTCCAGTTCCATATTGTTGCAAATAACTGGATCTCATTTTTTTAATGGATGAATAATATTCCATTGTGTATATGTAACACATTTTCTTTATCCATTCATCTGTTGATGGACACTTAGGTTGCTTCCAAATCTTAGCTCTTGTAAATAGTGTACAAAAAATATAGGAGTGCAGATATTTCTTTGATATACGGATTTCCTTTCTTTAGAGTGTATACCCAGCAGTGGGATTACTGAATCATATAGTAGCTCTATTTTCAGGTTTTTGAGGAACCTCCAAAGAGTTCCCCATAGTGGTTGTACTAATTTATGTTCCCACCAACAGCACACAAGGGTTCCCTTTTCTCCACATTCTCTCCAGCATTTGTTATTGCTGTCTTTTGGATATAAGCCATTTTAACTGGGGTGAGATGATATTTCATTGCAGTTTTGATTTGCATTTCTCTGGTGATTAATGATATTGAGCACTTTTTCATATGCCTGTTTGCCATTTATATGTCTTCTTTTGAGAAATGTCTATTTAAACCATTTGCCCATTATTTGATCAGAGTCTAATAAGATTTTTCCTGTAAACTTGTTTGAGCTCCTTATATATTCTGGTTAACAATCCCTTGTCAGATGGGTAGTTTGCAAATATTTTCTCTTATTCCGTGGATTGTCTCTTCATTTTGTTGATTGTATTCTTTGCTTCACAGAAGCTTTTTAAGTTGGTATAATCTCATTTGTCTATTTTTGGTTTGGTCGCCTGTGCTTGTGGAGCATTACTCAAGAAATCTTTGCCCAGACAAATGTCCTGGAGATTTTCCTCAATGTTTTCTTGGAGTTGTTTCATATCTTGAGGTCTTAGATTTAAGTCTTTAATCCATTTTGATTTGATTTTTGTATATGGTGAGAGATAGGGCTCTAGTATTATTCTTCTGCATATGGATATCCAGTTTTCCCAACACCATTTATTGAATATACTGTCATTTCTTCAGTGTATGTTCTTGGAACCTTTGTCAAAAATGAGTTCACTGTAGGTTTGTGGATTTGTTTATGGGATCTCTATTCTGTTTTATTGGTCCATGTGTCTGTTTTTATGCCAGTACCATGCTGTTTTGGTTTTTATAGCTCTGTAGCATAATTTGAAGTTAGGGAATGTGATACCTCCAGTTTTGTTCTTTTTGCTTAGGATAGCTTTGGATAAGGGTCTTTTGTGATTACATATAAATTTTAGGATTTTTTTTTTATTTCTGTGAAGAATGTCATTGGTATTTTGGTAAGTAGTTCATTGAATCTGTAGATTGCTTTGGGTAATATGGACATTTTAACAATATTGATTCTTTTAATCCATGAACATGAAATACTTTCCCATTTTTTGGTGTTCTCTTCAATGTCTTTCATCAGGGTTTTATAGTTTTCATTACAGAAGTCTTTCGTTTCTTTGGTTAATTTCTAGGTATTATCTAATTTTATGTGTGGCTACTATAAATGGGATTGCTTTTTAATTTCTTTTTCACATTGTTCACTGTTGGCATATAGAAATGCTACTGATTTTTGTATGTTGATTTTGTATCCTGAAAATTTACTAAATTTCTTTATCAGTTCTAATAGTTTTCCTGTAGAGTCTTTAGGTTTTACCAAATATAAGATCATATCATCTGCAAATAAGGATAATTTGACTTTTTTGTTTCCAATTTGGATGCTCTTTATAACTTTCTCTTGTCTGACATCATCATTTAATTTTAAAAAAGAACATCTTCATGAAAAAGAAAGAATAAAAGGCAATCCTTTGAAAAAGAAATAATTTAATTTTATAAAGTCATTGCATTTAACGTTCTTATTTCTTAACAGACAAGTGAAAACCTTATCAAAAGACAACAAGGAATGGCTGGTCCAATAGGACAGTGACTAAACTGAGGCTCAAAAGACAGCAGTTTGAGTTTCACTTCCACCAGTTAGTATTATAGATTATTAGGCAGTTACTTTGGTTCCTTGCATGAGTGACCCTTCAGTTTTTAACTGGAACAAATGATTCTTGCATACTGTCCCATATGCTAGTTATGAGAAGAACAGTACAAGCTAGTTTATATAAAAAGTTCAAAAGTTTAATGTCAATATAGCGCACAATTTATTAATTTCTTACCTGTGATTATGACTTGAGGGCTGGAGAAATTTTAGTTTAATCTCTGAATGACTTTGGTAAATTAAGCTGTATCTCTACATGTATGAGGAATCTTTGAAAGCTTAAAATATTTGTAACAGTCATTACAATATATGGTTTCAAATTTGCTAACATTTTGGGTACGATTTAACTCAAATATTATAAAATGCACACTCATTGAAAATGTTAGAGTTAAATTAAATAAAGTGATATTTTTCAAAAATGCTCACATTATGTGAAGAAATGAACATCCGTTTTATGGGCTAATTATGTGATGTGTAGCAAGCACTTTTTGTTCATAGTTCTGTTTTGAAGGATTGGTCAACGAGCCATATCATAAACACTGTTAAAATGGGACTCTTGTGCATGAATAAATCTGTGTTCTTTTCTGTACTCTCAGCAGATTTTCTTTTTTAAAAGACAGACTTGATTTTTAAATGAATTTTATGGCCAGAATGAAACAACTGACTTTAAATCATTTTAACAGGCAAAAAATCTGATTTAGTGAAGTCCAGGACTTCTTTACCAGGAGACTGTTCTCTTTGGCTTTGTTATTTCTAAAGTTCTGGACATTAAGCTGAGCTTCTGTGAATTAGCAGCCAAAGGAGAGAAGTATGGTTGTTTTTCTATAAAAAGAACCTGCTTCATAGTCAAGGATTTGCATCACATCTAATCACATTTGGCAGGAGAAAGAAGAAAAACCAGAATTCAGATAAAGCAACTGCTGACTGCTCTTGAGGCTACAAAACCCTGTCCTTCCCTAATCCTGCACGGGTGTGTGTCGATTTAAATGGTCTGTTCATTGGCAGCTTGCCATTCAGATGAGTGGTTCTTCTTCTCCTTTCAGTCTGCCTTTGAAGTTTCCTGTTGCAGGGACCAGAGGTAATAGGCCATTTTGCACAATTTATAGGAGCAAAGTGAAAGCAGCAATTTCTCCTTCAGAAAGCTACTGAAATGTCACCTGCAGTGAGCATATGTTTGGCAACAAGGTCAGGTACTTGGCGATTTAAACAGTTTGACCAAAACCAAAAGGCCACAGTGTTTTGAAGTGCTACAATTTCACTGGGGGCATTATGACTTGGCCCAAATATGTCAGCACCTTTTCAGGTTGGCAACTCTCAGTCAGGTTTGCACTATTTCATTTCAATATTGTCCTGAACTGACCTGATTATTAATTTTACCAATGCTGTATGCCTTCCATAGCTGTGGCTTTGCTAGATAAAATGGGTTTTGCTGCTTCTAGGCTTCAATGATAGTGTGATAGATAAAGCACATGGGCTCTGGAGCTAGACTATCTTGAGGTTCAAATCCCAATTCTGTTACTAATTAGCGTATGACTTTGGGAAATTTACCTACACTCTTTGTGCCTCAATTTCCTTCTATGTGAAGTTGGGGTAGCTACCTCAATTGTTTTTTGTGAGGATTAAGTAAACTATTGTAAGTAAAAGTGCCTAGCATATTTTAAGTACTTCATCAACATAAGTTATTATTATTATCATCATGGTTAAATTTTGATACTTTATTGAATCCTCTTATTTTTTGCTGATCCAGAAAAACTAATGATATCGCACAACTGAGTCTGGAATATTTACTGACTATATGTACTTTGTTCATATCACTATCATAAGTGCTGTTGATGAAGGAAAACCAGATGATTAGCTCTTAGATGACTTATGTCAATATCTGACATAGGGATAATTATGACAGAGAATAAAAACTGGTAGTTTTTAAGGGAACTTTGCCATTTATTTCGATTGAATTAGTTAAGTAAGCAAGCAAAGCATCCACAGCCCTTGGTGCTACAGTGAAGATACTGGGCAAAGCATTAGAGGGTCAAATAAATAGATTGGGAGTTCTTTTCCACAAAAGGACTTGAAGCTTGTAGAGATTTTGTGTCTCATCCCTGAGTATTTAGGTTTAAAATGAATACAACACCTGGCTCCAAAGACAGCGCTTGACACACAGTGAATATTTTTTCAAATAACTGTCCTTTCACTTTATGAAGCAATTTCACATACACCTTCTCATCCAGGGTTTCTCAGGCTCAGCACTATTGGCTATTTTAGGCTAGATGGTTCTGTGTTTTAGAAGACTGTTCTCTGCATGTAGAATGTGTAGCAGTATTCCTTGTCTCTACTAACTGGATCCACATTCCTCACTCCCCCCACCCCCAGTTATGGTAACCAAAAATGTCTCCAGACATTGTTAAACTTTATGAGGGTCAAAATTACCTCTACCTGAGATCCATGAATTCTCACTTGATCTTCAAACTTTTTTGTGTGGGGAATGATAGTATTAGGTTTCAAGTATATAGCTGAGAAAACAAAATTTCAAAGCATTTAAGTGACTTATGCAGTGTTCTCTGGCTAGTGACTGACAGAGTCAGCACTTGAACTTGGCAGGTTTTCTTGAATCCTAAGCCCTTCTTCTGACTTACATTACTGTACATGGCATAAAATCCAAGACTGAAGCAGGTGGAATTACAGGGTGAAATAGCATGCAAGGGCAGTTGGCTGATTCAGTTGGGCTGGTTAGAGTAGTGAGGACTCAGCAACTCTTCAGTTATGTTTCTGTTCTCCTGGCCATCTTTGAAATAACAACAAATGGCCACAGTGATAGTTTCTGGGGTTGAGTAAAACTCCCAAAAGGAACGTGCTGTTTACTTTATATTATAGAGCAACAAAGTGTCTATCTTATCTAAAGAAATGGAAAGAATAGCTTGGTCAAATTTTCCTAGCCATGGACACAGCTTATTGATATAGAAGGACATAATGATTTTGTTTATATTTGTGAGGGTCTAATTTAATTTCCTTTTCCTTTTTTTAAAGAATAATATATTCAAATCTTTCTTGAGGGGAAAAGTAGGAAAAAGAGCACCTGATGTCTAGAGTGTGCTTTAAATCATTCATGCAGACTGGCCTGTGAAATATAATTGCTGTTGCTTCCAGGCGGTTTTAGAGACACAAGAGATCTAAATTTTACCTAACTGTGAAAATAAATTAGGGCCTTTTCCAGATGATGCTCCCTGAACTATAAATCTCCTTTGCAGTTTCAAATTCTGTGTAAACAAATTGGCATTAAAATTCATTCAATAAGATAAGCTGGGCTAGCACAGGTGTAAGCAATGATCACTATTAATATGAAGAGGCCAGAGAGAAAGAGATAAAATGGAAGCAACAGAAAATGGAATGAGGGAGCTGGAAAGAATTTAGAGGACAACATGAAAATCAAGACATGAGAATGATTTATATGAAGAATTTAGTGAAAAAAAGAGAGATGAGAACTTTCCATCATAAATCAGATCTCTTTGTATGCATTGCAGTGAACATAAGGACACCCAAGACAGATTTTAGTTAAGAAAGTAGATATTGATGGAAAAGAGTTTGATGGTTTATCATTTCTTTCTAAAGAAAGAGTTTGATGGTTTATCACTTGTTTCTAAAGCTATTATTAATGTGATCAATGAAACATTTATTCCATGCAGGCCAAAATAAATGGATGTGAAGCAGATTGGACTCAAAGCATTGAAATCAAGACTTTGGCATTAACTAACTCTGTGTGTTTAGACAAAATGGAATCATCTTGAAGAACACAGATTATCAGGCCTTACCCTAGAGTTTCTTACTCAGTACCTCTGGTGTGAGAGCACAAAAACTGGCCTTTATAACAAGTCCTCATGTGATGCTGATGCTGTTAGACTGGAAGCCACGCTCGTGAACCATGGGTTTAGATATCACTGGGACCCTCATGGAGCCCATTTTCTCAGGCGTAGAATGTGACTGAAGACCACTTACCACCAAAGAATTTATCTGGGAGAAGTCCTTTTTAAAAGCATATACATATTTTTTTTAATATGTACACATTCTTAAAAGAATTATTTTCAGTTATAATCTAGGACCACTCCACTGATCTGACTACTTTATGAGAAACATAATCAGATTATTATAACATATGAAGACTGTCAGTGGTACATTCTAGTGTCACCCTGGATATTATATTATTGAAAGTAAATGGAATTATGGGATTTTTGGGGGGTGGGGAGTGACAGAATATTTGCTTTCATTACTTTTAGGATGCCCCATCTATAGCTATTCTTTCCTCTTGCTTTCTGGTATTCTTTTGACAGTTAGAAAAATGAAAAATACTGATACAGCAGACGAATTCTGGAACTAACACTTCCACAAATCATTGATAATCCATTTTCCAACTTCTTCAAATTCCAGACCATCAACAAGTAAGTACTATCTGTCTAATAGTGTCATGTTTTCTATTCATATTCTAGTTTATAAATCCAAATCCTTTTCAAATGTCTAATGATGTCCTCTAATTTAAAGAATGACTAAACTGAATTATATGGAGTTCTAAAGAACAAAATATTATTTAAAAAGTAGGGGTCATTTGAATACTTTATTACCCACTCCGTATTTCTGTATGTAGTTCCGTAAAAATGATGGGACACTTTAGACATTTAGGGAAATAAAATTATTATTTGTAATTTTGAAGGAATCTTTACATGTTTAAGCACTTTGAGTCACATCATGTCCTAGGCATTATACTAACTGTTGGAGAAACATTTAAATGAATAATTGATCTTAGTTTTTAAGAAGTTTACAATATATGAGGAAGACAACTTAAAAATAACTAAAATATAATACAATTGAAAGCTGCTGCAATAGGGGTATATACAAAATAGTATGAGATCATATAAAAGAGAGTAGAAAATGCAGTGCATTTAGAAAACTATTTTTAGAAAGAAACATCTCATGAATGACCTAAATTCTTTAAAATTATTTAGGCTATTCAAAACAATAAATGTTAATAGTTTTGGTGGAGTTAAGCAGCAGAAGTTAAAAGCATTGTGGAAGACAGTATGGTGATTCCTCAAGGATCTAGAAGCGGAAATACCATTTGACCCAGCAATCCCATTATTGGGTATGTACCCAAAGGATTATAAATCATTCTACTATAAAGACACATGCACACATATGCTTATTGCAGCACTATTTACAATAGCAAAGACTTGGAACTAACCCAAATGTCCATCAATGATAGACTGGATAAAGAAAATGTGGTACATATACACCATGTAATACTATGCAGCCATAAAAAGGAATGAGATCATTCCCTTTGCAGCGACATGGATGAAGCTGAAAGACATCATCCTCAGCAAACTAACACCAGAACAGAAAACCAAACACCACATATTCTCATTTATAAGTGGGAGTTGAACATTGAGAACACATGGACAAAGGGAGGGGAACAATATACATCAAGGCCTGTTGGGAGGTGGAGGGTGAGGTGGGGGAACTTAGAGGACGGGTCAATAGTTGCAGCAAACCACCATGGCACATGTATACCTATGGAACAAACCTGCACTTTCTGCACATGTATTTCTGCACATGTATCCCGTGTTCTTTTTTTTTTTTTTTTTGAAATACAGAAAAAAAATTGCCAGTAACTTTTTTTTTTTTTAGAAACTGATGTTTATTTTCCATCAACCATTTTTCCATGCTGCTTAAGAGCCTATGCAAGAACAGCTTAAGACCAGTCAGTGGTTGCTCCTACCCATTCAGTGGCCTGAGCAGTGGGAGCTGCAGACCAGTCTTCCGTGGCAGGCTGAGCGCTCCAGTCTTCAGTAGGGAATTGCTGAATAGGCACAGAGGGCACCTGTACACCTTCAGACCAGTCTGCAACCTCAGGCTGAGTAGCAGTGAACTCAGGAGCTGGAGCAGTCCATTCACCCTGAAATTCCTCCTTGGTCACTGCCTTCTCAGCAGCAGCCTGCTCTTCTTTTTCAATCTCTTCAGGATCTCTGTCGAAGTACAGATCAGGCATGACCTCCCATGGGTGTTCACGGGAAATGGTGCCACACATGCGCAGAACTTCCCGAGCCAGCATCCACCACATCAAACCCACTGAGTGAGTTCCCTTGTTGTTGCATGGGATGGCAATGTCCACATAGCACAGAGGAGAATCTGTGTTACACAGCGCAATGGTAGGTAGGTTAACATAAGATGCCTCTGTGAGAGGCTGGTGGTCAGCCCTGGGGTCAGTAACCACAACAAGCCGTGGCTCCCGGAAGGCTGCCTGGATCCGGTTAGTGAAGGTTCCAGGAGTGAAGCGGCCAGCAATTGGAGTGGCTCCAGTGGCAGCAGCAAATTTCAGCACAGCCCTCTGGCCAGTATTCCTGGAGGATATAACACTGACATCAGCAGGGTTTTCAATGGCAACAATAGCACGACCTGCCAGCAGAAGCTTCTCCCAGGTCCTCTTCAGATTTATGATATAGATGCCATCACTTTTCCTTTTATAGATGTACTGTTCCATCTGGAAGTCAAGATTGGTGCCACCTAAGTGGGTTCCTGCTGCAAGGAACTTAAGGACATCCTCCTTCATTTGCAGGACATCAAGGGCTCCGGACATTGTGAAAGTTTCCCTTTAAGTTACGACGGGAATCCAGAACAACGCCGTATGGACCCCTCTGCAGGTAGCAAGGAAAAGCGCCAGTAACTTTTAAAGGCTTGTTTTGCATATTATTCAGGCCTAAATCACGGTTCTCATAAATTGATTATCATGTCCCTTTCATCTGTCCATTTATGCTTCTAAATGGTTCTTAATGGTTCACTATATTTGAAGGCCATAACCATTTGCTGATGAGTTACTAGTTTAATTTGTCACTATTTCTCCAATACATATATGTAAGTGCTTATCGTCTTTTAATCCTAGATATTCTTCTGGAAGTAATAATAAAAGTTGAAAGCTGGAAGGAAAATAAGTTTAAATGGTGTTCTTGAGATTATATAGTGTCACTGAATGTCAGAGCTAGGACTAAATTTCAGATATTTTGATTTATAATATGATTAATAATATGAATAAAATTTTTGCCACATGACATTACTTGCTTTTGAAAGTTGAAATGGAGCTATGTTTTGAACATACTGAAAGAGAAATAGGCTTCAAATGAAGAGTTTCCCAGGCCTGGAGTGGCAGTTGTGTTGATGAACGGGGGTGAGTGGCAGAGCAGATTGAAAAGTGGAACTTGAATTAGCAATTAGCAGAGGACCATGGAATTTGCCTTCTTTTAAAGTAATAAAGACTTCTAAAAATTTTTGAATACATGCCACTTTTAGAGTGTTAAATTATGTCTTTTCTGATCAGGGTCATCCTTGCGTGTGAGAGTCCCTAAACATAGCAATGGGCCGTTTTCTTCTGCTTAATTGACTGAGACAAAAATTAGTTATTATAGACCAAATTGTTACTTCCCAAAATGTAAATGTTGAAGTCTTACTCCCTCCCTATTGTGACTGTATTTGAAGATAGAGATTGTAGGGAGTTAATTAAGGTTAAATAAAGTGAGATTCTAACCCAATGGGATTGGTGTCCTCTTAAGATAAGGAAGAGACAACAAACATCCCTCTCTCTCTGCAAACGTAGAGGGAAGGTCGTGTGAGAACGCAGCAAGTCAGCAGCCATTTGCACGATAGGAAGAGAGGCCTCTCCAGAAAGCAACCTTGCTGGCACCTTGACCTTGGACTTCTAGCCTCTCGAACTGTGAGAAAATAAATTTCCATTCTTTAAGCCACAAAATCTGTGGTATTCTGTTGCAGCCCAAGCTGACTAATACATTACTTAACGTGAAGAAATAGTATATCTTTATTTTATTCATTTGATCTCACTGGTCTCAACATCTCTAGAATATTATGTGATTAGCTGAGACTAGATGGACTTTTCTAAAAATATTATGCTTTGAGAGGGATGCTAGGCTCCTTGGTTGAAAGGTAAGAAAGCAATGGTAAGAAATTGACTTATGACAAAATTAAGATAATTCTATATAGTGATTTAATATAATGATAAACTTTTGCCCTTGACAATGTCTGCATATTCATCCCCTGGATAATGAATACTTCCTGCTATATTTTAACTTTATTTGCTCAATATATTCCTTAAATTCATGTACAGCATGTACTGTGACTAATACAAACAGAGCAGCCATGAGATCCATTTCATTAAGAAAAGATTAGGTAGAGATTTTGAAAATTTCCTATGAAACTTTGAAGCACAATTCACTCCTTAATTAAAAGCAAACAGCTTTGCTTTTTGGGATTAGGCTACCTAATTATACAAAAAAGAGAGAATATGTTGATAGAAAATGTTTGACTGAAAAGGGAAGAAAATATTACCAGAATTTGCTGCAAACGAATACCATTCCAGAAAGTAAGATACAAAAATGAAAATCTAAAACATTTTTGTAAATTCTATGCTTCAGTTTTCCCCAACTAATGAAGAATTAAAATCCTGCACTGCTCCAACCGCAAGCAGAAGTTAAGCCAATGGTACTGAGAGATTGTCAATCTATACTATAGAGAACAATCTTTCTGAGATTGGAGCATTTATTCTGACCTCCCTACTAATTCACAGTGTAACCACAGGCAAGTTAGTTAATCTTTCTGTGACTTCATTTAAACCTTTGTCAAATGGAAATAATAACACTTACTTCATGGGAGTATTTGGAGGTTTAATTAAATTAGTTCTTTGAGCTTCTTAGATGAAAGTGGCTATAGAAATGCAAAGTGCAATTATTAAAGTCATTTTTTCCTTTCCTTATGGAACAGGATGATTGAAACACATTTATTTCAATTAGAAAACTGACTAATTGCCTAATAGAAACCCTTCCTTGTGGCATATAATAGGTCAAATCTCTTTATAATTAATTGTATCATAATCTAATTCTTTATTTAGTAACAACAAAAATATAACTGCGGCAAAAGAGTTTATGTTGAGAATCATGCAATATATAAAAATTCTAATACCTTAAGGTAATAGCAATGGAATTTGGCTTATAGTCTTTTCGTGAAATGTGGTTTCTTCTACACCACCATCTATAGGGTTGATGCAATTCCCCAGCTTCTTTGTGTGATGAATTGATTACTTTTGCTTTTTGGTAAAAACAAAACAAAACAAAAAAACAAAACAAAAAAACAGTGTTATCTAAGTAAGGAGGATGCTAATTCTCTAAAAAGAAAAAGCTTCCACAAGAAAAGCAATCTGTGTATACATACTCTTATCTGGGGGTACGACCACATGATCAGGTAGTTTAGGATTAGGCCACCAGTCGGTAGGTTAAGGAATTGAGAAGTGCCAGTGTTGGAAGATCATCTGCAGTAGTAGTGTTGGAGACAGCAATGATGAGCCAGGATGCAAAATATTGGAAAAAAGCGAGTGAGATCTGAAGGTCTGCAGATGATTCTACAAAGAAATTTAATGAATGCTGAAGCCTGACAACAAGAGACTCAAAATTGAGCAATGGTGCTGTTGGAATGAGTGGACAGTGAGTGGCAATGAAGAGCATAGAGAACCCAAACTCACCTCTAGACCCAGGTGTATGAGGGCCAGTCAGAGAGGAAATAGCCTTCTTTGAAAGAGAAAGTTATGTCCCTTGGGGAGAGCTAGTTTTCCATTAGACTCAGTAGAGGTTCTCAGCATTGATAGCTTACTAGAAACATTAACGTCTCCTCAGAAACGCTAAAAGCAATACTGCTGCTGGGCCCCATCCAAGACCAAGTCAATCAGAATCCATGAGGGGTAGATTCTAGAGAACAGTATAAAAAGGCCAGTGAAACACACAAAGAGAGTCAGCTGATCTTTGACAAGGAAGCAAGGTAATGCAATAGTGAAAATATAATCTTTTCAATGAATGATGCTGGAATAGTTGGGCATCCTTCACAAAAACTAACTCAAAATGGATCAGAGATCTAAATGTAAAACATAAAACTGTAAAATTCCTAGAAGATAACATAGGAGAAAATCTAGATGACCTTTGGTTTGGCAATGATTTTTCAGTTTCAACACCAAAGGCACAATTTATGAAAAAAATTGATAAAAATTTATTAAAATTAAAAATCACTGCTTTGTGAAACACACTGTCAAAAGAATGAAAAGACAATCCACAGGCTGAGAGAAAATATTTGTAAAAGACATATCAGATAAAGGATTATCATCCAAAATATACAAATAATTCTTAACACTCAACAATAAGACCACAAACAATCCAATTAAAAATGCGCCAAAGACCTTCACAAACACCTCACTAAAGAAGATATACAGATGGCAAACAATCATATGAAACAATGCTCCACATCATATGTCATCAGATAAATGTAAATTAGAGCAGCAATGAAGTATTACTATACTATTAGAATGGATAAAATCCAGAACACTAACAACATCAAATGCTGGTGAAGATGTGAAGCAACAGGAATATTTGTTTATTACTGATAAGAATACAAAATGGTATAGTCACTTTAGAATACAGTTTGGCAGTTCCTTATAATACTAAACACACTCTTACCAAAGGACCTAGCAATTTTCCTCCTTGGATTGACCCAAAGAAATGGAAAAGTTTTGTACACCCAAAACCCTATACACAGATGTTTGTATCAGCTTCATTTGTAATTGTTAAAACTTGGAAGCAACCACAGTGCAATTCAGTAGATGAATGGATAAATAAACTGTGGTGCATCCAGAAAATGGTATAGTAGTCAGTGCTAAGAAGGAATGAATTATCAAGCTATGAAAAGACATGTAGAAAATGTAAATGCATATTAATAAGTGAAAGAAGCCAATGTAAAAAGGCAACATATTATATTATTCCAATTACACATTACAACATTCTGAAGAAGACTACATTGTGGAGACAGTAAAAAGATCAGTGGTTGCTAGGAGTTAGGAGGGAGGGAGGGGTGAATAGGTGGAGAACCGGAGATTTATAAGGCGGTAAAATTACTCTGTATAATGCTACAATGGTGGATACATGCTGTTATACATTTGTCCAATCCCATAGAATGTACAACACCAAGAGTGAACCCTGAAGTAAACTATGAACTCTAGGTGATAATGATGTGTCAGTGTAGTTTCCTCAACTGTAACATATGAAGCACTCTGATGCAGGCTATTGACAATGTGGGAAATTTTGCCTGCATAGGGACAGGAGGCATGTGGGAAGTCTCTGTACCTTCTGTGCAGTTTTGCTTGGAACCTGAAACTGCTCTAAAAAAGTCTGTTTTTAAAAAACAAGCAAAAAGCCAACAGACATTTCTCCAGAAAATTGAGGTAAGCTTAAGAACTGTTACTGTAGGCAGGTTTCCATTAGATCAAGATGAAGGGAGCTTTTGGAGCAGAGGTTAGAAAGGTGGGGGATATTGTTTATGACAAATTTTAAGTTCCAGAGGACACACTGGTTGGGAGTCAAAAATCTGAAAGTGGATGTACATGTCATAGGAAAGTAGACTGAACTCTAGTTTTAGGTTTCTTGGACCAAGGGTATTAGACTAGATGATCTCCGTCTGTGAACCTTGGGTAGTGGGATGGGGAAACAGGAAGTTCTTGTCAAGAACCGTCAGAGTTCTCTTGCTTCCCTTTTACTCTTTACCATGAGACACAGGGAAAAGGAGAAGGAAAATTCGATTCTTAACAAGTAAGGTCTTCCTTTGACCTTTGCCATTAGGAGTAGTGATGAATATAAACCACAATCCAGATTACCTTTTTTTTCCCTTCATTTTCCTTTTTTAGTAGCTACCCAAAATATCAGCCTTATTGGATGTCTTTGTTTTTAAAAATAGTTTTGATCAACATACCTTATAACGAATCATGCATTACTATTTCATGGTCATTTCTCATGCTTAGAAAACTTGTATCTCATGCAGATAAGCACTTTAGGCTTTGACAAATGAAGGACTTAGTACTAGCCAGTTAATAGATGGCATTCAATAAAAATGAAATCATCTTAACACAGCCTGACTGTTAATAACAAGAAAGGTAGAAGCAGCTTTCTCTGCTGGGGACTAAAACTCAGCATGATTCTTCTGAGGATTAAAGTCTGCAGTCTGGCCCCTTGACTATCTGAAAGTTGCTGGTAAAATGAGACTTTACAACTCCTGTGGTTCTGAGGGTCTAAGTTATAGAAAATAAAATGTACAACATCAACATGATCTGAAGACTATGTGGTTTGATTTAAGAATTTTGGAAGTCAATAAAGTGAAAACACAGTTGTTAGATGTAGGAGACCACCTGGTGGACTTAACTTTTCTTATTATCTTTTTATACTATGACACTTCTGTGGCATTTGGGGAAAATAGAAATGGGAACATGGGCAAATGGCCCAATACATCTAATTTAATCGGATTCCATTCCTATGTCATATGCAGCACTGCAGTCTTTATGCTTTCTTTACTCAACTGTATTCTGTTTCCTTAGACCATTACATCAGTCTTGCGAAGCATTTATTTTATTTTTCTGGCTGAAGCAGTAAGTGTGGGCAAAGTTCTGTCTGCAGGATGTTCTGGGGAGCCTCGAAAGGCAAGATACTTATGACTGCAACAGATGTCGATGATTTTTAAGAAAATGCTGACTTTATACTGTGGATCTCTACCTCCCTTAGGGAAAAATAAGAAGTTTCCAATTGCCTGCAAGCTATAAGAACAGAAGGGCTAAACGGCCTAGCTATAAAAGTGGAACACTAAAATTCTGATGAGGAACAAAAATAACAGAAGATTTATCTCAGTTATTATTAGAGGGGAAGAAAATTTGTCTCTCAGTGGTTCATTCTTTGGTTATGGTTCCACAGATACGATTAAGAGGTTAAAAAATGTAACCCTACATTCCGAAATACTCATCTCTGTTTCAATATGATTTAAAAAAAATTAAGCTGACCACAGAAGTGCAAATATTCCCTACTGTTAGTTTAGTATTATTATTAGTACGAGTAGTGGTGGAGTAGTAGAAACAATAGTTGTACAAAGTCTTAATCATATTTTTCCACTGTTACCACATTATAGGTAAAAATAACTGAGGCATTTGGTTGGTGTTATTGCAGACTCCAGATTTGAGGTTTCTTTTAACCTGCTACCTAATAACTGTGTTTAGGCAAACATGTATTTGATCCTATTAGGTATATGAACACAAAAAATTCAAAGCAATTAAAAAATGAATAGAGAAATAAACAACTAAACAATATCAGATGTTGAGATATACATGTTGGAATTCTGACTTTGAGATAATGGTTTTTTTTTTTAAAAAACAATTGATTGCTTCATTCTTTCATTTGTTCATTCATTTTTTCAACATTCATTGGGAAACCTCTATATTCCAGGCACTAAGCTAGGCACTGCAACTAAAAAACATGAATAACACAGCGATAGTCTCTGTCATAATGGAATTTACTTGCTGTTTGGCAGTGTACGAGAATTAGAGAAAATAAGCAGGTTCAAAAATATGAAACTGAGTCTTGCAGCATTTAACGAAGTGACCAATAGAGAAAATAAGCCTACAGAGCACGCGGTGAGAAACAGAGATGTTCTCCTAGGTCATCAATGGCTCTTATGAAATTCCTCAAGCACTGTGGACTGCAAAGTTCATAAAAGAAGCCCATAAGTTTGCCTTTAATTAGTTTCTGTGTCCACAGTAACCAACATCTAGTTTATTTAGTAGTTACCCTTGGTATTTTTTGAACACACCATAGATATTTACTGAATGAAGGAGTGAATTGTTTCAACTCAATCAACTTGTATATAACTTAAACTTCTTTTTTTAATTCTTACTAAAAGCTTGACTTTATCTTCTTACATTGCCTTTATCTTTTCTTTATTATTCATTTATGATCTAAACTGATTTTGGGGATCTCCCTGGTTTTGGTGAAAGTCAAACATTAAGGTGTCAAGAAGCTTTCACTGGACCTAAGAAGCCTCAAAATCAGCCTAAAGAAAGTCCCAGAGAGGATAAAGACTCAAGGAGGAATTTCAGTGTAGTACAAACATATTTATATAATACTAAATACTCCAATTCCCTTTGGAGAGTCATTAGAGGAGGCGTTGCTTCTATTTCTTAGAACCACTAGAAATTGAATCATTCCTCCAGAGTAATGAACCTAATATGAGTTGCTGTGGTGAAATCCTTGTTCAAAAACAAGGTTTATTTGAGCAGATTTTATAGCACCATTAGTCAGCTTCTGACAGAAATTGGTCTGACAAACAGCTCACATATATTTGGGAAAGTAATTAATTGTGCTATTATGTCAAGGACAAGGTTTTGTTTGTTTGTATAATAGATATGTGAACTTGCTCTTTCCTGAAAATCATTTCACCAATATCACTGTATACTCCTGCAGAAACCAAAAACACATACTTTCTTGTGAATTTGTGTGACTCTTGTTTTACCTTTCTTTTTAATTTTGATGCTATATACAGAATTATTTGGCCTGAGTAGGCGTTACATTGGTCTGGGAAGCATAAGTGAAAATTTCGACAAGAGAGGAAAGATGACATTCAGAATGTGGATACTAGATAAGCTTAGAGGAAAGAAGTCTGTATTGTGCATTTGTTGACAAGGATGGAGACTGAATGACTGGATGAGTATTTGGAGAATAATGAAAATTAAGTTCTAAATGTCCGGCGGATACTGCCAGTACAGCTTAAAATTGATGTAATGGGAAACAGAAAGCGGTTTGTTGATGAGCAAAGGTGTGTTATAAATGTTTTATGAATATGAACCTGATGGAATAATGCAGGTTCCATTTTGTGTGGAGAGAGAGTGGAAGAAATATCTGTCAGCAGCATATTGTAGTATATTTTCCAGATAGAAGGTGGTGAAACCTTGTGTCACTTGTAGTGCTGGTGTGAGTCAGTAAGATTGAGGAGAAAGTCTTTTGGAAGAAGAAATAACAGATTTGTGTATTTTAGTAAGAATTTGGACATAGGGAATGAAGGTGATGGAAGAGTTAAATGTGTCCAGAAGAATAGTGATATTATTTATCAAATATAATGGTTTAGCTGGTCAAGTTAGCAACATATAGAACCTACTTAGCAGAAATCACTATGTTAATATAAATGTTGTTCTTGACTCCAGGAGATTCATAGTCTAGGGTGGGAAGTGGACAAGTAAATAGATATTTATTTGTAGTTCAATTGCTGTGATAGAGATAAGTACAAGGTAATATATGACAGCACACAAAAAGGAGCAAATCACACACCTAAGGGAATAGTTAGGAAAGCTTCCTAAAAGAACAAAAATTTAAGATCATCTCTGAAACAGGGGCAAGAAGTAACCAATTAAGAAAGATATGACAGACAGTGTTATAGGTAGAAGTGACAGCAGGGAGAAAATGAAGAGGAGTGAAACCTAAATTCTTATTTGTTGAGGATGATGAAGGGTTGTGTATAAGGAGGTGTATAAGGTTGTGTTTAAGGAGATTAGACTTTGTATCCCCTAAGAAGATGGTGTGGGAGAGATTAGTCCATTTATGGAGATATTACCTTGAAATTCATTGAACATTTGCATGCAGATATCATTTAGATAGCTAGAAATGCTAAAATTGCAGATGTGAGATGAATTTGGAAGTAATTCAGTAATAGCTGAAGAAAGTGATAGGAGGAGTTCTTAAAAGTAGTGTAATGAGGAAAGAGCCATAGACTTTTGAACTGAGGTGTGGGAGAGAATATTCCTAGGTAAGTAGCAAGTTTAGTCAAATAATAGCAATATGAAATGTTTGTCTTTGTTTTAACATAATGTAGGTAACTCTCCAGAAACTACTTAAAAACTTTTGGAAACTGAATTGGTAAACTTTTATTTTATTTCTCCTTTCCCTCTGGTATTTTCCCTTTCAATCTGAGCTACAGAACCATGAGTTCCAGTTCATGCACAGTCTTTATTGATCTTTTAGAATCACAGATTAGTAGAAGGTTAGAGAAGGAAGAAAGCTCGGAGACCATCTGGTTAAGTGGTTTTCATACTATTTTTTTTAAACCACAAAATGTTTTCTGACCAAAAAAAAAAAAAAAAAAAACCCAACATAGAAACATTTTTAAAAGTAGATAAAAGTAAGGTTGTCTTTATTGGAGCTGATGAAAGAGTTTGTGATTTATTATATTGTCTCAATTAGGTTCATCTATCCTTTTATGGTAGACTCAGAAGAAAACCTCAAGCTCGAAAGAGCAGCTTTTGAAAACTATGCCCAATATTTTCATTTACAGAAAAAAAACTTTGCTCAGAGACGTATCATTATATTTAACTTTAAAACAAATATTCTGCCTTCTGGAAGAATTGCTTACATTATATAAAGAATTGTTCTTCACTGATGTTACTTAAAAGGCTTTACCAGGTGCCTTTACTTAGAAACTGGACTGATTAATGAACATCAGGCTTCTTGTTGGTGTACCCCTTGAAAACATGGGCTAAGGAAGGAGGGGGTAACTCCTTCATCTTTCCCTGGCCTTGGTAGTACATGTCCCTTTGATAAAACTCTGTCTGTTCTGCCAAAGACAAATCATATTTCTATGAAAAGTTTTTACTTAAAGGAGAAAAGGGAAAGTCGGGAATCAAATGTTGAGTGGGTGAAAGTTAAAATGTTTTTTTTATTTTAAAAACAGGTATTAATGAGAAAAATAACAAAAATAACTATGGGAGCCCTTTTAAGCTTTTTTTCCCTGGAATAAAATGTACTGTATCAGGAAGGGGCCCACTCACCCAAGAGAGCAAATTAAGCCTAGTTTTACCTTCTTGACACTTCTTATGTTTAGAATTTTACCTTAGTAAGATATAGAAATATATTTCCAATAAAATAAATTTGGAAAAGTTAATTTATCATGATGTTTCCAGAATGAAACAAATATTTTAGTGTTTTTATGTATGGTAAAGAGGTTACTTGACCACTTATACTTCTTTGGTTACTAACACTTATTTTGGTTTTACTCTGTCAGACACTTTGCCAGGGGCAGGTATGTAAGGCAAAGATCCATTGACCCCACTCTTGAGGAGTCCACACTAAACATGAAGGAAACAAATCATTGCAATGTGGTGTGATAATTTGATAATACAAAATCAATACAAAGGGAACACAAAATAATGATGTTTCTATATGAAATAAGATGATGTCTTCAGTAAATTCTAAAAGATGAATCAAAATTTAATGAAAGAGAGTTCGCGGTTAACCTTGAAGTGAATTATGAGGGAGAGTATATACCTCACTCTTTCATCTGAGTTGGAAAATAATGGCTTACTTCGTCAGGGAACATTTCATAAAGCAGTAGCTGATGGCAGTACTCCTTGGCCAAAGGAAAAAGTAAAACTGGTTATACAGGAAAGGTAACAGAGGTCAGTAAACAAAAGAATCATTTCGAAACAGGGCACCAAATTCTGGGCATAGAGATGGAGATCGGGAAATTGATTGAATGACAGCTGAAATCACTGAGTGAACAGAAAAAATTGGAAGATACTTGCTGAGAACAAATACTTGGAACAGGCATTTATTTACATGATTAGATTTTATCTTTTCATAAAAATCTGATAATGTAAGAAATTGTTCAACTTCTTTTTCTATGTATACTTCATATTCCAAGAATAGTTTCTAATGAAGTTTAATAAAGATACTAGAGAGAGAATGAAAATACTTATTTTTATTATTTTTGGTTTACATTGAAATGGAAGCTAATGGGTAAGTCTTCTCAAGTCCTTTATAAGAAAAAGTCAAAGTAAACATCACTGATGGAAACAGCCTCAATTCTGTACTCAACATGACTTTATCTGCGTGTGACTGCAGTTTTTTTAATATAAACATTTTTAAAAATCCTGAAGCTATAGATTATGCGCACGTCAACTACCATAGTTTCTAAACCATGGCAAGTGTTAAAAGCTTTCTCTTTGCTGTTTATATGTTGCTGCAGTAGCTAATTTCAGAAAAGGAATTTGCAGTTAAATTTGATGGAGCACACTGCATCTGCTCAATTGCAGTCAGAGTCTAATGGTGCTGCCAAAAGGCTGCATTAGCATTATAAGACAATGTTCTCCAGACTCAGATAGATGTAGGACAGACTTCATAATAGAGACTCTTGGGTCACTGAATCTAACAAGAATGTGCCTGTAAGGCTCTGTCACAGAAAAATAACTGGATTCAGTCATATATCTATATAATCTCCTCAGAGGTTTTACAAGGAACAACTTCATCTTGAGTTCTTATGAAAACAAAACACAAAAAATTACTGATACTAGGATGTTGATTTCTTTTCTTTCTGAATCAAGCTGAAATTCTTGAAGATTGCAAGAAAGATGACAGCCATTCAGTGCTTGTTATAAGGATATTTAATAAATTTGGGATTAAATTAGATTAAATTGACATAGTAGTGGTATTCTGGGATATGGATTTCTTTGGAAATCTGATGAAAACTGGAAATCCTCTACCAGAAAGAGTACACAACCACATCTATATAATAAATTTAGCGTACATTTTCAGGGGGTTCAGCCATTCCCAGAAGGGTATTTTTGGATTTCAATTTAAAAACAAAACAAAACAAAACAAAAAAACTTCTGTAACTGAGAAATGTTGGGAATATTTGGTCCATGGATTTCTAAGAACAGAAATAAAGAGGACAAATTATTTTACATGGAACAAGTCACGATGTTTCATTCTTTGAATGAATTTACCATGGCAGGCTTCTTCTAAGGGAGACCTCCCTTGACTATCTCCTCTAAGCATTATTTCTTATCCCACCTTACCCCTAGCAAAGGCAGTCACTCTTTATCATATATATTTTTTATTTTTTCACAGCAATTGATACAACCAGAACTTACTTTTTATTAATTTTTTGTTGCAGCAGCCTGTTCCCATTAGAATGTAAGCACATGAACACCTTATTTGTCTGTTGACGGCTATAACCCTAGCATCTAGAATGTCGTCTGGGAATACATAATGCAGTAGCATGTGGTTGTAAAGTTGGCTAACTACCCACTGGTAATATATATGAATTCATGTTAAGTCAAGAATGATATGGACAAACAGCCGGCTGGAAATATATTACTGTAGCATGATAAGCTTCCATAACACACTTAAATGGTCAGTGTTTCTTTTATTCAGCTAATTTCTTGCTCCATTTAAACATTTTTTGTCACAAAATATTAATTTTCTTAAAATGCCTATTTATATGCAATGTTTTCAAGTCTTAATTGTGGTAGGGAATATATATTATGGCACTAATAATATAAATGACTCTTAGTCATTTATAAAAATCAGCTGCAAGCTCTTCCGGGCATAATATAACATTGATAGGGATGAAACATGACACTGAACTGCATAGATGTGTATGGTTTACTAGCAGACTTCTCAGGGCACCAAAATATTCCCAAGAACTTTTCCATGTTCACCATATCACTTCATATCTTTAACTACGAATAATTATATTTATATTATTTTTTTAGATTGTCCTAGATATAAAATATAAAAGTTACTATATCCTCTTAGCAACGTATAACTTTATTCCTTTCTTTTATGTCACTTTTAAGTCATGTTTAATAATAATTTATATCTGTAAAACCTATTTGACACTTGATAAACCGAACTTCAAAGGGAGTAAGTTTTATGCCAACCAGTTTGACATTTTGGAGACAAGGCAGGCTCCAAACAGGATTAAAATTCCACTATGCCTGGTAGATCAACCAGAAGAGAAAAACTGCATATCATAATTTTAAGATGTAAGTCAGATAAATCAGTTTGGTAAAATCAGTTGGGGGAAACATTTTTTTTTCTGATTGGCTAACTGCTAGAGCAAATAGTTTTCTATTCTTTATTCAGGAGATTTTCAAGATTTGCATTCATCGTTTCTTAGAAAAATAATGAAAAAATTTTCATGAAGTTGTTTTTTCTTCCATAAGTTAGTGCTGTCATTATTTTATTTTCTAGTATAAGGCCAACAATGCAAAAGAACAGATTTTATTAAGTCCCAGACTTTCTCTGAATCCACTAGTGATGACAAATTGTTAGCTAATAGTTTTATGCTGAGTTTAGTTAACTTTTAGAATGAGAAATGATTCTACAATCTTGATTTCAGTATGGATACTGCTTGCTGAGTGAATATTTATGACTCTGGGCCTTTCTATAAATAACTGTTTAAAGCTATAAACATTAAGTAATGAAGGCTTTGTTTCATCCTATAGAGTCCGCATATAATTCATGCTCCTTTCCTAGAACACTAGGTAGACTATTTCATAGTAGCTTGTCTCATGTTCTACTTATCATCTGATGATGGAGAAAGTGAAGTACACTTTGTTTCTAGATGTCCATTTTTTTTAAGCTTATAAACAACAGAAATGTATTTCGCACAGTTCTGGAGGTTGGGAAGTCCCAGCTCAAGGTGCCAGTACATTCTGTGTCTGGCGAGGGCCCTTTTCCTGCTTCATAGATGATTCCTTCTTGCTGCAGTGAATAGAGTAGCTCTTCTTCCTTCATGAGCATCCAACCTTTGATCATGTCATGGGAACTTTATCACACAGAGTACAACAAAGAATATAATCATAACTACTCTAACAAGTCAACAAGATGACATTTTGGATTCTGTTTTCCAAAGTATTATATTTCTATAAAGCTTGACTTTTAAATACTCTGCAGTGGCTAAAGTGATCAGATAAGTTTTTAAATTTTTTTGTAAATTATTCTTTAAGGAGAATAACACTAAAGAACTATTACATGTAAAACTTACCTTAATAGGGAAATAATTGGTTTTATTTTGAAATGAACATAAGCATAATTTTATATAGTTACATTTTTAAAATAATTTTGCTGGTTGAAAAATTCATACACCTAAATTTGGTAATTATTTTAAGATATAAAAGCTTGTTGTTTCTTATTAAAAGAAGAAACGATAAGAAATTAACATTATTTTCTGAAGAGAAGATCTCATCAGAGAGAATAATACTGACTACAAAGGTGAAATGACTCCATGAGTATGGAGACACGAATCAGAGATTCGGAGTTTGTAATGAATCTTAACTAATCATAGTTCTATTTATATAACACATCTGCTGTTCTTTTTTCTTTTATCTCTACATATTGGAAACATACTGAAATACTATCATTATCTGAACTCGTAGATGTAAGTTTAGGTGCAAATAATAAGCATTGTGATTCAAGCGCCACAAATAACACACAAACACAATCAGACCATGAACATATTATTATTTGAGTGATATGAAAGCTTGTTAATGTTCTGGCCAATTCAGAAAATATCAGTTACGTAGTTCAGTTAGGATTAAGACTTTCTGAGCTTGGATTTCTCCAATGCTTTGATTATGTGCGTGATTTAAAAATACTCATTATTTCCCTCGTAAGATTTATTTTCTTTGTTGGAGATTAAAAAAACAGTGAATAGAGTAGTTCTTATTTATTTCAGGCAAAAAACTGATAATAATTTATTAAGAAAAAATGCTTTTAAACTGTAAATGTTTAATGATTATCACATTTTAAAATTCATGTTTCCCCACTTCTAGTGACAATAATAATATCTGTGCTTGCTCTAGCAGCACATACACTATAAATTGGAAATCATGATAAAATCTTACATAGAAAACAATAAAGTGGTTTGCAAGTTTCATACCTCATGAATAAGCTGTGATCAGCCAAATTGTGAATGTATGTGGTACCATATAACATCATTTTAAACAAGTAATGATGATCCAGATATCTATTAGAGGCTATCTACTTAAAATTTCATTCATTTTTAAAATTAAAGTGACTTTCTTTCCTCATACAAACTCAATATATGGAACACAGACTGGTTGTTTTTGTGGTGTGTGTACAATGACAAGTGAATCTCTTAAATTTTCCAACTCCCAGTAGCAAACCAGAGCTTATGTAAACTCGTTAAAAAAAGAATAAAATATTGCAAAAGGACCCAGAGTAGTCATTCAATCATGTTAACTTTTTGTAGGCAAAAAAAGAAATCATTGTTAAACCTTGACAGTTTCAAGATTGGGTTATTTAATTCTACAATTTTGACAGTGAGATATTTGAGGATGATGCTTTACTTGTGACATTTGAAATGAATTACACTTAAATGTTAGGATTTCTTTACATGATGCTTTATCTAAATCATTACATCCTTATCTTTCAAAGAAAATCATGGTACTATGTATGTGTGAAACTAAACATTTAAAACAATTTGTTTTATTATTTATTATAGAATATACTTTTTAAATTGTAAAACCAACCTATATTAGTTTCCATAAAGCTGCCTTAGGGAACTATTTTTTTAATATGTGGAAAATACATCCAAACTCAATGAAATGTTTGATATATAGTTAGCTTATATGTTTCATAGAGTTATTAACATAAGTATTATTAAAGCTCTTCCCTTTTGGTTACATTATTTTTCCACATACAGTGAATCAAGGTAACAAGGGGTCGTTTTTCCATTTTGTTTTCTGAATTGGTTATTTACACTTTTGAAACCACAAAGACAACTCCCAAGTCTCCCCATATTTTATTTTGCACAAATCTTGCCAATAACTCCTCAGGGCTCATAATCTAAATCTAGAGGACATTACAGAATTTTTTTTTTCTAAGAGTTTTCAAATGTGCTTATTTTCAGGGTCCTGACATAAGGAATTTCATTATTGCAAGTTGTATGTAAAATATAAATTAAATGCTAGTACATTTAACTATGAAGAACAAAATTTCTTTAGTGTATAATAAATGAGTAGAGTCAACTCAAATCCAATATTTGGAATCCAGATGCACCTTGTGCAAGAAACTATATGGGTTGCATTCAGTGGAGTGAACAGAGTAACTCAGTTGTATGAAATCAGTTGTTGCATTCAATGTCAGTGGCCCAAAAAACTTGGGGTAAAATAAAGACTCTATGTCAGGTGTCTGGTTTGGTTTTCATTTTAGTTTATAATGCTTATGTAAAGGGGTAAGCCAAGAAGATTATTCTTGACCACACTTGAAAATGGACTCAATTACTGAGGTTAAATTTCAGTGTATTTTATAAAAAATATTACTTTCACAGAAGTGAAGAGATACAATAGCACAATGGTGGTTACAATGGTAGAAATACATACTGCCAATAAAATGTTAGCAAGAGATTTAAAAATGACTGTACAGCACCGCATCAGAGAATTGTGTTAACAGCAAAATGATTAATATTATTTTTCAATATAAATGAAATCCTTACATTTTTTAAAGAAATAAATGGGATAAAAGTGCTTTTTGTTCTCCTAATTCCTACCAAAATATTTCCTGATATGGAGCAAAAGACAGTAAAAAATGACAGTTTTAAAAAAAAAGACATTCGTGCATTTAAGCCACCATTAGTCTCTGACTCTAATATAAGGCAGATCATTAATCTCTTGCAAAACTATGACTTTAGCCACTTAAACTCTTTTTTTTTTTAGTGCTTTTCATGACAAGGACATGATAGGCCTTGTAAATTTAGAAGTTAAGATGTGTTTCCAACATGGTAAGTTAGACAAGCTCAGCTATGTTTTTGAAACACCAACTTTACAATAAAAATGCTTTGCTTTGGAGAAATGATGAAAAATAATAGTGAAGAAAAAAACGGAAGGGGTCTTATAGAGTTTATCACAAATCACACTGTTTAAATCAATGAAAACATGTCACATTTGCCTATGTGTCATCCTCTGTCTTGATGATATGGAAAAGGGTGACATTGAACAGCACCTGGTGGCCATTGTTCCAGGCATAGAGAGCTCGATCTCTTGCATTGTAGTCAAGCATGGATATGTGAAAGTATTGGTTATGGAAGGGAATGTCTGTGTACTCATATGTGGAGGTTTTGGTGGAATAGGAATAATACACCTTGGCTCCAGTTAAGTGGGAGTTGGTGACATACAGTGTCCCACAGATCATGAAAGATTCCCCTGCACTTCTCTTGGGGTAGCCAGTGCTCCAGCTCTTCATCACCTCCAAGGTATCTTGGTTAAGTTGGCTGATGACAATATTGCCTGCATTCTGGTTAGTTGCATACACAGCCCACAGCCCGATTTCATCAGCCATTAGGTCGATGTCAGAGAATCCACCCCATGTGTAGGGGTAAACATTATGAAAACCAGCATACTCCAGGCTTCGTTGGGCAAGCACTCTCCCCATATCAAAGCTGTATTTGATGATGATATTACTCTGATACTTGTTAAAATAGAGTGAGCCATTGTAGACAACATGGTTAGTTCCTGCCCACTTGAAAGGAAGGTTGTATGTCCTTGATTCAGCCCCACTGACAAAGTCTGCAATTGATTTGTATTCACGAACAATTTTATTGTTAGTATAACTGTCCATGTACCAGACCTGAGAAGAAGGAAAAAAATAAATGGAGTGACTAAATTCTGTACTTTTCTGATAACCCCAAAAGAAAGACAGTGAGAGTCAACACTTATTATAATTCTCAGGCTCTGGAAGCCACACTATCTTACTGCTGACCTGCCGCAATGTATTTCAGGCTTTTGTAAAAATATTGCTATGGTCTGTCCATGTGGAAAAGAAATAACTGAATTTACTACCTTGACATTAATTTGCTTTTTTGCTTTTTCTCTCTTTGTTTTTTAAATTCCTGACCATTTGGTGCATATCACTGAGTGAACCAATCATATGTCAATGCAAATTACACCTGATAAATAATGCCATCAGTGAAAACTACAGCAAATACAACCTTCAGCAAATTACATTTATTCTATCCCTTGCTCTGAAAAAAATGTATAGTCTAGTTTTTCGTATTCAATTGAAATAAGTACCATAGAATCTTCTAGAAACACTTGTTTATTGGGCTAGCCTGTAAGTACAACTACATTTTAAAGAAACCATTTTACTAACTTAATAACTAACCTCATTTAGAAATAACCCTAGAGAATCTTAATTTTTACTGAGTTCTGTAATAGGACATAAATAGAGCTATGGCAAGTTTCTAGTATATTGATTTATATAGCACAGGCATTGTCAACTTATGAAAATACCTCCCAGAAGTTTCAGCGCTATTTCTTTTAAAATTACTTCTAGACTCCAGGGATATTTAAGCTTATTTAGTAAATTGGTTTTGCCCTTGAGTTTTTCACTTATTTAGTCCTATTTTTTCATACTAAAGAACATATTTTAGAAAGAGTAGGCAGGGAAGTTTGCCCTTGAGTTTTTCACTTATTTAGTGCTATGTTTTCATACTAAACATATTTTAGAAAGAGTATACAGGAAATTAGCCCCTTTCAAGCATAAAACATGACTAAAATCAATAAAAATTAGATTTGCTAAAGTGATGAATTGGAAGATGGAACATTTTACTAAAATAGATTTGTCATTCTTTCGTAGATATGTTAATATTATCAAACAGAAAATATTTGCAAATTATGTACCAGTTTTCAAGTACAAACAAATATCCCTGAAGAAAATGAATAGTCCAGAAGAGAAAAAGTGTAAGCAGAACTTAATTCTAAGCAAAGGTGTTTGTGGGAGAAACATACTCTGTTGTTTTTCTCAGATGCTAAAGGGTCTGTCATCCAAGCACCAAATCGGGTTCCAGATGTCTTGACTGTAACTGGGCCTGTGATTTTCATCAGTTTGCCACATGCTGAAATTAGAGAAACACAAACGTGTTAGGTGAACGCAGCCAATGATTCCAATACGCATACTCACACTAAGAGCAAAGAAGGGGATCATAAAACTAAGCCAATCCATGGAATTAATATCACATTTCTGAATAAATGATTATTCACAATGGGTGCTGGGCCTTTAACCAAACATTGAACCATGAGGAGTTGCTTTTTCAATGCTCCAAATTTTAAACATAAAAATTTAAAGTGGGAAATGATTTGTACAATCCGGAAAGAAATAAATGAGGAATATCATTATCATTATACCAGTTCAGTGGCTGCTACTTTTAAGTAAAAAGTTAGACAAATGAAGCAAATTGCCCATAGACCTGTTTAGTTGATGGCCAGAAACTCCTTCCCTTCCCCTGTCCCCATGCTTTGTGACTATGGATAACTTATACCAGCCAGAAAAACACTACCAATTGATTTTCATTCTGTTTGGCAAAGAAGAAGCCCCCAAGAAAGATAACTTTACAGTCTATAAGAATAAAACATTCAATCACAGTCTATAAGAAAGAGGTAGAGATTTTAAAGGTAAATGCCTTATACAGCTAACAGGTCTGACAGGGCAGATATGAACACACAAAGAACAAAACCCCCAAAACTCAAACCTTCAGACCCTGAAGTCACATACAGATGAAAGATGAAGAGATGTAATACGTGACAAAAAGACTTTAATGAAAAAAGTTGTAATATTTTTATCAGCCCAGCCCACCTGTGAATAAGATCTTAGAAATAGCTTGGACTTCATAAATTCCAAAGCCAAAACCAAACAGAAAGCTAGACATTTTTGTGAGATTTTAAAAAAAGATTACTATAAAGTTTTAACTGTATTTTAAAATAATGTTTTTGTCCCTTTACCTGGATTATATTAGTTTGGGTCACTTATTATGCTTATCTTTCTTTTTTATTTATTTTAAGTTCAACTTTTATTTTAGGGATACATGTGCAGGTTTCTTACATGGGTATATTGCACCCAGGTAGTAAGCATAGCACCCAATATATAGTTTTATGAGATTTTTGAACAGCAAAATTTAGAAGTGATTTATTAATCATACACATTGTGAAAGGCAATATGACTGCCTATAAAATGTTGGGTTTTGGTCTAAACAAAAGTCTTCTTTCTTGTCCATTTATATCATGTTATTTTCTTCTATTTCTTTTCTTAAAACTCTTTTGGGTCCTACTTGTTCTACATATCTTCTTTCCTCCTCTGACTATTTAGAATTGATCAATTTCTATTAGTTCCTGTTGGTTCTTGTTTTTTTGGAAAGAAAAGAACACATACCCAAAGCAAATCAAAGACAAACTAACTATAACTTGAAGCTTATTTTGGCTCAGTTTTCTCTATATGTGCTTCTTATAAGAATAATTTATAATTGGCAGAATACTAAGCTTTGCAGTTAGGAAGATGATGAATGGTAACATTATATTTTGCACTACTAGTTTAGTGATAACTACAAATTTAATAATCTCTAGCATTTCATAAAACTTGAATCGAATATATTTTTCCCTTTTTGTAAAAGAAATCAAATGTGATGGCATCATTATATCCATAGTGTGGGTTACTTTATGATTTCCTCAAATCAGTAAAACTGGACCAATAATTCAGAAGACTTTATGACATTATCTATGGAATTGCAAGACCTTGCATTAAGCCTATTTAGAATATATAAGCTCTACTTGGTACAAATACATAAACAATATATGAGTAAAGTAGTATTGGTTTGAACTAGAAAATGTTAATCATATTCTGAATGGTTCTAGTTGAGTATATTTTCTGAATGCAGAATAAGTAGAAGTAGTATTATTTTTAATAATGTCCTATATACATTTTTTAATCAACTGATGATATGAGCATAACAATTTCAAGTGTAAGTAGAGTGTAACAAATAGAAGGGCCTCTCTTTTCCCCTAAAAACGTCATAAAACATGTGATTTTTTTTCTAAGCATGGAAAAGTAATTCTGACTTAAGATGATGGAGTGATACATGATTTTATCTGCTTTCATTTTCTATGATCTCATTAAAATAATAGTAAAGGAGTAAAACATGAGGGGAAAAAAACAAAAGAAAAAAAGCAAAGCAAAGGTACAAGAGCCATTAGTGAAGAAGTTTTAACCAATTTCCAGAAGGCAGGGTTGATGAAAAGTGGTCATTAAAGATGAAGATGGAATAAGATGCATTTGTGTCTATGCAGAGCAAGTGAGACCCGAGGAGGGAGATGATCTGCCTTGAAGAGAAAAAAGAAAGGAGTCAGAAACATAAGTAGAAAGAATGCTAGGAGTGAGATGGGACTCTGAAATCAGGCACACCACTTAAACCATGCCTTAAGAGCAATTGATTACATCTTCATCTGTAGATGCGGGACTGCAGAAGGCAAAGGAAAAAAAATATGAAACTGTGTTGGTGATCTGAGTATACCTAGGGTGATTAATACAGACATTGGAGGGCCAGAAGAAAGCCTCCTACACAATGACGTTGGTGGTTTCCCTGCCTACTCACCACAGAAAGAACTGCCAAGCCCTATCTTAATAACAGGAGTTTCCAAGCACATTTATTGTTCAAAACTTTAAAAATATATGTATAACCGAGGATGGCCAGATATTTTCAAAAAGTTTGTAAGAATGACTGATGTAAATGTTCAGAAAAACCAGGGCTCCCCACAGAAGAGATAACTCAGAGGATAGACAAGATCCTAGTACCTTCTAAGAGATTTGTATAATATATACTGAGTATTGTAAAAGGAAAACACAAAAGAACTATTAGAAAACAAAAATATAATTATATTAAAAAATAGATTGCAAGATAAAAAGAGTTATCTCCAAAATAAAGCAAAAGAGATAAAAATGAAAATAAGAGAAAAAATATGGAGGCATCTAGGATCAATCTAGAAGCTCCAACATCCAGAGAGCAAGGTTTCTAGAATGAAAGGAGAGAGAAAAAGAGGGGAGAAAATTATCAAAGAAATTATACAGGAAATCTCCCCAGTAACAACACCTAAATATTCAGATTAAAAGAACACATGATAATGAATGAAAAAAAGATCTACTAAAAGTAGTTCTAAAAAACTACTGTGAAATGTTAGAAGATTAAGAGTAAATTGAAATGGAAACTTTTTAGAGAAAGAATATGAGCTTGTCACATGCAAACAGGTAGAATTAGACCAGAATTGGGCTTCTCATCACCAATACTGGATGCTAGAAGACAATGATGAGGGCCTTTATATTTAGGAAGAAAATCAGAGGAAAACAGAATAAAGATATTTTTTAACATGTGCACTTTCCAAAAATTTACCTACAATGAACTCTTTCTTCAGAAATTACTTGGGGATATATTGCAGTGAGTACACCAAGACAGGGGAAGACATCAGACAAGAAAATAGTGACTTCCTGTCCCAGAATGACAACTATGCAGTGGGCTTTGAGAATAATCAGCCCAGAATGGAAACACAGTTCCAAGAGGGAGGTCTCAGAAATAAGTGGAATTGATACATAGATAGACTGTATGAGATCCTCTAGAGAAACTGGGTAATGCAGAGGCATTTATTGATGTATACAAAATAATTCACTTGAATTTAACTCTGGTAATAGCCTCCATTGAATGGAACAAATATGACATTGGGCTTAAAGAGGAAGGAAATGTGTCTAAGTCCACCACTTAGCTCCCAAGGAACAATATAAACATTGCTATAATAATGTAAACACTCATGTCTAACTTGTAGAATCAGCCCATAAACTAATTACATAAAACTTCTTACAGATCTCATCTGCTCTGTGATTACAGGAAAGCCAAAATGTTTCCAACCATGACAACATGGAAGAATAGGTAAAGTCCACGTTGTTAGAGAATTAAACATTGGGAGAGGAAATGGAAAGAAAGATGGGGGTGTAACTGTCTTCGTATTTTAAAAATATGGAGGTAAGAGATTTTTCCTATTGTTGAAAAATAATGAAGATTCAAATCTAAGACTTGAAATTACAACATTGATAGGGTTGAACTGTGAATAGTCATGAAATCATATTAGGAGGAAACATGAAAGAAAGCAGAGTTGGAGAAGTTATCTAAATCCTCATCTTGCAGAGCAGGAAGTCAATAAACAATGTCTAAAACTGTAAACCAAAATAATTGAAGAAAAAAAGCATGTTAATATAAATATAGACATAATCACTAATAGCCCTAAAATTAAACTGTTAAATGTGGTTGAAACTGCGGAGCAGAGCTAAAGAAGGAGACTACTGCTTTTTATTCTAAGCATACAATTTTCCAGCTACACGCATACAATATTTAGGTTATAATGTAAAAAGTTGAAATAGCTGCAAAAATTTAGTAGCCTTTAATTTTATAAAGCAAAAATCACATTTATATATTCCCTTTTGAAAAATCATTTCCAGGTTTTACATGCCATGCTTCCTTGGGACCAGGAAGTAGATGAAAATGGAAGATGTGAATAGTTTGCAGAAGTGGAAACTGTGAATATTCTGCATTTTAATTTGGCCTTTATCCTGTAAGGAATAGATTGAAACTCTGTTCTTTAAACTTTTAACTCTTACTATTGACATAGCAATCTCTTGCTCTTTAATTCTTTCAACCTTAAAAAATTAGAATTTATATTATGAATTATAATATTTATCACTTAATATATATATCAAAGCTAATAAATTTACAGTGGTTAGTAAATGTGCAGGAGCTGTAATAAAAGATACTGTACATATGATTCAAGTATGAATGATATGCATTTTCAAAGTAGTTAAATGATTACAATCTTGGAAAAATATACTCCTGTTGAAGATCCACTAGTTAAAGGAGAAAATGTTAGTCTAAAACTTAAAAATATTTTAAAAATGTGAATGATTTTTATTATTATTTGAAAAAATATACATACACAGGATCTCAGAAGTCAGTTGAGTCCAATTTTGTTCTGAATACAGATTAATACAATGTCTCGAATATGAAACAAACATAATGTAATGTGCATTCCCACAAAACTTTATACTCAGAGGAAATTACCAAGCGGAAACACAATCTGTAAAAATTTATGGCAACTTCAAGTTCTTTCTATTGTCCAAGTGAATACAGATTTTGTAGTTATGGAGTTTGACTTAACATTTTAGATGGCCAAACTAATGACAAATGGGATCTAATTAAACTAAAGAGCTTCTGCACAGCAAAAGAAACTACCATCAGAGTGAACAGGCAACCTACAGAATGAGAGAAAATTTTTGCAATCTACTCATCTGAAAAAAGCTAATATCCAGAGCCTAAAGGAACTCAAACAAATTTACAAGAAAAAACAAACAACCCGATCAAAAAGTGGACGAAGGATATGAACAGACACTTCTCAAAAGAAGACATTTATGCAGCCAACAGACATATGAAAAAATGCTCATCATCACTGGCCATCAGAGAAATGCAAATCAAAACCACAATGAGATACTATCTCACAGCAGTTAGAATGGCAATCATTAAAAAGTCAGGAAACAACAGCTGCTGGAGGGGATGTGGAGAAATAGGAACATTTTACACTGTTGGTGGGACTGTAAACTAGTTCAACCATTGTGGAAGACAGTGTGGCGATTCCTCAGGGATCTAGAACTAGAAATACCATTTGACCCAGCCATCCCATTACTGGGTATATACCCAAAGGATTATAAATCATGCTGCTATAAAGACACATGCACACGTATGTTTATTGCGGCACTATTCACAATAGCAAAAACTTGGAACCAACCCAAATGTCCAACAATGATAGACTGGATTAAGCAAATGTGGCACATATACACCATGGAATATATGCAGCCATAAAAAAGGATGAGTTCGTGTCCTTTGTAGGGACATGGATGAAGCTGGAAACCATCATTCTCAGCAAACTATCACAAGGACAAAAAACCAAACACCACATGTTCTCACTCATAGGTGGGAGTTGAACAATGAGAACACTTGGACACAGGAAGGGGAACATCACACACCGGGGCCTTTCATGGGGTGGGGGGAGTGGGGAGGGATATTATTAGGAGATATACCTAATGTAAATGACGAGTTAATGGGTGCAGCATACCAACATGGCACAGGTATACATATGTAACAAACCTGCACATTGTGCACATGTACCTTAGAACTTAAAGTGTAATTTTAAAAATATATAAAATTAAACTTCAAAGTGAAGTTTGATTTACCAGCGAAACTGCCTCCTATGGTATAGGTACCTTATTGCCAGACTGAAGCATGATTTGTACAAAGCAAGAAGACACAATTCTGGTATTTGTCTCAAATGTCTGCATATTTCAGATGTTGAGGTGTGCATAATCCGATGTTGATTAGTTGAAACCTGAACAAGAACTGTCCTTGGAGCTCTGAATCATACCATGAGCCTTATCTAATCGACATTTCCAAACAACCCACAGCACATCACTGGCTTGGGGTGTCTTTGGCTTCGATGGTGCTTGAATCTAATCCAGCCTTGCATCTCTATGGCAAAGGGATACTGCTGAGTCTTAGGTTGTTTCGGCCAAAACTTAGGACAGAATTTGTACCGGAGGTTAAAAGCTTCTGGCTCTTAAACTAAACATTGGGTGACCATGGTAAAGTGGTCTTTTGGCTAGTTGACTCTTTTATTTTGTACCTGGTTTTGTGAGGAAAATTGATTCTTACTCCAGTCAATCATACCTTAGAAAGCAAACTTTACTTTCTTGTAGCACTAAGCATTTCTCTGAAATATGTTAGAGGGTAAAAACAATAGTTACTATTTAAAGATATAATAATTAATTTATTCATTTGACAACCATTTACTGTGAACTTATTTTGTACCAGAACTATTCTAGGTGCTGAGAATACAAAGGTGAACAGGGAGGCAAGTCGCGTGTTATAGCTTCCCAAAATACTATTGCTTATGCTTCTCCTTTCTGTTGCCTTTTTTCTTCTTCTTTTCTCTTTTTTAAATCAACTGGAAAGGAAATTTAAAGAAAGAAGTTATATTGGACCAAATCTGTATTGAGAAGAAAAGGACATAGCAATGAGTGCACTAAATATTTGTCAATATTAAATAAAAATTATTGAAATTCAGTCATGAGTACTGTACCATAACAGCATTCCGTTAAGACAGTCTTCTTAGATAACCTGAAATATATCTTATGTTTAGCCATATTTGCCTCTACTCTTCTTCCACAAAACATACTCATAAGCTGTCAACATAGAAACAAGCAAATTAAACTACTGTTCCATGTTTAGTGTTTATAAAAAATGAATATGTGTGTCTAGTAAAAAAATCAAATATAGTTATATTTCACCATAGCTCACCGATTTGTTCCTGCACACGTGTCTTAAAGGTAGTTGTTCTGTCTGTACGATGGAAACTTATCCCTATAATCAGGAAATCAATATATATCTAGTGTTGGCCAGGGAAGGTCTTATGAACACTTATGAATTTAGTGTTTTGCATTATTTGATTCTCCTCTGTGTAATCTTCTCTCTGTCAGGTTGCTTCATGTCTGTCATCCATTAGCTATCTTCTCTCTGACCAGTGACTCAAAATGCCCAATTGCAGGCTTTGTCTTCCTGCTATTACTCTTTATTTGACCTCAGTCCATCACAACTTTTATTCCTGGAGTCAAATCCTTTGGGTAAACTAATATTTGTAGTGTTAATCTAAGAAACATACTTTAAACGAAGAGTTAATGTCCCAAAGCATTAACAATTTAAAAATAATAACTGCATCTTCGGTTTCTTATTCTGAAATAGTGAATACATTAAAAATATTACACTCCAAAGCAATACACTTGCTTAAAACCCAAGGTAGGTATATGATAATTATGTATGAAAATGTCCTTTACTTTTCACTGAGTAGGGGACAAAGTGCTTTGCATAAAGTTTCTCCACATTTGATGACCATGTAAAGTGGTCTTTTGGCTAGTTGACTCTTATTTTTACCTGGTTTTGTGGGGAAAATAGATTCTTACTCCAGTCAGTCTTACCGTAGAAAGCAAACTTTTAGGTGGTTAAAAGAACAGCTTTTGTATGTGACCTATGTGCTTCATTCATTTATTTATTCATTCACCCAGCTAAGGTTTTTTTTTTTTTTTAGCAGAAAGCACTGTTCCAGATACTAGAGTTAACAATAATGAGAAAGCATGACACCTCTGTTCTGGTGAAGCTTACATTTTGGTGAGAAGACAGAAAGAATAAATTAAAAAACAAATAAACAAACAAACTAAACATATCATACAGAAATAAATTTAATGCCAAGATTTAAGTAGGGCAATTTTATAAAGAGTGACTGGGGAGCTACTTGATATTGGGAGGGTAAGGAAGACCTCTCAGTGTGTGACATTTAATTTGAGATCTTATTGACAAGAGAAGGACATTTAGGCATTTAGTTTATTTACTGGAGCAGTTGTTTAGTGGATTTAGCCATTTAGAGAATAGCTAGGGGAAGGCAGCATCTTAAAGTGGTTGGGGACATGGGTTAAAGAGTCGGCCTGGATTTGAATCCTGATTTTATCCCTTATTCGCTGGAGACCTTGAACAATTTTCTAACCTCTCAGTGTTTCATGGGTAACAATAGAAATAATATCGTATCAAAGTGTTATTGAGAAGATTAAATAAAAAATATGGCTACATGTTTAAAATAGTGCTTGGTACATAGTTAAGTACTTAAGAAATAATAGCTATTATTATTGTTATTGCAAAGGCCTTAATACGCTTGATGAATTAAGAGGAGCAAATAAACAGAAAGAAGATCAATGTATTTAGAATACACTTGGAACAGAAGAAGACGAGATTGGAGAGATGAGTAGTCCAGTAGTCCACATTGTTTGTAAACTTTGTGAAGACAAGATTTGGATTTTATTCTACGAATGATCGAAAGTCATTGGATTATTTTAAAGGGGGAGGGGAATGACAGAATGTAAGCTGCACCTTAGAAAGATCTCTCTAGCTACTGTATAGAATATTAATTGTAGAGTGGATAGAGTGTAAACAGTCTCATTAAAAGGTTATCAGTTTTGGGAGGCTGAGGTGGGCGGATCACAAGGTCAGGAGATCGAGACCATCCTGGCTAACACGGTGAAACCCCGTCTTTATTAAAAATACAAAAAAAATAGCCGGGCGTAGTGGCGGGCACCTGTAGTCCCAGCTACTCAGGAAACTAAGGCAGGACAATGGCATGAACCCGGGAGGTGGAACTTGCAGTGAGCCGAGATCGCGCCACTGCATTCCAGCCTGGGTGACAGAACAAGACTCCGTCTCAAAAAAAGAAAAAAAAAAAAAAAGGTTATCAGGCTGATTTAGGTGAAAGATGATGGAAGCAGTTGTGGAGATGGAGAAAAGTAGATGGACTTGGGGTATGTTTTTAGAATAAAGTGGATAGGACTAGGCTTTGGATTAGATGTGAGGAAAGGGAATTTAAAAACTCAAAAAAAAATAATCAAAGATAACATCTAGATTTTTGGCTTGTCCAGCTAGACAGATTGTAGTGTCATTTACTCGGATGAAATGACTGAGGGAGGAATGGGTTTGGGAGCAAAAATAAAGAATCCAACAGGGATAATTCTAAGTTGTTCATGACTATTACACGTATCAGTAGAAACAGCATATAAATCTAGGGAACAGATACTCCTTTGAGTTTTGACAAAACAGTTTTGATGGTTTTTAGCATAATGATGACAGTGAAAGCCAGGGGCTACATATTGCCTCAGAGGGAAGGCATACACAGAAAAGAGAAAGGTATCTAGCACAGAACTCTGTAAATCACAATATTTATAAGACTCATCAAAGAAGCCCAAGAATAAGCTATAAGTTGGATAGAAAAAATAACGTGGTATTAAGAAATCCAAAAGAAGAAAGTGTTTTAAGAAGGATATAGTACTGACCTGTGAAAAACACCACTAAGATGTCTAGCAGCATAAGATCAAAGAAATAACCATAAAATTTGGCAGCAAGAGTCACTGCTGATTACAAAACTCAGAAAAAGTGTGGTGATCCCAGAAAATGAATCGAAGTTGGTTTGAAAAGAACGTAACCAAAGTAGCAGCTATAAAAGATTCTTTCAAGGGAAAAGAAGCAGGGAGACAGGAGTAGGAAAATATGAGATTACAGGAAGTTTTTATTGTTGTGCTGATGATGGTTAAGAAAGGTTTGTTTATAAAAATAATCTAGTAGGGAGCAATACGCTGATGTTGTGAAAGACAATAATTAAATAAATGAATCCCATGAGCAGATGGTAGTTTAATCTGTTTAGTAACCATGAGTAATCATGTGCCTATCTTTCCTTTTATAATTTTTGTGTGTGAGTGTCTGTCTGTTTTTACTCCCATCAATTTCACAGGAAATGTTCTTAGAGTGGTATATTCCATCCAGGTTTGAACACTGAGGCATGAGTTAGGAAGCCTGGTTTCAAATCTAGGCCACAGCATTCAATCATTGTATGAAGTTGGACAATGCCTTATTCTCTGGAGTGGAATTTCCTCATCTATAAAATGAAAATTCTGAAGCTTGACATTTTTTCATTTTAACTAAGGGAACATTGAATAGATAGTGGATCAATAGCATGTATATGCTGGTGGACAGAAGGTGGTATTTGTGGTTGTGGTCAAATAAACACCATCAGCGTTATGTTTATGATCACCATCATCTACCCTTATTCTCAGGAAGCAAAAAGCTGACAGAGCTCTCGATGTTGATTTCTTCTTAGTAGATGCTTCCCTTACAAATGGTTATTGATTTCCTAAGCTAGAATTCATCTTGCCAAATGAAATTAACAAAATTAAAGTTACAGGAATGTATAAAACTGGCAGTGTCTTTGTTTATAATTTTGTGTACCTTAGTGTTAAGTAACATAGGTATCTCCAGATTCTAATGGAGCATAGATACTGTAAAATGTGGTAAAATAAAATAAACAATAAGAGTCATTTTTTACTTCTCAGCTTCCTCACACTAGCCTTTGTTCAAATAAATCATTATCTTTCTCACTTTACTCTCACTTTTTATGAGGACAAAGGGAGCCAGACAGAGAGGATAATTTTCCCAAATGCCTGGAAGACAAATGTTCCTGCAAAGGTGGATGGCAAAGAAGGAAGTTAGGAGTCTTGCTTCATTGATTTTCTCCTGCTATGCTCTTCTGTCTGCAGTAAGATATGAAAACATTAGCATTTATAAAATATTGTATGTGCACATTGCATATATTCAGAAAATGTACTGAAATATACATCTTACCAAATGCAGTAATTGAAGAAAGTGACCGTGACCATTTTATTTCTATCATGACTTTTGGACTTTAAATTTCTTATAGTCAGTTACAATCCATATTTATCAATCAGTAGCTCAGGAAAAGATATCATTTGGGATTCAGCAGGAAGATCAGTTGTTTGGACTAACGAAGTGTAAAAACCATCTGTCCTCTCTTTTATTTGTTTACATATATATAATTATTTCTTATATAATTGTACTCTGTAATATCCTGCACTAATAGCTCTGGATTTGAATCCTAAGGCTATGCCCTTATAAACAAATTAAATGGATTATTGAATATGTTTATGGACAGAATGTTATTTCTTTTTACTTAAGGCCATTAGAGAACTCATGCATTAAGAAATACTTCTGATTTGATCTTTAAAGTCTACCTATTTAGGTACTTAAAATAAGTTTGTCTGTACCATACATTTGGTAGTAAAATAAATTTATATTATTTAAACTTTTATTTGCATGTCTAGCCTTATGAGTTATATTTGTGAGGTAAAGGTAGGGATAAGAATGGATATTTAAAATGTTGTATTGGATAGAGCACCGGAATGAGTTTCTAATGGTTATCTGGCTAATGGGATCAAGAATAATATGAACATTCTAAATAACCAACATTTTTCAAAGTTAACACAGTTTCACCTTTTAAATTATTTTTGAAACTCCCTTGACTCTTCCTTTTACCTTTTCTGGGATTAAGCCTAATTATGAACATATCTTTAAGGAGAAGCCTGTTCAGCATTCAAACTGAATGACAACTTGTGTTATGAAATCCCAACTAATTTTACAATTCCTACTTGACTTTGGAAATACAGGTTTTATATTATTAAGAGGCTCATAACTTAGTTATAATCTAGAAAAATGTAGGAGATAAGAGGAGGATTAATGATAAATAAATATATGATAAAATTTACCAATTACCAAAAATATGGCTAAAATATAACTAAGGTTCCAGAGTTCCAGAAGAAAGAATAAAATGCATAGCAATGGAGACATTGCCATTCTATTTTACAACCTAGAATTTTGGGAAGAGCAAGACTGTTTTTGGTAAATGACTTATTTGAAGATTCAATTTAATTTAAAGGAATAGTCTTATAAATTTCCTCCATTGCATTTCTGAGTCAAATCTCCCACATCTCTACCTCAGGCACACAGCTTGACTTTTTTGTTAATTCCTGCTTTCACTGAGATCTTTCGTGTCTCTTGCTTTAAGTGCTAATAAAACAAAGTATCAGATGTTTTGGAATGAAATACTGCATTGCCATTGAAGAGAGAACAGTTGGCAATGACAACAAACATGAAAAAAGGCTGTGCTTTTATTTTCCTTCCCCCCAAAAGCTTTTTGGCTTTGTAAAAGATATCGATGTGTTTTATATTTGACACACATTGATTTATTTCTTGAAAGCAACTTAAAGCTTTTGATTTTACAAATCAAATTTGCTCTTGACCATTCTGCAGATACTAATTTTTGTCCACTGTGTTTCAGGTATATTGCAATGGTCTCCAGAAATTCAACTAGAACAAGACATTGATTCTGATCTCTCAGTGCAGGGAGAATTTATCTATAAGGGTGTAAAGATTTAAAACAGAAAAACAAATGGGCATTTTCTGTAAAATATGTTAATGTACTAAGTGTCATGGGAGAGTAGGGGAGGTGGTTGTGGGAGACCATGCCAGGGGACTCCAACCACATTAAGGAAAAATCATGGAATAGTTAAAGTGGGAAGGAAGGGTGTCCCATGACAAGGGAGAGCAAGTTCAATGTCAAGAAGGTAAAGAAAGCATGCGCAATTGAGAAACTGGAAGATTAGAATGGTTAAAGCTTAGAGTAAGTGCATGATGAGAACCTGAGAACTCAAGGCCTGGAGAATCAGGCAGAGCCCATTTCATGAAGACAAAGCATGCAAAGGTGTTTGGATTCCATTTTAAAGGTAAACCACTTGAATACAGGTGTAATATAACAAGATTTGTATTGGGGAAAGATCACACTAAATATTTTTTAGTGATGGAGAGCCAAAACAAATGATCAGGAGGCCATTTGAGTAATTCAGTTGAAAAATCATGAATGACACTCTGAATTCGGCTGGTGGAAGTGAGGATGCAGAAGAGCTGGTTTTGAGAAATTGGTGAGGGGGAGATAAAAGATGTGGCGATTGCATGGCGGTGTGAAGTTCAGAGAAGAATTAAGAATGAATCTAGCCTCTTTTTTTTCTACAACAATTGGGTGGATGGTGGTTCTAGTCATTAAATTAAAGTTATTGAGGTATCTGGGGGGGTCTTTATTATTTTGTACTCCACAAAAGACATTATGTATGGGGAAAGAAATCTCAGTCTTTGAACTCAGAAGGACTTCCATGTAAAGTGATTGCCTCTAACATGAATCTTTGGCAAGTTAATTTAAACTTTCTGAGTATCTGTTTTAGTGAAGTTGATACTAATGCCTAACCCAGAGTTCTTGCATAGATTTGAAATAGCACATGCAAAGCAGCTGGCCTAGCGCTTGTCAAGCAGTAGGCATCCAATATTGCTGGAGTTATTGACTTATGTGTCAGTTGTCCCCACTAAAATATAACCTTGACAGGAAGAGGAAGATGGTCTCCTTCCCATCCTTGTATCCACAAATACCTAGCAAAGTGCCAGCACACATTAGAGAGTCAATAAATAATTGTTAAATTAAAATATTAGCCCATAGATACTTTGGTTCTTGTTTAAAAACTAATTTGGCATAAACGGTAAAGACAGTAACTCAAGTCTCTACTTGTGACCTTAAGTTTCTAATCTTCCTTCTGTTAAACATGAAGTCCCAAAGCTGTGTAATAGAACCTAATGCTTCACTAGATGGCACCAAACCATTGCCCTAAAACAGCACTAACAGGAGGGAGTTGGGGCAGAGGACTGGAAAGCTGGAAAGCCTTATTATAATCTACATTAAATATCTATTTGGTGTTCTTAGGGGTGTGTACAAACTTCAATCATGTTTTTTCAGTCAAATTCTCACATCCATACAATTACATTCTGCATATCTAGAAATGTGACATGATTCAATTAAGAACAGGGGACTTTATCCTATTCCATCTTTCATTGGAGTACATTAAGAACTTAGAAAAGGACATTACTGTACCTCATTCAGGCCAGAGGTCCATCGCTGTTGAGAGATTTTCCTAATTTCTCCAAACCTTTAATTTTCTAGTAGAAATAAGCAAAATGGTGCCCATGGTGCCCCAGTGGTCTTGATGACTTATGATTCCTTCGGGATCTTATTTACTATTTGGGGGTAACCTAGATTTTGCAGGCAATAAGACTAGCTTGGTTTTTAGCATCTTAAAATTCATGTGATGTATGCTGTGACATTTATTTAAAAGCAAATCCACTGAAAAAGTGAGGGAAAACACATTCATCATTGTTGTAATTTTATTGTTTCTCTCTAATCCATTTCTACCCTCTACTAATTGGCTGTGTGGGTTGAGAAGCATTTGTGTAGAGTGAAGATGTCTTTGATGAATAAGCCTTCTTGCTGTTGTTACTATATTGCTGATTCTGTAATTATCCAATGTCCCACTCTAGATCTGAGCAGCATAGCAACTGGATTATAGGCCCTTTTGGAACAACTGAACCCCTGATATGCTTTTCTTTCTCTACCCTTTCTGTTAATGGTCCTGATGTTAACATCAGTTTTCTTCCCCAAGTCTATGCATTCTGATATATGGATAATTGGGTATTTGTTTATGTGATAATATTAGCCTTGGAGTTCAAGGGTTCTCAGAGATGAATTGATCCAAACTGTACCAATTGCCAGGAAATGTAAATACTAAATTGAGTGTTAATCAAACTATAACCTACTGCTATACTAAAAGTTATATATTTGATTTCTTCTGCAATTGTCTATATACATACATATATTTATGCACTATATATAATATAACAACATATATAATATATACTACCACACATCTTCTTTCAAGTAGAGTGGCTCTTTTAAAAATAAAAATATGAAGTTTCATTTATTTATTTTTTCAGTAACCATGTGGCTTTATACTTCACTGTATAATGACTGTATGGCTCTGCCTGGACGTTTTCTACATTGTAATTAAGGGTTGTGGTCCAGCGGATAAAATATCCTCTTTGCTCAGGAGATGCTCAATAAGTGGTTAATTGACCTAAACATGTTGGGATAGTAAAAACTAACCAGTTATTGAGATAAAAAGCATGAAAGAGTTACATTCATTGTTTGTGACAATGGCCCCTCTACTAAGTAAATAAGAAACTGAAGGCTGCTAATAATCTATGAAAGCATTTATGAAATGTGGGAACTATTTTCAGTATTTTATAAAGTCATCTCGATTAACTTATATAGCAACCATCTCATTAAATAAGAAAGTTGAATACCGATTTTATTGCTATTTGATATTTGTATTATACTAGTTGCCAAGTTTTGTTTTAGATTAGCTAAAATAAAAATAAATATTGATTAACTAATGCAGTTTATTTGACAATCAAATTCTTTCTAACATTGTGGCCCACTGGATAAAATTAATTAAAAAGATCTGTGATGTTACAGATATTAAGGATCAAGTCCTAAGCATAAGGATGCTATAGAAATATTATGCAAAGTTCAATAGGAAGAATAAAAAGGATGAATGCGTGCCTACTTAGATTAACTATCTTTGTCCAAAATATCGGAAGAGGCTATATTTGGGGGGTTACATGTGGGTTAGAAAAAACAAACAAATGGGGTTAAAAAAGAGCTGAGGAGAATATAGAACTACCCAACTGCAGTACAAATTATTTCCATCTAGGTAAACCAGACAGAATACCTGTAGAAGGAAAGCTCATTTATAAAATTGAGCAAATCCCAGAAGTTGTTTTTTGTGTTGTTCATTCAAAAACATAACTGACATACGTTAGGTTTCAGGGGGTTTACTAACTAGAATCATCCTATTGCCTGTCCTTGCTTCAGTAGAGTGCATTTGTACTTAGCAGATGCCGGCTCACTACATGCAATGCCTATGTGCTTGGGTTTATTGTGACATGCTAGGAAGAGTGAATTGATTCTCAGGGTCTGGAACGGTTGGTTTCTCTATAACAAATGGACCTCCTCCTCAAAAGCAAGTCAAAGCCCTACACAGACAAATCCTACAGATTGTCACTTGCAGAAAATCTTTAACCAGATATTTTATGAGCTAATAGAAAATGCATCTGGATATTTCTTTGTAAACTTCATATTGTTGAGGACACTGGGTAATTCTTCATTTGAGATTTACTTGTTATCTTATTTTATGGAGACACCATCTGGCAAGCCCTGTCACTAATATGGGCATTAAACTAAAGATATTTCTTAATATAAAAAGAATCAAATATAACAGCAGAATTTCCTTATGTAAGCAATGTTTACCTATTGTATATTAACCATAAACTCCACAACTTGAATTATAAAAGCAGAGCATGTAAAATAATTATTTAAGTGCTATGTTAAATAAATAACTTTTCCCTTGCTTAGTCTTATCATGCCCTGCCATTTTGACTCAAATAGGATGTGGCTAAAAAGATGCATTTCTTGTTATGAGTAAAATAGATCATTCTCTGCTACTTGAAATAGGTAATATGGTTGAAAAGTGTAGAAATTATTCCTATGACTCCTTATAGAGTAAATTTATTCACCAGATATTTATTGAGTGACTTTTCTTTGCCAGGTAGTTTTCTAGGCATTGGAAGATACAACATGTAGAGTGAACATGATAGACATTGTTCTTGTCCTCGGAAAAAAAGTCTAGCAAGACACATTATGCTACACATGCAATGATAATGAAACAAGAGAAGTCCAATCATTAGTGAAATATCAGGATTTGGAAGTGCCTAGCGAGGACACCAGCTTAGTCTGGGAGGGCAATGAATGATTCTAGCAAGACACAACATTTAAACTGAGACCTGACAAATGAATAGTTTATCACATGTGGCAGGTGAAAGTGCGTTGATGGAGGCAGGGTACATAGGGGAAGGAGTGTTTCAGGAGCAGGAACAAACAGCATCTTATAACAACTCCATGGTAAGACATTGTAAGGCACACATGACTGGGACTTAGTGTGTGAGGAGAGAAGTGGCAAAAGCTAAGCCTGGAGAAGCAGAAGGGGCCACACATGAAGGGTCACATAAGCCATGGACTGTATCCTACAACATAAGGAATCCATAGGAGATTTTCAACAGAGCAAAATAATTTCAGATTGATACTTCAGAAAATCCCTTTGGCAATAATGTGTACAATGAGTTAGAGAGGAATGAAAACTGGAGTCACAGAATCTATTATATATAGTTGATTGTTAGAAGACCAACTGTAAATGAGAAAATGTAGACTGTGTTTGAGGAGGAATAAAGAACTGAGGATTCTTGAACATGTGTTTCGGCCTTCAGGTTTACCTTATTTCCTCCTGATTCATTTTGTTGGATTCTCTTAGAAATCCTGGTATGATGACAGTGGAGCCTCCGATGTAGCAATTTCCCACACTATTTTGAGGCTGTGATAACTGAATGCAACATTTTGCATTTTGGATTCCTTTTTATCACTTGAAGCATATTTGTAAAATAGTCTTTACAATGTTCTTGTAAGCCACTCAAATTTTATTTTAAATGTTTACATTTATTCACTGAAGTTTTCTTTACTAGAAATTAATCTTTTGTGTGTGTGTGTGTGTGTGTGCTTTACTTCTCTTCCCAATTTTCCTGATCCACAAAAGAATTTATTTATCTTGAGAGAACACTTTCTATGGGTATTGACTTGCCCTCCCTGTCATATCGCATCATGTCAACAACTAAAATACTGATCCTAAATTAACTTGTAGCTCCTCCTTATTCAATTCATAGCCACTTATTTATTTTAAATTCAAGTTGCAGACTAGTCCCATGTTGACTTCAGTTAAATAATTAGCTCATGGATATCACGAAAGAGTTTGTAACTCAGACCAGATTGGACCACACATTTTAGGAGGTAAGAAGTAGAGTCCATGACCCATGCATGTCACATGCTTGACTCTTTACACAGTGGTGAGTACCTATTTAAGTAGCTGCCACCTTTTCATTTCTTGAGTAGATCAGAGCAGTTGATGGCAATTCTGTAAATTGGAGGAATTATTTCCATTTGCTTTAATAATTGCTGTTTGACATTTGGTCCCAGGGTAACTTTCCTTTCTCTAGTCTCCAAATTTCCCCACTAACCAAACAACAACAACAACAACAACAACAACAACAACAACAACAAAAAACAGTTTCTTTTTCCACTAGCCAAGCAATGACTGATATCACATATTGGAAAATAAAATGTATATCCACTAGTGTAGTCCATAGAGTTGACTGTATTTGCCAGATTACTTATTTGAAGCCACCAAATGGTAACACAGGGCTCTAAAAATCAAGAAACCATTAGTCTAGCACAGAGTACCCAGACATGCTTAAGTCATTAGGGGACACTTCACACTTAGAAAATGGGCTCTGATTTCTTTACAATTAGATATTTTATGACTCTTTATAAAACGTAAGAGCACAATTTTCTTTGAAACTATATAAAAACGTAACTTAGACAAATTAAATTGTCATACTCACTTAGCTTTTTCATGCAGTCACGAAGTCTTGTTTCCAAGCTCAGCACTCTTTGGTGTAGTTCCTCGTAGTCATAGGCACCAATTTCCTCCTGAATACCAGTGAGGACAGCAGACAGATTCCTTATTTCCTCCTTGAACTGGGTGATTAACTTAGCATCTGTTTTGTACTGTTCCAGCACGGGGATCAAAGGCAGGAGCTCGTCCATTTTCTCTTTCAACTCCTGTGAAAAGCAGCCTATTGTTCCTGAGAGTCATTTAAAACAGATCATGCTGCTCTGTTCTTTTTATTATGATACTTAAAGGAAATTATTAAAACAGCTTCAACATTTCTTATTGATTTTTGGTTGAAATTAGGTATTTTGTGAAAATTTAAGCGGTCATGTGATTATTACTAGTAAGTCCATTTATTTCAGCTTTTCCATATGAGAATCTTTCTTTAATGCTTAGTTTTCTATAACAAATATATCCTTATCATAATTAGAAAAACTTCCTATGGTAGAAACTAGGACTATATACTATTTCATTTTCTGGTAACATTTTATATAGTGAACAATGTATTATCTAGTTAGGAAATATAAGCAGAATCCATCTTCTAATTATGAATTAAGTTTGAATAAAGTGATTGAAAATAGGTCAATACCCTATGATTGTTCAGTTGAGTCTAATCATCCACCTACTAAGTATCCATGTTATGGGGCACATACAGAAAATTGTGGACTCTGGATCAGCTTTTTTCTGACACTTAGAATTTTTCCATCATGGCCATCAACCAACTTTGTTTTTCCTTTGTGCTCAGGTATTCCTTGAACTTTTAAATATCAATTTTAGCACAACTTCATTATGAAGGTAAGTTCAGTAAGTGTTATAAATCAGATGAAGTGTCCCAAGGCTCAAATAAAGGTATGTTACTGTTTACTATTTTGAATTATTACCTGTACTTCGACTCCATTTATCTTACCATAGATAATTTAAAGGTCGTTATGTATGGCAGAATTGCTTGCCCATGTGGCGAATTAACTCTTTAAGAAACCAAGGTGTGTAGTTTATGTAATAGATGAGCCAGTTACACAGAGTTGTTTGAAACTGAAGCATTGACTTTCGTCAAACACACACACACACACACACACACACACACACACACACACACACACAGTGTATGTTGTCAAGCAGTATCCCTCACCCCTAGCCGTAACAGGACTGAAGCACGCCTACAGTTTCACCTTGGGTTTCTAGACATGTCACCGTTACTTCTTTCTCTCTAACTTCATAGTAGTGAAAATAGTAGTGAAAATAAATAAATATTTCTTTATTTATTTCAGGAGTTTGATTCAATTGTGAATTTATTGGAAATAATGTCATTTGTGGAAAGAGCAGTCCCTCTTATGATTATTTGAGAATAATACATAGATGCTGTCAGAAATTATACTGTACACTAACTGATTTAAGGAGCTGAAAATTGCATTTTTAAATTACATTCAGGAGATGTTATTACTATAAATGCATTAAAATAGCAGGAGCTCCCATTGCTGCCCTGATTTATGGGTTTGAGTTTCTTGTGGGGAAATTTCCACTTGCTCTGTAAGTTCAGAATCTTTGAATTTGTTCACATGTACATATTGAGTGGGAGGCTAAGGAGAGACTTAATAATGAGAAAGATTCATAAATATCACAGTCAAAGGCAGAATTGCAGTGCTTTGCTCATTTTGTCAGCTCATTTGGAAATAGACTTATTAAAGTATCTTGTGGTATCCCTAAAGGAATACACAATTGTTTCATTAGGATTTTAATGAAAATATTTCTGTGGTTATCATTTTCTGCACATTATAACAACTGTTACAATCAAAGGTTTTACATTCTACTATGGGCATATTTAAAAGAGAGCAATTCAATGTCAAAATGTTGGTAGCTTTTCTTCTCCCTCAATTCAAAACTAGATATTTATATTTTTTAATCTTTTCAACAATTCATAATTTGATTATTAGCGATCAATTGTGAAACTCTGAAAACTTATATGAGAGCATTGGAAAGTCCACCCAATGCTCATATCAAATACTTAAAAGATTACAGTAGAATAGCATAGACCTGTGTTTGCTAATCTCTTCTAGAATCTCACTTTCTACTATGCTGCTTTTACATCCAAGTTCTTAGCTAGAGTAGAGCCAACATCAATCTCTTCATATAAGAATGTCAATCTCAAGTATAGTAGTTGGCATAAGCTTTCTATCTGAAAAAGTGTAGAAGACAAAACCTACTTAACATTCTTGATACGATGGAAATTGTGTAACAGAGGAAGAATTTTTTTTTTTTTTGAGACGGAGTCTCACTCTGTCACCCAGGCTGGAGTGCAGTCAGTGGCGCGATCTCGGCTCACTGCAAACTCCACCTCCCGGGTTCACGCCATTCTCCTGCCTCAGCCTCTCGAGTGGCTGGGACTACAAGCGCCTGCCACCACACGCAGCTAAGTTTTTGTATTTTTAGTAGAGACAGGGTAGGAAGATTTTTTAAAAAGTATTCTTCAATATTGAATTTACTTTGGAACGTTCCATTTCCTCTTTTCAAGTATAGTACTAGCACCTAGAACAAAATCCAACTCATGGTAGGACTCAAGAAATAAATAAACTCCACAAATATATGTTGAGCACCTAATTATTATTATTTGTAATTCAGAGACCTAAAGTCTACTTGGAGAAGCAATGCAGCATTAGTATTAGAAGGTACAAGTTTGGAATTGGACTTTCTGAATTTGAATCTTGGTTCTCATGCATATTAGATATACGACTCTGGATAAATTACTCAACCTCTTTGATATGGTTTGGCTCTGTGTCCCCACCTAAATCTTATCCCAAATTGTAATTCCCATATGTCTGGGAGGGACCAGGTGAAAGGTGATTGTATCATGGGGGTGGTTTCCCCCATGCTGTTCTGATACTGAGTGAGTTCTCATGAGAGCTGATGGTTTTAAAGTGTGGTACTTCTGCATTCATGCTCTCTCTCTCTCTCTCTCTCTCTGTCTGTCTGTCTGTCTGTCTCTCTCTCTCTCTGTCTCTCTCTCTCTCCTCCTGCCTTGTGAAGAAGGTGACTGCTTCCCCTTCCATCATGATTGTAAGTTTCCTGAGGCCTCCCCAGCCATGCAGAACTGTAAGTCAATTAAACCTCTTTCTTTCACACATTACGCAGTCTCAGCACAGATCTTTATAGCAGTGTGAGAATAGACCAATACACTCTTTGTGCTCCAGTTTCCTTATCTTTAAAATGGAAATGAAAATAGTGCCTGAGTTACAAGACTGTTGCGAGCATTATACAGTTAATATACTGAAAGTGCTCAGAACTATACCTTGAATATGTATAATATTCTGAAAAATCATTATTGTTATTATCATTACTGTTATTTGGATTTTGACATATAACTTCAGCGTATACTTGGATTACATGAACTAGGAAAATCCAAGCCATTATGTCACATGGTGCTGCTGCCTGAAAATTGTTTTCTTATTAGTAGCCTGGCTGATTTGCTGCTAGGCAATTTATAGGACTAGGTACATTATTTCTTTGGGGTTTATCTCAATTTTGTATCCTTTTTGTTTCTTAGTTTCCTGTCTTCTCGCAAAAGTTCCCAAAGATGAACATGCTTCATCATGCATTCCCCAGCCCTGTCAACCCTGACACTCTCAAGCTGTCCTTTGGCTTTGCAGAATTCTCATTGCATTGTCCATCTACGCCAAACAGTCTGAACTCCTCTCCTCCTGACTAGTTCCTTCTGGGAATGCTCTTCCCACACCTAAGGTGCCAGCTTACTATTTTCTACTTTGCCGATGACCTCAGCATTGGGTTCCCATTATTATTTTACCATCTACACTCTAACCCTGAGAATTGAAAATTGACATAGTAAATCTTTTGGTTTTCTTGATCCCCCTATAATTTAATAGTGGAGGGGTAGGGTCACTAGTACGAAACCAGCTCTTCTCCTGGTCTTTTTAAATCAAAATTAATTTCTCCTCCCTTTGTGCTCATAAGTAATGTTTATGCCTCTATTCACCATCAATTCACCTGCCTGTTAGTTGTCTTTCATAGAAGACAGATTACGTATAATACATCCAGCAGAGGGGCCAACCGCACCTTGTATATGGTATGTGCTCGATAAATACTGGCTAAAATTAATTCTTTTGCTCTTCATCCTCATATTCTTCTCTGTTTACCATTTATCCATAAGTTTCCTATTTATCCAGTTCACTCACACTCTCATTTTCAATAATCTTTAAATTTAAGTATATTCTAAATCTTGCTCTAATTTGTCCTAATTACTTAACCTGCTGGTTTTGTGTACTTCTCTCTTCAATTTAAACCTCATGATTAATCACTTCAGTCCCCTCTCTTTTCAATACCCTCAACTTTCTTGCCCTCTTTTTCTTCCTTTGTGACCGTCTGGGTAAAACTTTAAAACCAATTCAGGGTGTAATGTTCTTCTATACCTCTCTACTCAGTCTCTGGAGTACCACTGAAGAAAATTACAAAACCATGAAACTTTCTGCCACATTCAAATGTGTTATGCAGAGACTCGGTTACATGTTCCTCACTAGCTCCCCACCAGCCACCACTATGTGTAGGAAGCACTCCTTTCCTTGCCCAAGGGCTTGAGTTCAGATCCACTCCCTCAACATCAGCAGTGAATCTCACTTCCTAACTGACAAGAAAACCAGAGGCTATTAAGTGGGCAACCACAGTGTTTTATGAACTATGTGCTATGCCTAGGTAAGGCAAGTGGTTTACTTTTAATGGGAGCTGAGATTGCATTAGCAGACCAAGAGTTTTTTCTTTTCTTTTTTTTTTTGAGACGGAGTCTCTCTCTGTTGCCCAGGCTGGAGTGCAGTGGCGCTGTCTCGGCTCACTGCAAGCTCCGCCTCCCAGGTTCACGCCATCCTCCTGCCTCAGCCTCCCGAGTAGCTGGGACTACAGGCGCCCACCACCACACCCGGCTAATTTTTTTTTTGTATTTTTAGTAGAGACGGGGTTTCACCTGTTTAGCCAGGATGGTCTCAATCTCCTGACCTTGTGATCTGCCCACCTCGGCCTCCCAAAGTGCTAGGATTACAGGCGTGAGCCACCACGCCCGGCCGAGTTTTTTCTTAAAATTCATAACTCTTTCATATATAGTTAACAAAAGTTGACATAGCATGATTTTTTTCTCCATTTTCAGTATTTGTAAATAATTGCCAATACAACACTTAAAATCTAGAAAAATACTTTATTTGGATAAATTTATGAAACAACTCTCTCCACATGCTCATATTAATGGCATAGTTTTCTCTTTAAATAATTTATATCATCTACATCTTTCTTCATATTAGCAGGGCATAAAACCATTAGAGAAACATTTATAATTTAATTATTAATTTTCCTTGGGGAAATTTCCCTTGTTTCAGAAACTCCACCAAACTCTACAAGAATGAAGCTTTTTCTATAGCAAGACTTCCATGTCTTCCTACCAGCTAATGGTCAGTTTCAGTGGAGAGATGACTGAAATCCCCCATGAGTCTTTTACCTTGCACATATGGGCCAATGCACATTCATTTCTAGCTGAGTGCCCCACTGCTGTCCATCCCACTCCATGTCTGATTTGGATTGACAAGATTGCAGAAGTCAAACCTACCTGAAAATGCTTGGTCATAAGTGTCTTTCGATCATCTTCAATCTGCCGAAATTTTGCCTTCAGCCCTTTCATTTGGGTTTCCATTTTTAAAACATATTGGAAATCTCTCTGAGTTCTCAAGTTTAAGACTTCAATAGACTGGGACATGTTCTGAACCTGTTGAACAAGAATATTGTCTGTACATTATTATCTGTTTGCAGGTTTGTGCAATCACTAAGAAATAGCAAAAATGCCGTTAACATAAAAACTAGAAGTGCCAAATTCATAACTGGGTTCCCATATGACACATTTTCAGAAGAACAATTCTTCATTATAAACATTTAAAGAATTCAGCAAGAGAAAATTATACCTAGACAGGAAATTTAAAAACGGGCATTCTAGCATTAGAACTGACTGAATATAAATGGGCTTAATACATTAGAAAAATAAGCTTTAAAAATAGAATTTTCATTTTAAGGCTTTGTAAGCTAATAACATCCCAACCTGTTAAATGTCAAAATAAGTTGTTTCTGTAAGTACTAATTCTGACTTCTTAAATATTTAGGATGTTTAGCAATTGTGGATGGTAGTGAAGTGTCGAAGAGGCCTAGAATGCATTCATTCTAGCTCAGTAAGTTCTTAATGGGTCTAAAGTACTCCCAGGGGTGAGACTGAATTGACTAAGACAAGTGGTAGCAGTACTAGAACACTCCCTAAATTGGACAGCATAGTGTTTGAGGGACCTGGAAAAGGGTAACTGCATCAAGTGCTTGGTAGACAGGACTTAAACACATTTTAAGCCAATGGCACCATCCCAGGTTCGCTGAACCCTGGGCTATTTGGAAGTAAAAAAGAGGTAACCTATAACGCATGCAGAAATGAGAGGAAAAAATGACTGGTCTAATTTTTGTAGCAACAAAAATCTGAAAACAAAGAGAAAGCATCTAATAACAGGGGATGTGTTAAATAGAGAAATAGAATATGAATGACCCGTTATAAAGATTAAGATAGATCTCTATGCTGTTAGTACTCAAAGCAACAATTTTGGTATCACCTAGGAGTTTGTCAGAAATGCAAAATCTCAGAAATGCTCATCCAGAACTACTGAATCAAAATATACATTTATCAAGATTCCCAAGTGATTCCTATGTCTATTAAAGTTTGAGAAGTACTGCTCAATATAGAAAGATTTCAATGAGAAAAGCAAATGTAAAGATCTTCATAAAATTTGATCTTTTTTGTTGCTTTTGTTGTTGTTGCTGTTTTTTGTGAGACGGAGTCTCGCTCTGTCACCCAGGCTGGAGTGCAGTGGCATGATCTCAGCTCACCACAACCTCCGCCTCCTGGGTTCAAAAAATTCTCCTGTCTCAGTCTCCTGAGTAGCTGGGATTACAGGTGCACGCCACTACGCCTGGCTAATTTTCGTATTTTTATTAGAGTCGGAGTTTCATCACATTGATGACTATCACCTCAAGTAATCCACCCACCTTGACCTCCCAAAGTGCTGGGATTACAGGTGTGAGCCACTGCGTCCAGCCAATCTGTTTATTCTAAATCAAATACAAATACATGCACACACATATAATCAGTAAAAAGTTATTTTCATTGAAAACATGTGATTTACAAAGGGATGACTTGTTCAGACACAAATTTTTGTCATCAGATAAAGTGGCAATGCTAAATGGATCAGCCAGCTGTAAAGTTCCCATAGTTGATACATTCCTTAGAACTATAATATTGGAAAAAGGCAATGAATACTGTCTTGGCCTGCCTCAGTTCTTTGCCTTTTTTTCACCCTTTTCTGTTCCCTCTGCTGTCTTGATCCATCATCTTGCCCTTTTTGGATCCTGTCCTTTTAGGACATATTACAGTCTGGCTTATCTTAAAACTAATTGTGTTATGTGGGTGTGGAGTAGGGGCAGGGAAGTAGCCTTCCCTTTGTGAGCTCCATGAGGTTAGAAGCTGTGTCTTACTCATATCTTCCATTTCCAAGACCTTACACGGAACCAGGCACAGAGTAAGTGTTCAGTGAATATTTATTGAGTAAAATTATCTTGGGTTTGTAATAGTAATAATAAGTATTTAGAATTTTAAGGAGAGTCTTCCTACTCCTGTCTCTGGTTAGGCAACAGCATTATAGGAATGTAAGTATTTCTTAATTTACTAAAAGTTTAATATTCCGAAAGCTTTATTTTTAATTTTCAAAATATTTAATCTAGCACAAAATTACTAAGACAACATTGGAAGCATGGTAACGCCATTGTGGATAAATGCAATGCTTTCAACATAACTTTCTAACTTCATTTGTGGTTAAACATGTATAAGGAAAAGCCATTTGCATTAAAAAAAACTGTCTACGTATTTAAATATGGCATTTGTCTGTGAGGACACCTATCATTAGCATGGCTGATATCCTGGTAATAATTCTATGTACCTGGGCCAAGTCTATACAATTAGAAAATGATGGGCAAGATAAGGTATTCTGGATAAAGTTAAAATAGCCTGTCTTTATTTCTGCCTTTGACTCACCCTATAAGGTTAATTTTCAACTTCATTTGTGTTACAGGAAAATGCACTGAGATAATTTTTGCTAAGGCTTGATGGTGACCTATATTGCAGAATCATGTGTAATTAGAGGAGCTACATTTGGGGTAATGGCTAGAGCTAGAGCTGTCTAATTGGCCAGGATTTGGCTTCAGGTGGTCTTAAGCATCTCTTGCTGGTTATAACTAGGATTGTTTAGTTTCCCACTGGCTATAGAGGCCTACAGAGCATCAGTTTCCTGATGACACGGGAGACTGAATACCCATGACGACATGAGTAAGGAAGGAGAACTGTCTGCTATGTTCCCTCTTTTTGTTGGCTTATCTCTGCGGTTGTTCTATGATTCAGCTTTCCAGAGGTGTTTCTGTGATTAGGATCTCTCAGCATAGTTTGGCAAGCTCATTGTCGCCCTTCCTGGATAATTCTTTTGGAATTTTTATTTATTCTGGTTCTTTGTATAAATAAGATATCTGGGGCTTTTCTGGACTTAAACACAAATTAACTTTGATTTTCACTCTCACTCATAATTAGTGAGGTGGTCACTTGAAAAAAAAGGTCTATTAATTAAATACATTTGGATAGCCTTGAATTTAACACATATAAACCGATTTCTTGACTGTAGGACTTAACAAAAACTTTAGTAGTAAACTGTGTATTAGAAATCTTCAAGAATGAAGTATCATGTACAATGTTTCTTAAACTTATGTCATTGGTGAGGATGATGGCAGTGTCCTATTAAAAAAAATCACACTTTAGGAAATATTGACTTAGATAATACAAGACATCTTTAACTGTACAGGGAAGCTACATAGTTAACAAACAAATAATTTTTTAGGTGAGCAATTTTAGTTTTGGCATACTAAGACCTGAAATACTGTGAAACCAATTATATTTTTTCTAATATTCAATAATATAAATACCTGTTAAATGGCAAACAGAGCATCACTTAAATAAGTATGGATATACCAGTGGGATTTTGTATGACACTGGTACAGCATTGAGAAAATGCAAACGGATCTGTTAGAGCCACAACTTACTGATTGAGTGACAATGGAAAGTTTTCAACCTAAAAACCACCAGTTTTCTTTTACATAAACTTAGAAAGATAACTATCCCTTCTATAAGGATTTAATGAAGTAGATACAAAATATAATACAAAATATACTAATAATGGGAACTATTGTTGTAAATATTGTCTTTATTAACAATATTCCCTTATATGTGACTAAATCAATCTTTTTGGTTAAAAGTGAAGGAGGTGCTTAAAGGTCATGCTCTTGTTTGCCCTTTGGTGCCTTGGATATATGTGAAACTATAGAGAGATAAGCAAGGGACTGGCTCAGTCTGAAATACTGTGATATCTCAGACATCTTTTCTTTGGATCAGTGCAGCAAACCAGTGCTACTTAACCTCCTTCAGGCCACTGTAAAAGAGTGCACACAATTTACGATTCCTCTGTTGCTCTAAAACTACCATATGGTAAGTTTAATACATCTGCCTTGTGGTGACTCCAATTTTGTGAATAAATTTTGTTTTTTGTCATTTATGTATTAATAAATTTTTAAAGGTATTATGTTCTAGAATTTCTTGAAAACATTCAGACAAATTACATGTTGGATGGATGGAGTGGTCATATTAATTTCTATTATTATTTTCAACCAACCAATATAATGCTTTCATACATTTTTGCTTTCTTCATCTTTCACTACTTCCCAGTTTTATCATAGCTATGAAATACATTTTACTTTGAACCTGTAAAGGGAATTATCCACTTTCTGACATTTATACTTTATTTTAATTTTTTCAACTGATTTTTGAAGAAATGTTTGAGTGTATGTGTAGGTGTGAATATGTAATGCTGTACTGAAAAATAGCAACACAGAAGATAAAGTATGGTGTCTAAGAAAATCTCTCACCTTAGTTTATATAGAAAAAAAGATATTTCTGGGTAGAAAAGAAGATTTGGTGAAGAACATTGATTATCTGAAGGGAAATACAATTTAACAGGAAAGCAAAATTGGATGTAAAAGATTAGATCTTTTTACTAATGTAAATAATTTCCCTGGTAAACAAACAAAATATATATTTGAATTTTTATATAAATAAAAAAATCAACTTTGGAAAATAAACTCAAGAATAATCATAATTCTTGCTCTGTCACCCAGGCTGGAGTGCAGTGGTGAGTTCTCAGCTCATTGCAACCTCCGCCTCCCAGGTTCAAGAGATTCTCCTGCTTCAGCCTCCTGAGTAGCTGGTATTACAGGTGCACACCACAATGCCCAGTTAATTTTGGATTTTTAGTAGAGATGGTGTTTTGCCATGTTGGCCAGGCTGTGTTGCCAACTCCTGATCTCAGGTGATCCACCTGCCTTGGCCTCCCAAAGTGTTGGGATTACAGGCGTGAGCCAGCACACCTGGCCTTGTCATGGTTTCTAATAGTTAGATGCATGTTAGCTGAAGTCATTATTCTGAATGAAAATGACATATGCTCTTGTTGGATGACAGATATTGAGGGATCCGAAAGGATGGGATCTTGCCATAAAAGGAGGCTTAAGAAGAAAGGGCCAATAGGTGATGATAACTTCAAGCAGAGGGGAAGGAGAAACAGACTAAGCTTTATATAAGCACATGAAAAAATCCTAAAATCTTAGAGCATCAATATACTTGCAAATAATATATACAGAGGAAACTTATTTTCACTATGTAGCAGTGGAAGAAAGTCACCATGGCAGCCTGAAATTGTGTAAATAATGAGTGTCTCTATTAAAAAACTTGATTTCATTTTTCTAGCTTCTCTTCATTTTTTGTTAAAAAGTTTCTATTCAATGCCATAAATGTGTGGGTGATCATGAAAATGACATCACACAGAGTCAATTGTTAAGCATGATGTCCTCTAGAACACATACTACCTAATTTATCTTATTATTCCTAATGACATTTAGAATCCAAACACGTCATCTTTCCATAATCTGGCCACTCCAGCTGTCTTACTACATTTAGAGCCCAGCACAGTGAAAGTCTGAGTGAGAATATTTGACAGAACGATTCATTGGTTTTCCTCCCTCCCAACTAAACATAAATAACCTTTCATGAGCTCACATTTATGTGTAAAAGAGAATAAATCAAAGACATTCTGCATTTGATTGTTATGAATCCATATTAAGTAAATTATGGAGAGAATGGTATTGAATGAAATTGAAGAGCTTAATGTTAAAAGGAATCACTTAGAGAATGATGATAAACACTTGGAATTATTCATTATCTGTCCAGATAGCTTGCATATCACATGCAATTATTTTAACTTTATTGCAAGGTTGTTATGGGATTCAAAAGTTTGAGCTCCAAGAGTCTAGTGTGATCCTGAGAGTGGAGCTGAATTTTTGGCATCAGAATAAGATGCTTTTTTTTTTTCCTTAATGAGATATCAACTAGAGATTAAGATATATGGTAGAGAGCCAGTCTTAAGGTGGCAAGGTTAGAAAAAGTAAAAAGTCATAGAAATAGGACAAAGACAATAGCAGGAAGCTTGAGGTAACCCTTTCAAGGATCAGAAAAAAAAGCTTATCTGAGAAGGGGGACAAAAATCAAAAGAATCCTCTTCATTATTATCGGCTCTACCATATTTCCTTTTGAAAGAATGGTCGATTTTACTAAAAATATGCATAGGGGACACAGGACACCTACCTTTTCCAGTAGTTGGCGAAGTTGCCTGCTTTTGGCATCCCGGGAACACAGGTTTTGTTCTGGAGCAACAACTGTGCAAATGCACCGCCCATCAGGATCCTGAGCTGAGCTGTACACCTGCCACCCTTCTTTAGGACTAATCTGAGTCTGAGGAAACCAAAGGGAAACATAAAACACAGACTCCTGTTATAGGATAAAAAGAGTGTTGGTTTGTAGCATTTCAAGTAAAACACTTTTTTGATAATTTAACTTTGTGTTTTCAATCTTTAAAGTTAGCAGAGAGATATTAAACAATTTATATAGGCAGTATAGCTTCATTCAGTATACCCTCCTTATCAATGTCCAAAACAAGATCCTTTCTTGTCTTCAGGTGCCATATTAGTAACTGATTTTGATCTCATACTATTTCCCAATGCTTTTTCTATTTTGTGACATTTTAATGCAACTTTAGAAGCATCTAGTAACTACTTAATCACATATGACTCGTCTTTCTACATAAGATCTTCTTAACAGTAAATGACAATTACTAATATTAATATATTATTTTCTAATTATAATTCATGTGTGATATTCTGAAACAAAGTCCTGTTTCAAGGAGGTTTCCCATATATTGAAGCCTTAATTATTAATAAAGTGGAAAAGAGATCATTGACGACATAGGTTAAAAATAATTAGACCAGCACTATTTTGCACGAAATGCAGACTCTTAGAGGACTTAGAGTTTTTGGCAGAGTCTGCCAAATTGATTTTCCCAAAAACTTCTGTACACTTATCACTCTACCTTCTTAGAACTCAAGTGTGAAGGGGTGGTATTCCAGTTCTACTGTAGTTTTTCTGCAATTTATGCTTCTAGATTTATCTTCTGTACCATCCAACAGAAACCTTTAACCAAATCGGTCTGTGTGCGTCGTGCAAGCATGCCATGTTGATTCATGTCTTTTTATGTCGCTCATTTCATTTTTCCTGCTTGGAATGCCTCCTTTATAAACCATGAATTTATTCAGCCCTTGTGATTTCTACCTGTTGTGAAGAAACTGTCTGTACTATTCATTAGGTATTTAATGTATATTTTCTAGAATTGTCATTTGCCTTTCACATATCTCATTTCAACAATTAGCTTATATCCAGCTATTTTTTTTTATATATAGACAAAACCTCACTCTGTCACCCAGGCTGGAGTGCAGGGGTGAGATCACAGCCACTGCAGCCTCCTGGGCTCAAGCAATCCTCCCACCTCAGCCGATATCTCAGCTCACTGCAACCTCTGCTTCTCACGTTCAAGCGATTCACCTGCCTCAGCCTCTTGAGTAGCTGGGATTACAGGCATGTGTCACCATGTCTGGCTAATTTTTGTATTTTCAGTAGAGATGGGGTTTCACTATGTTGGCCAGCCTGGTCTTGAATTCCTAGGCTCATGTGATCCAACCGCCTCGGCCTCCCAAAGTGCCGGGATAACAGGCATGAACCACTGCAACCAGCCCAGCTATTAGAAATGTAAATATTTCCTATTTGACCTATCAAGTAGACTCTATCAAGCACAAAGATAAGCATTATTATTTTTTATGAAATCATTTTTCAGCAAGAACATCAATAGACTTCCAAATAATGTACACCAAATTTATTTTCATAAATAAATTTCAGTGGAAGAAAGTTACCACATGTAGACTTGAAATTCTGTAAACTAGAAGTGTCTGTATTAATAAACTTGATGGTTTTATTTTTCTAGCTTCTCCTGATATTCCATTAAAAAGTTCTTTTCATTATACAGATAGAAGCTATTTTAGTAGAGTTGGATCTCGCCATGCTGGCCAGGCTGGTCTCAGACTCCTGATCTCAGGTGATCCGCCTGCCTCAGCCTCCCAAAGTGCTGCGACTAAAGCTCTAAGCCACCGCGCTGGGCCAGGAGCAAATTCTTAAAGTAACTAAAGCATGAACCAGGTTGACTTCTTTCTCCACAGATTTACCATAGTAGGTGGAGTCTTCTGTCTCTAGAATTCACAGCAGAAGAGACACAATCTCCCGTATACTTTGTCCTAGGTTCTAGCTCATCACATACCATAAACCACCACAAAGGTCTTTTTCTTCTGAAAGCTTTAATGATAACTACTTCTAGGTGCCGATAGGCCTTCCAACAACAATCATGAGCAAATATTGGGGATGCTAAAAATTATAAACTCAAGAAACTCATGATGATACCAAGTCATCATCCTTGATCTATTACGTAAAGGAAATGGTACCAGACATATCTTTTGAATGTCTTATTTTCTAACTCCTTTAAAAAAATTAATTCATAGATGTTTCCAATGCTGCCTTTTATTTTTGGGGGTCAGACTCGTTAACATTCTCCCCATCCCTTCTTTCTAGCTCTTATGCTTGAATATCCAGTTAGGATGGAAAGATGTACTTAGAATTATACATTATTCAAATTAGATAAGATCTTAGAGATTACTGGGTTAGTCTTTTAGTATTATTTTTTAAAATGCAGACTACCCACAGAATGGAAATAGAAACAGCTTACCAGAGTAATTTCAATGATATAATTAGGTTCAAGTTGAGTAACAGTATGCGATTGATGTATCTGGACATAAGCCCTGCAGTTTTAGCTGGGCATCTCCTAACATTGGACGCAAATCTAAAATATGCCAGAAAATTGAGGCTTGTCACTAGGATAAATTAATCTATTGGACAAAGGATGAGAGGCCACCCAATTATAATATTAAAATATTTTAACAGCAGTCCAAACACTGATTATTAAACCTGGCAGCATTAATATTGACGTGCACTTGCCAAGTGTTTGGCTAACTAGTGTGGAGCTCATCATGACAGAACTCCATGTCAGTTGCTCTCTGGAACCAGGGAAGTGGGAAAGGTGAAGAGGGTTTAATGTTCATTTAGCATTTCCCCTGAAGTGTCAGTTCAATAAAACTAAAGACTCCAGACTTGTTTGTACTTCCAATTGTCTTATTGTAAGAATCAGTGAAAAGAGCCATGACCTTCTCTACTACAGAGTTACTTTGAATGATTTAAACTATAAAAAGCCAGCTTTTTGACAAGAAAAAGGTAACTCAAAAGAGGAAAAAACCTAATAGAAAAGATGAGTGCTTGACAGTCCTGTGGGTTTTGATAGAGACCTCTGTGTTGGGGTCAGTGATAAATAGAAGCTTTATGAGTGTTTCTAGTGTTCTCTTTTAGAGAATCCATGCTGGCATTGAAAAGAGAATCAAAATCAAACCAACTAAGATCTCGGATGGAAGGACGTATTTAGAAGTTTTTTGGAAAAGACTTGCTCCAATTTTAACATATAAGAACAATTATTTAGGTGTCAATAAAACATGCAACAGGAATAGCAATCATTAATGGAGTTCTATTCATTACCTGGCAGTTCATATGTGCTATTGCTTTCGAATATTATAATACACCTATGGACTAGGTGGTGGTATTCTGCCCATTATACAGATGAGGAAACAGACTCAGAGACAGGAAGGAACTTGTTCAAAGTCATGCAGGGAGTATCAGCCAGTGAGTAGGGAGATTTGTGTAAATCTGCCTTTTAGGCAGACCTGGGATTTGTACTGAGAGAGTCTTATTTCAGAGATTTTTTTTTTTTTTTGAGACAGGTTCTCGCTCTGTTGTCCAAGCTGAAGTGTAGTGGGGTGATCTCAGCTCACTGCAACCACTGCCTCCTGAGTTCAAGTGATTCTCCCACCACAGTTTCCTGAGTAGCTGAGACTGTAGGCACACACAATCACGCCCAGTTAATTTTTGTATCTTTTTTGGTGATGGGGTTTTACCATGTTGCTCAGGCCTACCTCGCACTCCTGGACTCAGGCAATCTGCCCGCCTCGGCCTCCCAACAGAGAGTGAAATTTAACCACCACACTACACCATCAATTATTTTAATACCCTTTCATACATAATGATTATAACCTTGGTAGCATTTTCTGAACTACTGTGAAGCTCAGTGCTTAGACCTGGAGGGTACATATAGTTTAGTGGTACCCAAAGCATTAATAATCACAGTGATTACTGATGCAGTTCTCTTTGAACCTTTCGTGTTAATTGGAAGAACTAAATGAAGTATTGAGCAGTTTTTAATATTGTAAAACTCATAAAATATTTAAGAATGCTCTAAATAGGAGAATTAAAATTATAGTTTTAACAATTGTATTACAAATCTGGATTATTTGCTTATAACTTAATTACAAAGCTGTGCTTTATAAATATAAAGCTAGTATATGATAGTTCTAAGGCTTCAGGGGCTTTGTAATAGGAAAGAAGGATCTTGAGGCTTGACAAGTAAAAGTAAAAAATAATCAAACTACCTTGCATTTCAATAGATTTTTTGCTTATAAAATCCCTGCTATTGTTTTAGTCTCACTTTTCTTGAACGAACTATCCTTAGAAATAGACAGTATTTAAATTTACTTATGAGGAAACTGGAAACCAATACTCAAAGAACTTAAACATGTTTTATAAGTCATCCATTTTGTTAATGCCATATATAGGACTTATACCAGCTTTCCCCAGTTTTTAGCCCAGAGCTTTTTATGCTCATACTCTTTGGATAAATGTAGATAGATCATCTATGTCCATTCACCAGTAACCATAAACACTGCTATAGAGAAGACAGGCCCCACTGTAGTTGATGAGAAGAGATGCACCCAGGCAGGTAGAGGGCATTATCCAAACAGCATGGAAACAAGTAGCCATTGGTGCCTCAGAGGAACAGATAGCAGTACAGGCTCTGCAATATATAGTCAGATATTCCTGTGGAAGGCACGGCAATCATTTATCAGGGTCTAGATGGAGGGACAGGCAAAGTAAGAGAATTCTGATCCTTTGAACAGAAGAAAATCAACTGATCGAATATTGCTAGATTTTTTGTATTATCCTGATTTTCTGGGTATTTCATAAAAAGGACAAAAAGGGATATAGCTACTGAAAGTGTTGTACAAATGGAGGAAATAAAGCCTAAATAAATCTGTTTATTAAAACTTACTTGATTTAGAGTGGAGATACCTGAGTGATGAAAAATCCCTGATAAATTTTCTGTCTGAAGATAGGCTTGGTCCCAGAGAGTGACATGTGGTTTAGCATGCTAATGGCTTCAGTTGTGGAGACAAGAAAATGTGAGGACAGGAATTAGACAGATGTCGACAGACCACGCCAAAAGAAGCTGTGTTCTGGAGGATGTTAATAAAGATGTCACTGCATAGCTGTTTTCTTGCTATTACTTATAATAATTCTTAGGACTGAATAAGAAACGCGTATTCTTCACTGAAGGAAACCTCCAGGCTTTAAGAAAAAACAACTATAAAAGCAAAAATAATAATAATAATAATGAATAAAAACCAAAAACATTATCAAATTTAGGTTAGGGTGCAGTGGCTCAGGTCTATAATCCCAACACTTTGGGAGGCTGGGGCAGGTGGATGGCTTGAGCCCAGGAGTTTGAGACCAGCCTGGGCAGCATAATGAGACCCCCTCATCTCTAGGAAAAATACAAAAATTAGCTGGACCTGGTAGCCTATAGTCCCAGCTACTCAGTGGGGTGAGATGGGGGGCCGCTGAAGTGGGAAGATGGCTTGAGCCTGGGAAGTCGAGGCTACAGTGAGCCGAGATAGTGCCATGGCACTACAGCCTAGGTGACAGAGTGAGACTGTCTGAAAATAATAATAATAATAAATTTAGGTTGGTCACCTCTGCTTATGCCCTTTGGAAATCACAATGACTTAGACTTGGGGAGGTCCTTAGAAGTCATATTTAGTCCCATGTCTTTCCACACAATGGAACGTCTACAAATTCTCCTTGTGTTTCCATTAGACCTCTGCATGAAAGGGATTTCACTGCTTTACAGGCAGCCCCCTCCACTGAAGAAAAGCAGGGGGCATGAGCCGAACTCCTCTCTCTGCAGTTTTCCTTCTTTGGCCCTACTTTTGCTTCAGGCACTCAAGCTAGAATAAATCTACTCTCTTATTCATGTGAGGATTCTTCTATAAGAAAGCAATGATCATATTCTCTGTCACCATCAAGATTTGCCATTCTGTTCTCTCACCTGGCTTCCCTCCTTAATTTGTTCAGTTGCCCTATCACGAAATGAGCATTACCTAAGAGTTTAGGGAAGGAAAACAGAATTTGGGGGGAAAAACAGTCATATACAAATCAGTTAAATCAGATATCTTCATCCAGGACTAAAACACATTGGTTAATTGAGGTTAAGAAGCTTAGAAGATATTGACAGTTCATTTCAGGGGATTCTACTCATTTTATAGAACTTTAAATTGACTAACTCATCAAAGTAGTTATTCATGAGGAGAAGCCAGCTAGACCTTTGAAAATGTACCAAAACAAATGACATGCCCACAGGTTCCTTCGAGGCCTCTTCCCACCACAGCAGTAGGGCTATTTGAGAACAGCGGGTGTCTGCTGAATGTCCTCAACTTTTTTAATTGCTCTTTCCCAGGGTCTTCCTGGTGTGAAGCCCACAGCGTGAGGGATTTCTCAGAAGCTCAGCCTCTAGGGGAAGTTACTCTGCATTCAAGAGACGCGCCAGAGGGAGCCTGAGCCTTCTGAGAGCTGAGGCTTCCTCTGCTCAGAAACCAATGCCTCCAAAGGCTGATGGGCCCAGTGGATAGATTGGAAGGGGAATAAAAAAGAAAGAAAACAGGGCCAACAAGAAGGATAAAGGAATGTTTCAAGATTCTGAGAAAAACAAGAAGGAGCTTATTCCCCTAATAAGGAGCTGTATTTAACTACTTACTAATAAAAACATCCTGGAAATTTTAAAACCCCTTTCAGCTTTTGAGATAATCAAATGTGTCCTGTTTCAGAGGCACCTGCCATAAATTGATTTAATTGCCATTTAATGATTTAAACTCTATTTTTCCTGGTTTTCTTTTTCCAGGTCATTTGAAACTATCATTCTAAAAAAGGACTATGATCATATTTGTGTAAATCTGCTTTTCTTAAACCATCGTATTTATGTTAATCTGTTTTTTTAACCTCTGCGTATTCCATGAACATTCAGATTTCAAGACCTGCGTGTGCGTGTGCGTGTGGTATATTGCAAACTCATCCCATTCATACTGTTTAAAGTGAGAACATGGAGTGAGAACATTGATGAGAAGAGCTGGTTTACTACTTTACAGCAATACCTAGTGAGCCAGGGAGCTGTCAACCCTTCCATCTAAGGGAAGAGTTTTGCTGGCCCTCCACATGGAAGCAGCAGTAAGGGTCCCTTGGAATTATTTGAGAGGCAGCAGGAAGAATCCCCTAAGCAAAAGAACCTCTTTCACTGCTTTGTCACATGCCTAAAATGCCAAGAAAGGAGGATTTTTTTCTTCTTTATAAATGCAAAACCTTTGGGAATGGTTATGACATAATTGAGAGTATAGCTTTTCTCCAATTCTATGAGGCCAGGGAGATGAGAAAACATACTTTAAAGGATGAAGGTGTTGGTGTGTAGGAGGGAAAGAAGAAGAATCCAGGGACATGGAAACAATCTGAGCAGGGTAGTGAGAACCTAGTGGGGCACCAGGGACCAAGAGGGCCAATGACTGGCAAAGCAATGGTGAAATAGCTTTGTTGAGTAGGGAGGTAGTCATGTAACTTGGTTCCACACTTGCCTCTGCCATTAACCAAATGGGGGAAATCTGATTGGTGGCTTAAATATTTCCAGTTAGTCTCCCCATTTGTAGAATAATGAGGCTGAATTAGATCAGTCATATTTCCAGCTAAAGTCTTGAGAGCCCTAAGATTTCTAAGGAGATATCTTGACTGAGACAAGCAGTTGATTGTGTGGGGAGATAACACATGGTGGAGGCCCAGTAAATGCCTCTCCCAATCATTTATTATCTGACTTAAGACCTCTTTTATGTTTTGAATTTTCATTTTGTTTTATTCAAAAATATTTATTTAGCACATATAAGATTTAATTTGCAAAAAAAAAATCTGCTGCTAAAAATAGTATGAACATAACTGGCTTGATGGTTTCTAAGATCCTTTCCACCTTTCTAGCATTAACATTTTATGTTCCTAGTCTAAGAGATACTGATGCATTCATTCTTCACCCCGGGAATCTTAAAGTATGAGCACTCATTTGGATAATTAGGGAAATGTCATAGACATTGCTCTTCTGGAAAGCATACCTAAAATAAAAAAAAGAAACATCCAAAAAAGGTTTTCTCCATTCCAGTGAATACCATTTACTGGTTTATTTTCAGTAGCCATAGTGAAACCTTTTCTACATTTTCTGCTTTTGTTCTTCTTCTTATTATTATTTTCTTCTTCTTATTATTTTCTTATTATTATTATTTTTTTTGCAAAGGGGGGAATCAAAAGTAAGAATTGTCTGTGTCAAAACATATACAGACATACAGCAATGCTTTATATTTTTCAACTAACAATTTTTCAATCAGTAAGTAAAGATATTTAATTTACTTGTAAGATAACTAGAAATCCTAAGAGAATCATGTATAATTTTGGAAATTTCATTCTCATCAGTCAACAATAAAAAAAAACCAAGCCAATGTCTATATACACAAAAAATATACATGTCAGAATCAAGGTGCAAAGTTTGAAATATAACTCATTCATTAGTACCTCAGTTTACATTCATTATCCTGCAAGAGTTAATTCAACAATGATGTTGTTGAAATCTGGTACTTGGACATTGAAAAAAAAATTGGCTCAGTAAATATTAGATAATATAAGTTTATGTTTTGTAATTGTTTATTGATGTCTATCTCTTGCTTTCTTTATAACTCCAAATCTCTTTTACATCCTTCCTGCCAGGCCACTTCATGCAGGTAGGGAAGAGGATCTCAGCAATGGAGGCTCTGGGGTTCCATAAGTAACCTAAGGGAAATGAAAATGTAAAAGCAGGTCAAAGTGTGGCTTGTATGTGCTCTGCTGGTGCCTTAAGCACTGGGAGAATCTGGAAAATTATTTAACTTTTTGGTCAGACTATACTCAGTTGATTAACATTGGTTGATAGATTATTATTAGTAACAGCAAATAACACTTGGAAATGGAGGGCTACTTTTCTTTCCATATCTGACTTTTTCTGATCCACTGGAGTAACCCACATGAAAGTGAAAACCCCTAGTTTTGCTTCTGTACCTTTTATTTCAGGGCAGAGGAATTATTTTCTAAGAAATTCCTTTTATTTGAATTTGTAAATTTCTATTTCAAAAAACAATAGTTTTCATTTTTCTTTGAAATATCAAACATGTTGCTCACTGAACCTTGCTTCAAACTATCAGGAAATACTTTGTTAGAAAGTAGGGAGGATTAAAAAGCCATTAATTTTAGATGAATGAAGATTATACAAGACAGTCTTGTGATAGGAAGTCTTCATAAAATATTAAAAATACAGGAAGATGTTTTTATCAAGTAAGTTTTCTATTGCTCATGTTTCTTAGCTTTCTTAAAGGAATTTTGGGCAGGCCTTAAATTGGCGAGTTTTTTCATTCATTTATGCTTAAAAGATGTTAGTTTCTTTGAGTGAATTCATTGCAAATAGTCACAGGCATTGCATTCCAAGGAAGAATCTGCTGTAGCAGAACTAGATTTGACAGAATATACTTTGTAGCTTACTTTGTGGGAAAAATTATGAAGATTTTTACAGATATTAAAATAAGTAAAAGAATAAGAAACAAAACATATATATATATATATTTTTAAGAATTGCCCAAGCTTCCAAGTAATATAGTTAAAGCTTTTCACCCTTAAGAATTTAATGACTCTGGTATTCTCTTTCATAGCTCATTTCTCAAGCAGTCCATTTTTGGGGTATAACTATAAAGTGTTTATAAATAAATATGATGAAAGTTACCACATAGTTACTACATTTTTGAAGCTGACCTGTAAAGGCAGAAGCAAAATCTTAGCCTTTGCAATTTACAAAACAAAGCCCACTAAATGCACTTACTTCTCAAGATGGCCAAACCCACCGCAGTAACTTACTAAGGTATCCGGAGTCGACAGCCTCGTGGTGTTCAGTCCCACCAAGGATGGGAGAGTTTGGGACATCCAGTTTGAGATCATTGCCATGGTACTAAGCACAGCGCCAAGCTTCAGCAGTGGAGGACTCATTGCTGTGGAGCTAATGAGTTTTCATAGTGACTGATTAAGATCCCGGTGCCGGGCTGGCAGCGGGAGGCGTGACTGCAGCGCGCCACATCTACAGCATGAAAAGAGATCAACTTCCCCAGCTCTAATCACCCAGGAAAGCTTCGGAACCTCCTTCCCCCATCCTCGTGGGAAGTGCCCTGCCCTTCTTTTTCCTCCCTTACCAGACATTTTGCTGGATCATCAAACAAAATATTCTTGATAGGCTTGGTTGGTAATTATCAGAGAGCAGAGGTTGGAGGGAGGCGGAAACTTGAGCTTTCCCAGCTCCACTTTAGTTAGTTACCATCAACAGAATCCATTTCCTCTGGGGTTTGTGTAAGTATAATCAGCTACTCTTTATCTTTCATTAAAAAAAAAAAATACACCTTTAAATGGAGGTCTGCCAAAGTGCACATTTCAAACACCAAACTTAATATCTACAGATTTCTCTGGGCAAGGACAGAGTGCTTTTAGGAAGAACATGAAAATAAAGTCTGCAAATAATTTTCCAGATGATCATATTGAGAGTAGGAGATAATTTTTTTTTTTAGAAAGTAACCTAAAATTAGCATCATTGCTTTAAAAATATAGTCAAAGATTAATAGCTACTGCTTGTGGCAAACATTACCTTTAGGCATCTTACACCTGAACAGACAGAAAAGAGAAAAGACAGCCTTGCAGAAAAACTTCTGTTACAGAAATTTTATATGTGTTTCCAGTTTTGCTTTTGAGAATGAAGGCTTTGCTTCGTAGGTGTTCAGTCACACAGGAAACTCAGTTAACTCTATTTTCAGTTTGTGAGGAATGACGGACTGATATGGAAAGTCTGTATCTTGAGAGAACATGTGATTTAGTATAAAGGGCACAGGACTTGGACTCAGGAAGTCTGGGATCTAGTATTTGTTCTCCTCTAGTTAGCCATATGACTGGCCGGTGACAAGATTCCTTGGCTTCAGTTTTTTCTACAATATAAGGATGTTGGAAAATATGCTCTCCAAGGTCCCTTCCAGCTCTCAAATTCAATGATCTGTTTATTAGATTACATTAGCAAGTGTGGTATATAGAATCCAGGGTTTATGGGTAACTTTATTATATTGTTTTCATAAATACTATAAATTTTCCACATCCAAATCTCAGGTTCCAAATGAAAGAAATCAGAGGTCTTTGTCTTATCCAATATATGTGTTTTAAAGTAAAAATATAAAGAGAAGACACAAAACAAAATATGGATGAATGAAAATTAAATGAAAAGAAATTGGTTACAAAAAGGAAAAGTATTGTTTTGATTTCTTAGGAGAATTCTGGACTTGTTTGTATTTGGAATCTTCAGCCAAAGATATATATTTTTCTTAAATAGTTTTGGCAGGAGAAATAAATAAAATGTCCTTAATAAAACTGAAAGAGATACATATTTATAGTGTGTGTATATTTTACTTTCAAAAACAGCTTTAAACTGGGGTGGATGCTAAAAGACTCCTCAAATCTTCCTTGCAACTATTAGCTTAGAATCCAGGCCATTTTTTTTTTTCAAAATATATCCAAATGACTTTAATCAACTCTTATTTTTTAACCACAGTGCCCACAAAACCAAATATTATTACTTTTCTATTCTTTCAAAAATCATGCCATATGAAAAACCAATAAAGGCACAATATTTTATGTATTAAACTTAGCAGAAAGCCCTGTGAAATTTTACATTAGTATTACAATGTGTTAATGACAAAAAGCAAAGTGGATTTACAAATCTAATGTTGAAAAATACACCTGGAACTCTATCTTACTTTAATAAAGAAGGGGGGTGTCTTTTCAAGAGCTTAATTTCCAAAATTGAAAGAAAATATACATATAATTACTAGATAATTTAAGAAATGAGGTGGCAGATGGTAATTATACTTATTATTGAGCTATCAGCCTACAAAATAGTAGCATTTTTAGAAGAATATAAGATTGAATGTCAGGGGAAAACAGTGCTCTGATTTGCAAATTATAAAGAAAGGAAGAAATAGAGAAAAACAATACAAATGGAATGCTTCTTGTAATTTTCCAGAGATGCAAATTACTACACTAAAGAATTGAAGTAGAACAATGGTAAAAGTTTATGATTCGGCGATGTTTATGAACAACATAGAAGCTAAACTGTGTTGTTTTTAGAACAGGTTTAAATGATACACATTGAAGTAGAAAAGCTCAAATTACAATAATTATTAGTTGTGGGAAATTAAAACAGCTGCAATTTGCAAAGAGCTAAATAGTTTGCAGTACTCTCATAGTCTACTGAAGTGATATCCATTTGAAAAGTTGAGTCCTAGTTTGTAAGTGGGAGAAAGGATTAGTCTATTGAGAAGTAGCGGACTGTGTTTAGGGCAAGCAACCCAGTAGTTGCAGAAGTTCCACAAGCATAGTGTGAATGGTAATGATATTACCACTGGCAATGAGATGAAGCTGGAAATGCTGGCTGTGACCAGCTCAGGGCTTCAGGGTCACCCAAAAGTGTTTGGACTTTATCTTCTATGTAATTCAAGAGTTTAAAGCAAAGCAGTAAGATCATTAGTTTTATGTTGTGAATCATTGCTTAGTCATTTTTATGATGCAGGATAGGCAGGCAGGGGCTGCAGAGAGTGCAAAGCATATCAGAGACAAGAAGGTCACTTAGAGGTATATTCTCACGGTTTGGGCAAGAGATGATGAGGTCCTGAAATAATAAACTGTCAGTGAGGTTCAAAAGGATGAATTCCATAAAGGTCTGCACAACAATTGGCAGTCCTTAGTGACTGAATAAATGTGACGCAGTGGAAATTACCTGGGAGAACGTTTAGTTTGGGGGTTTGGATGATGAGCGTCAATCATCAGAATAAGATACACAGGTAGAAGCATAACTTTATGAAGAAGATAGAATTTATTGTCAGCTGATATGCATTACCTGTAGTACAGAGGGTCACTGGATGATAATGTGCCCCACACTTAGAGTTCAGAAAAGAATTAATTTCCCTAGGCTGCAACAACTTAATGGACTAGTGAGAATAATGTGTCCTACATGTATGAAAAAAATGGTCAACGTAAAAATGCAGTTTTAAAACTACCACAATTTTCATTTATTCAATTCATGGTAAACTATAAACTTAATTACTTATACAGTCCTTCAAAATAACAAACCAAAATCTATCACTAGTAAATAGTGAAATATTACTAAATCTAATAATCTCACAAAAAATGTGACCTGACTACACACTTATTTTCTTTGTGGAATTTCATAGTGGATCAATAACTATATAACCTACAATTGTGCATTATTGCTCATGGAATGCTGAAAGCTATTGATTAATATATTTATTCATTAGATTTTTTATAGTAGCCTGTCCTTTTTATTACCCAGAGAGTATATTTCATGATAGACTTATATAGTAAATAATAAATAAGCAAATAAATATTGAGTGAGAATGACTCATAGGTAATTTATATAATATTAGCATGTTCTGTCATTAGAATTTTATTTTTTTCTTTTATTTGTAGAACAAAAGTTAAATGTTGTTTTAATGACCCTACACAGACATATAATCATATATATTTCCTAGTTTGGGACTGTATGTATGGTAGATGTGGGAAGGTTTCTAGAAGACACAACCTAGGTAGATATGAAAAATCAAATACATGAAAAAAACCTGATGACCACATAAAATATGGTAGAAAATAAACAGTTAATGAGGTAATTGTGACCTAAAAGTTTGACTTTAGGTAAAATGAGAAGAGACTTAGATTGCTTGCTAAACAGTAGAAGCTTTAAGAAGAAATAGTGTACTCATACTTTATTTTTATTATTTAAAACAAAATTTAAATTTGTAAATGGCTTCAGGCAGAGGGGAAAGTGGCTTATTAGATATAGTTGTAAAGGTACAAATACAGGGCTGAAGAAATTATTGAAGAAGGAGGAGGAGAAGAAAAAAAGAGATAAGAAGGAGGACAGCAATTGGGTAGAACATCGAAAAATGAACTGTATTGACTGATTAAACCAGAGTGACCTCTAGAAAAAAACAGTGGGCTCTTGTTAGCAAGTTAAGTAGGAAAAATAGGAAGAGTAACATAAAATAGAAGAAGGTGGAAGACAGAGTACTTGTGTTGAAATCACTTGGGGAATGCTGGATACCCTGGATGGGGTGTGGTTTGAGAGTGACCAGGTACATAAACCGCTCTCCACCCTCTGTGGCACCTTAAAAGCAGTTTAGTGGATAGTCCTCCAGATTCTTCCACTTACTAGAAAGATACCATTGACTAAGTAAGTCTCTCAGTCTCCATTTTATTATCTGTAAAATGAAGATAGAAGCACCAATGTGAAATGGTTATTTGAGAGACTGAATGAGATGACATATTTTGAAAGTGTCTATAGTATGTCAAATGCAAAATAAATGGCAACCCTATTTTTGACAAGAAATACCACGATTTGAGCCAGCCAAAAGGAACAGACCAGCTGAAGGAACAATCAGGCCTAGAGAAGGTGGAAAGTTTTGCAGCTTTGCAAAGGGGTAGCTGAGTGCAGCTTGGAGTATATGCTGTCTTGCAATTCAGTCACCTTGGGTGAAGAGAATAATACAACTTTGCTGGATGACACCATCAGTCTGTGGCTCTGGGGCTAATAGTCCAATTCAAAGTAGAGGAAAGGGACTGATTGCTATTTTTGCTTCCCTCTTCATTGAAAAGTCGAGGTAACTACTAGAAAACTTCCATAAGGTCCCATTACCATATCTGCTTACTTCCTCACCTGTGCCCACATAGTGTACCTTCCTTTTGGTTGCCATGGATAAATTGATTGTGTTCCTAGATAAGGCAGAGCTCTCCTCTGTGCAATAAATCAGTTGTTTTGGACAATCATGCATAAGAATTACTTGCAAGCCTGTTAAGACCCAAATTTCCAGGTCTCACCTGAGTCTGATTTAGCTTTAGGACAGGACAAAATAGTTTGCTTTTCTAACAAGCTCCCAGATGATGCTGATGCTGCAATTCTTGGCCCACCCTTTGAGTAGACAGCCCTAGGTTATATCTCTCTCACCTACTCAAAGACAACTCTTATTTCCTCTTTTTCCAACGTCGATAAATTTTCCCTCTTTAGCAGATCATTCCCAGCATCATAAATACCACCATACTTTTCCTACTTTAAATGCAAACAAACAAACTTTCTTGATCTTATTTTCTCTCCAGGAATTCCACCATTTCTCACTCTCCCTTTACAGCATACCCTCTGAAAGAATTGTTTATACTTACCATCTTCAATTTCTCTCTTCCTAATTGCATTTTTGTTTACACTTCTCCACTCTGCTGACACTGCTTTCATCAGGCTACCAGTTACCCCTAGATTGCTAATCTAGCAGTCAATTCTCAGTCCCCAACTTTCTTAACCTATGGGCAGCATTCATGTGAATTTACTTTCTCCTTTTTGAAATAGTTTTTTCACTTGGCTTCCAGGATGCCACACTCACTAGTCTTCCTCCAATTTTATGACCTCTCTTTCTTAGTGTCATTTGCTGATTCTTCCTCATCTATATGCTAATGATTCCCAAATTCATTTTTTCCCAGCAGACCTCTCCTATCAATTCAGAACTGCATATCCAATTATCTACTTGACATCTCCACTTCAGTGTTTAACAGACATCTTAAATTGAGCACATTGAAAAAGTGAGATCCTGTTATGGCTCCCCAACCCCAGAAAAGAAAGCAAAACAAAAATACACCAAACAAATAAACAACAACAAAAATACACATGCAGCCATTCCTGCAATCTTCCCATTTCAGTTAACTGGCAACACTCTAGTTAAGTTGCTCAGGCCAAAAAGTCAAGTTTCAATCTTAATGTCTTTTCCTCCACATCTCTTATCAATTCAGTCAGCTAGTGTCTACTCTCAAAATATATCAACATTCAAGTATTTTGTACCATCCCAGCTGCCACTGTGCTGCTTCAAGCCTCCATTGTCTTTTATCTGGATTGTTACAAAAGTCACGAGTTATTGACTTTGTATCACTTGTTACTTTGTACCATTTGTTACTGCTGCACACCAACATTATCTTCTTAAAATATAAATCAAATTATGTTATTCCAGTGCCTAGATTCCCATCTTTCTCATGGTGAAGGTCAAAATATTTAGCTTGCACTATAAAGTTCTACATAATCTGGCCTCCTCTTATCACTCTGATTTCATTTCTTTCAGCTCTCCCCTTTGTTAACTCCTCTGGAGGCACTCTGGCCCCCTGGCTGTTTCTCAGAGATGCAAGGCAATCTTTCACCTTAGGGACTTTGCACTTGCCCTTCTCTTGTGGAAATTACAATCTCTCAATATCTTCTCACTTCTTTTTCTCCTTCCTCCCAAGATCATCTCTCATAAGATCTTTTCTGGCCACACTATCTAAAATGTCTACTCTTGTCACCTGGTTGCTTTATATTGTCTTTTGCTGCTTTACTTTTTTTCTCCTTAGAACTAGGTAGCATGCTATATATTATATTTATACATCTTGCTTATTATGTTTTCTCCACTAGAAATCAAGCTCCATGAGGGAGAAATGATTCCTGGTTTCTTTACTGGGGTATTCTTAGCCTAGAAGAGTGTTTAGCACACAGTAGTTTCACAATAAATATTTATGAGATAAATGGATAAATGAATATGTTACTATTTAATTTCTGGCCTGCTCTCAGATTAAAAAGGAAACCATTTTTAGTGTGAATATACAGTACAGCTTATTCTTGCAAAACAAACCAGTACAATGTATTCCAGTATTGTGTTTTGCATGTATGTTTTTATGTGTGCATGATGGACCTATACGTGGGTAATGGATAGTGAAAAGTATTGAAACATTATGCTTATAGTTACATGTATTTTTTCCTTCCATTTTTCACATGTAGAATGCAAGCACTTTTGGTCTAAGCCAAGAAGTACTAACTCCAACTTTGATTCTGTCTTCTATTGATAAGCTTCACGGGTCACTGGAACCCTACATAAATATGGAAGCAATCTTTTCTTCTTCTTGCCTTTGGCTAGCCAAATTTTTCTCTAATAGCATAGGGGTGGCAGAAGGGACGTATGGTATGTAGAGAATATTTTTAAAAAACCATTTCACTATCTATATGTATATCAAGTATCATGTTGTACACCCTCAATAAATATGATAAAATTTAAAAAGAAAAGACAGATTTAAAAAAAAATGGTTTAGAGAAGATAGAGATCTGAGTCTCCTTTCACCCAAATCTCCTTCAATTTGGCCCTTGGCAACCAATTAGGGACCATTTGTAGGTCCTAGAATCAGTGCTTTGCCATTTTTGCCTTGAGGTTTCAATATTGTCTTAAAAGTACTCACTAATGAAAGAATGAATTTAGAATGAAAAACATTTGCAAAGTTCTTTAAAGGAAGGATTTCTGTCTTCTCATCTTTGCCTTCATCTGTGAAGCTGACTGATGCTCTATAAGCCCGGGGGATCCTCCGTTGGCAGCTGTTGTTGCTACTTCAAAGGAGAAAAAATGGATGTGTGGGAGAGAAATATATTCAGGGCAAACATTTTTTTTTCTCTTTCTACTCAAAATTGAAGAAGTGGGAAAATATAAATCCAGGATTAGTCCAGAAATAAAAACGAAGAATGCAGAGTGGTGTGACAGAAACCTTCAGCTTAGTCACTACCTTGCTTTGGGTCTTAGGTTCTTCAAATAGGAAATAAAGATATTAAACAAAATTTCCTATCTAGCCCCTTTCATGATATAGTGCCACTCTTAAGAGCTCAGTCTTTATCCCTGCAGTCTCACGTGTACCCTTTCACTCCCTGTTCTGGCACTAGTAGATGACTAGCCATGTGACCTCCCAGAGCTGTGGTGTTCTCATGTGTAAATTGGGGATGATAAGAGATACTCTTTGGTATTTGTGAGGATAAAATAAACTGCTACATAGAAAGCCCTGTTATAGGGCCTGGAACATGATCAGTGCTCAATCAATGTTTGCCATCACTATGCAAAAGAAATGTATGCATCTTCTACCCATCTTCATGGAAGAAAGCATAAGCACAAATGTTAGTGACAAGCGAAGTTCATCAAACTTTGGAGTAAATTAACAATATAAAATTTATCTTTAGAGTTTAAATATTCATCTTTCTAATATGGTTTGTTCATATGGATTGACTTCAAACATTCTAGAAAGTATATAAAATGTGCCTGTCCTATGTTTTATTGAGAAGCTTCCTTATTTAAGCCTGTCAGCCAGGCACTATTCTAAGAACTTTACATGTATGAAGTCGTTTAATCCTCAGACAAACCCGATGAGGTAGTATTGCTATCGTAACCAGTTTATAGTTAAGGAACAGAGACACTGAGAGGTGAAATATGTTCGCTGAAGTCACACAGCTAATAAATGACAGGGCCAGTATATGAACCCCCATAGTCAGATCCCAGATAGTGTGTTGTTAGTTATGCTATCTCACTGTGTCTCATACACACACTCACCTCATAGGTATGCAAAAAAATAGCCAATATTGATTTCAAATTTAGTCTTTTTAAAACAATTAGAATTATGTGGGTGAAGCATTATAGGTTAGTTATTTGCATGCTTTATCAGTGAGTGCTAAAAGCTAAGCACAAAAATTAAAAGCAACATGTCTTCACTTATTGAGTTTATCTTTGAATGTGATGGAGCAAAGCTCTCACCAGGGAGGCATTGACACTCAGGTAAGGGCTTGGTCCCCCTGCTTTATTTTCACTGCAATCTATTTTCAGACTTTTCTAATTCACCCAACTCACTAGGGCAGACTGAAGTGTTAAATTATTGCCAAAAGCTTTTCTGGAAGAAATTGTTTAGAAAGATAAATTTTAAGGAGATTGGGAAATTGCCTGGTGATCAGAAAGGAGACTGTTTCAGTGGTTGTGTGAAAGAACAAAATTGGATCTTCAAATGTGCAATTTTCTGAAAAGTTGTTATGAGTTGTTTCATAAAGCTTATCTCCCTCATGGCATATAAAATGTATGTTTAACAGGTACCAAAAATCTGGTGGTAGTAAACAACCCCAAACATCAAAGTATGAAAGAAGATTACATCTGTAGTCTGCTTTTTAACAAATTCATGCAAATAGGAGATCTGCAGAGTAGGGTTTTATGTAGCAGCATAGTTACACTGTTTGTCATCATTGTCCTCTCATCAATATGTGTAGTAAAGGTTATTTTGTGTTTTGAAAGCTCTAGGCAGACAAATACGGTTAAATATAAACCTCTAAAGATCTGGTGTTGAAATAAGTCAGGCACTATTTATCACTGAAAGCATCCTAAGAGTTATACAGTTTTATGAGAGGTTGACGGAAACAGTTAAGTCTGGTTCATTAAAATAACCACCACATAGATGAAGCCATATAAACCCTTTACTTCATTAAATTGCGCTTTTTGGCTTCAATGCAATTAAACACTTTTAACCTTATAAAAACTGTTTCAGGAGGACATAAGTAACTCAATTGAAAAACAACTCCCTTTGCAAATACTCATCTGAAAAGAGACCAGTGACTTACGTCTGAACATAGCAATAGATAAGTAAAGGAAAAAAATGTTGATAAAGGTTGTCTCTTGTTATTGAAATCAAATAGCTGATTTTTTTCTGCTACTTAATATTTTTTTGTTCTCTCCACATTTTCCAGCTTAATTATGTATTATTTTCTGTTGTCAGAAAAACATAAACAGAAGTATGTTATGTCTCTCTCACTGACCTTTAAAGGCACTGGTCTATTAAACATTTATCAAGTGCATTCTTTGGGGCAGGAACTGTACTATTCTGAAAATTTAAGATTAATATGATACAGCCTTCTGAGTATTTCATCAAACTGGGATTGTAACAGAATACAAGTGATTATGTATATTGGATTCAAATAGTTCCACACTTGTAAGTACCTATAGGGATATAATGGAGGAGAAAAAGAAGAGGGAATTAGTACCACATAGTGTAATGGTCAGGAAAGACCACAGTGGAAAAGATAATGCTTGAGTTAGTTTTATAAATTCAGATCTAAATTTCTAGTTCACTCAGAGAAACTGACAGTAAAATTTACTATGGGCCCTGAACACAAGATAAAATGTAAGTCATAGGGATCTTGGTCCTATACTCCAAAAGACATTTATGTATGTTAGCTCTTTCTTTGTCAATGTACATCTGTTTCCCCAGTACTTTACATTTTCATCTCTCTTTTCATTAATAAAATAAAGTAGTGATATTTACCTAGAACATAATATAGGGCTACTGAATGTAAAGAGACTGTGAAAAGGAAGTAACTGTTGTCAGGAAAACAGTATTTTCCTTGGGAAGTATAACAGACACATAGAAATATCTGAGTTCTTGGAGAACCTTGCATTATCAAGAAAATAGATTCAAAATTACAAACAAACATTATTCAACAAGTAATTTGGATTATAAATTTACACATAATGAGTCATAATGTACAGAGCTAAAACTGTAAATCTAGTGTAGAGGCTTCTTATCAGGTCTCTGCAAAGAGACATATATACATTATATAAACATTGTAACGTGAGGAGTGTTAATATATTTACCATACTGAAAATGGATCAGCTTTGCAAAGCATTCCACCCGCTCCCCATGCTCTCCTTTCCCCCCTCTCCTTTCCCCTTCTCTCTTCCTGCCTTCCTTCTCTTACATTCTTACTTTCATCTGTCTTTCCTTCTTTTCTACCTCTTTGTCTCCTTTTCTTCCTTCCATATTTTCTCCTTTCTTCTCTTTCACTTTCACCAAACTTTATTGAGTCCTTTCTAGGTGTTCTGCACTGAAGTAGGATTTAAGTATGGTTTCCAAGAATTCCCCAGGTAATTTTGATGTGCTCTCATTTTTAACCATTGCCTAGGCCGTATGGCTGCAATTTAAGCACAGATCATTGTAATATTTTGCACTTCATATTTGGAACATTTGATTTACCTCTCCACTCATTCAACACTGTTTTAAAACAAAACAAAACAACTTTTTTCTTATCTGAACATTGAAAATGCATGTGTAGGTCACAATTTACATTTTATTGCAATCCATAAGGTTTTAAAGAAGTTATTGATCTTAAAACTGGAAACTCCTCATAACTGGTATTTCATAATCATAGTATATTATTCATGTGAACCTCATTAATAGCTTTTTCTTACAGGACTGGTTAATAAATATGTCAATGATAAAAAATAAATTTTCTCTCATATATTTTCCCTTTCAATAATATGTGTACTAATATCTATTAAAGTATCCATATAAGTGAGTTAATATTTTTCTACCAAAAATATATGTAGAATTATTTGAGGAGCAAGGTCTGTTTCACAGTGAAACATGAAACCTGCATTTATGCATTCAGGAAGGATTTATTGATCATCCTCTATATGCTAGACACTAAATGCTAGAGATCAGGAACTAATGCAATTAACTCTGACTCAAGATCTCCCATTCTAGTGGGATACTGACAGGAACAAGAAAGAAATATAGCTGTAAGTATAATTTCAATATAATGGGACCCATAATGTGTACAATGTGCAATGGGTCATTGATATGGTTTGGATTTGTGTCCCCACCCAAATCTCGTATCAAATTGTAATTCTCAATGTTGGAGGAGGGGCCTGGTGGGAGGTGATTGAATCATGAGGTGAATTTCCCCCTTGCTGTTCTTGTGATTGTGAGTTAGTTCTCACGAGATATGGTTGTTTAAAAGCATGTAGCACCTCCCTCTTCACTCTCTTCCTCCTGTGCCAGCCATGTAAGATGTGCCTGCTTTCCCTCTGCCTTCTACTATAATTGTAAGTTCTCTGAGGCCTCCCCAGCCATGCTTCCTGTACAGCCTGAAGAACTGTGAGTCAATTAAACCTCTTTTCTTTATAAATTACCCAGTCTCAGGTAGTTCTTTATAGCAATGTGGAACAGACTAATACAGTCATTAACTGTTAGTGATTAATTCCATTTGGGTGGGATAGAGGAGGCTTCAGAGGGATAGTGGATTTCCATGGCTTCAATAAATTTCCCAAGAAAATCAGGAAGGAAAGGCCATTTCAACACTGGTGACAGCATGTGAAAACTCATTTCTGAAGTGTGAAAGATCCCATGTTATTTAGGAGATCTGAGTAGCTTGCAGTGGGGGAAGTGAAAAATGCATGATAGGGGGAAGGAAGAGAGGAAATAGAGTTGGAAAGGTAGCAGGAAAAAGAGGTAGCAGAAACATGTAGCTCTCCAAAGAGAAGATTAAACATTGCTACCACTATGTCTTTATGGAGTTTCAGGAAGAAACTGATGATACCAAACCAGTTTGTTATTTAGAGGAATATCATTCAGAAAAGATGCAATAAATATTAGGGAGTGGGCGAGGAGTGAGAATGCCAGCTGAGAGAGTAGTTAGGCGGCCATTTCAGCGTCAGCATAAGAAATAACAGAAAGACTGGGGAAGAATAAGACATGGGCTAGGCACATTACACAGGATTTTGTGAATAATTAGATGCAAAGACAAGAGAGAGAAACAAGACAAAAGCAGCCTCTAGATTTCACAAAATACAATACAAGTTAAATGTCTCTTATTTGAAATGCTTGGGGACAGAAGTGTTTTGGATTTTGAAATATTTGCATTATACTTACTGATTGAGCATTTCTAATCCAAAAATCCAAAATCCAAAATGCTCCAGTGATCATTTCCTTTGAGTGTCATGTTGGTATTCAAAATGTTTTGGATTTTGGAGCATTTCAGATGTAGATTTTCAGATTAGGAAAATTCAACCTATATAACAGAAAGTGTTTAAGAATTGTCTAGGCCAGTGCTTCTTAAATGTTAAGGTGCAAATGAATCACTTGAGGATCTTGTGAAAATGTAGATTTTGATTCAGAAGTTGGGAATAGAGTGCTCGCTTGAACAGCACATATACTAACATGGAAATGATACAGGGAAGGTTAGTGTGGCCCCTGCCCAAGAAATTGGGGATACAGTCTGAGATTTTATATTTTTAACAAGCTCCCAGAAGATGCAGAAGGAGCTGGTAAACAAAACACTTTTTGAGTAGAAGGAGCCATGGAAGCCAGCTCAGAGACTGTGGAATTAAGTGAAGTGCTAATGTGTGTAGACAATAAGGAGGCACAACCAAAGTGGGGTTGCGGGAAAGGCCAGCTATGTAAGAGAAGTGTGAGTGAGGATTGCCCAGAGGCACACATGCTTCTTATCAAGAAAGGGGGTCCAGAGTTCTTGTCATCCAGAGTTAATTGTTAACAGAAAACATTTAAAAGTAATCCACTTTAAATAGGTACCAATATTTCTTAGAAGTAAAGAAAAGCTGTATTTAAAAATTTATCTTGAACTAAAAAAATAAAAATAATCTTATCCTTGTTGTGAGGATGTATTTGCAACTGCGTGTTAACTCAGCATGAATAACAGTCTTAATTCATATATGTGTGTGTTTATGCAATTATTTTAACAATCTCATTATTTAGTTTCATTCCACAATCATGAAGAGATATGTTTTTGCAAAACTCTTCAAGGAATTCCATAATTTTTTCAGACCCTCTTTTATTCTTTTGATATCCATATCATTGTCTTTTGAGGAGTCCGCCCCATAAATTTTCTCTTCAATCGTTAAAGAATGTATACCTTCCAGCTACTGTTTAGTAATCCCTTTGTATTTGGTCAGACCAGTTCTCTCATAACACTTCCATCAACTTCATGAAATCATGTATGTGTCTTTTACATGATATTAACTTCCATCATATTTACAATAAATAGCATTAGGTAGTCTTAATATCCAAAAATCAGTGGCTCAAGAAGGATTCCACTGTTAGGCAATAAGGGATACTTTAGTGGGATTGAGAGGTAATTCATTAAATAAGTGGCTTGGAAAACACATACTTTTGATAACTTTAACTCAGGGTTGTCAAGAGGCTTAAACATAATAGCCAGTCACCCATATGCTCTGACTTTTTGATATAGGTAGAAAAGACAGAGAAGGATCATGCTTTCACATAATTCACTCATTTTAGGGACGGATCCTACTAACTACATGCAGAAGAGTTAATGCATTGTGTTCTCAGCAGCTACAGAAATCTGAAATGAAATAGTTTGATTTGATTATATTTTTTTTTGAGACAAATTCTTGCTGTGTTGCCCAGGCTGGTGTGCAGTGGTGCGATCTCGGCTCACTGCAACCTCTGCTTCCCGGGTTCAAGCGATTCTCCTGCCTTGGCCACCCGAGTAGCTGGGACTACAGGCACCCACCACAGCACCTGGACAATTTTTGTATTTTTAGTAGAGACAGGGTTTCACTATGTTAGCCAGGCTGGTATGGAACTCCTGACCTCAAGTGATTTGGCCGCCCCGGCCTCCCAAAGTGCTGGGATTACAGGCATGAGCCACCGTGCCCGGAGATTTGATTATACTTTTGTCTGTCAGAAAGAAGATGTTCAGAAGATAACTGCATCACTGGCTGCTGCCTAGACATTACCAGTGTTTGTAGTATCTACGTTACTACTGTCTCAGTGAGGCCCAAGTGTCCAGGAAACACCATAGAAGGTTCAGGGAAAGGGGAAAGCCTGAATAGTTGCTGATTGGCAGCTGAACAAAGATAAAGCTATTCCCATATGACAGTGGATTGGAAGGTCACGATAATGGAATTCTAGTCTTACTGTCCATGTGAAGTTAGCAGTATGGCATGCCTTAGTTTCTTTTGAAGCTTCAACATTCTCTGACTCTATGCATTGTGTTAAGAGCATGGGCTTTGTAGTCATGTAGACCTGGGTTGGAATGCCAGGTTTGTCACTTACTGTGTGATCCTGTGTAAATTAATTATTTTTCTGAACTTCATTTTACTAATCTTCAAATTAGAGATTATAATATCTACTGATGAAGCCCACCTGACAAGGTACACCAAAGGCATACTTATAGTTCAACGAAGTTAGATTTATTAACTTGTTGTATGAAGGGAGATTGCACAGCAGAAGCATGGAGCATCCAATCAGGCAAAGGAAGAAACAGGGTTAAAAATAGGATTGGGGGAAAATGGTGTTTAGGCATACTTAAATAAAGAAGAATCGTGATAGTGCTAAAAATGAGCAATGCTCAAAGTAAAGAGATTAACATCAGGCCAGAGTTAAGAAGTGGACTCTGGATTCTGTTTCCTTGGAAACTCCAAAGTTAAGACACATGTTGAATATTGTATCTGAAAAACCCTTATCTGAAATTTTGCACCTGGGTTGAAAATTGAGGCTGTTTCTTGGTGTCAGTGACTCAAATCTTCCAGGCAAGTGTAGGTTGTTCCATTTTTACTGATCTGATTTCAAACGGCAGAGTTTCTAATAGTCTGTGATTTTAGAGAACAAAGTGTCTCAGTGTTACATCCTTTGGTAAAGTAGCAAAAGCAGTATTGAGAGGTTGACCTCATAGGCTTGTACAAATAAAATGAAGCAATGTACATGAAGTACTGAGCACAGTGCTTATCTTATAAGCAATTGTTACTCTTACTATTATTGTTTAGCTGTACTTTCACAAATAAATATACCATAATAAGACAGGATGCTGACTTAAAATGACTAAACTTTAGTTACTGAAAAGCACAATTCTGAAAACTTAGCTAGCCAATAAATGGAGGAATTCATTCTTATGACCTTAGATACCCCATGCTTTCAAGAGGAGTCTAGGTGCAGCACAATCACCTGTTGCCTTTGATAATACTGATTTCCTGATCCCACCTCACCAGAAATGTGATTCAATAAACAGACTTGCAGAGAAATATGTATTTGCACTTTTCAAAAGCTCCTGATTTTGATATGCAACCAAATTTCAGAAACACTCATATAACCAAATGACCATGAGGAAGCATTTCAATACATAAACTATTCCCAAATGATCAGAAGTAAAAGTTTAGAACATTAAAAATAGGCATAAATATGATCTTGTACAGATTTCACTCAGTGTTGTAATGCCCTTTGAAAATCTCTGATACATTGATTTTTCAAGTTGAATACCTTCAGTATTGGTAAAAATAAATCCTATGTAATTAGTTTTTTTTTTTTTTTGAGACGGAGTGTTGCTCTGTCAGCTCATTGTAACCTCCGCCTCCCATGTTGAAGCAATTCTCATGTATCAGCCTCCCAAGTAGCTGAGATTACAGGCATGAGCCATCACACTTGGTTAACTTTTGTATTTTTTAGTAGATACAGGGTTTCACCATGTGGGCCGTGCTGGTCTCGAACTGGACTCAAGCGATCCACCTGCCTTGGATCCGCCTGCCTTCCCCTCCCAAAGTGCTGGGATTATAGGCATAAGCCAGTGTGCCTGGCCAGTAGCTGCTTTTGATATTGGATATTTCCAATCATGAATAAGTCCTTGCTATACTCATACTCCATTCATTGTCTGAGTTCTGCTTTCTGCTGCACCAGCCAAGATTTACTTCTTTCTGCTACATAACAGCCCTTCAAATATCAAGCTACTTCAACTTGTATGTTTTAGAGAAGAATACAGCCCAGATTTTTGACCATTTCTCTTATGATATGCTTTCAGAGCTTCCCCCTTCCTGGTTATTCTCATCTGCACACATTCTTGCTGGTTAATCTTACTAGACTCAGTACAGAATCATATACTCTGAAACATTGTAGGTTTGTGTGATGAGCCTAGATCAGGAAAGTAAGGACGCTTATTCGTAAAAATATCAATATATTTTCCCTTATAGAATTAGGAAAATTATCACAATTTAAATATATTATTTTTTTCATGAAGAATTGTGGTTATATAACTGACACAAAGAAAATATTTTTATTCTAAGCCAACAAACGCTGTCTGCTAAAGTGAAGTTCCATTGCAGAAGACATGGTTATTTTTCAATTATGATAATATATATCTCAGTGATAAATCAAATTAAAATTTCCTCATCACTGCACATAATGATTTAAGATATATTCTTAAATCTCATTAAAGATTCACTATCCCTAACTGCTATTGGCTCCCAGACAATTGTCTCATAGGATGGATCTCTGAGCAACTTGATGCTTCAGAAATGGGCTGAGACCCCATGGGGAAAACAGCTTAGAGGGCGCCAGTGCCTCTTCTCTTCTGCTTCAGGGCTTTGAACTTTAGTTTCGAATTTAGCCCACTCACCCTTCTCCTAACTCTCCTAACAACTTCAGTTGTTACTGAATTAGCTCATATGCAATTGGTTAATTGGGGAGTGATGTCAGTATAATGTGAATTTGTTCTGGTTCATATCCTTTTTTTTTTTCCAAAATCTTTAATATTTTATACAAAAAATAACAAGCAAAGTGTATGATCATAGCTGAAAGCAGCAAGCTGCAGTTACGTAGTCCTTTACACAATGATAATTTGCCTACAGTTATTTTCTTGAATTGATTTGGACATGTGTTGCCTGTGTTACTCCCTAATTGTGCCTTTTCTCTTGTCTCTGTAGCTCAGCTACCTCAATCTATCCTTACATCCATTTTTGTCAAGTAATCTTCAACTTGAAAGTTAAGACCCTAAACAGTATTTACTGAAGTATTTTTATTTATTAGCAATATAAAATTATTTTAGCTGTGTTAGTATGTAACACAATTACTGTTTTTTGTTAATTCTCTAACAAAATTGTATAGGTTTGAGGGGTATGCCATAACCCTTCTTGTTTATAATGCATGATTTTGGAAAGCATGAGGTTTTCTTGAGGAATGTGTATTTTGCATTTTATTAGCACCATGATCAGGAGTCTCCCAACCAGAACAGATCAAGAGACAGTGTGGTTGAGGGGGTTTTGTGAGGCTGGGGTCCTCTGAACTTCACTCATCTCAGTGGCTGTAAATCCTTTACCTCAAACACTTGTGGTCAACTTCAATACCAGTGCCAATATGTCTCACTGAATGTGAAAAGTTAATGGCTGAAAAGATATTTTTATCTCCCTGTTCAAGGCTTTTAAGACATGCCACACTACCACAAACAGAGGCCCATAAAAACAGTTTCTCAGGATTCTCCCATTTCTGCCCTCATCTTAATGACTTCTAGCCCATTCCATTTGGTTTTATCTATTAGGTTGGTGCAAAGGTAATTTGCTTTAGCTTAACTCCTTGGCTTCAATTTCTTGGCTCAGACCTTCAAAGTTGATTAGTATTTCTGCCTCCTCCTTATGTAGAATTCACTTTGGTTTCCCTCAGCCATTTGTACCATGGACTTTCTGAGTGGTTTCTTGCTTATTCTGTCTTCCCTGCTCCAGTTTTGAGCATTATGGAGCCCCCTGCACCAGGGTGATTTCTCAGCAGTGCTCCTAATTGGAACAGCCCTGGCCAATCCTTAAAATGAAGTTGATTTAGTAAGATTGTCATGAGAGAATATAATGGCATTTTTGATCCTGCGGGCTTACTTTCAAAGTCACTTTACCTTCCAATAAGGCTAAGCCTTTTCAATCTTTATAACTGCAAAAGCAATCTAGCTATTAGCACAAACCCAGAGTAGAATTCAATCTACACTGCAGACCCCTAGGCATTTACTTCTCCTTTTATAATGTTTTTAAATGCTGTTTCATATTCTGGTAGCTTCTCCAAGTATGTGACATTACTCCACATGTGGGAGGATATTGGAATAGAAAGTAAAGACACATTGATTCCTTCAAATCAGCAGCAGGTCATTCAGCAGCGCTTTGTGCCAATGTACCATATAACCACTTCCTACTCTACAATCATTAGTATCTATCCTAGCATATCCAATAGCCCCAGAAAGTCACAGCCTGGACAAGTCCTGGGAGACACTGGCTGTAGTGCTATCATTCAAAGTCTGGTAATGCCCACACCGGCTCAGAGTTGGCAAATTCAAGGACTACGAGGTCAAAATTATGTAACTATAAAATTATATAACATTTAACTCTACTAGATTTGCTTTAAAAAGGAAAATAAAGAATTTGTATTAACATCTTAATGAATTTACACAGCATAGCTATTTGGTTGAGTGTTTATTTTATTTGATCAGAATCATTCTTAAGGAGAAAGTTAGGCCAGTGATTTTCATTATATGCAACAAAGCTGTTTGCCTTTCCAAATGCATACAGAAGAGAAAACAGCAATCATATTTCATCAGCTGAAGGAATCTATCAGTATGTAGAGCACTAATGACCATTCATTTGTATATTTAAAATACAGCCAGATGAAATAAAATGTCTCGAATTTCCAGAAAGTTGTTTTCTTCAGTCAAATGTATTTAAGGAAACACTATGTTTAGTAATATAAATAAATATAATTATTTGTACATTAAAATGTAATTGCTGTATTGGAATTAGAAGATCACTACTTTTTTATTTTAGTTGAATCATTTTGAATAAAATGTATTTTTGAGTTGGTATTAAATCAAATAAAACTGCTTTAAATATATCCATTCTATTTTAATTTTACCAAAATAAAATATCTTCAATATTATTGTTCAAACACTGCAATTTATGTATTGAATCAATAGATGATAAAATCCTAAAAATACATAATGCCACATCTTTTTTTAGCTTCAGTGATTAGTACCTTAATTTAAATGCTTGCTTCATAAAAGCGTAAGTAGTTTGTTAAATGTCAAGGTATATTAGGAATGTAATGTGCATTTTAAAATCTGGTTAATGTTAATTTAAAAAATAGCTATGAAAGAACATAGAAAATTAAATAACATTTAATAGTACTTAATATAAACACGATAAATTACTTAAATAAGCATTCATCTGCTCATATTACTGTTTTTACATATGCATTCTACATAAAAATTTTTGCAATTTAGGTAATAATTTAAATGCAATATGTAACATCACTTATCCTTTATTCAAATATTTGCAGGTTTTTAAAATACAGATAGTAAGTATGACTCGGTAATGGAATGTAACATCTCTAATTTCAAGTTTTATGTGTGTGTGATTTAAAATATTTATTGGTTTTACTACATGTTGTGCCTGAGAGAAGAGCAGAAATATTATATTTTAATGGAGTCAGAGGATACAGCCATTATTTAAACCCCAAACACTTGGCTCATTGCTGACATGGACAGTAGTGACTTACTGGTCTGCACCTTTATGATGCAGTCAATGGGGCAGCATTATGATACTACATTTAAACAAGCACATTACTTTACAACCTCTTACAATCAGTTATATTGCCTATACGTTAAATAGGCTTTGGTGGTCAATTTGCATTGCTATACTTATTTTAATGATGAGTAATTGGTGTGGCCAAGGAAGGCTAAAAACATGACCATTGTTGCACAGCAATGTAACAGGAAAAGTTGAACCTCTGATTTACTTATCAAATCTGGAGATAATCTTTACTAGTAATTCTATCCTTTGTGATCTTCTAAGACTGAAGCATTTTGCTATAAGAACCTCATCACTAACATAAATATTATAGACTGCGTTTTCAATATTACAGTGGTGTCATGTTCTTAGTATCTTAATTGTTCTTAATGTTCTTAATATGGAGAACTCCTGAAGGATTGTTACCTTCCTTGTCAGCCACACAATGTTTATAAAGTCAATCTAGACTAGAATACTATTCCAAAGTCAATCTAGACTAGAATACTATACCACAAACCAGTTGTTTTCCTATTAGACAGTTTTCTGTTTTCTGAGGCAGGGTGAATTTCATGATTATTTATCCCATTAGGTCAGAATAACTCAGCGATGAAGACCTTGTACTCCACGATTAGCCATACCTAGATGTGAATTCTGCCTCTACTACCCAACAACTGTTTGACTCAAAGAAAGTTATTTAATTTATAAATATTTCATTTACCTATGTCTATAACAGGAACAAATAATAGTTTTTGCTTCATAAAGTCAGCATGAGGGTTATGCTATGGTTTGGCTATGTCCCCATCCAAATCTCATCTTGAATTGTAATTCCCATAATCCCTATGTGTCGTGGGAGGGACCTGGTGTGAGGAAATTGAATCATGGGGCAGTTCCTCTATGCCATTCTCATACTAGTAAGTTCTCACAAGATCTGATGATTTTATAAGGGGCTCCCAATTTGCCCAGCTCTCATTCTTCTCTCTCCTGACACCTTGTGAAGAAGGATGTGTTTGCTTCCCCTTCCACCACGACTGTAAGTTTCCTGAGGCCTCCCCAGCCCTGCAGAACTGTGAGTCAGTTAAATCTCTTTCCTTTATAAATAATCCAGTCTCGGGTATGTCTTATAGCAGTGTGAGAATGGACTAATACAATAAATTGGTACCACTGAGAGTGGGGTGTTGCTGTAAAGATACTCAAAATGTGGAAGCAACTTTGGAATTGGGTAACAGCCAGAAGTTGGAACAGTTGGAGGGCTCAGAAGAAGATATGAACACGTAGAGAAGTTTGGAACTTTCCAGAGACTTGTTGAATGGCTTTGACCCAAATGCAGATAGTGATATGAACAATGAAGTCCAGGCTGAGGTGGTCTCAGATGGAAATAAGGAACTTGTTAGATACTGTAGTAAAAGTCACTCTTGCTGTGCAAAGAGACTGGTGGCATTTTGCCCCAGCCCTAAAGATCTGTGGAATTTTTAACTTGAGAAAGATAATTTATGGTAGAAAAAATTTCTAAGCAGCAAAGCATTGAAGAGGAAGCAGAACATACAAATTTGGAAAATTTGCAGACTGTCAATGTGATAAAAAAGAAAACCCCATTTTCTAGAGAGAAATTCAAGCCAGCTGCAGAAATTTACATAAGTAATGAGGAACCAGATGTTAATCACCAAGACAATGGGGAAAATGTCTCCAAGGCATGTTATGGTGGCTCTTCCCATCACAAGCCTGGAGGCCTAAGAGAGAAAGGTTTCATGGGCTGGGCCCAGGCTTCCCCTTCTGTATGCAGCCTTGGGACAAGGTTCCCTCTATCCCAGCTGCTTCAGCTCCAACCATGGCTAAAAGGGGCCAATGTGCAGCTCAGGCTGTTGCTTCAGAGGGTGCAAGCCCCAAGCCTTGGTGGTTTACATGTGGTATTGGGCCTGTGTGTGCACAGAAGTCAAGAACTGAGGTTTGGGAACCCCTACCTGGATTTCAGAGGATGTATGGAAACACCTGGATATCCAGGCAGAAGTTTGCTGCAGGGGCGGTACCCTCATGGGGAAACACTGCTGGGACACTGTGGAAGGAAAATGTGGGGTCAGAGCCCCACACAGAGTTCCCACTGGAGCACTACCTGTTGGACCTGTAAGAAGATGGTCACCATCCTCCAGACCCCAGAATGGTAGATCCACCAACAGCTTTTACTGTGCACCTGGGAAAACTGCAGGCACTCATGCCAGCCCATGAAAACAGGCTGAAGTGGGGCTGTACCCTGCAAAGCCACAAGAGCAGAGCTACCCAAGGCTCTGGGAGCCCACCTCTTACATTAGTGTCCCCTGGATGTGAAACATGCAGTCAAAGGTGATCATTTTGGAACTTTCTGGTTTAATGACTGCCTTTTTGGCCAATTTCTCCCTTTTGGAATGAGAGTATTTACCCAATGCCTGTACCTCCATTTTATCTAGGAAGTAACTAATATGCTTTTGATTTTACAGGCTCATGGGTGGAAAGGACTTACCTTGCCTCAGATGAGACTTTAGACTTGGACTTTTGGGTTAATGTTGGAATGAGTTGAGATTTGGGGGAACCATTGGGAAGGCATGATTGTGTTATGAAATGTGAGTACATGAAATTTGGGAGGGAGCAGGGGCAGAACGATATGTTATGGCTGTGTCGTCACCCAAATCTCACCTTGAATTGTAACTTTCATAATCTCCACATGTCATGGGAGGGACCCAGTGGGAGGTAATTGAATCATGGGGGCAGTTTTCCCCATGCTATTCTCATTATAGTGAGTGAGTTCTCACGATATCTGATGGTTTTGTAACCATCTGGTGTTTTCTCTCTCTTGCTGCCGTGTGAAGAAGGACATGTTTGCTTCCCCTTCTGCCATGACTGTAAGTTTCCTGAGGCCTCCCCAGCTTTGCAGAAGTGTGAGTCAATTAAACTTCTTTTCTTTCTAAATTACCCAGTCTCGAGCAGTTCTTTATGGCAGCATGAGAACAGACTAATACAGGTAATTATGAAATAATTGACCAGCTAAAATGCTTAGTGTAATGCCAGAAATATATTAATGCACTATTCAAAAATATTAGCTGTTAACAATATTAACATTCCCATCATATTTATTTGTTAAATAGTCCCAATAGATAGCATGTAGTTGATGGAAAATTGTGAAAATTTACTTGGTAATTACAAAATAATTGCTTCACCTTCCCCCTATAATGTGGATATATCTCTTTGTAGCTGAAAAAAAAATCTCTGAGACATCAGTAGCTCAAGGGATGTTGTTCATTACCTTAAAATTTTTCCATAATTCATCAATAACATCATGCTCACCTTTCTCCCTCATAATGTTCCCAGACAGTTTTAGCTACAGTGCATGGCAATGACTTCTGGTGTCATATTTTTCCCCACAGCTATCACTGGGACTAGTGGATATAAAAGTATCCACCTTGAATTAGCTAAAGACAACACAGTTGCCTTGCAGTACCAGTATTTGAGATTCCTAACTTTTCATAACACCTTTTCAATCTTTGTCTAGCTTTCCAACTGCTTGTTCTACTTCTTCCTCATACATCCCAATTGCTACGTTTCTAATGCCTCTGTACCCTTAGATATTACAGACTGTTAATGGTCTACTAACACATCCAAATTAAACTCAAAATTCATTTCCTCTCAGAAGGTTTCTCCAACTCCTGGCCTCAAGCAAACTTAGGAGATAATGGGGGTCTTTTTTTTTCACAGTGGCTTCCTGTGGGGGTGTAGGCAGAAAGGTCAGAATTATAATACCTAGAGAGCTTTTTTAAAATATCCATATGCTGAGGGCTTTTCTTCCCCACATGCTGTGGGAATGAGTGCAAGAATGTATAATATAAAAATTTTCCAAGCTACCTTTAAAATCCAGTACTTCCTTTTCCTATGACACTACACAGAAACATTGATTCTTGACTTTATAACTCTTTTTTTAAAAAGAAAAAAAAAGAAAAAAAGAAAAGATCCTGTATTTCTAATTCTAGTAAGAAATTTAGACAGAGCAGAGTAATATGTTGACTTTATAACTCTTGTACATACTCAGTCACTGTGCAGTTACCTTATTTTTTAATAGTTTAGTTTTATATTTATCACCCTTACCAAACTCCTTGACAGCAGGAATTTTATTTTTTTAATCCCAAGAAAGTATAATGCTAAATACTTGACAAAAATCAGTAAGTGTACTTTTGTGCTGACACAGGAATGAATATGTTTTAAGACCATTTTACTTATTGTCACTTAACTATAAATCTCAAGTAGAATAACAAAATGCGTGTTGAAAAAAAGTTTTTTTAGATCCCAACAGAGAAAACACAGTCTAAACATTAAAGTTCAAATATTTTGTTTTATAAGAAAGCCCCCAGGTCATCATTCACTTTTACTGTAAACAAAATTATAATAAGGTTAGTTTTACTTTACTAGTTAATTTACTCATAGTAAATTGTGTAAAAATATTGAGTGGTTTAGCTGACATCTTCCACAGAAAGATGCATCATCAGCAGTAAGAATTGATAGCTTGACAGACTATCAATAGACACAAACCCTAAAATAGACACAAATCCTAAAACAGTTGAGAACTTTCATGTATTTTAATTTAACAATAAACATCTCCATAGATAAGTCACTCAGGCACAACAAAATCGAAGCCAAACCAAACAAATCATATTTATAATCTAAATTGTATCAAAAGAGTTAAAATTTTTGATATTTGATACCATATAAATATGATTTATAATATTATTAAATACTTTGAAAATAGAATGCACATAAATATGCATTGATATACTTTGAAAATACACTGAAACTAGAATTTACATTAAAATTATTTAAAACATATGTATTTTAGCTACTTATGTGATAGAACTTAAGTACCACAGAGAGAAGTGGTCACATTATGAGTGCATAATATGATGAACGTTGTCATAGAAAAATGAATTATTACTGTGTGATCACAAAGTCAGCTACTCACTTTGAGTTAAAGATTTATGAAATATGTTAGAGAGGTGTTAACTGAGTTGAGCGTTAAAGAATGGGTGGCAGTTTTGCAGGAGTGAAAGCAGAAGCTCAGAGAACCTGGTGTGTTTGAGAGGAAGGTAAGAAGGTTCATGTCCTTGAAGCATAGGAAGGTGAAGATTACAGATAAGTTCAGAGATGTTGAAAAGAGATGGAAAGCCTCATAGGCTATATGTGCATCAACATATTGGCAACAGGGAGTTAGCAAAGGTGTTTATCAAGGTAGTGGCATGAGAAAATTTATTTGTTTCTTTGATTTAGTCAGAAAACCCAAGTGGTTGAGTGGAGAATAGATCTGGTAAAGTTAGGTGGCTATGGCAAGAGTTCAGAAAATTTATTTTTAAAGGTCTGAAAAAGGCTAAAGATTAATGGTATATTAAAAAGGTATTTAGGATTGATTGGATAGGAGAAAATTAAGAGATGAGTGGAAGCTTTAATACATACATGTCTGATTGAAATAAGTGCTATACTTTTCCTTAGAGGGGATTTGTTTTCAAAATAAAAATTATAGCTTACTTTTCAACTTTTAAAAACAGTGTCTGTAAAAACTATTTATCTAGCTTCCCTGGAAAGATCTCAGTTGTTCTGGTTCAATCTCATTTCCTCAGAAGTTAGACTTTCCAAGTTAAATGATGATGAATGATAATTATTCTGTAATGAAACCTCAACTTGGCATCAACGAACAAGACAACATGAAATGGGGATTAAAATTTTGCATCTAATTACTATATTTTAGTAATGAAGATGAACATTTTGGTAGTTTTTAGATTTCAAAAGGCTTGTTCTATCATTTTTGCTTCTGTAGAAACTCTATTGAAGATTGTCTAGCACTCTATATCTTAATGGGTACAATGCAAAAAATAAGTTAGTTTTAGGAAAAAAAGGTATTAAATTTTAAAATCTTTAAAAACAAATCAACCTAATTTTAATTACATGATTGTAGGACATTTAAAAGCGGACATCAGCTGAAAATTTATGTTTCAGTGAATACTTAAAATTTTGAGAATATACAACTTACATTTTCACAAACTAAGTGAATTGCTAAAATAAGATGAAGTCTATCAAAATGTCACCATAAAATATAGCTACCTTAATATGAATAAACATGAAGAAGAACTGAATGGCTTCATAGAATGTGATAATAAAAACATGAGCATGAGAAGAGTGCCGTGTCCCTTTACATTGCTTCCAAGCTTCCCTTTTGTTGCTCTTCCTTCTGCATATGTATATTCATTTATAAGAACATAAGCAGGAAAGAAGAGCCTCAAGAAAATCCCAAAAATGATTTAACATTGTATTCTTGCTGTTTTATATATCACAATTTATTTTGTATGGTGGAAATTGTCTTCAATATATGAAATTCAGGCTCATAAAATGATGGGCTAATAAAATGCAAGCTTTTATATTAAAAATAGATAAACATATACATTATAATACTATCATGTTAGTCATTTGTGGAAGTTGTACAAAATACAGCAACCCTGTAAGGCCTATAGGACTTTAATTTAAGGAAAATGTAACTGGCTGGGGCCCAGGTGGGGGGTGCAAATATTGCAACTTTTTCATGGTTATGAGTACTATGTGGTAGATCTGAGTTTAATTTTTTTTTTATTTACAATGTATTTGTTCTTCCCTAGTATAAAAGAATAGTTGAGCACAGAGGAGTGTTAACCATATGGCCTGTGTTCAAATTCTATTCACACCATTTTCTAGCTTAGTCAAGTTACTAGATCTTTTTTCAGTTTTCTCTAGTGTAGAATGAAGAAAATAATGGTACTCTGAGAACTGTTTGGTTTAAATGATGCAATACTTCCTCATCATTTAAATTTTGCCGGACCAATTAAACACTAATAAATATTGACTTTTATTGTTATTCTCCAAAAATTTACATTTTATTTATTAAAATAATTAATCTCCAACTTCAAGATCTAGCAGAGAAAATATTTTGACTATTAAAATGTAATATGGCTTCAACATTTAGTTATTAATTTCTTCCTCTTACCTACATGGCTTATTATCAGCAGACTGGCCTAAGAGCAGGAATAATCATCGTAGCTTTGTAGTCCCCTAATTCTATAAGTTGGAAAAATAGTTAGGGAACTTTTTAAAATATATAATACTTTTACGATTAATAGTGATTTTTGAAAAAACCTTTTCTGCCTCTTGACCATGTGGTTTTCAAAGATTGATTATATTTTGGATGATTTCACATTAGATAGTAAATAGACACATGTCAAACTAACCCAGAGGGAAACTGGGAGAAATTCCAATGAGTATTAGTTGAATTGAACATTGTCCCCATCACTAAAATGCTAATTTACATTGGCTGTACAGCTAAAGCTATCCATGTCAAGAATGGAAGATCTAATATGTATCTTGATCATTTTTTGCCTGAACTGCAGTCAGCTGTTGCTATGGTCAATTTCTTTTCTGTATCTTTACAGTATAATAAGAATTCTAATAATATAATAATAATAATAATAGTAACAGCAGTGACAAATATTTATTGAGCATCTGTCAAATGTCTGGTACTATGTATATAATTTTGATATATACTAAATAATTTGATCATTACAGATACTGAGGCAAGTGTCAACTTGTTACTCACATTCAGTATTTTTAAGTAAGGAGTTTGAGGCTCAAAAACATTAAAATTCTTGCCCAGGGTCACACAGAATAACTGGTATTATTTTATCTCAAGTGTTAGATCTGTTGTTCTGTGTTGTGATACTGTTTGAGGTATTGAATGGAAGGAGAAGGCAGATTATCTGCAAATCTAACTTTAAGAAATAGGGGCATGGATCTAGTCTCATCTTCCCCAACTGGCTAGGTAGTTTCCAACTGGCCAGCTGGAATTTTCCCATCCTGATTTAAGTAATGAGCAGACATTACACTGAAAGTCATTGCAGAATTCTAAATCCCAGCTTCTCTTATTTGTGGATTAGACTCTCTGAGTCACAATGACTATGAATCCTCTCATAACTAACAATTTCATTAAGTAGAATTATTTCTGACCTCATAGTCCTGGCTAAAATCCATTGAAAGATATTAGTTTATGAAAAAAGTAATTAAATTCACTGTTAATGAAGAAAAATTAAATGATTCTGTATAAACAGAATTTTAAAATAGATAATCTCCTCTAGATTGGGAGGAAAAATACTGAGATGGCAGTGAGCAATCTGAAAAAACAATTAAAATACATTTCTATTAGAGCAGTGAAGCTATTTTATATGATACTGTGATGGTGGATATATGTCATTATATATTTGCCAAAATCCATAGAATGTACAACATGAATTCTACTGTGAACTGTGGAGTTTAGTTAGTGTTAATTTTTAGTTAGTGTTAATGGGTTAGTATAATGTTAATTAGTATTGGCTAATCAATTTTAATAAAGGTACCATCTTAATGCAAGATGTAAATAATAGGAGAAACTATGTGCATGTCTGTGGAATAGAAGGAAGATATAGGAACACTACTTTCCGCTCTTTTTTTGTAAACCTAAAACTTCTCTAAAAAATAAAGTCTGTTAATTAAAAAAATAAAATGTATATTCTAGGACATAAGATGAGTTAAATAGAAAATAAAATGTGTATACAAGAAGTGGTTATCTACAGTCCCTATGCTGAACTTTATAAAAGTGTCATTTCCAATATTCCATTTTGTCTGTCATCAGACCACTTGTCTCCATTTCAAAGCCATATCAAGAGCTCAAAATATGTATGCATGGAATTGAGTTGGAGAATGTCAATTCTCATACCTAACTTCCAGTAATCTTGCTGGAATGGCCCTGACAGTTTTAAAACAGCTACAAGGAAAGACTTCAACACTGTCATTTAAGTGGATGTCACAAAGTAGATTTCAGTTAAATAACAAAATGATTTAACTTTCCTTGAAGAACAATTTGCACAAAAAATGAGGAAACTATTTACATAAATGACTGGCTTGCTCATGCTAAAAGAGAATTTATCAGAATTCTCTGGCAGATTCAGTTTTGCACTCTTAATTTATTTACAGTACTTCAGATTAAAGAATTTCACAACATAAGAATGTTGTAAATATTTAAGAGATGATGCCTTAGATCAGCAATTCCTAAGGACCTCTCTGTTTAAAATTTATTTTTCCCTTATACTTAAAATGAAGATTGGGATTGTTTATAAATATTCATTTCATGGATATCTTCCCACAACTCTCTTCTTACAGCAGGAGCCACCTGCTCTGAACAGCCTTAGAGTGCAAACCATACTAAAGGGAATTGGTGAATGCCAGAAGACAGTGGTGTTAAGTGTTGGCTGGCTTCTTAAGCTCCCTCCTCCATACGGCAAGTCCAAAAGTGCCTAGGCAACGAGCACTCAGAGAAAAGATGGCTATTGGGCCACTACATACCTATACTCTGTAAAGTGCTTTTACAAAATTACTGTTACTAAGCATTTCTATATCTCTGGGATGAAGAATGTCTAAAAAAATTACTCTTACATTCAGAAATTTAGGGCAGCCAATTTAATAGCTCTAGCTCTGTTTGTATTTGTTTGTTTTAGAATAAAAACAAATTTAAGCCTGACCAAAATAAGAGATAAACAATAGATTTGTAAACAATAAAGTAGTATGCAAATAAGAGATAATTTTAGCATTAAAATTCCAAATTAAATATTGTAATTTATCTAGCTTATTAAGCTTTTTTATACTTCATTTTTTATTTTTTAATAATAATCACCCTACCTGAATTCTATATGTTAAAATCATTTAGAAGACTGCATGGTTTTTCCAGGGTTTTAGTATAGGTTGTAACAAGTCACTGTGTCATGTAATTGTGTTCATATTGTCTTGTAAATGACAGTGTCCTAAAGTGGGATGGACACAAGATTTGCAATCATCATATCTCAATTCCTTATCTAGCTCTGTCACCCTCTTAGGTGTCTGACTTGGGTTATAATTTCAGTTTGTCAACTAGAAGAAGAGAGTCCAACCTACTCACACAATATCTGAAACATACTTGTTGGTGAATGGATCCTTCACTGAGCCATTTTGAAGAACAAATGAGCTTACATATGAAAGTTTCTTTGTAAACAATAAAGTGGTATGTAAATATGCTGTAAAATATTCAGATAGTTGCAATATCTGACTATAAATGATACAAACCATGGTTATTTCTAATTTGCTGATCATTTGAAGAAGTCTGGATTCGCAAGTTGAAACTTTTAACCCAGCTGTTCATTTATGATAAAGCTTTAAGAGTGACACCATCAGTATATATCAGGATAACCAGATTCCTCTCTTTCCATTACTTCCTCCTCATTCCTGAAGGACTTCTTGATACCAGCAAGTTATTGTACCTTGACTACTATTTTAAAAGCTGGAGATCAGGAGATCAAAATCCAGAACATGAATTTCATTTTGATTAAATATGTTCCAATTTTGTTGACACTGATATTACATATTAAAAACCAGTTTTTCAATGAGCTATATTTCCAAAACAACACTATTACATAAAATAAACAGCATCATCAGAAGTTACTTTTGTATATTTTAATTTTTGTGAGACAATGTTGCATAAGAATTTTGGAATAGGAGAAGAAAGAGGGAATGATAAACAGGTAAAACCTACTTTGGGCTTTTAGTGTTTTGAGTTACTTTCATTATCAACCTGTTTTTTTTTTAAATAAATGCAAAAAATAATTTTAGTATGTACGATCTTATTAAAAATGACCTTAGTCTAAGTATTTAAAGTCACTTAGATGTTAACATTGTGTTTAAATATTTGGTCTTTAATGAAGCATTTTTTTTTCAAATTTTATTTATACAACATATTTTTTATTAAATCTTAGTTGTAACTTTAATATCATTGTAATAAAGCCTTAGTACTGTTCAGATTCCCTTAGAGTTTGCTAGATAAGTTTTTTTTCTATTTAATACTTATAAAACTGGCTTAGGATATGTATGGCTGGTGGCATCACCTTAGATACAGCTCACAAAGTGAAAGGACCTCAGGAGCATACTCTTGAGGCACAATGGGGATTTAAGTGCCTTCTCACCCGCATGTCCTAGAGAAGATACACCTGGGCACTAAGACTTTCATTTTAATGCAAGACCTTGAGACTCTGAAAGTGGAAAAATCTTTGGAGAGACCCAAAGCTGGATTTATGTCTTAGAGACATTTATCAGAGAAGTGTGGGTACTATTTTTTTAATTAAAGGGATGGTGGTTAGATTGTTTTATCTCCATTGTTGTGTTAATGGTCATATGCTTCATTTTTGGATATTGAGTGGTAGACAATGATGGTGCAGCACACCTGAATTAACTTCTCCAAACTGCTCTGTGTGGACCCCATCAGTGCCAGAGGAAGCAGATGTAAGCTTACTATGTAGAGTCCACAAAACACATAGGCATTCATATATGTTGGGTCACCCATTAAACTGGTCACATCAGAGGGAAGGTGACTTTCATAAGCTGATAAATTTATATTCTACATCAGCTACAGTGATGAATACTGATGCCATCTGTAGCACGGAGGCTCTAACACTGGCTTGAGATTAGTGGTTATAGGAAGCAGTAGGGGTAGAAATAATGGAGACAAGATTCTAGTATTGACCTGGGCTCATGCGGGAAGCCATTACCTGTGAGCTGGTGGCATCCTTAGTTGCCATGCATCTTCTGGGTCCATCTTTTGAACAATGGCAACAGAGTTCTAGGAAGCAACTCATGATGATGGCAGAAAATCTTACTAGACAGCTTTAGAAAACAGAAGCAACCACAGTCCTTGAAAACTAATGAAGAATTAGCCTTGGTACAAATTTGCGCAGTTCAGATCAGCTATAGTTCAGTTGGCAGAGAGCAGTTATAGAAATAGCTTTTAGGTGTATCTCATCACAGACTACAACCAGTAATCACTGCCCCTTAGAGAAATCATATGAGCTGCAAAATATATGTAACTGAACCACATTTGGTAACATATTGACCACCAATGCTTGTGAAAGTTCTGAGGAATATCAACAAGGGAGGGAAGCAGAGAAGGGATAATTTGGAATGAACTGAATTATCACCTCAGCTTTGAGATTCTAACAAAGTTAAAGAAAAACTATGAAACTTCTTCAGAGGATGCCACAGAGTCTCAGTGGATTGTGGCATCATCCTTTTGTCAAGAGCTAATGAGAATCCATTTTTTTGCTTAAAGCACAGGAAACATGGATTGATTTTACTAAACACTACATTTTTTTCTTTTGATGTCTGTATGGCATTATTTATATGTGCTACTGACTACACAGTATAGTTTGAATGTTGAACTTCCAAATGTATTTATAGTTCTTCTTATTCTTGATCATACCACTATCACATAAATGAGAAATTATTCCTTACAATAATAATTTTCTCTCAATTCAATGTTTCAGCTGCTTTGCTATATCTTAAATTATTTGATGCTGGGCTCTATATCATTTCACCTTCCGTTTGTAAAAGATTTTGATTGATATTGGTTTCATATTTTATATGTCTTACTGTTAATGAGCTGTTTTACTTTTTTGATGCAATACATTGGGTCTGGGTCAAAAATCATGTATTCCTATCTTTTAACATGGCTGGAATATTACTAATTCACTTAATATAAGTGGATTTATATAGAAGCCTAGATTTAGCTATGGATTGATTGAATGCCATTTTGGTAAATGTAATTCTGAATAGCAAATAACCAAATATCTTTTATTCTGTATTCAGTAAATTTTAATTTAAAGAAAAGTGATGCAAGGTTTACTTGGTAAATGCATTTTCTGAATTTCATAAATATTCTGAATCAGTAGTCACTCCTTTATGAATCTGTAAGAGGCCAAATAACACCCTAAAATAAAGTTTCTCTTAAATTGCATTCTTATTGTAAAGAAAAATAGCATATAATTGATGAAAAAGCTCACAACATTCTTTCCTCCATCTCCTAAAATCTGGGATTATAAAAAGAGCAGCTGTACAACAAGCATTCAGGCCTTTTACTATTAGAAAGCCCATCTGTTTTTCTGTACTTTTGCCTAAATTTTTAATAATTATGTCTAGACATGTGACAAAAACACATAGAGATTAACTATTTCTTCACTGATTACAACTTTAGAAATGAACCCCATGAAAATTCACACTACATAATTTAATTAGTTTTATTTTAAATACAGAGAATGAAAATTTCATCATGAACAGGGTTTCACCACGTTGGCCAGGCTGGTCTCAAATGACCCTCCTATTTTTAACTTGGATACCTGCTATTCTGCCAAAAGACAGTTTCTAGAGTAGTTTTGAATGGGTTGATTTCCCCCAGTCCCACAAACTCTGAAGCCAGTGTCTAGCTTACTAAAAAAAGAGTTATACATAATATTTAAGATGCTGAGTATTTCATAGGAAAGCTGACTGCTGCTGTAAAGTGCTCTTTAAATCTTTTTTTTAAATCCCTTTCTAATGAATGAAACTAGGGGAATTTCAGGGGACAGAGATGGGATTTGTTGTATGATAAACTGTATGTAGTTTTCAGTCTTTCTGTATTGAGAAGCCGTGGTTGGGGCATTTTTAAGATGGCTGGCTACTCTTGTTTTCCCTCATGATAATAAATTTGTCATAACTCAGTAACATGGACTTGCCCCTAGAGGTAGTTGTTAATAATTTTGAAATATTAAGGTCTTGCCAAGCTTCTGATGATTCAAACCTGTACTACTGATTATTAAGCAGGACAGACTGAGCTTTCTGCTGCAAATACCTTGGAGGAGAAAGTAATTTCTAAATATACAGAGAGGTAACTTGACTATATATGTTGCATCCTGTGCCTCCCTTCATATTAATATTTGATAAAGATTTTAATTCATATAAAACTTCTAAAGCAGAATCAAAGCTCCTCTTGGGGAAATGGCAAGTCTTTAGGACAGGCGAGACCCTGTATGCATAGTACCAAAGCATTACCACATGGTAGAGAACACACTCGATTAAAAATGTTAAGCTATCTGAAAAATAAAATATGCAAGTCTTCAGGATGGCACAAAACAAAGGTTAATACTTTTTGGGACACATTTCTTAGCGGGCTTGCTGAGTGTGTAAATATAATCAACTTTTGTTTGTGTTACATGACTTTGATGACTTCATTGAAAATCTGCACAATTCAGTTTCAGCTCTGGATAACTTCAGTTGACCTTTGTGAAGGTTTTTATCTGTGTAGAATGGGTGTTTGACTTGTTTTAGCCTATTAAGTTTTTATTTTCTTTCACTCTGTATTAAAAGTAAAATTTACTAAAAGAAAAGAGGTTTGTGTTCACATTAAATGGCTTTGGTTTGGCTTATTTTAGTCAGGCTTTCTGAACATTGAGATATCCTGAACTTAGAGCTCTTCAATCCTAAGATCTTCATGAAAAGCCTCTCACTTGAACCCAAACCAGAGTACTCTTACTGCCTCTTTTCTAAATGTTCAGGAAAAGCATTGCCAGTTCAGTCTTTTCAGAATGAGGGAGAAACATTTGCCTGCCGTATAATAATAAGACTCAGTGCTTATTTTTTAAACTGCATTTTAAAAATTGGATAGTATAATAACAATAAGGAGTAAGCCACCTTTTATAGGCACCCTGTAGTTTTATAGTTCTTAATCTAAATATTTTATATTTCCTTCTTTTGGAAAAAAACCTACATGCTACAAGCCACCATATGCACAGACTATACAGTGAGTTGAGTTGGCTCTCCCACAGTCTTTGAGGCGAATTACAAAAGTCCAGCCACTGTCATCCTCCTGAGTTATTTTGAAGTGATTTTTTTTTTTTACATTTTGGCTGCAGTATTGGTGGTAGAATATACTATAATATGGATCATCTCTACTTCTTTCTTTATTTATTTATTACTAGACCTCAACCACAGTCTTCTTTTTCCTCTTCCACCTCTCTTTGCCTGTAGGGTGTACTGTATGTAGTCATGTACTTTGTATTAATATATTAGAAATCTACAGATCTGTTTTGTACTTTTCATACTGTTGGATGCTTATAATCAAAACTTTTACTAGGGTATTGAATAAATCTAATCTTATTAGAAAAGAAAAAAAAGAAAATTTAGTCATGAAATACACAGACACACACACATACACACACACACACACGACATTCATTTGATTTTAAAATACCATTGAGTATAAGATGCGACATTAAAATGAAGATTAATGGTGTTTTGGAAAACTACATAAGTATTGACTATATAACAATCAAATTTTCAAAAATGTTATATCCAAAAATTTATGTATGTCAAAATCAACAAAACAACACTATGTTATTTCTACCCTTAATATAAGTGCATATATATATATATAATATATATATATATATATAAAGATTAAAAGAATTCTGCCAGTTCTGATATTGTTATATAATCATATATAGAATATCCATATATATTGGATTAGGGTGACTAAAAATTACCAGGCAAATCTTTAACTAAGCCATCTTTCATGTCTATGCAAACCCAACTCAGTATAGGTTGCCAATCCTGCAGCCAGGGCTGCCTATAAGATAGTATTGATCTGGATCCCTGAGAACTCCTGGAATCTGGAGAACTGCTTTTTCTACCGGGACAACACTGATGTAAGCATGACAGGGCATGAGAAGGTAAAGTGAGAGATGGTTGCTATAAGTTTGACATCTGCTTCATTTTGGTGCAGAAGACCACAATCTAGATAGACTCTTGGGCAGTACCAGATGACACTGCCCCAGATGTAATTGCCAGTAGTGAGCAAACCTATGAAGATTTGACCAACCTCAACAAGGCAGGGACAGCTGCCAAGGATGGTGAAGTCCAGGAAATCATCTGGTGTTTTATGAAGTCCGGTCTCCTGAGAAGGAGCCTGATCACCTGTTTTACAGTAACAACAGTAAGGTTAAAGTAGACATGAAAAATAAAATTGTCTCCCATTTGACAATTTTATCTTTCATATCTACTTACCCCAAAGAATCTAGTCAGAATGTCTCTGGGCATAGTTCCTTAGTTCAAGGCTTTGGGTAGTGGTCTCTTTACCAAAGACCTTCTTGAGTGAAGACAGGAAGGAACTAAGACGTGACCAGTGAAGATCAAGTGAGCCTAAGGTTACTTCTATCAGCCAATCTTACTCTGCAAAACTGTCCCAGGTAGCTGTCATCTTTCCAGTGAAATAGAAGATGAAGGTAACCAGTATTACAGTTTTAAAAAAATCAATGTTTTTAGCTTGACTCCTGGAGGATCCTTGTTAAGATCAAACCTGAATATTTGTCTGCTTATATTTACAGTTATATATATACTATATATAATATATATACACACATATATACAATTTATATACTCTATATATACACACACACACACATATATACACATATACAATTCAAAAATGTAGAAATTCAGATTTCTACTTCCAAATAAAATAATATAGTCATAAAATATTTCAAGCCATTTCTTATTCCACTGTGGTATAAGCTCCCCAAGTGGTAGGAGGAGTACCTCCTATTGTATATTTCAGAATCCGTTCCTTCCTTACCAATGTGTGTCTGTGACATACCCTTAATGTCCTTGATAATGTCCAATTATGTCTTTCACTGCATCACCTTCCTAAAGCATGTTCTAGTTACTTGGCTTTTCCACCTGGGAACAATATCAATTTTAGTATAATTACCTGTCTTTCTCTTTTTTTGCCAGAATAATATGAAAAAGAAGTGACACGCAATTAACAATAATTATTATATCTACTTACATACATATAATTGCATTTTTGTATTCTCAAGAACGTATACTTTTAGAGTTACAGGTTACATGTGTAAAAGACAAACAGCTTCAGAGTTAAATACATCCATGACATTCATAATATTTAGATAAGAAACATTAAGAGTAAAGGACAAGACAGCGGGTTCCATCTGGCCTTACAAATGGAAATAAAAAACTTACTATCTTTTTTTTTTAATCCTGGTCTGTATTGATTCTCATCTTTTAAGCCACTATCACCAAGAGTCTTAAAAATAAGAAAGAATGTTTAGGTTTATTTATCAACATTTGTTCACAGCACCATCAATGATCTAGAAGAATCTGCACCTTCCTTGACTTCTTAGATCATCTGTTTTCCAGCCCCTTCTATGGACTTTCTGGAGCCCCAGACCTCTCCCAACATCCTCTCTATTTTCCTGCTCCCCTTGGCATTTCCCTCTTTACTTTTTTCATGTTTAATATGTTTTATAAAAAAGAAAAGTCATTATATGAGAATTTAAAGTAATACGAAGGTGAGGAATCTAAAGCTGGATAATTTAGTGCCAGCAAAGGATGGTTTAATGTTTTCCCAAAGAGATTGACTTTAAAAATGTCAAGATAACAGGAGAAGCAACCTCTGTTAACCAAGAGGCAGCAGATAAGTTCCCAGGCACCATTAAGAAAATTGTTGAGAAAAAAGGACACCTTTCTGAACCTGTTTTTAATGCAGGGATAAGTGCCCTATTCTGAAAAACAAAAACAAAAACAAACAAACAAAAAAAAACAGACAAAAAATGCCACAAGGGACATTTATTAGTAAGGAAGAGAGGCGAGCACCAGGATTTAAGACAGAAAGTAATAGGCTAACTGTAATATTTTGTGCAAATGCAGTCAATTTATAATCAGGACTGCCCTATTAAAGCCTTGAAAGGAAAAGATAAATACCAGCTGCCAGTCTTTTGGTTGTACAATAAGAAGGCCTGGACAATGAGAATCCTTTTTCTGGAATGGTTCCATTGATGCTTTGTCCCTGAAGTCAGGAAGTACATTGTTAGTAAGGGCTTGCCTTTTAAAGTTCTTTTGATATTGCACAATGCCCCTGGCCACCCGCAACCCCATGAGTTCAATACCAAAGACCTCAAAGTGTTCTACTTGCCCTGAAACACACGTTTCTAATTCAGCCTGTAGATGAGAAGGTCATAAGAACCTATAAGGCTCATTACACATGTTACTCTATGGGAAGTATTTTCAATGCTGTGAAAGAGAACCCCAATAGACAGAACACCAGGAAAGTCCATTGAAGATGTCATTGTTCTTATAGAAAAATCCATGAAAGCCACGGAAGCCATCAGATTCCTGCTGGAGAAAACTATCCAGATGTTGCACATGTCTTCACAGGATTTACAACAGAGCCAGCCAAGAAAACTATGAAAGAGATTGTGGATATGGCAAAAAAAGGTGGCGAATAAAGGGTTTTCAGATATAGATTTTGTAGAAATTCAAGAGCTAATAGACACCACACCACAAGAATTAACAGAAGATGACTTTATGGAGATGGGAGCTTCCAAACCAGTGCCAGAAAACAGAAAGTATCTGATTATTCAAGAATTCCTTTGCTTTTTATGACATGGTCCCTTCTATGATACGAGCACTGAAATAAAGCAAATGATGGAAAAAGGATTGGTACCATATGGAAATATTTTTAGATAAATGAAAAAGCAAAAGTTAGAAAGAAATTATGATGTATTTCCATAAAGGTACATGGAGAGTGCCTGCCTCTCCTTTCTCTCCTTCCATCTCCTTCACCTCTTCTGCCTCTGTCATGGAGACAGCAAGAACAGCCCCTTCTCTTCCTTCTTCTCAGCCTAATCAATGTGAAGATAATGAGGATGAAGACTTTTATAACGATTCACTTTCATCTAATGGATAGTAAATAAATTTTCTCTTTTCTATGATTTTCTTAATAACATTTTCTTTTCTCCAGCTTACTTTGTCATACAAATACAGTATATGATACACATAACCACAAAATGTGTGTCAATTAACTCTTTATGCTATTGGTACATCTTCCAGTCAACAACAGGCTAATGTGCCAATCAATGCTTTATGCTATTGGTACATCTTCCAGTCAACAGCAGGCTATTAGTAGTTAAGTTTAGGGGAATCAAAAGTTATACATGGATTTTTGACTGCACAGGGCGTCAGCACCCCTAAGCCTCTCATTGTTCAAGGGTCCAGTGTACATGTATAGATATTAGTGACAAAGGAAGAAGTGTGTAAACACTCAATTAATATCTTATAATAAGTGATATAAAACCTTCAGTTGAATTTTTGAGTATTCAAGCTTGAGCTTAATTTGGAATATGGGCAAGAGGGAGTACATACAAAAACAAAGGTGTTTGTCTTTTAAAAAAATTTTGAGTTTTTCCTTTTGAGTTCATGCAAAAATGAGAAGGTTGCACCCTCTCCCCACAACCACCCAAGATTTGAAATGTGTAAGAAAACAGAGGCAAGGGAGGAGAAAACATACATGGTATGGAAAAAAAAAATAATAGAAAAGTGGAAAGACTTAAGTTAACTAATACTTAATTTTAAGTTGTTCATTTTGTAGAAGTGCAGCACAACTTTTGCTCAGACATTATGCAATGATACATAAAAGTCTTGGGAAGGGAGGAGGCCGGCTGGTAGGTAGGTGGAGGGTGATAATTTTGTATGTACATAAAATAAAGTGGTGATGTTTCTCATATAGTTCAGTCACAAAGCAAAGGAAAAAAGTGAAATGAGACTGGAGGGGGAAGAATCAGGATCCAAGGCATAGCATGTTAGCTTGGGGGAACCAGCCCCTGGCTACTGCAGCCATTCCAGCTAGAACATCAGACACGTGAGTGGGGACACTAGTTAAGACGACTCCAGGTGTTATCTGACTGCGGTTGCATGAAAGACCTCCAAATGAAACCACGTAGCTGAGGCCCACCAACCCACAGAGGTGTGAGACAGACAATTAAAACATCACCATATGAAGACACTAAATTTTGGGTTTGTTGCACAGCAATAGATTATTGGAACACACTCCTTTACCAGATTACTAATGAGACCATATTTTCTCCTTGTTGATTCTTTCCAATTTATTCATTAAACATTTATTAAAAGTCATCTCCTATGACAGGCTCTGGGTATAATAAGGTAAATAAAACATCATACTTTCCTCCTATGGACTACCCTCAGTTATATAATTTCTTCTCTTGAAAAATCTTGAGGGGAATTAATGGATATTTTAGTATTTGCTATTAGAACAATTAGCTAATACTCTGTAATAAGTTAATTTAGACCATTTTTTCAAATTAGCTGGAGAAAATTTTGTTTTTTTAAATAAATTATAATGCATAAAATATAGATACAGGTGAAATATTTGTATAACCTCCTGGTGAGTGAGGTTATACAAATATCAAGAAACAAAAAGCCATGAATCAAAAAATTTAAAGAGTTGACTCCATGAATGGAAAAAAAAACTTTATTGTGGCAGAAAGCATAATAAACAGAATAAAAGAACAAATATTTGAAAGAAAATAATTGTATACCTATGACAGAAAAAATGTTAAGAATGTTTAATATTAAAGAGCTCCTAGATATTTATAATAAAATGGCAAACCAATAAAATATGGAAATGCAATTTATGGAATAAGAAATGAAAATTAGAAATGAACATATAACATATTTAAAATCATTAATAGGAAGAATAAAATTTGAAAGAAATTCTCCTTAAGAGAATTTTTTCCAGTAAGATCTTAAGGTCAATAATGTCTAGGACATCTCTTAATTCAGTTTCATACAGGGAACAGGCAGTCTGTTATGCAACTTGATTGCTAAAATCTTTTCTAAATTCAGTATTATTGTACTTTGTGTCCAAGTAGTAATATAATCATCTTGGAAAATACTTACTTTCCAAAATAAAATCATCTTGGTAAATACTTATTTTCCAAAATAGTTACAATGTAGTATAAAGTGAAAAGAGGATAATCTTTGTGTATAAGTAATATAAACAACCTTAAAATTGTCTGTTAAAATTCTACAAATCCCACAGCTGAGCACATTATACAGAAAAAAAAAAGCATCAGTATATGTGGATATATATCTCATGCTTACATTTGCATTGTTTGAAAAAACATAAATGCCAATCAATAAGAATTGTTAAATAAAAAAGCATATATTCAAATTGTGTAGTATTATAGTATGCAGCTATTAACATGTGTGTTTCATTTATAATTATTGACTTGGAAAAATACTTATATTGTTAAATGGGAAAAATTAAATGTGAAGTAATTATGGCATGATTCATTTTTACTGCCCAAGGTAATTTACAGATTCAATGCCATCCCTATCAAGCTTCCAATGACTTTCTTCACAGAATTGGAAAAAACTACTTTAAAGTTCATATAGAACCAAAAGAGAGCCTGCATTGCCAAGACAATCCTAAGCAAAAAGAACAAAGCTGGAGGCATCACACTACCTGACTTCAAACTATGCTACAAGGCTACAGTATCCAAAACAGCATGGTACTGGTACCAAAAGAGAGATATAGACCAATGGAACAGAACAGAGCCCTCAGAAATAACATCACACATCTACAACCATCTGATCTTTGACAAACTTGACAAAAACAAGAAGTGGGGAAAGGATTCCCTATTTAATAAATGGTGCTGGGAAAACTGGCTAGGCATATGTAGAAAGCTGAAACTGGATCCCTTCCTTACACCTTATACAAAAATTAATTCAAGATGGATTCCAGACTTAAATATTAGATCTAAAACCATAAAAACCCTAGAAGAAAACCTAGGCCATTCCATTCAGGACATAGGCATGGGCAAGGACTTCATGACTAAAACACCAAAAGCAATGGCAACAAAAGCCAAAATTGACAAACGGGATCTAATTAAACTAAAGAGCTTCTGCACAGCAAAAGAAACTACCATCAGAGTGAACAGGCAACCTACAGAATGGGAGAAAATTTTTGCAATCTACCCATCTGACAAAGGGCTAATATCCAGAATCTACAAAGGACTTAAACAAATTTGCAAGAAAAAAATCAAACAACCCCATCAAAAAGTGGGCAAAGGATATGAACAGACACTTCTCAAAAGAAGACATTTATGCAGCCAACAGACACATGAAAAAATGCTCATCATCACTGGCCATCAAAGAAATGCAAATCAAAACCACAATGAGATATCATCTCACACCAGTTAGAATGGCGATCATTAAAAAGTCAGGAAACAACAAGTGCTGGAGAGGATGTGGAGAAATAGGAACACTTTTTCACTGTTGGTGGGACTCTAAACTAGTTCAACCATTGTGGAAGACAGTGTGGCGATTCCTCAAGGATCTAGAACTAGAAATACCATTTGACCCAGCCATCCCATTACTGGGTATACACCCAAAGGATTATAAATCATGCTGCTATAAAGACACATGCACACGTATGTTTATTGCAGCACTATTCACAATAGCAAAGACTTGGAACCAACTCAAATGTCCCTCAATGACAGACTGGATTAAGAAAATGTGGCACATATAAACCATGGAATACTATGCATCCATAAAAAAGGATGAGTTCATGTCCTTTGTAGGGACATGAATGAAGCTGGAAGCCATCATTCTGAGCAAACTATTGAAAGGACAGAAAGCGAAACACCGCATGTTTTCATTTATAGGTGGGAATTGAACAATGAGAACACGTGGACACAGGGTGGGTAACATCACACACCAGGGCCTGTTGTGGAGTGGGTCAAGGGGGGAGGGATAGCCTTAGGAGATGTATCTAATGTAAATGATGAGTCAATGGGTGCAGCACACCAACATAGCACATGTATACATATGTAACAAACCTACACGTTGTGCACATGTACCCTAGAACTTAAAGTATAATAATAAAAATCATAAAATAAAAAAGTGCATGTAATAAATTTGTATATTTGGATATACTGATCTAGCATAGATAACATATATAAAAATGTACATAAAACTTAGCAGTATTTGACTAAGAGGTAAAAGATTAAAAGGAGTTAAAGATGGTTACGTTTATTCTACATATATTTGCCATATTTAAATATATTATTTTTCTACTTTTAAATATCTTATTTCTCATATCATTTGAACCTATAATTCTACTTCTCAGAAGTCGTCTTAAGGAAATGATAAAAAAGTCAGAAAAGAGTGGAGAACAAATATTGTAATCCATATTATATAAATTGACTAAGTTGAAAATACCCAAAAAATTCAGCCACAGGGAACTGATTAAGTAAATCAGGTTGAAGTCTTAAATATGACACTTGTTCACATCAAAAGTATGTCTTTCAAAGACCTTTTAATGATCTTGGAAAATAATAGCTTTTAATGATCTTGGAACATAATGATCTTGGAAAATGATATTGGAAAATAGTTTTAATGATCTTGGAAAATATGATAATTGTTCATGTTAAAATTATGTCTTTCAAAGAGCTTTTAATGATCTTGGAAAATAGCTACTAATCTTGGAAAATACTTGGATGTAGTATAAAATGAAAAAAGGAAGATAATCTTTGTGTACAAGTAATAATACGAACAACCTTAAAACACAATTATGCCTATAGACACACACACACACACACATACACACAGAAAGAGGAAAACAATCTAGAAGAAAACTATTGTGAGGAAATCTTGCCAGGACAAGGAGTGATATTAGTTTCATTTTACTTTTTAGACTTTTCTATAATTTCTGAAATTTTTATAAGTGTCATTGGTTTTCTAATTCTCCCAAAGAATATATCAGAGCCAACATGAAAATATCACAATGAGTCAGGAATTTTGTGAATTCTTTAAAAAGGGATTAGTTGATTATCCTTCTAATTAAGGTAAAACTTTGTTTCTGATATCTGCATAAAATTAATTATTTCACATGCTTATTCACCAAGTTCATTATGCATAAAACAAAATTAAACAAACAAAAACGACTCCATGAAGTAGTACTGAATATAATGAATATCCTGAATTCTAAAACTCAATGAAAAAAGAACTACTTGATTCATTGCTTAAATAATTATAAAAATGAAATTCAAGAAATAATTTGGGAAGATTTGAGTACTAATAAAAAGAGGTAATAGTTCAGCAAATTGAAGACAACAGAATGAATTAACACTGTTGGAAAAAAATTTGCCTTCAGACAGCAAATATTTCCACTTTTCCGCAGAGACCATAGTCTTTCATGCCTTATGCAATATAGCCTAACCAAATATTTAGATAATCTGGGAATTCAATTTAATGAAACAGCCTCTTTTCCAGTACATTATTAGTAATACATTAGTTTTCACAGTGATTTAGCAAATTTATCTTTCTAATTATTTTGGTTGAACTAACGTCAGCACCCTGTAGACTGTTCTTGGTGCAAAAGAATATTTCTTCCACTCAGGTCTCAGAGTTTGGAAGGATTTAGCTAGAGATTTTAAATTTGCACTAGTTAATCCATCCCATGAATCATTAACTTAGTATAAAAAATAAACAGTGGCTTGGGTTAAGCATAGCAATTTAAATATTTTGCAGAGATTCAGGAGGAAATTTAAAATGGTCAGTAGTTTTGAAAGAAATAATAGCGTACTTTGTCAAGTATTCCAGATAAGGGAGGTAGATACTATATGAATAACATGCTAGTTATTACTATATGAATATTAAAATAAAAGCAATAAAAATAAAACGTAAGCACTAGAGGAATAAAAAAATATTGATGAGCTGCTGATCACTATTACTCATAAGAAGCATGGTTTTGTTTGTTTTCTTAAAATTTGGACCATCCTCTCATTTTTGATGGATTTTTTTTTCCCTTAGGTTCAAAAGCCCACTGAATGTTTCATAATGTAATAAACATTAAAAACTAGTAATTATATGCATTAGATTATCTACAGTAATGTCAATTCATTTTTTGTAGACAAGCATGGTGCTTAGCTATTAAAGAAAATAAATGTTAGTGGCCAAATCTCCAATGTGTATATGCAAAGCTATCTACATTTAATATTCACTACTGATGTTTAAAATTTCAGGTTTAACATGGACATTATTTACCATGAAAATCATAAAATGTAGTTATATTTCACTATGTGTTTGTTAGAACCATATGGAATTGCCATTTTTAAAAAATATAAATGTTGAACATGGCCAATTTGATATGCATTTACCTAATACTTAGTTCTCCCCAGATCTTAAATTCGTCTTTAGGTACACTACGGATTGTAGAATTAGGCATACTGAAGACAACATTTTAAATTTTTTAATGTGTAAACTTAATTGTATAAAGCTTGAAGTTCTTTATTAGTTCAAGCTTCATATTTTCTGTGGCCCTGCTAGACAAGAATGAGATGAAACTCTGCCCTGTGTGAGACTCTATCAATTTTGTTAATAAATGATTCTGCAATTTATTTTTCCTGTTAACACTATACAGGTGTGCCAAGCAAGAGATGTATTGTACTGGTTCTAGTCTCAGTTCGGTATCAGAATGACTAGAGCAGCCTGGGGAGATAATAAAGCTTTTGTATTCTCCATAAACCCTTCTAACAACAAGCTGGTGAATATAAGAGACCCCAGCAGACAGCCAGTCAAATTTAAGCTTCTATACAAAGACTTCATCTATAGAAGCTTATGAGCAGCAACAACTGAAGAGCAGTCTTTGAGATTTGCGCATGTATCTAACAAACATACTTTTCCTAATTCCTTTTACAAAAATTAAATCTTAGTAGAAAAATATGGTCACTCTTTAACAAATTTTTAAAAATTAAACAATTTGATTTACAATATGTTTGCTTCTCTTTTCTCCTCCTTCCTCCTCTCCCATTGCCACCCTTTCCCTCCCTTTTCTTTGTCCTTTTCATTTTAATGTCCAAGGCTATTAAAGAAACTACATGATTTTCCTTACTCTTACTTTAAAAATGGTGAAAAATTTGCATTGAATTCAAAGTTTAGCCACCATTGTGGCTGATGCCCAACTCTTCTTTTCTTCTTTACTGTAAGCATTATCGTAGCCTGGGCAAAGAAATCCACAGGGGCTGGCAAACAGGCTCTTTCCAAAAGAGAATGTGTTTATAAACAAGTGTTTGTCCTCTCTATTCAACCTTTACCTATTCAAGGAACAAAAGCTAACTTTATTCATACTTTGCTATAATTTTTCCTCTTACTATTTTTGGTGAAGGGTAACAGGAAAAGTAAGATTTGAATTTTTTCAAGTAGATTGTATGGTAACATTTACATTCATTCATTTATTCATTCTAATCAACCTCAGTTCCTGAATCTTTGATGTCTCTTATAGGTGAAAGGATTTTTAATGCACCTGTGAGCCAATTTTTGGTTTCTGAAGAGGAGGAAGGATGCAGAGTAAAAGGAAATGTAAAAGTGTTGTACACCAGCTCTCAGTAACCTTAGAAGATTTATATGATGCTGCAACAAGAAAACAGGCTCTGCAAAATAATGTGCTTTGTGACAGGTGTGAAGACAGAGGTGGGGAAAAAAAAAAGGAACAGTACAGTGCTGTCATAATTGCCAAGGTATTGGAATGCAAATAAGAATTCATCAGATAGAACCCGGAATAGCTCAGCAAATTCAAGCTGTGTGCATGGAGACCCAGGGCCATGGGGAACAGATCAGTCCTCAAGATAGATGTAAAAGCTGCAACAGAAAGAAGATAGTTTTGGGAGAAGACGATTCTAGAAATTCATATTGACAAAAGCATGAAAGATGGCCAGAAAATAACATCTCATGATGAAAGAGACCAAAAACCAGGACTGGAGCCAGGAGATATTATCATTGCATTAGATCAGAAGGACCATGCTGTTTTTACTTGACAAAGAAAAGACCTTTTCATATGTATGGATATACAGCTGGTTGTAGTATTGCATGGCTTCTGAAAACCAATATCCACTCTTGACAACTGAACCATAGTCATCATCTCTCATCCAGGTCAAACTGTCAAGCATGGAGCCATCAAGCATGTGTTAAATGAAGGCAGGCCAATTTATTGTAGACCACATGAAGAGTCACTTAATCATTGAATTTAAGGTAAACTTTCTTGATAATGGCTTTCCCTTTTTTGACAAACTCCTTGCTGGAAAAACTCCTACAAAAGAGTAAAGAAGTAGAAGAGACTGATGAGATGAATCAAGTAGAATTTGTGGACTTTGATTCAAATCAGGAAAGATGATGCTGATGCCACTACAGTGCAGAAGCAAATGTGGGACCATTACAATGGAAAAGCATGAGGATGATAAACATCATTTCAGAGGTGTTCAGTGTCAAACATCTTAATGGGACCAGTGATAATACTCGCTGCTGGCATTTTATGGGCAGTAGTGAATGAGCAAAGGACTGTAATCCTAATATGCTCACTACTTGCTATTGTTTTGGTTTTACTATTCAACTAGAGTAGTGTTTTAAAAATTAAAGGAAGAATAAATACAATTTTTTTAAAAGTTGACAAGGATGAGCATGGCCAACAAACCTCTCTCCACTTTGGCAACAAATAGTTTTAAATTTGGTTTCCAGAGTAAGTTAATAGAAGGTATAACACAGAGAACCAGAAATACAAAGTGCTCTATTAGTGAGATATCAGAAGTGATTATTGCTGATTATTATCTGATATTTTATAAAACAATCTCTTTTGAGATATTAAATATATACTGAGATTCATAAAACGGTAGATACCTAAATTATCTCATTTAGTAAATCAGTGGGGCTATTTAATCCAGATAATTTAAACCCTAAGAATAATTTTATTTTCCAGTAGATTGACTTTTACTTATTTTATTTATTTTCTTTTACATAAACTCAGAGGGAATTACACTTTTTAAGACCATGTCATTTAATATTTCCAGTTTTAAAGAGAAATAGAGTATTTGGCATAATGAATGCCTATTTTACTATTTGTCTTTATGTCATATGTAATTTTTCCTCTTAAATTTTATTTTAAATGTGTTTCAAAGTCCAATAAAGGGAACACTAATACAGATTGTAATTGTATTTCAGTAATTTAAACAATTCATTCTATAACTGTGTAACTTTAAGCATCTTTACACAAATTATATATATGGAAAGGACAGGTTCCTTCTTTAAGCTTTCCAGTAGCATGTTTGGAAATATTTTCCCTACATGGAGCTTAAACATGTTATTTGTGGCATGGAAACACCTGAGAGATTTCTTTGGTTCACAACACTCAGGATACAGGGGACATGATCCCAGTAATGAGCTGTTTACTTTGTATAAACAGAATGAATACAATACTCATAAATGTAAACACCCTGCTTACTTTCAGGCCAGCTGGAATTGGAGTGACTGAATAAGACAAATGGGCTTAGGTTTAACATCTTTATTTTTAAACCCTTTCTAAGAGTAATTATGCCCTTGTACATGCTGTATAACCTTTATTTCTAACCACAATGGGACTTATTTCTCCATCAGTTTTACCACTGTTTTGGACTAAATTCCTCTATTTGCTTATTTATTTACAATTCATTGTCTTTTTTCTGTTCCACTCTACTAGAATCCCAAACCTCCACTTACCTCTGTTGCTAGAGATAAGTTATGCGTATCAGCACACTCTGACAAAATTACTCTTAAGCTAGGATTTTGACCTTAGACTTATGTGCTATTCTACCTTGGTAAAGCTCAAGAATACACACACACACACACACACACACACACACACACACTCACTCACATTTGATTACATTAAAATACACCTAAATTCCATGCTTCATTAATCATTTTCCATGAATTTTATATTAATCCTGTACATTAATGAGAGCTTTTAACAATTTCCTTTTCTACTGTTGAAACTTCAGTCTTCTATTTAACCCATTTTTGGACCTTTGATCCATGTCAAGATAGCCTGTGAAGACTGTTGAACTGTTTGGCAAGATCTCCCAAGCAGTGGTTTACAAATTGTGTGGCTTCACTACTATTAGGCTGTTCAATTAATTCAATGGGCTATGAACAGATTTATAATTGAAATGGAAGAGAATAAAATACATCAGATTGAACTTTATAATTTTTATGTTACACTGCAAATGAAAAACTTGCAAAATTTTCAGTGTTTGTATGAATGTGTATGTATATGCTTGTGGTAAATATATTACTTTTATTACTTACTCTGGTTTTTATTTGAAAAGTTTTAAAGCCTAGAGCAGGATTTCTCATGCAAGAGTTACCAAATAATCCATTTAAAACATAGGTAATAATAATAATAATAATAATAATAATAATAATAAAAGTATGCATAGTATTTGCTTATATCGATTTATGTAATAAAATATACACGTACAAAGATATGCAACAATAATTTATAAAGATTAGGAATAAATTTATTATTCATTTTACTTTACGTAGTAAAAATGCCAGAAAGTTCCAGTTAAATAATACAATTTAAATAACATTAACATGGCACATGCACCTGCTTTCCTGAATTTAAACTGACCAGGTTGTGTTTAATAATATGAAGCTGTATTAGCACCTTTTAATTTTCAGTTGCTATTGATTTTATCTTTTAATATTAAGAATGTTGTGTCGTCCTTGAATCACTGTGAAAGTCATTCAGTTATTATGCACATTTGCCATGGCACTTGTTACTAAAAACTGCAGTAAGCTGATACGTTCTAAGAGTGGACACAGTTCGTGCACTCACAATTTGAACATGATATTTACTGCAGTTGTGCAGGACGTTTTTATTTTTCAATTTAGCATGCTTACACACTTTTTTTTTTTTTTTTTTTTTTTTGAGACGGAGTCTTGCTCTGTCACCCAGGCTGAAGTGCAGTGGCGCGATCTCGGCTCACTGCAAACTCCGCCTCTCCGGTTCACGCCATTCTCCTGCCTCAGCCTCCCCAGTAGCTGGGACTACAGGCGCCGGCCACCACGCCCGGCTGATTTTTTGTATTTTTTTTTTTTTTTTTTTTTTTAGTAGAGACGGGGTTTCACCGTGGTCTCGATCTCCTGACCTTGTGATCCGCCCGCCTCGGCCTCCTGCTTATACACTCTTAACCCATACAATATTTCCATTCTCTGATCTCTTTTCTATCTGAACTGATGCATAACTTTTGTTTTATATCATTCCTTGGCTTCATTTGACTCTCACTCAGAACAAATGCAGTAGAAAACAACAAGTAATTGCAAACAACAAAATTCTTAGGAGAAAAGATGCTCACAAAATGATCCAGAACACGAGTGGATTAATTCCCTTTGCGCTTATCTTTGAAATACAGAACACAAAACTTAACATCTGTCATAGAACCTTCCAGAATGTATTCATAGAGCTTAGGATGTCCATAAGTGCTAATGTGGAAATCCTGATCTAGATAATTTCTCCACATTTTGTAACTGCAGGTGTGTGTGTGTTTCATATGTACCAACTACCTGTAGAAAAGTAATCTGTGATAAGAAAAATATTGAAAGAAATCAAATGTTTATGCAGGAATTATACATATTCAAAATTAATACTATCTCTATGCTAAAAATAAATAAATGCCTATAAAATATTTTAAAATAGATACCATTACTAACACAAGACAGCAATTATACTGTACTTATAACAAAATATTCTTTCTAAAACTTACTAGAATTCCGACAATTCTAGTATGTATACAATGAGCTTTGTAAAATGGTTAAGTTTTACATGGCAGGAGAACACTAAATTGCAATGCTAAGTGAACGCTACTCCCTAATTTTAGGTTGTGAATGCCAAATTATAATGATCTCTATTTACTCTCTTGAGAAGTTACTAGTATAGCCCTCAAGTGAACATAAGAGTGAAAAACAGTGTAAATTAATGGTACTAGAGTGCATATTTTTTAAAAATCAGTTTGCAACCACAAGAATTCATGTGGGTAATGAACCATACATTATGAAACATGGCACTAAATGTTTAAATATAATATTAGAAACAGCTATGATTTACCAACTTTTAGAAAAGTAAATAACATTGTTCTACATTAAAATATGAAATAAATCTAGGTTTGATTTAATCTGGGATACATTGCTGAGGATATTGATTAACATAATCCAAGTAACTCATGTGATGCAAAGTGGAAAATAATGATTTCTAGAGTAAACAGAACTTTTAAGATTATTATTAGAAATACAGTTTGTAAGATCACAAACAAAAACACTTCCTTTTTCTAAGGCAACTTTCCAAAATTTCTTATAAGTCATATAAACAATTAATATGTTTTGACTGAGGATTGACTCTTAGCTTGAGGTACCATGTGTCTGAAGGCAATTTTTATTATATTCTCCTTCTAGACATTTATTTTATTTATTTGAATTGGGATAAGAAAAATTTTTAAAAGAAATAATTCACCCTTCCTTAATATTTACCTACAATAGAATTATCCATAGCTTACTGAAAAAAAGTGTTTTGGAGAAGTTATCTCATATTTTCAGTTTTAGAAGGATGAGTTTAAAAAACTGATTATTTTTGAGCAATCATTATATAGAATATAATATTGAGTGGAATATCTGAGTTGGGTAATATAATCTCCTTTTGACTGATCAGGAAACTGTGGTTATGTAGTAAGGTTGAGCAACTCACCCAACATCATATAACTAGTAAGTGGCAGATTGAGGATTTAGTTTCTGATGGATTCCAAACGCATACAGCTTTATCGTGAAGTGTATCAAAACTTTGAAATTATAGTGGGTGGTTAAACATAACTGTAAATGGTGTTCAGACCTGACTTCTCCATGTTTAAGGGGTTCTATTTAATCTTGAGCAGTTTGGGGAACTAATTTATATCAGCAAGTATGCATTTCCCATAAAATAAAAAATAGAATTGAGGCCGGGCATGGTCGCTCATGCCTGTAATTCCAGCACTTTGAGAGGCCAAGGTGGGTGGATTACTTGGGGCCAAGAGTTTGAGACCAGCCTGGCCAACATGGTGAAACCCTGTCTCTACTAAAAATACAAAAATTAGTCAGGCATCGTGACATGTGCCTGTAGTCCCAGCTACTCAGGAGGCTGAGGCATGAGAATCACTTGAGTCTGGGAGGCAGAGGCTGCAGTGAGCCAAGATCATGCTACTGCACTCCAGCCTGAGTGACAGAGCAAGACTGTGTCTCAAAAACAAACAAACAAACAAAAAAAACAGAATTGAATGACAGCAGTACAAAATCTTGAACATGTATTTAATTCACTTATTCAGCAATTCATTCATTCATTATGCAGGTGGCATGCAGTACACAGAAAAAAAGCAATTATATGAAGTATTTATTGTTGTGTAACAAAGTACCCCAAAACTTATTTTCTTTAAACAACAAACATTGATTATCTCACAGTTTCCGTGCCAGGAATCTGGGTACAGCTCAGCTGGGAGGCTCTACCTCAAGGTCTCTCACAAGTCCACAGTCAAGACTGGAGTTGTGATCATATCTGAAGGTTCAAATTGGGGACGATCGGCTTTTAAACTCAATCACATGGTTATTGCTAGAATTCAGTTCTCCACTGATTGTTGGACTGAGGTGTCATTTTTTTCACTGGCTATTGGCCAGAGGCTGCCCTTAGTTTCTGGCTATGTAGGCCTCTCCCTAGGGAAGCTCACAACATGATAGCTTGTTTCCCTCCTGGCAAACAAAAGGGAGAATAAGAGCAGATGAAAGAGGGAGAGGAGGGGCAAGACTGTAGCAAAAGTGTCTTTGAAACTAATATTTAAGGCATAATTTTATCACTTTTGCATATTCTATTCATAAAAGGGAGTTACTAGGTGGACCCCCACACTCAAGCAGGTAGGATTCCACAAGGACATAAATACAAGGAATTTGGGAGATAGTGTAGAAATTGCCTACCATAGCAATTAACATGTGTTAGTTGCTGGTAAACGTTTGACATTTGAATTGCATAACTTTTATATCATAAATTCAATCTATAGGAATTTCCTCGCAAAAATAACTAGAAAGACAAAAAATTCTAAACATTCTTATGTAAGAATAATTTGAATTGTAAAAAAATACAAAACTGTTTGAACTTTCAATAAAAATGGAATGAATAAATACATTTAAAAATTTAATATGTAAATAAATAATTTAAACTGGAAAATTTATATTTTTTAATTTAACATTTAACACATAAGTTACTTATTTAGCTTCATTCTTTGTTTTAATGTCAGCTCTTTGTTCTAATGTTAGCTTCTTGTAATGTTATTTCTTTGTTCTAATTTTAACTTCTTAAGGAACCCTTTTCTGTCATATTATTACCCTAGAATTATAGGTAAGGTAGTGGAAGTTGAATTGTCACAAGAAATTACAAGATCTTCACTTGAAATATTATAGGATATTCCCTTATTCTGCCTAATTACTTTTCCTATCACTTATCATAGCCTGACATTATATTAATAGTACTCATGAGTTTATTTATATGTTTGATGTTTCCCACTAGAATGCAAATTCTAGAATGGCAGGAAGTTTGTTTGCTTTGTTCATTTCTGTGGTTCAATCATCCAGACAAGTCCATGAACACAGACTTGAAAAATATTCTGAAATTTTTCTGAAGAAATGAATGAAATCTATGGATAGACTCGTATGAGAACACAGAAGAAAGGTAGTTAATGAGCCTGCAAGCCCTTGGCATGTTTGATTAACAAAGTTTTCCCAGAGGAAGTAATATTTGAGCTAAAATGAGATGGAATAAGGGAAAGGGAAGGCTTCCCTGAAGCAATAGAGATATCAATCTGTACATATATTTGATCTCATATGACAGCTCATGATCTGGCATAGAGAAGGCATTCAGTGGTTTGAAAATTGGCTATTGGAGATAAAGAGAGACAAGCTAATTTAGTGTAAAGGCAAGAAAGTGTTTGGCCTGGACAAATCATGGGGTCAGAGCTAAAAAGTGAAAGAAGTGAATCTAGGAAGGAGCTGATAAAGTAGAAAAAAAATGGTAGAGTTAGTGGATTGGAAAGCTAAATAAAGTAAAGAAAATATATGAAAGAGTTGAATTTGGGATATGATATTATGATTGAGATGTAAAGGATATTTGAGGTGGCAAGGCCAGAATAAGACATGAAAATGGGTGGCTAAAGTGGATTGGGGATAAAGGTTAATGGCATCTATTTTGAGAACATCCTAAAATATTAACTTTACAGATTTACTGCAAATTTAGAAATTCCTTTCAGAAGCGGGTGCCTATATTTAAATAAATTGTTAAACCTGTTCAAAAGTAAAGTGAAATGCAATAATTGGTTATGATATTTTTGGATTCTCTATGACCTTTCTATTTATCTTTAATCATATTCCTAGTAATAAGTCAATTTCAATAATATAATTTATTATTGTTCCTCAGAGCCTACTATATGGTATGAGAGTTACAAAGAAAAATGAGATTTCCTCACTTAACAAACTGGTTAAGACTACTACTGGCTAAGACCAGCACCCCTGCTGGTTTTCTAAGAAGTTTACATTCTAAGAAGTTTACATTGTTTGGGACATGCAAAATAAACAGCTGTCATACTGTTGGAAGAACCAGGGAAGACTTCAGAAAAATTGTATTTGAGTGGGTCTTGAAGAATACATAGAATTTTATCAATCATATAGGACAAAGTAGAATTTCAGATGGAGACAAAAACCTAAGAGAAAATAGTGGAGACAATCAAATGAGACAAGCATTTGAGAAACAATGAGTACTGTACATGGGACATGGAATGTCCTTACATATGGGTATAGAGATTTAGAGCTGGAACGGTGATATAGAGAATAAGGCTACAGGAATAAGAGTCGGGACTTAAATGAGTCTGAAAGTTTTCAAGATGACAGGGGACACTGTCAGCAAAACGTAAAATGGAAAAGGAAGTAGATTAGATGCAGAAATACCAACTAGGAGGCTATCGAAAAAGTCCAGCAAGGACTAATAAGAGCCTGAACTAGAATAAAGGAAGTATGAGTGGGGAAGAATGTGGACATGAGAAATATATGGTGATTTACAGACCTGACAGATAATTGACTATGGGGCAATTGCAAAGGATGGTGTTAAAGATGACGACTAAATTTCAACTGGGAGAACAGTGGTACTTCAATAGAAACAGGAGAGTCAGTGGAAAAGTAATAGGTATAATAAATTGATATTTTCTGATTTGATTTAAATGCTACAGGTAAATCAAAGTGGAGAGGTAAAACATTCAATTTAAATTTTGAGCTACAAATTCAGAAGTGAGGTCATAATAAGAATTTCATATTCAAGAATCATCTGCGTGGAGATGAGATAAAAAAACTTCAGAATGAATGAAATTATTAGAGAGCAACAGGGTTAAAAATAGAACTTGTCTCTGATGAGAGATATTACTATTGAAAGGTGAAAGGAGGAAGGGGAAATAGAACTAGATATAGAAAAGGAATAAATTTCCAAATAGCTATGAAAAAAAGAGAAGTAAATGATGACTGTATGACGTGGAAGCCAAATAGGGAGGGAGTGCAAGAAGGAGGGCATGGTTGGTGAAGGACAACCATAGTTAGGAGAGAATAATTTCAAAACAATATTCAAAAGATCTATTCGATAGAATAAGTCCACACTGAATCCTGATTATAATGGTTAAATTTGAGAAGTAAGTACTTCTGAGAAAGTGGTGACATCAAGATATGATCTATTTCCATAAGCTTGGCAGCAAGACAGGGGGACAGATGGTGTGGAAGCTTGGAATAGTAGCATCACAGAGAGGAAATGAAGAAATTGAGCATGTTTGCCACCCAAAAGGGAAGGAACTAAGTAGTAGAGAGGGAGACATTAAAGATGGAAATGAAACTAAGAGGAACTAGGAAATTTAGAATAATCAAGGGACCAAAACTACACATTAAAAGAGAAATGTTTATAAGAAAGATGGTCTCAGTCAGGTGTACAAAGAAAAGAAGTGGAAGTTCTGTAAATAATTGATATGTTAAACAAACACCACTTGGTTGGTTCTAACTGCAGTAATCAATTTAAAAATAGCTACTATTTGTTTAGGGGTTACTATTTTCCAGGAACTGTGCTTAACAGCGTACGTATACTATCTCATTTAATCTTTCCAACAGCTCCATGGAGTATGTACTATAAATACCCCCATTTTAAATGTAGGAAATTGTATCATTAGAGAATGTAACTTATTCAAGGCTGTCTGTGAGAGTTATATCTGTGAATCAAACTAAGACTGGCTCCCAAGCCCATACTCTTGACCACCTTGCTGGGTGAGTGGATTGAAATATGAAGAATCACCACTGTATGAAGGATAAAAGGGATTTTTCCAGCAGCAGTGGAAATCCACTTGACAGCTTGGCTTTCTAATGTGTTGTATTTAGTGTGGTTTTGTGAGTACTTCCAGAATGTGATAACAAAGATAGTAGATAATTTCATGACTTGGAAACAAGCATTATAGAAGGGCAGGGAAAAGAAAATTTCAAGGTGAGAGTTGTCATATGTTTTAAATGACTGACACTGGAGTCCAGTCTGAATGGAACAGAAGGGAAGCCCAAAGAGAGTGGCTAATTGAAAGCACAGGGCATAAGCAAGGGCCTGGGCAACACAAGAACAAAGACAATTGTTAGGTAGAAGAGAATAAAGAACTGTATTAGAGAGGAGTTTAATTCTTTCAAAAGTATTTATATGTCAAACTGATGACACTAGGATAAGCTTAGGATATTCAAAGGTTAATTAGACATAGTTCTGCCTGAGAGAAAGATTTAATACCAAGGAAAATGAGTGGAAATTGGGGTTGCTGCAGTCATGGAGCTAAGGAACTGAAGCCACAGATAGGCAGAAATTTTAGTCCGTGCATGATGTTAACTGTTGAGTTTGTAAGGCTTATAATATTGACTTTAGTAAGGTTGTATGCTATATAGTTTTTATTGCTTTTGCTATTTTATACTTTGTTTATGATTAGTGACACTTAAGAACTGCTTGTTTACAGATTCTGCTAAAATCTATGTTTCCTGCATGTCCTATCAAAGAAAAACAATCCTTGAAACCATTTTGTAAAAATACAGCTTTATATATTTCAATGCACGTCCTTCTTAAGGAAATTTGGTATCTGAAAAACTGAAACAAAACATTGTGATATTTTAAGCAGAAACAAAGATTTTTTTACCATTATAATACTTATACATGGCAATACATTATTTTTAGTTATTATTTTTAAATGACTGATTACAATAAGGAAATATGATTGTGTTTGATTTATTAATATGATACTGGACACCTCTAAATTTATTAACAAAGTAATTTTTATTACTTTTTTATTCAGAGTGCTTTGGATACAGGAACAAAGTATCCCTTTATTTCAACAAAACCAAACTTTTTCAAACCTTGCCTTTTCCATAACAACTATTATTTACTAGAGAATATGGGCAATTGTAGGGAATTTTTTGTTGACTCAGTCATCCTTATAGTTTGCCAAGTTATAGTTCTTTATATTGAATAGCCCACAATAACGCACTTTCTTGAAGAAACTGTTTAAGATCATCAAAAAATAAATGGAAGAAGTTAAAAGAAAATGTTCTTGAATGATTGAAGATGGGAGAGGATATGGTCAGGGTAAATTGGAACAGAACTCCAAAACTAATCATGTCAGGCAGGAGGAAAAAATATCTTGACTTTATTTTAGGAACGAGTCAGAAGTTATTTGTAACATTTAGTAGGGTGGAGGAAGAGAGAGAAGTTCCATTTTTCATTTCTGAAGATGCAGCTGCTAGTGCTAGCCTGACGCATGGTCCATAATTCTACAGAAAGAGTGGATGAGAATGAGTTTGTCAATACCTAACTTTTAAGTAACTTGGAGTATATTGTTTATCCTTTAATATGTGGAGGGAAGCTAAATCTGTTTCAACACATGAATAAGTGGTTGATAAATACATGAAAACTGCAATACACAAAGCTGTGAACAGAATTGCAAAAAGCTGGTGGCCAGCAATACAATTCAATGATGACAAATGACTGTTTTCCAAAGAGATTTTCTTCCTGGAAGGTGAAAACTGATGGCAAACAAATCAAGGCAATAACTTTCTCCCTATCACTGAGAATAACTCTTACAATTATGAAAAACAGCCATCCAGAAAACATAAAATGCTGAGATGAATTCTCCTCCCACCTGTTTACCTCTACTCCCCACAGTCACAGCAAAACCAATGCCCAGCTAATGTCTCAGATAACTCCCTTTCAGCATGTGGTAGACAGACAAAACTGGTAATCTTTGGGCACAATAGAAGGTAGAAAGTGGTAAGGCCTGAGGAGTTATTTGTCAAAAATTATTGCTCTAGGGTAAGATAAAACGAACCTTTCCAAAATTTCTAAAAGAAGGTTTTGGTAGTGAGGTTGTGGCAACAAAGGATTTGATAGATGTGTACTCATCAGAACATATATTTTGTATATTTTTTAGTTTTTGTTTTTCATTAGTAAGTCTTCAATCAGCTACTCTTACTTCTGTGTACATTCTTGGACAGTCAATACCATGCCTCTTTCCATATTGCAAAACTCTAATGTAACTGTGCAAGAAAACACCTCCCCCAGTTTTGAAGCAGTGAGAGTAATGTGAAGACACGGAAACATTCATTGGATTGCAATTGACTCAATGAAACTTCCTGAAACATCAAAATCTCATTAAAAGCAGCTATTGAATAAAAATATCACTTAAGATACACTCAATGATGGAGTCAGGCCAAATGTAATTTAATACTCTGTATCCAGACTGGGTGTGAGAAACTGTTAACTCATCCTGGTGCTATATTGCCAAAAGAGTTGTTCTACTTTAGATCTATTTACTTCTTGGAGAAAGCCTGCAATTTGCTCTGTAAGGGTTCCACTGTAAATTTAAGGAAGTTGTAAAGTAAATTTCTCAGTGGGGAGTGCTCATCAAGCTAACAGCCAGTTTCCAGGGAATAAATAAAGCCTCTGAAATTGAGATGACATCACAAGGGGAAGGCGCTTTAAACATTGTGAACACTGGCTTTCAGAATTGTGATTGGTCATTAATGCCTGAAATCACAGCTGCAGTCAGTGTTTTCAAGGCAGAGTTACTGGCAGCAGCAAGGATCTATGAAAACACACACCGATTGGCCCAAATTTACCTTTAAAGTTGAAAGAATAACTCAAAACCCAAAAGAATCTGCCTCTGACTTGAAGCAGAGAACCACAATTCTCAGCAATGCAACCAGGAAATGATCTACTCTTATTGTATTAACTTTGTATGGGCTTCTTTTCTCTTTACTATCTGGTTAAATCACTAGCAATCAGTGAAGATGAGGGAAAACTCATTTTCTCACATCTCTTCCCTTTTTTAAGAAAAGCTGTAATAGGGCTGAATTTCGAATGATTTCTTTTTGAGGAGCCAGGAGAGAAATAGCTATCCTTTTCTCCACAAACTGAAGATGTTTCCTTGACTAATAAATCAATTCCATAGAAACCAGAGTCTAGAGTCTTGGAGAAATGCCTTTTATAGCTCCAGTTTTTTTTTTAATGTTTGATGATACTTTACTCTGATTTCTTATATCATCACTAAATTATTGAATTGGAACAAACATCTGTTTACAAATGACACAGACCTAAGTTTAATTTTATGCCTAGACACAGTGAGAAAATTCAAATATCTGAATAAAAATGGTATGTCTCAATATTTTCAGCTGTGCATTGCCTCTTAAGTATTCTCATATTTTATTTCATATCTTTTATGTTACCAAAGAGATTATCTTAGAAATAATTTATTTTAATGCCCTCATTGTACATGTAAGAAAACTATGGCCCAATGAAGTTAAACTGATTTCCATGATTAGAAAGATAAATGGTCAAGGACTTAAGTTCCTTTGATTTTAGCTTAGTAATCTTTTCATAATTATAAGTAAGTTCTGTCATATTTGAAAACAAAACAATAAAACCATGGAAGAACCTAAGATTTTCCAGTGCCCACAAATGTAGAGCAAGTATCACTCTTTTATCCTAAGCAACGGCAGTCTGTAGATGAAGATTACACAGTCTTGACAAAAGCTAAAATGAAATGGAAAACTACTACAATCATTTGGAAATCTGACAGCTAGACTCATTCAGTGGACTATCATCATCAGTGACCAGATTTTATACATACATGTATGAATCATTCACATACAAGCATTTCAAATATGACACACATGAATACATATATGCACACATACACAAACATGCATGCATACATATGTATATGTTACTCTCAAACTAAGCTAGGAGAAGTCTTTGATTAGGATAATAAACCATTATTTGTCGTATTTACATTTTGTATTTTTCATAAGCACTTAATTTTGAAATTAAAATGTTTAATTTTCTAACTGTTCTCTGTGACAATAAAAAAAGATTAAAATTGAGCTACAAGATAAATGTGACTATATGACATGTGCTCTTAGACCAGGTTTCCATTACAATAGCAATGAAAGATTTTAGCATTTTTTTGCCATGGGATTCAAATAAAATCATAAACTTAATGAGATATTTGGATAATCATTTACATGCAGTAAAAGGAATTTTAAGTTTTCATCTCTGTAGAGAATATGTTTAAAATACACAACCCACATATACAAACATCAATCACTCATCAATTATTGGGACTATTTATATACAAAACCATTTTGATGACAATGCCATTCTCTGCTCTGGAAGAGCCAGGTGGTATTAAATGCAGACAATGGGATACTGGTTTCAAAACTCTGCCTCACTCCTGCTGACAGCTTGACCTTACTTGATCTTATCTGTGCAGGCTATAGAGAAAAATAACCAGGACACTCTGACTTTGATAGCTGTTTCTGTGATGCTAATTAGCAGAATTGCAGAAGCGACCCAGGACACCAGGTAGGGATAGCAAAGAGGGGACGGAGATGATGTCAGAGTATGTTCCAAATTGTACATTTGTAAATATTCATTTTAAAGTTTTCAACATTACATGTCATTAGCATTACTGCAATGCCAAAGCTCTTTTGAATACTGTCTGCTCTAAGGCTAACTTGTAATGAAGAGACAAAAGTCGCTAATCAGTCTGGGATATTTCGTGGTTACCTACTTTGAGTTCAGAAGATTCTTTTTTGCAAAAGGCGAAAGGTACTTGGATTATTTAGAAAGCTCTATTTCCCTTAAAATAATCACTCAGACACTTGGAAGTAATAGTAAAAAACGTATAATTTTTTCCAGTTCAAATTAAATTGTCTACATACCTATTAGCCTCTACTCACGTATTATTATCTATATGCATCCCCAAAATATGTTAATTGTGAAAAATGTTAAATGGAGATATAATAGTTAATATTTGTGAATCTATTTAGCATTTTTTCCTCACTAAATATGTAGATACAATTCAAATTGTAACAAATACACTTTATTTTTACATTGTGTTTTATGTGTTACTAATGGATCTGCCTCCATAATTTCGTTTAATGATAGCACATGCCTGAGGAAAAAACTTTTTATCCTTATTTTACAGATGTGAGAAATGAGTCATAGGCAATTTAAGTGATTTGACCAGTAAAATGGGATAACATCTTAGTAAGAGGAATTAAATCCTTTCTCAACAGCCATATTGTTCTTGATTATGCCATATGTCAATAGCAGAAAAAATGTCTATATCTAAAAGAACAAAGGCAAAGCATTATGAGGAACAGTCCAAACCAAATTAGTAAACAGTGAGGGAGAGTAAATTATATGTGCTAAAAGCTCTTGAAATTTCACACCTTTTATTGGAAAGGTGTAGACGGAAAAACTAGGCAGACCAGGTGGTTCTCAATGGAGCAATTCTGCGCACATAGATGCATTTTGAATATTTGTAGGAGTGTTTCTGGTTGTCACAATGAGGCATAACAAAACCACAGCCTGGAATAGAAGTGGGTTAAGTGGTGACCCCCTAAAAGATATGTACATGTCCTAGACCCTGGAACCTTATTTGGAAAAAGGATCTGTGGAGATGTAATTAAGTGAAAGATCTTGAAATGAAATGATCCTGGATTATCCAGATGGGCCCTAAATCCAGTGATAAATGTTCATATAAGAGATATATAGAAGGAGGCAGCCACACAGAGAAGAGGAGGAGCCAGTGTGACCCAAAGCAGAGATTAGAGTGATTCTGCCACAAGCCGAGGAATGCCTGGAGCCACCAGAAAGCTGGAAGAGCCAAAAAATAAAGTTTCCCCTACAGGGTTTAGAGGCCATACTGTCCCCTGGATTGCAGACTTTTGGTTCCAGAACTATAAAAGAATAAATTTCTGTTATTTTAACCCACTAAGCTTGTGATAATTTGTTACAGTAGTCACAGGAAGTGAACATACAGGTATATCCCACCTTCATATTTTTGTGTCCCCCCTTCACTTTGCTTACCTTCTTTCTTTAGCTGTTGCTATGAATTTCCTGTCTCCACTCAGTTATACAATACATTTCTCACTCTGCCCTGGGGCTTCTCTGCTGCCACTTGGACATCTCTGAGAAACCACTCAGCTCAGTCATTCTGATGGCCTTGAGTGGCTAACACACACAGAGGCCACAGGTATTGCAGATCTAAGGACTGCCTCAGATAGAAAAAACAAAAAATCTCCTGAATTCCTCAAGACATTCAAATGCTTTAGGAGACATTCACATGAGCAAAAACTCTATTTGTAATTATTTGATTCTATAAATAACATTTTTTGTACAAATGAAAAGTATTTGGGCAGGCTTATAATAGACACTGAGTTTTCCATGAATATATTCATCATGTAAATTGGGGGAAGATAGATTATATTCTGTTTGGGCTGGAACTTAACTAAGACCAGTTCACTATTTTAAAAACCGTCTATGAACAAATTTAGTGTGTTTTGTTAGCAACAATATGCAAATTACCCATACCACACACTTGATTAATCTTCATTTGAAACTCTCACATTTATGGTCATTCTGCATATAAGTGTGAGCATCTAATTACTTAATTATATCTTTTAAATATTGAAGTGCTTATTATTCCATTATAATTACTTGTCATATGTCTCAATTATATTACAGTTAGATAGTTATACTGAGTTTTTAAATTTTGATGCTGGTAAGTTATGTTATTTTGAGTGTAGGCTGGCAGGTTTATTTATTTATTTTCTGAAATAATTGCTTTTGGGGACATTAAAAATGTTTGTAATTAAAAGGGTGTATACTGGTTTGAAGAATATTAAGATTTCCTGAGCTAAAACGCTATCTTTCAAGGCAGACTTGGTGTCCAGGTAAACTATAGACTCATCCAATAATCTTCAAGGTACCACATAAGCATAGCCAGAACACATCTCATCTTGCTTTATAATATTAAGGTTATTTTTCCTCCTCCTCACCTTTCCCCTCCATTCTCCTCCTCCTGCTTTCCTCCTTCTGCTTCTTCATATCCCTTGTCTCAGAGAAGCTTCAGCTTTACAGTTAAATAATCCTCTTCATCATCACAAGATGTTTATCGAGTATCTATCATGTTAAAAAGCACATTCTCGACCGGGCGCGGTCGCTCACGCCTGTAATCCCAGCACTTTGGGAGGCCGAGGCGGGCGGATCACAAGGTCAGGAGATCGAGACCATTCTGGCTAACACGCTGAAACCCCGTCTCCACTAAAAATACAAAAAATTAGCCGGGCGTGGTAGCGGGCGCCTGTAATCCCAGCTGCTCAGGAGGCTGAGGCCAGAGAATGGCGTGAACCCGGGAGGCGGAGCTTGCAGTGAGCCGAGATCACGCCACTGCACTCCAGCCTGGGCGACAGAGCGAGACTCCGTCTCAACTGAAAAAAAAAAAAAAGAAAGAAGAAAAAAAGTACATTCTAAATAGACTAAAGAGTATAAATTCAGACTTCTGTCCTCAAAAGCTTATCAACATGAACTGAAAAATATATGCGGTATACATAAAATATACTTAAAATCATGATTAGCTGTGTCAATTTCCTGGCTTTCTTCTCCAGTTGATATTTTGCATGTCTTTTTATGTTTTTCCTTGGCAGTACTTGCTTAGATTATAACGTCCTGAGGGGTTGGGATCCTATTTAAATAATTCTCTTTGTACAGATCCTAAAATAGCACAATGAAGAATTAGTACTTTAAAATTCTTTTTGATGAGGGAGTGAAGCTATGCCTAAATCCCTGATAGAAATCACTACTATTTCCAGATTACATAACAGCTATATTTAAAGCTTCTGAAATAGAGCCATTGGTAAGAACTAAGATTCAGTAATTCTTTTGGGAAACTGCATTTTTTTTTAGTCACAATCCAGAGAGGATATTCACTCAATAGAGTTATTAGAGTTATTTAGCATTGTAATGTTAAAATATTTGAAAGGAAAACGGCACAATGGCATAGTGACTCAATGGTAATATTTTATGAATTTCGTTATTATTTCATGCATAGCTACTCTGTGAGTAAAGCCATCATAAATCTAGTCATTGAATTACTAAGGAGCTCAGTGGTACCCTTTGAACAAAATGGAAGCAAATATCTGGTAGGGCAAAGGCATAATCTTCCATAACTTAAGATAAATATGGTTATATTTGGAAAAGGACAATAGAAAATAGGAAGGAAGGGTAGCAGAATATTAAAATGAGATTTTTAACTTACACAGAAAAAGTAATGAGAATTTAAAATGGAGAGTCAATACCAGAAAAGCAACATTCAAATTTAGACTCTGAGTTGAGGCCCCATTGCAAATTCAGTGGTGAGGTAAAATAGATAAATGACTGAAACCTCATGGGCCCCTTACTTGATTTTAGAAAGTAAGAAAGGGACTTACTTTAAAGATTGTGATGACATGGCTACCTATTATAATAATAATACTCTAATACAGTGGAGGAAAATAAGTGAAATTAACATACTCTGGGTCTCTACTTTCACAAGTTACCCAAGTTTAACCTCGCAACAGTCCCCAAGATAGTCAGAAAGACAACAAATACCAGTTGAGACAGCAATGAGCTTTACACATACAGTTAATGTTTTAAGGGGCTAATACATGCACAACAAAAATGTAATTTCCCAATTCTCAGAGAGGAGGAAATCCAGGCTAAACCAGACTAAGAAGCTACCACCAAACCACCAGTTTGTAAATTGAAGAAGGAAGATTATTAATTTGAATACAGGCATTTATATGAGTCTTCACACTACCTTAAACTTACAAGATTGCAAATTACTTCTTTGAACTTTCTCCCATATCTTGAATCTCCAACCTTATTTAAGTAGGTAATTGTGAAAGGAGTTTATTTAATAGTTCAAGTTGCTTTGTTATTTTCATATGGAGTACGTAAGTTATTAATATTAAAAATATCACAAGTAGTGAAGCTTTGGCAGTGAGGCATGACAGGTCCTCAGCCAGGAGAAGAAGGGGGTTTATCGAGCATCTCTGAGCTCTGTCTGACATGCCCTTGGCCCACATGCTTATTCTCGGCAATGAGCTGTGCTGGTATAACCTGACAGCACTTTTTCTTGGCTCTATCAATCACATGCCTTTTCGGGTTTCTGTGCTTAGGCCTTCTCTACTGCTATCTTTTGGAATACCTGTGGGAACCCAAGCAGACATTTGAATTCACGTATGTGCAAAGCTGAAAGTGCAAGGAGTTTAACACTTTAAATCTCAACTAATAGGAGATCTGGGCCAGAGGATAAATACTCCCCTTTTAATCATTTTATGTAAGCAGTCTGAGGTGCATTCAACATGGCTTCTCTGAAGGTCATCAGCAATAACTCCATTTGCCATCCATGGAATCTTTACAACAACCCTATGAGATAAATTCCGTATCTCTGTTTTTAAAATGACAAAACTGAAGTTTAGAGATGTAGAGCAAAATTCCAAAAGTCACGCAATTTTTTAATGAAGAACATGAGGTTTGAACTACACTTATTCACAGCAGAAATGCTAAGGGGATATAAGACAGAGGTTGAGAAAGCTGCAGAGACGCCTACAGGGAGAGAAAGAGAATCATACGATTGAGGTACTTCAAATACGACGTCTTCCAATTTGGAATGATTTGGAGAATATCTAGATGATGCCTTCTACCTACAATCTCTTATGATATTATCTAAATTTCCTCCATTAGATATTTGTTAGGTCTTCAAGATCTGTTCAAATGAAAATACCTTTTGGAAAAATTGCTATAAATTTAATGGTAAAAAGGGCTAGTTGTCAGCTGTTTGAGAGCAATAGCTTTGAAAGAGTATAATCCAGTCCTAGGATATAAAAAACACAGGGAAGGAAGTGAAATTAAAAGAGGTAAAGGAGCTACAAAGTCAAATTTCACTTTTATTTATTTTCTTTAAGGTTTGTCCTACTAGTAACTATAAGGAATATGAAATTTCAAAGCAAAAAAAGATTAATTAGTAGGAAACCCTTTTTATTTAAAAAGTCTTGAAAGTGTGTAAGGAGCAAAGCAATTTCTAAAGCAGTGCTCCATGTTTAGCTTTCTAAGTTTAGTTAGGATATAAAGAAATAATTATACATCTGACTTAGTCATAATTGCACCATCTTCCCTCTCATGAAAGGCTACAGATTATGTAACTGCAGCTATTGATTTTCCACATCAGACATTTTAATTGAAAGGTTAAGATGAAACTGGATCAGCAAAGTTTGAGGTTACTAATTCTGCATTAAATAATTTGGGACTTGAACGCCCTCAACAGACAAGAGGCTAAGAATGTTATAAGAAACATTGCACTTCTTGGAAAAGGAGTATTACTATTACCAGTTAACAGAAAATATTTAAAGCTTGGACTGAAATAAAAGACATGAACTTCAAATAACCTTAGCTTATGAGTGGGAACGTTCTGCCATTATTGGATTTGCTGATTGTGATATAGACTACTACTCAAAGCCTACTTCCACTTTAGAACTGACATCATTTTTATTGACATTGATGTTAACATTTGAGGTATTTAAGTAAAGAAGATAATGTCAGAATGATCATTTAGTAACTATTGCCATCCAGAGGCTGAGTTCAAACCTTAATCCTAAAAGCCCTACAGAAAAAAAAAAAAAATCAACACTCACTATTCAACTGTCAAAAAGACTGATATCCCTGAGGCCATTAAGTGGCAATAGTAAGCAATAACCCCCATCATCATTAAGACTGGAAATCATCTAAAAATTTATCAACAGAAATACAATGATTTAAATGCTTCAGAAGAAGAAATAGATTAGGTAAATTAATATGAAATAAAAGGGACTAGGGAAGATCAATATGTTACTAAATCTAGACCTTGCTCAGAGAACCCATTGTAAAACTCCAAATATATTACCTGTATATTGAGCTAATTAATGCTACACTTGAGGCACAAAACTACAAATTAGACATGTAAAACTAAATATTTACAAGGAGACTTTCATAAAGAATTTTAATTATTTTTGTTAATATTTTCTAAGCATATCCTTCCCTTTTCAGGTATGGGGACATGCATAATTAATTATATAAACCTTAAAATGTTTATTATATGTTGTAGTGAACTAATATCTAACAGTTCTTAGTCATCCTGCAAGTCTGCCCTGACGACCCATCATCATGAAGGCATTCTGGATCCTTCTGGATAAACTGAATTGGGTTCCCATCTCTTTGCTCCTACTGTGTACTGCCCACACCCAATTTCTTAGGGCTTACCACATTGTTTTTGAAATTGTCTACTTAAATATCAGTCTCCGCCAGTAACTGGGAGCATAACTGAGGGTGGTAACCATGTTTTCTACAACTTGCTAATACTCTGTTGCCTCAGCATTGCTTTTTAGATGGCTGTATACAACAGTAGTTCTTAAACAAGTCTGAGTCCCAAATTCAGAGCTTAACCTGACTTATTTCCCACCTAAATTTCTCAGTTTTTAGAATACTATTTCAATATTATTAAATTAGCTCATTGCTTTGGAGTGATATTGCTGTGACCTGTGCCAACATAGATGTTACTTCTAATAGTGCTATAATGCTGGAAATTGTTCAAGAGTGAGAACATGATGAAGTGGGGATAAGTGCCAGAAATTAATGCTGTGTAGGTATAGCCAAAGGTGGCAAAGCCTGCATGCGGCTCTTTCCAGCCTTTAATCTGTTGTAATGGTCAAAACAATAAAAGAGTTTTCAGTGGTCTGAAGGAAAATCATTGAAGTTAAATACATGCATACTCATGGAGTCCATCTATAAAAACATATTTGACAGAAAGAAGAGGTTGGGAAATTTCTTTGTAGAATGGTAATTTAAATGCTTGACAGTTTGGCTAATGTTTGCATTATTCATCACTTAGTACTTGATGAAGATACTTCACTTTTTATCTTGATTTCATTCCTCACTTGCCCTACTAAAGTATGTATATTTCAAGTAAAGTCAGCAAACATTAACAATTTCAAGAGCTCCAAAAATTATATCGGTACCAACACTACATAAAGTAGGTTCATACTAATGCTACATTGCACACATTCAGTGTACGCAATACAACATTGCAGAAAAAGAAAGTCAATTTGATTTTTAAGCTGCAAGATATTACGCTAATATCAAATTTCATGTATAATTGGGCCATTATGCTCTTAAGATACAGAAAATACCTGAAATTTTTTGGAGTGCTTTATTTAACCAGTGGGAATTATTATTTAAATAATATACACTTCTGCTTTTTAAAAACTTGCTATAAATAATTGTACATTTAATCCTCTTGGGATTTAATCTGTTAAAAAAAAAAGCATGTTTAAAACAAGTAAAGGGCACCAATAAATAAAGTTGCATTATTTTAAGCTAAATGAAGTATCGTGCTATTGAAACAATGAAGCACTTTATCTTAAAATTCCTTATTTTTAATAGCTAGATTCTCTGCTCTTGATGAAATTAAACATAATGATAATCATTTGATACAGCTAAAATACAATATCTCTCCTCTCTTAGTAGAAATAGTTCAAAATTTCTAGAAAATAAGTTGGCAAATATTCAAAACACGAAGAAATTGATGAATGTTAAAATAAAGTAATAATCATCTTTGCAAGGTAGAATGGTTTCACGTCCTATCGCTGGAAACCACACACAGCTGAGGATATTCCAACCTTGGCATCCTTTCAGAAGTTATTTCCATATACTTGCCAAATCACTGGGAAGTTTCTATTCTGAAAATAGATCATTGTAATATCCTTAGTAAGAAGGCCCATTGTTGAATTAATGCCAGATTTATCTGTGCTGTTAAAATTATTACCCGTATTAGCACAGCTATTAATAATACTACCCTGTGGTTTTCAAAGAGCTTTCATTTGTACTGCCTCATTTAGTTATTTCAGCAACTCTGCGAGGTAAAAAGGACTAGTATTATTATCCCCATTGTATATATGGGAAATTGACACAAAAAGACCGAATTGACGCTACAAGTTACACAATGGGAAACTGTGACTTACAGATCAGGAATCTTTGTAATTTAAAAAGTAGTGGAAATATTTATTAAACATTTGTTATGGGCAGTCACTTTCATCTCCTAATAATAGTTATTGTGAATTGTGTGTTTTCTTTGTGCCAGATAATTTAACAAACCCTATCTTTAAAAGTTCAAACTTTCAAAGACAGATATTATCATTCCCCTCTTTCAGGTGAGAATGTAGTAGCCCAGTGGTGGCATAATAAATTTTAAATTCAGGTCTGTCTGACTTCCAAGTTCAAGGTCTTCCCTCTGAGATATTACTTCATTTAAATCTTACATTATCACTTTGAAGTAGGTATAATGTCTCTCCTTTTTTTTTAATTTTTATTTTTTAAACAGACCTGGAAATGATCTAAGACAGTTAATGTTACAAGAAAAGACTGGTTGAAGAATCAGCATTCTGGCTGGCTGAATTTTCAATTTTTGTGATTGTTGACAATTTTTAAAAATATATAATTAAATTTCCTGCCTTACTAGGAAGAATACAATTAGAGCAACTGTAGTTTTTGTTGAAGATGGTAGCCTTTCAACTGCTAAGGACAGTATTTTAATCTCACTTTGCAAAACATTTGTGTAAATATTGAAAGCAGCAGATGGGCTTGAATCTGTACTGATTGTCATATATGACTGAATATTCTTTTTAAACATAAATCATTAATGTCAAAGAGTTTTTGTGATTGTGAGATCTGGGTAATTGGTGTATTATTATACCCCTACTGTGAGCCAGATACTAAGCTATAGCAAAGGGGATAGACGTATGAGCGAATTAAGCACATGAATTAGATTTTACAATACTGAGAGCATCAGAGTTCTGAACAGGATAAAATTAGATATTTAATATATTTTAGGCTTAGTATGAGGAAAAATGCTGCACTAAGCTATAAGCAATTTAATATTTAATCATAGCATAAAGAAACCACAAACAGGAAAGCAGTACAACAGATTTACATTATTTGTTAAATATAAAATAATCATCTGGATATTTTTATTTGAGGCTATTTATGTTATTTATGATTTAAGAGTACAATATTCTGTTATGTGTGCCAAGAAGAAGGTCAGAATATTTTAGAGTTAAGTCAAGAGTTAAGATCACAGTGATTATTAATACTGTTCCTAAATTGCAGTATCATCTGTTGTAGTAACAATATTGCAATGAAAGGTTGAAATAAAATACTGCATAGTTTATGTAAATAAGCACAGATTTTGTTTTGTGTAATAAGCAAACTGTTTTCAGAAAACACTATTTTAAATAGACAAATTGTTGTTAGTGTTTCTTTTTGTAAACACTGCACCAAAAATAAAAATAAAAGCCATAAATATATGGCCATATATATATATATTTTGAGACTGAGTCTTGCTCTGTTGCCCAGGCGGAAGTGCAGTGGTGGCATCCCTGCTCACTGCAACCTCTGCCTCTCAGGTTCAAGTCATTCTTCTCCCTCAGCCTCCTGAGTAGCTGAGATAACAGGCATGTGCCACCACACCCAACTAATCTTTATATTTTTAGTAGAGACAGGGTTTCACCATGTTGGCCAGGCTGGTTTCAAACTCCTGACCTCAAGTGATCCACGCATCTCAGCCTCCCAAAATGCTGGGATTATGGGCATGAGCCACAACGTCCAGCCCATAAACACTATATTTTATAAATCACAATCATTATTGTTGAAGTTTTTTAAAATATTGAATTATCTTATTACTTTTCCCATAATTAAAAATATACAAATCCTAGAATGCAATCATAGTACAAACTTGGAGAAATCAAATAATGTACTTTTCTTCTAATGTTCAGCCATTACAGTGGTATTCTCCTGAGCAGAAAAGAGCACGTAATTTATAATTATTGAGGTTTTCTTTTATTTATGTTGATAAATGTATTTATTCTGGAAAGAACATTGATTAAAAAAAACCACATTTTATCGTTCTTCCCTTTGGGAGTTTCTTTCCACAGACATCTTTATAATTACTGTTCTGGTTTTGACATAATACTTCAATACTAATTAAGTCGTCCAAAGAAATTCAACGATCATTTATTGAACAACCACTATAGGCAAGGTGCTGTGGAGATCTGTAAAAAATAAAGAGATGAAGGACATCACAACTTGTCTTCAAGGAGTTAAATTTCCTGAGGAATCTAGAACAAATTCAGCAATTGCCCTAATATATAGTGTGTTAGTTCTCTATCGCTCCTGTAACAAATTACCACAAATTTAGTGACTAAAAAGAACACAAATTAATATCTTAAGTTGTTTTGGTCAGAAGGCTGAAATAGGTATCGTGGGGCTGAAATCAAGCTATTGATGCATGAGTTCCTTCTGGAAGCTCCAGGAAAGAATTCACTTCCTTGTCTTTTCAGCTTCTAGAGGCTGCCTTCATTTCTTGGTTTGTGGCTCCCTTCCATCTTCAAAACCAGCAATTGCATCACTCCAATCTCTGTTTCCACCATATGTCTCTCACTCTGACTCTCCTTCCTCCTTTTTTTTTTTTTAACTTATAAGGTGCTTTTCCATTACATTAATCCCACTCAAATAATGCAGGATAACCTCTCCATCTCAAAATCCTTAACTTAGTCACAGCTGCAAAGTTTTTTTGTCCATGTAAAATAACATATTCACGGGTTCTGGGGATTTGAATGTGTAAATATCTTTTATTAGAGGTGGCATTCTTCTGCCTATCACACTTGTCTAAACTATGGTGAAGCCATAAATACCTTACATTTTAGATGTAAACACTGACATACTCAAAAATCCAATATTTAAGTTGTTTTAACCTATTCATATTAAAACATTTAAATATTAACAGGGAAGATGATAAGGCCAAAAGTTTATCATATGCAATTAAGTAAGCAAGAAAAATTTCCCATTTCAGGTTTCAAAAGAAATAAGCAAATCTATTGATAATGCATAGATTAAGTCTTAGTGAATAAATTTACATTTGTATTTTTAGTTCACTGTTACATATCAACCACCTAACTGTACTTTAATTTTATTTGAAAAATCTTACTATCAGAAAGCAAAAACAACTGGACAGTAGAACTTAATTTGGTTCTACAGAAATTTCTTGCGCTGACTTGTAAAACAATGAAATACTAGTTTTGAAAAAAATAATTATTAAATTATTTCATAAAAATCTTTAAATACTTTATAAAATCTTTTTATTTCACATATCCCTCTATTATCCCATTTCTCTGTTCCTTCTTAAAACAAAATGACTTGAAAAATTTTTTTGAACTTTCTATTTCCAATTTTTTTTCTCATTCTACGTTTAACCTATTTTAGTCATATTTTGCTCCCGTTATACGGAAACGTAATTTTAGTGAAAGTCACCAGTGATCACCACACTGCTAAATCAAAGATCAAATCCCAGTCCTTATTTTACTGGACCTCTCAGTAGCATTCAAAGCAGATGATTATTCTCTTTTTGAACTTCTTTCTTAATTTGACATTCAGAACCTCAACTCTCTTGATTTTCATACTATTTCACCATTCAGTCCTCAGCCACATTTACCTCTCTTCTTTAACCCCTTAACCCGCGATGATGGGGTGCCCCAGGGATCAGCCTTCGGATTTTTACTTTTCTGTGTTTCTTCTACTCATCCTAAGTGAGATTATCTAGTCTTGGGGATTTTACTATTATTTGCATGGTATTTATTCCTAAAATTTTATTTTCAGTCTGTATCTCTTCCTGGAGCTCCACAGTCATTTACCTAAACTCCCTATTTAATATGTCCAGTTGGATCTCCAGGAGACTCATAAACTCAGCATATCCTAAACTGAATTTATTATTTCTGCCCCCTTCTCTTACAGGAACAAAACAAAATTGCACAAGTAATGTTCTCTATCTCAGTAAATGGCAACTCTATTCTGGCAGATGTTCAGGCCTAAAGCATTGTAATTTACCTTGACTCTTTTCTGTCTCTTATATTTCATAACCAACCTGTCAGCAAATCCTGCCGATTGTAAACCTAGTTCCAGAATATGAACCTTCTCACCACATTCATTACCACCATTTATCTCTCACTTAGATTATTTCCCTGATTTCCTAATTGGTCTCTCTGTTTGTGTTGCTTCCCTACATTACATTTTCAAATACAATATGCAGAGTGATTCTTTAAAAATCTAAGTCAAATAATTTACCTGTGCACAACCTTATACAATTTTCCTGACTCAGTCTGAGTAAAATCCAAAGTCAGGATAGTGGCCTATAAACTCCTGCATTCTCTGGTTTTCTGTTACCTACCTGAGCTCAACTCACAGGTTTTCACATGCTCTATCTCCTTCTGGAATGTTCTTCTCTCCCATGAAGGCAGGGTATTTGTCTCCTTTATATTTTCAGTTTCAGAAATAGATGCTGGCACAGTGAAGGCACTCAGTGAATGTTTGTTAAATAGGTGAACATATTTTGTCTAAAACTAAATGTGAAGTAAAATATGTTCACTACTTTTCCTCTTAGAAAATCTGATGACAGCAAAAATGCAGAGGGTTTATTTTTCCTGTTTGTGTTTAGTACCTGATTCCAAAGGAATTTATAGGCTGAACAACAGTATGTAACCAGTGACTTGCCTGTATTTTTCAAATTAAGGATTGACAAGTGATAGAGGTATTGGGGTTAAATAAATTTCTGCTTCTGCCAGAGCTCTTGTATCAGCTGTCCTCAGAGTTGTCTCTGGTGCTTTAGTAAACAATAGAGACCCATTCCCACTGCTTTATTCACTGTCAGTCTGGCTGCTGCTAACAGCAACCAGGCAGGTCCTGCTTTTCGTTTGTTTGTTTTATATGTGTATTGACTTTCTCAAACATCTGAAAGCTATTACAATTTGTCTTTGAATTTTTCTCAAAAGTTTTTTCTTTGTGTTTTTATTACTTCTACTGTTATAAGTACAATATTCTATTAGGTTGTTTGCATCATTCACCTTCTGCTGCCCACCTTCTCCATAAGCCCAAATATAAATGTCTTGACTACTTTTCCTATTTCACTCAGTATTTTAAAGATGCTCAATGGTGAGTGGAAAATGTAATAGTTAATAATAATTACAATAAAATGTCTGGTAATCTCTTAATTAGATATATAACAATTAAATTATTAGATAGTTGACAATCTATTTAAGTTTATACACACACACACACACACACACACACACACACAAATATTCCTTTCTTTCCAACCTCTTATAAGGCTGGTGATTATAATGATCCCTTGATTCAAGCAAGGTTCTTACAGCAGAACAAGAGTAAAAGAGTCAAATCCTTGTCTCTGAGATATAAAATCTAAAGTTCAGCCGCAAAAGAAACATATTTTGAAAAACAGAGGCTGCTGCAAGTATTTTCACCTCCTCCCAACATAAAGCTCTTCTGGGCTAGAAAGAGAGGAACTTCAGTCGGGAGGTATAGTTAAAGCTGGTGTAGGCTCCTTGAGAGGAGGAGTGGTGCTAGAATCCTTGGAGAAGCTTGGCTTGAGTAAAAGGCACTTGGGCTCATTTCCATTTGGGACCAGTGAGTCAGTAAGTCTTAGAGTTCTATCCTCAACTACAGAGGGGTAAATCTTTTACCTAAGAAATTTTTTTTGTTTGTTTACAACAAAATTTTTTGAGCATAATAAATGCATTAAAGGTGCTATCTGATTTATCTCTACAACTCTGTATGAACTGATGAGAAAACTGAAATTCAGAAAGTTTAAGAAACCTGCCAGGCTGGGTGCAGTGGCTCACGCCTGTAATCCCAGCACTTTGGGAGGCCAAGGTGGGCAGATCACTTAAAGTCAGGAGTTCAAGACCAACCTGGCCAACATGATGAAACCCCACCACTACCAAAAATACAAAAAATTAGCCGGGCATGGTGGCGGGTGCCTGTAGTCCCAGCTACTCGGGAGGCTGAGGCAGAAGAATGGCTTGAACCCGGGAGATGGAGGTTGCAGTGAGCAGAGATAGTGACACTGCACTCCAGCCTGGGTAATAGAGCGAGACTCCATCTCAAAAAAAAAAGGGAACCTGCCTAAAATTGTACCACAAGACACAAGAGAGGGTGTGGTCTCCACAGACAGATTGCCTTATGTGAAACCAACTCCATTTCTTGTGAGTTGTGTGCCTTGGGAAAGTTACTTAGTGCTTTTGTGCTTTCTTTCTTCATCTTTAATACTAACAATTATAGCTATTTATATGGTTCTTATTATTACTAAATTAGTTAATACATGTAAAGCGCTTTAGTTTAGTAAGTGCTTAATAAATATTGGCTCTTAATTTATTATGCAGCAGAGTTAGGAGTATAACCAAGACTCATCTGACTCCAACCTGTGCTTTGAACACCGTACATACAGGCCCATACATACAGCTGATCTCATTATTATAAGGACTGGAGAGGAATGGGATGCAGTTGACCTTCAAAAATAGCATCTCCCTGATTCTAGCTAAGCAGGGCTAATTGAGGCCCAAGCTGACAGGTCAGATGTTTCTTTCATAAGGATGTTCCTCTGTTTGACTTTGCCTCCTCATTTCTTCATCCTTCCTATGGATTAAGCCATTTAGAACCAATTATTCCTATGAATACCCGTCAGAAATCTCTTGTATTTGTGTTCTCTGAAGTAAGAATGATTAAAATTATAATAAAAACTCTCCCACTCTACCCTAAAATGTGTTGTAACCTGGAACACCTAAAAATGTGTTGTTAACCAGAATATTTTCCCTCAGAGGTATCACAATGTGCCTATGAATATGTAAACTTGCCTTTTAAATCAATAGCTGTGAAAATGTGAAGAATATCTTGTGAAATTAAATGGAAGTAATTGCTAACATATTTAGAGTTTATGATGAGGGGAGTACTGTACTAAGCAGCTGACATCCAATAATTCATTTAATTCTATGGAAGCTCTATAAAGCAGTTGCTATAATTTCTCCCAATATAAAGATAAAAGAGTGACTCAGTTTTAGCTCAAACAAGCAAAGTCATAGCATCTGAGTGTTATCCAGGCAGTCTGACTACAGGGCCCTATGGCTTAACCATGAACCTCAGAAAATTCTGTTCAGACATTTTCTGGATGCCAGGTGGTCTTATCCAGCAGACAATGCCCTTTATTTCATAGGCATATCTCTGTAGAGTGACTGATTTTAACCTGATTGCCCCAATGCATGTAAATTTTAAAATTTACACAAGGATATATTCCTTCCGGTGTGACTATTCCTTTGCTTTTGAATATTTGCTCCCGAATATAATATAAGATATGGTAGAATTTATAAATATTTTAAGCTTCTCCTGTGGCCTTGTCCTTTTAAATCTGTGTATTTATAATTTCAATCCAATTACTTGTTTTTAACTTACATTTTTGCACTAAATTCTACAGGGGAATCTAAAACACTTCAGCATTTCTGAATTCTGAGCAACCTGAAAATAGGGATGTCTCAAGTTATATTCTTAGCTTCATCTTGCTAGTGGAGTAATTAAAGCACGGGTAAAATCTGTTTAAAGTTTAATGTAATTAGCAAAGCTTTGGGGTAAAGTCTTACTAAATTCTAACAAATAAAATGTATATGGATTTTTTTTTTACTTATTCTTAAAAGGTGACAAGAAAAATTGAGTTATCAGAAAATCTAAGTCTCTAAAACTTCTTTACTTATTTTTATCTTCTCAACTTATAATTCTCTTGACAGTTTCTTCAATTTTCTAATTCAGTTTATGTACATATGTGCAGAACTTAGACAGTTACAGTTACAGTGGTTTCCCTTCAATAGGTTGGGACTGTGTTTTTTTCTAAAATATTCTATATCATTTCTTCCATACATATTTTTTAAAAGTCTCTAATTTACTTTTGTATTTTCTCCACTTAGAAATATAACTGTGATAACAGAAACTTTGAAAAAAATAATAGTTGAGGTTAATGTATTGAGGATTAAAATTTCTGATCCACATTTGAGGCCTGAATATTGCTTTAAGTGCAGTAAACCATTGTTGAGAACTGAAAATTATTCCCATTAGCTAAGAAAAAACAGAGGTAAACCACATTAACTTTCTCTCCACAGTCTTCAGTGAAAATGCTTTCATTGTGCATATTTTGCTTAGAAAATGAACCAGCTTCGTTAAATTTAAACATCAATTGACACGATTCTATCAATTTTGCACTGATTATGAACACTTTTATAGTGAATTATTTGCACAATAGTGGATACAGAGTGCCACTGTGGCCTTTTCAGTACGTTTGCATGGAAGCCAATAAGCTTACTATCAAAACCAGAGTGAAATTCACAGTTCTTATGGATTTTATTTTTATTCTTGATTCTAAGAATTCAAGTATATTACTTTTGTTTCGACATTGAATCTGAACTAACAAAGGATGAAATGAAGCAAAAGTGAAATAGAGTTGAAAATAAATCTAAGCAGAGTAATGTGTGTTCAACCTATCACTACTAAAGTTTGAATTCTGGAAAATTAACCCATTGTATTAGATCCCACTTGCATGATATAATATTGTATATTTTTACAAAGGATGTTTGCTTTCTTCATTAATTCTCATTTGTCTTTCTGACAATTCTATGCAACACTGTCATTCCCAATAAGCCTAGTGAAATATTTCCACTTGCATCCTCCAAGTCACACCTAACTGGCTGCTTCTTGGGTCTCTCAATTTAATTCCCATAATGGTTAATTTTAAATTCTTTTATTTATTTACTTAAACACTACAGTTCTGGAAATGCAGTATCTCCAATCAGATCAAAGCTCTTCAGTAACAGGAGAAAATTATTCAAAATTCAATGAATGTTTATTTAGTTCTTGAGATAGGTCAAACAATGTAGTAAGAAGCTGAAAATTCATAGATGAATAAGCTACCCAAGAATGTTGAAGGCAATTTGTAAGAAGGACTATAGTGTGGATGTGCACAGAGTGTTGTGGATCACAGGGGAATGAATAAAATCTAGGGCTGGAAAGAGGTTAAGAGACATGAAATAAAATACAAAACATTCAATTTATGTTTAAATTAATGAGTAGATGCATTTCTCATGAATAAGGAGGAGGAAGAGACAGAGAATAAGACCAGGTTATGGGTTTTCATAAAACATGGCCTGCTTGGGAAGGAGAATAGAATAGTTGTATATGGTCACAGGGTGCCAGAGAGGGAATAGTGGGAGATAATGTTAGATAGATGGAAGGCAGTCAGACTGGGAAGGGCCTAAATATTTGTCTTTTTTTTTTCTATAATATTTGTATTTTCCTTGTAGGAAATGGAAAGACATTGATCTATATTACATTGGCGTTTTTTTTAATGAAATATCACTGTCTTTAAGAAGCAGTATCATACTCTGCACTTCTAAATTAGATGCCTTCTTATGTATTCCCAGATTTCATAGTATGCTGTACTTAGTTCTACCATAGTACTCATCATAGTTTTGTAATTGTGTATGTGAGTGTGTGTGTGTGTGTGTCTGTAGTCTATTTTAATTTTTTATTTAATTAATTTATTCTTACAGACAGGATCTTGCTCTGTCACCCAGGCTGGAGGGCAGTGGCATCATCACAGCTCACTGTAACTTTGAGCTCCTGGGCTCAAGAAATTCTCCTGCTTCAGCCTCTTGAGTAGCTAGGACTACAGGAACGTGTTACCACTCCCGGCTAATTAATTAATTCTTTTTTTTTTTTGGTAGAGAAGGGGTTTCTGTATGAGTGCCCAGGCTGGTCTCAAACTCCTCGGTTCAAGGCATCCTCCTGTCTCAGCCCCACAAAGTGCTAAGATTACAGGCATGGGTCACTGTGCCTGGCCTATATCTGTAGTCTATACTAAACTGCAGGCTTCTGTAGGACGTTGACATACCTTATTCTCAGTTATATGCTCATTACCTAGCACTTGGCTTAGCCCATGGTGGATTCTTAGTAAATATTTGGTGAATATATTAATCACATTTTTAAGATGAGAACTCTGACATGAGTGTCAAGGATGCAGAGAAGTGAGATGGGATAATCAAGGAAAGTGACAAAGTATGAATTTAACCCTGAGAGATTATTCTGAAGTATATGTAATGAATATGCTATGCTTTGTTCATTATAAATAGTCCAGTGTTTGAAGCCTTAGGTTAATTTAACTAGATCATTAAAATATTAGAATTTTCTAACTATAGGCTTAAGCCAAGTAAGCCGTATTCAACCACATTAAACTATTTTGTCATATAGCTTATCTTCTTTCTTTCTACGGCAACAGAGATGGTACTATGGGGATGATGATATTGAATCTATATCTAATACTGTAGTCTATATCACAGGCAAAATCATATTTACACTATCTTGTCTTAACTTTGACAGTATGATTCAGTATCCAAGCCATTTCTACTTATCTAGGCTGCCATTATATTCACGCAAGCCTTTGATAGATCAATGGAACAGGGCAGCCTGGTGGAGCAAGAAGAACCCTGTTTTAAGACAGAAGTCTTTAGGAAAAGTCTCCATCTTGCAATTAAACTGTCTTGTGACTTTGGACAAGTTATCAGAGCCTGGAGCTAATGCTTCTGGTTTCAAATTTTAGCAGATATAAGTGAAGTAAAGTATACAAAGTCTCTAGTACAATAACTGGCATAGTGGAATTTTTAGGCTCCTCCCTGGTCACCTCCCTGAGTTTCTTCACTTACTAAAGTAGGAGGTTTAGTGGCAGTCATTTCTGATGTCATCATGAGTGTATGATTCTATTACGATGAATTATAAAACTAGTTGTTTACACTTCACAATAGGGTAGACAATTGTCTCTCAAATATGGCAGAACATTTAAAAGGTGAAACTGAACAAAGTTTTCTAACACTGGATTTTTAAAAGGCTTACTATTTTTAATGCATTTCTAAAAAAGAAGTCCCTTACTACTAGCATTACCTTCTGGGAAACAACAGCAATAAAAAAAGAATTGGAAGAATAATACAATCGCTTTTTCCTATCCATAAATGAATGAATGATGCAGCGCTTCTAGAACTGAAAAGCATTTGAGAGCCATGCTTAGCTTGAAATCTTTTTAGAATTATTTAGCCTTATTTCTAAGGAAGAGTCACTTTTATTTTTTACATATGACTACTTCCATCTTTTATAAAAATAGAAGAGACTGAAAATGACTGTCTTCTATAACCCTATGCTGTAAAGGCCTAGAGGGGATTGAGAAAAGAAGTAAAAACTGCTTGAAATGGTTTGATATAAAATGTCATTTTTTTCTAAAATGATTCTGACTTGTCTTTCGAATATTTTGAATGAAACAGAAAAGAACTAGCTTCCTATTAATCTAGAATATAGATTTTTTATCATTCTTAAAAAAATAATCCATTCAAACATTTCTTGGCAATATGGAGGAAGACTTGTCACATCACTCGAAATTTTCTTTAAGAAGCCTTGTCTCATAAAGTCAGTCAATCTCTTAAGATTTGAAGAATAATGATTATCTGGTAAGAAGATAATCAGGTTAAAGCTAGCAGCACTATGGAAAATTTTCTTTCTTGAGTCTGAAAGGACTGTTTGGCTTTTCTAAAGCCTAAGGTCTTGTTCCCAAACCTCCTTACTTTAAAGCCAAGTTAATGAAATATATTAACTACTATCACTTAGTCATTATGCTAAATATTAACATTTTAATAATATACTGTTTTTGCAAAAGCAAGTATATATATATGTATAATTATACAATTTTTCACTTTTATTATATTTATTTTAAATATTTAAAGTTTTAATATAATATTCTAAAAATATTATAAATATTTTTTCTATATATAAGAAAAAGTGGAAAAACACATACCAGACTATTGGTGGTGGTAGATTCACAGAGAATATATGGTACAGGAAGTTTTCTTTCTATGCTATATCTCTTGAATTTTTGATAAAAACATAAATATCTTTGGTAATTAGGAAATATTTCCTAACAAAATTAGTAGATGAACATATGAAGAGAATGATATGTCAAAGAGAAGGTATAAACCCCATTAAGATAGGCTCTGTTTCTGTCTTGTTGAGGATTGTATTTCACAGTGCCTGCCTCACAGAAGGCACTTAATAAATATTTTTTGAATGAATGAATCAAAACATTAAAGAAGCTGCCGCAACTAATTTACAAGCTGTCTTTAGAGACCACATGAAATCTTTCTTCATATGGGAACATTTGCATTGTTAGACTAGGATAATACATCTTTGACCACTGCCGTGGGAATACATGCCTTGGAAATACTTTCAGGTGCAAGTCTTTGGAAATATAGTCATTCAGCGAGAAACAAACAAACAAAAAGTGTGTTCATTATGTTTGCTAGAATGGCTCTTTTTGTAGGATTATAGAGGTTTATTGTGCATGACTTAACACATTTTGAATTTGGCAAGATCTACAAAATGAGAGAAATAGATCCTGACTCCTTCTTATCTACTTGTGTCTTCTTTTACTAAGAGAGTGTTTTACTGGCAGTCTACCCAGTAACACTAGCACAGAATTCATATTTCCTTTTACTTTCATTCATAAGCACTTTTCCACTTTCTAACAGAGAACTTGAGAAAACTCATTAAGTCTTAGAATTTCACTCATTCCTGGTGAACAAAATAAAGTTTCTTCCTTCACAGAGATTCTAAGGGTGTGATAAGGGGTAATATTTTCCTTAGATATGTCTACAACAACTATAGATGCAGCAGCAACTACTATGTCCTGAAGACCTACTATGTGTTTGGCACTACATACACTTTCTAATGTAGTTTTTCTAAAAACCTTTTAAGTTAGGCATTTTTATATTCATTTTTAGAGGGTGAAACTGAGGCTCAGAGATATTAAATGTACTCAAAAGAGGCTTGTATTAAAATGACTTGCCTGAGACTCAATTCTGGTAGGTCTGGATCTAAGGATGTTTGATGCTGTGGCTGTTTTGTTTTGCAACTTTCCTATAATCCATTGTTCTTACGGCTTCACTTGAGAGCTGCCCCTTCTATGTAAAGAGCATGCATAGCCTGGGAAATTCTGATGAAAATTAGAGTACAACCCTGAAATGCCAGAACTTGGATTGCACTCAAACTGTCACATGCTTTCTAGCTATGATAAATGGGACTGAACTCATTAGTGATGGATTTCTAGCAGCAGCAATTGCACAGGTAAAACTTCTTAACTAAGCAGATATTCAATCATTCTGGCACTGTAAAATGTCATAAGTGCTCTCAGTGTAATCATCTTTTTGTTTCTTTGCTACATTTGGATGAGTAAAATCAGGAAGCATTAGAATACTGCTAAGTCCTTCCAAAAGTATAGGCCAAATGCAGAGGTATTTTGGGAAACCCACTTCTTGTGTCATACTAAGCTTTCTTGGATCTTGATTATTTAATGCCAAAAGTGCTAGTTGAATTACAGTCTTGTACACTTGAATGCAGAAGAGTAAGTGGACTCAGCTCTTGGTGGAAGTATACCTTTATTTCCTTTCTCCCCACTCTGGCAGATCCTCATCTATCTCTATCTCTCGGGCTCCAGGAGTTTGGCACTTTGCCACCCAATTAGCTCCTGAGACAGCATAATGAAAGTTAATGGACCTCCAATTCAGGTAATTCACATGAATTAAAAATAACTTAGGAAAGCATTTAGGGCCCTATAAAATCAAATTTAGAATACTACATTTAGAGGTCATAATAGTCCAGTTCAAACTTTCTGCCACACAAAATAAATTAAATTTATTTGAAATATCTAAAAATTATTAAAGTCAGAGAGAATAGAATTTTTCCAAGTCTTTTGCAAAATAAATAATCCCAGTAATGTTTTCTTGCTTGATTAGTTCTAAATGTTTTAAGATCTGATTTAAAGATTGCTTACACATTTTAAAGTACATGTAGAAAAGACTTGTAGCATATAATAAACTTACATAAATTATTTTATAATTTCTAAAATTCTATAAAAATTATGGTCCAATATAGAATATAGACTATAGAGGAAAAGGGTAGTATTTGTGCAGAAACCACATAAATTATATGATAGATGAAAGAGAATGAAAAGGGACCTTGAATTTGCTTTAGAAGAGGCATAATAAACTTACTGCTGGAAACCGTTTAATCCTTTCCTTTGTTACAGATTGAGCTTCACTTAAACCAACCCAGAGGGACTGCTGAAATCTCTTCAGGAGCTAAATTTTTCAATTCCACAAATATTTATTAAACTAGGCATTATGAATTCAAATATAGAGGTCAGTAATGTGCTGTCCTATCCTTAAGTAATCTACAGTTTAGTTATTAGATAAGGCAAGTACTGGCATCTTACAGTGCAAGGAAGAATATAATAGTGGCCATAGGCAAAGCACAAAATACTCTGTGAGTTTTTTTGAAAGGAAACTAAATCATGTTGAAGTCTGCATGGTAGAGTGAGAAAATATAAAACTGAGGTTTAAATATGGTTTTTCCACCTTCTAATTTTGGGTCCTAGGAAATTAAACTTTTGGAGCTTTAGCTTCTTTTGAATAAAATGCACTTCATAAGTGTTTTTTACAAGATTTTCTCATTATATGTTTATTAATTCATGAAGAAGTATGTACTGATTGTTAACTGTTTGCCTGGTTCTATAGCTGTACAGTGTATAGTATAGTTGGGTAGCAAAAGTATGGTAGGTGCTATGATAAAATGGATATGCAGATTATAGCAGGGCTTTAAAGAAAAGTGTAGTCACTACTACTCAAGGGAGATCCAGAATCTCTTGTAGAGGAGCTGCCGTTATGATCTTTCCTTTGCAGATGAGAAATTGAAAGCTAAGAACATTTGAATAATTTTACCCAGGGTGGACAGTTACTAAGTGGCTGAGCCAGGAGCCAGGGCTCCAGCATTTTTACATGAGGCAATCAATTCTGTGTTAGCTTTGAAAAGGATTATCAAAATAATGGGACCTAAAGGAATCATTTACATCAATGGGAATGTGCATACCTCAATATCTCAGAGCATTTTAAAGAAATTGATATTTTGCCTAGCAATTATTTTTAAAATTAATGGTGACATATACTCACTCATATAACTGTTATGCAAAGCAGGCTTTTGAATAGTATGTGGAAATATTTAAGAAGTCTTCTAGTTTCAGGTTACTTTCAAAGAGTTTTTGTTTCCAAGCCATCTCAATGGAAGTAAAATAAACTGTCTCTGTAGTTCAATAATAAGCTCTCATGACCTCACCAAACTCATATTTTTATCCTATGTCAAGGCACTATTCTTTTGTACAAATGCATAAGGCCAAAAAATTGTTTTTTTCTCATTACTTAGGACATTCATATAAATTAATCCTCTCAAAGGGGAGAAATCTATCTTGTACTTTCTCATTCCTCCCTGCTTTCCCATTGCTCTTGTAGAGGGTGGGAAATAAATGCTGGTGACACTTTCCCCTGCCATTTGAAGGCACTGCTATCCCATGGTATAGCTGCTGAGGAATTGCTAGAATTGATCTTATAGTAAGTGACTCTCAGTAAGTGCCTTTGTCATTGTCTTCCTCCCTTTGCCTCCACTGTGGATGCAATAATGGTTCATGTATTACTGCATGAGCAATCACAAAGAGAATATACAGCAAAGTCCAAGTTAGTGTTTACACAGAAAATGAGAATAGGGTGCCCATAGCTATACTGAGCAGATGCCTGATTATTAATGGGAAGTGGGAGAAGATAGAAGGCTCCTCATGCTTTCCAGAATCCACAGGTGTTTTGACTTGTGTCACCAATATAGCTGTGGGGAGCTCATCAATATCATCTCCTAATAATAACTGGCAATCCACTGGGGTAACCTGAATTTTCCATCTTACAGGCACAAGAATCTTTCTGTAGCTTTGTGGGTAGCCAGATAAATGGAATCAAAATACTTATGGCAATTTATCTTTGACAAAAAGGCAACAGGGCAGCACATCACCCGGGACACACTCATCTTGTTCTCACATGATCAACTAAAGGTGACCTACAATAATGAAATAATTGTTTATTATAGGGCATGAATGTATTAAATAAGTTGGAGAATCTCATGGCAAAATATGCATGGCTCTGGATTATTTTACTTAAGATGAAGATAAAAAGTGTAGAGTGTGATTTTTTCCCCCTGCTATACTGTAAGGCTTTATTTTTTCTTTTGTGGAAATACTATATTCTCTGTATTGACTAATTGACTAGTTGCAGTGGTTTTTAAACTTTAGTGTTCCCAAGAACTTTCTGGAATCATGTTTAAATTGAAATTGGTGGGTTCATCTTCAGATATTCTAATTCAGTAAGATTATAGTGAGACCCAGGAGTAAGCATTTTAAAAGTGGATTTAGACTGAGAAAAGTATTACATAAAATGAATGACTGGATGCAGCCAGGAGAAATAGCTCCTACCAATAGACCACGACATTGGGAAGACAGGCACACTATGAGCAGATCTTCGGAGGAAAGGCATTGAGGGTGGATAGAGGGAGGACATAGACACTGGGCTGAAGGGGGAGGAAGCTGGGAACCCTGCACAGGGCTATTGAACACTGGGACTCATTCCTAAACCCTGGTGACACTGTGGGAAGAGAAACAAACCCAGTCAACTGAATCCACCTTATACCACAGTGAAATCCCTAACGGCATGACAGAAGATAAAAGCAAAGCAAAGCAAAACAAAACAAAACAAAAAACATGGAAAGAATAGCAACTCCAGAGACTGAAAGAACATCAACCCACACAGATGACAAAGAACCAGCATAATAACTCTGGTAACTCAAAAATCCAGCGTGTCTTGTTATCTCCAAATGACCACACTAGTTCACCAGCAATGGTTCTTAATATGGCTGAAATGACAGAAATAGAACTCATAATATGGATAGAAACAAAGATCATCAACATTCAAGGGAAAGTCAAAACCCAATCCAAGGAATCTAAAGAATGCAATAAAACAATACAAGAGGCCGGGCATGGTGGCTCACACCTGTAATCCCAGCACTCTGGGAGGCTGAGGTGGGCAGATCACGAGGTCAGGAGATTGAGACCATCCCGGCTAACACGATGAAACCCATCTCTACTAAAAATACAAAAAATTAGCCAGGCATTGTGGCGGGCACCTGTAGTCCCAGCTACTTGGGAGGCTGAGGCAGGAGAATGGCATGAACCCGGGAGGCGGAGCTTGCAGTGAGCTGAGATCACGCCACTGCACTCCAGCCTGGGTGACAGAGTGAGACTCCATCTCAAAAAAAAAAAAAAAAAAAAAAAAAAAAGAGAAAAAAGATGAAATGGGAATTTTGAGAAAGAAACAAACTAGTCTGATAGAGCTGAAAAACTCACATCAATAATTTCAGAATACGATCACAAGTATTAACAGCAGAATCAACCAAACTGACGAAAGAATCTCAGAGCTCAAAAACTGGTTCTCTAAAATAACTCAGTTAGACAAAAATAAAGAAAAATCAAACGAAGAAGAATGAACCAAACCTCCAAGAAATATGGAACTATGTAACGAGACCAAATCAATGATTCATTGGCATCCCTGAAAAAAAGGGAAAGAAAGCAAGCAACTTAGAAAGCATATGATAATATTGTCCATGAAAATGTCCTCGACCTCAATAGAGTAGCTAACATTCAAATTTAGAAAATGCAGAGAACCCTTGTGAGGTGTTATAGAAGACAACCATCTCTAAGGCACATAATCACCAGATTCTCCAAGATCCAAATGAAAGAAAAAATGTTAAAGGCAGCTAGATAGAAGGGGCAGGTCACCTACAAAGGGAACCCCATCAGGCTAACAGTGGAACTTTCAACAGAAACCCTACAAGCAAGAAGAGACTGGGGGCCTATATACAGCATTCTTAAAGAAAAAAAAAATCCGAAGAAGAATTTTGTATCAGGCCAAACTAAGCTTTATAAGCGAAGAAGAAATAAAATCCTTTTCAGACAAGCAAATGCTAAGGGACTTCATTAACACCTGACCTGCCTTGCAGGAGGTCCTTAAGGGAGTATTTAATATGGAAAGGAAAGACCATTACTGACTGTGACAAAAATCACATGTAAATAGATTAACTATTGATACTATAAAGCAATCATACAATCATGTCTGCATAATAACCAGTTAAAAACATAATGTCAGGATCAAATCTGCACATATGAATATTAACCTTGAATGCAAACAGGCTAAATGTTCCAATTGAAAGACATAGAAAGGCTAGTTGTAAAAAGAAGCAAGACCCAATGGTCTGCTGTCTTCAAGAGACACATCTCTCATGTGATGATACTCACAGCCTCAAATAAAGGGTGGAGAAAAATCTACAAAGCTAATTAAAAAAATTAAACAAAACAAAGAACATGGGTTGCTATTCTAACCTCAGAATAGTCTTTAAACCAACAATAATCAGAAAAGGCAAAGAAGGGCATTGCATAATTGTAAGGGGTTCAATTCAACAAGAAGAGTTGGCTATCCTAAATATATGTGCACATATATACACACAGCACCCAGATTCATAAAGCAAGTTCTTAGAGATCTATGAAGAGACTAAGATAACTATAGCATAACAGTGGGAAATTTAAACATCTTACTGACCATGTTAGACAGATCATGAAGTTAAAAAACTAACAAAGATATTCAGAACCTGAACTTGACACTTGACCAAATAGGCTTAACAGACATCTACAGACTCTACCTAAAAACAACAAAATATACAGTCTTCTCATCTGCACATAGCATATATTCTAAAATCAACCATGCATTCAGCCATAAAACAGTCCTCAGTAAATTAAAAAAAAACAAAATCACACCAAAACACTTTTTGACCTCAACACAATAAAAACAGAAATCAATACTAAGAAAACCACTCAAACTCATGCAATTACAGGGAAATTAAACAACATATACCCGAATGACTTTGGGGTAAGGAATAAAATTAAGGCAGAAATCAAGAAATTATTTGAAACTAATGAGACCAAAGATACAACATACCAGAATCTCTGAGACACTGCTAAACTGGTATTAAGAGGGGGAGTTTATGGCATTAAATGCCCACATAAAAAAGTTAGAAAGACCTCAAATTAACGACCTAACATCACACCTAGAGGAACTAGAGAAACAAGAGCAAACCCACCCCAAAGGTAGCAGAAGACAAGAAAAAACCAAAATCAGAGCTGAACTGAAGGAGGTTGATCTTTTGTATAAAAAAAAATACAAGACATCAACGAATCTAGGAGTTTGTTTTTTGAAAGAATAAATAAGATTGATAGACCACTAACTAGACTAATGAAGAAAAAAAAAGAAGATCGAAATAAATGCAAGGAGAAATTACAAAGGGAACATTACTACTGAACCTAGAGAAATAAAAAAAAAAATCATCAGAGACTACTGTGAACACCTCTATGCACACAACTAGAAAACCTAGAAGCAACAGATAAATTTAAGGAAACATACAATCTCCCAAGATTGAATCAGGAAGAAATTGAATCCATGAACTGACCAATAATGAGTTCCAAAATTGAATCAGTAATAAAAAGCCTACCAATCAGAAAAACACGAGAATCAGATGGAATCATAGCTGAATTCCACTAGATGTATAAAGAAGAGCTGCTACCATTCCTACTAAAACTATTCCAAGAAATTGAGGTATAGGGATTCCTCCCTAACTTATTTTACAAGGCCAGCATCATCCTGATACCAAAACCTGGCAGAGATGCAACACAAAAAGAAAACTACAGGGAAGTATTTTTTATGAACATAGATGCAAAATTTCTCAACAAAAATACCAGCAAACTGAATCAAACAGCACATCTAAAAGCAAATCTACCATGATCAGGTAGACTTTAACCCTAGGATACAAGATTAAACATACACAAATCCATAAATGTGATTCATCTCATAAATAGAATTTAAAACAAAAACCACATGATCACCTTAATAGATGGATAAAAGGCTTTCAATAAAATTCAACGTCCCTTTGTGTTAAGAACCCTCAACAAACTAGGCATTAAAAGAACATGCCTCAAAATAATAAGAACCATCTATGACAAACCCATAGCCAATATCATTCTGAATGGGCAAAAGCTGGAACATTCCCCTTAAGAAATGAAATAAGATAAGGAGGCCCACTCTAACCACTCCTATACAGCATAGTACTGGAAGTCCTAGCCAGGGCAATCAGGCAAAAGAAAAATGTGAAGTGCATCAGAGAAATAGAGAAACTCAAACTATCTCAGTTTGCAGATGATGATTCTCTACTTAGTAAACCCTATAGTCTTTGCCAACAAGCTCCTACGTCTGACAAACAACTTCAACAGTTTCAGGATACAAAATCAATGTACAGAAATCAGTAGAATTTCTATACACCAACAATGTCTAAGCTGAGATCCAAACGAAAAATGCAACCCTCTTACAATAGCCACAAAAAGAATAAAACACCTAGGACTACAGCTAACCAGGGAAATGTAAGATCTACACAATGAGAATTACAAAGCCCTGCTCAAAGAAATCAGAGATAACACAAACAAATGGAAAAACATTCCATACTCATGGAACCAATATTGATAGAAAGACCATACTGCCAAAACCTGTTTACAGATTCAATGCTATTCTTATCAAGGTACCAACAACATTCTTCACAGAATTAGAAAAAATGATTTTAAAGTTTATATGAAACCCAAAAAAGACCTTGAATACCCATGGCAATCTTAAGCAAAAGGAACAAATCTGGAGGCATCACGTTACCCAACTTGAAATAATACTGCAATGCTAGAGTAATCAAAACAGCATGGTACTGGTACAAAATCAGACACATAGACCAATGCAACAGAATAGAGACCCCAGAAATAAAGCTGCGCACCTACAACCATCTGATCTTTGACAAAGTCGACAAAAGCAAGCAATGGAGAAATGGCTCCATATTCAATAAATGGTGCTGCTGGTGGTATAAGTGTTTAGCCACATGCCGAAGAGTGAAACTGGACCCCTTCCGTACATCATATATGAAAATCAACTCAAGATGTATTAAAGACATAAATGTAAAACTTAAAAGTATAAAAATTCTGGAAGTTAACCTGGGAAATACCATTTGGGACATAGGCCCTGACAAAGATTTCATGATGAAGGCACCAAAAGCAATTGCAACAAAAACAAAAACTGACAAATGGGACCTAATTAAACTAAAGAGCTTCTGCACAACAAAAGTGTTTACTCTTCCCAATCAGAGTGATCCCCAAAATCCTTAAAGGGCTTGCAAGGGCTACATGCTTTTTACCCCACCCACTCATACATCACTGACTGCATTTCTTACCGGTCTGCTCCTGTATCCGTCTATTCCAGCTGAAGTGACATTTTTGCTGTTCATAAAACAATACAAACATGCTCCAGTGTGAGTCTTTGGCGTTCTCTGTTCTTTCTTCCTGAAATGCTCCAACCCAGATGACATGGTTTGGCTGTGTCCCAACCTAAATCTCGTCTTTAATTCCCACATGTTGTGGGAGGGCCCCGGTGGGAGGTAATTGAATCATGGCGGCCGGTCTTTCTCGTGCTGTACTTATGACAGTGAATAAGTCCCACAAGACCTGATGGTTTTATAAGAAGGAGTTTCTCTGCACAAGCTCTCTATTTGTCTGCTGCCATGCATGTAAGACGTGACTTGCTCCTCCTTGCCTTCTGCCATGCTTTTGAGGCCACCCCAGCCACATGAAACTGTATGTCCATTAAACCTCTTTTTCCTCCCAGTCTCAGGTATGCTTTTAAAAGCAGCATGAAAATAAACTAATACATCAGATATACCAAAGTTCACTTTTACATTTTCTTCATATCTCAAATACTTTCTTATCAAAGGTATCTCCTGACCACCCTATACATATACAACATCTGGTTCTCCTTAATTGCATTATCATTATTCTAATCACTTATTCATCCCTTACATATTATAGATTTTTCTTGTTTACTTCCATATTGGTTGTTTCTGCCCACTAGAATGTAAACACCTCAAGGGCAGGATTTTATGAGCTCTATTTATTGCTTTCCCTTGAGCTTTCTGAACACTTTGGCATTTAGCAATGGCTCAATAAATATTTATTGCATGATGCTCTTCTTGCTTTCTGTTGTGAGATATAGCAAATTTAACGTAGAAATCAAATATTTTTCATTGTAACTTATTAACAAATTACTTCAATACTCTTCAGAACCATGCTTTCTTTCCTCAATATTTGTTTAACATCCTTTATCAGAGATATAATTCCTAAACAAATAGGGCCCACTATTGTGCTTTCTATTTCGCTGAGCCCTCTCTCTATAATCTATTGCTATTTGTGCAATCTTTTACACATAGGCAACCCTAGCACAATCCATGACCTGAAACACCAGTGTAAACTAGAACAGGACTTTACCTCTGAGTTTCTATCCTGGTGAATCTTTGGGGGATACTCCAAGTTTTTCTAGTCCCCTGAAATGCATGCATGAGTCCTTAGGAGACCATGAACACATTCTCCACTTTCGCCTTCTTTAGCTTATCTTTGCTGCCTTCTGATGTTCTACCTTGTGCCCCGTTATTTACCTGGCCACCAGATGGTGACATAATTATTGCTATTCCCACCAAGATCATTAGCACAAATGTCTCTTAAAGTTATGCACATCATAGCACAGGCTGCTTTTGCAAGGAAAGGAGAGAAGCTTTGGCTCACTTGTGTTAAAAGTTATTGGGGTTCCTGCTGAGCTTTCCCATTTGCTCAGTTTTGTGTATTGCTTCCTGGCACATACTAGAGGGATCTGTTAGGCCCACTCCCTCAGTTTCTTACAGCTGCCTCTCTCAAGGTATTTGTAACAAGTCCCCCCGAGGCCTGGGAAAATTGGAGTGTCTCTATCAAGTATTCACCCAAATCATCTTCCCATGCTGAGAATCAACATGTTTGCTAGGATAAATCCCAGATGGTTTGTGTGTCTCTATCTAGGGCAAATTTCCCACCCACCTGGAGTCCTTGTTGAGAGACTGGGACTGAAGAGAGGCAGTGGCTCTTTCTTTCTCTTTTTTGTTCCATAGTCTTAATTTCAGTATCTTTTATAAATTCTCATGCTAATGTGTAATGTAGGTCTCACTTGGTAAAATCCCTGCAATGCTTAAAAAAAAATCCATAAAAAACATTCATTAGAAAATAAGCTATTTCACAACTAGCACAAACACCATCCAGTGCTACAGACAGGTGAAGAGAAAGATTGTAACTCATATACTAAACTTCATAAGTTTTATTCCCCAGAAACTAACGTCGCTTGCGTTTCTACTTGTTGTTTGCTTAAGCACTTCTTTGGTAACTAAACTTGGATGGCAAAATGTTAATGTGTAGGAAAGTAAATGGCTAAACATAATTTATATCAGAATGGTATTTTGAAAGTGGCTTTTTTTTAATTCATGTGTTCATCCAACAAACATGTTCATTGCTCATTAGTGGTCAGATGTGTTGAGCCCACAGAGATGAATATACACAGTGTGTGCCCTCAAGGACTAACAATAGTAGATATAAAAATCTAAATCACTCTCTGTAAGAGGCTTATGGACAAACTTGAGTGTGTCTTCATAAATGTGATGATACTGTTGAGGCTCTTTGGAACACCTGAGAGAGAAGATAACATTCTGGAGGCCCAGGATACTTGTCTTCAAGGAATTGAAAGTCTATCATATGGACAAAGGAGTAGACTCAATGTGTGTGGCTTCAGAAGGGAAAATTAAAGCGATGCAGGATTGAGGACATTGAGGAAAAACATGTACCAAGTAGACTGTTTAGAAAATATGGGCTACCTTCAGAGGAGCAAAGTGGTGGAAGTTTTAAACAATTGTAAGGGAAGTCTTTTGTTTTTGCTTGTTTTTTGTTGGTGAGAGGTTATACTTACATTGTTTTTAGGGTATTTTGAGTGATCAAACTTTATGATATTATCATAGCCTCTACCCACACAGTGCTTATCCTTCCATTATATTATTTTCATCTAGTTCATAAATCAGTAATCAGAAAAGAGCATTAATTCAGAACCTATAAAATTATGGTGAAAAAATATAACAATTTCACATTTTCATCTCAATTTGATTTAAAGTTCATAGTTATTTACTAATGAATGTGGGAATTCATATGGGCCAGTAGGAGTGTAATAGACATAGTCTGAGTGTGTTTGTGATGGGCAAGTGCATGCATTCTCCCTAATATTCTGAAGGGAGAAGTTATAGAGAGATGTTTCCAGCCAGTAATATAGAACAGTGATACTGGGTCAGTAAAAAACTGATGAAAAAAAGTGGAACTTTAGAATATTTTCTTGTTTCTTGAGTTTGACTGATTTTTCAGAACCACAATAGAGCTGTGCTATTCTCAGGATCCATGTGCTATGGAAATGTTTTGGAACATTTTTTTTTTTTTTTGGCTCTGCATTCAGGTTCTTCTCACATCCCTCTCTTTTTGAGCTTTGAAAAAAAATCTAGGCCTTGATTTTTTAAAATTTTTATCTATCTATCTTTCTAATCTATTATCTATCTTTCTAATCTATTATCTATCTTTCAATCATCTATCTCTGTCTACCTAATATATCATCTGTCTATCTATCTATGTATCTATCTATCTATCATCTATCTACATTTGTGCTACAGCAAGTCCCAGCTATGATGGAGGCAAATATGGGTATGTGTGGTGGGTGGAGTCAGGTGTCACACATTCCTTGATATTCCCCAAACTGTAACTACCCAGCTATATATATATATCCAGTTTTATATATATATATATCTTTGTATATATAGCTTTGTATATATATGTATGTATATATATTCATTTGTGTGTATATATATACACACAAATGTATATGTATAGCTTAACTATGTAGCTATATCCAAATACATATTTATGTCTATACCTAATTTATTTAAATCTAACTGAATCCAACTATCTCACTATCCAAGCCTAAGAAATTGGCACTGAAAAGTGATATTTGAGGTTACAACACAGTGTCTTATTTCCTGAATCTGTACTGGTGGATACATTTGTACCCTGGGGAACAATAGGCTGTAGGTAAAATGCAAGGAGTTGCTTCATTAAATTTTGCAGCATTGTGAGGCTAAAGGAACCCTTCTGGACCATCATAAGAGAAGGAAGTGTGTTGTTTCCCATTTTACTTCACAGAAAAGTGCGAAGTGTGATGGCACCAGCAGATTGGAAGCACAGGTCCCCAAGGTTTGACGGAGGTCCATCCGAGAACAGAGCAAATAAAGATCAACCACGGCAGTGGCAGAGTTACTGGCACCTAGGTCCTGTGGATTGTCCAGGCAAGGCCCAAATTGCAGCATTACAGCAGGGAGACTGAAAAGCAGCAGTATAATAATGGCAGTCGTGGCTCAGGGTGTGGCTCAGCAGGGAAGGGTAGAACAGTTGGTTTTCCTGGATGGAATTTCTGAATGTGGGAATCTCCCAGGGGTCTCCTGGCAATATGCCAGCAGAGAGGTCATTTTTAAAGGTAGAACTGAGAGATTATAGTTATATTCTTTGCGGAAAATAAGTTCATGAATGTGACCTCATTCATGTCCATGAATGAAGCTGGTGAGACAGTACAATTTTAAGTTATTTCTGTTACCCTACTTAGTTATGATATTGACTAAAGATGAGGTAATAAAAGGAAGGGAAATCTAGAGACATCACAAAATTAAAATTGTAGAAACATTTTAAAGAATTTTAAAAAGCATATGACATTTCAGAAATTATAATCAGAGGTTGCTTACATTTTAACTCAGGTATCTCTTTATCCTTGCTAAGGGAAGATGTAAGTAGCCTCTGCTAAAACTGAAGCACAGCCTAGGTTCAAACAAGTGGGGCATTGATATTAGCCGCTTCTCAAGGCAGCTGTGTAGTAACTCCAGGCTGTCAGAAAGAGTTATCAGATAGAAGACCATGCTCTTAAAAAGATACCAGTAAAACTAACTTACGTAAAACACTTTGTAATCTACAAACCTCATTTATTCATCATCTCATTTATTATTCATAATAAAGCCTTTTCAAGAAAATGTTTTTATCCCAATTTTGTAAATGAGGAAGCAAGGTTCAGAGATATGAAAACACACCCTAGGACGAAGGGATTTTGAACTTAAGTATTTGGATTCTAATTACAACTGTCTAGCTATAAGTATAAAAGCCCAGAGTGCATCTTAATCATTTTGGGGTAATGGAATATTTGAGAATCAAAAGAAAGTGGTAAACCCTCGCCCCAGAATAGCTACATAGATATACACATATACAAAATTCAAATATTCTTTCAGAAACACTTCTGAAACATATTCAGGGATATGCTACATGTCTAAAGACCACAGAATGAAAAATCTAGGCTGAAAGTGGAATATTGGGGTGCTGTAACAATCAGGTTTAATAACTGAAGAGTTTATGTGAAAAAGCAAACTCAAGAAATTTAATTTTGTAATTGCAGTCTTATGTTTTGGGTCCCATGGTGATATTACTAAGGGTTTTCTCCTAATATAATTCATATATTCATACTGGGGGAAAAGGTTTCTGTAAATGTAGTTCTTATTTCCCTTCTGTATGTTTCTAAGACACCTCTTTGTATTTCTCTATTCCTGTAGCAGTAATTCACATCATTGTTATATAGAACAGTACTTTACAGTTCTATTATTTTATGTACCTGCTAAGGTTTTTTCAATTACTACTAGACAATTGCCTGTCCTAATTGGTAGCCATGAGGTGAACTGATCTTTGATGCATGTGGTATACAATATGAGGGCTGTTCACTTATTTTTCTCCCACAGTTAATGAATAAGTTACTGGAGAGTGACATTTGAATAATAGCATTGCATTAAGAGAAGCCAAATTTCCATTCTTGCTTTGTTCTTACAAAAACAGAGGGAAAATAAATCAAGAATGACCTTTAGCCTTTTAGCAATTAGATCATAATTTTTTCTTTGGTTACTAACGGTGACTCCTGAGAGTCACTATTTACAATTCTATTTATTTCATTTTACCTTAGAGTTGAATGATTTATGAATGTCTGAGCTCAGATGCATACAGGACTAACAAAACTCAGCTTTCTCGTCTCCTGTCTGCTAACAGGATAATGGGGCATCGTGATGGTCTTTTAGATGTGTGAACTTGGCTAGGGTATAGCCTCTAGTTAGTCTTTCAAGCATAAATCTAGGTATTGCTGTGAAAGTTATTTTATAAATTGTATTAATGTTCATAAAAATTGACATTTAGTAAGGCAGACTGTCTTAAATAATCCGGATGAGCCTGAATCAATTGGCTGATGAACCTTAAAATTAGAGATGAGGGTTTCTTGAAAAAGAAGAAATGCCACCTGTGGACAGCGGCTTCAGCCTGGGCTATGAGCTTCAGCATGCCCTTTTTGATAGCTTGTCCTACAGATTTCAAATTTGTCTAGCCAGCCCCACAATTTTGTAAGACAGTTATTTGCAATAAATATCTTACATACCTCCTATCACTTCTGCTTTTTTGGTTGTCCATTTACTGGCACAAACGTATATGCAAATATCAATTGAGTTAAAGCAATAACTTCAGGTACCTCCTTATTTCTCAAAAAATATACAAGTTAAACACAAGGAGTTACCCTGAATTAGAGAGAAACGTGATGATTCTCTTGAAGATTTCAAAACATTGAACTAGTCTAGATCAGAATGTTGCTATTCTAGATGTACTGTTATCTATTATTTTAACTTAATTTGCCAATATATTAATTATCAGCTTTAGCTGGAATGTTTTCTTAAATAAAAATGTATAGATGTATGTATCTATATATTTATAGTTCACCTATTATCTATCCACATCTCTAATACCATTAAGTGTGTATTTGCACAGGTATATCTAAAGGAGGATTACTGCTGTTATTGTATATTGGTATATTTAATAACATCATATCTGATTAAATTCATAAAACTCTAGAAATCCAATAGCCTCTTATTAATATTCTGTTTCTGATTGAAATAAAAATGTTTGCTTCTTGCAACATTGCCTAATAACTTATGATAAAATAACCCCAAAAGAATATTCCGTTGAAAGTTGTATTCCCACTATATATATATCCATATCTAGGTTGTATATATTTTTATATATATATATAGTGGGAATACATATATATACATATATAATATATACACATACATAGCAGTAACTAGATTACTGATGGACCAATGATGTTAAATAATCTGTGCCTACTTCTATGTTATATTTTATTATCACATATAAATTATGTTTAATTATTGCCAATGCCTAGGAAAGTAACCTCTGAAAATTAAGAGCTTACTTTACATTAAGGTCAAGTTACCACAGACCAGAACATACACTAAAATTTACACCTAAAGGCTCTAATCCTGCAAGAATTGCATATGACTTCATTGTAATAATAATCCAGAGGAGGGATGCAGAAAATGAAAAGTGGTAGTTGGTCAGGAAAGATAAAGGAAAGAGCCAGAGACAAATTTCAATAGTGCCTATTCAAGCAGTGCTTAAAGGAGGGGCTTAACTCCTGGAGAAAACCATTCCTAACCTAGATATGGATAAATCTAACTCTCCTCATTTTGATTCCACATGTGCACCTGCCCATCTTCCTTCATTCATCAATCTGAGACATTCAACCTGCCATTAATAGTACCTGGACGCCAGGTGCAGTGGCTCATGCCTGTAATCCCAGCACTTTGGGAGTCCGAGGTGTGCAGATCACCTGAGGGTAAGGAGTTGAAACCAGGCTGGTCAACATGGCGAAACCCCATCTCTACTAAAAATACAAAAATTAGCCGGGCATGGTGGTGGGAGCCTGTAATCCCAGCTACTCAGGAGGCTGAGGCAGGAGAATTGCTTGAACCCAGAAGCCAGAGGTTGCAGTGAGCCAAGATTGCCCCACTGCACTCCAGCCTGGGCGACAGAGTGAGACTCCACCTCAAAAAAAAAAAAAAGTTCCTGGGCATGTGCCATTGTGAGGAAATTACCAGATGCCAGAGAAGATGCTCAGTATTATTTGTCATTGGGAAACAGAAATTGAAACTACAATGATATACCACTACACACATTTAGAATACATAAAATTATAAAGATTGACAATATCAAGTTTTGGCAAGAATGTAGAAAAACTGGAACTCTCATACACTGCTTGGAAACAGTTTGGGAGTTTCTTAAATAAATAAATATACATATACCATATTAGATAGCCATTTCACTTCTAGGTATTTATCCAAGAGAAATGAAAGTCCAATACAAAAGACATGTACATAAATGTTTACATCAGCTTTATTTGTAATGACCAATGATGAAAACAACTCAAATGTCTATCAAAAGGTGAATGAATAAACGAATGTGATACGTTCATACAATGATGTACTATTCAGTAATAAGAAGGAATGAACTATTGATATACACAACAATATGAGTGAATCTGAAAATAATGCTGAGTGAAAAAGCCAGACATAAAGAGTATATATGGTATGATTCCATTTATCTAAGATTCTAGAAAATATAAACTAATTATAGTTGCAGGAAGCAGGTCAGTGGTTTCTGTGGGAGGAGGGTTAGGAAGAAATGGGAGGAAGAGATTACAAAGGGAAAATTGGAGTGGTGATAGATTTTTTTTTTATATTGGTGATAGTTTTATGAGTTAATACATATGTTGAAATTTATAAAACATAAAACTGTACACTTATCTTAATTTTTTTTGAAATAAAAATAAAAATCTGCTGGGCACAGTGGCTCACGCCTATAATCATAGCACTTTGAAAGGCCAAGGTAGGAGGATTGCTTGAGACCAAGAGTTTGAGATCAGCCTAGGCAGCATAGTGAGACACCTTCTATAGTAAAAGAAATGTGTTATCCCAATAAAGTTATTGGGATATAATTGACAAAACAGAAACAACAAACACAACAGCAACAATTAAAATTTTTTTAAAAAGAGCATAAATAAATATTGTTATTATAATGATTATAATGAGGTGAATGTATTTCCTGTTGATAATGTTGAGGCAGGGACATGGCAAGAGTCTGAATGTTTTAAAAATGGAATCATGTGCCAAAAATGTTGTCTTGTGAGAATGCTGTTACTGAGACTATCATTTCAGAAAATGCCTGAGGTTAGCGTGTTCCTAGCACTAGCATCAAACCTCCACTTGGGTGCCTTGGTCAGCAGCATTCTTAAGTTTGCAGATCACTGAGAAATACTGCAGAAGGTAAAAGAGAAAAGCAGTGTAAAAATGACTGCTTAGACATTTCTCTAATCAGAATCCAATTTGATTCAATATCTGTCAAATGATAAATAATGAATTAATTTTCTCTGCAAATGTGAATATGTTAATGACACAAATAACACTTATGTGTTAGACATAATTTATTTGAGTATCACGAGAATCCTTTGAAAATCTAGAGACAAAGATATGTGACTTGAACAACAGAAGTGGTTTTCAAAGTTGTTAAGCAAGTCAGAATGTTAAGACTTTATCTGGTTCCAACCCTTTAAATAAACAGGCAAGCAAGTAAGTACCTAAATTATTTAAAACTTCCTATCAGAATTGCTTGATAGAGTCATTCAACATATATTTTTAGCGTACCTATAATTTGAAATGAAAAGTCAAAAAGACGATAAGTGGCAATCTTTTACTCAATTAATGAATTATGTTCTTAGTCATTCAGTTATTTAGGCATTAATGTAACACTGTTTATACTGAATATTTATATTAAATAGTGTATCAGGCACTGCCAATAATGAAGAATGCAAAGATTAAGGATATAGCTCCCATGGCCCAGGAGGTTCTACTGAACTCTATAAACTTTTTTTAGTAAATAAAATGGAAACTTTAGTAGATAAACCAGCCAATAAAATCTACAATATCATGTTGTAGGATCGTATATTTTAAATAAGTGTATACTTACAATGATTGAACAAGTGAAGCATAAATACATAGTACACAGTGAAATTAAAAATGCAGTTATTCTGTTTTATTGCACATAGTGAAGTAAAAAACAAAATGCCTTTTGGAAGATAAAATTAAGTGCTTTCGTTAATGTGAAAGAAAATGAGAAAATTTTAAGTGAGAAAATCTGGCTGATTGTCTATTCAGCAATCAGACAATTGCATGGTTTCATTTTTCCTTGAGATGCTTTGATAATTATTTGCTATACTTTCCTAAGAGAATTTCTATTTCAGTTTTAAGCATATTCTTAAAGTTTGAAAATTATAATTCTTATGAATTACTTTTTAAAATGTTTAGATCATTCATTTTAATACCACACAATGCTTGGTTTGTTGCAAAAATATAATTTTAAAGTTTCACTCTATGATTTGAATTTTACCAGGAGAAAATCAACTGGAATATCAAAATAATTTCATTTCCTTTTTGCAGTTGGTGTTAACTCTTCATTATAAACACAGTATTCATGTAATTATAGTTGAAGAGTATATACAAGCAAAGTTCAAGTGTGGCATCTAATTTGTAGAAGTTCCTAGTTTGTTTAGGGAGGTAAGACCAAAAAAATAGCCATTTAGAAATAAAATTGTTTCTAGTTTACCAAGTGTGTTGGCTCACACCTGTAATTCCAGCTACTTGGGAGGCTGAGGAGGGAGGATTGGTTGGGGCTGGATTTCAAGTCCAGCCTGGACAACATATTGAGACATAGTAATTTTCTTAAAAAATATTTTTCTAAAAATAAAGATAAAGTGTAGTATAGAATTAAGTTTCAATATGAGTGTTGCAGGTATAGAAATGTTCATAAACTTTTAGTCATTGATAAAAGTGAGATAATGTTCCACAATGGTTCAAGTCCCAATGCCATCACTTAATAGGCATATGATTTTCGGTGAGTTATTTAACTGCTCCACGGCTCTTTATATGGCATATAGATAATAATAGCTGCTAACTTATATGAGCTTTTTCAACAAGACTAAATCAATTTCTGTATTAATTTACTTAGAATGATTCCTGGCACAAGTAAGAGCTCCATGTTGTCAATTAGTGTTATTTAGTGAAAGGGAAGGTGGTTGACCAAGCCAACTTTTGCCACCAGTGTGTTTGGGAAATCTTAGAGGCCTGGAAATTATCACAATAGATCTGAAAATTCAAATGAAAACCAAAAGATAACTGGTCTAAAGATTATAAGCAAATTATTAAAATAGGGAGATGCAAGCCTTTTTAACATTGAAACAAGGTTCTCATACTTGAAAAAAAATACAATTACTGATAAAACAAAAACTAAGTATTTGAAATTAAGTTGATCTAGATTTTAATGTCAGTTCTGTCCCTTATTGTCTGTGATACTGATAATAAATTGTTCAAATCCTGTCAGCCTTTTTTTTAACCTATGAAATTTATTACATTGATTAATTGGAGATAATGAATGAGCAAATTTTCAGAAAATGAGTTTTCTTCCCATTCTTCCTTCATTCCTTTTCTTACCAAATCAATTATCAGAGAAGATTTAAGGAAGTAGATGACACTGTCTTTTTATCCTGAATATTTGTGTTAAGACTTGTATGAGAGAGAGAGAGAGAGAGAGTTTTCGCTTAAGACTTGAGTCAGATTTGTTTAGGTAATTTTTTTTGCCAATTATTTTTTAGTTTAGTGCTAAATAAATGTTATTTGGTTCCTTACATTATTGGTGATTTCTCTAAACATTCAATGTTCACATTTCACTTTTGTTTTCTAAATTTTTGTCTAAATAAGTCTCACTGAAACACATTTGTGAAAACATACCTCCATTCCCTGTTGCATCAAATTGGGTACTAAAAGAACTGGATGTCAAAACACTCAGGGTTTTCTCTTTTTATTCTCCTCTGCGTAAATACTGATTTCATATCTCTAGTTATCTTTAGTAAAATAGAAATGAGTCTTTTCTCTTAGCAATGCTGTGACTATACATAATATTATGTATTTTTATATATTATATATTTATATATTTTTTATTGTTATAGATATATATTTTATGCTTATATATAATAAAATAAAAAACAACAACAAAAAACAAAAGCAAGCCTGCCATTTTCGCACAAACTATGCAGGAAGTTAGGATTGTAAAAAAGTGATTGCTAATTATATCTTTTAATGTCACATATAAAAAAAGTTCTTCCTATGTATTTGGAATGAAATTATATATCTTATATTTTGCCTGTTTTTAATTGTATAATATATAATAACACTATTCCAATCACATCTGAGTTTTACAATAAATATCCAGAACTTATTTCTTCTCAAATACTTTTTTTGCTTGGTTTCCAAAACACCACTGTTTATGTTCCCTCCCTACCTCACTGCAAGCTCCTCTTCAACCTTCTTTGCTGGCTCTTTTTATCTTCTTGACCTCTGAATGCTGGAGTGCTTAGTTCTTAGGCCAAGAAAGACAGAAAGGTATTTTTATTTTCCTGAATTCACTCCCTAAATGAGTTCATGCAATCGTATCATTTAAAATATCACGTACATGCTGAGGTTTCTCAAAATTGTCTCATATACCTTATCTCACGGTAGGTCAGCAAATGATATTGGTGCTACTCTCAAAATCAGAGCCACCCTCACACTTTGACTTCTATTCCATCTGTACAAATATACATTAGTATATATTCCAATTTTTTGGACCCCTACATCTCTATCTTCCTATTGTCTCCAGAGTAGCAAGAGTGACCTTTTTATAACAAAAGATTTGATCAAGCCATTCCTCTATTAAAAAGCCTCTGATACGGCCTGGCGCGGTGGCTCACGCCTGTAATCCTAGCACTTTGGGAGGCTGAGGCGGGTGGATCACGAGGTCAGGAGATCAAGACCATCCTGGCTAACACGGGGAAACCCCGTCTCTACTAAAAATACAAAAAATCAGCCGGGCGTCGTGGTGGGCACCTGTAGTCCCAGCTACTCGGGAGGCTGAGGCACGAGAATGGCGTAAACCCGGGAGGCGGAGCTTGCAGTGAGCCGAGATCGCGCCACTGCACACTCCAGCCTGGGCAACAGAGCAAGACTCCGTCTGAAAAAAAAAAAAAAAAAGCCTCTGATGCGGAGTTTGCAGTGAGCCGAGATCGTGCCACTGCACTCCAGCCTGGGCGACAGAGTGAGACTCCGTCTTAAAAAAAAAAAAAAAAAAAAAGAAAAAGCCTCTGATGGCTGCAGTTTTTACTGAGGATTCAATCTAAAATTTACTTACCATATTTAAGGCCATTTGGGATCTGGTCTCAGCTACTTTCTTAATATCATCTCTGATCACTCTCTAATCGCCTAGAAGTAAGTTGGTCTCTTTGGTGTTCCTTGAACTCACCAACATGGTTCACCACTAAAACCTTTTACTATCTCCATCCTGGAACACCCATCCTCTTGCTTTCTTCACATTTCTGCTCAAATGTCATTTTAACAGAGGCCAACCATGACTTTAGAGTATAAAATACGCAGACCAGCTGAACCCTTTACCCTTTATCCCTTGATGTAGGTGGATTTCTCACCTTACCACACCCATATTACTAGTAATAGATTTATCTGCTTTCTTTCTTTTTTTTTTTTTGAGACGGAGTCTCGCTCTGTCGCCCAGGCTGGAGTGCAGTGGCGCCATCTCGGCTCACTGCAAGCTCCGCCTCCCGGGTTCACGCCATTCTCCTGCCTCAGCCTCCCGAGTAGCTGGGACTACAAGCGCCTGCCACCACTCCCGGCTAATTTTTTTTTTTGGTATTTTTAGTAGAGACGGAGTTTCACCGTGTTAGCCAGGATGGTCTTGATCTCCTGACCTCGTGATCCACCCGCCTCGGCCTCCCAAAGTGCTGGGATTACAGGCGTGAGCCATTGCGCGCGGCCTTGTCTGTATTTTTAAAAATTTACTATCTCTGTCTACTAGTATCCTCTATAAGAACAAGGGCTTTGTCTGCTTTATTCATTGCTATATTCCTTACAAAAGTGCCAAGCTCGGAAAAGGAACTCAATAAATACTTATTGATTGAACAAATAAATGAATTCCACATCTGCCACTTACTGCAAACATGGGCAAGTAATGTAAACTCTCGATGTCCCAGTTTCTCTATTTGCCTAGCAAAAAAAGAAAGAAAATCTAACTTACATGGTCTATTTAAGGTTAAATGGCACTATATGCTATGGGGATACCTGAGCATGTAGTAAATCTTAATGAATGATTTATATTGCTTTGACAGTCTAGCCAGGAACTGTTTGGATTAGCACAGATTTTTAGCACTTGAATTTTCCTATTCTAATTTATTTATGAGTCCGTTTCACCTGACAAAAATTAATGACCATCACAAACATATATTTTGGAAGATCAAATGAGATAAATACACAATATTTGAATTAGTAATTGTGAATGCTGTATGATAATTTATAACATTTTTCACTGAAGTTTGTTTGTTTATGTTGTGGTATACAAAGGAAAATCAAAGTATCAACCTACATTTTTGGCAAAATATGTTAAATGAAACACAATGGTCTCATTCCTATCTCAATATTCCTGGTGTATGTAGCTTAGCCCTCATAATAAACTGAAGACTGACTTAATGAATCATTCATGATTAGTTTGAACTAATCATCGGAATGATCAGATGTTGGCAGGGGTTCCTGTAATGAAAGGAAATGATCTACCATCTGTAAGTGCCTCAGAATTCTGAAGGTTCTTAGGTTCTATTTTTTCCCTAATACTTAGTCATTTTCTGTAGCCATTTATCTTGAATAAGCCAAAAAAAGGAAAGGTCAGCCAGATTCAAGATTTCAAAGGTGTCATTTCTTTAGCAAACATGCACTATTCTTGATAGACTTTGAAATATTTTGCATCTATAAAGGTTTCATTCAGAATCGTAAATTATAAGATATTCCAGTCTTTAAGATAAGGGAGTGTTTTGAGCTTGAATCAGCAAAACCATTCAAACTCAACTTTCTTTGTTTCAAATAATGAAAGGATTGCCACTGCTGAAACAAATATTGAATTTTTTCAATTTTTCTATCTTTATAAAGAAGGTGGATTGTAAATGGAAAGGTGTTGATTGGGATAATTTTTCTTTTAAATAAAACTAAAATATGTAAATATTTAAAGTTTTTCAGATGATCTGAAAAAACATTACCAAATATTTAGCTAGTTAAAAGTTACCTATCTAACTATCTGATTAACTTTCTCACTGGTACTTTTGATCAAAAGTCACTATTTATTAACTGTACCCTGGCTTTGCTATTTACCACCATAAACAACTGATTTGTCTTGGAAACACATACCCAGCCTTCAGGACTTAGTTCAAGAAAGCCTGCCTCTATAAAGAAAGTATAATTTCTTATTTTCTCCTTTTTTGGACTGACTTGTTTACATATAGGTTTTCTTGGCTAGTTTATAGAATCCTTGAGTTATTTAATCTTCTTTTGTTTTAGTTTCCTAGTACTGAATACAATTATATTTTAAAGCTCAGAGTTATTTAATCTTTAGTGTTAGTTACCTAGTACTGAATACAATTTTATTTTAAAGCTCAATTATCTATTTTAAAGCAACAGAAACATTTTTTGTGAGTAGATGGTATATATAATGACTAATAGAATCAATGCTAGTAAATAGATTTTTTGCATCTCTCTGGGATGAAATAAGAAAAAGAGATGTAGTATTATAAATATATGTAAGACATGCATATGTGTATATGTATTGCATATGTTTATAAAGGAGATATAGAGTTATAAACATATCCAAGACAAAATCTTTTTTCTAAAAATATTATCTAAAAATAATGAAACTACTAAGATAAATAAAATATATATAGCAGGAGATGATACAACCACTTACCAATGAGCATTCATTCCATTGTTCATTCATTCATTTATTTATTCACACAAAGGCTTTGGAGCTAACAGTAACAAGATCTTCCTGAGCTATCTTTTTTAAAAAAAAATTGCTGCAATTAAAAATCAAAAGGACTCTGGACATCACAGGAGACTGACTACTCTCATGATCTCATTCATGGTCTGGAGCTGCATATTTCATTATGATAGCCACTAGTCTTCAGTGGCTATTCAGCACTTGAAATGTGTCTAGTCTTAATTGTGGGGTGCTGTAAGTTTTATTCTACCTTTAAGTTTTATTTCAGAAATAACATGAGTAAAAGTACAAAAATGCATGCTAGTTTCCAAGACTTATTAATTTAAAAATGTAAAACTTCTCAATATTTTTATTAATGAAACATTGAAATGATAGCATGTCGGACATACTGGGTTAAATGAAATTTATTAATAAGCTTAATTTCACCTGATTCTCAACTTTTTATTGTGACTACTAGAATATGTCAAATTACATATATGGCTCACATTGTATTTCTACTGGACAGCAGTACTCTAGGACCGAGATGGCAAACTTTGGCTTGTGGGCATTCGTCCCTCCACCTGTTTTTGTAAATAAAATTTTATTGGAATACAGCCCCACTCATTTGTTCACATATTGTTCATGCCTGCTTTTGTGCTACACTGGCAGAGTTGAGTAGTCACAATAGATACTGTATAGTCCACAAAGTCTAAAATATTTATGATTTGGCACTTTACAGCACAATTTTAAAGACTCCTACACTAGATGTTGTTTTCTCTTGATATCTCTGCTTCTCTTTATCTGCCTTTCTGCCCCTTCTTGCTATGAATCAGGCAAGCCCCTTTGTAATAACCATGTTCTAGAAGAAAACAGACTTTTTGGTTTATCCAATTACCATTAATCCTGTTTGTTCAGAGTATTTTTGACCAGGCTGTGTTATCCAACCTATAGATCAAATGTTTAGTTCAGTCCAGTAAGTGACTAGCTTTGGGCAAAAAATAAACCTAATATTTTTACCCTTCACATACTTTTGTGAGCAGGTAGAACAGGATGCTGGGCCCAGCAGGTACTGTGACCCATGTGTCCAACATATTTAGCACGGGCTGTATTAGTCCCTGGGTAAAAAAGATAAGAGAGTGACAAATATAGATTCATGTTAACAAGAGACAACTAGCTCAGATTCTGGGTTATGAGGGAGAGTCTTTAATGGAAAGCTTTGAGGGGAAAGGAAGCATTGGTTGACAGCTAAGAATGTAAGGAAAATTATTCACATTTCTGATTTATTTTCTTGATCTTTATGAATCACGGTGCTAATACTTTATTTTAAATGGAGTTTACTTGTAGTATAGATTCATATCTGAGTATCAATATTGAAATATGTATTCTAACATAAATTTAAAATGACCTTTGTATTATCCATTTAAAATTATTTTAATGATACTACCATATCTTTTATAATTAAGAACTGACCAAATTGCCCAACAATTTAAACAGAATTATAACCCAAAAGCAAATTGCTTTTCTATCTTATGTCACAGAATGAAATAAATTAACTTGTTAACTTTCATTGTAAAAGGATTTACTTCAAATTTACATGTAGGAATGTATAATTTCTTCTACCTATAAGTTTTATTTCAGAAATAACATGAGTAAATGTGCAAAGTTGGCTAGAACAGATGGATATATATGACTATTGTGAAATCAAAGTGGATTTCATTCTATTTCTAGAAACATGACACACTGTTTCTTGCTTGTAATGAACATGTACCCTAGAATGTTTTAATTTAGCTTTAATTTTAGCTTTTGATAATTTCATAGCTCTTCTAAGAGGTGTACTCACCTTGAGTGTCAATAATAACTTTTGGCTAAAAGTAATAACTCTACTTTCAACATTTCAAACTAGATGTGTCACCTAAACCTGAAGATAAAGTAAATTAAAAGGCAAATAACAGTGTTTCTAATGTTTTATCAATAAATTCCTTTCCTCAAGAATGAAGTCCATCCTCTTTTATTCTATCCTAGAGGAGGAGGAGTGGTGATTGGGGTTAGTCAAAATTTAAAACATTTAATTGGCTATTGTGCTAATAAGTGACATTTTCAAGTGATGTTAGATAGCTAAGTATGACTATTTTCAATGTTGTTCCTATGAGAATTGTCTTCCTCCCAATTATGCTTTGGGTCAAAATACACAGAATTTTAAGTGTATGGATATGTGTAACCTTTCTGCACACCAAACTCAGTTTCAACAGTTTTACTGCTGGAGAGGGAAAGGCTGAGCCAATCACACCACCTGGTTCATTATGAGGCTATTTCAGTAGACGAAGTATTATGTAAAATAAATTCTCCATATGGTTCATTTTGGCATGCTAGAATTCTACATTGAAAGTTTGTAAGATAGAATGTTAAACTGTTTTTCTACTATGGTACCTATATCGTCATTGGAGATCCAAAGAGGAAAAAGAAGTAATTGGATTTAAGGAAGGATTTAGGTACCCCCTAGGTTTGCTGAACATTATCATGATGCCAGCTGGAATTGGGAGACAGACATTAATCACATTTTAACAAAATAATCATTCTTATCCAAGGCACTATCACTCTGGGCTATTCTTACTCAAATTATGATATATCTAATTCTTTGTAAAAGTAAGAATTTAATGAATTGTCAAGCCTACTTGACATCTTTAACCTTTCTTGCTTTTTTGTGGACAAAACTTTAGCGTTTTAAACACCCTCATAAACACCATATTCGATAACCTATTTTCAGCACTACTTGACTTCTATGTGAAATTTATACTGCTAATGCCCATCCATCTTCTACTTCTTAAAGTTTTCTTCGCCCCATGATTTCTAAGACAATTCTCACTTCTGTCTATTTTTTCTCATCTCTCTGGCATTAGTGTTCAGTTCCCCTTGCTGAAGTCTTCTTCTAACTTGTTGAAGTTCAACACATTTTGGTTCCTTATTTTCACTTCTAACTATATATATTTTGGAATAATCTCATTTACCCAATGGTTTCAACTATCTGAAATGTGTTGATATCTCTCAGATCAATATCTTCAGTCTTGAATGCTATACATAGTTACATCTAATTGCTTATTGCACATACCACAGGTTCCTCAAATACTATGGGTACCAAGGAGTACTTTCATGCTTTCCCTTTACCACCACCTCCAAAGTCTACTCCTATTCTTGTATTCTTTACCTCAGTTAATGGCATCACCATCCACCATCAAGCTACAAGTCACAGAGTTATTACTTTATTCTATTTCTCAGTTTATACATTACTGGTCACCAAATTCTGTCAGTTTTACTTTATGATTTTTTCTTGCATCTGTCATATCTCAATTCAACACAATAACAGGTTTTTTTTTTTTTTTTTAAAAAAAACCTTTACAGAATTTTCTTGGAATTTTCTCCCTTCACTGTTACCAACATTTTTCTATACCAGTCTAAACTTTACAGTGCTACCATAGCAATCTTACTAAAAACAAAATCTGCTGAAAATCCTCTTCTAGATATTTGATTATAAAATAAAATAAAAAGCCTCTAATGTGCCACATAAAGGCCTTTATAATATGTCCTGATCTACTGAGTTAGTCCAGTCTCATCTCTTATTATTCATTCCCACCCGTCATCATTTGTCTTTGATTCCAGGTATACCATACTTTCCACTGGACCCACAAACATCACCTATTATTTAAAAAAATCCATACCTTTTTCAATTCTGTTTTCTTGCTGGTAATACTCCATCTACCCTCACCTTCTCTTCTTAGGAAATATCTATTTCTCTTCCAATATTCAAATATCCTTTTTGTTCTTTGACACTTTGCCAGAGTTCTACCTTCAATGGGCTAGTGAATACCTTCAACATTAAATATAAATTTGGCTTTAAAAATTTTGAGTCTGTAAGTATAAGCTTATTATAAGCTTATTCATTTTATCTAGACTTACTATAATGTCAATGGAAAGCTTGATATTTTGAATAGCACTTAGTAGTTCTTCAAATGTCTGTTTTGAACATTTAGTAAAAAATAAAAACATGTAACTACAACTGGACAGATTTCCCCAAACATAATCTATAGGGAATGAAAGAAAGAGAGATGGTATCTTTTGCATCTATTTGGTTTTTGACTGTCTTAACTCTGTGTCCATATATTATGACATGATATAATAACTAATGCTTTATTACTCCTCTATCTTCCTAATCAGATCACGAACTCCTCCAAGATAGAGAATGTCCATCCTAGGATCTCTAATAGCAGAAACAATAAAAAAAAAGTGGCTGTAGATCAAACTTTGGATAAGATAACTTGATAATATCAAAGGAGAATCATCAGAGAAAAACTCAGGAATGCTAAAGTCTCAATCTTTCTTTTAGTTCCACAAGACCTCTCTTGGTATTCAATGTTCATTGAGAGGCCAAATAAAACCAATTACATAGCTATGGTTTTAAAGACATCATTTGGGAAGGGCTATGATGAGAGATACACTTTTTGACTTTTGGAGTCAGTCTCATATCTATATGGCTTAATCCCAATGTGTGGGGATTTTGTGATTGTTTGACATTTTGTCCTTTTCTTCCCCTTCTTTCATTAGCCAAAAACTCTACAAGTCAATTTATATTTTACTTACTTTTTAATTATCCACCTTTAGCTCACTATCCCTAAACCAATTTGTGCTGCTGGTGTTTTGGATTAGGATGGGATGGCAAAAATGGGAAAAAGCTGGAAAGACAAAAGATATTTGGAAGGCAAAATCAAGAGAAATGGAAAGGGACACAACACAATTTTCAGTTAAAACATCACCTAAAAATCTAAATGTTGCTAATTTCATAGCCAAATGTGACTGAAATAATAATGTGCATGATTGGTTATTGCACAGGAATTAAATAACTGCTAAGTTACATGTGCTTTCTTTTTCTTCCTTGAAATTTAAGAAAATTATAAAGACTAGATGTTACATAAGTGAGGTCTCTCTGGGAAGAGGCTGAATAATTAGGAAGTAAGAGAGTAACAGTGTGGCTTCTTAAAAGGTTAGAGACTATTAAAATTGACAAATAACCAATTCCAAGCATCAGATATCTAGCAATAATAAGGAAGTGAGAATGGAAATTAGAGAAACTGTAGACAATACTTTCTTCCTAAGTGGATTTAATTCTGAAAATATCCCAAGGGATAGGGAGGGTGATAACATAATGCCTGCATTTAACTGACAATCAGAGCAAAATGTGAGTGCACAGCAGAAAGAGGTGCAGCAACTGTGGATTGTGCTATGATTTATGTGGCTAAATGAATGAGCTGTAGAGTTGCTACTGCATTCTGAAGACATTGGCAAGTGAATGGCTTATATCACCTATTCTGTCTCTAATTACTGAGCCTGTAATAGCTAACCCAATTTCCCTGAAACATTGAAACTTTTAAAGGCATAGCAGGAAAAAAGCCACATTATATGCTTTACTCAGTACTGAAGTTTTGAATTACATATTAATTGTGTCCACTGTTTTTATTAGCTTGAAAGTTTTTATTAAATTTCACATTTAAAAATCTTTGCAATATTAGAATCTTACAGATTCTTCATTATTTAGCCCATCATACCTTTTCAACTAAGTCATTTCAGTTGTTCTTTTCTACACTGTGAGGCAGTAGGTATGACTGATGTTATTGATCCTGTTCTACTAGGAGAAAATAGGCTCAGAAATGTCTAATGCTATTCCCAATTCATATAATTTATTAGTGTTGAAGTCAACATTATTCCACTATTTGAGAGTTCTGTCTACAATACCACATTGTAGATTTGGGGACTAGCAGAGCATACAGATTAGCTGCATCGTAAGTTTCTTCAGAATATGCATGCTTTTTATCATCTTAATTTTAGAATGTAGAGGTGTTTGTGATCTCCAATCAGGCGATGAAAAGCGGATTTGGAGAAGACACAAGAATAATTTCCTGTATAAAATGTATGAACATGAGAGTGGATTCTTGAGTTAAAGTGATTTTTTTTTCCTCTCAAATAGAGTGGGTATAGTCTCTTAAATGACTTTATTTTTAAAAGTTTATTTATTTTCAGTTGACAAATGAAACTTGTATGTTCTTATGGTATACAAAGTGATATTATATATATATATATATATATATGATTAATGTAATTGGCATATCTGTTACCTCACATACTTATATTTTGTGGTGAAAACATTTAAAATCTAGTTTCTTAGCAATTTTCAAGTATACATTATTAACTATAGTCACCATGCTGTACAATAGATTTGCAGAACTTATTCCTCCTAACTAAAACTTTGTACCCTTTGACCAACATCTCCCCATTCCCCGCTTCCCACCCCGGTCTTAGCCCCTGGTGTTAGAAAACAATTTTAGATAAAATAGTTACAAAACTTTTGACCAGGAGGTGTTCTGGACTACCTATAAACTGCATGTGAGGCTGCAATGCATGCAGGCATATCATTTATACTGCATCCTAGTTTTCAATATTACAGAATAATGTTTTATTGTTGAATATGTTAAAGGTGATAAAAATATAAAGCCAAACAAGATAGGTCCTAGACTTTGGAAAAATACATATTTCTAAAATGTCAACAGATTCTTCTTTCCTCCCCTCCTTTTTTTTTTTTTTTAACTTTTTTACTTTCACTTTCTAAAGCTCTGTTGAATTTGGAGGCATAAGGATGAGAAAAGACTGGCCCACAACTTGAGTGCATTGTTCACTGTGAATCTTGATAATAACAGGTATCCCTCATCAAGCACTTCTACATGACATGCACTGTGCTCGGCTTAAAAAACATCTACAACAACCTTATGCAATGGGTATTTGGATATTATCAGTTCTTAATGCAGAAAATTAGTCTTAGAGAGATCTTTAAATTTGAATTTAGATCTGTTGCCGTTGGGTTGCAATACTGAAATTAGACTTTTAAAAAGGCTGCAGGGCAAGACAGAAAGGTGACTCAATCTCCAATGAGGCTAGATAGCTGCTGAGTCAAGACCGTATAAGGCAGCATTAATCTATGTAAGTTCCTTCAAGTTCAGAATCTGTTAGTGATTGGACATGACTTAACTGCAGGTTGCTGATATGTCAACCAAACTCACAAGAAAGTGGCATACATAATAAAAATGCAAATTTATAATTTCCCACGAGAAATATGGCAAATGGATTAAATATTTTCTTTATACTGACCCCTAATTATCAGAAAATAATCTGTGTAAGAATGCCTCATCATATAACACGAATAATACCACTGTCTGTATCCTTAAGTCTCTCTATAGAGGATAAAAGTGTTTCTTTTGCAACACGACACTTGCATTCTTGAAAAACCCTGTATTCTGCAAAACTATGTACTAAAAATAAAATTACGAGGCTTATGGAGGAAACGGGGCTGGGGCAAAACCTATGTAATTGTGTACCAAAAGCACTAGCAAAAACAGTGGTTGGTACCTAGAGAGATTACTTGAATAACTTGGAAAGAGAGGTCAAGATAGCTGGGGTTTGCACCATGAAATATTATAAAGGCTGAAAGCAATTGAGTGGAAATACTGACTTTTAAGCACTGGGACAATGCAGAAGACAGCAGAACTCAGACGCATTGTGACTGCTCTTTAGATGCACTCTGCAGTGACTGCAACATGCCGGGAGCTTAGAGCAAGGCAGGGAGTGAGGAGACCTGCAGAGGGTAATCTAGGTCAAGGGCTCATTATAATTTCACTCTCACTATTCCAGCTCCACTTGCCTAGAAGAAATTATCTATAAAACCATACAACATTTCTGTTCTACTAGCATTATTGCTGTATTTGCCAATCATATGAGCTACCTAGTGTTACAGAAGATATATTGCAACAGAGCAGTCTGGCTATGTTGTCCTAACAGAGTACTCTTAGCCCTGTGTAGTTCTTGGGTGAGTATTGCCAAATTGCCTTATTAATTCTCATTTTATATTTATAGATGACTGACCACTCTCTCTTTTGATTGGCACATTCTTAGGCTTTATAATATCTTCAGTCAGGGTATCTCAACCCCTCTACAGACAGAAAGGATTAGAGTTAACTAGAACTCTAGAGTTCTGCTAGTCCAACTGAGAAAAACCTCACAATAGCATCCATCGTTAACCACTCTGCTTCAATTCTTACAGAGATAGAAAGTTCACTGACTTCTAAGATGGTCCATTTATTCATCTACTTATAAAAAACACATATGATCATAATAGTTCTAACATTTTGAGTGTTTAGTACTTAAATAAGTCTTAAGCTTAAGAATAAGTTGAACAGAAAGAAAATTCTGATTTAGAGACTATGATGAGACTATTTGGATAACATATGTAAATGTTCAATGGCTCTAGGAGATGTCTTTTTAGATATGGCAATTTACCATAGGAATGCTTATCTATAGAACTGGTAAGAAAAGATAATGGGGAAAATAAAAATTTATCAGAAGTATATTTTTAGAGGATTAATGACTTTTGTAAATTTCTCAAGAAGTTAATGATAGATTGTTGCACATAAAAGCTGAAAGAGAAACTAATTTGTAATTATATATAATGTTACATTTAATTTGTAAATGGAAAATTTAAGTTCAGTAAACAAGATGATCAAAGTCATTTGTAAATTATAGTAACATATTTAAAATAGATACTGTATTTAGTAATCTATCAAATTTTGCATTTTATATTTCATTCCTAGAACTTATTATATACCACATTTAAAGCCTTTTTTGTTAGTGAAAAAGAGTAGAGATATTTTTTATTAAAAACTTTTTAAAAATATTTAAGTCTAGTAAATAAAATTAAGTTAGAGATAGAAAACACCTATAGAAATCCCTTTCCTAATGATACAGATCCTTGACAGACTAAAGGACTTATATAATAAAAAGTCATCAATATTGTTCTGATTTCTAATCTTGTAGTATTTCAAAACAGAGGAGATAGCGATTTACTGCAGACAGCGAGGAGAGACTATGCATTAGAAATAAGCAAATTATCAGAATAGGTCGCAAGATAACCAATATGTTTTCATGACTGAAAGATATAACTTATGAAGTTATTCAGGACACTGGACATGAAGTTTTCACAAGAGGTAAGTTACACAGAGCTAGTATGTTAAAAAAATCGAAAGAAAGAAAACCATATAGCAATGTGTACCTTGAAGGGTACAGAGAGTTCTGAGAAGATCTCAGGGTTCAGCTACTTAGCTTCCTTTCCTCTCTTCTAGCTATCTTTTCTACCACCCACAACAGTTTCCTTTTCATCTGTTAACACTTCTGTCAACATTTTTCATTTTATTCACCAAAATCTTCAAATTACTCAATTTTTTTAAGAACAATTTCCGCTTGCCGTGTAATAGGTGTAGAGGTGTTTAGTGAAGCTAAATTAAAAGTTTACTGTTAGTCACTGCTCATTAGTTATCAGCACCTTTTTCTTTTTGGGAGTTCAGTGTTGTAAAAAGAAGGGGTGATGGATAGAACTGTAGGGATTATAAACTTCGTGGAGTTCTGCAATTCAATGCAATAAACCTGTATGGAGTGTTGCCTGAATATTATACATCCCACCCCCTTCAATCTGGAGTACCTAGCAAAACTCCTTCCTTCTAGTGGGGATGTTGATGAGATTAATTAATGTAAGTTATAGTAAAGTGGGCTTTTTGTTCCTTTTCCTTTATAAAATACAGAAACACCAAATAAAAGAAAAAAATCACCTATGATATTTTTTAGAGAATTGAGCTTTATTCTCTAACTGGATTGTTGAGTACAAATGATGCATGGATTATGACCAAATGCAACTTTCTTTTTGATTTTTATTGATCCTTGATAATGTATCCAATGGGGTGAGTTTCTCTGGCTCCCAGTGAAAACTCTAGGAGGTTCCATGGCTTTTTACATTTTGATCAAACTAACAGCTTTAAAATTACTTCAAAAAACAAACATAGTCTTGATTAAGAAATTATCTTGTCCCTTATAATAATCAAAGAACAGAAAATATTCTGTGTTAAATATTCTTCCTCTTTCATCTCAGTCTGGCTTCAAACTGAAAAACCTGGAGCATTACTTGTAGTTTTCTTTATCATTTCAACCTGTTTGTCTCTGCTTTTCCTTAATAGTTAACTCACTGCCAAAGTTGATGGTCCAGGGTGGTGTATAGAGAGGAGCAGACGTGGAAAAGCCAGTTCTTACTTGCTTGAATATTATTATGTTCATTGGGCTGCTAGTTAAATTTGGCAACCCTATGTGGTGTTCAGTTAATTGAAGCTAACCATTTCATTGTGTAACTTTTCGGGATTTTCACGAATTCCCTAGTGGGCTCTCTTTCCTACAGTTCAGTTGATACTAGTAGATGCACCATGTGCAGAATGGAGCTCCTTTCTCGCACTGGACACCTGGCACCACACCTTCAGATTCATTCTGCTGGGGTCTCTTCAATGCTTCTGGGTCGCCCTATTGGGCAGGACTCAGAGCCCTCGTTATGCATTACTCCCCCATTGCCACCCATGGTGTGTGGGAAATTCTTACTTATTTCTTTTCCTGACAAACTCGAGGAGTACAGGCACCTCCATGATCACTCTCCTTGTTCTGCTTCCAAAGCAGAAAATCAGCTTTTCCCTTGACCTCTAAATTCTTTTCAGGTGGGAGGGTAACCCCTGACTGCAGTAAACTTTGACTGGGTCCAGTATAAGTTTTATGTGTCTAATTGCAGAAAATCCACTTCAAAGTTCTGCAAATGGTTCTTTTGAAGCCCTCTTCACTAAGATTTGTATCAGAAGGTAGCACCACAGGCATCTGGGGTGAGGAGGCTGAGACTTACAGAGACTTACAGCCTGGCTTGACTCTTTTAGGAGAAATGTCTCCATCATTTTTGTTTCTTTCTCTTTAAAAAAAAAATCTCTCAGACCACTTGTCTTTGAGTTTAATGAGAGATCCAAGAGATGCAAACAAGTTTCATTTCACCTCTTTGTGAATTCCTTTCTATCCTTTTTATATCATTGGTTTTGATAAGGAGACCAAAAGAGCTGGGGGGACATTTACATTCAACCCTTTAATAAATTCCTCATATGGGACTGGAAATCTACCCCATTATCTGTTCAAAGTGAGGAAAAGAAGAGTTTCATTTTAGGTTTTGTTTTTTTTTCTTTTACACTGTCAACATAACAGTTATTAAATGTATTGTAAATACTGATTTACAAATGAGTCTTTTCCACCAAAGATAACCATGTGCTAGAAGGCATGGACTCTCCTTATTCATGTTAATATCACAGTAACTAGTGCAGTGCCTGGGGCATATGGATATTCAACAAATAGTAGTGAAAATAAACTTTATGCTTATATTGCACAGCTTTCACTTTCATTGATATGTCTGATCATTGATTTTCTTCTCAGTTCAGTTAACACTGAGCAAAGCTTTATAGAAGAGATTCCTAAATTAGTCTTGAAGCAGATTGTAGGTGGTGATGGTGGTTGTATATGTATGTGGAAGAAAGTTTAAGGGAAGCATGGCCAAGAGAACAGCAAGTACTAAAACATGGGGGTGGGAGGAAAAGCATGTTGGGAAACGTTGAATATTGCTGGAGTGTATGGTAGAATGAAAAAGGCAAGAAATGAGATTAGAAAACAGCATACGGGTTTTATATACCACAACAAAGGGTTTGCAGTTTATCTTTTGGATAATGGGATTTTGAAGAATTTTCAGTGGAAAATACATTAATTGAGAATAGAATATGTTTTTGCAAATTTATAAGAGACAGACTGAGAGTAAAAAATTCAATTGAAAGTGCAGTGTGTTTTAAAATATTCAGCAATAAAGCCTCGTGTTTCTGTTGATTAGCTATGTAGGACTTTAAATGGATCTTCACCATTATCAAGCAGTTTTTACTTTCTAAACTTTATTTTTAGGGAAAAAAAAGAAATTATTGTTTAAACTATCAAAGTTATTGCTATTTTCACCTCACAATCATGAAGAAAGGGACCTGGGAATTTTGTTCTTCACTCCTTGCAAGTAGATTCTTTCAACAAGTGTTCATTTAATTCTGAGTTAAAGAAAGTAAAACTCCATACAAGAATATCAGCATGAAAGTATACAGGAGAAATCCATTTTTATTTTAAACAAGTTGGTACAAACCAAGGGAAGAAAGTAGAAACTGGGTTAGATGAAAGGCAGTGCTTCAAGGGAACTGGCATTTTGCCATAACCTCTCTCATTTATTTGAGGGTATGTCCTGTCATGTGGGTAAAGTATAAAGAAGCATTTCTGTGACAGCAAATTAGTCAGTATAAGAAACTCAAGTCTATGTTCTGGCTTAAAGAGGGAAGATCATTCAAACCTCTTTAAACTGTGATGAAGTTTAAAAGCAAAGAAAATAGCACCGACAGCAACTCTTTTAGGAGAGAGCAACATTGTTTAAAGGGTACTAAAGGACCCCAGGAAAATACAGAAGGAGCCACTGGAATTTCCTCAGTAACAGTGCTTTTGTTATTTTTGGCAAAAATTAACTTCAAATAACCTGAATAAATGCACAATAGTATATAAACCCCCAGGCTAACGGGAACTAACCTTCAGGGCAGAAAATAATCAAAAGAAGAATAAAATGTTGTAGAATTAAAATGCGGGCTGCAGAATAGGACAAAGATTTCGAAGGAAGGAAAAAAATGTGATATTTCTGGAGAATTAGCTATTAAGTCATGCACATTTATTGTAGCCAGACTTGGCAGTACAACTGCTGGTAAAAGAATGTCAGAGGTTTCAATATAAAACTCCTATTAGAAGCAGTTATTGTGTAAAATTAGCTATCCAGATCTTTGAACATCCCACACCATCTGGCAGAAACGTACAAGCCCAGATGTCCTATGTCTTTATGTAGAGTTTAGAGTCACTGGGTATCAAACCAAGAACCATAAATATCTCATTCCAGGGAAAAGCTAAGATATTGTTCATAGGTTCAATTTACTCTACTTTGTCATTAGTTCAAATAACACAACACATTTATTTATAGTACCCATTCTACTATAACCAAATGAAGAGGTTATATATTTTCTGAATATATTCTGAAGAGGCATATATTTTATGTACTGAAGAGTCATATATTTTCAATTTGCACCTCCAGATCCATTCTTCACCCTTCACCTCCTGCAATGTGTTTGCAGGGAAAGGGGCTGATCATTGCCTTTTGGTTATATTTGGTAAATGGGAGATACTGGTAGAACATCAAAGACAGGAGGAAAATGAAGTCCATATATTTATTCCCTTCATTCTCGGCCTTTGCCCAAAGTCCTAGTTTATTTCGCATGAGCCTTTCCAAGGTGTGTATGCCTCTCCAGTTTAGATAGCTAACTCCTCTTCTTTCATTAGGCTTGGGATAGCAGTTGTTCTCTTCTGCTATTAGCCCCATGGTACTGTAACATTTCTTGTTGATTTTCTTTAACCTTCTCATATGTTTTTTATTTTTCTTTTTTATTTTTATTTATTACTTTATTCATTTTTGAGCCAGGGTCTTGCCCTGCTGAAGTGAAGTGGTGCAATCATAGCTCACTGCAGCTTTGGTCTCCCAGGCTCAAGGTATCCTTGTGTCTCAGCCTCCTGAGTAGCTGGCACCACACCTGGCTAATTTGTGTGTGTGTGTGTGTGTGTGTGTGTGTGTGTGCGCTACAGATAAGGTCTTACTGTGTTGCTCAGGCTGGTCTCAAATTCCTGCACTCAAGAGAGCCACTTGCCTTGGCCTCCCAAAGGGCTGGGATTACAGGCGTGAGCCACTGTGTCGGGTCCTTCTCATACTTTGGTAAATGAATCCTTTATTAAAGTTCTTTGTTCGAATTTGCCATTTGTTCCCTTCCAGCGCACTGATTGATAAGTATCCACTTACTAAAATGTAAATGGCTTAGCTTGTGGGAAAATGTTTTCATGTTATGTGCTGATCTAGTGTTAGGAAAATGTACGAGATGACAGAAAACCAATCAGTTAGAGCTAGGGAAGAGAAAGTAAGCCCTAACATTCTATTTGACACTTACCAAAGCATCTGGAGGTCTTTACTGAGATCCTGGCTTGGCGTTCTCCTTTTTCTAGTTAATACACTGATATGGTCTTTCTGAATTTTGAAGGGTCTATGTGTATTTAAAATACTTTTCCTTTTTTATTGTTAGCAGTTTGGGTTTGATATATTTCTTATATCTGAGAGTTGGATAAAATTCAGATATAAAAAAATAAGTACAATGTAAGCTTCCTGAAGGGAAATATTCTGAATATCTACTATAGAAATTAGGGCAAATGTGGTTGTTTCATTAGCATTTTATTTCTCTACTTCTCTGATTGTTTCTTTTGTCATGTTTGCTCATTAACCTCCACCAGTTGCTATTTATATTAAACTTCCTCCAGGCTGTATATTGACCTTCACCTTTTTATCTTTTATACTACCTATCTCTTTTAGGATCTAATACACACCAGGATTTCAATATACTATATCTATATTTAAATCACTCAGTAATTTGGGCTTCTTGTTTATATTTCTGAGTTGTAGTCCAACTGCGTACTCATGTCTACCCTTAAATGTCTTCCCTATTCAAAACTCTGACAATTTCTCATTTCATTTTGGCCAAAAAACAAAAAAAACAAATACCATGACCCCTGTGGCTATAAGTGATTTGCCTTCAACTTTACTGTGTTGGAATGCAGTCTAAGCTGCTGTAGCAAAAAAAGAAAAAAAGTAACATAAAAAACAATGGCTTAAGAAAGGCAGAAGTTGATTTTTCCCTTATGTAACAGTCAAAAGATCAATTATTCAGGGCTGGTCACAAAGGGTTCTGCTAACCACTTACATAACACTTTCATTTTGGGATCCAAGGTGACTGCTCGAGGTCCTGCCTTTTTACTTCCATCCTAGTCAGTGAAAAAAAAAAAAAAAAAAAAAAAAGGAATAACTGGAAGACGAAAGGAATGAACACCAATCATTTTAAGGACATGGTCTGAAAGTGGGAAAACTTATCAGCGGAAAAAGAAATTGGTTTGGGAATTGTGTTATACAGTCATACCATGGAGGTGCAGACCACCTCCCGACCCTGGACTGTGTTTCTTTACCCTGACGTATCCTGAGAAACAGGAATGGTACAAACTAACTTTTTTTCCTTTAGAGGAGTTGGGGGAGGTGGTATGTGCAGGCATTCTTCAGAGTATTCTTCCGCCCCCAGCACCCACTCTCATTATTTTCCCTTTTACCACCGACTCTTGTCCTGAAAGGTTGGTTGCCTGTTATTTTTGGATCAAACATACGAAGAAAACCCTTAACTTCTCCTTTTGGAAGTTTCAAGTTTCAGGAAGCCACCTAGCCAGTTGGTTTATTTTCTTGACCTAACAGTAGTTCCATGATGCATTGGTTTTAACAAGGCAGCTGAGGCAACAAAACGAGTGGCTTACCATTCTGCCTAGTCACCCTAAGCCTGAGTACTAGAATGAACAGCACATAACTTTGTGTGAGTCCACATATTTTAAAAATCTCCTAATCCTATGAGTTCATAGCTTCTCTACCTACATGATGCATTTGGCACTAGTTTGAATGGTCCCATCACATCCTTTTTACAATTGCTCTCCTCATCCAGAAGAAAACTTCACACCATAAAGAATTATGTTGCAAGAGATTTCCAAGTCAGAGAAGATAGCTTTCACAGAAATCATTTTCCAAAGTGAGCTTAGGTTTTCCAATTAACCCACAGAATCATGTTTAGTCCATAGTGTAGATGATGTGTAGCACTATTTTCAATTCTGGATCTTAGGAATGGGGTATCATCTAGTAAAGGAAACTTAAATGAAAAAGAACTTCCTCTCTTTTTGTTCTGAAAAAAAAAAAAAAAAAAGGCATTAGTACCCCTTCCTCATGTATCCCACAAGTATTCCATTATACCCTTGCCTTTTCAAGGCCACTTATATGGAAAAGGCAAAAGAAAACCAACTTCTATTCCACTACTGTGTTTTCTCATTACCTTCAAATTAGCTACTCACACTATATAAAATTGTCCCTGTCTCTCAATGACTTCAGTCTGAGAGGAAGAATGTTATACGATTTAACAAATTCCACTAATATGTGAACAAAAAGCAACAGCTCCTTAACATTCTCAGAAATCACTGGAGTTTTTAAAGAATGATGATTTTATTGTGAATTTTTTGATTCATAGAATTTTAGGAAAGATAACAAGGAAGTCAAGTGAAATCAGGAAGTGCAGAGATTAAAAATGGGAACATTCCTGCTTGAGATAGCTCCATAGAGCCTTTCCTGCCTTTTTCTTCCTTCTCCTATCTCTACTTCAATGTTTACAGATTCTGTGAGATTTTCAGTTGCTTTCCTGGTGATGACATTAGTGACCCAGAGTGAACAGCCTTTGCATGGCAGGGCTATTTGTCTTATTATTTTACTTAGCTGGATTACAAACTAACTAAACCATGTCTTACATGTATTTTTACTTTTATTTTTGAGACAAGGTCTCCCTCTGTCACCCAGGCTGGAATGCAATGGCACAATCAGAGCTCACTGCAGCCTTGACGCCCTCCAGGCTCAAGCGATCCTCCTGCCTTAGCCCCTGAGTAGCTGGGGCTACAGGCATGCAACACCACGCCTGGCTATTTTTTTTTTTTTTTGGTATTTTTGTATTTTTAGTAGAGGCAAGGTTTTGCCATGTTGCTCAGGCTGGTCTTGAACTCGTGGACTCAAGTGATCTGCCCACCTCAGCCTCCCAAGAGTGCTGGAATTACAGGTGTAAGCCACCATGCCTGGACACTTGTCTTTTTATTATCGTAAAGAGCCAAAGCATTAGGTACTCAATAAAGATTTAAAGAATGATGGTGTCAAAGTACATAGACTTTTTCCTCTATTTAAATAATCAATTTTCTTCCTGTGTTATTCAGACTTTAATAATATGTAACCAACTCCAACACATTAGGTGAGATTTTCTATTTCTATGTCCAGCAATTCTTAACATTGTCCATGAGCACAAATCTTTTCTAGATTTGCCTTCTTACTGATTTTTTTTCCCTCTTTGGGCTTTTTTTCCCCCGTCCATACCATCACTAAGATGTGTCCGTGTCTATGTCAGGAGAAGGATGTCAATCAGAATGGTGGTGAGGATAAGTGAGTCGGCACTATGAGAAGGTACTGGAACTAGGGTAAAGGAAGAGGTATTTCTAAGTGGAGACTTGATTAAAAAGGGGAGCATCTTATACCAACCAGCAAGTCAGTGGGGGAGGTCTGGAGTGATTAACTGACACAGGAGTTTCCCCTAGGTCCCCTCATGCCCTTCAGGCTACAGGTTGCCATTTTGTAATGACAGATTTTTTTTTTTTTTGAGATGGAATCTTGCTGTGTTGCCCAGGCTGGAGTGCAGTGGCTTGATCTCAGCTCACTGCAACCTCCACCTTCTGGGCTCAAGCAATTCTCTTGCCTCAGCCTCCCTAGTAACTGGGACTACAGGTGTGCACTACCACACCCCGCTAATTTTTTGTATTTTTAGTAGAGTTGGGGTTTCACCATGTTGGCCAGGCTAGTCTTGAACTCCTGACCTCAGGTGATCCACCCGCCTTGGCCTCCCAAAGTGCTGGGATTACAGGCATGAGCCACTGTGCCAGCCTTTTTCTTTTCACTTTAAGATTATTCTTGGCATTTATTTACTTCAGATATAGCTATAAAAATATTTCAAGTAGAGAATGGGGAAAAGTGAGGAGAAGATGAAGACAAAGTAATTTGTCTAAACACTACTCTCTCCTAATGAATTAATTCTTTTCTTTCTCCCTTTCATCTACCCCTCCTTTCTCTAATCTTTTCCCCCTTCTTTCCTGCTTTTCTTTCGTACTCCTTTTACAAATATTTACTGGTACCTACTTCCTGTCAGGCATTCTGCCAGGCTCTGGGGATACAGATAATGAAGACAGGGCTCTGATTCTTGTCTTTTAGATCCTCACCTTCTACTGGGGAGACAAACACAAACATAGTTAGGAAAATCATAATATAATTAGCTTTTGTAATGATTTCCCCAAATACAAAAGGAGAAAAGGACCACCCTCCCCTGACCCGATTTCCTGCTGGAGTACACTTCATACATGAGGAACAATTTGAGTTGAAGCATGGGTGGGAGTTTGCAAGGCAGAATAACATGGAGAGGAGGATATTCTCATCCTGAGGGATAGCGCGTACATAATAGATTGCGGCATGACAAAAATCATGTTTTGAATGTTAAAGCACCTTACTGCTGTGTATAAAATGCACGTAGCTGAGTGATGGCAGATGAGCAATGTACAGCCAGCTTTTGAAAGCCTCTATATGCCATATAAAGGAGTTTAGGTTTTGTTCTGAGATAATGAAACTGTTTTGATGACTTTTGAGTGGGATTCTGAAATAATTACATTTTTAACCATTGTTGGAAAGATTACGCTCACAGCAGTGCTGATGGCCAGGTATTATTAAAAATACAGTATAAGAGAGAAGTGGGCATCAATTGTTCTGGTCTGGTGAGAGATGAGGATCTAAGCCAGAGCAGTAATGAAAGAATTGGAGTAGAAGGGCTGATTTAAATTTGATTATTGGTGCAGACACGGGGATTGGTGATTGCTTGAATGTGGAAGGTGGAAGATACTTGGAATAGTTTTTGCATTGGAATTTGGGGTGGCCCTACGCTTTTCTTTTCAGCTGGTTTCTGCCAAATGTGAAATTGCAATTTACATAGAAAATTTTATGAAGACTTCAGAATGAAGAAGTCTGCATTTTCAAGTCTTCTGGTAAACTCATGTTCTTGTTGCACATCTGAGAACAGCCCCACCTGTTGACAGATCTTTGATGGCAAGGCTACATTTTTGATGGTTTCCAAAGATGGAAAAATTGCAGAATAAAGTTCAGAAAACATGGTGAGCTTAAATGAATAAGTTATATTTAATTGGGTATATGGTATTGTTTTCAATATTAAAGATATTTTGAGGCCCAATTAGACAAGACTTTACTGACCTGAAGATGTCTAAAATTATATTATAGTTCAAGAACAAGAGATGATAGAAATTTGGTCAGATCATTTCTTAATTTCTCTTTGTTCACTTATTATTAATCACGTTGTTAGGAGTATGGGGACTATTCCTATGAGAACTAAAGGAATCTTTTTTTGTTTGTAGTTTATGTCCCAGTAGGTGGATAATACAATTTAGTTTTGCTTTAAGGATTTTAGGATGCATATGTGTTTGTTTTTATGTATTTTATATATAGTGTATATACACATACTTATGTATTATATATAACTATAATATATAAGTATAAACTTGACTTCAAGATAATTTTTTAAAGTAAACTTTTAGTTCAAAATTTATTTCTTTTTAAATCAGATCTTTTCACCTTTGTACATATATATCTGTGGCATAACTAATATTTTTTAAAGTTTATGTTCAATTTCTTTCAAGTCTTTGATGTTTGATTTTACTGCTTTCATCTTCCTTTGTGAAAGTAATGATAATGTGGCACCTACTGCTCCTTGAGCAGATTGAATGTTTCTGTCCCATTAGGGAATAGTCTTGTGATATTTCCAGAAGGATATTAAAAATCTCACTTTATAGTAGAAATTATCCCTTTGTGAATACTGAATGTCTTTATCATAATGCTGTCAGTTCTGCTATTTTTCATACATTTCAGTGGCAAAAACTGAAAATTAGTGCATTGATCATAATATTAAAAATGCATCCCTTTCTACTACTTGATCAATAGTACTTTCCAGTTGATTATCTTGTCTGGCTGAAATGTCTGTTATCTTTCATTGGCTAATTCTCGAGAGTAGACTTTAGGATGTTGGTTTGGAAAACATTTTAAAAATGATTATATCTAACTCCTTCAATTTTCGGATAAGAACATTGAGTCCAGAGAACTCAATGATGATAAATATCTTAGATAACATTATAGACCCAGGGCTAGAACTTACAGTGCTTTGAAGCACAATCTAGCAGTTTTTCAGGTGAAGTCTTGATATAAAAGATTCACAACTATAAGAAACAAGACTTTATTTATTCTCAACAGGTCTCCATTTTGCTTTTTAAATGTAATTATTTTCTAAAACCATCCCTATGCTCAAAAGCTTAGACCCTCCTCTCACTTGTGGAGTAAGCTGCACGGAATATTGAATATAGACTGCATGTACCACAGAAAGTGGGTTTATAGATCTATCAGTCTCAATTCCTTCCACAACCACTTATTGACTAGCTACAGTGTGCCTCCTCTGCGGCAATGGCAAAAATAAAATGGATTGAATTTCTGGCCTTGAGGCGTTCATGAGAGAATTGGATACCTACATAAATGACTCTAAAAAAATAGGCTGTTTAAATGTTTTAGAAAAAATAAAAATATAGTGCTATGGGGCTGTATTAGGGTCTTCAGAAAAACAGAACCAATAGGTATATATAGATATATGAGAAGTGATTGTTTATGGGAACTGGCTCATATAATTATAGAAGCCCAAATCCCCAAGGCATGCCGTCTGCAGTGGAGAAATAGGAAACCCAGTGCTGTAATTTAGTCTGAGACTGATGGCCTGCGAACCAGGTGGGGTGCTGGTGTAACCATGGAGGCCAAAGGCCTGAGAACCAGGAGATTCCATGTCCAATGTCTGAGGCAGGAGAGCATAGATGTTCCAACTGAAGAGAGAGTAAATGCACCCTTCCTCTTTTTTTATTCTTCTGGGGCCTCAAGGGATTGGACGAGGCTCACTCGCGTTGTCCAGGGTAGGTTTTGTCTACTGAGTTTACTGATTTAAATATTAAACTTTTCTGGAAAAATATTCACAAACATACCTAGAAATAATGTTTTGCCAGCTATCTAAGTATCTGTCTGTCCGGTCAAAGTGGTACTTAAAATTAACCTTCATAGAGGCCATGGAAAGAAAAGCCAATTCTGCCTGGGGGAAGAAGAAATAGTTGAGTGAAACCATGAAAAATCAGTAGGCTTTGAGAGTTAAAGAGTAGAACAATTGGTCTTCCAGGCAAAATAAATATTGTAAAGCAAAGGAATGAAGACTCCAAAGGCACAGATGTGGGAATGGTAGTTTTAATAGGCCTATAGTAGAAAGTATCAAGAAGGACAAGAAAGAGAGATGAGGTCACAGACTGAAGGATTTTATGTGGAATTTTTCATTTTTTTCTAAAGCCAATTTCTGATTATTGGCAGTTTTGATAAAAAGAGCAGAGGAAAAATAAACTTGCTTTCTTTCACTGTTTTCCCAAGGATTTTGAAATAATATAGCTTAGACCATCCACCCTTAAAAAAGATTATTACAGTCTGAGGACTTTGGTTCATTTGCCTTTTTTTTTTAATTTGATTAGCTTCAAGACCCCATTTACAATGCATATATACAAGGTTGTTATTGACTCTCCAGTAGTTAGCTTTTCTCATTTCCCTAACTCGTAGATAACACTAACAAAAAATTTAGTGGCTGGATCACGGTGGATGCTAAAAAAAAAAAATGACAAATTTAACAACTATTTTCACCCACTATTGGGTCTATGTTTAATGCTTTGTTTTTTGCCAATGACTAGCACTTTACACATTCGTGTCTGTGGAAGAAATTAGCGCATGAGAGGGTAAATGGATTTTCTAGGGTTTTGAGTATTTCCACACAAAGTATATTGTTTGACATCAACCTGCTGATTGCTAATTATTTTTAGTAGGCTAACTAGGCTGTAAATATCTTTATATCATTCCTCAGATCAATAATTTCATAGTTACTAAAGGAGTGCCTTAAAGATCCTGATACCTTAATTGGACCAGTTTTACCCTCACTTTTTAGTTTTAGACATTGTAACGGTGGCTCTTCTTTCATAATTTTATGTCACTGTGAAGATGCTATAAACTTCCTCTTATCCAGGTTATAAGGACCCATAGTGTCCTCTCAATGTATTGTTGTGCTTCTGCTGGGTTTCTTGAAAAAAGCACTGCTTTAACCTAGTTCTGACAGGGTCTACTAATGCTACATAACCCTACAACCAACTGATGCCTGTGCTCTGAACCGGGCTTGTGGCAGACAGCTTGCAAATACTAGATAGTTTTGACATTTGCTTATCTACTTTTTTGTTTGGTCCTGGGTTCACAACTACAGTATAAGCCCCATGTAGTAGGGATTGTTCCTGATACATTTCTGAGCCATGTTCTCTAGAAAAAGGTGCAGGTTAAATTGGGAATGTGAAACATTTTTTTTGTTGTTGTTCTTCAGGGTTCTTTATTCCATCTTTCATAAAAGAGATGTCAGAAAAACTGTTTCTCAGTCACCTTTACCATGGCATTTGTCTTCTGAGTTGATTACGACTTTAATTCAACAATGAGAAGCCAATATAAACTCATCAGTTCATGGTCTGTGGAGGCATGTGCTTTACAGATGAAAGTAAATCATATAATTATCCCTGCTCCACAGGAAGCAAATTATTTCAATTATCTGAAATTAACTCTATATCTAGATTTCTCCCAGGTAAACAATTGCTGTTTGGGTACAGTGGTGCGGATATTGTCAGAAAACATTTATATTAACACTTAAAGTGACACAGTAACACACCTACATAGTCTCATGGATAGAAAGTAAATATCTGGCTAAATCACACACATGCATTTAGTTTTAGAAATGAAATTAAGTTTATTATCTGTATGCTGATGCTTTTACTTCTATGGAAACGTAACAACATCCTGTGGACATTAGATAATGAATAGTAAAACATTAAAACAAAGGTTTTCAGTTTTTAAAATATATCCTTTTTTTGCGGCGGGTAGAGAAATCTTCAAAACATAAGAAATAGTTGGCTGTATTCTTTTAAAGGAACAGGGTTTTTTGGCAGCTGACTTACAGCCAGTCTTTTCTGCCAAAATATCAATGTTTTCTTGAGGATAAAAATAGTCTTATTGCAGCCAGCAAAATGTCATTTGAAACTACAAGTGACCACTGTCACAGAAAGGTATTATTATTAATGCTTGCAACACAACAAGGAGTACAATGATTTCGGCAGAGATTGCTATTTCCACACAGCTCAGAGTTATCAAAAGAGATAGCAGAAGTAAGGGGAAGGTAGCAGAATGTTAGCCCATTGCACAGAGGCTACTATCTTGAGGAAAGAATATTCAGGAGACACAGGGAGCAACGCAGCGTAATACCCACACACAGAGAGTTGAAAAGATCAGGGAAACAAAGAATATGCAAAAATCAAAGAAAGAGCACGAAAGAAAAGCAAAGTAAGAAAGAAACGATGGAAGAAAAAAACAGCCAACTTTTAAGGATTTTCTGCAAGTTAACAAAAGCCTAGCTATACTTAAGTGGACATTATTAAATTCTAATAGGAGATTTTAAGCTCTTTGAATAATTAATAAGGACAGAATACAAAAGAACCTAAGATTAAGACATGAAAGTCTCCAAAACACTCCAAAACGATACAGTCAATTTGCAATTGGTGATGTGTGGGTATTTTTGTTATTATTTTAGAGTAAATTTACCAAATATATGATTAAATAATTTTTTTTGAGACTGAGCTTCGCTCTGTCTGATTAAATAATTTTAAATTACTCCATTTTGTGTTTAAATCCCATGTAAGGAACTCTGACCTGGTATTATCAGTAGCTGAACTGCATTGTATCCAGGTAGACTGTAGTGACCATCTGGTCCCTGGACAGCTGCCCGAGACTGGACAGACTATTGCTGATTTTTAGCTGCATCCATGCCTTTTTCATCAAATGGAGAGGACTTACATAATTGGTACCCTAAAAAGAGACAATTACACACGGATACAAATACTAATACAATAATAGAATTAGCTATCAGGCTATAATTGGTATTAGTGTTTTTGGTTGTTTCTGTCTTGCTGTGTTTTAGATACCGACAGAAACTATTATGTCATGTACTTCCCACAATAATCTTATAAGTCCGGCTTCATCTTTTCCCTAAATTTGTATATAAGTAAACTGAGGCTTGTAGAAGTTTATAATTTCTCAAGATTCTACTGCTAATAAGTAGATGCTCAAAAAAGTTCATCTCCATATCATGAGTTTTTAACCACTTATGGTATATTCTGTAAATTAGAAAAGTAATTTGAAGTCTTTACCATATGCTGGACTCCAAGAAAGATAACTTTTCTTTTCTTCCCTTCTAAGAATCTAAATTACTCTAAGAATCTCAAAATTCTTAACACATACATTAATAGATGTACTTGGTTTGATAGTAAGGTATATTTTACTAGAAGTGATACAAAGTGGGAAGGTGAGTTATGGGAGTGTATATCCCCCTAGCTCATGGACAACTTCAATATTTAAAACCTTTTCTGAATAATTTGCCCTAAACAATGCTTTCAATAAAAATTAGGTGATAGTAAACTAGAAATTTTACCCTCTGGAAATCTCAGTAGTAGTTATACAAACTATGAGTCTTACCAATTTTTCAAAGGTAGAATTAACATCTTTTATTAAAATGGAAGAGTATAAAAGCATTTGTAATTAAATAAAATGAATTTGGAGATTACAATCAACACTTTCTCATTCAAAACATTTTCCCCATAGCAGTTGGAGAAACTTTTCACATGATTATTAAAATGGTCATTTTAAATTAATTTTTGAGTTTTTGGAGATATTCTACCTTGTTTAAGAGTTAGAACAAAAAGTCAAATTTAGATCTGTTTGTATTTCTCTTTTCCTTCAGTACTAACTGTGATTATGAATAAATACCAAATGGCTCATGAGTACAAAAAGAGCGTAGAGAATTGGAACAAACTAGAATCACAGCATCTGGGAGACCTGAACTGAACATGTGCTCGGCAAAGATTTGTTGGATTAAAATACATTTCAGAACTGGGAGGGACACTAAGGATCACTAGTTAGTTCAATTCTATCCTACTTTATGCAAAAGAATTTTTAATACCAGAAGTGATGTTGAAAAGAACAGAGATGATCTGTAAGTGAGTAAAGACAGAATATTTAAAATGGCGTCCTTTCACCTCTCTTTAGTCAACTCTCATGGCAAATCAATGGTTGCTATTTTTTTTTAATAATTGTGGCCAAGATTTATTCCATCAAATATAGCCTTTTATGTTTAGAAGGGTCTTTGTGGTTTCTTTTTTCTCTTTTTGTCCCATGAACATAAACACTTTAACACCATTGCTTCATAAATTAACCTGAAAACATTAAACTTTATGAAGAGGGATTAGGAACAGGTAGAGAGTTTATGAAAAATAATATGTTTATACTTTGTTTCTTTCTCATAACATATACTGGAATCATGTAAAGTTGAGTAAGATGAACTGAATAAGTAGCATCAGGTTATAGATTAGTACATTAGTTACAAGGTAGAACATATAGCATGAGCAATATTTTTTGAAGACTAATCTACTGAAAAATAAGTTAGTTTATCTAGCATTTACTAAATGCCAGGCAGTGGATTCTGTTCAAAATGTTATGTGATTTCATGTTTATGTAGTCCCTTGAGGGAGGTATTATTTTCCCAATTGTATTATGGAGAAATGTGTGATTTGGAGAGAAGTAACATGCTTCAAGTGAGACAAGTTGTTTATTGCAATTTCAAACAAGAAGTTATTTATTATGATTTTGCATCATTTGAACCATATAATAATTCCCACAAAGATTAAAGATAAGATACGGAAAAGAAAAGGTATGAGCGTTCTTAGAGTAAATGAAATTTTCAGTAGGACTTTAAATTATATGAAAAAATAATTTTAAATTGTTATGTTTATTTAATTGATAGGATAATTTGAAAGTCTTCTCATTCAGTTTTTCAATTAGTTTTAAGAATCTGTTTAAGACAACAGCTCAAATAAAATTTGTAGAATTATCTTAGGTTATTATGTAATTTAGAAATAATAAAGTGCATTTAAAAAATTATGTAATTTATGCCATTCACTTACTTTTTCTAGAATTAATGTAATTAGTTTTGATCATTGAGGTTTCACTCTTTAGTAGTAACCAGATCAAACTCTTGCTCTTTTACACCAAACATATATATGCTCACACAGACAGGCGCTTTAATTTTTTCATTTTCAGATTTGTAGCTCAACAACATTGCAGTACTTTATGCGCTCCTTTCATTCTATTATATCATCCCATAGCAAGGGAAATGGGAAGAATGTCACATAGGTCTTTTTTTTTCTTGCTTTAGTCACATAATACTAAAGTTAACATTTTTCTTCCTCTATGTTTGTTGGATAATTAGACATTGTATAATAGATTAAGAGCCATATGTGATCCCTGTCTCCTTAGGCATATGCTAGAGCAGAAATAAATTGCTAAATATAACAAATAACAAGTTTATTTCCATTAACGTAGTATATTGAAATTAAATTTTATTTTTGGTCTTAGAATTTTTGGAAGGAACAAAAGTGAACCCTATTCTTCTGTATGTCTTGTGGGGGGGCATGCAGAAATAATACATTCTCTTAGACATGGGTTAATTTTTACATTGCTTTAAAGATGTTCCAAGGGAATTTTCAGTGTGGAGTTTTGACTAAATATTGTTAAAACTTACAGTCCCACCTGCTGTCTACTCTGCCCTTCTTTCATAGTTATATCATATCCACCTCTAACACTCAATGGATGAGTTTTCCCTTGAGTAAAATATGACCACCGATATGGTTTGGCTCTGTGTCCCCACCTAAATCTCACCTCGAATTGTAATTCCTATAATCCCCACGTTTCAAGGGTGGGACAAGGTGGAGGTAATTGGATCATGGGGGCGGTTTCTCCCATGCTGTTCTCGTGATAGTGGATGAGTTCTCATGAGATCTGATGGTTTTATAAGCATCTGGTATTTCCCCTGCTTTCACTAACTTCATCCTGCTGCCTTGTGAAAAAGGTGCCTGCTTCTTCTTTGCCTTCCACCATGACTGTAAGTTTCCTGAGGCTTACCCAGCAATGTGGAATGATTTCAGAGAATGTATGGAAATGCCTGGATGTCCAGGCAGAAGTTTGCTGCAGGAGTGGAACCCTCATGGAAAACCTCTGCTAGGGCGGTACAGAAGGGAAATGTGGGGTTGCAGCCCGACACAGAGTCTCTACTGGGGCACTACCTTGTGGAGCTGTGAGAAGAGGGCCACCATCCTCCAGCCCCCAGAATGGTAGATCCCCCAACGGCTTGTACTGTGCACCTGGAAAAGCTGCAGGCACTCAATGCCAGCCCATGAAAGCAGCTGGGAGTGAGGCTGTACCCTGCAAAGCCACAGGGGTGGAGCTTCCCAAGGCCATGGGAGCCCATCTTTTGCATCAGCATGACCTGGATGTGAGACAGGGAGTCAAAGGAGATTATTTTGGAAGCTTAAGGTTTAATGACTGCCCTTTGGATTTCAGAGTTGGGTAGGGCCTGTAGGCCCATTGTTTGGGCCAATTTTTCCCATTTGGAATGGGAGAATTTATCCAATGCCTGTACTCTCATTGTATCTAGTAACTAACTTGCTTTTGATTTTTATTCTCATAGGCAGAAGGGACTTGCCTTGTATCAGATGAGACGTTGGACTGTGGACTTTTGAGTTAATGCCTGAATGAGTTAAGACTTTGGGGGACTGTCGGGAAGGCATGATTGGTTTTGAAATATGAAAAGACATGAGATTTGGGAGGGGCCGGGGTGGAATGATATGGTTTGGCTCTGTCTGCACTAAAATCTCACCTCAAATTGTAATCCCCATAATCTCCATGTGTCAAGGGTGGGACAAAGTGGAGGTGACTGGATCATGGGGGTGGTGTCCTCCATGGTGTTTTCATGATAGTGAGTGAGTTCTCATGAGATTTGATGGTTTTATAAGCATCTGGCATTTCTCCTGCTTGCAGTCATTCTGTCCTGCCACCCTGTGAAAAAGGTGCCCACCTCTCCTTTGCCTTCTGCCATGATTGTAAGTTTTCTGAGGCCTCCCCAGCAATGCGGAACTGTGAGTCAATTCAACCTATTTCCTTTATAAATTATTCAGTCTTGGGTCTTTCTTCATCACAGTGTGAGAATGGACTAACACAACCACCTAGGGTAAATATGGCCCAGAGTGAGAGGGAAGGGAGTGATACATCCTCCCACTTTCTATTATAATTTGTGTCGAATGCCCTCCAACTAGTTTATGGCTTTGTGCATTTTCCACATCAGAAGAGAACTGGGCTAACTAAACCTTTTCATAGGGTCAGTGAAAAAAAATAACTAGTTCCTGGGGAAAACTCAGGCTTGTCTTTCAATGTATATGAAAGATTCATTATCGATTTAGTCCAGACTGCAACAAGTGAGGAACTCACAATCAATCATTAGTGACATTTCCTCATGTCTGCTCATTTCTCTGAAAATGTTTTTCACCTTTTAACTTTTACTGAAATCTGATTCTTCTCTGAACACTCAGCTGCCCCGAAAGAATTCTCAAGCCCTTTGCCACACTTCTCTGTCACTGTGAGCCTGGCAGTGTGAAAAGCTGTCCTCCTTGCTGCTAATTGCAGTTTTCAGGACATTATTCTTTTCTTCTCCCTACACATAAGTCATCCTCCCTCTCAGCTGCTGACCATGCTTCCTATTTCACCGAGAAAATGAAAGCAACTACAAGGAAGCTTCCATGCACTCACACACTCTCTTAGCTGAACTTCCAACAGCATTTGTATCATATACTTTGTCTTCCCACCTGTTCTAAAGGAAGTCTCTGCATTCCCATTTTAAAACAAATCTCTCATGTATCATTCCAATCAGCATCATAGTAGAGTGTTATTTCTTCCATTTTAGACATTAACAAAAACAAACATGTCTGATGCCATATTCTCCTCTAGGTATACTTTATTTCTCATTTCTTTTACAGCAAAACTCCTCAGAATTCTCCAGTTTCATGGGCTTAAATACCGTCTGCACACTAGTGATTCTCAAAATGATATATGCAGTTCAGACATCTCCCCTGAACTTCAAATAACAGCTGCCTACTCTACAATTCCACTTGGATGTCTCATAAACATTTCAAACTTACTTACATGTTCAAAATCAAACTCCTGATCTTCTCTCTCATCTACCAAAATTTCCCATCTTAAGAAACATATTCCCTTCCAGTTGGGAAAATTTTGGGAATTATTTCCCTGTTAGCTAATGTCAACATACCAACCCATTACACATGATTTGAACTTTTGCCTCAATTTTAGCATTAGGATGGAGTTTTATTTTATTTATAGAATGAGTAAAATAATGAAAGAAAGAATATGAAGAAGGAATAAAGGAAGGAAGCAGGAAAGGGAAGAAGGAAGGAAAGAAATGGAAAAATAAGAAAGATATGAATAAAAGAATTACTTTTAGCCCAAGATGAATAAACATTGAAAAAACACTGGTCATTAGAATCTGAAATCAAAATGACTAAAATGTTTTAGGTTATGCTAAATTGAAGGCCAGTTTAATCAAGCCAGAGTCATCTATAGTAGAAGATTCTTTATTTGGGGGAAACCTCCCCAACAACAGACTTATTATAAAAGAATTTATACAAATTTAAATAATTGATTAATATGCATGTGTGGCGATGGTGATGCAATCTACAGTGCAAAGAATCTCCACTTATGATTATCATAGGGTCCAATCAGCATAATTTCAACAAGCAGAGACAATCACAATGAAATCATGGAGACCTTGAGGTAAGATATGAATTGGGATTCTTCTTAGTAATTTTTGTTTAGATGATTAAAATAAATAGATCATCCATAGCTAGCTAGGTAGGTAAACACAGACAGAGATAGGAATATAAAGATAGAGAATATAGAGACACTTAGATTTTTTTAAAATGTATTACTACTGTGATGGTTAATTTTATGTGTTAACTTGACCAGGCTATGGAGTTCCCAGATATTTGAACAACGAATATTTTGCATGCATACGTGAAGTTGCTTCCAAAGGAGATTAAAATTTGAATTGGTAGGCTGAGTAAAGTAACTTCCCTAATGTGTGTGGGCCTCTTCCAATCTGGTGCAGGCCTGCATAGAACAATAAGCCTGAGCAGAAGAGAACTGCACCTTCCTGACTGCTTTTGAGCTTGGCTATCCCTTTTTTCCTGCATTCATACTTGAGCTGGAACATTGGCTCTTCCTGGTTCTTCATCCTCCAGAATACCTGACCAGAACTATACCCTCTCCTTGGTGTCCAGCTTGCTAAATGAAGATCTGGGACTTATCCGCCTACAAAATCATGTGAGCCAATTTCTTATAATGAGTCTCACTCTCTGTCTCTGTCTTTCTTTGTTTTTACACACACACACACACACAATTTATATATTGGTTGTTTCTCAGGAGAACCTCGAATAGTACAACTAAATTGTATGTTTTTTAAATTCGATCTTTCACCTTGTTTGGAGTTAAGATAACTAAATTCCAGAAATATTTTTAATCTGGTACAGGTTAAGTCCTGAAATATTTGGATAATTATATTTTTATCATTTTAATACCACCAGTGGCTCTCTTTCTTTTACATCTTCATCAGCCTCTTTGCATCTCACATAATTAAGGATAAGAAAAACTCAAGTCATGTAAAAAAGCTCTTCAGTAGCTCTTCAGTGCTTCACAGGCTTGTACATCTCTTTGACTTCATACATGCTGTTGCCATTTACTGGAATATCTTTTCATTCTTCATTGTCTAGTTAACCTTTCTTTAAGGATTCCTGTCCCCAGGGAACTCTCTCTTATCCTCCATTCTGCTATAGGTCCCCCACTCTCAACCCTGCCACATTCTCTCCTTGTGTCTTATACAGGTTTCTGCCATGGGACATGTCATCCAGTACTATAATTATTAATAAATATCTTTGGGTCCTCCAGTAAAAAATGTTAAGCACTTTAGAAGGGTAGAAACTGTATCTTTATAAACATGTTTTATGTCCAACTCCTAAACTAGTGCCAGCTGTAAGTATTTATTGAAAAAGTAGTTACCACATAAATGCCAATAGTCCAGCCTATCCCATGTGATAATTTAGAACTCTGAGAATCTTAAATATCTGAACTAATTATATTCTTCTTTAATAATTTTCTTTATACATTTTCTTAAACCTAAAAGCAATTCTCAATTATTTGCAATTAAATAAGCAAACTATACAACACATTTTTTTCTCAATTGCACATGAAAGAGGAAACCCTGTGTCACTAAGCAATCATCATTTATTTGTCTGTTCTATATGAAATATGCATTGGTTTTCTAAACAAAATTGCTTTCATTGGAAGACTTGCCATTGCCTTTGGTAGCTCACGTTTTGACTGATGACAGCGATGGAGAAGGAAAAAATTGAATCATAGTCATCATTGTATTGAATCACGGGTAGCCTGCGGCTCACACCTGTAATCCCAGCACCATGGGAGGCCAAAGTGGGCAGATCACTTGAGGTCAGGAGTTGAGGCCAGCCTGGGCAACATGGCAAAACCGCAGCTCTACAAAAATTAGCTGAGCGTGGTGCCACACACTTGTAATGCCAGCTACTTGGGAGGCTGAGGCCCAGAATCGTCTGAGCCTGGGAGGCAGAGGTTGCAGTGAGCCAAGATGACACCACTGCACTCTAGCCTGGGCAACAAAAGGACAAACGCAAGACTCTGTCTCAAAAAAAAAAAAAAAAAAAAAGTTCTTAAATTGCAGGTGAGATTTTATGGGCAGATTTTTACCTAACAACAAAATGATTTATTTTTTATATTATAAATGTCAACCAGGGAAAACCTAAACTTATCATGTAATTCAGTTAGGGCTGTGTGTAATCCTTTGAAAGCCTTCTTCAATAAGCAGTGCTCTGTCGCCCAGACTAGAGTGCAGAGGCGCCATCTTGGCTCACTGCACCTCCGCATCCCAGGGTTCTAGCAATTCTCCTGCCTCAGCATCCCAAGTAGCTGGAACTACAGGCGTCTGCCGCCATGCCCAGCTAATTTTTTTGTATTTTTAGTAGAGACGGGGTTTCACCATGTTGGCTAGGCTGGTCTCAAACTCCTGACCTCAGGTGATCCACCCACCTAGGCCTCCCAAAGTGCTGGGATTACAGGCTTGAGCCACTGTGGCCGGCTGCAATTTTTCATTTCTATATTATCTATCTTCTTTTATAATATTTAGACCACACTGTAATTTATGTCTATGGTCTTTCTAATTTTCATATTCACAAGCATAGACTTTAGCATTATTTGGCTGATTATGTTTGTTTGTACACATTAATAAGGTAATTACCAATTATTACTAATATATATAAGCCAATGTATTAGTTTCTATTGTTGCTGTAACAAATTACCACAAACCTAATGGTTTAGAACAACACAAATTTATTACAGTTCTGGCAGACAAAAACCTGAAGAGTCTTAGGAGCTTAAAATCAAACTGTCAGCAGGGCTGCATTCCTTTCTAAAGGGTCTCTGGAAGCATCCATTTCTTTTGGCTTTCCAGCTTCTAGAGGCAGCCTGCATATGTTGGCTTGTGCATCCTTTCCCCATTTTAAAAGTGCATCTCCCCAATCTCTGCTTTTGTCATCCTTGCTTCTTTTTCTGATTCTGGGCCTCCAGCCTTCCTCTTAAAAGGACCATTTTGATTATACTGAGCCTACCCAGAACATCCAGGATCATATTCTTATCTCAAGATCCTTACTTTAGTCACATCTACAAATTCCGTTTGGTCATGTAAGTTAACATATGCACAGGTTTTGCGAATTAGAAAGCAGACATCTTTGGAAGGATATTATTTTGTCTACCACAGTCAATATACAATTTTTATTATATTTTGCCAAAAAACCATAACACAGCAGCAGTAAATATCATTAGAAGGTGTAACTCAATATAAAAAGAAACTTTCTCATAATTATTTCTGATTAAAAGTAAACCCAATTTCTTGAATACTGTTCTACTCCCCACTATCGGAAACATATAGACAGAAGCTAGATAACCATCCATCAGCTCTGTTATAGATTTGAAATAGAGGTTCTCTCTATTTTCTTATAATTTTAGCCATCTCTTTTGCTTTAACTTTCATAAGATAAAGACAGTAGAAACAAAAGGTAATTTACTCATTTATCTTTCAATTAAATTTGCAAAAACTAATGGAAGGGAAGATACAGAATAAATCTTAAATAAGCCATAGTGCTTGGGATGTGAAATAAGCTTATATATTTTTGTACTTAATTTTGTGTGTGTGTCACTATATGTATACAATGAATTGCAGTGATTTTTCTCCAAGACTTTAATTCTAATTTTCAGCAAAATGAAAGCAATATACATTTTTACCTTTAACTTAACCAATTTGAGAGGCTATGAGCAGAAGTAAAAAGAATGAAAAAATGATGAACTACATTTTTTTTTTTTTTTTTTGACACAGAGTCTCGCTCTGTCCCCCAGGCTGGAGTGCAGTGGCGCGATCTCGGCTCACTGCAAGCTCCGCCTCCCGGGTTCACGCCATTCTCCTGCCTCAGCCTCCCGAGTAGCTGGGACTACAGGCGCCCGCCACCACGCCCGGCTAATTTTTTGTATTTTTAGTAGAGACGGGGTTTCACAGTGTTAGCCAGGATGGTCTCGATCCCTGACCTCGTGATCCGCCCGCCTCGGCCTCCCAAAGTGCTGGGATTACAGGAGTGAGCCACTGAGCCCGGCCTGAACTACATTTTTGAGAGATTGATGTGCCCCATTTCAGGATGACCTACCAAAAGTATAAGAGCATTTGGTGGTTCAACATACTCATCTTGTACATGAGGAAATGGAAATCACAAAACTTTACTGACTTGCCCAGGGCCATACAACTAGATAATTACAGAGCAGTTGTAAGTTCCCTGCTTTTCTAACTCCTAATTTGGTACTCTGTCCACAATACTATCAACTTTTCAATATCCTATTTAGTATATGATTTTCTCTGATTTGGTATGATTTCTCTTTTCCTTAATCTCCATTTTGTATGCTAAATTAATATTATTTAGGTTGAGTCGCTTGAGAGGGAAATAAGATCTTTTCCAATATCATTATGTACAAATAGACAAAATGCAGTCAAGCTTGTTTCTTCTTTCTCTGCAAAGTTAAGACGTAAGTAGGGAAAGAAAAAGGAGCTTAATGATGTTTTCTTGCCTTTTCCTTTCTTCTATTTATTCTTTCTAAGAAGTATTAAGATTAGTTGAACTAAGAAGATCTTGTTCCAAAGTTGAATACCAGCAGTAATAGAAGGGTAACTAGGTCTCATATTAATTAATATAATCATTCTCTGTGTAGGGGTTGGGGGATGTAGGAAGCAATAAAGTTAACTGAAATATTTAAATACATATTGACAAATGAATCATCATCTGTAACAACTTAAACCATCCCTGATACGTAAACAAATAGCTTTCCTCACTGTTTTTCTTTTAACTGTATTTGAATGTGCTCACCTCCATGCTACATATAAACTCATTTGTAATTTTATCAAAGTCTTATTTTATTTTTGTTTTAGAACAAATATTTAGATATGGAGTCTTACCTTGATTTGACCGACAAAGAGGTCATGAAGCTTTGGCATCAATGAGGGTTGCAATGAATAAACAATGAATTAATTCCATTCACTTGATTCATTACCCTCAAATGTCTTCTGCTCAGTTTGGGGTCATTATATTACAATAGCTATCTCTTCAGCGTAAGCTTCGCATTACTCTTTTTACATTTCCTTCTGCATAGTCCTTGAGTACTTTAAGATCAATCAAATGAAAGTCATTTTATTCTCTGTTTCTAGTACCCAACTTATAAAGAGTAGAATATATCTGTAGCATCTATAAATAATAAGTATAATAAGAGGTCTTTAGAGAGTCTTGAGCCAAATAATATTTCAGTTTGTTTTTACTACAGTGATATGTATGAAGATTTCATTATGACACAAAACTTACGTACATGTAAAAATAATGACTGTTGGTCCTGATTCCAGATAAATAATTCCCGATGCAGCCGTAAATGTAGATCACTCCCAGAAGAGATGGCATCTTTTGTAAGTCATATTTTACCAGTGACATTTTGGTGCTAGTTAATCAACATTTCCAGTACTGATTCTCTATTTGAAGAAATCTTGCCATCTGGAATTGGTCCCTCTAGTAATATTATTTAAATCATCAAGGGGCAATTCTTCTTAATCATCTTCAACTTAGTTGGAAAAATTAATAGGCTTGTCTATTCAATTTATGTCCTCCCTTTGGGGTTATATAGATGTCTGTTTATTTGTAATATTTAAGCAACTTTATTACTGACATTTTTTCCAGAGCATTTTAACCTACAAAGTTAATCATACAAAATATTTAATTTCTGATACTATTTAGAAGTTAAAATCCAATGAATCTGACTCCACTATACTTATATTTGTTTTTAATTATTAAAAATTATTCTTGATGGTGGTGCTATGTTCTTGGAATAATGTAGTAGAAAAATGGAGGCAATATGGCTTTTCTTTATATGGCACAGTACCATTATAAGTGTATATACTAAGATAATAATTTAAACAGAACCTTTAGATACTTAAAAAAAGGTCAGCTTTTAAAAAGAGTTGGAAAAATATAGGTAATATATGAATTTATCAAATAAAGCTAAGACATTACATACAATAAAAGTAGTCAAAACAACATGTACACATTAATGAAATGTTTGGACTTATAAGTCCATGCAAATGAAATGGACACTAAGAGGATATACTAACTTTGCCACCAAGCATCATGAAACACAGATAATTCACAGGAGTATTGAAGTTGCAGCAACCTAGAGAGCTACTACAAGTCAAAAATAGCACTGAGGATAGTGGGGTGTGCAGGAAATTAACAAGAAATTTAAGGAAAGCTGATTTTTGGCGTAAGTCAAGATAAGTAACCTGGCATAAGAGTTCTAAGTCTTTAAAGGTTCTTAAACTCAGTCTTACTTCACTGCCTCAGTATCTTGTCTGATGGAAAAATGGATCAAAAACATAGATTATATTCATGAATCATTTAACCCAGGATTTCAAGTTTATTAGGTGTTCCTTGACTTATGTATTCTTCATATATTCATTTTTTCATGCAAAAAATACTTATTAAATATCTTATATCAATAAGACACTGTGCTAGCTGCTAGATAGGAAAGAATAGGATAGTGCCCAAAGCACTGAACCTGCCCTTATAATTTATTAGAAGGGATAAAATACAATAAATGAATACATTACAATTTAGTAAGAGAGATACAATAAAATAACTACTAATAAAGTAAGAAAAGCATGTGTACACTAAATACTATTTCAAAAAGAAAAGAGTGATTAGGAATTGTTTTGCAAATTTGGGGTAGGGAGGAAATCCAATTCAACTTTTGTTCATGAACAACTATTCTGCATCAGACACAGTACCTGTAGCTAAAGATACAAATATAAATAAAACATCATTATTTTATTCTAGGGGTTCTTAGTTTATCAGGATTATCCACTCTTGGGGTGCAAGGAATGTCAGGGAAGAATTTGTGGAAAAAGTTGTACTTGAGTTGCATCCTAAAATATAGGTAAAATTTTGACATATGGAGAAGAGGGAAAAAAGCTTTCCAGGGAGAGGCAAAACCATGAATACAACAGCATCTGCAATCTTCTCTCTAAACTTATTTTTATACTTCTGAAGGCTTGGTATGAAAATAACAGAAGGCATAGCTCTGTGATACATGCTTTACAACACCTTGTTTTTAAAGCAAAAAAGAATCAATGTTCTTGGAAAAATCAATTTTTTATTATTTCAGCAACATTTTTGAATGTTGCCATTGAAATTACCTGGCACTGTAGATAGAGATGGTCTTATGCTATTTCTGTATTTTAGATTCCCCCAAATAATCTGCAACCTCTTATAGAAAGTAACAGAGATAAATTAAACCTCATTATGGTATGGTGTGTAAGTATTTTTAAACATTTTTAAAATAATAGTTGTTCGTGAGTGGGGTCTATTCTAGATATTACATATTTCCTTTTGTATTTTTTTTTACCCTTCATATTATTTGCATGTTGAGTATAGAAAAGAAAAAAAATTAACTCATGAGCTACTGAGGTGGATTTGCTACTGGATGAGTAACATCAGCAGAAATATTACAATAGCTAATTGAGGGTCAAGGTCTTTTGAAAAACTCTTTAGAAGTCTCTACTGAGAAGAGCAAGAAGATCAATATAAGCAGAGGGACAGAGAGCAATCCAAGGGAAACAGTAGAGAAATTATATTCCTAAATGCGGTCTTTTCTCCATGACCCTCTGCCTTGATTGAGTAACTTGAGAAAATCCCTTTTCTGACCTTCCCTCCTTAATATTATTTTTGAATCTTCAAAAGAATGTAAACTACTTTCTCATTATCATAGTTTGTGAAGACATAAGAAGTCCATACTTTGCACACTGGCCATAAAAAACAGTTTTATCTGTTGGTAGATTCTTTGTTTAAATATATCTTTCCCCTATGTGATCTCTTCTCCATGATTAGTTTAAAAGTTCTTTTCTTGATGCAGTTGGGCTTTGATATTATGAAGCCACTCTTCGTGTTTTACATTTTTTCCTAAGAAACTTGTAAAATATGCCTTTTTGGATATAATTATGATGTAAACTTGTAAGGTGACAAGTTTAAATTGGAGCTTTGACCAAAATGATGGGCTGGTTTTGAGAAGCTATGCTGATAACTTTATACAATATTCATTTTTCACAAAGCTGAGAAGAGGAAACAGCAAGAGTGAAGGAACGTGATAAGCCTTTTTTATTATTAGGAGTCCTTAATATATGGTCCGCAATAGACTTTAGATTTGGTTATAGGTTGATTGATGTAAGTGGAATATTTGCACTAAATTTTATGGTTTAAAATATGTTTTCACATGTATTAATATCATAAATAATTGTATAAGCTCCATTGCTGTTATATTATTTCATTGTTATGAAAACTGAGCTTCAGACATGTTAACTCACTACGGAAAAGTTGTACTGTTAGAGCTGAAAGCCACTTCTTATTTCATGTCCAGCTTCTGTTTTTACACTGATTTGGAAGTACAAAATTTAAAAGTGTATTTAAAATATTGTCATAATAGCATTAGTTTCGTTAAAAATATAGTTCATGGTGGCCGGGCGCGGTGGCTCACGCCTGTAATCCCAGCACTTTGGGAGGCTGAGGCGGCAGATCACGAGGTCAGGAGATCGAGACCATCCTGGCTAACACAGTGAGACCCCGTCTCTACTAAAAATACAAAAAATTAGCCAGGCATGGTAGCAGGCGCCTGTGGTCCCAAGATGCTCAGGAGGCTGAGGCAGGAGAATGGCGTGAACCCAGGAGGCAGAGCTTGCAGTGAGCCGAGATTGTGCCACTGCACTCCAGCCTGGGCGACAGAGCGAGACTCTGTCAAAAAGTAAAAAAAAAAAAAAAAAAAAAAAAAAAATATATATATATATATATATATATACTTCGTGGTTTTTGATTGGTAAGTGGGCATAGACTGAGTAGATTAATGACCAGTGTTAGGTGAACTAAAATGTTCAAGGACCACCATTTCAACATCATATTGTAGATTTAAACCAGGGTAATGAGTGTTTACAGAGCTTTGATGTTGTCCTAATACTTGAATGCTATCAGGAAGTAATATCACTCAGATATATGGAAATGTACAGATAATCCCAGTGATTCACTGTAATTAATTTCACATAACCTACCAAGACAACAGTCTGGTTTTGTATCTTTCCCCAGTTTCACTACTGCCAATTAAGTTGTGTTTTGTGCTTTTAAGTAAATTGATGTTTAATTAATACTTAAGTAAATCAGATGCAAAGTCTTAGTTTCTTAGCTGAAGGTTTATCCAGTCTCGCTTTTTTCTTTATACATTTTCTTAGTACAAAAATTGAAGCTTTAAAAATAATTGCCAGTCTAAAATCCTCAAGGATGTGTCTGCCTAGAAGAGTCAGTAACAGAATATGTGCTACGTTTTATATGTAGCCTTCCCAAATAACCTTTCACATCTCTTTAATACATCCAGTAATTCTTTTCATATGGAAAACAAGTTTTTACTTTACATTTCCCTAGATGACTTTCAGTTAAATAAAATACTTATGGCTGAAGTAGGAAACGTGTTGGTTTTCAGACATACTAGATTAATGAATGATCTCTTCAGGGGAGCAATGTTTGATAGGTGAATGGATTGAAGCCTGAGTATATGGATTGTGTATATGAATACAGGGAGGGAAGCAGAGTGGTGAGGTGGAAAGTAGAAAATTGAAAGCTTTAAAGGCAAAACCGAGAAGATGAAAACTGCATGATACTATCCAAGGAAGCTTGTCCTCAGGTCTCACAAAGTTTATGATATTACTAACTAGACCCTACAAAAGAATTGGTTAATTTTTGATAAATGGTCAAATATTATTAAAAATTCATTCTAGAGTTTAACAAAGTTTTCAGAACATCTAGGCTCCTCATTCTATAGGTATGGGCATGAAAATCACAGCTTCCCCAAAGTCACATCTATGTATATCATCAATAGAAGAGGTAGGGTCTAGAAATGAAGGACCTTGAATCCTCTGTTTCTCCCACTTGTGCTGCTTTCCCTCCCAACAGAGCATCAATCATCACAATTGCCACTTTGTAAAGAGAATAGTTGCAAAGCTATAAGCAGTAAGAATTTTAAAAGAAAAATGAAGAAAGGTGATACCATTTAACTGTTTCTAGTTGCCAAGAGAAAGAGTGAGAAAGAATATTTACTTCTTCCACAATAAAAGTTTAATTAGGTTAAGGAAGATGAGAAAAGATGAGACCAGGAAGCTATTTGCTCCATCAAAACATAGACAGGCTGCCTTGAACTCTTCAGTTTTTGCCACATCAGGGTTTACTGGTGCATAATTACAGGTCCTTGCCAAATGTCATCAATCCATATTTTCTGTTCTAATTTGAGTTGATCCTGTTATGAAGAGGATGTCTCTAGCGCACGAGAGAAACAGGAAAAGACAGATTTTTAAGGCGAATTTTAAAGCAAGTAGTAATCTCAGTTTATTTCTCTTGCTTTTTTTTTTTTGGCTTTTTCTCAGTTTCATTTAAAAATAGTAAGAACAAGAACTTTAATTAGATTTATGTATGAAAGCTACACTTAGGCAGTTTAAGTCTGATTATTTTCTTTAGCAATATCAAAATTGTTATGGTATATTACATTATGAAACATTCAACAATATAATTATTAAAATATTCCTACTGCTTATCATGCCTATAGGGCTTTAAAGCAATTATGTTATTTAGGGCAAGAGATCTAATTGCCTGGGTTGCCTTGGACAGAAACCACAGTTTGGTGATGGAGATTATTGCTGAATCATTGTTATATTTTATGTCTGTAGTGTGAGAAAGTATCATGAAGATAAGTTTAACATATTTCTACATAAGAAGACAGTAAATGTTTCCTCAAACTCAGCACGGTTCCCCTGATAGGGCATTTTCTGATATATTTATGAGACAAGTATGACTCATCTAAAGTTTAGCAGTCACAATGGTGTGCAGATATGGCCATGTCACCTCTTTTTAACTGTTCCCCAAATATGTAGCTGGCTCCAGTGTCAATGTTGTGTTTGAAACCTGCTCAGTCATATTTATATCCTCCTATCTTTATAGTTCAGAGCAGAGAAATTCATGGTTCTGATTCACAGGGATTACTGTTTTGTTACAATGTTCAAATAATGGTCCGCTAAAAATCTTCCTGCAACAGAAAGAAGTCCACTCTTCTACCATCAAGGTCATTACTGAAATCAATGCCTTCAGTTTAAAAGCACAGAGATGCCATCTAGCAGCCGCCCTCAGAAATTCCCTACACAGAAATAGTTCTTTCCCTATAAAATTGAGCAATAATTGAATTCCTACAGGCTTTCGGTGTTTGAAATTTTGCTTACAGAATGATGATTTGGCATGTCGTCTATAATTCAAACACTCCATTACAAATGAAATTAATTGACATCTCTTAAAATAGGCAGTGATATACATCTGAGTTTTTCTAAAAAGAACTGGAAACTTACTAATTATACTTTAATTAATAGAAAGTATTTCAAACAAATTTCCTAAAAGAAAAATTGATCATCTGTCCCTATAAAAATACAAATAATTAATTAGTGTGGATTGCCTTCCTTTGTTGGAAAAGAATACCAATCTTGCCAATTTTTTGATACAGTAAATGAGAGAAAAGAAACTAAGTACATGCTGAAACTAAGCTCAGTCTATGAACAATGAATCTTGGCCATTTTTAAAAACCTGAAAACAATACTGACTTTCAAGTAACTTATCTTACCATAAGATGGCGATACTTAAGCACTTTATAAAATGCCATATAAGACCTGTAAGCTTCAGCGACAGAAAAAAAAAAAAAAGACACACACCGCATTATAAATGTAAACATTATATAGTCTTCCATGAAATAGAATTGGCACTGTTGTTAGAAAACCCAGTTGTCTTCAGGTAAACTAATATATAAGAAGTACTTTCTAAGATGTAGATTTCCAGTATTTGATATATGTAAAATCCTATACCTAAAAAAAATCTATTCAATTTTAAGAGCTTTCCCATTTTGCCAGTTTCTGTTTATCCATGTGAGGTATATATATTATATACATATATAAAATAAACAAAGTATAACAATATAGAATAATACTTAAAATTATTTGAAAATTTGATGATGACCCATATCACTCCAAATGTATTAGTATGCAAAAAGGCAGTTGGTTAGCATTTCTGTTCATTTAAGTGTTATCACAAATTATTTCTTATTTGTCCAAAAACTGTATTTTTTGTAGTACTATATTATTGGATTTTTAATTTTAATTTCACCATATATAATTTGCTTTATGAATCCTGACTTTTAAAATCTAAGCCCTTAAGTAACTAGTAGAATGAAAAATAAAATTTTACAAAATTCTTAGTTTATAACCTAATTGACAATTCTTTTGAGGACACAATGGTGCCATCTGTAATTTTTTGGGGGGGAGCAATATAAATATATATTATATAAATATAAATATATAATATTAATACAAAAGTAGCTTCTCTTCATTTTTTAAAGCAATGTTTTGTCTAAAAGTCCTAAAACTTTTTACAACATTAAAATTACTTGTTTTGAAAGTTTTAATATTCTCTGTAATGTCTATGATATAGAACAAATATCGTCTTTTAAAAAAATCATCTTTTGTTCTTTGCACACTGTATTGCAGTATGTGGAAGCTGAGAAGGACAGTTTGAAAAGTTAATGTATGCCTTCCCTGGATTTTTCAGCTCATTTGTAGCAAATATCCACAGCTCATTCTGAAGAAAGTAAAAAGTTTTGTAGCATTGAATACACACAAATAAACTCACCAAAACTAGAAAAGATTATATTGACCAAAGATGCATTGCTTATTTTAAAAATGTCTTCATATTTAACAGAAAATTATCTACATATTTAATTTTGGAAAGAAAGGGGTGCAAGCAGTGAAGATATTTATGCATCAAAGATAACAGACAAATCAAATCACACACAAAATTGTTAATGAAGCTCTACATTTCTGAATTTATTTTAAAGAAAAACAAATAAAACTCACTTTAAGTCAAGTGACTTTTTCTGCAGTAACTTAGTGATTAACTTTGCTTTTAGAAAATGTTTTACCAAGAATATTCCCAAATCATATGGAATGTATTCAAAAGTTTTAAACAATATCATATAAAAAGAGTGGCAGTGGATAGAATGTGTCACTACAGGGTGCAGAGTCAAGAAGAAAAAAAATTAAATATAAAAACAAAATCAACACTTTTTCCTAAGTGTAAAATGCTTTAAAGCTACACCTTAGTATATAAAATATGCCTTTAAGATTATTAAGATGACATTCACACAGAGTGAAGCGTTTACATCAATAATACCAGTACAATCAAAGCTTTAAAATAAAATGAATTTATTCTCATCAGGTCCTTCTAAATATGAAAGAGTACAGAAATAATTACAAATATATACGACATGATTCTAAGTTTTAACTGTATACTATATTAGGCCTACAAATATCACAACCACAGTATTAAATTATGCTTGGTTACATCTTAGTTCTATTCAGTAATGAAAGGAAACTTAATTTGTCTACACTACACACATGATGTAAAGCTTTAAAAATAACTTTATAATATTCCAAAATATAGCTTGTATTAGTTTTATAGCATGGAATCATTCTTCCTATATTGTCAAATTGCTGTTGGCCAGTTAAATAAGTAAAATAATAAATTGTATCTCTTACTCTTTTTCACCAGGTGGCTTATCTCTTATTCCCTGTCATTATGATTTTCTTAGAAGGCTGAAGCTTTCAAATTATCTCACTTTGTCATCAAGACTTTTCTCAGACATCGTTGAAAATATTTGTCCATATTTTCCTGTCTTTTTATCAAAGGAGTTTAGCGTTCACTTTCATTGCCAGTACTAGATAATTTTCAGAGTTCAACGTCTATGAGTTAACTCATCCTTCCTATTGCCCTCCTTAGTTTGTTAAGGTTCTCACTTCCTGTTTCTTAACACTGATAATCAGAACTTCCTCAGTGCCCCCTAATTTTCTTAATGAAAAGGAAGAAACAAACACAAGCTCCTTTCACCAACGCCTCTCAGCCATGGCAGAGAGTATAGCTCTGCTGCTCTGCCATGTGTTTTACAAGCAGCATCCCAAATGTTTTGGACACAAACCGCAGCACGTCTGCGATGGGAGTATTATTGACCAGGATCAGCTGGAAAACGCTTCCCTGCTTTCAACAAAGAAACGGTTCACCATGTCCTAATACATGTTTATAAATTGCATTGTTTCTACTGCAAACTCCTTTGCATTACCCGTCCGACTTCAAAAGAGAGCATTAAGCAGTTGGACACGGAATAAGCTAAATTCCCCGGAGAGCCGCATTGCCCGCTGCCCATGCACATTATATTTTCTCCTAGTCCCTCCCCCCGCGCAGTAGGACTCTACCTTGAGGAGCTATTCCTCCGGTAGTTCACCTTGTTATGTTCCAAGCAGTGGGGATACGCCAGACACCATAAGGTAGCTGAAAGAGCTGTCTCTCGTCCCGTTTTTGACATATTTATTTGCATTTCTGTTAGGTTTGTTACATATTGCACATTTATTTCAAACAAGACTCAAAATATTGTTCATACCTTGGAAGGATCTAATCCGGCAAACAAAGACAGCAGCAGGAGGTTGAGAAGGTTGGACGTCGCCTGCATTCTGATCTGGGTTTTTGCCCCTCTTTACTCTCTTTTATGTAGGCTCTCCACTCACTGCAGAGACCTTTCCCTCGTCAGTTGCACTTTCTGCCTGCCAGTCAGAGCCGAGTGGAAGCAGAGGCGGCGGCAGCAGCAGTAGCAATAACAGCAGCAGCGGCAGCGGCGGCAGCCGCCCTGGGGGGCGATCATTCCGCAGGCATTCTCAGAGCTAGGAGTCCGGGAGCTCTAGAGAGTGGGTTGGGCTGCAGTGGGCGCTGGCCGCGGTGCTGAAGCGCCTCCAACCCGCGCGCCCCAGTTTACCCTCTCCCCCGCTGCTATATAGCTAGCCCACCTCAAAAGTTTTGACCCAAGGAATAGATAAAGGGATTAACTGCTGAGAGAGGTGTGGAGACCTGGACAACGGATATGACATCACTACAGCTCCTGGGGGTTTCGGGGGGATATTTTGCGGGGAATTTGTTAACCAAACAAGGATTGACTCTCGTGCTCCAGTTCAGCATTTGCCGGCAACTTGAGCTGCAGAGAAGTAAAGAGTCAGCTAAATACAGGATTATGAAACAAATAGTGCACTAGAACCTTCTGCTGTCATTGACAGAGGACTTGATATTGTATTTAGTGCTTTAAACAAAGTTTGCAGTGCAGACTATCAGTGTGTGTCATCCAAGGCACACGATTTTCAGCTGTTATTGATAGATGAATGTGGTAATTTATAGATATGTGCAGTCATTTATGAATAGCTTATTAAAGTTATATGTTTTGGTTAGGTATTAATGTGTATCTATCTATCTAGGGATTTGGTCATCTAAAAACACTATGCATAAATAAATAAAGAGGCTTATATTCTTCTTTTAGTTATAAATGGTATATTCCATTAGTGATCCCCCCAGCTGAAATATCCCCCCCATATGCACAGCCATACCTGGAAATATAGTTTTTCTATCAGTCTGACTTGTGTTTTTACTTGAAGAAGAATTCACTGATAGATGGATAGCGGGATGGGAAGAGTGTTTATTTCTAAGCTTTCAAACACTTCTGTAATCTAGGGCTCAAGAAAAGGCAGAATAGCTGCCTCACAAGAGCAAAGAAAGGGTAAATGGCAAACTCTCTTACCCTGCATCATTCAACCTTACTGGAGCAATTTCATTTCTTTGAATATGGAAAAAGTGTTCTCAATAATATAAAAAGGAAGAAGTTGGTAGCCACCCTGAAACATCCCTCTCGTACAATTATGCCTGTAATATTTCCATCTTCTATTGATTTTTCTAGAAATTATAATTCCTAAGGGTTAAAATATATAGATAGACTGGGTCTGTGGACATTGCTTCCTTTTACTTCGACATTTAAAAGACAATGAATTGAGATATCAGACACATACCGAGTATGAAATCTCCATCAACCTTTCACTGAAAATATATCCTATTTTTTAATATAAGAAATCTCAATTAGGACTCAAATGCATTTGAAAGTTATTGTCCCCAAGAATTTACATCATATTGCATCTGTTTTAATCCTAATATTATAAATGTGTGTATAGTTACTTGAGGTCTTTATTTTCTATAAACATAAATGGCATGAAGTTCACTACATCTGATAATTCTTTTTGAAGGAGTGGATCATACAAAATAGAGATTGCAAAATCATAGAAAGAAAGTGAAATTACTTATAATGGTGTTAATTTAATAATCTTAACAGCCATAACCATATTTAGAAGTTTCCATTATTTTGAGGTAATAGATAAAACTATAGAGTTGTACCACTCTCTGGGGTAACTTCCTAGAACATATTTGTCAGAGTTTTTTTCTTTTTACATTTGCTTCTTAACCTAAACTTTTCTACCTATCAACATCTACATACTTATCTATCTATGTAGGATAAAATCAGCATAATTTTTAAAAAATCACACATAGAAATTGTTGAAAATTCTGCATCCATTTTTAAATATTTCACATGACTGTGCAGATTGAAAATGAATTTGCAGAGGTGTGTTGGCTGAATGATTATAATAATACATTTTTATTATCCATTCTCTAAATACATTTTTTGTTATTTGTATTTACACATGCTTTTCCCTCTTCCCAAGAAGTCTTCTACCATCTTTTTTACATCTCTACCTCTCAATTAGCAGACAGTAGTACATTATACTTGTTTGAGTAGAGGAAGCTGTATTTAACAGACACACACAGTAATATGAAAATATAATAATATCAATTTTATCACTTCAAGATAAACAGATATTCTTATAATGAAAATAATGTTTTTTTTCTGGAAACAGAATTATTCTGATCTCATACATGGTTTACAATATTAGTGACTGTACCAAAACTTTTATGTGGGCACAGTTTTTTTTCTCTTTAACTCTCCTTTTTTATGGCACTGGAATGTCATTTGTAACAAGAAGTTAATAAGAAGGCAAATTCTAATTCTATGAAATCTTGTCAGAAAAAATGTGATGGAAGAAGATGATAATATTTAGAGATCCAAAATAAGTAATATATGGTAATTATGTTACAAATGAAAACAGATGATCTTAGCAAACTTACAACATATTTTCCATAAGAGAAGCTTAGTCATTTGTAGAGAATAATCAAGTTCAGTAATGAATCAAAGCTGTATTAAACATGCCACTGAAAAACACAAGCTGTAATCTAAACAGTATAAATTCACCAATACTCTACTACTTCCTCTATCTCTCTTCTAAAATAAAACAATACAGTTGCATAGCTTCTCTTAAAGATAACTATTGGTTTTAGTTAGTCATTTGCTTAGAAATAAAACCCTCTTATAATATATTTCCATACAGTCAATTTAACAACATTGTAGGTAACATCATATCTTATTCATACATTGCAATCCATGGAGCATTTCTCATTGCAAGAAAGAAATTCCAAGTAGTTCTTTGTATCTTGTGTCTTGCATTAGCTAGTCAAAAGAGTTCTACTAAAAGTAATAAATGGTGCATCTTTTTGCTTTTGTTTTTACTGTCACTTCAGATTTGTAACTGTAGTTAACTGAAAACAAAATTATACATAATTATATATAACATAACAAAATTATACATAACAGATTTAGAAATCTTGCATTTTTGAATGCATGCATAACAAAGTATTTGATAGTTATGTGTCTAGTCAAAGTTGGCCTTCTTAAGCTTATATGAAGTTGTGGTACAATACAACACCTAGAACAAATGATACAAATTTTTAAAATATTTGTGCCTTATGTTACAAAAGTTCTTAATTCTATATTTGATTATAGTGTTAGCTAAATGTTTTATGCATTTAATTTTCTTTTGATAAGAGACTGTATGATATACAGTTGACGTTTGAATAATGTAGGTATTAGCAGTGTTGACCCTCTGCATAGTTGAAAATTTAAAAATAATTTTTGACTCCCCCAAATTTACTACTAATAGCCTAACTCTTGACCCAAAACCTTATGATAACATAAATAGTTAATGCATTTTTTTGTGTTATATGTGTTATATACTGCATTCTTATGATAAAACTAGAGAAAAAATGTGATTAAGAAAATGAGAGAATATATTTACTATTGATTAAGTGAAATTGAATAGTCGTAACCATCCTCATCCTTGTCATCATCATGTTGAGTAGACTGAGGAAGAGGAAGAAAAGGATGGGTTGATCTTGCTGTCTCAGGGGTGGCAGAGGCAGAAAAGATGTAAGAGATGGGAAGGGAGACAGGAGATGCAGGCACTATTAGTGTAAGTTTACAGAAATACATTGTAATTTCTGTTGACTTTTTACTATTTTCTCTAAACATGTTTATTTTTAATAAGTTGACTATGTAGTACTGATCTTTCTTTCATCATTTGCTTTTATTTCAGTGCCCATATCATAGAAGTGTCCATGTCACAAAAGAAGTCAAAAGTAGTCTGGAATAATTGGAATCTTTCCACTAGATTGTCTAATGTCAATTTGTTTTCTGGCACTGTGTCTTCTATGTCTTCCTCCTCATTGTCTTGGCATTGGTTTGGAGGTACTCATCTCCATCAAGTCACCTTCTTTTAATTCCTCTGATGCAGTACCTATTAGCTCTTGAATTTCTTTAAGATTGATACCTTGAAACCTTTCACCCCTTACTTTCTTTTGCTATATCTACAGTATCTTTCACGGTTTCCTTAATTGTCTCTGTCGTAAATCCTGTGAAGTCATGAACAACATCTGGACACAGTTTTCTCCAGCAGGAATTTCTTGTTGTGTGCTTGATGGCCTTCAAAGCTTTTTCTATAACAACAATGGCATCTTTAATGGCATAAGCCTTCTAAACTTTGATCAAGTTCTCTCTATGGAAGTTCTCTTCGATAATGTTGAAAATCCTTTCTATAGAGTACATGTGTAATGGAGACTTAAAGGTCCTTATGATCCCCTAATCTAATGGCTGAAAAAGAGACATGTTTGGGAGCAAGTGGACCACTTGGATGTTTTCAGTGTTAAACTTTTGGGGTTCTGGGTGACCAGAGACATTGTTCGATATCAAGAGAACTTTTTAAAAAGGAGTCCTTACTGACAAGGTACTTCCTGTCTTCAGGGGCAAGGCATCGATGGAACCAGTCCATAAAAGGGATTCTCATTGCCCAGGTCCTCTTGGTGCACAACCAAAAGACTGGCAGCTGGTGTTTATGTTTTCCATTCAAGGCTATGTGGTTAGCAGCTTTATAGATAAAGGCAGACCTGATCATAAACCCGACTGCATTTGCACACAACGGTAGAGTTAGCTTATCCTTTCCTGCCTTAAATCCCAGTGTTCCCTTCCCTTCCTTATTAATAAATGTCCTTTGTGGCATTTTTTCCCCCAGAGCAGGGCATTTCTGTCTGTGTTAAAAACTGGCTCAGGAAGATATCCTTTTCTCTCAATAATTTTCTTAAGGGTGTCTGGAAAGTTGTCTGTTGCTTCTTGGTCAACAGGAGCTGCTTCTCTTCTTATCCTGAATTTTTTTTTCAAGCCAAACCTCTTTCCAACCTTATCAAACCATCTTTTGCTGGCATTATATTGTTTAGCTTTAGATCCTTCACCTTTCTTTTGCTTCAAACTGTTATATAATAACTTCGCTTTTTCTGGAATCACATTAGAGTCTATAGGTATGCCTTTCTTACAGGAAATCTTATATGTACACAAAAGTTATTTGGCAAAATATGTGCATGCTGACGTAGCTGCAATGATGGCTTCAAACATTTCCTTTTCTTGTTTTTATAATCATCCTTACATTGAATTCATTTATGTTAAAATAATGGGCAGCCACTGCTTCAGACCTCAAGCTATGGTACAACGTTTTCTTGTAATGTCATGAATTTTCTTTGCTTCTTGGAAGGACTTCCAGCATTGCTAGTGGCACTTCATACAAATGCCATAATGTTATTCAAGGGTATTGTATAGAGTGTTTTACTAAACATTATGAAAAGTACACGAGAACCACAAGAGTCACTTTTCACTGTGACATGCAATTTACTAGATAGACAAAAGGCTCACTGGAGATTAGTGTCAAGTGGATACTGGAAACTCTTGAGCTCACTGTAATAGCAATAGGAGGTGGCTACAACATTATTACAGTAGTACAATATGTAATACAGTTAAATTAATGCAGTTATGATTTAATACTGCATCTTTATATTGTTTATATTTCTTGGTATTACAAATGGCACCACTTACAGTCTGTTCGTTTGTGCAAGTTTTGATAAATTTTAACTTTTTAATAATTTATTTGTGTATATTTCATCATAGTAAATGATAAAATAGGCTAGTATCTACATATATTTTATGCACTCATGACATAGCTCATTTTTTCTTAACTCTGTCAATTTTTCTAGGCTATGCAGTTGGTCTGAATTTTTTAAATTGTTGCAAATTTACAAAAATGTTTCCAATATATTTATTGAAAAACATCTGTGTATAAATGTACCTGTGTAGTACCAACTTCAGTTGTCCAAGGGCCAACTGTACTTTTTCTCATACATTTTATACTTCCTCAGCTTTTCAGAGATATTCCATTATGTTAAAAAATGCTGTTCCTTATTTTGGTTTCATCTATAATTTATCATGGAGAGACCTAGTTAGTTTAGAATAAAAATAACAATAACTAAGCATGTAATATAAACTCCTTGAGCAACTCTTCATCTTTCATTATGTAGATGAAAATTGCCCTTGATTCATTTCCTAATGTCTGTGACCTGTCAGAGGACTGCCAGGATTTCATTTCCTGCCTGCTGCTCTTCTACTCTCTTTCATGGTGACTTTTCTTCCTGCCTGCTTTTAAGCCATTTTCATCTAGATCCCCTACCTCTCCTAAATACCCTATCAAAAATAATACCCCAATTATTCTCTATTTATGTTTATGTCATTTATTTAATGTCTGTTTCTCTTATTAAAATGTATTCTATGAAGGGTCTTTGTCTGTATGGTGTTCTACCTTAATTCAAGCATCTAGAACAGTGTCCAGCACCTAGCAGTCACTTAATAATGGTTTCATCAATAAATGAATGAATGATTGAATTTTTCAACCTTAATTTCTTCATGAATATTTATATACCCAAGATTTACTAGATGTCACTATGTAATTTCTTCCATCGCAAACTCAGTATTTCAAATGAATATCTTTCCTAAATCGTATTAGTTTGTGACACAATTTTCTCCCCATTGCAAAGCATGAAGCATGGAAATCACACTTAACTTCTCCCTCATTTTATCTCTTCATTCAATGGATCAACAATACTGTTAATTTTATCTCTAGAATATCTCTAAATCTATCCTATTGCTCCACATACACCTAGGTCAGGATCTTATTAATGTCATTTGAAGTATTAAAATGGTTTATTTCCTTGCCTTGCCACCAGTTTTTGTTTTTTTGTTTGTTTGTTTTTACTTCTATTTTCAACTTGCAATTTGTTTGCCACAAAGGACTTAATTGATTTAAAGACTAATTTTATCTTATTGGTCTCAGATTAAAGGCCTTCAATGGCTTCCTAACTTCTGCGTGATCAAGTGTGGAGTCCTTAAAATGGTTCATGCAGACTTTTGCATGATATGGCCCCTGCCTTCCAATCCAGTCTCATTTCTAACCATTGTCAACTAATAATTGGAATCCGGCAAATGTTTGGTAATTGTACGTCTTTTAACTCTGTTTTACTGTGAGATTAATAGTTCTTCTTTTGCCTAAAAAGTTCTTATTCTGCATTTGAATTTCACTTTAAATGCCATCTCTTCTCTTTATTTGACCCTTGGTATCCTCCCTCAAGGTGTCTCTTCTCATCATGTTTTCTAATGTCTTGTGTATGCTTTCATCATTGTATTTACTATGCTTGATTATTAAAATCTACTTTTTTGTCTTTCTTCACTTGATTGTAAAGCTTTTGAGGATATTTAAGTTATCAATTGCTCTATAACTAACCATTCCAAAATTTAATAGTTTAAAATAAAAAATATATTATTAATGGTCATAATTTTGCTACAATTTCTTACTTAGGATTTTGTATACAGTTACAGTCAGATAGAAGGCTATACTTGACTAGATATTCAAGATGGCTCACTCCCATGGCTACGGTTGACACTGGTTGTAAGCTAGGAGCCCAGGTGGCATTATTGAGTGGATCACCTCTGTGTCATCTTTCTGTGTTGCTTGAATGTCTTACAATATGGCAGCTAGGTTTTCAGAGAGCATCTTAAGAGCTAGTATTCTAAAAGACCTAGGCAGAAACTGCGAGAATTCTTATGACTTATACTGAAAAATCACATTATGACCTACATTCAGAATTCATGGCCGGGCATGGTGGCTCACACCTGCAATCCCAGCACTTTAGGAGGCTGAGGTGGACAGATCACTTGAGCCCAGGAGTTCAAGACCAGCTTAATAACAGTGAAACCCCATCTCTACAAAAAATGCAAAAATAAAAAAATTAGCCAGGCATGTTGGCACACGGCTGTAGTCCCAGCTACTCGGGAGGTTCAGGTGGGAGGATCACCTGAGCCCAGGAGGTCCAGGCTGCAGTGAGCTGTGGTCTTACCACTGAACTCTGGCCTAGGCAATAGAGCAACAGAGTGAGTCCCTGTCTCAAAAAAATAAAAATAAAAAATAAGAAGGCAAGTATTTATATCGCTTTTTTTTTTCTTAAGCAAGTAACTAAAACAAGACCAGATGTAAGAGAAAAGTAATTGGACTTTATCTCTCAATGTAAAGCACAGCCATGTGCATACAGGGAGGGAAGAAACTGAGGGCAGCCATATTTGAAATTATATAACAAAAGGGATTATTTCACACACTCATTTAAAAATATCCATGTTTCCCTCACCAATCACTAACCTAGCTGAGTTGTATTTTAAAGGTGGATTTTGATTTGCGTATACTTTGGCAGTATATGCAGCTTTTTTTTACTAAAACAATTTAGTAAAAATTAGTAAGAAATTAAGTTAAATATATATATTTAAATATGTATATTTACAAATATATATTTAAATACATATATATATTTACAAATAAACACCAATATTACAAAGGACTTGTGCTTCTAGTAATGCAAGGCTAAATAATTTGGACCAAGTCTCTTACTGAGAATGACTTTAAGAACCAGAAAAAATATGTAAATACAACTGCTTGAAGGCATTGGATAACAGCAATGTCGGTGATGAAATATGGGATCAAGGTCTGAGAGAGCAGAGAAATAAGAAGACAGCCTGGCTTTTAGGACCTCTTTTCCATTAAGAGTGGCTATCATCTTCAGAAGAAGCTACCTAAAGACTGAGAAACTTATTGGAGCCTCTGACCTCACAGGGCTAGGGGAACACAAATTAGAATTCCAGGTTTTTTGCCTAAGTAAGAGCCCTGTCCCCACTCCCCCTCTTCTTAATTTGAGTAGAGATGTTTAAGTGCTAAACACCTGTAAGTGAGGGTGAAATCAAAATAAAACAGTCTTCACAGGGGCTTTTATGACCAGCTTCTGATCATCTCTTTCCCTGACACTATAGTAAGATGATCTGGAATTCCTAGTAACCCTAGACTTCTGAAAAAGGTGATCTGACAGAGGTTAAGGGAGATGTTATTGCCTGGAAGAGAGCAAAAGTTGGTTTTGGAGGGAAGAAAAAATTTATACTGTATAATATTTTGTGGCCCTTCTGAAGCTTCACATTATACAACAAAATCTTATTTCTTAGTGCTTAATTACAGTTGTTAAGAGGAATTTAAACTTAATTTATTCTTCTCCTGGGCAGAGCAAAAATGAAGTTGAAAACCACTGGTTTATAGTCAGCCCTAAGGGGTCCTGCAGGCTTTTCAGGGATGGAGATGGAAGAAGAGCAAAGTGAATTTTAAAAAGACTAAACTGTATTAAGAAAAAGCTAGCCAAGGAGGCATCCATGGTTCCTGAGTTCTACTTCATATAAACTTGATGAAAAGAATTAAGATATGTTTGTATTATTTTTTGAACCCTGGATAATTCCATAATTATTTAACAGATTTTGTTTCTGGATATGAATTGTACCTGGATGGATTTTTAGACATTGTGGGCATTAATTAAATAAGCAAATCAAATCACTACTTATTTAAGCGTCTGTTCTGTACAGAGCATTATGTTGTGGATGATACAAAGACCTCAACATTTTTTTTATTTTTACCTTTTGTGGGTACATAATAGGTGTACATATTTATGGGGTACATAAGATATTTTGGTATACGCAAGCAATGTATAATAATCATATCATGAAAAATTTGTTATTCATCTCTTCAGGCATTTCTCCTTGTGTTATGAACAATCCAATTATACTCTTATCTGTTTATTAATGTGCAATTAAATTATTATTGGCCACAATCTCCTTGTGCCATCAAATACTAGGTTTTATACATTCTTTTTATTTTTCTTGGTACCCACTAATCAACCCCTCCTCTCCCCTACCCCTCACACTACCCTTCCCAGCCTCTCATAACCATTCTTTTTTCTGTATTTCCATGAGTTCTATTGTCTTGACTTTTAGATTCTACAAATAAGTGAGAATGTGATATGTTTGTCTTTCTGTGCCTGGCTTATTTCACTTAACATAATGACCTCCAGTTCCATCCATATTGTTGCAAATGACAGAATCTCATTATTTTTTATGGCTGAATAGTACTCCATGGTATATATGTACCACATTATCTTTATCCATTTGTCTGTTGATGGACACTTAGGTTGATTCCAAATCTTGACAATAACAAATGCTGGTGAGGTTGTAGAAAAAAGGGAATCCTCCTACACTGTTGGTGGGGATGTAAATTAGCACAACTACTATGGAGAGTAGTTTGGAGGTTCCTCACAAAACTAAAAATAGAGCTACAATGCAATGCAACATTTAAGAATTATAGACTCATGTTAAAAAAAACAGGCATTAATACATAAAAATTAAATATTGTATAAAGAGATATATATTCAGTGCTATACAAGATTAATTATTGAATAAATTATTGACTCATAAAACTCTGAGTTTAGATGAATAAAAAAATTTTAACTTGACTTTAAAAAGACTTAATTTGCCTTTTAAAAGATGTATAGGATATAGATAATAATTTTAAAATGACATAGAGAAGATATTAAATTAAACTACTTCTAAAATATATTTACTTCTCTAAAAATATCTTGACTATTTTAAAGAACTATTTTAATGGGGTATTGGCCATTAAATATTATTTTTAATGTTCAAAATTACAGCTCTCATAGAAAATAAATATTTGTCAAAGATTTTATTTAACTCTTTAGTTAACGAGAGAATCAGAAAAAAAAATGTATAACTAGTAAGAAGAAGAATCCACAGAGCAGACATATGCAGAGGCCATTAGAAATCCTAAAATGAATTTGCTTAATAGATTCAAAACTGGCCTCTCCTATTAGGGAAACAAAATAAATTGAACCTCCACCAGACAGACTGCATTTCTATGAACAGAAATTGCTTGCATAGATATGTATTTTCTACAAATTAATTTCTATCTCTCTAAGGTTGGAAAATAGGCTAGTCAAAACAATGAAAGGCAAAGATAACCTATAAGGTTGACTGGATATATTCACTAATACTTCTTTACAAGATAATTGAGAAGTTGCCTTTTAAATTTTAAAAGTTTATTATAAATACTAAGTGCCTTGCAGCTTTTAAACTGATTATTAATTGTTTTGAATTAAATGTTGAGATACAGTTTAGAATACATACTCCTAGATATGTATGGGAAAATGTCCAGTGGAAGGCAGGACCAAACAAGTCATAGAGAGAACATCTAGCCATCTATTGGATTACTTAGACATGCAATCCCAAACCCAAGAATAATTGAACAATTAAAAACTTCAAAAAACATATTTACATCTTTTAAGTATACAAGAATTTCAATAAGCTGAACTTTTTCTCCTCTTTTGGCAGTATGTGCTTGTACGAAGCTAATATGTAATTTCCTTTCAGCAAAACTATTTGGAGTTCCATTATTTTAATTTTCTGAAAGCACAGGCTAAAACAAAAAATAGATACATTGAACTTCATCAAAATTTTAAATATTTGTCTTTCAAAATACAATGTCAAGAGACTGAAAAGGCAATATTTGCGATCATATGTGTGACAAGAGATTAATATTCAGAATATATAAAAACTACAATTCAACAGTAACAAACAGCTTGATTTTTAAAATGGGCAAGATACTAGAATAACATTTTTCCAAATAAAATATACGAACAGCCAATACACATATGAAAACATACTAAACATCACTAATAATTAGAGACATGAAAGTAAAAACTATGATGAAATACCACTTTACATCCATTACAATGGGCATTATCAAACAAAACAAAAGAGAAAATAAGTGTTTTGAGGATGTGGAGAAATTGGAACCTTGGTGCCTTGCTGATGGAAGTGTAAAATGACACAGCCACTGTAGAAACGGTGTGGCAGCTCCTAAAAATGTTAAACATAGAATTACCATATGATCCAGCAATTCTAGGTATATATCTAAAAGAATTGAAATCAGAGACTGAAAGAGACATTTGCACACAGATGTTTATAGCAACATAATTTACAATAACCAAAAAGAGAAAACAACCCAAATGTTGATAAACAGATGAATGGATAAACACAATGTGGTACATACCTGTAATGGAATAATATTCAGACCTAAAATGGAATAAAATTCTGATACATACTATAACATCTATGAAACTTGAAAACATGCTAAGTGAAATAAGCCAGAAACAAAAGGACAAAGATTATATGAATCCACTTATATAAGGTACCTAGAATAGACAAATTAATAGAAACAGAAATTATGATAAATGTTACTAGGGTTAAGAGAAAGAGGACTTAATGAGTACATGGCTTCTGCTTGGCATGATGAAAAAGTTCTGGAAATAAATAGTGATGATGGTTGAACAACAATTTGAATGTATTTTATGTCAATACATTGTATACTTAAAAATGATTAAAATGATAAATTTTATGTCATGCATATTTTTTGACAATTTAACAAATAAATAATAATTTGGAGAAAACTAACAGCCTGATGAACATTCTTTTATTTGAACATAACATTTGTGAATATTGACATGCCATCAACTATAAATGTTTTCTCAAGAGAGGGTGTATTGACCATTCTTAATGAGGAAAAAAAAAAGGCTATATCATTATACATAGTTAGATAGAGAAATTAATGTTTTTGTTTTCAATGTTCTATGATCTTTTGTAAGTACTGCCTTTAGATTTTGAGAGCAAATCAAATGGACTTTCATATCTGGTGCCACAAACTTATATTTGGAGCCCTCAAAAAAGTAAAGCTGATCTATTCTGTTAATAGTGAGAAAAACATTTCTATAGAGAAGGTAAAATTTGTCTTTTCCTTTTAGGGAATCTACTTGCTGCTTTAGCGGTATTGGCAAATTGGGTTCAATACTTGAGGTTTATAATCTCTTAAGTGAGTTTGAGCTTGGAAAGGAAACAGTAGGGAGGCTGGTCACTGTGCAATGTAGCTTAATGCATTAAATTTAATACAAGTAAACAAAATGAAAAAAATTAAAAGAAGGTAGTTTTTGTATTTTAACCAAATTCTGCTATGTAATGCTAGAAAAAGTTTCAAATACATTTGTTATGGTTATACCTAGCAGGTTTCTAGTACTTTCTAATAGCCTTAGCATTTTGATTTGAGATTATTTTCCATGTTTGACTGTTATAAAATGTGACTTAAGGTTTAGATATGTTATTCAACCTGGAAACTTTCTTAAGAAAAGGACCTTTTAGCAACCAAACAGCTTAAACAAAAATAAATGTACAAAGAAACAAGAGGAGCAAACATTTATTTTTATAAACTTTCCTTTAAAAAGTCCTTTAAAGAAATCAAGAATAAGATAATTTAAGATGTGGGGTGATGGTTGAGGAGAAAACTGATATCAAAGATACTCAGCTATTAATGTTTTATTTATAAATGTTAATTTGAGCAAATAAATTTCAATTGTAATCAAGCAACCAAATCTGAGCTATTCTGTGATTAGAGGCATTTCATTTTAGGGGTGGAAAGAAAACCACCCCTTTCTTCCCCATTATAAAGGTCATGGCTGACACCCCTATAAAAAAAAAGCAGGTTAACAAAAGTAAAGCATTGTAGTTTTAAGTGACTTGAGAATCTTCAGAATGAAGACACAAAGATACAGGGATAACTGTTCATTTTTATACTTAGGTTCAATTAAATATGGACAGCCATGTTGAAATACAGTTGGATAAGAAGGATCTGATCTAACGATAACAGACTGAGTTGGGGAACTCAGCCAGTCCTGTTCCAATTTTTCTTGGACTTTCTGTGAAGCATTCCTTCCTCCTGGGTGTGGTGTAGGACCTTCTGGAAAGAGAGTCTTAATTTCTTTATGGCCAGCTGTTGCACAGAGAAGTGGTGCGGGGGATGTTATTATGTTTTTAGGCTTTATGGCTGGCTTTGGGAAAAAGATATTATGGTTTTTATGACCTACCTTGGGGAAGAGGAAATCTAGTTTCTATGGCTTGCCTAGGGGGAGAATGAAAGGCAAGAGACAGGAGGTAGAATAAGGTCAGAGAGAGACTTTGCTTCTGGGGTTGCTTCTTAGGCTTTTATTTTGGGATATCACTTTCTGAGCCCCAACACATTCTTAATAGATAAATTTCTCCTCTAAAATAACCTAAATCCTTTCATTTATAGGAACGTTAATGTCATGCCTTTCAGTCTTTCAATTCCTTTGCTATTACCTTTGAGAATTGAAGATTATTACAATACTCCCCCACCCTCTAACAAGTAAGAGGCAAAACTAATGCATGTTTTTCCCCTTTTGTAAATGAGCTTCTTAAAACTTTTGAAGTTACAGAACTTACTTCCATTTTTAACTTGATGCCTAGAAAAATATGAGAACAAATCATCAATCAACTTTGAAAAGACCTTGATGACTTCAGGTACCAGATAATAATAAACATTGTGTGCAGAACAAATCTTGTAAAACCAATATAATTTTATCTTGAGAGAGGATACTGGACCTATTAAAGCAAAGAAAAAAATGTTGATTTTGCTAACGTTTTGATTAGGACTCAGATGACAAAGTCATCAACTTAGAAAAGATAGTCTAGGTTAAGCATATTGCAGAAACATAAATCCATAGACCCACCATAAAACTTACTTTTTATCTACCAACTTTGGTTTAGCCAACATTTATGTCCTCTTCCACCCTATGATAGTCCCATAACGTCGATTTTTGTGAAGGGACTCACAGCTTGATATTTTAGAAGTACTGAAAGAAGTTAAAATATGCAGAAGTTTGGTGTAGATCATGTAGCTTACCCTAGGAATCGTATGGAAGTTTACTGATTTTTAATAGTTCTTGGAGCTTAATGTCCAGTCCTTTAGCATTTAGTCAAACATGACAGAAATGTGACAGGTAAATTTTTAGGCTAATGAGGCTATTCCATGGGTCCTTTCTCTAATTAACTTTAATCTTTTGCAAATCCATGAATTTAGGTTCAGCAAAGAGATTATCATTTATATAATCACAACTGAGCGTTTAACAAGAATGTGAAGATCCCTCTAAAATGCAAATCTGATCCTTCTGAAAATCCTTCTGTGGCTCCCCATTGACTTGATGACAAAAGTATAAATCCCTTACCATGGCACGCAAGGATTTTAGCATTTGGACCCAACCCCCTCTAGAATCAACTCTCTAATTTTAGGAGAAAATCATCTAGTTATATTGATTTAATTGTAAGCCTTCCAAAATGCCATGTGCTTTTATACAACAAGACCTCTACACAAACAGCACCTTCTACCTTCAATTTATTTTCCCAACTTTTGTGTTTGATTTCACATCTCAATTTTCTCTGTTATCTCCTTCTGGCTGTTTTAGACAGCCTTTTTCTAGATTTCTATTATATTTTAAGCCCGCTTCTGCTATGGCATTAATCGCATTGAGTTGTAATCATGTGTCTGCATCTCCGTGTCTCTCACTATACACTGAACACCTTCAGACCTGGAACTGTACCTTTTTTTTTTTTTCTTTTGAGACGGAGTCTTGCTCTGTCACCCATGCTGGAGTGCAGTGGCACAATCTCGGCTCACTGCAAGCTCCGCCTCCCAGGTTCACGCCATTCTCCTGCCTCAGCCTCCCGAGTAGCTGGGACTACAGGCGCCCGCCAGCAGGCCTGGCTAATTTTTTGTATTTTTAGTAGAGACGGGGTTTCACCATGTTAACCAGGATGGTCTCGATCTCCTGACCTTGCGACCTGCCTGTCTTGGCCTCCCAAAGTGCTGGGATTACAGGCATAAGCCACCGCGCCCAGCCAAGAGTTGGTAATTTTAATTCTTATTTTACATTTGAGGAAAGAGAGATTCAAAAAGAAGGAGTATTCTTTTTATTACTTAAGGTGACATAGCCAATGAATGGCAGATTCAGGATGCAACACAAACCCTCAGATTTTAAATAATGCTACCCCCCAAATAATCCCTTCCAATATGTGCCCAAGTAAAACTGATCTGTGTAAATTCCTCATTACCCAGTTTTTGCCATCTAAAAAGCATTGATTATTGAAAGAAAATCAATGCAATTGTTTGAATTTGGTAAGTAAAAAACAGTATTTGAAAGCAAAGATGGTTTATCTTTTCTAAATATCAGCAACATTAACCATATCTGAGGCAGAGACTCCATGATTATATATTAATTAGTTTTCTCTGCACTAGTATACAGGTATCTCAAAACACACTATTTTAAGTACTGGCTTCCATTTGAAAAATTGTTCAAGGAAAATAGGGGAACAAACTATTATTTTCTTTGGAATATTATTAGGTCTTTTGATTAAGAAAGGTAGAGGACAAGTTGGATTTTTAAGAGAGAGATGAAGAGTTATATATTCTACATAAAATAAAAAGAGAAATTTTTAGTTTTTATCTAGTGTCTCAGAGGAAGATACTAATCAAAGATGGGAGTGAGGAAGAGGCAAATTTCAAGATGAGAGAAGATTAAAAAAAGCATTTCTTCAGAAAGAGTAAAGGGGATTACAGCAACATGCCATAAGGACAGGTCCCTCCCACCTGTTGTGAGAGGGACCCAGTGGGAGGTAATTGAATCATGGGGATGGGCCTTTCTCATGCTGTTCTCATGACAGTGAATACGTCTCATGAGATCTGACGGTTTTATAAAGGGGAGTTTCCCTACACAAGCTCTCTCATTCTATTGTGCCTGCCGCCATGTAATACGTGCCTTTCACCTTCTGCTATGACTATGAGGCTGCCCCAGCCATGTGGAACTGTGAGTCCATTAAACTTCTTTTCCTGCATAAATTACTCAGTCTAAGGTATGTCTTTATCAACAGTGTGAAAACGGACTAATACAGTAAATTGATACCAGGATTAGGGCACTGCTGTAAAGATACCCAAAAATATGGAAGCGACTTTGGAAGCAGGTAACAGGCAGAGGTTGGAACAGTTTGGAGAGCTCAGAAGAAGACAGGAAAATGTGGGAAAATTTGGAACTTCCTAGAGATTTGTTGAATGGTATTGACCAAAATGCTGACAGTGACCTAAAGAATAATGTCCAGGTTGACATGGTCTCAGATGGAGTTGAGAAACTTGCTAGGGACTGGAGCAAAAGTGACTCTTGCTATGTTTTAGCAAAGAGACTGGTGGCATTTTTGCCCCTGCCCTAGAGATTTGTGGAACTTTAAGCTTGAGGAAGATGATTTAGGGTATCTGGTGGAAGAAATTTCTAAGCAACAAAGCATTTGAAAGGTGAGTTGGGTGCTGTTAAAAGCATTCAGTTTTAAAAGGGAAACAGAGCATAAAAGTTTGGAAAATTTGCAGCCTGATGGTGAGATAGAAAGAAAAACCCATTTTCTGAGGGGAAATTCAAGATGGCTGGTTGCAAAAATTTGCATAAGTAACAAAGAGCCCGACTGTTAATTGCCAAGACAATGGAAAAAATGTCTCCAGGGCATGTCAGAGATCTTTGTGGCAGGCCCTCTCATCACAGCCCCAGAAGCCTAAGAGGAAGGAACACTTTTGTGGGCTGGGCCCATGGCCTCCCTGTTATGTGCAGCCTAAGGACTTGGTAGCCTGTGTCCCAGCCATTCTTGCCATGGCTAAAGAGGCCAAGGTACAGCTTGGGCAGTGGCTTCAAAGGGTGCAAGCCCCACATGGCAGCATAAAAGTTTGGACCACGACGTGGTGTTGAGCCTGTGGGTACACAGAACTCAATTCTTGAGGTTTGGAAATCTTTGCCTGGTTTTCAGAGTATGTATGGAAATGCCCAGATGTCCATGCAGAAGTTTGCTGCAGGGCAGAACCCTCATGAAGAACCTCTGCTAGGACAGTGTGGAAGGAAAATGTGGTGTCAGAGTCCCCACACAGAGTTCTCACTGGGTCACTGCCTAGTGGAGTTGTGAGAAGAGGGCCATTATTCTCCAGACTCCAGAATGGTAGATCCATCGACAGCTTGTACTGTGCACCTAAAAGAGCTGAAGACACTCAAAGCCAGGCTGTGAAAGTAGCCAGGAGGGGAGCTGTACCCTGCAAAGCCAAAGGGGCAGAGCTGCCCAAGGCTGTAGGAAGCCACCTGTTGGATCAGAGTGACCTGCATGTGAGACATGGAGTCAAAGGAGATCATTTTGAAACTTTAAGGTTTAATAACTTCCCTATTGGATTTCAGACTTGCATGGGGCCTGTAGCCCCATTGTTTTGGCCAATTTCTCCCATTTGGAATGGGTGTATTTATCCAATGCCTGTACCCTCATTGTATCTAGGAAGTAACTAACTTGCTTTTGATTTTGCAGGCTCATAGGTGGAAGGGACTTGCCTTGTCTCAGATGAGACTTTGGACTGTGGACTTTTGAGTTATTGCTGAAATTAGTTAAGACTTTGGGAGACTGTTGGGAAGGCATGATTGGTTTTTAAATGTGAGGACATGAGATTCGGGAGGGGCCCAGGGTGGTATAATATGGTTTGGCTGTGTCCCCATGCAAATCTCATCTTAAATTCTAGCTCCTATAATTCCCATGTGTTGTGGGAGGGACCTGGTGGGAGGTAATTGAATCATCAGGGTGGGTCTTTCCCATGCTGTTCTCATGATAGTGAATAAGTCTCATGAAAGCCGATGGTTTTATAAAGGGGAGTTTCCCTACACAAACTCATTCTATCTTGCCTGTCACCATGTAATACGTGACTTTCACCTTCTGCCATGATTGTGAGGCTGCCGCAGGCAAGCGAAACTATGAGTCCATTAAACCTCTTTTTCTTTATAAATTACCCAGTCTTGGGTATGTCTTTATCAGCAGTGTGAAAAGAGACTAATACATCCTTCAGCTTCTTCCCACATTACTACTCACACCTAGTGATCTGTAGAAATATTGAGAAGTGCACTGTACCTACTGGAATTTTGTTGGGGTGGAGTGGAGTTTGAGTGATTCTTTTTTCATACTAAGAAACAGTTTTGACTGGGCACAGTAGCTCATGCCAGTAATCCCAGCACTTTGGGAGGCCACTTGAGTCCAGGTGTTCAAGACCAGCCTGAGCAACATAGTGAGGCCTCGTCTCTACAAAAAGCTAATAATAATAAATAGCCAGATGTGGAGGTGCATGCCTGTAGTCCCTGCTACTTTGTGGGCTGTGGTGGGAGGATCACTTGAGCCTGGGAAGTTGAGGCTGCAATGAGTCATTATTGTGCCACTGTACTCCAGCCTGGGTGACAGAGTGAGACCTTGTCGCAAACAAAACAAAACAAAAAAATGAAACTGTTTTTCGGTAGGATGAAGTTATTTGTAGTAGACAAAAATAACCCCACACACTTAGAAAACTTACAATGGCTTGATAAACTAAAAAAGTCAACTGTTCAAATATAGCTGAGAGTTGCTTTTAAACACTAGTTAATAACCTATAGCTCTTTTTCTCTTAGGGTTATTTGCCAATTGTGAGAGTTAAGAATTTGGGCTTGGACAGATGTGGTAACAGAACGGAGAAGCCAGCAGAGCTTTTGGCAGTCACATGAATTTGAAGTGACAAAATGGATTTGAGTGGAATCAACAAACAACTGTTTTCCCCTGCCAGGCATTTGCCCAATTCAAAAGCTCTGGATAGTCAGATAAACTGAAGATTTCTGAAAAGAATAACAAAATTTATTGTAGTCTGATGGTGCTCAAAAGACCAGGAATCTACTGAAAATACCAGTTGAAAGCAAAAGGAGTGACATTTAAGAACAGGAGAAAATTAGGAGTACTCTTGGTTTTAGCATATTTGCAAACTGGATTCAACTCATCTCAGTCTTTATTTAGACTAAAATGCAACCAGTCCATCAATGCATTTGCTTAGCAGAAGAAAGGGAGAACCCACTTTGATGGATAATATTATATGGAACCTCTAGAATTTGTATATACTATGCCTAGCATTCAGTCAAAACTTATTAGGCATACCAAGAGAAAAATAGATAATAGAAACAGATTCATATGGTTAAAATATTAGAAATAGTAGATACATACTTTAAAATAACTTTTATGAGTATTAAAAATAGAGAAAAATAAGATTAAAAAGAATTAAAAGATACAGAATTTCAACAAAAAATTGAACCTATAATAAAATTAAATGGACATCCTCAAACTTCAAAATTACTATGTCCAAAAAGGGAGAACCCACTTTGATGGATAATATTATACGGAATTTCTAGAATTTGTATATACTATGCCTAGCATTCAGTCAAAACTTATTAGGCATACCAAGAGAAAAATAGATAATAGAAACAGATTCATATGGTTAAAATATTACAAATAGTAGATAGATACTTTAAAATAACTTCTATAAATATTAAAATAGAGGAAAAATAAAATAAAAAAGAATTAAAAGATAGAATTTCAACAAAAAGTGGAATCCATAAAAAAATTAAGTGGGCATTCTCAAACTCCAAAATTACTATGTCCAAAATAACGATCTCATTATGTGAGATTAACAGCAGACTGGAAACAGCAGAAATCATGTTAGTAAATTTAAGGCAGTTTAATGGAAATATGTATTCTGGGGTAGAAAAACAAAAATGAAAAGAATAAAAAAAACAGATGAGATCACAAGATACATGTGGGACACGGTCAACTATACAAGTATTTGAAGATCCTAGCATATATGTTACTGGAGTCCCAGCAGGACAGGAAATAAAAAAAGTGGCAAATGTAATGTTTAAAATAATAACAAAAAATTATATCCAATTGAAAGATGATATCAACCAATAGACTCAAGAAGCTCAGTGAATCTAAAGCGAATCACAGTTGAAATTGCTGACAAAGACAAAGACAAGAATCTTAAAACTAACCAAAGGGAGAAAAAAATACTTTCAAAGCAGCTACAGTATTCATCAACGCTAAAGATAAAAGGCATATGACAATAAAATGACAACTTCAAAATGATGAAACTATAGCATTCAGGTTAAACTATAATTCTAAATGCCCCAAAAAAGACGCATAAAGTTTAGCCAGGTGTAGTGGCTCACACCTGTAATCCCAACACTTTGGGATTATACTAAAAGTCGGGCATGGTGGCGCATGCCTGTAATCCCAGCTACAGCTACTTGGGAGGCTGAGGCACAAGAATCACTTGAACCCTGGGAGGTGGAGGTTGCAGTGAGCCATGATCATACCACTGCATTCCAGCCTGGGTGACAGACCAGACCTGTTTCAAAAAACAAAAAACAAACAAAGAACAAAAAACATACTCAGAAAGTTTGAAAGTAAAATGTTAAAAAAAAAATTGCCAAGCAAACTCTAATCATGAGAAGGTTCATGTAGAAGTACTGCTATAAGGCAAAGCAAAATTTAAGTTAGGTCATACCACTACAAATTTCCAGAACTTTAAAAATTTATTAAACAGTCATTTTGCCAGTTATCTTACTGGCGAAACAATTAAAATCTATATCACCCAGTAACATAGTTAAATAGATAAAACAGCATCTGACAATTAAAAACAAAAACAGATAAGGCCATAATCAGAATGGGAGAATTTAACATATAATTGCTGACAGGATAAAATGGTGAAATCAGTGACTTTTTGAAAATTTGAAAAACACAATTTATAAACTGACCTAATTGATATATTTAGAAACTGAATCCCACAATGACAAAAGTCATATTATTCTCAAATCCTTGTGTAGCTTTTACCAAAATTGATCGTACTTTGAATTATTAAGGGCATCTCAAGAGTTCAGAGTATATTTTCTGACCTTAGTGAAATGAGTTAAAAATCAATAATGAAGTTCTCAACTTCTTGGAAATTAAGGGTTGCACTTCTAAATAACCCATGGGTCAAAGGAATAGAACAATGGAGATTAGAAAATAGTTTGAACCTAACTGTACTGAAGACATTATCAAACTTAGGCACAAAGATAAAACATTTTCAAAAATGAAATGATGCTCAAGTGATGTGTGCACAAAAATATCAGAAATCACCACTAAAGATCTTATTCATGTAACCAAACACCACCTGTTCCCGAAAAAACTATTGAAATAAAAAATAACTGTTGATGGGACTGTAAACTAGTTCAACCATTGTGGAAGTCAGTGTGGTGATTCCTCAGGGATCTAGAACTAGAAATACCATTTGACCCAGCCATCCCATTACTGGGTATATACCCAAAGGATTATAAATCATGCTGCTATAAAGACACATGCACACATATATTTATTGTGGCACTATTCACAGTAGCAAAGACTTGGAACCAACCCAAATGTCCATCAATGACAGACTGGATTAAGAAAATGTGGCACATATACACCATGGAATACTATGCAGCCATAAAAAATGATGAGTTCACGTCCTTTGTAGGGACATGGATGAAGCTGGAAACCATCATTCTCAGCAAACTATCGCAAGGACAAAAAAAACAAACACTGCATGTTCTCACTCATAGGTGAGAATTGAACAATGAGAACACATGGACATAGGAAGGGGAACATCACACACTGGGGCCTGTTGTAGTGTGTGGGGAGGGGGAGGGATAGCATTAGGAGATATACCTAATGTTAAATGACGAGTTAATGGATGCAGCACACCAACATGGCACATGTATACATATGTAACAAACCTGCATGTTGTGCACATGTACCCCAAAACTTAAAGTATAATTTAAAAAAATAAAAAATAAAAAAAAGAATGAAATGAACATATTATTAAAAAGTTAAAACCAATTATTTCAATTTTTATCTCCAGAAGTTAGAAAAAGCATGGTACATAAAGTGCAAAGGCAGTACAATAAAAGAATAATAAGGCATAAAAAGGAATATCTAATAGAGAATATCTCCAAGCCCAAATTATATCCCTTCAAACAATTAATAAATTTATGAATTCCTGCAGGACTAATTTTTAAAAATTAGCAAATTTAAAAATTAGAAATAAAAGGAAAATATATGAATCTAAAACACATCATAGTAAAATTGCTGACAAAGACAATACAGTGTCTACAATTGTTCAAGTGATAATTAAGAGGTAAAATAACTTTACATCAGTAAATTTTACAATTGAAATACATTTCAAAATTCTTTACAATTCAAAGTTTTCCAAAACCAATACAAGAAATAAGAAATATGATTAGTGTCTGATATATTAAAGAAATGGAAAGTCTTATTAAAAACTTTCACACAAAAAGTTCCAGTAAATATTTAAGGAAGAAATAATATCAATCTTACAGAAACTCTTTCTTAAAATATAAAATACAAGAGAAAATTTCTAACTCACTATAAAATCCAACATATACAGAAAGCATAATAATGAACAAGAGGACTTTATTTCAGTAATGCAGGGGTGGCTTTCCATTAAAAGACAGTCAATTCAGAACAATAGTAAATGAAGAGTGCCTTCGAAGACTGGGCATGGTTGCTCACATTTGTAATCTCAATGTGAGATTGGGAGGCCAATGGGGGAGGATTGCTTGAGCCCAGGAGTTTGAGACGAGCCTGGGCAACACAGTGAGACCCTATCTTTACAAAAAATTAAACAATTAGCTAGGCACAATGGCATGGGCGTGTAGTCCTAGCTACATGGTAGGTTGAAGTGGGAGGATCACTTCAGCCTGGAAGGCGGAGGATGCAGTGAGCTATGATCACCTCTGTGCACTCCAGTGTGGTTGACAGAGTGAGACCCTATCTCAAAAAATAAAATAAAAAAAGGTGATTTCAGAAGATCTATAAATTTGAAGATATTTATTCACATTATAGAAAATGTACAAAACTTACTCTCAAGTTAGTCATAGTTATTATTTAAGCAGATATGTTATCATCAATATGATGATAAGGGCCGTAAGGAAGTGACACCAACAAAGAGCTATAGCGCCCATTTTTTTTTTCTGGAAGAAATTAGAGAAGACTTTATCAGAGGACAGCATTTAAGTCATGATTTCCTTTCTTTATTCAGCCAATAATTTTTTTTTTGTTACTGCTCCTTGTGTAGCAGGGCTACCCCATAGGCAGTGTGCCCAGAGTAGCCTTATTCAGCCAATAATCGTTCACTGATCACTTTATGTGATTCAAGCATTGATTAGGCAATGGAGAAGCAGAGATGAAAAAAAACAGATTTAATATAATTCTCTGTAGCTATTATTATCACACATTTAATATTCACCTTTATTCACAGAATATAAGCTTTTTCAGAACAGAAATTCTTTCTAATCTGTTCACTGACTGATATGGTTTGGATGTCCTCTCCAAAACTCTTGTTGAAACTTAACCCCCAATGTGGCAATATTGAGAGGTAGGGTCCTTAAGAGGGCTCTGCTCTTATGAATGGATTAATTTTTTCACATATTCATAAATTAATAGGTTAGTAAATCAATGGGTTATCATGCAAGGGCAACCAGTAGCTTTATAAGAGGAGGAAGAGAGACCTAAGCTAGAATCTTAGCTTACTCAATACCATCACCCTGTCCCAGGCCCTGCTATGACTCAGGCCTCTGAAGAGAGTCCTTACCAGCAAGGAGGCTCTCAGCAGATCACTCCTTGACCTTGGACTTCTCAGCCTCCATAAGTGTAAGAAATAAGTTCATTTTCTTTATAAATTACCCAGTTTCAGGTATTCTGTTATAAGCAACAGAATATGGACTAACACAGTGACACATCTCCAGGACCCACTTTAATATCTAGCTCATTAAAGAAACACATAATAATGTTGTACCACCTAAAACAGGTGTTTGCCCAAAGTATGGTGGGCCACATCACTGGGGATTTGGGGAAATAATATATGACATATTTTATATATGATATAGTGACAAAAATTCCAAGGTAGAAGATTTAACCCTGGTATAGAGAGGGTGAGAAAAAGAGAAAACAGCAGGAAAATTTATTCCAGGCAGAAGGAGCTTAGAAACCAAAATGAGGGGATGAGAAACATCTCCTCTATTGGCTTATTAACTGTATTTGTTTTATGTTTTATGGTTGCTAGACTTACAATATATAACCTTAACTTATGACAATCTACTTGTAAAACATATTATAGAATTATGTATCATTAAAGAATCTTGTAGACTGTATTTCCATTTCCTTTTTGTCCTTTGTACTATTATTATAATACATTTTACATCTGTACAAGTAATAAAGCAGTCAACATATTGCTATTAATTTTGCTTTAGTCTAGTATTATTTAACAATATTAAAAATCAAGAATTATTTCTATCTATATTTACCATTTTTTAAACTTTGCATTCAGCCTGAAAAATGTTTTTTAGCTTTTTATGTAGTGTTGGTCTGCTGGCTCAAAATTCTCTCAGGTTTTGTTATTTAACAATGTGAATATTTTATTTTTATTTTTCTCAAATGCTTTGCTGGATATAGCATCTAGCTTGAAAATTTTTTAATTTTTATTCAGTACTTTAAAATGCTACATTGTCTTTTGAACTGTATTCTGATGAGAAATAGATGTTATTTCGTGGTAGTTTCCCCCATCATATCTCTTTTCTTTTTATATGTCACCTCCAATTATACATATATTAGACTTCTTGATATTACCACAAGGAAACTGAAGAACCGTTTTGTTCCTTTTGACCTACTTTTTTCTGTGCTTCATTCCAGGTAATTCTATTTCCCTGTCTTCAAATTCACTAATCCTTTCTCATCTTTCTCTAATTTTTCCATAAGCCCACCTAGTGATTATTTCATTTTAAGGTTTTTTTTTTCCTTTGGCACTTGAAGTTCAGTATCTTAAATCTCCATGACTCTTTTAATTATGTTTATGCTTTCCCTTAAGTGCTTGAATGTTTTAACATAGTTCTTTTAAAGTTCTTGGATGCTTATTCCATCTTCCTTGACATTTTTTAGTCGGTTTGTATTGACTGATTTTTCTTGTACTTATGGATTACATGTTCCTGCTTCCTCACATGGCTTGTAGTTTGTATCAGCTGTTGGACGTTTTACTGTTATGTTGTTGAGTATCTGAAATTTACAACCTTCCTATTGAGAATGACAAATTTTGTTCAGAGTATTAATTGATTTATTTGTAAATCAGCTTATGCCTTTTGAGGAAAGTTCAAAGACTGTAAAGTTTTAACTATTAGTTATTTTATCTAGATAATTATTTTTTATCTTATCTAAACAGTGACTGTCAAACCCCAAGATGTAACATAATCTCAGTAGAATGCATGTAAATACAGTATTTTCAGGAAAATAATTAACTTCAGATTCCAGATCTTCCTGGTACTGATGCCTGACAATGACGTATCTGTCTGATTGGGTTTGATCTTTCATGGTTCCTTCCTACCTCTCTGTATCTTTGGGTGTCTGCCTTTATTTTCTCTTTGATATTTTAGCATTTCTAGCTTTTGATGGTCTTCAAAATATTCTATTATTTTTACCTGTATAATCTCTATACATTCTAGATTTTGGATTTCTCATTGGCTTCATGATCTAATATCTTTTCTGACTGTAAACTTCCAGGGTTCTGGCAAGAACATAATGACAGATGACTACTGAGTCTTTCACTTATCCTCCTGAGAACTAGGGAGAGCAATGAAAACACTACTCTTTCTACCAATTTCCTTTTCCTAATAGCATTAATACTTTTGGAAAATAAGAAATAGATTTCACATATATATCCACTTAAACAATTTGGGCTCCTTGAAGTAATGACTGATTCTAAGACATGAGCAAAAACTGAAAAAAGAGAACAAAACAAAGAATATCATGTCCCAAGAAGAAGAAACTTTTCAAGGACTAATGTGATCATGTCAGAAGAGCCTAGGAGCCCATATAACTAGAATCTCGCTGGCCAAATTTGGAGCAATAAGAGAAATGTAAATAATTATTGTAAATGAATGACAATTTTGAATTAATAAAAAATAAGTTTGTCTGTGAGACCACTTAGAGAATAAAAAGTCCTTTCCTCTCCCCAAAAAGTAGAGAGAAAGCAAAATACAAAATGGTACAACTAATGCTGTTACAATATTCATAGGTATTGAAATGTTACTAATGCTTTTATTTTATTTTCATAAAAATTTATATTATTAGCAATTCGAAGCTATAATTATTTTAAATTGTATTATCTAATATCTTTGGGGCATAAAGTGAACTCTTTATTATCACCTTTGGTGTGTTTGAAGGTGTGTTTGAACTGAACATGTTATAACAAAAAATTAACACTCAAAGAAAAAAAAATAGCCAACCAGTTTATTGGGGGTAAACTTGCATTCCCTGACAAATAATGTATGTAATCTATTGCCAAAGGATAATAAATCTGCATATAAAACCACTATGATGTTTACTGTACTATATGAAATGTGTTAACATTTTAAAACAGTTATCAGACATAGTAGTAAATGTGTGCTGATATTGCATCAGAAATAATTTTAATCAAGCAGATAGTTTATTCTTTGGTTTGCTTTTTAAGTTAGCATTTATTTTTATAACTGATAAACCCTAGTTGCAAGCAGTATTTATAAGACCCAACAGCTGGCATTATGAGTATTGGTTTATGGAAGCTAAATCTTTTTTAAAAAATCAGTTAGTTTGTTAAATTATAGTTATCAAAAATGACATGATTAGATAACCTTCTCATATTTTGTAACTATTTCTGAAGTTTTGTTCCCAAATAAACAAACTGTATTTAATGACTGTATCAGCTTAATTTCTAGAAGCACCTTGCGCATTCTTGAAAGGAACAAATGGATCAAATCAAAGTTTGTGTCAAACCAAAGTTCCAGAGTAATAAAAAATCCTTACACCTCTCATTTTAAAATTTTTGTTATATTTTCTTAGTTTTTAAGAAATTGTGGATTTACTCTTTTACTTTTTCAATCAAGCTTCTCGTTATGGAACAAGTTAAAGACAGAAAACAATGGCTGCTCTGCAATCTCAGTGGTTACATTTGAAAGTCTGTCTACAAAGAAGAAAAAATATTTCACTTCTTCAATTCTTCAGATATGTTGTAAAGCTAGAATTTTTGAAAGCACCATAGACAACAAACCATTTCCAAAATACACTTTTATTCATTGGAGGACTATTTTAAATTTTTCATTGTACTTTTTATATTTCCAAATTCTAGAATGCATCATGTATTTGCATTTCTCAAATTAAACAAATAACATTAAATCATCTTAAAGTGTCTTTGCCATTATTACATTGAGAACTACTGCTTCTATTTGATAAAAATTGAAAGAATATCACAGAACTACCAATTTCCTATTGTAATCTAATTTAATTTGAAGCATACAATCAAACATAATGATGTTATAATATCAAATTTCAATTAAATTATGTTTGTGTTCATTATATAAGCCAACACAATTTTATTGTAAAGAAGGGTATTGTAGTGAATTTAATAAAGCTAAAAACATTGTCTCCAAGAAGCCACAGCTACAGTGAAGGTATTACAATATACATTTGTCAACACATATACATTTGATAAATAAAAATGTTTTAGCAGCTCAGAGGTAATAAAACCTGTGTTTTTTATATGAATGGGGCCTTGCAGGGTGAGAACAACTAAACAGATAGAAAGACTGAGGGTGGATAATCCATGGTGGTTGTATAGGTAACAAAAAAATAGAACATTACAAAACAAAACCAGATATTTTAAAGGCATTTTGAAATTTAAAAAAAAAAAAAACCTAGTTTGTCACAAAAAGTCATACCGGTAATATGTTTAAGGATAAGTTTGTGAAAAGAGTGGAATATTAGGTCTGAAAACAGGAGGAGATAAAAGTATTGAAAATCACAAATGGCACACTGAGAAATCTGGAACTTATCCTACAGGTAACCAGAAGCCATTGCACATTTCAGAACAGGTAGAAAAGCACTGTTTGAGAGAATGGAGACAATGGACGAAGTGTCAGTGCCAAAATGGTAGTAATATTTGAGGTATGAATTGGAAGCTCTGGACTAGGTTAATAACACCAAAAAAAAAGGACAGTAAAAGACAGGTAGAAGAGAACATATGGATGAGATATCTACTGGTTTTGGGGAAGGATAGATGAGGAAAGAGAAATTAAAATGGCTTTACGTTTTAGCAGGGGTTACTAGGAGACTAGAAATGTAGATGCTTGCCCCACATAGAATCTAAAATCATATAAAGCCACAGTCTTTCATATGCACATAATTCTTCTGTATGTATAAAGTGTAGACACAAACTTGTGTAAAGGAATTATTTCTATTTCTACCAGAATTGACAACTGAGTGGGTTTTTGGACACATCATGGTGCATCACATATATAAACATTTAAAAAGTCTTTGAGTTAAGTGATCCCCCCTCAACCTCCTGTCAAATAAATTATCCCATTAGTATAATACTTCGTTCTGGGATCCAAGAATCTCAAGACAAAAATAACTAATATGTTTTCCTTTTGCTTTGTTACTTTTGAAAATAAGTTAAAAATTAGTTTTTTTTATCCAATTCAGTTTACACTTCCCCAGTACTTAATGTCACTGAGCAACAATAAGAATGTTTTTCTTCAATATCTCCCTCTACAATTAAAGTAGCATTATGAAATTTTTATCAATATTTAAGCAGACGATGGGGTTGTAGTTACTGTGAATATTTCTCTAAATACCTCGCTTCTCTGTCAAAGAAATGTCTATGACAATTACTTGCATCTTCTTCTATTTACACTGAAGCCAGGCGTCACAATGGCTTAAAACAATCAAAGCCTCATTTCACAGCGCTCATGTCTTTAATCCTCTTTGTACTTCTTACCTTACTCCTCTTTTCTCTCTTCTCTTTGCTCTCCACTTCCCTTGTCCTTTGCTACCACTTTTCTCTTTGATTCTCTCTGCCCCATCCTGGTGCTGCTTCTTTTTTTCTCCTTTATCATTCTCAATGACCATTGGCCGCTTGCTTTGAATCTCTGGAGCTACTCTTTTAAGATTCATAAGGTGAAAAAGTGAGCACCATATCTGACTATGGAAATAGATGTCGATGTATCCTCTGCTATTTTGGAGAAGTATTTATATTCAAATATAATGGATATATAAAATGGACATACATGGATGTCTTTCTCTTTGCTCATCCTCCTTTCCTCCTGGATCTGCTCCACCCCTACCTACCCTGACCCTCTCACATGTTTGGCTTTAGGAAAGCAAAGAGTTTGTGTTCTGAAATCCTGTCCCTGGGCCATAGCTGTTTGGCCCATGTTTGGGCAACTGTCCCAAGCTATGTGAATAAAATTGTTTTTCTAATATTTTTACTTTAGGACCTAGAGAATTGAGCCATGCTCTCTTCAGTTGGTTAAAAGAGTCAAGATTTACATTTTGCAAATTCTTATTAACCATATTCCTTTGTCATGTGAAGAAAGCTGGTCTACAGAAAAGGAGAATAAAGACAGGAAGAAGAAAGCAGCAACACCGGAGGGAGTGCATTTGATGTGTTCCAGTCTTTGGTTGGTCATTATTTAGCCCCAACCTAGTCTTTGGGTTCAATGAAACAGCCTAATATTTTTACAATGACTTTTTTGGGTTTCCGTTTTGTATAACCACAAGAGCAGGGGTTTCTATAAAAATCTTAGCAGTTTCTGAAGTATGGCAGACCATTTTATATTTGTCCCCGTTTAATAATTCTCCCTGCTTACAATAACCACTTTTCAAGTAATTGTCTAATTATTTAAATATCAGCTGAAATTTATTCTTATGTAACCTAGTTGTAGAGGTTAGTCTATGTATTAGTAGTCTAACTCTTTACACTAGGACATCTATGAATGGTAAATATAAGATATCACTATAAACTAGATTATTAGAATATACAATACACTTCATTTAATAACCAAGTCTAAATAAATTGGTATATATTAAAGGATTACTGATAACAAACCTTAAGTAAATTTTAAAACAAATGATTTTTAATACTTTTATAATATTTCCTATGTGCCAAGATTTTTTCTAACTGCTTTACATATAGTAGTCATTAAGTTTTTGAAATAACCCTGTGAGGATTTGCTGTAATTTTCTGCATTATGCATATAAAGAAACCGAAACATAGGGAGGCTAATTAACTTGCCCAAAGATAGAGAGCTTGTAAGTGGTAGAGTCAGGATCTGAACCAGTGTGTGGTCCTTCCAGAACTGTTTCTTATAACCAAGATGTTATGTTGCTACCATTAGAACAATTAGCTTCAAATACAAAAACGTAAAGATCTATCACTCAGCAATATTTTGTAAATCAGAAAAAAGGGTAAGCACATGTGGAAAAATAAATGACCTGCCCTTTATGACTCAGATCGTTAGTGCTGGATCTAGGACAGACATGCATTCTGACTTCAGGTTGAACATGTTAGTCAATCATTTATTTAATAGATGGTACTATATTTATATCTGTCTTTTGTTCTCTATTAATAAGGGAGTGGTTTGATAGTGATTTGGTTTATTTGAAAGATATGGACATAAATAATCTGAGATAGGACACAATACAAAAATTTAAATTTATATAAATACTGAAGAGTACATTCAGAATTTCAGCTGTGGAAATATAGATATTCCACTATTGAATCTTTACTCTTGACAGAGGTAAATTTTTATCTGATAAGAGAGGTTTCACAAGGAAGAAAAATAATTGAGTGTCTTAAAATTTTATTTACTTCATTTGGAAGATATTCTTAAGTGTCTATGACTGATTCATGAAAATTATGCATATCTTTTTGTAAGTGTAATCTGGTGTAACAACAAAATCATTTGAAATTTGAAACTGACCAAGTCACCGGCATTTTAATATACTTAACGAGTTAGGATTTGATATTATCATCTTCCCATTGCATCATATGGAACTTGTTCTCCTATGGTATGAAAAAGTAATGAACAGAAGACTCAAAAGAGGAGAAAAGCAGTCTTTCTTCTCTCCTTTGGAAGAAAATTAGTTGGAATATAGATAGCAAAAGAAAATAAGGTCTAAGCCATCATCTTTGAATTCTGCAAGAGTTTGATGTAATTTAATGAGTCAAATCATTGGCAGTAAATAATTCAGAATATAATGAGTTAAAAAGTAGACTACCCAAAAGATTATAAATCAGGCTACTATAAAGACACACGCACGCGGCACTATTCACAACAGCAAAGACTTGGAACCAACCCAAATGTCCATCAATAATAGAATGGATAAAGAAAATGTGGCACATATACACCATGGAATACTATGCAGCCATAAAAATGGATGAATTCATGTCCTTTTCAGGGCCATGGATGAGGCTAGAAACCATCGTTCTTAGCAAAATATCAGAAGGACAGAAAATCAAACACTGCATGTTCTCACCCATAAGTGAGAGTTGAACAATGAGAACACATGGACACAGGGAGGGGAACATCACACACCGGGGCCTGTTGGGGGGTTTGGGGGGCTGGGGGAGGGATAGCATTAGGAGAAATACCTAATGTAAATGACGAGTTGATTGGTGCAGCCAACCTACATGGCACATGTATACCTATGTAACAAACCTGCACATTGTGCATATGTACCCTAGAACTTAAAATATAATAATAATAATAATAATAAAAAGTAGACTACAAAAAGAAGTCTGTATACATGTTAAATGTATACAGTATACATGTATACAGACTGTATAATATATACAGTCTTTATATGTGTTAAATGTATACAGTCTGTATACATGAACATTTTATTTTAATATATCTCAAGACTAACAACATTATATTGGTTGGTCCTTCAAAACTGTCACCTTTCAATTTTTCTTAGGACAAATTGATTCATTAAAACTGGAGTATCTAAAAGTATTCAAGTATGGACACTCTGGCCCATGACTTTAATCCCAGCACTTTGGGAAGTCAAGGCAGGAGGATTGCTTGAGCCTAGGAGCTGTAGACCAGCCTGGGCAACAGAGAAAAACCCCTTCTCTACGAAAAGTACAAAAATTAGCTGGGCATTGTGGCGTGCACCTGTGGTCTCAGCTACTTGGCAGGCTGAGGTGGGAGGATTGCTTGAGCCAGGGAGGTCAAGGCTACAGTGAGTCTTTATTGCACCACTGAACTAAAGCCTGGGTGACAGAGTGAGACCACATTTCAAAAAAAAAAAAGGGTTCATATGAACATTTTAAAGATATTAATTTAAAAAATTTTTTCTATCTTCTAAATGGTTATTTACCTGTTAGGTGCTGTTATCTTATGGCTAACACAAGCCATAATTGTCACCCTCTTGTGCCAAATGCCTGTGGATATGTTATGATATATGGAAACACAATTTTGAAGATGGAATTAAGGTTCTAATAAGTTGATTTTAAAATAGAGGGATTATTCTGGATTAGTATGTGGGCCTTTACAAATAGAAGAAGGAAGAAGAGTCAGTCAGTGAAGACTTGGCAGAGAAGACATGTCAGAATAGATGACAGAAGAGATGAATTATGGAAGGACTTGAATCATGATGGCTGACTTTGAAGATAAAAGGGCCATAAGATAAGGAAAGCAGACAATCTCTAAAGGTAAAAAATGATTCAGACCTTTAGCCAGCAAGAAAACAGGGATTTTAATTCTATAGCTGCATGGAATAGAATTCAGCCAACAATATGCATGAACCTGAAAGTGGATTCTTCCCTAGAACCTTCAGTAAGAAGCACAGGCCTACAGACCCTTGATTTTAGCTCAGGAGCCTATGTTGAACTTTTGATCTAAAGAACTCTGAGATAATAAATTTGTATTGTTTAGAACTACTAAGTCTGTCATACTATGTTATTGTGTCGATAGAAAATGAATGCAATTGCCAACTTCATGTCAGGTATTTTACTTGAACTTCTGCAATTATCTTTAGGAGGGTTTATATAAAAATAAGCTTACAATTTTGAAGGTACTTTTAAAATGCAGAGAATATAAGGAGGACTCAAAGATAAATTAATTTACATAGTTATTTTTTGGTTGTAGTGAGAGATAAGAACTGCTGAGGACGCCAGACAGATACAGAGAAATTGTACAAGAACAGGAGATCAAATATATGTAAAAATTCTGTAGAAATGGAAACATTTAGAGAATTACCAAAAAACAGTATAGCGTATCATTAATTTATTAGTTATCATGCAATTAGGCAACCCTAATACTATACAAACACTCTAGAATTTTCCATTTCATGAACAAGCATTTATCAATGGTGTCTAATTTGATCCTCACAACAAATTAAGTAGATATTGTCATTGTAATACAGCTATAAAAATACTACCAGAACTTGAATTCAGGTTTTATATATCAAAACATACATTTTAATAAATACAATGGCATTGTTCCTATTCTATTGCCACTGCTCCTAAGAAATTTCTGGACTGGGGAATGACCTGTTAGGAACCAAGCTGCACAGCAGATGAGCAGCAGGCAAGCAAGTGATGCTTTATCTGTATTTACAGCTGCTCCCCATTGCTCTCATCACTGCCTGAGCTCTGTCTCCTGTCAGATCATTGGTGACATTAAATCCTCATAGGAGCATGAGCCTTATTGTGAACTGCACACATGAGGGATCTAGGTTGCATGCTCCTTATGAGAATCTAATGCCCAATGATCTGAGGTGGAGCTTAGGCAGTGATGCTGGTACGGGGGAGTGGCTGCAAATACAGATTAACATTAGCAGAGAGGATTGACTACACAGAGACCATAATAAATCAATTGATTGCTGACTCACATCAAAACCCTATCAGTGAGTGGCAAGAGACAATTAGTTGCATAGTGGCAGGCTTTAAGTCAGAATCCAGCACTTATTATAGTCTGCCCATTATTTTATTTACCACTTCAATCCACACCTCTTTCCTGAACTGTGCACTTATTCAGTCATAGTTTTGGTAGGCCCACAAGCTAACCCTAGCCAAAATGAGTAAAAAGCAAACATCACTGGAGAGCTTCTTTGAAAAGGGGGAAAGACCAAATGATGAGACAGCAGAAGACTTGAAGACTGCCAACAAAAAGAAAGTTGCATTTAAAAGAAAATACCAAGAGTCCTACTTAAATTATGGGTTCATTGCAACAGGTGATTCACATTCTCCAAGCCTGCTCTATTTGTTCATTTTCACACTGCTATAGACTGAATAATTTATAAACAAGGGAGGTTTAATTGACTCATAGGTCTGCATGGCCGGGGAGGCCTCAGGAAACTTACAGTCATGGTGGAAGGTGAAGGGGAGGCAGGCACCTTCTTCACAAAGACGCAGGAGAGAGAGGGAGACTGCACAAGAAAGCGCCACACTTTAAAACCACCAATTCTCATGAGAACTCACTCACTATCATAAGAACAACATGGAGGAAACCACCCTCATGAACCAATCACCTCCTCTGAGGTCCCTCCCTTGACAAATGGGGATTACAATTCGAGACAAGATTTCGGTGGGGACACAGAGCCAAACCGTATCACTTGCTTTGTATAATACTTGGCAACCGCCTATTCCATGACACCATGAAACCTTCAAAATGGCTTTGCCACATGGAGACCAAACACCCTGCCTTAAAAGACAGGTCTTTGGAGTTTTTCAAAAGAAACAAATATCAACACAAAGAACAGAAGCAATTATTGAAGGCCACCACTTCATCAAATGTATTTGCACTGAGAGCATCATTCCTAGTGGCTAACTGCACTGCTAAAGCTAAGAAGCCCTTTTCTATAGGTGAAGAGTTGACCCTGACTGCTGCTAAGGACATTTGTCATAAACTTTTAGGAGAGACAGCAATTAAAAAGGCAGCACGTGTTCATCTTTCAGCTAGCACCATAACCAAATGAACTGATAAAATAGCAGAGGATATTGAGGCACAATTGTTAGAGAAAATTGAGTCATTGTGGTACGCAATCCATATTGACAAGTCTACCAATGTCGACAACAAGGCAACAATGCTTGTTTCTGTCTGATATATTTTTCAGGAGGATGTTCCTGAGGATATATTACGTGCATTCTTGTTGCCAACCAACACCACAGCTGCAGAACTATTGAGTCTTTGAATGATTACATATCAGGAAAACGAAACTGGTCATTTTATGCCAGTATTTGCATGAAGTGAGCGGCTGCCATGACTGGATTGCTTTCTGGTTTCACTACTCAGGTCAAAGACATCGCTTCTGGATGTGAGTCTATGCACTGTGTCATTCGTAGTGAAATGCTGGCTAGCCAACAAATGTCACCTGAACTTAGCAACGTTTTGCAGAATGTGATTAAAAGTATTAACACATTAAAGTACATTCCTTTAACTCATATCTGTTTGTGCAGCTGTGTGAGGAGATGGATGCAGGGCACACATGTCGTCTCTTATACACGGAAGTGAGACAGCTTTCTAAAAGTAGATAACTAGCCAGAGTTTTCAAGTTAGGAGAGCCACTCCAGAGATTTCTTTTAGATAAACAGTCATCACTGGCAGCACATTTCAGTCACACAGAATGGGTCGCAAAACTTGTTTATTTGTGTGACATGTTCAACATGCTCAAGAAATTCAAACTGTCAGTTCAGAGAAGAATGACAACTGTGTTTAAGTCAGCAGATAAAGTGGCTGCCTTCAAAGCCAAACTGGAATTATGTGGGAAATGAGTGAACATTGGGATTTTCGATGTGTTTCAAACATTAGCAGAGATTTTGAAAGAGACTAAGCCAGAGCCTTTTTTCTCCCAGATGGTGCATGATCACCCATCTTAACTTTCAAAAGAATTTGAGCATTACTTCCAAACCACAAAAGACCTCCGAACTGGGAAGGAGTGGATACCTGACCCATTTGTTAATAAGCCAGGTGAATCAACTTTGTCCATGCTGAAAGAGGATCAACTGCCTGAGATGGCAAATGACAGTAGCATTGAAAGTATGTTTGAGATAACTTCTAATGTCCATACATTCTGGATTAGAGTCAAGGTGCAATATCCTGAGATTGCCACAAAAGCACTCAAAAGCCTACTTCCATTTCCAACATCCTATCTTTGTGAAGCAGGGTTTTCTGCAGTGACAGCAACCAAAACAAGATTATAGAGTAGACTGGACATAAGCAATACACTTCAGATGTCACTGTTTCCCTTCTAGTTGCAGAAAAACAAGCTCAGGGCTCCCACTGATTGTATATTATGGTGAGTTATATAATTATTTCACTATATATTACAATGTAATAACAATAGAAATAAAGTACACAATAACTGTAATGCACTTGATTCCATCACCTGCAACCTGTTTCGTGGAGAAATTGTCTTCCACCAAACAAGTCCCTTGTGCCAAAAAGTTTGGGGACCACTGTATTTTTGGTTACACAATTGCCAGGGAAATCATTTCACTAGACCCAGATACGAATAACCTTGGTATCAAAGGCCTCAATTTTATTATTTTTTGTTTTATTGTTTGTTTGTTTTCTGGAGACAGGGTCTCTCTCTTTCCTCCAGGCTGGAGTTCAGTGGTGCGATCCTGGCTCACTGCAGCTTCAGTCTCTCGGGCTTATTGTCCTCCCACCTCAGCTTCCAAGTAGCTGGGGCTACAGGCATGCACCACCATGCCCAGCTAATTGTTTTGCATTTTTTTGTAGAGATGGGTTTCACCATGTTGCCCAGACTGGCCTCAAACTCCTGAACTCAAGCCATCTGCCTGCCTCGGCCTCCCAAAGGGCTGGGGTTACTGGTGTGGGTGACCGACCGTACCCAACCAAAGGACTCAGTTTTATACAGGAAAGTTTAAAAAGTTTAAAATATTTTAGAAAGTAAAGAGAAGCATATCCAATTTTAGTGTAGTCTCAATCACAAGTATGTTTACCCTTTTCTCAAGCCACTTAAGCCTTGCTTGGTGTAAGTTATTTTGCTGTGAGATTTATTGAGTGCTCAGATCCAAAGCAACTCAGCTAAAATGTAACTACTTCATTAAAAATGAATATAGATCAATTGTCTTTTTGTCAGCTGGAACCTCTTCTGGTCACTTCTAAATCTTTACTGGATGCTTATGCAAACTTTGTTTATATATTTTCTTACTCTCCGTCAGTTGGTAAAGATCAAGTTTTTCTCACATGCCACCTTTAGTCAGATAGATACTCTTCATATAAAATCAAGAAATATATGATTTGAACTAATGACTTAAGAAACTAGAACAAACTGCTCTTAATTTAGGGTAAGCTATCTCTTATTTTAGGGTAAGCTACACAGGAGAAAGCAAACACTAAAAATTGCGACTTTCTATGGTCAGTTCTTCATTAGTCTGTTAAAGAGTAAAAGATGATTCAAAACAGCTAATTATTCAAAACAGCTAATTATTCAAAACATCATGCCTATTTGGATTTGGTATTTCTTTGTGTGCATGTGTGTGTGTGTGTGTGTGTGTGTGTGTGTGTTTACATTGGAAAATAATGATAGAAATCTAGTTCAAGATGGAAGACTGAACATATGCATTTATAGTTTTTCCCTCTAGTTATACTCCCAAATGTATAGGATATGAATTTTTTAAAGAATGTTGCATACAGAAAAGGAAGCAGAAATTGAGGTCTCAATAAATCTGTGCCTCAATAAAAGACATTGAGGTCTCAATAAATCTGTGCATGATTAGTTATATAAAGGAGTTCTAACAGTGGAAAACAGGAGAAAAAGCACAGCCTAGAAGAGTAGAAACCAGAAACAGTCTCCGGTTGGCCAAGGGAGTTCTTCTGCCTGTTGGAACGCCAACGGTGGTAAAGAAAAGGGATTAATTAAAGATCTGCATAGAGAACATGAAACTTTCTATTTCTCTCATGTATCCCTGGCCCACTGAGCAAAGGAGCCAGATTATTACCCTCAGGACAAAAACAAACAAAAAAAGAAGTTCTCTTAAACATTGAAATGCATCTTGGGAGAAAGAGTGAAGTTAATGTGAGCGTTAGCAGAAGAATTAAAGCCTCCTTAGTTTAGCCCTTCACACCCCTCCATTCCTCCCACCACAAACAACACAAGAACTCAGCTCCCCACACGCTCACTGTAGGGGCTGACACTCATGCATGAAACTCCTCGTTTTCCTATTTCCTTATTATTTTTCAAAATAACTTTGTTTTTGGAATATTTGATATATATATAAAATAATAAACATAATGAAGGTAAATAAGGTACAACAAATAATAAGACAAGCTAAATAGACACAGTTACATAGAATATGATGGTCTGTGCTTTTTGCCACTTCCTACACCTTTCTACTCCAAGAGTAACCACAGTTCTGAATTACAGCTTGTTACGTTTCTGTTTTTCACAAATTGTTTTGCCATTTTAATAGTAAAGCAAATATATCCAGAATTTTCTCTACTTTTATGTCACTGGCATCATACTGCACATATTTGTTATTGTCTTCTTCATTCACAATTATTTTATTTTTGAGATTCAGTCATACTGATGCAAGGTTCTATAATAACCCCTTTTATTTAATTTATAGTATGTCATTGCATAAATATGTCAGAAGTTATCATTCACTTATGATGGAAATTTGTATCACTTGAAGTTTTTGCTATTACATTGTTGCTAGTGAATGATTTGTATATCTCTATTGGGGTATCTGCACAAGTACAAGACATAAAATTATTGGATCACGTGGAATAAGCATTGGCAATTTTATATCCTATAATGTAAAATGTACTGATACATGCTTCATTCTTGTTTATTCATATGTTAAATTAATATTACTCGAGAATAAATGATATGCCTGTCACTGTTCTAGGACATTGGAAAAATTAGTGAACAAAACAAACTAAAAAATGTATGCCCTTGTGGAGCTTTCATTCTATTGATCAACAGCAGTATATAAAAGATTTTATGATTATGGTGTTGCCTGTTTTTATGTTTTGCCAATCTAGTTAGTATAAAATAGAATGCCATTTTGTGTTTTTAAACAGAAGAATATATTGTGTTTTAAAATATTTTATAAAATAGCTTTATTCATAAAAAATTTACATGTATTTAATTGCACATATTGAAAATGTGCAATTTGATAAGCCTTGACAAAATTATACACCCATGACACCACCACAACAAACAAGATAATGAACATATACATCACACTTAACATTTCCTCATGCACCCTTGAAATTCCTTTAGGCCACCACTCTCTACCCTCTCTTGATTCCACTATTGATAAGCTTCACTATATGATAATTTGCACATCCTGGTATGTTATATAAATGGAATCAGATAATGTGTACCTTTTTTGTCTGTATTTTTTCACTCAGCATGTTTTTGAGATTTATCAACATTGTAGCATGTTTCAATAGTTCATTCCTTTTTATTGTTGAATAACATTCTAATGTATGGATATAATACTTTATTTATTTACCCATTGATGGACATTTGAGTTGTTACTAGATTTTGTCCATTACCAACAAAGCTGCTGTTAACATTTTAGGTGTAAGTCTTTGTATAGACATGTGCTTTTATGTCTGTTAGTAAATAAATAGAAGTAGATAATCTGGATAGGTTATACAATATTGCATGTTTATGTTTCCCTTTTAAGAAACTGCCAAATTGTTTTCCAAAATGGTTGTACCATTTTCCATTTCCAACAGTAGAGCACAAAAGTTCAAATTCCTCCACATTCTCACAAACACTTGGTGTTTGTAGTGTGGTCAGATATTTTAAATTTTAGACTTTCTACTAAATGTATAGTGGTGTCTCGTTGTTTTAGTTTGTATTTCCCTAATGACTAATTATGTTCAGAATCTCTTTATGTGCTTGTTTGCAACTATATATCTTTAATGAAGTTTCTGAATCTTTTGCCCTTTTTTTAACTGAGTTGGTTATTATCTTATTATTGAGATTTGAGTATTCTTTGTATTTTCTGAATACATGTTTTTTAAATCAGATATATCCTAGCAAAATTTTCTTCTGTTATTTAGCTTGTCTTTTTATTTTCTTAACAGTGTCCATAACAGGATGTTTAAAATGTTTTAATAAAATTTAACTTACAAATTTCTTCTTTTAAGGATCACACTTTTGGTATTTAAAAACCTTTGCCTAACTTAGGTATTTCTCTATATTTTCTTTTAGGGATTTTATCATTTTATGTTTTACATTTACGTTTGTGAACGACTTGAGTTATTTTTTGAATTAACTGTGTAATATGAATTGGAGTTCCTTTCTTCCTTTCTGCTTTGCTCCCTTTCCCTTCCCTTTCCTTCCCTTCCCTTCCCTTCCCTTCCCTTCCTTTCCCTTCCTTTTTCCTTTCCTTTATTTTTCTTTCCCTTTCTGGGTGTATACTTCTGTCAAGACTTATCAAATTGTACTTTAAAATATGTGGAATGAAATGCATATAAATTGCTTCTGAATAAAGCTATTTTATAAAATATTTTAAAAACACAATATATACTTCTGTTTAGAAACAGAAAATGGCATTCTATTTTATACTATCTAGATTGACAAAAAAATAAAACAGGCAACACTATAATCATAAAAGCTTTACAAGGGCATACATTTTTTAGTTTGTTTTGTTAACTAATTTTTCCAAGGTCCTAGAACACAGACAGACACATTATTTATGCTTGATAAATATTAATTTAACATATGAATAAACAAATTAATGAAGTACATATCAGTACACTTTATTTTATAGGATACAAAGTTGACAATGCTTATTCCATATGATCCAGTAATTTTATATGTCTTATACACCAACAGACATGTACAGAAGCACTCACTAGTAGCATTGTAATAACAAAACTTTAAATGATACAAATGTCTATCATAGATGAATAATAACTCATGACATATTCATGCAGTGAAATATTATCAATCAAATAAAAGGATTTGTTACTGAACCTTGCATTATAGATCACACATTTCTGCTGTGTCCTCACACAGTAAATGGAACAAACAAGCCCTATGGGGGCTCTTTTATATGGGCACTAATCCGATTTGTGAGGGCTCCACTCTCATAATCTAATTGGCTCCAAAGACCCCACCTCTTAATGCTGTCATATTGGAAACTCGGTTTCAACAGATGAATTTTTGATGGACACAAACATTTAGAGCATGGCAGGTAGTTTTTGTCCTTCAAGAAACGTGTTCTTTTGATATAAGTTGTTGTAATAGTCCATTCTTTCATTGCTATAAAGAACTACCTGAGACAGAGTAATTTATAAAGATTAGAAGTTTAATTGGCCCACAGTTCCACAGGCCATACAGGAAGCATGACTGGGGAGCCCTCAGGAAACTTTCAATCATGGCAGAAGGTAAAAGGAAAGCAGGTACATCTTACAGGGCCAGAGAAGAAGGAAGAAAGAGAGAAGTGGGAGGTGCTACACACTTTTAAACAACGAGATCTTGTGAGAATTTACTCACTATCACCAGAACAGCAAGGGAAAAGTCCACCCCCATGATCCAATCACCTCGCACCTGGTCCCTCCTCCAACATTGAAGATTACAATTAGACATGAGATTTGGGTGGGGACGCAAATCCAAACTATATCAATTGTTAAGTGTATTGGCATAGTTTTTCATAATATTCTCTTATTTTATTTCTATAAGAATTGTAGTTTCTCATTTCTAATTGATGATTATGTCTGTCACCTCTCATTTTTCCTGGTCCAGTTAGATGTGGTAGATTGCCTCTAGTGTGGCCTTGGTGATCTGCACCTCCTGGTACATACACCTTTGTGTAGCTTTCTCCCATTGAGTATGGGCTGGGCCTAATGACTTCTTTCTAATGAGTAGAATGTAACAAATGTGATGAAATGTCACTTTGAAGATTAGCTTACAAAAAAGCTATGGTCTCTGGCTCTCATCATTTCTCATCATTTTTCTCTCTCTTACTTTCTCTCTTTCATCATTTCTCACTCTCTGTCACATACATACACACACACACACACACACACACACATACACACTCACTTTTGATTCTGCTCTATCATACCTCATTCTAGAGGAAGCAATATACCATGTTTGGCCCTATGAAGAGGCCTGCCTGGCAAGGAACTGATGTAACTGACCAACAGCCAGTGAGTACCTGCCTGCCAACAGCCATGTTAGTTTTCTTATAAGCACATTCTACACATAAAGTATTGAGAAGATGGCAGTTCCAGCCAACACGTAGATTGTAACTCTGTGAGAAACTCAGAGCCAGAGGCCTTTTGTTATGCCATACCTGAATTCCTGACTCCAAAAACACTATACGATAATGTATATTTGTTGTTTCAAGCCACTATATTTTGGAGAAATTTTTATAGATAATTAATATAGATTTTGGTACATGGGGTGACACTCTAACAAATACCTAAATATACCTAAACCCCATCTAAGTATGTGGGATGGCTTAGGAATCAGGCAGTGGATGGAGGCTGGAAGAAATTTCAAGTGAGTGTTAGATAAATAATAATTGTTTTGAAAAGACTGTTAGTAAAAATATGAAGGTTGAGGAAATTTACCAGGACTCAAAAGGCAATAAGGAACATGCTATTGGAAACTGGAGGAAAGGGCATACTTGTTAGGGAGAGGCAGAAAGCTTAGCAATAATATAATATCTACTTCTGGAAGATAAAATATAGGAAGTGTGCCTAATAAATTGAGTAATATAGCTAAAGAGATTTTCAAGGAAAGTGTTGAAGATAAGTGTTGAGACCACCGTTGGGTTTGCTGTTTTACTAGAAGGACTCAAAGGAATTAGAAAAGGCTGTTACACTCACAGTTACAATTTATTACAGTGAAAGGATGCAGATTAAAATTTAGCAAAAAGAAAAGACATATGGTAAAGTAAAAGCAAGTTCTAAAAGAAACCATGCATAAATTTCCATGCATCCTCACTCCATGGTGTGGTAGGCACATACATAACTATGCCTGAGGGCTTAAGAAGGGCACCTTAGTAGTCTTATCTAGCCTAGAATCTTATTTAGATGATGAGATTCTGGACTTTGAGCTGATGTTGTAGTGACTTAATGAGATAACATTTGGGGGCCTTATGGAGAATTTTTTGTTGTTGTTGTTTCGTTTTTGTTTTTTTTTTTAAGATGCAGTTTCACTCTTGTCGCCCAGGCTTGAGTGCAATGGTGTGATCTTGGCTCACTGCCACCTCTGCCTCCCAGGTTCAAGCGATACTCCTGCCTCAGCCTCCTGAGTAGCTCAGATTACAGGTGCCCACCACCATGCCTGGCTAATTTTTGTATTTTTAGTAGAGACAGGGTTTCACCATGTTGGCCAGGCTGGTCTTGAACTCCTGACCTCAGGTGATCCACTCACCTCAGCCTCCCAAAGCATTGAGATTACTGGTGTGAGTCACCACGCCCAGCTGGAGAGTGTATTTTATATGAGGGAGGGATTGAGTCATTAAAAGACAGAGAGAGGACTGTGGTAGACAACCTACAGCAAGGCCTCCAGTGATCTTAATTTGCTGATATTCACAGCCTTGTGTAATCCCTTTCCCTGATGTATGAGCTGGGATTAGCGACTCAATTCTAGGAAATAGGATATGGTAAAAGTGATGGGGGCATTTCTTTAGAGACCCAGATCCAAAAAAGACTCTGGCTTCCTTTTTTTCTTCTTTTGGTATCATGTTCTTTCTATCTCTGAACCCTTGCTGGAAGAAAGAACAATAAGATAGATATAATTTAGAAGTCCCAGTTGCTAAGGGAGAACAAACTTAGGACCATCAATTTTGCAATATAAGGGTTCCTCAAACTCAGTACTGTTGACATTTGAAGGTGATAATTCTTTGTCATCAGGTACCGTTTCATGCATTGTAGGATGTTTAGCAGCATCCTTGGTCTTTATCTCCTGGGTAAAAGTAGTAACCTCCCAGTCGTGACAACCAAACATGGCTTCAGGTTTAGCCAAATGTCCCCTGGTGGTGTTCCAGCGGTGGGCTGGGGGATGGGGGAGAGATGCAAAATACCCTTGGTTGAAAATCCGCTGATTTATTTGAAAGCCAGAATAGCCAGATTCATCTTAGGAGTGTTATCTTAAATAAGGAGCACCAAGGGTGAGATTTTCTCTATCATATTTTCAGATTATAAAGCAGAAGAAATTAAGGCATTGTGGTATTAACACAGGGATATACACAAACCAATCAATGAAATAAAATGCAGTGCCCATAAACAGACCCATACACACAAAGAAACATCATTTGCGGCGAAAGTGGCTTTGAACATCAGTGAAGAAGTAACTCGTGTAAAAAAAAAGTATAATCAGATCCCTATGAAGTGGCATTCTAAAAAGGTTAATATTAAATAGAAAGTAAAATTTTATCCTTTTCAGAAAGCAACATATTACAGCTTGAATTATTTAGATGAAAATTTTCTCTGACTTGAATACAGAAGTCCTCACTTAAAGTCGTTGATAGGTTCTTGGAATACTTGGCTGTAAGGGAAATGAAGTAGAGCAGGTCCTTAAATAACATCATTTTGCTTAGTGTAGTTTTGTTATAATGTTGATGGAAAAAATTGGCTTTGTTATATGTAGTTTTGCTTAAAGTTACAGTTTGCAAGAACCTATCAATAATGTTGAGTGAGGACTTATTCTATTAATAAAAATAACTATCACTTGTGAAGCATTGGTCATGTACCAAGTATTTCACATATTCTCTCCAGTCTAGCAATAACTACCTGAGGTAGGAATTCTTATCTAAATTTCAAAGTCAGAAAACTGAATTCCAGTGAGGTAAAGTGGCATTCTCATAGTTATCCTCACGGTAAATGATCTAGCACAGATTTAATTTCACTAATATTTGACTTGGAAGAGTCTACTCTTGACTATTTCACATATGGACCAAAATCTCACCAAGCTTAATACTATTTTTTATTTTTACACCAGAGTATCAATTGTCTAAGCTTTGGGATTAATTCTAACTTCAACAGATATTGTATTAGAAAGTTATTGGTTTGGTTAAAAGCTTGACTAACAAATAAATTATTCTTGCCTACTGATATCTACAGTGGTTATTTAGATTACTTTCTTGAGTTCCTTATTCTCTAAAAATCACATTCCTGTTTAAGTCTCTGGCATTATTACCTTACCTTCTTGCTCCTGCTGCTAGGTCTAGTACCACTATCATGTTTTGTCTGTCCTTTAATTTTTAATTCATTAATTTTCTTAGTGTTCCTACAGCCTGTTGTATTCTACCCACCATCCAGCCATGTCTCCTGTGCCCTGTTTACCAAGGAACAACTCCTATGCGTAGTGCTTCTCTTCCATGTTCACCAATGTCAGATTCCATTCTCTCTGTTGACTTCCAGATACCCAATGAATTCAAATTTATTACCCAAGATTTACTTTGACATTTTGTTTGGTTTTGTTTCATAGCTGTCTTGTATCAGAGTCCTCATTGCTGTACTCTTAGAAATATTTCCCTTTTTTATCTAACAGTATGCCCCAAGAATTTACCTTAATCATGGTCGCAGTCATACACAAAAGAGAGGTAAATAAGGATCTTTAGAAACAAAAACAGGCTGACTAAATTTAATCTCAAAACAAGTCCACACTGAGAAGCAGAACACTTAAAATAGTAAACAATATTACTTGTCTACCAAAGTAGTCTTCAATTTTTAAAAATATGTTCTATCAGATAAACAGAGTACTATATATTACACCAGGAGCTGTAGGTTACTTAAAGAGACTGCAGCCCCAAGAGAGTGAATGTGTCTCCTGACATTGGGAAATGTAACTAGCATCATTAGTTATCATTTCTAAGATCTTATGACTTTCACTAATTCTAATTCTTAGCAGCATATTTGGGTGTGTGTGTTTTTTCAGGATAGAATTAGGAATCATTACATCAGTTGAACTGTGTTAATTCCATATAAATTGTGCAAGAATTAAAATAAAAACAAAATAAGGTACCACATGTAATAAATTCTACTGGCATCTCATGGTGAAATCACTTTTTTACAACTCAGCATTCTGAAAATTAAGTACTGTTATAAACCTTTTGCTCCTGCCTATTAAAGTTGCCATTGATGCTGAAATCATGCTTACTTATTAACACTGGATAGGGTAATTGCAGTGAACAATCTTGTCGTGGGCCAACTAAGTTGGAAACCCTGAGGACAGTTGAGGTTAAGACTCTCAAAAATGACATTAGGAATAGACATAAATGACAAAGATTAAGAAGGAAGAAATGCACTACAAAATAGCAAAGTACATGTCAAAATATAGAAATATTCAATGTAACAAGTCATTTTATACTTGAATTCCTCTTCCATTTATGCTGAATAGTTTTAAAATGTATTCTTTGAACAATGGCAAGTTGGATATTGTATGACTAGCCATGTGGACATTACATTTTTCCTCAGATGAGAGAGAGAGAGAATACATGTTCTATTAAACTACTTGAGAAAATCCGAGAGTATTTCTATCATGCTCTTAGCAGTATATTAACATCTTACAAATTATGATTGATATAACCTATATTGTAGTTTGCGATTGAGCAATATAGTTGACATTTTCCTGGTGACATAGTGCTGCTGATTTAGAAGTAGAGGTTGGTTATATAAATTTTCAGAGACATTTTTTTCTTTAATCCTAAATGATATTTAAAATTAACTTATTTTTCTCAGAAAAAAAGCAGCAAATATAAAAAAAAACTAGCAATAGTCATATGAAGACAGAACAAAACGTTACCATCAAATGTTACCATTTTCAACATACCAGTACAATTCATATCTCATTTCTAAGTATTTTCCACATCACACACAGATTTAGGTATCCTTATTTTATACAACTAGTAATAACAGCTAGTATTATTGAATGATTTCTGTGTGGGTCAGACATGCTGCAATCACTTCATATGTTTTACAGCATTCATTTTTCACTACAACCCATTAAGTACATAATGTCATTTTTTTTCATTTTACAAAAAGGAACCTGGGGTACAGAGAAGTTGAATGACCCATTCAAGTAACGTTACCTAGCTAACTAGTGGCTAACTGGGATTGCGATCTGCTCCAGGGCCTCTGTGATGCTGCCATTTCAATTACATTATATTACCTGCTTTTTAAACAACTTTAAAATATGTTTCTAAATATATTTAATGTATTTAGCATAATTTAATATATTAATGCAAATATGCACAGTTTACCTAATCAGAACTTTATTACTGAAGATGTAGTCTATGTTCAATTTGCCACTATTGTAAATAAGATTTCAACAAAAATATTGGGCACAAATATTGTCAGCATTTTATATTATATTTTAGAATAAATTAATAAAAGTAAATTTAATGTATCAAAGGCTATAAACATATTTAACATTTTTTTAAACTCCTGAATTACTTTCCAAATGCTTTCTCTTTCCCTTCTGCTTTACCAATGTTACAGCACAATTTGAAGAAAGCTGGAGATTTTTTTCTGTTTCTGCTTTGCAATAAGAAGGCTTGGGGGCTGGGCGCGGTGGCTCACTCCTGTAATCCCAGCACTTTGGAAGGCCAAGGTGGGCGGATCACGAGGTCAGGAGATCGAGACCATCATGGCTAACACGGTGAAATCCCATCTGTACTAAAAATACAAAAAATTAGCCGGGCGTGGTGGCCGGAGCCTGTAGTCCCAGCTACTTGGGAGGCTGAGGCAGGAGAATGGCGTGAACCCGGGAGGCGGAGCTTGCAGTGAGCTGAGATTGTGCCATTGCACTCCAGCCTGGGCACAGAGCCAGACTCCGTCTCCAAAAAAAAAAAAAAGGCTTGGGTTTCTTTTCTTACATTTTGTTTGCCTGTGAAAACCTCAGAGAAGAAAAAACAAGCAAAACATTAAGGTAGGAGTACTTTCTATTTAGAAGAATGTCAACTAGATGGGGGAAAAACATCTATTTTTAAAAATAAAGTATGATTTGCAGAATATAGAGATTCATGTTAATTGGCACTGACTCCCCAATATTTCTTACTCTTTGAGAGAGATATATATATATATATATATATATATATATATATATACACATATATATATACACACACACACACACACACATATATATATAGTGGGATTGGCAAAGAAAACTAGTGATTGGTAATGAACAGTCATATTTTTTCATAAAGACTACTGTGTTTCTGACACACACTCCCTTGTGGAAATGGTGACAAAATTGTGCAAAAAGCAGTAATGCTGAAAAGACAATGAGAAATGAATCACGGTGAGTAACTTGTGTATTTCTTCATAAGTTAAGATTTGCTTGCCTTCAGTAAGTTTGGATCTTCCACAGCTCCTGAAGAGCATGCACACAACTTCAGCAAACACACTGCACATGTGGCCTATCCCAAGTGCTGGCAGGCAGCAATTGAGCAACAGCTTGCCCCTAGGATGGGATCAAGGGAGGAAAAGGAAAAAGGAAGAGAAAAAGCCTGAACCAAGCCCATCCATAAACATCCCAAGCCAAGGGCTAGGCAGGGCACTTGATTTCTCAAGTTGCCTGCTTGGCCCTCTTCCAAGTGTACTTTGTTTCTTTAAATAAACCTTTGCCTCTCCTTTAAAACTTGCCTACTAATTCCACCCAATGTCTGCAGATAGCCAATTTCTGCTCTACGAAAGAATAGATTCTATTGGACCAAATTCGAACTTCTCTTTATTGAACGAATCGAACCAAGGGAGCTAATCAGGGCCAAACCCCATGCACTCGAATCTTGGCTGGCATAATTATATTTACCAGCTACTTGGACATGTTGGGCAGCCTCAGGATTTTCTAAACCTGACCTCACTCCCTTATTTCGTTTTGACATCTCTATTTATCTTAGACCGGGGAGCCTTCTATATGAGAGCCTCCCCACTAACTGAACTAGAACTTGTACCATAGGCTATGTATCCCTGGACATCTTTATAGCCCCTGGCAATTTCTCCCTTCCAGTATCAATCTACAGGCATTCCATGTTGCCCAGGGTGAAGACGGCTATCCAATTAATTCCCCTTCTTGTGGGACTCTGTATCACAGCCAGTATGGGAGCAGAAATCACTAGTCACACAAGCCTCGTTAACCTATAGCCAACTGTCAGCAGAAACAGCCAACAGCATTGATGCCATGGCTAAAACCTTGACAGCCACAGAAGAACAAATCAACTCTTTGGCAGCCATAGTCCTCTAAAATCGCCGAGGACTATATATGTTAATGACGGCACAGGAAGGGATTTGTTTGGCCCTAGATAAAAGTTACTTTTGGATAAATTAATCAATAAAAAAAGTACAAGACAGCATCAGGCAACTCATAGTTCAAGTCCCCCATCTACTGGAACAAACCTCTCTGGGTTGGTAAGGTTGGGAAGGAAACTGGAAATGATTCTCCTGGACTCTTCCCTTTGTGGGTCCACTTGTTTGTCTCTTAATTTTGCTCCGTTTTGTCCATGTCTTCTGAATCTCATAACCCTATGTGTCTTCTCTTGCATTCAGGTTGTCAAGCTCCAGATGATCCTCAGCGAAGGATACTGTCCTCTCCGTATTCCAGTGTCACCCTTCTACAGGGGACCTCTGGACTGCCCACCAGTGGAACATGACAGAGACAAAATCTTAGCTAGTAAGAGGCTGATACCCATGGGGCAACCACTGCTCCTCTGTCAGCAGCAGTTACAGAAAACTGACCTTCGCTCATTATCTCTAAGAATTGGATCTTGGACATTTGAGTGGGGAAATGTTAGAGTAGTTAGTTAGACAGATATTAGCAGGGCAAGAGAGGGCACCCAGAAATGGTAGGCACTCATTGGGTGATGGTCAGGTGACCATAAAACTATCCCTCTGAAATGGTAAGTGGCCACAATTGGTGCAAAGAGGGAAAGGAGTTTCCCAACAAATAGAAAACACCTGGAGCCAGCAAACCACAATTCCCTGTTAAGTTTCTAAGCATGTGGACTAGGGGGCAAAATGGCAAAGTTTGACTGGTATGTGACCTTTCTCTGGGGGCACTAGACCAGGAAAGGAAAATCACCCCAAGTGAACATGCACACAACTTCAGTAAACACACTGCACATGTGGCCCCTCCCAAGTGCTGGCAGGCCACCGTGCATGTGGCAATTGAACAACAGCTCTCCCCTAGCAGGGGATCAAGGGAAGAGAAGAAAAACCCTGGGAAGCAAGCTAATGTATGAAAATCCCAGGCTTGGCATGGTGGCTGATACTTGTAATCCTAACATTTTGGGAGGCCAAGGCAAGTGGATCATTTGAGCCCAACAGTTCAAGACCAGCCTAGGCAATGTGGCAAAACCCTGTCTAGAAAAAAAAAAAAAAAAAAAGTTAGCCAGGTGTCGTGGCATGTGCTGCAGTCCCAGCTACTCTGCAGACAGGTCAGCGGATCATTTGAGCCTGGGAGGTTGAGGCTGCAGTGAATTGTGATCATGCACTCCACTTCATGATTCACACTCCACTGCACTGCTCTCCACCCTGAGTGACAGAATGAGACTGTCAAAAAAAAAAAAAAATCCCAAGCCAGGAGTTGGAGGAGGCACTAGATGTCTCCAGTCACTCTCTTGACCCTGTTCCATGTGTACTTTGCTTCTTTTAATAAACTTTGGCTCTGCTTTAAAACTTACCTAGGTCTCTCAGTTGAAATCTTTCCTCTGAGAAGACAAGGGTCGGGATTGCTGCAGGCATACCATAGTGTTGCGAACTTGCCATCAGTCACAATACCATAAAAGTCTAATAGTTAAACTTCCAAAGGCTTTAAAGAGAAAGAAAACCAATTATCTTTTTCCGTATATTTCTTCCTTTGTTTAAATAATTTATATGTCTTTTTGACTTTATGTGTAACGTTTTATAACTTAAGGCATCTGATTTTGGCAAATTGTATATTTATTATTTTTTAAATAATCATTTTCAATTCTAAGCAAGCTGTGGTTTGTTCAACATCCATTTTATGCATGGGAGACTTGTGGTCTTACTAATAGTTTTGTTTATTTACACCTCTGTAGGTCAACTATCAAAGGTTGCATGTGCTTCTTAATTTCCTATTGCTCTTCTGCAGAATGATACTTACTTGTCACTTTTTACTAAAAATAGAAAAACATGAAAACATTAACTTTATGTTTTTAATTTTCTGACAATCTCTCTCAGTTGTCTCCTTTCTGTTATGCCAGTCTTTTGTTATAATCACCTTTTCAAACAATTAATCTTTATCTTTGACATTTTTAAGTCATTTAAAATATGGTCTAAATTGAACTATGTATATCAAAGCAATAATGGAAATTAGGGTTTTTTTTTACTGTTTACATTAGTTATTTGAGATTCTATATAGAGTTAAACAAATAAAAATGTGACTATTTTTATAACATATAAACACAAATTTTAATTTTTATTAAAGCCCAATAAAGTTACCTTTTTCTTCTTGAACAGTAATATACAGAAGTAACACTTGTATGTTCAAGATGCTAAGTACTAAGTACTATAAAGTACACAGGAAGTTCCTCTTCTTAGAGTTGGCTTTTATTTTTATTTTTTAATATAGACATTATATTAAGAAATTTATTAGTTAGAATGATTTGTTAAACAAATTGGTAAGTGTTCAATTAAAGTTTTTTGTATTGAATGTAATCAGTGCACAAAACCACATTTGTAACACTCTACTTCTAGCATAGACTTAAAGAGATACTTCGTGGGGTGTGTTTTAAGTAATAGCTGCTAGTTTATATACTTGCCTGACAAATAACAAAATACTATGAAAAAATGAAAAAGAAAATCTTTTGAAACTCTTATGGAATTCGGTTTGTGGCTGGTTAACTCAACTGATCGTCATAACTTAGATCCCTTGGCAAACATCTTGATATCAAATTTTTATGGAGCTACTGATTTTATTCTTTCTCTGTCCATGCACAGTCATTTTACTAATGAGGGGATATTGAAAAAGCAGTGCAAGTAAGTCAACTATAAAATCTAGAAAAATATGTGGGCTTCCTGTGCTACTGATTGAATGGTTTTGTGTAAAAAGTACACAGATTACTTGAAATTCAGGTAAAGCCATACATGAGGTCAATAAATGGAAAAAGGATTAAAACAGATTTTTTGGTTGGTATCTATGTGTTTTCATATGTTTTATAAATATATTAAAATAGTTATATACTATATTTTATGGATTTATATTATATATTATTATATTTACCTTTATAATACATCAAAATTTTTAGACATAAAATCTTTTTTAATTTTACGGCAGCCCTTATAAATGTGTGACCATTTGTCTTTATGCTCTAGTCTAGTTTGAGATTGAACTATATTTAAATGTGGTAATCTATGTCACTGTGTATAATCAATATAGCAGTTTGTGGTACTGTGATGCCATTTCTAAAATGTTCTTTATTCACTCTGCTTTATTTCTATGTCTGTGATGTTCAAGATTTTGAAAGAGAAATAGAATTGTGGTTGGGATTTGGCAAGTTATAAGATTGTAATCTAGAGACTTTAAACAGAAAGAAATATGCTTATAAATTATAAGCTAGAATAGGAAATGCATGGTCCATTACTTCTCTGGATTTGCTTAATTTACCATTAACTTGGCAGATTCATAAGTGTTGTATCTAAGGGTTTTAAGGCCTCAAACCTCAAAAGCCATATGCCCAAACTTTTAATTTTTTATGACAGTCAGCAGCAAAATAAAACTTATTCCAAGTATTCTTTCTTATTTTCAGTAGATCAGGGTTTTTTTTGTTTTCTTACTTCTTTCTTTTAATTTCTGTTTTTTTTTTCCTCTTAAAACACTAATGAGAGTAATGAGGGCATTTCATGAATTGGTAAGCTTTAATATTTAACTGATAGTCGTTCTTTTTTACTCACTTCCAAACATGTTCTCTCTAGCTTCTCCTTCATGTTTTTACTTCCAGTTTTCCTTTCAGGGGGTCTTGTGTCTGTATTTCTCATAGGAAATTCAAGTCAAAGCATTTAGGCTCATAAAGGTAAAATAATGCCAAATCAACAATTAAGATATTCAACTGGTCATGTTTTCACCACCAACTATTTTTAAGTAAAACAGCAATATTTTGCAGTATTACTTTGTGCAAAGCACTGTGATAGGAATTTCTAGTTTAGGCTATGATGGGATTTGAAAAAACTGTTTACTCTTTTACTTATACAAAAAAATAGTTCTCAGATATTGGACAGAAGACACCTCAGGACTATGCTCACTAAGAGAAGGGACACAACCAAGGTAAGCCTATGATTACTTCAGCTTCCTGCCTAGAAGTAGCTTTCAGTTAACAGTGCAGGAAGTGGGGACATAAATAAGTCTTGACAGTCCCTTGAATGACGGAGACAGAATCAGAGTTTGGGGAAATAAATTTGTGGGGCTGAATTAAGGGAGGAAGAAGTTACAGAGAGAGCACTTCAAAGATCTGCAGAATGGGCCACTGGAATCTCAAGCTGAGTACTACCTGTGTGAGTGGATACTAATCAAGAATGGATGAAGAAACACTAGAAAACAACAGGCTGAAAAGTCCCCAAGGATTTCATAAGACTAGAGGAGTTTGCCTTCCCACTAGCCACTGTGTAAACACCTCATAATACCAGGACCTCATGCAGAACCTTCAGAAGGCTATTGCCTGGATATTGGGACACAATAAGCCATAGAATAAAAGTCTTTCTAAATGTACCCTAATAAAACTTAAAATCAAATCTGAAAAGGACCCAAATTGATTTCAAGTAACAAACTATGGTCCAGAAGAAAACTCAGCAATATTTAAAAGAATATAACATTGAGTATCCAATGATATTAAATTTGTAACATCTGGAAACCAAATAAAAATTACCAGGTATGGCGGGATGCAGTGGTTCATGCCTATATTCCCAGCATTTTGAGAGGCCAAAGTGGGGAGATTGCTTGACCTCAAGAGTTTGAGACCAGCCTGGAAACATGGCAAAATCCTGTCTCTACCAAAAAAAAAAAAAAAAAAAAAAAAAATTTAGCCTGATATGGTGGTGTGCTCCTGTGGTCCTACAAACATAAAAAAATTACCAGGCCTTGGAAGAAGCAGCAAAATGTGATCCACACTTAGGGTAAAATAAACAATCAATAGAAACAGACCCACAAGTAAAAGAGATGATGAAATTAGTGATATGGATGTTAAAACAGATATTGTAACTATATTCCATAAGTTCTAGAAGGTTAAGGAACACAAGAATAAAATGAGAAGATAAACAAGAGGCAAATTGTATTTCTAGTGATGAACAAATAAAATAAAGTTGCAAATACACTGGATGAGATTACAGCAGTTAGACATGGCAGAAAACATCAGTAAATCTAAAAATTTAGTAGAAGAAACTAAAGTCAAACATAGACATGAAGAAGACTGAAAAAAGTGAGTATCAGTCAATCTTAGGACAATATGAATCTTAAAAGTAGTCAGAGAAAAGCATCAAGTTAACCATTGATTGGGCTTCTTCTATGTGCTAGATTCTGTGCTAAGCACTTCACATATATTAACTTATTTATCAATAAAGAGGTGGGTACTAGAATTGTCCTAATTTTTATGTAAGGAAAGTATAAAATCATTACAATAACTTTAAACAAATGTTCAATTATAAAGCAGTACCTTTTATTTGTAAAACACTTTAAAACTTTCAAAGGTGTTTGTTTTCATTTAAAAATTAAAAGCTTAGTAAGTCTTTGAAGTTCAAAATAGATCTAGATAGTAAGCTGGGTAAATATTAAATATAAGACACTAAATGTTTTATTTAAGGTCATATAAGTAGAACTAAAGATAGAAATCAAAATTTCTCACTGTCTCTTATTTTATGTTTCATTGTAACGAATCCTGCCATTATCATAGCAGATCAAAAGGGGGAAATAATTCTGGCTAAGGTCAGGAAAGCCTGACTGATGATGTCAGATAACAACTGGGTTTTAAAACAGCAATCAGAATTCCACTAGCAGAACAGGTTGGAAGGCACTGCAAGCAGAGAACACATTGAGGAAAGACATAAGAAAGAAAACTCACCAGGTTCATTTAAGAGGCATCAGAACACCTAAGTTGGCTAAAGCACAGATTTCATAGAGGGACATTTAGAGAAAAGCCAGAAATGTAAGTTGAAAACAAATCACCGGAAATCTTAAATGTCACAAAATATGATATAGATGCATTATGCATTTAAATCTCAACTATCTGAAATCTGTCTAAAGAGCTTTTAGACACCAAGGAAACCCCTAGCCTTAAAAGTCATTCCAACAATAACCTCAAACATTTGGAGATAGTTGGGCTTTGTTAGGAAGATTGTACCTATGTCTGATAGATCCGATGACCACATAAAAAGAAATATCCACTCTATTTTATAAATTTTTTAAAAAATCTGACTATTCTATCTGTAAACCTGAAAGAATGAGAAGTGACACTGGCAGGAGAGACAAGCATGTACAATTGAAGAGCAGAAGGGATATGGGACCAGTAAAGGCATAAATAGAAGCCACATTAACATCACCATTTATTAGAAACTGATGTTTCTCTTTTTGTTTTTCAAAATGGAGGACGAGAGGCATTGCTAGCATATCTCTCCCACTTTGAAGAACAAAATAGTGTGTAGAGATTCACACTGTGAACTTTTTTCTAAGAAGCTATGCAAGAGCTAAACAGGAAAACTGAAGGAATCTACAGACCCTTTTGAAGGAAGCAGGAGGTTGCAGCCTACACTGTGAGTCAGGATTGTGAGAAGGAAAGAGATAGCCTCTGACATATACACCCCCAAACAGGGACCCTGGAAGTCCAGGCCATGGTGGAAGGCCTTAACCCTACCCAGTCCCGGAACTGACTTGGGGAGGGTTGTGGAATATAAAAGTAGAAGCAGTGATGGGAAGACCATTACATGCACTCCCAGATTCCAGTGTGGACTAAGGGAAGTCAATTGTTACTCTTTGTCAGAGGAGACCCTGTGGAAGACAGCCAGAAAATTCAGTCAGTGTTCACAGGTTGAAAGAAGCTCCGACTGGGGTTTCATGATATATCAGTGGGTGGGGATGAACTTCCTTGGCCAGAGCTGGAGCTGGGGAGAGTGAAAAGTGGGCTACAGACAGGAGGGCAGGAGCCACAAGTGCAGAAGCCAAGAGCCCAGCTTTGCAGCCAATGGGGAAGGGAATGGCCTGAAAGACGCAGTTGTTACCGCCATGGGGAAAACTTATGACCCAGGGTAGTTGCAAGTTCTGAGTGCAAGCTGACTGGAACTTAGCTTGCTGCTACCAGTGGAACACTGCAGGAGTGGATCTGCCTTGCCAAGTGAGTGGGATCTGTGTGTGGCTTACTGCTGCCTGAAACTCCCTACTCCCTGCACAAATTCTGTGCATCAGAGGCAGCAAT